>NC_000014.9:87111713-89611713 GCF_000001405.40 Homo sapiens | reverse complement strand
CTGCCTCAGCCTCCCCAGCAGCTGGGACTACAGGCACCCGCTGCCATGCCCGGCTAATTTTTTGTATTTTTAGTAGAGACGGGGTTTCACCGTGTTAACCAGGATGGTCTCGATCTCCTGACCTTGTGATCCGCCCGCCTTGGCCTCCCAAAGTGCTGGGATTACAGGCGTGAGCCACCGCGCCCGGCCTCATTATTTTTCTTTATTTGTCTTCACCTTTTGACTTTCTCTTCGTCCATCCCTGAGCACGTTTACCTACTTGGTAAATAAAAAGTCCTAATTCCAGAATTACCCAAAGATTATACCCAGTCTAACTGGCTATAATTGGCAGCATGTCTAACACAAAAAACAGATTTCCTAGACAGCACTCACTTTTACACTTGGTCTGAACGGCTCAACAAACTCAGGTGTTAAGATACACTGACATCTCCTTGATTTCTTTCAGAATAAGAAAAACTGGCTTAAGTCAGCAGATCAGCAAGATATTCAGTCTTCTTTTTGGGGCTCCCCTGTACCCCTAAGTCATATAAAGTCTACAGAGACGAAGTTAGGTTGGGGTTCAGCTTGATTTTTTCATCTAAGCAAGAGCTCTGCTCTTGCAAGAGTGTAGGGGAAACTTAAAAATTAAATCATCACTGGGCATGCCACTGTGCCTAGTATACGTGTGACCAGGTGGAACTAGCAATGGAACAGATGTAGACATTTTCAGTCAAATGTGTGTCTGCTGCTTTTCTAATTCTCTTAAAGAGTTCAGGTGAATGATCAGAACTTGATGGAACTAATTAATATTTCACAGGTCTGATTTCACATATTTCACATGTATGAAATTATTTTAAAAGATCAATCAAGGGAAATGCCAAAGACATATGCACAAATCGGGGGAAACAAATCATCCTCACGTTCATTCAGTGAGCAGTTGCGGGCACCTACTGCATACCAGGAACTGTGCCCTATGATAGGGATACGAGGGTGAAGAAATCATTCCCAGACAGACTATCCCCTGTTCTGTAATTCTCATAGGTTTCTTAACTGGAAATATCCCCAAATGTGGCTCTTTTGAAGTTCATATTCTAAGCAGATATAGACAGACTGAAGTGCCACCCTCATGAGATCCTTCCTGGAGATATTATGCCTTTGGTTTTAATTTAGAAACAGACCCTGCAAGGGGGATTGAAGGGTGGATGGTTTTCTTGGGAGACCATCCCAGGAAGACACCAGTAGGTGCAGGAGAGGGAAATGAGGAAGGGAAGGCAGCCAGTCGTGAGTTATCCCGTCAGATCCATTGTGGGCGGTGGAGCTCAGCCGCACTGGGGCACGTGGGGCACCTATGCCAGCCACGCTGCTTTCGGTCATGGGTTGAAGACTGCTCTCAGGGCGTGTTGATCCCAGTACTTGAGATCTATGAAAGCTGTCAGAGTAGCCTTCAGCCAGAGAAGGTTCTCAGGGACTTCTTGATGCCGTTGGTAGCAGGTGGCAGTTGGGCTGGCATGCCCTGAGATGGTAAAGCCTGAAAGCCATGTGCCCAGGACATCAGCAGGTTCTGCTACCACTCTTTCCTCTTCAGTTCCTTCTACAGTCTTGCAACTATAGATGTTTTAGAATAATCATTTTTAATAGTCCCTTTAAGCTTCAACATGAAGATCCTGGCAGAGTGGTTTTTCAGCCTGAAAAATGGGAACAAGAGGAGTGGCATAATTTCAGAGTTAAGCATTTAGGCAGAAATTATCCATAAGGGCCCTCATTTTTTTCTCCCTCGGTTACAACCATTATCCTTATTTCCCAGGCTAGAAAACTTGGACCGCCAGCCGCCGCCGCCCCCGCCCTCGTTTTACATCACATGTATCTAATTTATCCCCAGGGCTTCTCATTGCTTTCTTTAAAATCCACCTCCTGTTCATCTCCACAACCCTTACTGGTGCTTCCCTCCAAAAAAAACTACGAGTGACCTTGATCGTGCTCTGGAAGACTTCTGTCCCTAAAACCCTCTTGAAATATGGGCTTTGAAGCTAGACTTCCTGTTCTCAGACCCCCTCCCTGCCACTTAACAGCTGTGTGACTTTAGGCGAGTTACTTAACCTAAGACTCAAGTCCTAGGTGATATTTCCATAAGTACTATGGAAATAAAACTCTGTAATGTGGAAATCCTGAAAGGATTATTGGGAGGGCTAAATCATGAGTCCCTGAAAAGCACTTGGCACGGAGCCTGGCACGTGGTTGCAACTCAAATTATTGTAGCTATTTTTATTGTTATGTTGTCAATGTTGTTGTGTTCCTTGTCTACTAAGAACCTTGATGCCAGCCTGGGCAACATGGCGAAACCCCATCTCTACAAAAAATACAAAAATTAGCCGGGCGTGGTGGTGTGCACCTGTGGTTCCAGCTACTCGGGAGGCTTGATGTGGGAGGATTACTTGAGCTTGGGAGGTTGAGGCTGCAGTGAGCCATGATTGCGCCACTACACTCCAGCTTGGGTGACAGAGCGAGACCCTGTCTCGAAAAAGAATCTTGATGGCTTCTCATTGCCCAGTCTACCAAGTTCTCTCTTTTTCTGCCTCACTTTCAAGTTCTTTTATAATCTTGCCCCACTTATTAAACTGCTCAGAGAATGCCCCAGGATCTAGTCAGTGTCTCTTCACCCCTGAACTCGCTGTGGTCCTTCTAGCTTCCCAGCCTTTGTACATCTTGTTCCCTGGCCACAACCTTCTTCCTCCATGTTGTACAGTCACCACTTTCATTCACTGGAAAACTCCAATGTACAGAGAAAATGCAGTTTGTTCATTTTGTCTACAGTGAGCCTTCCTTCCCAGCACACACCCATTGATCGTCAAGAGAAAGAATAACTTTTGATCACACCCGTTAAAAAACTTAGTTGGATCTGCTAATCCAAACAGTTCCCTAAGATAATTCTAGTCTTCCATAGGAAAACAATGCTATTCCCTCAGGTTGTCTCGCCTACCCCATCCCCAGTTCTTCGCCTATGATAGTGCATGTGGGAAGGAATGTCAACCTTGCTCTTCTGTTTATTTCTTATGAAGGAGGAACAAACTCAGGGTCCCTAGGCTCGGTGGCCTCTGCTGTTGGAGGCAAGGTTTCTTGCCTTCTGGGAGCTGCTTGTTTAGCTATACTAGCAGTTGAAGTCTGTGGTTTTATAACACATAGTCTAGTCTAGTGGTTTTCAAAGACCTACAGTAAGATATAGATACATTGTACACCACATATATGTATGTATGCTGTGGATAGATGAAACAAAAGTTTTTATAAGATAGCATGTATAGGCCGGGCGCGGTGGCCCACGCCTGTAATCCCAGCACTTTGGGAGGCCGAGGCGGGCAGATCACGAGGTCAGGAGATCGAGACCATCCTGGCCAACATGGTGAAACCCTGTCTGTACTAAAAATACAAAAATTATCTGGGTGTTGGCTGGGCACGGTGGCTCACGCCTGTAATCCCAGCACTTTGGGAGGCCGAGGTGGGCAGATCACGAGGTCGGGAGATCGAGACCATCCTGGCTAACAGGATGGCTAACAGGATGGGGTGAAACCCCCATCTCTACTAAAAATATAAAAAATTAGCCAGGCATGGTGGCGGGCGCCTGTAGTCCCAGGTACTCGGGAGGCTGAGGCAGGAGAATGGCGTGAACCTGGGAAGCGGAGCTTTCAGTGAGCTGAGATCGCGCCACTGCACTCCAGTCTGGGTGACAGAGCGAGACTCTGTCTCAAAAAAAAAAAAATTAGCTGGGTGTTGTGGCGCATGCCTGTAGTCCCAGCTACTCGGGAGGCCGAGGCAGGAGAATCGCTTGAACCCGGGAGGTGGAGGTTGCAGTGAGCCAAGATAGCGCCACTGCACTCCAGCCTGGGCAACAGAGTGACACTCTGTCTCAAAAGAAAAAAAAAAAAGATAGCATGTATAGTTGAAGCATAAATTTTACCAGATTTTATCATCCCTGCTACACTTAATCCAGATTGACCTACTCCATTCTATTTTAGTTAAGGAAAGAAAGATTGGTTGGGTTCCAATAAGTGATCCAGTTTGCTAAATATGTTAGCCTGGTCATCCTCTTGGCTTTATCAGAACTTGTGTGGCACTCCCTGCTGACTCGGTCCCACCTCTGTGTGCATGGGCAGCAAACTTGAGTCCTTTTTTTTTTTTTTTTTTAAGACACGGTCTTGCTCTGTCGTCTAGGCTGGAGTGCAGTGGGGTAATCTCGGCTGATTGCAACCCCCATCTCCCGAGTCCAAGCGATTCTCCTGCCTCAGCCTCCTGAGTAGCTGGGATTACAGGCATGTACCACCATGCCCGGCTCATTTTTGTATTTTTAGTAGAGACAGGGTTTCACCATGTTGGCCAGGCTGGTCTCAAACTCCTGACCTCAAGTGATCCGCCTGCCTCGGCCTCCCAAAGTGCTGGAATTATAGGCATGAGCTACCGGGCTTGGCCCAAACCTGAGTCTTAGCCACTTGGTGGTCTTTAAATGGGGTCCTCTCTGCTGGCCACAACAGATCTTGAGGCAAGCTCACTGCTCTCCAGCATCTTAATGCCTTCTGTTTGCAAAAGTGGCTGTACCAGTTAACACCCTCACCAACATTAAGTGTCTCTGTTGTTTCATATTCTCACTGATATTTAATATTGTCAGACTTTAACATTTTTGCCAATTTAGTAGGTGTGAAATAATCTCATTTTAATTTTAATTTTCTTGGTTATTAATAAGCTTACGCATCTTATGTTTATTGGTCATACATGTTTCTTCATTTACGAAGTGCCTGTTTGGCTGTTATATTTCAGTCTTGAGTCAAGCCAGAATTGTTTTTTGTGTATAGTGTGTGAGGCAGGTATACAGTTTTATTTTTTTATTTTATTTTTTTTTTGAGACAGAGTCTCGCTATTGTCGCCCAGGCTGGAGTGCAGTGGTGCAATCTCCGCTCACTGCAACCTCTGCCTCCCAGGTTCAAGCTTCCCCTGCCTCAGCCTCCTGAGTAGCTGGGATTACAGGCGTGCGCCACCACACCCAGCTAATTTTTATACTTTTGGTAGAGTTGGGGTTTTGCCATGTTGGCCAAGCTGGTCTCGAACTCCTGACCTCAGGTGCTCCGCCTACCTCGGACTCCCAAAGTGCTGGGATTACAGGCATGAGCCACTGCGCCCGGCTACAGTTTTATTTTTATACTACACACACTCCAAATTTTGCACATGTATTAGATACATATGTTCAGGCGTGAGAAGTCCTATAATTCTCTTTTCTTATCAATTTTTTTTTCTTTTTTGCTGGCTTCAATGCTCAACCTTGATCTTATCAAATTTTGGTATCAATGTTTTTCTATCCTTCTTAAAATAAAGAGTTTTTCTATTATCTGGCATAGTCTGTATAAGACTAGAATTATGTATACCTCAAAATAGTAGTTACCTTCTGATAGTAGTCATCTGTTTATCTGGAAGTGGTATTTTCTTTTAGGAAGATTACAGCTACTAATTCAACTTATTTTATAGTAAGACTAATCTGGTGTTTTATTGCTTTGTGAATCCATTTTACCAATTTATGCATTTCTAGGAATTTATTGACTTCATCTCGGTTTTAACATTGGGAGGCATAATGATTGTTTATAATAGCCTCTAATTCTTATTTTTAATCTCTGTGCCATCGCAGTTTTTCATTTGTGATATCATTTATATGCTTGCTTACTTTTTTTTTTAATCTCACAGATTACATATTATCATTTTAAACTATATGGGGCACTACCACACCTGGCCAGTTTTTTTACTTTTTAGTAGAGATGGGGTCTTGCTATATTGCCCAGCCTGGTCTTGAACTCCTGGGCTCAAGGAATCCTCCTGCGTTAGTCTCTCAAAGTGCTGGTATTACAAGTGTGAGCTACTGCGTTCAGCCTCTTTTTAATTTCTGTTTGTATCTTTATTCTTCTTACACTTTTGTGTTTAATAGAGTATAAAACTTGTATTTTTCTGACAGCTTAGTTAATTACTTTTGAAGTTTTCATTTCTAATATGTTAACAAAAACATAATATATTTTTTCTAATATAAATAACTCTTCATGTTCTAATATTTAAGCTGCATTTTTATATATGACATGTACAAATGTAGCTGGATATTGTTTTTGTGCAGTCTGAAAATAATTGTCTTTTAACTGAAATACATAATGCATTTATATTTATTGTAATTACATGTATATTCTAATTTATTTCTTCATTTTTTTCCATTTTTCCTGCCTCTTCCATATTTCTTTTTCTTTATTTCTTGCTTTCTTTTGAATTCTTTTGTCTTATTTTATGTATTCTATAGTAGTTTGGAAGTTTTATTCTCTATATGATTCATTTAGTGGTCCTCTAGATATTTTATTTCTAGATCCTTTTCTAGTGGTTCTTTAGAAATTTTAACATGCATACTTATCAAAGCCTAAAGCCAATTAGCATCTTTCCTCTCCTCTCAAACAATGCAAGGACCTTAGACCACTTAACTCCAATCACTGCTCTACCAATTTAGGTTTCGTTTTTGCCCAGTGTTTTAGTTTTATCTTGTTTTTTTTGTGTTTTTTTTTAATCTCACAGATTACATATTATCATTTTAAACCAGAAATGTTTGTTAAGATTTACCCATGTGTTTACTACATTTTTTGCTTATAATTCCTTCCCCCAACCCACCCCCTTCATCACTTCTCTTAGGTTTCATTTAGTGAGGATAAATCGATGGAAAACTCTTTAAGCTATTGTTCACTGGAAAAATGTCCATTTCCCCCTTGTTCTTAAAATGGAATCTTGCTAGGTATACAATATATTTTTGCCAGGTATAAAGTTATGGTTATTTTCTCTCAGCATATTAAAGATGCTCAATTGTTTTCTGACTTCCACTGCTGATAAATCAATGCTAAGTCTCATTGCCATTTGTGTTGAAGGTATTCTTTCTCCAAGAGTACTTTACGACTGTTTTTTAAGATATTTTCTTTGTTTTTGGTGTTTGGCAATTTTATCATAAAGTGTTCAGATGTCAACTTATTTGTATGTGTTTATTTTGTTTGGGGGTTTGGGGCTTTATAATTTTGTGGATTGGCTTTCTCATCAGAACTGGAAGATTCTCAGGCTGCTATTCCTGCTCTGTACTCTTTCTCTCTAATTCCAGGTTTGAGATTAAGCATATGTTATACCTTTGTTCTGTCTTTTCCATGTTTTAGCTTCTCTGTCATCTTTTCTATTTCTATATTTCTATGTGCTGCAGTCTAGATAATTTACTCAGTTTTTTCCCTCTGGTTTCCTGTGTCTAATCTATCTGATCTAGCTCGATTCTTATATACTCGTTCCCTTTTATTTATTTAAACAATATTTTATGTTTTGTGTCTAATTTTAAAGTTTGAAGTCTTTGTTGGCCGGGTTCTCCTCTCTATTGTTTTCACTGGTTGTTGTTCATGGTGCTTTGTTTCTCTCTCTCTCTCTCTCTGTGTGTGTGCGCGCGCGTGTGTGTGCGCGCACGTGTGTGTGTGTGTGTGTGTGTGTGTGTGTGTGTTTTGTTTTGCTTTGTTTTTGGAAACTCTATTAGTGGGAATTCTTTATCAGTGGGTTGGAGTTGAAAGTGAGTTTCTCCAGAATTTGCATTTGTTTTTGTCAGGTTCCTAGGATCATTATCAACCTGCAAAGCAAGGACTTAAAATTCTCAACTTGAGGTTTTGGGGACAAAACAGGTAATCAGTTTGTCCTGTAAACCCCTGTGAGGATTACCTTGTGGTTACACATTTTTAGTAAAGACTTTTCCCTTTCTACTTAGCACTTATTTTTGAGACAGGCAGTTTAAAGTCCTCTCTGTAGCTGGATGCCTCTTATTATACACTCTATCTTGGTGGGCCTTTGTAAATGTCACCAAGTTTATCTGCTTTCCCCTGTGTCTTGCTAAGTTGTAAAAACAGAAGCTCAGGTTCTCCCAGTTTGTTAAATGCCTTCAAGGTGAAAACTAATATAAGCCCTCTGTTCTGAATGTGCCTTATTTTTTTGTGTGAGCTCATGAATATGTTTCAAACAATTTTTGAGGAAATATTTTGTCCAGCATTTTTGGTTGTTTTCAGTTGGAGGATTGGACAGGTACTTACTCTGCCATTACTACCAGAAAAGAAACTTACATCCTGCTTTCTCTTTGTGTTCCTTCTTTAATAATATTAATATATCCCGAAACACATGAATGCCTTTGGCCAACTACGGTACAGATCATATGTGCAGAAAGCAGTAGAGAAAAAAGCATAATCCTTATTTTCAAGTTACCACTTCCTTCTGCAGGTATTCAGGGGTATTTTAAGTTCCAACATATTAGTTGAGGTAATGCTAGCTTCTTTAACAAAACCAAAATGGTGCCATGAATCAAAACAATAGAAATTGTTTCTTACATACCCAAAATGGGTGACCCGATTAGTGGATACCACTCTTTAAGGTTTTAGCAAGCCAACTACTTGGCATTTTAGGACTCTGTCATTTTCAACCCATGGCTCCAAGGTCACAGTGCTTATTTGGATCATAATAGCAAAAAAGGAAAAGCATGTGGAGGCTCATGAGTGGCTGGTTTTTATTGGCTAGGCCCAGATGTGGCTCAATTTGTTTTTTTTTCCCTTTCCATTAGCTAGAACTTGGTAAGGTGGCCACATCTGACTGCAAGGGGGATTGCTGGGAAGGTGGTCTAGGTGTTTGCCCAGGAAGAAGAAGAAACAGGTTTGATGAACAGCTGGTCCATCTCTGCCACATATTTCCTCTCGGAAACTTCATTCCACCCTTACTTTTCACTTCTCTGAGCTCTTATTTTACTTATAAAGAGCACTATCAACCTTAGGATTTAATTACCCCAAATCATTTTATGTTTGTATAATCTAAGTCACCAACTGTATAATACATTCCTTGAGGTGTGAATGTTGTGCTGGACTTTTGAAAATGTCACCTGCCAGGCGCAGTGGCTCACACCTGTAATCCCAGCACTTTGGGAGGCCGAGGCAGGTGGATCACAAGGTCAGGTGTTCAAGACCAGCCTGGCCAAGATGGTGAAACCCCGTCTCTACTAAAAATACAAAAAATTAGCCAGGTGTGGTGGCAGGTGCCTATAATCCCAGCTACTCGGGAGGCTGAGGCAGGAGAATCACTTGAACTCGGGGGGCGGAGGTTGCAGTGAGCCGAGATCGCGCCACTGCACTCCAGCCTGGGCGACAGAGCGAGACTCCATCTCAAAAGAAAAAAAGAAAAAAAAGAAAAAAATGTCACCTACCACTCAGTTTTGAATGCACAGTGTGCTTTAAAAAAATTAAGCCTCTGAATGCCTGAAAATGTTCTTGTTCTAGGGAGATACCTGCTGACATATTTAGGGATGCAGACCATATTTATGGTCTGCCTCTTACTCATTGTATTATTCCTTCAGGTTTTCTTCTTTTTCTTTCGCATGTGTTTTTTTTTTTGACACAAAGTCTTGCTCTGTCACCCAGGCTGGAGTGCAGTGGTGTGATCTCGGCTTACCGCAACCTCTACCTCTCAAGCTTAAGTGATTCTCTCACTTCAGCCTCCCAAATAGCTGGGACCACAGGTGTGCACCACCATGCCCAGCTAATTTTTGTATTTTTTGTGGAGATGGGCTTTCTCCATGTTGACCAGGCTCAGGTTTTCTTTAGGTTTGAAAGTTGCCAAAATAAAAATGTGGGGAAAAAGCTAAATCCCTGAAGGGGATTAGAAGGGACCCTACAAACAATAGTAGAATATCCATGGGACATCAGATTAGTCTGTCTCAGTTATTTCTGATATGTTATCTTGAAATGAGCCCTTTCTGCTCCATCTGGATTGTTGTGAAAATTCATTTACTCTACCTGGAAATATTTGTTGAGGTCTACGAGTGCTAGTACTATTGAGGGGCTGGATGTAGGGAGATAAGACCCTGCCCCAGAGAGGATTAGATGGAGTGTAGACAAACAAGGGAGAAGCAGGAAAAAAAAACAAAAACAAAAAACCTTGCACTCATTTTTCCTTTGGTTTTAGGCCTCCCATAAGAAGGCTGACCTGTCTCCAGGCCAGTGTTGAGCATATCAACAAGCAGAGGAATTTAGCTCTTGAATATTCCCCAGGGCCATAGATAATCTCAGCTGAAACAGACCCTAGGTTATTGGCCTCAATATCACCCTGTACCTGAGTTTAACTAATTGCTTTGTTGCTAGGTTCAGTGTTTTCAATGCCTCATTTTTATTTTCTGTTGTTTTTGGTCTTAAATGACAATGGCATATGGACCTAAGTTAAATTGTGGAATCATATTTTGTTTTCCTTTCATTGAGTCCTTTGCAGTGTACTATGGATGGGAAAACACACTGACGTTTTAGTAACTCTAATCTATTATCCACTTGCTAGGATGCAAACACAATGCATGTGGCAAATTACTTTATATGCTGATAAAGCCTGTGTTTTGGAAAAATGTTGGAATGTTTGTATCCAAAACATTGTTTTGAATCAAGCCATCTTAAATATGCAGATTATGAATAGGAAGTGGTATCCTGAATAGCATCGTCAAAATTCCAGGAAGGGTCAGGCTGCAAAATACAAGACATGGTGAGTCTATAATTAGGCATCAACGCTATTTTATCTGATTGAGCATCTCCCTGGGCTTGGCTCTGGCATTAATCAGAGAACAGCTCTCCAGCCCAAAGGAGTTCACTTAAGAAGATGACCCAGGAGGCAAATCTAGCTCTCTCAGAAGCCAAGACAGAGCAAGCCCTTTACTTATTATGTTGTTTGCTTCATGGAATAAGGCATAGAATTTCTGCTAAATGAAAGCAAGATACAGCATTTCTAATAAAATAGAAAAGGGAATATGGTGCAGTGCTCTTCTTGCAAATTGTACTCACTTTCTTTTCAAGTCTAAGGTTTCTCTATTTTTTCAGAAAAATTTCTCTCTTGCTTGAAGGAGTTTCCAAAACTACACAAATGCACCAAGTCTCAGCCAAGGGCATTAATAGTATATAGGGTCCAGGAACTGGCAGGCTGTAATAGTTAACTTCCTCTGTTAATGCAATGAGCCACTGAGTAGTCTCTTCCCACAATGAGTAAGGGTTTACTTCTATCCTGAAAACCAAATAATTCAGTCACCATAAAGGGAAGAGACCAGACCTCCATATCTTCGACGTGGCCAATGTGACTTTTAAATTAATTTATTTTTGTTTAGGCAAAATAAAAATTTGGAGAAAATTTATATTTTATTTGCCAAAATAAAAATTTGGAGAAAAAGCTAAATCCCTAAAGGAGATTAGAAGGGGCCCTACAAACAACAGTGGAATTTCCATGGGGCATCAGATTAATCTGTCTCAATTGTTTCTTTTGAAATGTGGTGTTGAAATGAGCCCTTTCTGATCCCTCTGGATTGTTAAGAGAATTCATTCACTCCATGCATTATTATTAGGATGACCATACAGTCTGACATGTTTGTGACAGTTTTGTTTTATGCTTACTACCCCCTTGTAATCACTAGTAGTGTCTACTTTCATTTTCAAGAACATCCTGGTTTGATAAATTATGGTCACCTAACTTACAGTGGTAGTGCATATATTTAGCAATAGTAGATCAGGTTTGTTCTGTTTAACTCTTCTGCTGAGAAAAGCTGCTCAAAATTAAAAAGAAAAAAAGTCAGTTTGGAAAAATTGGAGAGCCATCAGGGCAATGGGGAATTGCAGAACCAAGATCTGGGTTGGTGGGGTGAGTAAGAAGTGGTAGAAAACTCAGAGAGGTGAACTCTGCTTTTGAGTTTTATCTTCTTGAGAAAAATTTCAGTTCAAAAAGTAGAGGCTAAAAGATTAAGAAACTTAGCAGAGCTTTCAACAAGTTCATGGGCTTGAGGGTGTGGTAATTGTATTTAGGTCCTGTGAAAAGGCAGAAGCCCTAGTAAACAACCTAGGCTTTCATTGAGAACCCTGAGTCTAGGTGAATCAGAAATAAAACATAGGTAGTGAAGCCAAAACTCAAATAATTTCAGATTAGTGCCCCTAGCCTAGATGTCTGCCTGAAGCCAGAATAAAAATTCTCTTTGGAGGAAGATGCTTTTCCCAGAAACTCAGGTTATCACTGTAGTTTTTCATGTACTATATCTGTCAGTCAGTAGAAATAATAGACACATCACATGAGAAGACCAGATATGATTAAAAAAAACAATAAAAAATAAACAAATTGGATATACCTACAAGAGATCCAGATAATAGATAATCAAATATGGTCCCTACCATAACTGTGATTAATATGTTTCAAGGATTAAAAGATAAGATTGAAAACTCTGCCAGAGAACTGAAAATTGTAAATAAGACCAAATGGACCTTCTGGAACTGAAAAATACAATTACTGCAGTTAAAATCTAAATGAGTGAACTTTTTTGGGTGATGGAAATGCTGTAAGATTGGATTGTGGTGATGGTTATGGTTGCATAAATGAATTAATGACTAAAACCATTGAATGTGTACTTACAATGGGTGAATTTTATGCTGTGTAAATTGTACTTTAAAAATTAAGCTTTAAAAAAACCAAATGAATTGGTTCAATAGAGTAGATGCAATTGAGGAGAGAGTTAGTGAACCAGAAGATAAAGCAGAAGAAAATATCAACAATAAAGCATTTTGAGGCTTTTAGATGGAAAATAAATATCAGATTGTGAAAGACATATTAAATATGGTGGAAAGGCCTAATATATGTGTAACTGGAGGTTCAGCAGGAGAGGAGAGAGAAAGTGGGACATAAAAAATAATTGGAAAAAAATAGCTGAGATAGTTCTAAAACTAACAAATCACACAAAGCCACAGAATCCAGAAGCCCTAGGGCACCAAGCAGGATAAGTACAAAGATTCAACATAGTAAAATTTCTGATAACAAAGCTAACGAGAACAACATAGGGACAACATGGTAACATTTATAAAAGAAAAAGAGAAAAGCTGAAAAGCATCATGGTTGGGGAGTGGGTACCTCTTATCTTTAAAGGAAAAATAAGACTGACAACTGACTTTTGAACTGGAACAATAGATGTCAGAAGGAAGTGGAATGCTATCTTCAAATTGCTGAAAGAAAACAACTATTAACTATAAATTCTATCTACCAGATTTTTCAAAAATGAAGAAGAGTTAAAGATATTAAAAACTTATCATGAGGCTGAGCATGGCGGCTCATGCCTGTAATCCCAGCATGTTGGGAGGCTGACGTGAGAGGATCACTTGAGCCCAGGAGTTTGAGACCACTCTGGACAACATAGTGAGACCTTGTCTCCATTAAAAAATAAAAATAAATGAATAAATAATTTTAAAAATCATGAACAGATCTATACTAAAGGAAGTATTCAGTAAAGAGTATCCTTGGGACAGAAGGAAAATTATCCCCGATCAAGGCTCAGAAATGTAAGGAGTGAAGAGCAATAGAAATAAGAATTCAATGGTTAAATATAAATAAATATTGACTTTATAAAATAATAATTATTATGTTTTGTGGAGTTTAAAATATGTAGGGAATAACATACATGGTAAAAGTAGAACATAAATCCAAAGAAGTTAATGAAGTTAAATCATTCTAAGTTCCTTGTAGTGTACAGGAAGTGATAACGAAGTTGTGTTGTCATTGATAAGTTAAGGATGCATGTTTTAAAGTTTAGATAATCTTTAAAAGAATGATGACAGAATGTATAAATAACAAGCTAAGAAAGAGGGAAAATAGAATAATAATACTTAAGAAATTCAAACAAAGATGAAAAATAGAAAAAGGATCCTAGAGTAGGTGAGACAAATAAAAAATAGTAGAATAATAGATTTATATCAAATATCAGCCATTATATTAAATATAAATAGACTAAATAGTCAAATTAAAAGTCAAAAGATTATCAGATTGGATTTTTAAAACTATGCTTTAAAGAGACATACCTTTCTTATAAACGTACAGAAGGGCCCGATACAAAAGAATGTAGCAAGATATACCATGCAAAAGAAAGATTGTATAGCTAACCCAAAGAAAGATCGCATAACTGTAAGGCAAGGAACACTGTTAGAGATAAGGGAGATATTTCATAATAAGAAAGATTCAATTCACTTATACTGCACTCACTTGCTCTCTCTCTGTCTCTCTCTCTCACACACACACACAATTATAAGACCTACAAGGAGAAATACAGATATCTATATAGTTAGAAATTTTAAAACACCTCTCAGTAATTGGTACAATCTAGAGACAAAATAAATAAGGATATAGAAAATTTGAACAAAGTTAATTAACAAACATCATCTAATTATAAAACATTGCACTCAACAAATACAGAGTAGATATTCCTTTCAAGTACACATAGAATATTTGCCAGTGTTCTCTATTTGGTGAGTCATAAAGCAACTCTTAACATATTGATGGAAATCATAGAGTATAGGATGGAAATCATAGAGTATATTTTCCAACTACAGTGACATTAAGCTAGAAATCAATTACAAAAAATATAAATGAAAAATCCCCATATGTTTAGAAGTTAAGCAATCACAAGTCAAAGAATAAATGGCAATGGAAAGTAGAAAATATTTGGAAATTAATGACAATGAAAATATGACAGCAAAAATTGTGGAATGCATGTAAAGCAATGCTTAGAGGGATATTTAAAGCCTATTTATATTTGCATATATTAGAAAAGAAGAGAGGTTTAAAAATAACCTAAGCATTAATTTCCAGAAGTTAGAAAAGAACAACTAAATTTTTTTTACAGTGTTGAAGAAAGGAGATAATAAAGACAAGATAAAAGGTAATGAAATGGGGGGAGAATCAACAGAGCCAAAGGACTAATAAAATCAATGAATCCTGGTGAGACTAATCAAGAAAAAATAGCACCAACAACAACTATGAGGAATGAAAAAAGGGTATAACTATCTTTAAAAGATAGTAAGAGAATATTATGAAAAACTTTATGGCAATATATTTGACATTTTAGAGGAAATGGACAAAAATTTTAAAATGCCACTTACTGAAACTGCTGTAAGAAAAATAACAGGCTGAGTTGCTCTATGTCTCCTCATGAATATGTAATTACAAAGTTTCCCATAAGGAAAACTTCAGATCCAGATAGTTTTACTGTTGAGGTCACCAAATATTTAAGGAAGAAATAACACATATTTTCCACAAACTCTCCACTAGAGAATTGAAAAAGAAGGAATACTCCCAGCTGGTTTCAAGAGGCCAGGAGAATTTTGATACTAAAACCTGACTGAAATGTTATAAGAAAGGAACATTCCAGGCCAGTTTCACTCATGAATATAAATTTTAAAATCCTAAACAAGGCCGGGCACAGTGTCTCACGCCTGTAATCCCAGCACTTTGGGAGGCTGAGGTGGGAGGATCACTTGAGGTCAGGAGTTCGAGACCAGCCTGGCCAATATGGTGAAATGCCCGTCAACTAAAACTACAAAAATGAGCTAGGCTTGGTGGCACGTGCCTATAATCCTAGCTACTTGGGAGGCTGAGGCAGGAGAATGGCTTGAACCGGGGAGGCGGAGGTTGCAGTGAGCCGAGATTGTGCCACTGCACTCCAGCCTGGGTGACAGAGTGAGACTCTGTCTCAATCAATCAATCAATAAAATATCTGTCTCAATAAATAAATAAAATTCTAAACAAAATATTAGTAGTATGAATCTAGCAATAAATTACTCCATCATGATCAAGTTGGTTATCTTCTAGAAATGCAAGGTTAGTGTAATATATTTGAAATCAGTAAGTGTTATTTAGTATATTAGCAGCATAAAGGGAAAAAATCATGATCATCTCAATAGATGTAGAAAATATATGTGATGTAATTAACATTTATTCTCGATTAAAAAAGATTTCTGCAAACTAATAAAAAGGGAGTTTTCTTACTGTAAGAAGCATATATACAAAAAATAGCCTACATCATTAAAAAGTAAAAAACATACTTAATGCGTGAAATGTTGAAAGTTTCCCTTTGAGAGTAGGAAAAACAAATCTGCCATCTATCACCACTTCTATTCATTATTGCACAGCAGATCTTAGCTAGTGTGATGAGACATGAAAGAGAAATGAAGGTATTAGGATTAGAAAGGAATAAATAAAACTATTAATTATTGGGAGACTAAATTACTGAGTATAAAGAAAATTCAAAATAAATTTCGGTTAAGTTGTTGGAACTAAAATGAATTTAGCAGGTTTGTTGCATATGAAGTAAATATGAAAAAAGTAAATTGTATTTCTCTTTATCACTAATAATCAGAACATGAATTTACATTAGAATAAAAATAATCAAATTATCTAGGAATAAATCTAACAAGACCCCTATATTGAAAACCATGAAACACTATTGAGATAAATTAAAGACCTAAATAAATGGAGGGATATATGTTGTTTATGAGATGGAAGACTTACTTCTTTTTTTTTTTTGAGATGGAATCTCGCTCAATTGCCCAGGCTGGAGTGCAGTGGCGTGATCTCGGCTCACTGCAAGCTCCGCCTCCCGGGTTCACACCATTCTCCTGCCTCAGCCTCCTGAGTAGCTGGGACTACAGGCGACTGCCACCGTGCCCGGCTAATTTTTTTTTTTTTTTGTATTTTTAGTAGAGACGGGGTTTCACCATGTTAGCCAGGATGGTCTTGATCTCCTGACCTTGTGATCCTCCCGCCTCGGCCTCCCAAAGTGCTGGGATTACAGGCGTGAGCCACTGCGCCTGGCCGGAAGACTTACTTTTTAAAAGATGTCAGTTCATCTCAAAGTGATGTATAGAGTCAGTGTAATCCCAATCAGAATCCTGAGGGTTTTGTGAAAATTGAGAAGCCAATTCTAAAATTTATGTGGAAACACAAAATGCCAAGAGTAGAAAAGGTACTTTTTTTTTTGACACAGAGTCTCACTTTGTTGCCTAGGCTGGATCTCGACTCACTGCAGCCTCTGCCTCCCGGATTCAGGTGATTCTCCTGCTCCAGCCTCCCAAGTAGCTGGGATTACAGGTGTGCGCCAGGACCCAAAAGAACCAATTATAAAGGAGAAGGCAGATAAAATTGGACTATACTAAAATGAGCTTTTGTTCATCAAAAGATATAGAGAATGAAAGGCAACTTAAGAGATATTTACAACGTCTATAATTTACAAAAGGCTTATATGAAGGATATGCAAAGAATTCCTACAAATCAATTCAAGAAAAACAAAATAGCCCCGTAGAAAAATGGACAAGAGTCTTAAATAGGGACTTCACCAAAGAGGATATTCAAATGTTGAATAAACATGTGAAAAGTTGTTCAACTTCATAAGTCTTCAGGGAAATATAAATTAGAAACCACGTGAAATGTGACTCCATGTCCACCACAATGCCTACAGTTGAAAATTACTTACAGTACCAAGAGTTGGTGAGGATTTGTAGAAATGAGAATTCTCATACACTGGTGGTGAGAGTGTAAATTGGTACAACCACTTTGGAAAACTAATCAGCATTACCTAATAAAAGATGAACATATGCGTATTCTGTAAGTCAGTAGTTCTATCCTGATGTACAGGCACAATGGAAAAGTGAATACATATGTACCCAAAATTATGGATAGAAATGTTCATAGCAGCATTATTGATAAAAGCTCAAAACTGGAATCCACCCAGTGTCCATCAAGAGTATAATATAATGTGCATACTTGTGTGCACACACACAAATACTTTATGGTATATGTGAAAAGTGACATACCGATAAAAACAAACTATAGCTACACAACCTGGATGAGTCTCATTGACATTAATGTGTGAAAGAAGTCCTCACCATACACATCTGAATTCCGTTTATATAAAGCTCAAAAAATAGACGTGATGAAACTATAGCTGCCCAGTGCAGTGGCTCACACCTTTAATCCCAGCATTTTGGGAGGCCAAGGTGGGCAGATCACTTGAACCCAGGAGTTTGAGACCAACCTGGGCAACATGGAAACCCCATCTCTACAAAAAATAAAATAATTAGCTGGGAGTGTGGCCTGCACCTGTAGTCCCAGCTACTAGAGAGGCTGAGGTTGAGCCTGTAGTGAGCTGGGTTTTGTGCACTCCTCTGTGTGATATTTCACAGTGTAAACATTTAAAAAATTATATTTAAAAAACCCTCTAAGATCATTTTCTTCACTTTTAATCAATTTAAAATTATGCATAGACTTATTGTGATGAGAATATAGACCTTACCCCTTCTTTTCCCTTGAATTGACATTCTGTTTATATAATGTGAACACTATTCATCAGTGAGACCAATGATTTTTGTATTTTTTTAGTAGAGACGGGGTTTTGCCTGTTGGCCAGGCTGGTCTCGAACTCCTGACTTTAGGTGATCTACCCGCCTTGGCCTTCCAAAGCGCTGGGGTTACAGGCATGAGCCACCACGCCCTTTTAGTTTTTTTTGCTATTAATAAACCTTATCTCTTTTTGATTTATATATATTTGTTTTCTCTCTATATGATTCTCTCTCTCTAAACATACTTCTCCTTCCTCCTTCCTTCCCTCCCTCCCTCCTTTCTCCCTCTTCCTCCCTTCCTTCTCCCTCTCTCCTGCCTTCCCTCCTTCCTTCCTCCCTCCTTCCTTCTCTGCTTTCTTTCCTCCTCCCTCCCTCCCTCCTTCCCTCCTTCCTTTCTCTCTCTCTCCTTTCTTTCCTTCCTCCTCCTTCCCTCATTCCCTCCCTCCCTCCTTGTTTCCTTCCTCCTCCCTCCCTCCCTCCCTCTTTCCCTCCTTCCTGCCTCCCTGTCTTCCTCACTCCTTCCTTCCTACCTGTTCATCCCATGCCTTCCAGCGGACTTTCAATTTGATTTTGTTGTTGCTCAAACTTGGCAAATAATGCACGCCTTCCACTTTGATTTTCCTGTTCTAATTTGGCCTGGTTGCTCTATAAGCCTGTTTTGGCCCAGCTTTTGTGCAGGGACTTATTTTTCACCTGTCTCCTATATTGTTCTCATTTCCTGGATCCCATGTTCTCTTCTCTTTTGGTTTGCTACATTTGGTGTTTTGTTAGAGCACATTCTCTAATTGTTTACTAAGTGAGCACAGGAGGTGAATTTTCCAAGAACTTCATCTCTGAAAGTATCTCTAATCTATCCCCTCTCTTGGTCAGTCGTTTGGTTAGGTATATAATTATAGGTTGAAAATAAGTTTTCCTCAGTATTTCAAAGGCAATACTCAATGAACGTCTAGTTTCTATTGTTGTTGAGAAGTCCATCTACCATTTTGATGGTTCATCTTTTCTATGTGAACAGATTTTTTTTCCTCTGGAAGCTTTTAGAATTTTAATTTTATCCCCGGTGTGAGATTTCATGATACTACAGCCTTGTTGTGTCTTTATAAGTCATTCTGCTGTACATTTAAACAGATCTTTCAACTGGAAGACTTATGCTCCTGTTCTAGGGAAGGTTCTTGTGGATTTTGTGGTTTTGCTTATTTGCTTGTTTTTGTATTAATTTGTTTTAAACCCTTCTCCCCCCAAAAAATTATCTCTCAATACTTAGAAACTCTATTAGTTGAACATTGGGGTGATCCTTCTGTTTGCTTATTTATTTTTCTTTTCTTAATCATCTTTTTGTCTTATTGCCTTACTTTCTGGATAATTTCCATCACTTTAATTTCAAATCATCTATGGAATTCTTTTTCCTTCATATGTTTTATTTCCAAGACCTTTTAAGTTTTTCCTAAATGTTTCTTGTTCTTTTAACATAAGCAATGCCTTCTCTTCTCTTAGAACATTAATTAGAGTTTTGGGCATTTTCTTCTGTTTCCTGTGTTATCTCTGTTTCCTTTGAGTTTCTTGTTTTTCTTACTGGCTTTTCATTTCACTTTTAATGTTTTTTTCTCTCTGTCACCCCGGCTGGAGTACAGTGGTATGATCATAGCTCAGTATAACCCCAAATTCCTGGGCTCAGGTGACCCTCTTGCCTCAGTCTCCTTGGTAGCTAGAACTACGGGCATGTGCCACCACTCCTGGTTCATTTTAAAATTTTTTGTAGAGATGGTGTCTCCGTATGTTGCCCAGGCCGGCGTTGAACTCCTGGGCTTAAGCGATCCTCCTGCTTCAACCCCCCAAAGTTCTTGGATTACAGGTGGGAGCTACCACACCTTTCCTGTTTGTTTAGATGTCTGACTTTCACAGTGTAGATGTTCCTTAAATTCCTGGTGATGCCTGAATTTCGTTTTCATATTGAAATGAATCTTACAAGGTTCAGAAGAGCTTATTGGATACTGTGTGCCTGAGTAGCGCTGCTCATGGACTGGGGAGCTTCCCTGTGGAGTGGTCGGATGTTTGAGCCAGTTCCTCAAATATCAGTATCTCTCCGGAGGTTTTCCTCTGGGGCCATTCCTTCTCAGAGAAGAATCTCCTAATCTCCTGTGTAGGGGATGTAAACCTGGGTGCTGGCATTCTGGGAGCCAGGTGGGCAAGGGTCACGGGCTCTTACCATTCAGTGCACGAAGTTTAGCTTTTGCCTTCTGCTTTTCAGTCTGATGTCTCATCTCTTCTCCCTTCCAAGCTGTGGCTCCCAGGGTTGAGAATATGAAGATCAAACTTTTCAGTGTGGATTCTGTAGGCTGGAAATAAGGCGATCCCTTTTCTGCCTGTCGTAAAGGTCACAGCCGACACTCCTATACCAAAAGACAGATTAACAAGAGTAAGCCATATCAAATTTAGTTAATCATAGCCTTATGTGACACAAGAGCCTTTGGAATGAAGACCTAAAGATACAGAGAAAGCTATCCATTTTTATGCTTAGGTTTGATGCATAATGGATAGTTGTGTAGAGCGGTGATTGGACAAGGAGAGAATGACCCCAGCAAGGCCTGACCGTTCAGATTCTTCCTGGCCTCTCTGAGTGGCATTCTTTCACTCCAGGTAGGGGGTAGACCTCCCCTGGAATGAGGGTCTTATGACCTACTATCAGACAAGGTAAATCAGAGAATTTCTTGCACAGAAAGGTGGGGATGGAGGGGAAGGTTAGAGATGTATTTCTAGGTTTTACGGCTGACTCTCGGGGAGAGGGGTTCTGGTTTCTATGTCCTTCTTTGGGGAAGAGGAATTCTAGTTTCTATGGCTTGCCTCGAGGGCAAATGAGGGGGTGAGAGACAGGAGAGCAGGAGAAAGTCAGAGAGGGACTTTGCTTCTGGGGCTACTTCTGAAGCATCCACTTTGTTGTATTGTTTCCTGAGCCCCAACTAGTCTAACTAAATTCCCACACGTCATCCCCACTTTCTCCGTATCTGATGCCTCTGATTCCTGAGCCTTCTTAGGATTCAGTGGGGTGAATGCATTTGATTCTGCTCCGTTCTCCCCTCTGCCGGAATTTTTGAGTGTCAGCTTTCCTCCTTCTGCCTGAGTTCATCTGTCACTCTTCCATATACCCTCAGTCTTCCAGAAATTACTCCATCTTTCTCATCTGCTGGGTCTCCTCTCCCTTTCTCATTGTCCCTGTGGGTTAACGTTAACTCTCCCAGGGCCAAAAGGATGACTTGCACGTCTTCAGTTTGCTTACAGGGCAAACATGAAGGCTTAAGAATCATTCATTGATTGGTTTGCCCATCTCCATAATCATTGAAATACTCTGCCCTTTTTCCATTTTTGAGCTTAAAAAAAAAATGTTCTCTATTGTGTGTCATTGGCAGGTGGGTAGATTCAAATGGTAACATCGACTTGGTGCCATATCCAACTCTTAGTAGGTTCCTTCTCCTTTCGGCTGCTTAGATGCCCAGGAAACCTGGGGCCTGCCCGGCATCAGTCCCTCCCCTGTGCCAAGCACTGCTGCCCTCTTTGGCCAAGCTGCCTTGTTTCCAAACTGTTCAGAAAGGAGGAGTCAGGAGGGGAAGTTGGGACAGCTCTGAGGTGCCTGAAGGGGCTGAGTTTCTCTTCCTCTCCTAAGCAGAAACAGGGTGCTCTTAAAATAGCCTTTGGAGCTTTGTGATGTGAATACAACCACACAGCCCTTCTCAGAATTTGCTTATTATGGAAAATAAAAATCACTAGGAATAGGCACCCCCCGCCCCCCCGCCCCCAATTCATTCTCATGGCTGATTTTAAGAAGCTGCATCTTGACTGTTGCTAGGTGGTTTCAGGGTAGAAAGCATCCAACTTCCAGTCCTGGGCTGCCTTCACAGCATTTCAGATTCATGCTGCATGGTGCGGCCGCAACTGTTCGCCTATAGACCTCGGCTGGGTGTGCTTTTTCTTCTTCTTCCCCTTATGCAGTCGAAGCAGGGAATAGGAAATGTTTCTGAGGCCTGGCATGGGCTGTGGGATTCTCAAATTGTGAGGACTACCACGACCAGGCTCAAGGAACTGGTGGTGCCTTCTGCCATCTTGAGATTTTTCAAAATGAGACTGATTTGACTTTTATCAATGATTTGATTTTGTGGAAGTTATTAAAGGTTCTGACAAGTTTATTGTGTTTTTAAGTGACTCACACCTGTAGGTAAATCTGAAATGCTTTTGTAAGTCTGGGTAGTGGTCTGGAGAGAAGGGTGTGTCTTTTCTAGATATTAGGAAAACACATCATCTCATACAAGGGCAAGAGTGTTTTGGTCTCATGATCTGGGAGTGCACATGGTAAACAGCTGTGCTGGTTAATTATTATCAGAAAAAAAAATGACTGCAGTTCAAATATTTAATTTTTTTTTGGTAGATGTTTCCCGACCTTGACTTGGTTTATAGTTAATAATACCATACAGCAAGTCACTAGATTTGTGGCATATGTTTTGCAACTAGTTAATCTTTGAGGGCACACTAAGAAGTTGCATGGTGAGAAGCTAGACATTGTACACCCTTTAAAAGATGTGTGTTTGATTAGGTTTCACAAAATTCCAGGCTAGAAGTATTTCAGTCATGGGAACTAGATGGCCCAGTTGTCTGGGTATTAAAGTGTCCCAAAATCATTGTTTTTCAGAGGAGCGTTGGCTTTGCCCCTGGGTATCTAACGCCTTGGGTTTCCATCTTTGCCAAATCCTTCTTCATGAAGACAGCAGCCCTACCCCTGCTATGTCTTAAATCACATATCTTCATACTTAACTAGCTATATAGGAGAGCTACCATCCAGGTACTGACCAGGAGTTTAACCACAAATATACTGCTACCCAACACCTTTCCAGTATTTGGTTGGGCATGGTGATATCTGTGGAGGATTGCTGGTTGTCTGACCTGTTCCTGAATTTAACCTGGCCATTAGTGAGCTCTCTACGTAACATGATGTTAGCCTAGAGCACTCCCTGAATTGTCCTTTATCTTGGTGCTATCGGGCGGTGTTGATGGTTGTTAAGTTGCTGGATGCTGAAACAGAAAAGCTGACAAACACCCATTGCTGAATTTTTACTTTACCCAAGTCACGATTCCTGGGCTTTTTTTGTCCTATATTAGGTGATTCTTGCATTGCTATAAATACCTGAGACCGGGTAATTTATAAGAAAAGAAGTTTAATTGGCTCACGGTTCTGTAGGCTGTACAGGAAGCATGATGCTGGCGTCTGCTTGGTTTCTGGGGAGGCTTCAGGAAATGTACAGTCATGGCAGAAGGCAAAGGGGGAGCAGGCATGTCACATGGCCTGAGCAGGAGCAAGAGAGAGAGGGAGGAGGTGCCACACACTTACAAATGACCAGGTCTTGCGAGAAGTCACTATTGTGAAGATTGCACCAAGAGGATGGTGCTAAACCTTTCATGAGAAATCCATCCCCATGATCCAGTCACCTCCCACCAGGCTCCATCTCCAACACTGGGGATTACAATTTGACATGAGATTTAGAGGGGACACAGATCCAAACTATATCAGATGCTAAAACAAAAAAGCCCCCATATGCCCATTGCTCTATCTGTTAATTTACCCAAAATTATGATTCCTGGGCTTTTTTTTTTTTTTTTTTTTTTCTGAGACAGAGTCTTACTCTTTCACCCAGGCTGGAGTGCAGTGGTGTGGTCTCAGCTCACTGCAACCTCTGCCTACCAGGTTCAAGCAGTTTTCCTGCCTCAGCCTCCTGAAAGCTGGGATTACAGGCACATGCCACCACACCTGGCTAATTTTTGTATTTTAGTAGAGACGAGGTTTCCCCATATCGTCCAGGCTGGTCTCAAACTGCTGACCTCAAGTGATCTGCCCGCCTCTGCCTCCCAAAGTGCTTGGATTACAGGCATGAGCCACTGTGCCCGGCCTGATGCCTGAGCTTTTTTCCCCGGAGATAAATGTTGCTTCTCCCACACAGTGGTTTAAATTTTTTTTCAATTTCGTTGCCTTTACATGAGGCATACACCCTCTAGATGACCCCAGTCCTTATCGTTCTCTATCATCTGACACTGGCTTCGCTCAGTTTCTTTGTCTGCCTGGCTCCTGTGGGCATTTGAATTTGCAAATCCTGCTTTAGACAGTGTAATTTTATGTATTAACTTGGCTAGGCCACAATACCCAGGTATTTGGTCAAACACCAGTCTAGATGTTGCTGTGAAGGGATTTTCTAGAAGAGATTAACATTTAAATTGGCAGTCGTTGAATAAAGCGGATTACCCCCCATAATGTGGGTGGGCCTCACCTAATCAGTCGAAGACCCCAAGAGAAAAAGACCGGGGTTCCCCCGAAAAAGAGGAAATTTTGCCTTCACA
Organism: Homo sapiens; assembly: GCF_000001405.40. Classification (NCBI taxonomy): domain Eukaryota; kingdom Metazoa; phylum Chordata; class Mammalia; order Primates; family Hominidae; genus Homo; species Homo sapiens. The sequence continues at coordinate 89,587,141 of NC_000014.9, read as the reverse complement.
AGAAAAAGGAAATTTTGCCTTCACACGGCCTCTGGACTTGAACTGCAACATCAGCTCTTCCCTGGGTCTCCAGCCTGCCAATGTACCCTTTGGAGTCACCAGCCCCTGTAATTGTGCAAGCCAGTTCTTTAAAAGAGATCTCTATAAATGTCTGTACATCTGCTGGTTCTGTTTCTCTTAAGTACACTGCCTAGTACATACAGTGAGCTCTTCATAGAGACCTTCAAGGACAACAGTTGATTTGCTTTTATATTATGGATACTGAGTCATGTGATTGGAAATGTTTCCCTTTTTGCATTGATAGGAAAAGCTTACAATCAAATCTGGGTCTTTCAGCAAATGAATCCTGATGGGTACACATCACCAGTAGTAGAGGCACACTAGTGAAATGGTGGGAGGGAATACCAGAATCTGAGGTTTGTCAGGGAGAGCATTTGGCGAGCCTGTTTAGTTTAAATCTACCTGCCCGCATCCCCTGCACTGGGGTAAGCCATCTTAAATATTTTCTAAGATAGAGGCATAAGCAAACAAAAAAACAGCATACCTTTTCATCAATCTACTTCAGATAACATACACTTTTTGAGTCATGATCAGGGATAGTAGTTGGAATTGAGCAGTTGAATAGCTTATTTCTGGAGACAGTATGACATCTTCACGAACCTCACACTAATCTGTGGTAAGCACAGGAGACCGCATCAGCTTCTGATGCTGGTTTTGTGATCAGGAACCTAAAACCTCCACAGAGTCCCTGACAAGGTTTCTACTGTGAGAAGTGCTTTTGTAGCTTTTTCTTTATTTTTCCTTTTTAGCCTCAGCTTTTGGCATCTTGTCTCTTGTATTAACCTTTCTCTTCTCTTTTCTTACATCCTGCTTTCATTTTATTTCACATTTTTGGATATTTTCCCAGCAGATTTGAAGCCTGTCCATGCATTCATTTATTCTATCATTCATTCAGCAAATACTTTTGATCCGGTATGCCAGGCCAGGCATTGGTGCTGGGTAATTTGAGAGGGAAGATACCAAGCTGAATCGGATAGAGATTCCACCTCAAGACCTGTAGTCTATAGAATATAGGAAGATTATGTGAGGAAGTAGCCCCACATACTACTTCACATACATACGTAGTGAGATGGGCTACGATCCCATCTCACTCAAGCTTTCGCTTGAATGTTACTTCCCATGTAAACCTACCCTGACTACCCTATTTAAATTGTCACCTGCCCCAACCCTGCAATCTCTAGCATCCCTAATCTCCTTCATCCTGCCCTACCTTTTCTTTTTGCCAAACGCTCTTCATCTTTCAGCATACTATGTAATTTACTATTTGTTGTGTCTATTATTTTTCTTTCTTTCTTTCTTCCTTCCTTTCTTTTTTTTTTTTTTTCTAGTCAAGTGAAGCAGTGGGAGTGGAGAAGGAACAAATAAATCTATTAGTTTTTGTGATCAGTTAGTTGTAAATACCACTGTACTCAGACCGGCCTATTATTTCTTTATTATTATCCATCTCCTTCTGCTAGAATGTCAACTCTGCCAGGGCAGGGAGCTTTTTTAGTCTCTGTTTTGCTCATGGATGTATCCCAAGGGCCTCCAGTAATGCCTGGCCCATAGTAGATGCTCAGGGAATATTTGTTTAATGAATGAATTTGGGTAAAGTAAACCTCAAAGATCTGGGGGGAATGAATTTCTCTAGCATACATATGATAAAGCAGACATGACTTAAACACATTTACTTTTCTTATTAAAAACAACAACAAATAAGTAGAAATCAAGGTAGAAAGTTAGAAATGGCAGAAGAAAAAGACATTTCTGGCAGCTTGGATGAGGAAACCATTACTCTCAAACTGGGCTCAGGAAAGGATTGAGAATGAATGTAGCATCTCTTCTGGGACTTGAAGGATCAATAGAATTCGAATTGGCAAAAATATAGGTGAAGAAGGCATTAAGTTATTTAAAGCGAAGGAAACAGCATCAGCAAAATTATAGAGGAAAGTGTGAGGTGTGTGGGTCTAGGGGCTTATACATTGCGTTTGATTAGACTGAATGGTACACAAAGAGGAATACTGGAAAAAATAAGGTTGAAAAGTGAGATTGGCCAATAAAAAATGGACAATTTGAAAAGAGACACTTGCCGGGCACGGTGGCTCACGCCTGTAATCCCAGCACTTCGGGAGGCTGAGGCGGGCGGATCACCTGAGGTCAGGAGTTCAAGACCAGCCTGGCCAACACGGTAAAACCCCATCCATCTCTACAAAAATACAGAAATTAGCCGGACATGATGGCAGGTGCCTGTAATCCCAGCTACTCAGGAGGCTGAGGTGGAAGAATTGTTTGAACCCGGGAGGCAGAGTTTGCAGTGAGCCAAAATTGTGCCTTTGCTCTCCAGCCTGGGCGACAGAGTGAGACTCTGTCAAAAAAGAAAAAAGAAAAGAAAAGAGAAGAGAAGAAAAGAAGAGAAAAGACACTTTACCAAAGAGATATATGGATGACAAATAAGTACCTGAAAATATATTCATATTATAAATCTTTAGGGAAATGAAATTAAATTCATATTTTGATACTGCACCACCTAGTATAAAATTAAAAAGACCAGTTATACTAAATGTTGATGAGAATGTAAAGAAACGGAAACTCTCATACTCTGCTGGTGGGAATGTGAAATTGGGTAACCACAGTCATTGTACGTTTTGTGCTGCTATAACAGAATACCTGACACTAGGTTATTTATTTATTATTTATTTATCAAGATGGAGTTTCCCTGGGTCGCCCAGGCTGGCGTACAGTGGTGCGATATCGGTTCACTGCAACCTCCGCCTCCCAGGCTCAAAAGATTCTCCTGCCTCAGCTTCCTGAGTAGCTGGGGCTATAGGCACACACCACCATGCCTGGCTAATTTTTAAAATATTTTTAGTAAAGATGGGGTTTCACCATGTTGGCCAGGCTGGTCTTGGCCGGCCTCTGTTCTTTATAAATTACCTAGTGTTAGGGCCAGGTGTGGTGGCTCATACCTGTAATCCCAGCACTTTGAGAGGCCGAGGCAGGCAGATTCCTTGAGTAAAGAGTTCAAGACCAGCCTGGCCAACATGGTGAAACCCCATCTCTACTGAAAATACAAAAATTAGCTGGGTGTGGTGGTGGCACATGCCTGTAGCCCCAGCTACTCGGGAGGTTGAGGCAGGAGAATTGCTTGAACCCGGGAGGCGGAGGTTGCAGTGAGTCGAGATCACACCACTGCACTCCAACCTGGGTGACAGAGCAAGACTCCATCTAAAAAATAAATAAATAGGCTGGGTGCGGTATCTGACACCTATAATCCCAGCACTTTGGGAGGCCGAGGTGGGCGGATCACTTGAGGCCAGGAGTTTAAGACCAGCCTGGCCAACATGGTGAAACCCTGCCTCTACTAAAAATACAAAAATTAGCCAGATGTGGTGGCACACGCCTGTAATCCCAGCTACTCAGGAAGCTGAGAAGGAGAATTGCTTAAGCCTAGGAGGCAGAGGTTGTAGTGAGATGAGATGGTGCCACTGCACTCCACCCTGGGCAACAGAGTGAGACTCCATTTCAAAAAACAAAAATAAAAACAGGAAGAGAGAGAGAGAGAACACACAAATTCACAGTTCTGGCGGCTGGAAAGTCTTAAGATCAAAATGCCAGCATTGGGTCTGGTGAGGGCCTTCTTGCAGCATCCTTCCATGGCAGAAGGCGGAAGCGCAAAATGGGATGAATGCTGTGTCCTTGTACGGCAAAAGAGCAGGAGAGAGAGAACCTACTCCTGAAAGCCCCTCTATAGCGGCATTAATCCATCTATGAGGGCAGAGACCTCATGAACTGAGCACCTGCCCAGATGCCTCACCTCTCAACAATGCTGCATTGGGGATGAGTTTCTAATAAATGAATTTTGAGGGGCAAAAACATTCAAGCCATAGCAATCACTTTGAAAACAGTTAAGCAATTTCTTAAAAAGGTAAACGTATATCTACCATATGATCTACTCATTACAGTCAATGAGTCTAAGAGAATGCCAGTCTAAGAGAAATGAAAGCGTACATTCACACAAAGACTTGTATGTAATCTTCATAGCAGCTTTATTTACAATAACACCAAACTGGAAATGCCATCAACAGGCCAATGAGAAATCAAATGGTGGTATATCTATACAATGGAACACTATTCAGCAATAAAAATAAACTATTGATACACATGACATTATGGAAGAATCTCAAAATAATTGTATTAAGTAAAAGAAACCCTACCAGAAAAGAGCATATATATTGTATGATTACATATGTATACAGTTATAGAAAATGCAGACTCATCTATAAGGACAGAAAGCATATAAGTGATTTGAGATGGCAGGGGAGATGGCTGGGAGAAGGATTAAAAGGAGCAAGAGGGAACTTTTGGAGATGATGATCATGGTGATGGTTTCACAGGTGTATATATATGTTAAAACCTATCAAATTGCATTCTTTAAATGTGTGAATAATATCCCAATAAAGCTGTTTTAAAAAGGTGAGTTTGCTACTCGGGAGGCTGAGGCAGGAGAATGGCATGAACCCGGGAGGTGGAGCTTGCAGTGACCTGAGATTGCGCCACTACACTCCAGCCTGGGTGACAGAGCGAGACTCCGTCTCAAAAAAAAAAAAAAAAAAAAGGTGAGTTTAAAGTCAACTCACCTAGGCTCTTCACGCTTAGGCTAAGGTATTTATATTCTTCAGTTGGCTATTCCTCTATTCAAACACTAATTTAAAAAATATTTATTGCGTGCTGATTATGTGCTGAACACTATGCATGGCTATTAATATAAATAGAGAACCTTGGAGAAGGGACTGGGAAGTAAGTGATGAGTTTCATTTTGGACATGAGTTTGGGGCGTCTGATGTGTTACCTGGTAGAGATGAGGAGCGGGCAGCTGAAAATACCAAGACATACTTGGGAAGAGAACAAGGATGGACATAATGATTTACATGCTTCCCACAGACGGGGGACTGTTGGAGCCAGAAGATTTAGTAAGATTATTAGAGGAGAACGTGGGGAACATGTGGCATGACACTTGGTGGACACATTAGTGTGTTTATTCTCACTGCTGCAGAAGACCTGAAAAAATTTTCTTCCTTCCTTCCCAATAAAACAGTGAAATGTTTGTACTCTGAATCTGGTCTCCCTTGCCTCGGAGAGTTGTTACAACTTTTTGTCCTGGGGCTAAATGTTGGGTTTCCAGATACCTAGAAGTCAACCCCAACTCAGACTTTTTTAGGAAACTGGATAAAAGTCAAGGATGTGAGGAAGGCAGATGCTAGGAATTGAGAATACAAAAATGGCTCAGTGTGAATGATGGGGGATTGTGCGGGGCTGCTAGGCTTCTCTGACTCTAGGAGAGGGAATCCCTGAAGTAGAAGAGACCCATGTCCACTGTCCTGTGGTATAAGAGAATGTGCCAAACTCTGGGATAGCTTAGCATGTGGATGCTGGAAGGACTTAACATCAAACACCATGGCCCTGGGAGCCACAGTCAAGCACTCCTGTGGTCCCACTTGGTTTTGAGGGAAAAGAGCAGGTACCGGGGAATAGTCGGATGACACGTATCATACAAGTGACCCAGGGAACTTTAAACCACGTGCTTTTTTCCTATTCTATCTTTCTCTTTTTTTTTTTCTTTGAGACAGAGTTTTCTGCTTGTCGCCCAAGCTAGACTGCAATGGCACGATCTTGGCTCACTGCAACCTCTGCCTCCTGGGTTCAAGTGATTCTCCTGCCTCAACCTCCCAAGTAGGTGAGATTACCGGCACACACCACCGTGGCCAGCAAATTTTGAAATTTGTAGTAGAGACGGGGTTTCACTATGTTGGCCAGGCTGGTCTCAAACTCCTGACCTCAGGTGATACTCCCCCCTCAGCCTCCCAAAATGTTGGGATTATGGCCGTGAGCCACCGCACCCAGCCTTTTTTGTTTTTGTTTCTGAGACAGGGTCTCACTCTGTCACCCAAGCTGGAGTACATTGGCATGATAATGGCTCACTGTGGCCTCGACCTTCCAGGCTCAAGTGATCCTTCCACCCCAGCCTCCCAAGTAACTGGGACTACAGGCACACACCACCACGATTGGCTAATTTTTTTTTTTTTGTAGAGATGAGGTCTAACTGTGTTGCCCAGGCTGGTCTTGAACTTCTTGGCTCAGGTGATCCTCCTACCTCGGCCTCCCAAAGTGCTGGGATTACAGGCATGAGCCAACACACCTGGCCATTTCCCCCTATTCTCTAGGTACCATGTAAGCCCCCAAGATGTCCCTCTGACCCCAGAAGGGGAATAGGTCCCTAAAAACATAATTGAAATTAAATTTCCATTAAGTGAGGCCTTGGGATCCAGATTTAATTTGATTTAGAAGAAATAAAGTAATGTCATGTCCCTTGCCCTCAACTTGCATCAATTATGGAGCAAATGTATTCCCACTAGAAATAAAACCAGGTCAAGATCCTTAGGGAACACATATTTGAGGGAGAGCTGCCTCAATTCTGGAGGGGGATCAGGTGTTAGTACAAAGAATTACACAGATGGAGGTTGGGCAGAGGTGGGGGACCATCTAGAAACGAACTATTTCCATCCTTTGCCTAACATTTTCCAGTAGGATGAGACTGTATCCCCTTAAAGGGTTTTGAGAAAGTGGAGTCCATATATGGCACTGTTATGTGGTCCTTAACTCTTGACTGTATTTATACAATTACCCAGCTTGACTGACAGCCCTTGGTGGTGGTTTCCTTCGAGCACAGAACAGGTTTTGGCTAAAACTACTCAGCATGGTACCTGGAAAACCATCCTCTGAGAGTTTACAGAACACCTTGTAATCTGGAAGGAAATTATTCCTCCTAACATGTCTGTAAGAAACTCATTTTGTTCATCCATTTTAGAGATGAGGTAATTGTGGTGGAAGAGCCGAATACAAGTTCCTGGGCAACTTATTTCTGGAGACTCTTAGGAGGAAAATTACTGCTCTTGACTGATTTCCTAGACTCTGCTAGAAATACCAATCTGGTGTTTAGAAATATGGGTTATGGAGTCAAATGGATTCAGGTTCAAATTCTGGCTTTGCCTTCAGTTACCTCTATATAACTTTGCACTGAACCCTGGGAACCTCATTTTTTTTTCTTTTCAGAATAGGAATAATCTATCTCATAAAGTTAGAGAAAATTGTAGAGATACATATTTATTCCTTTATGTATTTATTAAGTGTTATTGGGTATGTACTCTGTAGCAGTGAGAGAGTCGGGGTTCCTTCTATGATTCAATTGAAGACACAAGGAAATAACAAACAGCTAAACAAGTAAATATACAAGATACTATGGGGTGTGAGATAATCATGCAGGGTAAAAAAAATGACAAAGAATGGTAGTTGAACCATTTGGTAAGGGTGGCCAGATACGGGTTCTCTGCATGGAAGGGGCTAGCCTTGTACATGCCAAGGTCCTGAGGTGGGAGTAGCTTGCATGTCTGAGGAACAGGAAGAAGGACCTGTGTGGCTGGAGGTTGGTGAGTTGTGGAATGGCTGGGAGATGAAATGGCAGGATCCCATCACCTCAGGGCTTATGGGCAAGAGAAATGTGGATTTTATTGCTCGTATATTGGGAAACTACTAGAGGATTTTATGTGAAGAAGTCACTGAATTGGATTTATATTCTTAAAAGAATATTTTGGCTGGGCACAGTGGCTGATGCCTGTAATCCTAGCACTTTGGGAGACTGAGGCAGGAGGATCACTTGAGGCCAGGAGTTTGAGGCCAGCCTGGGCAACATAGTGAGACCCCGTCTCTACAAAAAAAAACATAAATAAATTAGCCAGGCGTGATGGCATGTGCTTGTGGTCCGAGCTACTCAGGAGGCTGAGGTGGGAGGATCCCTTGAGCCCAGGAGTTTGAGGCTGCAGTGAGCCATGATCATGCCAGTGTACTTCAGCCTGGGTGACAGGGTGAGACCTTGTCTAAAAAAAAAAAAAAAAAAATGGCTGGGCATGGTGGCTCATGCCTGTAATCCTAGCACTTTGGGAGGCCGAGATGGGAGGATCACTTGAGGCCAAGAGTTTGAGACTGGCCTCAGCAACATAGTGAGACCTCGTCTCTAGAAAAAAATTTAAAAAATTCAACAGGTGTGTTGGCATGTGACTATAGTCCCGGATACTCAGGTGGCTGAGGTGAGAGGGTCACTTAGGCCCAGCAGGTTGAGGCTGCAGTGAGCTGTAATAGTGCCACTGCACTCCTGCCTGGGCGAAGGAGCAAGACCCTGTCTCAAACAAAACAAAACAAAAAAATCATTCTGGCTACTGTGTGGAGGATGGAATTAGAGAGACCAGTTAAGAGGAGTGACAGTGTCTAGGAGAGAAGAAGGGGGCTTTGGTTAGAGTGAGGAAGTGGAACGGCAAAAAAAGAGCAGTTCAGGATTGTGTTTGGAAGCAGAGGCAACAGGGCTTGCTGACGGATTAGAAGGGGAGGGTGAGAGAAAGGGAGGAATGGAGGATTATTTTAGAATTTTGGAAGGTGGTATCATTTCTTGAGATTGGAAAGACTTGGAGTGAACACATTTGGGGTGGGGAAGTGGAGAACAAGAGTTCTGTGTCGGTCAGCCTAAGTTTGAGATGCCTGTTGCACGTGTCAGGGAGTGCTGCTGGCTGTACCCATCTGGAGCTCAGGGGGAGAGTCATGGAATTTGAGTTATTAGCATGTACGCGGTGTCTGTAGCTAGAAGGTTGGGTAAGATCATCCAGAGAGAGGGGGTAGAAGAGACAGAAGTGCCTGGACAGAGTCCTGAGCACTAAAATGTCAAGATCAGATGAAAAAAGATTAGCTAGCAAAAATCACTGAGAAGGAACTCTCATTGAAGTTGCTGAAAGAGAAGTGGGCATCTGGTGTTGCAAAACCACAGGGCTGGACACACTGTAGACATTCAAAGAGAGTTAGTTTCTTCTTTAATGGAAAAGTATCATTCATCCATTTTAGGTCTTTCAAAGGATATTATATTACCTTTCATCCCAGCATAAATTCAAATTGCCATGGCATTTTTTCCCTTTCATATGTCTTTCAAGGTTGAAATATAGAGCCCTGAAGAGCTGTGGGTTGGTCACCTCTCTTCGAAAGCATGCATTTGCTAGGTTGCAAATCCACCAAGGGAAGATTTCTCTTTTTCCACTGGAAGTTCACATGATTTAATTTGCCTGAGTAACCTGCTGTCATAGGTTTTCATAGAGTCCTGACATCTAACAGAGTAATTAATGCTTTAGGCTTTTAGGAGCTGTTTCAGGTTTTTATTAATCACCGTTGTGATTGCACGTGTGAATTATGAAGGAGTTATTTTGGTAGTTGAATTTCCTCCTCAGGAAAATTTCCATATTTGTTCATGATGAACTGATAGCCTGAAGAAAAAGGAGAAAATGGAGAATTTTCCCCGGGTCCGAAGCAGGCACTCCACATTATCCAGGGTAAGAATGACTTCCTAGAGAACAGAAGGAGTGTGAGGTGTTTGAAGCTGGTGGTTAACCGTTTTCTCTTTCCCTCCCTGAAATTTAATTAGAAATTCCCCGTGATTGCCCCGGGAATATATGGATTTTGTGAACTTTGTAAAGATGTGTGGCATCATTTCATCCTGACATCATTTGCCATGAATTTGCAGGTTTTTTATTCCTTTATGATTCCTGCCATTGGAGGAATCACTCCTAGGACCTTCCTGATTCGTCTACTGGTCTTTTTGGGGTTTTCCAGAAGACGGAGGTATCTAGGTAATCGGAAGGAAATAGAAACCTATCCTTATAATTTTATTTATGGAGGACTACATGGATTTTCAAAATTATGTGATTGTACTTGAGATCAGTGTATGAAAAAGGAATGCACTGAGCGGAGTCTAGTCCTTAGGATTCTCTTCTGAAGTGTGAAAAAGAAAACACAATAGCTGTTATCTTGGAAACTCCGCCCCTCCAGGCATTCACTCGCACCCCAGGCATTTGCAGGCCCTCTGCATAGACTCTGCTGTGGCTACACGTGGGTCTTCCGTGCCATTTTCCTTGGCATGTGAGTAAATGTAGGTTTCCCCTGTGTTTATGGGAAATTTTACTCCCAGCCTTTTACGGTGACAAGAGAAGACTGGCTGCTTTACTCAGCACAGGGCGCTTTTCAATGATTAGAGCGATTTTCTCTGATTCTACTATACTTAGGGAAGATTTTTGAGACTACAAATACAAGACAAAGTAGTTATGTATCAGCATACGGATGGAGGCAGCCACTGTGCTAGTATCCAATTCTTTGACTACTGAGTGAAAATAGCTGCTCCTGTTCTAATTGCCATTTTTACTCTTCCTAAGTGGCCAGTTGGGAGAGACGGAGGAGGGAGGGAAGGAGCTGGGTTGGGCGGGAGGAGGTCCATTTGCAAAGTCAACAGCGGAAGTGTTCGGGGAACAGAAGACATCTGATCCGAATTCTATACAGATAAGGGAAGGATTGGATACCCAGCAGATGGGCCACCCTTCTAATTCTGCAGTAGCTTGCCGTGACAGACTTCTAATCTGATGGTATTTTCATCTTAATTTACTTGCAACCTGTTTTGTTTTGTTTTGGGTTTTTTTTTTTTTGTAGGTAACAGCATTTCTGACAAAGGTGATACATTTGCTAAAGCTTAACATTCAGATTCCTTCCTTGTCTGAGTGTTATATAATTATATATACATTTGGGCTCAAAGGTCCCAGTCTAACAAATTCCCTTCACAGGAGCACCATTTGAGGGCCCATTCTCTCATTAATTTTATTTGACATTTATGTCAACATTACATTCCTAGCCTAAAAGGAGAAATCACATGAGTACGCAGGGGCGTATTTTAAAGTGGAGTATTTAGTTTGGCAGTGAAAGGCACCCGGCGAAGTCTGCGAAAGCAACGTTTTCTAAATTAGTTAATATAAAGTGGTCTAAATGCACTAAATTTATATTGTTCTACAATGTGCTAAATGCTAGAGCACGTGGCTGTTTTGATATTTCTAACATTTTCCCCCTGGGGCTCCCAGAATTGCCTAAGATGGGTGTCTCTGGAAAATAAACTTGGGAGCCATCAGAGGTGTCAGGAACAGCTGAAAACAAGTCACTTACGATGTCAGCGATGGAATTTGCTTCCGTGAGACCTTGTGCAAAAATCAAAGACCTGATTCTTCTGCTTAGCCTAACTTCAGAGCGAGGAGTTTATCGGTGGGGCATAGAGGCATCTGGTCCCCAGTTCTGCTGAATGAAGAGTTTCACAGGCGCTGCGTGGAGGCCGGAGGGCGGTTGCCAGCCCCAGCCCAGCATTGGGAGCCAATCACATGGCCACGACTTTGCCTAGTGCTTCCCAAAGTAGACAAAAGCGTGAACTGGGGTTATCAAACCTAAATAAGAAACAGTTGTTAGAGACCATCGGTATCCTCTGATTTGGGAGCTAAGTTGAATTTTGATTCAAGAGATGCCACGAGAGAGGGAAAGAGCTTCCCCTAAGCAGCCTCCAAGGGCCCGAGCGTGGCAGCTCCTTCTGCTTCCAAAATGCTGACTTGTACATACTTGGTGGTTTTTGTGCTCTGGAGCTGTGCTTTGTGTTTGGCTATAACAATGAGTTGCAGACTGGGTTTTTGCTTTGCAGAGAATTCACCAGCATTGGAGAGGACCTGCCTTTGGTAAAAGCAGGGAGTGGGCAGTTTGTCCAGCCCCCGTCGCTTGAGTTTATTATAGTGTTTATCCCTTCTCCCTATCATCCCCACCCCAGCCAGGGTTTACTGACCCAAAACGACCTCCCAATTTCCTTTCTGCCATCTCTATCATGAATCTCAAGGGTCAAGTGCTTGGTCACCAGCTGACCTGTGAGCCTACCCAGATAGCAAGGTCCTTCAAGGTCATCTTAGAGTGATCTTAACTATGATCTTCTAGAGTCAGTGTCGCTTGGGGGTCCCCTTCGTGGGTTGGCAGAAAGGTGAGGATTTTGTCAGGGAAAATAGAGGAGGAAGGATGATTGCAGTTTATGAAGGAGAAACTTTGAGTCTGAGTTAGCTTTCATCAGAGTCAGTATAGACAACCTTGCTCTCAACACCTCACTTTGGCTTAGAGCACTTCGTGATTTTCTTACCTGATCTCATCTGCTTCAGCTTCCCGCTGGCCTTGTTTGCATACCGATCAGCTGGTGGGGTAGCAGTAGAGTGTTTTAGAGTTCCAGTACACCCTTCCTTTCCTATAAAGGCACAACATACAGAAGAAATAGAAATTTACAATTTTTTTTTTAAAGCTGTAAAGGCAATTCTGATTTTCATAGGGAAGAGATTTTAAGAATTGGAGGAGCCTCGGAGGTCTTTGCATGTCTAGATAAGCTTGGAGGTTAAGAGCCAGGTCTCCTAACATTTGGCCCAGTCTTCTTTTCTTGTTCCAGCCACTGCCTGTAGGACGATCAGAGAAGCTTCCCATTGAGATTCCAACATAGGGATGTAAAGTGGTAGGAAATCCTTCTGCTAAGAGCTGATAACAGTTATGTACCAACACTATGGGAGGGAGTGGCCCTTTGAGATGGTGGAGTGAAATCCTGGGGCTGTGTCTTGGCAGGGGGCAGAGCTGGGACTGGCACCAAGCTCCCTCAAGCACTCAGTTCAGTGGTCTCCTCCCTGTTTCCTGGGTAGAAGGCGATTGCAGGCACCCACTGGTTCTCTCTCTGCTCTCTCCCTGCCAGCCACCAAGCGTATCCCTGCCAGGCCATTATCACCACCTCGCCAGAGAAGACCAGAAACCTTATTCTGGAAGTTAGAACCATGGAACGAATATGTCCTTATTAGACCATGCCTCTGTTTTTAACTTGGTTAAATGAACTACCATTCTCTTATAAAACATCCACTTTTCTAGAACCCTTGTTGCTGATGTTGGCTGCCCAGAGGTGGCACTTTTCAGCCAGGAAGAGGTGGGGGTCTGCTTTGGAGTGGAGTGAATTATTGAGTAGGGGCTGAAGGGAGAGTGGCTCAGACCAACAATAATTGCAAACAGTGGCCATGGAGATAATTCCCTTTGCCTCCTATCTCCTTAAAAAAGTGACTCCTCTTTGCTACTAAGGACCTTGCTTTCTTTTTACTTTATTTTATTTTTGGAGATGGGGTCTTGCTGTGTTGCTCAGGCTGGAATGCAATGGCACCATCACGGCTCACTGCAGCCTCGACCTCCCAGGCTCAAGGGATCCTCCTGCCTTAGCCTCCTGAGTAGCTGGGACCACAGGTGCCCCCACACCAAGCCTGCTAGTTTTTTTATTAAAATAGAGACAGGGTCTCCCCATGTTGCTCAGGCTGGTCTCGAACTTATGGGCTTCCAAAAAGATCATGCACCCGGCCATGACCTTGCTTTAATCCTCTTGTGGCCTTTAGGCACAGCATGCACATTCTGATGGGGTCCTTAATTGTTGTCCCCAGTACTTGTATATGTGTTATCTGGCATGTTGCTTGGCCTGGGGATGAAGGGGCTCAGGTATTGTCTATGTGCAAACTTTCTTTTCCAGTGCAATTTAGAAACTGCTGTTGGACTCCCATCCCGTGGATGGGAGGCCATTCTCTTCCTTAACGGGATTTGGAAAGCAAAAAGCATGCTGGTCTTCTAAGTGCAGCTTTATTGGCATTTGGCTTCCTGCAATATATTTGTAATATAGTATGTATGCTGTATCTGAGTAAATCAGTAGGTATGTTTTGAAATTAAATATTTGCTAAGGGCTAGGCTCTTCTCGTGTTAAATTATTGATAATAAACTTCACAGACACTGTATGAGACTTGATGATATATGATTTTTGAGTGACCTGCCATTTATTAGACTTTATCTGCCCATGAAATCTATTTCCAATTCAGACCATATCTGCTTCGGGATTGCTTGCCAGAAATCTATTCCCAAGATTCTCCTTATTTCAGTGAAATATCTCTGGCTCAGCACCTTTCCCACGGCGGCTGATCTAATCGGGGCTGGATCACTTATCGCTTCTCATTTCCTTTGGCAGCACTGTCAAACTAGAAGTGCATCTCGGGGACACTCAGAAGCACTAGGTGACGCACCTCCTTCTCCCTTTTCCTGTATGGCAGAAGGTAGGGAGAGGTGAACTCCCCAAACCACAGCCCTGCTCTAGGGTCTAAGCAGAAACAGGACCACCTTTGTGGTTAGGCTAACAGAAGTTGTGTCCCTGCCTCCCTCTCTGCCAGGAGCTGTCATGGAAGTGCCACATGGAACCCTGTTCGATGACCCCGAGCAATTAGAACTCATTTGCATGGCATGGAAGGCCAAGCTGGGGCCCCGAGGCTTTTTCAGCTCCCCCTTCTTCCCTGACTTCTCTGTAGACAGGTGCATACTTCTGGCTATGGCAAGGGCCAGCTGGCAGGAGGACTCTAACTTGTCATCACAGAAATAAAATTTGTCACCTCTGTGTTCCCAACCTCTGTTCTTTCATGTTTAACCAGCACTCTGCATCTTTGTAAACATGTCAGAGTTCTATTTTTATTTCCTAATTAATTCAGAAAAGGAGCAGAAGACATTGCTAATGATAGGAAAGGGGAAGATCACAAAGGTAGGATGAAGGGTGGCTTTTATTTTTCAGTTGAATGAGGCAATTGAATGAATATGTGGCATCCAGCAATTAGAAAAATTACTTAGGGCCAGCCAGTGCCTGGGCGATTCTCGGGCTGCCCTGAAACTGGTCAGAATTTATTCCTATGAGCATGTCTAAACTTATCAACTTCAGTGGCCAGCTTTTCTTCTTATACTAATAGACAGTGAGACTTCATTTTCCCAAACACAAGGGAGAATACAAATTTCCACATATATTAATCTTTTAATTATTTGAAATGTGTTTTAGCACTGCTTCTAAAGTTATATTCTCTGAGTACATTAAACCTAATTTAACCTTTGACTTGATTTAAAATCATCTTTATAAACATCTGGAACTGTATGATCTGTATACTTTAGTGATTCCAGAATCTTAACAATCTCAAGGGTGTAGTCTTTTAATTAAATGAGCTTTTCCTCCATTCCATTGTTACCGAAAGGCTAAAATAATAGATATGGAGTAATGGAAAGAGTTCTAAACTTGGAATCAAAACTCTACTTCTAATTTAAGTTTAATCATTAATTCACTGTGTGACCTTTAGCAAGTCTCTGAACATCTCTGAGCATTTATTTCTTCATCTATAAAAATGAAGAATTGGACCATAAGACTCCTAAGGTTGTTGACATTTCTAAAATTCTATAATTTTATGATCAAGGACCATGCTACTCAGTAATACCAGGTATCTGAAGGGCTTTTGAGGTGTTTCTTAATGATATGGCTCCAAACTACCATCATTGTGTTGGCTTTGAAGCTTTCCTATATTTTATGGGTAGGCAAACTATAGCCTGAAGGCCAAATCGGGCTTACCATCTGTTTTTTGTAAATAAAGTTTTATTGGCACAGAGCCACACTCATTTGTTTAGGTGTTGTCTATGGCTGCTTTTGAGCTACAGTGGTGGAGTTGAGTAGTTGCAACAGAGGTGGTGTGGTACATGATGTCTAAAATACTTACTTTCTGATCTTTATATAAAAAGTTCACCAACTTTTATTCTTTTTTCATTCTCAGTCTGTCACTTTTCTTTTTTTTTTTTTGTGAGACAGAGTCTCACTCTCCTGCCCAGGCTGGAGTGTAGTGGCACAATCTCGGCTCGCTGCAACCTCCACCTCCCAGGTTCAAGCAATTCTCCTGCCTCAGCCTCCTGAGTAGCTGGGACTACAGGCGCCTGCTACCACGCTTGGCTAATTTTTGTATTTTTAGTAGAGGTGGGATTTCACCATGTTGGCCAGGCTGGTCTCAAACTCCTGACCTCAAATGATCCACCCACCTCGGCTTCCCAAAGTGCTGGGATTACAGGCGTGAGCCACCATGCCAGGCCAGTCTATCACCTTTCATTGCAATCACTCTCTCTCCCTCTAGGAATTTGTTTTAATTTACTTACCTCTACCTGTCTAGGGGTTAAGAAGCCAGACTGCACACCTGATTAGAATTAGGTTCAAAGTAAGAGTCTGTAGGTTTTGAACAAAAGTTTGAGGGGACAGTCTTTGAGTGCAGTGCTGAGTACAGTGCATGGGCTTTTAGCTACTTAGTGCTCCTTTCTTATTTAAATGTCTAGGTCATTCTGGATAGTTATAGTTAAAATTTCAACAAAGTTTGAAATGTCTAGAAATGGTTACTTTTATTTGCTGACAGTGGTTATGGATTTGTTGTAAAATCCACTTCCTACATGGGGCATCGCTACCATGGTTAGTCTGAAGGCAAAGGTAGACAACTGAACTTGAGGTCCAAAGACCTGGGTTTAGATCAGGGGTGTCCAATCTTTTGGCTTCCCTGAGCCACATTTGAAGAAGAATTGTCTTGAGCTACACATAAAATACACTAACAGTAATGATAGCTAATGAGCTAAAAAAAAAAAACCAAAATTGCAAAAAACTCATAATGTTTCAAGAGAGTTTACAAATGTGTGTTGGGCTGCATTCAAAGCCGTCCTGAGCCGCATGCCATTGGCAGGCCGTGGGTTGGACAAGCTTGGTTTTCCATCCTACTCAGCTATTCCATGGCTTTATGGCCTTAGCAATCCAATCCCTTCATTTTCCCGTTTTTTCATCTGTAAAATGGGAGAGCTTCTTAATGCATCATGAGGTTTGCTGCAAGGGACACCATGTTTTCGGCTCCACCCTTCAACTGCCCTCCACACTGCTTGGGTGGAGCAGCTGTGAGACTGATATGCCAAATTATAGAACTTGAAATGGGCCACAAGCAATGATGTGCAAGATTACTGTGCCTTAAAAATTACCAAGTGTACCGGCTGGATGCGGTGGTTCACGCCTGTAATCCCAGCGCTTTGGGAGGCTGAGGCAGGCGGATCACGAGGTCAGGGGATTGAGACCATCCTGGCTAACATGGTGAAACCTTGTCTCTACTAAAAATACAAAAAATTAGCCGGGCGTGGTGGCATGCACCTGTAGTTCCAGCTACTCGGAGGCTGGGGCAGGAGAATCGCTTGAACCTGGGAGGCGGAGATTGCAGTGAGCCGAGATTGCGCCACTGCACTCCAGCCTGAGCGACAGAGTGAGACTCCGTCTCAAAAAAAAAAAAAAACATACCAAGTGACTCCACGTGTTTCCTGTCTTCCCTGTGGCCAGGTGAGTAAGTAAGCCTTGCCGGAGCTCTGCACTGGACTCAGCTCTTGAGAAAGTTAAATTGAGTTTCCTTTTAGGCCCTTGTTCCTTGTGGATAGCTCCCTGGGTGGTAAGAGGAGTCAGGGTGATGGCCAAGAGCAACACCTGATGGCTCCCCATCAGGTATGATGATGGTGCCCTTTGGCAGGCACGGATCTGAGGCCACAGATGTATAGATGTTGTATAGATGACTCCTCTCACTCTGGTCTGTAAGTCCCTTAAAGGCAGCAACTAGTTTTTCATTTTAACTATTATTCTCCATTGCCTAGAACAATGTCTGGCCTCAACAAATATATGTTGGATTAATTTGTCATGATCAAGATTTTCTGGTGGCATGAAGTTTTCTTTGAGGTTGATTATCTATGTCAGTGGTGTGTCCAGGTAGACCTCCAAAGTAGCCATACATTTTAAGTTGGTTCAGTATACAGTGCTCAGTGTGATCACACAGCCGCCTCATGGAGGAAGCAGCATTTCCTTTAGGAGGTGGAAATAGAAGGCAGGCCACAGCTGCAGCTCAGCAGAGCTGGGCTGAAATCTTACTGGGAGGACTTGTTACAGCCCACTGCTCACCCAAGGTCACTTTCCACTACCTACGTATTAAATACTACTTTCCCTGACTCTTAGATGGGCACCCACCCCCACCCTCCATGCATTTTGCCCTTCTGCTGTCAGTGGGTAGTCTGGGTAGGATAATGGAAATGGCACCTTTCTTTTTCTTTGAGACGGAGTCTCGCTCTGTCCCCCAGGCTAGAGTGCAGTGGTGCGATCTTGGCTCACTGCAAGCTCCACCTCCCAGGTTCACGCCATTCTCCTGCCTCAGCCTCCAGAGTAGCTGGGACTATAGGCACCCGCCACCACGCCCGGCTAATATTTTTGTATTTTTAGTAGAGATGGGGTTTCACCGTGTTAGCCGGGTTGGTCTCGATCTCCTGACCTCGTGATCTGCCCGCCTTGGCCTCCCAAAGTGCTGGGATTACAGGCGTGAGCCACCGTGCCCGGCCAATGGCGCCTTTTAAACATAATCATAACTCAACTTGAAGTTTATCTAAGAAAGGGCCAAACCATCCATGATCCAAACCATGTGTAAATACATTTAGGAGCTTCCTCCTGTCACATAGACTTTTTTTGGGAAATAAATAAGCATTTTATTTATTCATTGTGAAAAATACTGAATTTCTCATTTGTGCCAAACATTATGCTAGTTGTTGGGTTATGGAATAAGAAGACCAGAGGGGGCCCTTGCCAGCAAGGAATTTCTGTATAATTAGCAAGTAAACAGACAAGTGGAACAATTGCAAATTGTGATAAGAAGCAAGAAAGGACGCAAATGTTAGGGGCCAGCCCTGAGGAGCTGACATTTACAAAGAGTCCTAAAAATCCCGAAGGAGTTCACTGTGCACATGGTGGAAAGGGCTTCCGTGCTGAGGGCAGAGCCTGTGCAAAGACCCTGGGGCTTGTGGAAGGAGCGACTGTGAGGGAGAGTGTGGCATGGATGTGCGGGGAGGTGGTCAGGGGCAGGGAGGAGGTTAGGTTTATTCTAGCTCTCATGGGAAAACATCGGCCAGTTTCAAGCATGAGAGTGGCATGGTCAGGTTTCTATTCAGAGCATCCCTTCTGCTGTTTCATGCAGGATGGTTCATAGGTGGGCAGCAGTGCAGTCACGGAGACCAGGTGAGCGAAGTCCCTGGACTAAAGTGAAGTACAGAAGTGGTGAAGATGTAGAGAACTTTCTAGTGCATTAGAATGGAAGCGGGGAGGGAAACAAAGTCCTCAGATGCTGACATTTAGGAGGTGACAATTACTAAGATGGGAGAAATTTGGGGGGGCAGCGAGAGGATAGGTTTTAGGGGAGGATAGGTTTTGGGGAGAAGTCTCAAGTTCTCTTTGAAATCAACGAGATTTGGCCGGGCGCGATGGCTCATGCCTGTAATCCTAGCACTTTGGGAGGCCGAGGCGGGTGGATCACGAGGTCAGGAGATCAAGACCATCCTGGCTAACACGGTGAAACCCCGTCTCTACTAAATGTACAAAAAATTAGCCAGGCGTAGTGGCGGGCACCTGTAATCCCAGCTACTCTGGAGGCTGAGGTAGGAGAATGGCGTGAACCCGGGAGGCAGAGCTTGCAGTGACCCGAGATCGCGCCACTGCACTCCAGCCTGGGAGACAGAGCGAGACTCTGTCTAAAAAAAAAAAAAAAAAAAATCAACGAGATTTGTTTGGTGGCACAAAACACCTTTGAAGCTAATAGGTAACTGTAACCTTCCTTGTCCTTGCCACTCATTAATTGTATCATGTGCCAATAAATAATCTTCCCTTGGTACCACTTTGTACCTAGTACAGTCTTCCCTTAGTGCCACTTTGTACCTAGTACAGTCTTCCCTTAGTATCGCTCTGTACCTTTTACAGTCTTCCCTTAGTGCCACTTTGTACCTAGTACAGTCTTCCCTTAGTGCCACTTTGTACCTAGTACAGTCTTCCCTTAGTACCACTTTGTACCTAGTACAGTCTTCCCTTAGTATCGCTCTGTACCTTTTACAGTCTTGCCTTAGGACTACTTCATACCTAGGTTTATACCCCATCCTACCCTCAGAAGTGAGCACAATTATCTGCTTGCAGTAGATGCTCAAGAAAGAATTGTTGCTGACTTGTCTGCACCAAACATTTCCAGCTTATTCAGAGCTTGACTCTAAAGCAAGGAAAAAGGAACTGGTTAAAGGGGAAGAGAGGCAGATGAAGGGTTTTGTGGTGGTGATGATGAAACAGGTAATTTTCTAAAAAGAGATTTTAGCTGAATGATGAGGAAAAAATGAAAGAGTAGTTTTAGGGAACGCACCTGGATGTCTGGTCCTTGTGCCACCATTATTAGCCATATACTTGTAGCCTTGGGTCAGTTGGCTAGAGGTCACAGATACACACCTGTCTTTTCTTTCTCTTTCCATTTTTCCTCCTTTTCTCCTCCCCACTCTCTTATTCCCACCTTAGAGGAAAAAAGGCAAGGGAGGAGGAGGAAGAGGGGAGAAGGAGGGGGTAGGGGAAGGAGGGTAAGGAAGAGGAGGGGGGTGAGAGTAAGAGGAGGTGGAGGAGGAGGAGGAGGAAGGGAGTAGGGGATGAGGAGGTGGAGAAGAAGGAAGATGGAGTGAAAGGAGGAGGAGGAGGAGGAGGAGGAGGGAATGGTAAAGCCACAGGCTTCACCCAGGTGTCCTAGGGGTAGGAGAATATGTAGCTGCTATGACACACAAATGTGAATGAGTCTAGAATAATCTCATTTCCCGAAAACCAACACAATGAACATAATTTTCACTTCCCAGTTTTCCATGTCCTGGAAGACTGAAGCCAGTGATGGCAGTACCACTTATTAACCTAAAGTGCATTTCCGTGATATGTCCCATGTCCTGAGCTAGTAATTTTTGACAAAGCACAATAATGAAGCAAGCGTCTTGTGATTTTAAAAGCTAAGCACTTGCTGCATTTTTTTTTAAAAAAATTATTTCTTCCCTGTAGGAAAGTAAAGAAATCCGTGATAAAATAATAATTAAATGCTGACAATGCTAAATTTCTACCCAGCGTGAGCTGGCAGCAGTTTTATACCAAAACATTAGGTCATTTGAAGAAAAAAAAAATCTGATTAAATACCTCTGTAGGCTTTTCTGATTAGCCGTTCTTAAAAGAGTCAGTGACAGTAATGAAAGGGTGTCATTTGACAGCCACAATTTACTTTTGAAAAAAAGGTAAAATAGTACAGTGTGTATGGGTGAGGTTTTTACAGGAATTTCTTGTTGGTCTTTACTCGTGGGATTTGTTTTACTAATTGTCAGTTTCTAGCAGTTCCGAGGAGCCCACCGGCCAGGAATTATGTGAGATGAAAAGTAAGTGATATTCTGGGGCGAGGGTCACAGGGACAGCTTAACTGCCAGGATTTCTTTTCTTTCTTTTACCCCTTCGCTACACAGCAGGTTTTATATTTCCGGGGCGAAATGACCTTGACACTAGCAGGTTAGAGAAATAAAATGTAGTTGCAGAGATTCTCCTTGCATCCCTTGTATTAATTTTCTGCGTTTGGCAGCTCCCAGCATCTCTTTGTGTTAAGTTGCTGTGGCATGAGGGCTGCAGGCCAGATCTGACGTGAAGATGGAATGATTATGTGGCATATGGCAAATGCAACCACCACCACTAATTACTCTTTCTTTCCACTTTCTCCTTGACTTCTACTTGTGGGCATAGGGTTCTGGAGTTTGAAAGTGGTTTCCTTTTTTTCATCTCCCCTTTGGTAGATATGAGACCAAATGCCTATTTTGGCTATGATGTGATAGAATCCTAGAGCTTTAAAGCTAAAAATGGCCTTAGGCCTCGTCCAGCCCAAACACTTCATGTCAAAGATGAGGACGGCGGGCCCAGAGAGCTTCACCTGGGCAGGGATTGCAGAAGGGAGCCTGGAACTCGATCATGTCTCCCAGGTCCTGGGTGAGTCTGTGTTTTTTCTTTTCTGTCCTACCTCTTAAAAGTGGACATGAAGCCAGTGGATTTGTTTCTCTGGGTTGCCATAACAAAAGTGCCACAAACTGGGTGGGAAAGCAACAGAAACTTACTCCCTCACAAGTTCTGGAAGCAAGAAGTCAAAATCAAGGTGTTGGCGGGGCTGTGCAGCCTGAAGGCTCCAGGAGGGGATCTGTTCCATGCCCTTCTCTTGGCTTCTGGTGTTGCTAGCAATTCTGGGCGTTCCTTGGCCTGGGGTAGCATAACCCCAGTCTCTGCCTCCATCATCACGGGGTGTTCTCCTTGTGTCTCTCTGTTGGTATCTCTTCTCCTTTTTTTTTTTTTTTTTTTTTTTTTGAGACGAGCTCTCCTTCTGTCATCCAGGCTGGAGTGCAGGGGTGCTATCTTGGCTCACTGCAACCTCCGCCTCCTGGGTTCCAGCAATCCTCCTGCCTCAGCCTCTCAAGTAGCTGGGATTACAGGAGTGCACCATCACGCCCAGCTAATATTGTATTTTTAGTAGAGACAGGGGGTCTTGTCATGATGGCCAGGCTGGTCTCGAACTCCTGACCTTGGGTGATCCACCCGTCAAGGCCTCCTAAAGTATTGGGATTACAGGCATGAGCCACTGCCATCTTCTTTTTTTATGAGGACATTGTCATATTGGATTTAGGGCCCACCTTATTCCGGGATGACCTCATCTTAACTAATTGCAGCTGCAAGATCCTGTTTCCAAAATAAGGTCACATTCTGAGGTTCCGAGAGTTAAGACTTCCAACAGATCTTTTTAGGGGAATACAATTCAGTGCATACCAGGTGAGGTCGGGTAAGGTTTTTCCATAGAGGGTTTTTGGAGACTTTAAACTGCGGTGAATCATTACCACCTTCAACTGTACATTCAGAGCTTGCTCTGTCTTTATGCTTTTCCTGTCAAGTGAGGAACCTGAGTCCCGTCCATGTATTATTAACGATGATGATATGTAGCTTTCACTTTTAGCACGGAAGGAGGGCATGTGAGTCAATCTGAGGATTAGCCATAAAAAACAAAAGTGAAGTTAGAAAGAATTCAGAGACGAGATTTGAGTTGCGGACATTTATTTGTAGAGATTCTCTGGGTTCTACCAAAAGCATTAAAGCTCTTCAGTTTGGAGGGTTAATTCTATTTATTTTTGTATATATTCTATAATTATAATTTGGATTATTCTATATTATTTATTGTATATTTAGTAATCACAATGATCCTTTCTCCTTAACTATTATTTTTTCACTATCCCCTCACTTAAAATTCACCTTCTGGGCCAGGCACGGTGGCTCATGCCTGTAATCCTAGCACTTTGGGAGGCCGAGGCGGGTGGATTACTTGAGGTCAGGAGTTCGAAACCAGCCTGGCCAACATGGTGAAACCTCATCTCTACTAAAAAAATACAAACAAATTTAACTGGATGTGGTGGCAGGCGCCTGTAATCCCAGCTATTTGGGAGACTGAGGCAGGAGAATTGCTTGAACCTGGGAGGCGGAGTTTGCAGTGAGCCGAGATTGAGCCACTGTGCTCCAGCCTGGGGGATAGAGTGAAACTCTGTCTCAAAAAAAACCAAAACCTTCTGGAAAGCTTTACCATGTTAATTTCTCCCATCCTATCATGCTGGGCAAAATCTGCAATGGCACACCATTTCCTGCTGTCAGTATTTCCTGCAATTGCCCCATTGACCTTCCCTCAAACAAACAGATCTGTTTTCTGATGCCCAAATGTCCCTCACACCTGCCCCTTCCATACTTTGCTCTGCTTCCTCTTGCTCTCTCAAGTGGCATCCCCTCCCCTTTCTGCCCATCTAAACACCCCTACTCCCCCAAGGCTCGCATGCATCACCCTTCTTTGTGGATGCAGCCTGGACAACCCAAACAGGAAGTGATCTCCTCCTGAGTGAAGGTCTATAGAATTCTCTGTCTGTATCTTGTTTGGCTCTCATAGGCCTGCCTTTTAGTGCCATCTGTAGAAGTGGATTAGCAGCCACAAGACCTGTCTTCCATCATGGATCTGCCATTGCCATTCTGTATGGCTGTGGGACACCTGGGATACTGTCTGCCTCACTGCGGTTCTGAGAATCAGATGAGATAGAATATCATATTTATTTGCAACTTATCTATGAGAAGTACTATTCAAATATTTGTTATTTAACGTGCCTTTATATACTCACCTGTAAAATGGGACAGTACTTGGTGAGGATTAATTTAATAAAGCATGTAAGACAGTCCTGGCTTATAGAAAGTCATCAGTAATAGTTAGCTGTCATCGTTGTGACATCTGCATTGTCAATTCTTTGCAGATAGGACTGTAAGCCCCTTTAAGACAGAGTTTGTGTTTTGGCATCTCTTCGATGTACAGGATAGAACCTGATACTAGCTGCTTGGTCTATTTGCTGGGTAAACTGAAAGTCCCCTTCTTGTTACTGTGTGCAGTACTTAGACTCTCATTTTTCTCTCTTTTCCCAAGACATTAAAATTCTCACTGACCACTCTTTAACCTGGAGGTTCTTAAATGAATAGAAATAAACTCTCTGACAGCAGTGTTGATTTTGGCTCTAAACCTAAATTAGTTTGATAGGTGAATTGCTGTGGTAACGCAGATGTCATCATTCAAAAGTGGCACAAATTCATTTTCTTTTGATACCTCCTCATGAGGATGTAACCTGGGTATGTTTTGAAATGGAGTATCTTCTATTAGTTTAATTGACCATAGTTTTGACAGCATCAAGGTTTGTGTGATGTCCTTGTAATAACCCTTTGAAGGTCTACATGAGGCCAGAATTGTTCTACACATTGTGGGGGAGTTTCTGGTACAGTGTTCTGTTCCACCATCCTGTGTAGAGTAGCTATGTAAATAATAGTGGATAGGCTGGGCACGGTGGCTCACACCCGTAATCCCAGCACTTGGGGACACTGAGGCAGGTGGATCATTTGAGGTCAGGAGTTCAAGACCAGCCTGGCCAACATGGTGAAACCCCGTCTCTACTGAAAATACAAAAATTAGCTGGGCATGGTGGTGCATGCCTGTAATCCCAGCTACTTGGGATGCGAGACATGAGAATTGCTTGAACCTGGGAGGCGGAGGTTGCTGTGAGTCAAGATCGCGCCACTGTACTCCAGCCTGGGCGACAGAGCAAGACTCTGTCTCAAAAAAACAAACAACAATAACAAAAAAGTAGATAAATAAGAAGAAATGGAAAAACCCTGCAGACGACAACTTGGAAGTAAAATTTTAGTATGTTGCTTAAAATACTTTGTACGATCTGTGTACACACGTACCCAAATTTGCCAACTGTGTACTGTTTGATATTAGCAAAATTGTTGAATTCCTTTTGACTTTGGGTATTACTTACCTGTACATTTTTTACACCAAGTCCAAGTCTACCCATCCCTATTTTCTCTGTGGGTATAAAGATAGAAATCCCTTTGGGAGCTAATATATTTCTTTTCTCTTCATATACAAATATGATGCCTAGAACGGCATGGACGCTCAAAATCTGTTGACAATTGATTTTCCTAGCACATATGATTTGGGTAATTCTGTCAAGACTTAGTGATGTGGCAGCAAAATTAGTGATGTTTATTTAGGAGTAGTTTTCTGGTAAGAGGTTGAATGGGGAAATGTTAAACTCCTACTTCCTAGATACAGCTACAGGGAGAGGAGGAAGAGTCATGTTATTTTGATATGATTGTAAATTAACATAACCCCCCTGGAACTCCTTTTCCTACACACGCACTTCCTTCCTTCAGGATCACACCAACCTAAAGGTAAAGCCAGAGCAATAGTAATGTTTATAGACCATCTTTCTTATAAATGCCACTGCTCACTATTGTACATATGTCTTTTTCAAGTATTTTTGGAAGACCTCCCTCCTCTGCTACCATATTTCCCTAATGTCTGTGAAACTAAGTACCCGTCAAGCGTGGTGGCTCACGCCTGTAATCCCAGCACTTTGGGAGGCCAAGGCAGGTGGATCACCTGAAGTCAGGAGTTTGAGACCAGCCTGACCAACATGGTGAAACCCTGTCTCTACTAAATACAAAAAGTTAGCTGGGTGTGGTGGTGCATGCCTGTAATCCCAGCTACTTGGGAGGCTGAGGCAAGAGAATTGCTTCAACCTGGGAGGTGGAGTTTTCAGTGAGCCGAGATTGCACTCTTGCACTCTAGCCTGGGCAACAAGAGTGAAACTCCGTCTCTAAATAAATAAACAAACAAATGAATGAACAAAATACTGCCTTTGAAGATGTGCCGAGGCCACCGTGGGGCCTCACGCTTTTATCACGGAGGCCACCCGTTGGCGATGCCCACCAGTCATGCATCTTCTTCTACTTCCTCTCCAGGGCTGCATGGATCTCCGTCTTCTGCTCCAGGTAGAAGCCGTTCTGTATTCCCAGTCATCTCAGCTGAGGCTTCACCGGAAGGCATCCAAACTCCCTTACCTGTTCTTGATTGCCAGTGTCCTTTCCAATTGGTCCAGGAATGAGTGTGGCAATTGCTACCTTTTTAAATAACCTGGAGCACCTCTACTGGGGCTATATCTAGAGGCCACAAAGCAGAGTTACCAAAGGGAGACCTGGTTTCCAATGCCAGCTTGTTTACTGACTGGTAGATTCCTTGAGGATGTTAGTGACCTCCTCTGCAAGCCACGTGGATGTGTATAAAGTGCTTATGCTAGTAACTGGCCCTGTAGTACACATTTTCTTTTACTTTTCTTTTGAATATCCTCAGAGACAACAAAGCCTAAATCTTTGGAAAGCAGGTAATAGTTGCTGGGTTATGTTAATGTTTGGTCTATAACGATAGGCCATCATAAAGAAATGAGACTCAGATTTGTAAACTGGCTGTGGAGTCAATTCTAAAATTAGTGATAAGGTATACTACTGTTCATAAAGCCAGTCTATTCCAGGGGTAGGTGTTTGCTGTCCAGAGCTTCTGCGTCACCACTGAGTTCTGTAGGTAACTTAGGGATGGGGTATGGTTCCCTATCCTTGTATCTAGGACAGACAGTCCCTTTGAGGGGGTGGCCTCCATGTTCTCTGCCCATCCCTGTATCCAGGGGCTGTACATGGCCGCAGCCTGGCCAGTCCCTTGCCTGTGTTCATGATATGGTTTTTCTCTGTGTCCCCACCCAAATGTCATGTTGAACTGTAATCCCCAGTGTTGGGGGAGGGACCTGGTGGAGGTGACTGGATCATGGGGGCAAATTTCCCTCTTGCAGTTCTCATGATAGTGAGTGAGTTCCCACAAGATCTGGTTATTTAAAGCTGGGTAGCACTCCCCCCTTCTCTCTCTCCTCTCTCCATGTGAAGATTTTGCCTGCTTCCCCTTCACCTTCCTGCATGATTGTAAGTTTCCTGAGGCCTCCCCAGCCATGCTTCCTGTTCAGCCTGTCAAACTGAGTCAGTTAAACCTCTTTTCTTTATAAACTACCCAGTCTCAGGTAGTTCTTTGTAGTAATGTGAGAATGGACTAACACAGCTCACTACTGGTTCATGCAAGGAAGGCTAGCCTCACAGACCCTCACTGTTTTTGGAAGACCTCCTCCTCCCCTGAAGTGTATCTGAGAGCTCGGGTGACTGCCTCTGTGTCCCCAGCTATTGCTTCCCTGTCCCAGATATAAAGAGAATAACTTCACTCACTCCCTGACACCCTCCACTCAGTGTTCAGAGGAGCTTTGCTTCTGCATACTGTTTTTACAAACAAGTTCTTTTTTTATTTAAAATTTTATTTTATTTGCTACATTTTTTTTTAAAGATGGAATCTTGCTTTGTCACCAGGCTGGAGTCCAGTGGCGCAATCTTGGCTCACTGCAACCTCCGCCTCCTGGATTCAAGCAACTCTCCTGCCTCAGCCTCCCAAGTAGCTGGGACTACAGGTACCCACCACCACGCCCAGCTAATTTTTGTATTTTGAGTAGAGATGGGGTTTCACCATATTGGGCAGGATGGTCTCCATCTCCCGACCTGGTGATCTGCCCTCCTCAGCTTCCCAAAGTGCTGGGATTACAGGCGTGAGCCACCACGCCCGGCCTTATTTGCTACATTGTTTAGAGATGGAATCTTGCTCTGCTGCCAAGGCTGGAGTGCAGTGGTGATCAAAGCTCACTGCAGCACAACTTCCTGGGTTCAATAAATCCTCCCAGTTCAGCCTCCCAAGTAACTGAAACTACAGGCACATGCCACAACATCTGGCACATTTTTGTATTTTTTGCAGAGATGGGGTTGGGCGGGGGGCGGTCTCACTATATTGCCCAGGCTGGTCTTGAACTCCTAAGCTCAAGTGATCCTCCCACTTTGGCCTCCCAAAGTAAAGTGCTGGGATTACCGGTGTGAGCCACCGAATCTGTCCTGTTCGCATAAGTTCTGCTACATCATGTTAAAAAAAAAACAAAAACATTCCTATGACTTTGTTTCCAAACTTTTCTTTGGCAGCGCTGTGCGTTCCAGAAAGGGTGGGCAAGAATGCGAGGGGGTAAATCAGAAGAAGTTTCATATTAAGAAGCCTAAGTGTGCCCAAATGTGAGTGGGTCACACGAGATGCACTAAGCGTCTCAGTCAGCTAATAACAATCAGCTCATGGCCCACCTGGCCCTGCTGTCGCCCCGACCTTCCAGCTGTGAGCCTACGGCAGCTGGGGCAATGGTGTACCCAACCTGCTCCTTGCTCACCTCTGGCATGGCTGGGTCCGAGCTCCAGAACATGGCATCTCTCCTCCCTGCACCACCTTCCCTGAGGGGTGGGGCCTGCCCAAGGCCTTGGACTCATCCTGACCTGAGGCATTGTTCAAGGAGTTTGATCCCAGAATCCTCATCACCTAGTCCAGTCTTGACCTTGAGTCTCAGTTCTTTCTGTTGATTGTCCAGACTGGTAACCAGGTTCCTACCTTGTTTTTGAGCCTTAAACTGCTGTCTTGTTTCCCTGGCTGAGAACCCTGGAAACGAGGGTCCTGTGCTTAGCCATTCCCCATCCACTCAGGAGAGCCTGCTTCTTAATACCTGCCCCACAGGTGGGGTCCTGCTTGCCCCAGCAGACGGTCTGCCTGTCACCTTCGATGTCTGCACCATTGCATTCCTGGATGACCCATTTCGTGGTTCGGTCATCATGTCCAGGCTATTCTATTTTCTGACTTCATACTACGTTTTGCCTGCACTACCACTTGTATTTTTGCTACCCTACCTTTTGTGCTTCTGGCTAAAATAGCTAACTAGCTAGACAGGAGTTGTCTGGAGAAGTACAAATGAGTCTTTAAAACCCATCCTCAGTGCCCCATCAGTAAGTACACATTGTGAATTTTTACATCTATAAGGTTACTCTATTTTAAAGTAATTTTAAAATTTTAAAGTAGTTTTGTCTGTATTTGCTTCTTTGCCTTATGTATTGGCTTAGTACCTAATTCTTTTTTTGTTTATTTGTTTGTTTTTGAGACAGAATCTTGCCCTGTCGCCTAGGCTGGAGTGCAGTGGCATGATCTTGGCTTACTGCAACCTCCGCTTCCCTGGTTCAAGTGATTCTCCTGCCTCAGCCTCCCAAGTAGCTGGGATTACAGGCACGCACCACCATGCCCAGCTAATTTTTGTATTTTTACTAGAGATGGGGTTTTGCCATGTTGGCCAGGCTGCTCTCAAACTTCTGGCCTCAAGTGATCTACCCGCCTCAGCCTCCTGAAGTGCTGGGATTACAGTTGTGAGCCACCGTGCCCCCCTTTGGTACCTCATTCTTGCATAACATGAGACCCACCTCTTCTCTGTGTGGTGTCAGAAACCTCCTTCCGATGCTTGCAACAGAATCTGTGCCTTCAGCTTCTGCCACACCCCAGCAAGCAATTCTGCTGAAGCCCCACCAATAAGCCTTGTCCACAGCTAACCAGGCGAGGTCAAGCCGTAGTCCAGGATATGGGCCAGCTCCTGGGGCTGGCTGGCTGAAACCAGTAGTGGTGCTGGTAGGTGTCTGCAAGAGCTCCATTAGATTCCCTTGGAATGATCCCCTGTTCAAGGATCGTGCTGAACTGGCACATCTCACCACCTTATGTATGGGACAGGAGCTCCATCAGACTACAGCGCAATCTCTGAAACATCCTGACATGTTCATGAAACCTAGGATATACTAACCCCCCAATAAGAGTGGGAATTGGGAGAAGACTTTTTCTTATCTTTCTATGGAAAGGACTAGTCTTGAGAGGAAATGAACCAATTAATGTACTAACCAAAGGATGAAATCGGCACCTTTTGCTAAAGGTGTGAGTTCAGGTTTATGAAAAACTGCTCATCATATGTTCTGGCCATACTGGCCTTGAGGACAGTCAAGAGCTGGGTGACCATCACTGGGTTTTGGATCTGAGCTCCAATCCCATTTGTTAATAGCACAAGAGTACTAAACCACAGCTTCGATAACTAAACTACTGCCACACTCCCCAAGTTCTTTCCCACCCCACAGGTTCCGGTGTCTGTCTATACCCCAGGTGCTCAGAGGCGGCTCTGATTGTGTTTTGCCTCTTTCTGTTTTTGCCCCCATCATCCATACCTTTGGCTTCCTTGCTCTGTCACTCCACAATGCAGAGCAGAATACAGCTCTTCCCATCCCTTTCCCAAATCAGCAGGGCACTTTCCATTCCACAGCCCTTCTCTGGTAGACCAGAGACCAGATTTCCAGGGATAGGCCAGAGACGGCTTGGGAATCAATATCTTAGGTTGAATCCACAGGCATTCCTTGTCAGTAGCCAAAACGTGGCAGGCCCACATGACTTGTTACCTTTCTCTTCCTTTGGGTACATTCTTTGCCCTCCTGGGAGGCTCCTCCCTTACCCCTTCCTAGGAGTTGGTGCATTCATTTATTTATTCATTCTCTCTCCCACATCATTCAGTATTAGAAGGCCTGTCCAAGATACCAGATCTCCAGGGGTAGGTATGCAGATAGTCCCTCCTAATTCCCCTCCACCCTCAATACCCTGCCTACCCAGTGAGAATAGGTTAATACATTGATGAGGCACATAGTGAGTCTGATTCTTGTCTTTTTTTTTTTTTTTTGAGATGGAGTTTCACTCTTGTTGCCCAGGCTAGAGTGCAATGGCGTGATTTTGGTTCACTGCAACCTCCGCCTCCTGGGTTCAAGCGATTCTCCTACCTCAGCCTCCCGAGTAGGTGGGATTACAGGCATGTGCCACCATGCCCAGCTAATATTGTATTTTTAGTAGAGACGGGGTTTCTCCATGTTGGTCAGGCTGGTCTCAAACTCCCGACCTCAGGTGATCCCCCCGCCCCAGCCTCCCAAAGTGCTGGGATTCTTGGCATAAGCCATCACACCCGGCCTCTGATGCTTGTCTTTAGGCTTTGGCCCAAATGACAAAATGGGAGCAAATAAAGTTTTAGCATCCCTTAAATTTTGCTTGTTACATGATGAAAACTGGCCAGGTAAATAGAAAGTAAAAATTCATCATTAGAGAAAAAGAGAATATTTTCTTTCTAATCTTTTCTACAATCTAAGAGGCATTTTGATGTAGTACCAACACTTGCACACACACACAACACACACACCCCCACATACACCCCCACATACACACACACACACACACACACACACACACACACACACCATGAACTAGAAGGTAAGCTTTATGAATGCTAGTCCTGGCTACAAACTTACAATGGGGTCTTTGGTCAAATCTCCTAACCATCTAAACCTTGGCTCTTTTGGCTATGAAAAAGAAATAATATTTTATGCCTCCTTACCTGGTTATTGTGATTATCAAATTAGGATGAATGAATGGGCTTAGAAAACTAGAAAGCACTGTCCAAAAGACCAGTGTAGATATTATTTCCTAGAGATTGCCTTTAATAAAGAACAGGAAGTACTAGAAAATCACCTAAGATATGAACATGCAGTTGACAGAAAATATACATGGCTCTTAAGCATATGACAAGATGCTTATCCTTACTGCTAATAAGAGATACAAACTAGCCTCAAGACATTGGTTTTACCTGTTCAATTAGTGAAGTTGATAATACTGTTACTTTCTATGGAGAAGACTACTGTTGAGGGAATGGCTGAGGTGAGAAGCAGAGCCTCCTCCTGTCGCTGATGGCAGTATAAGTTGATACATTTCTTCACGGGAAGCAAATTGATCATATTAATTGCAACTGAAAATGCATATCTTTGGCCAAGCAGTTCCATTTCTTGATATTTATCCTACAGATGTACTTGCACTTGTACAGTGTAAGGCAGCTCTAGATATACTCATAGGGAATGATCTCTGAGGTATGTTAAGTGAAAAAAGCAGAGTGCAGAACAGTGTACAAAAAAAACCACATTATTTTAACAAAAGAAAGAAATGCTAATATTTGGCTGAGTGTGGTGGCTTATGCCTGTAATCCCAGCACTTTGGGAGGCCAAGGTGGGTGGATCACCTGAGGTCAGGACTTTGAGACCAGCCTGACCAACATGGTGAAACCCAGTCTCTACTAAAAATACAAAAAAACCAGCCAGGCATGGTGCTGGGTGCCTGTAATCACAGCTACTCGGGAGGCTGAAGCAGGAGAATCGCTTGAACCTGGGAGGCTGAGGTTTCAGTGAGCTGAGATCACGCCACTGCACTCCAGCCTGGGCAAAAGAACAAAACTCCGTCTCAAAAAAAAAAAAAAAAAAAAAAAAGAAATGCTAGTATTTACATAGATTATATCTGAAATGATGCAGCAGTAGATTTAGATAATTATTTTAGGTTTTTCTCTTTCTTTTGTTTTTGCTTTTTTAGTAGTATTTGTTGTTTCTTGTTTGTTCTTTTGCTGTTGAGAAGTAGAATTGAGTGGCTGGCCACAGAGGTGAGAAAGTTTTCAC
Organism: Homo sapiens; assembly: GCF_000001405.40. Lineage (NCBI taxonomy): Eukaryota > Metazoa > Chordata > Mammalia > Primates > Hominidae > Homo > Homo sapiens. The sequence continues at coordinate 89,554,599 of NC_000014.9, read as the reverse complement.
TGCATATTCTTGATAATTTTTTGAAGTTTATACTATATCCAGATATTACCATTTTAAAAAATTGTAACAGAACAAAAGTAAATGGAAAACCAAAAGTGAACAACAACAAATATAACCAAAGCCCCAACTCTCCTTCTTCCAATAAGATAAAAGTGAAAGAAAGAGGCCGTGTGTGGTGGCTTTTGCCTGTAATCCCAGCACTTTGGAAGACCTAGGCGGAGGATTGCTTGAGCTCAGGAGTTCGAGACCAGCCTGGGCAACATATGAGACCTCATCTCTAGAAAAAATCAAAACATAGTAGGCCAGGCGTGGTGGCTCATGCCTATAATCCCAGCACTTTAGGAGGCCGAGGAAGGCGGATCACGAGGTCAGGAGTTCAAGACCAGCCTGGCCAACTTGGTGAAACCCTGTCTCTACTAATAATACAAAAATTAGCCGGGTATGGTGGCGGGCACCTGTAATCCCAGCTACTCCAGAGGCTGAGGCAGGAGAATCGCTTGAACTCAGGAGGTGGAGGTTGCAGTGATATGAGATCGTGTCACTGCACTCCAGCCTGAGCGACAGAGCGGGACTCCGTCTAATAAAAAAACAAAACAAAAAAAACGAAGAAGAAAGTCACGTTTAGTGGAATTAGTATCTTTTTTTTCTTTCTACCCTCTGTCTTGCTTGACTTTCGTATGCCTTCTTGTTTGTTAGGGTAAAGCTATTTTCCTTTTACTATTTAGGCTCTGGAAAACTAACCTGTGTTGACTCCTTACAACTGCAAAAAGTGATTTTATTTTCACCGTTCTGATGAACCAAAAAGTCCTGACTGCGCTTTCCCCTTGATCTGCCAGTCTTTATTTCTGAGATCTGAGTAATCCTTGAGTAGTTGTGATCATCAAACCTCACCTAGATATTCCCTTTCCCTGACTTCCGGATGAGCGATGGAGTTGGCTGGAAAGACTTGTGGGGCTGCCGGGGGAATTCATCTCCAGGGTAATTACATAGCTGTTCAAGGGGCTGAGGATCCTAATTGGGGTGTCAGACATCTTGAGATGTGACTCAAGTTCTGCCTTCCTGCTTCATCAGGAATTAAAAGTTAGTATTTGGTCATTTTTACCTCCTGAGTTTTGCTTTCTAAATCTATTTTACCCTTTTTTTTTTTTTCACTTTCATGTTATTTGAGTAAAGGGTTCCTTTAGGCTCATCTTTTAACTCAATTAACCCACAAGCACTACTTTATAGTCTTTCCCTACCAGACTGTCCTCATTATGTAATTATGGGGAACTGTGTGGCTTCTTGGCTATGAGGCCAAATGTAGCCCCCCACACCAGAAATAATTTCTTGACAATTGTCTTTTTTTTTTTTTTTTTTTTTTTGGGACAGGGTCTCGTTCTGTTGCCCAGCCTAGAATGCAGTGGCGACATCACTGCTTACTGCATTCTCAACTGCCTGGTCTCAAGTGATCCTTCCACTTCAGCCTCCCTAGTAGCTGGGACCACAGGCACACGCCACCATGCCCAGCTAACTTTTGTATTTTTTGTAGAGACGAGGTTTCGCCATTTTGCACAGGCTTGCCTTGAACTCCTGAGCTCAAGGGATCCTCCTGCCTTGACCTCCCAAAGTGTCTTGACAATTTTCTCATAGAGGCCCACCATAAACACCTGCCAAATGGGGTGTTTGAAAGAGTCCCTTCATGTTGACTCACCATCACTTTTTGCTTTTTGGAGACGGAGTCTCGCTCTTTTACCCAGGCTGGAGTGTTGTGGTGCGATCTTGGCTCACTGCAACCTCCACCCACTGCAGCCTCCGCCCAGTGTGACCTCCGTCTCCTGGGTTCAAGCGATTCTCCTGTCTCAGCCTCCATAGTAGCTGGGATTACAGGCACATGCCACCACGCTCAGCTAACTTTTGTATTTTTAGTAGAGACGGGGTTTTGGCATGTTTGCCAGGCTGGTCTCAAACTCCCAACCTCAGGTGATCTGCCTGCCTCGGCCTCCCAAAGTGTTGGGATTACAGGTGTGAGCCACTGTGCCCAGCCTCCCCAACACTTTTAATTAGGAGAATTCACACAACCATGTGGAGACACCCTCCAGGCCCCTGCAAGGAGTTTGTTTTATTGTGTACATAGACAATTTAGAGTAAAAACCTCATTTAAACCAAGGGTCATGTTTATGCTTCTATTGCGAACTAAAATCATTTGGTTGTTTGAATGGGTTCAGCTTATTTACACATTATTCTTATGTATAAGTCAGAGATAATACACGTGACGGTGACACATATGTGAACTGCATGCTCGTATTTGCTGGTAGAGACTTGAGTTTGGCTGATATTTTCACAGAATTTTTCTGGCCCCACTTCAGTAAACAAATAGTTATATCCTTCACAAAACAACTGAACACACAATTCGGAGTGATTTTTCAGATGCTCTTTACAATGACTGGCCCAAGTCCTGTCTTAACATCATGTACTATGGAAGCAACCGTGCGCTTTTCTTTGAAGAAGAAAGATAAATCTCAAGGCAACAGATTTCCTTCTGTTTTCCTTCAAGTGTTTGGCTCCAATTCAGTAATTAATTTTCCGGAGATCATCAGACCATGATAACAGCAGCATGTGATATTCTTACCTTTTCTTAGGTGACTAGTACTAGGTTCCTAGAATCTCTGGGTTCCCAGCTTTTGGGGGTGTTGCATGAGAATTTTTGCTGTGGCGTGAGATTAAAACAAAAACAGACCAAACAGCTCTGGGAAGCAGTTCTGATGTCTGGGATTTAGTCATGGGTGAGGCCCTAAAAATAGAGTTACCCCTAGATGAGTATCTAGCAGAAAGGAAAGAGGAACGGTAGGGGTGGGGGCAACCAGGCCTTTGTTCCACAAGCGTGTCATGAGTACCTGCTACATACTGGACACTGTGCTGGCTGGAGACACACTGTGCAGAGATAGAGTGGTCCACCAGATGTACAGGACCTGCCGCGAGGGGACTACACACTCGTCCAGAAGCCCTAGAGGACTGTGTGGGGCAGCAGCTGGCACATGGCCCTCTCCTTTCCTGGCTTCTCATGGGAAAAGATACCAGCACTGTGAACTCTGTACCTTGGAGGGAGCTGAGTGCTGTGACCTTTTTTGTCGGGGCTGTGAGATGGGTTGTAGTGATCTAGTGGTGTTGGGAGGAAGGAGAAGTGTTAGTTAGTAAGACAGGTTGGACCAGGGACGGGTTGAAGGGATAGTGGATGGATCAGAACCTATTCTGCTTCTAGGATTTTGGCTTTAGTCTCACAAAACTGATCTGATTGTGCAGAAGACAGGAAATCAAGGAAATTAACCCCAGAAAGTTAGACCCACAGCTCTTGAGCCCCATAGCACAGTCGGGTGCCCCGTGTAAAGGATGTTGTCCTCCACCTCACCATCCTATCACTTGCTGCTTACTAAGTCAGCTCTTTTGCCTTCTGCTGCAGTGAAAACATTTCTACAATTCTTGGTAAGTAAATGGAGTCTTAAAGCTTAAACCTCTATCCCGGGCAAGGAACCAAAGGATGTCATTGTGCGTAACTTCAAAGGCTGATAAGATGTTTAAGGGCTCTGCTCTCTGAAAGAGTTTCTTTCTTTTAAGGCGAGCCAGAAACATTCGTGTGTGCGTCCCACCATTATTCCAACAAGAAGTAGAAGACTGTTTCTTCCCTGCGTGTCTGCAGAGGCTCTAGTTTGCCTGCCCCTACCCCCACAGAAAAGAGTCTCTCGCTCTCTCCGTCTTACAATGATTGCATTGTGTTTTGGATGATGGATGTCCAGCAAGCATGGTATTAAAATCAGTACCTTTACTTCTGGGGAAGAGTCAAAAAACAGTGGTCACAGTTATACCATTTCTGTGTTTGCATGAAGCAGTCGCCCGAGGACTCAGGAGTTCTTGATTTTTGTTTTGGATTATGACTGATGTGGTATGAGCTGGTGAAAAATAAGTGAGCTGCTTTCTCCCCATCTCTGATCATCCACTGTTGGACATCTCTTGGTGACAAGTCACACAGGTGTAGTGCAGAGTGTGCTGTTTGTCAAGGGCATCTGTCTCTCTTTTTCAGTTTTATCCCTGGGCGATGCAGAGTCTGTTGGTTTCTCTCTGTCACCGGCAGACAATTTGGCCCAGCAGACACCCTCAGCCTATGAAAGAATGAGTGGAAGATTTTTCAGTAGATTGTCCAGGAAATGGGGAAGGGCTGGCAGTGCTACTGGAAGTGTTTGCTGTGCACTGTACATTATTTCACGCAGAATGTCTTCCAGCTATAACAAGTTTTTTATACATTTTGATTTGGAAAATGAAGACCTGCCCTGTCAAGTCTAGGAGGATAAGGCCTCAGAATGGAAGGGGATGGGGTCCACGTAAGGATTCATTTACCCCAGAGATGGGTGGCGGAACATGGATGTTTTGATGGCCAAAGACCACAGAGCTTCCTTTGTGTCTCATAGCATGGTGTTTGGAGCTCATGGGTGCTCAGTCAGTGCCTGCCAGCTGCATGATAAAGGTGTAATTTAGAGTACTGGTGTTTGCTTGTAGTTCTCCTGTTCTTCATCTGAATTCTTGGCCTGGAGGATGGAGGCAAAACTCTCTAGTCCTGCTTGTGATGCCGCATGCATTACCATGGCTCACAGGCATCGCACTGAAGGAGCATTAGCCGGCCTGCCAGAAAGAAATGTAATGTGAATGAAGACTTGGGAACCTCACAGTCTGAAACTCCCATCCTTGCATTCCAGGCTGATGCCCTCAGGCAGACTGGAGATAGCTTAATACAAGCATATTTGTAACACTGGCTCCATCCAGATCAAAGGGCAGGGAGCTCGCTTGGGTTGCAGCCTCCAAGATGAAAACTGGACCCTGAAGTGAGCCTGTGCGACTTGGCCATGCCTTGAATCTGAAAAGAAATACCGATTCTGTTATGGATGTTTGAACCATCAGATGGAAACGTTGAAGTCTCTTTGCCAATAATAAATTGGATTCAATTCCTCCCTCACCCCGCCCCCACCTTGGACTAGTATAAGATTTGGGGTTTGTTCTTAAGTGGTGCTTCTGTTTTGGGGGATATTGGGGAGTAGGAAGTGAGCTCACACAAGCCACTAGGTGCTGGAGTGCCTGGGGCCAGAGAGGGCTCTGCTCAGAGGATGCGTCTTTCCGGATGTTTTCGAATGTCGTTGTAATTGGGATTGTTGAAGGCTAAGAGGAGCCTTGCTTTCTTTTCTCAAATAGACCATGGACAGGCGTTGGTGTTTTTGTTGCCTGAATTAGCTTTTAACAGATTCTTCAATTCCATGGATTAGTTAACATTTCAAAAGAAAATGTTCTTTTTTTTTTTTTTTTTACAGATAAGGACTTTAAAAATTACCATTTGTTATCACTATAGTTTCATAAAACAAAAGGCCTTTCAAACAACACATGAGTAAGAATTTAATTTCAGAATAAAGAGCATTTAAAAATATAATACATTTAACATTATAAAATTCTTTTTTTTTTTTTTAGATGGAGTCTCACTCTGTCGCCAAGGCTGGAGTGCAGTGGCATGATCTCAGCTCACTACAACCTCCGCCTCCCAGGTTCAAGCAATTCTCCTGTCTCAGCCTCCCGAGTAGCTGGGATTACAAGCACCGGCCACTACGCCTGGCTAATTTTTGTATTTTCAGTAGAGACAGGGTTTCACCATATTGATCAGGCTGGTCTCGAACTCCTGACCTTAGGTGATCCACCTGCCTTGGCCTCCAAAAGTGCTGGGATTACAGGCGTGAGCCACCGCGCCCGGCACATTATAAAAAACTGAATACCTTGTTCTGATATTTCTCATTTTGAAAACTTTGTCACTGACCAGTATTGGCTGTGAGCAGGTATTTGAAAACAATTGTGTTAGGCTACCTAGATCTTGTAATATATAGGCATATATACATACATACATACATATATATAAATTGAAAAGAAAAGTCATCATTATTATGGTAATAACTTACATTTACATTAAGGTTCTAATTATAGAATACTTTTACATACATTATCCCATACGATTAGTTAGTGTATGCCTTTGAAACATAAATTAGTCTTAATAGCCTAAGCTAAATGGAATTAAGAATAGAAGTCTAGTGTTTAAGTAAATTGTTGGTGTCCTAGAGTCAAATATGAATAATTTTTAAATTATCTACCGCTTTGATTTTTCCGTCTCTGTTACCCTGCTATATTAGCAAGAGTAAATAAATAAGTAATGCTGTGATATGTGCACATCTTTATAACCGTATATGTAGCCTAGCCGCATACATGCATATATTCTGACAAACATAAATATACATGTGAGGAATAATTAGGAAATGATATAAAATACCGTCTGAGAAAATCTTGGAAATATGTAGGGCAGAGATTAAGGGTGGGAGGGAGAGAAAGCGCAGGCAGGAGTAAGCAAGTGAAAGGTAATTTTTACTCTAAGTGAATGGGGTGTTTCTTGTCCCAAAGCTGTGTTTAAAAACACATAGATATTTTTTATTTCAACTCAAGTGTTCTATCGTGAATAATTGAACAGAGGTGTGTCCAGTGTTGAATGCTGTCTTTGAACAAGAGAAAGTATTTTCCCTTTGCCAGTTCCCCCTTCCACCTCCTACTTTCTCTCCTAGGGTTAGAGACTGGCTTCCTGAGATTTCCTAGAGGAGATAACTAGCTTCAGAATTATGGGTTGCAAGCGTTTCTGTGAAGCAAAATCTCCTGGCAAATTGCTAAATCACCAGCTTTATTTCGAAGACCCTCAACTAAGCTAGAACTTCAGTTAGGCATTATTTAAATAATCAGTTAATTCAGGCAGTGATCATTCAACAAACATTCACACCAGCCTTGGTGCTGGTCAGTGGGGATGCAATGGAGGGTAAGATAGAAATAGTATCTACCTGTGGTAGCTCACAGTCCGTTGGGGAGATGGGCAAACTAGGAGGTAACAAATAATTGGTTACAAATGATAATTTCTAGATAGGAAACAAATGGGATGCTATTATCAATAAATCTGAAAGAAGCAATGTGGCATACTCATCAGGCAATGTGAAAATTCTAGTGGAAATCAACAATTAACAATTGCTTGAGGTCAGGAGTTCGAGACGAGCCTGGCCAACATGGTGAAACCCCATCTCTACTAAAAATACAAAAAACCCCACAAAAAACAAACAACAAACAAACAAACAAAAAAACAATTAGCCACGCATGGTGGCACGTGCCTGTAGCCCCAGCTACTTGGGAGACTGAGGCAGGAGAATCGCTTGAACCTGGGAGGCAGAGGTTGCAGTGAGCCAAGATTGTGCCACTGCACTCCAGCCTGGGCAACAGAGCAAAACTATGTCTCAAAAATAAATAAATAAATAAATAAATAAATAAATAAATAAATAAATAACCTAGTGTCTGGTATTCTGTTATAGAAGCACAAAACATACAGTGACTGTGGTTATCCAATTTCACATTCCCATCAGCAATCTGATTACAGGCGTGAGCCACCTTGCCCAGCCTCTGTTCTTTATAAATTACCTAGTGTCAGGGCTGGTGTGGTGACTCTCGCCTGTAATCCCAGCACTTTGGGAGGCTGCGGCGGGTGGATCGCTTAAGGTCAGGAGTTCGAGACCAGCCTGGCCAACATGGTGAAACCCCGTCTCTACTAAAAATACAAAAATTAGCCAGGTGTGGTGGCAGGTGCTTTGTAATTCCAGCTATCTGGGAGGCTGAGGCAGGAGAATTGCCTGAACCTGGGAGGCGGAGGTTGCAGTGAGCCAGGATCACGCCACTGCACTCCAGACTGGCTGACAGAGCGAGACTCTGTGTGTATATATGAATGTTTGCCTATGTATATGTGTGTATGTGTATGCGTATGTGTATGCATATGTGTATATAAAAATGTGTATGTATATACATATATGTGAAAAGGGCAAAGGTTATACAGGAAATTTGGTTTGCTTTTATAATATAAAAAATTATTTTAAGAAAAGAAGCTATTGGGGCCGGGTGCAGTGGCTCACACCTGTAATCCCAGCACTTTGGGAGGCCGAGGTGGGTGGATCACGAGGTCAAGAGATTGAGACCATCCTGGCCAACATGGTGAAACCCCGTCTCTACTAAAAATACAAAAAATTAGCCGGGCGTGGTGGCAGGCGCCTGTAGTCCCAGCTACTTGGGAGGCTGAGGCAGGAGAATCACTTGAACCCGGGAGGCGGAGCTTGCAGCGAGCCGAGATTGCGCCACCACACTCCAGCCTGGTGACAGAGCGAGACTCCATCTCAAAAAAAAAAAAAAAAAAAGAAAAAGGAAAAAAGAAAAGAAGCTATTGGGAAAAAATCATTTCCTCTTAATTTTTCCATGGCTTCTCCTTACTGAATAATTCTCTGTAAAACAACCATTTACTAGGCTATTTACAGGAAGCAAAAAGCACTCCCATACAAAGGGTAAAGCTGTTTGGCTGACTTAATATTCATACCATAGGTTCTTCTTTCTACATCTTGGAGCTAACAGTTTGATCAGATAGCACAGATTATCCAGAAACCTAAAAAGTTTTAATTTTTCAGGGGTTATGTTTACATGCCATTGTGTTCTCCAGTGAAAAACAAAATCATCTAACCTTGATTGAGCATTTAACTCTGTGAATAAGAACCTAGGACTGCACGTGGGGCACATATACCTAGTAGGAGAGAGGAAAGTAATAGGCAAAGAATGACTGTAGAGTAGAGAAGGTTCCATGGACAGGCAGAGCTATAGGTAACAGGGAAAGGTTAGTTTGGGGAGCAGTGGCTCAGCAAAGGATTTCTGGGGTGGCGTTTGTGAAGGGTGGCCAGTGTTGGACTTGAGAGTAGCTCTGCCCCACAGATCAGTTACCTTCACAAGCTCCTGAGGATACCCATTAGGCCTCTTTTTCATATTAAAATTAACAACTTTTTGTTACCTGAGGGCATATGTATTGTTAGGGAGCAATAATAATTTATCAGTTTCCATCAAGTTGCACTTTATCATCATAATGGTTTCAGAGGAGGCTGCTTTTAGCTCTTGCAGTGCATTTTAATGTGTTGCAAGAAACATGGAAACTGACTAACGGTGTAATGGATGTGTAATGGACTGGGAGCTGGGGAGGCCACGAATGGGACATGCTATGGCTGGACCATGAAAGTGCTTCTCTAGAAGTCATATGCATTCTCCGTGTTAGAAGGAGCCAGTAGGCACAGTTTGGTTTCACCCGACACTCTTAGACATGTGGGCACGATTGCTCGTCTTCTTGTTTTGGTTGCATTTACCCTCAGTCTCTCCTCTGGTGGCCCCCGTATCGACGAATGAGATCCCAGGTTCAGGGTTGCAAAGAAGAGGAAATGTCCTGTCCATGCCAGTATGTGCAGTTTTTTGAAGAGGCTCTCACTGAAGGTGACGATTCATTACAAATGCTATCAAGCATGTGTTTCTCAAAGAGAAAGAAAAGTTAGACATCAGGTGTGAAGGTATTTATGGCATTCAGAGCCCTGGCAGGTAGGCCTGCTTCATTCCAGAACCCTGGGAAAAACTGACCACTTTTAGAGTCCAGCCAGCTTGTTCAGTATCTCTGGGAGGCATCTTTCAGAAATGAACATAGTAAATGCCAAATTAACCTTTTGTGGAAGTAGTCCCCACTTATCCACTGTTCTCTTCATGCTTTGAGTTACCTACAGTCAACTGCAGCTTGAAAATATTAAATGGAAGATTCCAAAAATGAACAGTGTATATTTCAGTTGCACCTTGCTCTAAGGATTGTGATGAAATCTCGTGCTGTCCCGCTCTGTCTTGCCCGGTGCATGAATCATCCCTTTGTCTAGCATTTCTACACTGTATATACTACCCATCTGTAAGTCACCCAGTAGCTGTCTCCGTTAGATGGAGAAAACATAGGTGTGTAAGGTTTGGTACTATCTGGGGTTTCAGGGATCCACTGGGGGTCTTAGAACTTGTTCCCCGTGGAGAAGGAGGGACTACTGTAGCTGATGAGAAGAGGCCATTTTACTTTATGTCCTGATAGTAAATGTATTCCAAATAAGGCCTGGCCCAAGGTCTTACCTTTCTCTGTCGCCCTACAGCATAAGGTTGGGATCTCAGAACCCTTAGTAAGGGTTTGTTGATTATTGACTGATGTCCTCAGATGTTAGCAAAAGGAGATTTTGCTAAATAATTGTGGCTAAATTCTAGCCCAGAGTTTTAAGTTTACAACGACCTGTGATCACGCTATTACATTCCAGCTTGGGAGACAGAGCAAGACCCTGTCTTAAAAAAAAAAAGGCCCAGCACAGTGGCTCACGCCTGTAATCCCAGCACTTTGGGAGGCCGAGGTGGGCGGATCACGAGGTCAGGAGATCGAGACCATCCTGGCTAACACAGTGAAACCCCGTCTCTACTAAAAATACAAAAAATTAGCTGGGCGTGGTAGCAGGCACCTGTAGTCCCAGCTACTTGGGATGCTGAGGCAGGAGACTCCAGCCTGGGCGACAGAGCAAGACTCTGTCTCAAAAAACAAAACAAAAAAAAGCAATCTCTTAAAAAAAATGCAGCTAAAATAGTACCAGACTGTATACCCATTAAAATTAAAAATACAAAATTAAAAAGCAGAATACCAGGCATAAAGATGCATTTGACACCAGAATCCATTACATCGAAGCTCCATCTTCATAACATTAATATTTTTCCAAAATATTTTGAGTACTTCCCCCCCACCCCCATTGGTTTTGGATATTCTGGTCTTAAAACCAAATCGGTTGTATACTAGAATGCAGAAGAGATTTATCACCCAGTAGAATGAACTTCAGTGAATCCTAGTGTTTCTGATAAGTTAGTCTTTAGTTGGGTGTTGGGATATTTTCTGTCTCTCTCTGATTTCTGAATTTGGAAGTGAGTTACAGTACATTTTTATTCGGTTTTAATCCATCAAAATCAAGTTAGTTGTAAGTGATGGAAGAGCTTACTTTGTGTAGTCCGGGCTGCCTGGAGACATCAGCCACATGCCAAAAGCTTGCTGGTTGCCCAGCAACCTTGCCGGAGGAATAGATTTTCTGCCACTGGCTCCCTTTTTAGTCGAGGCGGAATCTATTAACACTACTATTCTAGCCCAGAGAACTGGAGCTGGAGTTTAGCTGAAAAGAATGGTCGGGGTTTTTTTGTTTTTGTTTTTTTAATAACCCAGCACCGTGTTTCTGGCTTCTAAACCCTACTGCTAATTTCATTGACTTCTACATAAAGACTTAGAGCTTATTAATATTACTTAGCACAGTAGAAGCTAAAGAGGTCAGTCTTGTGCCTCCTTGGCCCCTAAGGAAGCTCATTGTTTCATCTCTGTAGAAACTACCTCACAGGCAATGGGTGTGGACCGTGAGCATCCAAGTTGAAGGGGGAGCAGAGAAGACTGACCTCATTTGCCCCCATACTTACTCCAAGTCCTCACCAGGTGTACTTGTTGGCTGTGCCTTCCAGAGGCAAACTTATTTGGTGGTTGAAGCTGCTGTTTCTTCAAGTATACGTGATCCAGCTCTGATTGAAAAGCACCTGTGTATTCCTTCCTCTTACACTTCAGTCAAAGAGTGTCTTTTCTCCTTTTGTAGCTAAATACTTCACCGGCAGGATTGATGGTTTCCTTCTACCAGGGGAGTTTGTGCTGCTGGCAGCCCCATTGTTTTGCTTCTGCTGTTAATGTAATAGCTTTGGGTTGTAGTGCAGGAAGATGATGCCTAAGTCCAGCGTCAGGTGGCTGGAGTTCTTTGCCACTGCTGAAATGCAATTTTAATAATGGACTGTATCAGCCAAATGTGTTTCCTTGCCTCTTTGTAAAACAAAAGAAGATCTCAGCATATTAACCCATCGATGGCAGGAAAAAATCAAAATCTCCAAGAATGCCAATTAATGAAATGGCACTTGCATCTCAAATTATAAATCTCCTTAATACACTTCAGAAATTCTCTGGGTAGACAAGGAAGGGGTTGCTCCAAGCCATCTCATCAGCCCCACTTTTTCTAAGGCACAAATGTAGAAAAGATGCAGAAAGTAGTTTGTGGTTTGGTAGAGAAACGAGCTGTTCTACAAAAGCAATGACGAACTTGACTAACCTCAGGTTGCGTTTATTTGTTCTGATCATGCTGAACTTTATTAATTGTGAAAAGTCTGTCAGAGGCGTTCGAACCAGAGTGACTCCATTTTGAGCAAGGGCTAGGAAAATGAGGCTGAGATTTGCTGGGCTCCATTCTCAGAAAGTTAGGCATTCCTAGCCTCTAGATGTTTACGGTTAAGGGAACAAATTAATAGTGTTTACTAAACAGACTCAGACTTGGGAGTGTCCAGGTATCCTGACATCTGGAGAACAAAGGCACTCTTAATTTTGCTTTAAAGATAATAATATCGATTCTTGCAAAATATAGTAATTAAGAAAATTAATCCTTTATCGCAAACCCTTGTAGCAGAGCACATCTCCCCATATATACAAGTATTGTACTTAGGGTGGATGCGTTCCTCCTCTTACTTTCAGGAACATCGTACTCTATCTATGGAGTAGCTGTTCTTTCACCACTTTACTTTCTTAATAAACTTGCTTTTACTTTGCACTTCGGACTCGCCCTGAATTCTTTCTTACGCGAGATCCAAGAACCCTCTCTTGGGGTCTGGATCGGGACCCCTTTCCTTTAACAACTTGGGTCTTTGGGCTTATATTTTCCTGAGTAATCTTAGAATATTGCTGATGCAAGGGACCTTTTGTAGTTCCATGTGCCCAGTTTTACAAGTAAGGAAACCAGAGAAGTGAAAAAGTTTGCTCAAGGATGTACAGCTATGTCCAGAGTGGCAGAGCAGGGAGCAAAATCCCAGCCATAGCACTGTTACGGGAAAGGGGTCCTGATCCAGAGGCCAAGAGGGTTCTTGAATCTCATGCAAGAAAGAATTCAGAGCAAGTCCATAGAGTAAAGCAAAAGCAAGTTTATAAAGAAAGTAAAGGAATAAAAGAATGGCTATTCCATAGACAGAGCAGCTGCGAGGGCTGCTGGCTGCCCATTTTTATAGTTATTTCTTGATGATATGCTAAACAAGGGGGGGATTATTCATGCCTCCCCTTTTTAGACCATATAGGGTAACTTCCTGACATTGCTGTGGCATTTATAAACTGTTGTGGTGCTGGTGGGAGTGTAGCAGTGAGGAGGACCAGAGGTCCCTGTGGTGGCCATCTTGGTTTTGGTGGGTTTTGGCCAGCTTCTTTACCACAAAGTGTTTTATCAGCAAGGTCTTTGTGACCTGTATCTTGTGCTGACCTCCTGTCTCATCCTGTGACTTAGAATGCCTTCACCGTCTGGGAATGCAGCCCGAGTAGATCTCAGCCTTATTTTACTCAGCTCCTATTCAAGATGGAGTTGATGTGGTTCAAACACCTCTTACAGCACCACCCACATGATGTGTTTGAATTGAACCAGGAAGGAAAAGTGCTTGTTTCTGTAGCTCTGGTTCCATTCATATATCCAACAAATATTTGCGAGAGATCTGTCTGGTGAGGTCCTGAGCTTCCAATGACACAATGTACAAATTGAAATCAAAATCGGTAAGAATCTTAGAATTCTTCCAATTCTAACATACTGTGACTCAGCCAGAGATACTCTGACTCAGCCACTTAGTTTATTCATTCATTCATTCATTCAGTTCCTTCATGTTGCAAACACTTATTAGACATTTCCTACTTACTACTGCAAATCTCTGCACAACAAAAGTATTTTTAAGACCCGATCTGAGTCACTTATATCAAGGAACATTCCATATAGATTTTTCTTAGCAGCAGCAGTCTTTGGATGTTTTATCCTAACAAAATTTGATTTTTAAAGGCATATAACTCGTTCATTTTCCTTTTTTTTTTTTTTTTTGAGACATAGTCTCACTGTGTTACCCAGGCTGGAGTGCAGTGTTGCAATCTCGGCTCACTACAGCCTCCGCCTCCCAGTTCAAGCGAGTCTCCTGCCTCAGCCTCCCAAGTAGCTGGGACCACAGGTGCGTGCGACCACGCTCGGCTAAATTTTTTTTTTGTATTTTTAGTAGAGACGACGTTTCACTATGTTGGCCAGGGTGGTCTTGAACTCCTGACCTCGCGATCCGCCCGCCTTGGCTTCCCAGAGTGCTGGGATTACAGGCGTGAGTCACCGTGCCCAGCCTCATTTTCTTTGTAACTGGTTGCTTTAGGTCTCCAGCCAACTTTATATGCGAGATTTTAAAAAAATGCTATCAAACTCTAGTGTAAGGATTTGCTTCAGTTTTAGGTCTATGTTAAGCATGCCTTTTAGAGGACAGTGGTAAACATTGGTTTACTTGGCTAGGTAAAGCATCTGTTTTCAAGGTCTTGATCTAACCACATACCCCACAGTCACTTGTTCCTGGCCTTTGTTGTTATCTCTATTTGCTCAGAAATGTCCACAATCCTAAAGTCTGCTGTAAATTTCACATGGTTATTGCATTACCTTCTACTACCATGCTGCAAACACCAATTTGAAGGAGTGGCGTGAGAAAACAACTAAAAGTATTTATCCTGCTGTTCTTTGCATTTTCTTTGTTCTGTTGCATCGTGATATCTGGCTATCGGATTTCATAGAAAAGTAGAAACAGCCGAGGGCACTGTTTTTGTAATTTCATATTAAACTCATTTCCTTGAAAATCTGGCTTGAGATGAGTGTTCTTCAGACTTCTCTTCCATTTTGGTATGTTTCCTTTTTCTTTTCTCATGCAGCCTATGTCTAGTTTTTCAAGCACATTGAAGTTGAATATATTTTTGTTTTAGTATCAGAAGGCACAGCTGCCGTGGACTAACCCTAACGAGCCTCCCTCTGTCACCCATCAGTGTCTCACGCAGCAGTTCCTGACCATCAAAGTGTGCTCTGTGCTAAGTACTCTGCTGGATGATTTGGCTTGAATTTCTCAATAAATACACCTACTTACCCTAAGAGGCAGTTAATATTATTCCCATTTGACTGATATGGAAACTGAGGCTGAGAAAGTGGAAGCAATTTTTAAGTCAAGTCACACAATGTAAGTGGTGAGCAGGACCCAAGGTTGTGTTTATATGATTTTGAAATTTTGTTATCGACCCTACTTATGAGCCCTGCTTTATTTCTCCATTATAGACATCCCATTTTGTTTTTCTTTTAAACTGAGACAATGGCAAAATAAAAACAGGGGAGTGTTTTATGTATCATTTTCACTGGACCGGTATTTTCTGTGTTTTTCAGAACACTAGCCAGCAAGCTCCTAAAAAACAAACATTAAATTAATTTGGTCAAAACTGCACATTATATCCTTTTCTAGGAGATACTGTTTTATTTTATTTCCTTTTCTCAAATTTCCATTTGACTACATAACCTTTTTATCTTCAAATGCCTTTAAAAGCACAAATTGGGAAAGGTTTCAGTTAAAAGACAAGTGAAGAATTTGGTATTATACAACTAAATTTTTAAAAATAAAAAAAAGAAAAGTGGCCAGGCACGTGGCTCACGCCTGTAATCCCAGCACTTTGGGAGGCCGAGGCAGGTGGATCATGAGGTCAGGAGTTCGAGACCAGCCTGGCCAACGTGGTAAAACCCTATCTCTACTAAAAATACAAAAATTAGCCAGACGTGGTGGCGGGCGCCTATAATCCCAGCTACTTAGGAGGCTGAGGCAGGAGAATCGCTTGAACCCATGGGGCGGAAGTTGCAGTGAGCGGAGATCGCACCACTGCACTCCAGCCGGGGCGACAGAGTGAGACTCCGTCTCAAAAATAAATAAATAGATAAATAAATAAATAATAATAATAAAAGGCCAGGTGCGGTGACTCATGCCTGTAATTCCAGCTCTTTTGGGAGGCTGAGGCGGGCGGATCACCTGAGGTCGGGAGTTCGAAACCAGGCTGACCAACATGGAGAAACCCCGTCTCTACTAAAAATACAAAATTAGCCAGGCGTGGTGGCGCATGCCTGTAATCCCAGCTACTTGGGAGGCTGAGGCAGGAGAATTGCTTGAACTCGGGAGGCAGAGGTTGTGGTGAGCCAAGATCGTGCCATTGCATTCCAGCCTGGGCAACAAAGGCAAAACTCCATCTTAAAAAAGAAAAAAAGAGAAAAGAAAAGGAAAAAGGAAAACAGAATCTTCTGAAGCCCCCTAGAGATGGCAGCCTCCTGCTTCATTCTGTCTTCACTTCAAAATTCTGTTTTTATTCTTTACCTGGACTCCTCCAAGACCAGGAATATCAGTGCCCTGTTTCTTATCTCCTCCCCAGAGGCCTTCGTTTTTTGATCCAAGTCCTGGCTACATTTTGTGCCATCTGTGCGCTCTGGGTACGTTATGCTCCTTGAGGGGAGGAACTGGGTTTTAACATCTTTGTGACCTTATAGTGGCCACAGTAGCTACTTAGGAAATGCATGAATGAACTGCGTTTTGAGCAGAAGAACAAATACATTACGTGGATCTGTTTTTCTGAGTTAACTCTAGCCAAGTGATTAACCCCCTCTTTGGGTGACAGTGAGAAATTTGAGAAGCTGCAGTAACTCATTTATATCACTAGGGTTCCATTTGGAAAATGATACCTCCTGTTGTCTCATTTAATTAGTAATTGTGTTTTCAGTTCCAATTGAAAGCCTCAGAAGAAAGGATAGTAATAAACTGTGGTGTATGGTATTATTATTGTTATCTAATTATATTTACTATTGTGACAGTTTTCCATTGAGGTACTTTTGAAGAAGGAACTTGTCAATGTTATCTCATAGGCTTCTCTCTTGTTCCTCCTTTACCTCTCCATGTATTCTAAACTCCAGTATTAAGTATGAGCCTCTTTTATAGATATGTAAATTGATGCACACAGTTTTGTTGTTTGTTTGTTCTTAACAACATGGCCTAAAGTTGTTTGGTAAGTTCATTCTGGATCTAGAGATTGATTCACCAGTCTTTTCAGAGATGTCACTCACACATTGGCAAAGGCAGTGGGGGAACCAAGGGAATGATGCCCCAACAAGAGGTTGGAAGATGTGGGAGCTGCTTTGGCTCTGCAATTTACTTGTTGCATGGCTTTGGACAGGCCATCCTTCCATCCATTCATCCATGCATTTTATTCATCCATTGAGCATTTCATGGAATTCACTAGATTGGATAGTCCATCCATCCATCCATCCATCCATCCATCCATCCATCCATCCATCCAACATTTCATGGAATCCTCTAAATTGGACAGTCCATCAATCCATCCATTCATTCATTCATCAAACATTCCATAGACTCCTCTAGGTTGGACAGTCCATCCATGCATCCATCAGTCATTCCATGGAATTCATTGGATGGAACAGACCATCCATCCATTCATCCATCCACTTATTCATCCACCAAGCATTTCATGGAATCCACCGGGAATCCTCCATTCTGTGGAGTCCCACCAGGCTAGATGTTGGTATTACAAAGATGAATAGGACATTGTCCCCATTCTCAAGGAACTTCCTGTTTAGGATGTGGATTCAGACACATAAACCAACACCCTCAGAGAAATGCTGTGGGTGCTTTGTTAGAAGCGTGTCCAGGTAGAATGGCATCCCAGAGGAGAGAGGAGCAGCATTCCTTCTGGTGCTCTGGAGACGCTTTGTGGCAAAACTGACATGGGGTTGAGTTGAGGAGAGAAACAGAAGATATAATCAAGGGGTCATGCCATGATAAAGAATTTGGATTTTATACTTCTTTATAATTTCCCGGTGATGGGGGCCACTGATGATTTTAAACAGAGAACAGCACAACCATTGTTTTTGGAAGATAAACCTGGAGGATGACCTTATTTAATCTTTTTTTAAAAATCTTTTTAAATTTTTTTTTTTATTTTTGAGATAGAGACTTGCTCTGTCGCCCAGGCTGGAGTGCAGAGGCCCGATCTCGGCTCACTGCAACCTCCGTCTCCCAGGTTCAAGCGATTCTCCTGCCTCAGCCTCCCAAATAGCTGGGATTTCAGGCATGCACCACAATACAATAATTTTTGTATTTTTAGTAGAGACGGGGGTTTCATCATGTTGGTCAGGCTGGTCTTGAACTCCTGACCTCGTGATCCGCCCGCCTCGGCCTCCCAAAGTGCTGGGATTATAGGCGTGAGCCACCGCGCCCGCCGACCTTATTTAATCTTTATAAGCCTCACTTTTCACATCTAGAAGACAGACACAAATAATACCTATTCCTCTTGCTTATGGGTTTCTTTGGGTTGCATTTATCTGTGAAATGCTATTAAAATAGCTAGTGTGTACTCACTACTTTCTAAGCACTTTAATCCTCACAGCAGCTTCACAAAGGTCATTATTGCTATTACTTACATTTTAGAGATGCAGATAGTTACAGAGGCTGAAACCTGACCTAGGGATACACAGCTAGGACTAGTGGCATAGCCAGGATTTGAAACCAGGCCTACCAGATTTTGGAGCCCCCATGTCCATAGCCACCACACAGTGCTGGCAAGGCTTTTCATCTGTGCTTCATTCCTCACCTAAAACATCTTGCCGGTGGCTTTATTTTGCCTCCAGTGACCTTTGCAGAGTGTTGATGTATTGGAAAGACTCAAGATCAGCTCAAACACATGTGCCGTTATTTACAACTATTTAATCTTTGTCTTTAATAATATAGTCTTTTATCATTGAATAGAACCAAGTTTATGGAGTAGAATATACGACTAATTCTTTTGTACTAACTGGGTGTTACAAACGACTTATGTTTCTATGGGCATATACATAAATCTCCCTCCCATTGTTAACAGAAAATCAATTGTGACTCTGACTTCATCCTTTTGGGGAGTTCTTCTGAAGATCCATATTATGAAGAGGTAAAAAGTGAAATTGTAGAGAATATAATGAGATGGATTAGAGCAGGGGAAAGATCTTGAATGGGGTAGGCTTGTTAAGAAGAGTTGCCAAAGAACAGAATAGACAAAGGTAAGGAAGTAGGTTTGGCAAACTCAGCAAGCTCTGCTTGTTGAAAAGACAGTCTGGAAAATATTCTAGAAGTTCACACACAGGCAGTTGCAATCCAAGGACAACTTAACAGCACCTCTTTAGTAAAAAGTTTATTCACTGTATTTTCTCTGTACTAGGTCACTGCTGGGTGAAAAAAAGGCTGCATTATCTGCTAACCATGAATGGGTGTCTTTTAAGTATTACTGCTTGAAGATTCAGGAAGCTCAAGAATAATAATTCAAATAAAATGCTGTTCCATGTCTTGACCTGTGTTCAGTGTGCCAAGAAATAGTACTGAAAAATGCCAGGGTTACACATTTTGTGGCTGGGGAGGAATGTTTTGATCAACCTTCAGCTGCTCATAAAAAATAAATACTGCCGTGTTCTTATATGGACTGTTTCTTGAAGATCTTTTAGAGTAGATTTCCAGCTGAAATTTCACCTTAACTTAAAAAAAAAAAAAGAGGAAAGAAAAGGAAAGCTGTGCGTTATTTAAAACATTAGGCATGTCATGCCAGAGTAAAATAATGGAATCATAAAGAGAAAATGCTCCATTGAGATAAAACAGCTGTCCTTTATAGTCACTGCGTAAGTGTAATTCATCTGCTGTTTGTAGGTTATGCCTTAATGGGAAGGAATATTAAGGGAATGAGAAAAAAAATTCTTCATTAAATGGAAGAGCCTTGCACAAAATATATCTTCAATTGAAGCAGCTGTTTTAGAAGAGCAGATTCTGAGATGTGGGCAGAAATATATCCCCGGAGCTTCTGCTGCCTGGGATGCAGGAAGAATGGCATAAACAGGATGAGTGGAGCAGTGGATAGAACGGGCCTCTTGGCATCAGAGGGAGACTTGGTAGAGGCCACCGCCTAGCGCATCCGTTCTCATACCTTGATGCACGTTGGAATCACCTGGGAAGTTTGAACAAGTCTGATGCCCAATTCCACATCCAGAAATTCTGACTGAATTGGTTTGGGATGTGGCCTGGGCATGGACATTTCTACAGGTTCCCCAGGGGAGTCTTAATATACAGCAAAATTTGAGCACTGGCCTAGAAGGTGACTAATTTCTTTTTCTTCTTGCAGCTAGGGCAGTTTGCCGTAGGGACTTAGGTTGGAAGATTGCATGCACCGGCAGACGTTGGAGCAGAGCCCTGGGTTAAGGCTGGTTAGACAGCTTCCTTTCTTTAAGGGCTAAAAGGTAAAATTCCAATGTTTCTTCGAAAAATGAGTCTTGAAAGTTTTTCCTATCAAAAAGAATACACAGGGCCAGGCATGCTGGCTCATGCCTATAATCCCAGCACTTTGGGAGGCTGAAGTGGGTGGATCACCTGAGGTCAGTTCCAGACCAGCCTGGCCAACATGGTGAAACCCGTCTCTACCAAAAATATAAAAACTAGCTGGGTGTGGTGGTGCGCACCTGTAATCTCAGTTACTTGGGAGGCTGAGGTAGGAGAATTGCTTGAACCCGGGAGGCAGAGGTTGCAGTGAGCCGAGATAGAGCCACTGCACTCCAGCCTGGGTGACAGAGTGAGACGCTGTCTCAAAAAAAAAAAAAAAAAAAAAAAGAATGTATAATTATATTCTATCTGAATTCCATAGTGGGTGGCGGGGGGGAAGCACATCTCTAGTCAGGCAAAATTCCCAGGAAGGGGATGATTAACAAGGTGACACTTACCAAGGCTTCTTGGGGAATGAAAATCTTGACCCTGATTTGCTGCTATAAAAAACAAAGCCAAAAACCAGTCAAGCAAAAAGCAACCAAAGAAAGAAGAACGAAAACAGTAGAGCCACATTCTTGGTTATAGGTCAGATCACCAGAACCCCACATCTCAACTTAAGTGGGAGCTTTTCTCGTTGCTCTTTAGGATTTCCAGGGAAGACCAGGCAGTATGCTGTAACATAAGGAAGAGGAAACATGGCTTTTAGTCAGTACTTTGCTGATAATAAGCTTTCACCTTAAATAACTCACTAACTTTTTTTTTTTTTTTTTTTTTTTTTTTTTTTGAGACAGAGTCTCCCTCTGTCACCCAGGCTGGAGTGCAGTGGTGCGATCTCCGCTCACTGCAAGCTCCGCCTCCCGGGTTCACGCCATTCTCCTGCCTCAGCCTCCCGAGTGGCCGGGCTACAGGCCCCCGCCACCATGCCCGGCTAATTTTCTGTATTTTTAGTAGAGACGAGGTTTCACCCTGTTAGCCAGGATGGTCTGGATCTCCTGACTTCGTGATCCGCCCGCCTGGGTCTCCCAAAGTGCTAGGATTACAGGCGTGAGCCACCGCGCCCAGCCAGAATCTGCATATCTGACAGTGCACCTCCAGGTGAGGATGATGCTGGCCCCTGGATTGCGCTTTTGAGAGGCAGGGCAGTTCATGAGTGTCATCAGCTGGCATTCATGTTTTCTTAGGTCAGCCGGAGGAGAGTGAAAGGGAAAGACGGGATGGAACAAGGGGCCTCATGTGTGGCTTTCCTCCATGCATGACATGAATGAAGCCAAAGCACAGTAATTTTTTAGCTTTGAGTTTATGTGGCCCCAAGCAACTTGGTGTAATCAGTGCCTATTTACATTCTCAACTGCCCTTTTTGTAGATACTAATTTTTATATACTTTTTATTCTCTACATGACCTTTGGGGGAGCCTGAGTATAACAATTTAGTTTTTCTCTATCAATTTCTTCCCATTTTTGTTGAATTCTGGCATGTCAGCCTCCTACCTTTCTCTATTTGTGATTCAGTTTAATGTATCTCTCAGGTCTTTGTTATCTATATGTATAGGTATACCTTTGTTACCTACATGTATAGCTATACCTTTGTTACCAAAATGTATAGCTATACAAATGTCTTTTATCTGGTGCCTACAATAGTGGTTTTTGTTTTGTTTTTAAATCTATGTAAGTGGCACGATTATTCAAAATAATCATCTGGTTGACCTCATTCTCATTTGGTGATCAGTGGAAATGCTGGTTAAACTTGGAGTGAAATCAACTTGCCAATATCATTCTAAATAGGATCCTCTAATTATATTGTTTGCCCAACTGATAGATTTTTGTTTTGCCACAGTAAATCAGTGGCTGTGCAGTGTTTTTCTGATCATTTTGTAATGTTCTCACACATTATTTAAGGTTTGTAAAGTTTAAGAATAGATGTAGTTTTATGTGTTCAAATTTAAACAGTTTGGAGAGGGAAGAGGGTTTTAAAAAATATGGTTGTGACATGTTTATTATAAACATGAGAAAATGGAGCTTGTGATTATGCTGGTGGTATATATATTGTACCTTGTCAACAAGAAAGCTTCTATGTTTGTGTATTTAAGGTGGTATTTTCTTTCTTTAAAAACATTAGAACTGATGATGTCTCTTGGAAGACTTAAACACAGTCTGGTTTAAAATATTGTTCCATAACTACGCTTCTTCCTGAAGTTTCCATGGCTTTCTCTGGGCATTGCAGACCTTTTGAAATTGAGCTGTTTTTCAGCAGCTGCAGTCAGTTACTTCTCATTCTCTAAGCTAGTGCTTCTTGGCTATCAGTGTGCATCAGAATCACCTGGAAGGCAATTAACAGCCATCTGGGCTCTACCACCGGACTTTCTGATTCAGGAGGTCTGGGGAAGGGCCACAACACTGGCATTTCTCCCACATTCCCAAGTGATACTGGTGCTGCCAGTCCAGGTATGATACTTTAAGAACCGCTGGAGTTTAAGGCCAGGTGTGGTGGCTCATGCCTGTAGTCGTAGCTACTCAGGAGGCTGAGGGGGAGAATCGCTTGAACCTGGAAGGTGGAGGTTGCGGTGAGCTGAGATTGCGCCACTGCACTCCAGCCTGGGTGCCAGGGTGAGACTCTGTCTCAAAACAAAACAAAACAAAACAAAACAAGAACCACTGGCGTTTAAGTCTTTGCTAAGTGTTGTCCAGAACCAGCAGCGTAGATATTGTACTTTGCTGATGCATCACCTGGAAGTTTGGCAGAAATGCAGAAATGCAGGCTCCATTCCAAACCTGCCAAATCCAAACCTATATTTTAACAAGGTGCCCCATGTGATTTGTTTGCACATTAAAGTCTGAGACATCTTGCTTTTAACTCCTTGCAACATCATGAATGCTCCAGTGATAGCACTGGGATTCCACAAGTGTCGAAGCAAGAGAGAAAGAGAAAGTCCTAAAGAAATCAGAACTCCTAGGCACTTATTCTTTCAGAGAACATTCTGGCAAACTGAGGTCAGTCTGACCTTGTTTGAACTTGCTTGGATGAGTTAACTTCTATACTGTTCAAAAGTAATTTTTAATTAGTTTCTGAATTCTAGAGACAATGATATATGTATTTATTATAAACCACTTTCCTATAAAGCATCATGAAATTATAAACTGTTTATCAAAGTAGCAAAGGGATGAGCCTGCAGACCTGAGAGATTTGTTCACAGGGCTTCTACGCTGCACATTCTTTTCTGCCTTTCTTTACAGCCACGGGACTGCGTAAAGAAACCTGAAGGTCATACATATACATTTATACACATATATATATGTGTATATATAATACATATATGTGTATATATATTATGTGTGTGTGTATATTATATATGTGTGTGTATATATATGTGTGTGTATATATAATATATATGTGTATATATAATAAATGTGTATATATTATATATGTGTAGATATTATATGTATATATATTATATATGTGTAGATATATATGTATATATTATATATGTGTATATATGTATATATAATATATATATTTCATTATAAAAATATAAAAAATAGAGGCCGGGCGTGGTGGCTCACACCGTAATCCCAGCACTTTGGGAGGTTGAGGCAGGTGGATCACTTTACGTCAGGAGTTTGAGACCAGCCTGGCCAACATGGTGAAACCCCATCTCTACTAAAAATACAAAAATTAGCCGGGCGTGGTGGTAGGCGCCTGTAATCCCAGCTACTTGGAAAGCTAAAGCAGGAGAATCCCTTGAACCCAAGAGACGGAGGTTGCAGTGAGCCAAGATCGTGCCACTGCACTCCAGCCTGGGCAATAGATTGAGACTCTGTCTCAAAAAAATAAAATAAAATAAAATAAAATATATATACATATGGAGAGAGGGTCTCCCTTGGTCGCTGATACGGTTTGGCTGTGTCCCTACCCAAATCTTATCTTGAATTGTATTTCCCATAATTCTTAGGTGTAATGGGAGGGACCTGGTGGGAGGTAATTGAATCATGGGAGCCAGTCTTTCCTGTGCTGTTCTGGTGGTGGTGAATAAGTCTCATGAGATCTGATGGTTTTATAAAGGGGAGTTCCCCGATCATGCTCTCTTGCCTGCTGCCATGTAAGACATGCCTTTGCTTCTCCTTTGCCTTCCACCATGATTGTCATGTCTTCCTAGCCAAGTGGAACTGTGAGTCCATTAAACCTCTTTTTCTTTATAAATTACGTGGTCTCAAGGCCAGGTGCAGTGGCTCACGCCTGTAATCCCAACACTTTGGGAGTCTGAGGCAGGCGGATCACGAGGTCAGGAGTTCAAGACCAG
The DNA here is from genome assembly GCF_000001405.40 of Homo sapiens. Classification (NCBI taxonomy): domain Eukaryota; kingdom Metazoa; phylum Chordata; class Mammalia; order Primates; family Hominidae; genus Homo; species Homo sapiens. The sequence goes on along the minus strand of NC_000014.9, from coordinate 89,530,151 downwards.
CCTGACCAACATGATGAAACCCTGTCTCTACTAAAAATACAAAAATTAGCCAGGCGTGGTGGCACACACCTGTAATCCTAGCTACTCAGGAGGCTGAGGCAGGAGAATCACTTGAACTGGGAGCCAGAGGTTGCAGTGAGCCAAGATCGCACCACTGCCCTGCAGCCTGGGCAACAGAGTGAGACCCTGTATCAAAAAAAAAAAAAAAAATTACACAGTCTCAGATATGTCTTTATTAGCAGCATGAGAACTAACTAATACAGTTACCCAGGCTGGAGTGCAGTGGTGCACTCATAGCTCGCTGCAACTTCACATACTCCTGGGCTCAGGGGATCCTCCCACCTCAGCCTCCCAAGACTCAAAACTACAGGTGTGTGCCATCATGCCCAGTTAAAGGCCTTAATTATAATCCAGAAGCATTGTATAATCCAGTGGAAAGGAAACAACAACAATATTTCTGCAATATCTAGAATATTCAGTTAATCAGAACCAAAAATGCCCCCTTCCTGGATAGGAGTCTAATTTTTGTTTGCTTATTTCAAATCATTTAGATGATAAACATTTGAAATTCTTAGGCACTGCTTCCTTAAAGGAGGAAAGTAGTGTCTAATACTGGCAAATATATTTTCTGTCCCAGTTTCCCAGAAATTACAAGTTAAAAAAGAAAAGACGAGTGGGGAGAGAGAAACACTATAGGAAGACAGTAAAAGCATCTAGACTTTGCAATTGTACTGCCTAAAATGTTTTTATAACAGTAAAGTTGTACTGGCTAAAATGTTTTTATACTTCTGTTGTGTGCCAGGGGTCAGGAATGCCGTGGAGCAAACAGGGTGCATCCTCTGTGGTATCTGTTTAATTTAAACATTTGTTGGGGTAAAATATTATGCATTTTAACTAGTAATTAATATTAAACATAGACACACACACAAACACGAATTGTTTTTTGACTAGGAAGGAACCACCTATGTATGATTTTCAGAAGATAGGATGAGACTTAAAGAAATTTGGGTTTTGGGATTGATGGGTAATGGATTATAGCCCTAGATCCCTAGAGTTTCATTCTGTAGGGATACTTTGGTGGAAAACTTTAGGAAGCATGTCTTAACATATCAGGTAATCTTTCAAAAATAACTTTATTGATATATGATATACTACACATATTCAAAGTGTGTAGTCTTGATGTATGTGTACATCCGTGGCTTCATCCTAACAATCAAGGTAATGAAGATACTTATCATCCGCAAAAGCTGCTTCCTTCCCATTTGTCATCTCTCCTTTCATTCCTCCCCACCCTCCAACAAGTATGCAGGCAACAACTATTTTGTCTCTGTCACTGTAGATTACTTTGCACTGTCTAGAATTTTATATAATAGAATCATATAGCATGTACTTTTTTGAGGGGTGTGTGTGTGTGTCCAGGATCTTTCATTCAGCATACTTATTTTAAGATTAATCAGCCCGAGTGTGGTGGCTCACACCTGTAATCCCAGCACGTTGGGAGGCCAAGGTGGGCAGATCATCTGAGGTCAGGAGTTCAAGACCAGCCTGACCAACATGGAGAAACCCCGTCTCTACTAAAAATACAAAATTAGCCAGGCATGGTGGCACATGCCTGTAGTCCCAGCTACTCGGGAGGCTGAGGCAGGAGAATTGCTTGAACCCGGGAGGCGGAGGTTGCGGTGAGCCAAGATCGTGCCATTGCACTCCAGCCTGGGCAACAAGAGCAAAACTCTTTCTTTTTCAAAAAAAAAAAAAAAAAAAAAAAAAAAAAAAAAGATTCATCCATGTTGAGTATGGATGAACACTTCTATCCTCTTTATTGCTGTGTAGTATTCCATTGTATGGATATATCACAGTTTGTTTTTCCATTTACCTTTTGAAGAACATTTGAATTGTTTCCAGTTTAGGGCTATCACAAAACTGCTGTGAACCTTTGTGTACCAGTCTCTGTATGGAGGACATATGCTTTCATGTCTATCAGATATATACCTAAGATTGGAATGGCTAGGTCATATAGTAGATATATGTTCAACTTTTTAAGAAACTGTCAAAATATTTCTCAAAGTATTTGTGCTATTTTACATTTCTACCAGCAGGGTATGAGAGTTCCAGTTGCTTCACATCTTTGCTAAAACTTGGTATGATCCAGGCTTTTTAAATTTTAGCCATTGTTGGTAATCCCAGCACTTTGGGAGGCCTAGACAGGTGGATCCCCTGAGGTCAGGAGTTCGAGACCAACCTGGTCAACATGGCAAAACCCTGTCTCTACTAAAAATACAAAAATTAGCCAGATGTGGTGGCGCACACCTGCAATACCAGCTACTTGGGAGACTGAGGCAGGAGAATTGCTTGAACCTGGGAGGCAGAGGTTGCAGAGGGCTGAGATCACACCACTGCACTCCAGCCCGAGCGACAGAGCCAGACTCTGTATCAAAAAAAAAAAAAAATTAGCCATTGTAATAGGAATGTAATGGTAATATCTCATTGTAGATTTAATTGGCATTTCCTTAATGGCTATTGTGGTTGAGCAACTTTTCATGTTCTTATTTGCCATTAAGATCTTCTTTAGTAAAGTTCCTATTCAGGTCTTTTGCCCATTATATTGTTGGGTTGGTTATTTACTCATTGAGTTTTGAGAGTTTTTATGGTATTCTAGATATAAGTTCTTCATCAAATGTGTGATATGCAAATATTTTATCACAATCTGTTACTTGTCTTTTCATTCTCTTAAATGTCTTTCAAAGAGCAGACATTCTTAATTTTGAAGTCATATTTATCCAACTTTCTCATTTATGGATTGCACTTTTGGCATTATATCTAACAGGTATTTGCCTAATGCAAGATCACAATGATTTTCTCTTATGTTTTCCTTTAACAGTTTTATAGTCTTATGTTTAATTCTGTTGTCCATTTTGAATTCATTTTTTATATGGTACAAGATATGTACTGAAGTTCTGTTTTTTCTTTGCATATGGATTTCAAATTGTTTTAGAAACGTTTGTTGAAAAAACTCCGTTTCTTCCCCTTCACCCCCTCATCCTGTTTCTCCTTTCCTCCCCTTCCTCCTCCTCTCCTCCCTTCCCCTTCCTCCTCCTCTCCTCCCCTCCCTATCCTCCTTTCCTGTCCTCAATAAAATAAAAATAAAATAGAATAAACTCCCTTTCTCTACTAAATTACTTTTTTACTTTTGTTTAAAACTAGTTGACCAAATATATGTGAGTGTATTTCTGGACTCTATTCTGTTCCATTGGTCCATTTGTCTGTCTTGTTGCCAATAGCACATTGTCTTGATCATTATAGTGTTATAAGTCTTAAAGTCATGTACTGTAAGTCTTCTAATTTTTTTCTTGTTGAAAGTTGTTTTTGCCATTCTGGGTCCTTTGTACTTACATATGAATTGTCAGTCAGCTTGGCACCTGCTAGAAAAAAAGCCTGTTGGGATTTTTGTTGGGAATACTTTAAATCTTTAGATCAATTTGAGGGAAATTAACATCTAAACAATAGTGAATCTTCCATGAACATAGTATATTGCTCCGCTTATTTAGGTCCTTAATTTCTTTCAGTAATGTTTTGTACTTTTTAGCATACGGGTCTTGTATATCTTTTGTCAGATTTATCTTTCAGCATTTCAATTATTTATATTATTGTAAATTATATTGTTTATTTTTGTTTCTGATTGTTGTTTGCCAAGATATAGAAATACAGCTGCTTTTTGTATATTGATGTTGTATCTTGCAATCTTGCTGAACTCACTTACTAGTTCTAGGATCTTTTCTGTAGATTCTTTGGGATTTTCTACAAAGATAATGACATAATCTTTGAATACAATTTTCCTTCTTTCTTTCCAACCTGATTACCTTTTATTTCTTTTTCTTGTTTGATGGCATGGTTAGAACCTCCAATACAATATTAAATAGAAGTCATGGGAGCAGAAAATCTTGCCTTGTTTTTAATCTTACAGGGGAAGCATTCAGTCCTGATATAATAGTAGCTGTGGTGCTTTTTGTTGTAGATGCTCTTTATGAAGTTGAAAAAGTTCCTTCTATTCCTAGTTTGATAACAGGTTTTACCAAGAATAGATGTTGGATTTTGTCAAATATTTTTTCTGTGTCTATTGAGATGATCATTTGACTTTTTTTTTTCTTTTTAGTTCTAACTATTGTCCATTTTATTGATTGATCTTTCTAATGTTAAATCAAGCCTGCATTTCTGGAATAAACTCCACTTGGCCATGTATTATCTTTTACCTTTATTATTGGATTTGATTTGCTAAGCTTTTTTTGTTAAGAATTTTTATGTGTATATTCATGAGAGATATTGGTTTTTAGTTTTCTTGTCTATCTTTGTCTGGTTTTGGTATTGATGCGATCCTGGACTCATAGAATAAAGCAGAAGGCACTCTGTCCTCTTCAATTTTTTGGAAGCATTTGTGTAGAATTAGTATTATTTTTCCTTAAATGTTTGGTGGAATTCACCACTGACACTATCTGGGCCTGGAGTCTTTTTTTTTTTTTTTTTTTAGTGAAAACAAGTTTATTGGAGATAGTAAGGGAATAAAGAATGGCTACTGCATAGGCAGAGCAGCAGCTCGGGCTGCTGGACTAAGGATACTTGTAGATATTTCTTGATTGTATGCTAAATAAGGGGTGAATTATACATGGGTTTTCTGGGAAAGGGGTGGACAGTTCCTGGAACTGAGGGTTCCTGTCCTTTCTAGACCATATAGGGTAACTTCCTGACATTGCCATGCATTTGTAAATAGTCATAGTGCTGGTGGGAGTGTCTCTTAGCATGCTAATTGCATTATAATTAGTGTATAATGAGCAGTGAGGATGACCAGAGATCACTTTGGTGGCCATCTTGGTTTTGATGGGTTTTGGCCAGCTTCTTTACTGCAACCTGTTTTATTAGCAAGGTCTTTATGATCTGTATCTTGTGCTGACCGCCTGTCTCACCCTGTGAGTAAGAATGCCTCAACCTCCTGGGAATGCAGCCCAGTAGGTCTCAGCCTTATTTTACCCAGCCCCTATTCAAGATGGACTTGCTCTGGTTTGAACACCTCTGACATATTCCCCTCCCCAGCCCCGCGCTTTTATAAGAGAACCCTTAATCCTAAGGGTTGTAGAGGAACAAAGATGCATCTTCTGTAACTTCTTCAGGCTGACTAGGGGTGATGATATTCCTGCCTAACTATGAGGGTCTCTTGTTTTTGGGGTAGAGAGGAGCTCAGTCAAAGCGTCAGTATGGTGAGGGCTATTCATAACTCCAATTTCTGACAAAAGGTGATATCTGGAAGATTAATAAGTGTTCAATTTAAGAAAACATTCTGGTCCTGGAGTCTTTTTTATGTGAAGGATTTTAATCTACAAATTCAATTTCTTTAATAGATGTAAGCCTACTTTTTTAAAATTGGTTTTTGTTTGTATCTTTTAGGGAATTTGTCAACTAAATTTAAATATTGAATTTATTGGCATAAAGTTGTTGATAATGTCCTCCTATACTTTTAATATCTGTAGACTGTGATGACATCACCTTTCTTTCCTGATATTTGTCATCTGTTGTATTCTCTCCTTTTTTCCTAATAATACTGATGAGAGTTTTATTGATCTTCCCAAGGAACCAGCTTTTGTTTTTATTTGATTTTTTTCCCTAATTTTGTTTGTTTTATATTTATTTCCATTCTATTATTTACTTTCTTTTGCCTGCTTTGGATTTTATTTGCAGTTCTTTTTCTAGTTTCTTTCTTTCTTTTTTTTTTTTTTTTTTTTTTTTTTTTTTTTGAGATGGAGTCTTGCTGTCGCCAGGCTGGAGTGCAGTGGTGCGATCTCGGCTCACTGCAGGCTCTGCCCCCCGGGTTTCACACCATTCTCCTGCCTCAGCCTCCCGAGTAGCTGGGACTACAGGCGCCCACCACCTCGCTTGGCTAATTTTTTGTATTTTTAGTAGAGAGAGGGTTTCACCTTGTTAGCCAGGATGGTCTCGATCTCCTGACCTCGTGATCCACCCGCCTCGGCCTCCCAAAGTGCTGGGATTACAGGCGTGAGCCACCGTGCCCAGCTCTAGTTTCTTAAGGTAGAAGAACAAATTATTTGGCTAGGCGTGGTGGCTCACGCCTGTAATCTCAGCACTTTGGGAGGCCGAGGTGGGTGGATCACGAGGTCAGGAGTTCGAGACCAGCCTCACCAACATGGTGAAACCCCGTCTGTACTAAAAATACAAAAATTAGCTGGGCATGGTGGCGCACACCTGTAATCCCACCTACTCAGGAGGCTGAGGCAGGACAATTGCTTGAACCCGGGAGGTAGAGGTTGCAGTGAGCTGAGATTGCACCATTGCACTCCAGCCTGGGTGACAGAGCGAGACTCTGTCTCAAAAAAAAACATAAAGAAAGGAAGAAATTCAATTTATTTAAGACCTTTCTTTTCGAATACAGATATTTAAATTTCCTCTATGTCTGCTTTAGCAGTGTTCCACACATTTTAGTATGTTGTGTTTTCATTTTCATCCAGTTAGAAGTACTTTCTGATTTTTCTTTTGATTTCTTCTTTGATCCATGGATTATTTAGAGATGTGTTATTTAGTTTTCAAATATTTAAGAATTTTCCAAATATCATTCTGTTGATTTCTAATTTGATTCTGTTGTGATCACAGACCATAGTTTTTATGACTTTAACCTTTTCACATTTATTGATACATGTTTTATGGCCAGAATGAGATCTGTCTTGGTAAATGTTCTATGTTCACCTGAATATGTAGTCTTCTGTTGTTCAGTGTAGTGTTTTTGGTATTAGCCCAATTTGGTTGATAGTATTGTTCAAGTCTTCTATATCCTTACTGATTGTCTGTTTGTTCTATCAGGTACCTAGAGAAGGTTGCTGAAATCTCAGTCTATAATTATCGATTTGTCTGTTTTTCCTCGATGTTCTATTACTTTTCTGCAGGTATTTTGACATTCTGTTATTAGGTGTCTAGACATTTAGGGTTGTTATGTTCTTTTGATTAACTGACTCCTCTATCATTATGGAATTATCCCCTTTACTATGTGAATATTACTTGATTTAAAATCTACCTTGATATTAATAGGGCTATTCGAGATTTCTTTTGATTTATATTAGTGTGATATTTCTTCTTCGATCCTTTTGCTTTTAACGTAGTTGTGGTTTTATATTTAAGTGGTTTTCTTATAAGTATATATAGTTTGGTCTTGTGGGGTTTTTTTTTAATCTTATCTGACAGTCTGTGTTTTTAATTGGGGTATTTAGACCATTTATATATAACGTGATTATTGATTTGATTGGGTTTAAACTGACTAACTTGTTATTTGTTTTATATTGGCTCAATTGCTTTTTTTTTCTGCCTCCTTTTGGATTGAGTATTCTTTTTTTTTACTTTATCTCCTTTGTTTACTTTAATAGCTATATATCTTTGTGTATTATTTTAATGGTTGCTTTACACTTATATGCATCTTCAGCTTAGTACTGTCTACCTTTGAACTATATTATATTAATTTATAGTATAAAAATCTTAAAAGAAGACACTGCAATACCTCCTGGCATTTTTGCTATTGTTGTTGACATATGTTTTACTTCTATACTTCTTATAAGCCCCACCATTCATGTTATTGTTTTTGCTTTAAATAGCCGATTTTGTTTTAAAGATATTTAAAATAATAAGAAAGAAAGTTATTTTATATTAACTTGTATTGTTATTTCTGGTGCTTTTCATTCTTTTGTGTACACGCAGAGTTCCATCTGGTATCACTGTCTCTCTGCCTGAAGGACTTCTTCTAACATTTCTTATAGTGCAGGTCTGCTGATGATGAATTCTTTCAGCTTTTTTCATTTATTGAAATGGAAGCCTTTATTTCATTTTGTGTCTACAGCCCTATACCACCCTGAATGTGCCCAATCTCATCTGAAAGCCTTTATTTCATTTTGTTTCTCAAAGCTATTTTCACTGGGTATAAAATTCTTATTTGACAGTTTTTTTCTTTCAGCATTATAAGGTTTTTTTTTTCCTTTCAGAGCAATAAAGATACAGCTCTACTGACTTCTGATTTGTATTGTTTATGATGAGAAATCTACCATTATCTTTGCTGTTAGTTTTCTTTTCTTTCTTTTTTCTTTTTTTTTGAGACAGGGTCTCATTCTGTCATCCAGGCTGGAGTGCTGTGGTGTGATCATGGTTCTCTAAAGCAGGCTGCCAGACTCAATGGATACCCCACCCCTACCCCCAGCCTCCTGAGTAGCTGGAATTATAGGTGTGCACCACCATGCCCAGCTAATTTGTTTTTAGAGATGGGTCTTGATGTGTTGTTCAGGCTGGTCTCGAACTCCTGGGCTCAAGTGATCCGTACATAATGTGTTTTCTACCCCTCAGTAAATTCGCTATTTTTTTTGTTTTGTTTTGATCTTTAATTTTTTTTGGAAGTTTGACAATGATATTATAAGGTATGGTTTTCTTTGCATGTATTTTGCTTGGTGTTTACTGAGTTTCTTAAACATGAAAATATATTTCTTTAAATTTGGAAAGTTTGTGGCCATTATTTCTTCATATTGACTTAGTGTCTCATTCTTTCTCTCTCTGTCCTCCTTTCCTGTCCTCTCCTCAGACTTTAATTCCTATATATGGATAGATAAATAGTCTCAGAGGTATCTAAAGTTCTGATTTTTTCCAGTCTTTATTTCTCTGTTTTACAGATTGGGTAAACCTTTCTTTAGAACCTTCAAATTCATTGATTCTCTTCTATTCTTTTTATTCTATCTGTCTCTCTCTCTCTCTCTCTCTCTCTCTATCTATCATCTATGAAGATTCATCATTCTCTCTCTCTCTTTTGTTTTTTTTTAGATGGAGCCTGCTCTGTTGCCAGGCTGGAGTGCAGTGGTGCAATCTTGGCTCACTGCAACGTCTGACTCCCTGGTTCAGGCGATTCTCCTGCCTCAGCCTCCCTAGTAGCTGGGATTACAGGCACGCACCACCACATCCAGCTAATTTTTGTATTTTTAGTAGAGACGGGGTTTCACCACGTTGGCCAGGATGGTCTGTCTCCTGACCTCATGATCCACCTGCCTTGGCCTCCCAAAGTGCTGGGATTACAGGTGTGAGCCACCGTGCCCAGCCTCACCATTCTCTTAAACCCATTCAGGAAATTTTTAAATTTCAGACTTCTGTAATTCAGTTCTAGATTTCCTAGTCAGTTCTGGTTTATGATGAGCATATTTTACATCATGTGCATGATTTTTTGGTGGTAAAATATCATGTGCATTGTTTTAATGGGTGTTTAAAATCTTTGTCTGTTAATTACAACCTCTGTGTCACCTTGGGATCAGTCTTTCTGATTGCTGTTGGCTTTTCTCCAGTACAGGCTCTATTTTCTTATTTCTTTATATGTCTAGTTACTTTGGATAGTAACTTGGTTGTTGTGAATGATACATTGTAGAGACTCTGGATTCTGTTATTCTTGAAAAATGTTAATTTGTTTGAAGCGGTTATCTTTAGGAAACTAATTGCAACTCCTGTCTTTCTTGCAATGAGCAGCAGGTAAATATCTTTTTAGTGTCTTTAGCCTTAGCTTGTCTGTGTGATTTTCCCTACATATGTATAGCCAGATTTCAGCAGTTTTTACACAAAACTTGGGGCTTTCCACTCTCAGACTCCCTTTTCTGGGATTTCATCTTTCTATTTCTAACTTTCATGGTTGTCCCAAACTCTTGTCTTTTGGTTTTCCCAACCAGTGAGACCTTGGGTTTCTATCCAGATTTTAAATGTCCCATGTTGCATTGACTAGTGAAAAATCTTTTTTAAAAAACCCGTTGCTTGAGCCTGGGAGGTCAAGGCTGCAGTGCGAGCTGTGATCGCGCCAACTTGCACTCCAGCCTGGGTGACAGAGCGAGACCTTGCCTCAAAAAAAAGAAAGAAAAACTCAGTCTGGACAACATGGCGAAACCCCTGTCTCTACAAAAGTTCAAAATGTCACTGGACGTCGAGGTACACGGCGGTAGTCCCAGTTACTCAGGAGGCTAAGGTGGGAGGATCGCTTGAGCCTAGGAGGTGGAGGCTGCAGTGATCCGCGCTCGTGCCGCTGCACTCCAGCCTGGGTGACAGAGCAAGACCCTGTCTCAAAAAAAAAAAAAAGAAAAAAAGAAAAAAAGAAAAGAAAAACCCAGACATTTCACCTAGTGCTGTTCCTTTCTTTCAAAGGTAGATTCTTTTATAGCTTTTGCTGCTTTTGTATTCCACACTACCTTCAGGCAGTGTTGTTTGTTTGCTTATTTGATTGTTTTCCAGTCTAAGGTTGGTAGCTTTTATCTGCAAGAGAAACTATGCTGCTATCACCAGAAACATACTGTCCACTCCTTTCCTAACTTTTACAGTTTTATCCCTGGCCCTAGGTTCTTGAGTCTCCCTTTGCTTCGGTCCTACAGCCTGAAGGCATTACTGTCCCCCTTCCACCCCAGTCAGTGCTAGTCCTGACTCCTGTTTTTCCTTGAGGAATGGTGGGCACTCATCTCCCTATTCCTATTGGTGTCATTGTCATCTTAGGACAGGCTTTTGTCCCTTCACATCTGACCTTCTGGCTCCAGACTCTCTCCTCCAAATCGTCGCCAACAGCTTTGCCCAAACTTCCTAAAATACCACCTTCACTGTTTCCACCACACGCAGAGAGCTCCAGTGGCTCTCCATGAACTGTGACCAGGCTCTTCTGACGCGTACATAATGGTACATCAGTAGTTCTGGAAGCCAGCGGCCCTCACACTCTTTTTCACAACCCTTTTTTTCATGGTTTTCCAACCTCCCTGAAGGTGAGGGAGGCAGTGTGAAGAGAAACCTCTTGCCTCAGCCCTCCTCCAAGAATTTTCTCTCGGCAGGCATGTCTCACAAACACCTCTGGACGGCAGGGAAATGAAAATGCGGTTTCCTTCAGATACACTGGGATTCCCCGGCTTGTAGTCTGTGCTACCGCAGGCATCTGCAGCTGGGGCTTAGCCCACTCGTCTGACCTCCGTTTCTCCCCACCCCTCCAGCTTGACCATTTCCTCCAGCCTGGCCTGGTTTCCCTTTGAGCAGGCGCACCGTGTTCATCCATAGCTCTATAGATGAGTGCTTGGAAGAACTTATTCTCTTTTTTTGTTTGTTTGAGGCAGAGTCTCGCACTGTTGCCCAGGCTAGAGTGCAGTGGTATGATCTCGGCCCACCGCAACCTCCACCTCCCGGGCTCAAGCGATTCTCCTGCCTCAGCCTCCCAAGTAGCTGGGATTACAGGTGCCCACCACCATGCTGGGCTAATTTTTGAATTTTTAGTAGAGATGGGGTTTCACCATCTTGGCCAGGCTGGTCTTGAACTCCTGGCCTCATGATCCAATGGCCTCAGCCTCCCAAAATGCTGGGATTACAGGCATGAGCCACCACAGCAGAACTTATTCTTTAAGACCTGATTCCAATTCCTGAATTCTTTTCTTGCATGAAATCTCTTCTGATCACCAGTGGTTGAAATTCATCTCTCCCTATGTTTAAACATTTTATTTAAAATGTTGAGCTTACATGGTTTCATTGCAAGTAATAGAGACCCCCTTCAAACAAACTTAGTTTTTCTTGGCAAAGGTGGGGAGGGAGGAGGGAGAACACAGTATAAGGATACTTGGCTGTCTAACTTGTTTCCCATTCTCTAAATCCCAATTCTGTATCCCCAAGAAAGTTAATCTGATTGGCCTGGCTTGGGATAGGTGTGTGCCCCTCCTCCAATCAGTCTTGCCAGGAGAGCAAGGTCACAAGATTGGAAACCTGGAAACCTGGTATGAGAGGTTCAAGGGATTTGGGGGCTGATCAGAGAAAAAGATATGACCGCAAAGTAGCAGAAGCACATAGAAGTTTTACTGGGCAATGCTTTGACAGGTTTGCATGTGGGAAAGCCCTTCATGGCAGGAGACTGTCGAAGGTCAGAAGGGGAGGATAAGGGAACCTTCAGGGGGAGAGGGGCCTACACATGCCCAGGTGATGTCTGTTGCTCAGCAGCATGACAGGGAGCTTCTGGGTCAGATTGCTTTGAAGGCAGTAGCTGCTTAGGGTTGTTTAACCACAAGGCTCTGTCTTGTCAATGACCAGAAGATGCTGTTTGTAGTTTTGTGGGGTCTGCAAAGCAGTCAGCTCTAAATGGCTAAAGATTTGCTTGTTTTGGCTCTTTTAAAATAATTGGATGTGTACAAATTTGAGTTTGGTACCAGCAGAGTTTTGCTCTAACACGTTTCAGCCTTCAGTGAAGAAATAAGCAACTTACAGGCCAATACACACGGGCTGTCTTTGATTCACTTAGATAACACCTAGATTCATCCCATTGATCTTGGTAGCAGGGAGGCGAGTTGAAAGAAGGATACAGTTCAAAGAAAGCCAAGGCCTCTGCAATTGCTCTTCTAGTCCTCCTCAAAATCATCTAAGACTAAAGATGCTGGTATGTGATATGATTTGGATCTATGTCCCAACCCAAATCTCATGTCAAATGTAATCCCCAGTGTTGGTGGTGGGGCCTGGTGTGAGGTGATTGGATCATGGGGCTGGATTTCCCTCTTGACCGTGCTCTTGTTATAGTGAGTAAGTGCTCGTGAGATCTGATCGTTTAAAAGTGTGAGCACCTTCCCTCCCTTTCTTCCTCTTGCTTCTGCCATGTACAATGAGCCTGCTTCCCCTTTGCCTTCGGCCATGATTGAAAGTTTCCTGAGGCCTTCTCAGAAGCCATCGTGCTTCCTGTACAGCCTGTGGAACTGTGAGCCAATTAAACCTTTTTTTTTTTTTTTTTTTTTTTTAAGACAGGGTCTCTTTCTGTCGCCCAGGCTGGAGTGTGATCTCGGCTCACTGCAACCTCCGCCTCCCAGGTTCAAGTGATTCTCCTGCCTCAGCCTCCCGAGTACCTGGGATTACAGGCGTGTGCCACCATGCCCAGCTAATTTTTCTATTTTTAGTAGAGATGGAGTTTCACCATGTTGACCATCTGTCTGGTTGGGGTGCATGCTAGGTAGGAGAACCTGGCCCTCAGGTGGAGCAGAGTCTGGAACTGCAGTCATTTTTCAGGAAAGCTGTGGTGGTGGCCGAAGAGGCAACTAAATGTGATCAATCCTAGAGACACAGCACAAACAGGAGATCACGTATTTGAGTCAGTTCTGGGGAGAGTGTGGAGGAGAGAAGCCAAGTTTTCTGGACAGACAGGTCAAGGAGAGCAGTTCAGGACTGAGGCTAAGAACAGTGACTGTTGGCCAGAGTATCTTTTCCATGGAATGTCCGCTTTTAAAAGCTACTGGGGCTAGATCCAATGGCTCACACCTGTCATCCCAACACTTTGGAAGGCCAAGGTGGACAGATCGCTTGAGCTCGGGAGTTTGAGACCAGCCTGGGCAACATGGCAAAACCCTGTTACTACAACAAATAAAAAAAATTAGCCAGGCGTGGTGGTGCATGCCTATAGTCTCAGCTACTCGGGAGGCTGAGGTGAGAGGATAGCTTGAGTCCAGGAACTTGAGGCTGCAGTGAGCCATGATTGTGCCACTGCACTCCAGCCTGGGTGACAGAGTGAGACCCTGTCTCAAAAAAAAAAAAAAAAAAAACTACTGGCAGCCTGAAACACGGTGCCTAGCACGGAACTTTGCATGTGCTGAGAAGTCACTAAATATCATGTGTTTTCTGGAGTCCTTCATGGCATTTTAATCACAGAAGTCAGAACTTATGTTACAGCAGAAAGACACATTATTGCATGTAGAATACCACGTGTGTTCATTTGTGAAATTTCGGTGGTTTACTTACTTCTACACCTTAGATGAGTGGAAGCCTCCATTTCCATCTGGCCTGTGTAAGGTTATAAAAGATTAAAGTAACTGAGAAAGCAGAGAGGAGAAACTTTAGCCAGATCCCATTTTTTTCTAAAGCTCAAAGTCCCTGAAGCATTTATCTTCACAGATAGCCATCTCTGCACATATAGTATCTGCGCACAAATAAAATGCCTTTCTGGTGTTGGTTGGTGCCTCACAAACAATAATGCTGTGTACGCTGCCTCCCCAAGATGCACAACTTGCGGATGAAACAAACTATTATTCTTTAACCATTTGAATGTTTAATTGCTTTTTTCCCTCCACACCTGGTGGCATTTTGAAAACTCTACAGCCATTTCAAGTGGTGTGTAGCTTTTGACCAAAGCCCTGGCAGAGATGAGGAGAACATCTGCTCCTGGGTTCCAGAGGCAACCACACCGTCACAATGATGGTACTTTACATGCTCCTCCGGCACCAAGGGCTGCAGAAATGGGGTTCATGCTGCAGCTCAGCACCCTTCGCTTTCATCATGTGGCAATCTGAAAACCAAGCCTTTAACTTTTCCATACACGTTATTTTAATGACTGTGCACATTTGAATACATGCTTGTTTTTTTTCTTTTTGAGACACAGTCTCCCTCTGTCTTCCAGGCTGGAGTACAGTGGCACGGTCCCGGCTCACTGCAACCTCCACCTCCTGGGTTCAAGTGATTCTCCTGCCTCAGCCTCCTGAGTAGCTGGGATTACAGGTGCCTGCTACCACGCCCAGCTAATTTTTGTATTTTTAGTAGAGATGAGGTTTCACCATGTTGGCCATGGTTGGCCAGGCTGGTCTTGAACTCCTGACCTCGGGTGATCCACCCGCCTCAGCCTCCCAAAGTGCTGGGATTACAGGTGTGAGCCACTGTGCCCGGCCACATTTGAATACATTCTGACTGGTTGGTTTCTACCTAAATGGTCTTAACTGTATTGCAGTCACTTCTGAAAAGTAAAACCTAATACCTTTCTAAATGACAGTGTGTGCTGTAAGTTGACAATGGTGGCCTTATCTTAGTGGCTGTCAATCTTTTTCCTCCCCTTGCCCAAAGTGGACTGTAGATCCAGAATTGGCCCTTCAGAAGAAAATGGAGCATTCTTGGCCGGGCGTGGTGGCTCATGCCTGTAATCCTAGCACTTTGGGAGGCCGAGGTGGGCAGGTCACTTGAGGTCAGGAGTTTGAAACCAGCCTGGCTAACATGGTGGAACCCCATCTCTACTAAAAATACAAAAAAAAGTAGCTGGACGTGGTGGCGGGCGCTTGTAATCCCAGCTACTCTGGAGGCTGAGGCAGGAGAATTGCTTGAACTCCGGATGCGGAGGTTGCAATGAGCCGAGATTGTGCTGCTGCACTCCAGCCTAGGAGACGGCGAGACTCCGTCTCAGAAAAAAAAAAAAAGGAAATGGAGCATTCTCAGCTGTGGTTGTTTTAGCCATCTCGATGCTGTCGAAATGACACACAGATGGCGATCAATTTAAACTCCTGGACCTCTCCTCTTCTTTTCAGGACAGTGCGACAGATAGATACATGGGAGGCACTGAGTGAAGGGAAGCTGGTAGAATGGCAAGATGCACAGATGGAGTGAGGACTATAAAATTCCTCGAAAGCACAGGCTGAATGTGTGATGAACTAAAATTAAATGTATTTGTGCTAGGCAGTGTGAGTAGTGGAAATAGTGCCGTCCTGACAGTCGGGGCACAAGCTCTGCACCTAATAATGTGCATGACCTTGACCAACTTCTTTGGACCTCAGTTTCTACGTCAGTAAAGTCTGGTTACGGTAGATGATGTCTGTGTCTAAGGTCTAAGGCTCTAGCTCTCAGAGTCCACGATAACGAACTTTCCTGGGCAATTTCATTGCACTTAATCGAGGTAACGTTGCTGTTGTCTTGGCATGTGATTTACACAGAGGTTCACCTTAGGAAGGAGGTGTGGATGGCCATCGGTTTGCCATCACAGACGCTAAGGTCTCAAGTCTGATTGATGCTGAGGCCAAGGGCAAATGCATTTACAACAGCCAGTTCCCTTTGAGACCTGCCGCCCAGAAGCATGACTGGGGCAAGAAGATTGTTCCATTGTTCTGGCCCTGTGCAGCAGGAGTGGAAGGCTTGGTTCCCCAGCCCTTAGGACAACTTCTCCCCACCTTCCATCCTCCTTCTCCCTCACCACTTTCTTCTTTTTCTGGTATCTCCTTTGCTCTGGCTTGTCCCCTTATTATCTTGTCTTTCAAGATGAGCGTCATCACCTGGTTCTCTGGCAGCCCTTTAGCATTAGCCACTTGCATCCTGGAAGAAACAAAGACAGCGATGTCTCTTCCTTTCTACTTCATCTGAAAATGCTGTCAACTTTTCTCTAGGTGTAGGAGAGGGCGTGTGTGCGTGCGTGTGTGCGTGCGTGTGTGTGTGTGTGTGTGTGTGTAAGAGAGAAAGAGAAGGAAAGAGAGAGAGATTTAGAATTGGTGTAACAGTGGATAGGGTTTTGAGATTAAAAACAAACTCCGGGAGTTTGAGGCTAGTCTGACCAACATGGAGAAACCCCATCTCTATTAAAAATACAAAAAAATCAGCCGGATGTGGTGGTGCATGCCTGTAATCCCAGCTACTCGGGAGGCTGAGGCAGGAGAATCACTTGAACCCAGGAGGCGGAGGTTGTGGTGAGCCGAGATCGTGCCATTGCACTCCAGCCTGGGCAACAAGAGTGAAATTCCGTCTCAAAAAATAAATAAATAAAAATAAAAATACAAACAAACTCAAAAAATGGTAGTATTGGAAACACAATGGGCTGGGTGCAGTGGCTCATCTCATGTCTGTAATCCCAGCACTATGGGAAGTTGAGGCAGGAGGATGGCTTGAACTCAGGAGTTCGAGACCAGCCTGGGCAACATAGTGAGACTTTGTCTCTACTAAAAACAAAACAAAACAAAACAAAAAAATTGGCTGGGCATGGTAGTGTACACCTGTAGTCCCAGCTGCTCAGGAGGCTGAGAGCTATGATTGGGCCACTGCACTCCAGCCTGGGCCACAGAGTGAGACCCTGTCATGAAAAATAAAAAAAAAGAAAGAGGGAAGAAAAGAAACAGGATGGGACTGTGGAAATCACATTTGGGAAGTGGTTTGGGAAAGCTGTGACTACCTAGTTTCTTTCTTTCTTTTTCTTTTTTTTTTTTTTTTTTTCCTGAGATGGAATCTCACTCTGTTGCCGAGGTTGGAGTGCTGGAGTGCAGTGGCGCGATCTCGGCTCACTGCAACCTCTGACCCCCGAGTTCAAGCAATTCTCCTGCCTCAGCCTCCCAAGTAGCTGGGATTACAGGCACCTGCCACTGCGTCCGGCTAATGTTTGTATTTTTAGCAGAGACAGGGGTTTCACCATCTTGGCCAGGCTGGTCTTGAACTCCTGACCTCGTGATCCACCCACCTCGGCCTCCCATAGTGCTGGGATTACAGGCATGAGCCACCACACCCAGCCTAGTTTCTTTCTTATATTTCACTCATCACTCTTGACATGTGAAAGTCTGCCCCCACACCACCTGACAGTACTTGCTTCACAGTTCCAATGGGGATCAGAACATTCCACCCCAAAATATGTCTCTTTGACACATTGATTATTTTGAGCTGAAGGCAGTTGAGAAACAGCAGTTGTGCGGTAGGGCTCTCTGTCCTGCCCCTTTTTACCTAAAAGCAAGGCATAAATTCTCCATGAGAAAGATGGCCTCCCCGTACCGGGAAGAGGAGAACATTCTTATCATTGGAGTTAGGGAGCAGATGCTGAGATGAGTCTGTACAAACAAACCTTACTAGAATAACTCTTATCTTCCGTGGGTTTCCCTCATATATTTCCTAGTCACTTTCCCACAATTTTCTGCCCCTAGCCCAAACCCTCTTTTCCTTTGTCTTGTCCAATCTCCACAATTTACTTCTCTTTGTTAAAATGGTATATTTAACCGCTTCCTTGTGGTTTTCACGTCTTTCTATAAAGCCCCTCTCCCTACCCTATGCCGTGTAAAAATGTTAACATCAAATAATTATTCGTATGCGTTTTCTACTGTTAATCTTTTATCAGTTCAATTCACAGGTCCCAGCCATAGAACCTAGAGAAAAAGTCTCTTCCCCTTCAGTTCCCAAGCTGCTGGTCATACTGCCCCTCACTATGGCTTCATGTCCTGCTCTGGAGGGTCACAGAGAAGGTCGTTTGTTGTAGGGAAAGAGCTGAGAACAGCGGTGTGCCCTCTGAGAAAGCAGCAAACTGTCCTTTTTGCCTCTAAGGGTCTGTACTTATGGTTTGGCCACGTCCCCACCCAAATCTCATCTTGAATTGTAGTTCCCTTAATCCCCATGCATCATGAGAGGGACTAGGTGGAGGTAAGTGAATCAGGGGCAGTTTTCCCCATCCTGTTCTTGTGATAGTGAGTGCTCATGAGATCTGATGGTTTTATAAGAGGCTTCCTCCTTTGCTGGGCACTTATTCTTCTTGTTCCTGCCATTATGTGAAGAAGGACGTGTTTGCTTCACCTTCAACCATGATTGTAAGTTTCCTGAGGCCTCCCCAGCCCTGCAGAACCGTGAGTCAATTAAACTTCTTTTCTTTATAAATTACCCAGTCTCGGGTATGTCCTTTTAGCAGTGTGAGAATGGACTAATACAATACTCTTCATATCAGGACTGCAAAGACCACTGAGCACAGGTTAATTCAGGTGCAGTCCTGTAGGGGGTAACCTCAAGGCTTCAGGGCAAGTTGGTCTTGGAGTAAATGTGAGTTAAAATGTGAGTTATAAACCAGGCAGGTCGGCTGGATGCAGTGGCTGGAGCCCATGAGACCAGCCTGGGCAACACAGTGAAACCCTATCTCTACAAAAAAATTTTTAAAGTTAGCTGAGTGTAGTAGTGCACGCCTGTAGTCCTAGCTACTCAGGGGGCTTAGGTGGGAGGTTTGCTTGAGCCCAGAGGTTGAGGCTGCAGTGAGCCATGATTATACCATTGCACTGCAGCCTAAGCAGCAGAGAGAGACTGTCTCAAAAAAGAAAGAAAGAAAGAAAGAAAGAAAGAAAGAAAGAAAGAAAGAAAGAAAGAAAGAAAGAAAAGAAAGAAAAGGAAAGAAAAGAAAGAAAGAAAGAAAGAAAGAAAAGAAAGAAAGAAAAGAAAGAAAGAAAGAAAGAAAGAAAGAAAGAAAGAAAGAAAGAAAGAAAAGAAAGAAAGAAAGAAAGACACCAAGCAGGTCTTTTGAGATGCTTTACCGCTGGGATGATTGGAATATGAGTTGGGGAACCTTCTGGACACTCATGAACGCCTGCATTGGTCAGGCATGCACTTTTGTAATGGAACAGGAGAAGAAGCCTTTGGGAAAAGGCAGGGGGTGATGAATTTGGTTACTGTTTTCTTTTCTTTGAGATGGAGTCTCACTCTGTCACCCAGGCTGGAGTGCAGTGGTGTGATCTCAGCTCACTGCAACTTCCGCCTCCCGGGTTCAAGTGATTCTCATGCCTCAGCCACTAAAGTAGCTGGGATTTACAGGCGCACACCACCACGCTTGGCTAATTTTTGTATTTTTAGTAGGGCCGGTGTTTCACCATGTTGGCCAGGGTGGTCTTGAACTCTTGACCTCAAGTGATCTGCTGGCCTCGGCCTCCCAAAGTGCCGGGATTACGGTGTGAGCCACCGTGCCTAGTCTGGGTACTCTTTTCAGTCTACAGTCTCTGAACTCTGACAACTTCCTGTCGCTCTGAGTGTGACTGTGCTTGTGGTTCCTCTGAGAGTCGAGGTGGAGCTACCCACCCCCTCTCCACACTGGTCTCATGTGTGATCGGAGCTGTGTGCTGGGGAGATGCACAGTCAGGTTAGAGGGCAGCTTGGGTCCTGGAGCTGCAATGGACACACACCCCTCTCTGCTTAGCTGTGGCTGCCCTCAGTGCATATGCAGGGCTGGCTCCCTGGCAGATCTGACTTTCTCTGGTTCTGTGGCTGTCATAAGATTTATTCAGAATCCCTCTTATGAGTTTTGGAACTGAAGCTGTTCTCAAACCAGTCGCAGATTCTACTTGTTAAGAGAAGCAATGTATACAGAATATCGGCAGTTAGGAGGCATGCGTGGGTTCCAGTCCCAGTCTCACTGGCAGTGAGACCTTGAGCAAGTCACTCAACTTCCCTGAGCCTCAGGGTTTTCATGTGCATCATGGAGGAATTCTCCTTCCTGCCTCCTGCTTTTCTCTAATCTTCCCCCATGGTGAGAGGCCTCTCCCAGGAGGAGGTCTGCCTGCTGATATCTATCCGCCTCTCATCCATGTGGGTTCTATGGGGAGGAAGGGGGAATTCCATTAAGCTGACTGGTGAATGAGAGCTGGGAAACATGGGGAACATGCCCTTCTTCATGGGAAACATGCCCTTCTCCATGATGTCCATACTTGCATGACAGGATAAAACTATCTCCTGCAATCTGCCACAATGGGTCATTTTGAAATCTCGAAGAAGTCATTTATTCAGATTAAAACTATTTATAGCAGATGTAAGCAAACAATTCATTGGTGTCCTTGAGATTGATGGTTGGCACTTTACAGTTTTCATTAAAAGTTAAACTCTTTCTTCATTCAGCAAATATTTCAGTGCCCATTATGTGTCCTGTACTGGGATACAGCAGTGAATGAGACAGACCAGATCCTTGCCCTCTTGGGGCTGGCATCCTAGTGGGGAGATGGACAATGCTGGGCGTGGTGGATCATGCCTGTAATCCCAGCACTTTGGGAGGCCGAGGCGGGCAGATCACCTGTGGTCAGGAGTTCAAGACCAACCTGGCCAACATGGCGAAATCCTGTTTCTACAAAAAATATAAAAATAAGCCAGGCGTGGTGGTGGGCACCTGTAATCCCACCTACTTGGGAGGCTGAGTCAGGAGAATTGCTTGAACCCAGGAGGTGGAGGTTGCAGTGAACTGAGATCATGCCACTGCACTCCAGCCTGGGCAATAGAA
Source organism: Homo sapiens (assembly GCF_000001405.40). Lineage (NCBI taxonomy): Eukaryota > Metazoa > Chordata > Mammalia > Primates > Hominidae > Homo > Homo sapiens. The sequence goes on along the minus strand of NC_000014.9, from coordinate 89,509,366 downwards.
CAAGACTCCATCTTAAAACAAACAAACAAACAAACAACAACAAAAAAAACTGTATATAATTTGCAAATAGTGGTAAGTGCTATGGATAAAGATGAAGCAGGGAACAAGGTCCAGGAGATGCAAGCATGGGTGCTATAACTTTGACCCAGAGGGCAGGGCAGATTCCTTCACTGATGGAGGGGAGGGAAAGGCAGGTCGATGCTCAGCCAGTGTGGAGGTACTGATAGGGACCTGGTCCACTCCAAGACTATCAGGGAGGTCAGGGTGGGTGGAACAGAGTGAGAGGGAGGGAAGTAGGAGATGAGCTCAGAGCAGTATCAGTGGGGGTAGAGCGGAGGCTGGGGGTAGATAGCAGGTGATGTAAAACTGGTGGGAGGGTGTCCAGGGAGGTGATATGACATCCCTCCACAGGGCCAATCCATAGCGATTGTTTTATTCTTTGCCACATGCAAAGCCTGTCATGTGGAAGGCAGGAAAGGCCTAAAATCATAAGGGCACAGTGGTGCTGTTCCAGATCCTGTTCCTCAGTGCATGGTCCCAGGGCCAGCAGCACTGGCATCTCCTGAGTGCTTGTTAAAAATGCAGAATCTCAGCCCTACCACACACCTGCTGGATCGAAACCTGCATCTCACAGGGCCTGCAGGTGATCCATGGCCCACGAACATTGGAGAAGCAATGGTCTGGAGTCATCTGTGACTTTGGGCATCAGAAGCCCTGGGGGCTGCTCAAAACATGTCTACTTCATTGCCTGCTGGCCTCAGTTTTCTTGTAGTTTCACCTGCAAGGAGATGAGAATGATGCTGACATTCTCTGCTCTGCCCAAGCTCTTCGGCTTTTCTGAGCGAGTGCCACTTTCAACACCGCTTTCCCCATCCATCAGACCAATCTCTCTCTGGGGTGGTGTAGACTGGGAAGGTGCCTCTGGGAGCTGATACTCTGGCTCTGTGGAATTTCTAGGCTGTCTTTCTTCAGTGTGCTCAGAGAAGATGTTCTTTCCTCATAGTAGAGTATTACAAAGTCTATATTGTGACAGGGAACGGTGCTGCCTTCTCTGTGTGCACATAATGCCACTCCTCCGTTCAGCAGGGCGTATGCTTTGAGCTGAGCCACAAGCCTGGTGATTCACCTATAGGCCAAATTCCCATCATTTATTGCCAGGTCCCTTATGCACCCAGTGGTTCCAGATGCGGAAGGCTGGTTGCCTTCAAGGGTAGATGGAAATGCCTGTTTTCATGACAAGCACAGATGTTGTATTGTATTGACTGGTTTATGCTAGGATTGGGCATCATATAGTCGGCCCACCCTCCCAAAACAAAACACACAGCCCTGTGGCCTGGGTCCCGAGCCTGGAGTTTTCAGGTCTAACTATTTGGCTTAACTATTGTTAACTCCTGAGGGACTCTGGGTGAATGACTTTCCATGCGTGAACATCAAGCTGCTTATTGATAAAACAGTTACAATCATTTCTACTTCACAAGTTATTGAGGCTTCATTATCTAAATGCTTTTGAGAGCTGTCCTTAAATGTGTCATTTCCAGGCTTACGTCACTACATACTAGTGTGCCTTTTTTTTTTCTTTTTTTAATGAGTGTGAAATTGTCTCCCTCCTTCTGTTCATTTAGACTGCAGCATTGATGAGCAGGTAGTGGCAAATGCCTCTTCATATTACTCACAGATTACTGTGGGTTAAGAAATAAACTGGGCATTGACCTTTCCTTGCTGTTTCTGAATTAGTCACACACTTCTCATTGTTTGTGTATGGCAGCAGCATGACCTAAATAAAGTTAGGGTTGATCTCTTTCAGAATATATTTTGGATTTCTCCTTACAATAAAGTTAAGGCAAGTTGATGTATGGTTTGCAATCAAATAGAAAGACCTTTTCAGCAAAGCCCTGGCTCAATGGTGGAGTGATTATTGAACACTGGTTTCTAGTTGTGGCCAAATTCTCAAATTTCTCAAGTGTTACCTGGCCTGCTAAGGACTCTAATAGAAAGCAGTCTCCATTTGTCACTGCCATTTTCCATTGGTGGGGCAACTCGATAGCTCCGATTGCCTGCATCTTACCTTACCACCTTGGAATTCCAGATTAGCCCAATGCTTACTGTTTTCAGGTCTCTGCCATTATGCTGTTAGGTGGCTTTCTAAGCTAAACTGATTGACTGCTTAATCAGCTGCTGTCCATGCTGTGTAGAGTGGATGGGTTCAGGGACAGTGTTTCTTTTTTTTTTTTTCTTTTTTTTTTTATTGATCATTCTTGGGTGTTTCTCGCAGAGGGGGATTTGGCAGGGTCATAGGACAATAGTGGAGGGAAGGTCAGCAGATAAACAAGTGAACAAAGGTCTCTGGTTTTCCTAGGCAGAGGACCCTGCGGCCTTGCGCAGTGTTTGTGTCGCTGGGTACTTGAGATTAGGGAGTGGCGATGACTCTTAACGAGCATGCTGCCTTCAAGCATCTGTTTAACAAAACACATCTTGCACCACCCTTAATCCATTCAACCCTGAGTGGACACAGCACATGTTTCAGTGAGCACAGGGTTGTGGGTAAGGTCACAGATCAACAGGATCCTAAGGCAGAATAATTTTTCTTAGTACAGAACAAAATGAAAAGTCTCCCGTGTCTACCTCTTTCTACACAGACACGGCAACCATCCGATTTCTCAATCTTTTCCCCACCTTTCCCGCCTTTCTATTCCACAAAACCGCGATTGTTATCCTGGCCCGTTCTCAATGAGCTGTTGAGTACACCTCCCAGACAGGGTGGTGGCCGGGCAGAGGGGCTCCTCACTTCCCAGTAGGGGCGGCCGGGCAGAGGCGCCCCTCACCTCCCGGACGGGGTGGCTGGCCAGGCGGGGGGCTGACCCCCCCACCTCCCTCCCGGACGGGGCGGCTGGCCGGGTGGGGGGCTGACCCCCCCAACCTCCCTCCCGGTCGGGGCAGCTGGCCAGGCAGAGGGGCTCCTCACTTCCCAGTAGGGGTGGCCGGGCAGAGGCGCCCCTCACCTCCCGGACGGGGCGGCTGGCCGGGCGGGGGGCTGACCCCCCCACCTCCCTCCCGGACGGGGCGGCTGGCCGGGCGGGGGGCTGACCCCCCCACCTCCCTCCCGGACGGGGCGGCTGGCCGAGCAGAGGGGCTCCTCTCTTCCCAGTAGAGGCGGCCGGGCAGAGGCGCCCCTCACCGCCCGGACGGGGCAGCTGGCCGGGCAGAGGGGCTCCTCACTTCCCAGTAGGGGCGGCCGGGCAGAGGCGCCCCTCACCTCCCGGACGGGGCGGCTGGCCGGGCGGGGGGCTGACCCCCCCACCTCCCTTCTGGACGGGGCGGCTGGCCGGGCCGGGGGCTGACCCCCACCTCCCTCCCGGACGGGGTGGCTGCCAGGCGGAGACGCTCCTCACTTCTCAGACGGGGCGGTTGCCAGGCAGAGGGTCTCCTCACTTCTCAGACGGGGCGGCCGGGCAGAGACGCTCCTCACATCCCAGACGGGGCGGCAGGGCAGAGGCGCTCCCCACATCTCAGATGATGGGTGGCCGGGCAGAGACGCTCCTCACTTCCTAGATGGGATGGTGGCCGGGAAGAGGCGCTCCTCACTTTCCAGACTGGGCAGCCAGGCAGAGAGGCTCCTCACATCCCAGACGATGGGCGGCCAGGCAGAGACGCTCCTCACTTCCCAGACGGGGTGGTGGCCGGGCAGAGGCTGCAATCTCGGCACTTTGGGGGGCCAAGGCAGGCAGCTGGGAGGTGGAGGTTGTAGCGAGCCGAGATCACGCCACTGCACTCCAGCCTGGGCACCATTGAGCACTGAGTGAACGCAACTCCGTCTGCCATCCCGGCACCTCGGGAGGCCGAGGCTGGCGGATCACTCGCGGTTAGGAGCTGGAGACCAGCCCGGCCAACACAGCGAAACCCCGTCTCCACCAAAAAAATACGAAAACCAGTCAGGCGTGGCGGTGCGCGCCTGCAATCGCAGGCACTCGGCAGGCTGAGGCAGGAGAAACAGGCAGGGAGGTTGCAGTGAGCCGAGATGGCAGCAGCACAGTCCAGCCTCGGCTCGGCATCAGAGGGAGACCGTGGGGAGAGGGGGAGGGGGAGGGGGAGGGAGAAGGAGAGGGAGAGGGAGAGGGAGAGGGGACAGTGTTTCATTAGCTGTGTAGCGTTAGGCAACCTACAGACTAAAGCAAAGAACTATACAACAACAATAACAACTAAAACTGCCTCAGTCATGCTGCATCTCTGATCTAGTTTAGGCTGCAGAGGTAAGATTTGACCATCATAACTCAGCCAGGCAGAAACCACATGGGGAAGTAATTCACGGAGCATGCATCTTTTTCAATCCTTTATCCCACCGTATGCTGTATTTCGCTGACCAGGATGGAGATCATTCTCATTCTGCATCTCTGGGATGCATGAAGTTCTGTTGGGGAAGAAAGTACTCATTACAAGCTCATGTCTGGTTTAGAAGTTCCTGGGTGAGTGGGGAATGGATCCAAGAGCTCTGGGCATCAGGTCTCCAGACAGGACTAACTGGGGTTGGGGAAGTGGTAACAGCTGGTCCTGTGGGCCGTGGTTGCTGTTAGAGGGAGTTGCCTTTGGTAATAGTGGTAAGATTGTGATGTGTCATCTTACAAGAAGTCTATACCAAGAAGAGTGTCTTTGCTTAACCACTGTGAAGCCACTCCTCAGAGATTCTCCTAGATTTGTAGCTTTGATTAGGGTTAAAATCTGGACTTGGTTGGTGGGGAAGTGGTAGAGACTTAGGTGCCTGGAATGGGCAGTTCTGGACACTTTCCTCCTGCAGGGCTGTGGTTCTGGGCCTTACTGTGGCCTTCTCTAATGCCCCTGGGAAGAGCACAGCTCTACACAAACTGGGGCAGATTGAAGAATTAGTCCATTGGGAATTATTGCCAGTATGGATCCAGAAGAAAGGCTATTGTTTTGTTCTCCCAGCTCACCAACAAGGAGGTAAAAGATTGCTCACTTCTCTCACAAGCCTTGCCATCCACTTCCCATTTCCAAATACATAGAAATCAAAACATTCAGTGTTTGGACTTACCCCATGGCAATGCAGCCGTCCTGCAAACACATGGGTTGGATTCCTGACACGTGCCTGGGAAAGTGAGCTAGCATAATGCTATGGATTTTGGTCTTCTGGGGGTTGGTGTCCCCTGAATGCACGTGAGTGGATTAGCAATGCACATGACTACTTGGTTTGTATATTCTCTGGCTGAGTGACCCAGTTCCTGGCCCAGGAACAGGATGAGCAAAGCTAGCTGGGTACCATCAGGGAAACCTCCCAGCTGGGGCATGGGGGCACCTTCCTTCCTAGTCCAGGATGCAAACAAGTGTCAGAGCAAGGTGAGGAGGAGAGTCTCTGCTGTCTGTTTGGCTCTGGTCATTTCCTTTGTAGCTATGTAGATAAATAGAAGTAAGGGGCAAATCCGATGGGCTTGATATTAGAGCCTGTTTCATGGCGTCGCATCTGTCTTTGGAAGCAGCCATTGTGTGTGATCCTCTGACTTTTCCTCCAGTTGCTAACCATCTTGAATATTTTAGAAACCCTCTTATGTGTTAATATGCCCGGTGAGACAAGCATCGTGATTTCTCCTTCACCAGTGACCAAACAGAGCTGCGGGGTTGTCAAGTGAATGTAGTGAAAAATCACACACTTGTAACCGAGCCAGGCTGTGCCAGAAGCCCAGTCCCTGACTCGGTCCTACTGTTGTCTCTCAGATGGGGAAGTGGCTCTATCTATAAAACGTGTGGTTGCTATGAATTACCGGTGTTGGTAAGGAGAATTGGAAGCATTCTCATTTCTAGATTACCTTTCAAATATTCAAATTCATGCACCAGTAGCATATGGCTAGAACTTTTATTTTTTCACTCAGATGTCTTCCAATGTGCTTCATTGAATTTGAAATCCACACCAGGTTTGAATTTTGAAAATGCCAACTGTATACTAACTGAATGTGAGAAATGAAGAAAACTTTCATAAATGTTTTTTTAAAAATAAATGGTGATTTATTTTTCTGTGTTCAGATAAACCAGCTGTATGGGTTTTTTTTTTCTTCATTTTGGTTGATTTGCATTCTTGATAATATAGAAGGAACAATGTTTCCAGTGTATTCTTAGCTAATTTTCTGCAAAAGAGTTTGCAGTAGCACGTGTCAGACATTAAAGGAAAATGGGTCATGGAGTCTTTGGGCCACCTCTGCTGGCCGGGAGCTTTGGGTGGAGGGAGGAGCCTTTGTCGTCTTCAAATGGCTGTGTCTGCTGTGTCCTCTCAGCAAAATTTTGATTCAGAAATGATCCGATTCCTTTTTCTTCCCGCTTGGGGCTGAGTTTAGTTTGTAGGTGCCATTCAATGCTTTTGTTTCTCACCAGGTAAGAGATTTTCAAGCACTTCAGAACTCATAAAAGAGGGCTTTTATCTGCTTGGTTTTCCTCAGCTGCAGAGAAAATAAGTCTGAAAGTTTGTATCTTGCATGACCTCTGTCAGAGACACCAACATAGAGTGGAAAGAACATTGGCCTGGAAGTCAGAAACTGCCCCGTAACGGGTGGCCCAGGAGCCCTTTCCCTAAAGCCACCTGCAGCTCTAAGAGCTTCACAGTCCTTGGGATGACCCCCTGTGAGACACCTACTCCTTCTTTCCCCCCGACACTTATTAAAATACACCATATTCCCCATGAAATATAATTTATACACTGTACATCTTCAAATCTAAGTCACCATCAGTTGTAAACTGTATCATGATTTTATGCACCGCTAAGAAGAAAAAATGCTGCCTAATAGATGCACTCATTTCAGAGGATTCCTATGTAGAAAAATGTGCAGTTTATAATTGGTGAAATATATGATGAGGTCAGCTGCAGCTGGGTAGTTGAGATAATGCCAAATGTTGTCAATTTTTTATAAAAATGATCTATTTCTAACATGGACAGAGCTAAAATACCCATGTACCTGCTACCCAACTTTGGCAGAGCTCAACATTTGCTTCAAATATTTTTTTTAAAATAAAATAAAACATTGAAGACATAATTGAAGACCCCGGTCCTTCCCTAATCCTGCACCTTGTCTCTCCTTCAGGGTCCCATGGGAACTCCATCTTGAGTTTGGTGCCTGTCATTTCCATGCATGTTTGTAAATTTTGACTGTATGTCTTTATATCCATTAAACACATACATTTAGTGTTTTTATTTTTTATTTTTATTTTTTGAGGTGGAGTCTTGCTTTGTCGCCCAGGCTGGAATGTGGGATCTAGGCTCACTGCAACCTCTGCCTCCCGGGTTCAAGCGATTCCCCTGCTTAGGCCTCCCGCGTAGCTGGGATTACAGGCTCATGCCACCATGTCTGGCTAATTTTTTTTAATTTTTAGGAGAGTTGGGGTTTCGCCATGTTGGTCAGGCTGGTCTCGAATTCCTGACCTCAGGTGATCCAACTGCCTCGGCCTCCCAAAGTGCTGGGATTACAGGTGTGAGCCATCGCACCTGGCCGTATTTAGTGTGTTTGTTTGTTTGTTTGTTTTTTTGAGATGGAGTTTCACTCTTGTTGCCCGGGCTGGAGTGCAATGGTGAGATCTGGGCTCACTGCCACCTCTGCCTCCCAGGTTCAAGCGATTCTCCTGCCTCAGTGTCCCCATATTTAGTGTTTTAAAAACCCTGCTAGCTTTCCACCAGTGTCCATTCCCTGTTCTTCCTTTGAATAGTAGAACCCCTGAGCTTTATGCAGACAGCTTCTGCCAGTGATGGCTCATGACTTAACTTCTGGCTGATGGATGCATGTGGAATGGATGAGTACACCCTCTGGATTTTTCCTTTAAAATGAAGGAGCAAGCCCTTCATATCCTTTCTCCTCGTTCCCTCTGATTAGGACAGGGTCAAGGTGGTTGTGAGCTACTTATGACTATGCAGAGGAGGGAAACACACTAGGGAATACTGGAGCAACAAGGTAGAAAAACCCTCGGTTTCTGCCTTCACAGTGCCAGCTCGTCCACTCCCGACCTGACTGCCCGCCATCGTGAGCTGCTGTGTGAGAAGTAAACAAACCAACAAACGTATTTTTATTTAAGCCAGTATTATTTGTTCTCTACTAAAACAGCCACACACAAAAAGTTCCCACTAATATAAATGGTTTATATTTTGATCGTGCACATTTCTAGTGACTTCTTGTATTAAAAACTTTATTTTTTCTTAAGGATTAGCATAAGATACATGTGTACAGTTGAACATTTCCTCAGATTTAGAAAAAGGAAAAAATACATCTTACCACTTCCTCGATGGCTAGATATCTGTGTCCCATCCTCCAGGCGACACGATCCCGTGGAGGGCGCATTAATCTGAGCCCTTCACTGTCTTCCATGCAGAGATAGAGGGAGTTCATGCATGCTGAGGACAGTTAGCTACTCAATCCTCAACAGGAGACATTTAAAGCAAACTTCACTGTGATAATTTCAGAATGAAAAGGAGACGTTTCCATTCATAGGAGAATTTCCTTCCCGAATCCTGCCTGAGCATCTGTGGAATCATCCTCAGAGTGAGGCCTTCCTGGTCAAGTTCTCTCCTCTGGGAGGCTGTCCCGTGACTCCCATGCCTGCACGACAAACTGCGGGATGGCTGCTCCAGGAACAAAGCCACCTCTCACCAGCCGGCAGGGCCAGGTCAGGGTACCAGGCTGGTTACAATACCTGCTTTCTGCGGAGTGGATGAGTGGCCCAGAGGGTAACAAGAACCATCTCCCATTTTTCCCTGTCCCTTTTTCCAGCCCCGATGCTGTTGGATAGGGGCACACCCCCAGCATGGTCCTGATCTCACAGGTCAGCTTGGCTTCTGGCCTTAAAGGCAGGTCTGTTCTTTGGTTTCCCTCTCAAAGGGCGCTTGAAACAGAGTGGTAAAGGTCCCTGACCTCTCCTATTGAATAAGGCTGATGTCATCAGTCTCTATCATGCCAGATGCCCACTGACCTTGGGTGAAGCTTCTCCCAGTCTCTCCTTGCATTAAGAGTTGGGTTTTCAGGTGAGTGGTCCTCAGACTTCTGCAATTGACTCATTGCCTCAGTGCAAAGATCACAGGAGCCTCTTAGGCCATCCGTGCCGATGGCTTCCAAACACACAACGGTGGCTCATGGAAGGAGTGGGAAGGAGAGCACTGCTCTGGGTGAGAGTTGGCAAGCTGAGTTCTACTGAAGAGTGCCCGTAAATGAAATTCATGGTGTAAAAAACCCAAGCTGGCTGAGTGCGGTGGCTCACGCCTGTAACCCCAGCACTTTGGGAGGCCGAGGCAGGTGGATCACCTGAGGTCAGGAGTTCGAGACCAGCCTGGCCAACATGGTGAAACCCCATCTCTACTAAAAATACAAAAAAAATAAGCTGGGCATGGTGGTGGGTGCCTGAAATTCCAGCTACTCAAGAGGCTGAGGCAGGAGAATCACTTGAACCCGAGATGCGGAGGTTGCGGTGAGCAACCTCAAAAAAACAAACAAACAAAAAACCCAAGCCAAACAATACAAAATGACTCCCCTTCCGTGGAGGCTGCAACCCCAACTGGGAGAGTCCTGTACAATCATAGGACAAGAAAGAAAAAGAGGCACAGGGAACATGTGAGAAGCAGTTTGCACACTTTAGTCTGACTAGATGTCACAGTTCCCTTGATAGTTTTTGCAAGCAAAAAAATGAAAATTACACGTAAACGAGTCTTTAAAACCAGTTCCTCTCGATTTACCTTATAACCAGTTCATCAGAAATTTACTTCCATTTTGAGTGTCTTTTGCATTCCCTGTCAATATCTCAAAAATTAATTTAATTTAGAAACTAAAATTAAGCATAAAGTAAAGTTTAAAAACAAGCTGGGTAGGCCCTTAGAAGGCTTGATTTACAAACCTTATAATGCCAAAGACACGGCAAAAAAAAAAAAAATCAAAATCAAAAGACATTCCCATGTAAAAACACCCAAAAAGGTTTTAAATTATAGGCAAATTGCTCATTAGGCAACTGGCTTTAGGCTAATTGACCTAGAGTCAATGACTTCCAAAAGTCGGCACTTCAGTGCTCAGGGACAGTTTCTCAGGCCTGTATTCATCTTATTTCAGACAAAATTCTAATCAACTCTATTATTTGGTTTCTCAGCCTCTGGCATATTAGATGCGAATCAAAACAGGAGGGAACTGTGGGAGCCAGGCCACTTTGCACAGTGAGAAGACCCGCTGATACCCTGACAGGCAGGGTGGGGTGGGAGGAGGCCAGAGAATATTAAAATGTAAATGCAAGGATTAGGAAATCACCCTAGTGTGGGGCCTTTTCCTGGACGGGTGACCTCTTCCTACACTCCTACACTGCTGTGGCTTCTGAGATTGCCTCTCTATCATCATGGGCAGAGGTTCATAAAGCCAGGCAAGCTGTGAAAAATATCTGTAACAGGCTAAATCGTGAGCCACAGACTTTGCCCAATTCGTTGTTTTCATATACAATCCATTTTGAAAAGCTTTTCATCGCAAAGCGTCCAATCATTGACTTGTGAGTTGGAGCATCCTTATAAAGCACCCAGTTCCCCCCACCCTCTGTGTGCAGCCCACCCACCAAGAGCCCCCCGCCCTCTGTGTGCAGCCCACCACCAAGAGCTCTGTCCATAGGATGCCTCTGTGGCTGCATGAACACCCCCAGACCTACCTAGAAACAATTCTGCGTTCTGGAAACATTCACCTCTAGGAAGTCCTCTTTCACCCAACAGTAGCGTGACCAAATCCAGGTAGTTCTCAATATCCAGGGTAATTCGGGAGGAGGTCAGGAATAACCCAAATTGTGATGAAATTCACTTTCAGTTATCTAGTGCATATAAGTGTGGCTAAGAAGCAGCCAGACAGAGGGCTGGGCGCGGTGGCTCACGCCTGTAATCCCAGCACTTTTGGAGGCAGAGGCGGGCGGATCACAAGGTTAGGGGATCGAGACCATCCTGGCTAACAGTGAAACCCCATCTCTACTAAAAATACAAAAAATTTAGCTGGGTGTGGTGGCACGTGCCTGTAGTCCCAGCTACTCTGGAGGCTGAGGCAGGAGAATTGGTTGAACCCAGGAGGCAGAGGTTGCAGTGAGCCGAGATCGAGATCGTACCACCGTACTCCAGCCTGGGCTATAGAGCAAGACTCCATCTCAAAAAAAAAAAAAAAAAAAAAAAAGAGAGAGAGAGAGAGAAGCAGCCAGAGAGAATAGGAGAATATACTTGCAAATCGTATATTTGATAAGGGATAAATATCCAGAATACCTAGAGAACTCCTAAAAGAACAACCTAACTCAAAAATGGGCAAAGGACTTGAGCAGATATTTCTCCAAGGAAGATATACAAATAGCCAGTAGGAGTGTTAAAAAAATGCTCAATGTCACTAATCATTGGGGAGAAATGCAAATCGAAATTAGTGAGATACTGCCTCATACCTATTAGGATGGCTAACATTTCAAAAAAAAACCAAACAAACAAACAGGAAATAACAAGTGTGGTGAAGATGTGGAGAAAATGGAACCCTTGGACACCGCTGTAGGAATGTAAAGTGGTACAACTACTGTGGAAAATAGTACGGCAGTTCCCCCCAAAAATTAATATAAAATTACCATATGATCCAGCAAGTCCACTTCTGGTATATTCCCAAAATAACTGAAAGCAGGGTCTCAGAGATATTTATACATCCAGGTCGGGCACGGTGGCTCATGCCTGTAATCCCAGCACTTGGGGAGGCTGAGGTAGGCGGATCACCTGAGGTCAGGAGTTCGAGACCAGCCTCAACATGGAGAAACCCCGTCTCTACTAAAAATACAAAATTAGCCGGGCATGGTGGTGCATGCCTGTAATCCTAGCTACTGGGGAGGCTGAGGCAGAAGAATTGCTTGAACCTGGGAGGCAGAGGTTGTAGTGAGCCGAGATCGCGCCATTGCACTCCAGCCTGGGCAACAAGAGCAAAACTCCATCTCAAAAAAAAAAAAAAAAAAAGATATTTATACATTCATGTTCATAGCAGTATCATTCACAATTGCTATAACATGGAAGCAACGCAAGTGTCTGTCGACAGATGAATGGATAAATAAAATGTGGTATATCTGTACAGTGAAATATTACTTAGCCTTAAAATGGAAGAAAATTGGCTGGGCATGGTGGCTCACGCCTGTAATCCCAGCACTTCGGGAGCTGAGGCAGGTGGATCACCTGAGGTCAGGAGCTCTAGACCAGCCTGGCCGACATGGCGAAACCCCATCTCCACTAAAAAATACAAAAATTAGCTAGGTGTGGTGGTGGGCGCCTGTAATCCCAGCTACTCGGGAGACTGAGGCAGGAGAATCACTTGAACCCGGGAAGCGGAGGTTGCAGTAAGCTGAGATTGCGTCATTGCACTCCAGCCTGGGAGATAGAGCAAGACTCCATCTCAAAAAAAAGAAAGAAGATTCTGACACATGCTACAACATGGATGAACCTGGAGGACATTACACTGAGTGAAATAAGCCAGTCACAAAAAGGCAAATATTCCGTGGTTCCACTTTTATGAGGTAGAAGAGTCAAAATCATAGAGACAAAGTAGAATGAAGGCTACCAAGGGCTGGGGTCGGGGGAATGGAGAATGGGGAGTGATTGTGTGCTAGGTACAGAGTTGTAGAGATGGATGGTGGTGATGGTTGCATGTCATTATGAATATATTTAATACCACTGAACTATACACTTAAAAGTGGTTAAGATGGTAAATGTTATGTCATCTGTATTTTACCACAATAAAAACATTGCGGGGTGTAGGGGGATGACAGCCAGCATCTGGAATGGCTTACTTCCTTAGGGAGGCTAAATATAATAATTACTGCTGCTCCCAATCCCCCTTTCACTTCCAAAGCCCAAGGACCCCCCCAGGTATCTTTCCACTCCAGGGCCCTCTCTGAGGAGTGGTGTCAGGACTTGGGCTGGCACTCCTGGGAAGGAAGGTGGCGCGGGGTGTAGTGAGCAGGCTGAGATGATCTGCTCTGGGAGCGCTTGCTGCACTCCTAAAGCCTTGGGAGAAGAAATGGGTGGGTGAGGTCAAAGAGGAGGATTTGCCTAACTTCCACCACCAGCCATAGTTAATCCCCAAACCAATTAATCTGATACTTAGTATCTATCCTTTTATAACTATTGTTAACTCTAGTCAAGTACTCTTTTTTTGAGACGGAGTTTTGCTCTTGTTGCCCAGGCTGTAGTGTAATGGTGCCATCTCAGCTCACTGCAACCTCCGCCTCCCGGGTTCAAGAGATTCGCCTGCCTCAGCCTCCCGAGTAGCTGGGATTACAGGTGCCTGCCACCACACCCAGCTAATTTTTGAATTTTTAGTAGAGACGGGATTTTACCACGTTGGCCAAGCTGTTCTCGAGCTCCTGACCTCATGATCCACCCGCTTCAGCCTCCTAAAGTGCTGGGATTACAGGCAGCCAACTGCATTGTGAGCATGCTTAGGAGCAGCACGGCCCCTATAGAGAACATCGGATCAGGTGACCTAAGCAAGGTCTGACACTTACCTTGTGGCCTAGGACCAGTTGCTGATTTTTGGAGCCTCAGTGTATCTTCTGTGAAATGAGATTGGTGATACCTACCAAGTTAATTCGTGGAACTCTCATGAGAGTCAAATGAAATAACCTATGTCAAAATGCTTTGTGATACTAGAGGAATGTAAGGGCATTGATAATGGCAGAGATTTGAACTTGAAGCAAATAAGAGGCAGAAATGTAAAGTTAATGGAAGGGACTGCAGTTTTCATTGCTGTGGTTCTGCCTCTGAAGTTTATGAGTACTGGTTGTGATTAGTTAAAGGGTAATCCTTACCTGCCCTGCTAATACTTGAAGACTAGGTTTTCTACTGGACCCTAACATCTTTTTGAGATTGCTTTTAAAAAGTGATGAATTTCTTTAACCAGTAAGGTGTGTATATATCCATTTTCTGTTCTGCTTTATTTTAGGAATGAATTTATTATTATTATCATAGTAAATAGCCAAGCATGATTCAATTTAGGAAAATAACAGGAAAAGTTTGCTCATCTTTTCTAGGCTAATTTTGCCATAATCCCCACAAATAAAGTAGTGGTTTCTTTAAAATATGCCAGTTCAGGGTCACAGAGCTGCACTTTTAAAGCCTACAAGTGATTATTTAGTGCGAAAATTGTATTCAAGTGAAACACATCAGCATGCAAATCTAAAACGTGGCCATTTTCATCTAGATTGAATATTATTAACCAGCCCAAGGGATATGATGTAATTAAGATTTTGAACAGCTTACTTTTGTCTACCGTGATGAATATTACCCCAATATTTAAAGCGGCTTACCAGTTGAATAATGAGAAGGTGGCCCAGTGCACCAATAACCATACATTTTGGCTTTTAGGTGCAGTGAATGAGTTTGACTTTTCTTCACAGGTCCAAGCATTGATAAGGACAGAGATATGAACTTGAAGCAAAAAAGAGAATGTTCAAATTCCAGGAAAATCACAATTCCTTTCTGAATAATGGCAGATTTCCATGTCATTGCCTACTCACTCATTTTAATACCTTCTTGCATGGGTTTAGGAATAAAGACCAAGTGGGGACAGATGAATCCCTTGTTAAGGGTTTATGCTTTTGCCTAATTAAAACTATTGGGTTTATAGCCTGCTAATGCAGCTCTACTTGGAAGGGAGAACAACTCTTAGCTTGGATCCACTTCAGAAAGTTTGCAAGGCCTCCCTCTGCCTTTCAGAGAACTGAGAAGGTACATTTCTGATAGCATCTTTCTTCTGGTGCCATTCCAGGATAACTGTTCTTAGGGGAGACAAGATGCTCACCTTTTCTGTCCTTCCCACACCATTTTAAAAGAAAGACAAAGTTCTTTATTTCTCCCAGGAGAAGTTCAGGAAAGGATCCATTGCAGAGCTGCACCACCTTAAGCAGACAGCCCAGCCGGCAGGCTAGGTTGGTACCACGGCTCATTTCAGCCATCCGTATTTTCAGGTGTACCATATGTATTTAGTACATCATTTGATAATGCTAAAAAAATATTAAAGCAGTGTGAGACTAAAGGAGAAAGAAGATGAATGTTAGCATTCCCCTGGGGTTCATGGGTGAAGGAATTAACACAGCGTGGCACTCTACCCTAGCTGTGTTTGTTTCCATGGCAACAGCTACGTACATGTTTCAGACTATCTACAGTGACACAGTTGCAGAAATAGTAGCTTGCAGGTTTCTGATATCGCATCAGTGGACAGGCGGCATGCACTATATTAAGTAAGTGTAAAAGAATTTAAAATATAGCTCTGGATTCAGATGTGTATTAGCTCAACTGAACGATGTGTCGGGGGTTGCGGCATTCCCCTTCTGCACGATGGCAAAATCTGGGCAAAGTTGAAAGTTGCAAGATTCCAGTCAAACAATTGTCCTTGCTTGGGTAAATATCCTCAAATGAAAAAAAATGTGAGTTACAAAGGTAAGAAAATGGCCTTGGCAGATGACATATCAAAGAAGGATATTGTTAATGAAGCTATTTTTTTTTTTTTTGGAGGGGGGTAGAGATGGATAAGAAATGAAAGCTTTGGTTGGAAATAGCTGAGTCTTAAAGCAAATCGAATGTGCAACAGAATCTTTTTAACAGCTGCTGAGTTTATGGCAACTAAGGTCTTTGAATGTATCACTGTAGAAATTGCTTTTATATCAGAATGATCAGGTGAGGAGCAGAGAGGTTGATTAGGTGTGCGGTTAAGGGGAAATCGGGGCTCCATTGTCTTTTCTGAAAGCTTATGTAAATATCTCATTCTCTCCAAGCTGACCCTGGTTTGTCTTTGACATTTGCTGCTACTTTTTAGTACCATTTGCTGGTATCTGTGTTGATCTCATGCTGCCACATTGTAACCTTATATGACTTCAGTGTTGGTTACAGAGCAACCAAGTAAAGATGATAGACTTTGTAAGTGTGTGACTTTGCAACCAAATTGTGCAGTAATTTCGGAGGAGTGTTCAAATGAGTATTTATTTGCCTGCTAGACCCCTACTTTTGAATAGCAGCCTAGGTATTAGGTTAATGGATTTCAATGTGCACGTTATGATTGTGGGAGCTTTCAAGTATGTTGTAGTGCAATTTACACTGAGTTTTTAATGTCAAAAAATTTTTTTATTTATGCCCATTATTCGATTTAAGCCTGCATTTACCTCATAGTTTTATTATTCGTGTATCAGTGAAGAGAATGTAAAATGGCATGGTAATTTAAGCTAATCTATTCATTTGAAGAAGGTTAGTTTTCCGACCATAGGTGGACTTTTAGAAAAAGCGATGCAGACAGCTCTTTGGGCTGTATGAGACTATTTTTTTATGTGCACAGGGAACTATCTACAGTATGTACTGCATATTATTCTTTATAGTCATTATTTGATCAGATGTTAAGAGAATACCTCTGAGGCGCTCGGAGTTTCTGAGCACCCACGCATGTGGAGGGCCAGGACAGGTTTTGGATTATAAACCAGGGACTTGAACCCTGGAATGTACCACACCCCAGTGGGTAGATACAATGTGCCTTTCTAAATAAGTTGATAAATGAAATGAATGTTGAAGCTTTCCATATATGCCCATGTGTAGTCTGAGCAATCCAGAGATGGGAATTGAAATTTGTGTCTTCTATGGGGGTTGTTTTTTGGTTTTATTTTATTTTGTTGAGACAGGGTCTCACTTTGTCGCCCAGGCCAGAGTGCAGCGGTGCTATCTCGCCCTACTGCAACCTCTGCCTCTTGGGCTCTAGCGATCCTTCTGCCTCAGTTTCCCAAGTAGCCGGGACAACAGGCACATACCACCATGCCCAACTAAAAGACCTCACTATATTTTCCAGGCTGGTCTTAAACTCCTGGGCTCAAGCCATCCTCTCGCCTCAGCCTCCCAAAGTGCTGAGATTATAGGTGCGGACCTTGGGAAACTTTTTAATGGTGGCTCATACCGAAGGCAGCTCCATTCTCAGAGGACGAGCTGCTCTGCCCACTTGTACCCCCAACTTCAGTGGAGTTTTAAGACCCATCTTTGGGGTGGGTGGGAGGGCAGACCTCTGTCCCCATGCCCTGGCTTGCCTGGTGTGTGCCCCATGTATCCTGGGACTTCTCTGTGTGAAAGCTGCATGATCCCACGTGTGCTTGGCCCCCCCAGGCTGAGGGGACCAAATAGCATTGGTAGGAGAGAGTTTACATAACGTTCTGTTATTGTGTTTGAAGGACCTTGGAAAACTTGGGCTCAATAACCTGGGACTCTGACACTGGAGAACAAAAAAGTTTCAGTGAACTACTTGGATGACTAGTTCAACTTTTGTTTTTTGGGGAGTGCTGGAGCAGGCCTTTCCAACAGTCAGGACGTTTGTGTATGTTTTTCATCATACAGAAATATTTTCCAGTGTAGAAACAAACCAAAACAAAACACCCGTCTATGCTATTTTAACTCTTTTGTAAGAATAGAAAAACACATGAACCTAAATGTAAAGCGCTAGGCTGAACTCGTCATTGGAATGTGAAATCTTGGCAGTACTTAGAGGAAACTCAATCGCTTCCATTCAAAGGGCCAGGAAATTGATTTAGAAAAAATAAAATAAATTTGAGGGATTCCCAAATAGTGGCAAGGTGGAATGACTAAGAGAAGCATGAAGGTACAGACGGATCTTATTCCCAGTCATAAATGGTGGTAAAATGGTCCGAATAAACCTCCCGAGGCAGAGCTCATCTGGAGTCTCCATTGCCCAGAACTTCTGAAGATTCCCAGAGACCACAGGATGAAAGGTTGGCATCCAGGGCTTTCCACTTTGAGTTTCTTTCCAGCTTCTCGTCTCACTGTGTTTTCTTTTCCTTGGGCATCCTGTGCCCCTGTCCATGGGTCCTGAATTCTGTGCCCTGACCATACTTGAAAGCACATAGGCATTTGCTCTCACCGTTACCTCTGTCCAGATGCCTATAGTCCCATCTTTGCTTTGCAAGGCCCAGCTTAAATTCTGCTTCCTCTGTAAAACCTTACAGATCTCCCCCTTTCATTGAAATGATTTCTCCATCCTCCGCGTTCACTTAACCATTTATTTGTCAATGATCATAGCACATATTGCATTGTATTAAGGTTAGCAGTGGCCGGGAGCAGTGGCTCACGCCTGTAATCCCAGCACTTTGGGAGGCTGAGGCGGGAAGATCACCTGAGGTCGGGAGTTCGAGACCAGCCTGACCAATGTGGAAAAACCCCGTCTCTACTTAAAAAAAAAAAAACAAAAAACAAAATTAGCCAGGTGTGGTGGCGCATGCCTGTAATCCCAGCTGAGGCAGGAGAATCGCTTGAACCCGGGAGGCGGAGGCTGTGGTGAGCCGAGATCGTGCCATTGCACTCCAGCCTGGGCCACAAGGGTGAAACGCTATCTCAAAAAAAAACAAAAATGATTAGGAGTGTATCTCCTTAACTAATATGTAAATGTATTAAAGACAAGGGCCATGACGTATGTACTTTTGTAGGATTCGCCATACCTAGAATAATACTGTAATGGAACTGTTGTATTTAACTGAATTCTTAAAACCTTGTAAAGATATACATTGTGGACCAGTTGTCAAATGCTTCTGTTCTTTGAGCAAAAGGAATCTGTTGGCTGCTGAGATTCCGAAGGCTGTGTCTGTCACAGCACCAAAAGCATCTGGACCCATTCAGCCACTTTCAGATGCTTCCAAACTTCCTGCTGTTTGTCATCGGCTAAACTCATGGAACAAACCAGGTGAATGGCTGATCTTTTTCATATTCATAGACTCACTAGATTTTAGAGCCAGAAGGAACCTCAGGGAGCTAAATTCATTTTATAGAGGAGAGAATTTTAAACCTGAACTGCCAAGTGACTTCTTCAAAGCGAGAGAGTTGGTTAGCGCCCCAGGTGTGTGGACCTAGCTTAGCCGACAATACCTCCACATGCTCCTGTCTACCAGGCCTTCTTGGCATGGCCTTGGGTTCCACTTAAGGCATCAGGGATCAGCTGGTGCTTTCTGCCCATGTCTGACATGCTTTCTATATGTAAACACCGTCATCCAACAACAATCCGTTCACCACTCTTTGCTAAACGCTGATATCATTGGGATAGAATTAAAAACAAAAGTGGACTGGGAGTTGAGCTCAGGGGAACCAGGAGCAAAGCTAACAATTCATTAGCCGTCGCTGAGGACACGGCAGCTGCTGAATTCAGGCAAGTTCAGACCCTTAAAAAGAGTGGAAAAAAGAAAGCACATGCCTCCCAGCGCCTGGGCACCGTATCACTGGGCCAGCTGGGCGCAGCACTGTGGCAAAAAAGATCTCTTCGTTTTCAGAAATCTGAGCCTCCGACCTTGCAGACAGGGAGGGGAATGTGGCTGCAACTTTACTGCATTTGGCATTACGTTTTACTCCTGCCTGCAGTTGTATCAGACACAGCTCCTGTGTGGAGTCCATGAGGATCTGAGAAAAGAACCAGCCCTCCAAGCTGACATAGGAGCAAGCTGTCTCAAGAAAGATGTGCGTGCATGTGTGTGCATGCGCGCGCGTGTGTGTAAGGCTTGCATCTGAGGCTGACAGGCTTTTTAAGAGGAACTCTTGGTTTCTGTGTAAATGTGTGCCTCTTCTGCCCAGAGTTAGCCTGTTAAGGGAATAAAGCGCAATTCAGGTTTTGGAGTTGGAAGCCTGATTAATCTCTCTGCCAGTTACATATGGAAATAAATTAGTAAATGGTCCATCTGGGACTAAACTACTGCAGAGATGATAAATTATTGCCATCGTATATGTCGGTGTTGCTGAAGACTGAGTTGTGCTCACCAGGAGCTGCTAAAACATAACTAGATGCTCTATTGTGGTTAGAGGAATATAAAAAAATTTTTTAATTACAAGTAAAAGATTTACCTTGAAATGCTTTTTGGGAGAATGGTTTGGTTGATGCCAAGTTTGTTCCTCAGAACTGCTGTATCTGCAAATATTTAAAAGGAGAATCTCAAGGGCATCAGAAACATGTTGCTTTTATATTTTCAAAGGCCAGTAGGATAACAAGTGTTAATTAGTAGCCAAACGCCTCGATGAGGAGGATAATTCTATACCTCTATATAGTATGGCACTTTATAATTTTCACAGCAACTTCATTTCTATTTTCTTATTTAAATTTCCAAGAAGGTGGGGTAGGTCAGTGCCTCTTTTTCTTGATAGATGAAAAACTGAGGTTCAGGGGGTTTAGTGCCTTGTCCATAATGACTCAGAAATTTGAGTGGCAAAGCTGGCATGGGTAAGCAGAGACTGCCAATTCTGAATCCGGCTTCATTTCAATCCTAGCCTTGGTGTGACATGAAAAACATTTTCAGTACCCCCTTGTTCACCTACCAACATCGGGAAATAAAACCTTCTATTTATGTCCATTTTCTAGAAGCAATGCCATACCAACTTGATCATGAGAAGCATTTTTTCCTCTAATTGGAGATGTATTAATTTAACTGTTTTGGTGACTAAGTCATACCCCTCTCAACTTGAGTGACAGTGTTTTTTTAAAGCTAAAACCAGAGATGTCCTCAGGGGCTGTCGAGGCGTGGTAACATTTTGCCCCTTTGCAGAATGGCCCGAGGTGACTGTGACTTCCAGATTCTTGTACCTACTTTAAAATTTTGTGTGTGTGTTCTTCCTCCTGGACAAATCTTCTGCTATTAATCATTGAAGCAGTTGCGGTTCTTCCCTCTAGAAAATGCACTGCCGAAAGTACAGAAAAGTAAACTGGATGTAGTTTTTTTTTTTTTTTTGAGATGGGGCAATGGCACCATCATGGCTCACTGTGGCCTTGACCTCTAAGTTCAGATGCTCCTCCCTCTTCAGCCTCCTAGGTGGCTGGGACTACAGGCGTGTACCACCACACCTATTTTTTTGTTTTGTTTTGTATTTTTTGTAGAGATGGGGTTTTGCCCCGTTGCCCAGGCTGGTTTTGAACTCCTGGGCTCAAGCGATGTGCCCACCTCGGCCTCCCAAAGTGCTGGGATTACAGGCATGAGTCACCATGCCTGGCCCAGACATTAATTAAACATCAGCCACTGGTGCCTGCTCGGTGGTCTTTAATGAAAAAGAGGAGCCCCCAGCCTGACCAACATGGCGAAACCCTGTCTGTACTAAAAGTACGAAAATTAGCCCGGTGTGGTGGTGGGCTCCTGTGATCCCAGCTACTGGGGAGGCTGAGGCAGGAGAATCGCTTGAACCAGGGAGGCAGAGGTTGCAGTGAGCTGAGATTGTGCCACTGCACTCTAGTCTGGGCAATAGAGACTCTGTCTTAAAAAAAAAAAAAAAAGAAGAGCCCCTAGCTCTTACCTGTCTGCACTTGGAAGTAACCTTGTCTCACTCAGATCACCTTCAAATTTCTCTTGTATCAGCCAGACCTGGTTACCCCGTGCCCCCGAATAGCCCTCACGCTTTCCAACCTCCGGGCCTTCGCTTTGGTTGCTGTCTGGTTTTTGTTGTTGTTAAAATTCTGTCCTAATCTCAAGGCCATTATTATTGTCTTCATGATGCCTTCCTTTCGTGGCACCCCCCACTCCTCACCCCAAACAGAAACAAATGTCTCCTTTGTCTTGACACTCTCCAGCCGTTATAAGAAATAACACGGTCTGCCAGTATTTGAGTTGCTTGTGTATGTGTCTTATTGTCCATAGTGGACAATATATTTCTCGAGGGCCGGTTCTTTATCATCTCTGACTCTTCATCCCTCCATGATGCGATCCCTAACTCTATGCTTTGTCCTTATAGGAGCTTAAACACAAAGTAGAGTAGGGTGATTTTATTTTACAACAGAATGTCTTTGTATGGGTGGATAAATTAATGATCTAAGGTATATCAGAATTACTTGGAGGACTTGTTAAAACACAGATTTCTGGGCCCTACTTCTGGATAATGTATTCTGACTCAGTAGATATCAGGTAGGGGCCAAGAATTTGCATTTCCAACAAACTGTCAGTCAATATTGATGCTGCTATTCCAAGACCCACAGTTTGGGAACCGCCGATCTAATTAATATACTCCTAACATTCTCAGACTACAGCGCGTAGGCTAATGCCATTCTTTTCATTAGAGAGTTCGTTGATTTGTTATCCTTGAGGCCCCGGTTAAAAAGATATCTTCTTCAGAGATGATTATGCAATCTGTCTCATGTACCAACTTTCCTATTTTGCAAGATTATTGGTTAACCATGGCCTGATAACTTGCAGCCCATTTAGTGAGGAGTAGAGCCAGAGACATTTCATTTTACAACAATAAAATAGAGTCGTTGACTTTGCAGCGTGTACACTTGGTCTACCCAGTGGATCAAGGCTGGTCCGTGGGGTGGAATGCTGGCCTTGAGCGCTTGTGGGTGCTCTGATGTTTTTCCTTTATGTAGACAAGTGTTTGAGTAGCAGCTGTAGTACATAAAATGATCTCACAAATGTCTCAATGGCAGTTGTAGCAAAATAAAATAATCTCACATTGAGATGGCATGTATTTTCAAATTTCTGGATCTTCTTATGCCCCATGAGACAGTTTCAAAAACACTCCATCGTGAAAGATCCAGTCTTTTAATAATGATCCAAGAAATAAAGAGGTACTGTTACAATTGGCTTTTTCACTGAAGTGCGTCATTTTCTAGAGTCAGGCCAGAGATGACATCCATTGTGGTTGCAAGGGCTCTCTCTGCTGCTTCTGCTTAATTCTGACTTCCTACTGCTCCTCTCCAGCAGCCTCTAGAAGACCAGCATTCTCGTGATTATGGAGGCCCCTCTGTCTTTTCTGTGACGGGAGCAATGCTGACCTCGGTTTCCTGGACCCATTCCGACTCAGGTAATCACACTGCCTTCCCCAGCTCGCCATGCTTTACGTAGATTGCATTGAATACATGAAATGCCAAAGCTATATTTAAATGCAAATGCCAAATTGATTATTTCTCCATCAACTGGTATCCTCCCCCGCCTCCCCCCAATCTTCTTAATGATCAATTTATGCAGCTGATCAGACTTGACAATGTGGTCAATCCAATTTAGGCATTAAGATGATTAAAAACATTGAATCACATCTTTATTTAAAATTCTGGTGTGAGTCGTAGAAATACAAAGCCACCAGAACATTGCTGGGAATTTTCACATAGAAATTAGCTTCTAAATTATTTTTGTTGCCACAATCTCATGTTTTACTTTAATCGTATTAATCTTTCTAATGTTGTACTTTTAGTTGAGTTCAATAAGTATTGAGTATCTGTTGTGTGTTCTTGGGACAGGTGGGGATGAAAAAGTAGAAGGCTGGCTCCTATCCTCAGGGAGCCCACAGTTTAGGCAAAGTTGACTCACTCATAAGAAAATGGCAGATGGTGCTGAGCATAGGGCCAGGGCTATGAGCTAGCGGTAGTTCCTTGGTTCAGGGAATGGAGAAGCTTTGAGGATTGGGATTGAAATAATTAGGGAAGAATTCATGGACCAGGGAGGGCCTCAGTTGGGCTTTGTCACTGTGGATCATTTGGCCAGGCAGAAGGAAGAGGCGTGGCATTGAGCCTTGAGGGGAAGACAGGAATGAACCCACCATGAGCCCAGGCAGTGAGGGCCTGACTGCCTCGATCAGAAGGTCTAGAGGACCCAGATCTTCTGCCCCACCCAGAACCAGACTCCCCGTCAGGGGTCCCTTAAGGATCCTGGAGTGGAGCCCATTGGGGAAACTCCACCTTCCCGTTGCAGAGGGGCTTTGGCTGGCACTGTCCTGCTGGGACAGTGGTTTCTGTTGCCCCCACCCTGGCTTGGCCACTGCTTTGCTGATCTTTTCTGCTTCTCTGGGCCTGTCCACACCCTGCCTCTGCCTGTCTACCTGATTATTTACTCTACTCTCACACACCTGCCATCCTCCCCTCTGAGCTCTGTCTGGCCTTTGGGGCTTGTCAGGGCCCTGGGATGAGCTCTGTGAGGTCAGTTCCTGGTGATTCACAAGGGGCGATTCTGAGAAGTGGAGCTGCAGGGGAGGAAGCATAAGTTAAGAACACGCATTTATAAAGTAAGGCTGGGAGCTCATCCAGAGAGTTCTGAAAGCCAGAATTCAGGGAGGGTCTCAAGGGGGAGGGCTGGGGCTGTAGTCAGGGATGGGAGCCAAGTGCCCTGATTAATTTGGGTATGGTGCAGTGGATCCTGTCCACCCCTCACTCTCCCCCAGGTCTGCCCTTTGTTAAGCTGGTGGAAGCAGTGGTGGCTTTCACTGCCCTGGGTCTTTTTTTTTTTTTTTGAGAGAGTCTTGCTCTGTCACCTAGGCTGGAGTGCAGTGGCGCCATCTCTGCTCACTGTAACCTCCGCCTCCCAGGTTCAAGCTGTTCTCCTGCCTCAGCCTCCTGAGTAGCTGGGGCTACAGACGTCCACCACCACGCCCGGCTAATTTTTGTATTTTTAGTAGAGATGGTGTTTCACCATATTGGCCAGGCTGGTCTCGAACTCCTGACCTCAAGTGATCCTCCTGCCTTGGCCTCCCAAGGCACGTTCTCCAAAGTGCTAGGATTACAGGCATGAGCTACCACACCTGGCCTGTCCTGGGTCTTAAAGGTGCTACTGAGAGTTGTCAGTGGAGACCCCGCTCACTGCC
Organism: Homo sapiens; assembly: GCF_000001405.40. Taxonomy (NCBI): domain Eukaryota; kingdom Metazoa; phylum Chordata; class Mammalia; order Primates; family Hominidae; genus Homo; species Homo sapiens. Next base: position 89,484,798 of record NC_000014.9, on the reverse strand, counting down.
TGTTGGGTCCTCCCTGGCCACACACCATCTGCCTTCCTGCACACAGGTGTGCAGAAGCTTGGGCCTTCTGGAATCATAGCCTGGGATCACCAGCCACCAGGAAGCGGAAGAACTAGAATAGCAGTATTTGTGTTCTCCTCCCACTGCAGAAATTGCCTAATAGATTGTTGCCACCCCTCCTAAGCCCAGGCCAGGGGTTGGTAAACCACAGTCGGCCCAGGGGCCAAATACTGCCTGCCGCCTGTCTGTGCATCGCCAATGTACTAAGAATGGTTTTCACATTTTTCAGTGGTTGGGAAAAATTAAAAGAATAAAATTTTGTGCCTTATGAAATGTATATGGAATGCAAATTTCAGTGTCCCTAAATAAAATGTTATTGAAACAGAGCCATGTTTGTTCATTTCTGGATTATCTATGGCAGTTGTGCCCTTACAATGGCAGAGTTAAATAAGTGCAATGGAAACCATGAAATATTTACCCTATGGTCTTTTATGGGAAAAGCTTACCAACTCCTGGCCTAGGCAGTTGTGTGACGTAAGTGTTTGCGAAATTTGATGTGTGGAGCTTTCTCCCCATTAAGAAAATAGGTTGAAAGGATGAGTAGGATTAGAATAGGAAGGAGCAGAAGGGGGGATTTTCTGGAGTGAGAAAGCGAATTGGTCACACTCTAGTTGGATATTTCCATTCATCTCTTTAACTTAAAATAAAACCTAGATGCAACATGAGGCCATTTCGTCTTAGGGTTGTCTGTAAGATGAAGCATCCAGACTTCTTGGATTAACCTAAATGTTGGAATAAATCAGCACCAAATTAAAACAAACCTTGCATTTTGGAACTTTTTTCTTTTTACTTGGCTCTGGGTGTGAACGATTTTATTTTAAACCAAATAAATATTTTGTTTTAAATCAAGTAAGCTTTGAAGGCTTACCATGAGTAAGCTATGGCATTTAATCTTGGCAATGCTTTTTCCCAATCTGGTAGCATTTTATGATACTGTTGAATGAAAACTATAGTAAAAGATGTGGGTTCTAATCTTACTAACCGGCTGAGCCAGGGCAGGCAGTAGTATATCAGGGTAAAAAGTACACCCAGGCCAGGTGCAGTGGCTCACGCCTGTAATCCCAGCACTTTGGGAGGCCGAGGCAGGCGGATCACCTGAGGTCAGGAGTTCAAGACCAGCCTGACCAACATGGTGAAACCCCGTCTCTACAAAAATACAAAAATTAGCTGGGTGTGATGGTGGGTGCCTGTAATCCCAGCAACTTGGGAGGCTGAGGCAGGAGAATCACTTGAACCCGGGAGGCAGAGGTTGCAGTGAGCCGAGATCGCGCTATTGCATTCCAACCTGGGTGACAGAGTGAGACTCTGTCTTAAAAAAAGTACACCCCACATCTCAGGGGCTTAGTACAACAAAAGCTTATGTCTCATTTGCCCAGAGTTGGGATTGGGCCAGTGTAGCTCTCTTGCATCCAGTATTTTGAGGTCCCAGGCCTCTTTCATCTTGTGATATCTACATCTCAAAACATGGCTTCCTGGCTGCTGCAACATGTGAAGGAGAGTTGAGAATGTACACCCATTCTTTTTTCTTTTTTGAGACAGAGTCCCACTCTGCCTCCCAGGCTAGAGTGCAATGGTGCGATCTTGGGTCTGTGCAACCTCCACCTCCTGGGTTCAAGCGATTCTCCTGCTTCAGTCCCCCGAGTAGCTGGGATTACAGAAGCGCGCCACCACACCTGGCTAATTTTTGTATTTTTGTAGAGATGGGGTTTCGCCATGTTGGCCAGGCTGGTCTTGAACTCCTGGCCTCAAGTGATCTATCCACCTTGGTCTCCCAAAGTGCTGGGATTATAGGTGTGAGCCACTGCACTGGCTCCATTCTTTTTTTTTTTCATACAGGGTCTTGCTCTGTTGCCCCAGCTAGAGTGCAGTGGTGTGATCATGGCTCACTGTAGCCTTGAACTCCTGGGCTCAAGGGATCCTCCCACCTGAGCCTCCTGAGTAGCTGGGATTACAGACACGTGCCACCATGCCCAGCTAATTTCTTTATTTTTTAGTAGAGACAGGGTTTCACCATGTTGGCCAGGCTGCTCTTGAACTCCTGGCCTCAAGTGATCCACCCGCCTCAGCCTCCCAAAGTGCTGGGATTATAGGTGTGAGCCACCATGCCCAGCTCCATTCATTTTTTTAGACAGGGTTTTGCTCTGTTGCTCCAGCTGGAGTGCAGTGGCGTGATCATGGCTTACTGCAGCCTTGAACTCCTGGGCTCAAGGGATCCTCCTGTCTGAGCTTCCTGAGTAGCTGGGGCTACAGGCATGCTGTAGTCTTGTTTTTAAAATTTTATGTAGAGTCAGGGTCTTGCTATGTTGTTCAGGCTGGTCTCAAACTTCTGGGCTTAAGCAATCCTCCCCCTTTGGCCTCCCAAAGTGCTGGGATTACAGGTGTGAGCCAATGTGCCCGGCTGCACACACACTCTTCAGTGCTTAAGACTAGAGGTGACAGGCCATTGGTCAGGACTAGTCACATGACCCTGTCTCTCTGGCAGGAGGCCGGGAAGTATGGAGGAGCTCATGGGATACTGTCCCCCACTGCTCAGCAACACTGAGTCACTAGGGGAAAGTATATACTTTTTTTGTGCCTTTGTTTGCTTATTATTAAGTGGTAATTAATTCAGTCCTACATTTTAACACATTTTAAGAAAAGTTCAAATAAAGTGTATGAAAGAACTTTAAAAGGAGTAACAAATTGTAAAATATGTAATATATAATTGTAAGCAAAAAATAAATTTCTTTATTGAGTCTTGAATGGTATGGGCTAGGTGCAGGGTCACACAAGTCCCAGTATGCCTAGGACTGTCCTAGCATACGCCAGTTTACCCCATATAATTACCATACAGTCTTCCCTTTCACACCCAGAAATATCCTGGTTTAGACCGTAAATGATATGATCGCCCTAGCTTGACTCCACTGGTCATCCTTTAAGATTAATGTTAGCTACTGTTTATTGAGACTCTTCTAAGAGTCAGACACTCTTCTCAGCTTTTTGTTGCGTTGCTTCATTTAATCCCCAAAATAAGACTGCTAGGTGTGTATGCATAATCTCTTCATTTTCAGATGAGGCAACAGAGATGCAGAAAGGTTTGAATTATTCAGTCACACAGGTAGCAAGTGGTTGATTTGGTGTGTCGATTTGAACCTGACTATTGGAATCTGTGTTCTTAAGCCCTCCATGGGGCTGCCTCACTCCTCGTTTTTGAGTATTGCACCCTTGACCTCATGGGGCCCCACTTCCCTGACAGTGGCCCTGGAATCTGTTCTCAGACCACATACTGGTAGAAAGTTCCAGCCGTGAGCCAGGAGTCCAGCCCTTTATGACACCAATGAGAAGACGAGCCGGGAAGTCACTACGTCGTTTTCCAGAGCCAGCAACAGCAGGCCTCACTGACGTGCGTGTCTCCTGACTTCCCGTCCGGTCCCCTGCCACCACTCCCTACCCTGATGTTGACAAGTGCAGCTTGTTTTAAAACTGGGCGCTGCATTTTACATGGAAAAGATTTTATTTTGAAATCTAGGGTGGAGTAAAACTCCAGCCAGTGAAGACTTGCCATGTGCTGTGCAGAGAATCCAAACAGGCCCCTTCCCAACCCAAACAGCCAGGAGAAACTGAGTGCAGGGAGTTTATTTACACATTTGTTTATTAAAAAAAAAAAAAAAGCTTAACCACAATCAAAGACCAGTTTATGTGCAGAATATTATCAAATAAAAAGCCATCTACTTAGGAGTCTGTATTGCAATTCCCCTGGTTCCTGGCCTTCCTAATCAGTGTTCAAAACCAAACCCACAAAATCAAAGGGAACAGCAGCTGAAAAATGAACGAAACATGGCACAGTCATCTACTGCATGGCTTGCTTCAAGAAACCCCCCATAAAATTATACATATGGTTTCTAAACGTACAAAGAAAACTAAAGGAATTCCATTATGAAAGAAAAATTAGATGGAAATTTCTAATCCTGTCTCATAAACAATATAGGAATAACTTTAAAATATTCTGCTTTAAGCATGCATTTAATTTGTGTTCTGGGAACCAAATAATGTTGCCAAGATAAAACATTCTAATAATGATTTATGTAAATTTATTTGTACAAAGTAATGGTGTAGTTGCCTATAGCAAATTGCTTGGAATATGAAATGACATTTATGAGGTCTTTTTTTTTTCCCTCTGAATGAATACAATGGAGAAAATGAGAGACTCCGGAAAGGAAAAAAGAAATCCATGTTCAAAATGGAGTCTGATGCTTTGAGACACAGAGCCAGCTGGCCAGGTTATAGGGTGTAAAAGTCAACACACTGAGTTCAGCATGGTTTCCTGTGATGTTCTCAAACCATTTTTTTTTTTTTGAGATAGAGTTTTGCTCTTCTTGCCCAGGCTGGAGTGAAATGGCACGGTCTCGGCTCACTGCAACCTCCGCCTCCCGAGTTGAAGTGATTCTCCTGCTTCAGCCTCCCGAGTAGCTGGGACTACAGGCGCCCGCCACCACGCCTGGCTAATTTTTTTGTATTTTTAGTAGAGATGGGGTTTCACCGTGTTAGCCAGGATGGTCTCGATCTGCTGACCTCATGATCCGCCCGCCTCTTAAGAGGCTAGAATCCTGTATTTTACTGATCATAAAGTGTTCAGACGCCCAAGCTTTTTCACAATAGTCAGTGACAAATACCTTGTTCTTACAGCCCCAGTAGGGTGCTTACAACATGGGATACAAACAGGCCAAATGTAGTTAAAAATTGGGCAATTAATCTCAGTTCCTTGTTACTTAATACCAAGGAAAGGTATGCTTGAGTCATAAATGGAGCCCAAATATTAAAACACAAGACGGAAACTTTCTGAAGGACTGACTCATAGACCTATTAAGAGTTTTCCCATTGGCTGCCCAGTTAGCACCTTTGGTAATGGCTCTAGGTGCTCCCCGGAAACAGTTAATTAAATGGAAATCACCATATATGTATCAGAGAGAGCTTTTGGATCCATGCTTTGGCCTTCTAAATGCCTAGTTGAATTTTCCATAACCTGTCCTATTGGAAAAGTCTGATGTTAACATCTCAGTGGTAGAAGGCATTTAATGTTTTTCAAAAAGTATTTGTGCTATCCCACTTGGTTGTTACAATCATTTCTGTGAGGTAGGTAAGAGTTTGTATTCTAAATACAGAGAAACTAAGGACCACAGAGATCACAGAGAAAGACATCTGCAGAAAGGGAGCACAGCTTCACACCAGCGTTCATCACACCGCCACCACCGACTACAGCTCTGGGATTCTGGAGAGCTTGCTTTATTTAAAACAAGTTGAGAGTTTTGGCTCATCATAAGCCATTTTGGAATTGCACTAACTATCCTGAGAGAAATGGGTTTGTCTAATCCAGAAGAATGACTTTGCAACAGGGTCCTTTGTTGCAGTGGTGCCAAGGCCTGGGGGCTGAAGTTAGGGCTCCCGAGAGAGAGGGTATAAAGGCTGAACAGGCTTTAAAACTGAATGAAAACAACACAGGCTTCCAGGAAAGAGGACTGGCCTGGGTTTTCAGCAGCTCCAGTTGAAGTGTGTGTACCTTAAAAGCTGTAGCTTGTGGCAGGGTGGGTTTTAATGAAGTGGCCCAAGATCTTCAGGCTGAGGCAGTGGATGCCAGGGTGAGGCTGTCAGCCACAGTTTCAGCTCCCAGTCCTTCCTCTTTCAGCTGCATGATTGGGATGGGATTTCTGAGGTGTGCATTCTGAGAATATAATGTAAACTGTCTGAACCTCCATTTCCCCATCTGTAAAATAGGGGTAGGGATATTTGCCTTGTAGAGGTGTTGTGGTAATTTTTTTTTTTTTTTTTTTGAGATGGAGTCTCGCTCTCTCACCCAGGCTGGAGTGCAATGGCTAGATCTTGGCTCACTGCAACCTCCGCCTCCTGGGTTGAAGCGATTCTCGTGCCTCAGCCTCCAGAGTAGCTGGGATTACAGGCGTGCACCACCACGCCTAGCTAATTTTTGTATTTTCAGTAGAGACAGGGTTTCACCATGTTGGCCAGGCTGGTCTCAAACTCCTGACCTCAAGTGATCCGCCTGCCTCGGCCTCCAAAAGTGCTGGGATTATACACGTGAGCCACTGTGCTCAGTCGGTGTTGTGGTAATTAAATAAAATCATTCTCTTAAAGTACTTGGCCCAGTACTTTATTCTGTGGCAGCTCTTAAAATTACTATTATGGTTCTTATTACCCAAGAATGTATGATCCTGACTGATAATTGGAAGTAAGATTAAAATATGTATTTTATTTAAGTGAGAATTAATCTAAAAGATTTCCAAACCAGTTGTTTTTGTGTACTGAAAGATAAGATGAATTTGAGAATTCATTCATTGTTTATTCAACAAACAGCCCTTGTTTGTATTAGTCCATTCTTGCACTGCTATAAAGAAACACCTGAGACTGGGTAATTTATAAGAAAAGAGATTGAATTGGTTCATGGTTCTGCAGGCTGTACAGGAAGCATAGTGGCATCTGCTTCTGAGGAGGCCTCAGGAAGCTTCCAATCATGGCAGAAAGCAAGGTGGGGGCAGGCACGTCACATGGCGAGAATGGGAGAAAGAGGTGAGGGGAGGCGCCACACACTTTCAAACAACTAGACCTTATGTGAACTCAGAGTGAGAACACACTTATCACCAAGGGGATGACCCAAGCCACTCATGAGGGTTCCTCCCCCATGACCCAGACACCTCCACCAGGCCACACCTCCAACATTGGCGATTACATTTCAACATGAGATTTGGGTGGGGACAAATATCCAAACTATATCAGCGTTGAAGGCCTTGTGGAAGCTCTTGGTATAACCTGTGAGGGGTCATCAGGCCAGATCCAGTCTCCTCTCAAGGGATAAAGGACTTTGGTTATTTTTTTTTTCTCCTGTTGTTCTCATCAACATTATCACGATTGCCATAAAAAATTGACTCAATGCCTATTTACACATGGCAAATAGGCATCGTGCCGGCCACTTTAATATACATGGTCTTTGTCTTCCAAGAATTCAGAAATTAAGCTGGTCTAAATCCTTATTTGTTGCTGAAAGCTCTGGGTCTGGCCCAGAGCCTTCAAGTTGGTTCCCTTCAGCCCAGTCATCCTGGCTGGCCGTGGTGTATTCTCAAGATGCAGGCTTGGAAAGTCTTTGCCCCTTGGCTGCTCTGCCCGAGGAAGAAGGCCTTGGCACTCTTTGCAGCTGTGTTCTTGGCTGTTGTGGGTGAGGCCCCAAGGCCGAAAGTGGGAATGCCCTTTTAGTTAGAATTCATTTCCTTCAGAAGCACATAAACTACTTTCTTATCAAGGGTTGAAGTGACTCCTGGGGAGAAAGTGTTGATTTCTTTTTTTTAAGATGGCTTTATAACACCCTAGAAAAGATGTTTCACAGAAATTCTCTGAAGGAAGATAGGAAGATAAGGAAGTGTAAAACATTCTCAAGTGAAAGGAGAAATATGGAATACTCCTCAGATCGGGGATCCAGTCTGGTCTATTTCAGTGGTTTCTGGACCCTAGGGAGCTTCTGTGTGGGAGGCAGAGGCAATTCCGAGGTGCCGTGCTTGGGCTTAGTCTAAGGGGGTGGGGGACACAGACAGTACACAGATATGCACAAGTAGGTATTCAAACGTGAGTGTTCCCCCAGTCTAAGGCAAAATGAGAAAAATAAGCTCAAGACAGTGAGTTCAATATCCTTACTTGGCAAAACAAAAAGTTGGCCATGTACATACGCCTGTCCCTAAAACTATTTTTGAAATTTTATTGCTGGGTGAAATCCAGATCCCAGAGCCTCCTTGCCTGGGGTTCTCTTGCCCCTTCTCCTGGGTGTCATTCTTGCCTCCTTCTCTATTTCTCCCTCCTGGCGCCTTACTACCATTCACTGCAGGTCTGAAGACAGTGGCTTATCCTTCTTATGAAAAAGAAGATTATCACGTGTTAGAGATACACCAGCAATGAAGACTTTCTTCCTGGTTTAAGGAGTGGGGGGATAGCATTTGAAAAGATAAACAGGCATCGGTCTTCAGCACTCTAGGTCACTCAGGTTTATCTCCTGGTGGAAATGTGGCGGACCCAACCCCCTGCGAAGGCAGAGGTGACTCTTAATCGCTGTGGAAAATACGACACTGTGCTGTTTCCCTCTAGTGAATATGTTTATGTGGTTTATGTGTCCATGTTGATTTCTCTCTCACTCTGATGTGTGCATATGAACTCCCAAAATGGATATTTGAGCATTAACCAGAGATCAAGTCATTTGAGCCCAAACTCAACTATGCTCAAAGCTCATAGCTCCCTCAGTGGTGGTGTCAACATAGTACACGCGAGAGCATTTTGGTTTAATTGGGCAGAATTTGGTTCAGAGGAGCAGTTGGGGGTCCGAGCAGGGGCATCTGCCGGGAGTCTGAGGAGGAAGGGCTGTTTTGAAGTTGGGATCTCTTGAAGGAGAATGGCATTCAGATTGGCCCAGTCAATATGATAGATGTATCAGCTCACGGTGAAGGAGGGGAGAGGCTTTTGGAAAGGGCATTATCTCACCCCAAAAGTGCAGTCAGATGGCCTCTGAACAGGTGGACTTTTACCTAACACTAGGACTCTAGTACAAAAAGGTGTGTGTTTGTGACATGCAAACATCCGAGAGCAAGAAGTTTAAACCCATTCCTCAGTGTTTATTCCTGCTGGAAGTTGATGAGACTTAATTGCCTTTGCCTACCCCTCCCACGGCACCCCCACCCCAAATACCACAGGTTATCCTTATCTCACAGCGATACATAGTTTCCCAGGTGAACAAGGGGCAGGAAATAGCAGCTACCGAAAGGTCCAAATTACTCATCAGTTCAGGTTTAATAGATTTTCCCTGTGTTGTTGGATCTTGTGTATTGACACACTCTCTCCTGGATCAGTCTTGGATAAACTGGTGAAGAATCGGGTAGTACCAAGTTCTGTTTGAAGACTATATGATTCTTCATTATCCCACTGGGGCCCTATAAGTTACATAAGGAAATGAATGGCCTGCTGGTTGCTCTTTTATGGAATGGCACAAGGCTGTTTGTAGGTAGTTAGGTGCTTGATAACTATTTTTGTTTAACTTTTAAATTGTTATTTTTTTTCTTTGAGATAGGGTCTCACTCTGCTGGCCAGGCTGGAGTGCTGTGGTGCGATCATAGCCCACTGCAGCCTTAAACTCCGGGGCTCAAGTGATTTCCCCACTTCAGCCTCCCAAGTAGCTGGGGCTACAAGCATGTGCCACCATGCCCAGCTAATTTTTTAATTTTTGTAGAGATGGCGTCTCCCTAGGTTGTCCAGGCTGATCTTGAACTCCTGAGCTCAAGCAATCCTCCCACCTCAGCCTCCCAATGTGCTGGAAATACAGGCGTGAGCCACTGCTCCTAGCAGTGATGACCTACTATTCTAACTACTACTTCTTACTAGAGATGGCCTATTATTACCACAGCATTTGATTTATTTCTTTACATGAATGTAACTGCAACATTATACTTGGTTACAATATTGTTTTATATATAGGTCTATTCATGGAATGCATATGTATAAGTAAATATCTATGTCTTTATATATATGGGTGTGTATAAATAATGTCATTTGATTCTGGGACACTTTATAGGATTTGTTGTTTCCTTAAGATATGGAAACACCTGGCCGGGCGCGGTGGCTCACGCCTGTAATCCCAGCACTTAGGGAGGCTGGGGCGGATGGATCACGAGGTCAGGAGTTCGAGACCAGCCTGGCCAACATGATGAAACTCCATCTCTACTAAAAATACAAAAATTAGCCGGGCGTGGTGGCGGGTGCCTGTTATCCCAGCTACTCGGGAGGCTGAGGCAGGAAAATTGCCTCAACCCAGGAGGCGGAGGTTGCAGTGAGCTGAGATTGTGCCACTGCACTCCAGCCTGGGTGATAGAGCAAGACGGCATCTCAAGAAAAAATAATAATAATAAATAAATAAAAAGATATGTAAACATCTAAATTACCACCATTAGAACTGGTTCCACTTTTATATCATTCAGTCTCCACTTCTTTCTTGGCTCTTCTACCCGAGACATACAAGTAGCCTCTGGTTGTCTGTGTGTTCAACTGAACAAAAATGTCAACAAGCTGCTATTTATTTTATTAGACAGCTTGAGCAGAGATGTTTGGTCTGATTGCCGCAAATTGTTAGCTTATCACTGAACTGTCCTGACGATTCTTATTATTCAATTTGCATTGCTTAAGATAATAATTATTACTCCATAAAAGAGCATGATGCTTTTATTTGTACAGTTCTTTCATTAATAATTTAATTGACTATTATAACCAAGTGGTTCTGCCACACATACATCAAGGTACTTACAGACTGGCCCTCGGCACCTTGGAATATCAGAATGTAGGTGTAAATTACAAGGCTTGGGGTGAGGATGTGGTGGTGGGCAGGTCCTTTGGCTTTGATAGCCAATTGGTTGGTCATGTCTTTTTCCCCCTGTTTATTTCCAAGCACTTTATTGATTCACCAGCAGTGACTCACTCTGATCTGGTTATTTTAACAATCTAAGAAATTAGATCATGGTATAGTTATTTTGGCCACTAAAATGGCTAGATTGGTTCTGATTTATAAGTGAAAAAAGTAATGATGGCTAAAACAGTAAATCTGACCTAAGATGAGTAAATCAGTAGGTTTGTGTAAACAGCATCTGTGTCTGTAGGGTCTGTTACGTAGCAATGATGAAGATGTTATCGGTCACAGCTTAGCAGACTTTCTTAGACTGCATTGCAACTGTGTAAGACATATGTGTTTTGATGTATTTTGCTATGGAAAAACTTAATTTGTGGATTTATTTTTTTTTTTAGCGTGGGAGAATACTACAAATTTTGTCCTAAATTCATGTTTTGTGTATTAAATAAAATGACAAATTGAAATATGCCTTTGGAGAAATGAGATAATGATGTTGAACTTGGCTCTAGTGGGTGTCAACCCATGGTAATGTTCAAAGAACATCTGGAGTTTTAAAACTCTGGATTTACCAGGAAAATAAAATAATTCTCATTTGGCCAGCCCATCCTGACATCTACAAGAGTGAATGTAGCTGTTGGTCAAGAGTGTCGTGGAGGCCAACTGTGGTGGCTTGTGCCTGTAATCCCAGCATTTTGGGAGGCCAAGGCAGGAGGATCCATTGAGTCCAGGAGCTTGAGACTGGCCTGGGCAACAAGGAAGACCCTATCTCTACAAAAAAATTAACCAGGTATGATGGTGTGCGCCTGTGGTCCCAGCTACTTGCGAGGCTGAGGTGCGAGCACCACACAGAAGTTTGGTTGAGCACAGAAGTTCGAGGCTGCAGTGAGCTGCAATCACGCCACTGCACTCCAGCTTGAGCAAAAGGAAAAAAAAAAAAAAGCGTTGTGGAGTAAATCTTCCATATCAGAAATTGGAATTTATTAAAATGATCACCTTCTGGCCGGGCACGGTGGCTCACGCCTGTAATTCCAGCACTTTGGGAGGCCGAGGCGGGAGGATCACGAGGTCAGGAGATCAAGCCCATCCTGGCCAACATGGTGAAACCCCATCTCTACTAAAAATACAAAAAATTAGCCAGGCGTGGTGGGAGGCGCCTGTAGTCCCAGCTACTTGGGAGGCTGAGGCAGGAGAATGGCGTGAACTCGGGAGATGGAGCTTACAGTGAGCTGAGATCGCGCCACTGCACTCCAGCCTGGGTGACAGAGCGAGACTCCATCTCAAAAAAAATAAAAAATAAAAATAAAAATGATCACCTTCTCCTCCATTGGTGGGCAATGCAAATGCATTTGGAGCAGGTTTTACTGTCTGACTTTGCCCCTGGAAATGTGTTTGCTGAGTTCAGGAAAGGAATTGGTGATAAATTAACCTCACAGAAGGGTTATGGAAATTGTTTGAGAGCTCAGCTTTATAATTTACCTTTTGGAAAGAAGTCTGGCATCTGATAATTAAAAATTATGTCTACATATATAATGACCAACTGAGTTCCTAGTACTGTGTACTTTAAGGATGCACAATCTATCTTTTTTTTTTTTTTTTTTTTTGAGATGGGGTCTTGCTCCGTCACCCAGGCTGGAGTGCAGTGGCGCGATCTCGGCTCACTGCAAGCTCCACCTCCTGGGTTCACACCATTCTCCTGCCTCAGCCTCCCTAGTAGCTGGGACTGCAGGCGTCCGCCACCACGCCCAGCTAATTTTTTTGTAATTTTAGTAGAGATGGGGTTTCACCATGTTAGCCAAGGTGGTCTCGATCTCCTGACCTCGTGATCTGCCCGCCTTGGCCTCCCAAAGTGCTGGGATTACAGGCGTGAGCCACCGCGCCCGGCCTGCACAATCTATCTTAATGCAATTAAACACTTGACAATTACCAACTTGGAAGAAGAAGGTCACTTCTGGGCGGCTGAGTTGTGCACATGTGTCACTCAGAGTTGGCTGGGTTGTGGGGTAACAGACAAACCCCAAAACTCAGTGGCATAAAATAGGGAAGTTTCCTTTCTTTTTTTTTTTTTTTGAGATGGGTTCTCACTCTGTCGCCCAGGCTGGAGTGCAGTGGCATGATCTCAGCTCACCGCAACCTCCGCCTGCTGGGTTCCAGCGATTCTCCTGCCTCAGCCTCCAGAGTAGCTGGGATTACAGGCACCCGCCACCATGCCAGCTAATTTTTGTATTTTTAGTAGAGACAGGGCTTTGCCATGTTGGCCAGGCTGGTCTCGAACTCTTGACCTCAGGTGATCCTCCCACCTTGGCCTCCCAAAGTGTTGGGATTACAGGCGTGAGCCACCACACCTGGCCGGAAGTTTCTTTTCTTGCTTACTCTACATTTCTGTTGAAGATTGATGAGGACTCTGTTCCAAGTCATCTTTATTCCCATTCCTGGATCGAAGCTGATGGGTCATTCCTCATCTCCGTGGCCGAGGGAAAGGTGCAAATGACGAACCAGGTGCTGGTTCCTAAAGTTGTCCAGTAGTGACACGTGTCACACATTTTATTGGCCATAGCTGGCCACCCCTAACTTCAGGCAGGCAGGGAAATGTAATACAACTGTGTAGTTGAAGGAGAGAGAGCTGAAGCATTTATAAATGGCCTTGTGATGTTTGTAGTATGTGTCTTCAGTATTGTAGATAGAACTCCAGAGACCTAGCTCAACTGAAGCAAGATAATTTTTTTTAAAGTCTTTTTTTTGAGACAAGGTCCTGCTCTGTCTCCCAGGCTGGAGTGCAGTGGTGCAGTCACGGCTCACTGCAACCTCAGCCTCCTAGGCTCAAGTGATCCTCCCACTCCTACAGGTGTGTGCCACCTGGCTAATTAAAAAATATAAAAAAACTGTAGACATAACAGGTCTTGTTATGTTATCCAGGCTAGTCTTGAGCTCCTGGGCTCAAGCAATCCATCCACCTTGGCCTCCCAAAGTGCTGGGACTACAGGCACGAGCCACCACAGCCGGCCCAGGAGAATTCTTTACATCCTTCTGAGGAAAATGGATTACTCTCAGGTAGGGTGGCTTCAGCTCTTCAGCACTGTCCTTTCTAGGGTCTGAACCACAGGGTGGCTCAAGGGTCTAGGTAGGTGCCCATAATCTCTTTTGCTCAAAAATATAAGCCACTCAAGCAAACATACTGTGCGCTTGCTATGCATTGCATGGCAACCTGCAGCCTCCCGCCTCCTGGCCAACTAGAGGGCCACTTTCATGCTCCTCCTAGACAGAAAACTGGAATGGCCTCAGTGCCTTAACTTCCCTCCTACATGTTCACTGTGGATTGTCCCAGTGTTTTAAGTCATTCTTTTTATTTCATTTCCCCTATTGGGATCTGCATGTTTCTCCTTGCAAGGACCAAGCCCAGTTGGCTTGGACATTGGTCTCTACTTATTGCTGAGTGGTAGAGAAGGTTCCTCCCCCTCATGAAGGTCAGGGAAGCTTTTGCTTTCCTTGACTTGGTTCTCTCTGTTCATTTAGGTTAGCTCTACTGGGCCGCTCCGAGGCATTGGCTGAAAATCTCCGTGCTTGGGACGGAGTGCCTGTGTCTGTGCCTGGCTTGTTGGCATAATGCGTTCCATGGGGGCCTTAGTTATGTTTTTCAAGGCCCCAAAAGAAATTCATGTCCACATAAGAGATGTTTACTTTGCCAGCAAATTCAGCTATCTGGAATATAGCCAGGAGTTGGGTAGGAATAAAAAATATCTCAGAGAGAAAAACAGTTATCTCCAAATCCATGCACTAAATTTTAAGTAGATTGCTGGTTTTGTGTTCTCATTGCAGCCACATTTCCTAATTAACTTGGTTTTCTGATCCTCTTTCATAGATGAGAAAACTGAGGCACAAAGAGGTTAAATAATTTGCCGAAAGTCTCAAAGCTATGAGTGGTAGAACAGGCTCTTATGATTCTAGAGTCAGTAGAATAATTGGTGTTTATGGTGGTGGCAGTGAGATAAGAAAAAGAGTAGAACTGCATTTAATGCTTTTTTTTTTTTTTAGAAAGTCAGAGAGAAATATGTAATAATTGTAGGTTGATTCCCTTCAAAATAGCCAGTTTTGTTTTCTAATTCTAATGTGTGATGAGTATCAGTTGGCTGAGAAATTCCACTAAGTAGGACTGAGCTTCCAGCGTCTGCCAAACAAATGAGGATTTGCTGAACATCTAGTTTAGCTGGTGTATAAATAGACGCTTATGAAATACTTTTTTGCCCAATCAAGATGAAACCACGACTCAGTCTGTGTTATGATGATCAGCTTGGTTCTGGTGTGCTTGGGTGGGAGGTGGACAGCTTCAGGAATATCTCAAAACAGGGGCAGGCCCTGCCTGCATGACTGAAGCTGGTTGCCTCTTTAAAAAAACGCACCTGCGTGGAAGCCCGTGGCGACCAACTCGCTGACATTCACCAGGATCCTCTGTTTGTGTTGCACTTCACAGTTTTCAAAGCACGGACGTGTACATGGAACGATCCTGCGTGTTAGGTGCCTTTTCTCTCCTTCGGATGAAGACAGTGAGACCTAGAGGGATTTACCCAAAGACACAGTGCCAGGGAGTAGCAGAGCCCATCACCTAGACCTCACTCTCTCTCCCCCAGAGCTAGTCCATCAGCTCCTGCTCCGTTCATCCACTGGGGCAAGGCACCCAGAGGGCGATCAAAGCAGACCCATTTCCTACTCCAAGGAGCTTTCTTTCCCAGTTAAAGAAGTCCAGGTCCACAGAGGAGGTGGAGAAAGAAAACGAAAGCCCAGTCACAACATGAACTCTTTGCTCCAAGACAGAACAGAGACTTGAGATAACAGGAATAAGAGAAAAACACCCTTGAACCTCAGGCAGTGTGGAGACAAGGCTTTCCTTATCTACTAGCTGCAGGCAGCAACCTTCAGTTGGAGAAGCCCCTCAACCCTGCTTCCTGGACTGAGGACAGGGCTGAAACTTCTGCCTGCCTTGGGATTGCTGGTCACCCTAACCCAACTGGGTATGCCTTGGAGAGGGGAGGAGGCAGGGATTGGCCGATGGCTGTCAGACACTCCTCCTGGTGCTGTGGGTCTGGGCATCTTAGGGTGATCCCCGACAGGTGTTCTGACCTCAGGCTTGTCTGTGCCACTGACTACCTCAGGGTCACACTTGAAGCCAGTTAGGGGACCCCTGGGTCTCAGTTTCTCTCATCTGCAAATTAAAGAGTTCTCAACCTCACTCATAATAAAAGAGGTTCAAATCAACACAAGGAGTGCCATTTTGTCACTTGCTTATTAGAGAGCAGATATGATGCAAAATTTGAGAATATCCAGTTCTGGAGAGGGGCTGGGAAAAGGCACGTTCACTTGGCTTTTGTGTCAGGGTATATGGGCAGAGCATTTTGGGAGGGCATCTGGCGACGTCTCTCAAAATGTATGATGCACAGACCCAGCAAGTTCACCCTTTGGAATATGTCTGGTGGATTTTCTCACTACAGTATTAACAACTGGTGAATAAGGATGTCTTAATATTGTTTGTAACAGCAACAGCCAAACTGGATACAACCTCGATATTCACCACCAGGGGACTGGTTCAAAGCCCAAATGATACGTCCTGGCACACTGGGCAGCATTTAAATAGGAGGATAGGGAGGGGGTACGAAGATATAACAGGAGTAAATAATAGCAATACATATTTGAGTGCTGTCTGCATTCTAAGAAGTTTACGTGTGTTAACTCATCTATCCCCATCATTCAGATCAAAAAGCTGAGGCACAGTCAAGTTATATAATCTGCTCAAGATCATACTGTAGTTAGAAATTGGCATGGGAGTGTGGAGTACAAACCAAGTGTGTGTGTGTGTATGTGTGTGTGTGTGTGTGTTTTGAGACACAGCCTTCCTCTGTCACCCAGGATGTTGTGCAGTGGCTTGATCTCGGCTCACTGCAGCCTCCACCTCCCTGGTTCAAGCAATTCTTCTGTCTCAGCCTCCCAAGTAGCTGGGACTACAGGTGCCTCCCACCATGCCTGGCTAATTTTTGTATTTTCAGTAGAGACGGGGTTTCACCACGTTGGCCAGGCTGGTCTTGAACTCTTGACGTCAGGTGATCCGCCCGCCCCAGCCTCCCAAAGTGCTGAGATTACAGAAGTGAGTCACTGGGCCCAGCCTGTAAACCAAGTATTTTGGCTTCAGAACTTTGCTTATTGCCTGAAGTACAAAAAGCAAGTTTCAGGAAAGTGGGATCCTATTTATAAAAAAAAAAATAATCAAATTATGTAGATGCATGTATATATGTGCATGCATATATATGCTCATATTTTAATTATTATTTTTGGCAGGATCCACAAGAAAAAAGTAGGAAGGACTGGGGGCTCAGGGCAGGAGGAAAATGCCAGGAGTGCTAGCTCATGCCTGTAATCTCAGCACTTTGGGAGGCTGAGGTGGGAGGAAGGATTGAGGCCAGGAGTTTGAGACCCTCCTGAATAACATAGTGAGACCTAATCTCTACCCAAAAAAAAAAAAAAAAAAAAAAAACAAAGAAAGAAAAGAAAAGGAAGAAGAAGAATTAGCTGGGAGCTTGGTGGGCTTGGTGGCACTTACCTATAGTCTCAGCTATTTGGGAAGCTAAGGAGGGAGGACTGCTGGAGCTTGAGCCCAGGAGTTTGAGACTGCAGCTGGGCAACACAGTGAGACCCCATATGTTTAAAAAAAAAAAAAGCAAGAGGGAACAAAATGTTTTAGCTTTAATTTTCTTCCTTCCTGTGCTGTTTTGCCTTTTTTTTTTTAAAGGGCATGTTTATCACTTAAAAAAAATTTACATTTGGCTAATCCGTTTATGTCGGGGATTAGGTGGACCATTTAAATTTTCTTTTAATTTTTCGGCATTTAAAAAATATGTCATCAGTAATTGTATTTTAAAGTGAAACAGCTGGACATAACTCTCTCCAAGAGCCCCTTCCAGATTAGAAATTTCCCATGTTCCCAGCCCCTTTTCTACAACGTGTAATGAAGCCATGTTTCCTGCCCACAAGGATCTCAGAGTTACAGCAGGTGGTGGATGGCGACACGCACCCCGGGAACAGGCGAAGCTGTGGGATCACACCAGTCTCTGCTGGATGTGGGCTTGTCCTGCCGGGCCAGCCCTCACTTTCTTCCCTAGCAGAGAGCTGTGTCTGAGTCTGGGTGGAGAGCCACCGTGAGAAGGGGGTGTGATGTGCAGCTGCCTGTGCTTGGGAGTCCCGGGCAGGCTCCAGCAGGCTCCGTCCTGGATTGGATCTGAGTTCATGATTATTACCATCGCCCAACAGTGGTAGGTCCCAGCAACGAAAGCTAACGCTGCTTTTGTGTCAGGCGCTGTGATCACGTCTTTATGTGCAGACACTGTAGCTACTGTTTTTCCTCCCCATTCCATAGATGAAGATTCAGATGTTCTCCCTTTCTTCTGCCTTACTTTTTCAGTAATGAAAGCAGTGTGCCCCCACCTTGCCGTAGGCCTGAGGGGATCAGTGTGGTGACTGGAACAGTAATTGAAATGAGAAAACCCTCGAGAGAAATGTAAAACCCAAAGGGAGTGGTACAGGTCCTTGGCCAGCTGCCCCAAGTCCCATGTAATTCTCTGTGCCGTGCTAGAGGGGTGGCTTTAGTTAGGGAGGCCTTGTAGCCTGTGGTCCCTGGTGAGAGTCTGTTCACACCTCCCTTGCAGCACTTCCTGTGTTGTAACTGCTGCTGCGGGTGGTGTGCTTCACTAGGCTGTGGGCTCCTGGTGGGCAAGGTCTTGATTCATCTCTCAAATCCAAATGCCTAGAATGGGCCCTGAATTAGGACTCCAAGCACGTTTCCAACATGGACAGGGTTAGTGCTCTTGGGCAAAACAGTTATCTGAGCAGTCAAGAGGCCTTAGAAAGCAACTGGCACGAAAAACATATTCCCTGCATTTGCCGTCAATTGGAAGAGGATGCAAAAGAGGAGAAATAAGTGGAGCTTCATTTTAGTTTGTGGCAAAGTCATACTTGTCAGCAAAATGGCGGCCCCCGGGAGGTCTGGATGTATTGGTTACTCACATCTCAGTTTGCCTTAAGCGGATCAACTTGAATGCCTTAGACGACCAAGTTGTAATTTCGGAAGGCACAGATACTAATGGAAAAGAGATGAAAAGGAAGAAAATGAAGTGGAAGCTGCAGACTAGAGGCATTCAGTCGTTGCTGGAGGCTGGAATACCAGGAAGTTCCTGGAGGGGCAGCCCTGTGTTTGCTGGCTGACTCCTCCCTACCCACCTGCTCAGTGACGATCACACTGTGACTTATGTGGGGGGCAGCTGGTAGATACTTTGTGTGTGCATGTGCATAAGTGAATAAAGCTAATGAGATGGAGATGGGAATGACCCTGATATTCTGTTCAAATAATCAGCCTGTCTTAAAGGACACTGTTTTATGTAAACCTAAAAACTGGAAACAATGTTTGAATTAATTTTACAATACAATCCAGAGTGATGTCCTAGCTTACTGCATCTAGAAAGCTCTTGAGTTGAGATTTAAATGGAAAATTCCAAGTGTCTTCTCCCTCAGTCAATGATTAAGAACAAATCTTCATCAATTGGAGAGGATGTAACATAGCCTCTCAGTACCTGAAATGATAAATAGCTCAAGTTGGAGGTATTAGATCACACCTCACATTCTTTGCAACTCTGAACCCTGTGAGTTTCAGGGAGTCTCTTTTGAGTGCAGACAGTGGTACAAAACATAACCTTGTGGGACCCCCTTGAAAAGTTCTTCTGGATTGTATTAGTCCGTTCTCATGCTGCTAATAAAGACATACTCAAGCTAGGCGCGGTGGCTCACGCCTGTAATCCCAGCACTTTGGGAGGAGGGTGGATCACGAGGTCAAGAGATTGAGACCATCCTACCCAATGTGTTGAAAACCCGTCTCTACTAAAAATACAAAAATTAGCTGGGAGTGGTGGCGGGTGCCTGTAGTCCCAGCTACTTGGGAGGCTGAGGCAGGAGAATCGCTTGAACCTGGGAGGCGGAGGTTGCAGTGAGCCAAGATCGTGCGACTGCACTCCAGCCTGGCAACAGAGCAAGACTCTGTCTTCAAAACAAAACAAAACAAAAAAAAACAAAGACATGCCAGAGACTGGGTGATTTATAAAGGAAAGAGGTTTAATTGACTCACAGTTCTGCATGGCTGGGGAGGCCTCAGGAAACTTACAATCATGGCAGAAGGGGAAGCAAACACATCCTTCTTCACGTGGCGGCTGCAAGGAGAAGTCCTGAGCAAAAAGGCCCTTATAAAACCATCAGATCTCTGGAGAACTCACTCACTGTCACGAGAAAAGCAGCATGGAAGTCAGGTGCGGTGGCTCACGCCTGCAGACCCAGCACTTTGGGTGGCCAAGGTGGGCGTATCACGAGGTCAGGTGTTCGAGACCAGCTTGGCCAACATGGTGAAACTCAATCTCTACCAAAAGTACAAAAATTAGCCGGGCGTGGTGGTGGGCAGCTGTAATCCCAGCTATTCGAGAGGCTGAGGCAGGAGAATCGCTTGAGCCCCGGAGGTGGAGGTTGCAGTGAGCTGAGATCGTGCCATTGTACCCCAGCTTGGCGACAGAGCAAGACTCCGTCTCAAAAACAAAACAAAACAAAACAAAAACAGAAAAGCAGCATGGGGGTAACTGCCCCCATGATTCAATTACCTCCAACTTGGTCCCTCCCGTGACACATGGGGATTATGAGAACTGCAATTCAAGATGAGATTTGGGTGGGGACACAGCCAAACCATATCACAGATATTACTGAAAAGTTAAGCAAAAGGATAGAGCCCATTTTATAAACAAAGTTAAGGAAGCTTTCTCAGCAAAGGTTTCTTGGAAAGGGGAACCACTCGGAAGTTTTCCTGCTGTTGCTGAAAAGATAGCTTGATACCATGGTCATGTGTCTATGACACCAGGATTGCTTTTCAAGGAGCTATAGAGGATGAGTGCTCTTGGCCATGAATCAGGGGAAGGCTATCTCCAAGTAGAGTAGGCACTTGAGCTGCCTCTAAACTCCAAGTTAGCTTAGGGACTCCCAGGTCTAGGAAATGGGGCAGGTCTGGGAAACAGAAAGAAGGTAGAGGAATCTCATGGCCCCTCCTATACGTGACGCTTCCTTATTCCTTTGTGCCACATCTCTACTCAGCTGAGAAATCTGGAGGAGACTGGGATCCACTCTGTCTGCACTACCTTGGCAGGGAACAGTGGGCTAAGAGACCACTACCAGGCCGGGCGCGGTGGCTCATGCCTGTAATCCCAGCACTTTGGGGGGTCGAGGCATGTGGATCACCTGAGGTCAGGAGTTCAAGACCAGCCTGGCCAACATGGTGAAACCCCACCTCTACTAAAAATTCAAAATTCACTGGGTGTGGTGGCATGTGCCTGTAATCCCAGCTACCTGGGAGGCTAAGGCAGGAGAATCACTTGAACCTGGGAGGCAGAGGTTGCAGTGAGCTGAGATTGCGTCACTGCACTCCAGTCTGAGTGACAAGAGCACAACTCCATCTCAAAAAAAAAAAAAAAAAGAGAGAGAGACCACTACCCCTGCATATCTCTGATTCCCCAGTCTCCACAGCCAAACTTTTGGGGGAGCCCTAGTAACTTATGGCCCTGAAGCAATGATGTCATGTCCCAGGCTCCAGTGGCTGAGGCTGTACTGAAGAGGTCTCAGGAGCCAGATGCTTTTGTGGAATGGAGGCTTTTCAAAAATACACTCTCTCTGCTCTAGAAGAACCAAATGCTGTGGGGATAATTGGAACCCAGTGTACTTGGCTAGGAAGACCTGCCATGGGTAAGAATGGAATACTTCAAAATTGCTTAACCTGCATGCAGTCTTGTGAATCTTTACTTTTAAACTTATTGCTGTGGTTTGAAAGTGTCCTCCAAATTTCATGTATTGGAGACTTAATCCCCAATGAGGTAACATTGAAAGCTGGGTCCTTTAAGAGCTGATTGGACCACGAGGGGTCTGCTGTCATGAATGCATTAATGGGTCAATGTGTTCTCATGGGAGTGGATCTGGTGGCTTTTTTTTTTGAGACAGAGCCTTGCTCTGTCGCCCAGGCTGGAGTCCGCTCACTGCAGGCTCTGCCTCCCGGGTTCATGCCATTCTCCTGCCACAGCCTCCTGAGTAGCTGGGACTACAGGCGCCTGCCACCACGCCCGGCTAATTTTTTGTATTTTTAGTAGAGACGGGGTTTCACCGTGTTAGCCAGATCTTCTCAATCTCCTGACCTCGTGATCCGCCCTCCTTGGCCTCCCAAAGTGCTGGGATTACAGCCACTGCGCCTGGCCGGTCTGGTGGCTTTTTAAGAAGAGGAAGAGAGGGCTGGGTGCGATGGCTCACACCTGTAATCCCAGCACTTTGGGAGGCCAAGATGGGTGGATCATGAGATCAGGAGATCGAGACCATCCTGGCTAACATGGTGAAACCCCGTCTCTACTAAAAATGCAAAAAATTAGCTGGGCGTGGTGGCGGGCGCCTGTAGTCCCAGCTACTCAGGAGGCTGAAGTGAGAGAATCGCTTGAACCCAGGAGGCAGAGGTTGCAGTGAGCCGAGATCGTGCCACTGCACTCAAGCCGGGGCGACAGAGCGAGACTCCATCTCAAAAAAAAAAAAAAAGAAGAAGAGGAAGAGAGACCTGAGAAAGCATGTTAGCATACCCAGCCCCCTCCATTGCCATGTGATGCCCTGTGCTGCCTTGGACCTCTGTAGACAGAGTCCCCATCAGGAAGAAGGCCTTCACCAGATGTGGCCCATTGACCTTGGACTTTCCAGTGTCTACCACAGTAAGAAATAAATTCCTTTTCTTTATAAATGATTCAGTTTCAGGGATTCTGTTATAAGCAACAGAAAATAGAGTAAGATCCTACACTCTAAGTGTTTCCTATTAACTTGCCAGATATATTCTCCAATAATAGTGGCTTAGGTAGGTGGGAGGCATGATTAAAATAAAGAAATTACACTGGAATGATATGCTCCTGGTGAGGTGGCTTTTGACAGTATTAGCCAGATTCCTCAGTGTCCCAGTCCTGTGTATTTGACCTTGGAAGACTTTACCAATATCAGGAGTTCTGCTAAGGAAGAGGAGGAGAAATTGACTTTTATCCTCATGATTGGGAGAGCCCATCAAGGTTGCCCTTCCTACAATAGAGGGGTTTACCCCAAAGGCAGATTCCTGCTTCCACCTTAAACTCAACTTTCTAATCAATGTTAAATAGTCTTCTGGATTTCCTTCCAGCCAGCAAGTATTCAGAGCTCCTACCATGTAATTAGGAAATAATTTATTAATGCAAAAGTCGATATTTACAAATCTGATTTTACTAGCTGGAGTGGAAGCTCACAGAAGAAGGGGCCTGTCGTATGCACTGCCAAGACCCCCTGTGCCCAGTCCTGCTCCTGATAGGATATGGGATCCCTAAGAATTGGATGCCTGGGTGCTATCAAGGCTTTCTTTCATTTTGGCCCTCAAGTTCTGGAATACCCTTTTCTCCCCTTTTCTAGTTTGCTCCCTGCTTAAATCCTACCTATCTTTCAAGGTCTGTCCAGATCGTTGCCCCTGGATGCTCCTCCTGACTACACCAGCTCTGGGGCTGCCATTTTCCTTCTGCCTCCTACTCTAGACATCATGTTGTAGATTTCAAGTAATTTCCTACAAATCATAGTTATTGTGCTACATTTTGAAAAGGACTTGCTTTTTATTATTATGTTTCAAATTGGAATGGATTCAAGGATAATATTACTCTCTGCATTGGTGTTCTGATATGCTTTCTTTGTTAGTTCATTAGTGTATTTATTATTCATTCAAGAAAATATTCTTTGTGTGTCATGGGCTGGGAAATACCCTGATATGATGCAGTGTTAAGCAAACTGCAGGGTTCCCTCTTCTCCTGGTGCGTATATTCTGGTGGTGCATACATTCTGGTAGGTGAAGACAGACAACAGGCAGACTGAGAGATTTTTTTTTTTTTTTGAGACAGAGCCTCACTCTGTCGCCTGGCCTGGAGTGCAGTGGTGTGATCTCGGCTCAATGCAACCTCCACATCCCAGGTTCAAGCGATTCTCCTGCCTCAGCCTCCCGAGTAGCTAGGACTACAGGCATGCACCACTATGCCTAGCTAATTTTTTGTATTTTTAGTAGAGATGGGGTTTCACCATGTTGGTTGGCCATGATGGTCTTGATTTCTTGACCTCGTGATCCGCCTGCCTCGGCCTCCCAAAGTGCTGGGATTACAGGTGTGAGCCACTGCGCCCAGCCCCCTCCCCCCCCCTTTTTTTTTTAAGATGGAGTTTCGCTCTTGTTGCCCAGGCTGGAGTGCAATGACGTGATCTCGGCTCACTGCAACCTCCTCCTCCTGGGTTCAAGCGATTCTCCTGCCTCACCCTCCTGAGTAGCTGGGATTACAGGCATGCGCCACCATGCCTGACTAATTTTGTATTTTAGTAGAGGTGGGGTTTCTCCATGTTGGTCAGGCTGGTCTCGAACTCCAACCTCAGGTGATCTGCCCGCCTCGGCCTCCCAAAGTGCTGGGATTACAGTTGTGAGTCACCGCGCCCGGCATTTGTCTTCATTTATTTTACCAAAGACATGCCTCTTTGTGGATTCCCCAATGCCTAGCCAAGGTAGGAACTTGTAGAATAATTGATTGATTGATTGATTGATTGATAACTCTACTTAATTAATTTTCTCCATGTTCCATCCTTTGGATGGATAAAGGCAATGCCTACTACGTGCAGATCTAAACTGGGAGTGACTCCTGGATGCAGGCTAACGTTCCTCCTCCCCGGCAGAGTGAGAGGAACAAGAAGCGGGACAAATGAAGCCCGCTCACTGTGCACTCTGACGGTGTTTCTCTGCTAAGTGTCTGTGTTTGCATATCATTGGCATTTGTTATGCCGGAAGAAACTAGGTGTGGGATGTTATTTAGATGTTTCCTTGAGTTTTCTGGAGCGGAGAGCGATTCCTGTTGGTTACTAGATCCCACACAGATGAAACAGCACCCATGCGCCAGAAAAGGAATGTTCGCATTTAATTGAAGCACTTAGTATTTGGCTCTGACCTTTGGAGGATGTCATTTTGGGGTAGCAGCTCTGTTAGACACAGCCTGCCAGCCTTCCCCGGAACGCTCAGGAAAAAATGGTGTAACTAGGATGTCCTTGTCTTTTACAACAAAATGCAAGAAAAAGAAGCTCCTTGCTTTCCCCACATCGAGAAGTAGCTTGGCTTTCTAGAGAAAAGAAAGTGAACGGTGAACTCCAGATAGGGTGCTGAGGAATCCCAGGAGAATTCCAGCAGGGACCAGACTTCCAGGGGAACATCTTGGCATTCCTTAGCAGCTGTCGGGCAGAGTTCGTATTGTCTTCCCCTCTTGCTGTAGGGCTGACCTTGGTAAGCTGTTATCATCCCACGCACATATGTACCTCACAGTCCTCTTTGAGTTGTTCATCTGGCCTTGGGCACCCATTGTAGGAATATTGCCCTCGGTGGGGGGATTCTGTACTATCCAGGCAATTACCTTCCTAGCAAAGGGTTCCGGGTTTATGGATGTACCTGAGGGCCTGCTTTCTAAATCCAGTTATCACTCACAAAGACAGGGGAAGCCATGAAAGTTGTGGGCCAAGGGAGTGAGGAAGGGTATGCTTCCATCTGCCCCCAGCCTCTTCTCTGGGGCTAGCCTCTCTGCCTTGCTGGATGAACAAGAAGTGAGTTCCACTAGCAAAAGCATTTGCTTTCCATAGCTGCCTAGACGGGGCTGAGTGGTGTATTCTAATCTCGGCTCCAGTCCACTGCAGGCTCTAGATCAAGTCCTATAATCTCGCTGGAGCTCATTTTCCCCACGTGTAAAGTAACCACTATGGTACCAGATCCTAAACCTCCTTCTAATGCTAATGTGCTGTCCCTGTTCCTGAAAGGCTAATGGTTTGGGTGCAGATTTAAATTCACTCTGATTAAAAGGGCTCTTTTAATGGCCTAGCTCCTCAGTGGATTGTCAAGAAATAATGTGACCTTTTAGGAGTTTCCTTCCAAAGGTTTCCCAAGCCCCTACTGGTTTGAAGTTGCATCAGTGTCATAATCTTGTCATTTTATGTCATCATAAGGTCATTTAAAATGGCCCTGTTTTTTTTCCCCTTTTTTTCTTCTTCTTCTTTTTTTCCTGATTCACCAAGCACAGGTCTTGTTTCTCGTTTAAAGGATTCACTCTGCACGTTTCTCTGTGAATGCCCAACTGCTAGTTTGTGATTCACAGACCAAAGTGTTGAGATTCCTGCAAACTCAGAACATATTAGCTTAGCCTTCTTAAAAGTGGATGGGGTGAGCAGTAGGGAATTACTTTTTCTAGTCTGTTTGGAGAGCTTGCAGATGAATTTGTTTCCTTTTGTCCTTTTCCACTTAGCAAATATCGACTTTGACTCTTGGCTGTGAGTGGAGCTGGACTGAGCGTGGTGAATCTTTATTTAAGGGCTTTATCTTCTCTGGGGCAGGACTGGCCAAAACTTGTGGCTGGAGTGTGATTGACTGGGACCTAGAGGGGGTCTTGATTGCTCTGTTTGCTGAGGCTCACATGGAACCAGCAGAGAGGGCTCCACACCCCCGACAAAATAGCCTGCAGTGTTGAGAGGGCAGCTGGATAGCTTTTTGGTAATCATTTGTTTTCAGGCATGCCAAGGCTGCACTTGAAACCCAAGTTGAAACTCAAATTATTCACAAGCATAATAACCAAACTCCCAGTTCACATTGTATCTCCCTGCTGAGATACAGAAGGAATGGGGTCATTTTCCTGAGAACTGCATTGTAAAATACTTGGTAAGAGGGCATCATGAAGACCGTTGGCGTCCATGGATTACCCGCATGCTGAGTTTTGAGGGAGCACAATGTGCTAATCCCAGGAAATGAAGTCCTTTAACAGAGAGTCCAGGACACACAAGGAGGGGCTGCTCAAGTGGCTGTCTCCAAAAGTGCACCTTGTGTGTTTCTAATACAAGGATAAGGCAAGGGGAGCCGAGCCTGCAAGGCCCAGAGAGCCCCGGGCAAGGCAAAGGGAAATGATTCGGATGACAAGAGACACTGAAAACTACAGATATTTCTTATGGGGGAAAAAGCCTTAGAGGGCCTGGGTGGAGAAGTGCTGGGAGCCACTCTTCCCTCTTATCTGATGTTTGACCATGTCACCTTCCTTCCTCCAAATCTCCTGATCACTCTGACATCAAGAGTAATGTTCAGCAGGTGAGACACAGCACTCTCCATGCCCACTTCCTTTTTTTTTTTTTTTTTTTTTTTGAGATGGAGTTTCGCTCTTATCGCTCAGGCTGGAGTGCGATGGCGCAATCTTGGCTCACTGCAACCTCCGCTCACTGCAACCTCCACCTCCCAGGTTCAAGCAATTCTCCTGCCTCAGCCTCCCAAGTAGCTGGGATTACAGGCATGTGCCACCACGCCCAGCTGATTTTTTCTATTTTTAGTAGAGATGGGGTTTCTCCATGTTGGTCAGGCTGGTCTCGAACTCCCGACCTCAGGTGATCCACCCTCCTCAGCCTCCCAAAGTGCTGGGATTACAGGCATGAGCCACCGCGCCCGGCTCCATGCTCACTTCTTGTTTCTCCCAAACGATTGTATGATTAATGAAAATGGGAGAACAGGGGACAGATAGCCTTCATGTAGAGGATTCCTCTGGGTAGGGTTTCTGCAGATGGGCTGATGGATTTCCATGATTTTTCACAAAGCAGGAGAAATACAATCTCCCTTTCTTCCCTTCAAGTAGGTACTATTGTTGTCCCCCATTGTCCAGATGAGAACCTGAAGTTTAAAGTGGTTAAGTAGCTTGCCCAAGGTCATACGGTAAGAGTGGTGGAGCCAGGATTTGTCCCTAAGCATTAGGCTCCGGGTTCCATGCTTGCAGCCACTATGCATTCATTGGATTTTCCTAGTAAACAGGTCCAGGTATCAGGAGCCCAATCAGAATCAAACCTCAACAGTTTGGGCCAGAGCTGGACCAGAATGGCTTGCACACCTGCTTGTTCTCCTTGGCTGGTCTTCGCGTCTTTCTGCCTCACACACCTTTACAGGCACTCCGTGAAGGTCTCTAGAAAGAATGCACCAACTGACAATATCCTGACTAAAGCTGCTTGCATGGAGAGACAGGAGAACCATTGTATTTAAAGAGGCTATCGCCATGTTGTTTATTAACCAGTAGCTCCCAGAGTCAAGCTGTAGACTTGAATTGTGTGATTTTGTGTGACACTTGTGATTACAGGTCATGCATGGGCTGCAGTGTGAGTCTGAATCATTAATAACGGTGATACAAATTTACTTCCCATTTGCCGTGTATAAGTAGTTCATATTCAATGTTTCCCATACATCATTCCAGTCTTCCCCCATACCCTGGAGAGGTGGTTATTTTTATTCCCCTTCACAGACAAAGGACCTGGGCTCAGAAAGGTTAAGTGACTTGCCCAGGGCCACACAGCCTATAATTAACCCATCTCTGACTGGCTTCTCAGCTCAGTCTCTTCCCACTGCATCTTTCATTCACTTATTTATTATTTTATTTTATTTGCGACAGCGTTTCACTCTGTCACCCAGGCTGGAGTGCAGTGGTGCGATCTTGGCTCACTGCAACCTCTGCTTCCTGGGTTCAAGCGATTCTTATGCCTCAGCCTCCCGAGTAGGTGGGATTACAGGCTCCCGCCACCAAACATCTGGCTAATTTTTGTATTTTTAGTAGAGATGGGCTTTCGCCATGTTGCCCAGGCTGGTCTTGAACTCTTGGTCTCAAGCAATCCAGCCACCTTGGCCTCCCAAAGTGTTGGGATTACAGGCATGAGCCACTGCACCCGGCCTCATTTATTTATTTTAGAAAAAATACTTATTGGGCACCTACTATGTGCCAGGCATTGTTCTCATTGCTGGAGATGCCATGGGGTATAATGAGAGACAGAGCCAAGGTCTCCCTTTTCTGGAGTTTACACCAGGCAACAGCAGCCTGGTATAAATGGGCCTGGGATACCCACATAAATTAGGAGAGTAGGGGCACGTTGGCCAAACCCTAATATGAAAGCCTTGAACCTGCAGGGCCCACGGGCTCTTTTGTGGTTAGTTTTTTTTTTTTTTTTTTTTGGAGACTGAGTCTCACACTGTTGCCCGGGCTGGAGTGCAATGGCGTGATCTCGGCTCACGGCTACCTCCGCCTCCCAGGTTCAAGCAATTCTCCTGCCTCAGCCTCCTGAGTAGCTGGGATTACAGGCATCCGCCACCATGCCTGGCTAATTTTTTATATTTTTAGTAGACACGGGTTTCACTATGTTGGTCAGGCTGGTCTCAAACTCCTGACCTCGTGATCTGCCCGCCTTGGCCTCCCAAAGTGCTGGGATTACAGGCATGAGCCACCGCGCCTGGCCTGTGGTTACTTTTTAATCTGGCATATAACTGTAGAGATTCGGATCCTTTAAGGAAGCTTAATTATTTATCAGTATTTATTAACAGGCAAGTACAATTACGGTAGGAGATCTAGAATGGGCCATTTCGGAGTTAGGCAATTTGCAGTTTTAAAACTGACTTGGGAGCAGGTTGCAAAGGGTGGGCTGTCTCCTTGAGATTCTGTCCTTCTTGCCTCCTTGCTTTCCTTCCACACCCACTCAGCCCTCAGGTCCGGTCCCGCCCTGCTGTCAGATAAGAAGCTGATACTGCAAAGAGACTGCCTGCTACGTGGCTGTGGCCGGCTCACTCAGCTGGTTGTTAATCCAGTGGGCGCCCTCGGCGTTACTCCAGTGGCTGCTGCAGGCATTTAGGGTGGAACTTGCGTGGAACTGACCTGTTCTTTGAAGCAAGTTTAACATCTCTGCCCCCACCCATTAGATGGTGATAACATCTGCCCCTTCCTTTCCCTGTTCCTGTACCAGCCCCCGAATGACAGCATTCATTTCTGCAGCTGAGAACCTAAAATGTATTTGTATTTGTCAAAAACCCTTTGACGGTTTTCCCTTGGCTGACTCTAACTCCAGATGATGCTAGCGGAGCTTTTCTCAAATTTTCCTTTTCCCTTTGTTTCCCAACTTCAGGCCCTTGTCTGTCCTCCAGGATTTCCACAAATGCCGATGGCATATCGGCCGGGCAGGGAGAGCTCAGGGCCTTCTATAAGGAACATTGGAGATGATTCTCATCAGGCCTTTAATCTCACTGATGAGGAAACTGGAATGCGGGAAGAAAGCCTGCCCGAGCGAACATTCCTGAGTCGCTCTCCTGCATTGTGTCCATTACACTGGCCGCTTCTCAAGCAAAAAGTATCTTTAGTTGAGGAGTTATCTGAAGAGTTGGGATTTTGTGCCATTTATCCAATGGAATTACTGGAATTAAATACACAGCCAACAGCCACTATTCTCTGGAACATATAGGAACCATATCCCCACTCCCTCTCCTTCTCCAGGGTGAGATAAGGATGACCTTGGGTTAGGGATGGGTTTGAAGACAATTAACAACATGAAGATGGAGTTCATTTTTTCCTTCTGATTATAAGTTATTGTTTAATGTTAAAAAGAACATTAACATTCTAACCAATCAAGAAGTGCTTATCATGGAGACTTTAAACCTGCTATGATAAGCACTTCTATCAGCAACTCAGTTTACCTCGTTCTTTTAAAAGCTGTAGTTTCCATTATGTGAATGGACCAGGATTTAGCTAATGATCCCTCATTCACCAGAACAAGTTTATTCCGGTTTTTCTCTTTTACAAGTGAGGCAGGAGAATGTTTATCCAGTTTTTCTCTGTTACAAATGAATCTGAAATAATCCTTATACATGCATCTTTTTACACAATTGCATATGTCTTTGTCAGCTCAGGCTGCTATAACAAAATGCCATAAACTAGGTGGCTTAAACAATAAACATTTTTTTCTTACTGTTCTGGAAGCTGGCAGGTCCAATACTAAAGTGCTGGCCATTTTGCTTCCTGGCGAGGACTCTCTTTGTTTGCAGACAGCCACAGCCACCCTGGTCTCTCTTCTTTTTTTTTGAGACGGAGTCTCACTCTGTTGCCCAGGCTGGAGTACAGTGGTGCAATCTCGGCTCACTGCAACCTCCGCCTCCTGGATTCAAGCGATTCTCAAACCTCAGCATTTTGAGTAGCTGGGATTACAGGCATGTGCCACCATGCCCGGCTAATTTTTGTATTTTTAGAAGAGACAGGGTTTCGCCATGTTGGCCAGGCTGGTCTCAAACTCCTGACCTCAGGTGATCCTCTTGCCTCGACCTCCCAAAGTGCTGAGGTTGTAGTCATGAGCCACCACACCAGTCCTTCTTCTTCTTCTTCTTAAGAGGGCATTAATTTCATCTTGGGGACCCCACCCTCACGATCTGATTTATAAACCTAATTATCTCCCAGAAGCCCCTCCTCCAAATCATCTCACATTGGGGATTAGGGCTTCAACATCTGAATTTTGGGGGACACAAAACCTCAGTCCATAGCAGTGTATTTCTGTGCAATGAATGCTAACAAGATGAATTGGTGGGTGAAAGCTGATGTGCATTTTAAATTATAATCCACATTGCCAGATATCCTCTAAAAATGATGGGGCCCACCAAAACAAGAGTGCCTATTTCTTCACTTCCTCACTACATTGCATTTTTACCCATCTTTTCAATTTTGTGGTCAAGTATTTTTGTTTTTAAATTTTATGGATACACGATGGTCGTACATATTTATGGGGTACATAGGAAATTTTGAAATAAGCTGCAGCTTTTTTTTTTTTTTTTTTTTGAGACGGAGTCTTGCTGTGTCGCCCAGGCTGGAGTGCAATGGCGTGATCTCGGCTCATTGCAAGCTTTGCCTGCCGGGTTCACACCGTTCTCCTGCTTCAGCCTCCCGAGTAGCTGGGACTACAGGCGCCCGCCACCACGCCCGGTTAATTTTTTTTTTGTATTTTTAGTAGAGACAGGGTTTCACCGTGTTAGCCAGGATGGTCTCAATCTCCTGACCTCATGACCTGCCCGCCTCGGCCTCCCAAAGTGCTGGGATTACAGGCTTGAGCCACCGAGCCTGGCCTGCAGCTAAGTATTTTTAAAGAGACAGCATTATCATTGGGTTCATTTTAAGTTCTTTTTTTAGTTCTTTTTTTTTGAGACGGAGTTTTCCTCTTGTCTCCCAAGCTGGAGTGCAATGGCGCCGTCTCGGCTCGCTGCAACCTCTGCCTCCCAGGTTCAAGTGATTCTCCTGCCTCAGCCTCATGAGTATCTGGGATTACAGGTATGTGCCACAATGCCAGGCTAATTTTTCTATTTTTAATAGGGACGGAGTTTCACCACATTGGCCAGGCTGGTCTGGAACTCCTGACCTCAGATGATCTGCCCATCTCGGCCTTCCAAAGTGCTGGGATTACTGGCGTGAGCTGCCGTGCCCGGCCTTTAAGTTCATTTTTTAAGTGTTTGTTATCTCTTACACCAAAGTACAAGGAGTTTAAGTTGTGGTGGTTATGTTTTAGATAGGCACTTTGAAAGGTTTTGATTTCTGGTTTATATGTTCAGGTTTTTGGAAACCTGAAACTAAAGTCTCGTCCCTTCCTAACATTTTCCTTCATTTCCTTTTGAGGCTGATTTCTTCTCTGGACCCCTGTCCTTAGGCTGTTGGGTGGGTGCATCAGTTTTCTCAGGGCTGCATGAGGGGAAATAGCCAATTTCCTCCCAAGGCCCATCTTACTATGGGCCAGGGCTGGGGAAACTTCTTGAAGGTGGCCTATTTTAAGCTGAGCTCCCATCAAAACGGGCTTTCCCCAGCAGGCTTTAGAGCACGCATTTCCTAACCCAGATGGCCTCGCAGCCTGGACACCTGGCCGGGGAGAATGAGCCTGCACCTCCTGTGTCCACATTAGTGCAGCTCCTGTGATGGTCGATGACGGTCTCAGCTGTGCTCATTCCGGCCCTCCCCAGCGTGCTGGGGAGATGGGGATGGGCTTGGCGAGGGAACCTTCCCACAGCAGCTCCACTCAGGCACCAGTCAAACCAAGGGTGGATACCTTATCTTTCCTTGGAAGGTTTGTTAGGGGATGCCCCTTGATTCAGAACCAAATTAGGAAGATGGTTCAGGGACCTCCTTGTTCTTAGAGTCTGGTCCTTCTGCCCCGTAGGATACACCCTGACTACACACCTTTACATCCTGGGGCACAGGGTCCCTGCTTTCCCCCCAGCCTGTTGTAGGGCATGACCCTGGTATCAGTCATTGACACACTAGTATGAACGTAAGATACTGGTTTTTAGACCCTAGGGAATAGAGGGTAAGGATCGAACTTCAGGTAGGGACTTTTAGGTTGTGGTTCCTTCTTACTCCCTGAACTCACTCAAGGGATGTGGTCCTCTCCTGAGGCTACAGTGAACTCAGGCGGCTGAGATGTTGAGACAGGGTAGGAGGTAGAGGAGCAGTGCCTTCCTCTGGGGTCGGTATGATTCCGGAAACACTGCAGCCCCCCGTTACCAGTGCTGGAGTGACAGCATTCAAAAATGTACTTGGTATCTTCTAAAAGCTTTTAAAATGGAAACCATATAGTATATATACACACAAGACTTCAACAATTTTCAAATGGATAGTGAGCGAATACAGTCGAAGATAAAAAAAGTGAATCTGAGGTGTTACGACTGGCAGGCAGGGGTGATGAAGATTAAACTTGCGGGGCTGTCACCCTCCAGCTACAGTAATTCTCCAGAATGAACACAGAGACACGGTAGCATCCCTGTCATCCTGACCAGTTCTCAAGCTGACATCTGCAAGGTGACAAGTTACTGACACGTAACACGAAGAACTGAAATTATATCAATCTAAAGGCCAGTCTCAGGAAAGCCTTGGTAAATTTTAACTTGGTCCGGAAGCTACATTTCCAGAAATGTTGACCGACGGGCCGTAGGCAGGTAGCCAGCGGTCATTTTTAGAGCTAGAGCCCTGGTTTGAGGAATTAGATTTCCTGACAATCAGGCAGGTTATTCAGAGCATCTTGTTACCAAACTGTCTTTGCCTTACCTTTGTAACCAGTCACATTGGATGTCCCCCAAGGCTGGATTGATGGTAGGGGGCCCGGCTACCATACCTCCTTGGGTGTCATCTGTGTCCTTACATCAGTAGCAAAATGAGAGACAGCTAAGGTATGTCTGATTTGGGGTATTCAGTCAACATTGGCTTTTCTTTCTTCCTTTCCTGTCCCTTGCCGATTAGCTTGAGATTTCTACTTGCAGAATCCTCTCACTTCTCGCTGAGAGACATCTTCGGCTTCACGGTCTGCCCCACAGATTGCAGATGGGGAAACTAAGGCAGTTATTCTTTAAACCAAGGGTAGGAGGATGTTGCCTCTAGGCTATGCAATGGATAGGTGTCCCATGGATACCTAGGAAGGAATTCACCCTGGGGGGCCTTTGTGGCATGCCACATGTCCTAGATTAGTTTAACAGGCAAGTCTTGAAAGTTATTTCCATGCAAGGCACAGGGAGCAAAGGGAGGCCGAGGTGGGCGGATCACCAGATCAGGAGATCGAGACCATCCTGACTAACATGGTGAAACCCCGTCTCTACTAAAAATACAAAAAATTAGCCAGGTGTGGTTGTGGGCACCTGTAGTCCCAGCTACCCGGGAGGCTGAGGCAGGAAAATCACTGGAACCCTGGAGGCGGATGTTACAGTGAGCCGAGATTGTGCCACTGCACTCCAGCCTGGGCGACAGGGCGAGACTCTGTCTAAAAAAAAAAAAAAGGAAAGATGAAGTCGAGAATGTTATTTTTTTCTGAGCTGGAAGGAACTTTAAAGAAGAGCTATTCCTGCCCCTCGTTGGCAGATGAAGACACTTAAGTCCAGGTGTCCATCATGGTGTTTAACATGCCTATATTATCTGCTAAGGGGGCATTCTACGGAGGCACATTTTATACTAGGTAACTTTACTGAATTGAATAGTGTCCCCCCAAAATTCATGTCTGCTTGGAACCTCAGAAATGGGACCTTATTTGGAAATAGGGTTTTTGCATGTATAATTAGTTAAGACAAGGTCACCATGGATTAGGTTGCCCTAAATCCAATGATTGGTGTCTTAATAGAAGAGGAGACAGAGATTCAGGTACAACAACATTGGGGAAGGCTCATGTAAGGGTAGGAGCTCTAAGGCAGACTTGCAAGAGCAGAGAGTGTCAAGAGCTGCAGGGTGACTCCACTGCCCAGACTGGTCCAGTGTCATTGCCCCTACAGAGTAGAAAATGGAGCGGATGGGCCATTGGCTCTGACTCCATGCAACAAGTGGGTCCCACCAGCACTGTCAGTGGCTTAGGAACAAGGTGGCTTGACCAGTGCGGCTTGAGTGACAGAGATGTCCTCTTGTTCATCTTCTGCTCTGTCTTCTTTCTGAACCACCCACTCCCACTCCTGGCCCCCATTGTCTCTTCCCCTTAAGTCATCTGACCTAAGACCAACTGGGTTTCTTTAAAAGGGCAGTGTTCTGGCTCTCCCCATGAGCTCCCCCTTCCTAGAGGCTGCCTGATGGAAAACTCCCCTTCAGTTGAGGAGGGAGGGAGGGGGGCAAAGCTGTCAGACCTCCGTGGGGAGTTGGCTGAATTGTATGCATATGGGGTTGTGGATCTGGCAAGCTACTCACCCACTGCTCCAAACGAGATTGCAAAATGTCCTATAAGTTGGCCTCCTGCCCCCCAAAAACGTGGTAATTCCAAATGTCACCTTGGCATTTTCTTCTCAAATAAATTCTGTCTTGTTCATATCACAAGAAAACTGGAAACATGGACTTCAGAACTTCTGTGTTTATTTCTCAGTCCTCTGATTGACTTGCTGTGTGACATGTTGAACTATTAAATTTCTTTCATGGATAAATGTGAACATGGGCTTGGAGATTTTTATCTGTTGAGTACTGGAGACTCGGGGTTTGAGACAAAGAAAAGAATTTGGACCTCTGTATTGTGTAGGTATGTGTATGTAAATATAAGAAGAGGATATAAGGCAAAGGGAAGCTCATATTAATTGATTTTGAAGAGCCATATGGACTTTTAAGAAATCACAGATGGTTCAGAAGGTTAGGAGATAGCCTGCTGGCATTGCCACCAGAAACTTAGGTATGGGGAAGGTTTGGATAGAAGAGCTGTGTTCAATCAGTAAGCCAAAAAGCAGACCTCAAAACAAAGGAATACATTGAATTTAGAGGGTACTTTGTCTGTCAGAACACATGAAAGATTTTTGTGCTTTAATTCCTTGTAAAGTTCCTGTAACACACAAGAGAGATGCAGAAATCATCCCACTTTGAAGATGGAGAAATGAAGACCCAGAAGGTAACCTTGACCCAATAATTTTGTGACAGAGGTGGGATTTGAATCCAGGATTTCTTTTCTTTCTTTTTTTTTTTTGAGACAGTGTTCTTGCTCTGTTGCCCAGGCTGGAGTGCAGTGGTGCAATCACAGCTCTCACTACAGCCTTGACTTCCCAGGCTCAATTGGTCCTCCCACCTCAGTCTCCTGAGTAGCTGGGACTACAGGCGCCGCACCACCCCATCTGGCTAGTTTTTGTATTTTTTTTTTAGAGATGGGGTCTCCTGATGTTGCCCAGGCTGGTCTTGAACTCCTGGGCTCAAGCCACCCTCCTGCCTTGACCTCCCAAAGTGCTGAGAATACAGGTGTTAGCCACCGCACCCCACCCAGGATTTCTTATGTAGAGAATATAAGTAACTTTTCATCTTTTGCCCTGTCAGACAGGGTCATTGTGAAAAATCAGTGATTTCCCAGGGCAATCAACTCTCAGCCCTGTGGGAGGAGAGAGGGAGAAGCAGTGGGCAAAGGGGAGGAGGATCAAGCTGGTGATCACGTTTGTATCCTGAGTGCCTTGTGTACAGGATGGTGTGGTGCAGGGAGGGTGCATGTGGGTGTTCGAGCCTCTTCCTTGCTGACATGGTCCTGCTGACTTCCCAGTGAGCACCCACCTTATGCAGATCCTGGGCTGGGAACTTTAAGCTTCAGGATCTATAGAGCTCCATTTTCTTCCCACAAATCACCTCCTTGACCTGTGTGTGTGGGCGTGGGGCGGGAAGAAATGATATGAACTCTTTGATCAATACATTCATTTGGAATTTATTTAGCTGATTTTATATGAGGAAGAACCCAACTTTTTCTAAGAAACAAATATGAAAAGTGTGTTTTGAGGCTAACAGTATATCTTTAATGTGTACATGTAAGAAGAAAGGCATCGGCAGGCACAGTGGCTCACGCCTGTAATCCCAGCACTTTGGGAGGCCGAGGCGGGCGGATCACGAGGTCAGGAGTTCGAGACCAGCCTGACCAACATGGTGAAACCCCGTCTCTACTAAAAATACAAAAATTAGCTGGGCGTGTTGGCAGGTGCCTCTAATGCTACTTGGGAGGCTGAGGCAGGAGAATCGATTGAACCTGGGAGGCGGAGGTTGCAGTGAGCCGAGATGGTGCCATTGCACTCCAGCTTGGGCAACAGTGTGAGCTCCGTCTCAAAAAAAAAAAAAAAAAAAAAAGGAAGAAAGGCATCAGGAAACCACTGCGGATGATGACTTTCAACTGCAGATATTTACAGACAAGTCAAGCAAAACAGACTTGGTAGCAGAGAGACCCAGATTTGGTGTGGGTCACTGTTTATGTGGAAAGACTGGGTTTTTTTGTGCGGCCCTTGGGAGCCTGCCGGTCTCCTAGGCATGGGGTGTGTTTCCTAGTAGAGTATATATTTGGATGCTGGGAGTTGGTACTTCTCCTCGTGGCAATATTAGGTGCCACACAGTGTTTTTCAACAGAGAGGATGTCAGAGGGAGGGCTGGTGAAAGTTCAGAAAGACACTTTATACTATGTGGGGTTGCTGGATATCAGAGTGAACTTTGAGTCTAGCCCTCAGTTTTTCATTAAAACACCTGCTGAAGGATTTCACAGTTCCTTCCCGCCGCCCACCTTCTTAACTCACATACTCATCTCTGTGGAGAAAACTAGGCGTTCACTCTCCTGTATGACTGGTGGAGGAAGTAAATGAAGATTGTCTTTACAGAGACCAATTTGGCATCAGGTATCCAAGGCATTACAACGGGAATACCCTTGGACCCAGCAATTCTGCTTTTAGGAATTCGTTTTTTTTTTTTTTCCTTTTTGTGACGGAGTTTTGCTCTTGTTGTCCAGGCTGGAGTGCAATGGCGCGATCTCGGCTCACTGCAACCTCTGCCTCCCGGGATCAAGCGATTCTTCTGCCTCAGCCTCCCCAGTAGCTGGGACTACAGGTGCATGCCACCACACCCGGCTAATT
The DNA here is from genome assembly GCF_000001405.40 of Homo sapiens. NCBI lineage: Eukaryota > Metazoa > Chordata > Mammalia > Primates > Hominidae > Homo > Homo sapiens. The sequence continues at coordinate 89,447,044 of NC_000014.9, read as the reverse complement.
TTGTATTTTTAGTAGAGACGGGGTTTCTCCATGTTAGTCAGGCTGGTCTCGAACTCCCGACCTCAGGTGATCCACCCGCCTTGGCCTCCCAAAGTGCTGGAATTACAGGCATGAGCCACCGTGCCCGGCCCAGGAATTCATTTTAAGGAAATAGAGATCTGTACAAGATATATTAATGAATCTGGCTGTTCATTTGGCCTTGTTCATAATAGTGGAAAACTGCAAATAACTTAAATATCCAAAAAGTGGCAAGTGGCCAAACCATGGGTCATTCACTCACTCTGCAGTTTATTGAATGCCTACTATGTGCCAGGCACCTGGTAGGTGTGAAAAGTGTGTAGTGACAACCAAGGCAGATATGGTCTCAGCCCACATGGAGCTCACAATTTTGTTGTTGTAGAAACAAATTTCATACAATATGAAGTAGAAAAAAGTGGAGTACTAAGTGTATTTACAGTGTGATTCCATTGTTGTTAAATAAATAGAAAAACTCTTTTCTAAGTTGTCCACAGTGGTCATTATGATTTTTGTAATTTCTTAAAAAAGTGACTTTTAGGGACAGGTACAGTGGCTCATGCCTGTAATCTCAGCATTTTGGGAGGCCAAGACAGGCGGGTCACTTGAGGTCAGGAGTTTGAGACCAGCCTGGCCAACATGGTGAAACCCCGTCTCTACCAAAAACACAAAAATTAGCCGAGCGTGGTGGCGCATGCCTGTAATCCCAGCTACTCGGGAGGCTGAGGCAGGAGAATCGCTTGAACCCAGGAGGTGGAGGTTGCAGTGAGCCGAGATTGGGCCTTCGCACTCCAGCATGGGGAACAGAGTGAGACTCTGTCTCAAAAAAAAAAGAAAAAAAAAAAAAAAAAAGACTTTTAGGAAGGAGAGAAAAAGAAGGAATCAGACCTGGGTTCTAGACCCAACTCTTCCTTAAAATTTTTTTTTTTTTTTTTTTTTTTTGAGGCAGGGTCTCGCTCTGTTACCCAGGCTAGAGTGCGGTGGTATAATCACAGCTCACTGCAAGCTCAAGTGATCCTCCCACCTCAGCCTTCCAAGTAGCTAGGACTACAGGTGCATGTCCTCCACCCCCGCCACCCCCCACCATGCCTGGCTAATTTTTAAAGTTTTCTGTAGTGATAGCGTCTCATTATGTTGCCCAGGCTGGTCTCAAACTCCTGGGCTCAAGGGATTCCACCACCTGGGCCTCCCAAAGTGCTGGGGTTATAGGTGTGAGCCACCATGCTCAGCCATCTTCCTTAAACTTGTGGTGAGACTTTGAATGAGTCAGAGGACCACGCTGAATTTCCTCCACACAGTGTGGGAGAGACCTCTGTGGCCTCCAGCCCAGGTTTTGAGATCTCAAACTCTGGTCTCTTCTGAGGACCCTGGGGGATTTTACGGCAGTGTGAAAAGGCCTGGAGTTTTCCCCAGGAGGCAGGACAGCAGCCAGGCTGCCTTGCTGAAGCCCTAATCCCTGGGCACTTTTGGTCTCCAGGGCCCAGGTCCTCCAGGAATCTGGTGATGTATTCAACTGGGGAAATGAAAAAGAGTTCCTGTATTAGCCATATGATAATTAAATTAAGGAAGTGCCTCTTGCCCAGCAAATAAAAACAAGGCATGATTGGTGTACCTGGCCTAACTTGCTTACCCAAATCTCACTGCACCCCAGGCAAACAAAATGACAGCAGCTCCATTGATTGAGCCTTACACAAGTGCCCAACACTGTACTTTGGGGACATTTTCCTAGTTAAGGGTCATGACACTGCTTGAAATAGGTAGTCACCATCCCCATTTTACAGATGGGGAACTCAAGTTCAGAAGTCGGGTATACCCGAGGATACTAGAGTAGCAGAGGCTGGAATTCAAACCCTAGTCTGCTTGCAAGCAACTTTTTTTTATTTTATTTTATTTTTGAGATTGGGTCTTGTTCTGCTTGTTCTGTCGCCTAGGTAGTCAGGAGTGCAGTGGCTCAATCATGGCCCACTTCAGCCTCAACCTCCTGGGCTCAAGCGATCTCCCATTTCAGCCTTCTGAGTAGCTGGGATCACAGGCATGTGCTACCATGTCCAGCTAATTTTTGTATTTTTTTTGTAGAGATGGGGTCTTGCTATGTTGCCCAGGCTGGTCTTGAACTCCTGGGCTCAACGGATACTGCTGCCTCGGCCTCCCAAAGTGCCGGGACTATAGGCGTGAGCCACTGCACCTGGCCTTGAAGCAACATTTTAAATCTCTGCTCTGAACTGCCTCCCAGACTAAGAAGCAAGTTCCACTGCAGCCATAAAAACAGATGTCTAAAGCTAGGGAATGTGTGATGGGTGTTGTAATCCATCAAGTGACAGAACATCGGGAAGCTGCGGAATATAGAGACTTAGGAAGGGCAAAATCTTATTTCTGATGAAACCTGATACAGAGAAAGCTACTTTAGCTGTTTTTCTGTGGGGTTGTAAATGATAAAATTGGGTTTTGACAGAGAGAGATACAGCCGCCTTCATGCTCACTATAATAACCGTTTCTCCTACTTGTGATTAGAAATCAAAGGCCAACTATTACACCTTATAAACCTATACCTCTTGAAAGAGTGATAACTTACACTAAGGCCTGACCTATGTTGTTTCTTTTTTTTTTTATGTGAAATATTTTACTTGCTGGGCTCCATTTTGCTTATTTAGCAGTGATTAACAGATAGTAAAACATATGAGATACTAGGGATACAGAGGAAAATATAAGTTAAAATAAAGAATTGGTTTCTTCCCCACCGCCCCCGCCCATCAAAAGAATGTTCCAGTATGACAGCTATTTCCTGTGTTTCAATTTCAATTCCTCTATATTTCAGTTTCTTCAGATTCATGTTATATAGTATGATCAGATTAATCTTCTAAAATACCACTTTCATAATGCCATCTCCACCTCTCTCTCCCATCTTCTCTGGAACATTTAATGGCTCCCCATTGTCTAGGATAAAATACAAACTTATGGGTTTAGATTTCGGATTTCTTCATAGTCTGCTTCCAAGTATGCTTTTTTTTTTTTTTTTTTTTTTGACAGAGTTTCATTCTTGTTGCCCAGGCTGGAATGCAATGGCATGATCTTGGCTCACTGCAACCTCCACCTCCTGGGTTCAAGCAATTCTCCTGCCTCAGCCTCCTGAGTAGCTGGGATTACAGGCATGCACCACCATGCCTAGCTAATTTTGTATTTTTAGTAGAGACAGAGTTGCTCCATGTTGGTCAGGCTGGTCTTGAACTCCCGACCTCAGGTGACCCGCCCACCTTGGCCTCCCAAAGTGCTGGGATTACAGGCATGAGCCACTGCGCCCGGCCCCAACTTTACCTTTGCAACCATCTTTCCTGACAGTCCCATGAGGGACTCCTACTCAGATGAATTGGTCCATTTCTTGGTTCTCTGAATCTGCTCTTAGGTTTCCTCACTTTGAGCTTTTGTTTTACTGTGCCTGCCAGTAAAGAACACGGTAGAATATTCTCCCCTCCCCTTTCCTTTCTCTGAAGTTCTGCCCTTCCTCCCAGGCACTATTTGTATTTTTCCTTTTTTGAAAAACCAAAACATTCCTTGAATATCTCAGCCTGTGGTGATGAGCTCAGTTTCCCTTATCACATATTGTCTTTAACTGAAGTCCCATGTCCTGGAGGGCTACAACCAGCTCAGTGCCCTGCCTGTCCCAGGGGCTCCATAAACACCAATGAAAACAATATGCACAGTACAGCTGGCTAAAAAGGAACACTTTTTGTGCCAGCCATAAAATATGGCTATACCAAGGGAGGACCTCTTTCCCTTCAGAAAACAAATAGCCAGTTTTCCCTGTTGCACGTTTAAAATGCATATTCTGTGGTATTAGCTAATTATTTGTCATGCAGTTACCACTCATGACTAGTCCTGTTTTATGAATGAAATGGAAGCAGAGAGATGAAAATACTGGCATGACCTCACCAGTATTTTACTTGCTGGGCTCCATTTTGCTTATTTGCAATTTGCTGAGCCGTTGGCAGAAACAGCACTTGAACCCAAGTTTCCTTCTGCTATTGTTATCCTCTCTCCTTTAGAGCAGGTGTTGGCAAACCTTTTCTGTAAAGGGCCAGAGAATAAATAGTTCAGGCTTGCAGGCTATATGGTCTCTGTTGCAACTGTAGTATTCTGGCACTGTAGTGTGAAAGCACCTAAGACCATTCACCATTTTGGTTTGAACACTGAGCAGGCCCTCCAGTTGGGTGTAGGCTAATGTGTAAATTACATCCATGGCTGGGAAAGACTGGCTGGTTGGAGTAAATACTGGCTGGTTGGAGTGAAGACTGGCTGGTTGGGGTAAAACTGGGAAGTTGTAGATCTTCAAGCAGTAGACAGCCAGTCATCCCGTGGGCCATGGACATGGGCTGTGGTCACAAGGGAGACATGTTGGGGACACACTGCATACAACTCAGGGATCCGTTGTTTCCCAGAGCACATCCATCAGTCTCTCACTTGGCAAAGATTTCTAAGGCTTACTAGCTGCTGGGCAGACTGTGCCTGTTTAGCTTGCTCAGAAGATAGGAGTCATTTTGGCCAGTGGCAGCGCTGGGTGCAGTTATAGGAGACCTCAGCATGTGACATTCACTGCCATGCACTGTCTTCAGCCGAGAGAGCAGACCTGTTTCCCAAGATTGAACCTGTTAACTAAGTTCAGACACAGGTGTAGCAAATCAGAAAGCCTGTGCATTAATTTACAGTGACAACTATTACTGCCTGAAAGTGGCTTGATGAGCGTGGGAAAAGGGAAGGGAAGGTTGGATGATTTGAATGTTGAGTGTCATTGGAAAGGTCAGCCAGTTTCACCCGGGCGCGGTGGCTCACGGCTGTAATCCCAGCACTTTGGGAGGCTGAGGTGGATGGATCATCTGAGGTCAGGAGTTCGAGACCAGCCTGACCAACATGGAGAAACTCCATCTCTACTAAAAATACAAAATTAGCCAAGCGTGGTGGCGCATGCCTGTAATCCCAGCTACTTGGGAGGCTGAGGCAGGAAAATCGCTTGAACCTGGGAGGCGGAGGTTGCGGTGAGCCGAGATCATGCCATTGCACTCCAGCCCGGGCAACAAGAGGAAACTCCATCTCAAAAAAAAAAAAAAAAAAAAAAGTCAGCCGGTTTCAGCCCCCTGTGTAACTCAGCATTGGTGCTGAGATCCCAACCTCAAGGCCAGGGTTAATGCTGCCAGTGTGCTGGGTGGGGCTTGGAAGAGCTGTCACCTGTGTGGAATCCATAGGGACCCTCCAGGATCCCAACTTCCTGCCTACTTCCACCCCCCTCCCTCCTTTCAAGAGGACGCTTTATTTCATAGATATGTTAATGCATTCCACTTGGCAGGTTTGGACCTGAGCTCTTTCTGTCTCTTTCTTGGGGACTTTGCATATCCATACCCCAATCTGGTAGCCCTTGGTCCAACCCTGCGGAAGGATGATGCCCTTTCTGTTCCAGCTAGTAGGGTGTCTGGGGCAGAGCCTAGACCCTAAAAGTGATTAAGAGCGCCTGTAATGATCAGCGAGGCTATTTTAACAGTATAAGATAAAGGCAATGTGTTCCGTTGGTTCCCTGTGTTCCTCTTGCCCCGGCTTATTACTGCCCCAAGAAGGTAAATCACAAATCACCTTTCAGTTTCATCCTTTTTAACGTAAGGTGAATGGTATGAAAAATTTAGCAGGTTCAGGTCTCTGCAGGGAGGATGGGTTACATAGGGTTCAGGTAATTGGGAGGAGGGTTTTCCAGGAGAGACTGGTGTTAGTGAATGGAGTCGTTGGGGAGTTCTTCAGTCACAAAGCATTATGCAGATGCAGTTGTTGTTGTTATTCTGAATCGAGGCAGGGAGGAGGGAAAGGGCCCAGCAGGTTGGGACAGTGCAAAGGCCTCTGGGGGAGTTGGCCTGAAGGCTGAGAGATAAGACTTTGGGGAAGGGCAGGGTTGGGGAGGAAGGGAAGCCGGAGCCTCGGCCACTTTCTCATACTTAATTCAGGGGTTCCTTTTGTGCATTCAGACCTGTGCCCATCCTCTCTCCTAAAGAGGTCAGCATCCAGCCCCTCTTCATGGCTTGGACACGTGAACCCACCATTGCCATCATGTCTGCCTTGCTACAGCCTAGTTAGCATCACCTGAAACCATAAATAACATCAAAGAAAAGAGCCTATTACTAACCCACTGCAGAGTCCCACTGTTGCCCATTGACAGGTTGACAGGGGTTGAACGCACTGCTTTGCAGTGTACTTTTCATGGCATCTGTGTGAAGAGACCACCAAACAGGCTTTGTGTGAGCAACAAGGCTGTTTATTTCACCTGGGTGCAGGTGGGCTGAGTCCGAAAAGAGTCAGCGAAGGGAGATAAGGGTGGGGCCGTTTTATAGGATTTGGGTAGGTAAAGGAAAATTACAGTCAAAGGGCGTTTGTTCTCTGGCGGGCAGGAGTCGGGGTCGCAAGGTGCTCAGTGGGGGTGCTTTTTGAGCCAGGAAAAGGACTTTCACAAGGTAATGTCATCACTTAAGGCAAGAACCGGCCATTTACACTTCTTCTGTGGTGGAATGTCATCAGTTAAGGTGGGGCAGGGCATATTCACTTCTTTTGTGATTCTTCAGTTACTTCAGGCCATCTGGGCCTATACGTGCAAGTCACAGGGGATGCGATGGCTTGGCTTGGGCTCAGAGGCCTGACAGTACTGAAATAGGGGTCTCTCTGCTCCATGCGTTTGAGATATTCTGGTATCCCCAAGGCCTATAAAGGTTACCAGGAGGCTGCTGCTGCAGCCAGAGGCCAGGAAAGCACCCCTAGATCAGAGAAGGGGTGGTCTTTTCCTTTTCTTGCCTTAGTAGGGGTAGGCAGGCCAAGAAGCAGCACTGGTGGGAGTAGTGCCAAGTCTGCCTCTTAGCTGGATAACCATGGCAGGTCATTTTAACCTGCTTGAGGCCCAGGTACCCCCTAGGTAATATGGGGATAATAGCACCGTTACAGGAAAGGGGTCCCAATCCAGACTCCAAGAGTGGGTTCTTGGATCTGGCACAAGAAATAATTCAAGGCGAGTCCATAGAGTAAAGTGAAAGCAAGTTTATTAAGAAAGTAAAGGAGGCTGGACGCGGTGGGTCACGCCTGTAATCCCAGCACTTTGGGAGGCCGAGGCGGGTGGATCACGACGTCAGGAGATTGAGACCATCCTGGCTAACACGGTGAAACCCCGTCTCTACTAAAATACAAAAAATTAGCCGGGCGTGGTGGCGGGCGCCTGTAATCCCAGCTACTTTGGAGGCTGAGGCAGGAGAATGGCGTGAACCTGGGAGGCAGAGCTTGCAATGAGCAGAGATCACACCACTGCACTCTAGCCTGGGCAACAGAGCAAGACTCCGTCTCAAAAAAAAAAAAAAAAGGAATAAAAGAATGGCTACTCCATGGGCAGAGCAGCCCTGAGTGCTGCTCATTGCTCATTTTTATGGTTATTTCTTGATGAGATGCTAAACAAGATGTGGATTATTCATTTCTCCCCTTTTTAGACCATATAGGGTAACTTCCTGATGTTGCCATGGCATTTGTAAATTGTCATGGTGCTGGTGGGAGTGTAGCAGTGAGGACGACCAGAGGTCACTCTCGTCACCATCTTGGTTTTGGCAGGTTTTGGCCGGCTTCTTTAATGCAAACTGTTTTATCAGCAGAGTTTTTATGACCTGCATCTTGTGCTGACCTCTCATTTCATCCTGAGACTTAGAATGCCTTAACTATCTGGGAATGCCGCTCAGTATGTCTCAGCCTCATTTTACCCAGCTCCTATTCATGATGGAGTTGCTCTGGATTACGTGCCTCTGAGAGTACCTACCTCAAAGAGCTATTGGCAGAGCTAGAGGAGCTAGTCTGTGTAAAGCTATGAGCCCAGCATATAGAAGGCACACACAGGGTTGGATGCAGGCTTTGTGTGGCCTGAAAGCCTATTCAATTTGGCAGGGGTGGGTACCTCTTTAAGAAAAGAATGTAAGGCCAGGCGTGGTGGCTCACGCTTGTAATCCCAGCACTTTGGGAGGCCGAGGTGGGCAGACCACCTGAGGTTGGGAGTTCGAAACCAGCCGACCAACATGGAGAAACTCTGTCCTACTAAAAATACGAAATTAGCTGGGCGTGGTGGTGCATGCCTGTAATCCCAGCTACTCAAGCTGAGGCAGGAGAATCCTTAGAACCTGGGAGGCGGAGGTTGCAGTGGGCCGAGATTGCGCCATTGCACTCTAGCCTGGGCAACAAGAGTGAAACATCGTCTCAAAAAAAAAAAGAAAGAAAAGAATGTAAAAGTACCAGATATAAGAGTGAGTATAGATTTCAAATGATGAAAGAAAACACAAGGAAGTATATGTTTAAGAAACTGACAACCTTACATCACAAAATGCAGAAAAATAAAATATGATTACTTGTTATCTGTTTGATATGTTACATTATTTTTCTTCCTACATATTTTAGGCTATATATTCTGATCATTTCTTCATATGACAATGATTTTGGAATGCCATTATCTCTAGAGAGAATAGAAGATAATTTTCAATTTTCTTATTCCTCCAGCCTGAATGGTTGGGATTTGTTCTTCACTATTGATAGCTAAGAAAAAAATTTGTAAGCTTCACAACTAGTTGTTGGTAACACCATGTAAACGTTTAGGACTACTCTCAAATTTGGGAAAACCTTAAGTTTCTTTCATATATAAGGCGTCAGATTTTATGGCATTTAAATGTTCTTGTACAATGACTCATCTTATTTACTGAAGGTGCTCATTCAGCACATTGCTGGGACCCATCCCAGGGCCCAAGAAGGGGCCAGTGGGAGTGAGGAGACTTGAGCTTTCAGCTTCAGTGTTTCATGGTCAGCCCTCTTGTAAGTCAGTTCTCAATAAACATTAACTAAATTATATTTGTATGATTTTTATTGACACTTTAATTTTCTAATTTTGGAATTACTAAAGAATGTGTTCTTATGCATGCTAAATATAATCTTAGTTAAATCTGTACAGCAGTCGTTCATTCATTATCATTTGTTAACCATCTACTTTGATCAACCAACTTCACCTTGATTGTTGGGAGCCTTCTGTGACATAAAGCAGATAAAACCCTAGCTCATTGTCTGTCATGTAGTAACCACTCAATAAACTTAGCCATTATGACTGTTGCAGATAAAGGGTTCTAGTCCTGACCCCCAAGAGAGGGTCCTTGGATCTTGCACAAGAAAGAATTCAGGTTGGGTTCCTACAGTAATGTGAAAGCAGCTTTATTAGGAAAGCAAAGGAATAAAAGAATGGCTATTCCATAGACAGAGCAGCCCTGATGGCTGCTGGTTGCCTATTTTTATGGTTATTTCTTGATGATATGCTAAACAAGGTGTGGATTATTCATGCCTCCCCTTCTTAGATCATACATGGTAACTTCCTGATGTTGCCATGGCATTTGTAAACTCTCATGGCACTGGTGGGAGTATAGCAGTCAATGCCTTAACTGTCTGGGAATGCAGCCCAGTAGGTCTCAGCCTCATTTTACACAGCTCGTATTCAAGATGGAGTTGCCCTGGTTCACACGCCTCTGACATGACCACCATCATCTGTCCATCAGCACCTGATCTTGGAGTGGCACTTGGGGATGTAAGGTTGAGATATTTGTCCCCCTTGGAGGTAGAAATGGGCCCAGGTTCAGGTTAAGGTCAGAGAGCTCAGCGGGTGTCATGTTTTGCCTCAGGTTCTAGACAGAGTTGTTCTCCTTCATTAACCATGGATTCCCTACAGTTAATCTCCACTCATGAATTCTCCATTCATCAACAATACTCTATTAACATGACCACATTTAGACATTAAGCCATACTGTTTTTTTTTGTTTTGTTTTGTTTTTTGAGACAGAGTTTTGCTCTTTGTTGCCCAGACTGGAGTGCAGTGGCGCGATCTTGGCTCACTGCAACCTTCCGTGTTCAATTGATTCTCCTGTCTCAGCCTCCCATGTTCAATTGATTCTCCTGTCTCAGCCTCCTGAATAGCTGGGATTACAGGTGTCTGCCACCACGCCTGGCTAATTTTTGTATTTTTAGTAGAGACGGGGTTTCACCATGTTGGCCAGGCTGGTCTCGAATTCCTGACCTCAGGTGATCCACCTGCTTCGGCCTCCCAAAATGCTGGGATTACAGGTGTGAGCCACCGTGCCTGGCCTAAGCCATACTTTTAAGTTCAGTGATAATGTATAATTTGGTACTTTTCTCCCAAATCTGTTTATTCCTATCAAATCTGGCCTCTAAACTTGTCAAACTATGGCTTTCTTTGTTGTTTAATGTTAAAGGCTTTACTTTGTGAACAGGAAGTCAAGAAACTGGATCCACCACTAACTCTCCATGGGTATCTGTTGGATGTTTTGATTGTAAGTGACCGAAAAGCCAGCTCAGGCTGTCTAAACGACAGGGGGATCTTGTTGATTTGTGCACTGAGTCCTAAGCTGCGGCTGCCCATTCGACGAACCCCATGCCTCTGGCGCAGACGATGGGGTCAGTCCCACCCAGACCACAAGGGTGGAAACTTGGGGGACTCTGGGAAAGGGAGAGAAGAAAAATAGATACTGGAGAGGAAACCACAAATGTGCACCCTAACATGTGACCCTACGTCACTTTGTTTTCTAGGTCACAGTTGCTTCATTAAATTAGGGGCTGGCATGACACCATGACCAAAAGTCTTCCTAAGGCTAACCTTGTAGATTTTATTTTCTTTATAAATTAACTTTTTTTTTTTTTTTTAATGAATAAACAAACCTTTTCTGGCCAGGGCTATAAAACCAAGAATGTAATTAGTAAATAAATAGCTCTGTTTAGATTATAATGATAAGTCAGGGCAGTCAGCATTGGTAACTTTCTTCCTACCCATGAGTTGTAGATTTTGATCTACAGGCCGGGCGCGGTGGCACACTCCTGTGATCTCAGCATTTTGGGAGGCCGAGGCAGGAGGATCGCTTGAGCCCAGGAGTTCGAGACCAGCCTGGGCAACATAGCAAGACCCTATCTCTGAAAAAAAAAATAATAAAGAAAAATGAGTGATGAAGGATGTGAGGGAGGAGCCCTAGGAAATGGAGTACGTAAAACCTGCTGTGCCTTTAGTCAGTGTTATCTTCTGAACAGCCAAGGCAACTTGGTTGTTCATTCAGAGGAGATCCAGGAAGGTCTGGGCAGGGCTTGTTTGCATGACTGTAGCCATTGGGAGGCTTTGCTGTAAGGCTGGTGTCACAGGAAATCTGTGAGAGGTTTAATTTGGATTCAAAGGGAGCTGGTGTTGGCAGAAGCCAGAGTCACTCTAAATGGCAGTGGAATCAGATCCCTGTGGATAGCTGAGGGTTTCTCAAGAATGAAACCACAGACCTCAGCTTTCTACTTCATCCCCTTTTTACGGAGCTGTTGGCTGGTCTCGAGATGAGATTCTAGTAGTGGCACCAGGGGAGCTTTCAAGGAAGCATCTGGGGTGGTTTGTGAGGGAACGAATGCTTTGGCTGTCGTACCACAGTCTATCTGGGAGCGCCATGGACGTGGAGATGACGTGGGTGTGGAAGATGGCAGTGAGTTAAGGGAGTATGCTTCTTCTCTGTCTCTCATGTATACAGCTTGGGTGAAGGCTCTGAGGGCCTGTGGGGGTATTGGGCTGCCATTTTTTTTTTTTTTTTTTAAGAGACAGGGTCTTGCTGTGTCACCCAGGCTGGAGTGCAGTGGCACAATCATAGCTCAGTGAAGGCTTGACCTCGCAGGCCCTAGTGATCCTCCTGCTTCAGCCTCATGAGTAGCAGGTGTGCACCGCCCAGCTAATTACAAAAATTTTTTCTGTAGAGATGAGGTCTTGCAGTGTTGCCCAGGCTGGCTTCTAACTCCTGGGTTCAAGCAATCCTCCCCTCCGCAGCCTCCCAAAGTATTGGGATTGTAGTCATAAGCCACTGTGTCTGGCCCCAGGCTGCCTTAGTAAGAGAGTTTTACCCTCTTGTCTAGGATATATGGGGGAAAGTTAATCTGATTAGCAGTACAGTGTATTCAAATTGTGCTTGGCTAATTGTTGAACGTTTATACAGAATTGACTAAGGTTGATCTGTACCTGTAACTATAATAATTCTCTGTAATACAGCTTTTGGAAAGTAGTTCTGGTGTGAGGGTCAGTGGTGTTTCTAAACTGGCAGACAATAACTACCGGAGTGCAAAGAACAAGATACATAGTTTGAAAATGGTTTCTTGTCAAATGTCTGTGCTTTGGAAGCATTACCTTCAAGAGAATCCATCAGATTTTTGTCCTTGTGGTAGTAGGACATTCAAAGAAGGTTTATTTGGTGGTTTGGGAGCAGGCAATAGGGTGAGGATTGGAGAAAAAGGAGATTATTCTGTGAGTTGAAAATGGGTACCTCTACAGCTGCTTGTTCTTCCCAAGGGTTCAGATGGGAGATGGAGATGGACTTGGAGTTCCAGGCCTGTGCTCTGGAGTGATCATGAGCTTCTTAAAAAACCTTTGTGTTTTAAGATTCTGATAAGGCCAGGCACGGTGGCTCACATCTGTAATCCCAGCACTTTGAGAGTCCGAGGCAGGTGGATCACCTGAGGTCACAAGTTCAAGACCAGCTTGACCAGCACAGTGAAACACTGTCTTTACTAAAAATACAAAAAAATTAGCCGGGTGTGGTGGCAGGCACCTGTAATCCCAGCTACTCTGGAGGCTGAGGCAGGAGAATCACTTGAATCCGGGAGGTGGAGGTTGCAGTGAGCTGAGTGAGATCACACCATTGCACTGCAGCCTGGGTAACAAGAGCAAAACTCCATCTTAAAAAAAAAAAAAAAAAAAGGCTTGCGCAGTGACTCACGTCTGTAATCCCAGCACTTTGGGACAGTGAGGTGGGGCTATCATCTGAGGTCAGGAGTTCAAGACCAGGTTGACTCCTGGTGAAACCTCGTCTCTACTAAAAATACCTAAAATTAGCCGGGCGTAGTGGCAGGCACCTGTAATACCAGCTACTCTGGAGGCTGAGACAGGAGAATTGCTTGAATCTGGGAGGCGAGGTTGCAGTGAGCCAAGATGGGGCCATTGCACTCCAGCCTGGGCGACAAGAGTGAAACTCCATCTCAAAAAAAAAAAAAAAAAAATTCTGATAAAAGCACAGTACTGGTGTGTGACCATTGCCCTGGATATTTCAGTATTTTTAGACGTTTGTCCATTTAATGAATATGTCTGTTTCTTTTCTTTTTTTTTTTTTGGAGACAGAGTTTCGCTCTTTCACCCAGGCTGGAGTGAAGTGGCGTGATCTCAGCTCACTGCAACCTCCGCCACCTTGCCTCCTGGATTCAAGCGATTCTACTGCCTCAGCCTCCTGAATAGCTGGGATTACAGGCGCCTGCCACCACGCCTGGCTAATTTTTTGTATTTTTAGTAGAGACAGAGTTTCATCGTGTTGGCCAGGCTGGTCACGAACTCCTGACCTCGTGATCTGCCTGCCTTAACCTCCTGAAGTGCTCGGATTATAGGCGTGAGCCACCGCACCCAGCCTAATTTTTGTATTATGTATTTATTTGTTTGTTTGTTTGTTTGAGATGGAGTCTCGCTTAGTCGCCCAGGCTGGAGTGCAGTGGCACGATCTCGGCTAACTGCAACCTCAGCCTCCTGAGTTCAAGCGATTCTTCTGCCTCAGTCTACCGAGTAGCTGGGACTACAAGCCCGCACCACCACGCCCAACTAATTTTTGTATTTTTAGTAGAGATGGGGTTTCACCAGATTGGCCAGGTTGGTCTTGAACTCCTGACGTTGTGATCTGCCCACCTTGGCCTCCCAAAGTGCTGGGATTACAGGTGTGAGCCACCGTGCCCAGCAATTTTTGTATTTTTAGTAGAGACAGGGTTTCGCCATGTTGGCCAGGCTGGTCTCAAACTCCTGACCTCAGGTGACTCACCCCGCCTCGGCCTCCCAAAGGATTACAGGTGTGAGCCACTGTGCCCAGCCAAATGTGTCTGTTTCTATGTGAGCATTTGTAGGTAATGGTGAGGGTAGAAAGGGTGACTATGATTAGTAGCCCTTGAAAAATGCTATGCAGGCCAGGTGCTCGTTGGCTCACGCCTGTAATCCCAGGAGTTTGGGAGGTCAAGGCAGGAGAATCGCTTGAGCCCAGGAGTTTGAGACCGACCTGGGCAATATAGTGAGACCCCTCTGCCCCATCTCTAAATAAAGAAAAAGAAAATGAAGAATGCTATGCAAAACTCAAACCAAACCAATGCCACAAAACAAAACAAAAACTCCCTCCCAAAAACCCCAAAACTGTGAAGAAGAAGCCTAAGAGGTAGAGATGACCAGCAGAAAGTTACATTCTGTGATCTTGGAAATGAGATCTTGGAGAATAGCAATAGACAGGTGAGAGCAGTGGTCAAGGCGGTGGGGCTGTGCAGGCCAGAGGGACATGGGGATCTTTAAGTTTGCATTTCACTTCTGGCAAATGAGTGAGCTTCTTGAAGCCTTGGTGTCCTCATCTGTAAATGAGGATGACAGCACCTATCCTGTAAGGGTGGTGGAAAGATGGAATAAATAATGCAGGTAAAGCTCTTGGCACGGTGCCTGGCCTGCAGGAAGCTTTTGTTGTTATGCATGTTTTATAATCCTTTGGATCGCAGTCATTGGGTACTTGGTGTTCATTGTTTTGACTCCTGTTGTTCAAGCGCCTTGAATGTCCTCAAGGCAAAATTGACATCACCTTTGGTCCTTCCTAGGAAAATTAGGAGCAGGGTGGTGTTAGGGCCGTCACTGGACATTCCAGGTCTCCCACCCATAAATGGAGAGGTGGAGTCTGCCTGCAAGACACATTGCTAGGAAAAGATGGGACATTTGGCTTAGTTTCAAACCAATATTTCCTTTATACCCTTCCACAGAGAGGTGACAGGGATCCAGTTAGTGGCGAGTTGTGGAGCAGCAGAGACTGCAATGCGATGTTCTTTATGATTTTCCTATTTCTTTGGTTGGAATTGGGTTTTTACATCACATATTGTTTGATTATAAAAAAGCAACAACACAGCCGGGCGTGGTGGCTCACGCCTGTAATCCCAGCACTTTGGGAGGCCGAGGCAGGCGGATCACCTGAGGTCAGGAGTTTGAGACCAGCCTGACCAACATGGTGAAACCCCGTCTGTACTAAAAATACAAAAATTAGCTGGACGTGGTGGCGGGCGCCTGTAATCCAAGCTACTCGGGAGGCTGAGGCAGGAGAATTGCTTGAACCCAGGAGGTGGAGGTTGCAGTGAGCCAAGATTGTGCCATTGCACTCCAGCCTGGGCAACAGGAGTGAAATTCTTTCTCAAAACAACAACCACAGCACTATGCTTGTGTTGGGGCAGTGGATAATGAGAAATCTCTGTACCTCCCACTCAAGTTTGCTGTGAACCTTAAACTGCTCTAAAAAAATAAAACATATCGAAACAAAATAAAAAAACAAAAACAAACAGCTGCAAGAACTCTTGCACAGAGGGTCAAAAGAATGGCTTTTGACTAGCTACAGAAACATGGATAAAAAACATGCTGGCCAGGCGCAGTGGCCCATGCCTGTAATCCCAGCACTTTGGGAGGCCGAGGCGGGTGGATCACCTGAGGTCAGGAGTTCAAGACCGGCCTGGCCAACATGGTGAAACCCTGTCTCTACCAAAAATACAAAAATTAGCCGGGTGTGGTGGTGGGCGCCTGTCATCCCAGTTACTTGGGAGGCTAAGGCAGGAGAATCACTTGAACCCGGTTCAAGTGAAGCTGAAGAAGTTGCAGTGAGCTGAAATCACAACACTGCACTCCATCCAGCCTGGGAGAGAGAGAGAGACTCTGTCTCAAAGAAACAAGCAAACAAAAAAAAATGTGCTAAACACGTAGAGACCAACCACATTGCTGTCAGTAGGTAGTGAAGCACTTTCCTATAAATATTTCAGGACTCTTCTTTCTCTACTTAAAAAAGAAAGATTGCTTTGCATTTCAGACAACGGAAATGACTGGACAAGCCTTTAGGTCATGTGCAAGAAACTGAGAAAACCATTTTCCTTAAATGGAGATGGAGTTTGGCACAGTCTGAGGTTCAAGTTAGAGCCTGGGTCTTAATTTGCCTGCAACGCATGATTTATCATGCCTTTAGCAAGATCCCCGGCCCAAGACCATTCATTTCACCCCTACAATCTCAAGGTGTGTGCAGGGCACAATTCAGCTTTAAACTTTTCTGCTTTTACTTTTGGTTAGGCAGAACCTCCGTCTGGTGGTATTTGAATATGAGTGTTTTCTGTGGCCCTTTTCAAAGTATTCAAAGTGGTTTAAAAATACATAATGTTCAGAGATCTAAGAGCTAACGGAAGTACTTATTTGGGCCTTTTAAAAATAAAAAAATCAATTAAACAGATTTGAGACTCTTAACTCTCGCGATGTCTTCAAAATAGATACTAAGATTAAAGAAAAAAGAAGGCTTGAAAATCATAGGACTACTTATCCACCCAGTCATAATGCTTTTAGTAGTGACAGTAGTAGCAAATAGCACAGTTTATAAAAACAGAAGAGCTAAAATTCTTTATTTAATATTAAACAGGAAACCGAAAGTAGTCTGCAGCAATGTGGTGGGTTTTCAGCAACCTGCTGCTGTGTTTATCTGTGCTGAAAAAGCCTAAATGAAACATTTCTTCTTTGATTGCCTTAAGATTGTAAGTTTGAAGGAAAATCCTTCAAACTGGAATCATGACCACTGGAAGCAGGTTCTGTATGGTAAGGTTTTGAAGCAACCTGTTTCCACCAGAACCAAAGGAAATTTGGAAGCAAATCAAAAACCTCTCAAAGAGTGGAAAAAGCTTTGTACTTTTATTTTGCCTTTGTGCATTGTTGTCATTTATCCAACATGTGCATATGAATATTCTTTCTGAAGACCTGGGCTTCATTTTAAGGTCAGCCTTCAATTTCTAGAGAATATAATTTGCTGCTATTTTTAGAGCATCATGATTGCTTGTAATAACTAATGGAAAAAAACTCAGAGAAATAAATGTGTAACAGCTGTGTCTGCTTAAACTTGATTAAAGGCAGTAAAAAAAAGTAAACAGAAGAACGAATGTGACAATAGACAAGGGGGAGACAAGTATCTCTCTCATTGTGAAAACTTTTACAGGCATAACTTGTTCCACTTTGGAAGGCCAGCGATGTCTGTGTTTAAAGTTTACTTTACTGTTTGTCTTGAGTGGGATCAGTGTTGTAGTGAATAATTTATAGCCAGCATGAATGAGCTCATTAGTCACCTTTTCAGACTTTAAATGAGTTTTGTGGTTGTCATTACTCGAGCCTTCTGTTCAGCCGCGGAGCAAAATGACAGTTTGGCAGTTGTTGCTGGGGCCGCCTGTTCCCCTTCAGGTCTGTGTTGGCTTTTGTATTTCGTTGAATCCTTCCCTGGCTAACCCTTCGCTGGTCCAGGCAGCAACTCTCCCACTTCACATGCCTTTTGCACCCCAAGTTTAAATGAGAAGTTTTTCAGGCTTCAAAAAAAAAAAAATCAGTTGTGTCTGCCAGAGAGAATGGGGGAATGAGGTGGATGAAATGAGCTTTTTCCAGCAACTCCTGGGTATGATTCCCTTTGTGCTTGGTTTGATATTCAAGCTACTCAAAAGCAAAAAGCAAGCCAGTGCGTTGAGAGGCAGCGGAGCCAGGCTCCCACATGGTGCCAGGCGTTTTAGACCGAGGATGTCACTGGAATTTGGAGGGAGAAGGATGTTTCAGGGTAGGTTTGAACTGTTTCAATTCTGAGTATCAGTGTGATGAGGGTAAAGAAACTTGCTACAGCAAATAAATCTGCGAGGCCAGATTTCCACGGACAAAGAAAACTGCATTTTTTCTACAAAGGGGTTGACAGCATGACTTTTCAAGGTCGCAGCCAACACGGAGGTCCAGGATCACTGGGAATGGTCATTACCTCTTCCCCATCTCTGTGCCTCCCAACTCCAAATCATTAAGAGAAAGCGAACTGTTGCAGCTGCCTCCTCACTGAGCCCTTGGAGACATGCCTGGGAGGCTGGTATGTGGGGAAGACAAGCCTAGGCATGCCAGTAGCAGGTGGGATTTCTTTGGAACGGATGTCATGAAGTTCATCCCTCCCATTGAACCTGGCCTGGGCAGCCTCCGGAGAGCTCTGCCATTCACTCCCTGGGACTGGCCTCCATCCAGAAGTCCAGGACACCGTGGCATGCCCACCTTGGTCCTCAGGTAGCCTCTGCAGGCACTCGTGGGGCGTGGAGGCCTGCGCAGGGTGCCTTGGCCAGGTGCTTGGACCCCTGCGCTGAGGTCTCTCTGACGTCTGCTGCGAGCAACAGGCACTCATGGCTGCCGTCACCAACGTGGGCAGCACCCCCTCCGGGACCCATATTGTTAGACAGCTGGCCTGGCGCTGTGTGAGGCATAGAGGAAACATGTTCAGGATTCCTCTCTGGAAGCAATGCCAACTTAAAAAGGACGCCTGGTTGTTTGGGGGCCAAATCTTTGAAACCAGTCAGAATCACGTCTTTGAGTGCAGAGAAGTGAGGTGCTGTTGAACATACCCACAGAAAGAGCTAGCAATTCACCTGCTTGCTTCCTTTCCAGCCCCGACCCTTTTAAGATTGAGTACTCACATGCAGTCACGTCTCACAATTTCTGGACACCTTTTGCCTGCACCTCAACCTCAATATTAAAGGCACAAGATACACTATTTTGGGAAGGAGTGAGGATTTCAAAACAGAAAGGGTTGGTGAACTTGACTAGCCAATGAAAAGAGACTTCAGGTTTGGCTGTTGTAATAAATGGAATAAATTGCTAATCTCCAAAAAAGAACTTTGTGCTGCAGGGAAATATGTTAGTAATCATTTAATCTATATTCTGTTTCTCAGAGAGTTCATCAAATTCAGAGCTCTTACTTTGTTTTAAAAAGACTCTCGTAGAGAGAAGAATCAATTGTTTTCTTTCACACCCCTCTGAAAAAGTAAAACGAGAGAAGTTATTTCTTGGCGTGGATAAGACTTTGGCAGACTTAGCCACCGAAACCCATGAGACTATGGTACTTGGTGTACTCACTAAAGAGAGGAAAACAATAAAATCTCTTAAAAACTTTGGAGGAGGAAAATGTTGATGAGGCTACTTTTCTCTGACTGATCTGTAGAGTTAATAGATGCCAGCTTGAGAGAGGGATAAAAAGGAGACTTTTTTTTTTTCCTGTTAAGTGATCAATATTTTTTATTACCACTGTGCCATGTGCTATGAGCAGAAGAGAAAACAGAGTCCCTTGCCCCTCAAGGCACTTACACTCTGTTGGTGACGTTCAGTATCTAGTTGATTTATTTTTTTATTACAAAGATACACCATACTTTGTTGATTATGACATAGAAGTTGAACTTTGAGTTTTTGCAAGTAGTGCCTTTTCATTCAGTTAAAAAGTCCTGGCCGGGCACGGTGGCTCACTCCTGTAATCCCAGCACTTTGGAAGGCCGAGGCAGGTGGATCACGAGGTCTAGGAGCTGGAGACCAGCCTGGCCAAGATGGTGAAACCCCATCTCTACTAAGAATACAAAAAAAAAAAAAAAAAATCAGCCGGGCGCAGTGGTGGAGGCCTGTAATCCCACCTACTTGGGATGCTGAGGCAGGAGAATCGCTTGAACCCAGGAGGCGGAGGTTGCAGTGAGCCAAGATCGCACCACTGCACTCTAGTCTGGGCAACAGAGCAAGACTCCATCTCAAAAAAAAAAAAAAAAAAAAAAGTCCCCTTTTCCTTCCTCCTCTTGTGCTTTTTTTCTTCTTTTTCTTTTTCTTCTCTTTTCTTTTTTTTTTTTTGAGACAGAGGCTCACTCTGTCGACCAGGCTGGAGTGCAGTGGCACGATATCAGCTCACTGCAACCTCCACCTCCCTGGTTCGAGCATTTCTCCTGCCTCAGCCTCCCAAGTAACTGGGAGTACAGAAACCCACCACTGCGCCCGGCTAATTTTTGTATTTTTAGTAACAGAGTTTCACCATGTTGGCCAGGCTGGTCTCGAACTCCTGACCTCAAGTGATCCACCCGCCTCGGTTTCTCAAAGTGCTGGGATTCCAGGCGTGAGCCACCGCGCCCGGCCCTCCTCTTCTATTTCTCGGTCACAATTTTGTCTCCCTTGTACCCCACGGGTCCTGTCCTTCATGTCCTAGGCCCCTGAGAGGTTCTCTAAGAAGCCAGGTGTTCTGAAGCTTTCCCAAACTCACTGTGTGGGTTCAATTCCCAGCCCCATCATTTACCGGCTGTGTGTTATGAGCAAGTGGCCAAACCTCTCTGTGCCTCAGAATCTCAGTTGATAAAATGGGGATAATAATAGTACCTACTTCACATGATTAATGTGAGGCTGAAATGAGTGAATATTTTCGGAGCTTTAGAACACTGTCTGGCATCCAGTTAAGTGCTATTTCGGTGTTTGTTAAATGCAGTCAGTCCTCATCATTGGTAGTTTTTGTATTTGCGAATTCACCCTCTTGCTAAAATTTACCTGTAATCTCAAAATCAGTACTCCTGCCCGGGCATGGTGGCTCAGGCCTTCCCAGCACTTTGGGAGGCCGAGGCGGGTGGGTCACCTGAGGTCAGGAGTTCTAGACCAGCCTGGCCAACATGGTGAAACCCTGTCTCTACTAAAAATACAAAAAATTAGCTGGGCGTGATGGTGGGCGCCTGTAATCCCAGCTACTCAGGAGGCTGAGGCAGGGATAATCACTTGAACCTGGGAGGCAGAGATTGCAATGAGCTGAGGTCATGCCACTGCGCTCCACCCTGGGTGACAAGAGCAAGACCCTGTCTCAAAAAAAAAAAAAAAAAAAAAAAAAATCAGTACTCCTGGTGCTTTTGTGGTCACTCATGGACACGTACAAATGAGTCATTCAGTGTGCACGTTCCCAGCTGAGGGTGAACAAAGTGATGTTCTGCCCGCTTGTTTTGGCTTTCCAAGTGTCCTTTTTGTGGTCTGTTTAGTACCACATTTTTTGCATTTTTGTTCATTTTGCTGTTTGAAACGGAGCCCAAGCACTGCTGAAATGCTATCTAGTGTTTCTAAGTACAGGAAGGCTGTGGTATGCCTTATGGATAAAATGTGTATTAGATAAGCGTCATTCTGGCACAGTTCGTTGTGAATGAACAACAATATATATTCAAAAAGCTTCTTAAATGGAAACACAGATAAAATAAATATCAACAAAATTATGATGTGATAATATATCAGTAAAATTAAGTTTTCATTGGTTGATGAAAGGGTTGTGAGTGGAGGCTCACAGGAACCTAACCCCATATTTCCCCTAGGAGCAATGATTCAGGATTTGTTAATTCAGTGTTTGTGACACTTTATAGAACACAACTACTATGAATAAAAATAATCAGCTATAGGCTGGGCGCGGTGGCTCATGCCTATAATCCCAGCACTTTGGGAGGCCAAGGTGGGTAGAACACCTGAGGTCAGGAGTTCGAGACCAGCGTGGCCAACATGCTCAACCCCGTGTCTATTAAAAAAAAAAATTAGCCGGGCATGGTGGCACAAGCCTGTAATCCCAGCTACTCAGGTGGCTGAGGCAGGAGAATCACTTGAACCCAGGAGGCAGAGGTCGCGGTGAGCCGAGATTGAGCCATTGCACTCCAGCCTGGGCAACAGAGCAGGACTCTGTCTCAAAAACAAAACAAAACAGGCCAGGCGCAGTGGCTCATGCCTGTAATCCCAGCACTTTGGGAGGCCAAGGTGGGTGGATCACGAGGTCAGGAGTTCAAGACCAGCCTGGCCAACATGGTGAAACCCCGTCTCTACTGAAAATACAAACAATAGCTGGGTATGATGGCATGTGCCTGTAATCCCAGCTACTTGGGAGGCTGAGGTGGGAGAATTGCTTGAACCAGGACCCGGGAGGCAGAGGTAGCAGTGGGCCAAGATCGTGCCACTGCATTCCAGCCTGGGCTGCAGAGTGACACTCTGTCTCAAAAAAAAAAAAAAAAAAAAGAAAAGAAAACAAAACAAAACACAACAAAAAAAAGTCAGCTGTACATAAAATGAGTTCAAGAACTGAGAGAGGTGATCTCCTCTTGTATCAGATAAGCATCACGAATATCCCTGGGGCAGGAGAAGCATTAGTAGCTCTGGTCATGTGGGGTAACTCAGCTGGGCACAGATTTTCTATCAGATCTGAAAAATAAAAATAACTTGTAACCACATTTAGTGGCATGATCACGGCTTACTGTAGCTTCAACCTCCAGGGCTCAAGTGAACCTCCTACCTTAGCCTCCTGAGTAGCTGGGACTATAGGCACGTGCCACCATGCCTGGCTAATTTTTCTATTTTTTTTTTTTTTGTAGAGTCATAGATCTCCCTATGTTGTCAGGCTGGTCTTGAACTTCTAGGCTCAAGCAATCCCCAGCCTCGACCTCCCAAAATGTTAAGATTATAGGTGTGAGCCACCGCACCTGCCTTCCCCCACAAATTCTTAATTCAAGAGTATTTTGAACTCTTGAATCTTGGAACCTGCGTAAGAGTTTGTAGAGAAAGTTTGATATTCAAAACCTATAAACCAAAAGACTTCCCACGGCCAGACAATAGACCTCATAACACAGGATATAATGTTTGTTGTACTTAGCAATTCTCCTGTTTGCTCAGAGCACCAGGCTTTTCAGAAGGGGATCGTTTTGTCCCTCCTGATTGAAAAGATCACAGAATGCTTTAATTTTGTGAAGCGCTTTGCCAACATATTCATTTTCCCCTAAACTCTTACTTTATGAAATCTTTGCAAATTGTTTCACACGTACAGTCTCTGAGAATGTGAAAATGATTCAGAAAAGGGAAAGCCTCACTTAAAACTACTGGAAAATGCAAATGAAAGGGAACAAAGGGAACATGGCCCCACTGTGCCCCACAGAATGTAATAATATGCCTCTGGCCTCTTATTTCAGCAATTTCCAAGTTTTTGTGATTTTAAACAACGTCCCAGCAAAATCCTCCTAAATACATTGTTGCTTCCTTCAGTTAATTTATTCAATACATATTTATTGAGTGTCTTCTGCCAGGCATAAATGCCAGGTGTGCACTGCTGAATCTAATAGGCTGGAGTCCTGCTTTCCTGGGGTTTATTGCCTCTTCCCAGTAGTCAGTCTGGTGGGGAAGTTAACTCTCTTATAGGATCTCCCAAGGATAAATTCCTAGAAGTTGGAAATTTAGGATCAGTGGCTGTCCGTGCTCACTGAAATTTTAATTTGTTTTGCGACTGTCCTCTTGAAAAGTTATACCACTTCCCACCAGTGCCTTCAACCAACATTGGCATGGTTAGTTCTTTTAAGTCTCTGCCATTCTGATAGATGAAATGAGATATCACAATTGCTTTAATTTGCATTTCTTTGATTTTTACAGTTTTGAGCGTCTTTTCATGGGGATAGTCTCATTTTTGTTTCTCTTTTTGTGAATTTGCCCCTTTTCTTATTAGAGTGATAATTTTTTTCTCATTGAGTTGTAAGATTTATAAATTTAAAATATTAACCCTGTTTTCATCTGCATGTCCAATATTTCATTTGTTTTTAAATTTTATTTATGACCCCTGATTTTACACACAATTCTAAATTGGTATGCAGTCTAATATGTCAAGATTTTCATTTTGATTTGTTGGCTTAATAAAAATAGTGTTCACTAAGTGCCAGAGCCCTGTTTTATGTTCCTTACAAAGATTAATTTATTTAATCTTCACAACAGTCCTATGAAGTGAAAACTAGGTAGATAGAAAGAAGTTAAGAACCTTGACTGAGGTTAACCTGCTAGTAAGTGGTAAGATCAGAGTACGAACCTAGTCTGTGTCTAACCACTGCGCCTCCCCACTACTGGTCTTGGTATTAGACTCTGTGTGTGTGTTTGCTTATTTGTGGTTGCTTTATAAATGCTCATAGACCTACTCCTCCCTGAGGGCAGGTGCCGTGTCTTCTGTTTCTCCTGGCCTCTTCCCAGTCCCCTCCACTCTTCACTGGGTATAGAGGAGCTAGATGCTTACTTGTTGACGGAATTAATTGAGTAAATCTGGATTCTAGATCATCGGCTCACACTTGTGTTTATGCTCAAAGAGGAGTTGACAGGTTCTATATTTCCATTTTGCCTCCAGCAGCCGGCTTGACAAGCTCAGGTTTGGCGAGGGCACCTGAGCTGATGAACTTCACCCTACCAGTTCAGCTGTACTTTCCCTTACTACACACCCTGCTTCCCTCTTAAAGTAAGCCTGGCTGCATTCCCTGCTGGAGAAATTCTAATAAGCCCTTTCCCAGGCTCCACCCTTCAGAATCTGTCAAGTAAACAGCAAGAAGGCACAAAAGGAAAATCCCAAGAGACGGTGACCAGAAAGTTCAAATGATGTTTGACCAAGACTTTACACACACCAAGATGTTAAGGGTCTTCCAGCCGAGGGGCGCCGTCTCTTTTCCACAGCGGGAAAGTGAGGAGTTTTTTTACTCTTACAAACAGCGTTCTCAGACCTTATCTCAAAGAGACTCTTAGTCAACCCATGATTAAGGAGTTATCTTTGAACATAATCTCCCCCTCTCTTCTCATATTCAATCATTTGACAAATCCTCTTGGTTCTTCCTTTGAAGACTGTCTTGCGTTCATTTGTTCCAGTCTCACTGACTCTTCTGATTCACTTGGTCTTGAAGTGGGTCCACAGACCAGCAGCCTCACCTGGGAGCTTGTGAGAGATTCACATCCTCAAGCCCAGCCCACACCTCCCCAACCAGAAACTCTGGGGGTGGGCCCTGCAGTTTGTGTTTTAACAAGCCCTTCAGGTAATTCCTATGCATACACGAGTTTGAGAACCACTGCTCCAGTGGACGCCCCCTCAACCCCCTTATAACATTATAAATGTAATGGGCCAGGTGCGGTGGCTTATGCCTGTAATCCCAGCACTTTGGGAGGCCGAAGCCGGAAGATTGCTTGAGACCAGGAGTTTGAGACCAGCCTGGGCAAAATAGCGAGACCCCATCTCTACAGAAAAATTAGCCTGGCATGGTGGCATGCGCCTGTAGTCCTGGCTACTTGGAGGCTGAGGAAGGAGGATTGTTTGAGTCTAGGAGTTCGAGGCTGCAGTGAGTTACGATTGCACCACTGTGCTCCAGCCTGGATGACAGAGCCAGACTCTGTCAAATAAATTAATGTATATATGTATGTATATATGTAATGGGTGTTTATTGTAGACCATTTGAAAAATAGCGGGGCCCAGCACGGTGGCTCGCGCCTGTAATCCCAGCACTTTGGGAGGCTGAGGCGGGCAGATCACCTGAGGTTGGCAGCTCGAGACCAGCCTGACCAACGTGGAGAAACCCCGTCTCTACTAAAAAAATACAAAAATTAGCCGTGCGTGGTGGTGCATGCCTGTAATCCCACCTACTCGGGAGGCTGAGGCAGGAGAATTGCTTGAACCCCAGAGGCAGAGGCTGCAGTGAGCCAAGATGGCGCCACTGCACTCCAGCCTGGCCAACAAGAGCAAAACTCCATCTCAAAAAAAAAAAAAAATTTCCCTGGGTGGAAACACCATAAACCAATTGCCCACACGGACAATTGCACGATTTCACATGAATTCTCAGCAATATGTTTGGCCTGGTGCAGTGGCTCATGCCTGTAGTCCCAGCACTTTGGGAGGCTGAGGCAGGCGGATCACCTGAGGTCAGGAGTTCAAGACCAGCCTGACCAACATGGAGAAACCCCGTCTCTATAAAAATACAAAATTAGCCAGGTGTGGTGGTGCATGCCTATAATCCCAGCTACTCGGGAGGCTGGGGCAGGAGAATCACTTGAACCTGGGAGGTGGAGGTTGCAGTGAGCCGAGATTGTGCCATTGCACTCCAGCCTGGGCAACAAGAGCAAAACTCTTGTCTCAAAAAAAAAAAAAAAAAAAAGAAAGAAAGAAAATATGGACAAGTATGAAAGAAGCACACAAAAAAGAAGTATCCCATAACTCTAACATTCAGAAGGAACCACTATTTTAGCCTTTTTTCCCCAATTTTTTTTTTTCTTAAACAGTCTTCATTCTGTTTTGTATGAATTACTGCAATGATTTCTGAGTTGTTCTGCTGGTTTTTGATCTTCCAGTTTCTCTCTTCCTCTCCCGAAATTCATCTTGGATCCACCATCCCCATTTATCTTTTTTTTTTTTTTTAATTCGTATCTCTGATAATACAACTTCTGGGCTCAAAAATATTCAGTGAGCCACCTTTGCCCTCTGACCTTAACACATATAAATTGCTCACCCTGCTATTCAAGGAGTTTGGTGATATGATGCTTGCACTCTTACCCACTAATCTGTGTGCTCTTTAGGGACAAAGACCGTCTATCTCTGGCAGCTAACACAATGCCATGCACTTGGTAGGCACTCAGCAAATATTTGTTCAGTGAATGAGTTCCTCTTCTACTACAATCAAGTCAGATTTGGTAATTCTGTGCCATCGATTTCTCTTGGAACAGCAGTTTGTAAGCAAAATCATCCCCTTGTGCTTTCTCAAAATACACATATCCAGGCACCATCCTAGAAGACTCTAGTTGGTTAGGTGTGGCTTCTGGATGGTTCTGATGGGCATCCCCAGGTGAGAAGCTCAGGTCAAGAACACCCCTTCCCCATTTCCACAGGTTAAACAGCAACCCACCCTTATTAGATATCCCACTTCCAAAGTCATCTCCCCTCCCTTCCCCAGATGTTTCACCATGTCCCTTGTCTCAGCTGTTAGCAGTAGGGAGTGGTGGGGGGCCATGCGCGTAGGGGAGTCATGTGACTCAGGCTAGGCCAATCGCACTATTTCCCTGAGAAGTTAAACTATGTCATGGAAGGCTTGAGGCAGTTCAAAGGTGGTGGGTGCTAAAAGTCAGAAGGCCTCAGGGCTTGCTGCTGGCAGCCCTGTGTGGTTATCATTGAGCAGAGGAAGCCAACCTGCAGGGTAGAGAGTGGAGTCACCTATAGAGGGAAGCACGAAAGGAATATGGTTCTGTGCAGGCCAGCGGTGTGTGCCTGCCCAGCCTCCCCGTATTTCCTCTCATATATCCTTTGTACTGGAGTCTCTTTGCAGGATCCCTCCCCAGAAGACTGTCTTTCCAGGCCTGCCTCGGACTCTTCCTATTTTGGGCAGTCTCTCAGGTCTTCCCGACTGCACCTGCTCACCTACTCAGTTGTACTGCCTCAAGGGGGGCAAGGTATATCGGGTTTTATACTTAACTATTCCATAAATAGCCATGCTGCTCTAATAACCAATACAGTGTGTGTGTAGGGGGATTAAAGTTCTTGACCAGAGAAACATTTAGCAAAAGAATGCACAAAACATCAAGGGAGGGGCGCTCTTCTCCTTGGAGGAGGAACTGAGGTCCCACGCTGATGGGGGCAGATAAGCCTGGAATTGAGGACTTCCAGCTCCCAGATACTTATGTACTCTCCAGCCCATGCTCAGATGGGGCTGCAGAATGGTCCCATCAAGTCCTCTATCAGGAAATAAGTGTTTCTCAAAGTGATTTCTAGGGCACATATACAATTCGGCTGTTAAATGTGTTTGTAAAACAGTGTAGACAAGACATTAGACAATGCAGCTTGCTTATTTGTGACTTCTCAGGACCTAAGACGCAAGGGTCCTTTCTGAAAGTTCATGGGGAATTGTGAATGGGGTTGTTCCCAAACAAATTTGGCCCCTGCACCCTAGGTCAGGAAGCAAGTCCCAGAGCTGAGGTTCTATGGAATTAGAAGGTGGAAAAGGCCACATTAAGCCCTCCTTTGGCTTTCAGCATTTTTTCCCCCATTTCAGATAGACCGACAGGCAGACATGTGTCCCCTGCTGTCCACATCAGGCAGGGCTGGTCCACCACTTCCTCTTCAGGGTGACACCTTCTCACATCTCTTGCTGCAACTGTAATGGGAGAGAGAAATTAAGAAATATGTTTGAGAATGCAAGAAGCAAAAACACACATGGAATGACATATTCCATGTACAATCACCTTTGGCTCACATCCCCTCTTTTTGAACTCTGAGAAAGCAGGAGGGGACTGGGGCCGGTGAAAATAAGGTGCCACCTCTACTTAATATAAAGAGATTTCTGGCTATTGTGTGAGTGTAGCTGGGGGACTTGGGGGTGGGGTTGGGGGCTGGGGATGGAAGAGGAAGATGTAAGGGGGCGACTTCGTCCTCTCTAGGCCAGCAAGGGCTTGGACAAAGGTCTCTGGCCTTGGTTCCTCTGGCGGAGAATAAGCACCCTCAACTGACGCGCTGATGGAGGGGCAGGACCTGCATTAGCCGGAGCTACAGGAAAGCAGGGTACACATTGTCTCATCCTGGCTTTGTTACCACTTCTAACCCTGAGAATCTCTGGCGTGAGACTTCAAAGATCATCTGACTTGTCTCTGCCACCTTGTGCCTTTTGCTTAGTGACTTTGGGTAGGTCGCATCAAGTGCTCAGTAATCAAAGGGGTGGGGCTGGATGACCTCAGGCTACCCCTGGGCTTCCACCTCCTAATTGTCTCCAGATGGGGAGATGCCACACAACTTGGAAGTAGTAAGGTCTCCGGTGAGTCTGAAAGGCACATCTTTGCTGAAGACTTGTCACCTGCCCTCTTGAACCTTTGTTAGGGGGAATGACTCTCAGATTGGGGGGGGGGGGTCTATTTTTTGAGACAGAAAAAATTTTCAGAAGCCTAACTGGTGTTTCCCTTAGTCCCTCCTTTTGGCTAGGTTTAAAAGTACTGCATGCTAGAAAGCTTTCTCCAGGTCTACTCGCTGTTTTTTTCTGTAGTTTTCAGACCGCTCACGATGTCCTGTCCACTGGCTCAGGAGGGGGTGGCAGGAAGGGTGCCCTGGGCTTCTCCTCTGTAGAGGAACCAACCAATTTGGCTACCTGGGAGTAATGTGCAATCACATTTTTATTTTTGTCACCACCAGGGTGTCCTGTTGGACTCTCTCCTCTCATCCTCTCCCAAGGCGGCTGGTTGGTGTGGCTTTAGCAGTGGGTGCTATTATTTGGAGGTGCCTAGAGACTTAGAGTGGTGGCTGCACCATTTCGCTGGGTGGCTTGCGAATTGTCAGTCTGGTTCCTGAGAGCTCAAACTGAGATGGAAATGAGACCTGTTTTCTCTCTAGGCCGGCCGGGGCGTTCCGCACAACCCACTTGAGAGGCCCCACCGGCGTGGCCTTTAGGACGGTGCCTCTTGTCTTGTAATGGCCACCGGCCCTCCCTCGGGAGACACGCGGCCACCTGGGTGGGACGCTGCGGTGCTTACCTCCGGGACACGAGGTGGTCGCTGGGAGAGGGCTCGGAAGGCCCTGGGGGTCCTATCAGGACGCAGCACTGGGGAGACGTGGAATCTCCTCTTCTCACCCCCACAAGCCTCGCCCGCATCGTAATTCTTTTTATTTTTACTTTCGAGCCATGTAAGGCATGCAGATGGGGTAGGAGCGTTCCCGCGACACGTTGCCAGCAGCGCAGCGCCGGCCCGCTCGTGTGGCCGGAGCCCGGGGAGGGGACAGGGCACGCGCCGCCTGACCCACCTGCCCCACCGCCCACGGTCGCGGCCGCCCTGGGTCGCGGGACCCGCGCCGGTCACCCCCGCCCCGCGGGGCCCAAGAGGCGAGGCCGCGCGGCCCAGCCCCGGCCTCCGCCCTGGCTGAGTGCTGGGGCGCGCGAGGGGCGCGGGCAGGGTCCGCCCCGGCGGGTCAGTGCCCCGCGCCCCAGGCCGCTGGCGGCCAGGCCCACGTTTTCCCTTTCTCCGGCTCCCTCCGCCCTCCGCTCTGTCCCTCCCTCCGCCCTCCTCCCTCCCCGCGCTTCCCCTCCTCCTGCCTGGTCATGTGTCGCCTTTTTTTGTTTGCAGTGGAAACAATTTCTCGCCGCTCGGCGCGCCCCGGCCCGACGCGCCGCGGCGGAGGCGAGCGGGAGGCGGGACGGGGCGGGGAGAGCGGCGGGGCCGGCGGGAGGACGCGCGGCGCGCCCGGCGGACGCCGCAGGTCCCATGCCGCGCCGCGACCCCCGCGCCCCTGCCGCCCGCGCCCGCGGCCGCCCCCCGCCGCCCGCCGCCCCGGGCTCGCCGCGCCGCGCCCGCGCGTCCTTAGCGGGGCCACCGAGCGATGCCCGCCGGGCGCCCGCGAAAGTTTGTCGGCTCCTGCTGAAGGGCAGCGGCGCCCCCGCACCCCCGTGCCCCGCTCCGGCCAGGTGAGTTTGCACCCCGCTCCTGCCGGCTCCCGCGTGGGCTCGGGGGGCACCCGGGGCGGGAGGCGCGTCCGAGACGGTCCTGGAGACTACCTCGCCGCTCTGGGAAGACGAGGGACCCCGCAGGTCCTGGGGGGAGGGTCGGGTGTGGACCCCGGGAGCCCCCGAGCCGGGAAGTTGCCGGGTCCGAAGAGTTTCCTGCCCCGACGTGCGTGCTGCTTCCCGGTGCCTCGGTTTCCGAAAAGACGCCCGCAAGGAACAGAGTTGGTATTGTCTGCGGAGGACGGGGTCCCCGCCGTTCCGGGCCGGGGAGGGGGTTCCGATCAAGTGGAGACCCCAAGATGAGAAACAGGCTCCTAACAAAGATCACCCCCCGGCCAAACTGTGCAGACTTGGCACAGGCAACGAACGTCTCCGGAGACCCCCGAGGCCCGACCCCCCTCATCCCGGCCCTGTTTGAAACCCTCCTTGGGCCCTGGATAAGTTGGGGGACGGCGGGCTTTTATTGATTTGTTTTCGAGGCTCGCCGCGGTGCGGCCAATAAAAGGTTTATGACATCTGACCGGCAGTGAAGGTATGCGAGCTCCCAATTGCCCTGTATATGGGGATAAGAGCAGTTTCCCCCGTTGCCCGGCAACGCCGCTGATTGACGCGGGGTGCAGCCAATCGCCACTCCCGCAGGTCCCCTTGAAATGTTTTTGACAAGTACAGTAGACGAGAGTGAAGCGCGTGCGTGCGCGCGCGCGCGTGCTGGGTGGGCGGGGGTGACCCGGCCCCCCAAACTCGCTACTGCTCGGCTCTGGGAAGATTTCTTAACTTTTTAAAGTTCGCATCGAACATCTGTTCAGAGCTGGGCCAGTAATGTCTTTGTCAGTTATTTGGAGACCTTCTGTTTACTAGGCGAGAAACTAAGCTTTCTTGCCGCATTTTCTCCGTTAAAAAATAAAGAGGGTAACAAAACACAGCAAGTCATAAAAAAAACAAAAGAGGGTGTGTGTGTGTGTGTGTGTGTGTGTGTGTGTGTGTAGAGAAAAGTTGTAAGGAGGTCACCAGTGAATAACTATTTGCGTATCTGGTGGAGCAGCCTTGTTGGCAGCAGATTAAAAATGTTTGCTTAACTGCAACTCACATGATCCAGATTCTTTTTTTTTCCCTCTGAAACAGGAGGAAAAAAAGATTTGGCGAAATCTGTAGTTAGAGTATAATAATGGAAAACTCCTCAGCTGTGGTTTCTGGGAACTGTTTTTTTTTTTTTTTTTTTTTTTTTTTGGTTATTGTTGTTTTGTTTTGTTTTTACATGGAACTGTAGTGATCAGCAGCTCTTCACCCTGTTGGTATAAAATGCGGGATTTATAGGGATGCAGTGAGTGGTTGGAGAGTACGGGGTCCCAGCACAAAACGCACACATGATCCAAGGGTACTGAACTCCCATAACCCTCTCTTCGTGACAATGCCACTTTTTCTCCTAAAACCATATTGCTGGCAGTGTTTGTTTAAAACAAAAGGAAACATGGAGAATAGCGTGTTAGTTCCTCTGGGAAGCTACTGACAAATAAGCAAATTAAAAAGAAAGAGAGCAGCATGTTGTCATAGCAACAGTGCAATTAAATTACTTTACTGTCAGCCATGATATAATTTTCCTGTTTGGAAGCTCAGGAGACATAAAACTTTCATTTAGAGCTAAAGTTGACTTCAGTGGCTGGGTAGTTCTGTTTTATACTCTACTGTGGGCATATGCTGGTCATCAGAAAATTTTCTGATGGGATCTGAGGAAACTTTAAGAAAGACAAGTGGTGCTATAATTCGTTCATAAAGAAGTTAAAAGCAGGATCAGACCAGACTCTGTTGTATCCCCAAGCCAAAAGATGCTAGCTTGTTTTTTGTCTGAAATGTGTCAGGGTAACCTCCTTATTTGACAGAAAGAAATATTCCCTGTGAGTGAACCCAAGACGTCTGGAGCATCCTGCCTGGTCTGTACTGCAATGCCTCATGAAGTTTTCTCTCCTTAAGAGTTGGGCATCTTGGCCAGGCGCGGTGGCTCACGCCTGTAATCCCAGCACTTTGGGAGGCCGAGGCGGGTGGATCACGAGATCAAGAGATTGAGACCATCCTGGCCAACATGGTGAAACCCCGTCTTACTAAAAATACAAAAATTAACCAGTCATGGTGGCACACGCCTGTAGTCCCAGCTACTTGGGAGGCTGAGGCAGGAGAATCTCTTGAACCTGGGAGGCAGGGGTTGCAGTGAGCGGATTTTGCACCACTGCACTCCAGCCTGGGCAACAGAGTGAGACTCTGTCTCAAAAAAAAAAAAAAAAAAAACCGGTTGGGCCTCTCACCACAGCTCCCCCTTAGGCCTTGCGTCTAGCAGGTTCTACCTTTTGGAAGAGGGAAGGTACTATAATTCACAGGCACCCTTGGCTGGTAGGTTAGTGCCCAGGATTATGCCTTCTAGAATTCCCTAATAGAGCTTCCACAGCTGAAGTGGCAGTTGTTTTAGATGTGGTGTTAATGAACATTTAAGAGACATAGAAGGGTCATGTCTTTGCCTTTTTAATTTTATTTATTTATTTTTTTGAGACAGGGTCTCCCTCTGTTGCCCAGGCTGGAGTGCAGTGAGCCTCAACCTCCTGGGCTCAAGTGATCCTCCCACCTCAGCCTCCCAAGTAGCTGGGACTACAGGCACACACCACCACACCTAGCGAATTTTTGTATTTTTTTGGTGGAGATGGCGTTTTACCATGTTGGCCAGGCTGGTCTTGAACTTCTGAGCTCAAGGGATCCTCCTGCCTCAGACTCCCAAAGTGATGGGATTATAAGCATGAGCTACCATGCCTGGCCTATGTCTTTGCTTTTAAATATGTTCATTCATCCCTCCTCCTTCTTCTCCTCCTCCTCCTCCTCCTCCATCCCTCCTCCTCCTCCCCCTTCTCCTCCCCCTCCCGCTTCTTCCTCCTTCCTCCCCTTGCCCTGCCCTGCCCTGCCCTTCCCTGCCCTTCCCTTCTCTTGCCCTCCCTTCCCCTCCTCTCCTCTCCCCTCCCTTCCCTTCCTTTTCCCTTCTCTTTCCCTTCCTTTCTTCTTTCCCTTCCCTTCTTTTTTTCCTTCTTCTTTCCCTTCTTCCTTCCCTTCCCTTCTCCCTTCCCTTCCCCCTTCTCTTCCGTTCCCTTCCCCCTTCTCTTCCGTTCCCTTCCCCCTTCTCTTCCATTCCCTTCCCTTCTTCCTTACCTTCTTCAAAACTTTTGAGACAGCATCTCACTCTGTTGCTCAGGCTGGAGTGCAGTGGTACAGTCATGGCTCACTGCAGCCTCAGCTTCTTGGGTTCAAGCAGTCCTCCCACTCAGCCTCCCAAGTAGCTGGGACTACAGGCACATGCCACCATGCCCGGCTAATTTTTGTATTTTTCATAGAGATGGGGTTTCGCCATGTTGCCCAGGCTGGTCTCAAACCCCTGGGCTCAAGTGATCCTCCTGCCTCAGCCTCCCAAAGTGGTGAGATTATAGGCGTGAGCCACCATGCCCAGCCTGTTCATTTGTTTTCTAGGTAGATGCTTGATTTTCTTACTGTTCGTTTGTGGGGGGAATTAAAACCTAACAGTTTTAAACCAAGCATATTGTTTTAGCGCTACGGAGAGTGGGAGACCTTTTTGGTTATCTTTACTGTTCTTTCTGTGTTACGTTGGGTGCTGGAGGGTTGAACATGCTTTGTGTCTGTAGGGGTCATTCTGTTTGTAAACGTACCACCTCCTCGTTTTCTTTTCTCATCAGATGTTATTTTACTCCGTGTTCTAGGTCATTGATAAAAATGGGGATGGTGGTGGGTCGGGGTGGAGGGATAGAATTCTATGGCATGTTTTGTTGAATTGAATTGAATTTGCTGTCTTGAAACTGGCAGTTGCTCTCCTGACTTTTTTCACCAGCTCTAATTTCAGTTAATGGCTTATCTTACATTCCCATGTATTCTGTGTGGTACCTGAAGTTACTTGCTTTTCTTCTGTTCTGGAAGAAAAAATAATTCACAGTAAAATTTAACGTACTTTAAAACTGGTCTCCTGGTCTCAAGCAATCGTCCCGCCTCAGCCTCCCAAAGTGCTGGGATTACAGGCGTGAGCCACCGTGCCTGGCCGGTGTTACTGGTCTTATTTTATTTAAGGGGCATCAGGTCACCTTGCTATATGAATGGCGGGCTGATTTTTCTCATCAGCCTATCTCTCTGTGGTGGAATTGTGGGATTGTGTTGCTTAGTGTGGGAGTCACAAGGTGGTGTTCCTGTGTAGCAGGGGTTCCATAGAGGCGGCAGAGGGAGGCAACAGGATCAGAGGGGTACAGTCTGCCTTTCTGTTTTGGGCCTCGCCAGCTCATCATTTCTTTGTGATGTCTTTACTAGGAGCCTTCACGTAAATGGGTCCAGTCATGCCTCCCAGTAAGAAGCCAGAAAGCTCAGGAATTAGTGTCTCCAGTGGACTGAGTCAGTGTTACGGGGGCAGCGGTTTCTCCAAGGCCCTTCAGGAAGACGATGACCTCGACTTTTCTCTGCCTGACATCCGATTAGAAGAGGGGGCCATGGAAGATGAAGAGCTGACCAACCTGAACTGGCTGCACGAGAGCAAGAACTTGCTGAAGAGCTTTGGGGAGTCGGTCCTCAGGAGTGTCAGCCCCGTCCAGGACCTGGACGATGACACCCCCCCATCCCCTGCCCACTCTGACATGCCCTACGATGCCAGGCAGAACCCCAACTGCAAACCCCCCTACTCCTTCAGCTGCCTCATATTTATGGCCATCGAGGACTCTCCAACCAAGCGCCTGCCAGTGAAGGATATCTACAACTGGATCTTGGAACATTTTCCGTATTTTGCAAATGCACCTACTGGGTGGAAAAACTCAGTGAGACACAATTTATCATTGAATAAGTGTTTTAAGAAAGTGGACAAAGAGAGGAGTCAGGTAAGCCTCTGTGTCTGGAACCCAAGGTTTTCTTTTTTTTTTTTTAATTTAAAATTTTTCTCTATTAAAAATGAATTTCTATTCACCACATTGAAGTAGCAGTTGTAAGTGGGTTTTAGTCTATTTAATTCATTTAGATAATTTTAAAGAATTTCCTTTCCCTAAGCCTATTAGTTATGTACTGTTTATTAGCATTTGTACTATTTGAGAGTTTCCCACTGATAGGGTTTCCATAAAGATAAAACAGTGGTTTACAGAATTGATTAGTTCTCAGTTAACATCCCTCAGTGTGGATGGGTCACTTTGGTTTTAGGGTCTTAACAAAGGTCAGTATTCCAAGGACAGCCATTAACCGTGAAGTATGTGTGTGTATATACACTGCCACCATGGGCTAGAGAAAAATGGTGTTTCTTTTTTTCCCTGAATATGAACTAGGAGAAGGGAAATTTCTCCAGTGTTCTGGCATAAGTGGACAGTGATGAACATTGAGAAGAGACTTGAGTATACTTACGCTCGCAGACTAAACAGACATGAGTTGCCCAGGTGACTGTCATGAAATCTGGTGTCTGTATAAGTGACAACTTTGAAATTCCCGGCTCAGAGTGAGGGTCCCATTAGAGACTGACTTTTAAAAAGTTTAATATTGACTTTAAAGCAGAGGTCCCCAATGTTTTTGGCACTAGGGACCCATTTTGTGGAGAGCCAAGGGGGATGGTTTTGGTATGAAACTGTTCTACTTCAGATCATCAGTCATTAGATTCTCATAAGAAGCACGCAACCTAGATCCGTTGCATACACAGTTCACAGTAGGGTTTGTGCTCCTATGAGAATCTAATGCCACCGCTGATCTGACAGGAGGTGGAGCTCAGGTGGCAATGCTGACCTCCTGCTGTGCAGCCCCGTTCCTAACAGACCACTGATTGGTACATGGCCCCAGGTTGGGGACCCCTGCTTTAAAGCCATAGTTTGTACTTCATGGTCAGTGAAAAGAAGACGGTTTTAATAATTTGCTTTCTTTTTCTTTCTTTTTTCTTTTTTCTTTTTTTTCCTCTTTTTTTTTGGGACCAGGGTCTTGCTCTGTCACCCAGGCTGGAGTGCAATGGTGTGATCACTGCCCACTGCAGCTTTGACCTCCTGGGCTTGAGTGATCCTCGCATCTCAGCCTTCGAACAAGCTGGGAGCACAGGTGTGTGCCACTACACCCTGCTAATTTTTATACTTTTTGTAGAGATGGTGTCTCACCATGCTGCCCAGGCTGGTCTCAAACTTCAGGGCTCAAGTGATTCAGCCACCTCGGCCTCCCAAAGTGCTGGGATTACAGGCATGAGCCACCACGCCTGGCCTATTTTTGTTTTAAGGAACATAATAGGTTTCGTAGAAATTGGGCAGCTGTTAAGAAGTGGAAAACAAAATTGTGATCTGACTTTGAGCCCTGAAAAGTAATGCAGCCGCGGTTAAGATAAATTGCCAGAGAAAGTTCCTTCCACTAAGTTTTCATGTGACTGTGTTTTCCCGCTTTGTGTGTTGTGTTAATAATGCTGCTGTGTGCAGCTGGGGTGCTGGTTCTCCCTCTTTTTGAAGTTCAGGTTCGGGCGCAGGACCACTGTTGTGTGGGATCAGTGGCTGTGCGGGGCTGGGGCCTTCAATTTCTTTCTCTCTGGCAACATGTCACCATTTCAAGTAGAATCTTGAGCCTGAGAATATTCTCCTTGTCTTTGGCATGGGAGAGTATGAATCAGGAAGTGGCCAACCGTATTGCTCCTTGCTCAAATTGGACGTGTTTGTGTGCAAATGCTCTTCACTCGGTTTCTGTTTGAGATGGGGGGTGGGGACGCGGGGCTTGGGGAGGGGTGTTGCCTGGGAGGAAAGATGTGGGCACTAAGGAGAGATTTACTTTGATCACTGGTGCAAATGATGCCTGGGTCGAGCGTGCAGATCTGAATATTCATAAGTTTCTGGTTCCCTCCTCCCCAGGTCCTTATTTTTGTGTAGCTGTAACCATCAAAGTATGCCCCTTTAATCAGGGAGAGGAATTTCCTTGACCATGAAGCTCTTTCTCCTTCCCTCCGTATCTCAGGTTGGGCATTTGGAGAGCCACCTCTGGACTTGGCTTTTTTTGAGTGCTTTAAGATTATTCTTTGAGCTTAGAGGACATTCATTGCTCCTCTGTAAAGAACCAGGTCTGTGGTATTTAAAGCTTCTGTATAGGTGGGTCTTTGTGGCAAGAAAGGGAAAGTCTTCAAAAGCAATTCCAGACTGAGAACGTGGAGAAGAAAGTGCTGCTCAGGTCCCCCAAAGCCTCACAGCAGTGATAAAGCAACAAACAGGGCGTTTAGTTTGGTGTAAAACGAGTCTGCAAGTTCCTGCATGCTTGAATCTTCGTGTTTGACATAATGCCGGTGCACATAGAAGTAATTTAGCAAATGCACACTCTGAAATGTTAGAAAAGACCAACGCCAAGGCGTGCAGCGAGACTTGGGAACATTATTCATCAGTCAGCCTTGGGAGTGACAAGTGGGTGTTGGATGCCCTGTGTTGAGGCACACTGGGAGGAGCTGTTCTCCCGCCATGCGACCCCCCCGTCCCCCACCGCTGGATTCTGGGAGTCATGTTTTCCAGGGATGAAGATTGTCAATCCGGATACATTCAGGTATCACCTGTTGAAAGAGAATGGTTTTAAAGACTTGAGATTGTTAATGTTATGAAACATTCAGTTCTGGCTTCCCAGCCATCCTGACCTGTGTTGACATGTTTCTGATCAAATGCCAGTCAGTTTTGTGGTTGGGAGTTTGTTCCCAGCATTTGCGATTCTGTGAGAACAAAGCAAGAGGTGTGAGTTTTTCCACTTTTCTCCTCTTTCTTGGGTTCCCCCAGGCCAGCTGCTGGCTGCTGTGAGAGGTGCAGGCTCCCAGGTATGCTCAGGTACACCCAGGTCCTTCCAGGGCATTGACCTGGCCCAGTCACTTGGGGTATGCTACTATGGCATTCTCCCTGATACTCTGCCCAGTGAAAGCTCCTTTAGCTCTATGGGTAAACTTGTTTTTTCCTATGAGATTTTATTTGGCGGGAGCTCCCACACTGAAGTTGCCTTCAACACAGTGACTAAATGCACCTGAAGGTTGGTGAGAAATACCTTAAATTGAACGAGAACATTGAAACCTTGCAAGTTGTATGCAGTGAATTAGCTATTCCACTTTTAATTTTCTTCTGAAAGTGAAGAATACGGTTAGGCTTGACGTAGCAGTGAAAATGTGGAATCCTGTGTGATCCCTGTCCCTGAGGGCTTGGAACACATACCCTGCTGGACAACTGTTTGGCTGGGATGTTGGGGAGGGAACATACTAGATTACATCACCTGTGGCACTTAAAAAACAATTCCCAGCCGGGCACGGTGACTCACACCTGTAATCCCAGCACTTTGGGAGGCCAAGGCGGGAGGATTGCTTGAGTGCAGGAGTTTGAGACCAGCCTGGGCAACATGTATGTCTCTACAAAAAATACAAAAATAATTGGCTGAGCATGATGGCATACTCCTGTAGTCCCAGCTACTCAGGAGGCTGAGATGGAAGGATGGTGTGAGCCCGGGAGGTGGAGGTTGCAGTGAGCCGAGATACAGCCTAGGTGACAGAGCCAGACCCTGTCTCAAAAAAAAAAAAAATTCCCGTTTTCTTGGGCCCCTTTCTGGAGATTGTGATTCATTAGGTGTGAGGTGGGTTGGGGAAAACTGGTAGTTCTGCTAAGCTTCCTAGGTGTTTCCAGCATGGAGCCAGGTTTGAGAATCCCTGAACTAGGTGCCCTCTTGAGGTCTTTCCAGTTGCTGAGATTTCATCAAGAGCATGTTCTCATGAATGAGTCAGTCAGGGCAAAAGAGACAGCTTGGCTTTCGTTTTATCTCTGAAAGGACTTCAGAAGATAAGAGTTTTATTTTTATTTTTGAATCACGGAAATTTTCAAACATACACAGAACTAGAATCGTATAATGACTTGATATACCCCCATAACACACATCCTGATTCAGTAGTTGACAAAGGTTTGTCACACTTATTTTATTTATTCTTTTTTGTTGTCGCTGTTTCTGAAGTTGTTTTTCGGTTTTTTGTTTTGAGACAGGGTTTCACTCTGTTGACCAGGCTGGAGCGCAGTGGCATAATCATGGCTTATTGCAGCCTCAGACTCTCATGCTCAAGCCTTAGCCTTAGCCTCCGAAGGGGGGACTACAAGTACATACCACCATGCCTGGCTAATTTTTTTTTTTTGTATTTTTCATAGAAACGGGGTTTCGCCATGTTGCCCTGGCTGGTCCCAAATTCCTGGCCTCAAGCAATCCTCCTGCCCCAGCCTCCCACAGTGCTGTGGATTATAGGCATGAGTCGCTGCACCCAGCCTTGCTGAAGTAGTTTGAAGCAGATGACATTTACAATTCAAACATTTCGGTATACATAAGAATAATTGACGGTTTCTTACATAACAACCATGCTCAAGTCCCCCCTAACAAAATGAACAATTATTTGGTGTTGCCTAATGCCAGGTCCATATTCAGATATCCCTGTTTACAAAATGTTTGTTTGAATTAGGGTCCAAATGTGGTTCCTGCAGTGCCTTTTGTGATGTTTCCTGTCTGTGTCAGTCTGCAGCACTCCTATGCCCTCTTTCCTTTTTCATTCCCTTCCCTGTTAAAAGAGACCCATGGCTTACACTATAGAGTACTTGCATTCTGTTTACTTCCTTGTGATTTCGTGTAACTTGCTTCTCTCTCTCCTTCTATTTCCTGTCAAATGGAAGGAAGTACGAACGTCTGGGTCACATTCTGGATATATCACTTCCAGAAGCCTGGTCATCCCCCTCTTGGGGAAGCTGAGATTGAGCCATGGGTTCACATGAGGTCACTGTTCCCTACTCTATAAAATTTCTCATTAGTTTTTTTTTTTTTTTTTTCATTTCGTCTATGGATGATCTGTGCCTAAATCAATTAAGGTAGAGTTTTAATGTCTGGGATTAAGTTTTACACTCCCTAAATACAGGTCTTACTTAGGAGTGTAAGATTAGCATGTACTAACCTCTCTGAGTACTTGTAAATGAGAAGTAGAATGCAGTTATTTTTTTCCAGACTGGATTATAAGGTATGTGTGTATTTCTATTTCTGTGCCTTTTTTTTTTAACCTTTCCTCTTGCTACTTGAACAAAAAACATTGTCATCAAAGGGTTTATAAAGGAAACACTGTACAAAAGTATGTTTATTATATCCAGAGCTGAGTGCTTTAAATACAATTTTAGCTTATAAATATAGGCATGCTTGCTTTGTGCTTTCCATATGCAGTATCTGATTTCTTCCTCACTAAACCCTATGAAGTAGGCCCTATTATTTTCTTTCTTAAAATAGATGATGAGTTAAGCTCTGAGTGGTTAAGTAACTTGCTAGAAGTTGCACAGCTAGCAAGTGCAGAACTTACTAGGAACCTAATTGGAAGGAACCTAATTCCTTCCAACTTTTTAAAAATTATTGATTTAATTTATTTTTGAGACAGGGTCTCTGTCACACAGGCTGGAGTACACTGGCATGATCATAGCTCACTGAAACCTTGAACTCCTGGGCTCAAGTGATCCTCCTGACTCAGCCTCCCAAGTAGCTGAGAATACAGGTGCATGCCACCACATCCAGCTAATTTCAAGATTTTTTTTTTTTGTAGGGCTGCGCACTGTGGCTCATACCTGTAATTCCAGCACTTTGGGAGGCCGAGGCAAGCAGATGACTTGAGCCCAGGAGTTTGAGACCAGCCTAGGCAACATGATGAAACTGCATCTCTGCAAAAGATAAAAAAATTAGCTGGGCATTGTGGCACGCACCTGTAGTCCCGGCTACTCAGGAGGCTGAGTTGGGAAGATCGCCTGGTGACAGAGCTAGATCCTGTCTCCAGAAATAATATATTTTTAGTAAAGGTGGGGTCTTGCTGTGTCGCCCAGTCTGGTCTTGAACTCCTGTCCTCAAGTAATCCTCCCAATTGTGAGCCACCATGCTTGGCCCGATTCCCTCCAATTCTGAAGGGCATGTGCTTACCCCTGGTGCTTGCCTAGGCCTTCTCAGTATAGCAGACATTGTAGATGATCTCTCTGTGCTTCCTTTAAATATCCTGTGAATATGGGTTATAGGGGATTGAAATAACCCAAATAAACCCAGAATTAACTCTGGGGGCACAGGATAGAGAAAGGCAAATACAGAGTATATTTTTGTACCGTTGAGATGGGGCTCAATTGTCAGCACATGTAAAGTTCTTGCATCTGCACAGAGCACACAACTGTCTGCTCAGCTTCCGGTTTCCAGGCTCCATCCTGAGCCCCCTGCCTCATAGGACCCC
This sequence comes from Homo sapiens, assembly GCF_000001405.40. Taxonomy (NCBI): domain Eukaryota; kingdom Metazoa; phylum Chordata; class Mammalia; order Primates; family Hominidae; genus Homo; species Homo sapiens. Next base: position 89,405,580 of record NC_000014.9, on the reverse strand, counting down.
TTCAGTGGCATCAGAGCCAAGTGAGGAAGCTTTTCTCCCTGCGTGTACACTGTTGATACAAATTGTCTCTAATTTGCTGTTCTCTTCACGTTTGCTCTCGGTAGATGAGATTCTTTTTCAAAGGCAGTTTTGAAAATGAGGTCGCACCCAGGTGTGGTGGCTCACGTCTGTAATCCCACACTTTAGGAGGCCAAGACGGGGGCATCATTTGAGGCCAGGAGTTCAAGACCAGCCTGGCCATCATGGTGAAACCCTGTCTCTACTAAAAATACAAAAAGTAGCCGGGTCTGGTGGCGGGCGCCTGTAATCTCAGCTACTTGGGAGGCTGAGGCAGGAGAATCGCTTGAACCCGGGAGGCAGAGGTTGCGGTGAGTGAAGATCACGCCACTACACTCCAGCCTGAGCGACAGAGTGAGACTCTGTCTCAAAAAGAAAAACAACAACAAAAAAAGAAACTGAGGTTGCACCTCTATGTGTCAGCACCCCACGTGAGCAGTTGCTTCTAGTTTTCTCTTCTTGGTGTTGTGAATGCAGAATCAAGAGCATTTCCCCTAACCGTGACACCAGTCAACCTACCTGTCTCATTGATGGACCTTTTAGGAGGAAGAGATGACTTATTATTATTATTTTTTTGGATAAATAATGCTCATTGGAAGACAGTGTGGTCTGGTTCGGATGTGTAAATTCCTAAGAATTAGTGTAATGTTGGGTGGGGTGGAACATGTAATTTTGTAATGTGTGTGAGACTCCTCTGTGGTCTCTGGGTGAAGTGACAATCCTCTTCATCCTCGACCTGGGGCTGCCTTGTCCAGCGTCGGAAATGGCTCTCCCTGAAGACGGCCTCCTTCTCACCGGTGCCTACTGCCAGGCGGGCTGCTTTCTGCTGTCTGTGCTATAGGCTATGTCACCTCAGAAGGTTGAGAGTTTACCAGGGTCTCTGAGGGGCCAGAAATAAAAATACTCCCTTGTCACAGGCCCTGGAATAGGAAGCCATTCATACCAGCATCCTGTGATCCCAAGAAAGCGCAGCTCCCTGACCCATCCTGCCGATTTTTTTTTTTTTTTTTTTTTTTTTTGAGACAGAGTCTCGCTCTGTCACCCAGGCTGGAGTGCAGTGGTGCAATCTCGGCTCACTGCAACCTCCGCCTTCCCAGGTTCAAGCGATTCTCCTGCCTCATCCTCCTGAATAGCTGGGATTACAGGTGCGTGCCACCACACCCAGCTAATTTTTGTATTTTTAGTGGAGACAGGGTGTTTGTTGGTCAGGCTGGTCTCGAACTCCTGACCTTGTGATCTGCCCGCCTCGGCCTCCCAAAGTGCTGAGATTACAGCCGTGAGCCACCGTGCGCAGCCCCATCCTGCTGATTTGTTCCTTCCAGACTGTTCGTTCCTTCTTCTTCCAGTCAGTAGGTGTCTTGGGTGGGGGCACATTTCCGTTGTCTTGCTCTGGCAAACCTTTCATTTGTCTGCTCATTCATTCATTTATTCAACAAACTTTTTAAAGTACCTACTAAGTGCTAAAAGAATACAGAATTGAATGTACCATGGCCACTGCCTGTAAGGCACTCATGGTCCAGCGAGCCCTCCCCTCAGAGTCTCCCTCTCACTAGTGGAACTTCTCTAGCAGAAGCTCTTACTCCACTGCTGTATGCCCTTTGTATTCTCTGTTTTCTGTCTCACATCGTTGCTTTTCTGGCCCTTCATGGATACACTACCTTTCTACTCCTCACAGTGACTTGGCCAGGAAGATGCCACTAACCTGGATAGGGGTCTGTCTGAGGCTGCTGGGAAAGCTTCTGGGCCCGAGGGCCCTATCAATGTATCTGTCCAGTATCTCCCCCTGTTTCCTATTGAGAAAATGTTGCATTCTCTTTGGTAGGGCTTTGTGGCACCTGGATAGGTCTACCAGATACTTCATCGATGTACTGCCTGTATATCCAACCAGCAAGAAATGGTTTTCAGAACCTTCCCCATTGGGCTGGGATTTCCCTTTGAAATCATTTTGGCTGCAGGATAATTCTCTGCAGTAAATAACATAGGAAGTTGGCACTCTGACCTCCTATTTGAAAGTTATGAGTTTAGGCTGGGCGTGGTGGCTCACGCCTGTAATCCTAGCACTTTGGGAAGCCGAGGTGGGGCGGATCACTTTGAGCCCAGGAGTTCGAGACCAGCCTAGGCAACATGGTGAAACCCTGTCTCTACAAAAAATACAGAGATTAATTGGGCATGGTGGCATGTGCCTGTAGTCCCAGCTACTCTCCTGAGGCTGGAGAATCGCTTGAACCCGGGAGGTGGAGGCTACGGTGAGCCATGATCGCACCACTGCATTCCAGCCTGGGCGACAGAGTGAGACCATGTCTCCAACAACAACAAAAAATTAAAAAAAAAAAATGTGATTTGATTCTTGCTTTTTGTACTCTTAGTAGTTTACATTCCAGGGAAGCAGGAAACATAATGCAAAATAAAAAAGAATAAGTTACCGTAAGTACTGGAAGTGTGCCGATCAGTGTGAGATTGGTATCATTCAAAGTTAGGCTGGCTTCCCTTTCCCAAAGAGGGGCACTGGGTAAGCTAAAAGATAGTGATGGGCGAGTTTTGAATATTCCTTATGTTCACTTGAATAAGCTGTTACAAAGCATTCTTCGGGTGTGGGAATGAGCATTAGACCTCCAAGGATGGATTGATCAGAAGGAGGCTTGAGTGTTTATTGTAGAAAACCAATTAACAATGATTTAAACAAGCTAGGGGCGTATTTCTCCATTACATGAAAGAAGTCTTGAGGAGCTAGACAGAGACGCACATTCCCTCTTCTCTGCTGTTCTTAGGGCATTGCGGGTTTCCATTCTCAGTCTTCTCATGGTCCAAGATGGCATCAGCTAGCATGTTCCCATTTTAGGAAGCAAGAAGGGGAGTGCAGGGAAGGACAGGAGGGAGTCTTGCTGACTTCTGGTTTTAAGGGGCTTTCCCAGAAACCCCACCCTCTGCTTTGATCTTATTGGCTAGAGCTTGGTCACATGACTTCTAGCTGCAAGGAAGCCTGGGAAATGGACTCTTTTGCCTGATCCATTGGAACCCCAAGTTAAATGTTGATTCTGTTGCCAAGCAAACTTGGAACTTTCTGTCACAAAGGTCTAGATGTTTAGGAGGCAAATGTTACTGGACCCCAGGGATGTGTTGGAACAGCGTCAGAGGAAAGGACGGAGAGAGATGGTGGCTGGAAGGTTATGTAAATAAGAATAGGGACTGTTGGAGGAGCTAGGATGCTAAATGGAAAACTTTACATTGCATTGGTAACTTAAGTAAAGCAGAGATGCTGACCCATTTTTTAAACATTCCAAATAACCAAGGTTTTGCTTTAAGAGATTCTGGTTAAATTGCATTTAGTGTCATCAAAAGCGGTAGCTTGATTGAGGTGAAGATGTAGTCTGTGCCAAGGATGATAAGAAGAAAAGCAAGGAAATAGATGGTTGAAGATAGAGAGTAGTGTGAAGTCGTTCTTTTAGTAATAACTTGATGGATTGCTATGTAAGATTACAGACAGTTCCATGAACAGGATGAAGTCTTTGATTTGTGTATGTGTGTGTGTGTGCTTGTTTGAGTACCTTTCCTTGTGAACTCAGCAGGAGACAGTAAATACAGGCAGAGAGGCTATACGCTTCCCAGGGGAAAAAGCTCTCCAATTACCCTTCCTTTTCTTCCTTTGGTCTTCACAGGGTGTGTGGGATTTCCCTCTGGGCCCCGTGGGGTCGAGTTCAGTGTCTTCTTTCTATTTATTGGAGTTCTGTGAAGTGCTTCATAGAAGGCTGTGACTGTCCTCCTCGAGGGACAGGACCGATAAGTGATTTAACTAATGTCATTAGACAGAAAACACCCACCTAGCAGAACATGTGCACATGCTTTGTTTTTAGAAGGCCAAGTCATGTGAGCGCTGACTCTAATCGTGGCTATAGTAGAGGGGGAAGAAAAGTCCCGAATCTCCAAGAATCAAGGTACAGGGAGCCTGGCACAGAGGTAAGGCATAGCATCACAGTAGGTACTCCTGGAATACCGCACTGTGTGCCGAATTCCTTTGAGGCTTGTAAAGTTGAGAACTGGTGTTTGCAGCTATGGTTCTGAGGTCTTGCAGAATACCTACTGTTGTTGTTGTTGCTGTTGAGTCACCCAGGCTGGAGTGCCAATGGCGCCATCTCAGCTCACTGCAACCTCCACCTCCTGGCTTCAAGTGATTCTTCTGCCTCAGCCTCCTGAGTAGCTGGGATTACAGGCTCATGCCACCATGCCCAGCTAATTTTTCTGTTTTTAGTGAAAACGGGGTTTCACCATGTTGGCCAGGCTGGTCTTGAACTCCTGACCTCAGGTGATCCGCCCGCCTCAACCTCCCAAAGTGCTGGGATTACAGGCATGAGCCATTATGTCTGGCCCCTAGTTTGCAAAGTAAAAATTGGACTCTGTATTTATGAAAATAAGTGGCTTCAGTCATTTTAGAAGCATTTTCAGCAGTGGTTCATTCGTGCTACCCTTGTTTGTGGAGTGCCAGGCACTGTTTTGGGTGCTGAGGATACAGTGGTGACCTCTGGCGGGTCCCTGGCTGCTCTCCTAGACCTTCCATAGGGTAGCAGTGAGGGTAGGGGAGGAGGAGGAGGCAAGTGGTAAATAGTAGTTCCTTCCATGGACAGGGTAGGTAATGTACCAGATTGTGTTACATGCAATGAAGATATAAAACAGGATAATGTACTAGGGGAGGAGGGTGGGATGGTGGGAGGCTTCTCAGAGGATCTGACTAGGCCGTGCCTTGAATGGCAAGAGGGATGCAGCTATGCAAAGATCTGGGCAGAGAGAACAGCAAGTGCAAAGGCCCTGAGGTGGCAATGGCTCAAAATGTCCAAGGAACAGAAAGAGGGGTCGCAGTTAGTGTATTAGAAAGGGGAGAATGTTATGTCTAAAGGACAGGAAGGGGATCTACCTCTCTGGGGCTTGTTCCAGTGGTGCAAGAGAGAGATGGTGGGAGTGATGCTAGCTTGAGCCAGGGTTGGGGGTTGCAGATGAACATGTGTGGGCAAATTTGGGTTGGGAAATTGGATGGGCGTTAGTGCCAACATTCTCTTTTGACCATGTTAAATTTGAGATGGTTTGCGGACATCTAAGTGGAGCTGTCAGGAAGTTTCCTATATGAGTTTCAAGCTCTGTGGAGACATTCGGGTGGAGGTATAAATCTGAAACACAGTGCATAGGTGTTGGAAAATAAAGAGATTTCTGGATTACCTCTCAATCAAAAAGAGTGAAATCAAACCTCTATTTCAGTTCTTACAGGAAATTGTATTTCCATTAGTGTTTGACTAGGAAATTCATTTTGGGGTATATTCAGCATGGGAAATAAGAACAAAAGAGGTTTACATTTAGAGGGAGACCCTCTCAGAATTATTTCAGCAATAACTTACCTCTAGTTGCTGGCTGTAGTTTTGCAGGCAGAAGAGAACAAACCTTTACTTTTGTACCAAGAGTGCAACTTCTAAATGTGCTTGGGGCAGCCGCATCTCTGATATCAGGAGAGAAATGTACTCCAGTAAACATCTTACTTAGCAAAGCCCCCTAACCCATGGCTTCTGCGAGTTCTCTGCCATCTGGTCCCTGGATGGAAAGAGGAATTTTTCTTGTATATGTGTCTCCATAGCAACGAGTTTGCAGTTGATATGGAAAGTAAGCAGTTGCCTTAGCAACGGAGTTACTGATGTGGCGGCTTCCTTGCTTTCAGGGAATGGATAAGCTGACCAAACTAGTTTAGATGCATCCTGTAGGGCGCTGTAATGTAGAGCCGCACACACGGCCCCTGCCAGTGTAAAATTGGTCTAGCTTTAAAAGAGATCGCAGCCCCTCCCCCTTCCAGAAGGAAGGGCTTACAGCTGTAATAAATCAGACAAAAGTAGTCGCTGTCAGTTGAAATAGATTACAAGAGGGATCTCCTGGCAGAATTTATTTAGTTTAGCTCAAAGGAGAATGTTACAGTCAAGGGTACATTTGGTTGCAAGGACAAGAGAGTCACTCGAGTTGGCTTAAGTAAAAGGGTACTTGTCCCAAAAACATAACAGCCAGTCCCATGGAGCGGGAGCAGTGTCAGAGAGCAACAAAGCATATCTCAGGTCCACGGCCATTGGAAGTGCCTCCTCTGTTCCTCTGCGGCCACGTGGACACTCATCTCTGCCTTTCTCTGAGGATCTGTTCTAGCCTCCTCTTTGCAGCCCAGCTCCCTCTGTGTGCTCTTGATTCCTGCCTTCTCACACTGTTGGCTTGCCCTGCTGGGATGTTGGTGCCAGTCCCTGTGATGTGATGGTTCCAGTGCCCAGTGGCATCAGCACCATCATCTCTGCGCCTTGTCTTTGTCATCATTTTTAGATACTAGGACTTGTCCTTTTCCTGGGCCAAGCGTTCAGCCCTGGTCAGAACAGGGGCCTGTGCACCGGATCAAGATAGCTGCTCGGAAAATCCCTTCATCTGGGGTTGGGCTGGGGCTTGAGTCTGAAACATATCTGCAACAACAAAAAAATTCAGGAAAGCCTTTGATCATTTGAAGACCATTTTATTGATTGATTGGCTGATTTGAGATGAAGTTTTACTCTTGTTGCCCAGGCTGGAGTGCAATGGCACGATCTTGGCTCACCACAACCTCCGCCTCCTGGGTTCAAGCGATTCTCCTGCTTAGCCTCCCGAGTAGCTGGGATTACAGGCATGTGCCACCATGCGTGGCTAATTTTGTATTTTTAGTAGAGACAGGGTTTCTCCATGTTGGTCAGGCTGGTCTTGAACTCCCGACCTCAGGTGATCTGGCCGCTTCAGCCTTCCAAAGTGCTGGGATTACAGGTGTTAAGCCACCGTGCCCAGCCCAGTACTAATGAAAAGAAAAGTAATATGGAACTTTGGAATATTTTGTGCTTTCTTTTTCCCTCTGTCCCCTCAGAATACCTCTTCTAGGTGATGAGGATTAACATGCCAGAGAACATGGGGACTATCTTGAACCTCCGTTTTCTTGTCATCTCCATGGTGCCTTCATCTTTCTTTCATTCCAAGTTTATAAATTGGGGGCTGGCAATTCCCAAACTAGCAAAGCTTTTCTTTGGTGACTACTTCTCCCTGTCAGCTGCCCTCAAAGTGCCCGTAATCACAGGGTTGAGCGATTACCAGAAATTATGAACTCTAGCCCCCGATCCAGACAGAAATAAATGTCAGCTGTCCAATACAAGTTGTCCTAATAGTCAAGATCAGGAGGTTTGGTAATAGTTCTTGCTGACTGTTATGCACTAGCCCGCATCATTGCGTTATTTTCAAAATAGGGGAAAATATAATTACTTTATCCTGGGGACTGGGGATGACAAAACTCTGGTGGAGGATACTCAACAAAATAAAAAGAGACCAGGAAGGCTACAGAGTGGCTTCTGCCAGTTGCCAGGGGATTGGGCAAAGGCCAGAATTATGTGGTTGGGGAAGCCAAAGGAGAAGGGGACTCCTAAGGTTTAGCAGTGCCACTGGAAGAATCCTGAAGACAGCATTTTATTAGCTGGTTCCTTCAGGATAGTCAGACTGGGGCTGGCGACAGGGAGAGAGGAGGTCCCTTGAGTCATCAGACGTGGCTTGTCCAGAGGTAGGGACGCATAAGGGGGAAGACTGAGTGTGAAAGTGGGAAGTGACATTTCCATAGGACCTGCTGGGTGCTGTTTGGAGTCATGTGAGGCATTTGTATCCATGGTCTTACATCTTTTTAACAACTATAAGCAGGTATTATATGCTCTTTGCAGATGGGGAAACTGAAGCTCAGAGAGGTTCAGTGGCTTGCTAAATTGACACAGCCAGATATTTTTAGCCAAGGTCTGACACTTCCTTGCTCCTCCTTCACTCTAATTGGCTAAAACAAAGGGTCACAGTGGGATAGAGAGAGAAATAAGTTTGGGAAGGTAGGCTGAGCTAGACTGGGGGGTTTTGAGTGCCAGGGAGCCCAGACTTTCCCCCTAAGGTGGTAGGGGGTCCTCAGACGTTTCTGAGCCTAGCCACAGCACAGACAAAGGAGTCAAGTGCTTCCTTCTGATGCCCTAGAGGTTCTTGCAGAGCCTCGGTCTCCACAGCAGGGATTCTTTTTTTTTTTTTTTTTTTAACTTTTATTTTAGGTTTGGGGGTACATGTGCAGGTTTGTTATATAGATAAACTCATGTCACAGGGGTTTGTTGTACAGATTATTTCACCACCTAGGTATAAGCCTAGTAACCAATAGTTTTTTCCTGATCTTCTCCCTCCTCCCACCCTCCACCCTCCAATAGGCCCCAGTGTGTGTTGCTCCCTACTATGTGTCCATGTGTTCTCATCATTTAGCTCCCACTTATAAGTGAGAACATGTGGTATTTGGTTTTCTGTTCCTGTGTTAGTTTACTGAGGATAATGGCCTCCAGCTGCATCCATGTTCCCGTAAAAGACGTGATCTCATTTATGTTTATGGCTGCATAGTATTCCATGGTGTATATGTCCCACATCTTTATGCAATCTGTCATTAATGGGACTTAGGTTGATTCCATGGCTTTGCTATTGTGCATAGTGACAGCAGAGATTCTTGCTGCCCAGAAATTTATGGAGAAAAAGGCCACAGCAGTCGCTGATTTTCCATAGCTTTAACTGACTTGGACCAGATTTGTGCACTAACAAATAAGGAAAAAAAAAAAAGTCTACTGCAGCATATTTCTCATTTTAAGTTTTTTTTTTTTTTTTTTTGAGATGGAGTTTCACTCCTGTTGCCCAGGCTGGAGTGCAGTGGCACAATCTCAGCTCACTGCAACCTCCGCCTTCTGGTTTCAAGCGATTCTCCTGTCTCAGCCTCCCAAGTAGCTGGGATTACAGGCATCTGCCACCACACCCATCTAATTTTTGTATTCTTAGTAGAGACGGGGTTTCACCATGTTGGCCAGGCTGGTCTTGAACTCCTGACCTCGTGATCCACCCGCCTCGCCTCCCAAAGTGCTGGGATTACAGGCATGAGCCACCGTGCCCAGCCAGCAGTGGCTTCTTGATGCTCCAGTCCAGCATCTGTACCTGGATTTGACTGATGTGGTCCCCATCATACTCTGATAGAGTTCTTTTTGCTGGGATCCTGGAAGATGATCTTGGTTTATACATGAAGAATCTGGGGTCCAGTGAAAGTGACTTGGTAAAACCCACAGATCTGTGCCGAAAGCCTTGGTCAGCTGCCCCTTGGCCTGATGCTCTTTTCTCTGCATCAGTGCATTGCTTCACCTCTTCTTCAAGGACTCTGATTAACTGGAAGTGGACATAAACTGGTGTTATTTATGTGGGATTTGTTTTCCTTCCTACATCTTAGTTTGGGTCACTGAATATACTCAGTTTTTATAAGTGATTTTTCATTTCTGTTTGTAACTTCTGAAAATGTGCTTAAGTCTTTGAGAGTATGCTTTAACCTATAAATTTTTGTTTCATTGATTACTCAGAATGTCCTTGAATTTTAGCCTTCGAATGAGTCTCTGGACACTATTTTGCATTACCTGCCTATTAGTATTTAGCCATTGATGAAATCCACACAGATCCTTCCTGGTGAGCAAAGGACCTGATCTGCTTCTTGGTGCTGATGTTATGTGGAGAGTTTGCATATTTCCCAGAAGTAGTGACAAGTGTGACTGGAAGACTCTTAGAAAATTTTTTACTTAACTGTCTGTCTTGATAAACTCTATGTTCATTATCTTTGGTTCTTTGACTTACTTTGAAACTCCCCCCCCTCCAGCCTTAGAGATCAGCTTATATTGGGCAGGCATTTTTTCCCAGAAATAATAATATTAATATTAATAAATAGTAATAAGGTAATTACACTACTCCTGTGTGGTATCCTAAACTTTCTCATAACTTGTTCATCCATCCAGCTAATGTTGATTCCATGCTTGTAAACAGGCTTATGCTAGGCATCAGGAAAGCCGGATGATGAAGGTATAGTTTCTGTCCACCAGGAATTTCTAGTCTAGTGGGAGAGACAGACACATGAAGAAATAGTCATTGTACACCTTCGTGTATGTCAGGCATATGAGATGCTGTGCTGGGCAGGAGAGGGTGTGAGTGCTGCTTCATTTTACACAAATTGGTGAGAGAGAAAGCTTGGATGCTGTACTGAGCATTGAACTAGGTGTTAGGAGATCTGGGTTTTATTGCTAATTTGGTTGCTAACCAGCTGTGTACCTCTCTGAACCTTAGATTCCTCCATTCAATTCAGTAAACCTTCTCTTGTGGGCCCACTGTGTTCATTCAGTATGTTTAATTAATCATTCATCTGTAAGCAGAATTGTCCCGGACACGTGTTCCTGAACTACTTGCCACAGGGGACTCTTTTATTCTCCTCCTTATTCTGTGCTTTTGTTAGACACATGAGCATCAGTCACAGGCTGTGACCAGCATCAGATAACCAGTGTCCATAGGGTGTGTTGAGAATATTTCTGCCCAAAGCAAAGGAGCTAGATGTGGCAGCTTACATAACAATGTTGCACATGAACGCGTGATTTCCAAAAGGCTTTGGGGAAGTGTCAGAATAAAATCCTGTCCTCATAATTCTAACTCTGCAGAAGAGCCTTTCCATAGCAGAAAACCCGGATGGGTTGTGTGTGATTTTCAAAGCCCTCTCCTATGCTGTTATTACAATTCTAGGAGATCCCTTAGTTGGGGAGTCACTAGCTGTGCTTCCAATGATCTGTATCCCTGGGGCCTACTAGGTTCCTCGTCCTTTCCTGTGTCTCACAGCAGTTGGAATCTAGCTCTTCTGACCATTTCCCCAATGCTAATGGGACCCCGGGATTAGAGAATAGTAACTTCAGGTATCCTATTCCTGGAATCCCAGGTGTGTTCATGGCTGTGAGGGCGCTCAGCGCATGCATGTATCTGGCCAGATGCCCTAGGCCAGGCATGTCCACGTTGAGCATTGTTGTTGTTTTTCTTTCTCTCTGTACACTTCTCTTGATGATGTCATTTTCTTTATCAAAAAGCTTTACTAAACTCCTGCTGTGGTTTGAATGTGTCCCCCAAACTTCATGTATTAGAAAGTTGAGACTGGGCGCAGTGGCTCACACCCGTAATCACAGCACTTTGGGAGGTTGAGGTGGGCTGATCACCTGAGGTCAGGAGTTCGAGACCAGCCTGGCCAACATGGCGAAACCCCATCTCTACTAAAAATACAAAAAAAATTAGCTGGGCGTGGTGGTGGGCACCTGTAATCGCAGCTACCAGGGAGGCTGAGGCAGGAGAATTGCTTGAACTCGGGAGGCAGAGGTTTCAGTGAGTTGCACCCCAGCCTGGGCAACAAGAGTGAAACTCCATCTCAAAAAAAAAAAAAAAAAAAAAAGAACGTCGATCCCCATTGTGGTGGTGTTGGGAGTTAGGGTCTAATAGAAGGTGTTTGGGTCATGGGGGCACCACCTTCATGGATCGATAAATGCCATGATTGTGGGAGTGGGTTCCTTATAAAAGGATGAGTTTTGGCCCCCTTTCTCTCTCTCCCACTCCCCTCTTTGCCCTTCCACTTCCCACCATGGGATAATGGAGCAAGAAGGCCCTCACCAGATGCCAACCCTTCCATCTTGGACTTCCCAGCTTCCAGACTGCGAGAAAACAAATCTGTGTCTTTATAAATTATCCACAACTCCCAATGAAGTCAGGGGGCTATGAAATGTACTTGTGATCTTCCCTTGTCCCCACCCAGTTTCCTGCTCTAGACAAGTTGTACCTCTGGGCTCTTTCTCCTCTACTTTTGCCCCTCTGTAACTGTCAGTGTGTCATTTCTGCCTCACTCTGGACAAGCCTGCCATCTCTGCAGGTGTGATTTATTGCCAGATGGTTATTTTGTTAGCAGTGGTTGAGTCTTATGAAATGTAATCCCAACTGATCTTTTTTCCCTCTGTGTGAAGTGTGTGGCGTGCACAGTTTGTGCCATTTGTATACCCTGGTGCTGAGGTGTGGTGGTTTATGGGGGAGCTCCGTTTCTGGCCGCCATGTGGCCATGGGAGATTGACAACAACGCTCACCCTCAGCACTTCAGAGACAGCCATGAATGTTTTCAGATAATCTGTTCAGAAATGGCAGCTTATTCCCACAGTCCTGTGGCTGGATGTCTTGTGGCACTCTGTGCGTTTCCTGTGTAAGCAGGTGTTCAGGGGTGAGTTGTATCCCTCAGAAAGATAATGTTGAAGTTCTCATCTCTGGTACCACGAATGTGACCTTATTTGGAAAAGATGTAATCAAGTTAAAATGAGGTCACACTGGATCAGGGTGGTTTGTAATCCAATGTAACTGGCATTCTTATAAAAAGAAGAGAGGAGGCCAGGTGGGGTGGCTCATGCCTGTAATCCCAGCATTTTGAGAGGCTGAGGTGGGTGGATTGCCTGAGGTCAGGAGTTCGAGACCAGCCTGGCCAACATGGTGAAACCCCATCTCTACTAAAAATACAAAAATTAAGCCGGGCACGGTGGCTCATGCCTGTAACCCCAGCACTGTGGGAGGCCGAAGTGGGCGGATCACGAGGTCAGGAGTTTGAGACCAGTCTGGCCAATATGGTGAAACCCCATTTCTACTAAAAATACAAAAATTAGCCGGGCGTGGTGGTACGTGCCTGTAGTCCCAGCTACTCGGGAGGCTGAGGCAGAAGAATCTCTTGAACCTTGGGGGCGGAGGTTGCACTGAACTGATATCATGCTGCTGCACTCCAGCCTGGGCGACAGAGCGAGATGCTGTCTCAAAAAAAAAAAAAAAAATTAGCTGGGCGTGGTGGTCTGTACCTGTAATCCCAGCTATTCAGGAGGCTGCGGCAGGAGAATTGCTTGAACCTGGGGGTCGGAGGTTGCAGTGAGCTGAGATTGCACCTCTGTACTCCAGCCCGGGTGACAGAATGAGACTCCATCTCAAAAAAAAAAAAAAAAAAAAAGACGAGACACAGACACATGTGCAGGGGAGAGCACCGTGTGAGTGTGAGGGCAGGGGTTGGAGTGATGGCTCTGCAAGCCTAGGAACAGCAAGGATTCTGACATCACCAGAGAGGGTCGTAGAACAGATTCTGTCTCCCAGCTTCTAGAAGGGACCAGCCCTGCTGACACCTGGATTTTAGGCTTCAAGCCTCCCGAACAGTGAGGAAATACATTTCTATTGTTGGGGCCATCCGGCTTGTGGCACTTGGTTACAGCAGCCCTGGGAACAGAGCAACAGAAAGAAGTAGCAGTGAGTTATGAGTTTCTGCCTACACTGAGAGACTTCAGGAATAAAACCTAATGGAAGGTACTTAGGAATATGCAGTGGGATTGTGTCCTTTTACAGAGGAGGGAACGATCCAGAGAGGTGCTCACAGCCACGCAGTGGGGGCTGGTGATAGATTTGGATCCAGAACTCAGGTCTCCTGGGCTTAGAACTTCTCTCCCTCCTAATGCTGCCTATGGGAACATATTTGAAACCTAACTGGGTTCACATTAAAGAAATGCCATAAAGTTAGGGGGCAGATGGTTTGGGTTTTTTTCCTCTCCATTTTTTGATGGGGAATGAAGGGATCACAGATCTTGACAACAAAATGGAAAGAGTTTATAGGGTTCCAGGTTGGATTGCAGTGGTGCCATCTCAGCTCACTGCAACTTCCACCTCCTGGGTTCAAGCAATTCTCCCGCCTCAGCCTCCTGAGTAGCTGGGAATATGGGCACATGCCGCCATGCCTGGCTAATTTCTTTTACATTTTAGTAGAGATGGGGTTTGGCCATGTTGCCCAGGTTGGTCTTGAAATCCTGAGCTCAAGCAGTCCACCCACCTCGGCCTCCCAAAGTGCCAGGATTACAGGCATGAGCCACCGCGCCCGGCCAGGGTTCCAGTTTTATTAGCTACATAGCCTGCAAGCAGAGAGCACGGTGGCACCAACCAACCAGGCTGTATTTGGGGACTGTCGCTTATTTTTCATGCACTTGGTGCTGAGGCTTGAATTGGTACAATAAGATGCAATACCTGCCCAACATTTCTTATTCAGGGCCTAGTTAAACCTTGAACTGGGAAGAAGCAGCCTTTGTTTGGGGGAGCGTGTTCTTCTGCAGCAGATCCTTTTGGTTGAACCATGAAATAATAAGACTCGGTTTGCACAACTGTGAATGCCCAAGTTGGCTGAATTCTTGGTACAGAGGCAGAGGGACGGGATGCCTGTCTTTGGAAATATGAACGTACTGGCTGCTTTGTTCACGATGACTCAGTGTTTGTATGACCTTGGTTTTACTAAACATCTGAAGGCACTTTTGTCAGGTGTCCTCCATTTGCCCAATGTAACCGTATTTTATTTCTGAGACACAGTCGTGCCCTTTAACACAGTCTGTTTTTCGAGGAGGAGGATTCACTTACCGCCCTTGAAAACCAAGGTCAGTCTGGGGCTGGTGATGGGCATTTGGACTGTTCCTTGGGTTCAAGGTGATTTTCTCTTACAAAGTTTTCACCCTCTGTAATTGGCCTCGGAAGACCACACATAAATAAGGAAAGACAGTTTTCTGTATGCCGGTCCTCTTCACCTCTGGACTGTGGTGGGCTGGATCTACCGTTAACCTTAGCAACTGGAGAAAGGAGTTTCTCGAGACACTGTCTGCCTACCCTGTCTTCGACTCATCTGTTCTGAGGCTTTGGGCTTCTCTCAGTGACCCTCTTTCCTAAATAATAAGTACAGGAACTGTGGGAGAAACTGGACTAAGTGTAAGTCTGAACTTGGCCTTAGAGAGGGTCTTAGTCCTGCAAGCTGCGGGGGCAGCTCTCACCCTCAGAACTTCAACCGAGGCACCTCTTACAGCATCTGCAGGGGAGGGCAAGGGACTCTCTGGAAGGGTTTCTGGAGATTTTGGTCATACGAGTAGATTCAATTACTTTGGAGCTTCCTTGGGCCATTTTTATTTTCTGTAATACCTGCTGTTTTATTTTGCTAGGCTTTCCCCCCTAGAATAAAGGCACATTCAATAATAAGAATTTTGTAGTAGCCACTACTAAATGATACTGCTCGTCAGTTTGAAGAAAAAGCTAATTGTCAGCTCTGTGTTGAGATTTCCTTTTTTTTTTTTTTTTTTTAAAAAGCAGCTTAGAGAAAATCCCTGAACATAGTCTCCTGATTGAAAAATACATTAGTGGATTTCACTGCTTTATCATTTTCTTAAAGTAATAGTTTTCCTTACTTAAAAAATTATATGTATTAAATTATATTATTTATACATATAAAATTATATAGATAATATTTATATATATATAGAGAGAGAGAGAGAGAGAGAAAGAGAACGAGAGAGATCTATTGAAACATATGGCTGAAAACATGCCCAGTGCATATTTTTTTTTTTTTTAAAGGGAGTCTCACTCTGTCATTTTAGCTGGAGTGCAGTGGCATGACCTTGGCTCACAGCAGCCTCAACGTCCCAGGCTCAAGCAATCCTCCCACCTCAGCCTCCCAAATAGCTAGGACTACAGGCTTGTGTCACTATGCCTGGCTAATTATTATTATTATTATTTTTGTAAAGATGAGGTCTCACTGTGTTGCCCAGGCTGGTCTCGAACTCCTGAGTGCATGTGATCTGCCCACCTCGGCCTCCCAAAGTGCTGGGATAGCAGGTGTGAGCCACTGTGCCTGGCCAGAATTTTTTTTTTTGTTTATAAAAGTGAAAAACAAGGATTTATTTTATGACATTTTGTAGTTGTAAAGAGCCTTATTGTTCCTTGAGTCCAGCCCTCTGCTGTGGGCCAAAGGACAGGAGTCACCTCTGACCCGGTAGGGTCATTTCTGTGAGATGACTGGTGGATTTGCTAAGATCGTATATTGATGCCCCCAAGCTACCCTTTGTATGGTGAATTTGGCCACCTACACATCAACAAGTGACTATTTCTAGCCATCCCACCGTGGCCTGCCAGCCAGCAGATCAATTTCACCAGTTTTTCCGTCTTTGTCTTTATAGCACGGTTTATTTGTGCAATCATTTGAATTGTTTATGTGCTTTGCCCTTGTTTTATTAAAATGAAAGTGACAAATTAAAAAGGTTAATAATAGGAGTTAGAAAGAGCGTAATTCTCCTAAACACATCAATTGAGAAAGAGGGAAATCAATTGGCGTGAATCTTTGGTCTTGATTGGGCGCTTGTGGGATCTACCGCTGTGAAGGGAAAGGATAGAATGAAAGGGTGTTCATGAAATGCTGTGAAGTAATTGTGGATGCTTGAGTCTGAGACATTAGGTATATTTAGAGATTTTATAATCTTTCTTTTTTTTTTGTTTTAAGTACTCTAAAAAAGGGAATAGTTCTTTATACCTAAGAGATGCACATTGTAACATGTAAGTTTTTTTCACTTTCATACATTTTACTTCCAAATTCGTTTGCAGGAAAGAATCAGAGATGGGAAAAAAGAGGAATTGTCCATAAAGACAAATTCCTCCCAAACGGGCCTGTAAGTTCCCCTCAGGCTGCAGCTCTCCCTGCTGGAGTCTGCCTGGATCAGCATTTCCTTTTCACAAGAGCAAGCACCCAGTCACCCAGTCTCCAAAATCAGCCCTTGTAGTATTTCCTGAATCTCTGAGTTCTCTTCCCAGAGCCTCAGATGGCCCAGTTTTCTGTTTCTGGATCACCCGACTTTGGTTTTCTGGGATCCCTTGCTGAACTCTGCCTGGTGTCACAGTGCGGGGCCTGTGCTCTGCTGGTGCTGTTGAGCCACTGGTAGCAGCCTCGTCTCCCACCCCTGGTGTCTGTGATCCATCCAGTTTCATCATGTCTTCCCTGCTCAAGGGCTTTTCTCTTGGCCTCTCTCATGCATCTTCTTCTTGATTTTCCTGCTTCTCATCAAGCTGGCACCTTATTTATCAGGGTCCAGCTTTAATGACACCCCTTCAGAGAGGTCTTCTCTGAGCCCTCCTGCTCGCCTTCCTGGCAACACTTAGCTCCAGGTGCATTTACACATTTATCTGTGACTTGTTCATCACGTGTCTCCTCTAAATGTAAGCTTCACAGTCAGTCTAACCCAGTGCTTGGGACAGCGCTGTGTGCAGGGGGCTCCAGAGGTTCTGCTGAGTAAGTCAATGGCGCATTCATTCTCCTGGCTTCCTAGGCGCTGACCCTGATAACTTGATAAGGGCAGAGCCAAGCTCTTGGGCCCTGTGGCCCACACCCAGCAGCATCCCACACCCTGCTTGCAGCGGCCCCACTCTTCCATCCCTGAGTTGCAGGTGCAGCGTTCACTGTCTCCAGGCTCTGTCCTGGTAGCCTGGGCACTGTCATTACTGTATCCTTTGCTCAGATGGCCTCAGTGATTGCTGCCATCCATGGAAGTGAGTTCTCATCTCCTCCCTGACTTTCCAGGCCCCATGGAGTGTGTGTTCGCCCATTTAGGCTATCTTCCCTCCAAGACGGAATCTTGTTCTGTTGCCCAGGCTGGAGTGCAATGTCGCAATCTCGGCTCACTGCAACCTCCACCTCCTGGGTTCAAGCGATTCTCCTGCCTCAGCCTCCCAAGGAGCTGGGACTACAGGTGCACGCCACCACGCCTAGGCTAATTTTTGTATTTTTAGTAGAGACAGAGTTTCATCATGTTGGCTAGGCTGGTCTTGAACTTGTGACCGCAGGTGATCCACCCACCTGGGCTGCCCCAAGTGCTGGGATTACAGGCATGAGCCACTGTGCCCAGCCCCATTTAGCCACCTTATTTCATGTTGCTTCTCTGTAGTGTGCCGCTGCTAGACGCAGGTGGGTGCCTGCCCTGCCCTGCAGAATTCACCTTGCATGGTGCACATGGTTCATGCTGGCTTTACCTGCTCCTCCTCCCTCTTCTTTCTGTATACCCCAGACCAACTCTGTCCTAAGGGCTCCGTTTAAAGCCCATTTCCTTAATGGAATCTACTCCTGATCTTATTAATCTCTCTCTCTCTCTGGCCCTTGGCAGTTATAGTCTGTCTATGTAGTTTATAATAAACTTTATAATAAAGTCTGTCATCTAATGAAATAAGGAGCAGAGCAGATGAGTTTCAGGAGGGTGGAAGTTGGAGTCAGAGAGACCTAGGGCTGAATCTTTGTTTTACGACTTGCTAGCTGTGTGTCCTTCAGCAAGGTAATTACTGTTAATGAGCTTTACGTTCTCATCTCTGATATGAGAGGATAATGCCTTTCTCACATGGCTGTTTAAAGATTAAATAATGATAATACAACTCCTGGAATATAGTACACACTCAGTAAATATTATACTGACGGTCATTTCCTTCATGTTGGTGCTATAGATTGAATTGTGTCTCCCCCCTAATTGGTTGGTTTGTTTATTGATTGATTGATTGATTGATTGAGACAGAATTTTGCTCTGTCTCCCAAGCTAAAGTGCAGTGGCACGATCTCGGCTTACTGCAACCTTCGCCTTCTGGGTTCAAGTGATTCTTGTGCCTCAGCCTCCCGAGTAGCTGAGACTACAGGTACACCACCACATCTGGCTAATTTTTTGTATTTTTAGTAGAGATGGGGTTTCACCATGTTGGCCAGGCTGGTCTTGAACTCCTGACCTCAAGTGATCCACCTGCCTCGGCCTCCCAAAGTGCTGGGATTACAGGCGTGAGCCACCATGCCTGGCACCCCCCAATTTATATGTTGAAGCGCAAACCCTCAATGTGGAGCTAATTAAGGTTGAGACCATACGGATGGGGTCCTAATCTGATTGGATTGGTGGCCTTATAAGAGGAGGAAGAGAGATCACTCTATTCATGCACGCACACCAAGGGCAGTCCCCATGAGCACACAGTGAGAAGGCAGCCGTCTTCTCACGAAGAGAGTCCTTACCAGGAACTGAAGCTGCTGGCACTTTGACCTTGGACTTCCCAGACTCCAGAACTGTGAAAAAGTAACTTCTGTTGTATGAGCCACGCAGTCTGTGGTATTTTGTTCTGGTAGTCTGAGCTGACTAATAGAGTGTGCTTTGGCTCTAATTAGATGATGATTTGTTGAGCTGGCATTGATTGAGCCCTTGTTAGGTGTTGGGCACTATCTTACTTAACCTGACCTGTCTAATCTCTCAATTCTCAAAACCACTTTAGAAGTTGGTTAAGTTACTTGCTAAGTTCCCCTAGCCTAGTAGTGCCAGGATTAGAACTATGACTTCACGTTGCAGCCCTGTGAAATGGCACCTCCTGCAGTTGTGCAGGGCAGGCCTCTGCGGCTGTCCGTGGACGACCTTGACAGATGGGAGACCACATGTGTGTCCCTGACTCCAGTGCTCCTGCTTTCACTAGAGAGCAGATGACACACTCCTCGATGTCAGGGGAGTTGCCTTATATTTCATTTCTGGTGGCACTTAGCAAGTGCTCTGTGCACAGGAAGCAATTAAAAAATAATTTTTGGTTGGTTAATTTTCCCCAAACACTTAGCTCCTCCTACATCTGGAGAAAGAGTGAAATTTTCACCCACCCTCCCGAGCTCCCCCGTGTGCATCCTCTGAGCTGTTTGCTGTCAGCGAAGGCATTTGCGTGTCAAACCTACCCATAAACTTGCTGAGTTGACAAAAGCAAAGAGAGATCAAGTTTTCAGTTGTTGGAGAGTAGAACCGTTGTGAGTCTGAATCTGCAATTCTTTTATTCTCTCAGTGAGTAGAAGTGAGTCTTTGTGAGGATGGCCTTCAGCCAGTATCTTGACACCTCAGTTACGTAAGTAGTTCTCATCTTGTTCTCCTCTTTTGCTTTTTTCTCCCTCTCATGTACACTCACAGTAAGAGGCCTGAGAGAACGTTAGCCAACTCCTTGTTTTTTGAGACAGAGTTTCACTTTTGTTGCCCAGGCTGGAATGCAATGGCATGATCTTGGCTCACCACAGCCTCCGCGTCCTGGGTTCAAGCAATTCTCCTGCCTCAGCCTCCCAGGTAGCTGGGATTACAGGCATGTGCCACCATGCCTGGCTAATTTTGTATTTTTAGTAGAGACAGGGTTTCTCCATGTTGGTCAGGCTGGCCTTGAACTCCCGACCTCAGGTGATCCATCTGCCTCTGCCTCCCAAACTGCTGGGATTACAGGCGTGAACCATGGCACCCAGCCCTCCTTTTTTTTTTTTTTTTTTTTTTAAATGTTTGCCTCAGCTTTTGTTATTCAGAGAGAAATTGGTCTCATCTGCCTCAGGACACGGATGGCTTTACCTATAATTAATTAAGCCTTTTCCTCTCTGAAGTTGATGGGTTTGGACTTTTGAAAAAGATGGGCCATGTGGCATCTTAACTTAGGCTCAAGGTGATAGGGTTATAGATTTTAGACCTCCCGGACCCTCTCTATAGATATTGGCCAATATTCTTTATTAGCATGTTTATGTAGGTATTAGCCAGTATTCTTTATTGGCACATTTATAATTTATACCCCACTTCCTTTTCATAGGGCTTGCCATAAGACATATAGGTCACAATCAGGTCGCTAAGGTAAAAATTGAAAATAGACAAATGCAGTAGAGAGAGGGGAAAGCAAATATTCCAAATTCTTGACCTAATATATTTGTTGTGATTGAGTGCCTGACAGCCAAGGCAAAAATGGAAACTCGGCAGATTCCATAATTCTCCTTCCCTGGTAAGATGCCGACTTAGGGGAGAGACATAATCTCCAGGTGCAAGTTTATAAAAAGATTTCATTGTAAGGCTGTTTCTCCATGGGATATAAAACCATGTAATTTACAACACGTACAGCAACCTTAGCTCCAGTTCAGAGAGCCATCAAGGCTGTTGTTCCTGCCATTAGTCATGACCTTATCCTTCTCTGCCCCTAGCTAAGGCCTGTTCATCCTGTAGACTTTGACAGCCATCATCGCCTCCAAGAAGTCTGCCATGATTCTCCCTGCTCAGGCTGGGTCATGTCCCTCTTCTCAGTGGAACCATAAGACAGGGCTTATTTTTATCTCTGCATCTCTGTATTGCTTTATATATATATTTTTACAACTAGATGAGGTATTCCTAGGACTCATTCCTGGTATTGTGGTAGGTGTGGGGCTGATGTTTGTTGAAGAAAGGAAGTTTTTTTTAATCTAGATTACAAAAACAGTTTTCCAAGTGGATGAAACCATGTTATATGAATGAAAGTCATTAGTTGTTTTTTAGTGTCTGCCCATAGTAAGTAGCTTGTCTGTGACTCAGAATTGTATGTTCCTGGTACGTATTAGAAGAGCTGGTTGTCAGATGCAGACTCAGGAGACTTGGGTTCTGGTCCTGATTCTTCCACTAAGTAGAACTATCACTTCAGCATTTCACAGGCTTAGTTTCTATATCTGCAAAGTGAGCACAGTGAAGCAGGCTGGTGGGCGCAGAGGTGAGGAGTTGATCTCCTCTCCCACATGCCACGCCCAGGGCAGCCATCCATCGCTGGCCACAGCTGTCATCCTCAGCTGCTTCTGTGAGCACCATTCTCAGAAGCCACCACCAGTCCCTTGGGGCTGGCATCAGAGAAGAAGTCTGTTTAACATCTGTGGAAAAGGTTACCTTTGAGGTTCTTTCAGCTCTAATGATTGTAGCATATCCCCTGATGTTCTCTGTTATCACTGTAGTGGGCTGAAATGTCCCCCCCCACCAAATTCATGTCCACCTGGAGTCTTATTTAGTGACCTAATTATTTTAAAATAGCATTTTTTTTTTAGCTGGGCATGGTGGTGGGCACCTGTAATTCCAGCTACTCGGGAGGCCGAGGCACAAAAATTGCTTGAACCTGGGAGGCAGAGTTTGCAGTCAGCTGAGATCGCACCATTGCACTCCACCCTGGGCGACAGAGCAAGACTCTTCTCAAAAAAAAAAATGAATACATAAAAATAAAAATAGGGTTTTTGCAGATGTAATTGGTTAAGATGAGGTCAGAATGGATTTGAGTGGGCTCTGAAGTCATTGACTAGCGTCCCTTACGAGGAGAGGAGAGGAGAGGAAAGGAAACAGATACGTGGGGAAGATGACACAGGAAGAGACTGGACCAATGCAGGGGTGAGCCAGGGAGTGCCAAGATCGGCCGGGGGCCGCCAGAAGCCAGGAGGAGGCAAGGAAGGATGTTCCCCAGGTCCTGTCGGCTCCTTGATTTCACACTTCTGGTCTGTGAGAGAATTTCTGTTGATTTAAGCCACCAAGTTTGTGTTAATTTGTGATGGCAGCTCTGGGAAACTATTGAAAGTAATGGCAAAAACTGCAATTATTTTTGCACCAACCTAATTTGGTGCAATACACTCACCTCTGATTTTTGTCGTCATTTTGCCTGCTCTATCAGGCTAGTGTGTCCCTCTTCATGTCTGCCTGGAGAAGCCTCATGCATTGGAAGATGTCTTTTTTGCCGTGTCACATGTGGTAGAACCTGACATTTCTCTGCCTGTTCGTGAACATTTAGACATTGATAAAAGCTCATTTTCCCAATTAATAGATGAAAGCATATGAATTACTTTATATTTTTGAGGGACATATGTTTAGTTCAGACTCCCTGAGGTCTTATTCAAATTATCAAAAAACCTGGCTACCGCAGTGTAATTCACAGATGGTACTGACTCTAGCCAAAAAAGGAAAAAAAAAAAAAAAAAAAAAAAAACACCACCCAAAACTGTGCTCCAAACACAAAACTGCTTGAGTGTTCTGAGCAATAGAGTATCGAGGGAATGGTGTTGGGTGGATCCCTGCTGGGGAGCCTCCTGCTACTGCTTCTCCCGTCTTGGACCCAGGAGGGCACTTCCTCCAGCTGGGGAGTTTCTTCACCGTCCCTTTCACGTACATGTCATCATCAAGGAGACCTCCAAGCTTTTGTCTGTGTTTTCTGTGCCTCAAACACCATCCCCTCTTTGCCAAGCGGTTTCATATGTTATCTAAAGAGCTCAACACTCTGTAAAGTGGCAATGATTGTTCCATTTTATGGATGAGGAAACTGAGGGTCAGAGAGGCAATTAGGTAACCGATCACAGGTGACACAGCTAGGAAGGAGCAGAACAGAATCTGAACTCAGATCCTTCCTATTCCCAAACCCACGTGCTTCCTGCCCCACCTGAAAGGGCATTTGTGGGTGGGGTAGGGACAGTGGCTTGAGCCAATGCAGATGAGTATAGATGCATTTGGAGAGAAAACTTGTAGAAGTGGAGAACATGAGGGAACAGAGATGGGTTGGCATAAGAGAAGGCCAGAAAGATAGGAAGGTGCCATGTTGGGAAGGGCTTGACTTTCAGGCTTGGAAGTGAGGGTGTTTTGTGTCTCTACTGGGGAACATTTGAAGGCTTGGAGCACGGAGAGGCATGGAGTGTGGGAGTGGGATTTGAAGTATAATGAAGTAGAGTGATGGGTCAGCGGTCCAGCCGGGTTATAATGAAGGATGGAATTAGGTTGGCAGCAAGGTGTACACTTGGTGACACCAGACCTACTGTCACAGAGGTAGAACCCACAGGCTCTGATGATAGCTGTGGGGGTCATAGGGTAGGCAGACAAGGAAGGGAAGTAAGAATCTAGGTTTAAGTCTGCTTAGAGGCGAGGGGAATAGGGAGGAGAATGGATTTGGTCTGACAAGCAGTGGGGCAAGGTGATGAATGGGTTGTGGTCTGGCCATGATGGACTCAAGGGGCCAAAGGGTCATCTAGAGAGGATAATCAATTGACAGGCAGATGTGTGGGCTGCAGACACACCAGGTCAAGCTTAGGAGTAGTTGAGAGGATCAAGCAAAGGGCCTGGGGCATTGCCGCCCCTCCCTCCGTCCCTCCCTTTCCCCTTCCCTTCCCCTCCCCTCCCCTCCTTCTCTGTTGCCCAGGCTGGAGTATAGTGGCATGATCACAGCTCAGTGCAGCCTTGAACTCCTGGACTCCAGAGATCCTCCCATCTCAGCCTCCTGAGTAGCTGGGACCACAGGTGCGCACCATCACACCTGGCTAATTTTTTTAATTTTTTCATAGAGATGGGGTCTTCTATGTTGCACAGTCTGTTCTCAAACTGCTGGGCTCAGGTGATGTTCCTACCTCTGCCTCCCTAAGTGTTGGGATTACAGGTGGGAGCCAGCACACTTGGCCTGTACCTTCACTTAAGCAAACCTTTTTTTTTTTTTTTTTTTTTTGCTTTTTGAGGCTTTTTTTGGGCTGCAGGTGCAGGGCCTAGCCAGACTTGGCAGCACACTTTACATGGCCAGGATGTCGGGCAATGTTAGAATTAGTTGGAGAGGGCTCTTATGGTTATGTCACCAGATGTTGGAAAGGCTTTAGTTATAAAATTAAAAACAAACCTATCATCTGTGTGATTTTGTAGGCCTCGGGGTTCGAGGTATCCTGTGAGTCACCCAAGGAATCCTGGGAGTACATAGTCCACAGTAGACAATTATTATTGCTATTTGTCAATAATATCTGAAGATGACTGTTACCTTTGTGGTGATTTATCTTAGAAGGAGGCTTTTCTCCTGTGTTTGCTGAGTTTGATTTGAGTCTTTTTTTTTTTTTTTTTTTTTTTTGAGACGGAGGGAGTCTCACTCTGTTGCCCAGGCTGGAGTGCAATGGCATGATCTTGGCTCACTGCAATCGCTGCTTCCTGGGTTCAGGTGATTCTCGTGCCTCAGCCTCCTGAGTAGCTGGGATTATGGGCACACGCCACCACACCTGGCTACTTTTTGTATTTTTAGTGGAGATGGGGTTTCATCATGTTGGTGAGGCTGGTTTTGAAACCTTGACCTCAAGTGATCCATCCGCCTCAGCCTCCCAAAATGCTGGGATTATAGGCATGAGCCACCACGCCTGGCCTGACCACACCTGGCCTGATTTGAGTCTTAACATGTAGAGCTCTGGGCATCTCAGGACTGGTTTTGCCCCTTGTCCACAGGGGAAGCATCTTCAGTAGTGATTCTAAATGTGACTTAGAAAACTGCCCATGGTCTGTGAGGCTGACAGTGTCATTGCCTCCGCTCTTTATAGGACGGGGTTGTGGGCACCCTGGTGCGTGGCCTCAGCATGCTGAGTGAGAAGCAGGTGATTGCTGATACGACTTATAAGGGGTGTGGTTCCAGTCGCCTTCATGCTGGGCGCACAGACGGGCACGGTGTACGGGCTCACTGGACTGCATGGTCAACATGGAGGTCTTTCTGAGTTGTGCAAAATGTTCTTCTCAGGAAGCTTGACTGCTGTTTGATGTTAACATGATTGAGGAGTTTAGGCTTGACTAAAGTCCTTTGGTATCCCTGTGAAATAGGACTTTGTGTTAGTACATTCTCACACTGCAAATAAAGACATACCTGAGACTGGGTAATTTATAAAGGAAAGAGGTTTAATGGACTCACAATTCTGCGTGGCTTGGGTGGCCTCACAATCATGGCAGAAGATGAATGAGGAGCAAAGGCATGTCTTACATGGTGGCTGGCAAAGAGAGAACTTGTGCAGGGGAACTCCCATTTATAAAACTGTCAGATCTTGTGAGACATATTCACTATCACAGAACAGTACGTGCCCCTATGATTCAATTACTTCCCCCCGGGTCCCTCCCCCGACATGTGGGAATTATGGGAACTACAATTCCAGATGAGATTTGGATGGGGACGCAGCTAAATCATATCAGACTTTAACAAGGAACAGACCTTAGTCATCTGCAAGTAGTGAAGTCAGTGGTATGGGAAAAGGTACTGTTATTCTGCGTTTGAATTGAGCTTGGCCAGGCACAGTGGCTCACGCCTGTCACCCTAGCACTTTGGGAGGCTGAGGCAGGTGGATCACTTGAGGTCAGGAGTTTGAGACCAGCCTGGCCAATGTGGTGAAACTCTGTCCCTACTAAAAATAAAAAAATTAGCTAGACATGGTGGTGGGCACCTATAATCCCAGCTACTCGGGAGGCTGAGGCAGGAGAATCCCTTGAACCTGGTGGTGGGGAGGGAGGGCGGAGGTTGCAGTGAGCTGAGATTGTGCCACTTCACTCCAGCCTGGGCGAAAGAGCGAAACTCATCTCAATAATAATAATGAAAAATAAAAATAAAACAAAACAAAATAAAATAAAATGAATTGAGCTTATATTTTGGGATTCCCTTTCTGCCAAAGCTGAGTAGTTCTTCATGCTCTGGAGCAGTGGTTCTTAACTGAAGGTGATTTTGCTCCCCAGGGCACACTTGCCAAGGTCTGGAGTTGGTTGTGAGATTGTCGGGGGAGCGGTCTACTGCATCCAGTAGGTAGAGGCCATTGATGCTGCTCAGTGTCCTACAATACACAGGACAGCTCCCACACAGCAAAGAATTACCCGGCCGCAAATACCAATAGGGCTGAGATTGAGAAACCACGGTCTAGAATCCAGCAAAATCTTTCGATCTTCACCACTGTCGACTGGGGAGGGCTCAGCACAACTCATGAAGCCATGGGTTTCAGCACAGCCAGGGAAGGTCCCCGAGTGAAGGTCAGATGGGGAGAGGCCTGCATGGCTGGCACCGAGGAGACACAGCCAGACCAGTAGCTGCATGCTCTTGGGCAAGCTCTTCCCGTCTGAGTTTAGTTTCCTTAAATGCCAAGTGAAGAAAGCCAGCCAGGGTATCACGAAAACCCTTTCTAGAACTCATATTCCAAGATTCTGGCCCTGACCCTCTATTCTCATAACCTGGGCATGATTCAAGAAATGTGTGAGCCAGGCACAGTGGCTCATGCATGTAATCCCACCCCTTTGGGAGGCCAAGGCAGGTGGATCACTTGAGGTCCAGGGATTGAGACCAGCCTGCCCAACATGGTGAAACCCTGTCTCTACTAAAAATACAAAAATTAGCTGGACGTGGTGGTGTGTGCCTGTAATCCCAGGTACTCGGGAGGCTAAGGCAGGAGAATCACTTGAACCTGGGAGGCAGAGGTTGCAGTGAGCTGAGGTTGCACCACTCACTCCAGCTTGGGCTGCAGAGCGTGAGACTCTGTCTCAAAAAAAAAAAAAAAAAGTGCAAAAAGAGATTCAATGTGACCTCATTTTCCCTGCCTTTCTCCTTTCTTCCTAGTTTTTATTTGCATTTTTTTTGTTCCAAAAGGGAGAAAATGCACACAGTTAAAGAAATATTTAAATTGTCCCCTCTTATCATGATAAGCCTGAGAATGTTTCTTTTATGTCAAGGAGAAATGACTTTAATATATATTTGAAACGTTTCTGCTCAGCGATGAAAAATCCAATGTCAGATCACTTACAGCAGGCAGACTTGGGCGTTTTAAGCATCTCTCCCAGGATATCATCCAGGCAGCAAGGGCTGTCCCCAGACCTGTCTGGCTCTGAGAGAAGGAGTCCTGTGGGTGCACGAGAGAGAGCCTGTGATTCCAGCATGTCTGGGTATTCCCCAGCTGATGGTGCAGACATGACATCATCCTGAGTAGCTATCTTAGCTCCCACCCCCTACATGCACACTCACGTACTATCCTGGGAGCTCTTGATTTTCTGTATCAATGAATGGATAATATGCACAAGGTAGCAAAAGCTGTTCTTCCTTTTGGATTAGGGGAACCATCTTTCTCCTTTTGCTGGAAATCTTCCCTATCATGATGTTACTGTGCTAGTGCAGACATAACAAAGTACCACAGCCTGGTTGGCTTAATAAAAGGAATTTATTTTCTCACAGTTCTGGATGTTGGAAGTCCAAGATCAAGGTGTCAGCAGGGTTGGTTTCTTGCAGGCCTCTCTTCTTGGCTTGCAGACGGCCGCCTTCCCCACATGTCTTCCACATGGTCTTCTCTGTGTATGTCTGTGTCCAAACCTCTTCTTAGAAGGACACCAGTCATAGTGGATTAGGGGTCACCCTAATGACTTCATTTTCCCAATTACTTGTTTAAGACCCTGTGTTAAAATAGAGCCACATTCTGAGGTACTCGGGGCCAGGGCTTCAACACGTGAATTGGTTTCAACATACGAGTTGTGCAGTTCATTTTGTAACACCTGTGGAGATGGGTAGAGGGCAGGTTCTCTCTGCAATAAGGTTTTACAGATGGTCATTTATCTTCTGCTTCTTTCTTTTCCCTTCTTATTTTTTACTGTGAGAAAATTCAAACATGCAGAAAAGTTGCAAGAATAGCAATGAGTAATTGTTAACATGTTGTTGTATTTGCCTCCTCTTTATGTGTAGATTATATGAACTGATGAAAACAAAGTTTTAGGCATCATGGCACCTCACCTGTAAACTTTTCAGCATGAAGCTCAGAACAAAGACATCCTTTTCTATAACCCCACGCTATTGTCACACCTAAGAAAGTTTCAAATAATTCAGTTCGATGTCTGTCATCTAGTCCATATTCAGATTTCTCCAGTTGTCCACTAAGACCTTTATTTATTTATTTATTTATTTATTTATTTTTTACCAGCATCCAGTGAAGATGTGGGCACTGCTGTTGGTTTTTATATCTCTTTAATCTCTTTAGTCTGGAATGATCTTCCCATTTTCCTCTCCCCCTCTGATGACACCGACTTTTTTTCTTTTTTCTGAGACAGTCAAGGCCAGTTGTTTTGTGGAATGCCCACATCCTGAATTTGATGGATTATTTCCTTGTGGTGTCTTTCACCTTGCCTTGTGTCCCATGGAAGTCAGATCCAAATGCTTATGTAGGCTCAAGCTTTTTTTTTTTTTTTTTTTTTTTTTTTTTTTTTTGAGACAGAGTCTTGATCTTTTGCTCAGGCCGGAGTGCAATGGTGCAGTCTCGGCTCACTGCAATCTCTGCCTCCCGGGTTCAAGAATCAAGCAAGTCTCCTGCCTCAGCCTCCTGAGTAGCTGGGATTACAGGCGCCTGCCACCATACCCACCTAATTTTTGTATTTTTAGTAGAGACGGGGTTTCACCATGTTGGCCAGGCTGGTGTTGAACTCCTGACCTCAGGTGATCTACCCGCTTCAGCCTCCCAAAGTGCTAGGATTATAGGTGTGAGCCACTGCACCCGGCAGCTCAAGCTTATTTAAACAATTGCCAGGCAATGCTGGGTGCTTCTTAAACCATTATGTCTCACCAGGTTGTCCACTGTTAGTGACGCTAAGTCTGATCAGCGGCCAAGGGTGGTCATGCTGATCTCTCCATTGGAAGGTGTGTTTTTGGCAATGAGCACATAGCCTACGGAGAGATACTTGGGCACTGTGTGCATAACCATTGATGATTCTTGCCTGAATTATTTTACCGAAAGTTGCAAAATGGTGATTTTTCTAATTCTATCATTAGTTGATATTCCTGAAAAGGAACTATAATGACCAATTTTTACAAAAAAGAGTTGGTGTAATAATCGCCTCTAATGGTGGCAAATAAATATCTGTCTGTGACTATCACTATGGACTCATGGGTTTTTATTTAGTCAGTTGTTTTATAATCAATTATAATAATTGTTTTGATGCTCAAATTATCCTAAATTTGGCCATTGAGGCCCTTTAAGCTGCTTCTTTTGTCCTTTGAACATACTCCTTTTAGTCTTTAAGTACTTTCTTGCACAAAAAAAAGTTCTGGACTCATCTTACACTTTTCATATCCAGACATGAGATCATCCATTTCTCCAAAAAGCCCTGATTCCTTTCAGTGGAGAATGGTATTTAAAAACTGAAACTGGAGGCCAGGTGTGGTGGCTCACGCCTGTAATCCCAGCACTTTGGGAGGCTGAGGCAGGTGGATCATTTGAGGTCAGGAGTTTGAGACCAGCCTGGCCAACATGGTGAAATCCTGTCTCTACTAAAAATACAAAAAAATTAGCCAGGCATGGTGGCAGGCACCTGTAATCTCAGCTACTTGGGAGGCTGAGGCAGGAGAATTGCTTGAATCTGGGGGGCTGGGGGCAGAGGGAGGTTGCAGTGAGTCAAGATTGCGCCATTGCATCCCAGCCTGGGCAACGAGAGCAAAACTCTGTCTCAAAAAAAATAAAATAAAATAAGATAAACCGAAACTGGACACTGGGTGTATTCATTATAGCTGGGGTATTATTATTTTCATGAATTTATATTGCTATTGCCAATTCACATTTAATGTTACTGAGTTTTTTCTTAGCAATCTTTGATTTTGTATTTATATCTCTTTGCTTGGTTCTTAATACTATTAATGTTGTGAACACATTTATTTGCTTTATTCTATAATGTGCATAAAATAGTTTCAAAATTATACTGTCTTGCTATTAGTAATACATGTCTGGCTGAAACAATATTTCTTTGTAGTTCAATTTCATCTGTAGTATATGGATGTACATCTACTAGGATACATAATCAGTATTGAATTAAAATGTGGTATGAAAGAGTTTTTTTTCTGGTGAGGTTATGTTGCAAACTTGCTTTTTTAGTTAGGTTATTTTGTGTACTTCTTAAAAAAATTTAAATTTGTGGTTTGCTTTTTTAAAAAAAACTTCATTGAGGCATAATTTACATATAATAACAACATATACTTGACGATGAACAGAGGGATTAGTGAAAAATAATATACCCATTGAAAGTATTTTGACTAATATGTACATACCTCTGTAACCACCATTACTGTCAGGATATAGAACAGTTTCATCATGAAAAGTTTTCCTTCAGTTCCTTTGTAGTCAAGTCAATCTCCTACCCCTCCACCAAAACCCTCAGGCAGCCACAGAAGTGGTGTGACCACTTTCTGTCCCTGTAGATTAGTTTTTTTCTAGAATTTCGTATTAATGCAATCATAACATAGTACTTTTTTTTTTTTTTTTTCTGAGACGGAGTCTCACTCTGTCACTCAGGCTGGAGTGCAATGGTGTGATCTCAGCTCCCTGCAATCTCCACCTCCTGTATTCAAGCGATTCCCCTGCCTCAGCCTCCTGAGTAGCTGGGATTACAGGCGTGCGCCACCACACCTGGCTAATTTTTTTTTTTTGTATTTATAGTAGACATGGGGTTTCACCATGTTGGTCAGGCTGGTCTCGAACTCTTAACCTTGTGATCTGCGTGCCTCAGCCTCCCAAAGTGCTGGGATTACAGGCATGAGCCACCACGCCCGGCAAGAATAGTATACTTTTATGTCTAACTTCTTTTACTCTGCATAATGTTTTTGAGAATCATACATGTTGTGTGTATCAGTAAGGAGTTCATTCCTTTTTATTGTTGAGTAGTATTCCATTTTATGAACATACCATAATTTGTCTGTCTAGTGGCCCTCTGATGGGTTTTGTATTATTTCTAGTTTTTGGATGTTATGAATAAAGCTGCTCTAAACATTCTTTTACAAGTCTTTATGTGGATATGTGAGCTCGTTTCTCTTGAAGAAATACCCAGGAGTGGGATTGGTGGGTCATACAAGTATGTGTATAACTTTATAAGAAATTGTCCAACTGTTTTTCAAAGTGGTTGTACTAGTTCACATTCTTTTCTCTTTTTCTTTTTCTTTTCCTTTCCTTCCTTCTTTTTTTTTTTTTTTTTTTTTTTTTTTGAGACAAGGTCTCACTCTGTTGCCCTGGCTGGAGTGCAGTGGCACAGTCATGGCTCACTGCAGCCTCGACATTCTGGGCTCAGGTGATCCTCCCACCTCAGCCTCCTAAATAGCTGGGACCACAGGCGCACACCATCATGCCGTTAATTTTTGTATTTTTTCTAGAGATGAGGTTTCCTCGTGTTGCCCAGACTGATCTTGAACTCCTGGGTTCAAGCAATCCTCCTGCATCGGCCTCCCAAAATGCTGGCATTACAGGCATGAGCCACCACCCCTGGCCCTAGTTTACATTCTTACTATTTGTGAATGTTTGCTTGCTTGCTTCACAATCTGAACAGCACTTTGTATTGTCAGTGTTCTCATTTTTGCCATTCCAGTGGTATGTAGTTGTATCTTATTTTAATTTGTATTACTTACCTTTGACTTAATTTTTAGTTTGAATAGTAAAACTTTTACTAGTTCCAAAGACAAAAATCTCTTAAAAAGTATATGTAGTGACCTATCAAACTTTTACTTTCCTCAATCCTACTATTAAAGGTGTGGTTTAGATGACTGGAGAATTTATTAAGCACCTACTGTGTGCCAGGCACTGTGTTAGGCCCTGGGTCATGAGCAAACACAGAGACAGCCCCTAACTTCATAGAGCTAACGTATTAGTTAGAGGGCATAGACATTAGTCACAACCTCACAAATAAATGTAAAATGGTCACTGCTTTGTGCTGTATGGGAAAGCTACAGAAAAGAGTTAAGGCTGCTGTTACCTGGATCTCATCATTGGTCTCCCCCCACCCCCACCCCAAAAAGACTTTCTGCTTACGTGCTCCCTCTCTTAATACTTGTTGCAAAATACTTCCTCTGAAATGCTATAACTCCAGGACCTGTAGCAACAGGCCAAAACCCTGGGAAGGTAACCAGCACCCCACTATAGAACTCAGGTCTTGGAAAGCTGTGATAGCTTTCACTTGATCATTTGGCCTTAGATGAAGAAGTCTTACAGACTTGTTCCTTATAGAACCCTGATTGAAACACGCTTTCAGTGTCTTTAAAAATATATTGGTAACACATGGTTTACATTTAATTGTTTTTTTTCTTTTTTTTGAGACAGGGTCCCGCTCTGTTGCCCAGGTCAGAGTGCAGTGGTGCAGTCATGGCTCACTGTAGCCTCGAATTCTTGGGCTTGAGTGATCATCCCACTTCAGTCTCCTGAGTAGCTGGGACCACAGGCCTGCGTCACGACACCCAGCTAGTTTTTAAATTTTTGGTAGAGATGGGATTTTCCTATGTTGCTCAGGCTGGTCTCGAACTCCTGGGCTCAAGCGATCCTTCCGCCTTGGCCTAAGCGCTGGAATTACAGGTGTGAGCCACTGCACCAGCCTACATTTAACTTGTTGAAAGCCATTTTAAATTTTATTTTTAACATTGTGATATTGACCTGGATTTGAATAGTTCCCTCAGCGATTAAAGAGTATCAGTGCATATTGTTATTAGTGTGGTGTTTTTTGTTTTATATCTTGTAGGTTTGCTGGAGATTTTTTTTTTTTTTACCCCATGAGACAGCGCATAGTTTTTAAATTTGAAACTTTGGTTCCTGTTTTAATTTCCTGTGGGTTACCCTGACCTAGTAAATAACAACAGTGGTCTTCAGGATGAGGTTGACTGTTAAGTCTTAAACTCTTGGAAAGTTTGGTTGTATGGTGCTCTTGTTACAATAAATGAATTCCTGTTATAATAAATGTAGTTAATATCAACTCTATATAGTGGCTCAGGTAAGATTTTGTTTCAGTCAGCTGTTGTCAAATTGGAAGCCTCACTGACACTGTTGTCCTATTTGCAATTTTTATGTGCGTTTAGACTGACTCTGAAACATAATAGTAACCATTGATGATGCACTTACAAGGAATTCTACAGAGAATATTTTTAGTAATACCATACTTTTCTAATACTGTAATCGAGTTTTCATGTTTCAAAGCTTACTGTGCTTTTTAGGAAGATGAATTCTGTTTTTTCAAGTTTTGCAGGATAGTAAATTATTATGGTAGTTTCGGTGGCATATTTTTTTTTCCTGCCTGATTGCTATCCTTTATGACTTGGGGAAATTGCAGGGGAATTATTATGTACATACTGTGGCATGTAGATTCCAAGAATGAAATTCTGGGATAATCAATTCCGTTTTTTATTTTGTCAGTCACGGTCCTGGCAGAAGACAGATGGCACACTCAGAAAGAAGAAACTGTGGGGAGAGGATGAGTTCTCAGTGGTAGGCAGGGATGCGAGAAACTAGCAAAGCCGGGGGTGCACTCCCCCAGGATGAGGATGGCAGGCTACCCCCAGGGAACTTCCATCCCCCCGGGACCTGAACGGGTGAAGGAGAAGAGCAGATAATAGATGCCAGAGGAGAAAGTAGCTGGGCTAATGGGTGTCTGGTGGGGGTCATGGTCTTTGATAGCAGGGTGCAGCTCACTCACTGCAGCCCAGCACAGAGGGAGTCAGGGGGTTAACTTTCTTATCCTCACTCTCCTCCTCCCCTCTCTGCTTGCTCTGGTGCCTCCCTTTGGTGGAGCTTGGTGGAAGTCCATGAGCAGGGGAGCCTGTAGATGCATCCATAAATGTCAGTCTCCTGGGGCTAGGAGCAGGCAGGAGGAGGCTAAAGAGGTGCTCTGCGGGGCAGGTGGAATATATCCAGCACACGTACATAATATAGACTGGGGAGAGGACCAACAGCTGTTGCAGCAGTTCCCATGTGCCTTGAATATCTAGTAGATTTGTGTGCTTAATGCCGGGCACACAAGATGAATGAGGCTTCTGGTGGCCAAGTGGGTCATGATGGGAGGTTTTCTTGGATTGTTGGTTGGTTTAATATCTAAGGATCTTTCTTTAATTAAAAAGCCTAAACAGAACCCCAGACTCTTCTCGGTTGTATTCTGATAGTCTTTATTTTCAAGCACTTGATAGTTACTTTCCCATCATTGGAAGAGGGTACAAAATCAGAAGAGATCCCTCCCAAAGTTAAGAGCCCCCACCTTCCTCCCCGGGCCACTTTCGGGCAGGAAGAGGACAGAGCTGGCCTTTCTGATCAGTGAGCCTCTTCGCAGCCTCTCTGACCCTGGTGACTCTTGGGTGCTACTGTTCAGATTGACTCAGGCTTCAGTGATCAGAGTGAACCCTTAAAAAAAATAAAATCAAAACTTTGTAAGAAAGCTGCTTACCATTCAAGAATAAGCAAGCCGTGAGTTGTCCCTAGGACTGCCACATAGGGAAAGACAGTGGTGCTGAAATAGACGCACGGTTTTGTTGTTGTGTTGGGGAACCGCTGCACTGCTGGAAAACTCAAAGTACTTTCCTTTCTGTTGCCTTAAAAGGTTGATAACAGTGCCTTCTGTGTACTTACAAGTTTCATTATGTACTTAAAGGGGGTAACCACCAGAAATGAAGTTACGTCCTCACTGGGGTAGATGGACCCTACGGGCCATGCAGACCCTATCCGGAGTTGAGTGTAATTTACGGCTCTGTGTGTTTTGCCAAACAAATCCAGTGTAGATAATTCCAGAAGAATGACACTGGGCTCTAGCTTTCTCTCATTCATTTTGGAACATGCGCATCAAACCAAAGTTCTTTCTCTGCTTATTCCCTTTAAACATTTCTAAAGTAGCACACACTTTGAAGAACCTGCTTCTTGCCAAGTGAATTCAGAAACCTTGGCTTCCGCTTGCTGGGGAGACTGTCAGCATGGGCACAGATGTGCATGAGTTTCCCACTCTTTGGGATTCTGTGTGTTTTGGTACAGCCCTTTGTGCAGCCGTGGGAACCCTCTGAACCATCCCAACCTATTTGAAAATATTTCTAGAGGGCTGAATTTTGTCATGGGGGCAACCCCAAAGACCCAGGTTTGAAGCCTGGCTCTGCCTCTTGCTGCCTCTTGCTGGTTGTGATCTTGGGAAAGCCTGTGTCCTTTCAGAGACCATTTTTGTAGCTATAAATGGCTTTAATAATCTCAAATTCCTTCACTGAGTTATTTAGGGCCACCTGAGATATTTGATCACTCTTTGAAATGTGGTGTACAAACAGATGATTTTTTTTCTGCATATGTGGTCACATGCCAGCAGCACAAATACAAAGTTGTAATAAAGACAATAGTGACTTTGACTTTCATTCTTAGCTGAAATGAATAATTAAAGAAAACGTGTGTGCACACACAGTATTAGAAAGCATTTTTGTGACACTGCTGTTCAAGGATGTACATTTTAGTGCAGTTGGATAATCCAAAATTATTTGTGATTTGACTTGGAAGTGATACAGTTTTTGTTGCAGCTATGCAGTGGTGTTTATCAATTCCAGAATCAAGCTGCCTGCATTTCACCTTAGACAAATTCGTTAACTTGTCTGAACTTTACTTTCTGATACGGTTTGACTCTGTGTCCCCACCCAAATCTCATGTTGAATCGTAGCTCCCATAATTCCCACGTGTTGTGGGGAGGGACCTAGGGGGAGGTAATTGAATCATAAGGACAGGTCTTTCCTGTGTTGTTCTCATGATAGTGAACAAGTCTTATGAGATCTGATGGGTTTGTAAAGGGGAGTTTCCCTACACAAGCTCTCTCATTCTCTCTTGTTCTCTGCCATGTAAGACATGCCTTTTGCCTTCCACCATGATTGTGAGGCCTCCCCAGCCATGTGGAATTGTGAGTCCATTAAACCTCTTTTTTAAAAAAAAAAAAAATTACCCAGTCTTGGGTATGTCCTTGTCAGCAGCATGAGAATGGACTAATAACCTTTCCTTATCTGTAGGATCATAACATATACTATCTCTCTTCTAGATTTGTTGGTAGAATTAAGTGAAATAAATAATGTACGTAAAATGTTTTGGCTGGTGCTTGGCACATGGTCGGTTGTAAGTTAATATGAATAGTTACTACTGCCAGTGCTGCTGTTGCTGCTACTATCACTGCTACTAAAGATGTTTGTGTGTACTCTAAGTTCCAAGCTGGACTGACACTTAGGCCAGGTGACTCAGCAGTATAATGAGTGAGTTAAAAATTTCTTATGTATAAAGTCTCCACAGATAATCAAAAGCTGGCTGTTTTTGGAAATCCTAATCAATAATTGAAGCACGGTCTGAGAGTGTGGTTGGGAAGTATCCATGTGTGTTCCTGGATAACGCATCAAGCTTCTCTGCCTCTCCCCTCCCCCAGGAAGATTGGTAGAGTGGCTCTAGGAGTCTTTCCTGAGGCCCAGCTCAGGACTCATGACATGGTGGCCAGAGGGCACTTCGGCATTGTCAGATGAAACGCACTGTGTAAAGTGTTTGTTCAGCCAGGGATCTTTTCCCCTATGCTTCCTAATCAAGTAACTCTTAACCCCTGGCGGAGTTTCTCTCCCATAGCCCTCTCGTTGGCTATCACGTCAGTTATTAATTAACTGGATGAGCTTTGGGTTGACTCTCAGGAGGACTGTTCTGTGCCCCAGGTTGCAGTGAGTTCTCAGCTGAGCTGAGAAGGCTTTAGAAACAGGTATGCTATCCCAGCTGCCCCTGTGACCCTGTGTAAATCTTCTAGGTCACTGTAGTAGCTGAGGTGAATACCTTAGTGACTGGGGTTCAGGTTTGTCTTTTGTTTGCGTTTGAAACAGGGTCTCACTCTGTCACCCAAGCCGGAGTGCAGTGGCACAATCATGGCTCACTGCAGCCTTGACCTCCCTGGGCTCAGGTGATCCTCCCATCTCAGCCTCCTGAGTAGCTGGGACTACAGGCGTGTACCACCAGGCCTGGCTAATTTTTTCGCATTTTTTCTAGAGATTGGGTTTCACTATGTTGCCCAGGCTGGTCTTGAACTCCTGGGCTCAAGTGATCTTTCCTCCTTGGCCTCCCAAAGTGCTGGGATTATAGGTATGAGCCACTGTGCCTGGCCAGGGATTCGGTGTTCTTTTTTTTTTTTTTTGAGACAGAGTTTCACTCTTTTTATCCAGGCTGGAGTGCAATGGGGTGATCTTGGTTCACTGCAACCTCCGCCTCCTGGGTTCAAGCGATTCTTCTGCCTCAGCCTCCCAAGTAGCTGGGATTGTAGGCATGTGCCACCATGCCTGGCTAATTTTGTATTTTTTTAGTAGAGACGGGGTTTCACCATGTTGGTCAGGCTGGTCTCGAACTCCTGACCTCAAGTGATTCACCCGCCTCGGCCTCCCAAAGTGTTGGGATTACAGGTGTGAGCCACTGTGCCCGGCCTGGGATTCGTTTTGATAGCAGAACTCAGCAGTTTCTGAGGTAGACACACACCTGCCGAGGTCAGCAGCTCCTACCTTTTGATCTCACAGGAACATAATTGGTGAGGAGCATGGGATGCTGGGATTGAGGAAGATACGATGCTTGGGTTGAGTCATTTACCTTTTAAATTCTCTACCATAGGCCTCTGGGAGACGAGGGGAGGGTTTCTGGGGCAGGAGGCCGGCTTGCTGAGCCCTGGCTCTCTGGACAGCCACTGGGACAGATAGCTCAGGCATCAGTGCCTTTTCCACGTGGTTGCTGCCACTGTTCCCAGGGGCCAGGTCAGTTGGTCTTTCTGGGTAGATTCTGTTTGTTTAATTTTTTCCTCCATCCCCCTACCCGTGAATCACAGTGTGAATTTATCCCCTGCGTCCAACCCCCGTTCTGTCTCCCTGACCCTGTGTTCCCGCTGGAGCACTGGTCTGGCAGCCTCTTACCTGCAGTTTTCCCTGGCACCCCTGTCCTCTCCCTGGCAACCTCGGGCATATCCTCTGGTTCCCGGGTGCTTTGTCCATATCTTACCCAGCGCTGACAAGAACGCTGGAGGAATCGATAACACTGACAATGTTATTTGGTCCCTGCAGCTTCTCACATGTGGGTCGGAGATGGTTTCGGATTTATCTTTGGAGCCGGGTGCCGCCACATCAGGGTGCAGTCGGTGTTAGACACCCTTTGTTGAAAGGGATCTGCTTCATGGTTGGAGTGAGTGCTTGTTCTAGAATTGAGAGGCACTGTAGAGGCAGTGTCTCCTTAAAAGTGGATGTGTTGGTTGGCCGGATGCTGTGGCTAAAAGCCAGGCTCACAACCCAGGAACTCCCAGGAAAGTTCCCTGTTGAAAATTAGGGAAGATGGGTGACTGGTGATCTCGTGGCCAATGGCCACTCCGCAAGAACAAACACCAAACAACCCAGTGTCTGTGTTTCACTGAGAGAGAAGGGCTCATGATTATTTATTAAAATAAAAAAATCATAACTGAAGCTCTCTGGCTTAGTACACACACCCTGTCACTGTTACCTGGCCAGGTACTTTGAACAACTTCCAGTTATGGAAATATGGTGATCAAATTATGTGCCAATTTGATAAGATCACATTGGAACATTTAAAAATAGATGAGTAACTACGGACAACCAGAAGATAAAGTGGCAGTAGGTGGGCCAGTTGTAATCCAACCAAGGGCATCCATGTGTCAGGCCCACGTTACCTTTATTGCCGTCCATAAAACCTGACTCGTTTGTTACTGTGTGCAGCATGGAAATCACCTTAAAGAAAGTGGAGGTACTGGAAGGAGTGCGCGCCCAGTTGCAGCCTGAAGTCAGAGCTGGCTGTCAGCTGCCCCCTCCACTTCATTCAATATGCTTAGAAATTCTTTTACTAGGCCTTGAGCTTTAAAAATGAATATTTATGTATTTAAACACATTATTTATGTAAATGCAATGAGTGGTGAATTTTATTTCCCCTCATCCCTACTAGCACTGTCAGCTTGCCTTTCAAACTTTTTTTTAAAAAAGGCACGAAGAGGGCAATTTAATGTATGTCTTTTACTTTACCATTTATCCTCTTTGTAATTTGCTTATGCAATTTCGACTTTAAGATTGTGGGTGTGATACAAACAACTGTTAGAAAAAAAGAGGAACATGCCCACGTTCCAGACAAGTTTACCACATCATTGTACATTCCTGTTTCCTATCAGGAGACAAAACTTTTCAAATGTGCATGTTTTTTTCTATAATAAAGTTTTTTTTTTTTTCTTTTTTTGAGACGGAGTCTCGCTCTGTCGCCCAGGCTGGAGTGCAGTGGTGCAATCTCGGCTCACTGCAAACTCCGCCTCCCGGGTTCATGCCATTCTCCTGCCTCAGCCTCCCGAGTAGCTGGGACTACAGGCATCCGCCACCACACCAGGCTAATTTTTTTGTATTTTTCAGTAGAGACGGGGTTTCACCATGTTAGCCAGGATGGTCTCAATCTCCTGACCTCGTGATCCACCCGCCTCGGCCTCCCAAAGTGCTGGGATTACAGTCGTGAGCCACTGGGCTCGGCCTATAATAAAGTTATTACAGAATAACTTTATGTTAGTTATTCTAGTTACTTTATGTTTCTCTGTAATAATTATTTAACTTTCATGTTAAATTTTAAAATCTCTCCATGTGTACTTTGTGTGTACGTGAGAGTTTATGGCTTCATGCCACATAATATATTGAGTTCATTTGAGTAATAGTTTGACTCTTTGAAGTGGCATAGCATGGCAGCTATTAGAAGTATATAAAACGATCCGCTTTTTAGCTTCCTGTGTGTTTTGCATGTGTTTGAAGTTTTTTTAAATGCTTCTGTGCCTCTACCCTTTTTAGTCAGCCTATGTCATGCGATGAGGTTTCAGATGGAGAAGAAGAGTTAAACCCTTATTTGCTAAAGGCCCTCCCAAGACAGAGTGGTAAAACTAATTTGGGAGGATCCTAAGATTTAGTTGGATAAAACCGATTTAGCTAGATAGTGATTTTAAAGATGCCACCTCTTTGGCCTTCTGACTTGGAGTATGAGGGGTGTGTTTCTGTTTCCTTTTCTTTATTAGAACTTAGCAGTGTAGAGTTTGACAGTATTTCAAAGTCAATATAATTTGGATGTTTTCATGATCATTTTATGATTGATCGTTGTTAGCGTGCTAGCTCTTGACTGCTTTTGGCACTTGGGAAACAATAGTGTAGAGAGTACAAAAAAATAACTATTTTCAACCCAAACAAATACTGAGTAGATCTGTCAGCCTCGGGAGGTGACACACTGCAGATGTGTGCTTCCTGTAGCCTCCCCCCTGTGAAAATGACATTGACGTGTGGTGGGGAGAAGGAGGAAGAAGCAGGGCTCTCTCAAAATAGTGAGTAACGGAACAGAGATTCCTGCAAAGCGGAAGCTCGGGGAAATTCTGCGTTTCTTTTGTAATTCCCGCCCCCACACAACTCTGTCACAGCAGGCTTTTCCTAGAGATTAATTTGGTTTTAGGCAAATCATGGGATTATTTTGGTTTTATTTAGGTGTTGATGCAAGCAGATTATTGATTTTTCCTGCGTCCATTCAAACACGCATAAGCACACACACATACCGTCCAGCTTCTCTACTACAGAAGAAGCATTTACAAGAGTCCTTACAATTCTACCCATGGGCCTAAAAGAATTCCTTCTCCACCTGTTCCACATGCGTTCCCTTGCAGATGGAGGGGCGTTCTGAGGTATATGAGGTGGATTTCTGAAAGACCTGTGGGGCATTAAAATCATCACAGAGCTCAGGTGTCTGAATATCACATAAGTGACACACTAATAGTGATTTCCGTCTTTATAGCTTTTAGAACACATCTGTAAAATAATAGCAAGACAGGTGCAAGAGTGGAAGCCTTTTCATATCTGATATTTAGAGGACATGTCGGTGAGTTTGAAATATTCTGTGGCTGGGATTATCAGGGACTCTGTATCCAGCTCCTGATGCCAAGAACCTGGTGCTGTCTGCAGGGCGCCAGAGCCTCTCCTCCCTGCCTGTTGGTGCTGATCCCAGGAACTAGGGCTACACTGAGGCTCATGGGGCCAGGATCTTGAGAAAGAAATGATAACTTCTCTTTTCCATCTTTCCTTCTGAAAAAAAACAAAAACAAAAACAAAAACAAAAACAAAACAAAAAAACAAACAAAAAGAAACTATTAGAGAGCAAGGTTGGACATAAAACTGAAACTTTCTCTCAGTTATTACAGCAATCTTTTTTTTTTCTTTTTTAATCTAAACTGCTGGAGTAATTGTCGATCTTGTTATGGGAATAGACAATAAGGTATCTAGAAAAAAATTCTTTGTAATCAGTTTTGTTCTTTTTGCCTCTCTTCTTCCCTCTTTTATGTACTTGGCTGGTTTTCTTTTTAAATTTTTGAAGTGTAAACATTTCCCCAATGTCGTTAGACTGTAAATGATAGAATTTTAGAAAATGAAGGGCCTTCAGGAATCAGTCACTTGCTAAACATTTTGATATGGAAGAATATATATATATATTATATATATATATATATATATATATATATATATATATATATTTTACAGACAGGGTCTTGCTCAGTTACCCAGGCTGGAGTACAGTGGCTCGATCATAGCTCACTGCAGCCTTGACCTCCTAGGCTCAAGCAGTCCTCCCATCTCAGCCTCCCAAAAGTCCTGTGACCAGGCATGAGCCACTGCACCTGGCCTTCCTTCCTTACATATTTTGAAGCAGAGGCTGTAAGTTCATGGTGAATAACTTGGCTCTGTTCTGTTTGTTCTTCTGCTAGTACCACCTAACTTCTACTGTGACGTCCCTTGACAGAGAGGAGAATTAAGTGGATTAACTGCCTTTCCCATGCTGAGTATGGTGTTAGGTATATTGTATACGTCATCATCCCATTTAAGCCCAAAATGACTTTTGGAGAAGATGGTATTTTTGCCAATATACAGATGAAGAGATTGTGAAGCTAAGAGGACAAGTGGTTTGTCCATCCAGTAACACAGCAAGTTAGCAGTGTAGACAAGAACCATACCACTTGATCCCCTTGTTGGGAGCTACATGTGGGGATTCTTTCCAGAATGTTCTCTGGGAAAGTCCTGGCATTGCCTGTGGCCCCTCATGGGCACATAGTCATGGGTTAGTTTGTAGTATTTGTCTCTCATGATCTTGAAAGAGACACATGACCCTGGGAACTTGGACCCCATGCAGGGGTTTGGTGGGAAGGCCAGAGGAGGTATGGTGACAAGAACCCAGCCTCTAAGAGGCTGGGGATGTGGGGGTGTTACTGTGGGGATAGCCCAGGTGGGAGCTGGAGGGGCTTCCTGAGCAGGGATGTGAGGCCCCAGGAGGAGCTGGTGCACATGTGTGTGCACGCCTGCAGTTTTAACCCCTTCCTCCCCCAGGGCTCATCTCTTTTGTCCTCTGTTGTCTGGCAGCCCATTGGCCAGCTTGTGTAATCCTTTGTAATCACTTCTTGTTTGTGTTCCTCTAGAGGTTCCCCACCTTAAGGAAACGGACCCTGCCTTTGTGTCACAGGGCCCTGCCCAACTCCTGTGCTGTTAGCTCTTTACAAGCGGTGTTCAGGGACCTGCTTCAAAATCAGGCCCAACGATCCACCTTTCGTTAGGCCCACGGAAGTTTGAATGGGTTTGTGACCCACTGAAGTCTGCATTCTGGCCTGGTGGTGGTGGTGGTGGAGGTGGTGGTGGAGATGGTGGTGGTGGTGGTGGTGGTGGTGGTGGTGGTGGTGGTGGTGGAGATGGTGGTGGAGGTGGTGGTGGAGATGGTGGTGGTGGTGGTGGTGGTGGTGGTGGTGGTGGAGATGGTGGTGGAGGTGGTGGTGGAGATGGTGGTGGTGGTGGTGGAGATGGTGGTGGAGGTGGTGGTGGTCGTAGAGATGGTGGTGGTGGTGGTGGTCGTAGAGATGGTGGTGGTGGTGGTGGTGGAGGTGGTGGTGGAGATGGTGGTGGTGGTGGTCGTAGAGATGGTGGTGGTGGTGGTGGAGATGGTGGTGGTGGTGGTGGTGGTGGTGGAGGAGGAGGTGGTGGAGCTGGTGCTGGAGGTGGTGGTGGTGGTGGTGGAGGAGGAGGAGGTGGTGGTGGTGCTGGAGGTGGTGGTGGTGGAGGTGGTGGTGGAGGAGGAGGAGGAGGTGGTGGTGGTGCTGGAGGTGGTGGTGGTAGAGGTGGTGCTGGAGGTGGTGGTGGTGGTGGTGGAGGTGGTGGTGGTGGAGGAGGAGGAGGTGGTGGTGGTGCTGGAGGTGGTGGTGGTGGAGGTGGTGCTGGAGGTGGTGGTGCTGGAGGTGGTAGTGGTGGAGGTGGTGGTGGAGGTGGTGCTGGAGGTGGTGGTGGTGGAGGTGGTGCTGGAGGTGGTAGTGGTGGAGGTGGTGGTGGAGGTGGTGCTGGAGGTGGTAGTGGTGGAGGTGGTGCTGGAGGTGGTAGTGGTGGAGGTGGTGGTGGAGGTGGTGGTGCTGGAGGTGGTAGTGGTGGAGGTGGTGGTGGAGGTGGTGCTGGAGGTGGTAGTGGTGGAGGTGGTGGTGGAGGTGGTGCTGGAGGTGGTAGTGGTGGAGGTGGTGCTGGAGGTGGTGGTGCTGGAGGTGGTAGTGGTGGAGGTGGTGGTGGAGGTGGTGCTGGAGGTGGTGGTGGTGGAGGTAGTGCTGGAGGTGGTAGTGGTGGAGGTGGTGGTGGAGGTGGTGGTGGAGGTGGTGGTGGTGGAGGTGGTGGTGCTGGAGGTGGTGGTGGTGGAGGTGGTGGTGGAGGTGGTGGTGGAGGTGGTGGTGGTGGAGGTAGTGCTGGAGGTGGTAGTGGTGGAGGTGGTGGTGGAGGTGGTGGTGGAGGTGGTGCTGGAGGTGGTGGTGGTGGAGGTGGTGGTGGAGGTGGTGGTGGAGGTGGTGGTGGTGGAGGTAGTGCTGGAGGTGGTAGTGGTGGAGGTGGTGGTGGAGGTGGTGGTGGAGGTGGTGCTGGAGGTGGTGGTGGTGGAGGTGGTGGTGGAGGTGGTAGTGGTGGAGGTGGTGGTGGAGGTGGTGCTGGAGGTGGTGGTGGTGGAGGTGGTGCTGGAGGTGGTAGTGGTAGGAGGTGGTGGTGGAGGTGGTGGTGGTGGAGGTGGTGCTGGAGGTGGTGGTGGTGGAGGTGGTGCTGGAGGTGGTGGTGGAGGTGGTGCTGGAGGTGGTGGTGGTGGAGGTGGTGCTGGAGGTGGTGGTGGTGGAGGTGGTGCTGGAGGTGGTGGTGGTGGAGGTGGTGGTGGTGGTGGAGGTGGTGCTGGAGGTGGTGGTGGTGGAGGTGGTGGTGGTGGAGGTGGTGGTGGTGGTGCTGGAGGTGGTGGTGGTGGAGGTGGTGCTGGAGGTAGTGCTGGAGGT
Source organism: Homo sapiens (assembly GCF_000001405.40). Classification (NCBI taxonomy): domain Eukaryota; kingdom Metazoa; phylum Chordata; class Mammalia; order Primates; family Hominidae; genus Homo; species Homo sapiens. Next base: position 89,361,151 of record NC_000014.9, on the reverse strand, counting down.
GGTGGTGGTGGAGGTGGTGCTGGAGGTGGTAGTGGTGGAGGTGGTGGTGGTGGTGGTGCTGGAGGTGGTGGTGGTGGAGGTGGTGCTGGAGGTAGTGCTGGAGGTGGTGGTGGTGGAGGTGGTGGTGGAGGTGGTGGTGGAGGTGGTGGTGGAGGTGGTGCTGGAGGTGGTAGTGGTGGAGGTGGTGCTGGAGGTGGTGGTGGTGGAGGTGGTGGTGGTGGAGGTGGTGCTGGAGGTGGTGGTGGTGGAGGTGGTGGTGGTGGAGGTGGTGGTGGAGGTGGTGGTGGAGGTGGTGGTGGAGGTGGTGCTGGAGGTGGTAGTGGTGGAGGTGGTGGTGGAGGTGGTGCTGGAGGTGGTGGTGGTGGAGGTGGTGGTGGAGGTGGTAGTGGTGGAGGTGGTGGTGGAGGTGGTGCTGGAGGTGGTGGTGGTGGAGGTAGTGCTGGAGGTGGTGGTAGCTGAGGATGAGTTTTGTGGAAACATGGGGGAACCTGCGGCTGTGAGGGTATCAGCTCTTGCCCCAGCCTTCCTTCCTTCCCTCCTTCCCTCCTTCCCTCCCTCTCTCCCTTTCTTCTTCTCTCTCTCTCTCTCCTCACCTCCTTCCGTCACTCCCTCTGTGTCCCTTTTTTTCCTTCTCTCTCTCACCGTTTTTCCCTCCCTTCCTCTTTCCTTCCCCTCTTTCTCCTTCCCTCCCTCTCCCTCTCATCCTTTCCCTCCTCCCTTCCTCCCTCTCTTTTTACCTCTCTCCCTGTCTTCCTGCCTCCCTCCCTCCCTTTCCCTTTCTCCCTCCCTCCCTCCCTCCCTTTCTCTTTCTCCCTCTTTCTTTCCTTCTCTTTCTTCCCCTCTCTCTCTCCATCCCTCTCTCTTCCTCTCTCATCCCTCCCTCTTTCCCTCTCTCCTTCCTCCTTTAGGGGCAGCTGGGCCCTGAGGAGTTGAGCCAGAGCCAGGTCCAGAGGAGGAGGCAGTTTTGGCGGGAGGGGAGGGCATTTTGTGCAGTGGGGGCAGAAACGCAAGGCCAGTGTGCAGGGGCCCCGGGGAATTAACTGGGCACTCATAGTGAAATAAACCTAGGCCGTTTCCAGGAGAAGCCTTCAAGCCTGCCAGATCCTGGGAGACCGTGGCATATGCTGGACAGAATGACAGCTTGATGAGGAGTACCAACTCTAGGCCACCTCTCTATAAAGTTACAAGTATCTTTTGGTGATGAGGAAGTGGACCATATCCGCTCCAGTTCCCACCATGAGCTCAAGGATCCGTGAGAGAACAGTGGCCTCAGAGGCCCAGCTGCCCCAGCCAGGGAGACCCTTCTCTTATCCACCTCTGCCCACTCCAGCTTTATTCTCTAAGTCAGGCTGTTGCCCTGTCCTGCTCCCTTGCAGTATCGGGGTCAGGGCCTCTCCTCCTTAAGGAAGGAGGTGGCAGGTGGTAAGCCCTTTGGGGCAGGACCTCTCTAGGAAGCCCTGGACTGCCATACCGGCCGGAGCATCTCTCAGTGTGCACGAAGACATGACTCAAAGCAAGTAGCTTTCTCAAAGTCCCATGTCCTTCTTGGCACTACTCCAGTGGCTGGCTCTTTGCTTTGTTCTATTTCGATCCTTCCATTTCCACCTCTATCTTAGTGCATCTGAGACAAAACGCTTCTTTTGGACCAAGGAAATTAACATCAGACTATGGAAAACAAATAGTCATGTGCAATTTTTTTAGATGAAATCTGCATGATTTCACAATTTGACAAGTACCTATTCCATCAGGCAGGCACTGAATGGTTTGGAGCTCAGTGTCAAGGAAAGCTGGCTATTTAATATTTTGTTGCCATCATAATAACAAGAGCTGATTTTTTTTTTTTTTAATTTTATTTTGAGATGGAGTCTCGCTCTGTTGCCCAGGCTGGAGTGCAGTGGCGTGATCTCGGCTCACTGCAACCTCCACCTCCTGGGTTCAAGCGATTCTCCTGCCTCAGCCTCCCAAGTAGCTGGGATTATAGGCACCTGTCACCATGCCCAGCTAATTTTTTGTATTTTTAGCAGAGACAGGTTTCACCATGTTGACTAGGCTGGTCTCAAACTCCTCAGGTGATCCTCTGCCTTCCAAAGTGCTGGGATTATAGGTGTGAACCACTGCACCTGGCCCGAGAGCTGATATTTATTGAACTGTTACCATGTGCCAAGCAAGCACAATATTATCTCCTTTAATCCTCACAACAATCTTGTGAAGCAGGTATTATTAATTCACTCCCATTTTATGGATGAAAAATTTGAAGCTCAGAGCAGTTATGTATTTTGCCCAAGTCCACACAGCTGAGAAATTGAAACAAGACTCAGACTCGGGTCTGTCTGACTCCAATGTCCATGTCAGCCAAGTAAGGGCTCCCCTTTGAAAGCACAATAATGTGTTTCTCACTGACCCCACACATGGGTGGTACTGGCCTAGAACAGAAAGCTGGCTGTGTTGAAACTGTGAAGGAGTTGGAGACATGAGGACCCATGTATTCTAATTAATCTGTAATCACACGTTCCCAAAGCATAGAATGATGGGCCTTTGGGATGATTTCATCTCAGCACCTAATTTATAGATGAGGAAACTAAGACCCGGGGTGGGGAGTGAGCTGCATGTATGCCATGATTACTCAAGGCAGTGATGGTAGGTGCAGCCCAACCAGGTATGTGTTCTTATTACGGATGGGGTAACTTACTCTAGTCCGTGTCTGTATCCCCCAATGGGGGTCTTCCTTTTCGACCTTGGAGCACTTGACTTAGGCCATCATCCACACCCCACCCATCCCACAGGACCCAGCCCAAATCCCTTAACCCTGAAAACTCCTTCTCTGGTTTTTAAGTTTCCTAAAACTGGGAGTTGTGAGTCTCAGTCCTGGGTACCAGTATTGGAGCTGTAGGGCAGTGGGCAGTGAACTATGGATAATGTTTTTGCAAATAAGGTCTTACTGAAGCCCAGCCACGTTTATCTGTTTACATTGATGGTTGCTTTTGTGCTATGATGGCAGAGTTGGGTTGTTGCAACAGAGACCATGTGACCTACAGAGACTATAGAATGTACTTTGAGAAGCCGTTGGACCTGGCCATGCATTAGAGGACCTGGTAACAGAAAGAGAAGTTGTTTAAGAAAAGTTTACTAACCCCTATTACAGAGGAACCAGTTGATGTTAAACCTCTAAAGCCAGACAATCTCAGGCCTACCATGACATTTATGAGCTTCTGCTAGAAAGGTTGGGGTCAATGAGGGTATAGCAGAGGGGAGAGAGGTGGCTTATGCAGTCCATTCCTCCAGATACAGTCGCGCGTTGCATAATAGCGAGAATAAGTTTTGAGAAATACGTCGTTAGGCAATTGCATCATCATGAGAACATCACAAAGTATATGTACACAAACCCAGTTAGTATATGTTTATATACATATTTTTTCATATGGAAAATCAAATGATCCCACACCATTACTGAATATCAATTACTTCTCCTACTTGATCTGCATTGCCAGTGTCAACTGCTGTTTATCAGGTTTCTAGCTCTCTCTCTCTCTCTTTTTTTTTTTTGAGATGGAGTTTCACTCTTGTTTCCCAGGCTGGAGTGCAGTGGCACGATCTCGGCTCACCGCAACCTTCGCCTCCCAGGTTGAAGCGATTCTCTTGCCTCAGGCTCCCAAGTAGCTGGGATTACAGGTGCATGCCACCGTGCCCGGCTAATTTTTTGTATTTTTAGTTGAGATGGTGTCTCACCATGTTGGCCAGGCTGGTCTTGAACTCCTGACCTCAGATGATCCACCCGCTTCAGCCTCCTGAAGTGTTGGGATTACAGGCGTGAGCCACCACGCCCTGCTCTATCTCCTTTTTTTAAGAAAGAGACAGGGTCTTGCTCTGTTGCCCAGGTTGGGGTGCAGTGGCACAATCATAGCTCACTGTAACCTCAACTCCTGGGCTCAAGCAGCAGTCTAGCTAATTTTTATTTGTATTTTTTGTAGACATGGGGTCTCACTGTATTGCCCAGGCTGGTCTCAGACTCCCGGACTCATGCTGTCCTTCTGCCTTGGCCTCCTAAAGTGCTGGGATTACAGGTGTGAGCCGCTAACTGGCCTCAGAGTACATTCGGGAGCTGTCCTCCTTTCTCCGTCTCATTGCTGCCCACCTGAACCAACACCCATGGTCATCTTGGTCCTGGACCGTCATATCAGTTCTCTGCAGGTGCTCTTGCCACTTCCAGCCCATTTATTTCTCACACAGCAGCAACTTCCTTTCTTCTAACTCATGGCTTATTCTGTTTCCTTCCTAGCAGGTATTACAGTCTGTCATAATCTTGCTTATTTATTTCTTTACTTACTGTGTTTTTTCCCATCTATAATCCAAGCTTCAGGAGGTCGGTCTCCTTTTTGTATTGTTTTGTATTCACAAGTGGACCCTTCATGGTGCCTGGCATGTAGTAGGCACCACAGGAATGAATGAATGAATGCATGAGCGTATGAATGAAGGAATGAATGAAGGTGGGTAGTGTTAGAAGCACCCTCCAAAATGGTGTGTCAGAAACATCAAAAGCTATTGTTTCAAGATCACCAACACACACCCAGCTCCCCACTCCATTTCGTTTTCAGTTTTTGTCTTGTTTTAATATCTCATCAGCTTTACAGGGTTACAATTGTCTTAAATATTTCTGAAGTGTAAATATCATCTGCATAATAAGGTTGTTATAAAATGTAAACTTTCTGTGTTGTTTTAATTTAATTTAATTTAATTATTATTATTATATATTTTTTTGAGATCGAGTCTCGCTCTGCCGCCCAGGCTGGAGTGCAATGGCACGATTTTGGCTCACTGCAACCTCCGCCTCCAGGGTTCAAGTGATTCTCCCGCCTCAGCCTCCCAAGTAGCTGGGATTACAGGCACCCTCCATCATGCCTGGCTAATTTTTGTATTTTTGTAGAGATGGGGTTTTATCATGTTGGCCAGGCTGGTCTTGAACTCCTGACCTCAGGTGATCTGTCCACCTCGGCCTCCCAAAGTGCTGGGATTACAGGTGTGAGCCACCATGCCTGGCCTGTCTTAATTTTAAAGTCTAAAAATCATACTTTTTTTTTTTTGGTCCTTTTTTCTTTTTTCTTTTTTTTTCTTTTCATACCTGAATGTTCTGCACAAACTGAAATTGTTACAGGCTATCCCTCCCTGGCCAGGGCAGAACAGGCCTGGGCAGAGGTGGTGCCTGCTCCACTTTGACATGGGGCCTGCCTCCTTATCCCCGTTCTTTAGGCACTGCCCCAGAGCCACGTGTAAGTCCCCCACTGTTGCTAATAGGGGGCTTTCTTCCTCACAAGTGGTGAGAAGGGGGAAAAAACACAACCAGACACTACTGTCCTAGATCAGTGGATACCAAACTTTGTTGACCCGGCTTCCCAGTAAGAAGTGTATGTTACTTGGTGATCAGTAAACATGTATATACACAACTATGCAAATACAAATTTCACTATATGTTACTGCAGATATATGGTAGTCCATTCTATTTGGTTCTAGTTTGTTACATTCTGTTCCATTAAAACAGTGCTGCTTATGATCCATTCCGTTCATTTCATGACCCATGAATGTATCTGGCCCACGGTTTGAATAACAATGTTTAAAGTATAGGCTGGGCGTAGTGGCTCATGCCTGTATTTCCAGCACTTTGGGAGGCCAAGGCAGACGGATCACCTGAGGTCAGGAGTTCGAGACCAGCCTGGCCAATATGGCGAAACCCCGTCTCTACTAAAAATACAAAAAAAAAAGAAAATAGTCGGGCATAGTGGCGGGCACCTGTAATCCCAGCCTCTCGGGAGACTGAGGCGGGAGAATCGCTTGAACCCGGGAGGCGGAGGTTGCAGTGAGCTGAGATTGCGCCACTGCATTCCAGCCTGGGCACGACAGAGTGAGACTCCATTTCCACAAAAAGAAAAAAAAAAATTACTTTTTTTTTTTTTTTTTACATTTTTGCTAACCATTTCTTCCTACAATATGGGCTCTTGTTTGCTTTTCTTTTTGTGCATTGATTTTTTATTTTTAATAGAGAGTTGATTTTTATTCCCCCAGGTGGTTTTTAATTTTAAAAGAAACTTGGGCTCATCCATAATTTTTTTTACTCATTTTTCCATGTAATTTTTCTCAGTTTTTTTTCTGGGGGTGTTAGTGTATATATACACACAAAAATGTGAGTGTGAATACACACGCATACTTTCCTATAAATGAATATTCTTCGCTTATTATTTTGAATTCCCCGACACTTAATGGTGTGTGGCCCTCACAGTTATTTATTTATTTATTTATTTATTTTTTGAGACGGAGTCTCACTCTGTCACCCAGGCTGGAGTGCAATGGCACGATCTCAGCTCACTGCAACCTCTGCCTCCTGGGTTCAAGAGATTATCCTGCTTCAGCCTCTTAAGTAGCTGGGATTACAGGCACCCACCACAAAACCCAGCTAATTATGGTATTTTTAGTAGAGATGGGGTTTCACCATGTTAGTCAGGCTGGTTTCGAACTCCTGACCTCAGGTGATCCACCCACCTCGGCCTCCCAAAGTGCTGGGATTACAGGCATGAGCCACCGCACCTGGCCTATTTCTTTTCTTTTTTTTTTTTTTTTTTAATAAAAAGCACTCCACGGCCGGGCGCAGTGGCTCACGCCTGTAATCCCAGCACTTTGGGGAGGCCAAGGTGGGCGGATCACTTCAGGTTAGGAGTTTGAGACCAGCCTGGCCAACATGGAGAAACCCTGTCTCTCCTAAAAGTACAGAAATTAGCCGGGCGTGGTGGCGGGTGCCTGTAATCCCAGCTACTCAGGAGGCTGAGGCAGGAGAGGCTTGAACCTGGGAGGCGGAGATTGCAATGAGCCAAGATTGTGCCACTGCGCTCCAGCCTGGGCAACAAGAGCGAGACTCTGTCTAAGAAAAAACAAACAAAAAAAACCAAACAAAAAAAGCATTCCATATTCTTGTCTTCAGATGAGATGCAGATATTTTTCTAAGAAAGCTCCAACTCTCAAACTTACTACACAACTATAATCAAGTTATAGCCTTCTCTCTCCTATTAGAAACATTAAATGTAATTTTTCCTGGCCTAAGAAACTTGAGCATTCTATCCTTTGCATATTTCCATTTTTAAAGTTTTCAAGTAAACCATTTTACTACTCCAAACTGTTACATGAAACCCAAGAAAATGCTTGAAAATGCAGGAGTTCAAGACCAGCCTGGCCAACATGGTGAAACCCCATCTCTTTCCTTAAAAAAAAAAAGTTAGCCAGGCATGGTGATGCACGCCTGTAATACCAACTACTTGGTAGGCTGAGGCACGAGAATCACTTGAACCTGGGAGGGTGAGGTTGCAGTGAGCCGATATCACATCACTGCACTCCATCCTGGGTGACAGAATGAGACTGTCTCAAAAAAAAAATTTTTTTTGGGAGATGGCCACAATGAACTGACCAAGTATGGAATTAAACCTCAGCTTGATGTTGACAGTGCAGAGACCTGGGCAAAAGACTTTCAGCAGCCAGGTAGTCATGAGTCAGTGATAGTAGCTTCCCTAGCAAGGGAGAAGTCCCAGTAGTGAGTGTGGGGTGTGGGGTTCATAGAAAGCAGATGCAGGGAGTGATGAAAATAGAGGGGGAGCTGAGAATGTCAAAAAGCTCTTCCCAGTGAATTTGTTGAGCCAGGACCACCACTGCATTCAAATAGATGATCATTTTATCTTCACTCGTCCCATCTGTTTGCTGGAGGCCCTTCCCACCGCTGCTGTTGGAGATGAAAATCAATCAGATATGGTTCAATGAAAGACATTGTAAGCCAGTTTCATTGTCTTTCTTGTGTCCAAAAGGAGATTTTCATGATGCTGTCTGCCATTTATTGAGTACCTGTAGGTAGGGCCGCTACTGAAGGTGTTTTATATTATGCCATCTCTGAGCCTCCCAGCTATCTCTAAGTGGGTCACTGTTTTACCAGTGAGGAAGCAAGACTTCCCATGGCGCTGTGATTTGTGCAGGGCCACTCAGGAAACGTCTGTGTGGCTCCAGATCACCTGTTCTTACTATTCTTCAGCCTGCCTCTCTGCATCTGGATCAATTACCTTGTGAATGTCCTGCACAGTCCTGGGGGTTTATTCTGCTTAGCTTTTGTTTTTATTTTTATGTATTTATTTGTTTTGAGATGGCGTTTCACTGTTCTTGCCCCAGCTGGAGTGCAAATGGTGCGATCTCCGCTCGCTGCAGCTTCTGGCTCCTGGGTTCAATCTGCTTAGCTTTTAAATGGTAGCATACATTAATATGGGTATACAAGGGTACAGTAAACAAACACTTAGGTTAGGATTAGGAGAAACCACGTTCTTGGCTTACGGTTATTTCCCTGAGAAGGCCAACCGGTTGTCCTTCATTTCTTTGTCATATTATTTTTGTAGCGTTAAGATTAAATGGTCCCACCCTGAAAGCCACCATGATGAGAACAAAAGCCATTGGGTTTCCAGAATTGAGACAATATCATTGCAGAAATGTTTGGGTCACATGTCAGCCATGGCCCTCAGTGTAGCTATTGCTGGTTTGGAGCCTTGGGTGCAAGGGATCAGAAAGGCAGGTCCCACTGGCCCAGGGCTCCACCGGGAGCCTTTGATGGAATCAGGCCAGACCCCTACTGTTGACAGGATTTGGTGGTTTGTTTTATGTTTTCCAAATTTGGTAGTTACCTGTCTCCTGTCTTTCCCCCCAAACCTCTCCACTCCTTAGCTTTTGGCTTTCTTCTGCACAGCTCTTTTCCAAAGGAAGGGATGAAGCTTCCAGGGCAGATTATTGAGTGGCCCGCCTGATTTACTTGCAAAGTCTCACTGCTCCCCCTGAACTATTCTGGGTTTGAGAATGTGTGCGTGAAAGGAAAAAACACGTAGGAATGTTGAATTTTCCAAAGTTGAAATCTTTCAGGTCTTTAAACATCCGGTTGGTTAAACTGAGAACATTGATGTTTAAGCATAGAGTGTCCAGCCAGACTCTGACCTGTGTCTGGGGTCAGGCCTGCACGTGGGGGTGGGTGACTAGAGTGGTCAGAGGTTCCAGCCCCTGGCTGTGGTTTTGAGCAATTCTCCTATTCTCATTGCACCAGAAAGAGTTAATTCCAGTTGCACGGCTTGCTGATGTTGTTGATAATAAAGTATTTTAATGGGCTCTGTGAATAATGTTTGTAAGGAAACTACTCGGGTGAACTGATGATGAAACACAGATTTTTTTAAACTTTTAAAAAGATTTTAGGAGTAACTTGTTTTTACAGCTCCTTCAGTGGGATTTTCTTGGATTGTCCCCTTCCCCCATGTTAGTTAAACAGCTTCTTGTTTGCTTTCTAAATGTTGGAGGACAACATCAATCTTACTGTTGGCTGAAAGCAGGAGGTGGGCACGGGTTTATGTAATTTAACTTCTTTTCTCTGCAAATCAGTAAATATTTACAAATGACCTTATCAAACAGTTTGGGTACATTCGGTCACTTGAAAGTGTGCGGCCAGAGGAACGATTGCCCGTCGGCCTGCTGCCAGTTCCGGGGGGCCTCAAAGGAAGGACTTACATTTTTAAAAATAGGCTGTCCATAGACCAAACGCTTCACAGGAAGTGGGCCTCACAGGAAGCCTCCCTCTCTCCACAGAACGGTTTTAGAAAATTTGCATTTTAAAGTTTGACTTCTAAAGATTCAACTCTTAATGGCTGGAGTCGATTGCTGGGAACTGAGGAATCCAAAAAATAAATAGTGGATTCTGAGTTGGGCTTTACCATTGCTGCCTGAGTTCTTTTGTTGCTTAGGGAAGGTAATTACAGAATTCTATTCCAAGAGTAAATGTCATTCTTTTGTGAGTAAGCTGGAAAGAAACAAGGGGATTACTTTTCTGTTTTTATAAAATGATCCCGATGTCATATGGTTTTAAAACATAACTAAATTTCTGGAGCAGAGATGGACTTTTGGGGGTGTCTCGGCCCTCTTTTTTTTTTCCCCAAACTTTAGAAATCTGACACAGTTAAATTCATTTTTAGAAGAGAATGCACGTGTTCTTCAATGTTGACGCTGAAAAACAATGAGATTCTCATTTTATTGGTAGTTTGGGTATGAAAATTGTAATATTGTTGTATCACCATAACCTGGTAATAATATGTTCATTTTGCCTATCAAACATAATACAAGTAAGATTGAAGTGCATTTTATGGAGTTCTACTGTCAGTATAATATTTAAGGCTGGCAAACAGTCAACAAATGAGAAGCTTTTAAAAATAAAGAAGTGATAATAGCTATACATCTACTTATTGCAAAGTACTTAATAATTCTCTATTAATGCCTTTGTATTTTAATTTTCTTTGCAGAGTATTGGGAAAGGGTCGTTGTGGTGCATAGACCCAGAGTATAGACAAAATCTAATTCAGGCTTTGAAAAAGACACCTTATCACCCACACCCACACGTGTTCAATACACCTCCCACCTGTCCTCAGGCATATCAAAGGTAAGCAATTCAGACTTCTTTTTTTTGGTCTACTGAAATGGCATTATTTTGGCAGAGACCTGCGCGGAAATTAATTTAATAGGCCGTACGAGATTTTAAAAATAACTGCAGGTAAATGAGAAAGAAATTAAGTATTATTAGGAGGCATATCCACTGTTGTATTTCCTACAAACCTTACCGCTGCTGCAGCGTCAGAGGAATGTGCTTCCAGAAGGCTTCATGGTGGGTGAAATCATGTCTTCCTGGGTAGAAACATTTACAAAGAAAAGTCGACAGCTTTCACATCTCGGTGTGTGTCATGTTTTGTTGGGATAAAAGTACAGGAACGAGTCAAGCAGGCAACTCCATCATCCCCTCATCTGGCCGGTCTCTGCAGACATTCAGTGGAGGCTCACTCAGTTGTCCCCACTGTTGTCTTTCGCAGTCTCCATGTAGACGGTGCTCCCAGGTGACCATTTTGTTGTGGTTACTTGGTCTTTGCTTCTTCAAGGAGAACAGTAGAAACAATAGAGACATTTTATCCTCCTCACATGCCCATTTGTTTGAGACAGTAAGGTCATGGGTACCATTTTTACAAATATATCATTGGAAGGGAGGGTAAGTAGCCTGTCACTTTTTTAAAAAGTGTCTTAATGTTAGATTCCAAAAGAGAGCCAAATAATCAGAACCAAATTTTTAAGATCAATTTTTATGAATACATAGTACTTGAATTTGAAGTGCATTCCTCAGTTCTACAAAAAAATATTTAAAAATGTATAGAAATGTTTCTATCGTAACCACCTAGTTAAGAGGAATTATCCTTGGACTGCAAGTTGAGGTTAATTAGGGATGGCATGATGTCATAGACTTCAGGAATTTTACAGTCCACTTCTTTGCAGATTCTTTTCCTAGTCTGCTGTTTGTTCTGCAGGAGGGAGCACAAAGTGATCTTCTGAAATAGCATTAATGAAGTTCTTCTGCATCTCAGTTGAGAAGCATTCCATCACAGGCCCTAGACAATCAGTCTTCAGCAAGAGACAGGGAGGAACAGCTGGGCTCTCTGAGAAGACTGCTGTATGTCTGCCTTTGCTAGGCGATTAGCGTGATGGTACCCATAGCAACTGGAGCGTCTCCATAGTAACGCGTAGCCGAGACAGGTGCAGTTGCATCACAAGGCTGTTTGTTGCCTGGCAAAAGGACAGGCCATTAGTACTTAGATATACACTGTTGCCTTAGAAACAAATAACCTTACATAGCAACTACAGTTGATTTGAAAGGTTTGGTGTGTGGGGGGGAAGGTTGTAGCAGCTTTTGTCTGTGTTCATAAAAATCAGTGGAAGCATACTTTATTCGAAATGACAACTTGAGGTCATATAGCTGTAGGAGAGAAAGTGGGATTTTCCAAAGCAGCCCAGCCAACATAGTAGACATGTCCAGAAGGACAGAGCCATATGCTTGGTTTTCTCCTTGTGGCCATAGCCACTCCCCAAATGGAAGAGAACCAGGATTGGAGTGGAGAATTGCCGATGTACAAGGTTGGTGAAGGAGGACGTGACACTAATTATTGAAATATTTCCCAGATTCTCATGTTTCTTTGTCATTCTACCCCCACCCCCCGACTCTCCAAGCTGCATGGAATACCCTTCTCTGGGTTTTCCACTCTGCACCTCAGAAGTATTTCATCTCCCTTTGCTTCTAGGAAGTTAAGAACATGAGTGTTACTCACTGGGTCATGTCATTGGTTCCTTTAGACCAGTATTTTGTTGCCAAATGTGACCCCGAGGGAAACACAGTAATTATTTAATAATTCGAAGGATTATAGAGGAGCTCTGGGGGTTGGAACAGGAATGCATATTCAGGCGAGAGGCATTCTGAGCTGGCCTTAGCTTAATGACTTCATTTGATTTTTAATATAGACATAAAAATGCAGATGAACCAGAGCTTTTGTAATGAAAATCATTTCCGAAGGAATATTTCAGACCCCACTCCGTCACCTCCAGCCTTTATCCCCAGTTGACTGAGGGGGGAAAAAAAACCAGTTTCTGCTTCTGCCCATGCGGTGCTTAGATTTCACCTCCACAGAGGTCACTGGCGGTGGAGGGAGATGACAGATGAGATTCTAGTCTGCCTCTTCCATGCCTTAAGTCCATGAGAACAAGTCACTTTCTCTTTCCTGGGGACTGTCATCCCTTCATCTGAAAGCTGAGAGTTTGCTTCAGGATCCTCTAGTGTGTGAAATTGCACTGAAGCCACTGAACACTGGGTAATTGTACAATATTTCTGTGTCTTAACAGTGATGTGGCATTTGGTTCAATTCTAAGCCATCAGGCCACTTGTTGACATGACCTAGAGAAGATGGAAGTGAAACACCGAGTCATTAAACAGGGACCCCAAAATGCCGAATTGACGTGATCTGGCTGGGTCCACTGTGATGCGGGGAATCACCCGTCAGCCCCTTGCTGGATCGCTGTGAGGGGTACCTGGGAAGTGCTTGGCTTTCATGGGGCTGGTACTTAGCATCCTGAAGAAGATGGTGATTATACTAGATGGGCGGTTATTGCTAGGACTTGCAGGTGTGCTTGGCAAATGTCACTCTGAACTGAGCTGCAGGTGGCTGGAAATGCTGCGGGAAAAGCGAGACATTTGAGAGCACTGCCCAGACCTTGCTCACATCCAAATACCATGCTAAATATTGAGATGTGTAGACCCGTGCCTCTGTTTTCCTTTTTTGCTTTTTTTTGAGACGGAGTCTTGCTCTCTCTCCAGGCTGGAGTGCAGCGGTGCAATCTTGGCTCACTGCAACCTCCGCCTCCTGGGTTCAAGGGATTCTTCTGCCTCAGCCGCCTGAGAGTAGCTGGGACTACAGGCAGGCGCCACCACACCCAGCTAATTTTTGTATTTTTCGTAGAGATGGGGTTTTACCTTGTTGGCCAGGCTGGTCTCAATCTCTTGAACTCATGATCCGCCCGCCTCGGCCTCCCAAAGTGCTGGGATTACAGGCGTGAGCCACCGCGCCCGGCCCATGCCTCTGTTTTCTAAAGTGCCCTTTTGAATGTATGTTAGGATGTTCTTCCACACCTGCTTTGTTGATACCAAATTTGTGAATTGTTTTTAATCGAAGTGCAGAGCTCAGCGTGGAGTACTTCAAACCAAGTGACTTAAACAACAGAAACTTACTGTCTCAAGGTTCTGGAGGCTGGAAGTCCGAGACCAATGTGTCGGCAGGGTTGGTTCCTTCTGTGGGCTGTGAGGGAGGGTCTGTTCCACCCCTCTCTCCTAGCTTCTGGTGGTTTACTGGCATTTTGCTGGAATGCTTTTGGCCTTCCTTGGCCTGTCGAAACATCACTCTGATTTCTGCCTTCACCTTCACTTGGCATTCGTTTTCTCCATGTGGTGTCTATGTCCAAATTTTCCCTTCTTGTAAGGACACACTGGTCGTATTGGCTTAGAGGCCCATCTTTCTCCCGTAATAATTCATCCTATTTAACTAATTACATTTTCAATGGCCCTGTTCCCAAATAAGGTCATGTTCAGATGTACTGGGGGCTAGATCTTCAATGTAGGAATTTTGGGGAGGCATAAATCACCCCATAGCAACCCTTTTCTTAAGGGAGACATTTTGCTGATGAATATATGGAGAAGCAGAAAGTAAGGAAATATTTAAAGAACAAAATGGTGGGGTGGGGGGCAGGGGTGTCAAAGGGATTCGCCTGAAGTTGCTCCTAGTAGCCAAAGCTGGGACGGTGATGAGCAGCAAAATAAATAACATAGTGTTGGATTATAACTGGAAATATAAAATAAATACCTATGAGTCCAGACTGATAGAAATAAATGATTGAATAAATAAACAAACAAATAAATGAGAGAAGAGACACAATTCCCATTCAGAGGGTTCCAAATGCTTGATGTAGCTCTTTCTCCACTGAAAGAGGTGGGACGGAACTCTCCACTCCTGGAATGGCTGCACTTAATGACCTACTTCTAAAGATGAGAGCATGGAAAAGGTTGGAAAAGGGAGTTTGGAGTGGACAAACCTGGTGAACAGTATGCCACAGGTGATGAAAGTACCATCCTCAGTGATGTGATGTTGATACCGGGTACCTCTCGTAGGACATCATAAATTTGGCACTTCAGCTTTGTGGTCTTTCTCCCCAAACTCATAACCCCTGTCTAGTCATGGGAAAAACATCAAACAATGATTTTGTCCTTCAGCAGGGACATTCTACAAAAATAACTTGATCCTCACTCCTCAAAGCCCCAAGGTCATCAGAAACAGGGAAAGTCTTAGAATCTATTACAGACCAGAGGAGACTAAGAAGACATGATGAGCAAATGTGTCCTATGATGTCCTGGATGGGATCCTGGAACAGAAAAAGGACATTAGGGGAAAATGTGCAAAATATGAATTAACTGTGCAGTTTAGTTAATAGTAATAGTAGTATGCTGCATGTTTATAGCAGCACAATTTGCTGCTGCAAAGATATGGAACCAACCTAAATGCCCATCAACCTATGAGTAGATAAGGAAAATGTGGTATATATACACCATGGAATACTACTCAGCCATAAAAAGGAACAAAATAATGTCTTTTGCAGCAATTTAAATGCAGCTGGAGGCCATTATTCTTTTCTTTTATTTTTTGAGACAGGGTCTCACTCTGTCGCCAGGCTGGAGTGCAGTGCCGCGATCTCGGCTCACTGCGATCTCTGCCGCTCAGGTTCAAGTGATTCTCCTGCTTCAGCCTCCCGAGTAGCTGGGATTACAGGCACCTACCATGAAGCCCTGCTAATTTTTGTGGTTTTTAGTAGAGACGGGGTTTCACCATCTTGGCCAGGCTGGTCTTGAACTCCTGACCTTGTGATCCACCACCTCGGTCTCCCTAAGTGGGATTACAGGCGTGAGCCACTGTGCCCGGCCTGGAGGCCGTTATTCTAAGTGAAGTAACTCAGGAATGGAAAACCAATGGAAAACGTATGTTCTCACTTATAAGTGGGTGCTAAACTGTGAGGAAGGAAAGGCATGAGAATGATATAATGGACTTTGGGGACTCGGAGGGGAGTAGGGGGAAGGTTGGGAGGGGGATTAAGGATAAAAGACTATCTATGGGGTGACAAGTGCACTAAAATCTCCGAAATCACCACTAAAGAATTTATCCATGTAACCCAAAACCATCTGTACCCCAAAAACTATTGAAATAAAAAAATAGTAGTATACCAGTGTTGTGACAAGTGCCTTATTAGTAATATATGGTGTTAACATCAGGGAAAACTAAGTGAGGGGTATGCAGGAGCTTTCTGTGCTATCTTTGTAACTTCTCTTTCCTTTTTTTTTTTTTTAAAGCAGTCTCCAAAATGCAGACTCATTGATCAATTTTAGATATCCCGATTGTTTTTGGTAGAATGAAAAGTAAAATCACTGCAGCACTGAGAGTTGCCTGACCTACTTTAGTGAAGAGCTGATTGTGAAGGGCTCTTGCTTTTGCCTCATTCTCTGGAAGATCTGCTGAGCCACACGAGGGGTCTCTTTGTAGTTTGGATACTACAGTTCTTGGAACGTTAGTTTTGTGAAATGGCACTCCACTGTGCTTTGTAGAGTACCCGTGGCTGAGCTCGGGCTACTCATGCACACCGAGCCACGCCAGCTTGCTTGGGGAATCTACACCTTTGCCAAGGAGACTCTGGCGTGGGGCCTTCGGAATCTAGATCTGGAAAGTGGAAGGAGGGGTGGTGTGTTTGGGTTGCTTGCCCGTACCTCTTCGGAAAAGTCCACTGAGCTGTTCTAATCTTTATGTTGCCTGTGCCCCTCCTTCCTAGATACGTCATTTCTCATTAAAGAATATGCGTATTTTAATGTTTCCAGTAGACATTGCCAAATTGCCTTCTGATTTTACACTCGGTTCTAGTCCACATTCCCACCAACTTTTTAGGAAATTTCTATTTTTCTAACCTTTCTCAATGTCTGACAGTTAAATGAAAAGACAGTTCCTCAATGGGTGACCTTGACTTTGTGATTTTGGTACTTATAGTGGGGGTATTTAAACTTCGTAACACTACATTAACACCCTATAAACAGCAGCTCTCCCCATAATAATGTTTATGACAACAGATTGTTTTTAGAGAGTGACATATATATGGGTCTTATGTAATACCTTCTCTGCTATAGGCACCAATCCAAAGTCAGTTTCCAGAAAAACATTTTAATCCTCTCTCACCATGGTTGGAGAACAGGTTTTGCATTTAATCAAACAGTATGGTTTATGGAGAGTTTCCTGGATGATTGGTTTTCAGAGCCAGCGTTGTTTTGTGTTTCCTTGGTAATTCCAAAGAAATCCCAGCATCCTACGTACCTTTGGCCTCCATGATGGATTGACCATGATTGGGTGTTAGATGGTCAGAAACTGAGTGAGATGGTTTTTTTTTTTTTTTCTTTAATGAGCTTTCCCTTTTTTTGCTTTAAAATTTTCAATGTAAAAATAATGACATCATAGTCTATATTTCATGTAAAGTATTGTGGCTTAACATGTACAAAGTTAGAAAAATCCACAAGACTCATTTGCTGATCTAGGTCTAAAGATTTATTTTTTGGATGACTATAAAATTTGCAGAGTTAGAACATTTCAAGAAAGTTTCTCGGCTCGATGCGGTGGCTCACGCCTGTAATCCCAGCACTTTGGGAGGCCAAGGTGGGTGGATCACTTGAGGTCAGGAGTTCAAGACCAGCCTGGCCAACGTGGTGAAACCCCATCTCTACCAAAAAATACAAAAATTAGCTGGGTGTGGTGGCAGGCACCTGCAATCAGCTACTCGGGAGGCTAAGGCAGGAGAATTGCTTGAACCTGGGAGGTGGAGGTTGCAGTGAGCCGAGATTGCACCATTGCACTCCACCCTGGGCAACAGAGTGAGACTGTCTCAAAACAAACAAACCAACCAAAATAAAGTTTCTTTTACTCTCATCTTTTTTTTTTTTTTGGAATAAATTCCAGACATTTAAGCTTCTCCTTTTAGCTGTTTCTGTTTGCTTCCTCAGAGGAATTTAACGAGCCGCAAAAAAGAAAAAAAAAAAAAACCACACACATTAATGGCCTCTCCAAAGATTTTGGCCTTTCTGATATTGAGGTTCTTAATGAAAATGGCAGATTTTAGTGCTGACTCAGCAAGTTCTATTATCCTGCCTGCTGCCCTATTGATGTCCTTTTTTTTTTTTAATTTAAATGTCTTCATAGAGTAATACTGCTAAGGGTATAGAAATTGTACAGAGTGGTCACTGTATATTCAAATTAACAAAGTTATCAGTCATTGTTCACCAGGTAAATAATCTTTGGCTGTCATAGTGAGGCTGGGAATAGTAGATAGGGGAATTGCATTGGGAGGAGGTGGGGAAGGTACTGAGGTGTTTAGGGAACTCATCCTTTTAGACAATTAGAAGATTAGAAAATCCTTAAAATGTTAATCTTGTTAACATAACGGTGTTAATTCCTCCACTCAGAATGCTGAATTTGCACACAGCAAGGAATAGCTTATTCATTGCTTGGATAGGATCCAATAATTTTTTAATTTATAAGACATCTTTCATTCTAGTTATTCAGAGTGTTGTGCGTTTAATAGTTGGCAGAAGCACTGCAAAGCCACAATGAAATCAGTTTTAACTTACATTGAAGGACTTTAATTGTTAGATTGTGGTGTCATTGCAAGTGTTAATTCAGTCAAGCATAAAGAAAGATTGCAAGGATTTCGATTAGTTGCTTCATTATTACAAATATATTTACTTGAAAGCAACATATTTGATGGAAACCCGAAATAGTTTTTTAAATGCCCCTCATATTCAATACACTTATTTGGATAAGTTTAATTTAAAAGCGTGAGGCATTATGCATTTTGAAAGATTATGTTTAAACAGCACTTTTTGCTGGGAGTAATTTTTGAAAGAATATTAAATTTAAAAAAATCAATATGAAGCTTCATGGTGCTAAACAGGTAGGAGAGTGTGGTAAATTAATGCAGTAAAGTAGATGTGGGATTGAATACCGGGGCTTTCAAAGTGGTAGCACTTCCAAATATACATTATATTTTGTTAAAAAATTGGAGGGGATGAAGAATAGGAAAGGCTTAAATTGTAAGGGCACACTCTTTAAAAAACACAGTGCTCATTGACAGTGGGAGCTTTAAAAATCCATTAGTTGGCTATAATTTTATTTTCATATCAAATCATGTTGTCTTTTGACTTCCATTATATTTCCTGAGTTGGTCTCATAGAATAATTTTGTTCTCAGCATTTTGCCTTCGGTATGCTGTTCATTATACGTTTAATTCTGAGTCAATCCTGTGTTGTTTTATTTAAATGGAAAACAGTCCCTGTTATCTTTGAGCACTTTGTATCAGGGGTAGCTCATGAATATTATGCCCAGTCATCCAATTTCATTCTGTTTTCACACTCACTTTGAAAGTTGAATGTTTAAGTAGCTGGGCTGATTATATCTATTTTACTCAGGTACTGAGTCAAACTCGTGACTGAGAGAACCACTCCGAGTTACCTTTTTATCTTCTGACCTCCTGGGGTGCCCTCAGTCCCTGGTTTGTATTTTAATAGCCAAAGCGTTAGAAGTTCTTTAAGTCTACTACAGATAAATTTCCATTGACCTAACTCCTGAGATGATGGATACCAAAGAAACTCTGTGTTTCCAATACCTCATGAGAAGAAAGTTGCAGTGTTGATGGGCCTAGTAGGTGCCTGGAGTCTTTGCAGATTTGCTTGGTGAGTATTTACTTCTCGGGATAGCCAGCCAAGGATTCCTGAGCACAGCGACGCCTTAGGCATCGTTAGAGGGGGAAGTGTCTGCAAAGTGGGGCTCACCTGCATTCTGCATATTTGTCAAACCCCTCGCCTTCCCAGAGGAGGAGAAATTGATCCTCATGTTAGAAATAGGAAAACTGTCAAAAGTGCATGAAATCAACCGTGTACAACGTGAAACAACAGGCGGCACTTTGTCTTGTAGAAGCTTAAAAATAGCACATTTTTCATCAATAATAGAAAATAAAAACCTGTTAGCACATCTAAGATGGTCTCATAGAATATTTTTGATCTCAGCATTTTGTCTTCTCCAAGTTCTGGTCACACTAAATACTTGCAAATTTTCTAGATTAACAAAGGAGGGAGATTAAGAAGTAGAGGTGCAGTATAATTAGATGGGAAGTGGAACCCATCATTCATAAAAGATTTGAAGAACATAGAATGGGGGATTGATAAGGAAAGCGATCAGGTTGGCAGGGGCATCCATGTGTTACTGTTGAAGAACAGGGAATGTGTAACCCGGGAAGAGCACCTTCAGAAGGTTAGCATGCCAGCCATCCTCACCATCAGAGAGGACAGATTTGGACTTGATGGATCGAAGTTATAGAAAGAAGGATTTGGGGTCAAGACAGAACAGCATCTGACAGTGTGCCAGGCACATAACAGAAGCTGGGTAAATGCTAGAGTTGTTGGGTGGGTGGACAGATGAAGGGGATGAAGGTAGAATGAGCTACCCCCAGGGATGCCAGTCGAGGCTAGACAACCAGCTGCCAGGGTCGTCCCAAGATTTAACTCTTACTGGAGAACTGCAGGGTTATCGCTTCCAGCTCTTGAGATGTTGTTTCTGAGTTTCTTGGGCTGCCATGACAGTCGAGGCATATCCCTCTGCAACATGGTGTTTGTAGTTTATAAGGTGGAAATGAAACTTGAGGGAATAGATGCATAGCTTTGTTAGCCAGCAATGAGAGGTCAGGCTCTTCTCTTGAAATTAAGTGCAGATTTCAAGACCGTGATGGGACTAATTCAGTTACTCTTCGTTCTGTGTCATCCAGCTTTTTGATTCATGCCCTACAATTACCTCCCTTGTTTTAGTGACACTTCTTTGCATTTCCTTCCGTGTGAATAAAATGATCACGGCAGTGTTTTGCCAAGCAGAAGATCATTTCCAAAAGCTGTCCATCAAATCATCCCAACCTCCCCCCTATTGTTTATCCACTGAATTGATGAGAATAACACCCACCCTTTGCATAAATCTCCATGGAAGAGCCAAACTGGTGTCCTTGTTTTGTGGAAGCACATGTTCTTGGCCAGAGTCTCTGATCACATTCATAACCTTTTGTTTTTCTTACATAAGGTTCGTGTTGCATTATTTGTCAAAGCATCTCTGAGACTCTGCCATGGATGTGAGAGGTACGGAAAGAGCGTGGGAAGCATCAGAGATTCCACATTAATTCCTAACTTTTGCTGATTTTTAAATCATCTGGAGAAAACCTCCATAAACCATTGAGACACATTAAAAAAAATCCTTATCTTCTCAAATTGAGTTGCTTAATCACCATAGTCCAAGTTGAGACATGTTTCCTGTGTGTTTACTTTTAAATGGAAAGTTTTGGTCAAAGTCTGTTTATGAGCTGCTTATTCCAACATATGTCTCTCTAACACACATCAGTTTCCCCCTTCCCTCAGAACACACGCCCCAACCAGTTTGGGCAGAAGAAAAATGAATGGGAAAAACACATTCAGAGGGGAAAAAACATTACCAAATTTTAGTAGCTTTTTTTACCTCCTTCCCCTGCACCCCCCTTCCTTCTTCTCTTTCCTCTCTCTTTCTCTTTGCAGCTGTGGGTCTTCTGAATGAAAGCTTTTTGTTTGTTTGTTTTAACTGTAAGGAGAGCAGAGTTTCTTATCTTAGGATTCTTCTGAACTGGAAATTGCCCCCCACCCCCAAACCCTCCTATTCTTTTCTACTGATGAGAAACACATCAAGAGATTTCCCTGCATTTCAAGCTTCCCAGCAGAGTCCCGCGTGGGAGGTGGGGGTTCTGGCCTGGCTTTGGTGCATTCACCAGCCCCCAGGCCTCCAGCCCAGGCTTAGCTTCACCTGCATTTGCAGGGGAGTGGCCCCGAATTGGTGCTGCAGATGGGCACAGCGGCTCTGTCACCCTCAGGAGGAGGAGGCCAGTCCGAGGAAACAGTGAGGAAGCAGAGAAATGAAAAAGATCCCACAGTCTGAAGCTCTCAAAGCGTGACTCTGGCTTCCCCGCCTGCCCGATCCTGCCCGCAGTAGAGCAGGAGTCAGAAACTCTGTCCTGGGCCTGTCTCCCATGAGCTTTAGTGCCCCAGAGAGGTCCTTCTGCCTCCCCAGCATTGGAAGGAGCAGGATCCGAGAGAACCACACGCTTGCCCTGGTGCAGACGGGGACTGGAGGGTCTCCATGCTTCCTCCCAGCTCCTGCAGGTTGGCCAATGTCGCAGCAGGCTCAGAGCAGATCTTAGTTAGGTCTAGAAAGAGGCTCAGGTTAGAGCCTCCCTGGGCCACTCACTAGCTGTGTGACCTTGGACATGTTACCTGAAGCCTCTGGTCCCTGAGCCTCTGTTTTGTTACTCATTGTGGCATAAGAATACTTGTCTTAGGCTGGGCGTGGTGGCTCACACCTGTAATCTCAGCACTTTGGGAGGCCGAGGCGGGCAGATCACCTGAGGTCAGGGGTTTGAGACCAGCCTGGCCAACGTGGCAAAACCTCGTCTCTCCTAAAAAGAACAAAAATTAGCTGGGTATGGTGGCAGGCACCTGTAATCCCAGCAACTCACCCAGGAGGCAGAGGTTGCAGTGAGCCGAGATCGCACCGTTGCACTCCAGCCTGGGTAACAAGAGTGAAACTCTGTCTCAAAAACAAACCAACAAAAAGAATACTTGTCTTAAACGAGTGCTTTAGGGATTAAATTAAGTAAAATGATGTACCAAATGCCTAGCCCTTGTGCCTGGCCCAGGGAAAGTCATTGAATTTGATTTCTCCTTCCTCACCATTGCCACTGTCTTTTAATAATTGTGCAGTCTTGTTTCTGCAAATGCTGCATACCAAATATTTTTTTTCTTTGAGACAGAGTTTTGCCCTTTCACCCAGGCTGGAGTGAAGTGGTATGATCTTGGCTCACTGCAGCCTCCTCCATGCCTCCCTGCCCACCCCCAGGTTCAAGTGATTCTTCTCCCTCAGCCTCCGAGTAGCTGGGATTACAGGCACCCATCACCACACCTGACTAATTTCTGTATTTTTAGTAGAGACGAGGTTTCACCATGTTGGCCAGGCTGGTCTTGCACTCCTGACCTCAGATGATCTACCCACTTCGGCCTCCCAAAGTGCTGGGATTACAGGCGTGAGCCACCGCGCCCAGCCGGCTGCATACCAGTTTGGCCCTTATATATATGGTTTTGTATTGTGAGGAATCTTTTTATACTTTATGTTCTGTGCTTTCCCCTAGATTTAAGATCTGTGAAAACCAGGACTGTTTGCAAGTTCTCCTGGTGCTATAAACTTCACATGTAGGTGTTATTCAAAATATATTATTTATCAATGATTTCTCTTAGAATGCATAGCATAGATTATAAGAGTAGTGAAAAATATTTTCCTTTAGTTGCTCTGGGATGCCAGAAATCATTGGCTACCCTCCTCCCCTTTACAGTCACAAGTCCAGATGTTTGGAGGGGGAGGGAGAAGCTGGACTCTATGAAAGACAATTTAGCAATTTTGCAGTGTTGGTGTTTCTGACCTTCCATCTACTTCCCCATCTGTCTGCCAAGGTCCGAGTGTCCCTCTGGGTATGCACGAGGCCAGACTGTTTGGACCTGGTCATTCTTCAAGCCTAAGACAGGCTGCCCAGGGATAGAAAGGTTATAAATTCCAGGCTGTTGACTCCAAGGCACCAAATATTGTCACAGGAGGAAACTTTTTTGCAGCTGCTGTAGAAAATGTAAATGTGGCTGGGCACGGTGGCTCACGCCTGTAACCCCAGCACTTTGGGAGGCTGAGGCAGGCAGATCACCTGAGGTCAGGAGTTCAAGACCAGCCTGGCCAACATGGTGAAACCCCATCCCTACTAAAAATACAAAAATTAGCTGGGCTTGGTGACACGTGCCTGTAATTCCAGCTACTCAGGAGGCTGAGGCAGGAGAATTGCTTGAACCTAGGAGGCAGAGGTTGCAGTGAGCTGAGATTGTGCCACTGCACTCTAGCCTGGTGACAGAGCAAGACTCCGTCTCAAAAAAAAAAAAGAAAAGAAAAGAGAATGCAAATGTGCTGACGGTGGTGCAGGCCAGGAATTGCTCCAGCTTTGTCTTGTTCATTATTCCTTTGAAAAGAAGCCTCCCTCTGCTCCTCTGTACATTTCTGCGGAACTGGCACTTGAAAGGTAAGGCGCCGGAGCTCTCCCTGCCCCAGTCATAATGGGAAAAGTTTTCACCCCAGGCCAGCCCAAACACTCAATTGTGTTCTTTCTCTACCAGATACATAATCCGTGTTTAAATCTCTTGGCAGTCACTCATTAGTTTTTTTCCCCTACATTCTTTTCTTCTTTGATGAGAACAAAGCCCGGCTCCTCCCAGCTCCCAATCTTGCTTTTCTCTCCCAGGAAATCTCCCTGTCGCACTTTGATCCCATAGGAAGAAAGTCACCCAAATGCTATCCTTCTCTACCTGCTAAAAGAGGAAGATCGCAATTCTTTGTACTACCAAATCTGTGTGCAGAACTCACAAATCTGTGGTGCCAGAGGTCCTGATTTTTCTGGAGGCATTCTGGCGGCATACCATGGCCTGACTACCTAAGGACCCCTCTCTTGGGCACCTCCCCCTCCCTGATTTTTAATGGATTGTTCTTGAGAAAGGAAGGATTGGACATACGGTGACTCCAATGGAATTTTATTCTTATTAAAGCCCTTTGAAGTTCCCTCTTTCTAACACCACCCTTTCTTACCCTCACCCCTTAGATGTGGCATGTTCCATCATCAGAGTTGTTGAAGTTAAAGTTATAGGAAAACCAACCTGAATTTCTCTAATACAACTCTTTGATGTAGAGTAAAACAAAAATCTATTTCCATCCGATATTCTAGGCTTCTAAGAAATGAACTATGAAAGTAAGCTGTTTAGCACTATAGGACTGTAAAGAATTTTAAATTTATTTTATTCCATCTGCTTTGGACTCCAAACCATTCTGGATTTTGATTGAGAGGCAGAAAACCAAGCATTTATTGGGCACCTACTGTGTGTCAGACTTGGTATACAGACAGCATGTGAGAGGCTATCACGTGCCTATAAAGAGCAGGTCACACAGCTTGCAGATGGCTGAGCTGGGACCTGAGCCGGCCTCATCTGACTGTTCTGACCCCATAGCCTGAGTTCTTCTCAAGGTAATTTGCCACCTTGTGGTCACTGTCTTCTGCAGAAACATTCTTCGATGAGCTTTGGAAAGGAAGAATGACATATCACTTGTTAAAAAGGAATTTAGGGTTTGTAGCATAGTGAGAGTAAGAGAGATGGGAGGTGAGAGTTCCTGCCATTGGAAACTGGCAATGGTGAGGAAACAATGACAATTAGAGGGAGAGCCATGGAAATTGATGGGGGAGGCGTGGGGAGGAAGCAGAGAGGATTCTGTGTGGATGGATGAATGGATGGATGGATGGATGGATGGATGGATGGAGGCACCGTTAGGAGAATGGGGAAGGGGTGACTAAGGATTATGAATGTGTGTGTGTGTGTGTGTGTGTGTGTGTGTGTGTAAGGATCACTTCTGTTTTAGACAAAATCGAAAAGCGAATGTAGGGTGGGGAGAATCACACAATATTTTAGGGATTATTTATACGTTTGTTTAATAAGAAAAAAAGAGAGTCAAACCTCACCATATTATAAAGCTTTCTTGCCCATGAATTCTTCTTAGAGCAAATGAGGGTTTCCTCTTGTTTTGTTCCTCTTAAACTCTCAGTCATTTTGGGAATAAATGTCTATACTTCAGCTATCTTTCTAATCATTTCTTATATGTATTTGTTTTTGATATGTCTGTAGGGAGAACTGACAAGGACTCTCACCATCTTTTGAATTTAGTTTTTTTAAAAAAAATTATTGTTGTTAGAGCAACATATTTTGTTAACATTCTTTAAAAATGAAAATCTCTCTAACCACCGTCCTGAATCTCTAATATTGTACACAGTAAATATTTGTGAAATAAAAATGAATAGATATAATTAGCATCCTTTTATTTGATATTGAAGTCATAAAATGGATTAAAGACACAGGGTTAATTTTATTTTGTTAAGGAACAAGCAGTGAAGATTCTTCCAAAAATGCCTGGCTGATTTCTGGTTGACCCAAGTGTATAAAAATTAAGCTCTAAATAATTATCAAAATAGTGTCTGTAAATAGCATATTTGCTGAGGCAAGACTTAGATCGTAGGAATGATGAGCACTGTTGGTCATTTTGGCTGTGCCAAGTTCAATAGACCACTTGTGGCCAAACGCTACATGTGAGGATGTTTTCAGTAATCTAAGCAGGTGTAGGAATGACACTCAGTTTGAGAGACTCAACTGAAAGTAATGTGCTGGACCACTGAGTTGTTTTACAATTAGTCTTGGAAAACTTGGGGGTTTTTGGTCCTTCTGTGCCCCCAGCTTTATTGAAATATAATTGATGAATAAAAATTGTGGATATTTAAGGCGTACAGTGTGATGTTGTGATACACACATTGTAAAATGATTACCACAGTTTAACATATCTATTACCTCATATAGTTACCATTTGTGTGTGTGTGTGTGTGTGTGTGTGTGTGTGTGTGTGTGTGTGTGATATGAAAATAGTTAAGTTCTACTCTTTTTCAGGTCTGTAATCCCAGCACTTGGGGAGGCTGAGGCGGGCAGATCATGGGGTCAGGAGTTCAAGACCAGCCTGGCCAAGATGGTGAAACCCCATCTCTACTAAAAATACAAAAATTAGCTGGGTGTGGTGGTGCACGCCTGTAATCCCAGCTACTGGGGCGGCTGAGGCAGGGAATTGCTTGAACCTGCGAGGCGGAGGTTGCAGTGAGCTGAGATCGCACCATTGCACTCCAGCCTGGGTGACGGAGCAAGATTCTGTCTCAAAACAAGGAGCAAGATTCTGTCTCAAAACAAAACAAACAAAGAACAAAACAAAACAAAACAAATCTACTCTTTTATTAGCAAATTTAAAGTATAAAATACAGTATTATTAACTGTAGTCTCTGTGCTGTAAATTAGGTCTCTAGGGCTTTTATTTTATTTTATTTTATTTTATGTTTGATGAAGTCTTGTTCTCTCACCCAGGCTGGAGTGCAGTGGCATGATCTTGGCTCACTGCAATCTCCACCTCCCAGGTTCAAGCCATTCTCCTGCTCCAGCCTCTCGAATAGCTGAGACTACAGGTGTGCACCACCACACTTGGCTAATTTTTGTATTTTTAGTAGAGACAGGGTTTTGCCATGTTGGCCAGGCTGGTCTCAAACTCCTGACCTCAGGTGATCCACCTGCCTCATCCTCCCAAAGTGCTGGGATTACAGGCGTGAGCCACCACATCCAGCCAACTTACTCATTTTATAACTGCAAGTTTTTACCCTTTGACCAACATCATCTCGTTTCCCCCAGCCCGCCTCACTCCCCAACCCCAACCCCTGGTAACCACCCTTCTATTCTCTGTTTCTGTGAGTTTGCCTTTTTAAAATTCCATATATAAGTGAGATCATGTGCTATTTGTGTTTCTGTGTCTGGCTTGTTTCATGTAGCATGATGTCCTCTAGGTCCATCCATGCTGTCAAAAATGGCAGGATTTCCTTCTTTTCTAAGGTCAAGTAATATTCCTTTGTGTGTGTGTGTGTGTGTGTGTATACCACATTTATATACATATATATATATATATATATATATATATATATATATATATATACACACCACATTTTCTTCATTAATTTATCTGTCAGTGGACACTTTGGTTGTTTCCATATTTTGGCTATTGTGAATAATGCTGCAATGAAATTGAGAGTGCCATGCAGATATAGTATCTCTTTGAAATAGTGACTTTATTTCCTTTGGATATATACCCAGAAGTGGAATTGCTGGATCTTATGGGGGTTCTGTTTTTTTTTTTTTTTTTTTTTTTTTTTAATAGTCTCTCTGTGTTCACCCAGGCTGGAGTGCAGTTGGCGCCATCTCGGCTCACTGCAACCTCTGTCAAGCGATTCTCATGCCTCAGCCTCCCAGTTAGCTGGGATTACAGGCAGGCGCCACCATGCCTGGCTAATTGTTTTGTATTTTTAGTAGAGATGTGGTTTCACCATGTTGGCCAGGCTGGTCTCGAGCTTCTGACCTCAGGTGATCTGCAAGTGCTGGGATTACAGGCATGAGCCACCACACCCAGCTGTTCTGTTTTTAATACTCTAAGGAACCTCCATACTGTTCTTCGTAATAGGTGCTGAGCCTTTTTTTTTTTTCTTTTGAGACGGAGTCTCGCTCTCTCACCCAGGCTGGAGTGCAGTGGCGCGATCTTGGCTCACTGCAACCTCTGCCCTCTGAGTTCAAGTGATTCTCCTGCCTCAGCCTCCCGAGTAGCTGGGATTACAGGTGCCTGCTAATTTTTTTTTGTATTTTTATTAGAGACGGGGTTTCACCATCTTGGCCAGGCTGGTCTTGAACTCCTGACCTCGTGATCCACCTGCCTCGGCTTCCCAAGTGCTGGGATTACAGGCGTGAGCCACCGAGCCCGGCCTGGTGCTGAACCAAATTACATTTCCACCAACAAGGTATTAGAGTTTCCTTTTCTCCATGTCCTCACCAGTACAGACAGTCTTTCTGATAGTAGCCATTCTTACAGATGTGAGGTGGTATCTCATTGTGGCTTTATTTGCATTTCCCTGATGATTAGTGATGTTGAGCACCTTTTCATATACCTGCTGGATATTTGTGTGTCTTCTTTAGAAAAATGTTTATTCAGGTTCTTTACCCATTTTTAAACTGGGTTATTTGTGGGATTTGTTTAGTTTTTTGTTTTGTTTTGTTTTGCTGTTGAGTTGTATGAGTGCCTTTCTATTGTGGATATTAACTCTTTATTGGATATGTGCTTTGCAAGTATTTTCTCCGTCCTGTAGGTTGCCTTTTTCATTTTGTAGACTATTTCCTTTGCTGTACAAAAAACTTTTTAGTTTGATGTAGTCCCACTTATGTTTGCTTTTGTGCCTGTACTTTTGGTGTCGTATCCAAAAAATCATCGCCAAGACCAATGTCATGGAGTTTTCCCCCTTTGTTTTCTTCTAGTTTAACAGTTTCAAGTCTTAACATTGAATTAAAGTTTTAATCCATCTTGAGTGGATTTTTGTCTGGAAAATTTCGTTTTAACAAAGTCTTTAGACCAGCATTAAGGGACAAGGAGTGAAGCATCAGAATCACAAGAGGGACATTAAGAAAATTATATAGGGTGTTGATGGTGGGAGAGGCCATGGAGACCGGGGATGGGGGTAAGGGTATATGGGAACTGACTGTACTTTTTGCTCACTTTTGTTGTGAGCTTAAAATTTCTCTTAAAAGATGAAGTCTGTTATTAAAATATATGTATATAATTTTCCTGACCCTGGAGAGCTGGATATGGTATTTAAAATCATTGACTTAGTGAGTCATAGTTAACTGTGCAGGGTGTCTGCCCCTCTCTGCGCTGTTCAACAGAAAATACATGTTGAGAATTAGTGTCTTAATCATAGAATATTGCAGCAGAAAAGAACCTAAAATCACCCAGTTTAGAGTCCTTAGGTGGGACACCACATGAACAGCTTCCTGGGGTTGTTAGGACTTTAGTTTTGAGTATACATGAAGTTGCCCGTGGTCAATAAGTTTGGGAAACGCAGCTCATTATAACTTCTTTGTAGTAAGCCAAAATTAAGATATTTCCTACATTTTATCAAACAGACATTAAAAAAATCACAGCACACTGATCAACATATTCCAAGGAACACCAATTTGGGAACAAGTAATCTAAAATAAAGATTACCACTCCGTAATGGGTTATGAAATCAATGTAGGGGTTACAACTATCTTTTTGTTTTACAAAAAATAATACAGTAGAATAAGAAATACCAGAGTGCATTGCACAGAGGAGGCTATTATTTTGTGAAACCTTTGTTTCAGTTATGTATGGTATATTTGTGTGAACTCAGTCAGAATGAAGCCTATTTGTTACTATAAATGGTGGCCAAAAATACGCTGGAGAAGACTGGTCTGATTCAGTTCCTCAATTTTACAACTGAAAACACAGAGGAGACCCATGTGGTCCTAAGATCACACGGGGAGTTAGTAACAGATTGAGTCTGAGTCTGTTCTTCATCCTCAGTCCCCTTCACCACTGCTTTTGCTAAATCCATAGACCATCCTGTTTAAAAAGCAACACTCAGGGAAACAACGCAAACGTCCATCAGCAGGTGGTGGATGAACAAAACGTGTCTTGTACAGACAATGGAATATTACTCAGCCTTGGAAAAGAATGAAATTCTGACACAGGCCACAACATAGATGAACTTTGAACATTATGCAGAGTGAAAAAAGCCAGATACAAAAGGACAAATATCATATGATTCCACTTATATGAAGTTTTCCTAGAATAGACAAATAACATAGAGACAGAAAGTGGATTAGTGGTTACCAGGGCCTGGGGGAAGGTGGGAATGGGGAGTTAGTATTTAATGTGTACAGAGTTTGGGATGATGAAGAAGTTCTGGAAATAAATAGTAGGGATGGTTGCACAACAGTGTGAATACACCAAATGCCACTGAACTGTATGTACACCTAAAAAATTGTTTAAGTGGCAAATTTCATATTTTGTGTATTTTATCACACATTCCAAAATGAATCTAGGCGCAAAAGAAGAAGAGGAAACAGAACAACGTAGCATTTCTTGTAGACAGACCTCATTTCACATTCCAGCAGCCGTTTATTCCTTCAGCCTACCCCTTGGTGGGCCCAGGTCCTGAGGATTCTGAGGCAAACAGGACAGGCTCCCTGGCCTTAGGAATCCATGGAACCGACTGTGGCCAAGTGTGGCCTTGATTCTGGAATCCCTGGCAGGTGATGACTGCTGGCATTTCCACAGGTGATGCATTTTACAGCAGCGAGTGATGCTTAGCCAATGACCTTTCATGTGCTAATAGCTCTGATTTTTCCAATTGCAGCATTTGGATAAACCCACAATTTGCTTTTGGAATGCCAAGGAAAAACATCGTTTATGGTTTTTCTTTTGGTCTCACCCCTTTCATCAGTTGGTCTTTAGCCTTAACCCATAAACAAATAGCCTTTTCTCTCTTTACTCTTCCCTCTTTCTTTGCAAGACCTCCAGGCTCCCTGCAAATGGCAATTCAAGCGACATGCTCCTACCCACAAGTTACAGTGATTCACGCTGGCTCCATTCTGTACTCTTGCTTCACATGTTTGGATATGAGAGTCAGAAGACTCGGGGTGAGCCAGAAATGAGGTCAGGGGCAGCTGGGTAGCAGAAGCGGGATGTCTGTTTCTTTCTTGTAGCTGACTTAAGATTTTTGATACTCCCAGTGCAGGGCAATTTCTGCCCGTACAAGCTGTGGCAGATAGGAGTCTACCGCTGGCTCTATTTGAGGGCATTGGAGATTTCTTACTACCTGGCAGGCACCCCTGTGCTTCTAGCCCCTCCACTGTTATTGACAAACAGGTTTGTGCTTCCAGCCACCCTGTCAGAATCTCTGCAGCCCTCAAGTCAGCAGCAGCATTAAAGGAAACCTGGAGGATGTCTCTCTAACTCCACCAGTGAAAATAGTTAACTGGGCTTACTGGGAGCTAAGAAAATAGTTTATTTTTATGTTACATTGAACTTTACCACAAATGGCGGGGGAGCAGGGATGGCTGGCACACATCATGATAATGATCTTGAAACCGTTAGCATAGTCTGTGAGTTTTAGGTCCACCCAGGGTTTTTCCGCCTTGGTACTATTGACATTTGGGGCCAGATAATTCTTTTTTTTTTTTTTTT
The DNA here is from genome assembly GCF_000001405.40 of Homo sapiens. Taxonomy (NCBI): domain Eukaryota; kingdom Metazoa; phylum Chordata; class Mammalia; order Primates; family Hominidae; genus Homo; species Homo sapiens. The sequence goes on along the minus strand of NC_000014.9, from coordinate 89,329,871 downwards.
TTTTTTTTTTTTTTTTGAGACTGAGTCTCGCTCTGTCGCCCAGGCTGGAGTGCAGTGGCACGATCTCGGCTCACTGCAAGCTCCGCCTCCCGGGTTCACAGCATTCTCCTGCCTCATCCTCCCTAGTAGCTGGGACAGGTGCCCGCCACCACACCCGGCTAATTTGTTTTGTATTTTTAGTAGAGACAGGGTTTCACCATGTTAGGCAGGATGGTCTCGAACTCCTGACCTTGTGATCCGCCCGCCTCGGCCTCCCAAAGTGCTGGGATTACAGGCTTGAGCCACCGCGTCCGGCAGGGGCCAGAGAATTGTTTATTGTGAGAGGCTGTCCTGTGCCTTGTAGGATGTCTGGAAACATCCTTGGCCTCTACCCACCAGGTACCAGTAGCACCCCCACCCACCACCAAGTTGTGGTGATGGAAAACGTCTGCAGATATTGCCAGATGTTCCCTGGGGAGCAAAACCAACCCCAGTTGAGGACCACTGGCACACCCCAAATCCCTTCTGCTATGTTCCGAGTTTTAAATGTTGAGGACTTTTTCCATGGATATTCTGGAAATAATAATGAAAAAGAGCTTGGGGTTTTGGTTTGATTCCTGCTTTATTAGTATTAAAGGGTGTGTAAGCATCACAGCCTGGGAAAAATTAACACCTACTATCTATGTCAGAATGAATCTGTTACCCATGTACTAGGCTTGGTTCCGTGAGGGGTGCTATATCTTGGGCAACATGATTTCTGGTGTGGTCCAGCTGCCGAAGAATTGCACAGTGGTGAGGGTCGGTGGCCTCTCTTATATCATCTACTTTGCTGTATTTCCCAGATGGCAGGCCGAGGCCTTGCATGGTTATAAGCTGAGCACAGGAGCAGGTAAGCTGAGATGGAGGAGGCCTGCATCCGTGGCCTCTGAGTACTACTTGTCCTCTTTTCCTTCTGTGCCAGTCCCATGGCTGAATGACATAGGCAGCTTATTTCATTGCACGTCTTATATCTTTCTCTTCCACATCTAAATGGAGGATGGTACCTGCTCTTTATCTTGTTATCACCTGTCAAGCTCTACCCTTGTCGTGGTGTCAGTTATTTGAGATCATGGAATTATCTGTGATGTAATTACCTGTTCTGGAGCCCCAGATGGATTCCTAAGGGCCATCCTCCAAAAAGCCAAGCCTCCGTTTCCCTTTGAGGCTGTGCTAGTGGGAATGTGTCTTTGCCCATTCATCTAGTGCTGCTGGTGGGAATGTCTCTTCTCCTATTCATCCAGTGCTGCTGGTGGGAATGTCTCTTCTCCTATTCATCCAGTGCTGCTGGTGGGAATGTCTCTTCCCCCATTCATCCAGGGCTGCTGTTGGGAATGTCTCTTTAACCATTCACCCAGGGCTGCTGTTGGGAATGTCTCTTCACCCATTCAACCAGGGCTGCTGTTGGGAATGTCTCTTTACCCATTCACCCAGGGCTGCTGTTGGGAATGTCTCTTCACCCATTCATCCAGGGCTGCTGGTGGGAATGTCTCTTCCCCCATTCATCCAGGGCTGCTGTTGGGAATGTCTCTTTGCCCATTCATCCAGGGCTGCTGGTGGGAATGTCTCTTCGCCCATTCATCTAGGGCTGCTGGAACTCCTGTGTGCCATGCTTTGTGCGGGTTACTTGGGATCCTTGATGACTGAGCCAGGTTTCCTGTCATCAGAGCGTACACCTCCAGTTAGAAAGATGGACTTGTAAACAAATCTAATGTAACATGAGACTTGCTTTCGGTCATCTGTACAAAAGTGCTGTAGTTTAACGATCCTGGCTGTTTTGAAGCTCTTCCCAAGTATTGAAGTACTGAAACACAGTGGTGACATTTTGGAAGGCATTAGCCTGTGGTCTGGGAGAATGCTATTTGGGAGTCTGAAAACCTGGGTTTTTAGTGTTGACACTGGCCCTGATTAGCTGTGTGCTAATTCCTGTAAACCTGAGTCACTTCATCTTAATGGACTTCCCTCCCTAGGTTTATAAAATGAGGTGGTTGGGCTAGATCATCTCTAACGTTCCTTCTGATTCTGGTAGCCTCTGCTTATTATAATGTTTAAAGACTGGAAACTTCGAGATTAGCCAGCCTTTGTGAGGAGGATTTATTGTAAGTTTTTAAAGTGGCTTCCCTGCTCATTTGTGCCTTTGGGGAGACTTGGGCAACTCTGGTATGGTCAGAAGCCTAGCAACACTTTGAGGCCCCATCTGAGGGGTAAACTAGTAGTCTGAAAGACTAAACAGATGTCTTGCCCTGAAGTTCCAGAAGAAAGATACCATCTGTAAATAGCCTCATCAACTTTCATAGGGCTTTTGGCGGGTAGAGGTGCCTTTTACCATTATCCTTCTGTCCACTTGTGGATTTGTATAAATCCATTAGGTTAAAATTATCCATTCCTTTTGCTCTTGAAGCTGTAGGTCAGTTTCCTGCCCAGTTTAAACCTTGTCGCATACTTGTCACTTTTAAATTCTGTAAGCACCATCCTCAGCATTCCAGGGCTGGTAACCCCAAAGATGGCAGCAGCCAAGCTCCTAGCAAGGGGCACCCAGTCAGGGATAAGATCTGTAGTCGTTAAGCACATCATATAATAATGGTAGATAAATATTTGGAGCATTCTTCTCTCCTTAGTGTACTTCTTCATATTTCAGTTGCTTTGTATATAAATCTCACCTTTTCTAAGGAAACATTATATGATCTCTCACTGCATGTCATAATAAGTTTCCCGGACCACCTAGATGATACTTGGCAATTATGGCCTCATGTTGTGGTCCTATGTGTACATGTGCTTTTTCTCTTTCAGAATTGGACTCATCTCTTGGAGCCAATGATTGCATCTAATCACCAGCAAAGACCCCACAGCTGGGTTGGGTGGTGCGTGTGTGAGCATGTGTGTGTGTGCATATTACGTACCCGGGAAATGTTGGCGGGATAGATGGATCACAATGTCAGGCACGGGAAGCACTCAATAAATAGTTGTTGAATTGTACCGAGTTGTAGTGGCTAAATATTTCATGGTTCTCTATTCTTCCTACTTTATGCCACTTACCATGGGCTAGAAAATAAGATGAAGCTGTGTTTGCATTGAATAGTGGTAAGTGGTTGCTGGTTGTCTGAAGAGTCATAGAGCTTTTAGTGGTTTTACAGCTCTGATTCTTTTTTTTTGACAGCAATGTTTACTATTTCTGGCCATTATGTACACTAATATAAAAATTTAATTAGACTCTTTCTTTTCAATTAATTATTACAGCCCTGTTTGTTTGCTCTCTCGACAGAGCCTGCTTTATGGGAACAGGAGAGATCAATTTTCTATCACAAAATTCATTACTTTTGACTAAAGTCCAGTGCGCCTGTGAGTGTGTGCACCACTCTTGATGACTTCCCGGGCAGCCAGAGGATTGTGGATTCTGCCGAGTATTAAAGTAGCCTTGGTGAAGGGATGCTTTTGATTCAAGAAGAGTTTGATTTGATCATTGTCCTTCTCAAAGCAGCACATGAAGCAAAATTAAAATTCTGTACAGTTCCTGGGGTTGAAAATATACTTGTGTCTTATTCATTCCTCATGTTTAATATTTTCTTAAGCATCCAGAGAGTTGGAATTGGGTATAGATAGAATATGTAAAGGCTTCTGCCTTAGGAAAGCTATTTTCTTTGACAGCACCTATAAAAGAAGGTGTGTGCTCTGGGAGGGCAGGGACATGGTAGGTTTGTTCTTTACTTAGCTCCAGAGCCCACACAGTGCCTGGCGCTTGGTAGCTGTTGAGTAAACGTTTGTTGAATGAGAACGCATGAGATACAATAGTTTTGCTTTACATCATTGATAAAAGTGTTCTTTCATCACCGGTAAAAGTGTTTTCTGGATTAAAAGTTCTCTGTGCCTCTGTCTCTAATAATTCCCCATGATTAATGTCTTAGATGGAGCTGTTTTCAGTGTTGGGAGACGCCAGACCTGTGTTGAGAGTGCAGCCATGCTATCTTACTTGACAGGACAGGGGCTAGGCTTGGTCCCCAAGAGGCACAGGTAATGCCCAGCTCAGTTCATTGAGCCCCCAGGGGCAGAGCATCATCTTGGGACTCACACACATCTTGTGCAGTTCTATACCTGCCACTTCACTAGCTCTGTGATGTCAGGGCCTGCAGTGTCACCTCTTCTGTTCTCTGTTCACTGATCTGTAAAACTGGGCCAGTAGTGTCTACCACCCACAATGGGTAGTGTCTATTCAATGAGATCACCACAAGTCATGTCCTCTGTACAGAGATAGTTCAATAAATGTATCTGTTTACAACTCCTTTCCCTTCCTGTGATGTTTCCCTTTAACAAAGAGGGTGGTTCTCCACCCTCCATTTAGAACTGTTTCACCTCTTACTCTTGCATGAGATAGGGAAGAAGAAGAAAGGGCCCCAGTAGCCTCAGTCTCTGGGTCTCTGACATGATACAGTGCAGAGTTAGAGGTTAGACCTGTGTGGTGATAATGGTGGTGGTGATGGTGGTGGTGGCGGTGGTGGTAGTGGTGGTGGTGGTGGTGGTGGTGGTGGTGGTGGTGGTGGTGGTGGTCGTGGTGGTGGTGTTGGTGTTGGTGGTGTTGGTGTTGGTGTTGGTGATGGTGGTGGTGGTGGTGGTCGTGGTGGTGGTAGTGATGGTGGTGGTGGTGGTGCATGTGTGTTGGCATGGGCATGGGAGCAGGAGCCCGAAGAATAGCATAGCTCAGCAGAACTTTCTGCAGTGGTGGAAGTACTCTGTGTCTATGCTGTCCGCTGTGTAGTCACTAGCCACATGTGGCTTGTTGAGCACCTGAGATGCACCCAGTGTGCCCATGGAATTGCATTTTTAGTTTCCTTTAGTCTTCATGTAACTAATCCCATGTGGCAAGAGGCTACCATGTTGGACAGCGCCACCCTAGAGCCTTGCTATGGCCTAAGGATGTGCAACGTGTGCGTTTCCTGGGAGCCTGGGAGAAATGCAGAATCTCAGACGTCACCCCAGACCTGCTGGATCTGAACCTGCTTTTTAATACAATCTCCAGGTGGTTTAAGAAACACTGGGCCAGCCTTGAAACCTCTCAGTGTCTTTCCAGAGACTTCCAGGCAGTTGTGCTGGTCAAGGATGGAAGGTTCTTGCTGTCTTCTTTGCCTTCTCAGCTGTTCTCACAACCTGCTGTGGTTTTCAGGGGACCCATGTGTGTGGGTCCCTGTGGTTAAGAGATCAAAGAAAAAAGTTCTGTAGCTGTCATCTTAGGATGAAACGCTGTTTTGTGTATTCCTCCTCATAAACCTCCTTAATCTCTGTATTCCTATATTCTCTCCCCAAAGGGTAGCTCTGCTGTTATTTTCTCATGTATCCTACTGCCGCTTTGTTTTCCCTGCTAGTAAAGATGTGGGTACATACACACACACACACACACACACACACACACACACACACACACGCACACACTTAGCTGTTTCAAACCAAATCAGTATGTTTAGGCTGTGGTTCTCTTAATGCTTCCCAGCACTCTGGCTAGTGATCAATATTTCAAAAGCCTAAGTAGCATTTTCTCTTTAAGTGAAAATGTCCCCCCACCTCCCTGAATGTATTAATAATTTCTATTCCGTAATGGTGCTAATTTAACCCATCAAAAACAATAGTTACAGAAAACTTTGCAGATTTCTTTGATGCCCATTGGAGAAATCACTTTAGCTAATGGGCGTGTTGCTTGGCTATTACTGATATTCGGCAAAGCTGGGAATTGGACTATATGTTTAATTATTTTGGTGGATACTTTTCATTCTTGAATGGCTCACAGACATCACATGGTGGTGGCTTAGATGTTGTCTATATGATGTCTGTTGCAGGTTGCAACTTAAGCTGTATCTGAGGAGTTGCCCAGGGCACCACAAGGAAACTGAAGCACAAAGGCACCACGCTAGAGGTCCCTGCCTCTAATGAGTCTCTAAAACACATCCAAGGTTACAGTGCTAGTAAATGACAGAGCCAAAACTTGGACCCAGCAGCATGGTTCCAGTATCTACACTTCACCACCACCCCCAATTGCCTTTGCTCTCTGTCAGGAACTGGCCCCCTCTGCTACCCACTGTGCCTGCTCCTTTAGATCGATGTTGTCACTGCCATGGGTCCTCTCCGTTTTTTGTTTGTTTGTTTGTTTGTTTTGCGATGGAGTCTCATTCTGTTGCCCAGGCTGGAGTGCAGTGGCGTGATCTTGGCTCACTGCAACCTCTGCCTCCTGGGTTCAAGCAATTCTCCTGCCTCAGCCTCCTGAGTAGCTGGGATTACAGGCGTGTGCCACCACGCCCAGCTAATTTTTGTATTTTTAGTAGAGACGGGGTTTCACCATGTTGGTCAGGCTGGTCTCAAACTCCTGACCTCGTGATCCACCCACCTTGGCCTCCCAAAGTGCTGGGATTACAGGCGTGAACCACTGTGCCCAGCCGGGTCCTCTTCTTCTTTGGGACCTCTCCTTCTTTGGGTCTTTGCTCAGGTGTCACCTTCTCAAAGACACCTACCCTAACCACCCCTTCAAAATACTCGTGCCCCACTGTCATTCTTTCTTTCTTTCTTTCTTTCTTTTTTTTTTTTTTTTTGAGATGGAGTCTCGCTCTGTCGCCCATGCTGGAGTACAGTGGCGTGATCTTAGCTCACTGCAACCTCTGCCTCCTGGGTTCAAACGATTCTCCTACCTCAGCCTCCCGAGTAGCTGGGACTGCAGTTGCCTGCCACCACGCCTGGCTAATTTTTTGTATTTTTAGTAGAGATGGAGTGTCATGGTGTTAGCCAGGATGGTCTTGATCTCCTGACCTTGTGATCTGCCCAACTTGGCCTCCCAAAGTGCTGGGATTACAGGCATGAGCCACTGCGCCCGGCTCCCACTGTCATTCTTTATTGCCATTGCCTTTAAGTTTTCTCCTTAGCTTTTATTACCACTTGCACATTATGTATTTGTTTTATGTAAATTCCTTGAGAGCGGGGACTTTCTTTTGCTCTCTGCTGTATCCTTAGGCTTTGGAACAGTCCCCAGCCCATAGTAGCACGAGGCTGGTAGTTTTGAATGGATGGATGGATGGATGACCTTCTAACTGGATAGCTGCCATTGACTCCCACTTGGCCTCCTTCTTGCCTCTTCCTGGTGTGCCTCTGCTGTACCTGGCTAGTACTCAGCGAGTATTCAGCATGGTGATTCCTCCGAAACATCTGTTTGCCCTGACAGTTCCTTGCAGAGAAGCACCTCATATGACTCTTGACTGCCCCACCGGTCCCCTTCTCAGCCTTACTGAATGTCCTTCATTTTTTGACTATGCCACCATGTTGCTCCCTCTTTTCTCTGTTCTTCCCTCTGCAGCCCCCTCCAGACAAGAACACTATGTCCTTGTGTGGCCCAAGCATATTGTCTGTCCTGGCATTTACACTTTAAAGGCATCTCTTCTCAGTAGACTCCAAGTTGTGTGAGGGCAGGAGCCCGTATCCTCTCTTGTTCCCCTTCATGCCCCCAACTTTACCTTAGCACCTGGCTTCATAACCATCTACTGATAGATGAATGAAGCCATTTAATTGTATGGGTAGAACCACACAAAATATGTTGGAAGCAAGTCTCACTTCTCTGGAATTAAATGTTTCTTTGGCACTACGAGATCTTACTGTTCAAGCTGTGAGATTTAAAGGGAAAATGCTTCCTGCTAATTATTAACAGTTGCCCTGTAAGAGCAGAGCCATTATGGGGTCCCGAACCCTGGCATGCTGCCCCTCCCAGCAGTGAGCAACGGCAGCAAGCCGGGAGGAACTTTAAGGCAACTGTGGCCCTGGCACCCACGGACCTCAGATTACCCAAAGAGGGTTGCAGTATCAGGGCCAGTGGAGTAGGGAGTGGGTAAAAGGATTTGAAATGAGATTATAGGACCTAAAAGATTCTTGCTTTTGTTCAGGAAATAATTTACCGGTTTTCTTTAAGGCAGTGAGACAATCCAGTTGAGGGTCTGGAGTGGTAGATCATTGCCGTGGGCCTCTTCAGATACTTAAAAATAAGTTGATCTGTAGTTGTGTTTGTTGGGCTTCTTGTTTGTTTTTTTATTTAAAAAAAAAAAAGGAAAGAAGAAAGACAGGAATGGAAAGAAAAAGAAACTCAGTTGTCAAGTACTCTAAACAAACAAAATTGAATGCAAGATCTATTAAGAGAATACAAAGACAACCTCTTTTGAAAGAACGTCTTTGGCCAGTGTGTCTTCAAGCCAAAGTCTAGAAAGTGAATGGGAAGTGTGATCAGAATACAACTTCTTAATTTTTATTTTATTTTATTTTTTTGAGACAGAATCTCACTCTGTCACCCATGCTGGAGTGCAGTGGCTCAATCTCGGCTCACTGCAAACTCTGCCGCCCAGGTTCAAGCAATTGTCCTGCCTCAGCCTCCCGAAGTAGCTGGGATTACAAGCGCCTACCATCGCTCCTGGCTAGTTTTTGTATTTTTAATAGAGACGGGTTTTCACCATTTTAGCCAGGATGGTCTCCATCTCCCAACCTCGTGATCCACCCGTCTCAGCCTCCCAAAGTGCTGGGATTACCCAGCCCTTAATTTTTTTTTATTTTTTAATATATTTTTTGAGACAGATTTGCCCAGGCTGGAGGGCAGTAACGCAATCTCTGCTCACTGCAACCTCCACCTCCCAGGTTCAAGCGATTCTTGTGTCTCAGCCTCCCGAGTAGGTGGGATTACAGGTGCACACCACCATGCCCAGCTAATTTTCTTGTGTTTTTTAGTAGAGAGGGGTTTTCGCCATATTGCCCAGGTTGGTATTGAACTACTGGCCTCAAGTGATCTGCCCACCTCGGCCTCCCAAAGTGCTGGGATTACAGGCTTGAGCCACCATGCCTGGCCAATTTTTTAAAATTTCAAACCCCAAGAAGAAGGTTCCTTTCCCCTTGACCCCAACTCCCCGCATATAAACAGTTCATAAAAACTCCTCAGAGTCAGCTGGGTGAGAATCGCGCAGCCATGCTGTCTGCCGTTTGTGTTGGGTTTTATAGCCAGCATAACAGTTCTCTTAATACTTTAAGGCTTTTTTCACTTTTGATGCTTCCTGGGAGGTATATTTTGTTTGGCATTTAGCCCAGGTGCCTCTGAACCCTAAATCTCAGTTAGCTTCTCCTTCCTCATGCTATCAGCCTTCCTGCTTTATCTGAAGTTTGTATTGATGTGAAGTGGCTTTTTGTCTTTATCAGAGCAGGACTTCTCATTCCCCTGAGTGTGATGAGGAGACCCATGAGGGGTTTGTCTCACTGCTGATAATACTTGAGTCTGATTCTTGCAAGATGGTTGGGGATTAGCTATCTCACCGAGGTATGCAAGAGGATACCAGGTTATGTGAAAACTTAAAGGATATCAGGTTTATTTAGCCTCTAGCAAGGGACCAGTGTGTGGGTGATTCTGCGGAAAATATTTGAGAGATTTTCATACCATGGAATCCTGAGTTAACACAAAGTTTGGGAAACAGGGGTACCCTGGTTACAAACCTTTTGTTTGAACTTCTATTATTAAAAATACATTCCAAATCAATGGGTCTGTTTTCTGCCAATAGATAGAATACGCTGAATGAATACTTGATGTGTTGGAGGACACTGAATTTTGCCCTTCAGTGTTCACTGTGTAATTATGTTGATGTAAAATACGTGCCCACCCTTGGGAGGCTGCAAGAGATGATGATTTTGAATAAATTCCATATATGAGCCTCTGACTTTCCCCTTTTTCTTAAAAATGAAGTACTGTAACCTCTATCTTCCCCTTCCCGGCTGCCCGCAAATGTTTTTTATTTGAAGTTGGGGGCTAGTTAGGTTTCAGTTAATTAAAGTTTTAATTGTGTTTGATTCTGCAGCAGATCTGATGTTTACCTGTCTTAGTAATGAAATGCAAAGCGTCATCCTTGAGCTTCCGCTCTTACTGGATGGCAAGGGAAGTACCAGCAACCTCGAGACCTATTAGCCCTGGTTGGTGATTTGTAATATGTTGTTTATTTTTGATGTTATATTCAAATATGAGAAAAGTATTGACTCAAGTTTAATCATCTGAACATTACTCAAGGATTACTATCTTGTATAAAATCTGAGCACTTGGATGTTGCGTGTAAGACATCCCATGTATAAAATGGAGCTACATCATTTCCTCCAGTGCAGAAGATTGAACATAGCAAGTCTGAGGGTTCTCTCCTTAGAAAGTTCTGCTTGCAAGGTTAGCCCTTGGTTGGTGTCTGCAAATTTGGATTTCAGGAGGGTTCTCAGCACTCCCAGACCTAGAAGTGGGGCTCCTGGTGCCTGCATCGTTTGTGGAAACACTGTGGTTGGTGGAAGAAGTCTGACATTTTGGTGTGCTCTAGGCATAGGGTGTCTACCTGAAGAGTCCCCAGTAAAAATCTTGGGCACTGAGGCTCTGAGGCTCTTCCCTTGCAAACAGCACTTCATGTGTGCTGGCAGGATGTGTAGCTGGGGAAGCAAGTGCATTCTGTGTGACTTTCCTGGGTGGGGGCTTGCATCTGGGTTCCTCTGGACTTCACCCCCATGCACCTTTTCCCTCTGCTATTTGTGCTTCATATCCTTTTGCTGAAATAAATCATAGCCATGAGCATGACTGTACGCTGTGTCCTGTGAGTCCTCCTAGTGACTCACTGGGGGTGGTCTTGGTGACCCCTCACATACCTTCCAAAGCTGTTCTGCCTCTTGAATTTTCCTGCCTCCTCAGGTCTTTCTCTTCACCCCAGTACAACCCAGTATCCAAAGTCAGCAACTCAGAATTGTCTTTGATTCTTCCCTTGACTCAGGTACCAACATCCTATTGATTTTGTCTCAGAAGTGTCCTCTTGGGCCCAGGCCCCTGGTGGCCTTTCCTGTTGGCCCAGTCTGGGCCCTCAGCACCTCATCTTCACACTCCCTGCAATAGCTTCTCTGTCTGGTGTTTCTGCCTCCGTTCTCCATTCCAGCCCGTCTTTGATGTAACCATTGTTTAGTCCAAAACCTAGGTTGAGTTGACATTGCCCATGAAATAGAATACAGATGCATCGGGTCGGCGGCTTCATCTGGCCACGGTGCAGGAAGGCAGGGAGAACCCGGATTTGAGTGGTCAGCTCCACCAGTCACTGCTGCGCACAACCAGGCTATATCACCTGTCTGTGCATTAGTGTCCTTGTCTGTATCTGAGGATAAAAACACTGCCTTTCTCATAGGGTTGATGCAAGGATTAAATGAGTGAACATTTAAAATCCTTAGAACACAGCCTGACACATAAAAGGTGCTTGATAACGGTTAGCCAAGATTATGTTTTATAATTATTTCTTGGCATTCTCCCCTCTGGGCTGTGAGCTGCTTCCTGTATTGTGCCTGGCTGTAGCTTTTTAATAACCAATTGCTGAATCAATGAATGAGAGAAAGAAAAAGGGGCCGGGTGTGTTGGCTCACACCTGTAATCCCAGTACTGTGGGAGGCTGAGATGGGTGGATCACCTGAGGTCGGGAGTTTGAGACCAGCCTGGTCAACATGGTGAAACTCCATCTCTACTAAAAATACAAAAATTAGCTGGGCATGGTGGTGGGCACCTGTAATCCCAGCTACTTGGGTGGCTGAAGCAAGAGAATCACTTGAATCTGGCAGGTGGAGGTTGCAGTGAGCTGAGATCACGCCATTGCACTCCAGCCTGGGCAACATGAGTGAAACTCCGCCTCAAAAAAAAAAAAAGAGAAGAAGAAGAAGAAAGAAAAGAAAAAGGGAGGGAAGGAGGGAAGATTAAAACATAGTTACTACTCTAAAGAAACTTACTGGCTAGTTGGGGGATATAAGATGCCCTAATATAGCAGTCCCCAACCTTTTTGGCACCAGGGAGTGGTTTCATGGAAGACAGTTTTTCAGTGGTAGGGGACATAGTTTTGGGATGAAACTGTTCCACCTTGGATCAGGCATTAGTTAGATTCCCATAAGGAGCGCGCATCCTAGATCCCTCACATGTGCAGTTCACAGTAGGGTTTGCACTCCTATGAGAATCTAATGCTGCAGCTGATGGGACAGGAGGGAGGCGAAGTCAGGCAGTAATGCCTGCTCGCCTGCCGCTCACCTCCTGCTGTGCAGCCGGTTCCTAACAGGCCCCGAACTGGTACCATAAGAGGTTCAGGGAAAGGAGGGATTTCTATGGGGGGGGAAAGGAGGTAGGTTCAATTGTTGCAATCAAAGGTGCCAAACTCCTATTTGTCACCATTTCAGATCCCACAGAGAAAGAGGAGTGTCAGGATCCGGTGTGCTTCTAAGAGACAGTCGTATAAGTGAAGTCTTCCTGCGGGACCCTACACTTTACCCCTGCTGAAATTTGCCTTTCCCTCAGGTGACATTTTGAGCTGCTTAACAGGAAACAGGCACTTTCAGAAGTACAATGACTGTCTAATGATTTCTGAGTGATTCCCTCCAGGGTGTCTAGATTTCTTCCTGGCTCTCAGAGGTAGAAGGAACTCTCAGAGGACATTTACCTGTCAGCTCCAGCACTAACACCCAGAACTCTTGCCTTCTAAAACATCGCAGGAAGTGGGGTGGCTGTTCCTGAAGCTGGCATCACTGAGCTGGTAGGAAGAGTTACCTTGAGTGAGCTGCTGTTGAATGTAAAACAGCTGTGCCATGTGCAGATGATTTCATCCTATGAGCTTCCTCACTCACTGTCAGAGGCCAGGCTTTATAAAGTATTGTCAATTGCTTTTACTGTTTTACTTATTTTTTGTTTTTTTGCATTAGGTACCCACTAAAGTCACCTGTCAAACTACATCTTGAAGCCAATTGCAGTCTTGAAATCCTGCTTTGTGGTGCAGGTTCTACTGCATAGAATGTTATATGAGTTAGCTCCTGCTGCTGATCAAACACCTCAAATTAATGGCTTAAAAGAATCATCATTGGTGGCCGGGTGTGGTGGCTCACTCCTGTAATCCCAGCACTTTGGGAGGCCAAGGCTGGCAGATCACCTGAGGTCAGGAGTTCAAAACCAGCTTGGCCAACATGGCGAAACCCCGTCTCTACTAAAAATACAAAAAGTAGCCAGGCGTGGTGATAGGCCCCTGTAATCTAGCTACTCGGGAGGCTGAGGCAGGAGAATCACTTGAACCTGGGAGGTGGAGGTTGCAGTGAGCCAAGATCGCACCATTGCACTCCAGCCTGGGTGACAGAGCAAGACTCCATCTCAAAAAAAAAAAAAATTCATCATAGGCTGGGCGCAGTGGCTCATGCCTGTAATCCCAGCACTTTGGGAGGCTGAGGTGAGAGGATCACTTGAGCCCAGGAGTTCGAGACCAGTCTGGGCAACATAATGAGACTCCATCTCTATATTAAAAAAAAAAAAAAAAGTAGTTGGACATGGTGACACGTGTCTGTAGTCCTAACTATTCAGGAGACTGAGGTAGGAGGATTGCTTGAGCCTGGGAGGTCGAGGCTGCAGTGAGCCATGATCTAGCCTTGGTGACAGAGTGAGACTCAAAAAAGAAGAAGAAGAAGAATCATTGTTTGCTCAGCAGTTCTGTATGTTGGCTCAGCTTGAATGGCTCATCTCTATTCCTTGTGGTGTTAGCTGGGCTCCCTTGTATATTTGGACCTCAGCTGGGATGTCTGGGACAGCTGGGGCCTGTCTCTGTGGGGTCTCACATCCTTCAGGAAGCGATTCCAAGCTTTTTCACTTGATGGCAGAAGGGTTCCCAGCAACAAGAGAAAGCAAGCCCCAATACACAATACGCAACAGTTTCTCCTTGTGTCATATTTGCTAATGTCCTATTGGCTGTAGCAAGTCAAGAGGCCAAGCCAGATTCCTTTTGGCGGGGACCACAGGAGGGTGTGGGTACAGGAAAGCATGATTGTCATGGGCCATTGCTGCAGTAGTTTATAACAAGGAGTTTATCTAGGATCTTGGGAGAAGGGAAAGCAGCATCATTCTTTAGAGAGTTGCCTGGGATAGATGCAGCCAGTGGTTAGAGAGCTCCACTCACCATCTGCATGGGCCCCTTTAGCCCCACTTCCCTCTGTGACCAGCAGCTACACATAAGCTTAAGCCATCTGGCTCACAGATTGATGGGCACTCAGTCCCACAGGAGCCACCAGGAGAATATGGCTGGATCAGCACAAATCTGATGTTAATGCTAGAAAAGGAACTCAGAGCTGGTATGCAATATAGCCCACGCAGATCTTTCGGCAGAGTGACATCTAAAATTCCCTGCAGTTTTCTCAGCCTGCCCTGAGTCTGAGCTGCATATTCATTCTGTTCGACAGCAATTCTGGGGTCTGCCTGTTCTTTGTTCCTCTAACCGTGCTGTGGACAACATTCTGAGGACAGCAAAGCCATGGAGGAGAGTTCGGGGAAGGGGGAGAATCAAAGACATGCCTACGAGACTGGACACCCAGATTCGTTAGTTGGGTTTGCTGCCCTTGCCTTTGATCTCCTGTGCAAGTGGAAGGGTGAGCTGATGGACTATTGACGCCTGGCTTCATCCTCGTTGTAACGATCTTATTTTCACTGTATATCCTTTCAGGGTTATGCCGACGTTAAAGATTTTATTTAGCAATTATTTGTGCTATCTCATCAAGATATTGCTGTGTGATGCTGCACCAAGAGACAATAATTCAGGAAATGATTTTAAGATCAGAAAGGTGTTTGGATTTAGAGTCTAGAATGAGTAGGAGAAGGAATAAAAAGGATCGATGGTCTTTGTGCCCTAGAATGATGCTGGGCCCTGGGCATCAAAGACACATTTATCACCCCCTTCTCTTTGTTTGTCTGAGCCAGGTGATATGGAGGGGGCTGATCTGGTATCAAAGAACATCTATCAAGTGCATTTAGGAAAATAATTCAAGGAGATGACTAGGCTTTCTGAGACATGATTACTGGGGAGGTGACCTTTATTGCAAGCCGTGAAGAGTAATTAAATTTGAGCAAGAAAGAAATTTCCATTCTTTTAGGCTGAGTTTATGAGAGTGTCTCAGATTAAGCAAATTCAACTGTCTTGGTCACTGAAAATCTCTTACTCTGTTGGGATTTTTGAAGGTTCTCGGTTAGCTAACATCAACATCATTGAGAAAGATGGCTTCAGTGACTGTGTCTGTATGTTTGTGCATACACGTGTGGCCTAGTAGGGAAACACAAGCAGAGCTCCACACCACCCTGTCCATCTCATGTCTGTCTTTTCCCAGTTTGAGATCCACAAACTGAGCTCATCTTGGCCACCATGGTGTCCCTAAGACTTTGTGTGTTGCACGACACTTATTAAGCACTTAAGAAGTCTTTGTTGAATGAATGAATCAAGAAAATCTGGAAGAGGAATTTTCTAAAAGTATCTTTAGTTGACAGTTTTTCTGGAATTAACCTAGACATTTTAATGGTCACAGAACAATGACTGATGATGTCATTTAAGTTCTTTTGGTTGAGCTGAGATAAGAAATGAAGCTGACAAAACAAGTGACCAGAGTTAAATTTATACACTATTAAAAACAAGTAAACACTCACTGCCAAAGACCCACACTCCTGAATGACTTAGATTACCAGCCTAGTGTAGTAAAATATTTATCGTTTTGTAGTGTATTAGTATTTTCCCAGAATTAAAATAGCTTATTGTATTTTCTAATTATTAAGTCAATATATACTCATGTAGAATGGTCAAACAATAAAACAGTTTAAAGAACTGAATAAAAGTATCCCTACTTCTGTGTTGTTACATTTTAAGAAAAATTTTTAAAATTTTCTTTTTAATTCTTAATTGTGGTAAAATACCCATAATGTAAAATGTACTTTTAATCACTTTTAAGTATAGTTCAGTAGGGTTAAGTATATTCACACTGTTGTGCAACCAATCTCTAGAACTTTCTGCAAAACTGATACTCTCCAACTCCCCCTTTCCCCCTCTCTCCAGCTCTGGGCAACCACCATTCTACTTTCTGTTTCTACGAATTTGACTACTCTGGGTACCTCATATATATGGAATAATATAGTGTTTGTCCTTTTGTGACTGGCTTCTTTCACTTAGCGCAGTGTCCCCAAGATTCATCCATGTTGTAGCATGTATCAGTACTTTTGCCCCTTTCAAGGCTGAGTAATACTCTCTTGTATGTATGTATAATACCACATTTTGTTTATCCATTCGCCATCGAGGGACATTTGGGTTGCTACTGTGAATACTGCTGCTGCTGTGGACATTGGTATTGGAATATCTTTTCACATGTGACTTTACCCACACAAACTTTACTTGTGCCTGAGCTCATACTGCATGTGCTGCGTCATACAGTAGTATACATGGACTTCGTCTCTTGTCAATTCTTTTTTTTTTTTTTTAAGACAGCATCTTGCTCTGTTGCCCAGGCTGGATGCAGTGCCATGATCTCGGCTCACTGCAACCTTCTCCTCCCAGGTTCAAGCGATTCCCCTGCTTCAGCCTCCCGAATAGCTGGGATTACGGGCATGCGCCACCACGCCCAGCTAATTTTCGTATTTTAGGAGAGAAGGGGTTTCACCATGTTGGCCAGGCTGGTCTTGAACTCCTAACCTCAAGTGATCCCCTGCCTCTCAAAGTGCTGGGATTACAGGTGTGAGCCGCTGCGCCCGGCAGTCTTGTCAGTTCATATGGATACACAGTACTCTTTTTTTACTATGTGTGCAATGTCCCCTTGTATGGATTCATCTGTTTGTGGCTGGACATTTTGGTTGTTTTCCATTTCTTTATGTTATGCCTCAGTAAACATGCAGAGACTTAGACCTTTGCACCCTTGCCTGGTAATAAAAATCCTAACAGTTGGGTCTTAGGCTGGATTCTCTAGAAGCAGAATCTGAGACAGGGACTTGGTTGTGAGTGATTTGCTGAGGGACTGTTCTAGAGTTGTCCTCTTTGGGACAAAGCGACAGGGCTTTTGTACTATCAGTCATTTATCTTGTAATCCCAGGCCTCTTGAGACCTTCAGCGAAAAGGATTTCTGTAGAAGGTGGTGGTTGTGAGCTTACAGGGCAGTCGGTAGTGGGGGCAGCCTCTAACACAGAGGATATGGGTTGAGGTATCACTGCGAGTGCTCATAACCTCTGTGGTCCTGTCTTTAGGCCTGGTGCTATGCTAAGTACATAAATGCAGTTCTAACAGTCCAATGTTGTAGGGGCTAGTAGTATATATCTACTCTACAAGTAACTTTCCCAGGGTCTACCAGCTAGCAAGGTGTGGTGGGATTGTAAGACACACTCAGGTCTGTCCAGTATTAAAGCCCGAGTCCTTTTATTGGTGGGCTGTAGAATGTAAAGTTTAATTCCTAGAAGCTGAATTTATGGACCAAGGAGATAGACATATTTATCCCAGTTTCTTTCCCTACCCCTTCTCCAAGTTATATCAACTTAGATGTCCTGTGATATTATATTTGACTGTTCTCCTGTCATCCCTGGGTCTTGTCAGTTTTTTAAGTATCTGCTAATCCAATTGATAGAGATTTTTTTTTGGCTTGATTTTCCTTACTTTTACAATTGCTGAGGCTGACACCCTTGCCCGTGTGGATTGGCCAGCTGTATTCTTCTCTTAAGGCCCAGTTTTTAGTCCGAGGGCCTTGGCTTCTTTTTTTTTTTTTTTTTGAGACCGAGTCTTGCTCTGTCACCCAGGCTGGAGTACAGTAGTGCAATCTCGGCTCACTGCAATCTCTGTCTCACAGGTTCATGTGACTCTCATTCCTCAGCCTCCCGAGTAGCTGGGATTACAGGTGCCCGCCACCACACCCAGCTACTTTTTGTATTTTTAGTAGAGATGGGGTTTCACCATGTTGGCCAGGCTGGTCTCAAACTCCTGACCTCAAATGATCCGCCTGCCTCGGCCTCCCCAAGTGCTGGCATTACAGGTGTGAGCCACTGTGCCCGGCTGGCCTTCACTCATTTTTGATGGTTCTTTGCATCCGGGTTTGAATTGTCCTAATCTCCCCCATGGATTTGAATGCTGCATTTATAGTACACTCGTTTTGCACCAGTGCTTTGTTCTATTTCTAGATTTCACAGAGGTAGGTGTGTAGTTGTTTTTGTTTGTTTGTTTGTTTGTTTTTTGAGACGGAGTCTCGCTCTGTCACCCAGGCTGGAGTGCAGTGGCGTGATCTCAACTCACTGCAACCTCTGCCTCCCAGGTTCAAGCGATTCTCCTGTCTCAGCCTCCTGAGTAGCTGGGACTACAGGCAAGTGCCACCATGCCCGGCTAATTTTTTGTATTTTTAATAGAGACGGGGTTTCATCCGGTTAGCCAGGATGGTCTTGACCTCCTGATCTTGTGATCCGCCCACCTTGGCCTCCCAAAGTGCTGGGATTACAGGCATGAGCCACTGCACCCGGCCACAGGTATCTAGTTTTATGCTAGTATCCCATCCTTTTGATTGCCATACACCTTTTTTTTTTTTTTTTTTTTTTGAGGCCGAGTCTCGCCTTGTCGCCCAGGCTGGAGTGCAATGGCGTGATCTTGGCTCACTGCAACCTCCGCCTCCCAAGTTCAAGTGATTCTCCTGCCTCAGCCTCCCGAGTAGCTGGGATTACATGCACATGCCACCATGCCTGACTAATTTTTTGTATTTTTAGTAGAGACAGGGTTTCACCATGTTGGCCAGGCTGGTCTCGAACTCCTGACCTGGCCTCCCAAAGTGCTGGGATTACAGGTATGAGCCACCGCACCGGCCCGATACACCTTATTTTTTAAAAGATACAAGGTATTTTTAAAGATCTTTTTTTTAAAAGATATAAGATTTTTTTTAAAAGATGTCAGGTTTTTTTTTTTTTTTTAGACGGAGTTTCGCGATTGTTGCCCAGGCTGGAATGCAATGGCGCGATCTTGGCTCACCACAACCTCTGCCTCCCGGGTTCAAGTGATTCTTCTGCCTCAGCCTCCTGAGTAGCTGAGATTACAGGTGTGCTCTGCCACGCCCGGCTAATTTTGTATTTTTAGTAGAGATGGGGTTTCTCCATATTGGTCAGGCTTGTCTCAAACTCCTGACCTCAGGTGATCTGCCTGCCTCGGCCTCCCAAAGTGCTGGGATTACAGGTGTGAGCCACAGTGCCTGGCCAAAAGATATAAGGATTTTTCATGTCAACTAGATGCTAACTAAAGGGTTGCCGAGTGTAGAATGCTGATAGGCCGTCCAGCCCCAAATAAGACTAGGTAATAAGGCTCTTTTATAGTAGTTAGTGTGGTATATATGGTGCCCAAATGCTAGCAGGTACTTTTCTTAAGCAGAATCCCTGTTTCTCTTTTCATCCTTGTCTGTAATAATTCCATTTGCATGATGGACCCTTTTGTTAAAGGCAGTGGAAGAGGTAACCTTGAGCTTCGTCTCCATTTGAATTCATTATCAGTGGATTCATTAGTAGTTGTCTTTGCGACTGAGAGAAAGATGACTCAAAGTGGCTTTCGTGCCAATGAAAATCGGGCAGCTTTATCCAACTGGAAAGTCCAGGAGTAGGTCTAACTTTGGACAAAGACATGAAGCTGTGACTTCCTGGCTGCAGGTCAGCCGAGCCGCTCTCTCCATCCTTCAGAATCTCTTCTCTGTGTTGGCTTGGTTCTTAGGCACTCTGTCGCCTCGTGGAGGCAGGATGGCTGCCCGACCCCCTGTGAGTCCCTGCAGGTTCAAGTCCAGTGAAAAAAGAGAAGATCTCCTCCCACAAAATTCAGACCTGACTGCCATTGACCTAAAGCCATATCCCCCTCCCTAAGCTATTCATTGTAGCAGAGGATGGTGTACATTTTTTGACTTGTGGCTGGTATTATGCCCACTCTGCACTAGGGTGCTGGCACCCAGGGGAATTTAGAGAGCCGTTGCTGGAGGGAATGGGTGCTCGCTGGCCAGGAGCATTGGTCACTGTCCCCACCCCCGCATGGGTAGGATGGCACTTAGCGACGTTCTATTTTCACACAGAGAAGAGTTCATACTGTCAGGCTTAGATACAGACCTGTTTTTAGAGATCTGGGCTTGCCCAGTCTTGGTGACTTAAGGCAGCGGAAACTCCTCTTTCAGGTAGGTCTGTGACTGCAGACTGAGAGCCCCAGGCAGCCAACGCCATCGGTCACTCTTGGCAGAGCTTAATTGGGTTTTCATTACTAAGTGAGATTCTTTTTACTGAGTGAGGTGAGGCTCAAGCCTGCCATTTCAGCATTAAACCAGAAAATGGTTCCGTCGCACCCCTGTGGGAATCTGCTGTAGAGGCCGGGCCTTGGCTGGCTGTGGAAGGGTTAAAACGCACACCCAGAGGGCAGAGAGCAGACTCCAGAGACCCCCCTGGGCTAAAGTGCATCTCCCCCTCAGCCTCTGCCTTGGTTTTGCTGTTGCTCCAATGGTTAGTTATACCCAGTTAACGAAGTGTTCAGATTCCTTTTTCTTTGCTTAAAGCACAGACTTTTCTGTGAAATCTGCTTCCCCCATTTTCTTGTTTATAAATTTTTAATTCTAATACCAGAGGCCACCCGTGTCATGGAAACAGCGGTGACCTGGTTTCCAGGTGCCCCTCTGCGCCTGCCCAGTGAGTGACTGTGGGTGAGTCCTGGAACACACCTCCCCTAACCCCAATCTCGTGTTCCGATGGGTAAAGAGAAGTGGTGGCACGTGGCAACTCCTGGAGGCTTGGAAATGGGGTCCTAGAATATTAATCCAAAGTGGCTGCAGGGTGCGCCAAGTCCAGCCATCACACTTAACGGAGGAGAGGCCCTGGAGAGATTGAATGGCCTGTAAGCTGTGATGTTGAAGGGAGACCCTCAAACCTGGTGTATCGTAGTTTGGATTTCTGAATATAAAGAGCATTTAAACTACTACAAGGAAAAATAAAAAAACAAACAAAGAGACAGTTTTATAGTCATCAAGGAAATCCCATACACAGGCCCCAGACCACCGTGCGGCCAGGCCTCAAGGGAACTAGTGCCTGGAACAGGAGACCCCTCAGGCTGCAAGAGCTGTCCCCAGGGGCTTCAGATACCTGTTCCTCTGTCCTCCTCTGCCTGGGTTCCATTAGCCTCTGCAGGAACCAGGCTCCCCTGCTGTGCTTACCTGTCCTTCGCTGCCTCCTTCCATTTGTTCACAGTGTGTTACATCTGCTCAGGCCACAGCTGCTTTCTGGCCTCCTAGCAGCTTCTCCTTTCTCTACCTCCTCCTTAAAGAATCTACTCATTTAATTCTAGTCTTGGGGACTCTGAATGACTCAGCTTCTCTTTTTGAGCCAGGCCAACTAGGCCATAGGTTACTTGAACTCCTATGTTTTGTGTCCAGTTCTGGGGCCAGATTCTGCTTCTTCCCGTAGTATGTGGCCACGGATGTGGGTTCAGGCGTTATAAGGACAGTGTGGGCCAGGAGCTCCCAAAGACCCGCAACTTCACCAGGTATCTTCATTCACAGAATGACACCTTTCCCCAGGTACAGCCTGAAGACAGTGGGATTATTTTCAGAGTAGACTGGAGACCCATAGTGGCCACAGCAAGTGCGTGCATCTGCACAGAACGGTGCGGGACATCTCGAACAAATTCCAGAAGATTCGAGCTCATTTTAGGAGAGCTAATTCCATCCTGCAGGATTAGGGACAGAAATATACAATTTTTTCATTTGTCTTCTTTTTGTTTGTCTGTTTGTTCATTTGTTTTGAAACAGGGTCTCACTCTGGCACCCAGGGTGGAGTGCAGTGGTACAGTCTCTGCTCACTGAAGCCTCACCTCCCAGGTTCAAATGATTCTCGTGCCTCAGCCTCCCGAGTAGCTGGGATTATAGGCGGGTGCCACCACGCCTGGCTAAACTGTGTATTTTTGGTAGAGACAGGGTTTCACCATGTTGCCCAGGCTGGTCTTGAACTCCTGACCTCAGATGATCCGCCCACCTCGGCCTCCCAAAGTGCTGGGATTACAGGTGTGAGCCACTGCTCCCGGCCTAATTTTTCATTTTGATGTTATTTTCATGCTCTTCTTCCAAAAATGCAAATACTGACAAAACTTGAAGATCTTTGTTCTTTTCTTTATGTCGGTGCAGAGTGTACAAAAGTTACCTATATCGGGCACACATTGAAATTTGCATTAGCAGAGACTGCTATAGGATTTACTTATGAGTGATTCTGAAAGGTTAAGAATGGCACTTTTTCTAAGCTTTGGTTGAGGTTGGGATTGGGAAGGATGGTTCCTCTCACCATGGTTATGCAAAAACTATGGGTTGTAATAGGATGCAAACACGTGTCTCCCAAGAATAAGCAGAGGTGCAGGCTGCCAACGAGCTTTAAGAAATACTGTGGCTCGGTAAATGGAGAACCGAAGGGAGAGAGGGTAGCAAAAGCAAAGAGACCTTTGGTGTTTCCGACTTTCACGAGAGCCTGTCCAAATTTTCATCTGCATCAGCACTTTTCTAGCAAAGTTCACCGGCCATCCAGCATTATCTGGTGGGCGGCCTTATTTACACACATATATATAATTGATTCCATATTCCTCTCAGACCTACAAACAGTACCCATGTTTGTTTTTAATAACCAGAATTATTTCAGCTTAAAAAAAGGTGTAGATTTACATAGACAGTCTGATGAGTGCCTCAGATTGTTCCATTAGTAACACAGAGGAGAAACAATCTTAAGAAAAACATTTTGAATTTGTGTGTGGAGGTGGAGAGAGGATTGGGTTAGTGAAATCAGAAAGCTTCCAAGTAATGATTATTACATTTAATAATAATTAGATTAGCGTTCCACAGGGACTGTTTTCTGGAAATTTTGGTAGGACAGTCACTGAGTAACACACACACTCAGAGCAACCTAGGTTTCAGGCCATTGGGTGGGACATGGCCTATTTGCTTTGTTTTGGTCGCGTTTAAAGTTAATCCAAAATCAATTTCTTTTTCAAGATTAAAATGTCACTACTCTGTCTTCCACTTCAGGCTTCTGCAAACTTTTTCTATGAAGGGTCATGTAGTAACTGTTTAGCACAAAATAGACGTACACATAAACAAGTGAGTGTGTTGTGTCCCAATAAAATGTTATTTATGGCATTGAAGTTTGAATTTCATATAATTTTCACTTGTCAAGAAATAATATTCTTCTTTTGATTCTTTTTTCCCTGACCATTACCAAATGTCAAAGCCATACTTAGCTTCCAGCTAGTACAGTTTGGTTCATAATTTGCCAACCCCCGTCCTAGTTCTGACTTTGTAGTCAGAATTTTGTCTTTTGGGGAGAAAACTCCACTTTGCATATGAAGGAGAACCAAAATGGGCCGGGCGCGGTGGCTCACGCCTGTAATCCCAGCACTTTGGAAGGCTGAGGCGGGCGGATCACGAGTTCAGGAGATTGAGACCATGCTGGCTAACACAGTGAAACCCCGTCTCTACTAAAAATACAAAAAAATTAGCCGGGCGTGGTGGTGGGCGCCTGTAGTCCCAGCTACTCAGAGGCTGAGGCAGGAGAATAGCGTGAACCCAGGAGGCGGAGCTTGCAGTGAACCGAGATGGTGCCACTGTACTCCAGCCTGGGCAACAGAGCAAGACTCCGTCTCTCCGTCTCAAAAAAAAAAAAGAGAACCAAAGTGTGTGTGTGTGTGTGTGTGCATGCGTCTGTGTGTCTGTGAGTGTGTGTGTGTGTGTTGAGCTTTTCTGTTTCTTCAGCTCCCCTCTTGGGGATGAAGCAGGGTCTCTAGACATTAGAACTCCGGTTGTTGGAGCCTGCCACCAGCAGTTTAGTGCTGATGGCAAGGAGGCTCGCCTCAGGGACTGAAAAACTCTTCTCCACACAGAGAATTCTAAATGACTCTTGAAATAGAGGGAATTGAGAATGCAGACAAAGGCAGAAACTTGAGAGGAAAGCTGCTGAGCATTATATGCACATAGCTCTGTAAGGGTTGTGAAAATGGTGGTGGTGTTCTCATAATTTCTTTGCAAATATATATGTATTTTAAAAGGCTTAGGTCTCTCAGCTGCTTCTTTTCATCCTTATTCTTAGAGAAGTAGGCAAAAGACATGCTTCCACAAATTATAAACACCTGGTTTTGTTTAGTATCCTATTGAGGGAAATTAGGAAAGTTGCAGAAACATTCAGTTTTCCTAAATTGTTTTACAAAACCTGTGACAATGCACTGCAGACATATGCATTGTATTTAGTTAGATCCGTTTAATAAGAATCATTCTTATCAGGGCACCTCCCAAATCCTTCATAAATATAAGGCTTTTAAATATTTGTCTCCTTTTATAATTAGTCTAGATTTAGCAGTGGGTCTTCCTGATTTGGGAGGAAGCATGCTTCATGGTTGCCTGGCAACAGCTAATCGTGGTATTAGGGGCCAACAAAACAGTTGGCAGAAACTGTAAATTCTTTTGTCTTGTTAACAAAAAATGATAGTTAAAGATACAGCAGTATGTTAAGTCTGTTCTGTTGTTCAAACATATAACTTACGTGATAAATTCCTATGCTAATATAACCTCAGTGTGCTGCTCAAATTTATAGCTTGTTTAGAGAACCTGCTCACTTCGTACTTGGGTCACATGTCATCTGCTCATGGTACTGAAACTCATCGGGTAGGACAGTGATGTCATAGAGGCGTCCTTTTCTCAAGGGCTCTTAAGATGAATCTGAGGTTTTTGTTGAACGATGGGTTCTGAAACATATGTGAAGCTCCAGCATAAACGTCTGAAGTCAGGATTCTGGTTCTTAAGCAGGAGCCGCGAGTTCACCATCGATGACCTCAGTTCCCATCTCCTAGTGGCCCTCAGTGGGTACAGACACCAGCACCCGGCCTGTGTGATCCGTCCTGGTGCTGGCCAGGCCTTCCTCTCGTCCCCTCCAGATCAGCCGGGCTCAGCGTAAGTTTTCTAGGACAACTTCGTAAAATGAATTCTCATTTCATAAGCAAATATAGTGTGAGTCATGCTTTGGCCACATAGAATTAAGAAGGAAGAAAAAACACTATTTATTTGGTTGGTACTTTTTTTTTTTTTTTTTTTAAGAAACTACACTGTATTCCAGATTTGTCCGCAGATCACTGTCAGCTTCCTCTCCTCTGGGTATATGTTTTTAAAGGACGTTGTCTATTATGGGTCAGGGTCCCCCGCTCCACCAGGCACTTCGGTGTGTATTTTCTCACTTAACTCCCAGCTCTGTGCAGAAGGTCTGGGAGACACCAGTGCTTAAGCCAAGTTTTATGGGGGCCAGACGAGGAGCAGCCGGGTTGAATGCCCAGGTTTTCTCTGGTTTCCAAGCCCATACTCTGCTTTATCCTTAGTTTTGGGCCCAGTTTTCAGAACACATCCAGAATCATCCATTTGCCCAGCAAACCAACATAAGGTATCAAATGAATGGCCAAGATGTTGAATGTATTTCATCCTTTGTTTCCTTGATTTCTAAAAAAACAGCCCTTAGATATTTTTAACAGAATTTTTAAAAAGCACCCCCTGTTGTCTAAGTTCTCTTTTCTATATGATCTTTGCCGCCTCTCCTGCCCCCACCTCCACCATAGTCAGAAATCTCACATCTCAACAAACATCTCTCTCCTGTCTTCACCGCGGTTCTGCTCACAGCCACTTTCCCCTTCAAACTGGACATTTTGGATTTTCCCTGCTAACCTTACCGCCCCTTCCCGCCCCTTCCCGGGCTCCAGCTCAGCAGGAAGAAATGTCGTCAGCAGAGGCTGCAAACCCAAGCCTGTCCCTTTTCAGTGGTATTTTTACTACGAGCTGAACTACTTCAGCATCATGTAAACACGCTGGAGTGTGTTCACAGCTGCCTCTCTTTTAAAGTTGAACCAGCTCAGAACTAAAAGGGGAACTGCTTTCAGGTTCTGTTCAAGTTTGCATGTGACAGCATCAAAGCTATTTTTAGCAGAGTGATCACCGGCAAGAAGCTGGAAACGGCTGCCTTCAACTATCAACAGTGGAAAGAAAGGATCATTTATGGACTGCTGCAGCTCTTGAGTCCATTTATATGGGAGACACAGGGGTGTGTAAATCTCTTCTTCAAAGTTACAAGGCGTCTTGTCCCCCATCACCTTTGCAGAGACAGGGCAGTGTTAATTTAGTGCTTGGTTGCCTGGGCTCCAAGTTAAAGTAGATACACTGATAATAGTGAATTATAGGACTGTCCTCAATGTCTGTTCTGAGAAGAAGGCGATGTATAGATGCTCAGAAACATCCATTAAACTTTTGAAGTGTTTGTATTGTTTCTTCAGTTTTCCTTTTCTTTTCTGTAGATCACCAAACTCAAGAGACAGCAGGAAACGGGAGGTAGTTATGTAAGCATCATGGCAATGAAGAGAGCATGAGTCACTTACTAGCCATGCGACCCTCATTAAGTGACTTTTCCTTTCTGAATTAAGTGTTCTTAGCTGCAAAATGAGGATCATAATACCAGCCCTATATACTTTATAGGGCTAGTTTTTTTTTTGTTTTTTTTTTTTAGCAGATGTTTATTGAACACCTACTCCATGCCAGCTCCTGGGGACATGAGCTGAATCAGATCGTCAGTGTCTTCAGAGAGCTCACAGTCTAGCTCCATAAATAACTAACTTATAATACCCTGTGTTTCATGGAAAGGAGACAGCATAAGACAGATAGGATCTGCTCTCAGCATGGAGGGAGGCAGGAAGAAGACAGGAGGAGCAGTATTTTCAAGACAGCATAAAAGTTTGCAAAGAAAACAAGGGAGTGAGGGACATTCCAAGCAGGGGCAACTGAGTAGCAATGACAGAGGTCAAAGGCGCTCTGGTGTCTCCAAGGGACCATGAGCAACTTGGTATTGTCAGAGCGAAAAAAACTAAAAGACAAGGGGTGGCAGGAGAAGCTGGAGCAAGTGGAGCCAATTGTTTAGTGCTAAAGAACCTGGAAGTGGCACAGGTCACAGGGAGCCAGGAGTCATTTTGAGCACACGATTGACTGGATTATACACAAATTAAAGTGGAGTCATTGCTAGCAAAAGTCCCTGAATCTGTGTATATGAAGTGGTAGCAGTTTAGTGCAGGCAAAGAATGCCCTACACATAAAGTGTCCTCCCTGGAAAGGCTAAGCTGTAGCACAGTACTAAAACTTGGTGGCCTGTGACTCCTTTGAACAATGCCTTTGAAGAGGGCGGAGGTGGGCAGCCTTTGAAGAGGGTGGAGGTGGACAGAGAAGGGCAGATGAAAGGGAGAGAAGTAGCATACCTTCTCAGACCCGATTGGTACTGGGCTCTGCAAGTGGCTTTGGAGGATAAGTCACATCCTTCAGGAGCTTTCAGGCCAGGTAGCATTGAAGAGGAAGGCACGAGCCTTGGCAGCGGTGTGTGGCCTGTGTGTGCTCAGGGGACTTGCAAAGGTGAGCCCAATGACCCAGCACCAAGAAGCACAGCCCATGTGTGTGAGTCAGTTTCCTCCAAAGGTTTCAGGAGGCTAAGGTTTTTCGGGTTATGTTTAAAGCTTCAATTGTGTGGTCCTCTTTATTCGCCATAGGAATTCAAAGAAGAGGGAAGCACAGAACAAAACAAAGTAAAACAAAGCAAAACCCTCACAATCATACGTAACTGTTTACACCCAGAAAGAAAGGTGCTGAGAAGGCATGGTGTGCTACCACATTTTGTAAAGCTTGATGGACACACCCTCATAGTTACATAACTATGGCCAAGAAGTGACATTACTCTTTTGAAACTATGTTCTCTTCGAATTTAATGCTATCATGGAAGTTCAGCAACATTATTTGCCTCAGTTCACTTCCAGGAGAGGAATAGATGTTTCTATAGTTTTTCTCGAAGCATCGAATGGGTATTAGGTACTAGGTGTGTAAGAATCAGTTTCTTCGGCTCCAGCCCATGTGATGGTGGAAGAAAACCAACGCACTTGGCCTTCCCAACCATTTCGTTTTGGGTTTTCCTGAGCTACACTATGTGGGGAGGGACTGAGAGAGGGACACGTGGGACAGTTTGCGAACAGCAGAGAGTCACAAGCAAGGAAAAGGTTGGTACAGGTGGTGAGGGAGGTGGCCAGAGGTCACCGGGAAAGGAGTGAGTAGACAGGGTACCTTTGAGGTCGGGCCGGGCCTTTCTGCTCAGTTGGAAGTATCAGGACAAAGACATGGTTAAGGCGCTGATGCCCATCACAGTACTTTGTTGCCTTGGGAGACAGAAGAGATTACTTTTTGGAATTTTTTTTTTATTTTGAGACAGAGTCTCACTCTGTAGCCCAGGCTGGAGTGCAGTGGCATGATCTCGGCCCACTGCAACCTCTGCCTCCCGGGTTCAAGCAGTTCTCCTACCTCAGCCTCCCAAGCAGCTGGGATTACAGGAGCCTGCCACTGCACCCAGGTAATTTTTGTATATTTAGTAGAGACGGGCTTTCACCATGATGGCCAGTCTGGTCTTGAACTCCTGACCTCGTGATCCATCTGCCTCGGCCTCCCAAAGTGCTGGGATTACAGGCGTGAGCCACCGAGCCCCACCACATTTTTTTTTAAGATGGGGTATCACTCTGTCACGCAGTCTGGAGCGCAGTGGCATGATCATGGCTCATGGCAGCCACAAGTTCCTGGGTTCAAGTGATCCTCCCATTTCAGCCTCCTGAGTAGCTGGGACTGCAGGTGCGTGCCACCACACCTGGCTAATTTTTTTTTTTTTTCTTTTGTAGAGATGGGATCTCCCTATGTTACCCAAGCTGGTCTCAAACTCCTGGGCTCAAGCAGTCTTCCTGCCTCAGTCTCCCAAAATGGTAGGATTATAGGCATGTCTTACATTTTGGAAATTTAAAATCACTTTGTCACTTTGAAGCCAACCATAAATAGATGTAATAAACCATAGGAAAAATGTTTTATAAAAAATAAACATCTGAGGCTGGGTGCAGTGGCTCATGCCTGTAATCCTAGCACTTTGTGAGGCCAAGCCAGGCAGATCACTTGAGGTCAAGAGTTTGAAACCAGCCTGGCCAACATGGTGAAACCCCGTCTCTACTAAAAAAAAAAGCAAAAAAATTAGCCGGGCATGGGGACAGGCACCTATAATCCCAGCTACGTGGAAGGCTGAGGCAAGAGAATCGCTTGAACCTTGGAGGCGGAGGTTGCAGTGAGCCGAGATTGTGCCACTGCACTCCAGCCTGAGCAACAGAGCGAGACTCCATCTCAAATAAATAAATAAACAAATGAACAAACAAACATCTGCACTATTACATACAACTGTAGCAATTGAGTGCCCAGATTAGGTCTTCCTGATACAGCATTTAGATCGAGGTGTCCCTTCTATGTCATCAGCTTTCCAAAATCAGTGTTTATGTCTCTCATCTTCGTGGTGGACTATGGGATGGGACTAGCTGTCAAAGGGAGGAAATGAATAATCAAGGGAAATCACAATTTCTCCACAAATAGGTTATTTTCTTGTCTGTGACTGGTTTTCAGCATCATAGGAAGTACCGGGAGCCAGACTGTCAAAAACTTGGATTAAAACATATACATTTCTTGGCTGGGCACAGTGGCTCACGCCTGTAAACCCATCACTCTGGGAGGCCGAGGCAGGTGGATCACCTGAGGTCAGGAGTTCGAGACCAACCTGGCCAACATAGTGAAACCCTGTCTCTATACAAATAGAAAAATTATCTGGGCATGATGGCGGGTGCCTGTAATCCCAACTACTTGGGAGGCTGAGGCAGGAGAATCACTTGAACCTGGGAGGTAGAGGTTGCAATGAGCCAAGATCATGCCATTGCACTCCAGCCTGGATGACAGAGCGAGGCTCCATCTCAAAAAAAAAAAAAAAAAAAAGTACATTTCTTGATCTCGCTTGAAATCCTGAAAGATAAATAGGTCATAGTGACTTTTGCCTTTATTATTGAGGTACTTCTGCTGAATGTTGTATCAGTTCATGGAGTAATGAGGGAATTGTGTTACTCACATTATATAATGGGCAGTGTGTAGTTGTTGGTCACCACCTCAAAATGATGCTGCTGTGCTGGGACAGAAGATGCAAGTGTGGCCAGCCTTCTTGCTTCCTTGCGATTCAGTTCAAGTTGAAATGATATTTTTACTCACCATGTGTTTGCTCTTGATGGAGGGGATTTTAGATAAGCTTTTGCCACTGTCTTTGGATCAAGCACCCTGGCCATACTAACATTGTCTAGTCCTCAGCTGGTTCCACCTGTTGCACTGGTGCCATTTGTACCATTGTCAAGACCTCCGTGAAACTGTTGCCAAAGGAAGGAGGGAGTGGCTGGGCTTCCTCAGTCTCAGAGTCCCTCCAGTCCAGACTTGGCCACCTGGTCCCTCTCTGGGGTCAGCACGGCCAAAGTGGGAGGTGTAGAAGGTATCCCCGGGCCACCTTCTATCATCTCCATCTCTGAGGCAAGCTGCTCCTTGAGGGACTTGGCTTCCGTATTTGGGGATCAGTGAGGCTGAGATGGAGAGATTCCATGGGATAGAGCAAAGCCTCCAGGTTTCAGCTCCTCAGGAGTGCACCAAAGAGAAGATATTGAAGGGCTGCTGAATTAGTCTGTTCTCATGCTGCTGATAAAGACATCCAAGACTGGATAATTTGTAAAGGAAAGAGGTTTAATGGACTCACAGTTCTACATGGCTGGTGAGGCCTCACAATCACGTCTTACATGGTGGCAGGCAAGACAGCTTGAGCAGGGGAACTCCCATTTATAAAACCATTGGATTTTGTGAGACTTATTCACTACCTTGAGAATAGTATGGGGGAAACCGCCCCCATGATTCAAATCTCTCCACCTGGCCCCACCCTTGACACTTGGGGATTATTACAGTTCAAGGTGAGATTTGGGTAGGGACACAGCCAAACCATATCAGCTACTTTCTAGGCTGTGATAATAGCAGCACTTATTGAGCACATACTGGGTGTGAGCACCCAGAAGGTGGATGTCACCTTTGGAGGATCTATAGTTTTTCCAGGGAAGCAGCTGGAGAACTGGCAGGACAGTTGGCATTGAAGTCCCACAGCAGCACTTTTAGGGCTCAGAGAAGATTCAGATGAGGGTCAAGGAATGGGCATGGGCCTCATAGAAGAGACTGTCAGTGTATTCTACCCAACAAGAGGAACATTGTCCAGAAGATTCTAGTGTCTGGTTTTATTCTTGGTGTAGTAACCAAGACATCCAAAGGCAGCTGCAGGGGTTCCTCTGTACATCTCAGAATCCTTGAGCTAATTTGCCATCCATGTCCCTGCCTCTTGGAGGACAGGATGGTTATTTTGTCACAGCGTCCTCATAGCAATGTAAAAACATGTTTATTCAGTGAATGGATGAGTGAGAGAAAAGAGAGTGAGGAAACCAGCCCTTATTTCTAGATCCTGGCAGTGGAGCAGCAGAGGTGTCACCTGCCTTATGTACTGTCTGGCCAGCCATTAGGAAATGTCTGTTTGTCTGTCTGTCGTCTATCTGTTATTTATTTATTAAATTGTGGTAAAAGACACATGAAATAAAATGTACTATCCAGCCTTTTTTTTTTTTTTTTTTTTAAATAGACGGAGTCTCCCTCTATCACCCAGGCTGGAGTGCAGTGGCGCCATCCAGGCATTTTTAAAGTTTACAGTTCAGTGGCATTAAAGATGCTCAGCTGTTGTACAGCCAGCACTGCCATCATCATTTTTTTCATCTTCCAAGACTGAAACCCTGTACTCATTAAACAACCACTCCCCCCGTTCCCCTCCACCTAGTTCCTGGCAACCACCATTCTTTTTCTATCTATGAGTTTAATGACTCTAGATACCTTATAAAAGTGGAGTCATACAGTGTTTGTCTTTTTTGTGACTGGCTTATTGCATTTACCATAATGCCCTCAAGGTTCATGTTATAACGTATGTGAGGGTTTCCTTCCTTTTAAAGGCTGAATATTATTCTCTTGTTTTGTCTATCCATGCATCCATCGAGGGACAGTTAGGTTGCTTCTACCTCTTGGCTATTGTGAATAATGTTTCTCTTTTCTTCTTGTTGTTTTGTTTTTTTAGAGACATGTTCTCTGTCTGTCACCCAGGCCAGAGTGCAGTAGCATGATTATAGCTCACTGTAACTTTGAACTCCTGGGCTCAAGCCGTCCTCCTGCCTCAGGTTCCCAAGTAGCTGGGACTACAGGTGTGTGCCACCACACCCGGTGACTTAAAAAAAAATTTTTTTTTTGTAGAATCAGGGTCTTGCTATGTAGCCCTGGCTGGTCTCGAACTCCTAGCCTCAAGCAATTCTCCTGCCTTGGCCTCCCAAAATGCTGGGATTATAGGCGTGAGCCATCGCACCCAGATGTGAATAATGTTTCTATGAGCATGGGTGTACGAGTATCTCTTCAAATCCCTGCTTTCAGTTGTTTTGGGTATATATCCAGAATCGGAACTGTTAGATTTGATGGCATTCCTATGTTTAATTTTTTTTTTTTTTTTTGAAAGGGAGTCTTGCTCTGTTGCCCAGGCTGGAGTGCAGTGGCGCAATCTCGGCTCACTGCAAGCTCCGCCTCCCAGTTTCACGCCATTCTCTCGCCTCAGCCTCCTGAGTAGCTGGGACTACAGGCGCCCGCCACCACGCCCGGCTAATTTTTTTTGTATTTTTAGTAGAGGGTTTCACCGTGTTAGCCAGGATGGTCTCGATCTCCTGACCTTGTGATCCGCCCGCCTCGGCTTCCCAAAGTGTTGGGATTACAGGCCTGAGCCACCGCGCCCGGCCCCTATGTTTAATTTTTTTAGGAACCGCCATACTGTTTTTTCAGAGTGCCTGCACCATTTTAAGGGGATGTCTTTTGCGCCGCCTCCGTGGCATTAGTTTGGGTAATGTCTTATATAGTTACTTAGCTTTTCCCTTTACTTGCCTTTCCTCTTGTTAGTTTTACAAATGCTATTCTCCTTCCGTATGATTCCACTTATGTTTGAAAAGTATTGCTTAATATCTGGCACTTTGGACAGGTTTGGGATAACAAAGGCCATGGATAGATTGATCCACACTAGCACAGCAGGCCCAAATTCTGAAGCTGTTTCTCCTCTCCTCCAGCCCCTTCAGAAATGTTGAGTTTCGGCTGGATGCGGTGGCTCACATCTGTAATCCCAGCACTTTGGGAGGCCGAGGCGGGTGGATGACCTGAGGTCAGGAGTTCGAGACCAGTCTGACCAATATGGCAAAACCCCGCCTCTACTAAAGAATACAAAAATTAGCCAGGCATGGTGGCAGGCACCTGTAATCCCAGCTACTCAGGAGGCTGAGGCAGGAGAATCGCTTGAGCCCAGGAGGTGGAGGTTGCAGGGAGCTGAAATCGTGCCATTGCGCTCCAGCCTAGACGACAGAGCGAGACTCGGTTGAGAAATGTTGAGTTTATCCCTGGGGCCCCTGGGCAGATGTCCTCTGGGGAAGTCCCAAGTTGCTGCTTCAGAGATGAAGCTAGAACCAAACTGGCCCTACTAGACTGGGAGCTCTTGGCCCAGCTGCTCTGCCTCCCTTAACTCCACCATTCTAATTGTGATTAGTAGGCTCATTTGCATCTAAAAGGAGTAGTTTTCTTATCAACACCATTGAGTGGAGAACCAGTGTGCTCCATTTATATAGAGTGGCCCATTTAAATCAGGGCCCATTAAGCAGTAAAAGTAAATGTGGGTGTTTTACAAATGCAAATATATCATGCAAATAATGTACTTTATACTGAATGATGCCTTGGTTTTCATATGTAAAATTAGAAACTGTGTAGCACAAAGATAATGATAAACACCTTTGCATCTGTTCATGAGATGTATCATAAGCTGTATGCATGTAAAATCGTAGCCGTGGTTTTAAGCAGAGTTTTTTCAGTATATACTCAAAACATGCATCCCATATTATAAAAAATATGCATGTATTTATCTAGTTATTTATCTGTTCCTAAGGAATCAAGAAATCACAGAAAAGAGGAATCCAAATTACCTAATCTATTACTTACTATGAATGAGATTTATAATTTTCTTTCAATTTTTAAATATTTTTGAGTTTTTATTTGAGATGATGATAGTGAAGAAGATGTGTTACTATAGGCTAGTTTCTTTGTGAGAGATTTAATTATGTTTATAAGAGATGTTTTAAAAATCCTGGCCGGGCATGGTGGCTCACTCCTGTAATCCCAGTATTTTGGGAGGCTGAGGCAGGAGCTCTTGAGCCTAGGAGTTCAAGAGCAGCCTGGGAAACATAGCAAGACCCAGTCTCTACAAAAAAAAAAAAAAAAAATGCAAAAATTAGCCAGGCATGGTGGCATGTACCTGTAGTCCCAGCTACTCAGGAGGCTGAGGTGGGAGTATTGCTTGAGCCTGCAAGTTTGAGGCTGCAGTGAGCTGCGATTGTGCCACTGCACTCCAGCCTGGGTGACAGAGTGACAGAGTGAGACCCTGCCTCAAAAAAAAGGAAAAAAAAAATCCTTAGTGTTTGAGATAATTCTGTGTAGGAGGTGCAGGTAGCATTCCCGCTGTTTTTCAGAATCACTTAGAATAATGACAACCATCTTCCGTG
The DNA here is from genome assembly GCF_000001405.40 of Homo sapiens. NCBI lineage: Eukaryota > Metazoa > Chordata > Mammalia > Primates > Hominidae > Homo > Homo sapiens. Next base: position 89,295,483 of record NC_000014.9, on the reverse strand, counting down.
TGCTGTGAACCTGGCCAGGTTCTAAGAGAGGAGTCACTGTTAGCCTCTGCTCACGTGACGTCTGCCAAGGTAAGGTGAGACACACATACCTGTGGGTTAAAGGTATAAGGCGTTAGAATGGGAAGACACTGCAGAGTGCAATTAATTCCCAGATGAGCTGCACAGAAGGTATTTGCCAGAAGGATTCAGAGGAGGGAGAGGTTGTAGGGTGAGAGTGACCAGATAAGGTGTCCTGGGTACCTGGGATTCGAGTTGAACATTAAAGGATGAATAGGCTGTAACAGGTGAAGAGAACATGGGTCTAGGGCATTTCATGCAGCGGAGGGAGAGATTGGGCTGGGATGGGCCCAAAAAGCCTCCTGGGTGCAGGTGTTCTGGAGACCTGTGCCAGGCGGCATATTGAAAGCAGGAAGGACATGCTGGGAAGGAACAGGAGGGCTTCTGAGGGGTACCAGCACCGATTGGCTCTCACCCTGCCCTGTAAGCATTTGTTACAGGAAAGGGGTCCCGATCCTGACTCCAAGAGGAGGCTCTTGGATCTCAAACAAGAAAGAATTCAGGGCGATTCCATAGAGTAAAGTGAAAGCAACTTGATTAATAAAGTAAAGGAACAAAATGATGGCTACTTCATATATAGAGCAGTCCGGAGGGCTGCTGGCTGCCCATTTTTATGGTTATTTCTTGATGATATGCTAAACAAGGGGTGGATTATTCATGCCTCCCCTTTTTAGACCATATAGGGTAACTTCCTGATGTTGGCATGGCATTTGTAAACTGTCATGGTGCTGTGGGAGTGTAGCAGTGAGGACCACCAGAGGTCACTCTCATTGCCATCTTGGTTCGGTGGGTTTCAGCTGGCTTTAATGCAATCTGTTTTATCCGCAAGGTCTTTGTGACCTGCATCTTGTGCCGACCTCCTGTCTCATCCTGTGACTTAGAATGCCTTCACCATCTGGGTAGGCAGCCCAGTAGGTCTCAGCCTCATTTTACCCAGCCCCTATTCATGATGGAGTTGCTGTGGTTCAGACGCCTCTGGCACATTCACACTTCTGTAGCCACCAAACTCTTCGAATGAAGACGCACATGGAGAGTCGGTGTATGAGACACATGAAAAATGAGAGGCTTTGTTGACATTGGGCAGCTCTGGTGATACCATTCCCCCACCCCTGATAGCACTCTGGGCACCTCTCCACGTTGGCAAGCCCTGGGGACTGTGCCTGAAGATATTGTGCTTTGAGAATGCTGCTGAGGTGTCAGGCAGGGCGGCCTGCTGTGGGGAGAGAGGCTGGAGACAGGGAGGCCTATTAGGATTCAGGAGAGGACATCTTAACTTGAGCTGACCCCAGGCCTGGGAGTAGAAACAGAAAGGAAAGGAAAGTGCAGGAGCCCTTGGGAAGAACGGGTGGGCCCCAATGGGGACTGGAGGCAGGGACGTAGCTGAGGAAGGTGTCAGAGCCTCCAGAATTTTGAACTAGAGCATTTGCCAGGTGATTACCAAAGGCTGGGTCCGTTGTTTTCTTCTGTTTTGTTCTTTGCGGAATGCTGAATTAAAGGATAAACTTTACTTCCCTCAACAGACATTTGTGGCAGCCAGGTTCCAAGCACAGCAGTAGGTATTAGGGATTCAGGAAAAGACAGCCACAGGTGTCTTGGTATAGCCTGGAGAGACTGCATGTGGAAGGGAAATAGCCACTGTCTGGGGTGAATTGTGCTTCTCTCCCCCTACCCCCAACCGCCGCTCCATTCATATGTTGATGTCCTAACTCCCAGTTCCTCAGAATGTGCCCTTACTTCCAATGTGCCCATATTTCCAATAAGGTCCTTGCAGGATGTCATTAGTTAAGATGAGGTCACACTGGAGTGGGGTGCACCCTCGACTCAACATGACGTTGTCCTTAGAAAAGGTGGGAATTTGAAGCCAGCTGTACACATGGGGGAATGCTGTGTAAAGATGAAGGCAGGGCAATGCTCTTGCAAGCCAGAGAACACCAGCAAACACCAGCAGCTGCGAGGGAGGCCAGGAACAGATTCTCCCCCACAGCCTGCTGAAGGAACCAGCCCTGTGACCCCTTGATCTTGGACTTCTGCCCTCCAGGACTGTGAGAGGAGGAATTTCTGTTGCTTAAACCCCCCAGTCTGTGGCACTTGGTTATGGCAGCCCCAGCAAACGAATAGACACTGATAAACCCTGGGCAGCATGGAGAGCGTGCCCTGGGAACTGGCAAGCAAGGCAGAGGGGGGAAGCTGCCTTCTGGTTTGAGCGGATGTGGGAGCTAGGGGCAGCTGAAAGCTGCTCTGTGCAGAGCCCGCTGGAGATACCCTCCAGCATCTGGAAACAGAATCAGCTGGCAGTGGGGAAGTGGCAAACCCAACCTTTCCACAAACTCTCCTAGGAAAAGAGCATGAGAAGAAAAGAGGAGAGGGCTAGAACTCTAGGAATGCTCTGATGGTGGGGCCGAGCATGGACAGAGAGCTAGCCGACTGTCCGGCAAGAAGAGTGGGAGGAGCCGAACCCAGGCCAGGAGGGTGTTTTGTAGCTAAAGGTGGAAAGGATTTTTAAGAGTATTGTCAAAAGTAACAGGAAGTTTGTGTAACCCAGAAAGAGGCTTCTCATGTGAGTGCATGTGGGAGGTCGTGCGGTGGAGAGGGGAGAGAGGCTGGAGTGACATCAAGGGCAGTGACCGCTCGTCTTAGTCTGTTTGTGCTGCTGTCACAAACTGGGTAATTTACAAACAATAGATCTCTCGCTATGCTGGAGGCTGGGAAGTCCAAGATCAAGGCTGTGGTAGGTTCATTGTCTGGTGAGGGCTGCTTGCAAAATGGGGCCTTGAACGCTGTACCCTCCAGAGGAGAGGAGCACTGTGTCTTCACATGGCAGAAGGCAGAAAAGGGGGGTGGCTCCCTCCTTTAAGCCCCTTTATATGGTCATCTAATCCCGTTCATGAGGAAGGAGCCCTCCTGGCCTAATCACCTTTTAAAGGCCCTACCTCTTAACACTATCACCTTGGCAACACCTGAATTTTGGAGGGACACATGCAAACCATAGCACCTGGGGAACTGGGGGACCCAGGTGACCCCTGGCAGGAAGAGGTTGTGGTGGTGACATGGGGGAGTGGAAGCTGCGCTGTCGGTGCCAGCTCTTGGGATTTGTGAGTGCAGGAAAGAATAATGGGAGCCAAAAGGAGGACTTGGACACCAGTTTATGTGTGGCGATGGCTAAGATAAGAAATCATCAGTCCTGGGAAGGGGGAGGTAAGTGGAGACAAGGGGTAGTGGAGGGAGGAAAGATTCCAGAGGAAAAGAAGGGTAATAGAGATGTTACTTTGGCAAGTAAGAAGATGCACGCGCAGGCAGAAATAATGGAGCCAGCGAACGGAGGTGGAAGGAAGGGCATGTCCTTCGTTTAGAAAAGAGGAGGTGACGGTGCCTGCCGAAAGATGGAGCGGGAGGTTTGGGACTTGATGAGTGGAGAGATTGGGGCCAGTGTTCCTGGGTTCTCATTTGGGAGCAGTTTTATTCCCCAGTGGACACACAGCAATAACTGGAAACATTTTTGGTTGTCACAGCTGATGAGGTGGGTGTCACTGGTGTCTAGTGGGAGGCCAGGAAGACTGCTGAGCATCTTACCATCCACAGTGTAGCATCCCAGGACAAGAATTATCCAATCCAGAATGTCAGTAATGCTGAGGTTAAGAAATCCGGCCGTAGGTCAATCGCAGTTCGCAAACACGTTCAAGGAATGAAGTCCCAACTGAATGGCAGGCTTTGGGGAATGTGATGAAACTTCAGTATATTTAAAACAACACAATAAGGGCCACAGGAAGAGAGCATGAGTGGCCGGCCACAGATTTGCATTGCCAAAGACAGGACCCCAGGGCAGCAAAGCAGAATGGCAGACATGTAGGGACTGCTGGAAAGACTGGAGTGGGCTGTCAGCTGCCTGGAGTCGCTGTCTGCAGAGTCCCACAGGCCCCCTGGGGATGGCGGGGTAAGCAAGAGTGTCTGTGGAGGTGTGGCACCCTCCGTGGAAGCCTTTGATAAGCTGATGAACAGCATGGTGGCCAAGTTTTTAAAGAACAGTAGCATCCTTGCTGGTGACATGGAGACTTATGCAGAAAGGGTGTTACAGGGCTTTCCTTCTGATGGCATCTCATGACCAACAACCCCGAGAGAATGCGTGGCTGCATTTCTGAAACCCAAATCAGAAAAGATTCAGAAGTCCAAACCTTCAAAGAGAGAAACCGAGGGAGTAACATGTTTAGTCATCTCTCGGATGTCAGCAAAAGCCTCCCTGCCCTTGGCTGCATAACTGTGCCCCCCAACTTGGGTACTTACGTCAACGAGATGTGTGATGCTGCCACCTTTTACACTAACAGGGTCTTAAAGGGCTACAAACATGATTTACACCGTGTGGATTGGGTGAGGTCATATGTGAACATTTGGAGTGAGTTTCAAGCATGAGTCAAGGAGCACCACACCACGGGCCTCACGTGGAGCAGAACAGGTCCGCAGCACCCACATCAGCGCTTTCTGTTCTCTCCTGAGGGCCTGACCTTTCTCCACATCCTCCTCACCTCCTCCAGGGCCCCTCCACTTTTTGAGAATGAAGACACAAAAGAAAAGTCCTCTCCTTCATGCTCAGCTTTATTTGCCCGGTTTAACCAGGGAGAAGCCTAACCCTGCAGAACCAGGGCTCTGGCACATCACTGATGACCAGAAGGCCTATATAAGAATCCCAGCCTGCAGGCTCACGGAGGGCAAAGTACGTCTCCCCACAGAAGCTACATTCCAAGTCCCACATCTCCCAAACCTCATCCTTCCCAGCAACATGCACCCGTGTTCAAGTTGGAAGGAAGTAAATGGAGAGCAGAGTACCAAGAAGACAGGAATGACCTTGTGATTTCAGAGACTGAGCTGAAACAAGTGGCTTACATTTTCAATTGTGAAAAATCAGCTCTCCCGATGAAAGGGAAAGTAAACTCCATTCCAGTGGAAAACTGTAAGAAGTTTGGTCTGGTCTTTGACAGTTTGGTGGGCATTGGGGAAATGACCAACTCCAAGTACATTCAAATCCAGGTAATGGGGAGAGTACCAGCAATTTCCACTAATAAGACAGAAGGTTGCCACACATACCTAACTCGGGGAAGATGCATTAGACTGTGAGATTGTGAGCATCATATCATCCAAAATGAATATACTTATTCGTCAGGGTGGTAATGACAGAGAATTTCCTGTCCCTGAGCAGTTCAAGACAGCATGGGATGGATCCAAGTTGGTCAGTGAACCCCCTCACCTGAGTCCCTCCATCAAACAAATAAAAAAGTAGCAGTAAAGAACTGGAAGTTGCAGAAGCACCTTCCACTTTAGTTTTGGCCTCCGACAATTCTGTGCTATAGACACAGCATCGTTTCTGGCACGACTTTGTGGGCATTTTGAAGTACTTAACATTTCTTCATGATTTGCCTGTGTGTGTGCGATTTTAGTTCCACGTGGTGACTTGTGAACATTATGGATTTAAAGGGAAAAAAAAGAAGTCTGTTCCCCTCATATCACAAACATAGTAACTGATAGGTAAAAATACTGCATGATTCAATTTTCCACGTATGTTCAATTGCTTGTTGAAAAATAAACTAAGATGTACATTTTTATCTTTTAGACAATTTCAATATGATGTAGTAGTAATGTGCCCTGAGAAATGTACAGTTTTTTTCTTATCGTGAGCACATGTTCACCTTTGGCAGTGTGGATATGCTGTCAGCAGGAGTACGTATTTCCGCCCACGCTTTTAAAAGATGTAAGAACATTTCATATTAAGGACCAAATTCAGGTTCTTTGTCCTTGAAAGACCTATATTCTTTATAGTTACTAAAAACCAAAAGTATAAATTTGAATTATTCATCTTATATGTATTTCTACCGTGTCATTTGAAAACTTACTTTTCTGCATAAGAGATTTTTGTGTCAACAGATTGATGGGAGGAAACAGTGCTTTTGCTATGTAGTACCTCGCAGTGTTGCCCAAAAATCAAGCTCAGTGTCTGTTTTCCAATTTTGAACATGTTAAATGTCAGATGTCTTCTAAATGGTGTCTTTAATGTTTTATTATAGTCTAATTTTTTCTTTTCTGCCTGCCAGACTTGCTAACCAGTCGCAAAAATGAACATGAGAAAAGCCATGGATGTATTACTTCTCCTAAAGCCTAAGGAATTATTTGTTAGTTTGGCTTTCTGCTCTGATTTTGTAGTCTTGCTAATACATGCTTTTTCTTTTCTTTTCTTTTTCTTTTCTTTTTTTTTTTTTTTTGAGACAGAATTTCACTCTGTCACCCAGGCTGGAGTACAGTGGCATGATCTCGTCCCACTGCAACCTCTGCCTCCTGGGTTCAAGCGATTCTTGTGCCTAAGCCTCCTGAGTAGCTAGGGTTATAGGCGCCCACCACCATGCCCAACAAATTTTTGTATTTTTAGTACAGACAGGATTTCGCCATGTTGGTCAGGCTGGTCTCGAACTCCTGGCCTCAAGGGATCCGCCCACTTGCGCCTCCCAACTGGGATTACAGGTGTGAGCCACCACACCCGGCCCCATGTTTTTTTCAATGTTAAGAGAAATTATGATAGTCCTTTGTATCTTTTCAGTACGTAGTGTTGAAAAATCTGCAACTTCTTGGATGACATTTAATGAATTATAGTATAATGCTTACGGACCCAGTGCAAGCATATATATATATATATATATATATATATATATATATATATATATAGAGAGAGAGAGAGAGAGAGAGAGAGAGAGAGAGAGAGAGAGAGAGAGAGAGAGAAAGAGAGTGCCTATTACAGCCTTTGGAGTATGTCGTTTCCATTTTTAAAATATCTTCTATATCTGTGTAGTATTTGGATTATTAATGCTCACATACCAAGGTTTTGCTATAAAAGTTTTGTTCGTATAATGTTGATAGTAAACATCATTTTTCAACTGTAAACTTATTCTGAAATAAAGTAAAATGATAATTGTTTAAAAGTAAAATAAAATAGCTCGATAGATATGGTGCCAGAGCAGCTGCCACCTGTCAGATTCTCATGGGTCCTGGTGGTATTGGGCATACAAGAACTATGTGCAGGCTGATACCTTTGAAATCAGTTGAGTCTCCAGTGTCAACATTTGGCTAAGTTTACAGAGCAATTCCATTTCTTATCTTGATTGGTGCATTGCCCTCTGAGTAATCTTGCCACACACTCAGTTATAGTGTTGGTGGGCCTGGTTGGTTGTGGTCTGATCACTTCAGTCATGCCTCCTCAGCAATTGTCATCCTCTGAAATGGGCCACTCTTGGTAGGTTTCTACCTGGTCTCTTTCTGTCTCTTGATCGCGTGCCCATTTTGGATCTTTGCAGGATTCTGCATGGAGCTATATATATATATATTTTTTTTTGAGACAGGGTCTTGCTCTGTTGCCCAGGCTGGAGTGCAGTGGTGTGATCAAGGCTCACTGCAGCTTTGGAGCTCCTGGGCTCAAGCGATCCACCCACCTCAGCCTCCTGAGTAGCTGAGACCACAGGCACATGCCACCACACTGGGCTGATTTTGTTTATTTTTTGTAGAATAAAAAAATGTTTTATTTTTAACGTTTCCCAGGCTGGTCTCAAACTCCTGGGCTCAAGTGATCTTCCTGCCTAGACCTCCCAAAGTGCTGAGGTTACAGGGGTGAGCCAACAGTTACTTTTTTTTTTTTTTTTTTTTTTTAGCATTCTTTAGAGTAAGTGACATCTGTGAAGTTGCTTCTTGGATATTTAGTAAGTGTTGCTACTTTAGACTGAGAAATATTTGCAATTAGAACATCTCCAAGAATCCTTAAAGAAAAAAGGAAAAGTGCAGTTACCTCATCTGTCACAGGAATGGAAAAACGGGCCAAGTTGGGAGAGTTAAGGATGTCTAGGAGGAAGTGCTGGTGCCCACCTGACAATGGCCACAATGTTGCTGTGTGGCCTTGAGTGTGTCAGTTAACTCTGAACTGGGGTTTGCTTGCAATCAAGACTACCACTGGGGCTGGGCGTGGCTCACACCTGTAATCCCAGCACTCTGGGAGGCCAAGGCAGGAGGATCACTTGAGGTCAGGAGTTCGAGACAAGCCTGGCCAATGGCGAAACTGTGTCTCTACTAAAATTACAAAAAGTAGCCAGGCATGGTGGTGCATGCCTGTAATCACAGCTACTCGGGAGGCTAAGGCAGGAGAATTGCTTGAACCCGGGAGGCAGAGGTTGAAGTGAGCCCAGATCACACCACTGCACTCCAGTCTGAACGACAGAGCAAGACTCTGTCTCAAAAACAAAAACAACTAAAAGAAAAACCACCTTTGGGATTTTTGCAGTCTAGAAAGCAATTTTTTTCCCCCATCATCTCATTTTATTCTCACACATTGCCCCCGGCTTGCAGGCATGGAATTGAGACTTTGACAAGTTAAAAGACTTTCAGTCTGTGTTTTAAACAAAATTTCTGAGTCCAAATCCCACGGTCTCTCCACTTCACCCTGGATTGGACCCTGTGGCCACAGAGATCCCTTTTAATTGCCGGGACACTCAAGCTTCTTTGGAAGGTTAGAAAAGTGTCAAGAGTGTCCCCGAGAATCTGAACTTTCATCTGTGTTCTTAGTGATGCTTCTCAAACGGTGAGTGGTATTTTGTGAAGCTTCCCACACACGTCTCTGTCCAGCCTGCTCTGGTTGCCGTGTTCCAAATGCCAGCGAGTGACATCCTTCACTCAGAGAGCCCCTGTTACATTGTGGCGTAGGTCACATTTGGTTTTCTATTATTTCCTGGTGATTAATCCCCAGTTATAAGGCAAAACAATGGAATTTCAAGGATTTTTTGTGGTGGGTGATTCTCCCTTTGTTACAACTGCGTTGACTGTTTTATTCCTGGGGAAATTGCAGTCTGGTGGTAGATGTCACCCATCCGAAGGGATTGCCATCACAGTCCATCTCCAGCGCTAAGAGTATGATAGGACTCTGTGCTCGGTTGCTTAAGAGTAGTGGGTAAGCTCTGGCCTCCATGAGTGCTAAATCAGGGTGGGCTGGTCTTGCTACACCCACTTTTTCCCCCCACCCCATCCCCGTTGGTTTGGGCTTTCTGCTTTGTCGTGTGCTGTGGACCATTCTGGCAGAAAGCTGACCATGGGGGACATTCAGATATTCTTCCTTTCTTCCCGCCCCAAGCACTTTAGGCTTTCATTCATTTCTTCAGAGTCCTTCTTATCATCTCAATCTCTCTGTTCTTTCTTCTTCCTCCCCCTCCCTTCTTCCCTCCCTACTCCTCTCCCTCCTCCCCTCCCTACTCCTCTCTTGTTTTATACATTAACAAAAATTATTTATGTTGAAGTGGGCAGATCACTTGATCCCAGGTGTTTGGGATCAGCCTGAGCAACATAGTGAGACCCTGTCCTACAAACAACAACAAAAAAAACTTAGCCAGGCATAGTGGTGTGTGCCTGTAGTCCCAGCTACTCTGAGGGCTGAGGCAGGAGGATTGCTTGAGTCCAGGAGCTGGAGGCTGCGGTGAGCTGAGATTGTGCCACGACACTCCAGCCTGTGTGACAGAGCAAGACCCTGTTGTCAAAAAAAAAAAAAAAAAAAATTTTTGGTAAAATACATATAATTTACCATCTTAACTATTTTGTAAGTATGCAGTTCTGTAGTGTTAAGTGCATTTACATTGTTGTACAACCAACCTCCGGAACTCTTTTCGTCTTGTAAAACTGAACCTCTGTACCGATTAAACTCCCTACTCCTCCTTCCATGAGCCTCTAGCAACCGTCATTCCATTTTCTGTCTCTGTGAATTTGTCTACTCTAGATACCTCTTCTATGTGGAATCAGACAGTATCTGTTTTATTTATTCTGGCTTATTTCACTTAGCTTGCTTTCAAGGTTCATCCATGTTGTAGCATCTTCTTCTCTCTCTCTTTTTTTTTTTTTGTTTTGAGACGGAGTCTTGCTCTGTCACTCAGGCTGGAGTGCAGTGGCGTGATCTCGGCTCACTGCAACCTCCGCCTCCTGGGTTCAAACAATTCTCCTACCTTAGCCTCCTGAGTAGCTGGGATTACAGGCATGCGCCACCATGCCTGGCTAATTTTTGTATTTTTAGTGGAGACGGGGTTTCACCCTGTTGGTCAGGCTGGTCTCGAACTCCTGACCTTGTGATCTGCCCACCTTGGCCTCCCAAAGTGCTGGGATTACAGGCGTGAGCCACGATGCCTGGCCCACTTCTCTCTTTTGTAGGTCCTAGTTCACATTTGGCAGGTGAGATCTTAGAAAACAGTCCTTTTCTTAATTTATTTCTCATTGAGATCCACAGAAAGTTCAGCTGGTGAATACAGGTGTGTGTCTTGGCGGAACCTTCCAGGGTCTTGGTTTATAATCCAGGTGGTTCTCACAATGGTTAAGGTTCCTGGGTATAGAGAACACATGATGGATCACGTCATCTTGCTAAGAGCCACCCTCAGGCTGTCCGACCTGTTGACTCAGGATATCCCCTTGGGAGCTGGAGGTAGTGCAGCTCAGAGTGTGGGATCCGGGAATTACTGAGGGCTGAGTCTCTGGCAGCCGCCGGGTATGCTGTTCAGGATGGTATCACTCACCTCTTGGGATTTGCAGGCTCAGCGCTGCTCTTAACGATCAGCTGGATCAATGTTCTCAAATGCCAGGTCGCACTCCACCTTGCTGGCCGGCAAGGTCCTCTTAACCTGTTGGTCTGCTTTCTTTGTTACAAAGTTGGTCTGGCTTATACTGCTGAAGGTCATGGGATTTTTGCTAGCATATTATTGAAATGAGACATTTGTGGCACTGGCGTTGTATTGTTTCTGCTAATAGGAGCCCGCGTGTCTTTCACATATGGTTAGTCTGATTGCTTTTTCTAGCCTGGGACTTTGCCTTGGAGAGAGTCCTAGCAAAATACCATTCACAGCCTTCTTCCACAGGGAAGGATGACTAAGAGTTTAGTGCTGGAAGAGCAGAAGAGGAAAGCTGGAAGATCAGAAATGAAATTGGAGCTGTTGATGCGTGTGTCTCTATGGTACAGTGGGCAAGCCCTAGTCCTTCTTGGGTTGATCACTAACTTGTCATGCAGTGTCTTGGGCAAGTCCTTTCACCTCTCAGGACCTCTGTCTGTCTCCCTATAGAACGGGGAAGGTGGCCGGGCATGGTACCTCACACCACCAGTGCTTTGGGAGGATGAGGCAAGGGGATCACTGGAGGCTAGGAGTTTGAGACCAGCCTCAGCAACAGAGCAAGACTTCGTCTCAATTTAAAAAAATTAAAAAAAAAAATGGATGGGTCAGGCATGGTGGCTCACCCCTGCAATCCCAGCACTTTGGGAGGCCAAGGCGAGTGGATCGCTTGAGGTCAGGAGTTCGAGACCAACCTGGCCACTGAAATCAGTTGGTGAAACCCTGTCTCTCCTAAAAATACAAAAATTAGCCGGGCTTGCTGGCAGGTGCCTGTAATCCCAGCTACCCAGGAGGCTGAGGCAGGAGAATTGCTTGAACCTGGCAGGTGGAGGTTGCAGTGAGCTGAGATCGCACCACTGCACTCCAGCCTGGGCTACAGAGCGAGACTCTGTCAAAAAACCCCCCAAAAAACAGGAAGGTGATTTCTGCCCTGCTCACCCTGCAGAATTAGAGGATTCCATGGAAAAGGGTTGATTACTATGCTCAGTAAATGGTAACTTGATCCTAGGGTCATGTAATGCAAACACCATTTTAAGGTGATTAAAACCCACTCAGGGTTAACAAGGGGCCCCCATGGTCATTTCTCATGGCAGTGATATTTACATGGCTGGGTATGGAGCGCACCCCATTCTTCCCCTTCACCCGCCACTCCCACCCTCCCCGCTTTTGAGCTGCCTGAGGATGGGTGGTTTGCAACTCCTCCCACAAAGACTTCTGTCACTGGTTTCATCTCTGAATTACTGTGGTTAATAGACACTTCTAAGTAATTTCATGTACTATGTGTGGTTTTAACCAACTTTAAGCTTTAAAGGCCAATCATCCAGGGACATCTCCAGATGGAGGGGGGAAAAAATCAAGCTTGTTGCCTTCCCAACCTGCAGCCACTGGAGGCATAACCATGAGTCTGTCTATAGGCATTGCTGGTCTCATTAGATAGAGTCAGAGGAGTTTGGAGCCAGGTAAGTATGACAGCAGGTTCTTAGAGGTCATAAAATAGGGTTTTAAATTTTCCCCTCAAGTCTTTCTCAACACCAAGCACAATTCTCAGCAGGAGTTTAATAAATCCTCGGATCTTCTAACAGTTAGAAGATGTCATTTTGAGGAACCCTCCAAAAGAAGCGTGTAGATATGGGCCAGGGAGCTTGAAAACTTTGCAGTTAGCATGGCAGGAGCTGACTTACCCTGAGCTGGAAAGAGACCACTTGTGAATTCATCAATTACAACAGGGGCCAGGAAAGAGAAGGTGGTGGCCAGTCCAAGTCTCTCTCCACTACTAGAGTACAGATAAGTTCCACAGCACCACAGATTGACCATAGAACAGTGGTGATCAGTGATTTAAGTACATTAAAAGGATGTTGTAAGAATCTTTAGGTATGTTGTAAGAATCTTTATCATACAGAGAATTTTCCTTATCTAAACCACTGGATTTATCCGACCTTCATTCCCCATAGTGCTCCATCCCTGATGTCTACTCAGTTTTCAGCCAAATCAAGCTCAGGATAAAGAAGAGGTTTGGATGGAAGTAAGCTGGATATTCAGGCTCCTGCAGTAATACTCAATTATTGAATTCTCTAGAAACACCAACTCTGCTATAATGAAGTCCTCAGTTTTAAAATATCTTTATAAATCAGGTGATTCTGTATTGGCAACAGCCAGCTTGCTGTTCCCTGCTTTGTTATAAAAATTAGATGGTAAAATCCTGAGAGCTTGCTGGGATTGTTAAAAGATAATCTTAAGTATTTTAATGCACATTATTCTTCATGCAACTTTGAGCCTTAAGTGCCCCGAAACAGTAAGATCAGAATCCAATCGAAGAGCAATCAGCTGGTGTCATCATCCTGAGACTCCAGTCCGGTCTGCTGTTACCCTGTGAAGCTCCTGGCCACTCTGTGGTCACAACTACCTGGCTGAGAATCAGGGCTGTGGGAAATACCATGGCTGAGATGCGTGATGCTCATTTAATTTTAGTATAGTGGATCCAAAACAAAATAAAACAAAAGGTTCATTAACATCAAGGTTTATAGTATGTATTTTCTAGCACATTTGACATGATTTTGATGTGGGATAGCATTTTTGTGCTGTAGCTCATTTCTTCTTCCCTCCTACTCCTCCTCAATCATGTAATGTGTCCCTATACCTGCCATACTATTTGTACCTCTGGTAATGAAATTCCAGTGGGCAGAATGTGTCATTGGCATTTCTGCTTGCTAACAGTATTGCTGTCCTAGATAACTAGAGACCCTGGTTTAATGGTGAAGCATTCACCGTATAGCCCTTCAGATTCTTCTGTGTGTGTGCGTGTGTGTTTCTGCCAAACTTACAAATGCATTACTCGAACCTATTTTTCTCATATTGAAGGTGATTGATAATGCATTAACCAATATAATTTGTCATGTACTATTTTGATGAGAGTAATTTATACTGCCTCTTGGGCTGGATGTAGTAACATTTTTGACTAAGTACTTTCTAACATTAATCTAAACCAATCCTTGATTTAGAATATAACCTACTTTCCACTCTAAGGACATTTTACTAAGGCTGGCTTGGTTATAAAGTTTTCTACTGGCTGTCTTAAAACAGTGAAAATGCTCATCTATGAATGCGGTAAGTGTCTTTGTGATATATTGATCTCTCCTATTTTCTTGCCTCTCCTGTTACCACACTGTGGGTGGTAACATATCTGCAAAATGTTTTATAGGGTATGGAGTGCAACATTTTAAGCCAAAAAATTGAAAACAGGATACGAAACGAGAAGAGGGGGAAGGAGGAAATCGATTAAGGTCATCTCCATATATTAAGGATTTAGTGGTAGAAATGCCAAGAATGACAAGTTTGCATTTGTAGCAGGCAGGTGGCACCAGGAAGTGTTGGAAAACCCGCTTGGTCTCAGAAAACATGATTAGGACTTCTTTGCCACATACATTCATGAAATTATGAATAGGTTAGCAAATATCCTTAAGTTATACGCTATGCCGTTAAACCATGTGAATTTGCCATTTTGTGTATCTGTCGGTCATTCCAGTGCCCAGGTGTGAGCAGGGTCAAGATGATAAGCAGAATACTCACACAGATAGGTTCTGCACTGTGAAATATGAAGCCTGTTTACAATAAAGCAGACCTCATGGTTTTCGAGGATGCATTTTCAAAGGGTGTCAGTAATGCATACTTGGGGAAATGTTTTGAGGGAAGTGTGGGAAGGGGTTGCAGGTGTGTGAGTGCAGATGAACTTGGCCTTATGCTAGTTTCTTTTCTCTTTCAGCACATCAGGTCCACCCATCTGGCCGGGCAGTACCTTCTTCAAGAGAAATGGAGCCCTTCTCCAAGGTAGGTCCCTAGTAACACCCCTTCCTCTCCCTCCCCCTCACCCACCCGCCTTTCATCACTCCTTTGTGCTTGGTGTCAAATAGGACAGTTCTGTCCCGTTTAGGAGTGGCCGCTTTCTGGAGAAGTGTGACTGTTGTGGGTGGGGACTATTTGTCCAGTTCTCTTTATTTGTTCCTACTCAAGCTTCTCGGTCGCTGTGAATCATGAGTCTGAAACCAGGCCTCTAAGGACTGCTTCTTTGGCCCGCCGTCACTGTTCATATTCTGGAAGTGTTCGGCTTGCTTTGGTGATGTTGGAATTACATGGTAATTAGAATGCGACAGAAACATAAACTAGGCTGATAAAAGCAAACCCCTTTACATGTTTCAAAAACTTGAGCTGAAAAAGGAGGGTTTGGTTATTCTGGCACTTGTATCATCATGGAGGTGCATGCATTTCTTACTGTTGCCCAACATCTACATGTACCTGGAAGGTTGGCCGTGGTTTGTTCTGAGGTTCGGAGTCCAGTCACCCTACATTGGTCCCCACAAGTGTCACCTACAGGGGACACCCTTGCTGTTGTCCAGCTCAACTCAGCTGCCTTGTCCTAGTCCCTAGGCGGTGTGCTCATGGAATTCCAATGACCTTTCACCTCTACTTTTGCCATTAAGTTCCTTTTGAAATGGCCAAAGTTAAGGAGGAATAAATGATTTAAAAAATAGCAAAGAGGTTCATTTTTAATCCTTTTAGAAATTACTTTGGGGTTATCGCTATTTTGGATATCTGTTCTGTAAATAAAATGGAATTGAGTGGTTCCCGGGGCCTTCGAGCTTTCTATCCCTCCTACTTCTGTTGATTGGCTAGGAGTCAGACAGGCCCTGCTGGCCAAATGTGGATGAGTTTGGCTGTGCTAAGAGCTTTTGAACTACACTGGGCTTATGGTGAGGGATTTTAGTGTCTATTGATTGGTTGAGAGCTGTTTAGCCTCTTTCCCTTAGAAGTAGAGGCTGAGGGCCGGCCCTGTGTGTGAAGGAGTAGGAGATAAGTATGGTTAAGAAGAGAGACATGTATCTTCAGGTTTCCGTAGTAGCTCAAACCCTTGTCAGAGATGTCATCACATTTTTAGTGCTGATTTATAGGCCACGCAATTGCATACTGTGATTTTAATAGCCTGTGAAATTGGGAAATCAAGCGTTTCTTTGTATTTTTGCTTCGTACAGGTGAAATGTAGTCAGGCAAGTTTGGTTAAACCTAATTTTAATAATCATCGTAGATATCCTAAATGTTTAAGAAAACAAAAGGAAGTCCCTCCACTCTCAAAAATTAACACATAATTTAAAAAAATCTATTCTGTTTTCCCTTCAGATAGTAGAAGTGGAAACTGATTAGGATCAGCCTTTGGGTTCTTTTCAAGTGAGTTTCAAAGTTATGTGCGTCATTTTTCCTCTAGAACTATAGCAGTGATATGAATATCATTCAGGTTTGGATTATTTTGAGAAAAGAGATTTTGTTTTCTTAGAGCCTTTTCTCACGATTTTTATTCATTCACTTTGGCATTAGGTAAGTTCTTTTTGTTCGTTTCTGTGGGGCAAAAACATGAGGGAAATATTAATATTGATAAGGTTTCTGAAGTTGAGAGATGTCAGTATGAGATTATCCTGCGGGTGTAGACTTCTTTTCTCTTCCTGATAGGGTTACAAATTCCCCCAGTTGCTCTAGGAACTGTGAATTAAACTAGTACAGATTTCAGATGCTTATTGAATCCACATCCAGTTAAATGCAACCCATTAAAATTTTGTACATTTGAAAATCAGAAGAATCTTGATGAGAGCTTGGGAGGGTGGGCAGAGATTTGTTAACATTCATTTTTTTTTCTGTGATGTTTCTTCATTCCCTAGAGTTCTGGAGACACTTTTGTTGTGATAATATTTTTTTGGAATATGTGGGTATTCTTCCTAATTAATATTTTTGTGTCCTTTGGTGGGTGGTTCTGGGCCATGGGAAAGTTGCTAAGGCCCACAAGCAAGATTTTACGAATAAAGATATGAGTACCTAAAGAAGGGACTGTCCAGTCATGCCAGGGGAAGGTTTGGGTTAGAATCAAGTAGAAGAAAAATGTGCCTGTTTAATGCCACTCTCTCAGGTTTTTGATTTCTCACTTTCTGTTTTCAAAAATGTACGCACATCCCTCGTTTTTCCCTATAGCAAGTGGAAGAAAATTTTTCTAGATAATCAGACGAGTAGGGAACTCTGTTAATAGCTTCCAGCCACAGGCATTGGAATTGAGGGCAAGTAGAACGAGGATGCTTGTCCCCAAAGATGGCAATTCTCAGTGCTGGGTGAGAAGGTGCAGTTTGGTCACATGGGGGTGACGTGGGAATCTTTCTTTAGGGTGCTGTGGGACCAGTGACTGGCCAGCAGAAGCCAGCCGGGGTTATGGATCATGAGTTATGGATCACTAGCAGGACTGGCAGAATTGAACCAGGGTGGGGGATAACTTGCTTCATGGAGTGGTCTCCCCAGGACTCAATAATGCAGGATAGGAAAATAAGTAGGATATGGTTTGGCTGTGTCTCCAACCAAATCTCATCTTGAATTGTAGCTCCCATAATTCCTAGGTGTTGTGGGAGATCATTGAATCATGGGGCGGTTTCCCACATACTGTTCTCGTGGTGGTGCATAAGTCTCACGAGATCTGATGGTTTTATAAGGGGTTTCCCTTTTGCTTGGCTTTCATTCTCCCTTGTCTGTCGCCATGTAAGACGTATCTTTTGTCTTCCACCATGATTGTGAGGCCTCTCCAGCCACGTGGAACTGTGAGTCCATTAAACCTCTTTTTCTTTATAAATTACCCAGTCTCCAGTATGTCTTTATCAGCAGCGTGAAAATGGACTAATACAGTGGGGGTGCCCTGTCGTGTAGAGGAGGGAGACCTATTTTTGTCAGAAGGGTGGGAGCAGAGGGGCTGTCATTTCTTGGGAGAACTGACACTTAAGGCCTTAAAAAAGCAGATAGATTTAGGTGTGTGGAAATAGAAAAAAAATGTCATTGCAAGAAAGAGAAATAACCAGAGAACTTAGCTTCACAGAGACCATAGCAACAGCGCGGAACCTGAGCACTTCATAGACACCTTTGTATAGCGACGGGAAGAATAATGCAATGTCTGAAGAGGAAATAATGGAAGTTAAAACCTGAAGCAAAGTTGAAATCAAAATGACCTAATAGTTAGAGCGGGGCACCAGTTTTCATTGTCAAATCGTTGTTTGGTTTAGAGTGGAAACTTAGTACCTTTATTTTTCCCAGCACAAAACCAATTGTAAGAATTAACTGGTTGTTCTCGAGGTCCTCCCTGGACGTCGGGTGCCTGTATTTTGGTTCAGAATCACTGGCAAGAGGGGCTGCTGAATCACCTCTCGGTTTCGAGGATAATGGGGTAAGATTTGGTTTGGATTACACCAGGCATGGGTACTTAACATAATTGGTCATTTCATCAGTTCACAGTCTTTATTTTAAATGCCATTTAGGCTGCTACAGACAGTTTCAGCAGGCTAGAGAGCACTTCAATTCTTGTACAATGGAAACCAAGCAGAGCATTAGAAGGGGACAAGCTCATTTTTCAGAGGGGACCCAGGGCAGGCTGAACAGAAGAGTGGCTTATTCAGAGCCCTGCAGGCGTGGCCAGCTGACAGGTGTCCCCACCGTGCCTTCTTCTTGTGTCTGTGTGTCTCTGTGTTACGGTCTCTATGTGTTTGAAACGTGTTCTTTATTTTATTCGTTTAATTCATTTACTAATCTCTCTTATTTTGTTAATGAAAAGAATAAAGTCTTTTTTATATTTTCCCATTTCCAAACTCCCTGTCCCCCTCCCCCATATTCCATTCACCCATCAAACTTAAAATTAGGTTACTTTATTAAAACATCACCCTTGGATGATTTGTTGTAATGAGTCAGTGATTCATAATTAAAGACATTCCTCACCCCTAATCTGACCCTTCATCTGGTCTCTGATGGTTTCATCCCAAAATGACATAGGCACCTCTGCTCTTGGTAGCTTCATGCCTTCTGCTGAAAGTTGCCACAAGCCATGCTGATTTTATATCCTACTTCTGCCCTCTTGGTCTTGGTAGGCCCTGTTGGCCTCAGAGCTCCCCACGGAGTTTTGTTCAGAGAGGAGCTACTGCCTGACCATTTTGGCCTGCTTTTATTTCTAGCTCTTCCTCCAAGCAGGCATTCCCTGGGCCTACCCTCCCCACCCCACCTGCAAGCATTTCTTGATGGTACATCTCTGTGTGTCCAGTCCTGGGTTAGGCTGGAGATCCCCAGGGGAAGTCCAGGTCCCACCCTCTCAACCAGGTCCCACCCTCTCAACCACTCACAGCCCGTTCTGTGGTCAGACCACGAGTCCTAGCCCTTCTTGGAAAAGGCTGCTTGGCCCACCCACTCTAAGAAGCCCAGCCACTCTCAGCACAGATGAAACCACTGGTTTTACAAACCTTTCCAGTGACTCACTTGACACCCTTATACCCTTCTGGTCATTCTT
Organism: Homo sapiens; assembly: GCF_000001405.40. Classification (NCBI taxonomy): domain Eukaryota; kingdom Metazoa; phylum Chordata; class Mammalia; order Primates; family Hominidae; genus Homo; species Homo sapiens. The sequence goes on along the minus strand of NC_000014.9, from coordinate 89,276,430 downwards.
CCCTCTTCCTTTTCTCCGTCACTATAGTATTGGGCCTCTAATTATTATCAACTCTGTGTCCCTAGGATGCGGTGGTAGAATTAAAATAAATTATCTAACATATTTTATTTCCATTCACTTCTGTTGGTTGTTGTTATTGTTGCTGTTGTTGAGACGGAGTCTTGCTCTTGTCGCCCAGGCTGGTGTGCAAGTGGTGTGATCTTGGCTCACTGCAACCTCTGCCTCCCGGGTTCAAGTGATTCTTCTGCCTCAGCCTTCCAAGTAGCTGGGATTACAGGCATCCACTACCCCACTCAGCTAATTTTTACGTATTTTTAGTAGAGATGGGGATTTGCTGTGTTGGCCAGGCTGGTCTCGAACTTTTGATCTCATGTGATCCATCTGCCTTGGCCTCCCAAAGTGCTGGGATTACATGCTTAAGCCACTGTGCCTGGCCATCCGTTTACTTCTGACAACTCACACTGGACGAGCTAATGTAATGGAAGGACTTAAAGGCATTTTCAGCTCACAGAGGAGGATTGTGTTGCCTTAGACTCCCACCTACCCACCCCCACAGCTAAAATAGGGAAAAAGGAAACCAGGTCTTCTGCTGTGAGATGCATGCTGTTCCTCCATGTGCACCAATGTACACGCAGTCCGTAGAATGTGCATGAAGTTGACATGATGGTTAGATGACTTGCTTTGAGGAATACCAGTTTCCCATGTTCTAGGTTGGCTTCATATCCAAACTTACTTGGGAGTAACAGCGTTTATCACCCCTTCTCCACAACTCTTACCCCTCCCATAACTCTGCTACGAACTTTTACTGCTGAAATGTATGAGATACCTCACCTTGGTTGTCTTTCATGCCATGAAAGGCTCAAGAGGAAGTTATAGTGGAAGGAACACTGGATTATGAGTCAAGGGACCTGGGTTCTGGTCTCAACCCTTCACTTGGTAAACTTTGTGACCTTGGACAAGCCACGTGGCATACCTAGCGCTTCATTTGCAATTTAAGGAGCAGACCTCAGCGATGGCAAAGATTCCCTATCTAGTACCAGCTCTGTTCCACTCTAGCAACTTCCCCCAAAATAGGTCAGAATGGATTTTGATGCTTAGTTCTGGCTCAGTGGAGAAAGAGTGTTACCTTCAGCCAGCTGTGTCTGCTGCGGGTGCAAGGAGAGGACAGAGTGGGTGGAAGGCTGGCTGAAGATACCCATCCCCAAACAAGATGATTTTCCAAGGTCCTTTGGATCTTAGGGAGACAATACGATATATTATAGGTTTGGACAACCTGGAAGTGAACCCTGTGTTGGTTTCTTGGGCAGCTGGCTTAACTTCTCTTTAGGAGTCATGACAATGCTTGTCTCCTGGAGTCCTGGTGAGGATTTGGTGGATTCACATTAGTCAAGCACATAGGACAGTTCATGCTAAATTCCCAATCAAGGTTAGCTATTGAAATATTTTACAAAACTGCAACTCTTAGGAAAATAGGGCTAAAATCCTCCGAATGTGGTTTCCTTGCACTCTTCGCCTTCCTGGCTCAAAGTCCTCTTGCCCATCTGTTTGGGCAGTTCTCAGGATGGGGCAAAGGCTGAGGATGCCCAGAGCCTGTTGGATGTATACATAAATCTGAAGGAGAATTCGTACATATCTTTATCTCAGACACTTTTAATTCCTCATAAATAGGACTGCCTCCTTGAGAAGTTCACCTAGCTCACAAGTACCAAGCTGTACTCGATACTCTCAAAGTGTATATTCACAGCAGGTGCACATATAGCTTTGTGAAGGAGCACGGGCTTTAGCATCACAGTTAACTGGGGCTGAATCCCTCCCTCTCTGGGCACCAGCTCTCTGACCTTGTGCCTCAGGTTTGATTGCCTGTAAAATGGGCCTGCGAGATGTGTTTCTCACAACCCCGTTTTACAATCAAACCTGAGGCCCAAGGTCTTTGTGATCTTTGTAGTCTTGGTGAAGATTAAAGAACTGTGAATGTCAGTCACTCTGGTACCTGACACCTCACAAATGCTCCATACGAAGTCAGCTTTAGCCTTCAATGTTTCATGCCTCAGGTTTCTGACCATTCATTCTCATAGGTATATTCCAGTTGAAAAAACTTCCAAAACTCTCCAAACGAGCATTTTCCCAAATACCTTCCTTTCTCATGATTTCCATTTTCAGTGTCACTGTCTGATATGACCAGGATGTCACTACCAGACTCCTGTGTCTGGCCACAGCCTCTGGTCTGGAGTCCTGGCACCCCTTACCTCTCTGTAAGGGCCAATGAATCCCAGGTTTTGTTTGAATTTGCCCTGACCCTCGCCCACTCATTGCTTTCCCATTTGGTTGGAGCTTGAAGCCCCTGGGCTCTTTGGCCTCTTCCATCTAATCTGCTCCGCAAGCTGACTCTTTTGTCCATTTTGCAAAGGAGGGCATCCACCTAATGCATAAATCTCCTGATTCTCACCCTCAGGCATACACATTAAAAAAAATTAGCAATGGCAGAAAAGGAAAATAAGAAAACCTCTCTCCATTCCCCCCAACACCTAAGTCCTAATTGCCTTCTGTCCTCTTTGGGCCTGCAGAGGCCCTCTGGTTTCAAGGAGGGGCCCTTTATTCTTGGCATCATTTGTCTTATTGTTCTGCACTGCATTATTTGTAAAGATATTTCTGTAACTACAGTAATAGAGTCAGCTAGCTGCTTTTGCTTACAATCAGCGGTGAATTTACAGGGCTGCTGGTCTGCAGCTCTGATCTCTCAAGGTTTTATGTGGTCAGTGAGAACATGCAGAACACAGTCTTAAGTTACTTTAAAAATACAAGGAAATGCAATTTTAAAAGAAGGCTTTGGTTGATTCTGATCTTTGCCATCTCTTGAGGTTCCAAATTTGCCCAATCTCCAGTTACCCCCCTTCTTCCCCAGTGGCTACAGCCTGGTGTGGAATCTGGGAAAATACCAGTCAGATATCCTGTATTTTCCTGTCTGACTTTAATTTCAGCTCTTCCCGCTACCCGTCTATAGTAACCATTTTAACCAAAATCCAGTGATGCACACTGAGAAAATGGCAGTTTTGTGAACAGAAACAGAGAAGTCAGGAAATCGAGGGCCTTTATTAAGAGCTTCCTCCAGGCCAGGTCCCTGCTGGGGTGTGTGTGGGCTTAATCTCATGTTTCAGGGTAACTGTTCAGTAGGAGGTGGAAACTGAGGCTGGACTTCGGAAGAGGGGAATCAGGGCGGGGAGGAAGCTTATGGGCATAGGTTATGGGCATAGATGAGCTTTGCAGGAGGTTATAGAATGGAAAAGAGGAAAAGGGTCCAGAGAGCTGACCCATATTCAAGAGCTAGGTTTACAGCAGTGAGAGATGTAGTAGCAAACAACAGTGGCCATGAAGAAGCAGCGGCTCAGTCCGAAACTGGGGAAATCACTGAAATGAAAGGTGCAGAGTTTCACAAAGAAGGAAGGGGCAGGAGCCCCCTCATAGAAGAATAGGAGGCCAATTTCAGCAAAAAATTTCAGGGCTCTGGGGTTTTGTATTAGCATGCCTCTTTCTCCTCAAATTAGGATTATTTTATTTTTATTTTATTTTAATTTTTTTTTGAGACAGAGTCTTGCGCTGTTGCCCAGGCTGGAGTGTAGTGACGTGATCTTGGCTCACTGCAACTTATGCTTCCCAGATTCAAGTGATTCTACTGCCTCAGCCTCCCGAGTAGCTGGGACTACAGGCGTGCGCCACCATGCGCGGCTAATTTTTGTATTCTTAGTAAAGACAGAGTTTTCACCATGTTGGCCAGGCTGGTCTCAAACTCCTGACCTCAGGTGATCTGCCCGCCTCAGCCTCCCAAACTGTTGGGATTACAGGCGTGAGCCACCGCTCGCAGCTTAATTTTTGTTTCTAATGTCAGTCCCTCCTGCCCACCCCAAATAACATCTATTGCTTTTGTTACCAAAATAATATGTCTTTGTTATAGAAAATAGACAATCTAAAGATATAATTACTCCTAATTTTACCATCCACATGTAATACCTATACCTTTTTTTTTAATTGAAGTGAGACTCATAAAATTAATGATTTTACAGTGTACAGTTCAGAGGCATTTAATAGTTGCAGCATTGTGCAACCATCACTTCTTTTTTTTTGAAACAGAGTTTCGCTCTGTCACCCAGGCTGGAGTGCAGTGGTGCGATCTCAGCTCACTGCAACCTCCGCCTCCCGGGTTCAAGCGATTCTCCTGCCTCAGCCTCCCAAAGTAGCTGGGATTAGAGACGCGTGCCACCACACCCGGGTAATTTTTTTGTATTTTTAGTAGAGACGGGGTTTCACCATGTTGGTCAGGTTGGTCTCGAACTCCTGACCTCAGGTGATCCACCCGCCTCGGCCTCCCAAAGTGTTGGGATTACAGGCATGAGCCACTGCACCTGGCCTGCATTATTTCTTTGTACTAGCCTTATGCATTTGATATGGTTACTACCATTTTGTAGATGGGAGAAACAAGGCCTGAAGCAATTGTTCTGCTCGAAGTCACAGAAACCTGAACTCACACCAGTCTTTACTTCAAAATGGCATAAATATTTCTAAACAGTTTTCTACTTTAGATATTTGGGTGTTCTACAGTGTTTTGCAGACTAGGGCTGAGGGAGAATCCTGTTACGTTTATAAGTAATTTACAATAAGACAAAAAGATGGAAATGAAAACTTTGTCTTCTTTCATTTAAGTAATTAAGGTGCTTCATTTTCCCTCCTCGTTCCTACACAGTTCACTTTATGATTTTTAAAAACTAGATAGAGAAAAAAGGAAATCCTAAAATTAGTCATTCAAAGATTAACACAGTGAGAGGAACCCACCCATTCTTTAATAGAATGAATATTTTATTTTAGTCTATGTGAATTTTATATTAGTAGATAGACAGATGCAGATACAAGTAATTTTACACCAATTATAATTCATGTATAGGAATCTTTCCTTATTTAATTTTTGAGCATTTAAAAATGTTTTTCTAGTCTATTAAATTATATCAGTTAGATTATAAAATATAAAGATTAAACAACCTTGGATCACATTGCACTGCAGAACCTGCTTTTATCACAGTGCTCAGTCTTAAAATACAATTGAAAAAGTCATTCCCCTTGAAATTCTGTTGAACTGTAAATGGAAGTCTAGAAATATTTTTATACAATTGCCAAGAGATTTTAATGAGGAAGAATAACTCTTTAGAATATATTCTGAGCGAGCTGTTTGCATGACAGTTTCAGACGTGGACTTAAAATCATCCACCTATAAACTGCAAGGGGTCAAGTTTGTGTTCCTGTTTGGTTCCCTTGACAACCAAAAGGTGTGGCTCAGAGTTTCTGGGGAGTACCTGCTGCGGTGCACGTGACATGGGAGTGGGTGTGTGTGTGTGTGTGCAGGTATGTGCACATGCATGAGTGAATGTGGCCCCTGCCCTCAGGCCTTTACCAGTGCCAAGTGTGAACTTTCAGAATGAATCTCTCCTGCCATCCCTCTGCCCGTCTTTCTCCCCAGGTCCCCTGTTGGCCTTTGTGAGTCGTGACACACAGGCATAGGGTAAATGACCTCAGCTTTTAAGTCAGGTATACTTGAGTCCATTCCACACCTTGCTTCCTAATTGCCACCTGATTTTGGAGAAGTTTTCTAACCCTCTTTGAGCTGCTATACAATGAAAAAAAATCCCTCTTGCAAGATTACTATGAGGATTGATGATGATCTGTGTAGCATCCCTGGCACTTAGTAGGTGCTCCAAGAGCAGGTGCCATTGCCACACTTCACTCCAGAGGAGGCAGCATAACTAGGAGAGAAGTATATGGACCTTGGAGCTGGCCAACCTTAGGTTCAAAGGCCAGCCTCTGCCACCCACCAGCTGAGTGACCTCGAGCAACTCATCCAATGAGTTTGAGCCTTTCCTTTCCAGTCAGTCAAATAGATAGTAGTACTTACTTCATGGGATTTTGTGAGAATTAAAAGATAATGTTTGGACAGAGACCTGCACAGTGCCTGGTGATGATTGGGTATCCAATAAATAGAATTAATGATGCTTATGATAGCATTTCTGCAATGTCTTGCAATTTCCTAAGATGTTCAGTACCTTCCACCCCCGACAGACAACAGCAAAAGCAATAGTAACATAGATCCTTCCCCAGCTGAACCGAAGTGATACCTTCAGGAATGTTTCAAACTGTTTTCAGTCTCTCTGAAGCTCCTGATGCATAAGGCAAATACCCACAGGATGGCCATGGAAGGAGTGGAATAGGAGTCCTGACTGGCTATCCTTTCTGACCCTTCTGAGTGACTAAGATCCTGCAGAAATGTGACAGAAAAAGAAAGTTCCTTGGAGATGGGCTGGAATTGCTTGTGATCTGTCCCTCTGATTGTGTTAGAACGCTTCCAGCCAGGTCCAGGTCCGTTCTGCCTTAGCACAGCGAATCAATCACTGTGACATGGAGGGTTTTCCAAAAGAGAAAAGATTTGTTCAGAAAGGTACCAAGTGAGGCAGGAGAACAGCTCTCAAATCCACCTCCCTGAAGACAAGGCTCGGGGATATTTATGGGTTAGGGAAGCAGGGTGGTCTAACGTGTGGGGAAAAGTGATTGGCAATGGGGAAAAAATGAAGTAACAGGTTCATTCTGCACAAGCATAGTCGGGGTTCATGGCATCTCAAAGGAAGTATGTTCAGTAAATGGCAGCATTAGCGTGATCTGGGGGAGGTGGAGCTTTTGGCCCTCCAATGTCAAAAGGCCACCTCTCCGGCACTTGCTCAGGCCCAGTTGAAGGGGCAGTGGTCCTAACTGGTTTGAACTGGACAGGAGCTTGCCCTAGTTTCTGAAAAACAACTGTTGCGACCATTACCGTGGTGACCTATGAATGTTATCTGTAAAGTAGCCAGTGAAGGTCAAGTTCCAGCATTCAGTGGCAAGGCCTCAGCTTCATGGAAAAAGGAAAAAAAAAAACAAAACAAAACAAAAAGCAAGTGACCAAAAGCAAGCAGTACAGGCAGATCCGATCAAATTAACCCCTTGGTTTCAAGAATGCAAACTAGACTAAGACATTTGCAAAGACTAGTTTCAGAGACCACAGGGAGACTGCAAGACAGCCAGCCATACTTGCAGTGATACGGAACTTTACAAAGTCATTGAAGGGCTTGTGCTGAACTTCTCCCTACCTCATGGTCACCGCAGCATACACTGGTTGGCCCCTCTTTCCGTAGGCTGTGATTTCTAATGGGGCTTGATCAGGATGATCTGGTCCTGCTAATTTGACACAGTTGCAGTTTGGAGTTAGAACCACAGGTCTTGGTGTTGATGACGTCTGCCAGTAGAGATGCTCCCAACGTCCTAGTTGTGGATTCATTTCCCACATTTTGAGGAATTTTGTGAGGATATTGTGATAAGAAACAAGAAGGCTGTGACATGTATAAAGGTCGATTGTGTGCTGATCATTTGTGTATTGTATTTCTCAGGCTCTGGGAGACTTTTGTCTCTGTGTTTTGCCATGCATGGCCTGGAAAAGAAATAGTTATGAAGTTTTCACTTTTTGCAGCTGTCATGGGCCCAAGTTGCGGTGGCTCACATGGACAGTATGGGTTCCAGGAACCCTGTCAGGACAGCTTTCTCCTCCCACCCCTCCACTTCCCATAGATTCCAAATGGGAGGTGCCAGCTTCTTACAGAAACTCCCTGGCCTTAGTGACTGGTGGAGGGATAGGCACGTGGCCCAGTCCAGGCCAGAATTCCACCCTAGGCTTCACATCCTGGCTCTGGGAGCTCCACAGGGTGTGCTGGCCTCACGAGCCCTGCACATGGAATCTGCTGGGGTACGGGAAATGGCACCAGCCCAGAGACGCACAGACAGGGGCCACTCTCTCCTTGCCCTACCTGTGGCTGGATTTGATGGGCTCATCAATTCTCCTTTATACTTAAGCCAGCTTGAATTGGGTTTTTCTTATGTACAGTCGAGAGTCATGATGAATACAGTGTTTCTAATTAACAGTGTTAGTTAAACTAAGTATACAGCACTGGTGATTTCTGTGTGTCAGTGTCATTTCAGCCTCTTTGTTGTCTTAAGAGGCCCACTTAGTGGTTTGACTGTCCCTTGAGAGAATAGAAGGTGAGCTTGGAGAGTTTTCAGAGACAGTGACTTGATTTAAAGAAAGTAGGATCATAGTAGTAATACTCCTCACATCCACGTATCCCCCATTATAGCTGCAGAGACCTGGCTTACATGTAATTTCACTTACTTCTTGAGAGGTAGGTGGTATCTTCCTGATCTTACAGATGAAGAAACAGAAGCTTAAAGTCGAGCATTTGGCTAAACCAAGCAGCATATATGTATATGTGTAAATTAATGTGTAGCTGTATGTGTGTGTAGGTGCATATATGTTTAAGTGTGATGAGCATGTGTGTGTGTATGTGTGTGTATGTATTATTATGAAGGATTTTCAGAGTCAGGATTCAAAGCCAGGTCCCTCAAATGCTAAATTCAGGTCTATAGCACAAATGCTATTTTAGGCAATCCCCATTTCCTCCAAGTTCATTGACTCACATGTCCAACCAATGCCATTTATAGTTAGATGGCCTTATATAGAGAAGAACTGTGTTCACCCCCTGCCACGGCCCCCACCGCCAACACGCACGCATACTCTGATCGTTTTGGAAATGGAACACATTTTCTCTTTTAACATCTGATCTTCCCCTCACTGCATTTTAGATTCATTGTGAACAATTTTGAGTCTCATTAGAGGTGTCTTAATTTTAAAAATTAAGTTGGGAACTAGCAAGTGAGATTGAAGAGGCTATATCTTTGGTTCTGACCTGGATTTTCTTTACTCAATTACTCTTCAAATTATACTGATTTGAGATGTGATTATTATTATTTTTCCTAAGTAGATTGGATAATGAGAGAAATGCAAAGGCATGCTAGACTAATAGTGATCTGAGTTTCTGCTACCTCACTTGTCCTTCCATTTCCCCTCCCCCAGCCAGAGCACCGCCCCAGCCCCTGCTTCCTGGTCTACCTGGTGAGCCACCTAACCTAGCGAAGGCAGCTGCTTCCCTGTCTTTCCAGCGTCAGCCCAGCTATGACCACTGCAGCGCCAGGGATCCTGGCCAACTTGCGCATTGTAATCACGTGATGCAGTGCTCACCATCCTGCAGCAGTTTCCCATGTTAGTTCCCAGCCCTTCCTTATATGCCTCATTTAAATGTAAGATTTAAATTGTACCGTCTACCCTGAGAACCCACTGTGTAGCCACCCTCATCTCCTCAGGGTCAAACCTGCTCACAGTACCTTTATCAGAATTGCCCCTCAACTGCTTGAAACACATTTCTTTCATCTCCCTGTCTTTTTTCCTGTAGGGAAGAAGGGAAGAAGGTAAACTACCTAAAAGGGAGATGGTGATGTTTTCTCCCCGCATCCTGCTTCATCACTTTTCCCCTTTGCTTTTACATACACACGTGTCATGCTCAAGTGCTGTCTGTGCATTGACTCATGGCTCGTGCCTTTGGTATGAGCCTCATTACTGGGTGAGCTTCGCCAAATGAGCTTTTGGTGTTGCTGCAAATACAATGGCGTCTCTTTTGTTTTAGGGCCTGGAGTGACATTGTGATGGAGAAGTGCACAGTTGACCATATTGAGCCGGTCAGGAGGGTAGATTTAAGAGAGGCAGCAACAGCAGCCTCTCGTATAAGCAGCAGAGTCTTCCCTGACACCTTACTTATTTCCCCCAGGATCTGAGCTCATTCGCCATGGCAGGAACCACTAAGATTGTTTGGTTATCCCGTTACTTCTGTCTTCCAGCCAGACTGTAATCTCCTTGAGGCTGGAGTTTTCTTATCTCTATCTCCAGCACCTTGCAGGTTACCCAGCACACGGTAGGAGATCAATGAAGGTTTGTAAAATATATCCATGTAACTTACTGTTATGGACTGAATTGCATCTCCACCGCCCCCCCAGCCGCCTCCAAAATTTATATGTTGAAGCCTTCACCACCACCGCCCCGCATGTGACTGAATTTGGAGATAGAGCCGTTAAAGAGGTAATTAAGATGAAATGAGGACATAAAGGAGGAGTTTTTATAAGGACTGGTGTCTTTGTAAGAAGAGATACCAGGAATGTACATGTACTGAGGAAAGGCCACGTGAGGACACAGTGAGAAGTCGGTCACCTGCAAGCCAGGGAGACAGCCTCAGGAGAACCCAAACGTGCCACCTCTTTGCTCTTTGATGTCGGACTTCTAGCCTCCAGAACTGTGAGAACATCAGTTTTTGTTCTTTAAACCACCCAGTCTTAGTATTTTGTTCTGGCAGCCTGAACTGACTTAATATATTTACCAACTGTCCTAGCACCTTGTATCCCAAAGCTGGGACTGTAGGGGTCAACTTTGGCTGCTAAGGGCAGTTTGGGAAGATCCCAAGGTTGGCTGCTTAAGATAAATCCACAGTAATGGGCAGCTGTGTCCCACCCTGCACTCCTCCTTCACCACCAGTGAGGCAAGTCTGGCTAAGGCTGTTTCAGGCATTCCCACCCTACCAGGGAACGTGAATGTCATCATCAACTAAGATTCTGGGCCTCTTGGAAATTGTTTTAACTTGACCTACATCACCGTATGCCCCGAGACCTTGGCAGTTCTGTACACCCATGAATAATAGCAATTAGCATGAAAAGAAAGCTGAAAGAGTCTCAAGTAGGACGATCTGCAGTCTGGCCTTGGACCTTCCACTTACTAGCTGTGTATACTTGCATGTGTAATTTTACCTTTTTGGGGTCTATGATTTGTTTTTAAAAGTGGACGTGCTGCTATAATGGACAGTTCCTTTTCCCTCTTTTAGGCATTAACCCTGGCTTGCAGGTGGAGAGCCCTCCATCCCCCCAGTTCATTCATCTGTGTGCTTCCAAGTGACGTCTCTACCACTAGTTTAAGTCACTCTCATTCCTCTGGCTACACTGGTGTGTCTGGGTGGTCATGTGATAGAGGCTGGTCTGATTACAGTGATTCTCAGACCTTTTCCAGTGAACACTGGGGAAATGCTAGATTCAAAGCTGCTGTTTGTAGCCCCAGGGGCTGCCGGCAGCCACCTGTGAACAGAGGAGAGCCTGTCCAAGCCTATTTTCACCAGCAGCGTTGCTGAGTTGGGGGACAGAGAGTAGGGCTTGGTAAATGCCATTTGAAAGGCATCACTGTTCCTGGTTTTCCCAGTCACAGGCGATAAAATCTCTTCAATTCGGTTTTTAAAAATCGCTAAAGATGGAAAGATTACTAGCTGATAAAGCTATTAACACCTGCCCTGTACACCATACAGGAGCTACAGGAGCTTTCATAATACAATTTCTAAATAAGATCATGAAGGCAAAGGCAAAGGTTGTGACATACAGTTTGAACACAGGGAATTATTATTTGGAAAATCCAAATAATAATTTGGTGACTGGTGCCTCTTGGACTCAATATCATGCTCTTTGAACATCTGTGAAAAGATGTGTACATTCTTAGCACAGTGTCACCTGGTAAGGAATGAATATATGGAAGCTGTTGTTATCATCAGTAAGAATTATTGCAGCAGTGATAGGAGGGGGATGTAGAAGTCTTTGAGAATTTTGATTTGATGATGAAGATAGCTGCATGGAATCCTACTTGAGAAGGAACTGATTCTGTTTCTTTTGGGGTTAGGTGGTACCAGCATCCTCCTGATGTGGATGGCACTTGTTTGTGGAAACTGAGTAGCGTCCTCATAGCCAGGTTCCTGACGATGGAAACTCATGGGGAGCCCTTTCCTTGTGAGCCCACCCTGAGGGTGTTCCTGCTCTTCTTGGGCCTGATTCTCATCTGATCACCTTGGCTGTATGTTGCCCCAGCCAAGGACAGTATACAAAGACAGGCCAAGGTTCTGGTTATCCTTGTGATGTGATATAGTTTGGCTGTGTCCCCACCGAAATCTTATCTTGAATTGTAGCTCTCATAATTCCCATGTGTTATGGGAAGGGACCCCATGGGAGATAATTGAATCATGGGGGTGATTTCCCCATGCTGTTCTGTCATGTTAGTGAATAAGTCTCATGAGATCTGATGGTTTTATAAGGGTTTTCCCCTTTTGCTTGGCTCTCTTGATTTCTCTCTCGTCTGCTGCCATGTAAGATGTGTCTTTCGCCTTCTGCTGTGATTGTGAGGCCTCCTGAGCCATGTGGAACTGTGAGCCCATTAAACCTTTTTCTTTACAAATTACCCAGTCTCGGGTATGTCTTTATCAGCAGCATGAAAATGGACTAATACAGAGTGCAAGGTAATGATTAGGGAGGACAAGAGGGGGGCTCCTCAGGTGCCAAGAGCCCCCTGTTAGTTCATAGGGTGCTGATTACATGGTAAATTTTCTTTCTTTCTTTTTTTTTGAGATGGAGTCTTACTCTTGTTGCCCAGGCTGGAATGCAATGGCGTGATCTCGGCTCACTGCAACCTCTACAGTATCCTGGGTTCAAGCAAGATTCTCCTGCCTCAGCCTCCCAAGTAGCTGGGACTGCAGGTGCCTGCCACCATGCCTGACTGATTTTTGTATTTTTTAGTAGAGACAGGGTTTCACCATGTTGATCAGGCTGGTCTCAAACTCCTGACTTCAGGCGATCCCCCCACCTCGGCCTCCCAAAGTGCTGGGATTACAGGCGTGAGGCACCACCCTGGCAATTACATGGTAAATTGTTTGGGAAAATTCACTGAGCTGTACACATACAAGGGCTTTGCTGGACATACGTTATTCCAATAGAAAGTTTCAAAACTGATTGGGCAGCTGCAATTTCATTACACCTATTTGATTTCAGATTTTTATTATGTACATGTAGTGAGCCTCAGAATTCTTACATGGTTAAAAAATAGGATTGTCATAGATTTTATCAAATCAAGTGGTAATTTAGAGCTGAGCGAAACACAAAGTAACAAGAATTTTTATCACAATTCAAGCATATTTTATAAAGTCTCTCCAAACCTGCTTGTTATTGATGTTGTTAATACAATATTTAGATTCCATTTTGAACATTCCAGCTGGCAAAGATTACTGAATGTCAGTCTCTCCCAAGAATGAGTTGGTTTTTTTTTTTCTTCAAAAATTCATTGCCAGAGAGTTAGGTTCACAACTGTAAGTTAAGATGAACTTATGTGACTATAAGTGAAATTAGGAAAAAAATGAAAACCCTTCAGCAAAAACTTGAGAAGGCCTTTGCCAAAACACATTGGTAAATTATATAAGCTTTAAAATTTTATGTAGACAAAAGTGGTTTCTCTTTCCACCATAATATCTTGATGGTTAAATATGTCGGTGAAGTAATTGTTTTATAAACTATTGTTTAAACCTTGAAACTTCATAGCAAGCGTTTTTCTAGGCAGAAAACATTGTGCTTGAAAACTTTGGAGATTTAAAAACAAGCAGGCCAATTTCACTGCGATCTATAATTTCCAGTGGAATATGGGATAGCCAAGATCTTTTTAGTCGGGAAACATATATAATTATACCAGTACCTTAGAGGTTCGCTTTGAAAAGAATCCTCTTTCTCTGCAGAATTTGTTGAAATGATTAAGGTTGCCTGTCAGTTCAGTGAACCATTTGTTATCTTCAATTAAACTGAAAGTCTCCATACATCAGCCCTTTGTAAATACTGAGTGGTTAATGCTGCCTCTTAGGTTTCCAAATGTCTTAAGAATGTGTTGTAATAAAAAAAAATTAGCATCATTTTAATATTAATACTCCGACATAGATTTTATCTTGAGAGTGTTTCTGAACCAAAGACTCTGTTAGCCCCATATTCAGGGGCACAGGGAATCTCAGATATGTTTGTATTTGTTTTCCCGAAAGAGTTAAGACAATATTTTCTTTTTTTAGTTAAGGTTAGTTACCCACATGTCCTGATTTTGACTAGTTTAACTCTTGAATTCTTCCTCTTTAGCATATTTTCCCTGTTCTAGTTGATCCTTTCCCCTCTCCAATGTCTAATAAAAAGCTTGTTTTCTTGGAACAAGGTAGTTTAAATAGTATTTCCTATGTGTCTGGGATCATTATTTTTGTGATAGCAGCAAAGTGCCACAGATCACACTGGCCTCCAGTTTGCATATTTGTGTGTGTGCAGGGTCTAAGTTAAATCATAGCATTTTAGAACGAGGAGGTTTCTTAGATACCTAGCTGGCCCCATCCTCAATGAATAGACAAGTAAACTGGGCCCAGAGTCAGGGCTTGCCCTGAGTCACAGGCAAACTGGTGGTAAAACCTGCCCCTTCTCAGGTCAGTCCAGCTCTCTTTTCCAGCCATCAAATTGGAATAAACTCTCCTTCTCTTCTTCTTCTTCTCCTTTTTTTTTTCTTTTGAGACAGGGTCTCTCTCTGTCACCCAGGCTGGAGTGCAGTGCGCGATCTCGGCTCACTGCAACCTCTGCCTCCTGGATTCGAGTAATTCTCTTGCCTCAGCCTTCCGAGTAGCTGGGACTACAGGTGCCCACCACCACACCTGGCTAATTTTGTTTTGTTTTGTTTTGTTTTTTGAGACGGAGTCTCGCTCTGTCGCCCAGACTGGAGTGCAGTTGACATGATCTTGGCTCACTGCAAGCTCCACCTCCTGGGTTCATACCATTCTCCTGCCTCAGCCTCCCGACTAGCTGGGACTATAGGCGCCTGTCACCACGCCCAGCTAATTTTTGTATTTTTGGTAGAGACGGGGTTTCATCGTGTTAGCCAGGATGGTCTCGATCTCCTGACCTCGTGATCCGCCCGCCTCAGCCTCCCAAAGTGCTGGGATTACAGGTGTGAGCCACCACGCCTGGCCTAATTTTTGTATTTTTAGTACAGACAGGGTTTCACCCTGTTGGCTGGGCTGGTCTCGAACTCCTGACTTCAGGCAATCCACCCACCTCAGCCTCCCAAAGTGCTGGGATTACAGGCGTGAGTCACTGCCGCCGGCCCTCCTTCTCTTCTTAATATATTCAGAAATATGGAAAGGTAGAAAAGAAACCCAAACTGCAGTATATATGGTAATAAAAGCAGGAATGTACAGCTGAAACTTCCTTCTCATCATACTGGGCCCAGCCCCTGGCCTTGAGTCCCAGCGTTTCTGCTTGCTAGCAGCACGTGTGTCTTTCCGGGTCTCAGTGTCTCTATCTATGAATTGGGAAGTCAGACCCACAGTGATAGATCTCAGGAAAGACTTCAGTGGTGTTGCTCCCATGCCTGCCATACAGGGAATCACTCCACACCTCAAAGCTACCACTGAACCATTTGGTGGGTCTCTCTCCTTTTAGGTTCCTTTTGGGACATTGCAGGCCCCAGCCAGGCCTGCCTGGACTTGGCCCCAACCCACTGCTATGTGCATGGTCCAGAGTTTGACTGAGGATGACCCCAACTCCAGGGTCAGCCCAACCCAAGGCTCAACCTGTGGTTCAAGATAGTCCGCACACATGCACATACACAAACACAGGTAGCAGACTGAGCAATTTACATATGCTAACATGTAAATTGGGGTTATTTTGAGCTGTGGAATTGTGTGGATAGTTTTTAATGAATTTTATACTTGCCATAATAAAAATATATTGGTTACACAACTAAAATACATAAAAGAACAAAACTAATTAAATGTTATAGCTGCTCGTTTATGTCATTAGGGTAATGTTAAAGGTTAGTTAAGATCTTTAAAAATCTGAGCAGCGCATGCAAACATACAAATGGCAGAGTGATTCCGACACTTGGGCTGCTTAAATATTAGGGGGTAGGGAAGCTTTCAGTTGGGCCCCTCTTTGAGCCTAGTTGCCTGTGCCGGAGCATTCTACACTTCAAATAAATACAATCCATATCCTTAAGCTGTTACGTGAAAGAAATAACAACTAATAGCAAGTCGGCCATCAGGCCCATTGCCGTACACATGACCCTGGGGACAAAGTGGGCTGCACCCAGGCTGTGCCAGCCAGGAGTTCTTTGGCTGGTCCCCTCCCACCTGATATAGATGAGCTGGGTTAGTGCTAAGAAGAGAGAGCCCCTCTTTTCTTGCTGATTGCCGGGAGCACAGGGGTGCCAGCCCAGAGCTCTGGTGCAGGCTGCCGCAGTGGTCGGGCTCTCCCAGAGACCTGGCCTCACCGGGAGTGATCTCAGCTTCGTGCCCGGGAGAGCAGATCCCCGTACAGAAAAGGGAAAGCAATTCAGTGGCAGATTATGACCTTGTTGATCACATTTGAAAGCAGGTAGTATTTGGGGAGTTAGTTCAGATTAAAACTATGGAGGAGCAGTTACGTAAGCACCGACTGTGCAGGGTGAGGACCGGTAAGCTATTTGGAATTCCCAGGATTATAAAAATCATTACGTGTTGTTTAACAACTGGAATACTTTTCAGGTGTTCTAAATGATCCATTCACACTGCCCGACACGAGGCTGCAGACTTCCACTATCTGCTGTTACTTGTAGAGAATCCCATAGACTGACCTGATCAGTTCCATAAGGACCAGCATTTTAGAAGTTCTGTCTGTGGATATGCTGGTTGAGAGTAGATTCAGAACTGAATGTCAGGATTCCAGAGGTTGAATGTGTGTAGCTGTTTTTATTTCACTTAAGTCTTTTTGTAATCTTAAAACATATTTAATATGCAGTTCAGATAGGCCTCCAGATGTTCTGTGACAACCAAAGCTGGAAGGAAGGTTTCTGTCGGGGGAGTTGACCCCAAAGCCTGGAAGTTTCTGCCGAGCCCTGGTCTGTACTTTGGTGCTCACTACCATCTGCTTTAGAGCTGCTCTGCTGTGAGAGGCTGTATGTCAATGACTATATTTAATTAATTTGTCTAACATATCCCGCCTAGTTCCAAAAAGAATTTGCAATGGCCTACAAAAGTGCTGTATACCTAGAGGTTTTATTTTTTATCTTATTTTATTTTATTTTTTAAAGGAAGTGCAGAAATTATAAGGGAAAATAAAGGCAAGAAACCCAAGATAAAGTTAGAGGATAACATTAATATACAAAATTAATATTGTAAATTCTAGGTATTGGTTTGGGAGTGGGATCAGTCATGAATTTGGCTCTGAGCTTCCTAGTGACCAGAGCAAAGAGGGAAACATGATCATTTGTATGGTTTAAATGTTCAGAAGATTAAAACTGACTCATTACCCAAGAGAAACACAGAGGTCCGTAATACTAAAACCTGAGAGATGCTTGTCCTTTAGATTCTCATAGAAAGAGATCATCAGTCATACAGCAAGACGCATCCTTAATAATATGCCTGGTTTCAAAGGCAGTTTCCTGTAACATCTCTCTAGGCAAAGCAATGCAACAGAGATGTAGAAGTCAATTATTCAGTGATAGTTCCAGGAACATTGCCTTCTTGTCTCTGAGTGACTGGGTCTGAGGTCCGGCCCAGAATCTGTAGTCTTCAAAGCCACCAGGTGATTCTGTTGTATAGACAGGCTTGATGCTGTCTGCTATAGGCAGTGAGAAACAGATAACTAAGCTAGGCAAGTGGCCAGAGCTGGAAACACAGAGTTGGTGAGTTGTTCGTGATCAGGGGATAACCGAGCATGTGAGAGGATGTGAGAGGTGAAGCTCAGAGGAAGTGAGCCTAGTAAGGAAAGAGGGTGTGGACGAATGAGCCTGATAGGACCCCAAAAGAGGAAAAGACCTGGGCACATTCCCAAGGGAGAACCTTCATACTCGTTTTAAACCCTTTCACAAATGTGGTTTAGAAGAAGCTACATAGATGGGAAAGGTATACTGTCATGTGAAGAAGACATTTGAAGGTAAAGCGCATTGAATATATCTTTAATTGGGACCACTGTAACTATTAGTTACATTTATCTTCTGAAAAAAGCTGCTTACATTTTAGCAAATAAGATGTAGGTGTTTTCTGGGAAAATACATTTTAGAAAATAAGATGTAGGTGGTCCAGGTGGTATCACAATGACTACTATTTATTAACCTGGCCTGTTGTGTTCCAGGCATGGAGCTTGGCACATACCTGCATGCCTTCACTTGAGCCTCACCAGAGATCTGTGGAGGAAAAGTGGCATCATCATCATCGTCATCATCATCATCTCCCTATCAGTGACAGTGATTTACTCAGATTTGCCCATTCCAAGAGAATTCATAAACTTGGCACTCTATCTGTGGTTATGAAGCTTTCTTTCCCCTTTCCTTTTCTCCTCCCTTCCAGGGGGTTGAAATAATATAGAACATGAAATCAGAACTGTTGTCCATTGTTGGTGAACTAAGGGAGGTGGGAGGCTGAGGGTCACTTGGCTCAGCCTCCTCCTCAGCCCCCTACAGAAAAGCCAGGCAAACACCACTGCTCCAGGGTGTTGCTGCCTCTCAGAGCACTGGCCCACCATGATTTTGTGATGCATTTGTCATGGCTCTAGTGCGTGTGTGTGTGTGTGTACACTCAAGGATGGTTGGTCATTCCCAGTTTCATTCTTTATGATGTCTCCTTTTACAAAGTAGAAAACAAAACCATGAAGGCTCTACTCTGCTGTTAGGATACCATCCTCAAGCCTTGGTAAAAATGCTCACACCATTGTCTTCTGAGGAAATGTCACCCCTTAGAGAGTGCTCACAGGCACCCATGCCACTCGCTTTGCATTGCTCTGAGGTTAAAATCAAAATCCACGGGACATCGAGGACCAAGCCAGTCTCACACCAAGACCTTAAATGGACATTAGCCAAAGTCTTTGAAACTTTCATTTTTTTGTTTTTTGGAGATAGGATCTCACTCTGTCACCCATGCCGGAGTACAGTGGTGTGCCCATAGCTCACTGTAGCCTTGACCTCCTGTGCTCAAATGATCCTCCTGCCTCAGCCTCCCAAGAAGCTAGGACTATAGGTGTGCGCCACTATGCCCAACTAAACATAATCCAGACTCTTTATGGTGAAAATTCACCTGGTGGGGAAGCCCAAAGAGGATTTTGAGAGATTTCCTAATCTAGTCTCTTCCCACAGGATCGGATTATACAGGAATTGGTACTTACAGGTGGTAATTAGTTCTGTTCTTAGAAGATTTCTCTAGAGGGTAATTCGACTACTTTCTTCAGTAGTATGTTTCAGCCCAACTTCGTGGAAGGAACTTCTTCACACTCTCTAATTTGAACCTCTCTTCTTATGGTTTGAATACAATTTCCTTTACTTCTGTCCTCTATGACAAGGAAAATAAACAAATGGGTCCATTCCCTGCATCTTATTGTAACACCTTGAAAATGTCACCTTGCCCACAAACACCATGGGCCTCATGGAAGGTGGTGGGACTCAGCCCCTCATGATGGAATGGAAATAGGTCCATGTGTCCATATGAGTTGTTGATGGTGGTGGATGGAGCCACCTCCTCCTGCCCTAGCCCTGGGGGACTCTCACCGCAACCTGCAGGATAGGTGGTTAAGGAGGGGTTTGTTTTCCAGCTAAACAATGGAATGTTTCTCTGCCCAAAAATAACTGGTTTATTTCCTACTAGCTGACCTGCAGTTCACACAGAAAATAATGAATATCTTGAGGGGTCTAAACTATACTGCTTTTTATAGCTTCTTCTGATTCTTTGAAAAGTAGACTTGCAGAGGTCTCACCTGCTCAGGCTCCTGTTGGCAGAATATCAAACCGTGGTCTCATAGCCAGATTTTCCCTGAATAATGAATGAGCCAGTGTCGAGAAAGTCAGAAATAGAAATCAATAAAGCTAAATTTCACCAAGAAGAGGCAGCTTTGCAGTGGAATGATAGAGAACATTGAGGCCAATGGATGCCAAACTCAATAATGCACATCCTTAAACTCTCACGGATTAGGGAGAGCAGAAAAGAAAACCAGTGTCTTGGGAAGAGTCAGAAGGGATCAGAGCTTGAGAATACACCTTGCTCAGTGGGAAGAGGAAGGATGGGCCAAGCATCAGAGGCTCAGCTTCTTACGGCCGGGACAGCAATAGCGTGATGCACAAACCTCCTGGGAGCCAGCGTTAAACATCTTCATAAATCATATGTTTGCAGCTGTGTGACCAAAATAGACGTCCACCCAGCCTGTTTGTCCTGGCCTTGTGGAATGTGGCGTGACCGTAGGTCCTCAAAGACATCTGTGATTCCTGCCCCTGCTTCCCTCAGTGCCGTTCATCAATCATCTGTCCAAGCCTAACTCTCCCCTCTGATTGCCAGTGACATGGTCCTACTGATTGATTGATTGATTGATGATTGACTGATTGATTGATTTTCATATGAGAGAGTTTGAAGCATATTGTGTGGAGAGCCTTTTTTATGCCAGTTATTCATTGAAAAACTCGATTTTCCCCTTGAAAATGACAACAGGTGTCCTTGAGGGGACAGGGCAGTGTGAGGAGGGTGGCAGGCAGGGAAGGGTGGTGCCAGCACACTCATTCTGACCCGCTGGCACCAGGCAACCATGAGTTCTTTTATTAGGGCATGTCAGATGTGCCTCTGGGGCTGGTGTCAGACCCACCTCCACCCTGCCCTCTAGACTTACTGTGAGCCTCTGGCACTCATGGGGAGGTGTCTTGTTCCTTAGGTGCCTTGGTACATTGCAAAAAACGAAAGTGTGAGAGCCACTGGAGGCTGGTTGTAGAAGGGTAATGGCAGGGTCTCTGTGCAGAGTGGCACTCCTGCTTCTTACTCCTATGAAGACCTTTTTTCTTGAGGACAGTCATGAATGGTGTGCCCAGCGGTTTCTCCTGGAAGGTCAGTTTGCTGACCCCAGGCCTTGTTAGTGGTTTAGTTGGAGTCCGCTTAGAATGTCCTGCGTGCTGCTTTGAAAAGAGCCCTGGGCCAGGAGCAAGGGCCTTGGGTTTAACCTTGGCACCTTTTGTATCCTCCTTTCATAGCCAAACAGACATGTGCAATTTATAGTCAACTCCCTGGGCCTCAGATCCTCACCAGGAGAAGAGTGTTGGATGGGACCATTTCTTAAGATCCCATCTAGCCTCTGGCATTCTGGGTGTGAGGGAGAAGACTTTTGTCATAGGACTTTTTGTTCTTAATTGTTCTCGCCATTCCTAGAGCCTAGTACTGTTGCGTCTGACACCGAGAGAACCAATGCTTGTTGAATGAATGAGTGAATGAATGAATGAACACAGACCAACAGTAATTCATCTTCATAGGCAGCTGGTGCCTGATTTAAATACAGAGAGCCGGTTTCCTTGTGTTTGACTCAAGTCTACACAGTTGGAGATTTGGGCATCAGTTGAAATGCCGCATTTGTGAAAATGAGACCGGAAAGTGGCAACGTGGGCTCATGGCTGGTGTTGAAAGAAGTGTTAATGTGTGAATTTCTTCTAAAAGACATTTCACAATGCACTGTGTCCTTAGCGTTCTCGCCCTTCATCAGAAGAAGGAGTCGCTGATGCTGAGGCCTGTGCTCCCTGTGTTCAGAGAGAGCTTTATAGAGTAGCCCCTGGCCTCTGGGAACTTAGCCTCTAAGAATTTGCACTGCCCCCAAATGCGCCGCACATGGGAAATCCTCATGGGGGGAATAAAAAAAGCTCTGAATCGATACACAAGTGTCATTAAAGCACTTAGCTTTCCTGCAGATCTCTGCTAAGTGCTGCTAAGTGCGTCGTTAGTGGGGGAGTGGACAACAGAAGGCCCATGGCTGGGCCGCAGTGGCAAAGGTGTGGTCAGAGAAGGTGGCCTTGAGCACTCTGGGTCTGAAAAGGTGAGTAGGACTAGTATCTCTTCTCAGGCCCCCTAGGAAGGCCTCATGGAGGAGACGAGTGTTCAGAGGCAGAACTTGGAGGTGATCCCACCCCACCAGGCAGAGGACACAGATTGATGGCCCCGGGAGCAGAGCCAGCACACTGGTACACAGATGGGTTTTTTTATTGTTGGACAGAGTGATTTTGAAAATTTGAATTCATTGCCACTACTTAAAAATCAGGAAATTTTACATAAATATCTGGATTTCTAGCTTCCCTTGACATCTGGGAGATGGAGCATCCCCGGGCATGCCTTGCTACAGGGCAGCAACTGGCTGGACCTGAGCAGCCACACTCCGAGCTGTCTGTCTGGCCGTGCAGTTCTGACCACTCGCTCCTTTCCCTGCACCACCCCTTCTCCCCACCTCCCTTACAGACACTCAGCCATTTGAACTGAGTCCCTGGTTAGGGAACAAGCTTGCTGACTTCTGTTGGGGAAACGTTCCAGGCTCAGGCAATTCAAGCAGCCTTGCAGAAGGCAGGATAGCATGGCGATGATGGTGGTGATGATGCAGCTAAAACATGGAACTTTCTACTATGCGCAGAGCCTCTTCTGAGCACTCTCCTTGCTTTAACTCATTCATCCTACAGAAACGTGTGAGGAAGGGGCCATTATGATCCTGCTTTACAGATGGGGAGACTGAAGTGTTAAGTTTCACAGGGGCAAGTACCTGCTCCATGTCATGTTGTTAGTATGTGACACAGCTGGGGTTTCCATCCAGGCAGCCCGTTCCAAGACTGGTGCTCTTGACCAGGGATTAAAAAAATAACAGTTACAGGGTGCAGAATACAGGCCAGGGATCGTGCTGGGTGGTTTGATGGGCCATGGCCATAGATCCCAGCAACAGCCATTGGGACAGGTACCATGTGCCGATGAGGAAACAAAGGCTTGAAAAGATGAGTGATCTGCTCAGGCATACAGCTGGAGTCCGGAATCCATCAGGGCAGCTGAATTGGAAAGTCCTGGGGGATTTCAGGAAAGAGATTGGGGTCTTGAAAAACGCAGTGATGGCTAGTGAGAAGGGTACAGATTGACTAGAGAGGGAGGAGGAGGAGGAGGCCAAAGATTTATTAGAAGGCCTTAGACACATATGTCTGTACATTCTGTTTTTTTAAAACAGGATTGAATTTTGCTTCTCTTTTAATTTGGCGTCTGTTTTCTTGGTGCTGTAGCCCAAAGAAAGGAGCCCCCACCAGCCAAACTTTTCCCTTAAGAAACAACTCCGGGAGTGAAATAAGACTTGATCTTTTCTGTGCTCACAACTAAGGTTTCTTCAGTCCAGTCTATTTGTTGGGAAAGAGCCGTTTGATCTCCCACGTGGGCAGCATCAGGGCAAACAGGATGGATCACGCCTCACGGAGTGGTGAAAACTGGAACCGAATCTCCACCTTGAGGCCATGCAAAGACGTGCTGGCCCTGGGCAGCTCTCCCTGGGGAGCTCTTGAATTCACTCTTCCAGAAGCTTCATGCCCTAGAGCGAATGCCAGATCCCTGCCAGAGGCTCTTTTCCGCGATGCCGGTGAGCACTCCCTGAAAAAGGAAGTTTCCAAACTCAGGCTCCCTCCATTTTTGGTCCCCTCCCCAGGTGCAGGCTGTTTCGCATCAGGCCTTAATGAGCCCTGACAACCTGGGGCAGGAGGGAGCCATTTATAGCTAAACTGTGGTGGCTGCAGGCTGACCATCATGAGGCAGCATTCTTCTCCCTGGCACAGTCCACCAGGATCAGCACCGAGGCAAAACACCAGACACTTAGTGTCCTTGACAACCCCCTTCCAAGCTCTCGGAGCTTGTCTCCTTTCTCTAAAGTGACTGCGCTTCCCACTTTGGTTCCTGCAGTCCTGAATCTACCCACCCTTTGGGACAGTACCTACCCGCCATGTTGTGCACACACTCAGTTGAAAACGCATGCCAGTTTTATATCCTATTTCACACTGTATCTGTTGTTTCTCTAAAGATAATAATATCTTTGCATACTTTAACTCTTTATTCCAAGATTTTCATATAAAATCGAGGAATAGGTAAAATGTCCCATTTGCATTTTGAGTCCTCATATCTTCACACACCTCTTCGAGATATTTATGTAAAATTTCCTGATTTTTTTTTTTTTTTTTTTTGAGATAGAGTTTCCCTCTTGTTGCCCAGGCTGGAGTGCAATGGCACGATCTCGGCTCACTGCAACCTCTGCCTCCCGGGTTGAAGCAATTCTCCTGCCTCAGCCTCCAGAGTAGCTGGGATTACAGGCATGCACCACCACGCCCAGCTAATTTTGTATTTTTAGTAGAGATGGGGTTTCACCATGTTGGTCAGGCTGGTCTCGAACTCCTGACCTCAGGTAATCCGCCCTCCTCGGCCTCCCAAAGTGCTGGGATTACAGGTGTGAGCCACTGCACCCAGCCAATTTCCTGATTTTTAAGTACTGCAATGAATTCGAATTTTCAAGATCACCCTGTCCAACAGCAACGAAAAACCCATCTGTGTACCAGGGGTAGTATATGGCCTACTTTGAAAAGCTCACATATTAAAAGTATTAATAATCCTTGGCTCTATAGCCTGGATCTGGCTGGTAGTTTAGCAGGTTATTAGCTGAGTAACCTTTGTCAAGTTACTTAATCTCTGTTTCTTCATTTGTTAAACGGGCATAAGAATCACTACTTTGTAGGGTTGTTGTAAGAATGAAAGATGATCATTTAAATGGCCAAGTGTAAAAGTGGCACCTAGTAGACAATGAATGGTTGTTATTCAAGACACAGTTCTTCCAAAGAACTATCCCTGTTTCAGCCAAAGCCTACTGTCTGCAGTTGTAGCTAGTTTATCGCAAAGCAAATGTCTTTGAATGCTTTAAACCTTGGATTTGTTATATAAGGTTGAGCATGTTTGTGTCATTTGTCTTATTGCTTGTGCTTTGAGGTCAGGGACCACATGTAAAGACACCTTTGCATTTCCCATAGCACATCATTGGTGTTCTGTAAATATGCCAAGTTATTTGTTTATAGTAATGATTTTATGAATCCAAAGCAGCATGTTGAATTATTGTACAAAGAAAATAAATTTAAAATGGAATATTTCATAAAGGAGATGGCAGTTGAGTGGGATCTTTATATCGAAGGAAAACAGACATTTTAAATTTAAGTACTTGATTAGGTCCATGTACTCTTAATATTTGGAGGCTTTTTCCTATGCCAGTAAAGTAACTGAAATCCACCCACATTCCACATTAAATATCATTATATGTAAGCTATGTAAGAGTTGAATTTAGTTGCTCTTGATTGGTTAACATATGTTTATAGACATTTAACTGAGCATTTATTTCAAATGTGCGAGGTGCTTTTCCAGTGAATTTTGTGTTTTGGGCTGACCCATTTGCATAGGCTACAGAAAGCTTGGAGGCCCAAGCACCAGAATTAGGGGACCTGGTGGATCAAACAACTGGTAAAGGATTCTAGGCAGAAGGGGCAGTCTGTGAGTCAGGTCAGCTGCCTAGGGTGAATTCCGGGACAGTACTTGCATGGGTGTGCTGTGGCTGTAGGAGGCGTCTGAGAAATGTAGGATATGTGGGAAGAAGGCTGGAGGCTAGAAAAGGAGGAAATGCCACCTTCTAAGGCACCAGTGGCTCACAAGTAGGGGCATTTTGTTAGAAAAAACACAAAGCATAAATCCAGCACTTTCAAATACTAATCTTTTTCTTCAGCCATTTCTTGGCCAAGATAATTTTTTCCAGTCAGTGCTGTGGAACTGTATTAGTCTCTTCTCACACTACTAATAAAGACATACCCGAGACTGAGTAATTTATAAAGAGGATTAATGGACTCACAGTTCCACCTGGCTGGGGAGGCCTCACAGTCATGGCAGAAGGCAAAGGAGGAGCAAAGTCACGTCTTAAATGGTGGCAGGCAAGAGAGAGAGCATGTGCAGGGGAACTCCCCTTTATAAAACCATCAGATCTCATGAGACATTTTCACCATCACAAGAACAGCATGGGAAAGACCCACCCTCATGATTCAATTACCTCCCACCAGGTCTCTCCCATAACGCATGGGAATTATGGGAACTACAATTCGAGATTTGTGTGGGGACACAGCCAACCCATATCGGGAACATATATGAGTTTGGGGACAGAAGAAACATTTTCTTCTAGAATGTGCCATTCCCCATGGCCCTGGCAGAATAACTTGACTTCTCAGGATGTGCTTCCTCATCTGTAACATATGTGAGTTGGTCTGGGAGACATCAAAGGCTGCTTTTCTTTATAACCAACAGGTGTTTTTGCAGTTCTCTCAGAATTGTTCCATTGCTATCACATGACCAACTAGAGTTTGATATTCTTATATGTTTATGCTCCACTTTAGAAAACAAAACCAGGCTGGATGCAGTGGCTCATGCCTGTAATCCCAACACTTGGGGAGACTGAGGCAGGATAATTGCTTGAGCTCAGGAGTTCAAGATGAGCCTGGGCAACATCTGAAGACCCCCATCTCTACAAAATTTAAAAAATTAGCTGGGCATGGTGGTGTATGCCTATGGTCCCAGCTACTCAGAAGACTCAGGCAGGAGGATCCGTTGAGCCCAGGAAGTCAAGGCTACAGTGAGCTGTGATTGCACCACTGTACTTCAGCCTGGGCAACAGAGCAAGACCCTGTCTGAAACAAAGAAAACCAAAACCAGAAAACCTCCATCATGTTCAGTCAAATTGGTTCAGGGTTTGGCACACTTTTCCTGAAAGGGTCTTACAGTAAGTCTAATAGACTTTGCAGGCCACAGAACCTGTCTCACTTCTCAGCTCTGCCCAGGCACCCACAGGTAGCATGTCAACTGATGGATATGGCTGTGTCCAAAAAAGTTTTATTGATGGCCATTGAAATTTGAATTTCATATAATATTGATGACTTTTTTTTCAATCATTAAAAAATGTATAGAACCGCTGTTACCTCTCAAGCCATGCGAAACAGATGGATTTGGCCCATGGGCTGAAGAGCCTGTCCCTCCTCTGCAGTCACAGGATTTCCTCCAAGTTCCTGTTGTAGTCCTATACACCACCGTGTCTTTTATGGCATTGTCCCATCGTTGGATTTGTGTTTCTTTCTCCCGAATGAGCAGGGACTATGAGACCTTCCTCTACAGCCAAGAGTCCCTGGCGTATCATAGGTGCTTGCTGAATGCCTTCCAAATGAATGGTGTAGTAATTATCCCACTTGCAGGATGGCTGTGTCTACATGAAAAATTTGGAAGTTATTGTTTCATTCCTAGAAGGCAACATCTGTTTGGAGAGATCCGTGCTGGAAGGTATTTAGTAGTATCACGGTGTCTGCGTTGCTGACTTGCCCTCTCAGCATTTCAAAGGCTGTGATGCTTGTAAATAAATTCTCTTTACCTGACAGTGGCTGCTCTAAGAGTTACTCAGCTGAGAAGCTCTGAGTGCCTGTGAGTGTGAGTAAGCGAAGACTGTCAGGGGAAAGGGGAAAGGGCTTTGGAAAGGAGGATGGAGAAGAGACAGGTATGACAGCAACGGAAGCCTTTCCTGCTACAGGTGGCCTGTAAATATACTGTGTAGCTCTGCAGGAATTTCTAGAATGTTCCTTTCCACTGTTGGCAAGCTTTAGTGAGTACAGTGTATCTGTTGTGTCCAGACTCTCAAGAGACTTGATTTGAATGAGCCCCTGAAATACTTATTTTATACCTTGTTTATAATTTTAAAGCAAGAGCTTTCTTTATAATTTCAACCCAGGAATGATGTTTGGCATTCAAGTAGCCTGGTTTGTGCAGGCACAGGCTTGTATACGTGGAGGGTATAATGCCAGGATGCACAAACAAGAAATTACAACCATTTACTTGTGTATTATTTTCTCAATTTGAAGCACTTGAATTCCAGAGCTCTTAAATCAAGAGGTTGAATTCCTGACATTTTAAAGTATTCCACTTGAATAAGCTGTTTAAACCATTAGAATGGCTTTAAAAAAATTCACCTGTTTCTTGGATCATTTGCTCTTGAGATTTACTTAATTGAAGTTTTTGCCTTTTCATTTTACTTCAAATCAAAATCATGTCTATAGCGGAGGAAGTTCTAATTTTATTCCTATGGGTAAAGTCGATTTCATGCCTCAGACTGTTCCCCACCAAGTGAAAGCAGGCAGTTTTCCACTGCCTCACGTAGCACAGCACACGTAGGCATGCACTTATCTTTTCTTCCAGAAGAAATCCTTAAACTCTGACTTTTCCCCCCAGGGCATCATTTCTGTAAATACAGCAGCTTTTACATTTTCAGGGTCTCTGGCCCATGTCAGCTTAAAGCTGAATTTGACTAAAGCCAGTCCCTAGGGAAGAGAGTAGACAGGGATGGGGAGAGTATTAATAATGAAGTCACAAAATTATTCTGCTGGGCATTTTTTATAAATCATTTGCTCCTGTTGGTGGAAAGTGAGACAATACTAAGATGCAAAAGTATGGAAGGTGGAACTAAAACTGAAATGATCAGTTCACATATTTGTAAACTGCGTATTTTATATCAGTCGCTGGATTAGGCCCCTAGAGACAGTGGTGGCTAAGTGATAAAGTCTTTGCGCTTGTGGCATTTTATAGTGTAGTGGGAAGACAGAAAGCAAACAAGTAGAGAATCATATATGTAATGTGACCTCAGGTCCAGCTAAGCGCCAGACAGAAGAAAAAAGTAAGGTGAAGGTAGAGGGGTTGGAGCAGGAGGAAGGTGTTATTTTAGGTAAAGTGGCCAGGGAAGGCCCTTTGAAGAATTGATATCGATTCCAAAATGATGAGAAGGTGCAATTGTGCCACCATGGAGGAGAAGAGCTTTCTAGGCAGAGGGCAGGTGCAAAGATGGTAGGAACAAACACGGCTTGTTGAAAGAACAGCAATGTTTGAGGAATGAGCAAGACAAACAGTGGTAGGACAGGAATTGGGAATGATTAGCAGAGGCCAGATCACTGTAAGTCATGAAGAAGAGACTGGATTTTATTCTAATTGTGATGGGAAGCCACTGGAAGGTTTTGAGGAAGGGCAAAACCAAATCTGGTGTACTTTTTATAAAGATGACTCTGCAGGGTGGAGAACAGAGTAGGTTGACAGGGAACAGGGGTTATGTGTGGAATCCAGTTACAAGGCTATAGTCATAGCCTAGATGAGGGTGATCATGATTTGACCGAGACTATGGTGGTAGCAGTGGTGAGATATAGTTGACTGTGCACTAGACCTCTAGTCCAAGGTCTTGTCTTAGAGACTCAAGACCTTGCACTAGACATCCTTTCCTGTCCCCTTATCATAATTCTGGCCTATAGTAGAAGCATAATAAATTATCTATTTAATTGAGCCTAGAAGTAAGGTTAAGTTTAAAATCTACTAATACTTCCCTGGCCTTTCATAGCTCTCCCAGGTTCCAGAAAGCTCCACTAGCAACCCAGTTTTATTGGTCAAAATTTTCTTAGTCCCCAGGCTTGGGTATGTAATAACCTTTGACTGGTTTTAAGCTAGGGATGGAGAAGAGAGGGAAAAAGGATAATTGTCATGTTTTATACAATAATTATGCTTAAGCTTTGTGTTACACTTTGCAATTTACAGAAAGTATTTTATTTGTATCACTGTTTTTGCACAGGAGAATTTTGAAAAATTATGAGATGGAGGGATGGATGGATGAATGGACGGACGGGTGTTCAGATGGATGGACAGACTGACTATTGGGTGGGTGGGTGGATGGATGGATGGATCAACAGACTGACTATTGGGTGGATGAATGTTTGATGGAAGAAAGAAAGGAAAGAGGGAGAGAAGGGAGGAAGGGAAGTCTCTTTCTCCTGTTGCCCAGATTGGAGGGATGAATTGAGGGAGGGGTTATTATTCATTTAATTAGATTTTCTTAGTAATCCAGATCTGAACTTTTCTAACCGTCTTGTCATGCTCTCTTTTCTTCAGCCATAAAGCCGCATCCGGCTGGGCACAGTGGCTCACGCTTGTAATCCCAGCACTTTGGGAGGCTGAGGCGGGTGGATCACAAGGTCAGGAGTTCAAGACCAGCCTGGCTAAGATGGTGAAACCCCGTCTCGACTAAAAAATACAAAAAATTAGCCAGGCGTGGTGGCGGATGCCTGTAATCCCAGCTACTTGGGAGGCTGGGGCAGAGAATTGCTTGAACCCAGGAGGCAGAGGTTGCAGTGAGCCGAGACCACGCCCCTGAACTCCAGCCTGGCAACAGAGTGAGACTGTCTCAAAAAAAAAAAAAAAAAAGCCGCATCCTGCAAATAAGATGAGAAAGGAGGTGTGGGCGCTGGGTGGGGCGGGCACTCAGATGAGATTCTCTGCCCACTCTGTAGAATTACTCTTCATTGTGGCTCTCAGAACTCGGAGCCTGTGAAAACCATGGTTTCAGGGTGAGGGGTCTCTACCCTAGGCTGCATTTCCTGATGGCCTTTAACCTTCCCAGGCCTGGAGGAAATCATGCCCCGGGAAAATATATGTTTTAACTTAAAGATGTAACACAATTAAAATGTAAACACCAGTTCTCAGCTTTAGCCCTTTACTGTGAGGGTGATGTAATAAGAAAGGCCACTGACATTTTGGGGTTGATGAAAATGGTAACTTTTAAAGGTAACATGGGTTTTATTGAAATATAATTCACATACCAAACAATTCACCTATTTAAAGTACAATTCAGCGGTTTTTTTTCGCAGAGTTGTGCAGCCATCAGCACAAGCAGTTTTAGAATATTTTCATCACCCAGTGCGGGGGAAAAACCCTGTACCCTTAAGCCATCACCCGTCCTCACACCAAATGATGACTTATTAAATCAAGCTGGCAAGTCGTGGCCTGCAGGAAAGTGAGCAATGATTCTCAGCACTCTGATTAGCAAGTGGCTTTCCAGCAAGTGTCACAGGGCTGCGGGTTGGGGTCTGGGGGATGCCAGATGCGGGATGGGGGGCTGATCTCACTACTTGGAGTATCTCAGGGGGCTGCCTCTCCGGCTGCGTGTCCTCAGGAGTTTGTTTGTTTAACAAGTCACTTGGCCCACATAGAATAAGCTCCACTTTTTTGGAGAAAAAGGAAAAATGTGAATTTTGAAGCATTCTTTTATATCTCTTTTATCTGAAAATTTCTTCTTTCTCACTCAACCACTTTTCCAAATGCTGGTCCTGATGGATGGAACAGGCTCCCCTTTTACTTTATTTCATAAGTGGTTTATAACCCTGAGGCTGAGAAACGATATAAATGAGGGGGAAAGAAGTATCCTACAAGAAATACCCAGTTAAAGAAAAGAAAACTGGAGAAACCAAGCCCCCATTTCTTTTTTTTTTTTCTCCAATGCCTTTTTGAAGCACCTAAAGGCCAAGGAATTTTGAAATGAGAACTCGACAGTGAAATGTTTCTCATTTTCAAACAAAGAAACATTTCTTACTCTTGGGTGTTTTGTGTGCAGAAACACTTTTTTGATATGTCATATTTAAAGGTGAGAATGATCCACTTGGTCAGTAGATCCGTGGAGCGTCAGGAAGATGGAAAGAGGAAAGGGCCCCGAATGACCCACCTGCGTATCTTTTGCATATGTTTCCAAAAATACAAGTCTGTTCATCATACTCGATTTTTCCTTTGTTTTTATTCACGTTTTAGCATTCCTTTTCTGCATTAAAAAAATGTATGCAGTCCTGCTGCTGCCTTCAAACTAGCTTTGTGATTTGAAGCTTCACTTTCTCATCTATAAAATTCATTCAGCAGCACCCACTGTGCCTTCTGTAGCACTTCCATCCACCTGACAGTATGTATCTTTGTTACTTCCACCACACCCCTAGAGTCGAAGGTCTGAGGACAGGGACTTTCTTCTTCATTCATTGTGCTATCCCCAGCATATCGAACAGTGCTTGGCATCTGGTAGGTTATTGGTTAATATGAGTTGAAGGAAATGAACGCACAGGTGCCCAGTGCAAAAAGAAAATTTGATGATTTCTAAGGAGCCCTCTAGCTTGAACATTTTATCATCGTGCTGTAGCCTCTCTCCAGAAACTGACACTGTTTTGTACGTATCTGAAGGGTAACCGGATTTTCACATTCCCTGATCTTAACTTTTGGTATGTTTCTCTTCTCTGTAATCTTAAGCAAGTTAAGTATGGGGAATCTTCATTCTTGTAGCTATAAGACAAGGTAAGTGGTTTTCCTTTCATCTTGTTTGAAGTGAAATTCTTATACTGGTCTTATCCTGAAGGGCCAATTTCTTTTTGTATTTCAGCTTTGATATTAGCATATGCCCAGAACCTATAGGAAATCAGTCAACAGACCTAGAAAAAGTCTAATAGCTTTGCCTTTTCATACTCTTCACACTTTGCAAGGTTTTCATGACAGTTGGTAGGTGAACTCTGAGCATATTTGGCCAGAGGCAGATTCCTGTGTCTCTTTGCTTACTAAGGATACAATAGGAGGGCTTATAGATGACATTTGTAGGTATGGCTTAGACGGGGAAATATTTGAAGGTTCCTGCATTATTTTGGGAACTTGCCTGAGGTTGCATTTGTATTATAAGGTCAAATTTAAAGGCAGGGAAGGCCGTTACCAATATCATGTATGTATGTCTAAGGAAATATTTTGTCTTTTGCAGGGACTTGATTTCATTTTGCTTGGTTTTCTCAGGGGTGATTTCACCTCAGTTCTGTGTAAAGAGGATTCCCAGATCTCTAGTATTAAGATTGAATGCCTATCTTGACTAGTTGACTAAGAGTTGGGTTTGGGGGTTGGTTTGTCTGTAGCTGTTTCCTCTGCAAAGCCACCTTAGCATCAGTGCAATGAGCTTTTCTTGTGGAGCCAGGGCTGAAGATAGCTTTCTATTGTTTTCATTCTCCTGCGAGTTGGAGCTTAGGGGAGCCCTTATGTGAACTGATGCATCCCGGAGGGAGGGCTTATGTGGTTTCATTGGCGGGCGCGATGCAGACGCAGCTATGTTTAGATTCTTCCCTCTCAGTTACCAGGTGCCCATTCATGCCACTCCCTCACTTCCATAGGTTGTGGAAAATGGTGAAAATAGGATTGTTGAGGTAATTTTTTGAAGCACTGTTATTGTGGTTGACATTGATCATTTGCTACTTCAATTGTATTCCATGATGTCAAATTTACTGTATTTACCTGTAGCAGAAGGAAGATAAACCCTCTCAGAAAATGAAAGGGCAGCATTATTATGTGTTCATGAAGTCATACTGTGGCCTCATTGGCTATCATTGCAGTCATCAAGGATACATTCTTCATAAAATAACACAATAAGGCTGATGTGTGGAGGTCACGGGTTGTCACAACTGTATCTAGGTTAAAAAATGTTGCTATCCACCCAGCCCTCCTTAAAAGAGGCTATTTATAATACAATGCGGGTGTTTGTGCTGCTTGCATCGGGCAGGCGCATCCTGAATGAAGAATTAGCTCTTTAAAAAGAACATTAAAAATAAAACTCATGTTGTAAAGATCTGACAGCCAAAAGAGATTGTGGGCTGTTGTAAATGCTTGCTTATTTCCCAAGGTTGCTGAGTTACTTGCTCTGGGTCATGAAATATTTTGATCTGGCAAGTAGGCTTTGCTTTTTTTAAAAAAATTTACATGTTCTAGATATGAATATACCTACCTACTTCCTAACAATCACTTGGCAGGCCCTTTGGGGATAGGAGCCCCCTCCTGGGAGGGAGGGTCTGTCTTCTCTCCTCCCTGCGTCGGCCACACTGCTGCCTCTTATTCCACCAGGCTCTGGCTTCCTGCATGGGCCATTCCACTTCCGTCTCCCATCAGGGGGCAGGACTCGGGGAAGAAACTTGGGCATAAAGAATGTGTAAATTACACCTTAATAAAGCTGTTAAGAAAAAATAAGCACCCCGATTAATGGACTGTGTCACCATCAGATGAATATTCTAAGTGATTTTTAAAAATAGCTCTTTCACGAGAGTGTTTTGGTTTGGGGTGTGTATTCTTGGATTGTTTTTATTATTTTTCTGCATAGCCTTGATAGGAAAATGTAGAACTCTGTTATCATAATACATGCAGTATTTAGATTGGATACACTTCTTGCTCCCCTTGCATTGATTTCCTACTTTTCTCCTTTGCCTTTTCCCGGTACTTAAGCATTAAGTCGCGGGCATTTTCCCAGTGTAATTGTTGATTAAGTGCTGCATATCCCGTGATGATTATGAGAAGATTACTGTATTCAGCTTTTAATCTTGTGAGTGTCAAATATTTTACTTTAGTGGTATCGTTATTATTATTATTATTCATAGCTCTTTCTGTTTGAGTAATGCAATCAGGCAAAATAAAGGTAATGCCACAAATTCAGCATTTTTATAGTAATTCTTTGTCTCAGAATGGAAAGTGCCACCTTCAGGCCATTCTCAAATACTGATGGAGATTTATACAGATAGGAATCAGAATATTTTAGGCTTCTTTTGGTTGCAAGTAACAGAAAGCAACAAGTTTAGGAAGAAATGCATATATATATATATGAGGGCAGGGAATCTATTGGAGGAAGTACTGTGGGTCTCTCAGGACCCCAAGGCCAAGCATGTATAATAGCTGGCGGTCATCAAGACTGGAACCTGGAAGGCTGCCAGGAACGCGGGCACCACTCGTACCTTCTCTCTGTCACTTTCTGTGTTCTCTTTGTTTTCTCTAATGCCATGTGCAGGATGATCAGTGGTCACCTTGTGGCATTCAAGCCAAATATCCTCCATGGAAGAGAATAGCTCAGGTGGCCTGGCTGTCTTTCAGTTCCAGTGCCCACTTCCCAGGAGCAACAGAAGTTCTGTGAATGGAGTCACTGAAAGCATGTGACCTACCTGGTCCTGACGCCTTGTCCGGGGGAGCAGCAGCATGGAGAAAAAACGTGGTAGCCAGGGGCTTTCTCCATGGGTGGGGAGAGGCAGAGCTCCGAGGGGAAGAGGCCCCCCATTGCGAGTGGGATAGACACCCCAAACAGAGCCCCATTTTCTGTTTTCTTGAGAGAGACAGAGACTCCAGATTCTTATCTAGCCTCCAGTGGCAACTTCTCATGCTTCTCCAGGGTTCCACGTGCTGTATCCCAGAGCCTTGACACTGAGGGCAGGAGCGTGGGATTCTGAAGAGAATCCCAAAAAACTATTTATAATCAACTGTCTGTTGCCTAGTGGGAGAAAAGGAATCATTGGTATGAACAACTCCAGTTACTGTTTCCACAGAACCAGCAGGCTTTCTGGTTCTTTCCTGAGGCACTCCGCTTTACATAGGAGGAAACTGAGATTGGAAGGTAAGTGTATCACCTGATGTCACACAGCCAGAAAGGAGGAAGCTGGGTCACTGATGCTGGCTGAGCCCAAAATGCAGAACCCACGTGTGTCTGTCTCATTCAGCCACCATGGTGGCTTTGGGTTGAATTTTCACAAGCTCACGGTGGCCACCTCATGAGCATGCACAGAGAGCAGTAGATAGTTAATAGGGAAGTGGCTGAGTAGAAGTTGGCCTGAAATGGAAAATTTGCTGGGAATAATTTACAGGCCAAGTAATATTTGTGAACATTCGTGTGAACTTAAGCTTGGCATGAGCTATCTATACAGAAATCTAAAATCGGTCTAAACGTTTGGGTTGCACTTGGAGCCATAGGCCATCGAAGAGCAATGCCGTTGTGTCACTTTGGTTAGGGAGTGTCTGGCTCAGCCACTACATGTCACTCAGAGGATGCCAGTGTCAGTGATATGGGGGGTAGCGCTAATTGGAAAATGGAGGCTTGTCAGAGTCACTGCTAACTAATAAAATCACTGGGAAGTGGGTGCAGTTTTTCCAAGAGTGATTATTGTGGGTGGCAAGTATTGAGTGAGGCGTAGAGGGAATAAAATCAAACTGTCTATACACATGCTGCTGCAGTGGAAAGAACCCTGGGCTGGGAGTCCTGGGAGCCAGGCCCGGCCCTACCCCTGGGCCATTCGTGGGACCCCAGGCAGGTTACTGCTCCACTCAGGCCCTTTCTCCTTTTCTTTTTAGTATGTTGTTTAAAAAAATAGTAATAAAAAACATTATACCAAAAGATATATAGTGAAAAGTACGGCATTCTCTTGTCAAGGAAGTACAGCTTCCTAACCTCCTCCCCGGAGGTAACCACGATGACCAGTTTCCTCTGTATCATTTGACAGCTGATGCCTTTACACAGCCCTGGATGTGTGTGGATGTTTACACAGATGGGCACAGGCCATGTGCATTATCCTGACTTTTTTTTATCATGTAGCTTTCTCTGTATCAGTGCATACAGATTTATTCATCCTTGTTATTGATGTCAGAGTATTTCACTGTATGGTTGTACCAGATGTATTCAAGCCACCACTGGTAGTGGGCATTATACAAACAGTGTTGCAGTGAATACTCCTGCATGTATCTTTGCACACATGTCTTCACTATTGGTTAAAAGTGATATTCTGTTGTTATTTATTTCCTTAACTGGAAAGGAAGTCCATTTGTATTTCTTTTTCTGTGTAGTTTCTGTTCATGCCCCATGCTCATTTTTTTTTTTTCCTATTGAATTGCTTTTTCTTGTTACATCATATTTTCCAAAGAGATAATGATCCAAGTGCTGGTCAGTTCTGGGGAAAGTGATCTGATTGGAGGTTTGCTGAGACCCATCGTGTGTCCATCGAGAAGTCTGGGTACCCAGTAAAAGGCCCTTCTCCATGTTTTTGAGGTGTGGCCATGGCAAGTTTTCAGCAAGGCTCATTCTGTACTTATCTTTTTGATACTTAGTAAAGGGATGTGTCTGCTCCACACAGAGTGGAGCTTTGACCAGTCACTGCTGGATGAACAAGAGGGAGAGCATGGCCTTGTGGGACAAGATTGTCTTTACAACCACTGGTCTTCCAGACATAAACTTGGGTGCAGACCCTCTTGGCTCCAGAATTCATGGGTCATGTGACCTTCTCTGGGTCTCAGTCTCCTCATTTAGAAAATAGGATCATAAGACTGGTGTTGCAAGGTGGTTGTGAGCAATAGAAGAACCATATATTTAAAGTAGCTAGCACATGATTGGTTTTCAATAATTGGTAGCTTCTAATATTAGTATCATTGATATGACTGTTATTATCATCACCATAAATAAAACGATTGACAGTAGAGGCATGGGCTAAGACTGAACAATTGGTTAATGCGGCAACCATGTTATATTGGACTTTGACTTCAGGAACCCGCTCCAAAGGATGCAATTTGGTGTGCAGGCCATCTGCATCTTTGCAATAAAAGCTTCTTTGCACCTATGTCTATTTCATTTGCCTTGTGACTCTATAATTTTCTTTCAGGCCTTGCACCTCTGTTGCTAGACATAGTACATAAATCCCATGCAGTTTCCTGGCCTTGAAAAGGGAGAGTGACTTGAAAGTACTCTACTTGAATTCTAAATGGGAAAGATGTAAAAACCGCTCCTCCCCCCTCCAAGAAATCTGAGGGACAGAAAATAGATCTTTCTCTCTGGATCTCTTAAACCCCGCTTACGAAATTAACAAAGGAAGATGGATGGCTGAAATAAGACTTCCAAAGAAGAGATGGGAACCTCCTAATTGATTCCCACAAAACTGCTGGTTATTTACAACTAGGAAAATTGCCTGCTTGGAGATACCAATTCAGCTCTTGTGGTTCCGCTGGCTTGACAGGAAACACTCTCTGCTCCTTGCTGAAAAAGCTCTGAGGGAAGAGGGGGGCGGAGTGAATTACATCTAACTGTTTAACACTATCTCATTCATAGATTTCTGCCTTTTCCCCCTGGTTGATCATTCGCAGTCTCTTTTTTAGTATATAATTGTTCATTTTAAATGTTCATGTGTGCTATAGCTGGGTGAATGTTAATTACTGGCAGTCTGCAATTATGTTGTCTGTTTGTCATTTCCGTGGCGGCAAGGGTGGTAAGCTAGAATTCTTCCAATAGCAAGAATTGTAGTTTATAATCTACCCCAAAACCATTTAGAAATGGATACATTTCACTCACACTCTTGATGTAGTTGAGTAAATGCATTGTTATTGATATTCATTATGAGGTTTTAAGCTCAAAAATCCCACTATACACTAACTGAAAGGCACCCAGTATTTTGGCTAATTCGTTAAACTCACAACCATTTTTTGAGTATCCAATATGTACTAGTTGCTTAGGACATACCTCTAAATGAACTAGATAAAAAATAAAATATTCTGCAGTTCTCTATGTAACTGTAGGGACTTCCCAAGTGACCCCTTAAGCCACTGTGTGGCTAGTGGCATTGAGTGTGTGTCCCGTAGGCTGCCGAACACTCCTCCATTACCAGCACTGTAATTGTGAGGAATATGGTAAGAAGTTAGAAGCCAGTGGCAAGTGAAGTTCTTATTTTACATTTAAGTCCTCCTCCGTGATAATGGCAGCTGAAACAGACTTGGAAAACATAATTTGAAGATCAGATTTGTTCCAGATGTCCCTGGTATCTGTGTGCAAATTAAATTGCGGTACATCAGTTTGATCCAGTCAAGAAACAGAGTGGGATTGGGAGGCATGTTTGTGCTGTAGGGACCGGGTAAACACAGTTACCATTGATGTTGCCTGAAGCCGCAGTGCCTCAAGGGGAGGTTCCAGCAACCTAGACCACAACTCACCTGCGGGGATTCCCAGTGTTGGGCTTCGTTCTGGTGCTGTGAGTATACAAGGATGGGAATTTGGAAAAGACTAAAGACTAAAGTTTCCTCCTTTAAAGGTAGAGGGTGCTGAAGAGCAACTCCTTAGAGGAGATCGGATTTAAGAGAACTTAGGTAGTTGGAAATACACTGACTTAAAAGGCTGGAGCAACATTACTGACTTCCCCATATTCATCCAACAACTTTTTTTGGTGCCCATAATGTGCTAGAGTGTGAACTAAGACATCTCTGCCATCGTACAGCACACAGCTCTATGGGAGAAACAAGACACAGCGTGGACAGATAGATAGATGTGATGTCATATAATATAATGCAATGTAGTATCATACAGCTATGAGTGCTACAAAGAATTATGCAGCAGAGTAAAGATCAAGCATGGCTGAGGTACTACTTTATTAATCCTTTCTAGTACTTTACTGTACTTCTCAATGTGAGAAGAAAAATTAGGGGGAGGGGTGGTCAGTTTTTGTTTTCCGGTTAAGCCTTTGCTTTGAGATGATCCTAGATTCACATGTAAGAAATGATACAGGCAGAGCCTGTGTACCCATTATGCAGTTTCTCCCAGCGGTAACATCTTGCAAAACAGTAGTGCAATATCACAACCAGCTTATTGACATTGATATAGTCAAGATACAGAACATTTCTATCATTTACGATGATAAATGCTTCGGAATACAATCACTAGTTCATAAGTTGATTGCATGTTTAGTTTTTTAACAAACCGCTAAACTATTTTCCAGAGTATCTGTACCATTTTACATTCTCATGAGCCGTGGGTGAGTGATCCCATTTCTCTGCATCCTTGCCAGCATTTGGTGTTGTCACTATTTTTTCATAGCCATTCTGAAGGTATTTAATGATATCTCATTGTGGTTTTAATATGAATTTCCCAAATGGATAATAATGTTGAAGGGGTATCTCCATGTGCATATTTGCCATCTGCAAATCTTCTTCTGCAAAATGTCTATTTATGTCTTTTGCTCACTTTCTAGTTGGATATTTGTTTTTTTTTCCCTGAAATGATGACAGCTTTGTATATATTCAGTATTGCCCTGCCACATGCTCTCAGTTGCTGATTTTGGTTGTTTGCCAAATGATCATGTGTCAGAGGGGGGCCTGAAACTTAGGTCCAGGGGGAATTTGTCTTCTGTTGTATGTAGACAGATGGTGGTGACTGATGGAAGAGAGAGGTTCTTAGAAGACCAGTGAGAATCTCTTTCTGGGCTAAAAGAGCTGATAAGTGGTGGGGTACATGTGGCTGGAATTTCTCCAGGTCAGCTCCTGGCATCAGGATGCAATGCTTGGTGGGCAGAAGATGGAATTCATCAAAGGGTAGAACTTCTTAAAGGCTTGGAACTGAGGCCTCCAGGCCAGAAAACTAGAGGCTTTAAGTGTCCCCACAGCTAGAGCATTTTTAATCTTTGGGGAGAGGGCATTAGGCCTCCCTATCAGGACAATGAAAGGCTCAGCTTCTAATCAGCATGTGCAAATTGGGAACAAATGAGCAGAAACCCCCTTCTGGCTTACTGTTAGCTCCCATAGCCCCTTGCCAAGATGCTGGCCCTCTCTAAAGCTCCAGAGTCCTCAGTGGTAGAGGAGGTGCTGGCTGCGTGCTACTTTCTTTTTATTTTTTTGAGACAGAGTCTCGCTCTGTTGCCCAGGCTGGAGTGCAGTGGCGTGATCTCGGCTCACTGCAAGCTCCGCCTCCCGGGTTCACCCCATTCTCCTGCCTCAGCCTCCCGAGTAGCTGGGACTACAGGTGCCTGCCTCTACACCCGGCTAATTTTTTGTATTTTTAGTAGAGATGGGGTTTCACTGTGTTAGCCAGGATGGTCTCGATCTCCTGACCTCGTGATCCACCCGCCTCGGCCTCCCAAAGTGCTGGGATTACAGGCATGAGCCACCGTGCCCGGCCTGCATGCTACTCTCAAAGGCTCCTTCTGGCTTCCAGTCGCTCTTGTGACCCTGACCAGACTTTTGATAGGTTGGGCCTCTAGGGAGATGTGCTTCTCCTTAGCTGAGAGCCAGGGGCCTAGTGACTACATCCAAGAAAGGAATGTATTTTTCATAGAGCAAAGCTTGCTTGACTTGGAGCCATAGACCCAGCCATGAGCGCCAGCTCTGCCACTCCTTAGTTGTGTGACCTCAGGCCAAACACTCCTTAACCTGCCTGGGCTTCAGTTTCTCCATCTGCTGCTATAACAAATCACCCCAAACCTAGTGGCTTCAAACAACACAAATTTATAATCTTACAGTTCTGGAGATCAGAACTCCAAAATCAGTCTTGGGGGGCTAAAATAGGAGAGAAGCCGCTTTCTTTCCTATTGCAGCTTCTAGAGGCTGCCTGCATTCCTCGACTTGTGGCCCCATCCTCCATCTTCACAGACAACCACAGCGGGTCAGGTTCTTCTCACATGAAATCACTCTGACCTCCCTCTTTCACTTGTGAGGACCTTTGTGATTACACTGGGCCCACCTGGACTATCTAATCCAGGATAATGTCCCTATCTTAATTCGAGCTGCAACCTTAATTCCCCTGTGCCATGAAATCTAACATAGTCACATGTGCTGGAGATCAGGATGTGGACATCCTTTGGAGAAGACATGCTTACTGCCATGATTGCCAGGACCCCACAGATGAAGCATTTCACAGTTCCAAAGACCTGCTGGGCGTTCAGGTGTCATCCTCTTTTTTGGAAACCTCCAGGGTCACAACGGCTGATGGTTTCCAAGAGCCGCTGGTGCTGATTGGGGTTGGCAGAAGCCCCTCACACAGGCACACTCCTATACTTTACTTTGTGTGGTTAGCTTATCTTCTGGGCTTTCTTTTGATTTCAAAGCAACATGGCATGGGGAAGGAGGTCACAAAGAGACAGTGAGGGAATCAGTAAGCCACAAGGTTCTAACAGCCCCTGGTTCCAAAGGGCCCTCTCCATGGTGATGTTTTCAAAACATCAGGCATTACTCTCCATTCTGTTCTTCTCTTCCTGCAGGTTTACTTTAGCACATACTTACAGTCACCTCCTATGGGCATAAGGATTAAATAAGAAATAGCCCACGCTCTCAGGGGGCAGTTGCCAGAGAGTGGGCAGAAGTGACCATAGTTCAAGGCATAAAGTTACGAGTATCATCAGGGAGCAGACAAAAGCCAGGAAAGGTCAGAGGCAGGTGACTTCATTTCTTGCTGCGGGAATTAGGGAGGTTGCAAGAAGGGCAAATTTGAGCGGGCACTCATAGAGTGAGTAAGACTTCAACAGCTGGGGATGGGGCAGCCCTGCTGGCAACGAGGGCTAGGTGGGCCAAGACAGGAAAACATAAGCATGTTCAGGGTAAGCACAATGCAGGGGTGTGTAGGGCTCGACTGGGGAGAGAACTCCACTTTCCTTACCAGCTCACACCTGTCCAACCCTTGAAAAATAAAGATCTTCTCCTTTACTCATGGTGGAAGGTGAAGCAGGAGTATATGTGTTGCATGGCAAAAGCAGGGGAGTGGGGGAGGGAGGGGGGCAGAGAGAGAGAGAGAGAGAGAGAGGATGCCACATACTTTTAAACAACCAGATATCATGAGAATTCACTTACTGTCACAAGGACAGCACCAAGGGGATGGTGTTCAACCATTCATGAGGGATCTGCCCCCCTAATTAATCCAGTCACCTCCCACCAGGCCCCGCCTCCAACACTGGGGTTTCAATTCAACATGAGATTTGGGTGGAGACTCAGATTCAAACCGTACAACAGCAGAGGCAGAGAGTAGAGCGATGCAGCCACAAGCCTTGGAACGCCAAGGCTTAAGAGGAGGCAGGGAAGGAGTCTCCTCTGCAGGCTTCCAAGCAAGCATGGTGGCCCTGCCAATGCCTTGATTTTGGACTTCTAGCCTCCAGAACTATGGTCATTAAAGTTCTGTTGTTTTGAAGAACTCAGTTTGTGGCACTTTGTTGCAGTGGCCCTAGAACTAATACACGTAGTACACGAAATACCCCTGTACTAGAGGAATTTCGTTGGGTTCTCCTTAGTCTTTCAGAGCAGTTTAGATGTGCCTGTTGAAGTCAACCAATGGCTATTAAGTGGTCTTTGGGGAGAATCTGATGATCCGAGGGGCACTGTGGCTTTCTATCCTGTATGTAGGTTGACGTCTCTGGGATCTACACGAGGGACAGAGTGACCTGGTGAGGGGAGGATGGAGTGAACAGGCACAGGCTCTTTCTGATTCCTTCAGGGACTACCTGTACAGCCAATTGTGACATGGTTCCCTTTAGAAAATAGGGACCTAGACTGGCGTCATGGGGTTTAGGCCAAAGGCCTTGAGTTCATTTACTCCAACTCCTCCTCTTGACAGATGATAAACTATCCCAGGGAGTATCTTGGGACCTACCCGAGGTCACTCTGCTAGTAGCAGAATCAGAACTTGAACTTGGAACTTGAATCTCACATCCAGATCACTGAGATTTCTAGAGACTCCAGATTCTGTGGTTCTCACTTCTGAAAATTTTCTTGGGCACAGAATTTTAAGTTAAACCATTAGACTGTGTTTACTGGGAGTGGAGGGGGATGACAGATCATAAAAAAGAAAAAGAAAAAAAGGGAACTGTTGACCTTCAGGAAAGGGATTTGAAAGAATGATCAAGTTTATATGATTTAAAAATTCATAGATACTTAGTTTTACTATGTGTCACTGAAAAATAATTTTCTACCCAGTGGATGGGAAATTCCAGCTCCTAGCTTCTTCATTCATGGACTCATCACACCTAGGTATTACAGAGTATAGAATTTACAAAATCAGCAGCCATTATGTGACCTCAGACACCACCAAGTTACCACTTTTTGCCTTTTTCTGACTTTCCTGTCCTCCTCCTGCAGGGTGAAGTAGAGCAACTAATGTTATTTCAGTTAGATTTCAGCTTTCCAGGCTTGCTTTAAATCACAAGAGTGGGATGCCGGGTAGGTTCATGATGGTCGCAGCATTGCATATACAGCATCTTGGTAGCTTTAAATCAATATCTCTCCTAAGGGTTCAGAAGAAATGTCACATACAAGGTACATTGCTTGCACAAGTGTCCTTTGTGTCGGATGCCCTCGAATGTAATTTCTATCAGTAAGACATAAAGGACACATGGAGAGGGATCATTTTGCTCGGCAGCACAGGCTGAAAGGAAGGAGGGGAGGTGGTTATTTTTTGTTGTTACTATGACTGTTTCTTGGGTTCCTCCAACAAAGAAATGCTGTGTGGCTTTCAAGTATCTCTCAGTGCAAATGCTTCCTGTCACAAGTGATCAGTGTCCTGCCATTTTGAAATGGCAGAAGTGGCTTTAGCAGCATTATGAAATTATCATTGCCGTGCTGGATAGCTGAGACCAGCCTCTCAGAGAAATTGACGCTCTCGCCAGCTTTCCTCAAATTATGTCTCGTAAGGCTGGCGCGCTGTCACTTTAACAAACTATCACCCTGAAATGGGGTTGCTCCATCCAGGGCTGTGGAAAAACAAGGTTAGAAGAGCAGAGGACTTGTCGATGGTGAGTAAGTGGGATTAGTTAAACCAATATTGAAAAATGGTTTGCACAACTCTGGGCTGCTCATGTTCCCTCTGAAAACGTGTGCTC
Organism: Homo sapiens; assembly: GCF_000001405.40. Taxonomy (NCBI): domain Eukaryota; kingdom Metazoa; phylum Chordata; class Mammalia; order Primates; family Hominidae; genus Homo; species Homo sapiens. The sequence continues at coordinate 89,232,551 of NC_000014.9, read as the reverse complement.
TTTCAGCCCGCGTAGGCACGGAGACAGTTAAAGCTGCATCAGGACCTTTGTTATATAATCCTTCCCGGTTATATAATTAAGGGTCCTGTTTTTTCTTGCCCTGGTTTACATCGATTGAAATGTGGATAGAAGATTGCAACAGTTCATAGTCTCCTGTAATAGCCGAGGCAGTAATTTCATTGATTAAAGCACTCGGGGTCTATTGGTCATCAGTAACACTATCTGCAGAATGAACTATGTATAGGCGAACGGTTTGTGTTTGTAGAATATTAAATAAGTTTCAGACACATGTATCCTCCTACAGATGAGCAGTTTGAAAGAACTGGCCTTTGGAGTCTGACTTATAGGAACCTTCTGGGTTCTGCCCAGGTTACTAGCAGGTCAGAATCTTGGGGCAGGCCTAGATGTGGAAAAGTCCAATAAATCAGTGAGTTCTACATCCGCCATGAGGCAGCTCCTGTGGCTTTTTCCAGTCTTGGCCCAGTTTCGGTTAGGAAACGTGACACCCTGAAGGCAGATAGTATTCTTGGGGCTTAGCTCCACGCCTTCCCGCAACACTGAGCTTACCTGTCCCTGAAGCAGTGGCTGCTGGCACCATTGGAGCCTCTCCCAGCTCTTGCAAATGTCATCTCAGTGGCCATAATTTGCTGCCCTGCCATGCTCCCAGCCAATCGCTTTGAGCAGACCTAGAGATTAATTACCCGTGTGTTCCCCGCCACCACCTGCTTCCATCTGCTTGGTCTTGGAAGGATTGAACCATGGGCATGTCTGCCTTGTGCCCCAGCATAGAGGCACCGCAAGGTAGGCAGGTCCGATTTGGAGCACAGTATTGCATGGAGCGGCTGTACCATTGCGTCCCCTCCTTTTTCTCCAGATGCGAAGGTTCTGTGTCTGTCCCTTAGGGCCCTGGCTGAGACCTTCTGAATAGCTGCTGGTGCCCACATCCCGCTGTAACAGAAGTCCAGGCAACAGAACCACACTCCTCTGTCATACTGCCTGGCAAATCAGATCATATCCCTACTCTGCCCTTCCCTCCATAGTGGACCGAGACCCCTGCATTCTTTTTCAGTCTCAGCCACCCTCCCTCTTGGATCACCTGGCTTGTTAGCTCCTGGCAGCCCTCTCCTCTCCTGAGGCTGGGCCGGCTCTTGACTCCCAGAATGCTGTGTGGCCAACAGGCCAGCTAGTGTCTCTCTTGGCCAAACAGGAATTGTTTGTTGCAAGTATTTCCTACAAAGCAAGTTCTAACATTATATGGGATATGGGTAATTTTGATTTTCTTTATACTCTTACTGCTTTTGCTGAAGTTTTCCTTGGCGAACAGATACTTTTTTTTTTCATTAGAAAGAAAAGAGTATATTTTAAAAGAGCAGTTTGGGATAAGGAAAATAAAAACACATCATCTTTTATGTTCAGTAGAACAACAACAAAATCACCCCAGGTAAGTCAATGCAAAAAAATTAGGCAGGCATGCTTCTCCTCATCAAGTAATAAATGGCCTGTCACAGGTGAGATGGGTGGGATGTTATCATTATCATCAACCTCAAGTCCTGATGTTCCCGCAGAGCTAGTGGCTATGTGCTACTCCAGTAGACGCCATGGGGGATTTATCACAGGGTTGCTGCGAGGCTCAAATGAGAAAATAGAAGAAGTACTTTATAAATGAAAGCTATTTTTTCAACAGAAAAATGAAAACCTTCATCTCCATTGAGAAACAAGGCTGAACACTGTAAGGAGGGTTACAGAATTTAAAGCAGATGTGACCTCTACTATCCAAGAATGTTTGTTTATCTATTTATTTAATAAAGAGTGTGTGGCGCCTGTCGTGTGCGTAGTGCAGTTCTTGATACTTGGGATTCATCAGTGAAGGAAACAGACACAAATCTTTGCCCTTGTGGAACTCTGCGTGAGATAGACAAGAAACAATAAATATGATAAATAAAAAGCAAGTTGTCAAAATAATAATAGTAGCTAGCACTTAGATGTGCCTACTTAGTGCTAGGCACAAGTCTAAGCCCTTTATGTATACTTAATCCCATACACCCTAGCAGGGAGATAATAGCAATAACCCATTGGGAGAAAATGATCCCCACAGAGATGAAGTGACTTGCCCAGGGGCACACGAGTGCTTTAGCTGGAATTCCATTTCACACAGCCTGGCTTTCATCAGAGCAGATGCTCAGCAGAGGATGGTGGAGGTGATGAGAATGTGGGAAAAGAAACAGAGTGAAGTAAGAGGGATTGTCCATTCAGCAGACGTTTTCTGAGTGCTCTGTACCTGCCAATGAGTTAGATCCCTGGGATATAGAAATGAAAGAAATGAAAAGGGTGTGTGTTATCCCTCCATAGAGGGATTTACAGTGTTCTTGGGTTCACAGACATATAAGCAAATCACATGATAGCATGGTGGGATATACCTTCCTCCCTGGTTTCCTATGGAGATACCATATTGGAAGAGCATTGGTTTCCATGACCCTTTGGTTTTGGACTAGTGAATTCATGGCATTGAGGGCCTTACCTTTTTCTGAAGTCCATTGATCAGTGGTGTTGTACCCTGTCTCTCACTGCAGAGCTTCAAGGGTAAGAGGCCAGTGGGGCCATTCACTGCTTTGTTTGGATTCTGGGCCATGGAGCCAGGGACTTCTGCCATCCTGAGCTGTTCTCCTCTGCCTGTACCTGCAGGGCTGGCCCAGGTCTTGTGGACATCCTTCGGTTTGGTCGGTGGCTGTACTATAGCTCTTTTTTGCTCTTTTGAGTGTTGCCCTACCTCCTTTTATCTCTTATTGGCCTCAGCGAGTGTCACCAGAGGGACAACCTACTGCATCTTACCACCTGTACCCAGCACTGCACACGGACTTGCACTCCAAGCCTGGCAGAGGATTGGCTGGGGAGACACATGCCTACTAAAGAAACACCATCGGAAGTGTATTTTCTGCTAGGGAAGGGTCAGTAGCATTTGGTTCCTGCCCAAACAGCAACACGTTGATTCTCACAACTCATCTAACTTCTGCAACTAGGGTGTCATTACAGTGTGTACTTGGGTGAAGATGGATCCCAACTGTCTTTTGGCAAACTTTGTTGTTCTTTTCTGTCCCTCATGTGATCCCACAGCCACCAAGATAGAAGAGTGTTCTCGCTGCTGAGCTACTTTAATCCCGTGGTCAGAGTGGCAAGAGCTTAATAAATACTTTTGTGCAATAGGATATTTTGATTGTTTGTTTTAGGGTTATGTTTGTTTCTCTAGTTCTTTTGTACAACAAAATCTTTGACTAAGTCTGAATTGTGTTTGGTATTGGCCCGGCAATCAATGTGACGAATTTTGTCATGGGTGACACTCTTATCTATTTTAGTCCCTGCAGCTACCACTCAGACCTCTTTTTCCCTAGACACGAGTGCTGGAGAGCAGCCATCCTCAACTCCTCTGTTCCCTTCTCCCTCTCTGGGGCAGTGGAATAAACCCCATTTGTCAGGGCTGTATTGGTTGTTCTGATTGCTTATTACGAGGCCTGGTGTTGTGCAAGGCTCTCTCATGACTATTATTTTATCTGGTCCTCAAAACAGCCCGTTTTTACAGCCAGCATGCTTTGGAAAGAGGCGGGAGGGGAAGCAACAACCCATTTTATGGTTAAGAAAACACAGAATCAGAGAAATAAGGTAACTTCCTCCCAAGTACACAGCTAGGAAGTAATAGAACAAGGACTTAAATCTACAGTTTTTTATTTGTTTGTTTTCTTTCTAATATATCACTCCAAAGGACATTTGGATTAGGAAATCAGTTTATTCCAGGTGTTATATTCGTTCTGAACAAGTCCTCTGTCAGGAAATGAACTGAGCCCATCTTCCTAAACATGTCCTTTCTAAAACTCACATGGTTTCTACAAACTACAGCTTTTTTTATTCCTATAGTTAATCTAGAAGAGGCAGGATTGAAGATACTTTCCTAATAAAATAAGAAATTGCCTTCTCTTCAAACCTATGCTTTTTTATCACTCTACACAAGTTGAATATGGTACAATATTAAAATGTGGTCCTATCTTACAGGTTAAGAATAAAACAAATTATTTAAATTTACATTTGAAAACTGTTGAAATGGCCCAGCAAGCCATTCTTAGCCATTCTTACGGACTGTGACCTTGTTAGTTTCCCAGATGTCACCAAGTTTTGCAGTAGGTTTTATTGACTAAACAAAAAGAAACGTTCATAACCCAGAACGTGGAAGAACATCTTGAGGGTACATTGAAGAGTTTAGAAGGTCTGACAAATCCCTAAAATCAAATTCAAAACGTGTCTTCCTGAGCTTTGCTAATGAGAGATCGCCTCTTTTATCAGACCATCAAATGACATCCTCACTGTATTAGTTTTCTTTGTTGTATAACAATTACCACAAACAGTGGCTTTAAACAATACACTTTAATGATACCAGATTCTGTGGCTTAGGAGGCTGGGTGCAGCTTTGCAGGGTCCTCTGCTTAATGTCTCCCCAGGCTGCCACCAGTGAGTAACAGTCTCCCTGGCCAGGCACGGTGGTGCATTCCTGTGATACTAGCACTTTGGGGGGCTGAGGTGGGAAGATTGCTTGAGGCCCGGAGTTCAAGACCAGCCTGGGGAGACCCCATCTCTACAAAAGCTTGGGTTTCCCTTTAAGCTCATAAGGTTGTTGGCCGAATTCCGTGCCTTGCAGTTGTTAGGACCGAGGTCCCTTGTTTTTGGTGGCTATCAGCTGGGGGCCGTTCTTAGCTGCTGGAGCACCTGCCCTCACCAGCCCTCCGATTCCTTCAAGGCCATAGGAGACTCTCTTCTTGCAGTCTGCTAAGACGGAGCCTTCTGTGATGTAAGGTAATCTCAGGGTGACTGTGCTTTATCGTGCCGGATTTTATTACCAGAAGGCAGTTACAAGTCCCATCTGCATTCAAGGGGAGAGAGATGACTCACTGGGGGTCATCTTAATGTTCACCTGCCACAATCACCCCACAAAAATTCAGAAGAACCGCTGGTCTAGAACCTTTGAAAACAACATGACTGACCCGCCACATTTCATGAGTTCACCGACTATTATATTCCATCCACAGGAAGAAACCCAACATGACCAAATGGAAAAAATTGATCAGTCTTATTTTGTCTAGTTGGAGTAAATGCCGTGAAGGGAGTCCAATTGATGAAGAATTAAATGAGAGCAAAGAGCTTATTCCAAGCTGTTGGGAAGGAGATCCGCTGTGAACATGTGTTACGGTTTATGTCAATATTGCAGCCTCATTCACTTTATTTTTTGAGACATAGAAAAATCCTGATTTGGACAAATGGGAGTCAGCCAGACCCCAGAACAGCTTAAAATTCCTCCTTCATGGGTGCTGAGGGGTACCAGCATGTTGACTGAGATCATTCTTGTTTTACTTGGAGTCTAATTCAGGGTATATAAAAAAGCCTGAAATGGAATGAGTTGGTCTTTGTATAATGTAATAGGCTATTCCTGAAATTGCTTTTTTCTTCTGGCTCTGTTTGCTTAGCATGTTAGTTTGCTAGGGCTGCCGTAACAAAGTACCCAGCACGGAGCGGCTTCAACAACAGAGATTTATTGTCTCACAGTTTCAGAGATCAGAAGTCTGAAGTCAAGATGTGGGCAGGGCTGTGTCCCCCTCGAAGGCTCTGGGGAAGAATCTGTTCCAGGTCTCTCTCTGAGGTTTTGGTAGTTCCTTGGCTTGTGGCCACAGAGTTCCAGTCTTCAGATGGTGTTTTCCTCGTGTTTCTGTCTGCGTCCAAATCTCCCTTTTTCATAAGGATACTGCTTATATTAGATTAGGGGCCCATCCTACTTGAGTATGACCATCTTAACTATTTATGTCAGCAACAACCTGATTCCAAATAAGACCAGGTTCTGGGGTACTGGTTAGGACCTGAACACATGAATTGGGGTTGGGGGAGGCACAGGTCAACCAATAACACTTAATGAAGAATAATCTGAAATTTTCCCACTAGTCATACTACTCTAGCGAGTAAATAAAAGTCTCCCTGGCCAGGCATGGTGGTGCATGCCTATAATCGCTTGAGGCCAGGAGTTCGAGACCAGCCTGGGTAACATAGTGAGGCCCCATCTCTACAAAAAATTTAAAACTTACCTGGGCGTGGTGGTGTGAGACCCCATCTCTATAAAAAATTTAAAACTTGTCTGGGCATGGTGGTACATGCCTGTAGTCCCAGCTACTAGAGAAGGTGAGGTGTGAAGATCACTTAAGCCTAGGAATGTGAGGCTACTGTGAGCTATGACCACACCAAATGCACCCCAGCCTGGTTGACAGTAAGATTCTCTCTCTCTACCTTTCTCTCTCTCTACCTCTCCCTCTCCTTTTCCCTCTCCCTGTCCCTCCTTTTTTTTTTTTTTATGTCTCCTTGGTAGATCAATGGTCAGAAAACAACTAGATTTCCTTCCCCTCCCCTCCCCCCGCCCCCATCACTTGGGAATTTACTAATTTCTCATCAGAATGGCATTCTTGCCTTTTGGACTTAATTTTAGAAATAAAGCTGCTCTTATTCTTCATTTAAAATTGGTCAGGGATAAACCTACTTATAGAAGAATACTTGTCCAGAGGCCAATTATCTGACAACCTCACCTATAAGATGGGTAGAGAATGGAGAACCAAGGTCTCAAAGGAAATGGAAAGAGTTCTGAGTGAAGATGTTAAAACGTTTGTGAAATAAACCCTTTCAGAGAGCCTGATGGGCCTTCACTCACATCCTGTTAACCTTTATGTTACACACGATCCTAACAGAGTTGTGAAAGCTGAGTTTCCAGTTAGTAAAAGAGCAGAAGCGTGAACCTGTGTGTAAGGCAAACTCAGGTCAGCGGATGATGCTTCAGGACAGTGAGGGAGGGGGTCAACTCAAAAAGTAAATTGCAGACTAGATCTAGTTCAAATATTATTTCATATTTTTATTTTTATTTTTATTTTTTTTGAGACGGAGTCTTGCTCTGTCGCCCAGGCTGGAGTGTAGTGGCACGATCTCAGCTCACTGCAAGCTCTGTCTCCTGGGTTCACGCCATTCTCCTGCCTCAGCCTCCCAAGTAGCTGGGACTACAGGCGCCCACCACCATGCCCAGCTAATTTTTTGTACTTTTAGTAGAGACGGGGTTTCACCATGTCAGCCAGGATGGTCTCGATCTCCTGACCTCGTGATCCGCCTGCCTCAGCCTCCCAAAGTGCTGGGATTACAGGCATGAGCCACTGTGCCCGGCTTTTGTATTATATATTTTTCAGAGACAGTCTCACTCTGTCACCCAGGCTGGTGTGCAGTGACGTGATCGCATCTCACTGCAGCTTCGAACTCTTGGGTCCAAGTGATCCTCCTACCTCAGCCTCCCAGGTAGCTGGGACTATAGGCACACATCCCCACACCTGGCTCTTTTTTAAGTTCTTTTTTTTTTTTTTTTTGAGATGGAGTCTCACTCTGTCGCCAGGCTGGAGTGCAGTGGCACAATCTCGGCTCACTGCAACCTCTGACTCCCTGGTTGAAGGGATTCTTCTGTCTCAGCCTCCCTAGTAGCTGGGATTATAGGCACGCACCACCACACCCAGCTAATTTTTTTATTTTTAGCAGCGATGGGGTTTCACCACGTTGGCCAGGATGGTCTCGATCTCCTGACCTCGTGATCCGCCCGCCTCGGCCTCCCAAAGTGCTGGGCTTACAAGCGTGAGCCACCACACCCGTCCTTAAGTTCTTTTTATAGAGACAGGGTCTTGCTATGTTACCCAGGCTAGTCTTGAACTCCTGGCCTCAAGCAATCCTCCTGTCTTGGCCTCCAAATAAGATTTTATTATGATGCCTTCATTGATGTATGTTCTTTGAATTTCTGTAGCATTTTGTCTTCCTTAGTTGATTGTCACCCGTTTTCTAATGTAGCAGTTATTCATGTAGCACATATTTACATCTCTCCTACCAGATGATTGTTAGAACATACCCAGTTGTGCCTGGTATAGTACCTGCCACACAGTAGGTGCCTCAATAAGTTGTTATTGAAGATGGAAAACTAAAACATATCACATCATATGGGCAAGGTAGGGTTCCAAAGCATTTGGGGCAGAAAAGGTAATTCTGATATTTACTCTTTGAAATTAATTTTTATGAAAGTTATGAAATCTAAATTCTCACCTCTCCTTAGGCTTTTGACAGGTGTTCACAGATCTCATTTTATTTATAAGCCTATCAGTTTTTAATAATCACTTTTAAGGAGGCCTTTTATTAATGTTTGGTCTGATTTGCAAACTTAGTTAATTAAACTCCTTTAAACATTTTAAGCTGCATTTGTAAAGGAAATCGAACTTATTAAATTTATAAGTACTCAATTGCCTGACTCAACAAACAAGCCTCTTAGAGCACTTAAGCAATTCTTATAAGTCTAATTAAGCTCATAAGTATGTTACACCTTGTGGTCTTTTAAGTTTTCTTGTATAGTATATATGACCTTACTGAGATTTTGACTTCAAATCAAAATCTAAGTTGATTATTTAATGCCACATTTTAAGTTAAAGTCTCAAGGCTGGTCTGTTATTCTAATGGACAGATTCTCTTAATCGTTATAAATATTTGAAATACTATGTTTGAAATACAGTGAGTATTTCAAATAGTTAGAACAATTGATACATTGATCTGCATCGATATGTTGATCTGCATTGATGTCTTGTTTAAGGAATTCATTCTACAGACCTGATTTCCTTAAGCATTTCTCTGCTTTATTCTAAATGTTCCTGGGGGTAAAAGATGCTCACACAAATTGTCCAAGCATGGAAAGACCTGCTTCCCATGAGGACGCCTCTCCCCCTGACTTCCACACCTCAGGGATCTTTGGAAACGTCTCTTCCCCAGCAACCAGCGCCGCACCCGGCCCACCTCTCACCCTCGACTGCCCAGTGGGAGAATTGCTATAAATTCCAAATCAGATGCTTTCTGAAAGGGACCTACCAGGGGCTTCTGGCAACTTTAAGAAGGAAAGTCTGAGCAATTGGAGGCTCCTGGAGGCTGCCCAGGAATGCAGTTCAGTCCTCGGAATTTCTAATTCTTCTTCGCCCTGAGGAAGCTCACAAAGGTGGACAAGCAGGCCCCTTCTCACCCGAAATGTAGGAAGCCATCAGCAACCTGCACCCTGGGCGATCTCCCAGGAGAACCTGCCCCTGGCCTTTGTGGTGACCTTTGCTGTGGGAAAGGGGAGGCAGGAGGCCATGGGGTCTGGCCTTGGAACCACAGCCCGTGGTCTGCACCTGCCCACCCAGGGACTAGTGCTCTTCCCACTGGAGGCCGACTTCAGGACCACCCGACACAGCCTCGCCAGCTTCCCTTCCACCCTCGGCCTCCCATCCTCATAGATCTAGCATACAGTGGCTCAACTCAACTTGTGCCTCAGTCACAAGCCTCACGGTCATTGAGATTGCAGGAAATAACAGACCAGTAAGTAAATCTGGCTCTCCAGTTCACATTTTTTAAAAACCAAGCCCAGGCCAGTTGCGGTGGCTCACATCTGTAATCCCAGCACTTTGGGAGGCCAAGGTGGGAGGATTGCTTGAGCCCAGGGGTTCAAGACCAGCCTGGGCAACATAGTGAGACCCTGTCTCTGTTTAAAAAGAAAAAAAAATTGAGGCCAAATTGTTTCTTATCCTACAGAAACACTAAAGGCAGATTCCATAGTTTAGATACTCTCAGCAAAACTTTTGCCCCCAATTATTTCCTTTTTTAAAATTTTTATTTTATTTTATTTTTTAAAGGAAGGGTAGAGGGAGGTAGGAGAGAAGAGCAAAGAAAATGATGTTTATTTCACTAAAGAAACCATCAATTGTGTCATCCCAGGTAGTTTTGGGCATCGCCTTCCTAGGTGAATTTGGGTGGGAAGGTGGGGCTGCCTTCCCGGCTTGCTGAGATGTTTCGGTGACCAACAGGTGTCCTCCTGAGCTCGGCTGGGTGTCTGTGCCCCTGACTCCTGGGTTGAGCTCCTTTTTATAGTCATTTGTAAATGAGGCCACAAAATAAAGAGGCAGATTTCATGTGGCCCACACTCCTTAGATTCACGGTAAACATTACGGATTTCTCTGTCCACTTGTATTAGTCTACGTCCCCTGCCCTCTGGCTGTCACTAGACTGGATTTACATTTTTTTGTATCTTAATATATGTAAGCGTCTTTCCATTAGAATCCAAAGACCTTGAAACTCTGTGGAATTGTGCATAATTTTCATGTATTTCCTGTCTTGGGGGACCAGGCAACGCTGACAGATGTTAAAATGAGCTGGTATATTCCCAGCTTTAGTTGACTCTGTCCAGAGCTCCCCAGCCCCACAGTGGGCATAGGCAGGGTACTTCTCAGGTGACATCAGCTCTGGAGAGCTCTGTGTGCCACAGCAATGGCCAGTGATGGGTTTCCACGGTGACAACTAAGTTCTCAAGAAAAGATTGTGTAGGCCGGGCGCGGTGGCTCACGCCTGTAATCCCAGCACTTTGGGAGGCCGAGGCGGGCAGATCACGAGGTCAGGAGACTATCCTGGCTAACGCGGTGAAACCCCGTCTCTACTAAAAATACAAAAAATTAGCCGGGCGCCGTGGCGGGCGCCTGTAGTCCCAGCTACTTGGAAGGCTGAGGTGGGAGAATGGCGTGAACCCGGGAGGTGGAGCTTGCAGTGAGCCGAGATCGCGCCACTGCACTCCAGCCTGGGCAACAGAGCAAGACTCCATCTCAAAAAAAAAAAAAAGATTATATAGACAGGGAAGTTGGTGTATGATGTGATTTTTTAATTTGGTTAAAATATTTAAAATAAAAAATGATATTTTAAGAGGTGATGCTTCTTGTATTGGAAAATTCTCTTAGAGGGGATACTTTACTTCCCAGCCGTGTCACTGAGAGAGATCTTGCTGCATAAGACAAACAGTGGCGAAAGTCTGACAAAGGCCTTTGATCCAGTGAGGAAGTTGGCAAAATCAAGTTCTTTATGACTGTGTTGAAGAAAAATCAGAATAATACAGTTTGGTTATCCTTTATTTGTTAGAAAATGTTAAGGGATTTGCAAGGCTTTCTGGCTTTTGCTTCATATATCACAAATCTGACTGTAACCAAAGGTAAAGGTTATATATAATATGGCATAGTGAATAATGCATGGGGAGTGATAACAGACTTTAAAAGAGAGAAAGAAAAGAAGGTGGCTTTTAAGTACAGTATGGCATTTCCTTTTCTGCCGTGGTGATACATGATATAGTGCTCTGTGGTGTGCAAAATGTTATTGGTTGTCATAGCAATAGAACACCATCCAAGAGAAAGGAGGAAATGCTAGCCTAAGACACTTCGCTGGAATAGAACTACCATTATAACAAAATAATCATTGTTACCACTATGTTTACTGTCAAATAATAAAATCCACGCTACATTTAGTGGTAATTCTCAGTGGCCCTTACACCACACTAGGGCTTGTATTACACACACAGGCTTCTGCCTTCGTTTGAGAGTTTTGTACCTATTGCCTCTGCTGCTTGTTGGTGTAAAAATAGGTTCTGTTTTTAATGCATCCCTGAACTCACTTTCAGCTACCAGCCTGATTCCATAAGCTTCAGGGTTTGAACACCTTCTCCATAGAGTGCTGTAATTAATTTTTATTTTTTTCCTTGCTGTCAGGGTTGCCTCCCCTTGGTGATTTTTCAGTCATCGTTCTATCACGTTAGCCTGTGTAGTAGAACTGCCTCACCTGGAGCTAATCTTTGCTTTCTGATGGTTCTCAGGGCATTCTTCTGGCCGTCTTTCAAAGCATGTATTAACACTTGGATACAATTGAGAAATTCGTCTGATAGGAGTACTGATGCTCAGTTGCCTGGCAGGTCAGCCCCAGAGAGATGCTGGGGGACCAAGGACAGGGTACCATCTAGGTCCAGATCAGACATCTTTACCACAGTCATGGCCACCGCTCTCTTCCCGATCCAGCCCATGAATACACATTCGTGACCCAGGCTGGTGTACAGTAGGTAGTATGAAGTAGGTAGTATGGAAAGAGCCGTGTGTGTATTTGCAGCCAGGAAAAATCAGTCGTATCACCAGCACACAGCTTGCATTGCGGGTCCTGAAAATGGTGATGCTTTAGTTGTATCATTTAGATCTGAAGATGGTGCAGCACTATTCAGTGCTGTGTGCCAGCTACTCTGTACATGCTTTCTACACACCAGCTCATTTAATCCTCAGCCCATTTTACAGATAAGAAAACTGGAGCACAAAGAGGTTAAGTATCTTGACTGTGGTCACACTGCTGGTAAGTACTGGAGCCGGGATTTGAACCCATGCCACCTGAATCCAGAGCCTGCATCCTCAACTGCTCTGCCACTTTCCATGGTCTGAATTGGAACCAAGGGAGGCCGCAAATGAATCCAAAGCATGTGGCTTCTCTGGGAGATCTGCTGGGCCTCGCAAGAGGAAGAAGAATAATGTGATGAGAAGAAAGGAGGAGGAAGGTGTGGCTTGCAAAAAGCATAGCAAAATGGAGCAAAGCAAACATAAAGTTCAGCTCATCAGTTGATATCAGTATGGAATTATATACATCATTATAATTTTAAAAAAATAGTCAACTGCAGACCGATGATTAGTTCTGTAAGTGGCAAGGATCCTGCCTGAGACTTCTCTCCTAACAGCTTCTGGCAAACCTAGCCCAATGATACCTCAGTGCTGCATCCCAGCAATCTCAGGGGCGCTGCTGGATACATATCCTATTGGTCAAATGGAATATCCAACCAACACAGCTTTAATGACAACTGTAATAGTAGCTAACATTCATTGACAATGCCTACAAACCAGGCGCTGTTCTAAGGGCTTTGCGTGTATCAACTTGTTTGTAAGGGAAGGGGGTGCTATTATCACATTTTCCAGGTGAAGAAACTGAGGCACAGAGCGGTTACGTCAAATTGCCCCAAGTTGTACTTCCAGTACGTGGTAAGAGTCGCAGCCATCCACTCGCCAGATGTTTGATGACAGCCCACTGCATGTGGTGCCATGCTCTCGGGGAACACGGGCTAAGGAAAGACAAGGCCCTTTCCTCATGGGGCTGACATTCATGGGAACACATGTGCAAACACAAAGTTAGAAGCTCTGAGCATCTCCAATAATGCCTTTATTAGTCCGTTTTCACACTGCTATAAAGACATACCTGACGTTGGGTAATTTATAAAGTAAAGAGGTTTAACTGACTCACAGTTCCACATGGCTGGAGGGTTCAGGAAACTTACAATGGTGGCAGACGGCAAAGGGGAAGCAAGGCATGTCTTACATGGAAGCAGGAGGGAGACAGAAGGGGAAGTGCCACACTTTTAAACCATCAGATCTCGTGAGAACTCACTGTCACGAGATGGGGACATCCACCCCCATGATCCAGTCACCTCCCACCACCTCCCTCCCCTGACATGTGGGGATTACAATTCGACATGAGATTTGGGTGGTGATACAGAGCCAAACCATATCAGTGCCTGTCAAGTATTAAGCAGGAATTTCTTAGGGGAAGAAGGGAGTTGACAAAGATGCAGGATTGAGAATAACAATCTGTTAAATAAAAGGAGAAAATAAGAATAAATGAGCTTTGCTTATGGAAGACCTTGGAAGGTTAGGGAAAGTCTTAGCGGGTGCTGAATTGAGAATAGAGTTTGTGTATAGAAACAAAGGCTTCCTACGTTGGTTCCTAATGCCACAAAACGTACAATAGAAGTAGGGTCATAATGGTGACTGTTCAGTCCAGACCTCTCATTTCACAGATGAGGAAAGCAAGACCCAGAAAGTCTCTTTTGAGTCACTTTCCCTAGAAAAGCAGCCCCACATGTCCACAGCCAGACGTGTGCAAGGAGGCTCACTACAGCATTCTTTATAAAAGCCAAAGATTGGAAACAACCTAAAATGTTCATGACCAGGGAAATGTTGAAATAGATTGAATTTCAGCAATGAAAAGGCATGAGCCATATCCCTCTTGAATAGAAGACAAAACTTATCATTGAATGAAAAAAGCAAGCTGTAGAACAATGTATACGTTTGTCTTCACATGTGTAAAACACACACAAACTTAATACTCAATTGTTTTGAAAGACACAGATGCTCATCTTCATAGAAAAAAGCTCAGGACAGGTGCACACCAAGGTTGTAAGGTTACCTTTAGGGAAAAGGCAAGGGAATAGGATTGGGTGACCTCTCTTGTGATGACCTGAGTTTTAAAATAAGCAGTTGTAGTCTTGTATTAATCTTGTGATTAATTAAAAATCACATGATTAAAAAGGAATGCTCCATTGACTTGTCCGATCATAGTCACTGAATTAGTTGAAAAGGCAAGTCTAGGACCAGTCAAGTCTTCTGGATCCCAATCCCCACCCACACACCCAAATATTACACAGATAGGTGCAGGCATGGCGGAGAGGGGCCCAGGGGGAATTAAGGGCTTTGTAACCAGCAGTGAATTGCCAAGGAATCCCAGGAACCATAAAAATGTCAGTGAGTGAAACCGGGTTTTGCTAAAAGAGTATGTGTTTTTCAAAAAAGATTCCAATTTCTAATGGCATTAGTATTCCAAGCAGCTGAATCCCAGGCTGGAAAAAGGTACAAATGATGATTGCTCATTAGCAAATAGAATACAGATGTTCGGTTCATTTTGCCTGAGTGCACCAGCACCTCAGGGAGCCACCAGCATAGCGAGCCAGGCCCGGCAGCAGTGCTGCAGGCTCAGCATTGGGGAGGGCTCCCACAAACAGGAGGGAAGTGGGTCACTGCAAAGCTGGCGGGGACTGGACTTTGTTCCTTCCCTTTGGTAGTTTGTTGGGACCCATGGGTGGGCATGGGAAGCTGACATTTCCAAAGGAACTACCAAGACTATTTTAAATATAATTTTTAATTGTGCTTTTAAAGAAGATGTAATTCTTCACCACCTCCCTATGAACTAGGGTGCATGGTCCCCTTTGGAGAGGAAACTGAAGCTCAGAGAAGTGAAGTGGGTTGCCCAAAAGCACACAGCAAGTGAATGAAATGGCGAATTAGAACCCAGATGTGTTTGGCTCCAGGACTCTGAGTCTTTGGCACTCTTCTTACTAGCAGCTAGGCGTGGCAGAGGTGAAGAACACATAAAAACATTTTGAGGCCAGGCGTGGTGGCTCATGCCTGTAATCCCAGCACTTTGGGAGGCCAAGACAGTAAGGATTGCTTGAGCCCAGGAGTTCAAGACCAGCTTGGGCAACATAGAGAGACCCCATCTCTACAAAAAGGAAAAAAATAGCCATGTGTGGTGGCAGGTGCCTGTAGTCCCAGCTACTTGGGAGGCTGCAATGCGACAGGAGGATTGCTTGTGCCCAGGAGGTCCAGGCTGCAGTGAGCTGTGATCGCAGCACTGCACTCCAGCCTCGATGACAGAGTGAGACCCTGTCTCAAAAACGAACCAAAAAAACATTTTGAGATCTCACACCCTTGTCATTTTCCTAAAACAACTGTTTCTTTTTTGAGCAGCTTCCAGATTTACATACCCCGTTTACCCAGGATCCTCCTAAAAGAGAAATTAAAGAGTTATCTTCAACAGAATCAGCACAGCATAGGGCCAGGCTGGGGGAAGGGCAGATATAGAGAATAAGAAGATGCCATTTCCACACTCCTTGCCCTCAAGAAGCATCTGGCCTGGTTGTAGGGTAATAAAAATGGAAAATCAGATGGCTGTGGAAGGTTTTGATGACAGCCACACGCAGCAGGGAACAATGAGGATTGTGGATTGTGGAAGGTGGATTTTCATTAAGGGGTGGGAACAGTTTTCTTAGGAAGAAAGTCTGGGGAAGTGATTCTAGATGGGTGGCATCATGGATAAAACCGTCTAAGACCAAACCTGGCCTGAGGTCAGTGAGAACCTGGCTGGGGGACATTTGGTTCAGCAAGGGCCACAAGCCATTGGGCTTTGAATGCTGGAGAGCAGAGTTGGACCATCTTGAAGGATGGAGAAGAGCCTACAGAAGCTTAGAAGGAAAAAGGGGCCTGAGTGTGGTCCCATGAGGAGAGTGGGATAGCAGGGAGGGAGACTGAGGCAGGGAGACCTGTTGGAAGGTAGTTCCAGAGGTTCTGGCACTAAATGTTGGGCACCCGGGTTAGGTTGTGGGAGAGTGGCTTAGATGCATTCTGAATGCATCTATTCTATGATGGTGTTATAAACTCCTTACCTGCCGAGACATTTTCCCCTTTGACCTATGCCTTACAGCTGATTCTGCCTTGGGTAAACATTTGGGTTTTTGTGTTTATCTGTTTTTTCTTTTTTATCAAGCAGGGATGATGGAAAGTTTGTACCCGATTAGAGCATAAAGCCTTTTATTGCTGGAATGATTCCTCCTTGAGCTACCTCCTCCCTCCCAGCCCCTACCCTACACCTGTGTGCGTGTCCACAGGAAGTCCTCTGTAAGTGCCTGTTAACCAACTTTCCTATCACTAGGATACATCAGCCTAGGCACCTGTAGCCCCATAGGGCACTGGACTGCTCAGCTTAACTCTTTGCTCCTGGGCACAAATGGTCACTTCTGACTTTTGATGAGAAAAGGTAGGCATTCCTCTAGAACAACACTTGGCAAATTAATATACTTTATCAGGAGGTCACTGAGGTTCTTTTCTTAAGAATATGCTGGCTTGTCTTTAAGGTGAGATGAAGAGTTTTAGATACAAGGAGCCATTTCATTATTCCGTCATCTGCCCAGCTGTTAAGATTTTAAGATAGCAAGTCATCAAATTTTCAGCTGTCTTGCCGCCGCCGCCAGACGCAGGAATGTTGCTGTAGGTCTCTTGGGCCAACAAATTCTCCTGACTGCCACACTGCAGAAATTGCACAGAAGAGCCACTTTTCTTCTGCATTTCATCTGATGGGGATTCACAACTGGAGACATGCCATATGAAAAACAAAACCAGCTTCCAGAAACAACTGACTTTGACTTCTTGTTCTAAAGACTGAGAGTTTTTCTGCCACTTTCACCAAGTCCCCACCTTCTTTAAACGGGTAGAATTCAATGTGGTCGGATGCATTTTGCCTCAGGGGTATAAAATTAATTTAGAAATGACATTTTAAATAGTGGAAGCCTTTTATATAATGATGTGAAAATTATTCTGCTTTTGAAAATCAAAATCAAACATGAAACAGTATGTCTCTCTGTAAAGAAGTCAGATATCTTGTTGGGATATTACTTTGGCTTTCTGCCAAAAAAAAAAAAATCTCTATTCTCCTAACTCTGAAGAAATGAAGCAAAAAAGATATTTGAGGAAGGAGGAGGGGATTGTGATTGTTTTATTGAGACTAGAATCCAGATTTGCAAAGCAGCACTTCTTTTTTTTAACTCTAACCCAGACAAAAAAAAAAAAATTGGGTTCCTTCCCCAAATAGAATCTCTAAACTGTATCTAATGAAACTTGAATAACTAGTTTGGATTTTAAAAGACAGAAGACCCTGCCCATTGCTGACTGCAGTTTAATTATGTAATAAACCAACCAATCCTGTTTTTGTCTGGTTTAGACGCCTTGCAAAATATTTTCCATAGAATATACTACCCTCGCCTAATGTACCTTCTCCCTTTTCTTGTTAACCATCTGATGGTAAATTCTTTTAATTCTGCTTATTTAAAGCACTTGGCTTGCCTCACCTTACCCGGTAATAGTTTTATAGTCAGAAGCAGCATCTGGCCTGATGATAAGAATCAGAAAATGGAATTGTATTACTCCCAAGGAGCTAGTTGTAGCCTGTGCTTTTTCTTTCAAGAAAATACTCTGCTTAGATAGAAGGCATTCACATTACGTGGTCCCCACTGGGCTGAGAAAAAAACAGTCTGACAAAGTGCAGAAAATATGGTTAGCTCCCTCAAAGTCGAGCCACTTCCAGGGTCGATGCCAGTGAAAGGAAACTTGGGTAGAGTGGGTCAGCATGAAGTGCCTGCCCTGGAAAAGGGTCCTTTCCATCTCTCCCTCTTTTCACGGCCGTAATTGAGTGAAGACTATCACCAACTTGACTTACAAAAGCTGCTGTTTGCTTCCTTCTTGTGCCCCAAAGTAAACAAAATAGGCAGGTTCCTGATTCGGAGTGAGTGGCATGGAGCCCAGGCCTTTGTTTGCTGTTAAGTTGTCGGGGCAGCGGAGCAAATAGATGTGAAGAGATTAACCAAACAAGAAGGCCTGGCAAGGGTGACCCTTTCTGTCCAGCCAAGGGAGTGCAGTCATCCGCACGGTGCAGGAGGCAGGGACCTGGTCTCTAGTAGGGACTTGCACGTACAAACCTGGTCCTCTTTCAACATCGGGTGGAGCTGAGGATGACGGAGCTTGCTTCACAGATGATAGAATCCATTTTAGAGGTTTAGTCCAACCCCCTTCTTTTACAGATAAGGAAACAGTGGCCATCCGAAACCTGCCCAGACTGGTTGGTAGGTATTTTAAACAAACAAACAAAAAAGATATATCATCAAAGTTGAGAGAGAAGGCACACTGAATTATTTGTTCATCTTTGGGAACTTTGTAACTTCTTCCAGAACATTTTGCCACTTTTTTTTGTTTGCATATTGCCCCAAGAGACTTAGTTTTTAAACTCTTTAAAGATCCGTGAGAAAACTCATTGAGTAAAGACCCATCTGTCAACAATGTACATGGTAATATTATCTTTGTTACTGTTACAGTGAGTATAAAATTTAGAAGAAACAATAGCTTAATAAATTATTAGGTATAGCCTTAAGCAACTGCACCACAATTTTTGATATTTGTATGCCTTCTTTAAGAAACATAGTTGTCAAATTTCCTCTGGGGTGGGGGCAGTCTTACTGCCTCCCCCAGGACAAATGGGAAAGGGCCTTATTTATTACCTCTCTTCAGTATTTTCCACACAGGGTGGGCTGAAAGGCTCATGTCCTCAAACCAGTAGCTAGCCAAAAACAAATACTTAAGTTTTACTTATCTGTATATTTCAGCTGTCTCCCAAAACAGAGAGGTGACTTATAATGATAAGGTGCAAGAAACAATGGAATCAGCCATCCTTAAGGTAGGGTTTTGAAACAGTAGCTATATGTTTCAAAAAGGGGAGAGAGGGACAGTCACTCTGCAGGGTCTAAGGAAACTAGAGTGACCGATTCAAAACCCATCTTCGAGTTTCCTAGCAGCTAAGGCAAAAAGAGAAATATGGTACACACAGCTCTTATTTCTGGTATAAGTACACATACCAGTGAAGTGCCTGCCTCTAAGAATGAGCCCCTGTCTTGGGGCTTTCAATGAGTAAGGTAAGAAATGTCTTTAACAGAATTTAATGTAGTTACGAAGGTTCCACAGATACCCTTTTCTTATGAGGCCCTTGGTGAAAGGCAAGGATTCAGAGCTGAACTGAGGTTGTCTCCAGGCAATGCTGTATGGAAGGTTGGGGGAGAGATGGGCAGCAGGTGTGTGGTCACATTCTATCCATCTGCTCTGACACTTCCCTGTGCCTGGGAAGGATGTTGGACGGGGAGGCCTTAGCTGGCAGCCAGGAGCATGCCCAGATGGTATCTCTATGTCCAGAAAAACAAAATGAGGAAATTCCCCCTCCCTCTACTAACCTTGTAAAACTGCAGAGGCCTGGTCTGCCTTTGAGTGGCTTTTTGAAATTGTCAACTTAAAAGACCTGAGTTTTTTATAACGTATCTCTTTAGCAACAATGAGCTCCAGAAAGTAACTGCTCCTTAGCGGTGTCAAACCTGATCCTCATTAAACCAGCAGAGCCCTCCTGGAGGCAAACAGCTCTTTGGGCCCTCCAGACATGGAGGATTTTAATGATGTGCCTGGTTCTGTGGTCTGAGATACAGAAGTGATAAGTAGTTTAAGGGGTTGAGGCAGAAAGGGAGGCAATACAAAGAATTAAGTATTTACAAAATTGTTGGAAGGGCCAAAGGAGGGGGACCCAGGCCAGCCTTTCAGAAATGATTTCCAGAATCCTAAGGAGCCAGCCACCAGGCAGGCTGCCATCGCCGGATCTGTGTGGTCAGGAACACACCTCATGGCTGTGACCCAGAGCCCACTGCCACCCCTGCAACTGCCTCTTGACACCCAGGCACTGGAGAATGGGCACTGGGAGGTCACGGCAGGAAAACCCAGCCTTTCTGCAGCATTGCAGGCCACTCACACAGCCAAAGGGGGCCTCACCTCACCTCAGCCTGACTTCATCTAATTGGCAGAACTGAATTTACCCCCAGAACCCCAGCTGCAAGGAAGTCTGGAAGATGAAGACTGTAGCTTCCCAACCTCCGCAGTTTGAAGGAGCAATCCACAGTGCCCCCAACACACGATCCTTGTGAATTGTGAGATTCTGATAACATAACACTGGCCAAAGAACATGTCTTATTCTATTCCAGCTGCCATAACAAAATACCACAGACTAGGTGGCTTAAACAACAGAAATGTATTGTCTCACAGTTCTGGAGGCTGGAAGTCCAGGATCAAGGTCCAGCAGGGTATGGTTTCTGGTGTACAGACTTTCACGTCTGGCTGTATCATCACCTACCCTTTTTTTCTGTGCTTGTGTGGAGAGGGAAGAGGAGATCTCTCTTATGTGGTCACTACTTATGCTACTCTTATAGGGCCACGAATCCCATCATGAAGAACATGACCTCCTCTAACTCTATCACCTCCCAAAGGGCCCTATCTTCAAATACCATCAAATTGGAGGTTAGGGATTCAATGTATGAATTTTAGGGAGACATAAACATTCAGTCCCTAGCAGAACACATCTTCCTGTTATAGCAAATATTTCAGGATCATCCCAGACCAAAGGATCATAATGCTTCCTTTTAGCAAGGGGAGAGAATTTCGTTCTGTTCTGTTGATGCTCTCTGGGGTGAGACTCAACCTAATGATGAGTGAATCTGAAGCCAGTGCTACCCCTTTCTGTATAATCCACTCCTAAAAGAATTGGATAAAAGCTATGGACCCTTTCCAGAAACATGCACAAATTCCCAGTGTCTACATGTACTTTCTGCAGGTTTAAGTCTTCCTGTGGACTGACCACCTACCCCAGATCCCTCTTTGTAGCCTGTTTCCTGTTCTTTCTTCAGTATAAGCGACTCTTTGCTCCTCCAGAAACTGCTTTTGTTTGGGTGGTCATCAGCAAGCCATGGTACTGTTGATCAGGTCCCAGGACACTAATGAGATTCAGTGGTTGGAGTTGAGAACTTTCTGTCCACATCCAGAGAGAGAATTGGTTTCTACAGTTGCATACACTGAAGCTCTGATTAGGATCTTTCCTATTACCTTTAGTTAATAAACATGACCAAGATAACTTGGCCACTTTGGAACATGAAGATTGTGATAAAAATGAATTTACTTGCAAAGCTTAATCTCCAAAATTGCTTTGAATCTGGGCTCAGGTCCCTCCAGAAGTAAAAACTGCACAGTGAAACGTGTAGAGTGACATCAGCTGGCTTGGGTGGGACACAGTATATTCTAGTTGAAAGGTAATGAAACTTTTTAAAGAATTGGATGAATTAACATCTTTATGTGAAATGGAATCAATACAATAAATCCACTATGGCTTTGTTAGCTATTCTCTTTTGTTTTTTGGTTTTTGCAACATGTCTAGATGGAGAAAATAAGCTGCCAGAGAGTGGAGAAATGTAAAAATTAATTGTGTTCTGTAGTCCAAACTGTATAGTTTCTTTGGAGAATAAAATAAAGCAAAATGAAGTGAGCCGAATTTGCCACTCAGCAGATGCCAGGATTTTACCCTGTCGATGGAGTGTTTCACTTTGATAACCTGTCTGATGAACCACCCAAGGAAGGGGCTGACTCGATAGCACCTCTGTTTTTAACCCTTTCCATTACTGGGTGCTGAGGTTGTCCTTACACTGACAAATAACTAAATGAAATGTGCAGTCTACAACCAAAATGTAACTAAAATAGGAAATGATGGTCTTTAAATACGTGGCTTGTTTGTGTTAATTAATGCTGCAAATGACACTTAGGGATAAATATAGTAGAGGCTGATTTACTGAGCAGCAAAGCAAAACTCTAGAGAATCAGGGCTTTTATTTAAATAGAGTATTTGAGTGACAACAGTATGTGTCTTAGTCCATTCTCGCATTGCTGTAAAGAAATACCTGAGACTGGGTAATTTATAAAGAAAAGAGGTTTAATTGGCTTACGGTTCTGCAGGCTGTACAGGAAGCATGGAGGCACGTGCTCAGCTTCTGGGGAGGCCACAGAAAACTTACAATCATGGAGGAAGGTAAAGGGAGAGCTGGCATTTCATAGGAGGGTGAGAGGGGCGGGGGCAGGCGCCACACACATTTAAACAACCAGATCTTGTGAGAACTCCATTGCAAGAGCAGCACCAAAGGGATGGTGCTGAACCATTCATGGAAGATCCACCTCCATGATCCAGGTACCTCTTGCCAGGCCCCACCTCCAACACTGGGGATTACAACTGAACATGAGATTTGGTGGGGACACCGATCCAAACCGTATCAGTATGCTAGGTGCTGTGTCAAGCCACAGTTCTGGGACTGTGAAAAGTAGGCACATATTTTGCAAAATACTTGTGTAGCATGGAATTGGAGTTTCTCAGCCAAGTAAGTACATGAAATGTTCCAATAAATAATGTAAAACATGAAGAATTTCCCACCGAAAAGTTTCTCCTTATCTGTTAACAATGGTGGAATGAAGTTCATCAGTGCATCCGCATTGGTATATCATGCAGTGACTTTATATTGAGATGCAAATGCACTAGGCCCAATTAAATACCGTTGTTGTGATGTATTTAGACTTGTTCCTTTGTGTTGTTTTACTGAACCAAAAGGAAATAGTCATATTTCTTAGTAGTGACATGCCTAGAAAAGGAGTAAAGCAATTATTCTTTTCTTTAAACTCTAGTTTTGGCCATCTCTGAATAGTGGGTAAGTTTTGCTTTTCTGAATAAAGAAGTGTTTACAAATATAGAGAACATCATTCACTCCCAGGTTCTATTCAAGAAAAGCATATTGGTAAAAACTGTATTTCTCAGGGCCATTTATTCAAAGCCCATGCCTTCAAGCAGGAATCGTCACTCCGCTGTGTAAATGTTGTGGTGTGACATTGTCTGCTATTTATCTGAAACTGTTTATGTCACACTTTGGAATTTTCTGTTCCTCCTTTCAGCCGGGAAGGAATTAGCTGGTGCTCCAATATCTCTCAAATTTTTCTAGTGTTGGCTAAGGATTTGAAATATCATTGGAAAAATATTGGCCATTCGTCAGGGTTATTGAATACCTATTGGGGAAAGGTAAAGGAGCAGAAGCTCCTAATACGTAAAGGAATGGGAGAGGCACAGATTAGCTGCCTGGGCTTTGTGTTGGAAGCAAGAACTGGAATTAACGTGGCCGCCAGATAAGGTGGTAACTACAGCTGGTTCTGTGAGTTCCTCACCCCTGTGATTTTATCATCACATTTGTTTATATCATTCATATATATGGAATATCCAGTGAGTCCGAAGTGTTTTAGAGTAACAAAAAGTTTATTCTTCCAAATATCCGTGGAAGGTAGGTGAGTACCTCATTTTATTTTAGTGTGTTTGTCGTTGCGTGGTTAGGAAATGAGGCCTTTGAGAGGACTTGTCTAATGTTGTTAAAAAAGAAAAACTGGGAGATCTTCTGTGTTTCTCTGGAAGGCATCACTGGGATGTAGCTTCTTTGATGTTTAAGAGACAGGTGGAGGGGTCGAGCAGATTGTGGCTCAAGACCCTGGTTGAACCTGGCTCCTGTCTCAGCCTCCATCCAGCCCGCTAATTCAAGTAGATCTTTTTCACACTGTTCATCAGTAAGATGATTTCAGAGGGTCTCTTTTAGCTCAAAAATTCTATTATTCTGTGCTTAGAACTGAGAGAGTCTGTCTATATGAAAATCCAGGCAGGTTGCATTTCCCCACAGACAGTTCAGTCTATATAATGGTTTGGGCTGTAGGAGCTCGAGATATTGCTAGGTGGGGCCAATTATAAGGTATAATAGTATAATAAGTCAGCATTTTTAAAGTGAAAGAGTCTCTGTAGCAATCTTACAAAATACTAAAGTGGAAAAATGATCAGAAATTGATCTTTTCAACTTGGTGATTCCATGGATAGACAGTAGATGCACATCATCACTGGCATATTAATTTGAGTCGTTGCTTTTGCCTTTTCCCCAGTAAAAAGCCCTGGCTAGTCTGTGTCTATTTAAAGAAGTAAAATGCTACTCAGTGAAAAATGATAATTAGTAAACCCTAAACAGATTGAAGTTCCCCAGGGAATAAGCGCGGATGCCTGACCTCAGAAGTTGCAAAGGGACCCTGGCTGCCCATCATTGTCACGCCAATGGGTAGGGCCCGTACCCGCCTTTTTTTGTACTTCCCAGCATGTAGGCCAGCCTGCCACAAGAGGTCAATTTGGATACTGTGGTCACATTTTAAAAAGAGAACTATAATTATGACCTCTCATTATGTACAGTGATGCCTGCTGAGTTAAAGATAATGGCACTCCCTGCCTGAAAGTATCAGTTAATTGCCTGCAGGGGTCAGAAGGGTGCTCATGTCTGTCCCCTCCCGCATAGACTCCCCCAACCCCAACCAGGCATGCACTGAAGGCAGACACACTTGGGCCTGCTGTGCTTCTCACGCTGTTTAAGCACCAGGTTTAACCACTGTTTAACACTGATTATAGTGGAAGGTCAAGTTTAACTCATCTGCAAGAGGGAAATAAAACTTCAATGAGCTTAGACCTAGCCTGTCTTCCCTGATGGCATTCTTGGAGCACAGTGTCACCTGGAGCTCCATGTTATGGGCCCTGTCTTTGTTGACAAAGGGTACATTCCACATCTGGTACAGTACGTTTAGTATATTTTGCTACCATTTTTTCCCCATTAAAACTTTTTACTGTAGAGTATTTCAAATATATCACAAAAAACAGAATCATGAACCCTTGTATACTTTTCACCCAGCAGTCATCAATCCTGGCCAAGTTTATTTCATCTGCCCCTGTCCCACTTTCCACCACCTCCTTCACCCCCAAGTAATGAGGATTTTGGAGCAAATCCTCAGTTATCATATAATTTCTTCTGTATGTATTTCATTACGTATTTCAATAATTTACAGATTCTTAAACATACAACTATAGTAATATCAATAGCACACCTTATAGTGTTAACAGTTCCTTAGTATTTATCCCATCGGTGTTTGTATTTCCCCAAAAGCTTATAATTTTTTAGCCAGTTGTTTTTTTTTTAATCTAGACTCAAATAAAGTTCCATACGTTGTAACTGATGGATGTGTCCCTTAGGTCTCCTTTAAGCTGGAGGAGTTGTGTTGTTTTGTTTTGTTTTGCTTTATTTTGTTTTGTTTGAGATAGAGTTTTGCTCTTTTTGCCCAGGCTGGAGTGCAGTGGTGCGTCTCGGCTCACTGCAACCTGCACCTCCCGGGTTCAAGCGATCCTGCTGCCTCAGCCTCCCAAGTAGTGGGGATTACAGGTGCCTGCTACCATGAGTTCTCCTTCCATATTTATCTACCACTGTCTTTTTCTCTTGCCGCTACTGCTACTACTATTGTTGTTCTTATTGTTAAAGAAGAGATTGAATTGTTGGCTTAAAAACAGATACTCATTTTTATTTCCCCTCTGCTCCCCTCTAAATCTCTTCCCCTAAACATTTTATGGCCACACTGTCCTTTGGCATAGTCAAAGTCTGAAGGCTCCCAGGCACGGCTTAGGCTTAAAGCAAGCTTAGTTTAAAAAAAGAAGAAAAAAAAGTCGAAACTCTTTCTAGAAGAATGTTGAAAGGATGAGAGAAAACCGCAGGCATGATGGCAGTTACGGTGGTTGATTTTTCCTTCTCTGTTTTCCAGTTTTCTTTGTTTCGTTTTGCTTGTATAACACTAGCTGTAATTTTTTTCCTATTGAAAGATGAAATATGGTTTTCATGGTACGGAACGAACCCAGTTGCCGTCATGAAGTAACCTGATCCACCAGCTTGCCAGGCGGGCCTGCAGAGCGCCTCTCCAGATGTTTTTGTCCTTGCTGCCGCCCCACTGGGAACGGAAACCTCCGCTGTCCACGCCATCATCTTCCGTCGATCTTACCCTTCCAATCTGCCTGGGTCTGTTCATCATATTTTCTGGCGATTATCAAGCCCTCTTGGTTTTTCCAAAAACAAGTATGCCCCAGATACAAACTGAAGAGCTCTATTTGGCTTAGCATTTACAGTTTTGTCTGGAATGAATACGCAGCATCCACAAGAGGAGACCACGTTTGGCCCGAGCTCACCTCCTTTAAAAGCATGTGTCCCTGACCAGGCTCTGGCCCTCACGCTTGGGCCTCCTTTATTCCTCATGACACTTACTTAGTGTTTGTGCTTATGTACGGGGCGTTTTACCCACTATGTTAGTCCATTCAGGCTGCTATAATAAAATACCTCAAAATGGGTGGCTTATAAGCAACAGAAATTTATTTCTCACAGTTCTGGAGGCTGGGAAGTCCAAAATCAAGGTGCCAGCAGATTCCGCGTCTGATGCCAGCTTGCTCTCTGGTTCTAGAGGGCATCTTCTTGCTGTGTCCTCCCATAGTGGAGGGGACGGGCAGCTCTCTAGGGCCTCTTTTATGAGGGCTCTCATCCCATTCATTGAAACGGGAGAAGTTCCCTTAACCCGCTCCCAGGGCGCGTGACAGGGATGCAGCTTGCTTCTTCAGTGCCCCATTGCTCAAACCCCTAAGGGGAGCATGCAGACGGGAAGGTCGTGGGGAGCGTTTTTGGCCCCTGACCTCACAGCAGCATCTAGGGTTGAGTGTTTACAGCTCCCGAAGCCCCGGTGGGCGTGTGTTACAGGGCGCTCTTTCAGTTTTGCCATCTGCAGGCGGCTTGTGTTAATCAGCTCAGTTAGACTCTCTGCCTTATCACAGAGGTGGATGGGGAGCCAGAAGGTGGTCTTCCCCTGGCATGGAGCAGACTCTCCTCCAACCACCTCCAGCCAAATTCCGCGTCGTCCCGCCGTCGATGGCCTGCTGGTGTCTGTTGGTGTCGGTCGATGTGTTGTTCTGCTCCTCTTAACGTCCAGCCGCTTACGTCAGTGCCTACTAGGGTCTTGGGTTTTTGTGGGCACACGATGGGAGTGTGGCAGGCCAGAAGGCAACTTTTTGGGCATGAAAGCAGAAATGCCTGTCCTCATTTAGGTCCTTGGGCACAGGCCCAAGGGTGGAGCCCTCGCCAGGGACCCCGCCCTTCTGTACCCGGCACTTCCCGTGTCATCATGAGGGCCCCTCCCTCATGACCTCATCACCTCCCAAAGGCCTCACCTCCTCATGCTTTCACCTTGGTGATTCGGTTTCAACATAGGAATTTTGGGGGACACACACATTCTGATCACAGCACCCACATAGACCATGTGGCTAGAAAGTAAGGAACTTGCCTTTTTTTTTTTTTAAATCAAACACATTCAAAAAAGAAGCATCTTTCAAAGTAGACTCCTGACATGCAGAATACTTGTCCAGGGATGTAGCCATTCTTAATAACCATTCTAGAAAATTCTGTGGAGATTTTCTTTAGAACCCATTTCCCATTCGCTCACCAGAAAATCAGCTCTTGCACTATAATTCTTTTATTTCCATGATACCTTTATGTATAGTCTTAATCCTGAATCTACATTTCCATACTTAATTGTGTCTAAAATGAAATACTCATTAACAGCATAACGATATCTTTTGTTCTCAATGATGGATGGATGGATGGATGGATGCATGAATGCATGGATGGATGGATGGATGGATGGATGGATGGATGGAGCCTATGTCTCTTTGTATCAAATTGAATATGCACTATTCAGGGAAAGCAAAAGCAATGGCAGTTATATTATCATAGCCTTCTCATTGTACCAATGTAGGACTTCCCAGGAACCAGGCTCTGCTTTAGGTGTGAGGCAGACAGTAGGTGAAGGGCCCGTGTAAGATAAAGGAAAATGCAAATGCTTTTTTGGCGCTTTGTTTTATTTTTCAACTGATAATATGTGAGGGTTATTTCTGAATCAACACATCTCAGAAAACTATAAAAAAGTTTTTTAAAAAAAATACCAAGCATTTGATTGGCTTTTCTATTTTTTTCCTAGTCTATTTTTCGGAGGAAGAATTTGACTAGAGAGAGTAAAAGGCTAAGTGTTGAAACTGAGGCCTGGACAGAGCTCGGTGCCCATGAGACCTGCTGTGAGAATTGAGAATCAGCAGCCCCCGAATTCACTTTAGAGGAATAGCTGAGGAGGGCAGCCCAGCCATGCACCATCATTTCCCGTGAAGAGTGTACCACAGCCACCCCAAGATGGGAGTGGCTCTCAGTGTGGACAGACCGAAGCCAGAATAAGTATCCCAAGTCTCCACTGGGAAATGTGCTTTCATGTCCTTTGGTTCCTCTTTGTGCCTGAAGCTCGGGTTTCTAAGGGAGAAAGAGAGAGATCGCTCCTGTGGGTGGTTGTAGTAGTAGTTGTGTGTGTGTGTGTGTGTGTGTGTGTGTGTGTGTGTGTGTGTGTGTGTGTAAGGGAGTATGCCTGGTTATACCGGTATTTCTTTCTGACCTTGGGATAAGATGGCCCAAATATGGCTTAAATAAACCAAGCTTTAGTAGTACATTATGCTTGTGGCCTTGTGACTTTTAGTCTGGGAGCAGGGTAACCAGAGCACCAATGCTGGCTTTCTTAGCACTAAAGGCGTGCAGAAGTCCCTGCTCTGTTGGCTCGTTACCAGCTTCCCTTCTGTGGGGTGCTCTGGGTGGATGAGGACCGTCAGACTGGCTGGAGGAAAACCATAGAAGATTATAGTCTCAGCTTAAAGTAAGGAGCCCTGGGAGCGGAAGAAATGTGTGACATTTGCCCACTCTTCCTTGCCCTCCACCTTGTCCAGCCCCAGCCCAGCAGCATATCTGCCTGCCCCATGCACATGCTGTGATCTGAGTATTCATACCACACGCCCCCGCTTCCTTAAACACTCTGCCCGCTCAGCGCATGACTCCAGTGGGGCAGCCTGGTCAGGACTGGTTCTTCTGCCCTCCATGCCCTCCTTCCCAGAGGAGGGACATGCTCCAGGCACACCTAGCCTGGCAGACAGCCTCCCTCGGGTGCCACAGACACAGGGCACTATGAGGCTTGCTGGTCTATGTGGGAGGGAGAACAGATCTGGGCCTTGGCTGGATATCCAGAGCCTCTCTCTGAAGAACGCCCTAGACTTTGATTTGGAAGTCCACTGTAGCAAAGGGAGGGAATTCTGCGATGTTTGCTTGAACTGCTCTTAAATCCTGTGGTGCAGGCATAAAGAGTCAAGGTGAGAAACCGCACATCCCTCTGAAGTCCCCTCCCCTCAACATCTCTACCTATTGCATTCTCGGGTTTCAGCCCCCTGGAGTACCTATTGCTGGGGATCTGTAACTGATTACTTGATGGGCTGTAAATAGTTGAATTATTTTATTTTTAATATGTTCTCCTCACTCCCCCTCCCCCCACCCCCCCCACATTCCCTGGTTGCAGATGGGTTCTTAGAGCACCACTGGACCTGTCTTAAAGTTTAAAAAAGGGAAATGGTGGGTCACTCCTGGCTGTGGAAGATAACCATTGCCCCAGAGCTGTAGCATCTCACAGCTGCAGAATTTACGTGATCTTAGAGATTTAGGCTCCAAAGTTCTGTGGGGTTTTTTTGTATTACTAGAAAGGAATACCTGAGCCTGCGTAATTTATAAAGAAAAGAGGTTTATCTGGCTCATGGTTCTGTAGGCTGTACAACTTCATGGCGCCAGCACCAGCTTCTGATGGAGATCTGAGACTACTCCACTCATGCGAAATGCGGAGGGGAGGAATCACAGAGTGAGAGGGAAAGCACGAGAGAGATGGGGGAAGGGAGGGAGGTGCCAGGCTCTTTTTAACAACCAGCTCTCACGGGAACACATAGAGCAAGAACTCACTCATGACCACAAGGACAGCTCTGAGCCATTCACGAGGGATCCTCCCCGTGAACCAAACACTTCCAGTGAGGCCCCACCTCCAATGCTGGGGATCAAACTTCAGCATGTGCTTTAGAGAGGTCGAGCACATTAAACTGTAGCACATTACAAATCCCCTTCCAGATGTTTGAGAAGCAGCTTTCTAGTAAGGAAATCAAAAGGCAAAACCTTTTGTAACAAAGAGATTGCCTCAGCAGAACAGTGGTTTATGGCATAGTGGGACCGGGTGTGTGATTCAATATGGTAGAAGTCTACCCAGAAAGAACACAGTGAGGTTTTGTTCTCAGACTACGTCCTGTGTCTCTATAATGAGAGGCAGGTGTCAGGTGTGGGAACATCACTGGCTCCATAGTTCCTTTTTAAATTATTTTGAGTTAGTATAAGACATACATCCCCAGGCAAAGTGAGCCTATGTTCAGAGTCACCCTCCAGTTCTT
Source organism: Homo sapiens (assembly GCF_000001405.40). NCBI lineage: Eukaryota > Metazoa > Chordata > Mammalia > Primates > Hominidae > Homo > Homo sapiens. The sequence goes on along the minus strand of NC_000014.9, from coordinate 89,202,161 downwards.
CAGTGCTCGAGCATTAGGGAGGAAGACAGTGGAGAGGTGGGCACGCAGTTAGTGTGTGCCTTGAAGCACTGATGGCAGGGTTCTGCGTGGTATTTACTCTCACTAACACACCTGCCAGTGTCACTCTGAGATGGAATCTTTCCTTCTGTAAAAGATTATTTGCACATTGACCCAGTTGAAGACAGAGTTAATGAAGATGCCGTGCATGTGGAAATACTCAATTCTCAGCACTGACAAGCACTGCCATGCCTGCTGGGGCCAAGCCACTATGAGCACCCCCACAGCTGTGGGAAAGTTGGTGCAGGGGTTACCAGCAACCACGAACCCTTTTACTAGAGGAGGAAGTGGCTTCTGGCGTGGGAACTGGGCAGGAGCTATCTTCCAATAAGTGGAGAGAAGTGATGGTTGGGGAAAGCCAATCACTGGGGAAGATGACCTTATAGCATAGAGAGGGGGAAAAACAGACTCAAGAAAGATGCACTGGTGGTCCCTGGCTGGCCGTGCCCAGGCCCCTATACTCTGAGCATCTCCCTGGGCCTTTGGCTGTGGTCTCAAGGGGCTTCCTGGTCCCACCTCTGGCTTCTGGCCGTGGCACATCCTTTCTCTTGGACACCAGTGTGGCCAGGCTCTGAGGTGCTCTGGGGTCTCTTGGGAGTCTCCATTCCTGTTCCTGCCCTGTGGAAGCCTTCTTGCACCTGAGGCTGGCTCCAGTCCCCTCCTGGGCGGTGAGCTTCAGCTGTAACACTGGATGAAGAAACCAGGAGCAAGCAGGACATTTTCAAAGCAAAGAATGCCAGACTCTAGAGGGCTTCGGCATTAATCGCCCTCTCCTCCCTCCCTGCAGGGTCAGAATCTCTTCCACGGCAACCCCAAATGTCCCCTGTGCACATGGCTATGAGCTACTGCCATCCCCAGAGAGGGGTGACCCAGGAGACAGAAACCAGAGAATGCAGTAAGCAGAGATTCACAACTGGATGAGATGCAAAGGGGAAGAGACTTGAGAGGAATGTGTAGTTTCTCATTCATCTATAGGGAGCTTTAAAAAATTTAAAAAATATATAAACTGACCTCAGACAAGTCCAGCACAGTTAACAAGCCAAACAGAACCAAATCAAAACCCCCTGCCTCTTCAATAATGGCTCTGTCTTATTACCCATGGGACAGGATCATAACTTGGTCTGGGTCATTTGTCACCTTTGTCCTGGGCTTCAAATCTAGAAGTTTAGATTTTTTGGTATTCTCAGTTTCTGTCCACATGGTTCTTTGAGTTTTTTCCTAGGCAGCTGCTAGAAAGATTTTGATCAACTGGTCAAAGATATTAAAGAAGTCAATGTTGATCAGTAGGAAAATTTAGAGTGCCAGATAAAAGAGGTGTCTGGGATGGCAGTGTCTTGTCAAAGGGCTGGAGGTGATGCGTTCACTTGCTTTGGAATCACAGATTCGGGAATGTGACGGCAATGTGACGCAGACCTCGCTGCTGAGGCGAAAAGGACGTTAGAATTAAGGGACTCAGAAGACATCAAAGTTAAAGCGGTTCTTGTTGCCCGGAGAAAACAGAAATACGAAAGCATCTGCCTGGGGAGTATCAAGGTACTCCTTTCATTTCTCCAGCAGAGGAGCAGCAGGGACAGTGATCGACTCTGAGGAAGTGAGAGGCCCGGAGAGCTTCCAGCCCGGCCATCCTAACACCACCTTAGAATTGGGGCGCCTGAGACAGCCCTCAGCACCAGGCTCCCAGCCCAGGATGCTCTTTGAGCTCTGTACTTACCTTCCAGTAGCTTTTCCTAGAATCCCCTTCCTGATTAAGTGAAATGAGGGGTAATAGATGGGCAATTTACACGAGTTAGAAAGATGCCCCCTGTTGGGGAGCTGACTTGGACAGATGTATTCCGAATTTGCAGGGTTCACTGTGATACTGTTCCTCAGAGCCCGTACATTCTTCATTTAGAGTTTACCAGTCACTGTATTTAAGCTGGAAAGACTCAGGAAATGTGTGAATGGGAGCCTCATACCCAGAGTACCCCCAATGAAATGTAGAGCTTACTTGGAGATGTGTGTGTTTGTTTGTTTGTTTGTTTTCATCTGTTCTTATCCCTTTGGCCCTAAAAATTATCCAAGCACAGTCATCCGTTGGGTATCCATGGGGGATTGGTTCCAGGACCCCCTAAGATACCAAAACCTGAGGATGTTCAAATCTCTTGTATAAAATAGTGCAGTTTTTGTTGTTGTTTTTGTTGTTGTTGTTGTTGTTGTTGTCTGAGATGGAGTCTCGCTGTGTCGCCCAGGCTTGAGCGCAGTGGCACAATCTTGGCTTACTACAGCCTCTGCCTCCTGGATTCCAGTGATTCTCCTGCCTCAGCCTCCCAAGTAGCTGGGACTACAGGCACCCACCACCACACCTGGCTAATTTTTTGAATTTTTAGTAGAGATGGGATTTCACCATGTTGGCCAGGCTGGTCTTGAACTCCTAACCTCAAGTGATCCACCTGCCTTGGCCTCCCAGAGTGTTGGGATTACAGGCATGAGCCACCACAAATAGTGTAGTATTTGTATAGATCATTCATCCTTTCCCCTTTCCCCCCGAGTCCCCCACTCACCTACCAACTTAATTAGATCATCTTTTGTTCCAACAAACAGCTGTTAGTTTCAGTTTGCTTAATCATTGCTTTGAGCTTGCCTCATGTCTTCAGAGCAGCAAGAGTTTGGGGTGCTCTTTGATTCATTTTTTGGAGAAGAAAGGCCCCTCTTGGTGTTCTCCGTCTCCAACTTCCATCCTAAAGATGATGCGTAAAATCACAACTTGGTGTCCAACTTAGTGGGAGATTTTTGTTCCCTAAAATCCTGCTCATCAGAAGCTTGTGCACCGGGCTCACTGGCGTCACTTTGTCTCCTGTCTCACTGTGACAAGAACCCCTAAGGTGTTTGCAGTTCATGTCCACAGTGAATCCAGTCTCCTGTTTCCCACTTCATCCCTCCTGCTCACTCGGGCAACTTCTTTCTCAATAACCTTCAGCCAAAAGGGAAGTGGAAGAAATATTCATGGCAAATGACGTCAGTAGAGCTGACGGCACCCCGTGTTCTGCTGCCTTCAAGATCAGAGGCGGCTGTTATAGATATCTTGATTGATTGCAACAGAAGCCAAAGGGTATGGCTCTTACTTACTTCAGTGATTTCAAAGCAACAAATGTAGATATCCTATCTGTCTTAACCGATGCCTAGGGATTTTGCAAAAAGGAGGAAAAGAAAGACGTCAACAACAAAGTGAATTGTATATCTGTTTACTTTTGATGTGTTCTATTGGAGATAGTTTGGTTTGAAGAGCTGCTTTTCTTGATCATACCACATGTATCTGTGAGCTTAGTGTGAGGTTTCTCAGCCTTAGCACTATTCACCTTTTGGACTGGATCGTTCTTTGTGGTGAGGGCTGTCCTTTACGCTGTAGAATGTTGAGCAGCCTCCCTGGCCTCAGCCCATTAGATGCCAGTAGCACCCTCCAGCTCTCACCCAGTCATGACAATCAAAAACATTTTCAGACATTGCCATACATCCTTGGGGGAAAGAAGTGCAAAATTGCCTGCAGTTGGAAATACTGGCTTAGTATACAAGGTGTGCGTTAATGCAGATCTACTCAGCATTTCCCCACAAAATCCACAGCTTACTTGGAGTTTTGTTTATTTGTTTGCTTGCTTGTTTTCATCTGTTCTTATCCCTTTGGCCCTAAAAGTTATCTAAGCACAGTCATCCCTCGGTATCCATGGGGGATTGGTTCCAGGACCCCCTAAGATACCAAAATCTGAGGATGTTCAAGTCCCTGATATAAAACAGTGTAGTATTTGTATGTGATCTATGCACATCTTCCTCTGTATTCTGTATTATCTCTAGGTTACTTATAATACGTCATACAATGTAAATACTATGTAAATAGTTGTTAGATGGCATTGTTTGGGGGAATAATGACAAGAAAAAAGCCTGAACATGTTCAGTACAGACGCGGCCATCATCTCACTACATAGTATACATGTCAGCAACAGTGTAACATTTTCTGGAATTATTTTTCCCTAATATTTTTGATCCTTTGCTGATGAAATCCATGGATATGGAAACCACAGGTACAGAACCCATGGGTATGGAGGGCTGACTGTATTTTTTCTTCATTGTAGGGGGTTAATTAATGCCCCAGTTGTGTCATTCTCATGCAGAGTTAGAGAAAATGGACAAAGATATTTCAAAGCAAAGAAGTCTAGTAATGTTACAGAAGATCTGGCAGCACTTGTCTTCCTTGATGGCTTCTTTGGATGGCATCCTTCATTTACTGCGACAGCCGTTCTTCGCCTTTCAAACACTTCAGAATTCCCTGACAGATTCCTACAAAGATTCCTTCAGCTAGGGTGGAGCCTGATGTTTGGTTTTCTGGGGTTCCCGTGGAATTTCACTGCACATCTGGAGGCTTATGCCCTGGGGAGCATCCAGTACTTCTCCCCCAAGCTGGGTGCCAGGCCTCAGGCAGCTGGATTCACCCAGGAGCAGATTGGACAAGCCATCCATTTACTTGTTCACTAACTATCCAGCACTCTGGATGTTGCAGGCACTGTTCTAGGTGCTAGGGAACACCCTAGTGTATGTATCTGACCATGTACCCGTGCTCTTTTTTTTTTTTTGACACAGTCTTGCTCTGTCGCCCAGGCTGGAGTGCAGTGGCACCATCTCGGCTCACTGCAACCTCTGCCTTCAGGTTCAAGCAATTCTTATGCCCCAGCCTCCCGAGTGGCTGGGACTACAGGTGTGCACCACCACATCCGGCTAATCTTTGTATTTTTAGTAGAGGTGGGGTTTCACCATGTTGGCCAGGCTGGTCTTGAACTCCTGACCTCAATCAATCTGCCACCTTGGCCTCCCAAAGTGGTGGGATTACTGGCACAAGCTACCACTCCCAGCCTACCCGTGTTCTTATATCTGATCATTTCTGTCTGAGTGTGTGTCATCTATTATTTGGTATTTTTGTTTGTTTGTTTCTTGAATTTCTTTTATTCAGTTAAAGAGATTTCATCATCCTATAAGACCCCTCAGGTGTGAGGGGGAGCAGAGAGAGCTGGAGAAACAAAACACATTAGCCCTGTGGAAAATCACATGATTTCTAAGAAAGTAATGGTTATGATTCTTAGGCTTTCTCTATAGGAAGTGTTTCATTGTCATTGTTTTGTTAGGTTGGTCAGCTCAGAGGTGCTGAAGGCAGTGCTTACATTTTTGCAGCAGGTATATATCGCAGTGTGGATTGAACCAGGGGCTTCCTGCTGGCCTTGTATTCTTAGTTTGTTAAAGCAAATGGCCTCTCCAAGTCACTTCCCACTGAAACTAAATCCCAGAGGAAGCGGAATGAACATGGTTAGAAACCACACCAGGAACCCACAGAATACCCACACCAGGCTTGATGGATTGCTGTGAAACAGACCTGGCAGGGACCCATCAGGACAGGCTATGGCTTTCTGGAGGCAATAGTGTATTCTCCCAGCCTTACTAAGGCTGTTAGCTGCCCCTAAGGTCTTTGGAGTAGATGCCCCATTTGGTAGGTGTTCCTTGGAATCCGTAGCTCTGGCAGCCACAAGTCACAAAGGGAGGAGCAAATCAAGGGACATTACAGAGCAGGAACTATGTGGAAAGGGATGAAAAACCAAACCGGCCCCTTCCAAGTCTGCAGCCACCCACCCATCATTTTAAAATGAGTGGACTCAGGCACAGCAAAATGAAAGGAAAGTCAGCAGACCCAGGACTTAAACCCAAGAATCCTCATGTCTAGTGCAGTGCTTTTCCCGTCCTGTCCACGGAGGAGAAGCCTCTTCCACAACCCATGGAACCATCTCAACAGTTTGAGAAACTGAGGCTCAATATTTTTCTTCACCCAAATAGCTGGACCGTTGATTCTGGAAACTGTGTTACCTGTTTGTCTCCCTGCAGCATAATATAACTGTGTGTGTACATTCAAAAGAAGAGGATTTGAAAACATCTTTAAGACGTGTGACCGTTTTCCAGTCTCGTACTACAGAGAAGAGGCAATGTGATAAGACAACTACATTAAAGATGAAAATTGAAATAGGCTGCTGGGAACCGGTCCAGAGGAGAAGTAACATTTGTTACTGAAGCATGGGCGAAGGAGGAATTTTTTTTTAATATGGGATTTGAGATTGGCTCAGTCTGGATGATGGTTGGTCATAACTCTATTCAGCACCCATGACAGCATGCTTGGTGTGATACTGAATTAACCAGCAATCAATGATTTAGGTACTGATGGGAATGCTGAATTAGGTACTGATTGCTGAATTAGGTACTGATGGGAGGACCCTGCCCATCCAAAAATTTAAAAGGTGGCACTTGCTTGTTCTCTCGTACCCCCCTGTCTCACTTCATTCCCCTGAGATATAACGTGAAGCACTCCTGCCAAGTGGGTCTCCATTCCTAGAAAGAGTTCCTGGCCAAAATGCCTTTCTCTTTTCTTTTGCTGATAAACTGGGTTGGACCATCTAGGGAAGATCCTACAAAGCCAATCCACTGCTCCCCTCCTGGAGATCTTGTCCTGGGCCCTTTACCCTTCACAATCAGCTATGCCTCTGAAGCAGAAGCCCCCGCTGTCCACCAAACAGCTACCCAGTTCCCTGAAATGCTTCCAGCCACAAATCTCCAATGTCTTTGGTCCGAAGCATCCTACCACAATAGCGTGCCTGCATCAGAAAGTTCCTCTGCTATCTAAAGAGGTAAACCACCAGTAGTCTCTCTTGACCACAGAAAATTTGGACTTTTTTATAGAGACCCAGAGTGTGCTGATGAGAAGTAGCACATCACCTAAGGTAGAGAGTGGGAGTAAGCCCCAGAGAGAGGCACAGGAGGAAGAGAGTGGGGCAGCACTGTGTCCTCATAGGAAGGGGTGGGGTAGAGAGATCAAAGGGAGGGGTGTTTGGGGTGAGGGGACTGGGAGAAGTGTGCAGAGGCAGTGCCCTTAGGTGCCCAGAATCTGTAGGTTGGAGTACCGTGCTGAGCACAAGTTATTTAATCAGCCCAAACACTTTCTTTCTACCTTCTGGTAGTTTGCAATCTAAAGAAAAGGCAATGCCTGTACAAACAGTGCAGTGTGTATTTATGCACAAAATTCTCACCGTAGAAAAACTTTTGATAGCATATACTAATATAAAAGGCTGACGAAATAAGTGAAAAAAATTTTAAGTTGCAGGAAACTATTTTCCATATAAAGCTATTTTTTAAAAAAATAGATTTGCATGCATGAGTACGTATATATATGTGTGTGTGTCTTAGTTTTTCAATGAATATGTACATATATGCTTATTTTCACATACATAATTTTTGGACATATATATAAGAAAGTATGATTTTGAAAGTAAGCTTATAGGGAAGGCATTTCTCTCTCAAATTATATCCATCTAGTGTTTTTTTTTTTACAGTGAGCACATATTACTTTCATGACTTTTAATAAAAAGGGAAAAACTTAAGTATTTTAATAATAGATAAGAGCAAGCATTATAGTATCTCTTATCTTTGGAGAGGAGAGACAGGAGGCTGTTGGCTCTGAAGACAGAAGCACTCACAGGGTGTCAGGGTGTGACAAGGAGAAAGGCATATGAGACGTTCTAGCAGAGAGTCCAGGACACTTTTCCATAGAAGGATGTCAGACTCATTAGGCTGCTTGGTGTTCAACCCAGGAGCCAAAGAGGGTCCTCCTGGCATTGATCTACAGTGCTAGGTCTGTGCTTAACCAGCTTGCTAGTTAAGGAAAGAGGTCTGAGTGATTACTTCTATTTTTGTTTGCCTGTAAATCTGGATATTGGACCAAGAAAGTGTTATATCTAGTACACTCACAAATGAAAACATAAAAGATGACACTTGGGAAATCTTTGCAATTTTAGGGTAGGCTAAGATTTCTTAGAACACAAAAGACATTAAGCTATAAAAGAACAAAATGGTAAACTGGACTAAAAAATTAAAGACTTCTGCTTATTAAAAGACACTCTTAAGAAACTGAATAGTAAACCATGGACTGAGAAAAAAAAACCATGTATCTCACAGAGGACTTATATTCAGAATATTTTTTAAAATCTTACAACTGAATAATACTAGTTGAACCACCTAACTAAAAAATGGGTAAAAGACTTTAACAGACTTTTCATGTAAGATACGAATGGCCATCAAGCACATGAAAAGATGCTCAAGGTTATTTGTCATTAGGGAAATAAAAATGAAAACCCCAGTGAAATATTACTATATATCCCCTAGATGGCTAACGTTTTTAAAGATTGACAATTTCAAGTAGTGGCAAAAAAAATATGGAGCAACTGGAACTCTCCTACGTGGTACACCCTCTTTGGAAAACAATGTAGCAATTCTCTATAAAGCTAAATATACATTTACCAGCAATTTTCCAAGAGAAATGAAAACACAGGTTCAAAAAAGACTGGTATAAAAGTTCACAGCAGCTTTTTTATCATATCCCAAACTGGAAACAATCCAGTGTCAACCTACCGGTGAATGGATTGCGGTATTTCCGTTCAGTGACTACCACTCAGCGATAGCCATAAGGAATGAACTATTGACACCCCATCTTTGATGAATAACAGAAGGTGGGGGGGTGGGGGGTCATAGGTGGATGCTCTACAGATCCAAAGCACCCCCACAAGTGTGCCTTGGGAATGTCCCACTTAGGTTCTCCCACATGTGTGATTATTGATGGAATACTTTTCCTTTAAGGTTTTCTTTCTCTCTTTCTGTTTTCTTTCTTTCACTATGTCTTCTTTTTATTTGTGTCCCTCTACAATTTCCTTTAATGTGTTTTGGAAGAATACTGAAATATTTTCTTTAATTTTCTGGCCATATAAATAGGAAAAGACTCCAGACTTCCTCCCTGTGTTTCTTCTTGTTCTGGGCCCAGCAAACCTCCTGGCCACCGAGAAAAACTTTGGGTACGAGTCACCTGCGGAGGCAGGGACCATGTAGCCAGGCCAACCATGGTCACCTGTAGCACTTTCGTTCTCAATAATGGCAGAGACCTTTTGCTTGGCAGGAAAAAATCGTTTTTCTTGGCTACCCCCTGAGAAAGGAAAAGGCCCTTTCTAAAACGAGGGGCAAGAGGGAAAGGCCTGAGGCCTTAACAGCCCCCCTTAGGAACTGCTTGTCCCTTGTGACTTGTGAGATGCCAGCAAGAATGCTGGGGCTGTGAGTGCTGCTTGCAGGCAACAGGCCCTGTGGGGGACCAAGGGACCCGGGGCAGTGGGAGCCACAGGGGCAGTGGGAAGAACTTTTAGTTTTTTAGCTGAATGGTTTTATATATAAATATATATATTTTTCTATATCTTATATATTTATATATATTAAATATATAAAATTCAACTAATAATATATAAACTATTATATATGATAGTATACATATATTAACTATTATATAATAGTATAAACTATTAACCATTATATATAGTAGTGTATATTAACTATTATATATAATAGTATATATAAACTATATAAGATTTATATAGTTTATATTATATAGTTTATATAGCTTATATTATATAGTTTATATTACATATAACATATGTGTTATATATTGTATAATTCATATGTTATAAAGTTATATACAACTATTATAAACTAATATATAGTTTATAAAATGTTAACTATTATATGTAATAGTATATATAAACTATAGTTTATATATAATATATAATTTATGTATTATAAACTATTACAACTATTATAAACTGATATTTTGTAGTTTGTATATTAACTTATATAAAATAGTTAATATATAAACTGTATACTATTACATATAACTATATATTTTATTAATGATCATATATAATAGTATGCATAGTTTATTATATAGTATATATAAGTACTTAATATATACTGTTATATATAATGGTTAATATAATATACTTAATATATAATATTCATATACATATTTAATGTGCATTGTAGTTAATATATTAATATATAATATATATTAATATCAGTGGGAAATGGTGACTGTTTAAGGTATTTCACCCCTGGAGTTGCCAAATATATAAACTGTATATATACTATTATATATAATAGCTAATATAGTATGTATATTATTATATATAATAGTTTATATATGTTAGTTGATGATTAATGATTAATTATATTAGCTAATATATATTATATATTATAGTTATATATATGTGTATATATATATATACTAATATCAGTGGGAAATGGTGACTGTTTTAGGAATTTCACCCCTAGGGTTGCCAAATAAGTTAATTTACTTGTTTCTCATATAATGTACTTATTAAAATAAACTTTTAGTCCATTATGGAATGTAAGTAACAGGCCTCCTGCAGGCAAAATAGAAAAAAAACTCTTCAAAGTCAAGTTCTATTTTTTTTTTTTTTTGAGACCCTGTTTTCGGGAACCAGCATTATCCATATCATTAATCGCTTGTGGGCCTCTTTTTACCAATCATGTTACTCCTTTGGAATTAAACCACACATATAAAGTATGAAAAATGTACTTTTTTAAACATTAAAAAAGTAATTTTCTAGCATAATATCCAAAATAAGGTGCCATGGAGCCATTAGTAGCAAATTGAATTTTTTGGTATGTAATTTGTACAAAAACTGACAAGTGCGAGCCCCTTGTCCCCCATCATTAGTCATTGGGTTTGGCGGACACAGAGGCAGTAATCTGCAAGGGAAGGCATTTTGATGTCGACTTCAATTGCACACTTCATTTATTTGGACAGGGCACAGGCGGCAGCTTCTGTCACGCGGCATCACCGCACTATTAGTGAATTTCGCCCCAGGGCAGCTGGGACGCTGCGCTGGGGCAGATGTTCTTTTCAGCCTATTCAGTGACCATTCTTGGGGGTTGTTTACTGTTGCCATGGTGACCTTCATTTCCATAGCAGCAGAGCTGCTGTTTCTCAGAGGAAAATGAATTTAGTTATAAAAGGATAATATTTTTCTCTGTCTCTATATAACCTGCCATCTGTCAACTGGTGGATCAGTAAGGATTCAGAAACCTATTAAGAATTATAGCAATGGAGTGATGAGTATTTTTTTTTTACCCATATTAAAAGCAATAATAGAAGTGGAAGCAAACATTGTGCCCTCAACATGACAACTTTACTTTTTTCTTTATATTTTAAGTGCTTTTTTTTAATGCCTTCACCACATCCACACCACTGTTACAAACACATAACCTCGTGAAACACAATTTACATTCTGCTGACAAATGGAAATGACCACATGTCTTGTTTGTATCTCACTAGATGCAGGTGTATTTAATGCTTTCTTGATGCTGTGAGCTTTCCCCAGTTCATTAAAGATTCATATGGCTGAACTTCCTATTGTCACTGACTCTCCTGCTCCTCACCCCACGGTAAAAGCTGTGGGGGTGCATAGATCAGCAATTTATCAGGAACATACAGTGCAAATTATAAAATTAACAAAATGAGAAGAAACCATGCTTGTGTGATGAAAAATTTACTAACATGATCCTTAAATCTCATTCTAGAATACCTTTTCTTCTTCTCAAATCCCACTGGGAAGAAAGTCGCCTTTGGGATAGCTCATCCAGTTGCTGGATATTTTTTTTTTCTCTGTTGCATTCATAAACTGTAACTTGCAGGGGGAAAAACACACACACACACCGGCCCCGTTGTAAATAATGTTATTTATTGGTTGATTTTTCCAGATCCTGACATTGATGCTGCCAGTGCCATGATGCTTTTGAATACTCCCCCTGAGATACAAGCAGGTTGTGAGTAGATATTTCTATAGCCTACAGCACCATAGTTTGTGAACTTAACCTTCTCATTTATACACCAGGTCATAGGAAGAACTAATGCTAAAGTAGAACTTCCCTTATAGAATCACTTTAAAAGCTACATAAGTGCATGATTACATGCATATGCATATAAACATGCAGCCATGCATATGTATGAATGAATGCATAGGTGTGTTTCCAAGATGAGAAAGTTCTTATATAATTTCAGGACTTAAGACTTGGGGAAAGGGAAACAGATCCTTTAATGAGTCCCAGTGAAGAGGCCTTCCTTGCTCCTGCAGGTATTGTTCCTGTGAGTTTGTAGTTTCTCCTAGAAGAGGCTACATGGGGTCAACTTAACCCTAATGGACCTGAGCAGTACCCATTTTTAGAAATTTCTTTCTCTTCTGGGACCTCATCGCCAGGCTGCCATTTTGGAGAAGAGTCTAGTGAAATAGGCCTGTTGGAGCCTGGAATATCTTTGAAATGAAACCACGCTACCAGCTTGGACCATTTCTATCCAGCCTCCCAGGCTGCCCCAGATAGCAGGGTAGGGCTGTTTAGCTAAGCAGGACTCCCATCCTCACCTTCTTTTTGTTGGCCTTCAACAATGTCAAGTTTGAGACAACATTTCCTTACTGAGACTTCTCTTCTCACCACCTGAGGTTTTTACCATCTCTGGAGATAGTCTACCATGGTTTTAGAAAGATCTCTTCCCAAGGGATGAAGAGTGACTTCAAACAAAGATATCTGTCCCTTCCTTCTCCCCACTCGAGGTCAGTACCAGTGCCCACATCCCATACCCAGCTAGAACCCTGTTGAACACACAGACAGCTGGTTTACCAAGGTCTGCTCAGCTTGTTGTTAGGACATTGCTGTGTTACAGCCTCTTACTGATGAAACACGGTAGTGAGGAAATAGTGACATGAAGCAGCAGACGCCACTACAACACCACCGCTTAGGGGCTGGCACTCACCTATCTCCTTCTTATGGCTAGGCCTTCAGCTCATTTTGGGTTCTGGCTCTCTGAGGGCCACATGGCTTGCTGAGCAGTGGGAAGTCCCTGCCTTTGGAGTGGATGCTACTTCACACAGGAAAACATCCATCCTCAGACCCAAAACAGGTGCCTTTTGTTAGTATTGGACTACGTGGAGTTCCAGGCCATCCGTCATAGCCCCTCTGCTTGTCCCAGCCTTCCTGACAACTTTAGGATATTTGACTCCAACCTTTCTTATTTGTTCCTATTTTAAAAGACCCAAGAAATTCAGCTGAGCATTCTCAGGGAGACTTGTTCCTCTGCCTGGAGCTGCCATTACCTGTTCCGAACAGTCTAGAGTTCTGATTCTCTCTTTCCAAACTCAGACCTCCAGCCATTGCAATGTTGGGCTGCCTACACCTCTGACATGCAAACACCACTGCTAAGCAGATGTGTCACTGGCCTAGCTCTATAACTAGCAGTTAACCTGGAGTGTGGTTTTTAAATGATGTTTCATATTTCAGAGAAATGTATATGTTTTTAAATTTTTTTTTTTAAATAAACTTCCATTCTTAGATGGCATTGCAGGAAAAGTACAGACCAGATTGTAATCAAGTTCCAGGCTGAAAAGATTTCTAAAATTAAGTTGCATAACTCAACCCAGTGGAAACATACTGATTTCATCAGAGCCATGTAAGATTCGAGCACCTTCCTTTGCACCCAGCCACTACACAGTGATCATTAGTTTCACAAAAATACTTCCAGCTGGTTGCTGAAGTTCAGAGGGAAAATGGGACCATGACCTTCTGCTAGAAGAGGCTATATGGGGCCAGCTTAAACGTAATGGACCGGAGCAGTACCCATTTTTAGAAATTTCTGTCTCTTCTGGGACCTCATCACCAAGCTGCCATTTTGGAGAAGAGTCTGGTGAAGCAGGCCTGCTGGAGCCTGGAATATCTTTGAAATGAAACCAAGCCAGGCAAGGGGACTGATTGATCCTTCACAGATCCTCAGCAGCTTCCATAAACGTCCATGATTACTGGATTCTTGAGCATAGGTAGGAAAGGAAAAAGGCTTCTCCTGATGAGTTGACAAGTGAGTTGTTTTCAGTGTTCGCCTCCCCTCTCCAACTCTGTAATACTCAGACTGTAAATACTTCTTTTTCCAGGGTAGCCACGGTCCTATTTACATTGAAATGCTGAATTTGAGTTTTACAAGCTCAGTGTTCATGTTTTGAAGCTGTAGGCTCATTTTTAGAAGGCTTTTTTTTAGAAGGCTATTACCGCTGTGTGAGAAATCCAGCCACAGCCTTCATGAAAGCCCCAGGCCAAGAACGGGGCTCCAAGACAGTGGAAGGAAAGAACCCGGGGTGCCTACAAAGGTCACAGAAGGAGACGCTCATGGACAGGAATAACAGAGAAGTAAATGTGAAGACTGGGCAGAAAGTAGGGAGTCTACCTTTGCATTCACCGTCCCATCTGACCGCCAGCCCTGGTTCAATGCCCTGGAGGTCAAGGGCAAGTACAGTCAAGGAGCAGGTTGTAAGGACCCCAAGGATTGGAGCAGTTCCTTAGCAAGGGAGTGAAGATGCATGGAGCGTCTTCTCTGTGCACTTGGGAAGCCAGCTGGCCCATCCTCCCCATAAACCCAACCAGAGGAATGTATCTGCAGCTTGTGGTTAGCTCTTTCTGGCTTCACTCTTTCTCCGTGCCCCCTACCCCCGCCACCTTTCTTTTCATTTTATATTGCATAACGTTATTTGCCTTGGGATTTGAGGCAGTCCTTTGCCTTCTTAAGGGAGAAGCATTACAGGCAGAATGATTAGGCAGTCATCCCCTGCCCTGCCGGCATCGCCCAAGGCCTGGAAAAAGTGAGAGGCTATTCCTGTGCAAAAATGGTTAAAGGCAACAGCCAGCCAGCCACAGTGATGGTGTGTGGGCAGCCTATGTAGGGGTGTTTGTGTGCCTGTGTCCCAGTGTGGATATATCCCAGGTCTTCTCTAGGTTGAGGGGTCCTGCCACTGCCCATGAGTGGAGAGTGTGGCTTCGGAGAGCAACACATTTCCTGTCTGCGCAGAGCCTGCCTGTATTCCCCCGTGGGCTGGTGCTATGGCTGGGCTCTGTTGATAGAGCTTCCTCGTGCGGTGCTATTTATAGCCCCTTGTTTTCACCTCTTGGGCTGCTAGATGCCCCTGCTTGCATGGGGGCCACCAACCTAGTCTCTGCTGCTGTTCTGCTCCCAGCAGATAGAGGCTGGCCTGGATAGCTGGAAGGCTTTTCCTTTGTCCTCACCCTTCATAGCCACTCCAGGTCACCAGATGGCAGCCACTTAGATCTTTTCTCTTCCTCCTACCCTTGCTCAGCATCTGTAAAGGTAGCTCAAGGCCGGCAGACTGGCCACAGTCCAGGGTCTGAAGCTGACTAGGTTGCACAAAGGAAATGGCTCAGACTCTGGTGAGAGCCCCAGGCAGAGCAAGCCTCTTTATCATTGGAGGGTCCGTGTTGCCCCAAGGGAGCCCAGCACACCATGTCTTGCTTGGGCTGGAGTCCCTAGGGGTCCCTCCACCTCTCATTTCAGTCTAATGCTTCACTTGCAGTGCAGCGGCAGTGTGCACCTAATAAAAACCTCAGGCTACAACATTTTGTCCTCCTGGCAGCATCCGCTGTGCATGTGACATTAGCCCTTTTAGACTTTGCCCGTTTGCAGCATAGGAAACATTCTGCAAGGAGAGCCACCATGTCTCACGCGCTCTATAGGATGCTGCCTTCAGAACAGTCAGCATGGGACATGGCTGGCTCATTACCCCCTGGACTTTGGATTATGCTCCAGTCAAATCCATCTGCCTACCCCACCCTCTCCACCCTCAAAATGGCTATGTAGATTCATTCCAGCTTCTAGTATCTCCTTCAGTACCTGCTTTGCAGTTCCCGTTTGACAAGCCCCGTGAGTCAGCTTTAACCCCAATGGAGGACTTGTTAGTCAGGAGAAGCCAGATCTCCATTACTCATCTTCAAAGGCTTATATAATCCCTGGTTGGAAGGTTCCCAGAGACAAACTAGATAATAAACAAAACAACAAAATGGAACGAGGGAAGGGGAGGGATTGGGGGAAGGCGTTCCTCCCCCTGCCTGGAACTGGGATGTATGTCAGACACACCAGGCACAGCAGAGGGAAGACAACTAGGAAATAGGCTGTGTCTCCCCGTGCCAGCCCCCTCCCCAGTGTGCTTCCAAGTAAGCAGGTGGAAAGGCTGACTTTAGGAAAGGGAAGGATTAGCGGAATCACCTGCTGCTCAGCTTATGGCCTCTGAGAGAGTTAGCCAGGGCTGCCCTCCAAAGGCAGCGGCAAGAGCTCAGAGGTTAATTTTAGAAGTTGTGAAAAACCAAGGAAGCTAAGCCTCAGGAGGGGAGCTGGGGAAGTGCTGAGGGACAATGTAGCGTGGAGGAGTTTGTCTTGGACCTTAGACTTTTTTCTTTTTAAGATTCTCAGGATTGCGTTATCCCATTTAGAACATAGCATCTACAATGAGCAGTGCTGCTCTGTTTGGCTCTCTTCTTATGTGTGAAGGTTGCCCTCTTGCTAGTTAAAACCAGAAAGCTTAAGAGTCCCTCTCTAACTGCAGAGAACGTGGCTGATGGCAAGTGTGGGGAAGTGTGGCGCCAATGTCCCTCATCCTGAGAGCCTCAGGGGTGGGTATTCTCTCATCTAAAAGATAAATACGTAACTGGCCTAACCTGCAAGGATGATGCTAGAGGCCTGGGCCTTGTCTGGAGAGAGCCACAAATCCGAGGAAGAAGTTGACTTTCAACGTCCAGCCCTTTTGATGTCTTACATAGCTGGAGGCCAGTGCACTTCAGTACATCAGGTGCGTCAGATTGGCTGTAAAGGTTTTGGTCTTTCGGTGTCTTAATATGCTCTGAGGGAAACAGAGTAAAAGGAAGGGAAAGAGTAGATTTGCTGGTAGAGAAAAGGCTGAAGAATGGACTCATGTTCCCACCGAGCTTCCTAATGTAGAGTAGTGAACTGTGGGCCTCAGAATGCCTTTCTCTAACAGAGCCATTTTAGACTGGCTGTGACTTGTTCTTCAGAAGCCACGTTCCTGACACTTGGGGATGGGGACAGAAAGGAGAAAGACAGGGGTATAGTTAAGTGTCACAGCTGGCTTCTGGCAGCTGGTGAGCAAACACGAGCACATCCGCCATCTCTCCATGGAGAAGACTGCCAATGATGAGGACGGAGAAGTGCCAGGGTTGGCAGAGGCAGCATTTAGTTGCAGCTCATTTGAGAACAAGCTGCAGGATTCAGAGGAAGAGCTGAGTCTACATGCCAGGAGTCTTGTGAGGTTCAGGAAATAGCTCAGGGAAAGCCTATTAATGCTGCAAGAGAGCTTTGTCCATGAGATTCTCTTTGAAGTGAATGCTGTTCATTAATCAGGAAGATGTTTTAATAGGTAAATGCAGTTAGGAATAACTACAAAAAGCATAATGGGCTGAAAGTATTTCCCCATGTCCGGACCCCTTTCAGCCCTATCCTTGTAGATCATTAGTAAGAGGATGCTGGAGAGGTGATATAGGATGGCAGAAGGATGACGGTGACGATGACGATGATGAGCTTACATAACGAGCCAGCCACTGAGCTAAGCCGTTGACCTAGCTTATCTTATTTCATCCCCAGAGCAATCCTGCAAGGTATGTTTAAGCCTCCTTCACCAGTGAGGAAATGGAGACCCAGGAAGGTGAAGGCACTAGGCCAAGGCCACAGAGCCAGTAACGGGGCAAGGCCAAACTGAGGCTGTGTGGCTCAGAGCTCACACTCTTAACCACTGCAGTATACCTCATCCCTGAGGGTTCCGTGAGACAAGGAACATCCAAAGAACGTGGTCTCCAGTAGGAACTTGGTGACGACTGGCTTCCTTTCCTAGTTTTCCTCTCTGCTGGCCATGCGCCTGATGCTTACATGTTCTGAGTATTTGGGCAGAGGACTCTGTCATGCCACACTCTCCCCAGGGGTGCTTTTCTTCCTTGATTGGCAGATGGCTTGACAACCATGCTAGGGTTAAGAAGAACTTGCGCTCCCTAACTTGGATTTGCTCTGCTCCTGTTCCAGGGCTTCCCTCATCTTTGTCCAACTTTACGTGTTTTGGGTGTTTTTGCTGCAAGGGTGGCTCTGATATGACATGCTATGCACAAGGGGAGCAGAAGCACCATAACAGCATCTGTTGCTCTTCCAGCAACTCTGTCACCAGGAAGATGGCTACATTCTTCCAGCATGGTCTGGTTTCTGTCCCATTCTGTTCCTTATGGGTTTTCAGCTCCTCTGAAGTAGAGAAAGCACAGGCCGCCTCAGGATTCCTCTGTGGATGTTGATCATGTTGATGATGACGATATTGATGACCAACATGTATTTTCCAAATACTCGTGCCTTCCGTAACTCAGCTAAGTCTCCAGAGACCCTGGGTAAATATCATTTTTGTCCCCCATCTTACTTAAGGAGTTTAAGTAGCTTGCTCAGGGGACACGATCAATAATTGACAGAGATGAGATGTAGACCTAGGTTGGTTTGCAGAGCCTGGCTGTCAGCTGCTGCAGCGCAGGGCACTTCTCTGCTCAAAACCCTTTAATGGTTTTCCCACTACCCATAGGATAAAGTCCAAACACATCTCATTTCTGCTAGGATTGTGTGCTGTCCAAAAGCAGCCTTTTAGTTCTTGAGCACATTCTGCATCATTAAAAAATCACTTCCAGGTCTTTGTATGTGCCATTTTTCTGCCTTTGAACTCCAGTTTAGTTGACACTTCCTACAGGAAGGAAGCCTTCCCAAATACCCCTTAGTTTGGGTTAGGTGTCTCCATCCTTTCTGCCTCTAGGCCCCCTGTCCTAGCATGTACCATAGTATATTTTCATTGCCTCCTTAATTCATTCTCTCTCTCTCGCTCTATCTCCCCCTCCCTCTTGCTTGTAGTTACCTTATATCCCCATCATCTAATATATAGGAAAGTACTTGGTAAAAGTTTTAGTGACTGTATATGGGAGTGTAATAATTTTTACTGACGTGAATTACAACTGTATTAGAGATTTTAAATATTTCTGTTATTTATCAGCATGGTTCATTATATCAGACTAAGTTGTTGCTCTACCTGAGATCCCTAGTGACGGATATATTAGATCAGAATTCAACTGAACCTGTGGCTATCTGACCATTTCTAGGAGACTGCCGTACACCACAATTATGGAAACCCTCTCCCACAATCCCCAAAACAGGCAAACAAAAAGCCTATCGTTTTAGACAACACACATAGATTTCATCCAAAGGATCTATCTACAAGAGTTCTGCTGTCTTCTACATATGTCTGTCCTTGAGAATTATTGCTATTTTTCCTCCTATATTTTCTTCTGGAAGTTTTATCGTTTTAGTTCCTACATTTAGGTGTATGATCCATTTCTAATTTTTATATGTGGTATGAGGTGTAAGGCTCAAGGTTCATTTTTTTCCCAAATGGATCTCTGGTTGTTCTAACACTTGCTTTCCCCTCCTTGCATTATCTCAGTACCCTTGTCAAAAATCCGTTGACCACATGCGTGTGAGTCTATTTCCGAATGCTCTTCTGTTCGATTGGTCTATATGTCTAGACTTACGCCAGTATGAGAGTGTCCTGGTTCCTGTAACTTTATAGGAAATCTTGAAAATCAGATAAGATAAATTAGGTAATATAAACTTTAGACATTCTTCCTTATAGAGAATTCATCAACTGTGTAAGACATGATAATTCGCTGCATACCACATTCTAACAGTTCTGTGATTTAAAGATACTTGGTAAGTCTCCTGCCTCAGATAAGGTGGTCTGTTAGCGGAAATCAGGCTGATAATCAGGAATGGTAGGAGCTACTGATCTGGGTCTGCCTGCTCTCACAATTAATTAGGGTAAGTGACGGGGGAGATTATGGAACCCTGGACTGTAATAGTAGTACTGACTTAGGCGAGAGTTTCCATTCTGTCACCCATCCCACCTTTTGTAAGACCTAGTAACAAAGGCCTTACGCAAACCAGGAAAATAAATGGCAAAAATTATTAGCAAGAAGTGCAGAATGCCCAAAGAATTGACAGTCTGTAAAATTACCCCGTATTCAATAGTGGACATTCATCCTACATGATGTTTGATTCAAGGTTTGAAAACATGTCCTTAGATACCTAAAAATTATGTAAGTAAAAAGTATGGCAATGTGTTTTATGAAAAGCATTTATTCTACCTATATAATATTGGCTTACACACCTAATGTCCAGAGTGGTTTTCATTTTGGAATACATAATTTTCTAGAGCCTTTTCAACGGTCTTTGTTTGAAAAAGCACTATTTACCCACCTTGCCACTATCTGAGACTGTGCCAGGGACTATATGGGCACAGCCAGAGCTCTGGGGAGTCTTGAACCCATGATGGTAGACAGGGTCTTAGAAGAACAGTGTTCGGAGAGGGAAACAGAGATCCACAGACCTGCACAGAGTCACACAAGAGAACTCAGATGAAAGCTCACCCGTGTTCTCACTTAGTGATGCTCCCCTGCCCCTCAGACGTAGGGAGGGTTTTTGGTAGATGTAGCAGATGGCAGAATATTAGCTTGGACCAGATGAAATTGCTGTTTGGAGGGTTAGAAAAGGTTACATCAGGGATTCCCTGCGGTTCTCCTCTTAGGTAACCCTCAGACAAAATCAGGCTGGTGTGGAGATCTTGGAGTTTGTATGGAGAATGGACAAGATCTGATGGTTGCTGGTGAAAGGGGAACTTAGGGTTGCTCCAGGGATGCGTGTGTTTAGGAGAAGGTGGGATGAGGAGCGACTTCTCAGGAGATTTGCTTGAGAGGATACCCCGGGGAGGGGCCTTTCCTCAGGCCACGAGGATCGCCTGGGGGGATGAACTGTGTGGTGCGTGCTGAGATGCCAAGTAGCTTTTAAAATCGGCTTTTACGAGAGATAATTTGGGTCATATTTTTCCCCTTGTTGGATTAAGGATAAATGGAAAGATGTTCTGAGCTTCTGCCCATGGCAAAGCATGGGGAGGTGCTTTTGTTGGTCACCAGGTGTCTTTCCTACAGTGTTGGGGTTTTTGAGTTGTTGTTAGGTTCTGACTGAAGGTAAAAGGTTATGTTTAATAAATGTGAGAAAATACTATTTGAAGCCTACTTTTGAAAACTCACTTTTTTTTTTTAACCTAGGCATTAATCCTTTGGTTGCGAGCTACTAGTCTGATTTTTACTTACCAGATTATCTTTCTGTCTGTCTTACTCTCTGGGTATCTTTTTCTGTCTCTGTTTCCCCGTGTGTGTGTGCACGTGTGTGTGTGCATGTCTGTATGTGCAGGTGTACGTACGTGTCTGCATGTGTGTGTGTGTGCGCGTGCATGACTGTGTGAGTGTGTGTCTGTGCATGTCTGTGTGACTGTGTGTGTGTGTGTGTATGTGCACGTGTGTGTGTGTGTTTCTCTCTGTCTCTGCCCTCTGTCTCTCTCTCTCTCTTATTGGTCTATCCAGAATTTCTGACTTGGAACGGAAATCTTCACAGTTGAATTCACGTGCGGTGTCTTTCTCCCCTTTGCTTTTTCAGTTCCTCCAGGAGTGATCCAAAATGGAGCGCGGGTCCTGAGCCGAGGGCTGTTTCCTGGCGTGCGGCCGCTGCCAATCACTCCCATTGGGGTGACAGCGGCCATGAGGTAAGTGGGGAGTGCGCTGGGCAGAGCCAGCCTGGGGAGTGGGAAGGGCAGCTTTCTGTCCACGGGGTCCCTTCTGGAGACAGAGAGGAGCTGCTTCGAACTAGTGACAGCAATAAACCTGGTTTGCGTGCTCAGAAATGTGAAAGTAACCCCAAGAACTCCCAATCCAAATGCCCCCTTCTCTTTCTCGGGCCACCAGATGATCCTGGTCTCTTTACAGATGAGGAGATGGAGGCAAGTTAAGTTTTTTATTCTAAGAAGGCAGGGTAAGAGGTGGGCAGAAGAAAACAGAAGGCAGGATATTAATTGGATTCTAGGCTAACGGGCCTAGCGCAAGACCCAGTCCTGTCCCTCCCCTGTCCTGTGACTCTGGGCTCAGTTCCTTCATCTGTGAAACTCCTGCCTCCTACCAGGGGTTGCGGGGAAAATCAAATGCAAAATCAGATGTGAGGCGAGCTTTGGTACGTGGTCTATAAATAGCAGGTGGCATCATTCCCCTGCTTCCAAGAATGAGGCCAGCTGCCAAACCGCATGAACCCTTCCTTGGGACATTTCTCTCCTCCATGCTCTCCATCTCCACTGTCAGCCCCGGATCAGGGTCCACCGCCAGCCTGCGGCCCTCATAGGCACCATTGGCGGAGCCTCCTCCCATCCGCCAGCTGCTTCTACACCCACTCCTGCCCATCCATCCACCACTGCCAGACCAGTTTCCTAACTCCGTGCCCCTCTAGCTGTCTGCAGAAGCACCTTCTGTGACTGCCCCTGCATCACCCTGATAGTCCTTCCTTCTCCTCGAGCCAAATGTGTTCCCCAAATATGCCCAGTATTGGCCCATCTTATTCATACAGTTTTGTCTGCATAGATTCCCCTCACCCTCATATGTAAGGCAGCACGTCCTTCAAAATCTGACACAAAAGATGATCCCTTCCCAATGCTTTTTTTAATGTGGTCTGGGAACCAGCATCAGAGAAACTTCTCTTTGCCGTGAACCGATTAGCCCCATGCTTTAGCCCTTCAATGAGTGACCCTGTATGGTAGCAGTTTCTCTGTGTGTCCCTTTCTGTCCTGGGTGCTTTGTGTCCTGAGGATGAGGGCTAGCTCTCAATCAGTTGTCTGATGCCGCATCACTATTGCATGTGCCAGGTCCTGGTTGCTTGTTTAGAAAAAGCCTGTCTCACTGAGCTGCATCCCTTGAAGGTACCATCCCTCTCCTTCTGCGTTTACGGATCAAGTTTGCACCTGAAGGCCATTTTGCTTTCATAGTGTTTCATGTCCAAAAGGAAACCAACCCAGAAAGTGTGTTTAGCTGGGCCTGAGGGAGAAGCAAGGTCAAACTCCCCTGCCGCGTGCAGCTTCTCCACGAGCTTGTCTTTTAACTCCTCCTGCTGTTGTCAGGACAAGTCGCATAATCTTCAGAGCAAAGGTCTATAGGTTCTGATAAGATGGGAAGTTGTTAGCAATTAGAATAGCAACAAATTATAAAACCACTTATCATTTCTACTAATCTGACAAGGGGATATTTTCCAAAAATACATGGAAAGGTTTTTCTTGTACCTCCCCGGTATCTTTCCTGGCTACTCTCAGGTCAATAATTCTTGAGTTCCTAAGTGGTAAGCCTCTTTCCATGAAGCCAAAATTCCAATGCTCTTACCTCACATTTATGAAAAAGACATACTCTGTTTTTCATTCTTTCTTAAAATCTTTCCTGTGTTGCCTCATAGTTTACCTTCTTGGTTGAGAAGACTTGGAGACTGTGAACTATTTTTGCTTGGAGCAACAATGTATTTTTATTAGCAGATTCTAAATATAGACTTACAGTTTATCCTCTTGACCATTTTTTTTAGTGCCTTCAAGAGTAGCTTTCACTATGGGCCCAGCCATACCTTATAGAAGGGCACAGAAAAGCCAGGCGGACAACAGGTGGACCTTCAACAGGAGCCGCCTTCTCATTTTAATTCTTACTCTCATGGCATTTATGATGACAAATTTTACTGATTAGTTCCCTCTTGAGGTGTTATTTCAACTACCGATGGTTTCTTTCTAGTTAGAGAATAACAAAGCACTGCAGCAAACAGTCTTGTTTCTGTTGAAAGTTGCCACTCATGCAGTCCACTGAGTGCCTCAGCTGGGCTCCTTCCAGAGTAAAAGAAAACAAGACAGCCTCTGAGCCAAACTTGTGTATCAGACAGGTTCAGTAGGGAGACAGAAACCACACCAAGTAATTGAACAGAGAGACTTTAATGTTAACCAGGGCTGGGTGTGGTGGCTCATGCCTATAATCTCAGCACTTTGGGAGGCTGAGGCAGGAGGATCACTTGAGGCCAGGAGTTCAAGACCAGCCTGAGCAACATAGGGAGATCCCAGCTCTACAAAAAGTTTAAAAATTCGCCGAGGCCGGGCACATTGGCTCACGCCTGTAATCCCAACACTGAGAGGCTCCGGCGGGTGGATCACTTGAGCTCAGGAATTTGAGACCAGCCTGGGCAACATGGCGAAAACTTATCTCTATTTAAAAAAAAAAAAAAAATGACCTGGGCATGGTGGCACACACCTGTGACCTAGCCACTCTGGAGGCTGAGGTGGGAGGATCCCTTGAGCCTGGGAGGTCAAGACTGCAGTGAGCCGAGATTACTCCACTGCACTCCAGCCTGGGTGACAGAGTGAGACCATGTAAAAATCAAAATGATTAGAAAGAAAGCAAAGCTGTGAACCAGGTAGGAAGTTATTAACTAGGTAACTGAAAGGGTAAAAGATGACTCAGGGTATCATGGAGAGAGTCATTGCAGGAGGCAGCTACCACCTCTAGGGTTGACGGAACAAAGGGAAGAGGTTGGAATGATCACCCCATGGAGCTGAAACTCACCTTTGCGTGGGGGGCAGGGACTAGGAAGCAGCCTCTGATGGTGCTGGTGCCCCTAAGGGAACACAGTTCTGCAAGTGCTGGAAAAACTGCAAACTGGGTTTGGCACCTCCGAGAATGAATGCTGCTGCTGAGGTACAGAGGCATTGCTGGGTGGCACAAGAACAGGAAACAGGCAGGAGCCAGTTCTATCTTTCTCCACCACCTTCTCAGTCTCTCTATGGCACCCCCTGGTGGCGGAGCCTCACATGGAACCCAGTGGTAAAGTCCAGCCCCAGCCCCAGCCCCAGCCCCAGCCCCAGTTTGGGAAACAGAGTAGAAGGGTGGGTTTGAGACTGAGTGGCAATAGCTTTGTAATGGCACAGCTTGCTTCATCTCTGTCCACTACAAAAGGATGTATAGTCTAATTAAGGAGTGACTTTCCTGAGCATCATAGGAGTTTTGAACAAAATCATTTTGGTAAAATGTGAAACCATAGTTTGCAGAAGCTAGGCAAGTTACGATTTGCATAAACAGATAACCAGTAAAGAGGCCGGGCACGATGGCTCACACCTGTAATCCCAGCACTTTGGGAGGCCGAGGCAGGCAGATCACCTGAGGTCAGGAGTTCAAGACCAGCCTGGCCAACATGGTGAAACATCATCTCTACTAAAAGTACAAAAATTAGCTGGGTGTGATGGTATGTGCCTGCAGTCCCAGCTACTCAGGAGGCTGAGATGGGAGAATCGCCTGAACCCAGGAGGTGGAGGTTGCAGTGAGCCGAAATTGTGCCATTGCACTCCAGCCTGGGCAACAGGGCAAGACTCTGTCAAAAAAAAAAAAAAAAAAAAAGAAAGAAAGAGAGAGAGAGATAACCAGTAAAGAAAACCATTGTGCATTAGCAGTTAATTGTCCAAATACCAATTCTGAACTTGCCCCCCTCAGTTTTAAGGGAAATTAGGGGAAGAGGGGTAGTAAGCTCTGGAACATTAGGGGTACTTGCTTGTAGTATCTTTGCCCTCTTTTTGTAGGGCAGGTAGTAGACACTGAGATGCTTTTGGAAAGAAGGAACACAAACATAGCTATGGAGGCATCTGCCTAATCAGTGTCTGTGTAAAACCCATTAAGAAGTGCTTGGGGAAAAACATCTTGTTTTGCATTTTCACATTCATCATAATTTTAACATTTTTAATTTGGCCACATGTCAGTGGAACCCAAACTCAGCCAAGGCTAAAAAGGAAAGCAGTGCAGTGGAGACTAGAACAACACAGAATGTTATCTCCCAGACCACGTGGCAGTGCCCAAGTATTCTGTGTGTGCTCAGATGTTTACAGGGGTTGCTGCCCCAGTCTGTTCAGCTGGGGCCCAGGGAGGGCGGGAGAGTCATTAGCACCCACTAAAGACCAATTTCCCACTCTCTTTTGTGTGACAGGTTTTCCTTGTGAATCTAAGCGACTTCTCCTTAAGTGAAAATATTTGTCTTTCAGGGATTTTTTTTTCCTCCACAGAGTGGCAAAGGCCATGTTTGTTTGTCTTAACTCTGAAACTGTTATTGACATAGATGAAGTGTTACTTTTATTAGCTGATCATTACACAGCTTCTATTTGCCAGGTTCCTTTGCATATAATTATGATGTGAAATCTCCTTGTAAGAGTATCTGTCAATAGTGTAATTGACTTTACGGTGTTGACTTTTTACTCAATAACCTCCAAGATTGGCCCATCCTTAGACGTTGGAAACCTGCTTATTTTTAAATTTGCCTGGGCGTCAAGTCCTCAAGACACATCATCCTCAAAATAACTACTCACACATCTTAAAGTTTTATGCCTGTGTCTTCGGCTGCTTTCCCAGGAAAATCCCTTGCAGAGATTGCATTGAATGGAACCCATGATGGATAGCCCTGGGAGAGCTGTTGCTGGCCTTCTTGGGAAGGAGGAGTCCCAGGTTTCTTACATTCACAGCATCGTGGGCTGTCCCACACCCTGGGTTGGGTCACAGCAACCTCCCTGGATCTCAGCCACCTTGCTTTTAACCTTTAGGGCTCTTTTTGATCCCTACATGCCTCATCAGGTGGCAGAAAAGAATGACATGTCCAGGGCTCGCTGGAGGATTGGGAAAAAGCTGATGTGGGGAAGGCCTGTTCTGTAGCAACTGAACCAACAAAATACGTACGTGAACTCAGGAACCACATTTCCTCGGTCCATCTCCTGCAGCCGTGTGACCTCAGGGAAGTGCCCATGGGCTTCTCAAGAGGAAACGTGTGTCTGCCTCATGTGTTATTTGGATTCACACACAGCTGTGTGCCCAGCACATAGTCAGCATTCTGTAGGTGTTTGATAAATAAGTAACATGGAAAGCCTCATGGATTCACCTAGCCTGTCTCTCACAGACCTTCCCAGGTTTCCTTCCTGAGCACTGGAACCTCAGGTACCCCAAAACCTTAGGAGAAGGCTTAAATTAAATTCATGCCACCTTTCAGCACAGAGTACATTTGTTGGCAAAGCCATTGGCTTTGAAGAGTGCTGGCCATAATCTGGACTACAAGTCTAGATCACCCTATTTGTTGCCAAATTATATGAGAGTTTCATCCAATCACCGTCTAAGGCTGCTTAATTTTATTTGGATCTCCAGCAACCTCAAGTGAAAAACTGCACTTCCCATGGAACATGAAGCAAGTCAGGCATTAATGGTCTGACTGTAGTAGCAAACATTAATTCTTAAGGTCATGTCAAAATAGAATCATCGGGAAAACCCATCTCTCAGCCTAAGTTCTGCTCCGGATCAGCTGTCTTTATCTCCTCCCTTGAGAAGATGTTTGTTTCAGTAGTGTAGGAAGGTGGCAACCTTTAGTATTAAGATAGGGTTGTTGTCCAATTATGTAACTTGAGGGTAAATTGGCTGCTGATCTTTTCTAGTGTTGTATTTTGTTCTGTATGTAAAGACCAAACACCTGTTGGCCTTTGTCTTTGAAATCATGGTCTTTGAAGGCAATTACAAAACTCAGTATTAGATTTTGCTTTGTAGTGGGAGGAGAAGAGAAAATACTAAAGAGCTAGGTTTAAGGGAAAGTGGGGAAAGAATCCCAGTTACACAAAGCATGCACTGAATTCCCTCCTGGGCCCATTTCAGCGAGCGTAGTTTTTGTTTTGGGCCCTTCTGGTCCAGAAATTTAAACAACGACCAGCAAACTGTGAAATTTGATCAACATTCTAGAGCTGCTCCTCATATTTCATATCAATGACGTTCGTTAATGCCTTTGAAAGTCCTGGTGGCTCCTTTTCATGTTGTACCTAGAAATCCTCCAAACTCCCAATGATTCTGGACTGTTGTAAATGCAAAACAATTCATGGAGGAGAGTTGTAGGATCACTCCTATTTGTGTTGTGTGATCTCTTGCAAAAAGGAAATCATGTTTATCTCAGTGGTTTAGGGGAGCAGTTTGCAGCTCATGGGAGAAAATTGTGGTCCCCCTGGATATTACCACTGAGTTAGAACTCTTAGAGCTGACCACCTGGCCCCTGGACGTCCTTTACCTTTTTAGCCATGCATCTGCCAGATTGCAGAATTCTAGGGCTGCTGGAAGGGATCTTAAACCTCACCTTGATTTTACAGCCGAGGCACAGGTAGAATTAGACTGGATTTTGTGAAAAAGGTAGGGAAGAGCTGTAAATTAACAAGTTAAATCAGTTTAATGACCTAAATGGCATCTCTCTCCTAGGTAGAATTTGATACCTGGTGAGAAGTATTTTATGCAACTTGTATTAAATGATTCTCTGCATGCTCCTTAGTATTTCCTATCATTCTTCGTAGTGTTCATCTTTACAGTTTGGGGAGGCTACTGTCTTTTTATTTTTATTTATTTATTTATTTGAGACAGGGTCTCGCTTTGTCACCCACACCAGAATGCAGTGGCACAATCACGGCTCACTGCAGCCTCATCCTCCCGGGCTCAAGTGATCCTACCACCTCTCAGCCTCTCAAGTGTTTGGGACTACAGGCACTCACCGCCACTCCTGGCTAATTCTTCTATTTTTTGTAAAGATGGCATCTTGCCATGTTGCCCAGGCTGATCTCGAACTCCTGGGCGCAAACAATCCACACACCTCAGCCTCCCAAAGTGCTAGGATTACAGGTGTGAGCCACAGTGCCCAGCCCTGAGTTTTTTAAATAACTAGAATAATACTGTGTCTTTCTTAACTTTGTTTTTTTAAAAACTCATATTAGGTTTCTTTGTTTTGTGACATCTAGCTGTAATTGAGTCATTTTCACTGCTATATAATATCCCATTATGTGACTATACTATCATTTTTTTAAAAAAGACATTTGGATCATTAATAGTTCTTTGATATTACAAGCAGTGCTACTGTGGAAATTCTTATACATGTCTCAGATTCATTTAAGATGTCTAGGAGTGAAATTGTTGATTTATAGGGTATGTACATGCTCAGCTTTACAAGGTAATGCCACATTGTTTTGTAAAGTGCTTGTTTCCAATTACACTGCCACCAGCAGAGTGTGATGGTCCCTAGTCCTCCACATCTTCACACACATTTAGAATTGTCATGCTTTGTCATTTCAACCAATCTGGTAGGTACGTAATGGTATCTCATTGTACTTTAATTTATATTTCCCTTTTTACTAAAGATGTTGCACAGTTTTTCATATATTTAAGGGGCTCTTTGAATATATTATTTTATGGATTTCCTGTTTAGCATTTTGCTCATTTTTCTACTGGGTTCCCTTTTTTCTTCTCTTCATAGGAGTTCTTGGTATAGTCTACATATCAATCTTGTATTGACTACATATGTTGCAGATTTTCTAAGTTTGCGGATGGTCTTTTCACTCTCTTTCAATTTCCATTCTTATTAATCACATTTATCAATCTTTTTATGAAATCTGGTGTCTTAAAAATTTATTTCCCTACTCTATGGTCATATAGTCTCCTATAGTATTTTTCTAAAAGATTGAAAGTTTTTTGCTTTCACATTTAAGTCTTATTATTTGAGTCTCTAATCCATCTGGAGTTACAGTGTGAGATAAAGATACACTTAAATATTTTTCAAATAATAAACAGTTATCTCAGCATCACTTATTAAGTAGCCCCTCTTTTTCCCACTGATATGAAATGCTAGCTCTGATATATATCAGGTTTCTTTCTATTTGTGGGTTTATTTTGGGGACTCTTGGTCCTATTTCATATTTTCCTGTACCATGGCAATACCACAGTGTCTGAATTATGATATCTTTGTAAGTTCTTAAGTCTGGGAGCACATGTTCTCTCACCTTGTTCTTTTTAAAGTGTCTTTGCTATTCTTGGCTCTTTGCAGTTGCGTATAAACTTTATAATCAGCTTGATAAACTGCAAGGGAGTGCGCGAACAAGAAAAACAAAGAAAAGACACCCTATTATGGTTCCTGACTAGAGTGGTATGGAATCTCTACATCAATTTGTTGTGGATTAATACTCCTATATTGAATGCTAGGTGCAGTGGCATGCACCTGTAGTCCCAGCTACTCAGGAGGCTGAGGCGGGAGGGTTGCTTAAAGCCCGGGAGTTTGAGGCCAGCCTGTACATAGTGAGACCCTGACTCTTAACAACAAAACCTCCTTTTTGCATCTTTCAGTCCATGAGCATGTATAGTTCTCCATTTACTTAAATCTTACAGTGCCTCTCATTGTAGCTTTATGATTTTTTTCCCTAAAGTTCTTATGCCTGTTCAGTTAGATTTATTCTACATGGAATAGATTCTTTTTCATGCTGTTATAAATTTTACAAATTAATATGATGTATTTTCTACTTGCTGCTAATATATGGAAATGCAATTTATTTCACATTATTGATTTTTTTCCAGCAACCTTGCTAAATAAACTGCATTAGTAACTCTAACAGTTTATAGATTCTTCTGTGCACAAATCATATCTTTTGTCAATACTGGTGGGGTTTTTTTCCCTAATTATTGTATCTTTTCTTTTTCCTGTCCTATTGCACAGTCCAGGACCTCTGAATAGAAGTTATGATAACAGGCATCTTTGTGTTATTTCATATTTTAAATGGACCCATGTTACTGATTCACAGTTGATAGGACATTAGTTAAAGGTTTCTTAGGAAATATGCTTTATCATAACAAAATTATTCTATTCATACTTTGCTGTGATATTTTTATCATGAGTGGTTATTGAGTTTCATAAAAAAAAGTTTGCATTGTTAAGATAACTATAAAATTTTTCTTTCTTTTTTTTACTGTGGTGAATTATACTATAAATTTGTCGTTTTGAACAAAACTTGCATTTCTGAATATACTTGCTTATGATACTTTTTTTTACATATTACTGGAGTTGCCAAGCTAATGTTTTATTTATGAATTTTGTGTCTTTGTTTATAACCCAGGTTTCTCTAGTTCTGTCTTTATCTAGTTTAGTGTCAAGATTACATTAGCCTCAGAAAAGGAGTTGAGGCGTATTCATTCTTTCAGAGTTTATCTAAGACTGGAAATATCTATTGCTTAATGTTTGTTGGAACTTGCTTGCAAAATAGTCTGGCACTGATGTTTTCCTTGTGGGATGATTTTTAACTATTGATTTAATTTACGTAATGATAATAGGATGACTTGTGTTTTTAAATTTCCTTTTGAATTTCTTTTGGCAACTCTAGGGGTTTTTCTTTTCAAATATATTGGCAAAGAGTTATTCATAATATACCTTGTCATCTTTCAAAACATCTTTTGTAACTATGTCCCTTTTTTATTCCTTATTTCATTTGTATCATTTCTTTTTTGCTTAATTTCGCCATAGATTTTTTTTCAAAGAATCAACTTTTTAAATTAGCTCTACTTTGCATTTATTCTCTATTCCATTGATTTCTGCTATTTATAATTTCCTTTCTTTTTTGGATTTATTCTGTTTTTCTTTGTCTAGATTGTGTACTTTTATTTCAAGCCTTTCTTCTTTTTCTATAGAAGTTTAAGGTTATAATTTTCCTCACCCTACTGCTTATTACATTCTATAGGTTTTGGTATATTTATTTTAATTATTGTTAAGGTATAAGTATTTTCTAATTGCCATTTTGATTTTTTCTTTGACCCATGGGTATTTTTAAAATGTGTTTTTTGAATTTCCACACTAAAGAGAAGATGGTTGTTTTTAATTTTTGTTTTCAGTTATCTCTCAACATTGACTATTAATTTGAATACATTGTGGTCAGAGAATTTATCTGTACATTATTGCTTCTTTGAAATTTGTTGACATTTGCTGTGTGGTCTAGTATATATCAGTTTTTAAAAAATATTTCAGCCAGGCGTGGTGGCTCACAACTATAATCCCAGCACTTTGGGAGGCTGAGGTGGGAGATTGCGTGAGGCCACAAGTTCAAGACCAGTCTGGTCAACACAGTGAAACCCCATCTCTATCAGTTATAAATGAAAAATAAATAAGTAGATAAAAATAAAAAAGATGTCATGTGTGCATCAGAAAATATGTCTTTTCCATTATTAGCACATGTTCTATGTTTATGTCAAATCTTCTCCATATGAAACTTTTGTGTGTGTGTGCGTGTCAGCTTGATCAATTGCATACTGAAAGGGATGCATTAAAATCTCCCATTCCAATGTAGATTTGACTGTTTCTTCTTGTACCTCTTTCAATTTTAGACATATATATTTTGAAGGTATTTTAATGAAACTGTGAATGTTTAGAATGGTTTTATCTTCCTGATGGGTTGAATCCTTAGACTGTTGAATGACTGTTTATCTGGAGTAATGATTTTTGCCTTGAAATCTATCTGATCTCATTTTAATATTGCTATACCAGCATAGCACAACTTGTTCCAGTCTTACTTTTAACCTGTTTTTCTTTATCCTGTTATTTAGGATTGTCTCTTGCAAACAGCACATGGCTTCTTTTTTCTTTTTTAAATTTGAGCTAATGATCTGTACCTTTTAGCTGAAGATTTTTAGCGCATTTTTATTGACATTTTTGGGTTTGGTTCTATCATCTCGTTTTACGTTTGTGTTTGCCCTATTTTTTCAGATTCTTTTTTGTTTCTAGCATTATTTTAAATTGATTCTCCTACTCCTCATTCCATTTTTCCCCTTTCTAATGGTTTGGAAGTTACCCATTCTGTTTTTCTTCATTTAGTGTTGATCCTAGAACTTTTAGCATGAATATTTTTAAGTATTTAAAGTTAATCAATATCTTTAACCTTCTGATCAATACAGGGCTCTGGGAATGCTTTAAATTCAGTTCTGTCCACCTCCCAATTGATATGCTACATTTCTCCAGTACTTTGGTTCTGGTTTTGTTTCTTTGTGTGTGTTTTGTGTGTGTGTGTGTTTTGTGAGTGTGTGTGTGTGTGTGTGTAACCACTTAGTCATTATTATTATTGTATTGTACAATCAATACTTGGCCACATTTTCTTTTCTTTTTTGAGACAGGGTCTCACTCCTGTTGCCCAGGCTGGAGTGCAGTGGCACGAACACAGCTCACTGCAGCCTCAGCCTCCTGGTTTCAAATGATCCTACCACCTTAGCCTCCCGAGTAGTGGGGACTACAGGCATGCACCACCATGTTCAGTTAATTTTTTGCATTTTTGTAGAGATGGGGTTTTACCATGTTGCTGGGCTGGTCTTGGAACTCCTGGGCTCAAGAGATTCACTTCCCTCAGCCTCCCAAAGTGCTGAGATTACAAATATGAGCTACAGCACCCAGCCTACATTTTCTGTACTGATCATTTCTGCTTACATCTCAGATCTTCCATTTTGGATCATTTTTCTCTTTCCTAAAATATATTCTTATGAAATTCCTACAGTAAGGGTTTATTTGTAGTTAAAGTCCTGAATTTTTGCCTGAAAAGTTATATTTTGCCCTTACCCTTAGAAGTTAGTGTTACTGAATATAAAATTCTAGATCGACAGTTATTTTCTCTCTTGAGAATATTGTTCCACTTTCTTCTGCTTCACTTGTTTTATCTTAATTAGTACTTTAGGCGATACGTTTTCTTTCTACTACTTTAAAAATCTTTTTGTCTTTTTTGTGTCTGCTCTAAAGTTTGACTGTGATGTGTCTCCGTATGGACTTTATTTTTTTTATCCCGCATGGGACGTGTTGGCTTTCTGAATCTGAAGATTGGTACCGTCATCAAAACTAGAAAATTCTAGCCATTTTCTATTCAAGTATTGAATCTTCTCCATTCTTTCTTTTCACTGGAACTCCAGTTAGGTTTCCGTTGGTTCTTCTTTCTGTGTTCCGTCTCATCCAACCTTTCTTCCATATTCTCTATCTCTGTGTCTTTCTGCTGCATTTTATGTAGTATCTTCAGGTCCATCTAACAATTCACTAATTTTTCTCTTCAGCTACATTGAGTTTTTTAGGAGACCTTCAGTGTAGATTAATTAATTTATTTTTGAGGCAGGGTCTTGCTATGTTGCCCAGGCTAGTCTTGATCCCCTGGGCTCAAGCGCTTCCTCTTCAGCCTCTTGAGTAGCTGAGATTACAGGTGTGAGCCACCACACTTTGCATTGATGTTTTTAATTTCCAGGATTATATGTTTTATCTCTAGAAGTTCTGTTTAGTGCTTTCCAATATAGCCTGATCTTCCTTTCTAGTATTTTTCAATTCCCTCCTTTATTTAAACATACTAACTTTACATTCTGTAACGAATTATTTCAACATTTATAGTCTTTGCCGTTCAGATTCTATCATTTCTCTGTTCTCTTGTCTCTTTGCTTATGGTGGCTTATTCCCATTGTGTTTAATGTTTTTAATTTTTGTTTTTTTATTATGAACCCATGTTCTTGAAATCTTATCTGTGGAAATTCCTTGTGGCTTGGGTTTAAAGTATGTTCTTTCAGAGAGGATTTGCTTTTAAAACTTCGGTGGGGAGCCTGGGGGACCAGTATACCTGGAGCCACTTGAACGCCCTTAGAGGGTACACAGTAAGCAGGAAGCAGCCAGCATCAACCTTCCTGCTGCTCCCTTCCTGCCTCCCACTGAGTGAGTTTGGGTTCTTGTTCTACTGCGAGGGCAGACGTTCGCTATAGAGAAACTTTGGCTTTCTTCGTTGCCTAGTTGCCTGATTGCTCACACTGCAGGTTACTTTAAAATGTTTTATTTGTGTGTATGTCTCTATGGGTCTCTGAATATCCCTTATTTTCTAGTGAACTCAGCAATGCCTTTAAAACAAGTTACTGTACTTGATCTAGGATCTTTTATATTATAGTCAGAAGAGAACCTTCCAAATGTCTTTCTACCACTTGGCTGGAGGTGGAAGTCTTTGGTCATCTCTTCTCTTCCATGTCTACTTGCAGTTGATTTTCAAAAGAAGCTTTGAACTTGCTCCAGTCCCCTGCTTCTACAATCCCATTAATCCCATCTACTTTTCACATTTGGCAAAAGATCAGAGTCCTCAACTAAATCCCTGGGGAGGACAACTACCCTACATGATATCCTTTAGAATTAGAGCCATTAGTTCCAGAGAGACTCCTAGTGCACCAGGTAAGAGGCAGAGATGACACATGCTCATTATACTGTAGTGGAACCCCTAATTAATTGGTTAAACAAATGAACAAACAAACAAAAAATGGCAGATGGCCATGTCGTAAACCTACACCTTGACTTGTTAGCTGAAAGCCTGCTCATTCTGGGTTTGAACTAATGTGATTTCTCTTTTTATGTTTGATATTTTCCAACTATTTGACAAGAGAATGAGTACCAGGTTTTATCTGAGATGAATAGCACGTGGTTTTGTTGAGCCACATGCTTTAAACTTTTAGAGGCCCAGTAAAATCAGGTGGCTCTGATTTATGCTAATTGCAATATCGTTACACATAAATTCAGCTAAAACTGAAAAATTGCAGGCATTTCGGATGTATCACATGTTCACTTTAATGAATGATTTTTAAGAAAGTGGTTAGAAATTCACCTTCCAACATGTTCAGAATGGCTGGTTTCTTTTAAGCATTTGTTGTCCTGTAATGGCAATCCCTGCGGCGGGAAACATTTGACACCAAGTCAGTGCAGCTGGCTTGCACCATCGTGAATAACATTGCACCAAGTTATTAATAATTGAAGGAGCTTTTCACTTCCTGCTGAGTTTTGTGTGTAACTTATGGATTACATAATCCCAAGCTAAAATCTCAGGGAAGGTTAATTTCATCAAATGAGAAAGAGAGACATTTATATTTTAATTCTCACTCCCTGAAGTTATGTCTGTGTACCTGTTTTCATCCAGAAATATTATCAGTGGATGTATTGGTTTTCTGTCTTCATCACAGTAAACTTCCTTCTTCAGGAGTGACAGGGAGATATTTTGAATTCCTGCTTGAACCATCTTTGAGACTGTCCGGGCCACCCCACTCAACAACCATGGGGCTCTCTGAGCTTCTGTTTTTCTGTGAAATGGGTTAAGTAGGCCAGTGTTCCAATAGGGACTTGGGTCATGGACTCTGTTGGCATGCAGTCTGATTCTA
Organism: Homo sapiens; assembly: GCF_000001405.40. NCBI lineage: Eukaryota > Metazoa > Chordata > Mammalia > Primates > Hominidae > Homo > Homo sapiens. The sequence continues at coordinate 89,166,401 of NC_000014.9, read as the reverse complement.
GGTGGTACCGGAAACTCTGCCCCACACAGCATCAAATCAGGGGCTGTGGAATCATTCTCTTTTCTATTCTCCCTTTAATCCATGGGATCTCTTTAAGAAGAAAGTTTCCATTTGGATCCCCCTCTTTAATGCTGCTAATCTCCCTGTTTAAGAAAGAAAGAGACATTCTCAGGCTCGAAACCATTCCTCTTATGATAGTGTGGAGCTCACGTTTAACATCATTGCTTTGGTTCTAGAGTATTTCTCCCCCTCCCTAAAACTTTGATTTAAAAAATGTTCAAACTTAGGAAAAAAGGGAAAGAAAAGCACAATGAATAGCACAGACCCTTCACCTAGATTCACCAGGAATCAGCACTGTGGAGCACTTGCTTTATTTCTCACTCTCCCACTCGTGATTCTCCCCATCTGTGTTCAGAGAGGGATCATGTTCTGCTTAACTGTGGTAGTGACGTGAGTTGTAAGCCCCAAGTTATTTTTTAAAAGAAACATTCAGAACTGAATCCATTTATTAAAAGCTAAATATAGCCCACTTTACTCTTTCAAGTATACTTAGATTTACTATGAAACTGTTTGATGTTAGTTCAGTGGGTGAATTATTTTTGTATTTTACAGTAGTTCCCTCAAATGGCAAAAATTAAAAGGACCATACAACGAGACTTTCATTTTCGTTTGCTCTAATAACTATTAATAGCTAGCTGTATGATTAATTACATTTACCAAGTTTCACATTTGGTGACACCTCAAAGTAATCTTATCCCAGCCATCTTTATGCACCCAAGACACAGCCAAGAAATAGGAAGTCTGCAGAAAACAGATACGGAGGAGGCCAAACCCCAAAGCTCAGGGGCTGTGTTCACAGGCAAGCCCTGGAGGAACTCCTCTTGAAGGGCCTGTTTCCTCTGACTTGGTGCTGGGTTCCCATACGCCTCCCGATCCAGAATAGAAAGAGAAAACAAGACTGCTCAGAGTGAACAAGTCACAGCAGCAGGAAGTCGCAGGAATCGGACCACAAGTAAAAAACATGATCAGGCACCACAAACAGCCTTGCTCTGTGCTCAGGACAGTTCATTTAATCCTCACGCAGCCCCACAAGGTAGATGAGGAAGCTGAGTCTTCAAGAAGTAAAACAGCCTGCTCAAAGTCACCAGTAAGCAACACTGGGATATGAGCACAGGCGTGTGTGGCTTGCAAGCCAGGCTCTGTCTGTAAGGATTTAGGGGAGGTGGTGTGTATCTGGGATCACGGAGCACAGGACACAAGCTGGGACCCTTCTGGGTCTCACTGGGACTTCCGTGTACAAATGCACACATTGTAAGTGTTGGGGTTCATCAGGAGGCTCTCGGACATCTAGCAAAGGCTGAGTTTTGATAATGACCCTCATACATTTTGCTGGTGGACACGACAGTACGGAGTCTCTCCCCCAGCCTAAATTTAGCAAAATACCACCGGCCCTGGGGCCCCAGGAGAGCAGCTCCTTCGCCTCACTCCCTACTGCACCCTTTTCATTAGGGACTCTTTCCCTTCCCCTTTCACTTTCTATGTGGGATGCAGCTGAAGTCTCCCTGAGCCTCAAGGCCCATGAGGGTGACAGGAGAAAAGCCAGGGTAGAGATTGTCACTACTGTTATCTCACTGGTGGTCCTGACCCCACAGCCCTTCTACCAGTGCCGTATCCTCAGCGTGTGCCCGGTGAGTCATGGTGGTGGAGACCCACAGTCATTTCCCAAGCTTCATGCTCTCAGCCACGTGATTCCACCTGTGCCGCACTTCCTCAGTTTATCTGCTGTGTCCACCGTGCTGACACGGCGATAGCCACTGGGGGCCTAGCAGTAACCACACCCTGTCTCATGGAGCTAGCTCTCTAATGGGACACATGACCACACAGTTCATAATGATGGTGGGGAGTGCCCTCTATGGAGGGGATGTAAGAGTACTTACAGTTGGGGTCATCTAGGCAGGAAAAGTATGGTCATGTTCCCCAGAACTCTTAGAAATGGATCACGAGGTAGATGAGCTTACAGGAAACCGGGCCAGCATGGTGCCATAGAACAGTTCCCATCCCTGCCAAATTCTTCAGCCCTTGTGTCCAAGGTCAGATGCCTTGTCTTCCACAAAACATTCCCTGGCGTCCACCCTTCGTCCCCTTCAGCTACAAGTGACCCTCCTCTCCTGCAAGTATTCATCCTTCTGAAGGCTGGGCGCCAGGCACTAACAGACAGGCAGCTGCCTCCCAGACATAAGGAGCATGGGTCCTAACCAGGAATAAGCTTCACAGCCATTGCTGTCAGGCCAAGCCGTGGTCCAGGCACCTGCAGGCATTAATTCGTGTCCTCAGCCCCACACCCACGGGGAGCAGGTGTAGTTACTATTCCCACTTTCGCGATAAGGAAGCACAAGGAAAGTACATCGCTCAGATGTAAAGACACAAAGAAATAATCAGAGGTGTGATGAGTGCTACAGACGCCTTATAGGCATGGGTAGCAGGGACCTTGTTATAGGGAAATCACAAAGGAGGGTCGGTCTGGTGATGTAGCTAAGACCTCAAGTCTGAGAGTCAGACTTTGATTCCAGTCCCTGCTCCGCAAGTGATCAGTTGTGTGACTTTAAGTACATCACTGAACTTCTCCAGGCTTCACTTCGAGCCACTGTAAAATAAGGATGCTAATATCCACCTTACGGAGTTAAACATGGTCCTCTGCACAGACTTAGCAGAGCGCCTGGCAGGTGTTGAGTTCGGGAAGTCGTAGTTTATTGCCCTCTGGTCTGTGATGCGACCCTGGCTTGCCTCTCTGTTAGGCTGCAACATCGCTGTGGCAGTGTCTATATCCGATCCAACCCCGTGTCCCTCCCCCAGAACCCTCCCTAAGGTCATGCATTTCTGTTAGGCGCTCAGTGAGTATTTGTAGATTGCATGAACGAGGGAGGGAATGCATGAGTGAGTAGCTGTCACCACATGGCAGGTATCTTTGCTGAACACTGGTTTAGTCTTCTGACAAAAGCCTCCTAATGTAGCCGCTTCAGACGAGAGCAGGCTTTTTTCTCTGAAGTACCCAGCCAACATCGTCTGGCGGTGTCTGACTCTGTGGTGTTGGCGGGGACACGAACCAAGCACAGCTTGATTTTTATGGTTTAATGTAAGAGATGGAGCCTCCACCACTGTCGCTTCAGAAGATTGTTGTTTTGACGTCTCAGCCACACAAATGGAGTGAAACTGCCATTATAGGAGATAAGCAGGGGAGACTGAGGTGTCAGGATTTAGGACCCTGCCTTCAAAGCAGATCCACCTGTTGCCCCCACAGTTTGCGAGTGGCTCCATTGAACACAAAGGGACTGATGGTTGAATGCAGGCGGGCTGCCGGGTGCCCCCATCTGAGGACGTCTAACTGTGTCCCTTCTTTGTCTCCCGTCCCTCCCCACTGTCCTCGCTCTGCAGGAATGGCATCACCAGCTGCCGGATGCGGACTGAGAGTGAGCCATCTTGTGGCTCCCCAGTGGTCAGCGGAGACCCCAAGGAGGATCACAACTACAGCAGTGCCAAGTCCTCCAACGCCCGGAGCACCTCGCCCACCAGCGACTCCATCTCCTCCTCCTCCTCCTCAGCCGACGACCACTATGAGTTTGCCACCAAGGGGAGCCAGGAGGGCAGCGAGGGCAGCGAGGGGAGCTTCCGGAGCCACGAGAGCCCCAGCGACACGGAAGAGGACGACAGGAAGCACAGCCAGAAGGAGCCCAAGGATTCTCTGGGGGACAGCGGGTACGCATCCCAGCACAAGAAGCGCCAGCACTTCGCCAAGGCCAGGAAGGTCCCCAGCGACACACTGCCCCTCAAAAAGAGACGCACCGAAAAGCCCCCCGAGAGCGATGATGAGGAGATGAAAGAAGCGGCAGGGTCCCTCCTGCACTTAGCAGGGATCCGGTCCTGTTTGAATAACATCACCAATCGGACGGCAAAGGGGCAGAAAGAGCAAAAGGAAACCACAAAAAATTAAAAACAAGTCACTGATTTGTTTTGAACTTACGACCATTTGGTTTCAGCATGTCAGGAGATTTCTAATGATTTGTGGCAATATCAGCAATTTTTTTTCTTTTTTCTTGTTTTTGGTTTGGTTTTCTTTCTTTTCTTTTCCTTTTATTTTGTTTTAATTTGCCCCCTCTTCTTTGTTTTGGACCCTTAAGAATTTTATTTTTAAAGGAGATTGAAGCCATAGAACTCATATTGACACTCAGCTGTTTTACAAAAGCTTTTCATTATCTGAAGACAAAACCGAAAAAGCCAAAATTACCATTGCTTCCTCCAGCTTGTCAGAAACCTGTGGCTGAATCCGCAGGGATGTCAACGTCAATATCACAGGAACACACATTCGGCACCTAGAAGGCACGTGGGCAAAGTAATCATCGTTCAGGCCCAACCCTTAGGTTTAAAAAGTCAGGTTGTCCATCCCATTGGGTTCACTGAGTGAAGGCACATAAAGCAATTGAGGAGGAGGAGGAACCCCTCGTCCCCCTAGGAGCAGACCCAAGCTTGTGGCACCAGGCATCTGATGGTGCCAGGAAAGCCACTGGAATTGTCACACGGCGAGCACAGAGGGCCGGCCACCAGTCCTCGATGCTTCTGAACCCTGAAGCCCGATGACATCTTACGAGGTGGACGTTGGACTGTTCATGCGCATCGGGTGTCAGTGACTCATGGAGAAGAAATGGGGTAAATTTTTAGTGATGTTGCTAATCATTGAATTCTGTTCTCTATTAAATTAAGAAAATGTTCCAAAAGCCATAAGCCTGAAGATTGGCCCTGTGCACGCACGCACACACACACACACACACACACACACACACACACACACACGAAGGAGAGAGAGAGAAAACTGATGGGGAAAACAAGCTGTGTCTTCTTAACTGCCCAAGTGAAAAGCAACCAAGTCCAGGAAATTACAATAGCTGTTAAGGAAAGGAAATAATGGTACAGATCTTTTTCTGTCTATCAAAACTATTTGATCCAAGTGAAAAAAAAAAAAAAACTAGAAAGCTACGGAACCTGCCATTAGTATTGTGGTGTATTTTTAAGATTAAAGGTACACTGATGGACAAAAAAAAAAAGTAAAACATGGCAAAAAATAAAATAACTCCTATACTGCCCTCAAAATGGAGTTTGCAATTAATATCAGGATTTATCTTTGCAAAAATCAGTGATTTCCACATTCAGCCAGTATAGCCAGCAGAAATTTCTGATCCACAATGCATGGATTCCTTTGAAGAAAAAAAAGAAAAAGAGAAAAAAATCACAAAAACAAACTTTTTTTATTCAAAAGTAACAAAGTTCTTGTAAGGTAAATAATGTATTTAGCATGAAGCATGAATTATTTTCATATAAATATAGAAAATAGAGAAAAGGCTATGCCTGTAATTTTTAAGCCCTTAGGCTTAGAGTTTCTTTTGGTTTTCTTCTTTTTTCTTTCCTTTTCTTTGCTTTCTTTTTTTCCTTTTTGTTTTTGTTTTTGTTTTTTGTTTTTGTTTTTTTTTCGGGTTATTTTGTTTTGGTTTTTTGAAGCAGGTGTTTAAGGTTTAACCTTCTTCAGGGACAAATTCTGACTGTTGGGGAACTTACTCTGCAATATAAAAATATCTTCATGCTCTGGTAGGGCTTGGATGGTTGAACTCTGTACTGCCTTGTGTGCACTTCAGCCCCGACCCCCTCTGATTCTCTGTTGAAAAGTGTGTCCTTTCTCTCTGTCTGTACATGTTTAACATGACGCAATAATTTGAGGGCAAACTTAGTAGTGAGTGTGTATGATAGAATCAAGAGAATTATGGGACGCTTACTTGAGAAAATCATTACCATGATTTGGTTCTAGGAAAAAGGCAGTGAATAATTATGCAAATTAGCCAGAAGAAGGGGAACCGTGCTAATGGGCCTTATTGGGTGAGGGGACGAGATGGGGTTCATGTGAAGGAGGAAGCGATGCCGAGGTAGGAAAGGCCAGCCCCAGACATCCTATCGCCACAATGCCATGTCGCAATAGGAAGCAGGGGCCGGCCATCGCTACCTTCAGCACACTGACCAACCTGGAATTAAGACCACCTAGATTGCGAGAGCTGAATTTAGAAACCAGACAACGTCATGCAGCCCAGAAACTCCTGTTGTTACCTTTGCCTAAGAAATTTTCTTTAATGGCGGGGGCGGGGGGCGGGGGTACAAAGAGAAATCTCTAAAAGAATATGATCTTCCATCCAAGTGGAGGGAAACTTTAAAACAAAAACACCCAGTACTGTGGCTCAGGATATGATGCGTGAGGAGAGGGAGGGAACAGAGATGACCTTAACTTTTAAAAAAGGGACTGCTGTGGGCCAAAGCCAAGCCCATCTGCCAGGACGAGGTAATGTCAGAGCTCCATCAGCCCGGACAGTGGGAACTAACTGGTGCATTCCCCACACTTACCTTCCGGTGGGTTGCTGATGAGAGAACCTGAAAAAACCTACACCTCTACAGCAGGTCGAATTCATGACCTGAAGCTGAATACTTCCAGCATATTTATTCAGGGTGTAGGTGGGAATAAAGTATCTTCGCAGTGCTCTGTTCCCTCCGTCTCCCCAGACATCTGACACCCTAAAAGCCATCCACAGCTATGGAACCTGAGCGACACCTTGATTTGTGTTGTCACCTGACCAAGCCTAAAGACCTCCAGCTCAGTCCCCCACCTTCATCCCACCCCACAGATGATAAAATTCAGACCTCTCTCCTGAAAGGCAGAGGTTCAACATTCAGGACTGTTTCTGGCCGAGGACTTCTTCCAATTAAAACCCCCACCGTGGGCTGTCTCCCCTCATTTCATTTTTCTAAAGGGGCAGAGGCCTCTTTTAGAAAATAATAAAATGCAATGTGTGTGATTTACTTTTCTGATCTCTTTGAGAAATAGAGAAATATAAAAGTGTGTTCTTAACTCCAGAACCACTCTTTTTGCATAAATACCTCATCGGGCAGCTTTCTAAGTGTGATTTTCCTGAGTCTCCCTTCGTTGGATCTGCCGGAAGACTTGTCGGGGAACCTTTAGTGAGGGTACTTCTTCCTATTTTTCTTCTGTTTTTGGAGGCATACACATTATGCATAACCAAAACAATGGCTCAATTGTGTTTAACTTTGTATTTTGATTGTTGAGAACAAAAACAAAAAGTATCAATGTGTATGTGGCTGTTTGTAGTGAATTTATTGGAGAATGAGGTTGTCCGTGTCCTTAACAAGCCAAGGGGCAGGAGGCACCCTCTCTTATCCCCTCCTCCAAGAGCAGTAGAGAATTTAAGCACAAGCCTATTTGTGAAAGAATATTTTGCTTAAGTGTCATTCACTTTAGTCTTGGAATTCCTTCCCAAACGTCAGGTGTTCTTTTAGCTTCCAAACTAGCATATGTATCCATTAGTCTGACAGATCGCCTGAACACCATTAAGAGGTGTGGCGTTTTTGCTTTCATTTCTCCTGCTGGGAGAAGTGGCGGTTCATGTGTCATTCCAGTATCTCACATACTCACACGGGGCAGGGGGGAGGGGGAAACGGGGAACTATAGCAATATTTAAAGATGCTTTGGAAACCAACCGTGAACACATCAACACCACGACGTCTACGATTACTTGCTATTGGCCCTCGGATACATTTAAGAGAAAGAGACAGTCACTCTTTTTTTTCTTAAATGATATACATATAAACAGTTATTTTTATCCTATTATAATTGTCTTTTGTCTTTATCTAGTACTATGTGGAAAGGGTTTGCATCATAGATTTTTCCCAGCCTTATAATATACCATAAGCTCCTACTTCCCTGCCCCTCCCTAATCAGTATTCTTTCAAGAGTTCTTTGGTGAAGCCATCTATCTGAAACTAAAATGAACCAAACCCATATTTCACTGGTGGTTGGAGAAAACCATGGCCAAAACGATTGTGGCAGGTCTCAATCTTGGGAGTTTTTAAGAAGGAATGTGCCAGAGGCCGATTCCCAAGAACAGAGTTTTCTTTTGTTTTGCAGAGGCATTCAATGTGTCTAGTGCTTGCTGGCCACAGCAGTTACTACCACAGAGCCTTCTGGGAGGGGCCGTTGTGTTGAAGGAGGCTCCTGCCTGAGGGACAGCATCAGGCAGTGGGCTCTGTAGAGTGAGAACCAGGTGGAGGCCTTCTGTGCCCAGCTCAGAGTTCTGCACCACGCCAGGACTGCCCAGGCCAAGGGCTACTGACGCAAGTTCCACTCATTCCACTCTGTGGGGGGCGCCTTGGGCCTCTCCTGGAAGGGCTCTTGGAGAAGGAATTGGAGTTACGTACAAGTGACCTAAATGGGAAGCTTTTCTAGATGAGATTGGATTAAATTCCATGTGATTTCTCTTTCCCTTTAATCCAGGTTGGGACTCGTTTCTTTCTGGTGGATCACAGCTGCCCAGATGTTGCAATTGATTTTTATGTTTCTGTAGAGAAGTATTTTTCTTTCATCTTCAGGATTTTTTTTGCCACCAAAAGAAAACATTGGAACTCTGTGTTTCCTCTTGATTGTGACTTCCCAGTGTTGACAGTTAAGTCCTTAGTGTCGTAGGTCCCAGCCCACCAATACTATATCAAACACTGTTATGCACATAATGCAGCACTGTGATCTAATTTAAATAATACTTTTTTATTATTTATACTACTATATATAATATACATCAACACTTTTGCTATATAACCTAAGTGATAACCCTCTTTTAGTTACCTGCCAAACTCTGGACTTGGTTTATATTGCAGTTAACACAGTTACAAAGCTGTAATGGTGTCTTTTTTTCCTTTGTAACGGAATGTGTAAATCAAAGTATATACATTGTGTGGTGTTCCTGTTTCTGGAGTTTCATGAGGATTTACACATGGCATTCAGTGTTCTGTATAGATCTGCCTACCTTTGTGAATTCATCTGTTAACCCCTCTTCCTTTGAGAGAGCACCGGCGATGGTGGTTAACTCCTTGTGTTTTCTCTCTCTCCTACTGGTTATTCTTGAATTAAGCACAGACTCGTCAGCTCGGTTGCTTTATCATGAATAATGTGTGTGACCTTGCAGTTCTTCCACAGTTCAGCAAACAAGTGCTAGCTTCACTGACCAAAAATTAAGGAAGGAAAACACAGTTTTTAAAACGATCCATCTTTTAACAGCCGAAACCGATGTGTCTATGGTGCTGCACCTTGCTGTTGTACTTCTGAAATCAGACGTGTGTGAACGATCATTTCTGACTTAACCGTGAGATGCTCACGAGTACCCTTCCTGTTGTTTTGTTAGCATTGAAATCGAGACTATTTATTTGGAATATATACAACAGTGTTTTTCCACTGTATTTCATTTGCAAAAGTTGAGAACTGCTTTCTCTACCTTTTGCAAAATAATTGATATTCCATATTGGATTCTCAAAGACTTCGATATGGTGAACCTATTAAACCTAGAAATTGTATTCATCCTTTCATGACTGTGGCCTGAGTTCCCCAGCCCCTCTCCTCCTTTTTTTTAGATGAGATTTAGCACACTCTCAGTTATTTAAACATGCAACATTTCTTGAGTATGTATGTTGAGGCCATCTGAGCTCATAGCTGATTCAGTAACCAGTTTCATGCTGTGTCATTCACACTCACTACTTAATACTGCCATGGTGAAAATGTGGAGGAAAAATGTATCCATGTGTGTCTGGGAAGCATATACACTTGTACATTTTTTAATACTCTGATTCTGTAACATTTCTGAGTTTTGTTTTGTTTTACAGAAAAAAAAAAAAAGTGATAAAGCAATCAGAAGACCAAGAGGTTTACTATTGATGCTTAGGGTCGTCTGACCTTGGCTGGCCAATAGACCTACACGGCCAAATTAATTTACGAGAGTAATAATTTTTCAAAAGCCAATTTTTTTTCTGTATTTTCTGTATGAAACTGCCAATATCATGAATAGAAAGGGAGAACCATAAAGGAGAAAGAACGTGATGTTCTGTTATGTTCATGTAAACCTAAAGAAACAGTGTGGAGGCAGGCGCGATCAGCCGAACTCTAGGGACTTGGTGTTGCTTGGAAGGCATCCATACCTGCATTTTGCATTCTTCGTATGTAATCATATTGCCAAAGACAAACTATTTCATCATTTATTGTAAATAACACTTTTCCCCAGACCTACCATAAAGTTTCTGTGATGTATTGTCTTCCAGTTGCAATAAAAATTACTGAGTTGCATCAATTGAAGAAAAACACCACGTAGTGTTATGTGTGCTGCGCCTCCCTGTGCAGATGCTGGTCCACAACGTCATTTCTGTTCCTTACCTGCGGTCAGGCGTGTGTGCAGTTTTTGCAGTCTGGTTTCGGGGTTCTCAGCTGCATTTATTGTGCCCATCCTCACACGTGCGTAGGCTTGGGTGGGCATCACACACTGCTCTGCAAACACAAATGCACATTCGGAAGCTGGGCTTACCCGGGATCTCAAGAGAATTCCAGCTTTGGTGTAGCTGGTGGCTGGCCAGCCTCCCATCATGAGCCTTAAGACTTGTGGTTTAGACAGAGCTTCCCTTTCATTTGGAAGTTGTCAAACAATAAACTGCAATTGTACTTTAGTACTGGAGCCTGCCAGCCTATCCCAGATCCTGAGGGTTTCTTGTAATGACATTCCTAGCCCTAAGACCTTCATCTGCCAGGGTTTATTACGTCATCACTCAAGTGCCCACCCCAGACCCTCGCACACACATCCCCCAGGAGCCAACAAGGAGCTGATGGGAGAGAGGGGAGTGGGAACAAGGAAGGGATCACAGGGCACCACTCACCGTGCTGGAGGAGTAGAAAGAGGATGTTCTCGTGCATCTCTCTGGTTCCTTTTGTGATGGTTTTGTTTTCAGCATGTCCTGTCTGCAGGTCTTGCCACCAACAGTAACCGTAGTGTAGAGTTGGCCTTGGACACTACCCTTCTGCTGGGCCCCCACATCCACTGGTGTCTTTGTTCTCCAAGATGCTTGGGCTGCGTCTCCTGTCCTCCTGCAGTTATGGTATCATTCTGAGGTCATAGGCCCATCTGTCCTGGTAAGCTTACGGGGATAAATTCCTCCCCGTTACCCATCTCAAGGTGGTCACCTCTGGATCCTGTGGGTTTGGCCCTTATTGCTGCCATATCTGATCCCACTGTTGAATCACTTTCAAAGCTGTGATGTGTCCTCCAGGGTACAAATCAATATTTGAGGAGACTTGATTGGGAGGAAGAGCTAAAGTCATTGGGAGCTGAATCTGATGAATCAAGTAATCATCTAAATTGGGTAGTGCTTGAGGCCAAATATAAGGTGGGGCCACCTTAAAACAGCACCTACAACAACCATTTTCAATAAGTGACTCTCGAGACTGGAGGAGAGACCCCACGTGGATGATCAGCATGCCTGAGGGAGCCCTGTCTAAATGATCACACCTGCAAAATTCTGATCAGGTAACACTGTCTTCAAATTCCTATGGGTTCTTAGAGAAGGGAACTTCTCCCCATGGTGTCAGGGACCATGAAGGCTCTTCTGGGTTTGAAGCTGAGTCTGGATGGGTGCCAGTGAGGGGCACTGCAGACCCTAAACAGTTTTCTCCTTACCTTTTGACTGCACTGCCTGATGAAAGTATGAACCAAGAAGTCACCATCCTTCTAGAAAGTTATGAACAGATGAGGGCATTTTCGGGAGTCTGATATGACTAGGAGGTTTTTATGAGCTAAAAGCTCATGTTCTGGTTACCCTAATTCCAGATCACCAAACCAAATGGCCCTACATATGCCAGCAGAAGTGTATTTTGACCTTTTTTTTTTCATTGATAGGAATACAAAACCAGGGTTTGTGGGCTGGGTGTGGACAATTTTTTAAAAGACTCAAGTACAAGGGAATAAGCATTTAATAATATTAAATAATATGTTTATTCCCTTGTACTCAAGTCTTTTAAAAAATTGCTCCTTTGTTTTGTGTGAACAGACCTTTCTAGAGCAGTGTGTCTAAATAATGCTCATAGCAGTCATACCGTAATTTGAAATCATTCTTGGGCATTTTTGGACTCAGTAACTTTTGTGAGAATCGTTTTATGTTACTCCATAATAAAGTAATTTGGAGTATCTATGGCTAAATCTCCTTCAAATACGGCAGCTTACTTGAGAGAGTCAGGAATTCTACTTTTTCTCACCTGGTACACATTTCAAACTGACTTCTAAAAAGATATAATATGGACGAAGTACATATTATGTCTGGTGGGGAAAGTCTGAAACCAAGATAGTGGCTGATTTCTAGCTCCCCCCAGGATACGGTTTCTTCATTAAATGAGTCCAGTCTATTCACATTATAAAACAGGAAGGAATATTAGAGACCATTGGTCCAAACTCCCCATTTTATGGACCAGGCAGCTGAGACACAGGAAAATTTTTGCCCAGGATAACACGCCTAGCTAGTCGTGGAGCTGGACTTAAAGAGAAGAAATTTTCTGTCTTTTCTATTGTATCCATTTATTTGGTATGTAATTATAATCATCAGATCTGTAGGATTTCATAGCTGGCAATTCACCACACGTACACACTTACCATATCCTATGCATTTTCCATATAGCTATAGTGAAAAATGATTATCTTTTGAAGTAATACATAACATCCTGTTGAATGGGTGTCCTGCCATCTTCAACTGTTACCTTACTCTTCAATGTTTATATTGCTTTCAATTTCTCCATTATAAGTAATACTGCAATGAACATCTTCAGGTATGTGGCAATTTACATTCTTTCCACTTGTCTTTCAGTTAGATTGCCTATTGGACTATTGAAACAAAAGTGTTATCAATGAGGTAGCTATTTATACGCAGACTTTCTAAGAGGCACCAATGCCAACAGCAATGAATGCAAACCCCAGTTTCATGACACTCTCACCAGTATTGGATATGATTTTACTCTTTAATTTTTGCTAACAGACAAAAATAGTACTTTGTTGCCATTTTAATTTAAATTTAATTTCTAGCAAAGTTACATTACTTTTCATATGTTTGCTGACTGTTTATTATTTATCTTGGTGGAATCATCTGTAAGTGACTCTCTAAGAGTTTAAAAGAGAGAATTCATATTTATAGACTCCTTGCTACAATGTCCCCAGTTCACCATTAAATGGTGTCAAGATGCCCAAACATCACCTGCCTCCAGAGGTTTTTACCGTATTCAGACACTTCTAATTGTTCCTATATTAAGACAAAATCCTGCTCCCTAAGACTTACCTGAAGGTGCTTAGACTATCCTAAAAGGCCACAAACATGTAAACTTAAATCATCTTGCACATGGCAACAATAATATTGTTGAAAACAACAATAATTTCTAAGTCTTTTTCAGAATAAACATTCCAACTTCTGCCTCCTATTTGCTTTCTTCTGAACATGTTCCCATTTGTGATCAGAACTGAGAACTGACAACAGAATTCCAGGTACAGTTCAATGATGAGAAACTCTCCCCACCTCATTCTAGATCCTCTATTTCCATTAATATAACCAAACCACTGATTCACATTGAAGTTGCTATTAGCTAAAACAAGTAAGTCCTGTCTATTGATGTTCTTCTCCAGATACCCATTTTGAGTCACGGCGAGGGACTACATTATCTCTGTCAAATCTCCTTGGATTTGGTCCACTGTCTTAAGCCAGTTCAGATTGGCAGTGGGCTGGGGGTATGAGGATTCAGATTTTGTCATCAAAAACATTTGCTTTCCTTCCAGGTATCATTTAATCACAAATTTGAAAATGTCTTTTGTATAAGGACAAAGCTGGAGCCATGTGGCATGGGTCTAGAGCCCTCCTTGTAGGTCAACTTTCTTCTCAGTCAGCACCTTTCATTGTCAGTCATTCATCATTCAACTAGTTATGCAGGCACCAGGCTTTCTGAAGATGCAATGTACATGTCTCCATCCAGTCAAAAGTTTGTCAAGTACCTCCTCATTCTCCATGTATAAGTCTGTAGTCTTCCTTTATAAGAAAGGAAATGAAGTTGCACTCTATGCTAAGGTAAGGTCTGCCAATTTGAAATAAAGCAATGAAAAGGAATAAAATTTCACTAATTGCATAAACATTGAAATAATGTGAATTCTACTTTATTCCTATGGGGGAATTAGCCTTGACTTATGTAGTTATTATATGAAGTCTTGAGGAACATACCCCGTACATGAAAAGAAACCACAATTCATTCATTCCTTTACTCTGTCTTAGCCCAAGATGGCTTCCTTGCCAAGAGCTTGCAAACTATTCTCTTAATAATCCACCCAAGATTCTCACTCAGAGGGTGACATTGAGGCTATGGATTGATATGGTTTGGCTCTGTGTCTCCACCCAAATCTCATGTCGAATTGTAATTCCCAATGTTGGAGGAGGGACCTGGTGGGAGGTGATTGAATCATGGGGACAGATTTCCTTCCTGCTGTTCCCATGATAGTAAGTGCATTCTCATGAGATCTGATGGTTTAAAAGTGTGTGGCACTTCCCCCTTTGCTCTCTCTCTCTCTCCTGCTGCCATGTAAAGATGTGCTTGCTTCCCCTTTGCCCTTCTGCCATGATTGTAAGTTTCCTGAGACCTCCCAGCCATGCTTCCTGTACAGCCTGAGGAACTTCACAGTTCCTCTTCAAACCTCTTTTCTACATAAATTACCCAGTCTCAGGTAGTTCTTTATAGCAGCGTGAGAACAAACTAATACATGGATCTGTAGTGTGCAGATATTGTCTGCTGTTTACAACCCGGAAGTTTTGGTATAATGCCTAGTAGTATTTCTTCACTTTATTTACATGCCTATTTAGGGGACTGACCTATCTAGCATGTACTTAGCCTTTAAGTATAGTCAAATGAATTTGTATAGTTAGCTTCCTTTAAAAATATTATCAGGAGTTTGGTAACTTCTGGCACCTACTTACTTTTAAATAGTTGGCCCTTTACCCAACATGGCATATATATTTAAGCATCCAGAACTTCAGTAGACTAAAAAGACTATCCAAAAACACGAAAGAATAAAGAAGTTAAAAAAACAGTTTGGAAAGGGTTGTTTTATTTACTTATTTATTTATTTTTGAGATAGAGTCTCAGTCTGTCACCCAGGCTGGAATGCAGTGGTGTGATCTCGGCTCACTGCAACCTCTGCCTCCCAGTTTCAAGCGATTCTCCTGCCTCAGCCTCCTGAGTAGCTGGGATTACAGGTGTGCACCAGCATGCCCAGCTAATTTTGTATTTTTAGTAGAGACGGGGTTTCACCATGTTGGTCAGGCTGGTCTCGAACTCCTGACCTCGTGATCCACCCACCTCCACCTCCCAAAGTGCTTTGATTACAGGCGTGAGCCACCTCACCCAGCCTGGAAACTTTTTAAATAGATTCTCTCCTTTATTGTCATAGTCAATTCACACTTGTTTTTCAGCAACTGCTATGTGACAATCCTGTTAGGTGCTGGGACACAGATAAAAAATTTGGCTCTTACCTTCAAGCATGATCGTGTCCAAAAATCCAGCTGTGTTGATTAATGGGCATCTCACTGGCAGCTGGTATATCCTTCCCCAAACTTTTTAGTAGTTGTTGGTCTTTTCTAGACATAAGCATGTTGGTTGCAAAGATGAATCCAGCCTTTGTCTTCTTCTCCTGCCAGTCTCCCCTCTTCTCACCTGTTAGCTGATGAGACATTGGATAAGAGCCTGTCCACTATCTGCAGACTTAGCCATCCCTCCAATGGGTGGATTATTTCTTAATGAACTAATCCTTGCTGCCTGGCACCAGCTCTGTGATAAAAAGAATCTGGGACATTTCTTCTGCACGATGCTTGATGTTCTTGGCTTATAAACAAACATTTGTCTCCCATACCTGCCCTGCTCCCGGCTTTTTCTCCCCACCACCTTACTTTTATCACTCCTTTCTCAAAATTGCTCTAAGAGCAAAAGATTGGAGAACCTGAATGGTAGAGGATGCTCTTACTTTATCTTAATAACCCTCCTGCCACTATCATGGCCAAACAAGGGTGTGCAGAGAGATGCATGAAGCCTTCTGTTGATTATCAGGCTAGACTTCCCTGCAAAACTCTTATTCACTGAACATGCTGCATAGACCTGCAGGAGTTCATCACCTCCAGCCTTCTGCCTGAATGTGGACCATGGCAGCAAATTCTGCTCTGAGCTAAGAGGGAATGTGTTCATGCATGCTGATTCACAGGGATCTTGTTGTATTATACAAAAAGCATGCCTTTTTGATGCTTAATCCTTTCTGCTAGGCCATTTCTTGTTTTTTTCCTTTCTTTTTCTTTCTTTTCTTTTCTTTTTTTTTTTTTTTTTTTTTTTTTTTGTTTGTTTGTGTGTTTGTTTTTGAAACAGGGTCTTCCTCTGTCACCTGGCTGGAGTGCTCAGTGCCTGATTGTAGCTCACTACAGCCTTGCCCTCCCAGACACAGACAGTTTTCCCACCTCAGACCCCCAAGTAGCTGGAAATACAGGTGTGTGCCACCACATCTGGCTTTTTTTTTTTTTTTTTTTTTTTTTGGAGCAATGGGATTTTACAGTGTTGCCTAAGCTGGTCTTGAACTTCTGGCCTCAAGTGATCCTCCCACTTCAGCCTCCCAGATTTCTGGGATTACAGGCATGAGCCACCATGCCCAGCCTAGACTATTTCTCTTAGGCTAAAAATTTCATCTAACCCATCAGACCCAGTAGGAGGGAAACAACTCTATATTTTTCCACCTTTACTGGCAGTAACTAATCCCCTTGGGAGTAAAAATGTCAATTGGCAACTAAGAAAATTCTGAAGGAGGGATATATATTTTACACCTGAGTTAACTTTTTTACGCTGCAAAGGCAGAAGTTTTCTTCTCTGTCTAACGACTTGTAACTTAATAATAACATAAACACACTGTGTTTAACATTCGTCTTTCATGTTTACAACGTGCTGTGAAGAAGTCAACCTGTCCATCCCAAACCAACCCTTCTAAGAAGCCTCAAATCATCCAGAGTCCCTCCTGCTCTGTCAGCTCCTCCATGGAACCCAACACCCAGTCTGGCCAGTTGTACTTTAAACTCACCTTTGATCATCCTTTGTCCTCCACTCCTCTGGCCGCCATCCTGGTCAAGTCCCATTTCCTCTTGCCCAGATGATGACCACAGGTGCTGGTCTCCACTGACCACACATTCCTCTGCAGGACCATGAGACTTCTCTTTCCAAATCACCTCTGATTCTGTCATTTCTCAGACCCACCTGAACTGCGGGCATCCTCAATGACTCCAGTCACCAAACTCTTCAGCCTTTTGTGGCTCGGGGCCTCTTCACATTTTTTCCCCTTCCTGGGATGCTCTATGCACTCCCTACCTCTCTCCTCCTGAAAAGTCTCTGTCAGTCCTTCAAGGCCCAAGTCATATCGTTCTCTCACCAAGTTCCAGACCACCAAAGTCCTGTCTCTATTGGTGGCTGTCATCACAGGCTGTTAGGATTTTAAATCCACCTGTTGGCTCCCCTGATGGAGGTGATCTGCTTAGGGGCAGGCATCAGATGGTATTTTATGCTGAACCCCAGTACGGTGCCTGCCACTTGGATACTTAAGGTGTTCTAAATTTAAGGTGTGTGTTTGTTTTTCATATCCTCAGTTAGCTAAACAGATAGTTGGCAATGATACGTCCATTTCACCAAATTTTTCTTTCATTCAGAGCCAGCAAGCGGTATATCTCTGTCTCTTTTCCACAAGAAACTTGCTCCAGCCTGGGCAATATGACAAAACCCTTTAACTACAAAAATTTCAAAAAAATTAGCCCTTTCTCCCCACATTTTGCCATCAAACCCTATCAATTCCACCTCTTAAGCATCTCCAAGTTCCATCCTCACTGCGATAGTAACCTCTGTGCAAACCTATATCATTGCTCTGTTGGATTTTTGCAGTTAGAAAACTTGCATTAATTGCTTCCCCTTTCTCCATTTGTACAAGTCAGGCCCCACCAGGGAAATGGAGACACTCTAAGTATATTATCAGTGATCTCCAGAGAAACAGAACCAATAATAGATAGATGATAGACAGATAGATAGATGATAGATAGATAGATAGATAGATAGATAGATAGATAGATAGATAGAGGTCTAGATACACAAGCAGAGATTTATTATGATACTTGGCCTACACGATTATGGAAGCCTAGAAGTCCCATAATATGCTGTCTGCAAGCCAGAGACCCAGGAAAGCCGGTGGTGTAATTCAGTCTGAGTCTGAAAGCCTGAGAACCAGGAGAAGACAGATGTCCCAACTCAAGAACAGAGATGGAAAATTTGCACTTCCTTTTTGTTCTGTTCATGCTCTCATCAGATTGGATGACGCCTGCCTACATTGGTGAGTGTGGATCTTCTTTACTCAATTTACTGATTCAAATGCTAATCTCACCCAGCTATGGTCTCACAGAAATAGTGTTTTACCAGCTATCTGGGCATCTCTTAGCCCAGTCAAGTTGCACGGGAAATTAACCATCACACCAAGTATAGGTTGGTGCAAAAGTAATTGTGGTTTTTGCCATTAAAAGTAAGGCATCACAATAGTGAGTTCTCATGAGATCTGGTTGTTTAAAAGTGTTTGGCACCTCCCCTCTCTCTCTCTTCCTCTTGCTCCAGCCATGTGAAGTGCCTGCTCCCCCTTTGCCTTCCACCATGGCTGTAAGTTTCCTGAGGCCTCCCCAGAAGCCCAGTAGATGCCAGCCTCATGCTCCCTGTACAGCCTGAGGAACCATGAGCCAATTAAACATCTTTTCTTTATAAATTACCCAGTCTTAGGTATTTCTTTATAGCAGTGTGAGAATGGACTCATACTCATGCAGAGCTAAGCCTAGCTGAGCAGAGGAAGGCCAAGGAAGGAAACTGAGGGCACCAGGAACCCCCAGGCTAGCACGCTGGTCCTGCCCCTCTTTTATCCATTCCCCCACAACCCACTGCAGCCAGGATGACCGTCCAATCACCCATCTGACACTGTGCCCCTGCCTAAAGTCCTATGCTGTGCCCTGTGCTCTGGCTAAGCTCCCAGCCAGCCCTCCAGTCTGATCTCCCATCCCCTCCCAGGCCCACTCTGAGCCTCAGCTGCTTGGTAAGTTGCAGTTCCCAGGATGTTCCTAGTGCCTTCTGTTGCTTCGCATGGACCACCCTCTCTGCCTTTCTGGAATGTCTTCATGTCTTCCCTCTGTGTTCAACTTCTCCACTCCCTGCTACCAAGGTACCTTGTGGTTAACATGCTTTCATTCTAGCACTTGCTATGTTTCTCTGTGGCTATTGATTTCCCAGTGTCTGTCATGTTCTCCTAAAGGGCAAGCTTTTTGCCCTGTACATCTGTTTATTCCCAGGACCTGCCTTAGCATCTGGCTGCAGCAGTCACTCAGCTAGCATTTTTTGGATAGACAGATGGATGAACAAGACTTACTGCTCAGATCCTAGCCTGCATACTATAAATGAGAGCATTGCACCCTCTTCCCCAACCACAGCAAGATGCAGGACAGAGCAGGAGTTGGAATTGTATTCAGGAGCATTTGACAGCAAGATATTCCCTCCCACCTAGGAGAGCTCTAGGGGCATGAGGCCTTGCTCACTGCCCATCTTGGGGTCTCAGGGATAAATAGGAGATGGTTTGGCTTGTTTTATCTAGGCCATATCCATGGCCAGGTTCTCTATGGCCAGCAGGCTGAAGGAATCATCCTCCTTCCCCTGAATGTGAGGCCCAGAAATGTCACAGTTCCAAAGGCTTCTAAAGTATCTGGATAAAGAGGAACAGAGAGGAAGGGACAGGACCCACAGGATCTACTATCTCCCAGTCCAGCCAGTCCTCCTCCTTTGCTTTCTGTCTACAGGGCATGGAGGTGGAGCAGGAGAGGCATGGGCAGAGCTCTGGCTGCTCCGTCCTTAGCTTCATGCTTGTTTTGTGCTGACTCGCCATGCTGGAGCCCATTTCCACATGAGAAATCACATCAAAACGTCTCTGCACCAACGCTCTTGGCCTGGCTAAGTCAAAATTCTGAGATCATCACTGGGGAGACGATCGATGTTCTTGGCCAGCTTTTAATGACAATCGATTCTCTCCCTGGCTCTTTGTTAAGTGTCATTGAGAACAATTGCATTTTGTGAACCTGGTCACTGGCCTTGAATTTGCAGCTTCCTACAGTTGACGAGAGGCAGAGCATCTTGTTGCTGTTCTTTTCTCACTCAATCACACAATATGCTCAGCTGTACAATGAATGTTCTTTCCAGTCTGGTTTTTAGGCAACATGGCAGCTTGGCTAATCAGAAAACAAAGTGACTCCTTGTGCATGGGCTCTGAGGAAGGGACTGAGGAAAGTCTGGCTGCTGGCTGGCTCCTTTACTGACCCTAAGTTATTGAGGCAGTGGTTAGTGACAGACAGACTGGTTTTCTAGTCCTAGCTTTGCTGCTTACCAGCTGTGTGACCTTGGGCAAAGCACTCACCCTCTCTGAGGCTCTGTTTCTGCATCTGTAGAATGGGATGATAATAGTGCCCAAAATGTAGGTTGTTAAGAGGATTAAATGAAATGATGCATGAGAAAGGGAATTAATATAACATTTGGCATATCTAAGAGGCTCAATAAATGCCTGTTGTTATTATTATGGCTATTATTATTATTTCACCTTCAGAATCCCAGAACTACATAGCCCAGCCCCTGTATCTGTGATGATGCTGATCAATATAACAGCCACTAGCCATACGTGGCTTTTATACAGCAGTTGAAATGTGGAGTCCAAATTGAGATGTGCTGTGAGCATGAAATTGATCCTGGATTTCAAAGGCTTACTATGAAAACGAGAATGTAAAATATTCATTGATACCTTTTAAAAGTCGTGATGATATATTGAAATAACATTTTGGATCTGTTATGTTAAATAAAAGATATTTAAATAAATTAATGCTACCTGTTTCTTTTTTACTTTAAAAAAATGGCTGCTAGAAAATTTAAAATTGCATATGTGACTCTTTTCTTGGCTACCCTGTGCTATGTGGAATCACTTTCAAAGGAGTTCCGTCAAATAGCCAAAAGTAATTCAACAACAAAAAGTGAGCAACACCCAGGAATTCCAATCCTTAACTTGTATCTCTTTTAAAATAATAAACAAAATCCGAAGCATCATGAAAGCTTCTTATATCACCTTTCCTCTTCCAATTTTCTGGCACCCAGTGCTGTTTTGAAGCCTTTAATGTGCTACTCCCTGCCCCTGCTGCCAAGTACATGCAAACGATCTCTCTACCTCCAGCTCATGCCACATTTCTCTCCTCTCCACCTGTTCCACCAGTTCCACTGCTGTATCCCCCTTTCTAGAGTCTTCCTGTCCTCTTTGCTTTTTCCCATCTATTCTCTGAATTAGGATCTCCAAGGAACTGGTCTCTAGATTTGGCAGTTCCTCTCAAAAGTTGAGTGAGGCAGAGCAGATTACCATTAACCAAAGGCATAAAAGACTGATGAATAAACCAGATTGCCAAAGGGTTCGTTTAAAACAGAGAGAGTCCTTTTCAGGGACTGTGTGCTCCTTCTGCAGTCCAAGGAACCCTGACCCTAGGTCCACATTGTAGGTCATGCAGGGTGTACATTGTGCAATGCCAGGGACAGCATCTATACCAAGCCTACTGTGATGTGACATGTGCAACATGGTGGTTCTCAGTATTAGAGTCGCCGAGCAGGTGAATTAACGAGTTTAGTGAGTTCAAAATTAGAAACAAAAAGTATCAGCTTTATGACTACCTAGGGGTAAAGAATTCTGGACACAGGACTTAGCAAGCGCAAAGGCTTTAAGGTAATAATTAACTTAGAGGAAGAATAATGGGATTGGAGCTCAGAAGAGAAGAGAAAAAGTCCTAGGAGATGAAGTTGGAGAGTAGATTACATAGGACCTTCCAGGCTCCATGAGAAGGGGTTTGGATTTTGTTCTAACAGCAGTAGGAATACTATGATATGAAGTGTGCAACATGGTGGTTTTCAGTATTAGGGTCCTTGAGAAGGTGAATTAATGAGTTTGGTGAGTTCAAAATTGGAAACCAGAAGATGTCCAGAGGGATTTTATCAAAGCCATGGAAGCTCCCTGCCTGGCAGCTGAGTCCCCCAGAGGACAGAGTGTCCGGATTCCCCTGGTGTGTGGACTCCCTCTTGGCAGGGCTGGGGAAACACATTCTTGTTCTTTGGCTTCCCTTCTCCACCAGGCTGTAGGGGGACTCTTGCTGTTCTGATTATAAGGTTTTCCTTCAGCCTGGACACAAGACATGTGATTGGGTTTTGGCTCAGGAACATGGCAACTTTTCCCCCCACCCGAGAGTATTTCCTGGTCCCTATGACTTGGTTTTCGGCTTCACCCATGTCTTTGGCCACTGTTTTGGATTGAATTGTGTCCCTTTCCCAAAAATTTATATGTTAAGATCGCAGCCCCCAGTGCCTCCGAATGTGACCTTATTTGGGAATACAATTGTTGCAGATGTAATTAGTTAAGATGAGGTCATATTGGAGTAGTTTGGGCTCTTATCCAATATGTCTGGTGTCTTTATTAAAAGGAGATATGTGGACACAGACTCACAGGGAGAATACCATGTGGAGACTGGAGTTATGTTGCCAGAATCTAAGGGACTACCAGAAACTAGGTGAGAGGCCTGGAATAGATCCTTCCATAACCCCGTCAGAGTGAGTGTGGCCCTGCAGTCACCTTGACCTTCGACCTCTGACCTCCAGAACTGCAAGACAATAGCTTTCCATTGTTTAAGCTACTCCTTTTGTGGTACTTACTTATGAAAGCTCTAGCAAATTAATTCAACCACCAATAACTCTTGGATTGTCTTATGGGTGTCAACTCAGGCTGTTTAATGGGTGGCTAATCTTGCTGCCATTATGGGCAAACTCTTCCTAATTTTACTCCTGAAAAGAAACTTTATCTTAAAGTTTTGGGGTAACCTGCTGTCATCCATAAGTACTAATCACAATATTATATTATGAACAAACTTTTTATATAAAATGTATTTAATTTTTTGGCTTTATTTATTATAAGGTAGACTCCTAAACTCCTTTAAGGAAACCTGCTTTAGTACGCAGTTGGTTGTTTTGAGAACTGGTATAAGACATAGTCAATAAAAAAAGCCCTTCTGCATTTGATAAGTACATTTGAGGATATTTTTTATGATGTTACTCAAGGACCCTGAGCCAAAGTCCCCGTGACACGTGACAAAATCTTCTCAAAGCTCAGAGCCAACAATCAGTTTGGGTTTTGGTTCACTTTTTCCCATGACGATGGTCTACAGTGACAGAGAGGTGGAATATCAGGCTTCCCATTTTTCTCACAATGCTAGGAAGTTGGGGTGTGTCACTACTATCACTTTTCTCAGCCAAGAGTTCTTGGGAGCTTTTTTCCTCCTTTCCTTTCTTTACATTTTGTGCTTCTCTTTTGCTTCATCAATGTTAGTGCGACAGTGAGATACCTCACATCTCTTTTGAAAGCAAGCAAGGTCTGAATCAACACATTGAAATGAACACAAAAGACCCAAAGCAAGAACGTTCTGGGAGATGGGAGGGAAGGATAATTATACCAGAAGCCTTGTCTTTAACAATCAAACAAACAAACTCAAAACAAGTACAATCCCCGGCCACCTGACATGTGTTTCAGGCATGTGGGGGAAGGCGGGATAAATGTAAAAAGGCAGAGACATTCACCTTAACTGATGGAGAGCTGAGAGTGGATACAGGAGCACGTTAGCCTGCATCTTCTCTATAATTGTTTCATGTCTCTGCTACATGTGGAAGCAGGCAGTTCTGCAGGAACCCACGCTAGTCATCTTACATCACTCCTTTCTGCATTTGTAGTAAATACAGGACTGCTCCAGGAGCTTTGCAAATAACTCAGTTTCACTCCCAGCATCTTGATTAACATTATGTGTTGCTCCCATCTGGGACTGTTCATGGGTTCCTATGCGGAGTGGGGTCACAGGGTGACCGAGTCTTCCTCCTGTTTCTGTGGAATTCCTCCAGTGGGAGCAGAGAAAGGGGGTTATTGGAGGGCCCAACTCCATCTGCTGGACTCTCCACTCTGCACCTAGTGTTCCTGCCATTGGTAGGAGCCCTCTTTTTACAAACATAGGGACAAGGAAATCTCAGGTCCTGGAGTAAAAGATGGTAAGCAATGATACCTCCTGTTTGCTGAACTCTCCCTCACCTGGGTAGGGGGACATTTGTGGCAGATGAAAGATTTGAGGCACAAGAGGAACAGAGATCAATCGAGGTTTCAAAGGCTGTCAAGAAAAATCAGTCACAGAGCATACCTACAAAGGTCTTCAAGAAGCTCGTGGAAAATGCTTATTATGCAAAAGCTATGCATGGATTTCAAAAACTTTTTGCACCAAAATAAACTCTTACTAACTTGTTATAACATGTCTGAACAGGATCTAGTTTGAGGCATGTAGAAGAATGAGACATCAGTTTGAAAAGAGCCCGTTTCACAGCAACATGAATTCTGCTAACATTGAAGCAAGAACAAATAGCAAATTTCTGATAAAACTTGGGTGAATTCATTGATGCCTTAAATAAAGTTTATGGGACAATGCCCCAAAGAAATCAGCAGTTTACGAATGAATAATCTGTTTTAAAAATGGACAAGAGGATGTTGAAGATGGTGCCTGCAGCAGCAGACCATCCACATCAATTTGTGATTAAAAATAAATAAGTCTAGTTTATGCCCTGATTGAAGAGGACTGATGATTAACAGCAGAAACAGTAACCAACACCATACACATCTTACTTGGTTCAGTTTACACAATTCAAACTGAAAAATTAAAGTTGAGCAAACTTTCCACTCAATGGGTGCCCAAACCACTGCACCCAGATCAGCTGCAGACAAGAGCAGAGCTTTGATTGGAAATTTTAAACTTGTGGGATCAAGAACCTGAAGCATTTTGTTAAATAATTGTAATAGGAGGCCAGGCATGGTGGCTCATGCCTGTAATCCCAACACTTTGGGAGGCTGAGGCGGGTGGATCACTTGAGGCCACGAGTTCAAGACCAGCCTGGTGCGCACCTGTAATCCCAGCTACTTGGGAGGCTGAGGCATGAGAATCACTTGAACCCAGGAGGTGGAGCTTTTAGTGAGCTGAGATCGCGCCACTGCATTCCAGCCTGGGTGACAGAATGAGACTCTGTCTCAAAAAAAAAAAAAAAAGAAGAATTCTAACAGGAGCTGAAACATGGCTTTACTGGTACCATTCTGACGACAAAGCACAACAAAAGCAATGGCTACCAAAAGGGGGGAAGTGATCCAGTCAAGGCAAAAGCAGACTAGTCAAGAGCAAAGGTCCCGGTGACAGTTTCCTGGGATGCGTGAGGCATTTTGCTGGTTGACTTTCTGGAGGACTGAAGAAGGATAACGTCTGCTTAATATAAGAGCATTTTGAGAAAGTTACCCAAAGCTTTGGTAGAAAAACGCCTGGGAAAGCTTCATCAGAGAGTCCTTCTCCACCACAACAATGCTCCTGCTTCTTCCTCTCATCAGACAATGACGATTTTGTGGGAGTTTCAATGGGAAGTAACTAAGCATCCACCTTACAGTCTTGATTTGCCTCCTCCTGACATCATTTTGTTTCCTAATCTTATAAAATCTGTAAAGGGCACTCATTTTTCTTCAGGTGATAATGTAAAAAAGACTGCACTAACAAGGTTAAGTTCCCAAGACCCTCTGTTCTTAGGGATGTACTAAATGGCTGGTGTCATCATTTACAAAAGTGTCTTGAACTTGATGGAGCTCACGTTGAAAAATAAAGTTTATATTTTAAATTTTTATTTTTTAACTTCATTTTTCCCACAGACTTTTTGAAGTCCCCTCATATGTTGAGCATTGGCTGTATGCCAGGGCTTGTGGCAAGCACTTTACAGATATGAACCTGCTTCATCTCTCTTCAAACTTGCGAGGCAGCTAATTTTATTATCCTCGTTTTACAGATGACGGGACTGAGGCACAGAGAGTCTGAGTAATTTGCCCAAGAAAACACAGATGTTAAGGGAGGAGCTGGGGTTTGAACCCCAGTGGCTTGGCTCCTGATCCGGGGCACCCATATGCACAGAGCCCAGAGAGAATGCTAAACATTGTTTACCTTTGCTGTCAACTCACCTTGCTGGTCACACAGAGGCCCCTCCAGTGGGCATCCTGGAGCCCCCCTGTTCTCTGTGGTCTCCTCTTGCTCTTCTCTTTCCCTGCTTCAAAGCTGACCCTCCAGGACGCAGGCTCCATTCCAGAATTTCCACATCCTACTCTGGCTTTCTTAGGTGTCCCGGCTTCTTCCCGGTAGCGCATTTACATGACAAACACATCGTTCTTCTGTTAATATTGACCTCTTCTCAGAGCAGAGCTCCTATGCTCTAGTAAGCTAGCAGTCTGGCACTTTATCCACTTTACTAAAGAACCCCGTCCCCTGAGTTGAAAAGTAAATACAGTGGGAAGAAAAAGAGTATCCCATTATTCCATGAGAACAACGCCCACTTGTTGAGCATTTACCACAAAGCGCAGCCTGTATGAAGTGCTACGCCAGTGTTGTCTCATTCATGACCTGTGATGGGAGGATGACTATTCCCATTGGACAGATGATGATGTTGAGATGTAACAGGTGAAATAATTTGCCTGAGGCGTCATAGCTATTATGTGGCAGAGCTAAGACTTGAACCCAGGTGTTTGGAGGCACACCTAAAGAAAAGCCGCCGAGTCATCTTTTAAAGGCCAGGAGGCAGTGAGGGAGGCTCCACCCCAGCTGTCATCCCTGCCTCCTGGCCTGTCCCTGAGAAGCTCTCCACACAGGTCCCAGGCTCTCT
Organism: Homo sapiens; assembly: GCF_000001405.40. Classification (NCBI taxonomy): domain Eukaryota; kingdom Metazoa; phylum Chordata; class Mammalia; order Primates; family Hominidae; genus Homo; species Homo sapiens. The sequence goes on along the minus strand of NC_000014.9, from coordinate 89,139,595 downwards.
CTCACCTGCAGGCTTAGCCCTGCCCCACCTACTGCCCAGTGTTGGCTGAGGCGGCCACTGTTCTGCTGCCTGAGCCCCTTCATTTGCAGAGACTTCATGCCATCACTCCCTGGGCCTGGGAGGTTCTTGATGTCTGCCAAGGGACCAGGACTGTGCCCTGACCAATGAGCAGGTCTCGAGCCAGAAAGATGTTTTGCCACCTTCCTCAGGAGCCCCGCGCTGTGGGGAGGAGCCTCCGTGACGCATTCCCGGGATCACACCAGGCCAGGCCAAACAAGAACACAAAGCCCCACAGGTCTATGTCCACGGATTCTGGCTGAGTCCCTGCCAAGACCCCCCCTGATGACTGGAGTGTTTTTAAAGCTGCCCCCCAACTTCTGTGTTCAAGAGTGGTTGCAGGAATGGGGAGGAGCCCCACTCAGGAATCCGGAGGTCCAGACTAGCTCTAGGAGCAGCCCAGAGGTTTTTTTTGTGGTTACTGCCTGGGACCCCTGCTGAGGAGTGGCTATTCCTGACTGGCTCAGCTGCTCTCAGCACATGCCCGTGGGCACACCTAGGCTTCCCTCCCACCGAGGGGCAGGCGGGAGTCCTGTGAGCTGGAAGGACAGTGCACGCAGGGCAATCCCACAGTGGAGTCGAAGCTGTCAGTGTCCTCCCAGGCCCGCTGGCATTCACATTGCAATACCTGCCAAAGGACTGCCCACCACACAGCAGGCTACCTAAAGGCCTTTCCCAGGTGGGCCAGGAGAGCAGAGAAGCCCCACTCCCCGCAGCCTTCAGCCAAGGAGAGATGGAAGCTGGAGTTTCATAATCCCAGCCCCCTCCACCTTCTAGTGAAACACTTCTGAGATATGTGCTACAACCCTGCTACTCAAAGTGTGGTCCAGGGACCAGCAGCACTGACATCACTAGGAGTTTGTTAGACATGCAGAGTCTTGGGCCCCACCCTGAGCTTCTGGATCAGAGTCTGCATGTTAACAGCATCCCAGGAGCTTCGAGTGCGTGTTCAGCTTTGAGAAGCACTGCCCCATGCTGTTTTCCAAAGGTTCCAGGAGGAATAAAGACCCCATTGCCCATAGTAGCAACCTGTTCCACATCATACCTTTTACATGCTTCCTGCACTTTCCTGTTTCTCCACCTACCCACCTTCCCCAACTCAGTGCTTCCTGGGATCCCCTCCCAATTAAACTACACCGTCTCCAGGTTCATTCCTGGGGGAACCAACATAAGATCCGTGGTCTCTTTGGGACAAAGTATTGGATCTACTGCAAAGCCCAGTCCACCCCTTGCACACTATGCAATGCTGCACAAGAGAAATAAGGAAAATACTAGTATTTAGTTCTCAGGGTCCCTTCGAGGATGAAATGAGACCATTCTTGTGAGGAGTTTGCACAGTGGCTGGCACATGGTAGCCCTTCTATAAATGTTAGCTGTTGTTACTCTCCCGCTTCTGCTTCCAAAGCCACCTTAGTCCCCTGTGCCCTGTGAGTATGCAAACATCCAGGTCGTGCAGGAAGAGTGACATACAGGTTCAAAAAGGGCTTGAATCCAGCTGTGTCTGCAGTTGGCTGTGTGCACTTGGACCTACAATTTCACCCTTCTGAGCCTCAGTTTCCACACCTGTGAAATGGGAATATAAAGACCAATCTCACAGGCCATTTTAAAGAAGAAATTCAACAATGTATAGAAAGCACCTGACTCTGAGTCGGGTATACAAGTGGGTACCCAGAAGATATTTGTTGAAAGGAAAGCTGGAGGGACAGAGTTCTGAGCAGTCTGCTGGAGTGGCGGTGCCTCTCCCAGCCCAGGCCATGACTCCAGCATGACTCACCACCCCTAAACCTCAAACTTGGGCCTGGCCCTTTGCCCACTGGTGCGGCCCTCGGTGTGGGTCACCCCAGTGCTGCCTTGGCCTGAGCAAACAGGAAGAGCCAACAGGCAAGAAGGCCTGGCCTGCTGCCACTCTGAATGAGGCTCAACTTCTTGCTTCGTGCCCAGCCAGAAAAGAATGTTATTCCATGAGCCCAAATCCCTCACTGGGCAAGGCTAGCAAGAACAACTGAGGCACTGCTAGGTTTTGCAGGAGTATTGGGTGAGGGGCACCAGAATAAGGGATTATATTGAAAGGGAAAGTGTGTTCTCAGGGCATCTCCCCAACCCCTAAGGAGGGAGGGAGATTCTCCTTTGAGGGTAAATGGAGGCACAGGCCTGCTGCCTGGGAAGCAGATCTTAGCATCAGCACCAGCTGGGCAGGCCTCAACATCACCATGCGAAGCTGTTTTCTTGGAAGGGACTGCAAAATTAAAGGAAGACCAGTGATGTTTATATGCTGCTTTTAATTTTACAAAGGATTGTGTTATTCATTAGCTTATCATCTTGTCCCCTGTTGACAAGTGAGGGGAACTGAGTTCTAGAGAGGTAAATAATTGCCTTCAGTCATTTGCAAGAAGCTGAAATTTCACATCATGGATTCACAGTTCTGTGAATTCTCTACTCCAGAAAATAGACAATTTAAATGGCAGGAGAAAGAGATCCTCTGCTTTAGTGTTTAAAGTTATTTTTAAAGTAAAGGATAAGGTCTTTTATATTTGTTCAGACAGATAACATTTCTAATGCTCTTTATTTCTTGGTGTTTCCATCTAGTATCATTTTTCTTCAGTGCAAAGGACTTTAATATTTCTTGTAGTGCGGGTTTGCTGGAGATGAATTCATTCAGCTTTTAGTTTGTCAGCTTTCACTTTTGAAAGATACTTCTGCTAGGTATAGAATTCTAGGTTGACAGCTTTTTTTATTTCAGGATTTTAAAGACACATCTGTCTTGTCTTCTAACCTAACACTATTTCTGGTGAGAAATCTGCTGTCATCCTTTCTTTTGCCCCTCTGTATGTAAAGTGTACTTCCTCCCCCTACCCCGACTGCTTTTAAGATTTTCTCTTTACTACTAGTTTTAGGCAATTCAATTTTTCATGTGCCTTGGTATCATTTTCTTCCTGATTTTCGTGCCTGGAATTTCCTAGGCTTCTTAAGCCTGAATTTATAGTTTTCTTCAAATTTGCAAAAGTTTTGGCCATTACTTCTGCAAATATTTTTTCTGTTCCTACTCATTCTTCTTCAGGGGCTCCAGTTACATATATATTAGGCTGCTTGAAGTTGTTCCATAGCTCACTGATCGCTTTGCTCGTTTTGGGGCGTCATTTTTCTCTCTGTTTCACTTTGGATAGTTTCAATTGCTGTCTTTAAGTTTATTAGCATTTTTCTGCAATGTTTAATCTGTTGTTAATCCTGTGCAGTGTATTTTTATTGCAGACATTATCTTTTTCATCTCTAGTTGTTTTATTTGGTTCTTGTTTTAATGTTTTCTGTGTCTCTCTTCAGCATGCTCATGCTTTTGCCCACCTTCTTGAGCATATGGAAAACAATTATAATAACTGGCTTAATGTCCTTTTCTACTAATTATATTATCTGTGTCATGTCTGAGTCTGTTTCTACTGATCAATTTTTCTCTTCATTTGGGGCATGTTTTCCTGCTTCTTTGCACGCCTGGTAATTTTTTTTTACTGAATACTAGGTGCTGTGTTGTTGGATGCTGGATATTTTTGTTTCCCTTCAAATATTCTTGACATTTGTTCTGGTAGGCAGCTAAATTTCTTCAATCCTTTTGAGGCTTGCTTTTGAGCTTTCTTAGGTGGGACCAGAGCAGACTTTAGGGATAAAGTTTTCTTATTATTGAAACAATACCCTTCTGTATATTTTGTATATTATGACGTTTTTCTATTCCGGCTGGTGGGAACATGAACTATTCCTAGCCCGAGTGAGTCCCAGGGATTATTCAGCTTGCTCCTTTTTGTTGGTTCTTTTTCCTGCTCGGGTAGTTTTCTCACATGCATGCACTTGCACTGGTCAGTAGCCAATCAAGGGGAACCCTCTGCAGATCTTCAGAACTTTCTCTCTGTGTAGCTCTTTCTTCTCTGTGCAGTGCTCTTCTCTAAGGCATCCTGCCTTGTAAATTCTAGCTTCCTTGGCCTTCTCAAATTCTCAACTCTGTCTCGTCAACTCAGGAAGACCATCAAGCTCTCTTTGGGTTCTCCCTCCCTGTTCTGTAGCCTGAAAATTACTTCCCCTGTTTCCCTTCCCCTGGGGATTACTTTCTGTATTATCTGTTTTCTAATATCTGAAAGGTATTGTTTCATATGTTTTGTCTAGTTGTTTAAGGCAGGAGAGTAAATCCAATCCCTATTACTTCATCATGGTTCAAATATAAGTCCTTATACATTTTTTAATTAAAAAATATTTTATTGTAGTAACATACATAAAATTTACCATTTTGATCATTTTTAAGTGTACAGTTCAGTGGCATTCATTACATTCCCTCTGCCTTAGTTTTAAGTGAAAAAATGTGTCATTTTTCGTCTAACCATTATTAAGCACTTAGCACCGAGTGTTGCAGTAGATAGTGATTACACTCATCTTACAGACAAGGAACATGAAGCTCAGAAGGGAACTTGCCCAAGATCTCAGTGTCGTTGATATGGTCAGAATTTAGTCCTACTGAACCATGCTATGAACTTCATTGAGAAAGGATCCTGAAATCACACCACCTTTACTTGTCTGTAAGGACTTCCACTGCAAGCCTACCTCTTGACCTGGAGCAGACATTCCAGAAATCAGCACCCCAGTTTCCTCCTTTGCAGGAGCAAATTCACCCAGATACCAGAGGAACACCGGGCTTAGAGCCAGGCCCATATCTGAGTGGCAGTCTCTGCCACCTGTGAGGCAGGACACAGCTAGCCCAGGCCTGGTGCACAGATCCAGAGAGGAGCTCCACCCTCACTGTGTCATGCAGAGAAGGAGTGTGCTAGGGGTCTGTGTGCATGTGGAGACCACAATTCACAGTCCGCCACTCAGAGTTAAATGTCAGCTTCATTTGCTTCACTGGCTTATCTTAAATTACAATTACAAATCTTTGAAATCCCTTTTAAACTTCCTACCAGCTCCAAACAGGCACGTTAGCAGCCATTGATCCAGCACATCGGGGATTCTTCGCTTCAAGGAGTGGATCCCTTTTCGTCAGTGAATGAAAACAAGACTCTTGCCTCAAATATTCTGACAGCCTCTTTGCAAAGGCTGTGGGTCATTTACTCCCAGCCTCCACAAGAAAACCCTAGAAGCACATCCCTTTGTATGGTTTGAGTTTGTGTCGAAGGCACTCTAAGCATCCCAAGTGGGTTTTTATTAGTTATTTCTTACTAGCAGCCTATCAGGTGTGGAGCGTTTTATAGATGCTCCTTTTATAGACGGGAGTATCAAGGACATGGGATGCTCGCTGTCTCACAGCCTCTCCCACTCAGCAAATCAGGGCTTGCTCCTGGACTGGGCTGCTCTGCCCGCTGTGTAAGTAGCCCTCTTAGCCCTGCAGGGCTGGACAGGGCTTCTTGGTCCTTGCTTTTCTCCTTTGTCTGGGACATGGAGCCTAATATGCACTTGAGTAAAGATAAGCAACCCTGATCACCGTCCCTTCATCTTCAAATAGTTGCAATTTTGTGATTCCCAAGCCATCTTGAGGATGTTCCTGCAGTGGTGTGGGAGGAGGTAAGTAGGCCAACTTTACCTCCCAGTATTCGGCACAGATTCAGCATAAAACTCAGCCCCAGAGAGACCCCAGACAAGAGAACAAGAGTTCGTTTTTCCAGGGTACAGTTAAAACTACTCATTTGGTCAAATGATTTTTTTAAAAAAGATCTAGGAGGGGGCAGTTCTGGGACGCAAACTTTTCTGAGTTCATCGTTGTCTTGGTGCTTTGGTGTGGCTTGGGGAATTGGATCTGATTTTACCTGTCGGCAATGATGGAGAATCTGAGGGGCTTTGGAGCCATCGTGCTGAGCAGCAGCTCTTTGCTGACCGTTAGGGTGGAGGGGCTGCTGATATGACAGCCCCACCTGGAGTCAAGAAAGGAAACCAACCAGGGGACAGTGGCATTCCCTGAATACTGGGCACTCAGAGTCAAGGCCAGCTGTCTGGGTGTGTGATCTGTCGAGTTGCAGAGGGCCCATGCTCAAAGGCACCCCTACTTGGTTTAGTGCTCGACTGTTGCCATCTTGAAATTCTTCCTCATTTTTGAACAAGAGGCCCTGGACTAGGACCTTGAAATTATATAGCCAGTCCTGCCTGGAACAGATCATTCATTAACTACTGCCCTCCTCTCTATATGGCAACAATATATTGTATTTTCTGTAACAATCATGAAATGAAACAAATAATAACAATGGCCAGAAGAGAAATGTAGTCATTGAAAACATTCTTTATTAAACTTTGTATATAGAATATATAGGTTTAAAGATTTTAAAAATAAAATAATGGTTATGGCACACATAAAAAAGCTCAACTAAATATTCAACAGTTGTTTATAGTCTGATTGTCTTAGTCTGTTTGGACTGCTATGACAAAATACCATAGACTGGGGCTGAGCCCGGTGGCTCACGCCTGTAATCCCAGCACTTTGGGAGGCCAAGGCAGGCAGATCACCTGAGGTCAGGAGTTCGAGACCAGCCTGGCCAACATGGCAAAACTCTGTCTATTCTAAAAATACAAAAAAAAAAAAAAATTAGCCGGGCATGGTGGTTTGCACCTGTAATCCCTGCTACTCGGGAAGCTGAGGCAAGAGAGTCACTTGAACCCAGGAGGCGGAGGTTGCAGTGAGCTGAGCATGCCACTGCACTCCAGCCTGGGCCACAGAGTGGGACTCCATCTCAAAAAAAAAAAAAATACTGGATTAGTTATGAACAACAAATGTTTATTTCTCAAAGTCTGGAGGCTGGGAATTCCAAAATCAAAGTGCTGCTAAATTTGGTGTCTGGTGAGGGGGCTCTCTTCATCATTCGAAGAGGTTGTCTTCTCTCTGTGTACTCACCAATGGAAGGGGCAAGGCAGCTCTCTGGATTTTCTCTAACAAGGGCGCCAGTCCCCCATGAGGGCTCCATTCTCCGACCTAATCACCTCCCAAAGGCTCCACCTCCTAATACTATCACCTTGGGAGTAAGAATCTCAACATATGAATTTTAGGGGGACACATACTTTCAGATCATGGCAGTGATATAATAGTATTTCATGAAAATAATTATTCAGTAATTAATAACTGTTCAGTGATGTTTCATTTTCTTGACTAGCTCTTTAGTCTTTAAACTACCAATCATTTTAAAAGAAGAACAAACTTCAATCTTAGAGATCATATATATATATATTTTTTTTGAGACAGAGTCTCGCTCTGTTGCCCAGGCTAGAGTGCAGTGGCACAGTCTCAGCTTGCTGCAACCTCCACCTCCTGGGTTCAAGCGAGTCTCCTGCCTCAGCCTCCTGAGTAGCAGACTACAGGTGTGCGCCAGCACGCCCGGCTAATTTTTGTATTTTTAGTAGAGACAGGGTTTTGCTATGTTGGTCAGGCTGGTCTCGAACTCCTGGCCTCAAGTCATCCACCCGCCTTGGCCTCCCAAAGTGCTGGGATTACAGGCATGAGCCATCACACCTGGGCTTAGAGTTTTTTGTTTGTTTGTTTGTTTGTTTGTTTGTTTTTGTTTTTTTTGAGACAAAGTCTCGCTTTGTCACCCAGGCTGGAGTTTAGTGGCGCGATCTCGGCTCACTGCAATCTCCGCCTCCCGGGCTCAAGCAATTTTCCTGCCTCAGCCTCCTGAGTAGCTAGGATTACATGCGTGTGCCACCATGCCCGGCTAATTCTTGTATTTTTAGTAGAGATGGGGCTTCACCATGTTGGCCAGGTAGGTCTCGTACTTCCTGACCTCGTGATCTGCCCGCCTTGGCCTCCCAAAGTGCTGGCATTACGGGCGTGAGCCACCGCACCTGGCTAGAGATCATATTTAAATTCAACAAAATATTTCGAGCACAAACTAAAATGTGTATTTTCAAAACACCTCCCAGTTTGCATGTTGTTTCATTTTAAATTTGGACATAAATTAAAACTTCAAGGGGTCACATGGGATGAAGTCATTCAAGTTCTCTTTCTTTGTCGTTGCAATCACCATGCTGTCATCATGTATTTCAAATCATTGTTTATTTCATATTTCTGTTTAAACACAACCATCTGTGGTACCACAGAGGGTGGGGATATGAATGTGCCCCAAGTAAATTCAAATGATTTCAAGCCATTGTGAACTTAACCTTGAAAATCACCTGAGTAGCTGCTTCACCAGTGTCCCGTACTGGGAGCAACCACATTCACTGGGAGTTTCCAGATTAACTCCCATGCAGAATGCGATTTATATTAAAGGATGTCATAAAGATGCACTAATGTTAAGGTTACATCTGTCTTATTAAAGTTCAGCAATAACCACAGAAACTGTTTAGAGCTTAAACCAAAAGAACATGTTTTTGAGGAGTGTTTATCACCAGCGATGTTTACTATTGCTCACATATGGTGCTAATAAAAAGCAGACAAACTAAATTCAGTAGGTTTTGTTCTTGTTTTTAAGTTCTTCACAGAGAATGCACTCTCTGATTGCTGGCATGCAGGCAGATGTATACCACTGCCAGTAGATACTCTTTTTATTTTGCCATCAAAAGTCACACATTATTTTTAATGGTAATTCTAGCCTGAATTGCTAAGAATTTAAGGTTGCTGGTAGAAATACAATCTTTGGGTAGGACAATGTGGCAGAATGTTGAAAGTGCATGTCTTGGCCAGGCATGGTGGCTCACGCCTGTAATCCCAGCACTTTGGGAGGCTGAGGCAGGCGGATCACGAGGTCAGGAGATTGAGACCATCCTGGCTAACATGGTGAAACCCCGTCTCTACTAAAAATACAAAAAATTAGCCGGGCGCGGTGGCGGGCGCCTGTAGTCCCAGCTACTGGGGAGGCTGAGGCAGGAGAATGACGTGAACCCGGGAAGCGGAGCTTGCAGTGAGCCGAGATTGCGCCACTGCAGTCCGCAGTCCGGCCTGGGCGACAGAGTGAGACTCTGTCTCAAAAGAAAAAAAAAAAAAAAAAAAGAAAGAAAGAAAGTGCATGTCTTTTGACTAGGAATTTTGCTTCAAGGATTTTAGTCTAAATAGATGTAGGTATATTCAAAGATTTAGCAAGATATTCATCATAGTATCACTTATCATAATGAAAAGTGGAAATAAATTATGGTACGTCCATGCATTAGAATATGTAACAGTCATATGAAACAATGTTGTTTAAGAGTATTTAATGAGGCCAGGCGCGGTGGTTCATGCCTGTAATCCCAGCACTTTGGGAGGCCAAGGCTGGCGGATCATGAGGTCAGGAGCTGGAGACCATCCTAGCCAACATGGTGAAACCCCGTCTCTACTAAAAAATGCAAAAATTAGCTGGGCATGGTGATGTGTACCTGTAATCCCAGCTATTCAGGAGGCCGAGGCAGGAGAATCGCTTGAACCAGGGAGTCAGAGGTTGCAGTGAGCTAAGATCATGCCACTGCACTCCAGACTGGTGACAGAGCGAGACCCTTTCTCAAAAAAAAGAAGTATTTAATGTTATGGAAAATTTATAATATATTCTTAAGTGAAACAGGTTACAAAACACAATGTCATATGACCCCTCTTTTAAAATATATATATATATTATATATATATATATATATGTATGTAGTATATACCACCCATTTCCCAGCTGGAGCACAAAATAAGTTTGCATTTTTAAAATATCCAAATTCTTCCAAACTCCCCACCTCAAAGATGACAGAAAATCCATTCTTCTTCCAGTTTCCACCCAAGGTCATTCTGGGAAGCACTGGGGAATGCTTGACCATTTCGCAAACCCGACCTGCTTGCTGTTACTTCCTCTAGCAGTCCTAGCTTGGCTGCAGTACAGTTCTGAAGGCCTGCAGGTCACCTCCGGCTGTCTTGGAGAGTAGCTTTCTTTTCTAGGCCACTTGCTACTTAGCTGCCCTAAACGCGCCTAAATCCCAGCTCAAATGTTTAGCAAATTTTTGCTGAATGCTTGGGGGAATAACACAGACTCAAGTACAGCGAATAACTTTGCATCTAAGGACTCTACATCCCTTTGGTACTCACATGCCCAAAACTATCCTTGCTCAGGGTCTGTGCTTGGAGCCTGAGAGGCCTCCACAGGGCAGGGACCAGGCCAGCCCTCCTCCAGACCCCAAGAGATGAGGTAGCCCTTTCCTGGTCCAAGAAGTGACCCTCACGCCTACTCAGGATGATTGAAAGAGGAATGATCTATTTCCTTTAGGGGAAACCCTCCCCACCTACCCACCTACCATGTCCATTCAGGCACTCAGGGTTTAGTTCGACACCTCTACCCTAGAACAAGCAAATACAGCAGTTGTCAGCCCAATTCCCAAATCCAGTTGTAAATACCCAACATAAGGAACACCAACAGGCCAACCCAAATTTTTGTTTAGATAAAAACTGTTTCTCTAACTCATGAAGAGCACAGTCAGACTAAAGAACAGCTCCGTTTCTGTTAGTAACTGTGTCAGACTAAACAGCTGTGGTCATATTTAAGGTGACTTTGCTATTTTCTCTCGGTATTGTAGGTAAGTCATTTACATTTGTGCAATTAAAAGAGCCCAGACTGAGGCTTTTTCTGAAAACAATAGAAGTCTGCCTCAAAAGAGGAATGATGTCTGTACCTCCAGAAACTGAATATTGTCGACACATTTCAAATATTATTACTCCAGTTACAAACTTCTGTGTGGAAGGGATCAACCCTTGCAGTCATCCTACCAGATGTACGTGTGTGTGTGTGTGCACGCATATATGTACATGTGTTTTGGATGCATTAAAGACTGGTAGCATGTGCACAAAAACATACTCGATGGCTAAATCACCGGGATGAGATCATAGGCAATGTTAATTTTCTATTTGCTTTTCGGAGCTTCTTTTTGCTTGCATTTTAGGATTAGTTTGAAAGTGGAACAGGCAAAAGGACGCACATGAAGTTGAGCTTTAGCACTTTTTGTCGTTTTTAAGCCTGTTACATTTTCTCTTGATCTTTCTCCTAAAAAACAAAGCCAAAAATGTCTGATTAATTAAGGTTTTCAGTTAATCGTGCTTTATTATGTATTTTACACATTTTCTAGACAATTGTTCATAAGCTGGCCTGGTGCAAAATGGCAGATGGGGCCTGCCTAATCACAGAGAAGAGGCTGATTAAAAGAACAGGATTGAAGAGCCAAGGTGTTCATTTAGAACGATGTGATTTGGAATCTGAAGGGTTTGTTTTAAACTCTTCAGTTTCATTTTAGCAAATGGTGACTGGAAATTAGTGATATTTATTTAAAACTACACTAGAGTCTGATCCCCCAGGGGCACCTTGATTAACTTGTCTAAAGTTCACTCTGTGGACTCAAATCTCATTTTTAAAAAATATTAATTTTAAAACTTTAAAGCAATTGTTTTTCTCTATGCTTGAGCAGTTTCCCATCTGTCAGGTGGCAAATGGGCTGGTGCTTTTTTAAAACATTTTTTAAAATTTCAAATTACCAAAGTAATACATATTCATTGACGAAAATATGATAAATACAGAAGAGCCCAAAGAAAAACACTCATCTATAATCTCACCCTGCTGTTCATGAGAAAGCTGCTCATTTAAGATATGCACCTCCAGCCTAATACACATACACAAACACACTCCTACACATATACACATACACGCATACAGGCATGCAAATGCATGTACCCAGACACGTTACAAGTATACAACAATAGGATTGTGCTGGGCACACGGCTTTGTAATCTGCACATTGTTACTTACCAATATGGTATAAACATGTATCTTTAGATATTCTTATTTAATATATTTTAAAGGCTGCACTGTGTTCCATCATATTGTTGGATATTTAAATTATTTCTAATTCTTTGCTATCATAATGAAAGATTCAGTGTGCATTTTTTTGTTATATATTCCTCATTTCCTTAAAATAATTTCCTGAAGTAGAATTGCTTAAACAAAGGACATGTGTTTTTCCAAAGTTTTTGTTACATATTGACATGTATTCCTCCAGAAAATTTGTACTGATGTACACTTCTTGAAGCCAAATATAAGAGCACTGGTTTCCCCTACACATATACCACAATATTGAGTACGCTAATGTTTAAAAATATCTTTGGTTAATGGGATAAAACATTAATATGTTAACATGTGCTTCTGACTTCACAGGCCTAGACAAGAAATTATAATACTATCAAAGTATGAGGCACTCTCACGTGGCTATCTCACTCCCTGATGCTTGAAGCTGCTCCTTACCCTACATCTCACTATATCACTGTCTGAGCAGCAGCAATTCTGGAAAAACAGCAAAAAAAAGATAGATAACAAATATGTGTGTGCATATATGAATACACATAAATATTCAGATTCCGTTAAAATATGTATTTTATGTACATACACTCATACTCACCTACCCCCAGAATATATAAAAATCATAACCAAAATATTAACATTAGTTATCTTTGGGGGGTGGGATTACAGATTTTTTTATGGCTTTCCTTTTACTTTTTGATGTTTTCAAATTTTCTACAGTGACCATCTATTACTTTTGAAAATATATGCACTCAAACAATAAATGATATTTTTGTTTTCTAAACAAACAAAATTCATACTGGTGTTCTAGGTAGTAGCTTAGCACCTGCTGTTGTTCATCTCTCTGTCCCCTTTCTTACCCCACGTGGCCCTCAGGTTTGGAAACCAGTGTGGGGAATTTGGGGCTCAGTCATTAAAGGACCCAGATACTGGAACCAGCCTGTAATTAACCATCTGAAGCAAATCTCTGGGCTCCAGTTTCCTCATCTTTGAAATAAGAAATTAGGGATGGCATTAGGTTTCAGCTCAAGCATCAGCTCTGCTGTAGTGGTGCACTGTGTTGAGAATATTTTGAAAGCTTAGTCCAAAACGGAAGATGGAAAGTTGGAAAGACATCTATGATTGACTATTAATGTCTGTCACAGGAATAAGAGCGGAAATCCTCCAGTCGTGAGCAACATAGCTGCGGTGCCTTCCTCAGCCATCTCTAATATCCCTTTCCAATCTTAAATTTGACTTTCTTGTGCTTCCTTATTTATCTTGCCTTTCTCTATTTCATTTTCCTCTTTCTAAATGCTTCACTTCTTAAAGATTATCAGAATTTTTTTTTTTTCTGCTGCCCAGACTGGAGTGCAGTGGTGTGACCTCCTGTGCTCAAGTGATCCTCCTGCCTCAGCCTTCCAAGGATCTGGGACCACAGGTGTGCACCACGAGGCCCAGTTAGCTTTTTAATTTTTTGTAGAGATGGGGGTCTCACCTTGTTGCCCAGGCTGGTCTCAAACTCGTGGGCTCAAGCAATCCTCCTGCCTTGACCTCCCAGAATGTTGGGATTACAAGCATGAGCCACTGCACCTGGCCAGAAATGTAATTTGGTTCAATAAATATTTGCTCTAGGAAATGTAAAGGTAAATGGGATTTGGTCCTTACTCCTGAGGAACCCCCAATCTTGGAGGTGCTAAAGTAGGGAATCCAGAACAGCATTTCACCAGAAGATTTTCTTGGATTGTAAAGGATGCTCAGCCTAGTGATGGCTAAGGGGCTCATCCGAAGGAAAAGGACAAGGATGCAGGGAGCAGGTGCCTTGGAAAGAAAGGCCACTGTGCAGAGGAGGGAGGGGAGAGTCTGACTGGCTCTGAACACATCCTTGCAGGTGGCCCAGTTCTGCCTCATCTGTCTCCAGTCGCCTGCATGGGATCCCTCAGGGCTGGCCAGCAGGGAGCTGGTTGTGCATCAGGATAAGCATTTGCTGCCTTGCTGGGGTTTTGCTAGTATTAGACAAATGCAGAAGGCAGACAGTTGGGAGGGGGAAACTAGGTAGGTTGATGGTGGTCACAGGATCCTTTCACTGTGCAATGAGTGGTGTTGAGTTAGATGCCCTCATCCCAAGGAGCATAGAGCATTGACCCAGGGACATGAGCTATCAAAAGGCTGCCCGGGCTCCAATCCCAGCATCTCCACTTACCATCCATGTGATCTTGGGCAAATTAATAAGTCTCTTTGCCTCGTTTTCTCATCTGTTAAGTGGGAATAATACGATTACTGAGCCTCCTAGGGTTTGTATGAGCATTAAATGAGCTAATGCATACTCAATACTTATTCCTTGAATGTTGAATGAATAGGTCTATGTCTCCCTCCAGACAAAGTGTGTATACCATGATTCATCTTTGTGACTCTAGCAGCCAAACATACATTGTGCCAGAACTTTCAGCTACAAGCATTTTCCTCCACCTTCCTCTTTTGGGAGAAAGACGTGAGTAATAAAATGTGCAGATATGTGGGATTTGGAAACGAGAGGAAACTTCCTATGGACTGCCAGTCAGTAGAAGTTCACCTAATCTTGTCTCTTCTCAGGCAACAGTTCTGTGGAGAGCATCATAATTCAGAGGACATGCAGGAACCTCAGCCAACAACACAAACTTCAGGACCAAGCATGATGTTAACATTTTCAATAGCAGGGCTTGTAGGGGGCAGGAAGAAGAGGAGACAAGAAGTCAAGACTCCTAATCTCAGCTCCGCATGAATGGAAAAACCTCTTTATGCTTCTGTTATTTTCTTCCATAAAAGTAGATTGGGGAAAGAGTATAGTTGTTCTTCAAAAAGTAAATATAAAACTACCATATAACCTAGCAATTCCACTCCTAGGTATATACACAAAAGAATTGAAAACTGATACTTAAACAAACATATATACATGCATGTTCATAGCAGCACTATTCCCAATAGCCAAAAGGTGGAAACAACCCAAACATCCCTCAGTGGACAAATGGATAAGCAAATTGTGGTACTTCCTTGCAATTGAATATTATTCAGGTATTGAAAGCAATGAAGTACTGATGCATGCTACAACCTGGATGGACCTCAAAAACATTATGCTAAATGAAAGAAGCATAGGTCACATGGTACATGATTCCAATTATATGAAATGTCCAGAATAGATAAGTTCATAGAGACAGAAAGTGTGTCGGTGGTTGCCACAGGTTGGGGGAGAAAGAAATGGGGAGTAACTGCTTACTGGGATAGTTTTCTCTTGGGTGATAGAAGTATTTGGAACTTGATAGAGGTGGTGGTCACACAACATTGTGAATGTACTGAAGGCCACTAGATTGTTCACGTTAAAATCATTCATTTTATGCTATGTGAATTTCACTTCAACAACAAATAAAAATTTTAAAAAGTAAATTATAGGGTAGGGAGAAAATAGGTTATATACAATTGGAGGGATGTCGGATTTCAGAAATGACTTTCCTTTCACCACGAGATAGCCTCTCCCATGTGGATGATGAGCTTGGATCTTTCTGCCTAGACTCATCCTCTGAATCAAGGTGTCTAAGGATTTAATCTGCCAGACCCCAGGGTGCAGAGGGTGGAGCCTCAAGGCTAGTGCAGGAGAAAGGTACCAATGCCCCAGGCCAGACGTTACAGTCTCTCTGCCTTATGGAATTTCCTGGACCCTGTCCCAGTACTTCAGACCCCTGGCCTCAAGAGGTTTTAGTGTCATAGTGTTGTGTTGTCAAGTCCTTTGGCTCAGCCCTAACTTAAGAGCATGTTTCACTTCCTCATTAGTTTACAAATAGGGACTTATTTGTAGGTGTACCTGTAAAGAGAAGGTAAAATAAAAACAAAATTTAAAATAAAATCCAAATATTTATTTCTATAATTTGTTGTATTTTATATAATATTAATACATGTATTTTATTTTATAAGAAATAAAATATACAAAAAAGCAAATAAAAACTTCTGTCACATTGCAATCTTCCCACTGAGCAGTTTGTATTCATAAGCATTATTCTCACTGTAGGTCGAGTCACTGCAAGGGTTGTAGGGAGCAGAAGGGATTTCCAAGAAGTAAGAGTTGGCCCCCAGGCCCCTCCCTATCACCTGCTAACTGAAAATTGGTGGAACCATTTCTAACCCCTAGAGCGGTGGGCTCAACCTTAGCACACATGGGAAGCACCCAGGGAGTTTTAAAAAATACTAATGCCCAGGTGACTCGAACGTGTAGTCAAGGCTGCGAACTACTGGTCCCAGGCACCTCGGCCACTCTCAGGCTCAGCCTCAGGCTCAGGCAGATGTTCGTCATCATAGAAGGTAAGTGAGGAAGGGACCCTTATTTTGAAAGCGGTCTGTGTGGCCCATCTGTCTGTGTTGCACGGATTCCTAGAGTCCCTCTGCAGAGAAGACCTCGTCATGTGACCGAGATCAGTTGGGCACATGGCTGCTACGTCACTTTGCTCATGGAGGCTTCTATGAATAATGAAAAAAGGATGGAAAAAATGGAAATAGTTGTTCTCTCAAAAGGCTGAGAATATAGGGAGAGTTTTAACATTTTGAAATCATTTAAAGCTGATTCTAATACATTACAATGTAAATATCCACCACTGCCCTTCTTTTTAGGGAGTTCTTTTAGAGACTGTGAAATGTAAGTCAGTGCTGTCATCCAAGCTGGCTCTCCTCAGCTGACTTCTTTTCTAAAACCACTGCCATGGCAAACTTGTGGAGAGGAACACAGGGAACATGTTGGCGGGGTGGGGGCAGGTCTCTGGCTGCGGCTCCTCCACTTTGGCCATTGAGGAGACCTGGTGGGAGAAGGAGGGAAGATCAACCTGGCACATGGGTCTTTATTAGGGGAGTGAAAATGAGGTGCTGTAGGTTACAGATCGTCTGGGTCACAGTAATGTGTTCTGGTCATGGCGCTCCTTAGAAAAGACACAGGACAAATCACATGATGTGCCTGGCTTTCCTGTCCTCCTCTGAAAAATGGGGGAGGACATGGGGGAGCAGTAGAAATAGATGACACCTGAGGCTTCATTTAGTTCAGATATTCTGGGAAATGTTAAGTTTGAAAAGTAGGTCACTAACTGGCTGCTGGGAGGGAGAAGAAAGGAGACCGCTATTGAGGGAATAGTGTTCAAGAGGGTTTGGAGAAGGAACAGAGGAGGTCAGGTGGCACTTAGGGACACAAGGGTGCCTCTGGACAGAAGTGAGCCTGGACACTTGGCCAGCTCTGTCCCCAGTTTTCCCCATCACCTAGAGGCTGCCACTCAGATTGTTAGGCAGAAAATGGTGGCAGGAGCAGCTTCCTCTTCCCGGCTTCCCAGGGACATTGCTGTTGCCATGGTGATGGCTAGGCAGTGTGATGTGTGGCTTTGTGCTGTGACCACCTCCTTCTTTGTTCTCATTCGAACTATAGGCACTACCTCTGGAGCTATAAGAAAGGGCCCAAGTAGGGAATTTCTGTGCTTATTTGACTCACCTCAGGAGCAAATCTCTTTCTCCCCTACCATTGCTTTTACCCTGCAAGGGATTCAGTTTCCTGATTATAAGTTCTGAGGCACTTGGATCCTATTTCTTGAGGGAGGCAGAGACCAAAACCTTTGAAATATGAGACCCACTAAACGAGCACAGAATAGAGTTTGGTCTGTCCCTTTGTTCTGTCTCTGACAGTAGTAGCAAGAGATGCTTTATGGGAAGAACACAGTAGCTGCCTTCGGTGAAGTCAATTTCTAAAGGTTAGGGATGTGAGCCTCTTTGACTTGCCCTGTAATAACTCATTCTGGCTCCATCATTCATGTGAGCTCCTCTAAGCCCTTCTGGAACTTATTTATTCTTTCAGTCTTTATTGGATTCCAAAGGATAGAAGCAACCCCTGAGACTTGTGGTTGAGTTGTGCCCTCATCCATCAGCTGTGGACTCCAATGGTGAAGTAATGTTCTCTGTAGAAAATTATCTGCTGGGGTTCTTTTCTTGGCTCTGCCACTAGAAAGCTATGACCCTGAGTGAAGTCCTTCAATCTCTCTGAGCCTAGGTTTCCTAGCCTAGAAAACAGAAGTGGGAGCATCTGGCAATGCCTAGTTCATGGGGTGGCTGCATTCTGAAGGCAGGGACTGTACCCCATTCATCATTGCATCCCCAGGGCCTGACATGGTCCCTGGCACATCACAATAATTCAGTGAATGGCTGTCAAATGGAATAGATAAAAGCAAACAACATGAGGGGTGAAGCTTCTGAAACAGTTGGAGCTCTGGGTGGCAAGCGAGAAGAACCAACTCAAACTAACTAAAGTGAACACAGGGAGCTTCAAGTTCACATGGTTGGAAAGTCCAGGGGCAGAACTGCTCTCAGCCATGGCTAGATTCCAGGGACTCTGGGAAACTACAAGGGCACAAACCACTGGAGCCAAAAAATAATTTTCTTGTTTGGGGCACGTACCTCTTCAGGGACAGTTAGGAACTACATTCACATAAAGACACCTTGGTTTTTAATCCTGCCCTGCTCTTCCAAGTTAATAGACCTTGGGTGAGTTTTTATTTATTTATTTATTTATTTATTTATTTATTTATTTATTTATTTTTTCTAAGCCCTGGCTCTTACCTCTCTAAGACAGGGGTAAGAATATTTTCTTTGTGTAGGTTATGCTATGGTTTGAATGTTCATGTCCCCCCAGAATTCATATGTCAAAATCTTCATCCCCAAGGGGATGATATTAGAAGGAAGGGCATTTGGGAGGTGA
This sequence comes from Homo sapiens, assembly GCF_000001405.40. Taxonomy (NCBI): domain Eukaryota; kingdom Metazoa; phylum Chordata; class Mammalia; order Primates; family Hominidae; genus Homo; species Homo sapiens. The sequence goes on along the minus strand of NC_000014.9, from coordinate 89,121,067 downwards.
TTAAGCCATGAGGGCAGAGCCCTTAGGAATGGGATTAGTGCCCTTATAAAATAATAAAACCTCTGAGAGCTTGTTTGCTCCTTCTACCATGTAAGGACACAGTGAGAAGACGCTGTCTATGAACCAGGAAGCCAGCCCTCACCAAACACCAAACCTGCTGGTACTTTGGTCTTGTACTTCCCAGCCTTCAGAGCCATGAGAAATAAATTCCTGTAGTTTAGAAGCTATCCAGTCTATGGTATTTTGTTATAGCAGCTAGAATGGACTAAGACAGGGTAGCTGTAAAGTAAAGCTCAAAAGAGTTAAAATGTGAAAAATTATTAACAGCCTTAAAATGTAATTTTAAAGCAAAGTAAGTGGCATGCGTATTATTATTGTTTTAAGTAAGCATGAAAGCTTAAACTGTTTTGCAGGAATTCATTTTAGGAGGAGTGCTCAGGACATCTTTGTGTCAATCAATTCCTGTGCTGACTTAGATTTAGAATTTATTGAGTCTCTTACATGGATTATTGCATTTAGCCCTTACCTCACTCTATGTGATGGGTACTATTCTTAGGTTCTACTCTTAGAGGAGGAAACTGAGGCTTTCTGATGTAAGTCTCCAAGAACACAGTGGGTAGCAGAGGCAGGAGGACTGAAACTCCAGTCTGACTAAAGAGACTGCGTGTCATGCCTGAGGATGCTGTGCGTGTTCTGGAGGTTTCCTCTCCCACCATGGTGTGTCAGTGCAGGATAGGACTCAAAAATTGTAGAGCGCAAGTGCCCCATTGCACCAAGGCCCAGTGGAGCCAGGACTTTGCCCCAGCTTTCTGATTTCTGTTCTGCATCTACAAAGAGCTTCTAAGAGGAAGCCACAGAAAACTTAACCAAAGGGATGCATTCAAAGAGAGCTCACAGAATTGCTGGAGTGCCTGGAGAACCAGGCTGGGGTCATGCACACAGGAGCAGTGCCCCAATCGTGCTGCAGAACTGGCCTGCAGGACACTCCCTCCACCACTACTGAGCACCATACACAATACTGCCACCAGCACCAGATGCCACCCCTAGCTTCAGGCCACTGTCACTGCCCCCTGCTCCATAACTCCATCTTGCTGCATCTTCTACCATTCCTGCTTCTTTATGTTGCTAACCCTGGATGCAAACTCTGGTTAAGTACATCTGATGGGTGGAGCCTCTCTCATGTGCCCATGTCCTAGCTGCAAGGGAGGCTGGGAAAGCAAGTGTCTGGCAATTTCTGCTTTTAAAGTGAGAGCCAATGACACCACCCACCAATACTCAAAAAGGTGGTGAGTTTCCCAAAGCCTGAAAGGGGATTTGATGGCCAATACGAATGTTCTTGAAACTCTGAATGAGAGTTTCAGGAGATACTGGTTCACTTTCCCACCTTCACCCCTACCCAAGGAGCCAACAAACAAAGCACTCAGTCCCTTTCCTGCTTCCCCCTAGTTGGGGCATGTGTCCTCCTCTGAGTTTTCTGAAGTCTGTTGTTCTCAGCTCAGCTCCAATGGAAGGCAAATCTGCAGACTCTATACTGGGTCTGATTCACGGGCATATGGTGCTGTATCATGTTGTTATAACATAAATAAAAATATTTTACATGGAAACTTAAGGGAGGGAGGCTTCCGGAGCCCCCACGCTCTGTCAGCTGCCTCAGGCTGTGAAAGGAAGAATGTGTTTGAGATGCAGACCGCCTCCATGGGATGTTTGCTGAGGAGGCCACTTCTCCTCACTTCCTTCTCCCACCCCAGCCCTGTCCTCCAAGGTAATCGGGTTTGACTTGGAAAGAAAAAGGCATGAGGCTACCTGGATTTCATACAGAGAATTCAGCATTGAGGGGTAAACTTTTGGAACCCATGAGGAGAGAGAACTGCAAGGATAGAGGAAAGTGTGGCTGTCGGTAGGTGGAGGGCTCCTCTCCCATGGCGATATGGTTTAGCCATGTCCTCACCTAAATCTCATTTTGAATTGTAGTTCCCATAATCCTCATGTGTCGTGGGAGGGACCAGGTGGAGATAATTGAATCACGGGGGTGGTTTCCCCTATCCTGTTCTGGTGGTAGTGAATTAGTTCTCACGAGATATGATGCTTTTAAAAGGGGCTTCTCCCTTCGCTGGGCACTTATTCTCTCTCCTGCCGCCCTGTGAAGAGGTGCTTTCTGCCATGATTGTAAGTTTCCTGAGGCCTCCTCAGCTATGCAGAACTGTGAGTCAATTAAACTTCTTTCCTTTATAACTTACCCAGTTTTGGATATGTCTTTATTAGCAGCGTGAGAACAGACTAATGTACGTGGTCAGCTGGTCTTTGTACTACGTCAGGGCATGATGGCATAGAGAGTTTTCTGCTCCTTTAAAGGAGATGAGTTTGTGGCCCACCTGATTTAAAGATTTTAAGTAGATTCACTTGAGTGATATTTACAACTTGTCAGAGGCCTCCCTCATCTGACATCTCATTGACTGCTACCACACGGCCAGGTAAGCATCATGACTTGGCATCGTAAATGGGTAAATGCAGCAGAGAGGTGAAACGATGATCCCATCACACGGCTGGTTGATGTTGCAAAGACAGAAACCCAGGCTGTCTTGACTCCCAGGCCAGAGTTATTTTAGACCAAAGATTTTGAGTCAGAGGAGGCTTAGGCTCCCTCTCATTTTACAATAGAGATAACTATAGCCCAGGTTGGTTAAATGACTTGCAGATGTTCCCACAGATAGGTAGTGGCTGAATGGAGACCAGAACTGATGCAGAGTATGGCTTTGAGAATCAGGGAAACAGGGGTTCAAATCCTGCCTTTACTCCCTTCCCAACCAGCCCACCCCTGGAAAATGGGCACAGTTGTATTCATTTAATAGCATTACTTTAACAATTAAATAAAATATGAGGTTGGTGCAAAAGTAATCATGGTTTTTGCCATTAAAAGTAATGGCAAAAACCCGCCATCACTTTTGCGTCAACCTAATAAAAGCGTTAAACTCCCAGAGCACTAGCTAGCACACAGTAGGCATGTGACACACGTTACTTCCTCTCTTCCCATCCATCCTGGACTCCTAGTCCAGGCTCCTGCTGCAGACTCAGATGACTGTCCTGATATTAGTGATGCCGCCTGTCTCCTGCCTCGTGGGGGCCGTCCGGTCAGCCCCCTCATTAACCACATTGACTTTGATTAAGTGCCAGCCTGTAATCCTAAAAATGTCACATTATTGAGGACTAATTGTTTCCCCCAGTCGCAACCCAGGAATCCATCCTCAAAACAGCCAGATAACCGAGATTGTCCTCTGGTGTCTTGTGTGTCAAGATTTTATAAGCAGAGATTGCCATCTTTAGTTTTCCCCAACTTCTCATTTTGGGGGATTATTTATGCTCACATCATCCAAATATGTGTCCCCTGCATTTCCAGGGTGGTGACTTGAATGACCGTCCCTCTTCCCTCCCTCCCACCCTCAATTTTTGGCTCTCTGATATCTCATTATATTCTAAAGAGCTATCTGCAAGGCAGGGCACCAGGATGCAATTAAATCTGCTTCTGTAGCAACACTGCTCTTAAGCAAAATATATTGATCGCCGAAGCTTTGAACCCACTTTAATCAAGTAATCTAAACAGGGCTTAAGCTTCGAAAGCCGAGCTATGTGCCCGGCTTCAAAGCGCTTACTTACACTGAATTAATTTATCCTGGATGTACTAATGCTCCCCGCAACCCTGTGAATTATAATGTTAGAGGTTGCAATCAGGGCTCCGATAATATCCCCAAAGCCCGGCTGCTATTGATTGTCATGTAAAAAGGCACAAAGGGGAGTGGGGTGGAGGGGAGGGGAATAAAGGGATTGGGGTGGATAGAGCAAGACTGAAGTGTCCCTGTCCACGTGGGGCCAGGCGCCCAGTGCTAGCTTGGGGAATGGGATTGGAAAGAGGCTGGGTCTGCACTCTGAGGTGCTGCATTCAGAGGGGGAATTGCTTTAGGAAGCTCCAGCTGTGACTCTGAGGTGGAAGCCAGGGAATGGCTTGTGTGTGGATTGTGGACAGGGAGGGAAATTGGACATCTGTTTCAGAGGCCAAGCTGCCATTCACTCTCCCACTGGTAGCTACCTCTCCCCGCATTTACTCAGGCAATTGCATCTCCTTGACCTCAATCCCTGGCTTTTGAGTGCAGCCCCTACCGACATTCCACATCTGGAGCTTGTGACCTTATTATTTATTTATTAAACAATTTATTGATAACCTTCTATGTTCCAGACATTATTATTGTTTTGAGACAGGGTCTTGCTCTGTCTCCCAGGCTGGAGTGCGGTGGTGTGAACATAGCTTACTGCAAACTTGACCTCCTGGGCTCAAGCGATCCTTCTACTTCAGCCTCCTGAATAGCTGGGACTACAGGCACAAACCATCATGCCTCGCTAATCTTTTATTATTATTTTTTGTAGACACAGGGTCTTGCTATGTTGCCTAAGCTGGTCTCAAACTCCTGGGCTCAAGGAATCCTGCTACCTTGGCCTCTCAAATGTGTTGGGATTACACGTGTGCACCACCACTCCCAGCCTGTGCCAGGCATTATTCTAGGTTCTGGGAATAGAGTGGTGAACAAGATAGACAAAAGTCCTTGGCCTCATGGAATTTATTTTCTACCAGTGTGGGGTGGAGGGAGACTAACACACTGCCTATTTTACTTATTTGTTTAGTTACAGTCTGATGATGGAATCTGCTCTAGAGAAAAATAAGACAGGAGACAGGAATAGGGAATATGTGAGTGTGTGCAGCAGGTGGTATCAGTGTGAGTTCAAATCCAGGGGTCCTCGTTGGGAAGGTGACATTTGTGCAGAGATCCAAAGGAGAAATGGGAAGGAGCCACACAGACCTCTGAGGGAAGATGCTCTGGGCAGAGGGAAGAGCAAGGGCCAAGGCCCTGAAGTGAAGCATGCCTGGGCTGTTTGAGGAACAAGAAGGAGGCCCATGTAGCTGAGACAGAGTAGGCGAGAGGGAGAATAGGATGACATGAAGCCAGAGAGCATGTAAGCACAAGACAATGGCCAAGGTTAACCAGTGTATTTAGTTTCCTTGGCCACAGTGATGGTTCAGGGATGGGCCAGTGACATGAACCATGAGAGATATGGGCTGGGTGATGGGCAGCCATTTTGTCACCACATGGAACCTGAGGATAAAGTCAAAATAGAGGACAGAGGAGCCAAGGTATGTGTGTTGTGGTTTGACCTCCTGAATCCTACTGAGCCTGAAAACTTTACATCCCTTGGCATTTTCAATTTCTGGGAGTCTGTAAATCCTCCTTTTTGCCTAAACTATTTTGGATTTTTTTCTAAATAAATCTTTAGACCTCAGAAGTCCCACCTCTTGACACTAAGTTCACAGGTGGAGCATACCACCCCAGCATCCGTTTGCTCTCTGTGTCATGCTGGAGGCCCAGGCTGGCTCTTGTCTCCCCTTAGGAGGGGGGGGGTCCTCCCTTTCCCTCTGCCTCTAAAATGCACCTGGGTTGGCAGGGATGGAGGATGGCAGAACTCTGAACTCCTTCCCAAATTCCATTTTTCTGTCTCCCACTCCATCTCCCCCAGATCTTTGGATCCTGTTGGCCCTTTCCTACCTGAAGAAGAGAGAGTACTGGTGTTTATTTAGGACCTATATGTGCTGGATTTTACATTGTTGAGTTTTTATGTATGTCATTGTATTTTTACAATTTTTGCAGCTCTAGGAGGTAGGTATTGGCAGCGCTGATGTTTATCACATTACCATGATGGTATATAGGCTGGCATCTCATTCTTACGTTGGTGGCCATGCCATACAGGCTGCTTACATTTTTAGAAATGACTCTTGGATATTAGTATACCTTTGTAGCCTAGATGCCAGCAGAGGTCCCCTGCCCTTGGAGATTTAAATTAAATTGATTCAGGCCTGTAATCCCAGCACTTTGGGAGGCTTAGGTGGGCAGATCACTTGAGGTAAGGAATTCATGACCAGCCTGGCCAACATGGTGAAACCCCGTCTCTACCAAAAATACAAAAATTAGCCAGGCATGGTGGTGCGTGCGTGTAATCCCAGCTACTCGGTGGCTGAGACACGAGAATCACACAAACTTGGGAGGCGAAGGTTGCAGTGAGCTGAAATCATGCCACTGCACTCCAGCCTGGGTGACAGAGCGAGACTCTGTCTCAAAAACAAACAAACAAACAAACAAACAAACAAACAAATTAAGTTGATTCCAATGCTGCTGTGTGTGCTATCACAGCCAGCCACGTTTCCTCTAATCTCTCAGGAGACATGTGGGGGGTGGGAGCTTATGTTTTCCCACTGATCTCTGGCTTCAAGCTCCTCTGACTTCTTGCAAATTCTCTTGCTGTTCCTACCATGTTGCAGTCCGTTTCTGATCATATCACCCAGATATGGAGTGCCCCCTCCCCTACCCCACCACCACACAACACATATTATTAACTCAAAGCATTTGTATGTAGAAGACTATACTTAAGGTTTAGAATGTTGAATGGGGATGCTTCACCATAAAGCAAGAAAAGAAACTGAACATCATGCATCCCTCTGTTGGCATTTAGTAGGCCATTTCCAACAAGAGGACTCTCACCTGTGTGGCCTTTCTCCTCCCAGCTAAGCTCTCACCCTGCATTTTTCTGGGTCCCCTTTCTTTCCCATCTTTTCATCTCCTCTCTCCCATTTGATTCCTAGTCACTTTTGCAGAATAAAAATGTGAGTTCTCCAGCCCTACTCACCTCTAGGCTTACCTGGAAGCTCATTAGCATGTCTGCTCATCAGGGGCACATTCTCTCCAAGTCCCTCTTTTGAACAGCACAGAGGAGCCAGCATGGCTTTGCACTTTGGTCCTTCCCTTGTTCCAGCCACACCAATCTCTGCTGGGGAAGGTGTGCATTAGTGATGTATTCCTCAGTGTTATGAATGATTCCATAAGTGGCAGAAGTTGCCACAGGAAACCTGGGCTTTAAGAACTAAACTTTTTCTCTATATTACATCCATTTTAATGGGGAGAAAAAGAATGCTTCATGAGGTTAGGTGGATAAGTAATTTGCCCAGTCTAGCACAGCTAGGATCCAGGAGAAGCGGGATTGAATCCAGGTGTGGTGATGGCAAATTTATGCCATTTCCATGATGGCATCATGAATTCAATAAAAATTGCATTGCTGTATTTACCGAGATTCATCCACACACATTCACTAAACTCTTACATGAAAGCACCAGGTTGGATAGGTTGTGGTTGGGGGTATGAGGACGGAAAATCAATGGTCCCTTCCTAGAAAGAATTCTTCATCTCACAGCGAGACAGACCAGATGGCCCATAAACTAAAGTGGAAGTTCAGGAAATTCAAGGAAAACAGGATAAAATACTCTGAAAACCCTTTACCTCTCTATTAAGGAAGCAGGATGGCAGTGATTATGAACTTGGACTCTGGTGACCCTGGGTGAGTTCCTTACTTGCTCTGTACCTCACTTTTTTTCAGCTGTAGAATGAAGACAATAATAGAACCCTTCTTATAGTGTTGGTGTGAAGGTTAAATGGATTAATACATGCAACATACTTAGAACAGCACCTGGCACATAGCAAACACTCAATAAATGTTAGCTATCACTATTAACGTATGGTGTACATGGCCAACAATGATTTTACTTGATAAATATTATGATCCCTGATTGTCAAGGGAGGAAACTGAAGCACAGAGATAAAACAGTGTCCTCCAGGTCACAGAGTCATTTTGCTACAGAGGTAGGAATAGTAAGCAGGTCTTGGATGCTGGTCCAGCATTTTCCTACTCCTGTGTGTTCCAACTGAGAGTTGAGAGTGTACAGGAAAGACTGCTGATCACTGTTTTTGGTAGAAATGGTGGCTTTCATTTTGAGTGGGCTGTATTCAAGAATGGGTGATAAGGAAGGGTGACGTGATTAAAAAAAAATAGTAGTCATTCACCAAAATCCATTCTTCTCATCGTCCATGGTGAGGGTTCAGTGGCGGATGCACGCTGAACAGTGGAGGACCAGGTTTCCCAACGTTCCTTGTGTTAGGGGCAGGGGCCATATTGAAAAGCTCTCACTTGCATATGGTGAGAGGAGGATGAACCATCCCCAAGATGACATCTTAAGACACAGAGTGTGGTGGGTGCACGGCCGGGCTCAGGCTGCAGTGCCCGGGCCCCTCGGCTGCTGCAACCGTCGGCAGGCGCAGGTGAAAGGGCTCCTGTACCATGCCCAGTGCGCCCCACTGTGTCTGGAATTGGTGGGTTCTTGGTCTCACTGACTTCAAGAATGAAGCCGCGGATCCTCCCGGTAAGTGTTACAGCTCTTAAGGTGGCGCGTCTGGAGTTTGTTCCTTCTGATGTTCGGATGTTTTCGGAGTTTCTTCCTTCTGGTGGGTTCATGGTCTCGCCAGCTCACGAGTGAAGCTACAGACCTTCACGGTGAGTGTTACAGCTCTTAAAGTGGAGCGTCTGGAGTTGTTCGTTCCTCCCTTTGGGCTCGTGGTCTCGCTGGCTTCAGGAGTGAAGCTGCAGACCTTCGCGGTGAGTGTTACAGCTCATAAAAGCAATGTGGACCCAAAGAGTGAGCAGTAGCAAGATTTATTGCAAAGAGCAACAGAACAAAGCTTCCACAGTGTGCAAGGGGACCCGAGCAGGTTGCCACTGCTGGCTCGGGCAGCCTGCTTTTATTCTCTTATCTGGCCCCACCCACGTCCTGCTGATTGGTAGAGCCCAGTGGTCTGTTTTGACAGGGCGCTGATCGGTGCATTTACAATCCCTGAGCTAGACATAAAGGTTCTCCAAGGCCCCACTAGAGCTGCTAGATACAGAGTGTCCACTGGTGCATTCATAAACCCTGAGCTAGACACAGGGTGCTGATTGATGTGTTTACAAACCTTGAGCTAGATACAGAGTGCCAATTGGTGTATTTACAATCCCTGAGCTAGACATAAAGGTTCTCCACGTCCCCACCAGACTCAGGAGCCCAGCTGGCTTCACCCAGTGGATTCTGCACGGGGGCTGCAGGTGGAGCTGCCTGCCAGTCCCGTGCTGTGCGCTCGCACTCCTCAGCCCTTGGATGGTCAATGGGACTGGGCGCCGTGGAGCAGGGAGTGGCACTCGCTGGGGAGGCTCCGGCCGCACAGGAGTCCATGGAGGGGGTGGGAGGCTCAGGCAAGGTGGGCTGCAGGTCCCGAGCCCTGCCCTGCGGGAAGGCAGCTAAGGCCCGGTGAGAAATCGAGCGCAGCGCCGGTGGGCTGGCACTGCTGGGAGACCCAGTACACCCTCCGCAGCCGCTGGCCCGGGTGCTAAGTCCCTCATTGCCCGGGGCCGGCAGGGCCGGCCGGCTGTTCCGAGTGCGGGGCCCGCCAAGCCCACGCCCACCCGGAACTCCAGCTGGCTCGCAAGCGCCGCACGCAGCCCCGGTTCCCGCTCGCGCCTCTCCCTCCACACCTCCCTGCAAGCTGAGGGAGTGGGCTCCGGCCTTGCCCAGCCCAGAAAGGGGCTCCCACAGTGCAGCGGTGGGCTGAAGGGCTCCTCAAGTGCCGCCAAAGTGGGAGCCCAGGCAGAGGAGGCGCCGAGAGCGAGCGAGGGCTGTGGGGACTGCCAGCACGCTGTCACCTCTCACCACCTGCCTGGCGTTGCTCACAGGGCGGGAAAGCGTGGCTGTTACAAACGCATTCTGACTTGGGGGAGCAGAAGTTAACTACTTTCATACCAATCTCTCTCTCTTTAAAAGGTGAGGTGAATCGGTGATTTTCCTGAAAAATTACAGGTACCCAGCTAAGATCTGAATGCCATCACCCTACCCAGGGCTCTGCAGTTTTCTCATGGTGAACCCTTGATGGATTTGTTAGTTGCTTGAGAAATGGCTATGAGTGGATTGAGGTTTGGAAGACAGAGTTTTCATCCGTTGAAGAGGAAGAGTTGATTGCTGTTGAAATTCATTGTCTTCTCTGTGCTTCTGTTTTGTGAATTTTTAATCTATTACTTAGTGATCTTTTGGTGTAATTGGCCTGAAGCGAAAACCGCAGCCTATGATGGTGAACAGGCCACGTGTGAGCCTGTGCTCAAAGCCATGTTTTTGGCTGACACCCACTTGCTTAGGGAATTCCTAGGTCACTGGCTGGACAAATTACGAAGGGAATGGCAGGTGGAGAGAGCCTTCCAGACAGCTCTGTGGTTGCTGCAGCCGGAAGTCGTCTTCATCCTGGAGGATGTCTTTGATGAAGGGAAGTGGAGCACCTCTGAGGCCTGGGTGGATGATGTGGAGCAGTTTCGGAAAATGTTCAGACACCCAAGTCATGTGCAGCTGAAGGTAGTTGCTGGAAACCATGACACTGGCTTCCACTATGAGACGAACACATACGAAGTAGAACGGTTTGAGAAAGTGTTCATCTCTGAAAGCCTGTTTTCTTGGAAAGGATTAACTTCATGATGGTCAACAGCATGGCACTGAAGGGGGACAGCTGTGGCATCTGTTCTGAAGCAGAAGCAGAGCTCACTGAAGTTTCTTACAGACTGAACTGCTCCCAAGAGCGTTATCCTCTGTATTGGAGAAGCGACACTAACTGTTCTGGGGAAGATGTTGCTCCTCCGGAGGAAAAGAACACCCCATTAAGGAGAATTATGATGTGCTTTCTCGGGAGGCATCGCAAAAGCTGCTGTGTTGACTCCAGCCACACCTGGTCCTCAGCGGCCACACGCACAGCACCTGCGAGGTGCACCACGGGGGATGAATCCCCGAGCTCAGCCTCTCATCTTTCAGTTGGAGGAACAGAAACAACCCCAGTTTCATTATGGGTAGCATCACACCCACAGACTATGCCCTCTCCAAGTGCCACCTACCACCTGAGGACGTGGTCTTGATCATCTACTGTGGAGTGGTGGGCTTCCTTGTGGTTCTGACACTTACTCACTTTGAGCTTTTAGCCTCACCTTTTCTTTCTGAGGTTTGAACCTGCTCAGAAAGCATAAGACAAGGTGAAAAGCAAGCAACATATGCACTTAGTAATAAATATCAAAGCCCAAGAAATGGAACTTTGGGCAGAGATCATGTTAGACTCAAGTGGATAATGAGACCAAATATAGGCCATCTCTGCATATCACAGAAATTCTCAATCACTGAAACGAGTTACTGCAGAACAAGTAGTAGATTGTACTGTTCTCATGCTATAAAAATGGAACAGCTACTCTACAACAACAACAACAACAACAACAACAACAACAACAACAGACACAGAGTGTGGTTCTTCCATGCTCTTTTTCTCTTTCTTGCTGGCTACAGAAATTACCAGATAGAATAGTAGACTCTAAAGCAGGACTCCTGAAACTACCTGTGTTGAAGAATGTGATTTCCACCCAACTCCAATTCCCATCTATCATGGACCAACTTTTGGTCTACAACTTGTTCAATGAGACGAGTCCATTGGTCATGTGCCTGGATGTCATGGCAATGTCAAATCGAGGTAAAAGTTTCTGAAAGTGTGTTATCCATGTCGCGACTCAATTCATGGTGGACTTTTACCAAGAAGTTTGATGGACTAGTACTTGCCTATAATCCACACTTAAGCAGCACTGCTCCTGGACATGCAGAGACAAGCTGAAAGGGTTCCTGATGGCCACATGGGGCATAGTGATCTGCCAACCTGGAATGTTCAAATCAGATGCTTACATCTGAGAAAAAGAAATGAAAAACCATATTCTTCACTGTATCTTAAGATTGCTTTCTCCAGGAGGTATGCTTTACCCTAATATAAATGGGTCATGCCATGTATTAAAAGGAAGAGTGGACTTTTGAACCAGGCAGAATGACCCCTGCTATAGCCCAAGCTGTACACATGTTGGTTCTACTTGCTGGGACAATGCCACGCCTCCCCAGGACATTCCTGGGTGCCCATGGTGTGCCATACACTGAAGGATGACACAAGGCCACCGATCCTCTGCCAACGGGTCCCTTGCTGGATTCCTTTTCATCTGTAGGTTCTTGGTATGTTGGGAATGATTTGGATCCAAGTAAATTCATGTTCCAAGGCTCAAAGGAAATCAAAGGTGTCGAAGTGCTTTGATCCAAAGGCTGGTAAGCAAAGTTTAGTTCATAAAACAGCTGGTGCTGAGAGAAGATTGAAATAAGGATATGGGGACCCCTGTGAGGTCTAAGAGATCCTAGGGGGGCAGGGAGCAGGGCCTACACTTGGAAATTAGACTGACATGCTTCTGATGCCTAGAGTCACAAATTCCAGCTGAGCTGAGTGCCTTTGGGCAAGTCACGTGGTGTCTTCTCTGTAAAGGGAGACTGTTATGATGACATTGCAGGAGTGGTATGAAGGTCTCCAAGAAGGTACAGAAAGACCCGCATGCAGCTGGGTGGCAGCCAGGGCCCAGCAAGGAACAGATGGCACATTCAAACTGGGTGATTGGAGGAGAGAGAAATTAGGAGACCACGTACAAAGGCGCAGCAAGGATGGGGAGACTCACAAGACATAGCATAGTACCTGGCTGGCAATGGTGTGTATGGGCGGGGGAGTGGGGGTAGCTGTTATAGCTGTTAGCCTGAAGGGCAAAGGAGAAAACAGTTGTCAGAATCCAGAATGCTTGCTACATATAAGTAGCATGACGGGGAGGATCGTCCAATAGGATTGGAGGTTGATGCCAGGACGTACACTGCCAACCCCTGGTGGTATCTCTACAGGGTGTGAACTGGAGAATAAACATCCTGACTTTACTCTCTTCCCACCCTTCTAACTCCGGCTGCTTCTTCCCGCTGGCCAAACTCCAGTGGAAGGCAGAGGATAAGGGGGCCTTCCAGGCAGGCCAGCGTCCCAGGCTCAGAAGAGGATAGAGAAGCAGGAAGGAGAATCCAGGAAGGCCAATGACTGCATCCTCCCAACCCAGCATATAGAAGCTGCTCAACTTACAGGAGCACTTAAAAAAATGTATAGTCTTTGGATGTAACTGCAAGTAAGGTCACATGCTTCCTCTGAGGCACCACTTAACTGAAAATTGGACCTCACGAATGTGAGCCATGCAGGTCTGTTCTCACCTGGAGCAGAGAGGATGAGCAAATGGTTCGCTCTGTGCTGGCCTCTTGCCAGATCCTTTTCTACTTCTTTATTCCTCGTTCTCTGCTGTCCTTGCCTAGGAAACCACCATCTGGCTGCAACACGCCTAAGGAAGGTATTGGTGAGTTGAGGACCTGGGGTAGGTCCCCTGCTGCCTTAAGAGATGATTAGTGGCTGCTTGCCGGCAGATGTAGCTCAGTGGCATTTTAAATATCCAAATGTCCCCCTGCCTCATGAGGGAGGCCACGGACTATTGAAGGTGTTTCACACAGAGAGCCCTGATTGCTGTGGCAATAATTTCCTTCAACAGCCATTAAACCACTTCTGAATGTGTTATTAAAAAAGAAAACTAAGAGAAAAGGGCAGGGGGGGTGTGTGCAGGGGGGCAGACATCCTTCCTATTTCCTGAAAAATATCAGAGCTCACAGGGTGAGCTTTAACTAATCGGATGGGATTTTAATATCAGTTTGTTGGCAGTTATGAGCGCACTGTCAGTCCTGCCTCTCAGCTTGGGGATGTGGGTGGGGGCAACTTGGAGTCCCATGAGTGCTGCCCAGCTGCCTCAAGACCAAGTATCGGCAGAGCCCAGCACCCACTGGGGTGATTTGTCCCTGGGCTACTCACCAGCATTCTCTGGTCCAAGAGAGATGTTGTCTTAAGTCTTCGAGAGTAAATGAGTCTTCTCAGCTCAGGTCCCTTCCTTGGCAAAACAGCCAGTTCTTTAGTCAGGGCCTGTGCCTACCCCTATAAACCACCTACCAAAAGGTGGCTGGAATATATGGGTGTCCTTATCCACTCACTCAGCAAATATATATGGGGGGGTTCTGTATTAGTCCATTCACACTGCTAATAAAGACATACCTGAGACTAGGTAATTATAAAGGAAAAAGAGATTTAATGGACTCACAGTTCCACGTGGCTGGGAAGGCCTCACAATCATAGTGGAAGGCAAAGGAGGAGCAAAGGCACGTCTTAACATCATGGCAGGCAAGAAAGAAGTGCCGAGCAAAGGAGGGGAAAACCGGCCGGGCACAGTGGCCTATGCCTGTAATCCCAGCACTTTGGGAGGCTGAGGCGGGTGGATCCCGAGGTCAGGAGATCGAAACCATCCTGGCCAATATGGTGAAACCCCATCTTTGTTAAAATACAAAAAATTAGCCAGGTGAGGTGGAGCACTCTTGTAGTCCCAGCTGCTCGGGAGGCTAAGGCAGGGGAATTGCTTGAACCTGGGAGGTGGATGTTGCGGTGAGTCGAGATCTCGCCACTGCACTCCAGCCTGGCAACAGAGTGAGACTCTGTCTAATTAAAAAAAAAAGTGAGGGAACCCCTTATAAAACCATCAGATCTCATGAGAACTCACTATCATGAGAACAGCAGCATGGGGGTAACCATCCCCATGATTCAATTACCTCCTATCAGGTCCCTCCCACAACATGTGGGGATTATGGGAGCTACAATTCAAGATGAGATTTGGGTGGGGACACAGCCAAACCATATCAGGGCCTCTGCCAGGCACAGCTTCAGATGCTTGGGCTGCAATAGGGACGGTCTGCAGAATATCAATAGTTACGAGGGTTCCAGCAACAGCCAACCAGAACAGATATAAGTCAAGGGGCTGGAACAGGTCCCGCCGGCCCCCAGTGGGCCAGTCACTACCCTCTCTGTTAGTGGTTGGCGATTTCTGGGGCCTTGCTCAGCACAGTGAGTGTTAATTGGTCTGGAAGTATTTCAGCATTTTACCAATTGTCGTAGTCATACTGACATGTGCCAGCTGAACAAAACATGCCATGTCTCCCCTACAGAGTTTACCTTCTTACAAGCACGGAGAAGCAGTCAGCTTTTTCTTTTCCATCCTTGTCATAGGGATGCTTTTAAAGTCTTGCTGAAAAATAGGAAAAGCTCCATTTTCTGTTCTAGGCCTATGTAGACTCTTTAAAAAATGATGAGACACAGGTTTCAGGCTATCAGGCACAGAGGTTGTTTGAGGCAACATTTGGTCTTCATTTAAGGCAAGGCTGTGTGACATTTAACAATGTCTGTACCCTTTCGGCTTAGAGGTTCATCTAGACAGCTGTCACAAGCACGCTCACTCCCAGTCCCAGAGGAATGAGTGAAGAGGGGTTTGCCCACATATAAGGGACCCAGGACAACTGCCCCCAAAGGGAGATGTGTTCTGTCCCCTTTTGATGCCTTATTTAGCGAGGCAAAATGATGGCTATGATGATACCCAGCCACCACTTCCTGACATCATCTGCCCCATGGAGGGGCTGGCTTTCCCTAATGGATCTCACTCTGGATAGGAAGTTCATTCTCACAGCCACATGCAGAGCCTGATGGATTCTCACTTTGGAATAATGGTCACAGATTATGAGATCAGTTTTGTCCCTGGAAAGGAAGAACTGTAAAACAGTTTCTGTTAATATCCCTGGTCCATAAAAGGAGGTTTGCAAGCACTTTTTAGAAATATCACTTACTAATCAAACCTGGATTTCTAGGTTATTATCTGTTCTGAGAATTGCTAATGCTATCAAGAAGGCAAAAATGCAGAGAGAATACAGGATGTAGTGGAGAAAGCCGTCACCATTTACAAAGAGAGAAGCAGCAGCATTATTTTTCTTAAAAATTACCAAAGGGAAGAATGGATGCCACAGATGCTCTTCTGAGTTACTCTTGGATCACATCTACCAAAAGTGTTCTTAAAATCTGTATGTGACAACATGCTAGTAAAGAGGAAAGCAAGGGAGCTGTGGGCAAGATCGCCAAATAAGAACAGCTCCAGCCTGTAGCTCCCAGCAAGATCAAGGGAGAAGGCGGGTGATTTCTGCATTTCCAACTGAGGTACCAGCTCATCTCATTGGGACTGGTTAGACAGTAAGTGTAGCCCACAGATGGCAAGCCAAAGCAGGGTGGGGCATCGCCTCACCTGGGAAGTGCAAAGGGTCAGGGAACTCCCTCCCCTAGCCAAGGGAAGCCGTGAGGGAATGTGCCCTGAGGGACAATGCATTCTGGCCCAGATACTATGCTTTTCCCATGGTCTTCACAACCTGTATACCAGGAGATTCCTTCAGGTGCCTATGCCACCAGGGCCCTGGGTTTCAAGCACAAAACTGGGCAACTGGTCAGGCAGTCACCGAGCTAGCTGCAGGAGTTTTTTTTTTTCATACCCCAGTGGTGCCTGGAATGCCAGTGAGACAGAACAGTTCACTCCCCTGGAAAGGGGGCTAAAGCCAGGGAGCCAAGTGGTCTAGCTCAGCAGATCCCACCCCACAGAGCTCAGCAAGCTAAGATCCACTGGCTTGAAATTCTCTCTGCCTGCACAGCAGTCTGAAGTTGACCTGGGATACTCGAGCTTGATGGGGGGAGGGGCATTCACCATTACTGAGGCTTGAGTAGGCGGTTTTCCCCTCACAGTGTAAACAAAGCCACTGGGAAGTTTGAACTCGGCTGAGTCCACCACAGCTCGGCAAAGCCGCTATAGCCAGACTGCCTCTCTAGAGTCCTCCTCTCTGGGTAGGGCATCTCTGAAAGAAAGGCAGCAGCCCCAGTCAGGGGCTCATACATAAAACTCCTGTCTTCCTTGGAACAGAGCAGCTGAGGGAAGGGGCGGCTGTGGGCACAGTTTCAGCAGACTTAAACATTCCTGCCTGCCGGCTCTGAAGAGAGCAGCAGATCTCCCAGCACAGCACTTGAACTCTGCTAAGGGACAGACTGCCTCCTCAAGTGGGTCGCTGATCCCTGTGCCACCTGATAGGGAGACACCTCCAAGCAGGGGTTGACAGACACCTCATACAGGAGAGCTCCGCCTGGCATCTGGTGGGTGCCCCTCTGGGACGAAGCTTCCAGAGGAATAAACAGGCAGCAATCTTTGCTGTTCTGCAGCCTCTGCTGGTGATACCCAGGCAAACAGGGTCTGGAGTGGACCTCCAGCAAACTCCAGCAGACCTGCAACAGAGAGGCTTGACTGTTAGAAGGAAAACTAACAAACAGAAAGGAATAGCATCAACATCAACAAAAAGGACGTCCACACAGAAACCCCATCCAAAGGTCACCAACATCAAAGACCAAAGATAGATACATCCACGAAGATGAGGAAAAACTAGTGCAAAAACGCTGAAAATTCCAAAAACCAGAATGCCTCTTCTCCTCCAAAGGATCACAACTCCTTGCCAGCAAGGGAACAAAACTGGACGGAGAATGAGTTTGATGAATTGACAGAAGTAGTCTTCAGAAGGTGGGTAATAACAAGCTCCTCTGAGCTAAAGGAGCCTGTTCTAACCCAATGCAAGGAAGCTAAGAACCTTGAAAAAAGGTTAGAGAAATTGCTAACTGGAATAACCAGTTTAGAGAAGAACATAAATGACCTGATGGAGCTGAAAAACACAGCACAAGAACTTCATGAAGCATACACAAGTATCAATAGCCAAATTGATCAAGTGGAAGAAAGGATATCAGAGATTGAAGATCAACTTAATGAAATAAAGTGTGAAGACAAGATTAGAGAAAAAAGAATGAAAAGGAACAAACAAACCCTCCAAGAAACATGGGACTATGTGAAAAGACCAAACCCATGTTGGATTGGTGTACCTGAAAGTGATGGGGAGAATGGAACCAAGTTAGAAAACACTCTTCAGGATATTATCCAAGAGAACTTTCCCAACCTAGCAAGACAGGCCAACATTCAAATTCAGGAAATACAGAGAACACCACAAAGATACTCCTCGAGAAGAGCAACCCCAAGACACATAATCGTAAGATTCACCAAGGTTGAAATGAAGGAAAAAATGTTAAGGGCAGCTGGAGAAAAAGGTCAGGTTACCCACAAAAGGAAGCCCATCAGACTAACAGCAGATCTTTGTGTAGAAATCCTACAAGCCAGAAGAGAGTGGGGATCAATATTCAACGTTCTTAAAGAACAGAATTTTTAACCCAGAATTTCATATCCAGCCAAACTAAGCTTTATAAGCTAAGGAGAAATAAAATCCTTTACAGACAAGCAAATGCTGAGAGATTTTGTCACCACCAGGACTGTCTTACAAGAGCTCCTGAAGAAAGCACTAAATATGGAAAGGAAAAACCAGTACCAGCCACTGCAAAAACATACCAAATTGTAAAGACCCTTGATATTATGAAGAAACTGCATCAACTAACGGGCAAAATAACCAGTTAGCATCATAATGACAGGAGCAAATTCACACATAACAATATTAACCTTAAGTGTGAATGGGCTAAATGCCCCAATTAAAAGACACAGCCTGGCAAATTGGATAGAGTCAAGACCCATTGGTGTGCTGTATTCAGGAGACCCATCTCATGTGCAAAGACACACATAGGCTCAAAATAAAGGGATGGAGGAATATTTACCAAGCAAATGGAAGGCAAAAAAAAAAAAAAAAAAAAAAGCAGGGGTTGCAATCCTCGTCTCTGATAAAACAGACTTTAAAACCAACAAAGATAAAAAAAGACAAAGAAGGGCATTACATAATGGTAAAGGGATCAATGCAACAAGAAGAACTAACTATTCTAAATATATATGCACCCAATATAGGAGCACCCAGATTCATAAACCAAGTTCTTAGAGACCTACAAAGAGACTTAGACTCCCACACAATAATAGTGGGAGACTTTAACACCCACTGTTGATATAGACAGATCAACGAGACAGAAAATTAACAAGGATATTCAGGACTTGAACTCAGCTCTGGACCAAGCAGACTTAATAGACATCTACAGAACTCTCCACCCAAAATCAACAGAACTCTCCACCCAAAATCAACAGAATATGCATTCTTCTCAGCGCCACATCACACTTATTCTAAAATTGACCACATAATTGGAAGTAAAACACTCCTCAGCAAATGCAAAAGAATGGAAATCATAACAAACAGTCTGTCTGACTGCAGGGCAATCAAATTAGAACTCAGGATTAAGAAACTCACTCAAAACCGCACAACTACATGGAAACTGAACAACCTGCTCCTGAATGACTACTGGGTAAATAATGAAATTAAGGCAGAAATAAATAAGTTCTTTGAAACCAATGAAAACAAAGACACAAGATACTGGAATCTCTGGGACACAGCTAAAGCAGTGTTTTGAAAGAAATTTTTAGCATTAAATGCCCACAGGAGAAAGTGGGAAAGATCTAAAATCGACATCCTAACATCACAATTAAAAGAACTAGGGAAGCAAGAGCAAACAAATTCAAAAGCTAACCGAAGACAAGAAATAACTAAGATCAGAGCAGAACTGAAGGAGATAGAGATGTGAAAAACCCTTCCAAAAAAAAATGAATCTGGGGGGCTGGTGTTTTGAAAAGATTAACAAAATAGATAGACCACTGGCCAGACTAATAGAGAAGAAAAGAGAGAAGAATAAAATAGATACAATAAAAAAAGATAAAGAGGATAACACCACTGATCCCACAGAAGTACAAACTACCTTCAGAGAATACTATAAACACCTCTATGCAAATAAACTAGAAAATCTAGAAGAAATAAATTCTTGGACACATACACTCGCCCAAGACTAAACCAGGAAGAAGTCGAATCCCTGAATAGACCAATAACAAGTTCTGAAATTGAGGCAGCAATTAATAGCCTAGCAACCAAAAAAAGTCCAGGGCCAGACAGATTCACAGCTGAATTCTCCGAGAGGTACAAAGAGGAACTGGTACCATTCTCCTTCTGAAACTATTCCAAACAATAGAAAAGAGGCACTCTTCCCTAACTCATTTTATGAGGCCAGCATCATCCTGATACCAAAACCTGGCAGAGACACAGCAAAAAAAGAAAATAAAATTTCAGGCCAATATCCCTGATGAAGATTGATGCAAAAATCCTCAATAAAATACTGGCAAACCGAACCCAGCAGCACATCACAAAGCTTACCCACCATGATCAAGTGGGCTTCATCCCTGGGATGCAAGGCTGGTTCAACATATACAAATCAATAAACGTAACCCAGCATGTAAACAGAACCAAAGACAAAAACCACATGATTATCTCAATAGATGCAGAAAAGGCCTTCAATAAATCCAACACCCTTTCGTGCTAAAAACACTCAATAAACTAGATATTGATGGAATGTATCTCAAAATAATAAGAGCTATTTATGACAAACTCACAGCCAATATCATACTGAATGGGCAAAAGCTGGAAGCATTCTCTTTGAAAACCAGCACAATACAAAGATGCCCTCTGTCACCACTCCTATTCAACATGTTATTGGAAATTCTGGCCAGGGCAATCAGGCAAGAGAAAGAAATAAAGGGTATTCAAATAGGAAGAGAGGAAGTCAAATTGTCCCTGTTTGCAGATAACATGATTGCATATTTAGAAAACCCCATCACCTCAGCCTAAATCTCCTTAAGCTGATAAGCAACTTCAGCAAAGTCTCAGGATACAAAATCAATGTGCAAAAATCACAAGCATTCCTATACACCAATAATAGATAAACAGAGAGCCAAATCATGAGTGAATTCCCATTCACAATTGCTATGAAGAGGATAAAATACCTACGAATACAACTTACAAGGGACACGAAGGACCTCTTCAAGGAGAACTGCAAACCACTGCTCAAGGAAATAAGAGAGGACACAAAAAAATGAAAAAACATTCCATGCTCATAGATAGGAAGAATCAATATGATGAAAATGGCCATACTGCCCAAAGTAATTTATAGATTCAATGCTATCCCCATCAAGCTACCATTGACTTTCTTCACAGAATTAGAACAAATTACTTTAAATTTCATATGGAACCAAAAAGCGCTCATATAGCCAAGACAACCCTAAGCAAAAAGAACAAAGCTGGAGGCATCACGCTACCTGACTTCAAACTATACTGCAAGGCTACAGTAACCAAAACAGCATGGCACTGCTACCAAAACAGAGATATAGACCAATGGAACAGAACAGAGGCCTCAGAAATAACGCCACACATCTGCAACCATCTGATCTTTGACAAACCTGACAAAAACAAGCAATGGGGAAAGGATTCCTTATTTAATAAATGATGTTGGGAAAACTGGCTAGCCATATGCAGAAAACTGAAACTGGACCCCATCCTTACACCTTATACAAAAATTAACTCAAGATGGATTAAAGACTTAAATGTAAGACCTAAAACCATAAAAACTCTAGAAGAAAACCTAGGCAATACCATTCAGGACATAGGCATGGGCAAAGACTTCATGACTAAAACACCAAAAGCAATGGCAACAAAAGCCAAAATTGACAAATGTGATCTAATTAAACTAAAAAGCTTCTGCATAGCAAAAGAAACTATGATCAGAGTGAACAGGCAACCTACAGAATGGGAGAACATTTTTGCAATCTATCCATCTGACAAAGGGTAATATTCAGAAACTACAAAGAACTTAAACAAATTTACAAGAAGAACAAACAAACAATCCCATCAAAAAGTGGGTGAAGGATATGAACAGACACTTCTCAAAAGAAATTTATGCAGCCAAGAAACATATGAAAAAAAGCTCATCATCACTGGTCATTAGAGAAATACAAATCAAAACCACGATGAGATACCATCTCACACCAGTTAGAATGGCAATCATTAAAAAATCAGGAAACGACAGATGCTGGGTAGGATGTGGAGAAATAGCAACGCTTTTACACTGTTGGTGGGAGTGTAAATGAGTTCAACCATTGTGGAAGACAGTGTGGCCATTCTTCAAGGATCTAGAACTAGAAATACCATTTGACCCAGCAATCCCATTAGTGGGTATATACCCAAAGGATTATAAATCATTCTACTGTAAAGACACATGAACACATATGTTTATTGCAGCACTGTTCACAATAGCAAAGACTTGGAACCAACCCAAATGCCCATCAATGATAGACTGGATAAAGAAAATGTGGCACATATACACCATAGAATACTATGCAGCCATAAAAAAGGATGAGTTTATGTCCTTTGCAGGGACATGGATGATTCTCAGAAACTAACACACAAACAGAAAACCAAACACCGCATGTTCTCACTCATAAGTGGGAGTTGAACAATGAGAACACATGGATACAGGGAGGGGAACATCACACATGGGGGCCTGTTGAGGGGTGGGTGGCTAGGGAAGGGATAGCATTAGGAGAAATACCTAATGTAGATGATGGGTTGATGGGCACAGCAAACCACCATGGCACGTGTATACCTATGTAACAAACCTGCACGTTCTGCACAGGTATCCCAGAACTTAAAAGTATAATTTTTTTAAAAAGAGGAAAAAGGAAGTTGCAGAAGAGCAAATATAGTATGAGTCCATTTACATAAAAAGGGATATACAAATGCATATAAATGACCCAAGAAATATGTGCATGCACACACAACTGTCCAGAAAATGTTTCAGGGATTTCCTGTAGATTTCAGAGGAAGAGAAAGTTTTCCCATCTTTGGGACAATGTGTATTATGAAACTGACCACGTTTCCCTTTTTGCTTTCCCTGCTGGGAAGTTCACAATTAAATCTGTATTTTCATTGTAATAACAGCAGGCTCCACTTAGGCCAGTGTTTCTCATCCTTGGCTGCAAGTTAGAATCACTTAGCTTTTTAAAATCCCAATGCCCAGGCCACACCCCATCTAAGTCAGAATCTCTGAGGGCTGGGACCCAGATGTCCATTTCAAAAAATCCCCGAGTAATTCCAATATGCAATTGTGGCTGAGAACCACTTCTCCAGACTGTATATCTGAATTCTGACTTTCCCTTGTTCAAAAAAAAAAATCACTTTATTTACATTTTCCTTGAATCTGATTTTTACTTATGTGTAATTTTTCAATTTGATGTTGTGTATTTTTGTAAATTGCTTCAAGTCCTCTCTGAAATGACATCTGATGTAGACAAAAATGATAAACTTGTATTTAAACCACATGACAATCAGACTGGAGCTGTGTGATTTCAGCTGGGGAGAATATTCTCGGAAGCGGACAGACACTTCAGGGGAGGAGGGGGCACTAAGATCCAATCGTGCACCTGGGCATGGGGCTGAGTCTGCCCAAAAGAAAAGCTCACACTTCTAGCTGGAAGAAAGATAACCTTCTGGACTAGCAGCTGCCCTGACAGACACCTTCTTTGTGGGTGGGAGCAAGGCAGAGTGGAGAGTTCAAATTCTGTAAGAAATAAGTTATAGGAATGTATCTGTATGATTTCTTCTTGATTGTAAGTCCAGGGGACTGAGAGAAGACAGATCTGGCTTCCTCCTAAGGGGAATTTCTCTCTACATTTTGCTGAGATGGGGCTGATTGGGGTAATTACCTCCATTAGAATGATGGTTACTGTTTCCTTAGTAGCTACCAGGTGGGCTGTCCTAGGTAGGGGAGCAGAGGGGGATCATCCTTCCTTCCCACCCAGGTTGACCCCTTTGGAATTTTCACCCTCTATGTCTGCCCCTGGAGCTGTTTAACATGCCAATCACCTGTCATTGCCTTGAACCCCAGCTGCAGATTCAAATGGAAGTAGGAATCGCAAGCAAAGCCTTAGGGTGGAAGAGGAATGGGGTGGGGGCTGTAATGGAATGGACCAGGGAGCATTTGAGAGCCGTGCAACCTCATACTAAAAGGAAAGGCTTAGAAAGTGAGGGTGGGCCAGGTGGAGAGTTTGAGAGTAACAAGTGGGGTGCTGGGAGAGAAGGTTCAGAGGAAAAATGACTCCCCAAAGGGAGATGATTCCACCAATAAATAAGCTCGACTACTTTGAAATTTTGCCCGAGGGCATCAGCCTTCACCTGGCTCGGGTGGAACCTTTATACTCAGAAACCTGACACACGTGTGTCTGTGGCCACAAGCCGAGCTGGCAAGGGCATGGGGGCAAATAGCCCATCAGCTGCCAGGAAAAGAGAAGCAGGGCCACTTGTCAGCACCCGGGACTCTGCCCACGTTGGCGCAGCTCCCTGAGGGTCCCACCTCGGGTTAGGAGTGCCCTCTTCCCCCCTTGAAGGACAGCTCCCCCTTGGTATCCAGCTCTCAGAGATGGAAGTCCTGGGCAGCAACTTCCAGAGGCACCTGAAGGAAATCAAGACTCAGACTAGTGGGAGCAGAAGATTCTGGAATCTATGGAGCTGATGTTAGCCACCTCCCTGCCCTGGAGACTATACAAGAGAATTTAAAAATAGAATTTGCTAAAATTGCTTGAGTCTCTGGGTGTCTAGTAACCATGCCTGGCAGTCTATACCCAAGGCAGACTGGCTGTGCGGAAAGGCATTGTTAAAATAAAATCATTAGCTTAATAGGCTTGAAGAAAAGGGTAGTGAGATGGGAATTTCCTTTTGCAATATGTTCTCCACTCAAAGCAATCCCTGAAACCAGTAGGACGTAGTAATTACTGACTAAAAATGCTCCAATATCTCTCACTTTGTTTATGTTTTCTTTGGATCTAATAAACATTAACTCTGAAAACTGCTTGCAGTCCCAGAATTTTCAGTGTCAGATGAGACTAAATGTCGCCTAGCACTCTAATCGTTTCTTTCCTGATTTATTGTATCATTTGTTTTGTTCCCCAGTGACTACCTACATACATATGTACACACATGCATACACATGTGTGCACATATAGACATGCAAGCACACACATGCACACCATGCACATGTTGTGCCATCGTCCAAGGAAAAGAAATGGCAGCAAATGAACTGAAAGCATGGAACAGTGAAGCCAGTTACCAGGCCAAGGACTCAGTGACATGACATACAGAAGAATACCAAAGCCAAGAATAAGAATGCAACCCAAGAAAAATGTGCTCAAGCACAAAGGACCAGGACGAGGTGAAATCCACTGCAGAAGAGCATCGAAAACAAGTCCTTCCAAATCAGACGGCCAGAAATTATTAATCTGTCTCTCTCTTCCCACTGCTCCATCAAGAGGTGGAGTTTAGGCCCGGCGTGGCGGCTCATGCCTGTAATCCCAACACTTTGGGAGGCCAAAGCAGGCAGATTACTTGAGGCCAGGAGTTCAAGACCAGCCTGGCCAACATGGTGAAACTCCATCTCTACTAAAAATATAAAAATTAGCTGGGCGTGATGGCACTCACCTGTAATCCCAGCTACTCAGGAGGCTGAGGCATGAGAATTGTTTGAACCCGGGAGGTGGAGGCTGCAGTGAGTCGAGATGGTGCCGCTGCATTCCAGCCTGGGCGACAGAGTGAGACTCCATCTCATAAAAAAAGAAACGGAGTTTATTCACCCTCTCCCGACTGGCCCTGGCATGGCGTTAGCCAAGCGAAAGTAGCAGTGCACCATTGCTGACACTGAGCCTGAGACTTCAGTGGGTCTGGCAGTGTCTTAGTTCCAGATGCTACAACAAAATGCTATGAACTGGGTGGCTTTTAAACAATAGAAATGTATCACTCATAGTTATGGGGGTTCAGTATCCAAGATCAAGGCACCAGCAGATTTGGTGTCTGGTGGGAGCTTTCCAGTTCCTAGATGACACCTTCTTGCTGTGTCCTCACATGCTGGAAACTACAGAGAAGCTCCCTCTGGCCTCTTTTACAAAGACACTAATCACATGCATGAGGGTCCCGCACTTAGCCCTAATCATCTGCCAAGGACCATGTCTCCTAGTACTGTCACATTGGGGATTAGGTTTCAAAATAAGTTTGGGTCACAAACATTCAGACCCTACAGGCAGTTCTCCTTTCTACTTTTTGGGAACCCTGAATGCCAGGTAGAAAGTCCAGCTATCCTGCTGGAGAGGCCTAGCAGGAAGGAGAGGACTCAACACTCTATAGAGAAGGAGGGGCTCCCAGCGTTTCAGTGCTGAGCCCCCAGATGACCCCACACCCAGCTGCCATCTGGCTACAAACACATAAGAGATTATAAACACAACCAGCAGAAGAGCTGCCTGGTCAATCCCCAGAATGGAGAGAGCTAAACATGAGTGTTATGGTTTTAAGCTGCTAAATGTTGGGGTGGTGTGTTATGCAGAAAGAAAGAAACAAAACACTGCTCAAGCAGAAACAGGGCACAATTTCTGTATTAATCTCTTCTCACAATTCTATTAAAAGTGATGGCAAAAACCGCAACTACTTCCGTACCAACCTAATATAAAGAAAGAAATACCCTGAGACTCGGTAATTTATAAAGAAAAGACATTTATTTGGCTCACAGTTCCGCAGGCTGCATAGGAAACCCGGTGCCGGTATCTGCTTGGCTTTTGAGGTGGCCTCAGGAAACTTACAATCATGGCAGAAGGTGAAGGAGGAGCTGGCACTTCACATGGCCAGAGCAGGAAGAAGAGAGAGAGGGAGAGTTGGTGCCACACACTTTTAAACAACCAGATCTTATGAGAACTCACAATCACTGCAACAGCACCAAGGGAGAGAGTGTTAAACCATGAGAAACCACACCCATGATCCAATCACTTCCCACCAGGCCCCACCTCCAGCACTGCAGATTACAATTCAGCATGAGATTTGGGTGGGGACATAGATCCAAACCATACCACTTTCTAAGAGCTGGTTTCCAGCCCCTGTCCAGCCCACTGCGTGCTCTGATATTGACCACACCCCGCCTTGGTTTTCCAGGTGTTGCCTTTTCTCAGTTAATGGAATTAGCAGCAGTGAGAGAGGAGTCAAGGCCCCGGAGGAGGGGCCTCTTTTTCAAAACTGCTGGCTTTTTGGATTAACTGGGTGGCATATCCCCAAAACAACCAGGCTACCTGCGTGGGTGGGTGGTCAAATGCAAGGGGTAAGCAAGCGCAGCAGAAACAGAAGAGTCCTGGGAAAGAAGGTGAGAGGGGAACTTTGTCAAGCAGGAAAAATGAAAATGCCAGATTCCAAGCAAATAGACCTAAGGAGAGTCTGGGAAGATGGGTGATTGTTTTACTGGCTTTACAACATCATTTTGCTGGCTGATGTCTCAAGACAGAATTGTGCCACCCGAATCCCAGTTCCTCCTCTGAGGGAAGGAG
This sequence comes from Homo sapiens, assembly GCF_000001405.40. Lineage (NCBI taxonomy): Eukaryota > Metazoa > Chordata > Mammalia > Primates > Hominidae > Homo > Homo sapiens. The sequence goes on along the minus strand of NC_000014.9, from coordinate 89,094,115 downwards.
GCTAAAGTTTATGGAGCAGGGACTGAGGGCGAGCATGGGGCCAGGTGCTGTCCTGCACATGTCTACGGGGGAGAGGCTGGACCACCCAGGATGGCTCTTGGTTGCTTGAAATCCTTAAGTTCTAGTTCCAGTCATCAGTTTCAGCCTTGAGTCTTGTTTTGTATTCATTTTAATTAGAAATACGTTATTCTTTTTATTTCATTTTTTCAGCTTTATTTCAATTTCAATTCTTTTTAGTTCAAGACAGAAAAAATATGTCAAAAATAATGTGAGGACATCTTAGGGTGGAAGAATCTACTTGTATTTATTGCCTTTGGTAGAAATGGAAATACAGCAACATAAATGTTTGAACAAGTACATTTTCCCCCTTCAAATATGAATGCACCAAGAGCCACTTAAAATGTCTTTTCTCCTTGATTTTCTCATTCACATTTCACCCTGACATCTGAGCAGCTTCCACATAAGATCACAGTAAACCTCTCCCTTCTTATTTAATAAGTCAGGATTTAAGGCATCAATTGTATTTGAATACACCAAAAGCTTGCAGAGAGAGAGCAAAGAGAGAGAGAGAGCAAGAGAGAGTGACTTTTAAGTACTTGGTTATTGTTGGTCTATAGGAGAAATCAGCTCCTGTCACTCATGAGGTACATAAAGGTGATTCGAAGGAAATGTTCATAAGGGATGGCCTGTTGTTTTCTGTGTCTACTGAAAAAGACTTAAAGTGCTGAGAGATGAAAGGACTTCTAGTCTCTGAGAATTGTTAAGCACCAGAACCAGCCTGAGCAGTGATGAAATGCTTTTGCATACGTGTATGTTTTCTAGAATTGTTCAGCCATGGCAATATTTGAACACAAGAAGTAAGTCCCAGTTTTGTTATTCCTGCTGCACTTATTAATGAGTCATGATTCATTTGTTTTTTAAAAGGAGCTATAAATAAAGCCAGGGCATAGTTCGAACACAGTTTAGATTGAAAGATTTTTTTGCAGGTTTGTTTTTTGTAAGTCACTGCAGGAATTAATAAAATACTCTGTATACACTTGAGCTCATATATTGACAATGCCCCCCGTTGTGTCCCCTCCTCAGGATCTCTCTACCTTTAAATATTCTGCCTTTAGAAGGTTAGAAGACAGTATGATTAACATTAAAAATATATCTATGTATACAGACACACACACAATATTTAAACATATGGAGCACTAAGTCAGGATGGGAACACAATAGATTGCCCTGTTTTCTTCCACCCCTTTCCATTGGTCCTTCTTTTGTCTCCCAAGGCCATGTTGCTTTTGGCCAATTGAATATGGACAGTGAAAACATACACCAAACCCAAATAGAGATTTTAACTGTGTGTGTGGATTGGCTTGATCATTTGCACTACCGCCCAGCACCATGAGAAGAATTCACCCCAGGTAGTTACTGATCTTTTAGCCTAGGTCATGGCAAAAGATTTATGTCAGGTCTGGACCAGACCTGAAGCCCAAAGCCAAGCCACCACAGCCAACTCACAAAACTCTGAGTGAGAAATAAACATTGTTGTTGCACGTCATCAAGATTTGGGGGGACGTTTGTTACACAGCATTAGCTCAGCAATAGCTGACCCATGTAAGAGCTTATAGATGATTTTAAATGTTCATTTTTGTGTGTGTATTTGTATTTCCGTTTTTCTACAATGAACAAATGTTATTTAATTTATTCAATCAATAATTATGTGGTGAGAACCTACTGTGTGCCTGCTCCTGTGCTAGACATTGGGAATAAGGTCGTCAGAAAAACAATTTATATACCTGCCCTCATGAAACATAGAGTCTAATGAGGGAGACAGGCTTTCATGTAATCATCACACACACAAATGTAAAACTGCACCCATGTTGTGTTACAGATGGAGAGTCTGTGGGGCTAGAAGTGTATAGAAAACAGAAATGCAGCTTAGGCAGAAATATCTGGAAAGGCTCCACTGAGAATGTCATGATTGGGCTGAGATCTGGAGAATGAATAGGAGTTAACCAGGTAAAATCATGTAATAAAAAGTAATTTTTAGGAATAATAGCTTTGTTTTTATTTTTCAGGTTTTGCCTGCCTGTCATAACTTGGACAAGTTATATTTAGTCTGAGGATCAAGTTACCATTGAACTTGATATTAACAGCCTGTCTATATAGCTGGAACACCTAGCTGTCCACCTCAATCTGCAGTCCCCCTCCCATAGTATGAGGCTGTTGTTGAGAAGTGGCTGTCCAACCAGGGACTCATTTCCCAGACCCCCTTATGTCCAGGTGCCATTGTTCTTGCCAATAGAATCAAGCCCCAGTCATGGGTATTATTTCCGGGATAGGTTTGTTAAGAAGCAGGTGTGCCTGCTCCACACAGACCCTTTTCCCTTCCATCAGAAGATGAAACTGACAACAATGAGTTCTTCTTGTGGAGCCAGAAAGGGAAGAGGGCCGGAACCCTGAACGACCACGTGGAGGAAAGCTGTCCACCAACCAAAAATGCCTGCCTTGGAACACCCATTCATTGCTATGTGGGCAAGAAATAAACTAACATGTCAAGCTGCTGAAATCTGGAGACCTATTTGTTATGGCAGCTGTGTTATCCTGATTAATAGGACATATATTTCAAAAATGGATTCAGTGATTTCTTGGCTCACACATGGACATAGCCAGCCTTCTAACTGGGTGGAATATTTCCTTTGTGTGGATTGAACTTTGGGTTCAATTTTCTTTCTCGCCATCTGGTAGGAAGGATGTTCGTGTGGATGCCGCATATCACAACCGATTGGTGAATTTGGTGGAATGGATTGCTTTTATATGCCCTTAATTTTGTTTGCTTCTCTAAGTTCATGAATTCTTATGGGTGATGCTGACATTTTTGGCATGAGAAATGTTTTACACAAATCAGAGATGCTCTGTTGCAACTCAAAACACATTTGGCTTGAAAGAAATACCACACTCACTCACATAAATCTAAAAGGCCATGTTTGTGAGGGTGGGGGTCCCATGGAGGAGCCTGATTTGGGAGGCAGTGGGGAGCCATTAGAAGTTCTCTAGAAGGACAGTGATATGACTGAAGAGATATTTTAGGAAGATGAATCTGATATAGCACACAGGAAAAAATGAGAAAGAAAATAGCTCAGGGACATAGGGACAAACTTGCAACAATCCAGCCATGAAATAAAGAGGCCTGGTCTAGGATGGCACCAGTAGGAATGAAGAGAAACAGGTGAATAAATGAGGCTGAAGAAACGAAACAGCAACACTTGACCACTGTTCACAGCTCATCAACTGCTCTTATCAAACCTCAGAGTTTCCATGTACCAGTTTATTCATATGGCTCTATCAGCCCATCATCCGTGCAAAAGTAACAATACTGACGGGACTATTAAAGTTATGGTATTGTTTTTAAAAGAATGATCATAAGAAAAAAGGAATAATTGCTCCAACATATAGAAATAAGACAAATGAACAATTTTTCCAAAATCATCTGCAGTAGCTGACTGCTCCCTAGGGAGGAAAGGATTGCACATTTTAATTGGAGGGGAAATGACTTAAACACACTTTTATGCTGGAAAAAGAAAAAAATGCCAAAGGCTAGGAGACGAGTATGAGAGGAAAGAGAAAGCCAGAAAATGATTTTTTTGTTGTTGTTTTTTTTTTGGAGGCAGTGGAAAGTCACTTCTATGTGTGTTTTGCTAGAGTAATGGTGGGGCTGCTGGGGTTGAATCCTGCTGTGGGATTTTAGGCAACTCAATTAACTCACTTGTGTTCAATTTGCTCATCTGTAAAATGGAGTTGGAAACAGTAATTCCTATGCCATTAGGTTGTTGGGAGTATTAAGTAAGGAAATTCACATAAAGCACTTACCATAGAGCCAGGTACAAATTAATTACTCTGTAAATATTAGTTCTTACTATTATTACCAAACTGCAAACAGAGGCAAAGTCTCCACGAAAAAAAAAAAAAGTGAACTTACCCAACAGCCCCAGCCTTTGGTGGGCAAAATGAGGTAGACATTTTTGTAGGACAGGGGTTATCAAACTGCAACCCACAGGCCAAATCCAGCCTGCCCACTGCCTATATTTATAAATAGCTTTATTAGAACACAGTTGCATTCCTTTGTTTGTATTATCTATATCTGCTTTTGTGCTAAAATGGCAGAGTTGAGTAGTATGACAGAGATCATCTGGCCTGCAAAGCCTAAAATATTTACTAGGGAAGCACTGCATTAGTTTGCTAGGACTGTCCTAACAAAGTCTCACAGACTGAGTGGCTTAAATAACAGAAATTTATCTTCTCACAGTTCTGGAGGCTGGAAGTCCAAGATCAAGGTGTCAACAGGGTTGCTTCCTTCTGAGGGCTGTGAGGGACAACCTGTGTCAAGCCTCTGTCCCAGCTGCTGGTGGTTTCCTGGTAATCTTTGGCATTCCTTGGCTTACAGAAGTATGGCCCTGACCTCTACCTTCATCTTCACATGACGTTTTCCCTGTGTGCTGTCTCTGTCCAAATTTCTCCTTTTATCAGGACACCAGTCATATAGGCTTAGGGGCCCTCCTTACTCCAGAATGACCTCATTTTAACAAGTTATATGTACCTTGACCCTATTCCCAAATTAGGTCATATTCTGAGGTACTGAGGGCTAGGACTTCAACATAAGAATTTTAGAGGGCTACAACTCAACCCACAACAGATCCTTTACAGAAAAAAATTTGACAACTCCTGCTGTGGAGAAATTGTACAACATTGTCTCTCATCTTGTGAGCTGGGTTTGACCCCAAGGTACAGAAATTGAACTTGGAGAGGTTGTCTCGCTGCTGGTAGGTGGGGATGTTAAGCTTTGGAGCTGGGCAGTTGGACTCTTTAGCCTCTGTGTTCACACAGGCAGATGTTATGCTGAACAAGATCATGCCATTTCCTGTTCAGAAACTTCCAGTGGCTCTCCTCGCACCTGAGCAAATCCCAGTTCCTCTCCATGGCCTACGAGGTTCTAGGCGTGATCTCACCCTGACCTTCCTTCTTGACCTTGACCTTGCCTCCTGCCAGTCTCCTCTGCCCACCAGGCTGCAGAATCAGGCCCACTTTCTGTTTCTGAAATTCACATACTCCTCCTTACCTTGAGGCCCATGTCCAACTCTTCCCTGATCTGTAATATTCTTCCCACTGGCTGCTTCTTGTCACTTAGATCTCATCTTAAGATCAGCCTCTTAGAGAGGTTTTCCCAACTCCCCTAGTCCAAGGCATGCTCTCCCATCATCCCTATCTCGTCACCTTATTTTCATTCAGTTGGAGTGCTTATTTCTATCTGATCCTCTCTCATCTATTTGTTTGCTTATTGTCAATTTCCCTGCCAGAGTATAAGCCCCAGGAGAGAGAATCTTGTTGGCCTTACTCCCCACAGTATCTGCAGCATCTGGAACAGTTCCTGCGTCTAGTAGGAGCTCCAAAAATATTTGTACTTTGCTGAATGACCAAGACAGGGACCGATGGCTAAAACATTTAATGAATTACTCCAAAAACAAACTCTCTCTCCTCAGAGGAGTTTATTCAATGAAATATTTTTCCTCCTGTGGTTACATTTGATTAAGAAATATGTTTTCACAATTATGCCTGAATTTTTCCAATATGTATTTCACATCAGACAACTAGATTCTAGGAAAATGTAAAGTTCCTAATCAAGGGGAAAAAAACCAAACATGTTTAAAATCATCTCTGGAAGAAGTACAACCCTACATGCAAGTCATGAATTTTATGTCTGGTCTTCTCTGCTACTAATTAGCCTCTTCTCTCCTCTTAAAGTCACAGTGTCTTCTTGGTGCATCGTCACAGTGTTTTGTACACATTCAAAATTCAGGAAATATTGAGTTAAGAATGAGGAGACCATGTTTTTGTGTGGCTGAAAAGTCCAAAATACACTGCTCGTCACCACCTCTGGGAAGCCTTTTCTGATTCTCCCAGGCAGAATTGAATTATTTCTTTCTTTGGTCTGATGGTATTATTCACTTGACTCTATGATCACTCTAATGTCCAACACTAACATGAAACTTAGTATGCACCCTCTTTGTCCATTTTCTGTTGCTGTAACAGAATACCACAGACCAGGTAATTTATAAAGAAAAGAAATGTATTTCTTACAGTTTTGGAGGTTGGGAAATCCACAAAGATGATGTCAGCATCTGGTGAGGACCTTCTTGCTTCATCATAATGTGGTGGAAGAGTGAATATGGGAGACATAGAGAAAATCAGGCCAAACTCATCCTTTTATCAGGAACTCACTCCAGAGATAACTAACCTATTCCCTCCATAATGGCATTAATCCATTAATCACCTCTTAAAGGTCCCACTTCTGAATACTGTTGCAATGACATTTAATTTTCCAACACAGAAACTTTGAGGGACATATTCAAACCATAGCAGGCACTCAGTTAAATGGATGCATAAGCAATAAAATTAAAATAGTGTAAGAAAGAAACTAAGAATTGGGACGGGCTTTATAAATCATCCAGGCAATGTTTCCCCAAATTCAGCCATTTGCATCTCCCTTCACAATTTTTGGTATACTGTTAATTCTTACGTTTTACTTTAAATCAAGCTTCCTACTATTTAAATACATGTATATTTATGAAAAATTTGCATCAAAATTATAAATGGAAATCTGGCATGGCTTGCATTAATAGAAAGCAACATCTACCCCTCCAAAAACAAGTGAAAGACAATGTCCTAAAACTCCAGCTGGGTGTCATGGGCTGAATTATGTTCCTTCAAAATTCATATGTTGAAGTCCCAAAGCCCCAAACCTCAGAATGTGACCGTATTTGGATGTAGGGGCTTTAAAGAGGTAATTATGTTCAAATAGGGTGGGTGGGCCCTAATGCAGTATGACTGGTTTCCTTATAGGAAAAGGAGATTAGGGCAGAGAGGGAGAAAGAGAGAGAGAGGAGAGAGAGGCTAGACATGCACGTGCACAGAGGAAAGACCCTGTGAGGACACAGAGAGAAGGCGGCCATCTGCAAGCCAAGGAGAGATGACTCAGAAAGCACCTGCTGACACCTTGATCTCAGACTTCTAGCCTCCAGAGCCAAGAGAAAATAAATTTTTGTTGTTTAAACGAGCCAGTCTGTTGTATTTTGTTATGGTAGACTTAACAAACTAATATACTGGGTATTACTGCCTGCTGAAAAATGCTGAGCCCAGTCTGCTCTCTTTTAGTTAAAAAGTGAGATTATAAGAATAAAAGGGCCAGGGACGGTGGCTCATGCCTGTAATCTCAGCACTTTGGGAGGCCGAGCCAAGGCAGACAGATCGCCTGAGTCCAGGAGTTCAAGGCCAGCCTGGCCAACATGACAAAACCTCATCTCCACAAAAAATACAAAAAAATTGGCTGGGCATGGTGGTGCATGCCTGTAGTCCCGGCTACTTGAGAGTCCGAGGTGGGAGGATCATCTAGATGAGCCCGGAAGGTTGAGGCTGCAGTAAGCTGTGATCACGCAACTGCACTCCAGCCTGGGTGACAGAGTGAGACCCTGTCGAAAAAGAAAAGAAAAGAAAAGAAAGAAGTGTTAAAGATGTACTATCACCAACAGAGACTTTCTCCTTGATGAAATCAGAAGTAGGTAGAATTTTTAAAGAAAGGACTTTTTCAATATGAGAAACTCAGTCAGGTCTGGATTATACTCTATGTTTAAAAATCTCGGTGTCTTAACACATTAAATGTTTATTTCTAACTAACTCACGTTATGTGTTTTACACAGGTTGGTGGGGAGTCTTCTCTGCCCAGTCACTCGGCAGGCTAAGCTGACGAAGGCTCCACCATCTTAGAACTGGGTAATCTGTAATGCAAGGCACTCTCTGCCACCATGTGTGAGGAAGAGAGAGTTTGGAGAACGGTGCACAGGCTTCCCACTATCTGAGACTGGAAGTGGCACACATAATTTCTGTACACATTTCATTGGTCAGAGCTAGTCATATGGCCTCACCTAATACAAACAAGAGGGCTAGGAAATGCGGGTGAGCAAATGGATTCTTTGGGGGGTGTTTTTCTGTCTCTTCCACAAGATCCGATGCTATTTTATGTCATAGTTCTGTACTTCTAAAATCATCTTGAGTATATCTCAAGAATGCATCCTGTGCTTTGGGGGAAGAAAAGGATCTGGGCCAAGCTCTTAATTGCATAGCTGAGAATACTGAAATCTCCAGTGTAAATAAGTGCTTCCTTGCCATGACCCGCCCTCTTCGTGGAACGTCTGCAGCCACATCTCCTGTCTCTTGAGGCCTGCACTTACACTCTTTCCACTCAACCCTGTGAGCACGCAATGGTAGCAGCTAGAATAATTTGGATGTCTATTTTTGGTGCAAGAACCTTTCATTGTTCATTTCAAGTAAGATCATAACTGGGGAAATATTCTAAAGGCCAATACTGATATTGAAGAATGTGAGGACAACTTGTTCCATTTACCATTTCATCCAGAACACGCAGAGACCTTTCCTATTCCGTGTTGGAGACGAATACATCTGCAGAATCAATGAGAAAGTATGATTGCTCAGTGTTGTCTGGTTAGCATCCAATTATGTACAGTGTATTTATTTTAAATTTAGAAGACGCACACAAGAGATTTCCAGGAACAAAATGAGAAGAAATTGGCAGTGCACTGAATGGAAAAAATTAATGACTTGAATTACACAGCCTGTGAATCGAAGCCGACGAGTGGGGGAGAGAGAGGGAGAAAGGAGGTTGCAGTTATTCACACTGAGCTGTGCCGATGGTCCTGAGCAGTGCTTGAAAAGCGGTCACCCTCGGTGCAGCTGTCACATTCTTTATCTTCATGGCGGGGCTGGGCTTTGCAGGTCACAAACGTGTCATGGTTTTGGGAGTATAAAAATGATGCCCCCAAACAGACTTCAACAGCAAGCGTCCTTTTGGAGAATAGATTCAATGCTTAAGTTTTAGCATAATCAGTTTGTCAGCTTTCCTGGGCGAGAGGGAGGAGGAGAGTGAGCCAAGGCCATGAGTAAAGGAACGAGGACTGGGACTTTGGGCATCTCTGCCGAGTCACTGATGGAAGGAATCAGCATTTGTTGAGCTCCTCCTCTATGCTGGCATCTATGATGTTCTAGGGACCCTCACATGTATGGTCCCGTTTATCCTTCTTGATTATCCCTGGTTTCAGAAGCACAGAAACTAAGGTAAGAAAGGTAGATGATCTTGACCTTTCTTGATCTCACATGGGTTATGGGTTGAATTGCATTCCCCTAAATTCCTACATTGAAATCCTCACTCCCAGTGTCTCAGAATATGACCTTATTTAGCAATAGGGTTCTCGTAGAGTAATTAGCTAAGATGAGGTTATTCTGGAATAGGGTGAGCCTCTAAGCCAATATGACTGGTGTCCTGATTAAAAAGGGGAAATGTGGATATGGACAGCACACAGAGAGAACACATGTGAGATGAAGGCAGAGGTCAGGGCAATGCTTCTACAAACCAAGGAAAACTAAAGATGGCCGGCAAACCACCAGCAGCTGGGAGAAAGACCTGCAACAGATTCTCCCGCACAGCCCTTAGAAGGAAGCAACCCTGCCAACACCTTGATCTTGGACTTTCAGCCTCCAGAACTGTGAATTAATAAGTGTCTGTTGTTTGAGTCACCCAGGCTGTGGTGCCTTGTTGTGTCAGCCCTAGAAAACTAATACAACATGGTCACCAAGCAGAGGGGCCACTGGTTTCCTCTGCATCTCAATCTGGTCTATGAAGGCAGGGCCTTGCCTTGGTGCCTGCTCTCTCCCTAGCACGTGGCCCACCTGACAGCCACACATTTTTCCTCATTTTATAAAAGGATGACACTGAACCCAGGGGCTCACTGCCCTGTCCAAAGCTCCACAGCCAGGTATTTACAACCAGGGGAAGGTCCTTCTGTGCTTCCTCCTGCACTCAGTCAAGATCCAGGACACCACTCCATTTTCAGAGTGGTCTGGGCCAGCTTCTTGGGCTCCTGATCCATCAAAAGCAGAAAGTAGAAAATGAATGTTTCAGGCCTGGCAGTGCCTGAAATCTTTCCTGGGGGAAGAGGTTTATATTTCTAACTTTCAGTCGAACCTTGGGATGCCAAACTGAAGGGAGGCTAATGGAGATTAAAGGTGTATTAGGCCATTCTCACATTGTTATAAAGAAATATCTGAAACTGGGTAATTTATAAGGAAAAGAGGTTTAATTGGCTCATGATTCCACAGGCTGTACAGGAAGCATGGCCAGGGAGGCATCAGGAAACTTACAATCATGGTAGAAGGTGAAGGGGAAGCAGGCACGTCCTACATGGCCAGAGCAGGAGGAGGAGAGAGAAACGTATGCCCCAAAGCACTGTGCTATGGGAAGTGTCTTAGTCACTACTAATTCAGACTGCTATAACAAAATACCACGGTCTGGGTCGCTCAGAAACAACAGAAATGTATTTGTCACCATTCTGGAAGTTGTGAATTCTCAGACCAGGGCACTTTTGGCATCTGGTGAGCACTCTCTTCATAGATGGCCATCTTTTCACTGTGTCCTCACATGGCAGAAGCAAGCTCTCTTGAGATTTTTATAAGGACACTAATCCCAGTCAAAAGGGCTTCACTCTCATGACCTAATCACCTCCCAAAGACCCTACCTTCAAATATCTACTCTTTTGGGGTTAGGTTTCAACATACAAATTTTGTTGGGACACAAATATTCAGAACACAGCAGGAAATAACTGCTATCATCCAGCCAAGGTATGTGCACCCCATTGGCCATAGGTGGACCGGGTGAGGCCAGCTATGTGAGACCAGCCATGCTCTCCACCCTCACACCCCCACTTGGAAAGCAGCCAGGCTGAACTGGTCTTTGTTCACTAAGTGTGTGGGGCTCTTACCCTTACTGCCACCAGCTCCAGCCAACCTCCAATATAGGTTGAGATGACACTTTCCCTGAGACCTCAAAAGCCAGGTCAGTTTCCCTCTGGGCTCACTGGGATTAGAGCCTTCCCTCTTCAGGCAGCTCCCACACCAGACTAGGAACACCTCCAGGTGAAGGGCAGAGTCAGGTTCACTGCTTCCCCCTCCCAGAGCCTGCCACAGGATCTCTCTAGTTCTACAGCATTTATTCAAAGAAAGGATGAATGAGTCCCCAGGGTGCTCCCCAACAGAGTCACTTTGAGGGCAGCCACACTCTTAAGAAGTCTGTGGACTGGTCAGACCCTTCTCAGCCCTGCTAACCCCAATCCAGGAGATGGGTGAGCTGCTGGCAAACAGGGAGGAGGGAGGGGGAGGAAGGGAGAGGAGAGCAGAGCTCTAATAGAGGCACAGCCCAGGGTCCCTTATAGTTGCTGAAGGTGCCACTTGGCTGCTCTTTGTCTACCCCTGTTGGCTGCCTTGGTCATCGACTTAAACCTTGTTACAGATTGGGGTGGGGAGGGAGTCATTTCGTGGGTGTCTTGAGACTGGGAAGTAATTAAAGAGTGTGATGCTGGTGGGCATTTAGATTGATTCCATGTCTTTGCTGTTGTAAATGGTGCTGCAATGAACATATGCATTCATGTGGCTTATTGGTAGCACGATTTCTATTCCTTTGGGTATATACCCAGTAATGGGATTGCTGGGTTGAATGGTAGTTGTTTTTAGCTCTTTGAAGAATCACCACACTGTTTTCCACAATGGTTGAACTAATTTACACTCCCACCAACCGTGTATAAGCATTCCCTTTTCTCTGCAATACACTATGGAATACTATGCAGTCATAAAAAAGAATGAGATCATGTCCTTTGCAGGAACATGGATGGAACTGGAGGCCATTATCCTTAGCAAACTAATGCAAGAATAGAAAACCAAATATTGCATGTTCTCACTTAGTAGGAGCTCAATGATGAGAACACATGACACATAGAGGGGAACAACACACACTGGGACCTACAGGAGGGTGGAGAATGGCAGAAGAAAGAGGATCAGAAAAAATAACTACTAGGTACCAGGCTTAGTACCTGGGTGGCGAAATAATTCGTACAACAAACCCCCGTGACACGAGTTTACCTAAATAACAAACCTGCACATGTATCCCTGAACCTAAAATAAAAGTTAAAAAAAAAAGCAGCATGATATTATTAATAGAAAGAATAACTCTTGGGGGAAGAAACCCACCCTGCATGCCTGAGTGGCCTCAAAAGGACACTTTGCTCTCTGATGGTCTGAATTCAAGTCCCATTTGCCTCATTTACTAACTGGGTACCTGGAAGACATTCTGACCCCTCCCTAAAATTCCATTTTTTCATAGGTAAATGAGCTTTACCACATACTCTCCTTCCTGGCTTGCTGTAAGAACTGAGTGCGATACACGTATGAAAATGCTGTGAGGCTGGCTGAACGAACAGCTTGTTCATTCTCTCTGGACTGACACTGGGACAAGGTACCGGCGTGCAGGCCTGTTCTGAGGACAGTGCATCAAGTATGGCGAGTGTGTGGTCAACCCCTCCATCTCAGGGACCTGGAGAGATGTATTCATTCCAGACCTGGCTCTCGGGTTCTTGGGAGACACTAAGATAAATATGCAATTTCTGCCTTGGAGAGATTTATAATTAAGAGGAGAGTTAAGACATTTAATAGCTACTTAAATGTACTAATGCGTGACCTTGGTGTCAGCCATGATCTCTTAGCCTCTTAAAATCCAAATAAGATTTGCTTCAAGTTCTCAGTCTGCATTCCGGGCAAGTACAAAACCATCCCCAGGAGGAGTGAGAATTCCCTGGAGGCTCAGAGCCCCTCTGATGGTGTCCCTGCTGCCTCTGCTGGCAGATCAGTTTCATTGTCCATCTCATTGTCCCAGCTGACCACCTCAGGGACCCAGACATGGAGCTCAGTCTCTTTCTGGCTTCCCAACAAAACTCCCACTCAGACAAGGCATGTGTGTATATGTGGCCTACTTTCTTGGAGTTTTGTGGGGAGGGCAGCAAAAAGGGGTTTTTGTTGCCAACATACAATGCCTTCAAATTGAATATTTGCATCGTAACGTCTCCTGGCCACCCTGACAATGGAGGTGTCAACACATGGTGCCCCAGCTGCATCCCATCTCACTTAATTTTTTTTTTTTTTTTTTTTTTGAGTCAGAGTCTTGCTCTGTCACCCAGGCTGGAGTGCGGTGGGTGATCTCGGCTCACTGCAAGCTCTGCCTCCTGGGTTCAAGTGATTCTCCTGCCTCAGCCTCCTGAGTAGCTGGGACTACAGGCATGTGCCACCACACCCAGCTAATTTTTGTATTTTTAATAGAGATGGGGTTTCACCATGTTGGCCAGGCTGGTCTCGAACTCCTGACCTCAAGTGATCCGCCCTCCTTGGCCTCCCAAAGTGCTGGGATTACAGGCGTGAGCCACCGTGCCAGGCCTCTCACTCAATCTTGATTCCCTTTGTGCATCTCGTTGTTGTTCTTCGTCACCTCCTTCCCCCAGGATTATCTCTTAGGATCCAAATTCTTCACCCTCCTTTCTGCAGAGCAATTCCTCTCTCCCTTGTCTCTTCCTGCACTTGCTTCCAGAGTCCCCTCTACAGTTCCTAACTCATTGGGGTGTGGGACTTTCTGAATTTCTTGAGTCTGACTGTTTGCAGCAACCACATGTCTCCATTACATGGGGTTGGGGCCTTCAGAGGCAAAAGAAGAGATCCCAGTACTGGGGGCCCTGGGAGAAAAGGTGTAAGCCTGGGTGCCCACCACATTCAAGAGAGCAGGGGCCCAGTTCTCCTGCCTCAGCTCCATATCAGTCTCTAGTTTTTTGTTTGTTTGACTTTACATTGAAGTTTAATATACATACAGAGAAGTGCATCTGCCATAAGTGTAGAGCCCAGTGTGAATTCTCCCACCTGAATATGCCTGTGTAACCAGGATCCAGACCAAGATGCAGAACATGCTAGCATCCCCCAGTCACTATCTTCCACAAAAGGTGAAGCACTATCCTAACTGCTAACTGCAAAGATTTGTTTTACCTGGTTTTGTATTTTATGTAAGTGGAATCCCATAGCCTATAATTCTTTGTGTCTGGCATCTTGCGTTCAACATTTTATTTGTGAAATGCAGCTACATTTTGGGGTGTTGTTATAGATAGTTCATGCCCTTTATAGTTTCTTTTTGTGAATACACCACTATTTCTAGTCTATAGTTGATGGATATTTGGGGTATTTCCAGTTTGGAGCTACCATGTGGCTTCTGCTTTTGAACCAGATGTTTGCAGAGTCAGTTACCCCAAAAGAGATACTGAACACAAAAGAAAGTCACTCATTCATTCAGCAAACACCATCTGTGGGAAACCTACAATATGCCAGCCATGTAGACAAACACCGAGATGGGACAGTGTTCAAAGTCGACATGCCCCAGCCCTCATGGAGCTGAATGTTTGTAAGGGAAATGGTGTGTAGTCAGATGATTAGAACACAGCCAGATCCGAGCTTTGCTAAGGGTGGAGAGAAAGTCAGCAAAGTGTAGGCTCGAAGCTTCAGACAAAGGTGGCTGCCGAGAGTGTGTTCAAGGTAGAAGGAACACCTTGTGCCAATGGCACATTTGCAAAACTTGAATGTTCCTCTTACTGGGGTGGGCAGTGGGGTGAGACCAAGCTGCAGAGATAGGCAGGGGCTGCATCTTGAAAGGCTGAGAGAACTGGCCAGGTGCAATGGCTCACACCTATAATTCCAGCACTTTGGGAGGCCAAGGCAGACAGATAGCTTGAGCTCAGGAGTTCAAGGCAAGTCTGGGCAACATGGTGAAACCTCATCTCTACAGAAAAATACAAAAATCTTATCAGAGCATGGTGGCATGCACCTGTAGTCCCAGCTACTTGGGAAGCTGAGGTGGGAGGATGGCTTGAGCTGGGAGTTCGAGGCTGCAGTGAGCCAAGATCACGCTACTGCACTCCAGCCTGGGTGACAGAGAGATGCCGTGTCAAGAAAGAAAGAAAGAAAGAAAGAAAGAAAGAAAGAAAGAAAGAAAGAAAGAAAGAAAGAAAGAAAGAAAGAAAGAAAGAAAGAAAGAAAGAAAGAAAGAGAGAAAGAGAGAAAGAAAGAGAAGGAAAGGAAAGGAAAAGAAAAGAAAAGAAAAGGTTGATAGAACCATTGTAGAATTGGGATTTCTCTTGAGGAAAAAAAGTTCCACCTAAATACAGGAGTGAGATGAACCGCTTTGCCTTAAAGAAGCCCCTTCTGGCTGTGGTGTGGGTGGCTGGCATGGGCATGCCTGGAAACCAGTTCAGGCAGGGCAGTGTGTTTGACCAGGGAAGAGGTGGTGGGCATGAGCACTCCCTACAATTCTGCCTGCTGACCTAGACCTCACATTGCCACCTGCAAGGTGATTTGTTTGCCATTAACCAAGCACAAGGGCCCTGCACAGGACACATTTGCTTAGGGAATCCCACATTTATATTTCCTATGTTGTTTAGTCTGGAATCTTCCAAAACACACTCCCATTTGACCTTTCTGTGTTTCTGGAGCCCTCCCTTCCCGTGCCAAGCTCTGACCCTCTACAGCTGTCTTACGGGTCTGAGGTCTTTGGCCGTGTCTTTGAAGCTTCCTGGCTTGGCTCCTTTGAGACCAGGAGTCTGGGAAGGGAAGACTCGATCTTGCCTCACAGGGAAGGAGGCAGCTGTCGGGCCGCCTTTCCTCTGCCTTGCTTGTTCTGCATTTTTGGGTGAGCTGTTTTTGTTTAATGTAAGCAGAGCAAATCCATCCATAGCAAAATCAGAGAAAATAACTTGTTGATGTGTAAACCAGGATGTCACAAATAACCCTGTTTGTTTAATTATAGCAGGCTGAGTGCTTGGAGCCGGGAAGGGGGTGGTGGTAGCGGTGGTGCTCTAGGAGGGGAATTCAGGATACCATTGCAGGCGTCCCGGAGGCCTGCGGATGGGACCTGGAGGAACATGTGAGTGCCTGGAGCCACGTGGATAAACTGGGGCACATCTGGTGCCTGAGTCAAGCCCAACCGAGTGGGTAGACAGCTTTCGGTGCTAATGGGAGCTTGCTGTAGAGTCGCTAGACAGAAAAATTAAATCATAGATGAAAGGATAAAAAAGGTACATGGAAATAATAAGGCTGCGAACATAAGAAATTTTGACTTGATGAGTAATTGCTTTATGAAAAAGTTTGTTCTTCGCCATGAAATACATCAGTGTGGTCAAGAACAGAGAACAGTGGGCCTCCCACCCAACCCCACCTACAATTGTCTCCTCTTCTGTTTCAGGGAGATTATGGAAACAGGACTTTAAAAAGCTAGGAGCAATGCAGTGTTGAGTTTAAGATCATGGGCTTTGGATTTAGGTAGACCTGGGTTCAAGTCTGGGCTCAGACTAAAGAGCATAAGAGGGTAGTGGAAGTATAAATGTGAGGTTCCCTAAGCAAATGTGTCCCGTGGCAGGCCCTTGGACTTGGTTAATGGCAAATGAATCATCCTGGCGGTGGAATAGTGAGGTCTGGGTCAGCAGGCAGAATTGTTGGGGCTGCTCATGCCCATCACCTCTTCACTGGTCATACACTGCCCCACCTGAACCCCTGCTTCTAGGCGTGCCCATGCCAGCCACCCACACCACAGCCAGAAGGGTGCTTCTTAAAGGCAAGTGGTTCATGCTGCTCCTTTATTTAGGTGGAGCTTTTGTCTTCAAAAAAATTAGCCAGGCGCCCGCCACACACCTGGTTAATTTTTTCTTACTACAAAAACCACTGTAAACAATTTAAAAGAAAAGATGCAGATTAGGAAAAAGTATTTTTAATTTTATGTAGTAGTAGGAATTTAAACAAATTTGCAAGAAAAAAACAACCCTATTAAAAAGTGGCCAAAGGAGTTGAACAGACACTTATCAAAAGAAGACACACATGCAGCCAACAAACATATGAAAAAAAGCTCGTCATCACTGATCTTTAGGGAAATGCAAATCAAAATCACAGTGAGATGCCATCTCACGCCAGTCAGAATGGCTATTACTAAAAAGTCAAAAAACAACAGATGCTGGTGAGGTTGCACAGAAAAAGTAACACTTTTACACTGTTGGTGGGAGTGTAAATTAGTTCGACCATTGTGGAAGACAGTGTGGTGATTCCTCAAAGACCTGGAGGTGGAAATACCATTTGACCCAGCAATCTCATTACTGGGTATCTACCCAAAGGAATAGAAATAATTCTATTATAAAGATACATGCATGCACATGTTCTCAACTCCTTAAAACGGCTCTTTGGGCCCTTTAAGATCCAGCCCCTGCCTACCTCTGCAGCTTGGTCTCACCCATTGCCCACCCCATTATCTAGGTGCAAGTCTGCCTTCTTCCCATGTGGCCTGGATCCAGTTATACCTGAAGCCATTACCCTAAGGATTTTCAGTTATGGGAGCCAATCGCTGACTTTTGTTTAAGTTTATTTAAATGCAGTTGTTTTTTCTGCTTTTTGTCAACCAAAACAAAGGATATTGTCTAATACAGTTTGCAACACCAGAGTATTTCTTAAAAATGTTTCTTGACATATACATATCAATGTCAGAGAATGATTGTTTTATGCCCAGGTGGGTTAAGAGAATGCTGTTGCCAGGCATGTTCAACCAGTACTGCCACAGAAATGACTGGGGTTCTCTCTATACCTCCCCATCTCTCTCTTTTTTTTTTTCAACAGAAAAATAAGTTACTTCGGGGTTTTCTTCGTCAGCAACAGTCTTCCTAGAGAGACATTCTTTTGAATCAAAAACGAATTATTCTTGATAATTGGAAAAAGGTCCAACAGGCCTTCCCACGCTGGGTAGCAGCTTGTGATAACTTCCTCCAAAGAGAAAAACCAGCAAATCCAGAACATCCACATGTTGATGGGACAGACGCACTCACTCTGAGCAGCGGTTCTCAATGTATGGTCCCTGGACAGCATCATCAACAAATGGAGACTTAGTGGAAAGGCAAATTATCTCACTGGGTCACTCACTCTGAGCGTGGGTCCCAACAGTCTCTATTTTTACAAACTCTCAATTTTTGCTGCTCACCAGAACGCAAGAACCACTGGCACGGGGTGGGGGGGTTCCTTTTTCTTGGTGACTAGAGGCTGTTGGATGATTAAAATCAAACCCAGGCTACCTTTGCAGGGTCCCTCTAGGTTTGAACATTTGCTTTCTTACTTTGAGAAGAAGTAGAAGGGGTCAAACTAAGGACAAATCTGGCAGTGGCTTTGGTTGCTTTCTTTTGTGCAGGAACCAGACCACTCATCCATCTATGACTTCTGGAAGCTTCAAAGAGGTAGGGGTTTACCTGTGAGGCAACTAGTCAACAAACCCTATTGTTCCTTCACTTTTCAGGGTCCTGGGCCCCTCCCCTGTCACCTAAAGGTATAAATTCTATTGCGTTTCTGGAAGAGAGGGGAAATAGATGCAGATTAGGAAAAAGTATTTTTAATTTTATGTAGTAGTAGGAACTTAAATGAATTTGCAAGAAAAACACAACCCTATTAAAAAGTGGGCAAAGAACATCAACAGACACTTATCAAAAGAAGACACACATGCAGCCAACAAACACGAAAAACAGCTCAACAGCACTGATCATTAGGGAAATGCAAATCAAAATCACAGTGAGATACCATCTCACACCAGTCAGAATGGCTATTACTAAAAAGTCAAAAACTGGTAGTGGGCTTTGGTTGCTTTTTGCGTTTCTCTAATGATTAGTGATGTTGAGCTTTTTTTCAACCTACCTCCTATCTCTTTCTCCCTCGCTGTCCCCGTGTGTGTCTTTCCTGGACCCTGAACTTCTTTGCTTGGCATCCTCAGGGTTGGTGCATCCAGAGACTGACCTGCTGGACTACTTTGCCTGCGGACAGAGTTGCTTTCTGTCTTCTCAGTCTCAGCAACACTGGATTTGCCCATCTTTCCAAGTTTTGCCACACTGATGAGATAAAAATAATATTTCATCTTTTTGTTTAAGATAAATTTCTTGATTACTTATAAGAAGACTGAATATCATTCCCAATGTTTATTGGCCATGTGATCATTTCCTTTTCTGTGAATTGTCCATTAATCTATTAGAATGTGGTTTTCTTACTAATTTATACATTTTCATAAATAAATTCTTTTCTTCAACTTTTATTTTAAGTTCAGGGGTACACATAAAGGATATGCAGGTTTCTTACTTAGATAAACGTGTGCCATGGTGGTTTGCTGCACAGATCATCCCATCACCTAGGTATTAAGCCCAGCATCCATGAGCTATTCTTCCTGATGCTGTCCCTCCCCCTATCCCCCAGACAGGCATGTGTGTGTTGTTCCCTTCACTCCCTGCCTCTGTGTGTCCATGTGTTCTTGTCATTCAGCTCCCACTAATAAGTGAGAACATGTGGTGTTTGGTTTTCCGTTCCTACATTTGTTTGCTGAGGATAACAGCTTTCAGCTCCATACATATCCCTGCAAAGGACATGGCTGCATAGTATTCCACAGTGTATATGTACCACATTTTCTTTATTCAGTCTATCATTGATGGGCATTTGGTTGATTCCATGTCTTTGCCGTTGTGAATAGTGCTGCAATGAACATATGCATGCCTGTATCTTTATAATAGAACGATTTATATTCCTTTAGGTATATATCAAGTAATGGGATTGCTGCCTCTAGGTCTTTGAGGAATCACCACACTGTCTTCCACAATGGTTGAACTAATTTACATTCCCATCAACAGTGTAAAAGTGTTACTTTTTCTGTGCAACCTCGCCAGCATCTGTTGTTTTTTGACTTTTTGGTAATAGCCATTCTGACTGGCGTGAGGTGGTATTTCATTGTGATTTTGGTTTGCATTTCTCTAATGATCAGTGATGTTGAGCTTTTTTACATATGTTTGTTGGCTGCATGTGTGTCTTCTTTTGATAAGTGTCTGTTCATGTCCTTTGCCCACTTTTTAATAGGATTTTTTTCCTTGCAAATTTGTTTAAATTCCTACTACTATATAAAATTAAAAATACTTTTTCCTAATCTGCATCTTTTCTTTTAAATTGTTTACAGTAGTTTTCACAGTACAAAAAAAACTAAATTTCAGGTAGTCAAACCTATTGATCTTTCTTTTTGGTACCTGAGTTTTATATCTTGATTAGGAAAACCATTAAACAAATGACTATTACCCTGTAATTATTTGTTGTTGCTTTTGTTTTACAGTTTTAAAGTCTTAGATCTTAAACTAGCTGAAATTTACTTTTGTGTGTGATATAAAATTGGGGTCTATGTTTATTTTTTTTCCTAAATGGATGGCCAATTTCCCCAATTTTAAACAATCCATCTTTTCTCTACTTGTTTCAATACCACCTTTGTCATAGACTAAATTCTGAACTCTAATCTCTTTCCTTCCTTCCTTCCTTCGTTCCTTCCTCCCTCCCTCTCTCCCTCCCTCCCTCTCTCCCTTTCTTTCTTTCTTTTTCTTTGTTTCTTTCCTCTTTCTTTCTCTCTTTCTTTCTTCTTTTTTTTTTCAGAGTTTCTGTCGTCCAGGCTGGAGTGCTGGAGTGTAGTGGTATGATCTTGGCTCACTGTCACTGCAACCTCTGCCTCCCAGGTTCAAGCGATTCTCCTGCCTCAGCCTCTAGAGGAGCTGGGATTACAGGTGCCCACCACCTCGCCCGGCTAATTTTTGTATTTTTAGTACAGATGGAGTTTCACCATGTCGGACAGGCTGGTCTTGAATTCCTGATCTCTGATGATCCACCTGCCTCGGCCTCCCAAAGTGCTGGGATTACAGGCGTGAGCCACCGTGCCCGGCTTCCAATTTATTTCATATATCTCTCATTTCTATAACAGCATTATTTAGTAATGTTACCTTTTAATAGTTTTTAATGTCTGGTAGGGTGTTTAGTAAATCTGAGTGTTTTGTTCTTTTACTTCACTAAATGAAATTTAGAATCAGTCTGTTAAATTCCATGAAAATTGACATTGAACTAAGTTATTTGATTTTTATGAAGGGAACTGATATCTCTACAATATTGAGTACATAACGTGGAAAAATAGGATGTCTCTCCATTTATTTAGTCTTCCACACTAAATGTTTTAGTGTTTTCCTCCATATAGGCTTTGCATGGTTTTTTAAAGTTATGACTAGGTATTTTATAATATTTTTCATTATTGTTAATAGGATTTTTTCAATATATTTTCTAATTAGTTATTGCTACAGTAAGGGGAAGCTAGCTCTTTTATATGTTCACCTTGTATCTTACTATCTTATTGACTTCTTCTTCTTCTTTTTTTTTTTTTTAAGACAGAGTTTCACTCTTGTTGCCCAGGCTAGAGTGCAGTGGCGTGATCTGGGCTCACTGCAACCTCCCCTTCCCAGGCTGAAGTGGTTCTCCTGCCTCAGCCTCTTGAATAGCTGGTATTACAGGCACCAGCCACATGACTGGCTAATTTTTTCTATTTTTAGTAGAGATGGGGTTTCACCATGTTGGTCAGGCTGGTCTTGAACTCCCAACCTCTGGTAATCCACCCACCTTGGCCTCCCAAAGTGCTGGGATTACAGGAGTGAGCCACTGCACCCAACCTAGCTTATCGATTTGTATTATAACTAGGAGTTTTCCAGTCAATTGTCTTGGGTTTTCTAGGTAGAACATCGTATCTGTATGTTTGCTTATATTTGAAGAACTGGAATTTGCCTTTATTAATCAAGTATACTTTTTGTTACATTCTATTTTTTAACCTCTAATTTTACTTTTAGTAATTCCTCCCTTAGACTTTCTTTAGATTTATTTTATTGTCCTTGTTTCTAGTTTCTGCAATCAAATGACACTAATTTATTTGCAAATTAATTTGAAACTAAATTTTCCTTTGGATGCTGGTTTGACTACATGCCTTAGGTTTTATTATGTACTGTCTGATTTTTATTTATTTCACATTTGGTATATTCAGTCTTGACTTCTTTTTCTGAAATCCCTGAGAGATATTTAGAAGAGTGTTTTTAATTTTCTAGTCCGGGCACGGTGGCTCACACCTGTAATCCCAGAACTTTGGGAGGCGGGTGGATCATGAGGTCAAGAGATTGAGACCATCCTGTCCAACATGGTGACTCTACTAAAAATACAAAAATTAGTTGGGCCTGGTGGCACGCGCCTGTAGTCTCAGCTACTCAGGAGGCTGAGGCAGGAGAATCGCTTGAACCCGGGAAGTGCAGGTTGCAGTGAGCTGAGATCGCACCATTGCATTCCAGCCTGGTGACTCCATCTCAAAACAAAAATTTTTTTAATTATCTAAGTGATTAGATTTCTTAGGTTGCCTTAGTTATTAATTCTAGTTGCAATCAGAGGATGTATTGTGAGTTCTTTTATCCTTATTTGTTGGTTTTACTCCCTTCTATGTTTTAACACTATATTATTAAGGTGCAGAAAGGCTTAAGACTTTTGTAACGTCTCAGTGAGTTGGACCTTTTATTGCTGTAACTCTTTCTGTTTAGTTAGTATCTGATCTAATACTATCACATCTATTTTCTTTTGGTTAGTATTTTCCTATATATATTTTCCTATTCTTTACTTTCAAGCTGTTCTTATCCTTTCATTTTAGGTAGGACTCTTATAAATACCATATAACTAAATTTTTAAAAATATCTCCCCCTTTTTTTTTGAGACGGAGTGTCACTGTGTCACCCAGGCTGGAGTGCAGTGGCACTATCTTGGCTAGTTGCAACCTCCGCCTTCCGGGTTCAAGCGAAAAATCTCTCCCTGTTATGGCTGTATTACTGATACATTTGGTCATAGTCCTGCCATCCTGTTTTGTTGTTTTTTATTACGTTTCCTTGTTTCCTTTACTGTTTCTTCTTTAGCTTGGTTGACTGTTTTCTTTTTAGCCATTAGTGGTTTGAAAAATATTCTTTCTGTTTTTATTCCTTCTTTAAGCATGTATTTAAACATTTTACTCAACACATTTAAAGATATGTTTCTATCAATGCTGAGAATTAATCAGTACATATTACTATCCTGACGCTTTATCATGTCTTTCTTCCCTCTCCATGCACCAACTGCCTCTACCCACTCCCAAGTTTTGTTGAAATCTGGAATTTAACAGATGGAATTCTTTCTTAACAATGCATTAAGCTTTATAGCCATATTTTCAGTAACACTTTGGGCTCAAATTTTACTAGTTTCTTTGCGCAACACTGTTTGATATTTCCCTTTCTTCAGCTCATTTTTCGTATTGTTGGAGTATAGCCTCTAGAGAATCTTTCAAAAAGACTTCATGGAGAGAAATTTTCTGAGTTCTTGTCCATCTAGGAATAATTTCTATTTTGTACTTAAATCACTTTTTGTCTAAGTACAAAATTCTAGATTAGAAATTAATTTTTTCTGCAGAACTTGGTGATACCATGTTTTATATAATTTTATATTCATTGCATTTGAGAAGTTCAATGTCCATTTATTTCTTCTTCCTTTGAAGTTAAACTAGGGGTATTTTATTTCTCTTTGAATTTTTTTCTTTAATCTCTCCCTTATTCCTTATTTTTATTTTTTATTTCATCAATATGTCTTTTCCCAAATACCCCTCACTTGCTCCCACATTTCTTTTCAGTATTTCATGGGCCCTTTTATATGAAGAATTCAGACTTTCTTTTAGCTTTGAAAGTGTTTTGTATAATTCGTATGATTATTTTCTCTATCCATTCACCTTCTGGATATAGTTTGAGACAGAGGTTGAAACTTCTTGTTCTGTTTTTTTGTGTTCAGGTTTTTATCTTTCACATTTCAACTTCCGGAATTTCGCACTGTGTTCAAGGTGGATCACTTGCCTCAGTATTCCAGTTTATTAAAGTACTCTCCAGTTCTATGCATTTTATAATCAATCCATCTATTTTAGGGTTTTCTTCACTTGGAAAAAGTTATAAACCATGGCAAATTACAGAAGCAACTGTATAAGTCCGTTTTCACCTTGCTGTAAAGAATTACCTAAGACTGGGTAATTTATGAAGAAGGAAGTTTTAATTGACTTACAGTTCTGCATGACTGGGAAGGCCTCAGGAAACTTACAATCATGGCAGAAGGGGAAGCAAGGATCTTCACATGGCAGCAGGAGGGAGAGCTAGCTGGGGGGAAGTGCTACACTTTAAAACCATTAGCTCTTGTGAGAACTCACTCACTACCGTGAGAATAGCAAGGGAGAAATCTGCCCCCATGATCCAGTCATCTCCCACCAGGCCCCTCCTCTGACACGTGGGGATTACAATTTGAGATGAGATTTGATTGGGGACACAGAGCCAAACCATATCAATAACATAGCAAACACCCATGTACCCATTACTGAGAAATAATTAGCATTAACATTTTGTCACATTTGCTTTGGTTCCATTTTAATAAAATAAATAAAATATTACTGATAAAATTGCAGTCCCTTTTGTTCACTTTGCTACTACTTTTTGCCCATTGTCCCCAAAGGAATTGCTATCATCAACATTATGCACACTTTTCCATTTATTTTGGCTATAAAAATATGTGTGTGTGTGTGTGTGTGTGTATACACACACATACACATATATACATATATGCACATATATATACGTATATACATATATAGATATATATACATATAGATAGATGATAGATAGATAGATAGATAGATAGATAGATAGATAGATAGATAGATAGATATAGATATAGATATAGATATATTCCACCATCCTCTGGTCTTTTTCTTTTTTTTCTTAAGACAGTGTCTCACTCTGTCATCCAGGCTGGTGCTATCATGGCTCACTGTAGCCTCAATCTCCCAGGCTCAGGTTCCCACCTGCAAGGTTTATCTTATAGCTTCCGGTATAGCTAAGTTGCCTGCTGAAATTCCCACTGGTAACATAAAGGCAAGGCTGATCCCCCTTCTTCAGTGTTTTTGAGTTGGAGTCTTGCTCTGTCACCCAGGCTGGAGTACAGTGGCACAATCACTGCAGCCTCAAACTCCTGGGCTCAAGTGATCCTCCCACTTCAGCCTCCTGAGGAGCTGGGACTACCGGCATGCACCAATATGCCGGGCTCATTTTTAAATTTTTTGTAGAGATAGAGTCTCACTATGTTGCCCAGGCTGCTCACCTATTTTAAAGGAAAAATATGTTTATCAGATTGAGGAGGCTTAACCTCCCACCTCAGCCTCCTGAGTAGCTGGGACTACAGGTATGAACCACCATGCCTGGCTAATTTTTCATAGAGACAGTGTTTCATTATGTTGCCCAGGCTGTTTTCAAATTTCTGGCCTCAAATGACCCTTTTGCCTTGACCTCCCAAAGTACTGGAATTATAGGCATGAGCCACCACACCCGGCCGCCTACAGTCTTTCACAGTTTTTTAAAAAATGTATTTTAAGATAAAAATATTTTAAGTAAATATTGAATTTACTTTTCTTAAGCTAGCTTTTTCACTCAACAATATGTTTTGGGAAATTTACTTAGATTGTTGCATATCTGGTTGATTTAAATAAACATGGTCTTTCTTCATTTAAATGAACGAGATATGCAACAATCTAAGTAAATAATAGAGCTTTGTAGGAATATGTGCAATGAATGTATCCACCCTACGAATGATGGACATCAAAGTTGCTTCTAGGTTTTCTGTTATTAGAAGCTGTACAGCAGAGAACACAATGTGTATTTGTGCTTGTGTGAGAGTTTCTCTGAGGCTTATACCTGGGGAATTGCTGAGTCAAATCATATGCACATAATAAACTGATTAGAAAAAGCTTAACAGTTTTTGTAATAAATTATTAGAAAAACTAATAAATTTATTAGAAAAACTTGTTTTTCTAATAAATTTATTATGTACATAATATTTGAGCATAAACAAACTGTCGTTATGTCAAACCAACAGTGTTTGAGAATCTGTGGCTCCCACAACTTCACCAAGACTAGATATTATCAAACTTTTTCACTTGGGCAATCTGATGGATGGAAATTGTATCTTCTATAGGGCTTTCAATTTTATTATTCATAATGTTAGTTTTCAAGAACTCTGAGTACGACTTTTTATAGAGGCTCTGTTTATCTCTCTCTCTCTCTCTCTCTCTCTCTCGCTCTCATCTATCTGGATATGCTACTGTTTCAAATGTGTTTGACAATACTAATTACATTTATTGTAAAGTGTTTCTCCCTCTGCTTCCCCATTGTAAGAATTCTGTTTCTTCAGATGTAAATTTCTCTGGAGGTGGAGTTGGTGCTTTCCTTTTCCTTTTCTGTTTTTCTAAAACTTTTGGTGAATCTTGGCCACCTACTGGTCCAGATTACTCTGGCTGGAATGGACTCCTCAGATCCTGTGGGAATCCCTGTGCGTTTGACTGGGCATGCAGGTGCTGGGTAGAAGAACCTGGCTCTACTGCCCGTGTGGGCCAAGGGAGAGGTGTATGTGAGGGGTTTGTGTTGCGAACGTGAGGTTTCCTCTCTACTCTGGTGGCCACGGACAACTGGGGCCCTGCCCGGCTCCTCCCACCTCTGAGGCTCCTTTGGGAGTCTCCGTTCATCAGAAGCCCGTACTAGTCTGGTCACCCTCGCATGGTCCAGCTCTTCCTCCACCTGCTACTAGTAGTCTTGGTGCTTGCATTGGTTTGCTAGGGCTGCAGAACAAATACCACAGACTGGTGTTTGGTATTTCACAGCTGAGTGGCTTTCACAACAGAAATCACTTTCTCACGATTCTGGAGATTAGCTGTCTGAGATCAAAGTGTTGATAAAGTTCATTTCTTCTGAGGTTTCTTTCCTTGGCTTGCAGATGGCGACTTCTCTATCTTCACACGATCTTCCACTGTGTGTGTCTGTGGCCTCATGTCCTCTTCTTATAAGGATCCCAGTCATATTGCACTGGGGCCTACACTACTGACTGCATTTTAACTTAATCACCTCTTTAAAGGCCCTGTTAGTCTCCAAATGCAGTCCCATTCTTAGGTACTGGGGGCTGAGGCTTCAATGTATGAATTTGTCGAGCAGCGGATGGGTGGGGAGAGGGCACAAGTTAGCCCATTAACAATGCTATTCTAGGGTTCTGATAGAATAAAGTCTTTTTTTGTGGAAGGACTCCCATTTTCCTATCTTATTTATGCCATAGCATACAAACCAGACAGTTTCATATGAACATTAGCTAATTTATTTAACTGGATCCTGCGATTAGATATTTAGTAAACTTCTTGCGGCTAAATGCATGTCCATAATTATTTCTCCTATACAAGTTTTCGTAATTCAAATTAGCTAGGATGTGATCGATGAATTAAGGAAACTTATTTGCATTATAAGGATTACTATTGTTTACAACTCAGTTACTTAATAAGAATCAACACCAAACATGAAAGGAGGGGAAACTATTGAACAATTGAAATGAACCAAGAGTGTGCCGGGTGCTGGTAAGGGTGTCTTTTTTGATCTGGGTGCTGGTGATACGGATATGTCCAGTTGGTAAAAATGCATTGAGCTATCTGCTTATAATACGTGCATGTTTCTATATGGATGCTATACTTCAAAGAAAAGTAAAAGGGAACGTGTTGAATGGCAGCATAGAAACAGTGCCTTTGAGTACTGGTTGCTCAGTTAGCATTGCATTTTTTAAAACAGTTACGAATTATATGCTGTGTGGCCAATGGTCTGGGGGTTTTCAACTCCAGCTACACGTTAGAATCATCTAGAGATGTGTTTTAAAAATACTGCTGTCCAGCCCTGCTCCAGATCAGCTAAATCAGAATCCCTGAGGGCGGAGCTCCACATCAGTATTTTTACAAAGCTTCCCAGTGGTTCTAACGTGCAGCCAGGTTGGCGCACCACTGGCCTAGAAATGCAGTTATTTTGATCACCTGTATTTTTTTCAGATTTGATCTGTGATTTCAGATTCTGTGGTCAATTTAGGTCAATTGATTTATTTTGCAATAATAGAAATGCACATATAGTTAAGATATACTTTATTAACAAAATTCCTGCAGGAAAAAGAAATCGCTTTTTACTGTGAATGTGAAACCTTTTACTATCTACCCAACTCCTTTTTCAAAATATATAAATCATCAAAACAACTCCTTAATTTAATTAGGCCATTTTTGTAAGTTTGGGAATGTGATTATTGGGTTGTAGTGGAATGCAGAGTATTTCTTTAGGATGCATTCTTGGGAGTAAACTTGTCGGTTCAAATGAAAGGTTTATCTTACAGCTTCTGGTACAGCTAAGTTGCCTGCTGAAATTCCCACTGGTAACATAAAGGTAAGGCTGATCCCCCTTCTTCCTTTATATTGAGTTGGAGTCTTGCTCTCTCACCCAAGCTGGAGTACAGTGGCAAGATGGCTGCAGCCTCAAACTTTTGGGCTTAAGTGATCCTCCCACTTCAGCCTCCCAAGGAGCTGGGACTAAAGGCATGCACCAATATGCTGGGCTCATTTTTAAATTTTTTGTAGAGATAGAGTCTCACGCTTTTGCCCAGGCTGCTTACCTTTTTTAAAGGAAAAATATTTTTATAACAAAAATTACAATTGTATGTAAAATATTAAAGAGAAAATGAAAACAACCTGAAATTCTGCCATCCAGATAATCATCCTTAACATGTTGGTGACCCTCTCCCCCCGTCGGGTTATAGACAGATTTATACGATATAAATGGAGGTGGTGAGTTGGACTCTTGACTATCTACCACCTGTGCCTTCTGAGCCATGGTAGTCAGGAGAGTGTCTTGAGCCTGGTACCAAGATTATTGTTAATTGTTAAAGAACTAGGGGTATAATCATTTCAGAAGATATACATATGTATCTTATTTTACATGCATACATACATATACAATTTATTTATATATACACACACAATTTTTTCTTATAGATTAAACAGAGTGGTCCTTGAGAATAAATGAAATTGGGCTATACTTCAAATGGTTTAGGAGAAAAGCAGCCCAGGTCTGTTTCTTTTTCCTCCCCGCTGCCATCTCCCATCCAGGCTCACCCCTCACTAGAACCAAGTAGAGTAGAAAACCATTGACTTCCACGGGCCCCTGAGGTCGTGGAATTTCAAGACACAGGAAGGGACTAGGGATCTGGGGACCTCCTCAATGGATGTTCTCGGCAGGTAACTCACATGGAATATAAACATCTAAAACATCTAAAAGCAAATTCATCATCTACCCATATGGATTTCGTCCAGGTCTTGGTCTATAGTGTTTCTCGGGCTCCTAAATGGCAGCTTCTGGTCGCCCTTGACCCTGCTTTGTCCCTAAGCAGAATCTGGCTACCATGTCCTGACCGATCCCACCTCAGAAATCTCTCTCCCCTCTGGCTGCTCCTCTCCAGGCCACATTCTGTTGGGTCTGACCTCACCTCTCTCCCATCGTCCTCTGTGCCACCCTCAGAGTCACCTTCCAAAACTGATCTCATCCTGCTTCAAAAGCTGCTTGGCTCCCTGGGGTCCTCAGGATCAAGATGAAGCCCCAGCTCAACAGTCAAGGCCCTTTGCCATCTGGGGCCGTTTATGTCTTCATTGCTTCTCTCATCACCTTCTGCACTCTGCAGCCCTGTAACACGCCCGGCTGTAAATAATTTTACAATGACACAGATGCTTGAGAGAGCCTGGCACAGCTCTGCCAATGTGCCAGGCTCTCTCAAGCATCTGTGTCTTTGCAGCGTGGCTCTTTGGGCTCAGAATGCCCTTTCTTACCTGGAGGAGTCATCCTGATCTTTCAAGACCTAGTTCAGATGTCACTGTCTTGGAACATTTCCCTTAACTCCCCTATACCTCCTATGGCCAGTCACGGAGACATGGGGGTTAGGGGCAGAAGGATCATTTGACCGGGGCCACACCTTCTTAAATCTGAACTTTTGAGGTCATCAGAATGGTGTGTGTCTACACATACACACACAAGGATAATACACTGACTGCACTGAAAAGCAAGAAGTTTCATCATTTGCCTTTGAATGTGTCTCATTACTCGATTACACTGACCACACTGCATCATACACTTGTAGTTATTTTAAAGTGATAAACTGACTCCATGATGACTGACACAATCACATTGGACTGTATTTTTAACTAAAAATCATTAATTTGCTAAATGCATATATTTGAAATATCCCCCAATTTTTGTATCTTTTTCTTGGCATTTTTGGCTTTTTTTTTTTTTTTTTTTTTTTTTTTTTTTTTTTTCCAGATGGAGTCTTGCTCTGTCACCCAGGCTGGAGTGCAATGGTGCAATTACAGCTCACTGCAGCCTCGAACTCCTGGGCTCAAGTGATCCTTCTGCCTCATCCTCTTGAGTAGCTGGGACTTACAGTCATGTACCACCATGCTCAGCTAATTTTTTTAAAAAAAAATCTTGTACAGATGGGGTTTCACTTTGTTGCCCAGGCTGGTCTTGAAATCCTGGCTTCAAATGATCCTCCCACCTTGGCCTCCCAAAGTGCTGGGATTACAGGTGGGAGCTACCATGCCCATGCTTTTTTCTCTAAATTTTTTTTTTAAATATGCCAAGAGAGTTAAAGTCTATGTAACTCCCCAGGTGGTCTCCTACAGAAGTCAAGATACATCTATCATGATGCTTACTGTGTTTGGTTGCAGCAAAACTGGGTTCTCCAGCAGGTTGAACTCCATGGGTTCAAGAGGAAAGAGCTTTACTTTCTCCCCTCACTGCCTTCCAACATGTCCTGTGATCTTTCCCTTCCCTACTGCTTAACTACATTTCATGCAGAGCCACAGATTTTCATTCACTTCCAGTGAGGAGAACAGCTTTATTTAGGGGGTAGTAAGAAGGCCAGTCCAGTATAGAACAAAACCTCAATCAGTCCAGCTCCATGAATCTCCTCTCCCAGTTCAGGCTTGCCAGTGGTTTGGGGATACTGTGGGGATGGGAACAGGGCCCAGCTCATTCTTCCTCCCAGTTGATCTTCTGCTCCTTCTCTTTCCCTAGCTAGGTTCTCCAGAGTTGGGAAGGGGAGAGGGGATTCGAAGGACAGCATCAGTGTCTTGCAGAGTTGGCACTCTAGTGATCTACGTGGCAAGCCCATCCTCAAAAGACTCTTGTGGAAGTTCTGGAGCCAGCTCCAGCTATGTACGGTGCACCAGGCTGAGACATCCTCTCTCTGACTTACAGTAGAATAGTTTGGTGGGCAGAGGGCTAGGGAATGGGTGTTACTGACTGGTTAGGGATGCAATCATAGCGGGGTGGAAAATGGTCCTCGTGCACTGAGCCCACTTCTGAGTGGGACCACAGGACTGGTTGAGAGGTTGAGTCTTGAGTCTCGGGTCTGGGTGGAGTTATTCAGTCCATCAGAAATGCGAAAGTCTGAAAAGGCATCTCAAAAGGCCAATCATGGCTTCTACAATAGTGATGTTATTTACAGGAATAATTGGGGAAGTTACAAATCTTGTGACCTCCAGACCAATGGCTGGCAATTATTTAACTACATCTACATTTTAGCAGAATTCAGTCCCCTCTTATAATCTTAAACTTGGGGGCTTTTATTAGTTTTATAAAGGCATTTAGTTTTGGGAAGGGCTAACATCATTTAAACTATAAACTAAATTTCTCCCAAAGTTAGCTTGGTCCACAGCCAGGCATGACCAAGGGCCATGTAGAGGTTAAAGGCAAGATGGAGTTGGTCAAGTCAGATCTCTTTCACTTTTCTAATGTTCTCACTGTTATAATTTTTGTAAAGGCAGTCTCAAGGGGTTCAACCTGGGTCTTACTGAACTAAAATCAAGGTGTCAGTGGGGCTGTTGCTTCTGGAGGCACTAGGGGAGAACGTATCTCCTGGCCCTTCCAGCTTCTAGAGCCTGCACTCCTTGACAGTGAATCCTCCACCAGGCCCATCTCTGAAGCCAGCAGGGTTGGATTTCTCCAGCCATTCTTCTGTCGTCACATCCCCCTCTCTGACAACAACAAGGAATGGTTCGCCAATGTGATTAGATTGGGTCCACCTGAAAAATCCCAGCTACTCCATCTTAAACTCCTTAACGCAAATCACATCTGCAAAGTCCCTTTTTTCATGTGAGATGGTATATTCACAGGTTCCAGGGACTAGAACATGGACATCTTTGTGGAGAGGGATGATACTTTTCTGTCTACCACAACCCATTGCTTGCATGAACCCTCCTGCAAATTTCTTGTTTTATGTAGGCTGGAGGAGGGCAACGGAGGTGAACACTGATGGAATGGACTCTGCCATGTTTCAGTAAATTCTTCAGGGGCTTGTCTGCAGCTCTTTTTAGAAAGTGGGGCACATATTGTCTGTCACCTTTAGCCTTAAGCCTTTTAAACCAGTATTCCAAGCATCCAGAAGTCACATTCCATGCATGAACTATGTGTGTGTTCCTCTCCTGCTCCAGGCTATGAGAGCCTTAAGGGCAGGGTCTGTTTCTCATAGTGCCTACAGCTAGTGAGCCTTCTGGAAAAGTTTGTTGCTCTAGGACAGAAAAGAGGGTAAAAAGGTTATCTAATTTATTGCTTAAAGGAATTAAGGATATATGACACTGGTCAAAACCCTGCTAAGTAAAGTATATTTATTTAAAAGAATAGGTGGACTTTACACAAACATTAGGCCACATTAACTTGCCAAGAAGGGACAGGGACTTGTGACCCTCCTGGACTGATGACGCTATCCTTGTTATTTAAATTAACATGCCAAGTGTGGGACAACACCTGACAGAATTCCAGCCACCCTTTGCAGAGAAGTTTTTCTGCACAGTGCACATCAATTTGCTGGGGACACACTTTTGGACTCCTGGTGTGGCCTACAGCATTAAATCTCATTTCTCCTCTTAAACAACAGCAAAGTTTACTGCAGGTAGATTATTTTCAGTGCTGCCTTCAGGGTCCTGGGAAGGTTGGAAACCCTTTACATACTGTTAACTCGCAATGGAATTGGGCATCAGAGCATTCAGACAAACTCACGCTCACCCTCCTATTGTCAGTTTTGGACACACTCGAGTTATAGAGTCATTTAAACAACTCTGACTGCTCCCTCTCATTTATGTTTGCCCCCCCAGGCAACCTGAAATTCCTCCTGTGAATTCTAAACAAAGCCCATGGAGGATGAGAAGTATGGGCTGGGGGCCAGATGGGGATGGAATCAGCCTTTCACATTCTACCTTCCTTATTTTAAATGCTGTGAATTCTGGAAATTTTGTCACACTCAGGTTTAAAACACAGTGAAGGCCAGGCATGGTGGTTCAAATCCCAGCACTTTGGGAGGCCAAGGCGGGCGGATCACTTGAGGTCAGGAGTTCAAGACGAGCCTGGCCAACATGGTGAAACCCTGTCTCTACTAAAATACAAAAATTAGCCGGGCATGGTGGCTAATCCAGCTACTGTAATCCCAGCTACTCCGGAAGCTGAGGCAGGAGAATCACTTGAACCCGGGAGGCAGAGGTTGCAGTGAGTCGAGATCATGCCACTGCACTGCAGCCTGGGTGACAGAGTGAGACTCCATTTCAAAAAACAAAACAAAACACAGTGAAAATCTCCAAATAATTCTGCGTGTGTGTGTGTATTTATTTATGCCATTTTTCCTCTTTATTTGGTGTACTATGATGAATAATGGCTTCCAAAGATATCAGACCCTAATCTCTGGAACCTTACATGTTATCTTATATGGTTTAAAAAAAATGACTTTGCTGGTGTAATTAGGCTAATGATCTTGAGATGGGAAGATGATTGCACCAGATTTTCACAGTGAGCTCTAAATGCAGTCACATGTATTCTTAGAAGAGGGAGGGAGAGGGAGATTTGGTTGCCACAGAAGAGGAGGCAGTGTGACCATGAGGCAGAGACTGGAGTGATGTGGCCACAAGCCAAGATGCCAGGAGCACTCAGAAGCAGGAAGAGGCAAGGAATGGATTCCCCACTGCAGTTTGCAGAGGAAGCTTGTCCCTGCCAGCATTTTGATTTCAGCCCAGAAACACTGGTTTTGAACATCTGGCTAGCAGAATTGTCAGATAATAAATCTCTGTGTTTAAAGGCATCAAATTTGTGGTAATCTGTGTCAGCAGCCTTAGTAAAGGAATGTATATAGCTGAGAACTCACCATACACATCATTCATTCAGTCAACAAATACTTACCCTAGGGCAGGTACATTAGAACCAGGGGCAGGCAGGAGAAGGCTAGGGAATGCTCACAGTCCCCATCCCACCATCACAGGCAAAATGTTCCAAAAGTGTGCATTTTTCTGCAAAGAAATTTTATAGTTTGCATCAGGCTCTAAAGGGTCCATGCCCTCTGAAAGTGGAGACCCCTTGATGTAAATCTCAGTGGTCAAAGTTTCTTAATTGGCTAAGTGACTCCCCGGTGTGAAACCTTGAAGACACTGTTGGTAAGAGAAGGAAGTTAATGGCATGATGTAAAAGGGCGTTCTCTATCTCTCTTAGTATAGACAAAGAGATAGTAATTTAAATATGGAATCATATTGTTTACATCTGAGAGATCATTTATTTACACAAATATTCACTGAGCACTTGCTATGTGCTGTCTGCTACTCTCAGGCATTGGGGATACAGTGGGGGAACAAAAAGGACCAAAAAGTCCTGCCCTCAGGAAGTGGACATTCTAATTACCAGCACAGACAAAAAAACAAATCGATATATGATAACTCAGGTGGCACTGAGTTGGGGGCAAAGGGGATAGAAGCTAGTGGTAGGCCTTGGGGGCATGCTGTCTTTACAGAATAGTCAAAGGAGGTTCCCTGCAAAGGTGACATGTGGGCAGAAACCTGAGGAAGGCAAGGGAATGAGCCATAAAGATCCACCGGGAAGAGAGTTCCAGACAGAAGGAAAAGCTCGTGCGAAGGCCTAGAGAGAAGAGCTTGGTTGCTAGGGGGACAGCAAGTAGGCAAATTGATTAAAACTAGTTGCTGATTTAGTTCAGCTGGTAAACAGACTAGCAATAAGCAGAAGGAAATCATTCCAATTGAAGAGATTTTTTTGGCTGGGCACGGTGGCTCATGCCTGTAATCCCAACATTTTGGGAGGCTGAGACAGGAGGATCCCTTGAGGCCTGGAGTTCAAGACCAGCCTGGGCAACATAGTAAGAACCCGTCTCTACAAAAAAATTTAAAACATAGCCAAGCATGGTGGCATGCACCTGTAGTCCCAACTACTTGGGAGGCTGAAGCAAGAGGATCGCTTGAGCACACGAGTTTGAGGCTGCAGTGAGCCATGATCATGCTACTGTACTCCAGCCTGGGTAACAGAGTGACACCTTGTCTCTAAAAAAATACAAATTAAAATTAAGATGGAGTTTTTTCCTAGTGATATTAGATATCAGTGACACTCATTAGAGGGTGACTCATCACCCAAAGGAAGAAAGGGAAGTTCTGTTGAATTATTTAGACTTTTTCTTAGGGAAGGAAGAAAACACACACACACACACACACACACACACACAAACACACACACACACACAGAATGTTGACAGGGAAAGTGAACTAAAGCAAACCAGAATCCAAAATGGGACGTGGACTTCTAGATAGATGTGAAGCAATAATGAATAGGCTCCAATAAAAGAGGTGAGATAGGGTGTTGGGTGTTTTGTCAGATATTTTTGTTTTGTTTTCAGTATTTTGTAACTGAGCCTCTGGACCATGTTTCCAACTTCCCTATTAAACAGCAATACACAGATAATAAGCAATTGTTCATGTTCAAGAGTTTCAGATAGACACAGGCCCTTGAAGTGTAGCTGAGGAACGTGACATGGAAAAAAGGCCTCTAAGTCTGGCAAGTTGGCCTTTGGAAGACCAATTCCAACGATCCAGAGAAGAGCGTGAAAAACATTGATCCCTCGAGGGCCTGGACCAGCAGAAATGAGATTTCCAGGGCCCTGGTCTCTGAAATGCTGTTAGGATGCCGTGCCCAGCAATTTGAAGGTAATAAAACTCTGATTCAATTCCACAAATGGAGACAACTGAGAGTCAGTAAAGGGTGGGTATTCAGAGCTTTGTGCTTGGAGGGAGAACAGACCTGGGCTGGGAGTGACTCTTCCTACCTTAGTGTCTGTGGTGGGATGGGGAGTGTTCCCCTAAAAATTCACGTCCACCCAGAATCTTAGAATGTGACCCTATTTGGAAACAGGGACTTTGTAGATGTCATTAGGTAAGATGAGGCCACATTGAATTAGGGTGGGCCCTAAATCCAATGACTACTGTCTTTATCCAAGAAAAGAGAGGGAAATTCAGATACGGAGACACAGACACAGACAAGGAGAGGGACACAAAACGACCGAGGCGGAAACTGGAGTGATGCAGCCACGAACCAAGGAATGCCAAGGATTGATAACAACCACCAGAAGGTTCGAAGAGGCAAGGAGGGACCCTCCCTTCAGCCTTCAGAGAGAATGTGGCCCCACCAACACCTGGATTTTGGACTTCCAGCCTCCAGACTGTGGGAGAACACATTTCTGTTGTTTTATGCCAGCAAGTGTGTGGCAGTTTGCTATGGCAACCCCGGGAAACTAATACAAGAGCTTCATTTGTCAGTTTCAGAAGAGAAGCTGACACCTTGTGCCCACCCTGTACCCAGCAAGGTGCTCAGAATCAACTGTGAGGGCAGCTCAGCTCTGCGTTAGTCCTTAGTTCATGGAGCGTTGTGGCAGTGACTGACAGGCCTGTGGTACAGGGGTCAGCCCATGGTGGGCACTCGGGAAACAGTAACCAAAAAGCCCCCAACAGCAACGTGGCTGATTTAGCTGGTTCATCTGGGGTCCAGCAGGCTTCCATTCTGGTGGGAGACTCTGACGATAAACAAATAAATTATACAGCTATGATGTGGGATGAGGTAGTGATCAGTGCTATGAAGGAAAATTACCCAGCATAAGGAGATAGAGAGGGATGGAGAGCAGGGACTCCATGCTGTTTTTAAATGGGGTGGTTGAGAAGGTGATATTTGAACAAGGACCTGAACACCAAGTGGGTGGCACACGGTAAGACCTCCGTCTTACCATGAGCTACTATCATTCACATTATTACTTTGTTCGTTCTTTTGAAACAGGCAGATGTGATGTAGAAAATGTAGTTCAGCCTGGGCGTGGTGGCTCCGCCTGTAATCCTAGCACTCTGGGAAGCTGAGGAGGGTGGATCACTTGAGGTCAGGAGTTTGAGACCAGCCTGGCCAACATGGTGAAACCTCGTCTTTACTAAAAATACAAAAAATTAGCTGGGCATGGTGGCAGGCACCTGTAGTTCCAGCTATGTGGAAGGCTGAGGGAGGAGAATCGCTTGAACCCGGGAGGCAGAGGTTGCAGTTAGCCGAGATTGTGCCATTGCAATCCAGCCTGGGCTACAAGAGTGAAACCCTGTCTCAAA
Organism: Homo sapiens; assembly: GCF_000001405.40. Taxonomy (NCBI): domain Eukaryota; kingdom Metazoa; phylum Chordata; class Mammalia; order Primates; family Hominidae; genus Homo; species Homo sapiens. The sequence continues at coordinate 89,056,908 of NC_000014.9, read as the reverse complement.
AAAAGAGAAAAGAAAATGTGGTTCAAACCCAGCCTCTGTGAATAAACAATATGGCCTTCCCTGAGTCTCCTGGAAACAGAGGGTGGTGACAAAAAGGAAGATGAGCAGCCATCCCAGTTCGCCCAGGACTCAAGACTTTCAGGGCCAGACGGAGACAGCCCTAGGCCAACAGCTGCAGTGGGTTGCCCTGGCACTGTTGCCCCAGCAGGCACTAAGAGGGGTAGACAAGATGGCCCATGTGGATAACTGCCCCCTACACTGCCCCAGGCACACAAGTGCCCAAGGGATGCTCTTTGAGTCTGCGTGGAGTGGAGGCCTGTGTAGAGGAAGTGGGGATATTTGCCCATGCCTGCTGGGTCTGTCTGTTTTCTGACCCCAGACCAGAAGAGGCTACTGCAGAGCTCGGAAGGTTCTCTATTTTGCTTTGGGAAACAGCCCCTCAGAAGGAAGCTGGAGATGGAAGACCACCATTGCCAGCACCCTCTGGCACCCTCTTGCATCCTCTTTCTGCTCAGCGGTACCCTTATCATCCCTGGAGAGCATCCCAAATAGCTGATGCTGGGAAAGTTACCAGATGTCCCAGAGCCTCACGTTACTCATCTGCAAAAAGAGATAATGATACCCATTTGATGTGGTTTGGCTGTGTCCCCACCCAAATCTTGCCTTGAATTGTAGCTCCCACAATTCCCATGTGTCATGGGAGGGGCCTGGTGGGAGGTAATTGAATCATGGGGACGGGTCTTTCCCATGCTGTTCTCGTGATAATGAATAAGTCTCACAAGAGTTGATGGTTTTATAAAGGGGAGTTCCCCTGCACACGCTCTCTTGCCTGCCACCACGTAAGACATCCCTTTGCTCTTCCTTCATCTTCTGCCATGATTGTGAGGCCTCCCCCAGCCATGTGGAACTGTGACTCCATTATACCTCTATCCTTTATACGTTACCCAGTCTCTGGTATGTCTTTATTAGCAGCATAAAAACAGACTAATTCACCATCTGTTTTGGTCTGGGGTGGCTTGGGTAAAATAAATTATTTGCTTCACACATTTTTTTTTTGAGACAGAGTCTCGCTCTGTTGCCCAGGCTGGAGTGCAATCATGTGATCTTGACTCACTGCAACCTCTGCCTCCCAGGTTCAAGTGATTCTCCTGCTTCAGCCTCCCAAGTAGCTGAGATTACAGGCTTCTGCCACCACGCCCAGCTAATTTTTGTACTTTTAGTAGAGACGGGGTTTCACCATGTTGACCAGGCTGGTCTCAAACTCCTAACCTCAAGTGATCTATCCGCCTCAGCCTCCCAAAGTGCTGAGATTACAGACATGAGCCACTGCGCCTGGCCTACTTAACAAATATCTATCAAACAGCCACAATGTGCCAGGAATTAATTATACCAACTATATGTATTCTTTGTATCCACATAGGTTGAACAAAATACACATATTCTTACCCTCAAGTACAAGGCAGTCTAGTGGAGAGGGCAAATTCAAACAAGTAAATTACAAACCAGAATAAGTGCAATGAAGGAAAAAATGAGAAGAGGGAGGGTCTACTTTGGGTTGAGTGCAGGAAAAGCCTCTCTGTGAACTAAAATGTGAGAAGAAACCAGCTTTTGCTCTTTTTTAATAGGAACCCATGAAATATGCCGGTTTATGGAGGAATGATGACTTCTTTGTAATACTGATTTTTCCCATCTAAGAGTGGGCCAGCTTTCCCATTAATTCAGATTTATTTCATGCTAACAGGAGTCCTGTTTTCTGGCTTTTGTGTGTCATGTTTTAATTTTTGTTTTTAGTAGTGTACTATTTCACTCACGTAAAAGAAAAGAAATAGGATGAGCAATCAGGGACTCCCACCACTAATGGGCACCCTTGCAGGGCCCTCCTAGATAGCCAAGACCTTTCCTCCTGCCTCTATCCCATGGGGGAAGTCACACCCTGAAGATTTATGATTTTTTTGTCTTCATTTATAATTTTATACATTTCTATGAATAGCAGAATAATATATTGTTCACTTTTGCTTTTTGTTTTTTAAGACTTTTTTAAAGGGTAGTTTTAGGTTCATGGCAAAATTGAGAGGAAGGTACACAGACATCTGATATACCACTGCCCCACACATGCATAGCTTCCTCCCCCATTATCAACATCCCCCGCCAGAGTGGTACATTTGTTACAGTTAGCTAATTGACACTGGCACGTGGTTATCACCCAAAGTTCCTTGTAATACATTAGGGCGCACTCTTGGTGTTGTACACTCTCTGCGTTTGGACAAACGTGCAATGACACGTATCCGCCATTACAGTATCCTACATCTTATAGTTTCACTACCCTAAAAAAAATCCCCTGGGCTCCTCCTATCATCCTCCCTCCACCCTAGGCTCTGGCAACCACTGATCTTTCTTTTTTTTTTAATATTATTTATTCCTACATTGGAACAGGAGTCACCATCAACACTTCCTTTCTTTCTCCTTCCTTCCTTTCTCTCTCTCTCTTTCTCTCTCTTTCCTTCTTTCCTTTTCTTTCTTTCTTTCCTTCCTTCCTTCCTTCCTTCATTTCTTTCTTTCTTGACAGAGTCTTGCTGTGTTTCCCAGGCTGGAGTGCAGTGATGCAATCTTGGCTCACTGCAACCTTCACCTTCTGGGTTCAAGAGATTCTCCTGCCTCAGCCTCCTGAGTAGCTGGGACTACAGGCACGCACCACCATGGCCAGCTAATTTTTTAAATTTTTAGTAGACATGGGATTTCACTATGTTGGCCAGGCTGGTCTCAAACTCCTAACCTCAAGTAGCCTGCCCACCTCAGGTTCACAAAGTGCTGGGATTTCAAGCGTGAGCCACTGTGCCTGGCAACCACTGATCTTCTGTCTCTATAGGATTGCCTTTTCTAGAATGTCGTATAGTTGGAATCACACAGTATGTAGCCTTTTGAGATTGGCTCTTTTCACTGGTAATATATATTGAAGTTTCCTCCCTGTCTTTTCATGGCTTGATGGATCATTATTTTTTAGCGCTGAACAATATTCCATTGTCTGGATGTACTACAGTTTATCCATTTACATACTGAAGGACATCTTGGTTGCTTCCAAGGTTAGATAATTATAAACAAAGCCGCTGTGAGCATCTATACATAGGTTTTTCACATAAGTTTTCATCTCCTTTGGATAAATACTAAGGAGCATGATGGTTGGATCATATGGTAAGAGTATGTTTCGTTTTGTAAATAACCACCAAACTGTCTTCCAAAGTGGCCATACCATTCCCACCAGTAACGAACGAGATTTCCCATTACTCCACGTCTTCGCCAGCATTTGGTGTTGTCAGTGTTCTGGATTTCAGTCGTGCTAGGTACATAGTGATATCTCATTGTTGTTTTAATTTGCATTTTCCTGCTGTGGAGCAACTTTTTATATGCTTATTTGCCATCTGTATATTTTCTTTGGCAAGGTGTCTGTTAAAGTCTTGGCCCATTTTTTAATTGGGTTGTTTGTTTTCTTATTGTTGAGTTTTAAGAGTTCTTTGCAAATTTTGGCTAGCAGTCCATTATTGGATATGTCTTTTGCAAATATTTTCTCACAGTCTGTGACTTGTCTTTTTATTCTCTTGACAGTGTCTTTTGCAGAGCAGAAAGTTTTAATTTTAATAAAGTCCAGCTCATCAATTATTTCTTTCATGGATTGTAACTTTGGTGTCATATCTAAAAAGTCACTGCCAGGCCGGGCACAGTGGTTCATGCCTGTAATCCCAGCATTTAGGAGGACGGGAGAATCACTTGAATCCAAGAGTTTGAGACCAGCCTGGGCAACATAGTGAGACCCTGTCTCTAAAAAGTAAAAATAAATTAGCTGGGCTTGGTGGCACAGGCCTGTGATCCCAGTTATTTGGGAAGCTGAGGTAGGAGGATCACTTTAGCCCAGGAGTTCAACACTGCAGTGAGCTATGATCACACTACACACAACTGCACTCCAGCCTGGGTGACAGAGAACCTATTGAAAAAAAAATCATTTTCAAACCTATAGTAATCTAGATTTTCTCCTATGCTATCTTCTAGTTTATAGTTTTGTGTTTTATATTTAGGTCTGTGATCCATTTTCAGTTAATTTTTGTGAAGAATATATTAAGGTCTGTGTTTAGATTCATTTTTGCATGTAGATTTCCATTATTCCAGCAATATTTGTTTAAAAGACTGTCTTTTTTCCATTGTATTGCCTTTGCTCTTTTGTCAAAGGTCAGTTGACTGTATTTATGTGGGTTTGTTTCTAGGCTATCTATTCTGTTTCACTGATCTATTTATCTATTTTCTTACCAATACCACTGTCTTAACTACTGTAGGGTGTTTTTTTTTGTTTTTTGGTTTTTTTTTTTTGAGACAGAGTCTCACTCTATCCCCCAGGCTAGAGTGCAGTGCAGTGGCACGATCTTGGCTTACTGCAACCTCCATCTCCCGGGTTCAAGCGATTCTCATGCCTCAGCTACCCAAGTAGCTGGAATTACAGGTGTGTGCCACCGCACCCGGCTAATTTTTGTATTTTTAGTAGAGACAGGGTTTCACCATGTTGACAAGCTGGTCTCCAACTCATGACTTCAGGTAATCTGCACATCTTGGCCTCCTAAAATGCTGGGATTACAGGTGTGAGCCACCGAGCCCGGCCACTACTGTAGCTTTATAGTAAGTCTTGAGGTCAGGTAATGTCAGTCTTCCAGCTTTACTCTTCTCCTTCGATGTTGTGTTGTCTATTCTCGGTCCTTTACCTCTCCACATAAGCTTTAGAATCAGTTTGTAAATATCTACAAAATAACTTGCCTGGAATTTGATTGGGATTGCATTGAATATATAGTTTAAGTTGTGAAGAACTGACATCTTGATGTTATTGAGTCTCCTTATTCATAATCATGGAATATCTTTCCATTTATTTAGTTCCTTGATTTCTTTCATCATATTTTTTTTAGTTTTCTTCATATAGATCTTGTTCATATTGTGTTAGATTTATACCTGGGTCGTTTACTTTTGGTGGTGGTAATATAAATGGTGTCATGGTTTTCTGTGTTTTTACTTTTTTTTTTTTTTTTTTGAGACAGGTTCTTGCTCTGTCACCCAGGCTGCAGTGCAGTGGTGCCATCACAGCTCACTGCAACATTGACTCCTGGGCTCAAGTGATCCTCCTGCCTCAGCCTCCCAAAGTACTGGGATTATAGGCATAAGCCACCATGCCCAGCAAGTATCATGTTTTAAATTTTAAGTTCTACTTGTTCATTGCTAGTATATAGGAAAGTGATTGACTTTTAGATATTAACCTTGTATCCTGCAACCTTGCTGTAATTGCTGATTAGTTCCAGGATTTTGTTGTTGTTGTTGTTATTGTTGATTCTTTTAATTGTTTTACATAGACAATCAAGTCATCTGCAAACAAAGAGATATTTATTTCTTCCTTTCCAACCAGTAAACCTTTTATTTACTTTTCTAGTCTTATTGCATTATGTAGAATTTCTAGTATGATGTTGAAAAGGAGTGGTGAGAGGGGGCACTCTTGCCTTGTTCCTGATTTTAGTGGGAAACTTTCCATTTTTTCACCATGAAGTATGATGTCATGTAGGTGTTTTGTAGATATTCTTTTCAAGTCGAGAAAGTTCTCCTCTATTCCTAGTTTACTGAGAGTTGCTTTTTTATTTATCATGAATAGACATTGGATTTTGCCATATGCTTTTTCTGTGTCTATACAATCATGCGATTTTTCTTCTTTAGCCTGTTGATGTGATGGATTAAATTAATTTTTAAATGTTGAATCAGCCTTGCAGACCTGGAATACATCCCACTTGGTTGTGGTATATAATTCTTTTTTATACATTTCTGGATTTGACTTGCTAATATTTTGTTGAGGATTTTTGCATTTATGTTGATGAGAGATATTGGTTTGTAGTTTTATTGTAATGTCTTTATCCTGCCTTGGTATTAAGGTGATGCTGGTCTCATAGAATGAGTTAGGAAGTATTCCCTCTGCTTCTTCCTTCTGAAAGAAATTGTAAAGAATTGGTTTAATTTCTTCCTTAAATATTTTGTAGAATTCACCACTGAATCCATCTGGGCCCAGTGCTTTCTGTTTTGGAAGCTTATTAATTATTGATTCCATTTCTTTAATAGATATAGGCCTAGTTACATTGCCTATTTCTTCTTGTGTGAGTTTGGGCAGATTCAAGGAATTTGTCTATTTCATTTAGATAATCAAATTTATGGACATAGAATTTATCATATTATTGCCTTATTATCCATTTGATGTCCATGGAATTTGTAGCTATGTCCCCTCTTTTGTTTCTGATATTAGTAAATTGTGTCTTCTCTCTTTTTTCTTGGTTAGCCTGGCTAGTGGCTTATTGATTTTATTAATCTTTTCTAAGAACCAGCTTTTGGAGTCATTGATTTTCTCCACTGACTTTCTGATTTTTGCTCTAATTATTATTATATTTCTTTTCTCCTGCTTGCTTCATATTTAATTTTCTTTTCTTTTTCTAGCATCCTGAGGTAGAAGCTTAAAGTATTTATTTTAGATCTTTTTTCTTCTTCTTCTTTTTGTTTATTTTTTTTTTGAGATGGAGTCTTGCTCTGTTGCCCAGGCTGAAGTGCAATGGTGTGATCTCAGCTCACTGCAACCTCCGCCTCCCAGGTTCAAGTGATTCTCCTGCCTCAGCCTCCCGAGTAGCTGGGATTACAGGTGCCCACCACCACGCCTGGCTAATTTTTGTATTTTTAGTAGAGATGAGGGTTCACTATGTTGGCCAGGCTGGTCTCGAACTCCTGACCTCAGGCAACCTACCTGCCTTGGCCCCCCAAAGTGCTGGGATTATAAGCGTGAGCCACCGCGCCTGGCCAGTCTTTCTTCTTTTCTAATATGTTCCTTCAATGCTAGAAATTTTCCTCCAAGAACTGCTTTTGCTGCATCCCACAAATTTCAGCAAATTGTATTTTCATTTTTATTTAATTAAAAATATTTTAATTTTTGTTGAGATGACTTTTTTGACCCCTCTGTTATTTAGTAGTGTTATATTTAATCTCCATGTCTTTTAGGATTTTCCAGTTATCTCTCTTATTGATTTCTAGTTTAAGTCCATTGTGACCTGAGAGCAGACATTGTTTGATTTCTATTTTTTTTAAAAAAAATTGTTAAAGTGTGTTTTATGGCCCTGAATATGACCTATCTTGGTGAATGTTCCATATGATCTTGAGATGAATGTGATTTTGAGATGAATGTGCTGTTGTCAGATGAAGCAGTCTATAGATGTTCATCATACCTAGTTGATTGATGGTGTTGTTGAGTTCAATTATGTCCTTACTGATTTTCTGCCTACTGGATCTGTGCATTTCTGATAGAGGGGTGAAGTCTGGAACTATACTAGTGGATTCATCTATTTTCAATGATTCCTGTAGTTCTATCAGTTTTTGCCTCATGTATTTTAATGTTCTATTGTTAGACATACACACATTAAGGAATGGTATGTCTTCTTGGAGAATTGACCCCTTTATCATTACTAATGCCCTTCTCTGTCCCTGACAACTTTCCTTGCTTTGAAGTCTGCTCTGTCTGAAATTAATGGAGCTACCTCTGCTTTCTTTTGATGAGTGTTACCATGTTATATCTTCCTCGATCCATTTACTTTTAATCTCTATGTGTCTTTATGGGCTTTCTGTAGATAACACATAGTTGGGTCTTTTATGTTTGTTTGTTTTTGAGACAGGGTCTCACTCTGTTATCCAGGCTAGAGTGCAGTGATGTGATCATGGCTCAATGCAGTCTTGAACTCCCGGGCTCAGGTGACCCTCCATCTCAGCCACTAAGCTAAGCTACCTTTTTGTATTTTTCATAGAAATAGAGTCTCGCCATGTTGCCTAGGCTGGTCTTGAACTCCTGGACTCAAGCTATCCTCCCTCCTTGGACTCTCAAAGTGGGGTTATGTTTTTTGATCCACTCTGACAATCTTTGTCTTTTAATTGCATCAGTTACACCATTGACATTTGAAGTGATTATTGATATAGCCAGATTAATATCTACCGTATTTGTTACTGGTTTTTATTTGTTGTTCTTGTACATTATTTTATTTTTGCCTTCCACTCTTTGTCTGCCTTTTGTGGTTTAACTGAGCATCTTCTATCATTCCATTTTTTTCTCCATTCTTAGCATATGAATTCTACCTAATTTTCTTTTACTTTTTTATAGTGATTGCCCTAGAGTTTGCAGCATACATTTACAACAGATACAAGCCTACTTTCAAATAATACTATACCATTATATTTAATATATGTATAAAATATAACATGTTATATAGAAGAGGAAAGTGTAGTGATATATTAAGTCACTATACATTGATATAGTGTTGTTTGAAAGTGGGCCTGGATTTGTTGTAAATATATACTGCAAACTCTAGGGCAATCATTATAAAAAGTAAAAGAAAAATAAGTAGAATAATAACACTATTGCCATTTCCACTGGTTGTGTGATTACCTTAAAATAACAAAATAGGCCAGGCACAGTGGCTCACACTTATAATGCCAATACTTTCAGAGGCTGTGGCATGAGGCTCACTTGAGGCCAAGAGTTTGAGACCAGCCTGGACAACACAGTGAGACCCTGTCTCTATGGAAAAAAAAATTAGCTGGGCATGGTGATATGCACCTGTAGTCCTAGCTACTCAGAAGGCTGAGGCAAGAGCATAGCTTGAGTCCAGGAGTTTGAGGCTGCAGTGAGCTATAATTACAACATTGCACTCCAGCCTGAGCAACAGAGCAAGACCCTGACCCTAAAAAAAAAAAAAAAACTTAAAAAAAATCCTAATTCCACCTTTCCACTCCTTATATCATTGTCATTCATTTTACTTACATATAAATATACATAAACACTCATATAACATAAGATATAAACATAAGCATACATAACCAAATACATTGTTGCTATTATTTTGAACAAACTGTTATCTGTTGGATAATTTAAGAATAAGAAAAATAAAAGTTTTTATTTTACCTTCACATATTCTTTCTTTGATGTTCTTCTTTTCTTTATGTGGCTCTGAATTCTGACCTGTATTATTTTCCTTATCTCTGTAAAACTTCTTTTAACATTTCTTGTAAGGCAGATCTACTAGCAACAAATTCCCTCAATTTTTGTCTGCCTGAGAAAGTCTTTATTTCTCCTTTACTTTTGAAAGTTAATGTCAAGGTTACAGAATTCTGGGTTGGTGGGACTTTTTCTTTCAACACTTAATATGTCACTTCACTTTCTTCTTGCTTGCATAGTTGCTGAGGAGGTAGAATGTAATTCTTACCTTTGCTCTTTCTGCATGTAAAATGTTTTCCCCTCTGTCTTCTTTCAGGTTTTTTCTTTATCTTTAATTTTCTGTAGTTGGAAAATTATGTACCTAGGTTTAGAGTTTTGTTTTGTTTGGGCGTTTATCCTGCATTGTGTTCTCTCAGCTTCCTGAATCTGTGGTAACCATTTTGTATGTTAGACCTTTTGTAGTTTTCCCACAGTTTTTGAATAGTCTAAGATTTTCTTTGCTTTCTGTTGTTATTGTTGTCTTTTTGTTTGTTTTGGTCTGTTCTCTTTGCTTTTCAGTCCTGGAGGTTTCTTTTTTTTTTTTCTCTCTTTCTTTTCTTTTTTTTTTTTTTTTTTTTTTGAGGTGTAGTCTCGCTCTGTCGCCAGGCTAGAGTGCAGTGGTGCGATCTCAGTTCACTGCAACCTCCACCTTTCTGGTTCAAGCGATTCTCCTGCCTCAGCCTCCTGAGTAGCTGGGACTACAAGCACGTGCCACCACACCCAGCTAATATTTTTGTATTTTTAGTAGAGACGGGGTTTCACCATGTTGCCAGGATGGTCTCGATCTCTTGACCTTGTGATCCGCCCACCTCGGCCTCAAAGTGCTGGGATTACAGGCGTGAGCCACCGCGCCTGGCCGGAGATTTCTACTGATACATTCTCAAGCTCGGAAATTCTTTCTTCCGCCATGTCCGGTTTACTAATAAGCCCATCAAAAGCATTCTTCATTTGCTATAGTGTTTTAGATCTCTAACATTGCTTTTTTATTATTTCTTAGGCTTCTCATCTCTCTGCTTACACTGTCCATCTGTTTTTGCATACTGTCTACTTTTGCATTAGAACCATTGGCATATTCATCATAATTATTTTAAATTCTCTGCCTGATAGTTCCAATATCTGTATTATGTCTGGTTCTGACTTACTCTGTCTCTTCAAACTGTGTTTTTATCTTTTAGCATGCTTTGGAATTTTTTCATGATAGCGAGATACAATGTCCCCAGCACTGGTTCCCATGGAGGTTTTTGCTGTAGTATGTTGTGATTGTCTGTATCCACCTGTCTGTCTCTCCAGTTCTGGGGACAGCAGTGTGCCCTGAGCTCTCATTTCTGCTACAGATCTAAGAGTTCTTGATTTTCTAGTTTCTTTAGCTTTTTGCTTGTTTGGATGGAGTGGAAAGTTCAAGTGTTCTACATTCAACACTGGAAAACAATTCTTTTTGGCTTATTTCTTCAACTTTGTATAAATTGAATCACATTGTTTGCTTTTTTTTTTTTTTTTGAAATTTGCTTTCTTCACTCAACATCAGGGTTGAGATTCATACATGTGAATGGATGTGGCTGTGGTTACTTTATTTTCACAATAGCATTATATTACACTTTGTGACTACACCACAATTTATGCATCCATTCTTCCATTCTTGGCAAGTTGGGTTGAATGTGACTCCTAGTGCACATATGCAAGGGTTTTACTGGGTTTAGGGTATGTGCATCTTCCACCTTAAAAATAATGCCACGGCTGGGCGCGGTGGCTCACACCTGTAATCCCAGCAATTTGGAAGGCCTAGGCGGATGGATCACCTGAGGTCAGGAGTTCAAGACCAGCCTGGCCAACATGGCAAAACCCCATCTCAACTAAAAATACAAAAATTAGCTGGGCGTGGTGGCACGCGCTTGTAATCCCAGCTCCTCAGGAGGCTGAGGCATGAGAATCGCTTGAACCCGGGAGGTGGAGGATGCAGTGAGCCAAGATCACACCACTGTACTTTGGCCTGGGGAATAGAGCGAGACTCTGTCTCAAAAAAAACAAACAAACAAACAAAAAAAGCCAAACGGTTTTCCCAAAACAACAATTTATATTCCCATTAGCAGCATGTAAAAGTCCCCCTGGCTCTCTATCTTTGCCAACACTTGGTATTGCCAGATACTTTAAAAATATTCACCTGGGACAATGTGGTTATTAAATAGTAAGTAGCTCCTTGTCTTAAACTACCTTTTCTCAATGTACTGAGGTTGACCATTTTTTCAAATGTTTATTGGTCATTGTATGGTCTTTCCCAGAAGACCATACAATGTTGTCCTTTAAAAGATTGAATTGTCTGTCTTTTCTTTATTGATTTGTAGACTTCAGATATTCCAGATACTAATCCTTTGTTAAGTAGATGAAGCAGATCTCTTCTCTCTGTTTGTGACATATCTTTTAGTTTCTTTATAGTATTATATATTTTGATAGAAAAAGTTTATAATTTTAATGTAATCAAATTTATCACTCTATTCATTTATGGCTTCCTCTTTTGCCTTGTTTAGGAAATCTTTCTGTATATGCTGAGGTCATATGAATATTCTTCTATAATACAATTTTTTCTGTAATATGATTTTTAAACCATTTTAATGCCGTGGACCCTTTGTCATGTTGGTAAAGGTAAAAAATGAAACTCATAGAATTACAAAGAAAACCAATTATGCTGAAATATAGTTATTAAAATATTTAAAGTGATGATATATAACACATGTGCTCCTTCTTAATGCATTAAATATCAAGATTTAGCAGAATATCTAATAACTGCTGTAAATTTCCAAGTACTGAGTGCATAAATAATATTATGAGATACCTGCAATAACTATAATACGACATAAACCTATCTGTATTTTTATTAGTGGCAAAGTCACAGATACTGCAAGGCTACTATGGTCTGTTGTCCATGATCATAATTGAATCTTTAATTTTTCAGTTTGGGATTTGTGAAAATAAACATTAATTTTTTTCCTATCCATGATCATGAATGTACTGAATTATGCTCAACAAACCAGTGGATGTCTGTGGAACCCAGGTTAAAATCCTTTATATAATATATTCTAAATTTTTAAACTGTTCATCTTTCTCTTTTTTTATTTTATCAATAAGAATTTGTTTCTTTATAGTGTATATATTTATTTTTCCCCCTCTTTTTGACTAATTTATCCTTTCCCCTTTGGATCTGCAATATTAGTGCTGGCTTACATCACACTTCTATATGTGTTTCTGGGCTCTTTATTCCATTCTGATTTAGATTTTGATCTATGTAAATACCACATTGTCTTAATTACTATTGACTGTGAAGTAAGTCTGACATCTAATAGACAAGACTCCCTACTTTCTTTGTTGGCTCTTCTTCGTCCTTTGCTTTTTTATGCTAATTTTTTAAAAAGCTTGTCAAATTCCATGAAGAAAAGCCTATTTGAATGTTGATTGAACTGAACTGAATTTATAAACCATTTATTTATACCTTTTGATGAAATTTTATGTATTTTTTTCCATGAAAGACTTGTACCTCTTTCCCCCCACCACCACCCCGAGATGGAATCTTGCTCTGTCACCCAGGCTGGAGTGCAGTGGTGTGATCTTGGCTCACTGCAACCTTCACCTCCCCAGTTTAAGCAATTCTCCTGCCTCAGCCTCCTGAGTAGCTGGGATTACAGGTGTGTGCCACCACGCCTGGCTAATTTTTTTTTTTTTTTTTTTTTTTTTTTGGTATTTTTAGTAGAGACGGGGTTTCACTGTGTTGGCCAGGCTGGTCTTGAACTCCTAACCTCGTGATCCACCTGCCTTGGCCTCCCAAAGTGCTGGGATTACAGGCATGAGCCACCGTGCCCAGCCACACATCTTTTGACAGATCTACTCCTAGGTTTGTTCTCTCTCTGTCTCGCTCTTTCTCTCTGCCTCTCTCTTTCTCTCTGCCCACTTTTCCCCTACTTATTTGCTGCTGTTGCAACTGGAAACTGTTTTTTAAATTATATTTCTTATCTCTTTGTTGCTGGTGTATAGAAAATCAACTGCTTTTGAATATTGATCTTTTATCCCTTAAACTTACTAAACTCACTTATTAATGCTAATAATTTAGCTGTAGATTCCTTGAGTTTTTTTATGAAAATAATCTTTTTTTATTTTTAAATTATTATTATACTTTAAGTTTTAGGGTACATGTGCACAACGTGCAGGTTTGTTACATATGTATACATGTGCTATGTTGGTGTGCTTCACTCGTCATTTAGCACCTTCAGTGAATATCTGTTTTTCTTCTTTGATTCCAAGTGTTATATCTTTTGTTTCTTTTTCTTGGTTTATTGTTCTGGCTAGTACCCTCAGTACAGTATTGAATAGAAGTGGGGATTAAAAAAAAACTGTTAACCTTTAAGTATGATGTTTGTTACGGATGTTTGGTAGAAATTCTGCATTAGGTTGAAGAAATTTCTATTTCTAGTTCACTAATTTTTTAAAAAATCGTGAGTGGATGTTATTAGGTCTTTTTTTTGATTTTGTTCTTGAAGGCGATAAACAGGAAAGCATGTGTATATGCCAATGGAAAAGACCCACTAAGAAAAGGGAAATTGAGGATGCAAAAGAGAGGAAATAACCCAAACACAGAAAGTCATCGAGAAGGCTGAGGGTGGATTTGTATACATTTCTTTAATGATATAAAGCACTTAACATAATGCCTGGTCTATTAGTTTCCTATTGCTGTAACCAATTACCACAAACATAGTGTCTTAAATCAACACAAATTTATTATCTTACAGTTCTGGAGGTGAGAAGTCTAAAATTAGTTTCACTTGGCTAAAGTCAAGGTATAGGCAGTACTGCATTTCTCCCGGAGGTGCCACAGGAGAATATGCTTCTTACCTCTTCCAGCTTAGAGGCTGCCAACAATCCTTGGCTTGTGGCCCCGTCCTCCATCTTCAAAGCCAGTTGCACAGCATCTTCAAATCTGCTTCCATTATCACATTGACTTTTCCTTATATAAGAACCTTTGTCAATGATTAAGCCCATCAGATAATCCAGGATAGTCTCTCCATCTCAAAATCCTTAATTTGCCAAGAGCAGTAGTGCATCCCAGTAGTCCTAGCTACTCAGGAGGCTGAGGCAGGAGGATTGCTTGAGTCCAGGAGTTTGAGACTGTAGTGTGCTGTGATAATGTCTATGAACAGCCACTGCATTCCAGCCGAGGCAACATAGCAAGACCCTATCACTAAAATAAGAAAAAAAGAATCCTTAATTCAATCACATCTGCAAAATCCTTTTTGCCATATAGGGTAATATTCACAGGTTCCAGGGATTAGGATGTGGACATCTTTGGGGTTCATTATTCAGCCTCCCATACTCAGCATACATTGGATTAAACCATATACATTGGGTTTGTAGGTCAAAAAAGGTTCAATATTGGCGATTCCATGTGATTCCACCTAAGGGTTCTCAATATATAGGAGTTACTATTAATACCAATAACAAAAGAGGAGATAATTTTACCATAAACTGCCAGCTCTGGGCCTGTCCCTGTTGTCTGAGGAACAGTGTTTTGGGCAATTTCACCTGACTGTCTGTGTTTGCTGAGCCCTGGGTTTTTAGTACTTCCTGTACCTTAGTACTTCCTGTGTCACTGCCCTGGAAGCATAGGTAGGTTCCTCCCCAAGACCATTTGCCTCTCTACTATCCTGGAAGAAGCCTACTAAAGAACTGCAGAAAGAGACACTCCCTTCTGCCCAGCTACAGGGCTCTGTACTCCATAGCATCAACACTGCTGAGGAAAAAGCAGCTCCCAAAACTGTCCGTGTTGCAAATGTGTTTGGTGCGGTAAAAAGTCTGTGGCACTGACGCACTGTGCCATATTAAAGCCTGAAGCCAAAGGAAAAATAAAAATCAGTGATATTGAGCTTCTCTTTATTTCAAATCTGATTTTTTTTTTTACCATGGTTATTTTACATTTATTTTGACTTTTAAAAAATATTGCATTAAACTATTATTTATCCTGGCTACTAAGTTTTTTGGCATTCCCTTAAATTTTGCACCCAAGATTTCATTCTCCTCACCCTAATTCCCAACCTGGTCTGTGAGTTGGTATTTGCAGCTATTCTGTCTGATTGATGATCGTTTTGGAGGGACACTCCCGGCAAAAGTTCAAACTTTATCTGTAGAGGAAAACAAGGTGGTTAGGATTTACCGAAGTAATGAGAAGGAAAGTCACCCTCAACCTCTAAAATACCCCTTTTCCGAGTGACTCTCTTGGCTGCCAATTGCCTTCTCCAAGTGAAAAAGAATAAACTAATTTCATACCTATTCTGTCCAATAAAGCTCATTGTCCTACCTCCACCTCCAGTGGTAACAGACAGGAACAGTTCATTTTCCATTGCTAAGCAACGGCAAAAACAGCGCCCGGCATCTGTGCCCGGCCTCACCGGCTGATAGGGATCACTGTCTAAAGTTCTTGTTTGCATTTTGAAGTCAACAATAATTGCGGTTCTCTATTAGTGTTCATTAAGATGGTTTATGGCTGGACTAACTCCAATCTCCACTCAGCGGTTTGAATGCGTTGTCCTCCCAGGGAAAGAAATATTTGGCAATAAAAACCCTGCGTTTATTTCCTCCCCTCATTTCCCCTTGCTGGGCTGGGAAACGATGGTCACCATCCGCAGTTCCCTGGCCGGGGAGAACAAGGCGCCTGTTGAAGGTTGTGGAAGAGAGGGGTGGAGAGGAAGCCTCTGCCCTCCTGGAGCTGGCTTCCTTCCACTCCATGCTGAAAGTAGGCCAGTGGAGCAGAAGTCTGCTGGGGGAAGTGAGCTCTTGCTGTTCACTGGGGCGGAGAGCACTACCCTATTTTCCCAACGCCAGCCCTCAAGTGTGGAAAGAACCTTCCCAGCCTCTTTCCACGGACTCAGTGCCAGGGAGAAGCACTGCCCTGGGACGTGATCGGCTCCTGCCTCCCTGGCCCGGGACTGGGTCAAACAGTGGCCTCAGTGTGATGGCAGAAAGTTCCAGGCAGCTTGAAAGGGCCGCCCTTGGATGCAATTCCCAGGTGTTGACTCACCCGCGGCGGCTGAAAGGCTGCCAGCCCCGGCCAGCAGCAGGCCGGCACCTTTACGCAACCTCTCCTCATCCCCAGCTCTGAAAATACATCCAGAAAGCAGCCTAAAGCAAGTCATAAGGATGTCGTTCTCCCTTTTAGACCCCATTCCAAGACACCCTTCCACGCTCGGCGCTTTTCAGAGCAAGCGTGGCCTGGCCGTCATGGTCCTCTCCTCGCTGGAGAGAATTTTAGGGCCATCCTGGAAAACAAGCCCGCTGGCGCCCCCTAGTGTGCCCGGGAGCCAACGCCATTCCAATTTGTGTTTCGGGGAGGCCGGGCTAGGTGAGTGGGGTTGGAGAAACGAATCCAAGGGATCAGGGCAGGAAAGTTTAATTCCATGAGGTCTGGGGCAGGTAACAGAAAATCACACTTACAGTCCTGACTCCGTTTATGACTTAAGAAATTGCTGTTCTTAACTTCTCTCTCGTGCTTTCCTCTGACTCAAATCTCTCCTGCCTGGTTGCTGGAGAGCAATAGGATCTTGGTGTCTCTATTACTGAGGGAAACTGAAGACCAAGTAGTCGAAATACCTTAACCTTATTAAGAAGTTATAGAATGACCCTGTCTTGGGGTTGGTATGTGCAGAAGCTTAATCATCGGAAATCAAGAAACTGTAAGTCCAAGATCATTTGCTTTGCTACTGTTGCTAAAACGTCTTCACCCTTCTGTTGAGTACAGAGACACCCTACGGCAATGATTCCCAAGCAACTGGAAGGTTAAGAAGATCTTAACAGCAAATTCCTTGTATCCTGGTAATTCTGTAGTTCTTTCTCTTTCCTTCTTCATTTTCTCTGAATAGCAAGGAAGACAGAGTTCAGGTAAATGTGGGGGAAAAAATCTTTTGTCAGGATAAGCCAGGGCAGGATGGGTGCTGGAGTATGATGGGGGTATCGAGAGCCATGGAAATCTTTAAAAGAATTGGCCACCACCTGCCTAGGATAACTAGGAGGTTTGCCTACATAAAAGCTTGGGCGCTTGACCAAATGGTCACTTGAAGAATCTTCCCAAGTGGCTGGGTGCGGTGGCTCATGGCTGTAATCCTAGCACTTTGGGAGGCCAAGGCGGGCAGATCACCTGAGGTCAGAAGTTCAAGACCAGCCTGACCAATGTGGAGAAACCCCATATCTACTAAAAATACAAAAATTAGCTGGGTGTGGTGGCACACACCTGTAATCCCAGCTACTCAGGAGGCTGAGGCAGGAGAATCGCTTGAACCCAGGAGGCAGAGGTTGCAGTGAGCCGAGATCATGCCACTGTACTCCAGGTTGGGTGACAGCATGAGACTCCGTCTCAAAAAAAAAAAAAAAAAAAAAGGAATCTTCCCAAGTTGATTATCTTGATTAAACAGTCAAGAATAGGGATGGCAAATAAGTTTCACATTCCATACCAACCTTAGTCAACTGAAGAGCCCAAAGCATAGTATTGAGAGTGTTCCTGAAAGTTCAATTTGAGGCAAAGCATCTTGATTGATTTGTAATGTCTGCCATGAGCACACAACAGATGGGTGGTGGCATACATACAGCTAGGCAGGAAGATAAAAGAGGGTATTACATGCCAGAAAGCCACACCATTGTGCCTTTTTCTTTCTTTTTTTGTTGCTTGTTTGTTTGAGAAAAGTTCTTACTCTGTGAGGCTGGAGTGCAGTAGTGTGATCATAGCTTACTGTGGCCTCGAACTCCTGGGCTTAATTGATCCTCCTGCCTGAGCCTACAGATAGCTGGAACTACAGGTGTGTGCCACCATACTGAGCAAATTTTTTACGTTTTGTAGAGACAAGGTCTCACTATGTTGCCCAGGCTGGTATCAAACTCCTGCGCTCAAGTGATCCTCCTGCCTGAGCCTCCTAAAGTGCTGGGATTACAGGTGAGAACCACTGCACTCAGCCCCCATTGTGCCTTTTGATGCTACTGTTTGATAATTCTTGTATTTGAGGACTGTACTGACAGTGTGGCTTTTCCAACTTCCTGTATTAGGGTTGAGGGAACTTACTTTTCCCATCTTCCCCCTTTTTTTTTTTTAATTATACTTTAAGTTCTAGGGTACATGTGCACAACGTGCAGGTTTGTTACATATGTATACATGTGCCATGTTGGTGTGCTGCACCCATTAACTCGTCATTTACATTGGGTATATCTCCTAACGCCATCCCTCCCCTTCCGCCCACCCCACAACAGGCCCCAGTGTGTGATGTTCCCCTTCCTGTGTCCAAGTGTTCTCATTGTTCAATTACCACTTATGAGTGAGAACATGTGGTGTTTTGTTTTTTGTCCTTGCGATAGTTTGCTGAGAATGATGGTTTCCAGCTTCATCCATGTCCCTACAAAGGACATGAACTTTTTTATGGCTGCATAGTATTCCATGGTGTATATGTGCCACATTTTCTTAAACCAGTCTATCATTGATGGATATTTGGGTTGGTTCCAAGTCTTTGCTATTGTGAATAGTGCTGCAATAACCAACAAACCATCTTCCCCTTTCCTAGTTTATAGAGCCTCTTGGCTGACCTGACAGCTGATATGGGATAGCAACAGGTAGAGGTGAGAATGCACCTGATTCTCACCTTTCCTGAGATTATATGGAGTGATGGCTCAATCCCCAAGTACAAATTGAATGTTGACGGTATGGCCAAGAGGCTGGTAAGTGCTACAGCCATTCAGAGAAAAAAGGAGGGTACAAAAAGTTTCTAATACACCTCTCCTTAGTTACTCACTCGACGAGAAGCAGTTGGAGAACAGCAGCACAACACAATCCCTCCAGAAACAGAAGCAGGAGAGGTGGGCGGAAGTGAAGCCATCCTTTCCCTCTGACCCTGCAGACCCTCGCGCAGCCACGGATCAGAAGCAGGAGGCTGCTGAGGGCCTGGCTCAGCTCTGAAGCTGTGCAGCATGTCCAAGGGGCTCTCCTGGCATGCCACAGAGCACCGAGGAGTCCTCATGGGTCCCTTCCAAAGTATATTTTGAACCATTCTGATTCTCTTCACTGCCACTATCCCCATTCCAGTCACAGTCACAGTCACCTCTCCAGGACAATGCACTGGCCTCCTAACATCCCTCCCTGCTTCTTACCTCCACCTTCCACCCATCACTCCACCCTCTCGTCTGGAGCCCACTCTCCAAATAGCAGGCAGCAGCGTGGCCTTCCTGAACACAAGTGACTCCAGCATCACACACATCACCCTCCCCTGGTTTCCCCTTTTTCTCCTAAATCCTGCATGATGGAGCCACAGCTTCCCTCTCTGGCCCATCCTGCCCCATCCCCTGTCTCCTGAGCGCTCACCCTTTGGCCACAGTGGCCTTTATGCGGCCCCTCAAAGTGAATACTCCTTCTTCCCAGGACCCTTACGCAGACCCTTCATTCCTAAATCTCTTGCCCTCCCTCTCTGTTCCCTCTTTAGTTTGCTGACACCATCTATTTCTCCATCTCTCAGCTTGAGTGTCACCTCAGGAAACTCAGGCTAGTTTCGGTCCCTTTTGTTATAGGTGCACATAGTGCCTTATACTCACCTTAGGGGCACCTATTACAATTGTAGCCAATTATTTGTAAAATATTTGCATAACATCCATTCCCTGCTAGATGAAAGGGCTTGTGAGAGGACATCTGGGACTTTCTTATTTCTTGCAGTGTCTCAAGGGCTTAGTGTGGCCCCTAACACAGTTTCTGGTGTGTATTGGAAGGTTAGTATTCATTGAATAAATTACGAAATGAAGGGAGAGAGGGATGGATGATGGATAAACGGATGGGTGAATGGGACTTTCCGAGATTGGAGTTGGCTGCTGCCTTGCCAGTCATAGCGGAAGAGAGAATGCCTGTTGAGTTGGTGTCATCAGGCAAGGTGGGGGCAGGCAGGGGAGGGGGTTGACCATGGATACAGCAAGGGCAGTTGAAGGTCACAGTGTCATTTCCCGGGAATCTGAGGTTTGCCTTTCCAAGACTTCCAGGGACACATGTCTAGAATCCCATTTCCAAAAATATTTCAAAAAGAAAAATCCACATGAGAACTTAATAGATCAGAGGGAAGGAAGTCAAACTTTGAGCATACATTCATGTTGCTGGGAAAGCCATTTAAAAATAGTTCACATTTCTGTGCTTTTGTGGCTGCTTTTGAGCCATTCTAGCCTGCCGCAGCAACCTAATTGCCAAACAATATGTTGCTTTGCTGTGGGACCATCTGAAATTTAAGAAAGCAGACAAGTCTAGCAGTTTCACAAGCCTATTTTTTTAAATAAGGCAGACTCCAAAGCCTACTACCCACTAATTGGTCATGTAAATTACTACCTTCTGTATCAGTTGCAACACAAGGGAAAAAGGAACGTAATATTGTTTTCACTCCCTAGGACCTATTCAGGCGTCTTAGGCCTGTGCTGCCAATATTTTTGGTGGGAGGGTTAGGGATCAGGGCTTGAATTACTCAGCATTGGGGAAAAGCCCCGTGGGGTCTTCCAAAGACTAACCTTGAGGACAGGTTCAAGGATTCATCCATGGTTTCCCAGACTCCCTGCCGAGGTCTGGATCTCTTCTCTGGGTAAGGGAATGCACTCTGCATTGGTTTCTCATTTGATCACACCAGGAGATATGGGTTCCATTATGCTATCAAGGTCCATTCAAAGGTTGGCTGATGGACGTGAAGAACAGAGAACGGGGACATGATATCTGCAGCCACTGCCTGCAGGACTCATGCGGACATGGAGAATCCTATTCTAGGTTACTGAGAAGGACAGTGTGGCTGAGAGAGGTGCCCTACTCCATGTCCCCACAGCAGCCTGCAGCTCCCACCCTGCACGGTGCTCAACAGTCCCAGACGGGCAGCTCTGTCAACAAAGGGACCATATCTTCCTCATTAGAGCTGTGCCCCCATGCCTAGCACAGTGTCCAGCTTCTAGACAACAATGAATAGGTGTTTGCTGATGAAGGAAAAATACATGAAGCTTCATGGATGTAGATATGAGCTGAATGCCAATCAGAACTTTCTAATCGTTAGACCTACCCGGCGATGGAGTGGGGCTGTCTTGAAAAGTACCACTTCAGGTAATCAGTATAAATCTGAGTGCCACTGGGACAGCCCTAAAACATTTGACAGCAGGAGACAGCATCACATCAGTGCTGGGTCCTTGGACTCTGGGGTCACACACACCTGGTGTGAGTCCTGGATCTGCTGCTTACGATTTCAAGGCATTTTGCCACAAAGTCTGCATCTGTAAAATGGGAGGTTGAGTCCCTCTAGAGAAAAGCCTGAGAAGGATGTGAGTGCAGGCAGTTTATTCGGGAGGTGATCCAGGGAGCAGGAGGGAAGCGGTGGTGAGAGTGAAACAGACAAGGAGGAGAGGCCCACAGAGCAGGGGCTATGAAGCCCTGCCAGCCAAGTGAGCCTGTCCTGTCGGGGGGCCTTGGAGAAATTGCGAGGAACGTGCCTGGGAATTGTCCATCTGAAGGGTGAAAGGCTTGACATTCTCTCCCACTGCCCATCCCCATCCTTTGATGCAAACTCCTTGCTCCTCCAGGCTGCACCTACTTTGGGGATGAAGCCCCTTCCTCCGTCCTGAAATTCAAGGGCACTGGAGATGGGGAGGTGTCCATCCTGGCAACAGCTGAGGTCAGAGGAAGGTGGAGGGGATGTGGCTTGGGCACATCTGCCTTGAAGATTTCCATTGTTATAGGATGGAATGAGAGCTCCACGAGGGAGGGACTGGTCAAGACCATATAAATATATTTGAATTAATACATAAGGATGGAATAAAATAATATTCTAAAATGCTTAATAATATACTGAAAATAAAATATCAAATGTTATTGTTATAATTATTAATTTCTCTTTATTAATAGACAGTGATGCTTTTCAAGAGGAATGGGAGTTGTTTGGGATAAATTTATAATATTTAGGCTTGTGTCTTTGCTTGGAAGATGCATTGTTTTGGAGAAGGTCAAAGTAGTTCTGGCCTTGAGCTACAGAATGAAAACTCGAGTTAGGCCAGACGTCTGGGTACATTGGAGCTTCTCTTTTGGCTTTTAGTGAAGCCACTGCCTTTAATACTCTCCGACATGTGGCTTGATAATTTTCTGAGTTGACCTGACAGTTTTAAAGCAGGAACAATGGGAATGTGTCAGAGAGAATTACCTGACAACCCCAGATGTCCTAAAATGGTGGTGGAACTGGGGACTTATGGAAAAAAAGTGCAAAAAGTTGTGAAGATGCCCCCGTGCCATCAAACTCAAACCCTACCCCAAGATGCAAAAAGTGGCAGAAATGTTTTTTATCCTGTAAATCCGCTCCTTGAACCATCTGAGCCAGCTTCAGCTACGTTCACCATCACATAGCTCCTGAATGAAGGTAGAGTCCCAGAACAGAAAGAAATGCAGAGGTGAGTGACAAGCGGTAAGGACTTCTTGTTTTCTTGCTAGACAAGGCCCAATGTGTAGAGCTGCTTTTTGAAAATCTTTGGTCTTGACCTGGATACGTGACTAAAATAAATCTCTTCCCCACCTTGCCTTAGAGAAGAAGGCACGCAATGTCCCCTGGGGAAGCCTGTGTACCCAGGATATGATGAAAAGAGAAAACAAAAAGCAATGGCTTAGAAGGAATGGATGGGACTGCCCATAAACACCTTGGTGTGGCTTCCTTAGCTTTAGAATTTCCAGATGATACAGATTCCTTCCCTCAGGGAGGGTGGCTTGGATATGAGCCCATTCTAGCAGTCACTTTTTGGTTTCTGAAATTGCCCAGCAAGTGTTTGCACACTACATGTGTCAACACCCTACTGTGTGGCCTCCCTGAAGACGACAGATTCCAATTTTCAGGCATTTGATTTCAGGCCTGGAGAGATGGGTGCCAGAAGCCAGCCGTCTATTTTCCTGTGACGTAGGGTGTACAGTCCTACCCACTGACCAAAACAAACACACCTGGCTCACAGTGGCAAGACGCAGCAAAAGAAGGCGTTTTAAAAATACATTCGCATGAGCTGCCTTGTCAATACTAACACATTCAGGAAGCTGAAGGTGGCTCCCGAGACGGCTATGTCAAGTCTAGCATTCAAATATTTAGTGGCCGAGTAATTACTGTAATAATTAATTTCCGTTGCTTAATCTAGCAATCAGGCATGTCACTTTACACATGGGAAAATGTTGGTCCCTGTAGGAACGTGTGTGTGTGTGTGTGTGTGTGTGTGTGTGTGTGTGTGTATAAAATACAGCCCAGCAATTGCTATTTAGTTAAGACGTGGAGATCAGTTTGTGGAATAAATGAGATGCTTTTAGTTTTCTTTGTAGTCATAGCTTTGGGAGAAAAGCAGAAAGGAGAATAAAGAGAACCAAAAATTAAATGCCCCAAACTTCAAATGCCATCTTTATGATAACTTTTCCAAAGTCGGGTTTGATCAAATGTTATAATTCGAAGCTTTGTAAATGAAAATCTGAAAGCAGCTGATCTTACCCAAATCCTGCCCTGGGCTTTCTAGAGCTGAACTGCTCAGTAGAAATATAACATCACTTAAAAATATACTCAAGAGAAAAATACTAATCGGATACTTTACATTCTTTTTTTCTCATGAGTCTTTGACATCTGATATCTACTTTGCACTTACAGCAGTAAGTGCAATTCAGTTAAAAATTCAGTTCCTTGGTCTTGCCACATTTCAAACGCTCAACAGAGATGTAACTAGAAGCCTCTCTATTGGCCAGTGCAGAGATACAGGATAATGGACAGATTCACCTCTGTGAAGCCTTCACTCAAACAGAGATGATGACATTGTCATACAGGAAATTGACAATGTGGTTTTGTGTATCCAAGGATGATTTGACTCAATTTAAGCATTTATTGGGCACCTTGATAGGCTGAAGTAGGCATCACATCTTTCCCATCCTTAAACCTTCCTTTTGCGTTAATTTTTGTGTGTGTTGGTTTTTATCTTCCCAGGGTGGAGTGCATAAGGACCCAGTACATGTTGGGTGAATGCCCAGCCCCATGCGTTGGGGAATACAGAGAAAGCCTTGAGATTGACTCTGAACTTAAGGACTTGCCATCAGGAAGAAGAGGCTGTATCAACACAAAATGATCGGAGAACATCATGTTAAATATGCTGAAATGGAAGGGAGGTCAATGCCAGTTGTATTTACTAGAGATACATTCTAGGAAACAATGAGGTCCTGAAAGTCTGGCTTGGGTTTGGGCAGGGCCAGAAGCAAGTCACTGGGGATGGGGAAATGCACTCTGGGGGCCCAGTGAGCATCCACCCTCCTCCATACTCTAAGCCTGACGCAGGCCAGCATTTGCGTTGCTCTAAGGCCAGCCAAAAGTCCAAGCCATTGTGCCTCAAGGGCGACCAGATTCTCCTAATGTCTAAAAGCCTCCATTTCCCCTTTTTGTCTTTTAGACTTTCCTTTCCTCACCCCCTACGGTAGTCATCAGTGCTGTGTCCCGAGGATTTCTAGTCCCCCACCTTGTGGTAGGGTTGCACTTCCTGGTCCGCACGTGATGGGTGGGGCATGTGACTGGTTCTGACCAATGATAGAGTAGAAGTGAAGTGAGTCCTTCCGGGACACAGCATTTAACTGTCAGTGTGGGACCATCCCAGGCTCTTTCAAGAACTGGCTGGCTGGGCTTGATGGGTCACTCCTGTAATCCCAGCACTTTGGGAGGCCAAGACAGGCAGAGGGCAGATCACTTGAGGTCAGGAATTCAAGGCCAGCCTGGGCAACATGGTGAAACCCTGTCTCTACTAAAAATACAAAAAAAAAAAAAAAACAAAAAAAAAACTAGCTGGGCATGGTGGCGGGTGCCTGCAGTCCCAGCTACTCCTGAGGCTGAGGCAGGAGAATGGCGTGAACCCAGGAGGCAGAGCTTGCAGTAAGCAGAGATTGCGCCACTGCACTCCAGCCTGGGCGACAGAGCGAGACTCCATCTCAAAATTAATAAAAATAAAAATAAAATAAAATACAAAAATTAGCCAGGTGGCGTGATGGCAGGCGCCTGTAGTCCCTGCTACCCAGCAGGCTGAGGCAGGAGAATCGCTCGAACCTGGGAGGCAGAAGTTGCAGTGAGCTGAGACTGCGCCACTGCACTCCAGCCTGGGCGACAGACAGAGACTCGGTCTCAATAATAATAATAAAAACAAACAAAAACAACAACAAAAAAAAAAAAAGAAAAAAGAAAAAAAGAACTGGCTTGAGGTGGTTCAAGCCAGTTCTTGAAGTAACTGCAATGATTAGAGCCTTTCTGCCCATGCAAAATGGACGTCTTGGGAGTCAGGAACAACACATCATTGTTGCTTTACAGTATCTCATTCCTGAGATGTGACTGAGCCCATCCTCGCTGATATAGCCCCTCCGTCCAGAAAGCACATACTCTTCTTGGGGTGGGTGTGTTTGGAAGAGGGTCGGGAAAGTAATGTCTCTCAACAGACATTCAGAATCAAGGAATGCCTTTCCCCTCTGCTAAGAGGACCCCCCTCCATGGTCATCAGAGATGTTAGTGGCCCCTTCCCAGAAATGGAGGCTTAGGACAAACCTACCTCAGTGCTCCTGCTGCTGTTCTGCCCATCCCAGGGAAGGCAGGCAGAGCCACTGGGAGGCAAAATGGGAAGGAGATGCAGAGACCTGTCCCAGAGAGAGAGCAAGAAGAGGACAGCGGTCTGGCCCACTGGTGGGAAGAAAACTAAAGGCTTGGAGCCAATGAGTGTCTTGATTGATTATGAACCTGCTGCCCAGACTTCCCTCTCCCCTGGCAGCCCTAAAGTTGCCTCCCAGGCACCCCCCTTCCTTTGCTTCACCCCTTCCAGACTGTCCTCCAGTCTGATTTTTACCTCGACAGGTATTGTACATTCAGTCAGCGACAGGTCTTATACACTCTCACATTCAGTTAATAAGCATGCACTGAAGGCCTGCCTCCTATGCGCTCATCTATAGGATAAATAACAGCAGGGCATGTAGTCCTGCCCCTAAAGCGTTCCATCTGTTGGAGGGGAGAGACAAGGAAAGCTAAAATTCCTGAAATCAGTTTTATGTGCCAGGATAGACAGGCAGAGGGGTTAGAGGAGTCCTTCACCCAGCCTGAGAAGTCAAGGAGGGCTTCCCAGCAGTGGTTGAGACAACAGCTGCTGGGCAGAGTTCAGGGAGAGACACTCCAGGTGAACACAGCAAGGAGAGTAAATGTGCAAAGGAATGAAGCTGAGAAAGCTGAGCTGGGCCCGTTTGGAGAGTGTGACGTGGCTGGGATGAGTGGCACAGGAGGTGTGTGGGTACACAGTCAGATATGAGGCTGGAAGGGAGGGAGCATGGCCAGGTCACCAATGGCCTGGCGGTCACCGTGGCAATGGTGATGCACAGAAGCCAGTGAAGAGCTGTTGCAGAGATTTAAGTAAAGGGATCCCTGAATCAGCCTTGCATGTAGTTGGGGAGGGGAAAGAAGTTAGGTGTGATCTGGCCAGGCAGGAAGAGACTTTTTGTGTGTATTTGTGTGTTTGGGTGTTTGTTGGTGTTAAGCAGAACTCTCTGACAGCACAGGTGCTATGAAAAAGACGGGCTCTGGAACAAAGCACAGAATGAGGGAGCAGGGCAGTGGATGACAGAATTTTTTTTACAAATTGGTTTGCAATTCAATTTTGTGCACGTGACTTTTTGTCTGGATGAGGGGCCAGGGAGCAGAGAGCAGGTGGGATGGTGAAGGGAGAGAACCACAAGACACACGAGCCTAAAGAGACAGAGGCCAGCTAAGGTGCAGGCACATAACTAATAAATAGCCTGAAGTGAGGAAGGCTGAAGGGCTCTGAAGATACGGACGTCCACTGTGAAATTTAAAAATGATCAGCGGCACTGCACTGCAGTGTAACCCCACTCCCAGTCCACTGCCCACCAATCCTCACCAGATGTACCTTCCCTTCTGTGTTGATATGGGTCAGAAAGAGGGAACAATCATGAAGCATGAGATGCAAAGTGGAGCCAGAGAAGTCAGGAGAAGTAAGAAATGGGGGTCTGGGGTGATAAGAATCAAGGAAGGTCCCACCACTGAGGACTTTTGGAGATGGAGCAGGGTTTCTATCCCATGTTCAATGGGGCTCAAGCCAAATTCCTTTAAAGTAATAAAGGAAATAATGAGCTTGGAGGTCAATAGCCACTTAGGCTATAATAATACTCTGGGAAAATACAAGGTAAAATATTGTCTACATTTACTTTTAAACAGTATAGATATAGGTGGTATATATGTATGTAAGTTAACTTTAAGTGATACACAGGGCAGCAAGGTGGAGCAATTAGTAAACATAGGAAGACCCAGGCTTCAAAAATTGCTTTCCAAGTCTTCCCCAGAGGGTTTGTTCATTAAGAACTACGAAAAAGATTTTTTTGTTGTTGTTGATGGTGAAATGGGTGGTGCTAATGGGTAGTGGCTAGAAAGATACACACAGAGATATCTCCATGCTTGCAAGAAAGTAGCATGGGAATCTAGTGCCCTAGGTTTACAACTGTGGTCCTATTCTCTCCTCTTCCCCCAGGGTCCTCCCCACAACACACTCAACAGAGGATTCTGTTACCTGATCAGATACCCGTTAGTTGATTCTGCTATCAGAATATTGTTGCATTTGCTTCAGATGAACCTAAATGAGAATATGCGCTGTAACAAAAGCACAAGTTCCCCAACCAAGTACTGTATAATACAGAAGTTTAAAGAAGATGGTTTGTTTCTCTCTTAAATAAGCATCTCTAGGTGAGAGATCCTGGTTGATGGAGCAGCTCTGCTCCATGCAATGATTCAGGGATCCAGGTTCCTTCCAGCTTGTTGCCCTAGTCTGCAGGGTCAGAGCTGAATTGTGACCTCTTGTCTGCAGGGTTGTTGCCCTTGTCTGCAGGGTCAGAGCTGAACTGTGAGCATTTTCCTACTTGCTGGAAGGGAAAAGAAGGAAACTCAGGAGCACTCACGAAACTCAGGAGCTTACATTTTAAGTTGAAGTACAAGTTTTAAGTTGTCTTTTAAGTCGACTAAGCTAGGCTATCTCCCAGAAGATCACCTGGGATTTGCATATATCCCTTCTGTTCACATCCCATTGACTCAAACTTCACTAGAGATCCACCCTGGGAGGAAGAAGGTGGCTCAACAGCATCCGCCTTAGATTCTATCACCATGACATGAAAGAGCAGGGGTTAGGGTGGTGGTGGTGGTGGTGGTGGAAGGGAGGAGTAGATTTGGAGCACTCTGCCTCAGAACTACAAGAACAGGCTGAATCTAGTTTTTGTGTCTGCTTATTAATAGCTATTGTATGTATGACAGAATTTGGTCTCAGAATTGCTTTCATGATAACACACGTGATGGGGACTTGGTCACTCTCAGCATGGAGTGGTCGGAATCACCAGGAGCTTGTTAGAAATGCCAGCGTCAGGCCCACTGAGTCAGAATCTGCTCTTCAGCACATGCCCAGGCTATCCGTGGGGAATCACCGTCTTCCCCATCTTTATCTGGTCTTGACTGTGTCCTCTTACATGGACAACTTTCCGTTGACTTCCATGGCTAGAAGAGCCCAGCCAGCACCTATGAAGTTGTTTGTCAAACTGACTAGGGACCCACTAGTGAGTAGTGAGATTATTTTAGCACCCAGCACTGAAAGGTAGAAAAGACACAGTACAGAATCAAAAAAGAAAACAGAGTGCATCACACTAATTAAGGTTAAGTGTCGTTTTCAGTTCTATATAGGTGTGTGTGTGTGTGTGTGTGTGTGTGTGTGTGTGTGCGCGCGCGCGCGGACAGGGACGTAAACAGACATCTCACTGTAGGTCACTGTCAAAAACCGGTAAGGACTGTGAATGCCACGGAGATAGAGGCTGTGACCGAGTTTGCAGAGCTGGGACACACAGCCCTGGGGTTGAACACCGCCTCTCAACAGTGTGGCCTCCGCCAATACCGAGCCTCATTTCCTAGCTTGCAGAACGGATTAACTCGGACCTGCCGGGTGTTGTGGCGGCTACTGGGACCGGCTGGGAATGAATCCCTGTGGCTCCTTCCCTTCCCCTTAGTCGCGCCCCTTTCTTCTTACGGACAGGAGAGTGGACTAAATGCAGATTCCCAATTCTTCGGCCTCAGTTTCCCTAAGGATCTCATGTGAGCGTTCAGGGTCCGCGTCGGCGATGCGTCCACCAGGCACGGGTCCCGCGGGGAGGGGAATGACCTACACTTGGCCTCGCGACCCTGCGGGCGCCCGGGTTCCAGGATGAGCCCCGGGCGTGGCTGGGGAGTGCGCGCGTCCCGGCTCCACCCCACCCCGGGCACCCCTGGCCCCCAGTCTCCGCCAGCGGGCGGTGCGGCAGCGCCACCGTGTGGCCGCGCGACATCAAAGCGCCGCGCCTCTGCCCGCTGGCGGGTCCCGCGCCGCGGAGCCGGAGAGCGACTTCCCCGGAGCTAGGGCGGTGCAGGAGGGCATCTGGTCCAGGTCCCCCGACACACCTCAGGATTTTCTTGCACTCCCCCCGCCCCCCGGCGGGGCTGCCAGCGTCACCAGTTACGAGTGGACGGAGCGGAGGCAGTGCCTCCCTGCCCTCGGTGGAGGGCGGGGCCGAGGGCACCTCGGCCGGGCCAGGCCTTCCCCGCCCGTCGCATCGTCCCATTCCGAGGTCCGGGTTCTGCGTCTACTCTTGGATCCGGCAGGTGCGGGAGGAATAATGGGCAGCACCCGAGGAGGGTGCCCAGACGAACGTGGATAACGGAGACGGGCAGCAGAGAGCTTCCCGAGCTCCTGTACCCAGGCCTTGTCTTTGGGCAACAACTGCCTCGCAGGTCCCAGAGTGGCCTCAGGTCCCCGGGTCGCGATTCCAGAAATCATCTCCGGGGGCCCAGCACGGACACGCTCCAGACCCGTGAGTTCCCCAGCGCCGTGCCGGGAGGTCAGGGGCGCTGAAAGAAGGAAGAATTCAGCCACCTCTCAGCATCCCTGTTACCTCGAGGACGCGCCTCTCCGCCAACCCCATCGTGGGCTCTTGCTCGCTGAGGCTCACCCTGGGTCAGGCACTGCGCTGACCCCCTCGGAAAAGAACCTTATGAGCATTTGACAATTTAGAGAGGAGTAAAATGAGGCAGAAGAGACTGAGTAATTTGCCAAGGTCACCGATTAATAAGTAACAGACGGGAACACAAGTCTATCTCTCAAGCCCATCGCCGATGGTTGAGACACAGCCTTCGGGTCTCTGTTGCTTCTCCACCCCCAGCCTTCTCCGAGGCGAGCTTATTTATTTATTTATTTTTATTTTTTGAGACGGAGTCTTATTCTGTCGCCGAGGCTGGAGTGCAGTGGCGCGATCTCGGCTCACTGCAACCCCCGCCTCCCAGGTTCAAGCGATTCTCCCGCTTCAGCCTCCCGAGTAGCTGGGATTACAGGTGCGCACCACCAGGCCCGGCTAATTTTTGTATTTTTAGTAGAGACGGGGTTTCACCATCTTGGGCAGGCTGGTCTTGAACCCCTAACCCCGTGACCCACCTGGCCTCTCAAAGTGCTGGGATTACAGGCGTGAGCCATCGCGCCAGGCCAAGGAGCTTTTATTGAGCGGAGTCGGGGAAGGCTGGGGATTTGGGAAGAGAACTCACATCTAACCAGAGCATGGGACTTCCCACTGCGCCCTGTGGCCGCCACGCCCAGGCAGGAGCTCCAGGCTGCATCCCTGTCTGTAAAATAGGAACGCAGGAGGGTTCCTGCCGCCTGTCTGTGACGCACGTCCCCTTCCTGCAGCCTCCCATCTTGACAATTTCAACTCTCTCACACGGAGGAAGACAGGCAGGAGAGGTTTCCATCGAGAGCCTGACTTTAATTATCCTGCGGGCTGGGAGGATTCTGGGATTGCCCATGGGGATAGTGTTCATGATTAAATCCACTTAATCTGGTGCAAGTTACTTCCAACTTTCTGAATCAGCTCTCTTGTAATTACTAATAACAGCGGATGACTTTTAAAGCACTCATCAAGTCTAAGCAGAATTCAAGATGAACAAATTTAGTGTTTACAAAAATATTGCATGTGGTAACATTAGACTCGTTGTCCATATAAGGAAATTGAAACACAGGGAAGTTAAGTAAGCACAGAGAGCCAGTGGCAAAGCCAGGAGTCACACCCAACCATCCAGGCTCCAGAGACCCCTTTAGCCGCTATGCTGCTGATGAAGACAAGACACCCAGAGCCTCTCTCCAGGTTTTCTGGAGTGCAGAGAGAACAAAGATGCACCCTCAAGGAGACACCATTTTTGCAACCGTTGTATCATAGTCCTCAATTTGTAGAACTAGGAGATTTTCTTCATACTGTTCAAGAGAAAGAAAAAAGGAACTTAAAAAGTAACTCTCTTTTGTGACTGTTCCTGAGAGTACTCTAAGGGAGGAAGATGTTCTCTGTGCCTAGAAGTAATAACATTTCATCATACAAAGATATATAGAGACCAGTATAAAGTCCCTGTTATCACCTCCTAAACACTTCATTCTTTTTATTCCGCATGGAAATATGCTTATGTTTTGAGAAAAGATGCCCATCTTTTTACAGCTTTTAAAACAGCAAAAGCAAAGACACCAAAATTTTGTGTATTTATGTGTCCCATAGCGTGAACGGTTAGGTTGTGTGGCAGATTGTATTTTCCAAGAGTGGCCACCACAATACATCACATTCCATATGCTCTTCTTAAAGTGTAACTGTGACATCCCTTGAACCTGGGTGGGTCTGGGCTGACTTCTTTGTATCCTCTCCCCTTGAACTTCAGTGAACTTTTGTGATCAGTTGATTGTGGCAGAAGTGATGATGAGATCATAAAAATGCCATGTGCATCTGCCTTGCTGTCTTGGGACACTTGCTCCTGGAACCCAGCCGCCATGCTGTGAGGAAGCCAAGCAGCCACATGCAGCAGCCACGAAGTAGGCGCTCTGGCCACAGTCCCAGCTTAGGTCCTAGCCAACAGCCAGCATTGATCCCCAGATATGGGAGCAAGTGTGTCCCCAGGCAATTCTGGCCTCCAGCTTTTCAGACACTCCAGCCAATGCCGTATGGAACTGAGATGAGCTGTTCCTGCCTAGCTCTGCCCAAATTGAAGATTCATGAGCAGAATAAGCAATTATTGTTGATTTAAGCCACTAAGGTTGGGAGGTTTATTACTTGGCAATAAGATGACCAGAACAGATTCTCCACACTTTTTTCACTATCGTGAACTGTTCTGCAGTGAGCTTCTTTGAGCATATTGCCTTCTGTACATACCTGATGGTTCCTCTAGGAAGACTTCTAGAAGCAGAATTGCTGAGCCACAGTATAAACCTCAAAGGGGATAGAGCAGTTAAGATGAATTAACAATATCTATGTCTAACAACATGGATCCATCTTGAAAACATGTTAACTGAAGTATATGCAAGGTATAAAATGATACAGAATAGTATTATTTATGTAAAATTCTAAGAACACTCAGAAAAAGGTTGTATTTTGTTTATGGAATCACCCATGTATGTAGTAAAGTATGCAAACATCTAGGAGAGTGATACACACAAATGGGTAAATGTGAAGCTTTAGCAGTGTCTGTAACATTTTATTACTTAAAAACAAAAACAACAAATACCTGAAGGTCCCAAGTAAATACCGCAGTGTTGACATCTGTGAAATCTAGGAGTGGGGATATATGAATATTGTTACTTAAAATTTTAACAAATATTTATTATATATGTTTGTATTAATATTATTTATAATTATGTGACTGTTTCATTATTTAAAAATGTAAAAAATCTCAACTCAAAATTATGATCCCAGTGATTTCTTTCTCTCGTGATTTTCTTGTTCCATATGTTTGGTCATATAACTGAATAACTGAGGCAAGACCTATGGCCTCTAATCAATTGTCTGATTATTCAATTCAAATACCTCCCCCTTTTCATTGTGCACCTTTCCTTCCCACCACACTCAAGGACTCTCCCTTCAAGAAACAATCATCACTCCTTTAACTTCCCTGCTTTTACGTGAGATAGTCCCTCTGCCTGGAGTAATAACCCCAGAGATTTGGTTTCACAGATTAGTCTCACACCTCAGGTCTCATTTGATCCTCACAAGCTCCCTGTGATAGCAACAACAGTTTCCCATGTAAGGAGTATGTTACATGTGCCTGGCATTCTGTCAAATGCTTTACGTGTGTTTTCTTTTTTAAGTAGTTTCTGCTATTCTTGTCCCTTTTTTGCAGACAAAGAAAAGTTGGCTTAAATGCTTGTTGCTATTATTATTGTGGTTTTTATTTTTATTTTCCCAAGATCTTGGTGGTTGAGCAAGACTCAGCCCCAGGCCTGTTGAAAGTCCACAGGCTTGGCCATTAAACGGTTCTGCGTACTGTGAGAAAGCTGTTTTTTGTTTGTTTGTTTTTAATTTCTCAAATTACAGATAAAGAAACAGATTTTAAGAGTGTTTCTCTCTCTGTCTGCCTGATGCATTATTAATTCTTGTAGATCCATTTGAACGTCACCCCATTTGGGAATCTCTCCTGCCAGTCCCTCCATCAGGGGTCCACACCACATGGCACATAAGGGTGTTTGCTCTCCTGCCTTCTCCTCCGCTGCAAGTAGATGACTGCTCAGAGGCAGAGCCTAGCCAATGTTCATTTGTATTCCCAGCACCTGGAATAGCACCGGATGAGTTAGGGACATCTAATCTTTTCAGAAATGAATCTTGATTGGCACCTGCCTTGCTTGAGTTCCTGAGCTACCTACATGCCTATTGACTCTCATGAGCAACTAATTCCACCTGTGCGCACAGGGGCACAGTTTGTACAAAATGGCCCACAGCTGTCCTGGTTATTTCTTGGAAACAAAACCAGGAAATCCCCACTCACCTTTCCTGAAGAAACCCAGCCCAAAGCACTGTCCAGCTGGAGAACTTAGATTCCCAGATGGATACTCTGAGTGCTCCATTAAGAGCAGTAATAATTGAACAACAGTGAATGTGTATTGAGCGTCCTTGTACCAGGGACTGTGCTAAGTGATTTACATAGATCTGGTTTCGCAAATACAATGGATCATTGCTTTTTTTTTTCTCTTCAGTGAAAAATTCTGGTTTCTATGTTAGCGAGCAATGCCCTAGATCAGAATTTGGAGTGGGGAGGGTGTTGAAGGAGAGATAGGATGCCCTAACATGAAAGCTTTGTCATGTTACTATCACTGGTGAGAAGACTTCTGGCAGTGAAGCTTCTCTGAGCTGAGTGTGGCATTTGTCATGCCCCGGGGGGCATGCATGCCATCTAATAATGCCATCATGCCATACTTTGTCAATATCTCTCTTCAAGCTGCATTAGGGAGTGACAGACAATATTGCGTGGGATGATCTGTGTTGTGACATTAGATACTGACAAAGTCTCTTTGATTAAGCTGGCGAATATGGCTTTCTCGTGAAGTTTTAAAAGAATATTGGGATGGCAGTGTTTCTTTTCTTTCAGTACCATGTTCAATTTACTCATTTAGACCCTCCTGTTGTGTTGTGGAAGCCATAAAGCCACACAGGGACAGCTGAAACCAGGGATCTGGGTGGCCCCTGGGCTCTGTGTTTCAGTTTCTTCTCTCATGAATGTGTTTGTGTCATTCTCTCCTGCTCAGCATCCTCCAAACATAGGAAATGTGGTGGTGTACAGGCCGGATAGCACGTCACATGTGACAGTTTTGCTAAAAGGTTGAGATTAGTCGTAAAGTGTCTTTATCAAGTCTGTTCTTTGTGACAAATAGTTTACCTGGTTCTGTGAAAGGCTCAAAGGTGTGGTTTCTGCCCTCAGAGAATTTATTCAGCTGGGCATGGTGGCTCGCACCTGTAATCCCAGCACGTCGGGGGCCAAGGCAGGCAGATCACTTGAGCTCAGGAGTTTGAGACCAGCTTGGGCAATATAATGAAACCCCACTTCTTTTTTTTTTATACTTTAAGTTCTAGGGTACATGTGCACAACATGCAGCTTTGTTACATATGTATACATGTGCCATGTTGGTGTGCTGCACCCATTAACTCATCGTTTACATTAGGTATATCTCCTAATGCTATCCCTCCCCACTCCCCCCACTCCACGACAGGCCCCAGTGTGTGATGTTCCCCTTCCTGTGTCCAAGTGTTCCCATTGTTCAATTCCCACCTATGAGTGAGAACATGCGGTGTTTGGTTTTCTGTCCTTGTGATAGTTTGCTCAGAGTGATGGGTGAAACCCCATTTCTACAAAAAAATACAAAAATATTGCCAGGTGTGGTGGTGTGCACCTGTGGTCCTAGCTACTTAGGAGGCTAAGTGGGGAGGATCACTTAAGCCCAGTAGGTGGAGGTTGCAGTGAGCTGAGATTGAGCCATTGCACTCCAGCCAGGGAGACAGAGTGAGACCCTGTCTCAAAGAAAAAAAAAATTACTCCTTGACTACCTAGGCAAAATAAAAACCTGTGAAACACTTACAAAACAATTGAGTTCAGTATATGTATGTCTTATGCCCAAGTTCAAATGCCCATGAGTAGAAATTAGAGGAAAATTATGGTCAAGATGAGAAAAAACCATCCCCCAAAAGGCAAAGAAAGAATCTGATCTGATTGCCATGAAAATTCAACTCTTGATCTCCCAGGACTTGATTATCCATGGTCATAGGAATCAGCCCTTGAATAGGACAGTTCAACTGGGGTCTAAGTGGAAGGCCAGCTGGAGTAAAAGGTGTGTGGGAAAGGGGTGCTCCTCTGCTCTTAGATGTCCCAAAGCCAGTGACTTGGCAGATCTTAGGTGTTCCTTGCTTGGGGCTAATGCTAAAATTAGTGAAGTGGCCCCAAGACTTTTTACTCCAAGCAAAACACTGGAGAGATTGTTAGGAAATTACACTGTTATTTCTACTGAAGAAGCATTTGACAAAATTCAACATCCTTTTATGATAAAAATGCTAAAAAAAAAAAAAAAAAACTAGGGATAGGAAGGAACTTTCTCAACCCTTTAAAAGATATCTATGAAAACCCCACAGCTAACATCATACGTAATAGTGAAAGACTGCTTTCCCCTTAAGACCAGGAACAGGAGAGGGATGTCCACTTTTGCCACTCCTATTCAACATTGTATTTGAGTTCTAGCCAGGGCAATTAGGTAAGAAAAAGAAATAAAAGGTATCCAGATTGGAAACAAAGAAGAAACATATGTAATGACCTTGTATACAGATAATCCTAAGGAATCCACTAAAAATTTATTAGAACAAACAAGTTCAGCAAAGTTTCAGAGTACAAAATCAATATACAAAAATCAATTGTATTTCCATATACTAGCATTGAACAATGAAAATAAAATTGAGAAAACAATTCCATTTCAATAGTGTAAAAAGGAATAAAATACTCAAAAATAAATGAAAGAAGTAGGTTGGGCAAGGTGGCTCACGCCTGTAATCCCAGCACTTTGGGAGGCTGAGGTGGGTGGATCACTTGAGGCCAGGAGTTCGAGACCAGCCTGGCCAACATGGCAAAACTCTGTCTCTACTAAAAAGACAAAAATTAGCAAGGTGTGGTAGCACACACCTGTAGTCCCAGCTACTCAGGAAGCTGAGGTGGGAGGATCGCTTGAACCCAGGAGGCAGAGGTTGCCATGAGCCGAGATGGCACCACTGCACTCCAGCCTGGGAGACAGAGTAAGACACTGTCTCAAAAAAAAAAAAAAAAAAAAAAAAAAAAAAAAAAAAAAAAAAAAGCAAACCTTATATCCAAAAGACTAAAAATCTAAAAATCATTGTTGGAAGAAATTGAAGGTCTAAATAAATAGAAGAATATCCCATGTTCATGGATTAGAAGAGTTAATATTACTCAGATAGCAATATTCCCTAAACTGATCTACAGATTGAACACATTCCCTATTAAAATCTCAGATGTCTTTTTGCAGATATTGACAAGCTGATACTAAAATTCTTAAGGAAGTGTAAGGGACTGAGAACAGCCAACACAATCTTGAAAAAGAAGAACGACATTGGAGGACTCACATTCTCTGATTTTAGAGCTAACTACAATTCTGCAGTGATCAAGAACATGTGGTACTGTCTATATGAGGACGGACAGACAGATCAGTGGAATGGAATTGAGGGTCCAGAAATAAACTCTCACATGCATGGTCAATTGATTTTCAAGATGAGTGCCTAGAAAATTCAATGGGGAAAGAGTATTCTTTTCAACGAATAGTGCTGGGACAACTGGAAGTCCACATGCAAAAGAATGAATCTGGACCCTTGCCTCACATTACATATAAACATGAACTCAAAATGGATCACAGACCTAACTGTGAGAAATAAAACTTTAATCTTAGAAGGCAAACCACTGTGATTTTTATTTTAAAATGATTCCTTAATTATGATACCAAAAGCACAGCAACAAACAGAAAAGGAGATTGTTTGGGCTTTGTCAAAATTAATATTCATGATTAAAAGGATACCATCAAGAAAGTGTAAAGACAACACACAGAATGGGAGAAAATATTTACAAATAATATATCAGTAAGGCACTTGTGTCTAAAATATATTTTAAAAACTCTTACAACTAAGTAATAAAAAGACAATTCAACTTAAAAATGGGCAAAGTTTCTGAAGAGAACTTTCTCCAAAGAAGATACACAAATGACCAACAGGCAAAAATATATTACCATCATTTATCATCAGGGAAATGCAAATTAAACTACAATGAGATAATACTTCACATTCACAGGATGGCTATAATAAAAAAAATCAGACAATAAAAAGTGTTGGAAAAGATGTAGAGAAATTGGAATTATCATACACTGCGGGCAGGAATGTAAAATGGTGCAGCTGGCGAGGCGCGGTGGCTCACGCCTGTAATCTCAGAGCTTTGGGAGACTGAGGAGGGTGAATTACCTGAAGTCAGGAGTTCAAGACCAGCCTGATCAACATGACGAAACCCCATCTCTATTAAAAACACAAAAATTAGCCAGGTGTGGTCGCACGCACCTGTAGTCCCAGCTACTCAGGAGGCTGAGGCAGGAGAATGGCTTAAACCCAGGAGGCGGAGGTTCCAGTGAGCTGAGATTGCACCACTGTACTCCATCCTGGAGGAAAGAGCAAGACTCTACTTCAAATAAATAAATAAATAAATGGTGCAGCCACTTTGGAAAAGTCTGGTAGTTTCTCAGTTAACCATTGTCACCAAGTTAACATATGACCCAACAATTTCACTCCTAGTTACATATCCAAGAAAAATGAAAAGATGTTCAGACAAAAGCTTGTACATGAATGTTCATAGTAGTTTTATTCATAAAACAGACACAAAGAAACAAACATCAATTGATGAATAGATAAATAAAATATGGCATGTTCATATGATGGAATATTAATTCAGACATAAAAAGAAATTAATTATTGATGCATGTCACAACATGGATGAACCTAGAAAACATGCCAAATGAAGGAAGCCAGACACAAAGGACCACATATCATATGATTTCATTTGTAGCAAATGTCCAGAAAAGGCCTGACTATAAAGACAGAAAGACTTGGGTTATACAATAACTAAACAGTAGAGGTTTTCTTTTGGGGAAGATGTTCTAAAATTGATTGTGGTAATGAATGTACAACTCTGTGAATATACTGAAAATCACTGAACTGTAAAATTTAAATTGGTGAATTGCATGGTGTGTGAATAAAGCTGCTAATAAAGAAATGCTAATACAGCTGTTAAAAATATCAGTGATCCTGCAAGAGTCTAAGAATAAAAGAAGCAATGGCAAATTAAATATACACCTTAATCATAAGACCCAGCATGGTTTCCGAAATGTTGCAAAATGTCATCTTAGAAATTAGGAAATTTGGTATGATACCCATTTTGTAAATGAAGAAATGAAGTCTCAGAGAGTTTAACAACTTGCCCAAGGTTACCCACTTAGTAAATGTCAAGGCCAGGACTCAGGTACGGGGCTGGCACTCCACTATAACAACTCCAGGAAAGGGAATTCTTCACTTCAAATGTAGTCTAAGGAAACTGAACAGCATTGATCTTTTTAAGGCTACGTGGAGAGTTTTGACATGGCACAATGGACCTGGGGGGCTTCTAAGAAAAGTTGTCCTCCTTTGCAGTCTGGACAGACACCTCTTCCTGCTTCGGTATTTGGTTCAGGATGAGTACAATGTATTGTGCAATGAGGCTGAAGCATCCCAGGCTTCTGCTCACATGGCCGGAGCCCAGCCAGCAAGTCCAGTCAGAGCGGGCATGAGAAGCTCTGAGCCCATCCACACACCTGGAGCAGAGTTTGTTTGCCTCATGTGGCTGTGCTCTACTTCCAATTCACTTACTTGGCTCCAATTCACAGCCAGCCTTGGTCACCTCATGATCCCCTTGCAATTGTCTTGTGTATTTATTTACCCTCTGGCTCTGGACATGCAGTGGTTTGAGCCAAGAACGTTGGTTTTGAGTTGGAGCAGTACTGTTGGTTCAGCATCAATAGTCAAGAGACCGTGGGTATCTCATAGCCTTTAACATTTTTTTTTTAATTTCAAGAGGTTCTTAATGTACTACAAGGCCAACTAAACCCTACACTGCCTTATCTATTAACTTTGTGTTTTATGAATTCTGTTTTATAGACTAGAATCTCAGGCACACAGACCTTGTGCCTTCCTCTATGTAACAAAGCAGCCACAAGTTCCGAAGCTCCTGTACTATTAACCCTACATTCCTCAGATCTAGGTCTTCTCCCTACCAACACAGTCTGAGCATGGGGTCAGGGCAATCCCCAGAGAGGGCATCCACTTGGGGAGTGTCTAAAGCTTCCAAAACACAATCTCCTATAGTCTCACTTTTAATTTTGATTTTCACCACAGTCCTGAGTTCATATCATTATTCCTATCTTGTGGATGAGGAAACTGAGGTTCAGAATGGTTTGGTGACTTGCTCAAGGTCACATGGCCAGAATTTGAACTCCAAAGTATTCAACTCTAGGCCGAGATTCTTTTCCTGCTACCCCTCTCCCAGTCTTGGTTTATGATCGGAGAAAATTATTAATATTTTCCCCCCACTGTAAATGTCCCCTGCAAATTCCCATTTGTAACCTGCAGAAATCAATCTGGCTTCAAAGGATACCTGTGGGAGCCTCCAAGGAGAAAGGTACTGTGATCTTGTGGGATTGTAGGAAAGACCTCAGTCTGTTCTTTGTTTGTGTTTTTTTTTTATTTATTTCAGATGGAGTCTCACTCTGTTGCCCAGACTGGAGTGCAGTACCACGATCTTGGCTTACTGCAAGCTCCACCTCCTGGGTTCATGCCATTCTCCTGCCTTAGCCTCCCAAGTAGCTGGGACTACAGGCGCCCGCCACTACGCCCAGCTGTTTTTTTTTGTATTTTTAGTAGAGACGGGGGTTTCACCATGTTAGCCAGGATGGTCTCGATCTTCTGACCTCGTGATCTACCTGCCTTGGCCTCCCAGAGTGCTGGGATTACAGGTGTGAGCCACTGCGCCCAGCCGGAAAGACCTCAGTCTTGGTGATGAGGGTTGAGGAGTTGGGGAGATAAGACCAGAAATTATGGGTGCCTTGGAAAGGCTAATAAAAGTCGCTTCTTGAAAACGAGCTCTTTCAAACCAATGTTTGCTCTCTTTTTTCATTAACTGCTTTTAAAAGTAATAAATACCCACTGTAAAAACTTAAAACCACTTGTATTCCATACCTCCATCTTCCTAGTCACCCTCCACAGAGGGAACAACTTGTCCTCTGTCTCCAGGAATATTGTAGGTCTATACAAATACACACACACACACACACACACACACACACACACACACACTCCTCTTGTTTACACACATGAGAATTACTCTGCATACTGTCTATGACCTTATTTTATTCCCTTATCTTAAAGGCTTCCACATTAACTTACACAGATCTATCTCATTCTCTTCTATAATTGCACAGCATTTTATGATATGGATGTTCCTTAATTTGTCCAACCAGCCCTCATAGCTGGGGCCATGCAGTTTGTTTAGAAAATTGGGCTGTTATAACAACCCTAGAAAAAAAATCCTTACACATCCATTTTCAAAAACATCTCCATGATGAATTCTTAGAAGCTGAATCGATGAATTCCTAGAAGAAACTGCTGAATGCAAGAGAAAATATATTTTACTCTTGATAGAGACTGCCAAGTTGTCCGGCATCAATTTGAACTCCTACCACCAGACTGAGAGTGACTGCTTCCCCTAATCAATAAGTGGGAAATAACTCTTCAACCCCTAACAGGAAGCATCATTCGCTGAATAGTGACCTCCAAAGATACCAGATCCTAAACTCTGGAACCTCTCAATGTTACATTACATAAACTAAGGGTTTTTGCAGATGTGAATAAATTGGGAATTTTGAGATGGGGAAATTATTTGAGTAGGCCCAATGTAATCACTAGTGTCCACATAAGAGGCAGACAGAGGGAGATGTGACTACTGACAGAAGAGGAAAAAGCCATGTGATGAGGGCAAAAGGAAGGAATCGGAGAGAGAAGATGTCACATTGCTGGCTTTGAAGGTGGTAAAAGGGGCCATGAGCCAAGGAATGCTGCTCAAGAAGTTGGAAAGATATAGAAAAAGATTCTCCCCTAGGACCTCCAGAGGGAGCACAGCTCTGCAAAACTCACACCTTGATCTTAGCCCAGTAGGAATGTTTTGGATTTCTGGCCTCTAGAGCTTTAAAAGGATACATTTCTGTTGTTTTAAGCCACCAAGTTTGTGATAATTTGTTATGGCAGCAATAGGTACAAACACAAAAGGATAGGTGGGAGGAAGACTGTTGTCTGCAGTCCCCACCCAAACTGCCTCAATCATCTAAAGCAATTCCCTTGAGGCCCCGGCCCTGTGTCCAACACCCAGCAAGATAAAAGCCTTTCTGCTTTTTGGACCCATACTCTTGGGAAAGTGGCTTAAGCTACCATGGATTGCAAGCAGTGTATTAAACTATTCCTGCAACACACACAGATCTCCTTGAGAAGATAACAACAAATAACACTTTCTTCATCCCGCTGTGTTTCTGGCAGTCTAGTACCTCTTATAGATTTTTGCCTTTGGGGCCCTCATGTGTATATAAATATGGATTTTTTTTAGCACTAGATTTGTGACTTCCTGCAGCAAAGCAATACAGACCCACTTCCCCCCAAGGAGGATGTGGACGAGAGGTACTAACTGTCTGTAAATTAGGGATAGTTCCTCTATTTAGTCTTTGGGAGCTGAATAATCTTGTTCAACTGGAGTTCTCTAGGTCTCTGGGGCAAGGAAGGTAATCACCGTTCGTGAGGATTTATGTGGACTGGCTGGGAAGAGGTGTGAGTTGGGAGGA
Source organism: Homo sapiens (assembly GCF_000001405.40). Classification (NCBI taxonomy): domain Eukaryota; kingdom Metazoa; phylum Chordata; class Mammalia; order Primates; family Hominidae; genus Homo; species Homo sapiens. Next base: position 89,014,493 of record NC_000014.9, on the reverse strand, counting down.
ATCAAATCTGAAATTTGATACGTGCATTCAAAGGTTTAAATGGGGTCGTGAGGGCTCCCAGAGGAAAGGAAAGGAAGTAAATTGCTGGGCAAATAAACTCCATCTCAAATAAAGCCCTTGGGGCAGATGAACTGTGGAAGGTGGCTGTATTTTGCAAACAGATGGGGGCTGCTTGATTACAGTACACCTTGGCTGTATTTATACATCAGGAATAAAAACACATAGGCATGCACAGAAACACACCTCGCTCCCAGTCTCCTGGTTTTGGTATTTCAATCCCTGCTCTGGGCCAAGCAGGTGAGCGTTCAGGGGAGTTAGCTCCCTAAACCACCTGTTAAAATAATCCTGGGCTCCTCCACATCCCCCTCTCTGGCAAGCAGATCGGGCCATGCAGCACGATGACAGTCTAATTATCCCAACCATCAGAAACGTCTTCTGTGTCTTTAATCTACCTTGACAATGCGGTGGTTTGTCATTTCTAGGTCTCTTAATTGGCTACATGATTGACACAATGTGGGGGGCTTTTTATTTTAAGAATTGAGGAAAGCCTATGCTTCAAAATTAGCTCAGTTACATGATGCCAGAGACCTAGTTTGCACCCCACATGGGCCAGAATCTGATTTTTGCAATCACTCTGATCCTAGGTAGCTAGCAAGAATGACGGAGCCAGAAAACCCAAGCCACTTTCTATGTATATTATTTACCTTTCCCCAAATATTTCCAGAACCCTGGGTTGACCTGACATTCCCTTTTGAAAATGTTGAGATAAAGACCTGTTGAGTTGCTTGGACAGATGTGCCTTGATACCCTGTTTTGTCTGGACTTTGTATTATTCATCAGAACTGTTGCAGCTGCAAGTGACAGAAATCTAATTAATTTCTTTTTCAGTTCATATAACTTAAAAGTCCAAGAGTTGAACTGCTTGCAGTCCTACCTGGATTTGAGTACTTTAACGGTGTGGACAGGGCTCTGTCATTTTCATTCCAACTCTCAGTCCTGCCTTCCTTCCAGGAAGTTCTTCTTTCCATGAGGTGGGAAAAAAAGTTCTGGCAGCGTCAGGCTCCATGACCCTAATAATCCACCATCCTGGAGAAAGAACATAACCTCCTTCTCAGGGTTCCTATTAGCCTAGCATCCATGGAAGGCTCTGATTGGTCCTGCTTTGGTCCTGCGGTCTTCTCAATCATTGGAGGTCGGAGAATGGAGTTTTGTGATTGGCCAGGTCCCATTCATGTGACCAGGAGGCTGAAGAAGGCGCTGTGATTGGCAGTCCCACCAGCACCACGTGAAATAGGGGAAGTGCATTTCCCCAAGGACAGAGGGCGCCAGCCGACCAAGGAAACAGACATCCTCCACACACAAGAAAATTGAAAATATTTCAGATCAATTCCCCACCTCCCCCTGAACTTTACAGAAAAGTTGTAGGAACCTGATCAGCTACTAAAAGATGGGTTTTGAAGCCCTTGAGAAAAAAAAGTGATAATAGAAAAAAAAAATCGAACTTTCAGATAGCCAGCCCATACGGGCGGGTTTCTGAAGGCAATCTAGACTTCTGAGACCTGCAGAGTCAGCCGGAAACCTGTGGTATAATGAATGTGTCCTAGGGCATCCCATGTGGCAGGGATGGTGACGGGCTTGAAAAAAGGAGTATTTTGCCAAATTTGGAAAAAAAAAAATCCTCCTTCTCTCCACATTTGCGTAAATAAGTGTGTTTTGCTCTCATTTGCTTTTCTGAGGATTCCCTGAGTTGATTCGAGGATGGTTTGTTGTGATTTAATCTATGTGGCTGCAACAGTTAATGTGTAAGCTCATTACTATATTTGTTCTCTCTTCTCCCACTGGGCAAATTTAGTTTGCCTTAATCTAACCACTTAGTGTAGTATGTGTACAGGTTAATCTTTACCACACATTCCTTTCATCCTGGTATTCTACGGCTTTTTACCTGCAGGATAAAGTATCACCTCCTCAACGTCTCAGTCTCTGCAATCTGTTCCCACTCTGTCCTTCCCGTGTTATCTCCCATAGCAGCTTTTTATTTCAGGCAGTCTTGTCTTCACAGAATGATTTCTTCACCTCTGAACCTCAGGTCATTCGATCTACAGAAATGCCGGCATATTGGAGGAGGAAGGGAAACGGCTTTGGGTATCGGCTCTACTGTGTACTAGTAACCTTGGGTAATTAGGATTAGGCTGTCAGCTAAGATTAGGATCTGTTCCATAAAAGAGGAGAACCAACAAGATAGGAGGTTGTTTCTCATTCACACAAAAGAAGTCTAGAGGTGAGCAATCCAAGGCTGATAGATAGGGTGTGTTTCCATGGGATTATCAGGGACCCAAGCTCTTAATTTTCCTTCTGTCTTTCTCGGCATGTGATCTTCACCCTCAAGGTCAACTCACGACCCCAAATAACTGCTAGTCGTCATATTTGAGTTCTAGGCCAGCTGCAGGAGAAAATAAAAGAGGACTAAAGAATAAGTATCATTCAGTTGATTCCCTTTAAGCAGCCTTCTTGGATGTCCCACAAAAAATATCTGCTTGCATTTTATTGGCCGGAAGTTGTAATGTGGCTATACTTAGCTAGGGAGGCTGGGAAATGTAGTTCTTTAGCGGAGTGTCTTGAATCAAATGAGTTTTGGGTTGTTCGGGAAGAAGAGAATTAATATTATATAGAAAAAAACCATTTTTAAAAAGTTTTATTGAGGTGTAATTCACATACCATACAATTCACTCATCTCATTTGAAGTGTACAATTCAGTGACCTTTAGTATATTCACATGTTTGTGCATCTGTTACCCAATAAACTTTATAACATTTTTCATTATCCTAAAAAGAAACCTGTGGACTCCTTAGGCATTCCCACCCCCTTGTCCTTCCCTTTCATCTCTCCATTCCCTACAGCCGTAGGCAACCACTAACCTACTTTGTGTCTCTATAGATTTGCCTGCTCTGGACGTTTCACATAACTAGGATTGTGCAATATATGGTCCTTCGTGACTGGCTCTTTTCACTTTGCATGATCTCTTCAAAGTTCATGCCTGGTGTAGCATGTGTCATAAGTACTTCGCTCCTTCATATTGTCAAATAATATACCATTGTATGGATATGCCATAGTTGTTTATTCATTTATAAGTTGATGGACATTTGGGTTGTTTCTCCTTCTGGGGTATTGTGAATAATGCTGCGATGAGCATTTGTGCACAACTTTTTGTGTGGAAATGTTTTTATTTCTCTTGGTTATATAACTAGGAGTAGAATGGCTGGATCATATGGTAACTCTATGTTTAACCTTTTGAAGAACTGACAGACTTTTCCAAAAGGGCTATACCATTTTACATTCCCTCTAGCAGTGTATGAGTGTTCTAATTTCTCCGTGTCCTTGCCAACATGTATTATAATCTGTCCTTTTCATTATAGTGGACGTGAAGTAGAATCTCATTGTAGTTTTTTTTTTTTCATTTCCCTGATGACTAATGATGTGGAGACTTTTTGACCATTTGTATATCTTCTTTGGACAAATGTCTTGCCCATTTTAAATTGGGTTGTTAATGTTTTTATTATTAAGTTGTAAGAGTTTTTTCAAATATATATTCTGAGTACAGTTTCCTTACCAGAAATATGATTTGCAGTTATTTTCTCCCATTTTCTGGGTTGTGTTTTCACTTTCTTCATGGTTGTCCCTTTAGGCACAAATATTTTTTATTTTGATGATATCCAATTGGTCTATTTATTTTTGTTACTTGTGATTTTAATATCATATCTAAGAAACCATTGTCTAACCCAAGATCGTAGATATTTATACCTTTGTTTTCAGGTAGAAGATTTGTAGCCCTTATGTTTGAGTCTATTATCTATTTTGAGTTAATTTTTATATGAGGCATGAGGTATAGGGTCAACTTCATTCTTTTGCATGTGGATATCCAGTTGTCCTGGCACTGTTTTTTGAATGGCCTAATCTTTCCCCTAGTGAATTGTCATGGCACCCTTGTCAGACAACTAGCCATGTCTGTCATAGTACCTTTCTCAGCTATCCTGTCTACCATATGATAGTACCACTCTGGCCTGGGCTGATTGGATCATGAAAGGGTATTGTTTCATACACTTATTGGCCATTTGTATATCTTTTGAAGAAATGTCTGTTCAAATCTTTTGCTCATTTTAAAATTAGGATTGATTGCTTTTTTTGTTGTTGAGTTATAGGAGTTTTTTGTATATTCTACATATTAATCTCTTATTGTATATGTGATTTGCAAATATTTTCTCCCATCCTATGGTTGCCTTTACACTCTTGATTGTGTCCTTTGATGCACAGAAGTTTTAAATTTTGATGTAATCCAATTTATTATTTTCTTTTGTTTCCTGTGCTTTTGGTGTCATATCCAATAAATCATTGCCAAAGAGCTGTGTTGTCTTTTGAATGACTTTTCAATTACCAAATTTTGTTCTAGTCCTTTGGGGCCTGACCCCTCTGCTTGAGAATCTTGACTTCCTTATTTCCATGTTTATCCTTTTAATAAGTCATCATCTCCTAAGGTGACCTGGGCCTGTCTCTACTCTTTTCAGCATAAAAGATGCAGCCAAGACATTCTTCATCTACCAAATACAGATGCTATTGCTGTGTTACAGGGGAGCATTTTCTAAACCCTTCATTGAAGCTCCTAAATACACTCTAAGAACACATGCAATCAAATGAGCATGAGAAGTGCTCTCTAAGAAGTCTTCCTCTTCTAGGTCAAAAATGCACATTGGTATATTAAAGGCTCTGAGCAATCCTGTGATAAATAAACAAGTTCAATTTTATTCAGTGGTTAAAAAAAAGTCCATTTATTCAAGGAAGACCTTTTCTCCTCAGCATACCCATATCATGACCAGAAAGGTTTTTCCTAAACACTGCTAGGAAGCTAAGTCTTATGAAAAGTGAGGGCTGAATAAGCTAATGCTCATGCAACCAGAGTATTGAATAAACATTACACCTGATCTCAGGCTGGGCACGGTGGCTCATGCCTGTAATCCCAGCACTTTAGGAGGTTGAGGGGGGTGGATCACCTGAGGTCAGGAGTTCAAGACCAGCCTGACCAACATGGTGAAACCCCATCTCTACTAAAAGTACAAAATTTAGCTGGATGTGGTGGCAGACGCCTGTAATCTCAGCTATTCAGGAGGCTGAACTGTAAGAATCACTTGAACCCAGGAGGTGGAGGTTGCAGTGAGCCAAGATTTGCACCACTGCACTCCAACCTGGGTGACAGAGCAAGACTCTGTCTCAAAAACAAACAAACAAACAAACAAACAAACAAAAACCACAACATTACACCTGATCTAACAAAACATACTTTTATTTTTTGTCTCCCACCTCCCTTTAATCTTTGTTCAGTAGAGGTTGTCTTCCCCTACCTAGTCTAGCAGATCCCTTGACTTTTCTGCTCACTTTTGAATAACAAAGTGCTGCAATGGCAGAAAATCTCAAACAAAGCCCAGTCAGTAATTAGAATGCCCTGTCCAAGCTATTCAACACAACTCCAATCTTGACTTGGCTCAGGCCTGCTTTAGACTGTCTCCAGCAGTGGGGGAAGCAGGGCACCGCTGGCTTCTCCTCCCGTGGCCTGCCTGCTCACCTCCTTATCCACTCTTTGCTGTAGTTTGGACTTTTCTTCAACCAGAGCTGGGGGAAGGAGGAGAGGTATGGGAAAGGACTGCTCACACTTGTGTGAATGACTCTGCTCTCTCTTGGTCTGCCTAGTGACGGTCAAGATGGCTTTTATCGACAGGCACCTTTCCAGGCTCTTCCAAGAGCCTGCTGGGCCTGTCTCCTGCAGCCCCCTTGGCTCTGGCTAGTGCATCTCTGTTCAGAGGGGTGCCTTAGCTCATAGATGGGTAACAGGCAGCTCCCTCTGTTGTGCCCTTCTCTTCAGGAGACAGTGCAGTTTTGGAGACCAGCTTATCCACTCTCCCCTCTAGATGCAACCTCTGATGGTGTTGACTCTGCACTCTATCATTATGGGGACTCTCTGGCATGGCCACCTCTGGATAGGGGAGTTTCTGTCTCGTTCAAGCTCTGACCATTTCTGTGGGGTGGCAAATCCCAGTCTTGTCCTGGAGCCCCATCAGAGCATTTAATCAGCCTTTGCTCCTGTGCAGGACTCCCTGGGTGAGGCTAATTCCCCACCCTCTACCCAGGTCCATGTAAGATTTCTCAGGCATGAGTGAGGCCCCAGTTCTCTGAGGCTCCAACATTTCAAAGCCCTGGGTTTGGGATCAGAAGGTGGCACACAGATCTCTCTCCCTGAGGCAACAAAGAAGTCTTCTCACCCCTTTCTTCACTCTAGTTTAAACCCTTGGTAGGCTGAGAGGGCCAGGAACTGAGTATCATAGCAGATTATCAGTGATGAGATCATTTCCTTTGCCAGTCAGCCTGGGAAAGTGTCATTCTCACAGTCCCTTTGAAATATTGATGCCCATCATATATGCTTGTCAGGTGAAACTGATGCTGGAAAAGTATTGTTCTAATATCTGGTACATATATAAAACCTCTAGTATTGCCTAACATAGATGTTCAGAATATGACCCTTTTCTCCCTCTCTTTCTTTCTCTTTGAATCTAAACCTTCCCATCTCTTTTGAACCAGTTTCAATAATTTCTCCTCCTGCAAGTCCTTCCAGACCAATCATCCAAGAGTGACTCTCCCTCTAGCGGCACTTGCAGATTCCCTTGTTGCTGGGACCTGCCTGAGATTCAGAGAACAACTGCTACAGTCAGACCCACTAAGGCCCAAAAAAAGAGATGTGACTTCAGTGGGTTCACATGGCTAGCTGATATGAAAGCCCAAGACAGAACCAGGTCTCCTCACTCCCAAATGAGCCTTCAAACTGACAGCAGGCTGGTAAAGCAAACACTGAGAAAGAGGGTCACACGAATTCACCTCCTGATATTTATGGAAGCATCTTCCCTACATCTCCATTCCAACTGGAGCTGCAATTTGCCATTACGATGGTTCACTCATTTACTTTTCTGTAACAAAACACATTTATCTCCATATCCTTAAAGATGCAGAGGATACTTGACAGGGGCTGGTCCTTACAATTTATTCCAGAAGGTTATGCTCTGTGTTCCTCTGAGGTCCCCTCAGCATCTGGTTAGAGGAGTTGCTCCCCAAATCTTGATGGCCTTGCTTACCTTCAAGGCCTTGATTAGCTTATATGGCCCTGAAAGAGACTTCTGAGCTTTGGGTTCCAGCCTCCCAGCTGGAAGTGGGATGCAAATGATGTGGCAAGAAAGTTCCCCTCATCCAAGGAGAATAAAGTCACTGCATGGCATCTTACAGCTCAGAGATGAGGACAGTCCCCAAAGTGAAGTCTTTGTAAATCTAAAGATTGGAGAAAGTTTCCATCAAGGACACATTATTGAGGAAATCTCTGGCTACAGATAAAGTTTCTAAATCTGAGCAAAGTCAGAATTGTCTATATGCTGGGATAGACTGGTGACTGGTCAGTAAATATCATTCTTCTCTCCTTTCTGCTGAGAGTGAAGTATGCTTCCCTCCCTGCCTCCCTGCCTCATTGGCATTGGACTTGGCCGAGTGACTTGCCTTGACCAGTGGAATGTTAGCAGATGCGACATGAGCAGAGGTTAAATGTGCTCACCTTTTTTAGTATCTGCTATCTGTCATGAGAAACACGCCTTGGTTAACCACTTATCCAAAGACAATGAGGAATTCATGTGACCCCCTGTCTCAGTGTTTGCTTTGCTGGTTTGCTCTTAGTTTGAAGGCTCATTTAGGCATGAAGAGACCTGGTTTCATCTGGGGTTTTCATATCAACTAGCTGATCTCACCAAAGTCACTCTTCTCTTGGGATCTTAGTAGGTTTGACTAAACAGTAGCAGACTTGAAACCAGTCTGGATCCAGGCTCAGACAATCTATGGCCAGCCCAGCAGAGCCAAAGCTGACCTGCAGAAATGTAAAGCAAGAAAATAAACCTATAGTAAGCCACTGCATTTTGGGGTGGTTTGTTACCTAGCATATTTGTAGAAATACCTGACTGATACTCATGCTGAGCTAGAACTCAAAGGCCTCAGAATGGAATAGAATGGGTTCCCATGACTCGTTGCATGTTGAAGGATTTTCAAGTGAAAAAACAAGAAACTTTTATCTTGGTAATGGGTCATCCTAGTTATTGTAGGAAGAATGAAGCATTGTTCAGTGAGCAGCACAGGCCGTAGTGCTGAAAAATATGAGCATGTCCAGAACCCACTGTGCTCCAGAATGCTGGACAGCTGGATAGAGACCTACATATCAAGCACTAGAGATGTGTCTTGTCCAGTTCATCAAACATTTACTAAGCACCTGCTGTGTGCATGCATGACACAGTGTGGTGGTGGAAGAAAGGTTTTTGTTGTTGTTTGTATTTTTGCTTTTGAGACAGAGGCTCACTCTGTGTCCCAGGTGGGAGTGCAGTGGAATTATCTTGGCTCACTGCAACCTCTGCCTTCTAGGTTCAAACAATTCTTGTGCCTCAGCCTCCCAAGTAGCTGGGACGACCACAGGTGCACACCACCATGCCCAGCGAATTTTTTTATTCTTAGTAGAGATGGGGTTTCGCCATGTTGGCCAGGCTAGTCTCAAACTCCTGGCCTCAAGGGATCCATCTGCTTCGGCCTCCCAAAGTGCTGGGATTACACCACACCCAGCCAAGTAAGGGTTTTTTTTTTTTTTTTTTAAGGTCTTTGTCTTTTCACTATTCCTCCAAGAAGCCACTTTTATTCCTGCCTCAGTACCTTTGTTCTTACTGTTCCCTCTGCCTGGAATGATTTTAATCAAGATAATCACAGGATGGCCTTCTTACCATTCAGTTCTCAGCTCAAATATCACCTTCTTTGAGAAGTTTTCTCTGATCACTCTACCTGAAGTCACCAACCCTTGCCCAATTCATTCACCAGCACATCATCCCAGCTTATCTTCCCAGGACTTACCACCACTTGATATGTTATATACTTATTTATTTGCTTGTTTGTAGTCTTTCTCCTCCACTAAAATGTAAGCTCCACAAAGATAGGATATTATCTGCCTTATTGGTATGGTTTGACTGTGTCCCCATCCAAATCTCATCTTGAATTATAGCTCCCATAATCCCCACATGTTCTGGGAGGGATCTGGTGGGAGGTAATCAAACAGGGGGGTGGGTCTCTCTAGCACTCTTCTCCTGATAGTGAATAAGTCTCTTGAGATCTGATGGTTTTATAAAGGGCAGTTCCCCTGCACATGCTCTCTTCCTGCCACCATGTAAGATGTGACTTTGCTCCTCCTTCACCTTCCACCATGATTGTGAGGCCTCCCCAGCCATGTGGAACTGAGACCATTAAACCTCTTTTTCTTTATAAATTACCCAGTCTCAGGTATTTCTTCATAGCAGTATGAAAATAGACAAACATACGTATTTACTGTGGTATTCCCAGCTCCTAAAACAGTGCCTGATACACTGTAGGCATTCAGTAAATAGTCTCTTAATAAGTGATCAAGGTATTTACAATGAAGCAAGGAGAGAGGGAAGAAAAGGTAAAGAGAAAGAAAAGGTGTGTATCCAGGAGCCAAATTATGGTAATAAAACTGCAATGGCATCTATTGGAAAGAGCTTGGACTCTAGAGTTATGCTTGCTCTACCATTAACTGCCCTATAACCTTGGGCAAGTTATTTGTATTAGTTAAGATGTAAATTTAGCTGCTATAACAAAGAGAGCCACCATAGTAACAGCTTAAACAATATAGTTTTTTTCTTCTCTCACTTTGAAGTCCAGGGAGGCAGTCTGTGGGTGGTTTAGTGGCTCCACAATCATCAGAGACCCAGGCTCCTTCTAACTTGCTGCTCTTCCATCCTTAAATGCATTTTCCATCTTGTGACCCAAACAAGTGCTCTGGTTCCTCATGTCTACACTCCAGTCAGCAGAGAAGGGAATAAGGGCCAGGCCCACCCCTTAAGGGCTGGGCTCAGAAATTGCACCCACCACCTCCCACTGGTTAGAACTTAGTCACCTGACTGCAAAGGAGTCTGGGAAATGAGTCTTTTGCTGGGTAGTCATGTTCCCAGCTAAAAGCTTCTATCATCATAGAGGAGGAAAATGCATCAAGAGCTGTCTCTGCCATAATGTTAAACAGCCCCTCCCACTGCTTCTCACCCAGCCCAGTTTCCTCATTTGTAAAACATGTGCCTCACTACATTACAAACAAATGAGATAAGTTATTGGGAAATAGGTCATAAGCTACAAAGTTCTATCCAGATATAAGCTACTAATTGTAAATGCTATAGAGGATTCCAGAGATGGGATTTTGGACTTATAGGGCAAGGAGGGATTAATTCTAGCCAGAATGATAGAGAAGGGTTTTATGGAGCAGATGCTTTTAAAGCTAGACATTGAAGTATTAATTTGCATTTGTTAAGGGAGAGAATAAAGGTGTGTGGGAATGGAAAGGTAAAAGAAAAAGTGAAATCAAAGGTAATAAGGTGGGAATTTATGTGCATGTGTAAGACACTGAGTGGGGTATGGTTAGAGAGAGTACAAGGGCAAGGAAAAGAGATTAGACCAGAGATGGGAGGGCCTGATGCCATGAGCAAGGGTTGAGGGGAGGTTTAGATGGGGAGTGTGAAGCCAGCATAGCCTCTGAGCTGCGGTGGGATGTGCCTGTGCCTGTGGCCTTGGAGATCAGCAGGCCATTTAGGAGGCCTCTGTGGGAGTCCCAGTGAGAGGAGCAGGAGCCTGCACTAGAACTGTGAGGATAGAAAGGTAGGGATGGATCTGGGTACTATTTCACAGGCAGAATCGTGGACTTCACAGAAGACTGAATGGAGGGAAGAGTAGGTACTATGGTTTTTACATAGTATCATTGATCAGAAGGGAGACCACAGAAAGGGGCACAAATTTAGATAAAAGAATGTAAATTCAGAATGTCTCCAATGTTAGTCTGAGTACCTCCTAGTTTTGAAACGATGAAAAAATTGGGGTCTAATTATGATATTGACGACAAAGAACCAAAGAATTCACCAAGTGATAAAGATATTTAATCAAAAGTACTGTTGCATCTTAAGGTATGATCTGATGTCTAGCAGCCCAGACAGGGCAATTAAAATTCAGTCTTGGGGAATAAGCTATTTTCCTTTCTGGGGGCCAAGCTTTTGTAACTCACTTTCCATACTCAAGCAAGGCTGGGCAAGGCTGGGCTGTGCTCCTTTTGAGTACATGGGGAACAATGGCACAAATCCTGCAGAGTTGGGATTGCATCTAAGGAGAGGCTGGAGGAACATTCAGACATCTCTCTTTTTTCCTCCCAAACATCGTCCTTTGGTCTGAAGACATTCAGACCTTGTCCCTCAGTCCAGCTATGAGAAAATGTATCCAAATTTTGCACGGTGACACTAATAGATTAAAAATACCATGTTGAGCTGAATTATAGCTCGAACATTAAGACAGGTCAGTAAAGTTGTGAGATTTTTTTTCCTTTCAAAATTTCCCATCACTGTCATAAAGCTGATTATGAAAGAAATGTAAACTTTGTTTCACCATCCGATATGGTTTGGCTCTGCGTCCCCACCCAAATCTCATCTTGAATTGTACTCCCATAATTCCTACGTGTTGTGAGAGGGACCTAGTGGGAGAAAATTTGAATCACGGGGGCGGTTTCCCCCATACTGTTCGCATGGTAAAGTCTCGTGAATAAGTCTGACAAGATCTGATGGTTTTACCAGGGATTTCTGCTTTTGCATCCTCCTCTCTTCACTTGCCACCACCATATAAGAAGAGGCTTTCACCTCCCGCCATGATTCTGAAGGCTCCCCAGCCATGTGGAACTGTAAGTCCAATTAAACCTCCTTTTCTTCCCAATCTTAGGTATGTCTATCAGCAGCATGAAAATGGACTAATACGCCATCTTCTTGGGAGCTGTCATTGACAGCGGAAAGTCCTGCATGGACAGAGGGACTGAAGATTTCTCCACATTTCTGCATGGCCATTGGTTCTAACATTTCACCTTGCAAAACTGCCACTTAGTTCTGGGTAATTGATCTTATCTCATAGTAGATTCGACCTTCAGTATCTTAAGCTGTCAGGCAGAATTTACCAATCACTCTTGCCATTATTATCATTATTATTATTATTATTGGTAGTAGTAGTAGTAGCATTTTTCTCTATACATTTGGAGATCCATGTGGTCCAGTCTAAGAAGAGTGTTACATTTAGAGACCAATATACAAAAATAATAAAAATGTAACTAAAATGTTATATTTGTATCTCTTAGAGACAGCAAAGTTTGAGTCTAATTATAATCTATTACAATACTTAGTAAACTTCTCTCTCCATGCCCCCAGTACTCCCAGATGTGTTTTCTATCTTTCCCCACCATCTCTTTCCATTCCTTAGTATGGAATTAGTATGAGCTCTCTTCTAACATGAAATAATACTTTTTATTTACAAAGAGAGTGAGCAAATACAGGGTTTAATCAGCAGGTAGAACAGAGTAAATCTGGGGACAATCACACTTTAATAATTTTTCTGACCACTTAATTGTATAATTCATTATTTGTCTTATTATTTAAACTGAATCACAATAGCCTGCTTTTATGTAGTTCTTTGTCAATTCCAAAGTGTTTTATAGCCATAACTCCTTTAATGCTCACCACAAGATAAGTATTTTGATTAGCACCCATTTTGCAGATGAGGAAACTGGGACCAAGAGAAATGAAATGAAATGAAATTTTCCAGAGTCACAGAGCTGAAAAAGAGAACCTGGATTCCAAGCCAGGTTCTATGGCTCCAAGGGAAGGGATGCCCCATTATCCCTGCACTGAACCTCCTTCAGATTTGTCCTGCTTTTTAGGGGACCTGGGAATTCTGTCAATGGGTTTGTAGCAAATGTCTGGTGAGGCTGCAGAGCTGGGACTGGGATAACACAAGGGAGGTGCCTAGGACGCTCTCTATTTCTCTCTCTCTCTCTCTCTCTCTCTCTCTCTCTCTCTCTATACTTACCTTTGCAGCCCATCCGCTATGTTGTGAGTAAGCCAAGTCCACTTGGAGAAACCATATGTAGGCACTCCAGCCAATTGCCGCAGCTAAGGTTTCTGCCAACAGTCAGCCTCAACCTCCAGTCATGTAAGTAAACAATGATGATTCCAGCCACCAGCTTTGGCATTTTCCAGCCAAGGCCCCAAACATCATGAATTAGGGACATGCTGTTCCATTGTGCCCCCTTCAAATTCCTGATGCCCCCAAATGAGGGACAACAATAAATATAATAGTTGTTTTAAACCATTAAGTGTTAGGATAATTTGTTTCACAGAAACAGATAGCTAATAACCCATCATACTTTTACACATGCTGCTTTTTAGTTTTTGTTTTCCAGAGTGAAGAGTCCTTCCTTGTGAAATCTGTCTTCATACAGGTCATACCCCCTTTGGAATCACTGTGTCACATGTCTTGATTTGCAGGGCAAGACTAGTTCAAGCACAGCCCTGAGGACAATTACCAGGGCACGCAAGGCTTATGGGAGAACCCCCATGTTTGTGGGTAAGGGTGGGGGGACTTGGAAAGGAGAAAGAAAAGAAATGAAGGAGTAGGAGGGGGAAGGAGCTAGAAAAAGGAGGGGGCAGGAAGTGGAGGAGAGTGGCATATGGCTGAGGAGGCTGGTGGTCCTCACCAGGCAGCCTTAGATTACCCAATCATACTGCTTACTCATTTCCAGGGAGGCCCTGGATGACCTTCTCCCTACAGGAACTGCTGAGTCATGCACACAGCCAGACAGGGCGTGGGAAGGTGTCTGCCACTCAACCTCAAGGCTGAGGACACCAGCTGGGCATTGTCGAGTCTAAGATGGGTTGAACCACCGCTTCCTGCCTGGCTCTGTGCTAGGCTCTGGGAATATGAGATGCCCTAAACTCCTGCCCTCAAGGAGTCAGAGTCCATTTGGGAAACTGAGTTAAAAACATTTCTGTTATTTGCTGTTTTTTCCAAGGGAGACCTCAGTTAAAATGTAGGCAGAAGTTCTGAAATACCAAGTGTGCGTGTATTGGGGTATTGGGGGTGGGGGGCAGTGTAGGGTGGAGGAACCTGCATGGATTTAATTAAAATACCGTTTTTTGTTTTGAAAGCACTTAGCTGATGCTAATTAACCATCTGGGACTGATCTGATGGTTGGCTCCAGGGACTTTAGTAACTACAATGAAAATAAATATTTCTAAACTGGGTGTGTTTCAGGTCTGATGGTTGGACTTTATTAGGACACTTTCAGGTGAAAGGGACTGAAACCAATTCAAAGTGGCTTGAGTAAAAAGGAAACTTTTTACTAAGACGTGGAGGAATCCACGTCTGGGTTCAGACACAGAGATTTCAGGCTCAGACATACTCCGTAAGACCCGGTTTCTCTCCAGATTTAGATCTGCTTTCCACCATGTTGGCTTCACCCTCATGCTTCCCACAGTGGTCCCAGCTGCTCCAAGCTCCCCCACCATAGTGACAAGATGGCTGCACAACTCCAGCCTGCATCCTCTCTGAGTCACCCTCTTGTAGATGAGCATGCTTAGCAGAAGTCCCTGTCCCTGGTTAGGTCATGTGCCCAACACGGAAAGCTTCCTTCTGGCTAAGGGATAGGAATAACCATAGAGCTGGATCAGTGGAGATAAGGTGGCCAACCAAACCACATGGACTAAGAATTGGGGTGGGGTGGGGGTGGGCTTTCCATACAAAAATGGAGGCTTTCATTAAAAAAAAAAGGAATAAATGCTGGGGAGTAAAATTAAAAAGTCCCCTAATGGGCCACAGACAATGAGGCAGTGGGACATTTCAAGGGCAGTGAAAGGCAGGTCAGCACCTGGGGGAAGTCACGCCAGCATGGTTCTGGAGTCAAGTTCAAATCTGCCCGCTACCACTATGGCAAAGAGGCTTCCTGATCACCAAAAAAAAAGGTGCTTCCCCTTCCATTATAGAGCATTTGTGACAGTCATGAAGGTGTACCACTCATATCACCTTTCAAGAAATAACTGCCATTCAGCTTCAAGGACTACAAGTAGCTTTAGAGCTGAAGCCCTCTTCTAGGGCACCCCTCAGGCAATGACCGAGCATGGCGGGATAGTGGAGCCGGCCATCTCTGCCCAGTGCAGGACTGCTCCAGTGGATAATCTTTACTCTAGATCTCCCTTTGAGTAGGCTGAGGCTGTCAATTCTGCCTTGCAATCTGAGGCTTGATCCCTGAATCACTGTGTGGAAGGGCTCTCACTGACCAGGAGCTTCCACCTGGGACTGTTAGGTAAGCGAAAGAGTATTTTTTCGTTTGTGGTAGTGTTTTTCTGCATGACAGTCATTTTTCCTTATAATTCTTACTCTTGTAAATACAGATATAAAAAATGAAAATAGTATAATCATCAGAAGTGGCAACAAAAAAAGAGCTTGGCTACCTTCAAATGACTACCCTTAACAAAACCACTGAAAAACCCTGGAAACCTAGCCACGTTCAGTGCTTTAAGTAACATTTTTATAGACATGTATCACATATGTGGAAAGGTGCACACAACATAAATGCACAAGATCAAGGAATTATTACAAAACAAAGCACTCTGTACTCACCACCCCAGGTCAAGAAAGAGAACATTTTCCTCACCCTAGAAGTCCTCTCCTCCCCATGCCACCCCTACTCTCTCAAAATTCTCTGCAAGCTTCAGATTCTAAGGTTAATAGAGGAAGCAGGTGTGTCCAGTTGCTTTTGTCAATGGACTGATAAATTGGCAAAAGTAGCAAGAAACTTCCTTTTAATGGTTTGCTTGTTTGCTTTAAGCTTAAAGATAAATTTTTATCTTTAAGATGTTTTTAAATCCCAGAATATTTTTAAGGTACTGGATAGAGACGGGGGGAAAAGGCAGAAGTTAAATTTTGTTCTATCCTCGCTCTGGAGTCTGATCTTGATAAGCAAAGAATGTAATTAAAATGGATTACAGACTATTAAACACCAACAAGAACAAAATGATGGCAGTGTGTGCAAGCCAGTAATTAAAGCTTTAGAAGAGGAAAAAGTCACCATCACTTATAATGTTTATTTATCAAGGTTAGTAACAAATATTGACATGAAAGCTTTTTTCTTCTATTTTTTTCTTAGCATCAGGCTGTCAGCAATTAGTGGGGCATATTCCAGAATCAATATGGCCTCAGGTTTGAAACAGTAAGATCCATACATTTCTAAATTAGTTGGCATGACAGCAGACTGGCTCCAGAGAGCAGACCTGCTTGCAACATCATTCAATTAGAGCTTATTAGAAGACAAAGAGAAACAAGTCAGGAACAGCATCTCTTAAAATTGCTTTTAACCCAAAGATATTCTTAAGATAAACATGAGGGAGAGACTTCTTAATGGCAAAGGATTTTATGTTTATCTTTATCATGAAAAACTTTAATCCATAAAGTAGAATGTTCCTTAAAATATGTGATTAAAAGCGTGGGCTCTGCAGTTACACTGCCTGGATTCAAGTCAATTCCCACTTTCTAACTGGGTGACTTTGGGCACATTGTTCAACCTTTCTGCCTCTCAGTTTCTTTATCTGCAAGATGAGAATAACAATCTTATTTACATTATAGGGTACTACAAAGAGTAAATGAGATAATATATGCAAAGGTCCTGGCATGCAGTAAGAACTCACAAGGTGTTAGCTGTTGCATTAGTCAGGATAGGCTAAGTATGATGCAGTGACGTGTGGACCCCCAACTCCCAGTGGCTTTACTCAATGAACTGAATTTCTCAGTCAAGCTATGCCCCCACCATGGGTCAATAGGGTGAGGGGTAGAAGAGAGCTGTGCTTCACATGGCCTCAAGGAACCACCACTTCGTAGCTATACCAAGAGACCTACCCATACAGCAGAAGGGGAAGAGAGCCCAGAGAAACCTACCCAGGCTTCTCATTGCCACCACCCAGAAGTGACAAACCTGGCTTCCAACATGTCTCACCATGCAGAACTAGTCTACTGAGCACCCGGGAAATGTAAGAGGCAGGTAGAATGTTTAGTGAGCATGTTATCCCCACTACATGTATCAACATCATCATCATCATCATCAATGTTATAGGCTCTGTGATGGTTTTTACTGCATGAAATTCAGAAAATACATTTTGACCTGTGATACGACTGAATCTCAGGAAAATTCAATCTTTCAACAGCTATTTATTGAATAACTATGGGTGAAGCAACACTGTTCTAAGTGTGGGACACAGAGGTGACTTGACCAGATAAGGATCCTTCTCCCATGAACCTCACAGTACAAAACAATATAACCAAACTGTTACATTGCTCCATCCTTGCTCAGAATAGAACAGATATGTTAACCGATAAAATCCAGTAACATTCGGTTCTAGCAATGGAGGGTTAGAAGTTGGTGGGAGTGGTGTTTGCCCTGAGACCTGAATGACAAGAAGGTGCCAGCCAGAGGCACCTGGAGGTCTGCAGAGGGAGATCTGCAGGAAAAATTATCTGGGCAGAGGGCAACAAAGTGAGTTTCAAGGGTGGGAAACAAGGGCAGTGTGGCTGGAGTGTAGAGAGTGAGGAGAGGTGACAGAAGGAGGCTATAGCTGGTCTCCTAGGCCATGGGAAGAGGTTTGGAGTTTAGCTAAGGGGAGGTGGGAAGCTATTAGAGGATATTAAGTAGGGGAGAGAGACATTTGGACTTGTTTCCAAAGGTCTCTGTGGCTACTCTGCAAGGGAAGGATGGCAAAAGGTAAGAATGAAAGCAAGTGGACCAATGAGGTGGCCGATGAAGTCATTTAGGTGAGAGGGGGTGGTGACTTGGATCAGGTTAGGGGCAACAGAGAGAGGTGGTCAGATTCAGGGGACATACTGGAGGCAGGGGAGTTGACAATAGAATTGGCTGTATGACCCCTGAGCCCCCCGCCAATTACCCAGTGTCTGGATCAGACAATCTAAAGATCCAGTGAAAATTTCCATCCTTGGGAGAGCCATGGAAGAAGTGATGCCCCTAAACCCTTCTACTTTGCAGGGACTTCCCATAGGTTCCTGGACAAAACCTGTGAGAAGGCCTTTGCAAATCTCATTCCACAGTGAAAAACGAGTGAGATCAATGCTTGCTGAATGAATAAAGGTGCCAAGTGCAAATCTCTTACTCTCTCGGGTTTGCAGCCCCCACACCCTCCAACTTATGTACTTGACTGCACTGTCAGATCTAGCATTTGGACCTTCAAGTGGGTTCGAATCTTCTTTAGAATCACACGCCTCTTGAAGGTTTCCATCCTGTCCAACGAAGCACTGGTTTTATCACAGGTGGGGTTCAGTCTCCCAGGCAGGCCCCCACCTGGAGGCCAGAATTCTTGGCTCTGGTCTGCACTGTCACCTGCTACGGGCCTCGGATGATCTACCTGACTTCCCTGGGACAGCTCATGCCTCAGATATTTTTAAGTGTTGGGCACAGGGCCTATGGAGACACATAAAACAGAAGTTCCTGGCCTCAAGTAGTTTACAGGGAGTTAGTGTAGATAGATGGCTCTTGACATTACTCTAGTGTAATCCTTATGATGTTTCCAGTGTTGGGAAACCTCCCTTACCCAACTTCATGAGCGGTGGTTAGTGGAGCCTGGAATGCCTGCTGTTTACATACCTGGAAGCTGGCTCTCACACACAATTTGCCCATTGAAGCAGAAAAATACCCATAGACCCACATGTCTGTGAGTTTGTATCCAGGACGGGTTATAAATAACTCCTCCGTCTGGGGCTTTAATAAGGATTAATGAGGTTTAATGTCTATAAGGCCTTGCCAAGCCAGAGTCAGGCAATGGGGAATTTTTATGATTCACAGGATAAATCATGTTCATCAGGAGTGATCTCTTTGGGCCACCAGGGCAAAGGGCAGCATCATGATTCGGCCATGAGCCAAGAAAGCCAAGATGATGGTGGCTGAAGCCCAGAGCCATGAGATGTACAGGGGGAGTGTGCTGACACCAGGGGCTGCTGGTCAGGCCGAGGCCAAGCCAGGAAGGTGGGATCAGGCCAAGGGGCGAGAGAAAAATGAGCTGCACTTTAGATGCCTCGAGAGGTTTGCTGCAGACCAGCAAGGGGTGTACTGAAGTGGGGATCAGCACAAGGTGGGGCTTGAAGTGCCTGAGAATGAGAAAATTGTACCATCTGTAAAATGGAAACGATAGGACCATCATCATAGGGTTCTCATGAGGATAAAAGCAGTGTGGCCTGCCTTTGGCTACAAGCAACAGAATTTGAACTTATTCACTCAATTAGCATTGACCTGCCTTGTTTTTCACAATGTGATGAAATCTGCAAAGATCTACTCATAACTTTCGTCCAGAGATCTATGGGAGATCTCTGAGAGGGAGGGGGGTTTAGGGGCATACTCTGTTTCCACGGACCACTCAAGGATGGAAAGTTTCAATGCATCCTTAGATCAGCTGAGCCAGACTGGGAGTGAGGACGAGGGTTGGAGCTGAAGGCCCTTGTGACAATGACTCCGTCATCACCTATTTTGCTTCCAAAATGAACACCCCACAATCTGACCCCTTTTCAAGACAAGTGATTGCATCAAGCAGGAGCATCTGTACACCAGCATGGAGAAGTTCCTGCCTCTGCTCCCACCTGGAGAGAATCTCTGGAAACTACCAGAGCCAGAGCGACAGCAGGAGTTTCTGGAGAATAAATCCTTTTTTTTTTTTTTTGAGACAGAGTCTTGCTCTGTCACCTAGGCTGGAGTGCAGTGGTGTGATCTCGGCTCACTACAACCTCTGCCTCCTGGGTTTAAGCGATTCTCCTGCCTCAGTCTCCCAAATAGCTTGGATTACAGGTGCCTGCCACCACTGCCGGCTAATTTTTTTGTATTTTTAGTAGAGATGGGGTTTCACCATATTGGCCAGGCTGGTCTTGAACTGATCTCAGGTAATCCACCCTCCTCAGCTTCCCAAAGTGCTGGGATTACAGGTGTGAGCCACCGCACCCAGCCTCTGGAGAGTAAATCCTAGTAGGAAACCCCTCCGCCTGAGTTGCAAGTCAAATAGTTGGGAAAAGGATATAATAGGGAAAAATACCCCAGTTTTAGAATTTTAATTTTATTAATTAATCATTAATCAATCGCCTAAACTGGGAATTAAGGAGGCTGCATTCAATCTTTAAGTAGTTTTTCATTCAAGCATTGTTTCCCCAGATATTTACATTTGACTGTCATTAGATGGGCATTTGCTCTCCAATTTGCCACGGTCCCCATCACTTTCAAGTGCCTTCCACCTGGTCTACCTAAGTCATTGAAATTACATGCCTGTACTCTGAAATCCCTTGGTATGTGAGTCCTACCTTATCAGTGGTGGGTTGGCATCAGCTCATGCTGACTCATGAGAGCTGATTGTTACATTTTCAGAATTTTCCCAGACAGTTCGCATCCTATGGTAGCTTGAAATGAGCCATGAAGGAAATATTTACACAACAGAAATTGGTAAATGCCATAAATTGGGACCTTTTATACCTCTGGGGCAAAAGGCACACTGCCACCTTAAATTTCATTTGAAAACTGGGCTAAGGGTACAAGAAGACAGGAGAGAAATAAGAGAGATGCAAAGGTAAATCTATTTCTTGCTTTTGAGGAGATTAGGATCTTTTAAAATATTGAATGTAAACAATTTCAAGCTACTTCTGCTTAAAAGCCCTCCTATAATGTTCTGTACTGCACACTGGAACTCAACTGTGGTAGCAGCACACTGACATCACACGGAAGATTTTCAAAAACACCAATGTATGGAGCCAGCCCCCTAGATCTTCTGCTTTAATTAGGCTGGTCTGCAGCCAGGGCATTTGAAAGAATACTTGAAACTTTCTAGGTGTTCTTTTTTTTTTTTTTTTTTGAGACAGAGTCTTGCTCTGTCACCCAGGCTAGAGTGTAGTGGCGTGATCTCGGCTCATTGCAACCTCCACCTCCTAGGTTCAAGTGATTCTTCTGCCTCAGCCTCCCGAGTAGCTGGGATTACAGGCATGCGCCACCATGCCCGGCTAATTTTTGTATTTTTAGTAGGGATGGGCTTTCACCATGTTGGCCAGGCTGGTCTCCAACTCCTGACCTCATGATCTGCCCTCCTTGACCTCCCAAAGTGCTAGGATTACAGGTGTGAGCCACTGTGCCCAGCCTCTAGGTGATTCTTTAGTGTAGCCAGAAGCACGTTTGGCCCAGGATTGGGAATACAATGCCTGACATCTTCACAGCACCTGTTCACAAAGAGCTCTCACAGATCTTAGGAACACAGTCAGGGCAGTGTATGGTGGAAACAACACAAGTTTGGAGCCAGATGATCTTCTGAGTTTACAGTTCCCTCATCTCTACAATGGGGACAATCAGACCATCATCATAGGGTTCTCATGAGGATTAAAGGAACGTGGGATGCTACTAGCAATAGAACACCCAATTAAAAAGGGTTTCTTATGTAATACAGCCACAATTTTAGGGGTAGGGCATTTCCTGGGTTGGTTCTCTAGTTCAGCAATATTACCAAAGGTTCAACCTCTTTCCATATTTCTGTCTTACTATCCCCAGAGTCTTTTGACTTTGGCCTTAGGCTTGCTTCCTCATGTTCTCAAGATGGCTGTCACAGTTCCAGGCATTGTATATCTGGTGAAAGAAGGAAGTACTTCCTCCCATTTGTCTCAGTTTACTGGAGTAGAAAAACCTGCCCAGAAGCCCCCAACACTCTTCTCCTTGAGTTCCATTGGCCAAAATGGGAGTCACATATTCTAGCTGCAAGGGAGCCTGAGGAAGCAGACTTCTGGCATTTTCAGTGTTTACAATGGCAGGTGGCCCTGCAGCCAGAAGGGAAGGGGTGGGTAAGGGCTGTTGGGGAGGTATATTAAAGGACCCTGCCCAGTGCTTGCCAGGCACAGAGCTCAGTATGTGTGAGTTGTTTCTGCTCTTCATCCACTCATCCCACCATTACAAACCCACGGCATCATCCTTTACCCCCAGTTATGGTTAAAATTACATTATTCCCAGAACTGGCCCCTTTCTGAAGACCACAGACACAGCATGGCTGCTCAGCTAATAAACACCAACAGGTGTATGACCTCTTTACACCTACAGAGACTATTACACTGGACTATAAATATTCTTAGGTGTTTGACTTCCTCTCTCCCCTTGAGTGAAGCTAAAAACTAGGGGATAACGCCAGGTAGCTTCATCTCCGTAAAAGATATCCAGACCTCACTGGCCTTCCAGCATTCCAGCTATAGGACATCTTTGTAACACAGATTCCCAGGGCAGGCTTGCCATCTGGAGAATGCCTACCTGCCAAGGTGATGATTGTGATCATTATTGAAACCCCACAGAGCAGTAATGAACCATCCTCCAGGGAGGTCACATTCCCCAATTAACAACATATAGGTCAAATCCCATTAGGGACAACTCCAGGGCACCTTTCAGAATCGTTTTCTGTGAGGAAATCAGTTCCTTTGGAAGATAGCTTGAAACCAGCCAGCTTAGGGCTGAGAACTACAATGCTATGCCACGTGCACTTTTAAACCATACTTTTAAAAGTTATAAAATAGTAGAATCACATCACAGAAAACTTGGGAAATAGAGAAAAGACAAAGCCACCAATAATTCCACGAATGAACACAACCACTGTTGTCATTTTATCATTTCTTCTTAACATTTTCCTTTTACTCAAGTGTTTCACATAGTCATAATCATAGCATACAGACTATTATTGTTCTACTTTTTCAATTTAAATTTAAGAAATGTTTACTGTGTATGTCTGAGAATACCAGGCTCAGTATTAGCTGGTAGGGGTTCAATGGAGAAGAAGACAGGCAATGATAAACAGATAATGAGGACAATGCAATGTGATGAAATGGAAGTGTATGGCAGGGGTTATGGAAACACATTAGAGGAAGCCCAGACCTGGACTTGTGGGGGCAGTGCTCAAGGAAGCCTTCCTGGAGGAGGTGCTTTGTAACCTTAGACCAAAAGATGCATGCCTCCTGCGACCTTAGTAAAGAGAAATTGGAGGAGTATTCTCTGCAGAGGGAAGAGTGTTTTTCATGGCATGTAGACATGGCAATATCTGGTGAAAGTAGGAAATACTTCCTCCCATTTGTCTCAGTTTATTGGAGTAGAAAACCCTGCCCAGAATCCGCCAACAGTCTTCTCCTTGGGTTCCATTAGCCAAGATGGCAGTCACATATTCCAGCTGCAAGGGAGCCTAAGGAAGCAGGCTTCTGGCAAGTCCACAGCACTTGGAGGATATGTCAGGAGCTCAATAGCATGGTGGGAGCTTGGACTCTGTTATGAACTGAACTGTGTCCCTCTCAAATTCATATGTTGAAGTTCTAACCTCCAATGTGACTGTTTGGACATAGGGCCTTTCAGAAGGTAATTCAGGTTAAATGAGGTCATATGGTGAGGCCCTCATCTGATAAGATTGGAGGCAAGGAAAAGAGGAAGAGACACCAGAGGTTTCTCTCTCTCCACATGTGTGCACAGAGGAAAGGTCTTGTAGAGGATACAGCCAGAAGGCAACTGTCTACAAGCCAGGAAGAGAGGCCTCACCAGAAGCCAACCCTGCTGACACCTTGATCTTGAACTTCCAGTCTCCAGAATTATGAGAAAATAAATTTCTATTTTTCAAGCTACCGAGCCTGTGGCATCTTGTTAGGGCAGCCCCCCAAATCCTGGTACCAAAATCTGTACCAGAGACACAGAACTAAGAGGATATATAATATAGATGGATAGATAGATAGATAATAGATAGATAGATAGATAGATAGATAGATAGATAGATAGAAAGATGGATAGACAGATGATACATAGATAGATAGATAGATAGATAGATAGATAGATAGATAGATAATAGATTTGTTATAAGGGGTTGGCTTATGCAATTATAAATGCTGGTAAATCAAAAATCTGCAGGCTAATATCTCCATTCAAAGACTATCAGGCAGGAGGATTTTCTCTTACTTCGGGAAAGGTCAGCCTTCTTTTCTCATCAGGCCTTTGACTGACTAGATGAAGTCCACTCACATTATGGAGGGGAACTTGCTTTACTTAGTTCACCGATTTAAATGTTAATCTCATCCAAGAAGTATACCTTCACAGAAACACCCAGAATACTATTTGATCAACTCTCTGGGTGCCCCATAGCCCAGTCAAGTTGACACATAAAATTAACCATCACAGACTCTGTGATGAGGAAAGGCAAGAGGGGATGCTAGGGAGTTTGTCAGGGGCCAGATATCATCATGAGCTGCCCTATTCACAAAAATGAGTTTGCAGTTAATCCTGAGATCAAAGGGGAGGCACTGAATGACTTTAATCAGGAAATGCCATGCTCAGTGTGTTCATGTTAAGACTAAGCATTAAGACTACAAGTGTGGGAAACACATTCAGGCCTGCCCTGCACAGTTGGACAGATTGGGTATTTGCACAACTCCAGTGTAGGCACGATCCTCATCCTGGTCTATGGGAATGGCATCTCCTGGAGTTGCACAGTGTGTAATATGAAGCACTGTACACAATGGCCCTGAACATATTAGAAGGGGCAAGACTGGAGGCAAGGAAACCAGTTAGGGACCCCTGGCAGTACTCTGGGTTCTAAGAGTTTTCAAATATCGTACATAGTCATCATTTGGTGGCTTCCTCCTTAGGGATAAGCCATGATTTACTTAACCATTTTCCTCATGTAATTTGCAGATATAATTTTCCCATGGTGATATTAGATGTAAATAAATTTGTTCTGTATTCAAATGCCTTCCATTGGACCATAGAAAGTATTATCTCAGTGGTACCTATTTGAGAGAAAAGGGGCTGACCGACTGTGGTGGCTCATGCCTGTAACCCCAGTATTTTGGGAGGCCAAGGAGGGTGGATCACCTGAGGTCAGGAGTTCAAGACCAGCCTGGCCAACATGGTGAAACCCTACCTCTACGAAAAATATGAAATTAGCTGGGTGTGGTGGCACATGCCTCTAGCCCCAGCTACTCAGGAGGCTGAGACAGGAGAATAGCTTGAACCCAGGAGGCGGAGACTGCAGTAAGCTGAGATAGCACCACTGCACTCCAGCCTAAGTGAGACAGAGTGAGCCTCTGTTAAAAAAAAAAAAAAAAAAAGAGAGAGAGAGAGAGAGAATAAAGGGGCTGTAAGTGATGAACTGGGAGGACAGGCATGATCCACAGCTGTCCTGGGCACACAAGAATGAATGGCCACCTTCCCTATCCCCTTCTCTCTCTGGATATCAAGCCTTCTTTCCAGAGAGTTTCATTGCTAGGAGATTCGGAGTCAACTGCACACAATGTACTTACCTAGTGTCAAAAAGCTCTTCAGTTTCTTTCTGTAGATTGAAACCCTATAATTTTTACGCTTCAGCAAAGTACATTGCACTGTCTACGTTTATTTATATTCCCTTCACATCTTCCGTAGCAAGAGATAGCTGAGAACATTACATTCTCCTCCCACTTAAGTTGCTGTGATTTCACAGGTGTTTTTATTTTTATTTTTGTTTTTGTTTTTATCTTGGGGTGAATGTAGTCTCTCCTGAAGCTTTGAAGTAAGACTTCCAGACATAAGAGAGCAGACAGGAAAGAATAAATAATTTTCTCCATTTTTGGAGGAAAATAGAAGGGAGGAGGAAGATGCCATATTATCAAAACTATGTGACTGCCATATTTAATTTTTTTAAACTGAGAATTACTCAGTGGTCCTTCTTCTGGCATTAGGATATTTGTTCTCTGCCTACTCCTTTACTTCTTACTCCAGTGGAGATATTCAGAAAGGATTCAGGAGGCTTCAGTTTTATGGCCATTCTTGTATCAATGCAAGGTACCAGGTTTTTTGTTGTTGTTGCTGTTTTTGTTTTTTAACTTGGATGAACCACTAAAAGAAGCTACACCTTGAAGTAAAGGGAAGCTACCCTTAAAAGAATGTGGTAGAGACTGCTACAGCTCATCAGCACTCATGCCCTGTGCTTCTTCCAGACAGCTGAACTATATTTTCCATTGTCCTTGGAGTTAAGTGTGGCCATGTAACTGAATTCTGGCCAATGGTATGTGAGCCAAAACGACGACTGCCACTTTCAGGTGTGTCCTATATAAACCTTCCACAAGCAGTCTTTGCTCCCTTTCCCCATCTGCCTGCTGAATAGAGAAGACTCTGAGATGCTAGAGGTGGATGGAGCCACAAGATGGAAGGGACCTGGGTCCCTTATGACTGTATGAAGTAGAGGATCCCCTACCCAATCCACGTTAGAGCTACATGTTAGTGAGAAATAAACTTCTTTTTTTTTTTTTTTGAGACAGGGTCTTGCTCTGTCACCCAGTCTGGAGTGCAGTGGCGCAATCTCAGCTCGCTGCAACCTCCACTTCCCAGGTTCGAGCAACTTTCATGCCTCAACTTCTGGAGTAGCTGGGACCACAGGCGGGTGCCACCTTGCCCAGCTAATTTTTGTGTTTTTAGTAGAGATGGGGTTTTGCCATAATGGCCAGGCTGGTCTTGAACTCCTGGCCTCAAGAGATCTGCCCGCCTGGGCCTCCCAAAGTGCTGCAATTACAGGCATGAGTCACCACACCTGGCCCAGAAATAAACTTCTTATATTAAGTAACCGAGATACAAGGAGTTGTTTGTTATAGAAAGGCCTGCCTAGGATGGACAAATACACAAGTACCTCTACCCTAATTACCCAGTCAGAGAGATTGGAGGGAGAATGATAGCAGAAAGATTCTAGTGGATGAACCCATTTTGCTACCTACCTGGAAAGGGAGTGATTTAGTAGGGAAAAATCCCAACCGCAATTGCCTGCAGCCACTTCCTTAACCACTTCCTTAAAGGAGTGGCATGGTTTTCTTCTGGAACAGAAGGGCTCTCATTCAGTAAAATTCTTGGTGAGCCATTTGGCTCTGAAAAGACAATCCTCAACACATAACCCCAAAGCCATAGCATCAGGAGAACAAAAATTCCTCTTCATAATAAAAATGAAATTGGAGGATTTCAGGGACAGCTCTCAGGAAGAGTGGGTTGGGGGAGAGATGTGCAGTGAGTGAGACAAGAGACCTACCAAGAAAGGAGAGGGACTCCTGGGAGTGGGAACCAGAGAGCTTTCAGGACGGGGTTCTAATATTCCATTTTTAAGATACCTGCTATGTCTGCTACAGTGTAAACCCCTCTGCTGCTCCCCAAATGATTAGCAAATTAGCTGCTCATTTGACCTCAAGTTTGTGTGTCCTTGGGAAGGCATAGAAGCAGGCTCCAGCCAAGTGAGCCCAAAGTGAGTCGCAAGTGTTGAAGAAAAGTAGTTGAGACATGGACTCAGTTTGGGGGTGGACACAAGACAAACTCTTTCCCACAAATATGAAAGAGGATGATATGGTTTGGCTGTGTCTCTACCCATAATTCCCATGTGTTATAGGAGGGACCCAGTGGGAGAGAACTGAATCATGAGGGTGGTTTCCCCCATACTGTTCTCATGGTAGTGAATAAGTCTCATGAGATCTGATGGTTTTATAAGGGGTTTCCCCTTTTGCTTGGCTCTCATTCTTTCTTTGTCTGCCACCATGTAAGACGTGCCTTTTGCCTTCTGCCATGATTGTGAGGCCTCCTCTTTTCCTTTATTGATTACCCAGTCTCTGGTATGTCTTTATCAGCAGCATGAAAAGACTAATACAGAAGGACTCTCAGGAGGGTTGAAGGTTCTGACCTTGAGGCTCCATGAAGGAGGTAAAGGAGGTCAGATACTGAAGGATCAAGGAACTTCCCGTCTAGTTAGGAAACCTCTTCTTCCCACAAAACTACCTAAGTGACTAAGTAGGCATGTTTGCCAGCACAGCAGATGGGGTTATATGAAGGGAGAGCCACTGAAATCACCATGGCAAATGGAATGGACTCCCGGAAGCAGCGGTCGCTGTTGACCAGCAGTCAGGAAGCTCCACAAAGTTGGGAGCCAAGTGTGTGTCCCTGCATGAAAGAGTGTGCCTGGGCCAATGCTGGGTTGTCCTTGAGAACAACGACTGGCTCCTAGGATGGGACAGAGGAGCGACTGCTGCTTTGCTTGAGTCTGCTGTCCTGTGAGGAGGAGGCAGAGGGGACCATCTTGGCTGAAATTAAATCAGGCCTTTCAACTCTGGCCCACCATGCAGTCCAGATGTGAACTGGGCCAAGGTGCTAACATGGTTAGGACGCCAAGCCACCCGCTTGCCTCGCCCTGACTCATCGGCTGCAGTGCCCTCCAGATGACCCCTCGGCATTCTCCCCAGATGTCTGCAGCCCTCTGTCTTGGCACTCTGCCAGCCCAGGAGGAAAATTCCTATGATCATTAGTTGAAGGAGATCACAACTCATGGAGGAAAAGAACCACTGAATTCAGTATTTTTCCTGGCCCTATTTGGGACATCCTAGGTGCCCGTGATTTTCTGGACGAGCTGTCAGCTCATGAATGTCCACAGAGTCCCCAGCACAGACTGCAGACCTTGGTGTGTGCTTCACAAATTATATCTTCTCTTTTTTTCCCTCTTCCTGCTGTTGCTATGACCATCCCTGTTGCTATCATTATTGATACACCCAACTCTTCCTAGGACCAGGCCTGCCTCTTACCGCCATGGAGGCTTGGATATCTTGATTATTTCTATTACCCTCCTGCCAGATGTCAGTAGACCTTAACTCTGAAGAAAGCCAGATGCCCTCCAGATGGCCATCATGCCCTTGAGATGCCTAATGCAATAACAAGTCCTGGACAGTCTGGGAAACAGAGCTCTCTGAAGGAGACAGTCTATGCTATGCATAATTAGAGATACCTACAGGGTTCTGCTTCAACACAGAGCAGCCCTTCTTGTTAAGAATACATTTTGTTTGTCAGAATCTCATCACTATTTCTCCACCACTTCTCCCTCTTTTTTCTCATATGTGTGTTCTCCCTGAGGGAGGCAACAGAGGACACAGGCCTAGAGCAATGGTACCTGCTGCTTTTTAATAGTGATGTTAAGGAGCAGGAACTTTAGCTGCACTGGCTGCCCTGGCAAATCTTCAGGTTGGCCTTGGTGGAGTCTCATAGCTCATGGTCTTATCCTCAGGGTTGCATTTTCAGAGAATCCAAGACACTGAAACTCTTTGAGCCTCACTTTTCTAATCTGTAAGTGGGGATACCAATTTCTATCTGGTCAGGTTGCCATAAAGGTAAGTTGAGATAGTATATGCCACGTGCTTAGCGTGGTGCCTGGGACTACCTGTGATACATAAATGCTTAGTTGTAGTATAAATCATAATGATGGAAGTGATAGTTAATCCAGAGTGCATTCGACTCAAGAGGAACTGATTCTACCTATCCCACAAGATGACCAGTTGACAAATCGGAGTGACAATGGTAAGAAATGTGTCTGCCTACATATAGCCTGGAGTATGCAAGTCCTACAGCATCCTTTGCACTGTAGGAAATGCTGCAAGTCTGCATGGGAGCTTGGTGAAAGTGCAAATCCATGCAAAGGGAGTTGGCTGATTTTTAAGGCTGATTTTATAGCTCAAAGCCACCACGTCCATTGCATAGGAAGACATGGATGCTGACCAGCCAGTGCTGGGCAGATGAACAAAAGGCCTTTCCTCATTGTACTTTGTTTCAGACCTTGAGAAGACCCCGGCTTTCCATCAAAGCCTCCTTCCATCAGCCTTCCCAGCTGCCACATAGCTGTTGAGTGGCAGCCTGCTCCAATGACATGTAGGTCTTAAGAATGTTCCCAGAGGCCACCTCACTTGGACCAGTTGTTTCCAGACCTCCTGCATAGATGGTGCCTTGAGGTGGGGGACCTTCTGCTGGTGGCTATTGTCATATGTTTGATGGTTTTTAAGAACTTTGTTTCTCCTGGAGTAACATTTTATTCCCCTATGAGCCCAAGTTTTATGGGCTCTTGATTCTAGAACTCTGCATACTGGGTATAGAACCCAGTGAAATTTTTCTCACTCCCCTAATGTGGAGGTTCTGTGCCCCAGGAAGAAGGTGGAGGGAGATGCTGAATGCTAAGGAATTGGGCCTTTGATTCTCTTCTCCTTTTATGCCATGCATATTTTAAACACTTGCAGGGTTTTGCCTGCCATCATTGGCTCCAAAATGTGTATCTCTATTCTCAACTTCTAGTGGTGTCTGGAGCTGGCTCGTGCCAGCTTGTTTTCACAAGAGTTGATTATTAAATATTTAGGAAATCTGCAAGCTGGTTTTTAAACCACTGGTCAGCTGAAATTAGCTATGGTAGCCATATTTACACAATAGAAGTTGGCAAATGCTATAAGTCAAGGGGGTTTTCCTTCAGGGAACAGGTTTGCCACCAGACCACTAGATGACTTTCCTCCTAAAGTCCAGGATCACCAGCTGCTCAGTGGACATCTCCACATACGTGACCCCCAGACACCCCAAACACAACGGGCTCCAAACAGAACTCAATTTTTTTTTCCCCACCAACACTGTTATCCACCTACAATTTCTGTTTTGATCAGTAACACCAACAGAGACCAGGAGTCAGAGAATACAGATAACAAAGGGATGAGTCATGAGTTTAGGCAGAGCAGGAGAATGCTGTCTTCTCTGCAACCAGAGGTGGGAATGACGGCATGGATGGCTGGGAGTGAGTCCATGAGTAAATGCTCTGATGCTCGAGAGCAGCAGTTCCCTCTCCCAGCAGGAAAGTAAAGCTAGAGATAATTTCACCTCTAAGGGGAACAGGGAAAGGAGCCCTCAGCAATCCCTCAAATAAAAGGCAGAAAGTGTCTGAAAAATATTCATTCATACATACAGTAGATATCTAGTCAAATCTATAATGTAAGCATTTTCTATTTTCCCCTTTGTTTTAAGACTCAAGCTGTTGAATATTTTAGCCCAGGCCAGCTGTGGTAAGGGGAGGCAGGCAGAGGTTTAGGAATCTATTTAATGTAGTTTGCAAACATACCTGAGACAGTGGGGCACAGTGCTCCCCTGGACTTGGGGGAGGGTGCAGGTTAGAAGCTGAGGATGTAGAGAAGGAGGGAAAAGCTCAAGGGGTGCAGAGCCTGCATACTCCTCCTGGACCATCGCATGAGAGAAAAGTAAACTTCTATCTTGTTGGTGTCACAAAATTCTGGGGCCTTTTTGTGATAGCGGCTTAGCCTTTACCTTAACAACTCACTCACCTACACGTTTATCTTTGTACCTTTTCTTGCTTCCTTCTCATGAGTCTCAGAGTTTTGCTGAGACTCATTACTGCCCCGTACTCTCCAGAAATTCCCCTCTTTCTGCCCCACAACTCTGCTCTAGCGAATATCTCCTTTCTCATACATCTCATATGCACTCTTTCTGCTGGCTGTGTTCCCTCCACCTGTACATGTGGCTCTCACAATCTCTTGCACTTTCAAAGAAAACCCTCTAGGACCTTAAATCTCTTCTCTTACTCTTTCTGTCTCCAGTCCTTCTCTGCCAAGATTCCCAGAAAAGTGGTTGATGATCACTGTCTCCATTTCCTCATTGCTCATTTCCTCCTTGTCCCCCAGAAACCTGGCTTTTGTTGTCACCATTCCGCTGGAATTGCTTTTGCTGGAGTTCCTCATTGCCTCCATATTTTTAAATTCAAAAGAGTATTTTTTTCAGTCTTGTCCCTGCATGTTCTCTCAGCTGTAGTAACACAGTGGGTCACACATTGTTGGGAGGGTTGCCTCCTCTGGCCTATGTTCTGGCCCCTTCCTTGGCTCTCTTCCAGTGTTTCTCCTGAAACAAGGGTGTCTGTGCTCAATAATTCTGTTCTTACCCTTCTCCCTATGCATGCTTGACTTGGACAAGCCAATGGCCCCTTGTAGGCTTGGCTATAGGATGACACACCAAATCATGCCCTCTAGTCTTTCTCCTGAACTCTGACTCATTTATCCAATTTATCCAGCTACTGACTTGACATCTTTGACATCCTGTGGGCACTTCTCATTCAACCTGTCCAAAACTGAACCTATTATCTCCCCCTTCTTGGGCTGCCTTTTCCTCTACCTCTTCTCTCTGTTGGCCAATGGCACCATCACTTGCCCAATTACTCACACTGAACTTAAGGTAGTCGTGGACCTCCCCCCTCACCTCCACCACAGCAACTCAAGAATAAATTCCTCTTCTTCTGGTTTCACAAATATCTACTAAATCCACACCCTCCTTTCCACTCTTGCTCAGGCCCATATCATCTCCCATCCAAACAATTACAGCAGGTTCCGCCTGGTCTCCCTGCCTTTAGATTTGCTCCTCTCAACACACATTTCATATTGCTGCCAAAATTGTCCTTCCAAAGTGAAAATTTGTACCAGATCACTCCCCACCTTAAATCCCTCCCATGATATCTAGGGCCAATAAAATAAATGCAAATCTCCTACCCCGGCATGACTCATCAGTCTCCACTTCAGCCTCGACACGCTGGAAACTGAGCTCCCTTTACTTGCCTCTGTCTAGAAGACTCCTCCTGTACTCACTGGGCTCACTCTTACTCCTCATTTAGACTCTGCATCATTTCCTCCAGGAACTCTTCTCTTCAGCACCAGTCTGCCTAAGTTCCCCTCCTACCTTATAAGTGCTCCCCAAATTCTCTGCACATGCCTCTATCATGCACATCCCAGAACATACTAAAAAATGGATTATATTGGTCTGTAGTGGATATTTGTTTTTTTTGTCCACTTTGCATCTGAACCCCATTCCTATGTTTGGGGTGCTCCTGCTTCTCATAAGCAATGCCTACCTCGCAGTATAGAAATGGAAAAATGTCAGACACCTTCTCTCTCAGTCCTCCTTTCAGCTAAACTGAGAGCTCTGATAGTCTCCTCCAGTCAGAGAGCAGTGCCTGGGCTAGCCCCAGAAATATGTGGCATACAGAGGCAGAGACCCTGGGGATCCCATTCTAGTGAGGGCAGCTGCAGTAGTGGCCACTGTTCCTGTGGCATATTTCAAGCATTGGTCCTGGCTGTTAAGGTTAGTTGTCCAGCCCTCCCAGATTCTGTGCCCTATTTTGCAAGCTGTCCAATGTCCTTTTTGTAGTTGTCATGCCATTTTATTGGAGCGCAATTTATAGACCATAAAATTTACCCATTGTAAGTGTACATTTCAATAAGTTTTAGTAAATGTATCCAGTTGTGCAACCATCACCCCAATCCAGTTTTAGAACTCTTCCATCACCTCAGAAAAGTTCACTCTTGCCCATTTGTTACTGATCACCATTCACACCTCTAGTCCCATGCAACAAGAATCTGCTTCCTGACTCTCTGACTTTTCTAAAAATATCATATAAATTGAATCAAACATTATGTAGTATTTTCTGTCTGGCTTTTCCCATAGTGTTTCATAATTTCTTTAAAAGTTGATTTGGTGGATGTATCCATTGTTTGTTCCTTTTTTATTGCCACATAATATTTCACTACATGGATATACCACATTTTGCTTATTCATTTGCCAGTCAAAGTCCTTTAAATAAATCCCTTTTCCGTGGTGGGGTCGGGGGAGGGGGGAGGGATAGCATTGGGAGATATACCTAATGCTAGATGACACGTTAGTGGGTGCAGCGCACCAGCATGGCACATGTATACATATGTAACTAACCTGCACAATGTGCACATGTACCCTAAAACTTAGAGTATAATAAAAAAAATAAAAATAAAAAAAATAAATCCCTTTTCCATTCAGTGTAGCCAGATCTGGGTTCTGTAGCCACCAAGATCCCTGACTATGTTCCTCCCCATTGAAATGGAACAGCAGAAGTATCTTCATGGCTTTTGGATTTATGATCCCTGACACCATTCCTGGCTCACAGTGGATATTCAGTAATTATTGCTGTGGTGTGTAGACTGCCAGTAATATCTCAAGGATGAGCTGGGCCTAGATATTACCAGCAGTCTATGCACCATAGTAATTTCATCTTTTTAGGATTTTCATCCTTTTGTTTCCAAGGAGGCAACAATCAGGGCAGATAGTTATTCATTTCTTGCATGCATAAATGCTGCCCTGCTCAAAGAAATGCCTGTTCCCATTACCTCCACTCTCCCACTCTTGCTTCTTCTATTGGGCTGAACATTTTCTCTCTGTGTGACCTAGATTCATTGGAAGCCAACAGGTAATCTATTGCCTTAGCTATACAGTTGGCCCCTTCCCCCTTTTAACTGGGATAGGAAGGTTGAGATACCCTTCTTTCCAGGGCTTGGCTAATGTATCCCATGCAATATTTATGCTCTGCACGTACCTGAACTTCCCGAGCTGTGCCCTGTTTATGCATTCATGAGGAACTGTTCAAGAGAATGTCATTTTATCAAATGGGGTTGAACTATAGCTCCACTTTATGAGGGATTACAGGCTGTTTTTTCTTTATTTGTAAATGTGCCAGCCTAAAAAATGCTGTGTTTTGTCAGAGACAGCTGATTAAACACCTTTGAGTGTCTGTCAGTGTAAACCGTAAGATCATTAATTTATGCTGTAAAAAGAATAGCTGGGGAAGTGTGACTTAGACCAGTGTGGTTCCTTTCTTCATTTGAAACAAATAACATTTATATCTTGGGAAAGAATGTTGTGAAAAATCACCCTAATGGAACTATGTTTTCCAGAGTGACATCAATGATGTCACTTTGGTCTCATCTATTTAAAGCATCAAAGTGGATATTTTAGGCTTAAACAGCAGGTGTCCTGAAATTTAAAAATTTCTAAAGTTTTTGGGATTTGGGAAGCTTTTGATCTTTTTCTTGTCTTCCTCCCTTTCTTTCCCTCCTTCTCTCCCTTATTTCCTCATCACCCACCATAGTCTCATCATTACTACACAGTTTTGAAATAATTTCTGCATTTTGTTAATATCTTTGCCTGGATTTTGAGATCAAGAGGTTGCATCTCCTGGCGGAGTTTGATGTATTTGTTTTAAATGTTGGATTTTAAAGAAGTGCTAGCTAGTGACTTTTCAAAAAAAAAATCAGGAGGAGAAAATTATCCTTCTAAGGGTGTAGGAGTTGCAGTTACTAAGTTGAACAATGTGTTTAGAAAGTGGAATGTGTTTACACCATGTTAATTATAAAAAATACCTTGTAAATCCTTATCTTTCAGTACAGAATACTAGTCTTCATACAGCACTTGTAGTGGCAGCCTTTAAATCTACTCCTATTTCCCAAAACACTTTCCTAGGATTCCACAATATAGTCTGCCCTCCATAAATAAAAATAGGGACCAGTTAATTTACATCGTAACAACTATACCACAAACAACTGCTATGCAGCACTTAGCATTTCACAAGGTTCATCACCTTGATTATTTCATTTGATCTTCAAAATAAACCTGGCTCAACGTCTGTGATCTTGTTTGGAGACCCAAGATTCAAATGGTAACGTATGGAGAATGCGGGCATCGATCCCACTACCTCTCGCATGCTAAGCGAGCGCTCTACCACTTGAGCTAATTCCCCATGTGATCCTGATGGTCATCCTATGTAGAAAACAGGAGCCTGTTTTGCAGAGGAGAAAACAGTCTCAGACATTTCTGGAAGGACTAGTACAAGATTGCTTAGAATCCATAGATAATTATGTTCATTACACAGTAATCTTGTACCTTGTGTTCAGAGCTAAGGACACAAAGACAAATTAAATGCAAACTCTGCCTTCAAGTTCAAAGACTAGCAATTGTGGAGCCAGGAATTTAATGCAGGTCTTACGTTGTAAATCCTTGTCTTTTTTTTTTTTTTTTTTTTTGGGACGGAGTCTCGCTCTGTCGCCCAGGCTGGAGTGTAGTGGCGCGATCTCGGCTCACTGCAAGCTCCGCCTCCCGGGTTCACGCCATTCTCCTGCCTCAGCCTCCCGAGTAGCTGGGACTACAGGCGCCCGCTACCACGCCCGGCTAATTTTTTGTATTTTTAGTAGAGACGGGGTTTCACCGTGTTAGCCAGGATGGTCTCGATCTCCTGACCTCGTGATCCGCCCGCCTCGGCCTCCCAAAGTGCTGGGATTACAGGCGTGAGCCACCGCGCCCGGCCGTAAATCCTTGTCTTTACTGTCTCAGAGCTAAGGTTGGAGCAAGCCTTAGGCAAAATCATCAGGTCTGGGAAATTTGCTCCCACTAAGCACCCTCTTCACTTCAGTTCTTCTTTAACCTTCTCTCTCCTCAAGTAAGTAACACCCTCATGCTTCTCAAAGATCTCTCTTAAATTTCGTTTCCAAATTCCCAAATATTATCCTTTCCTCCTCTTCTCACCAAAACTCGGCCTGTGTGGATCTTAGTTCTGCCATGTCTGGTTCGCAGTTATCGAACTCTGGAATTGTTTTCCAACTTTTTGACCATGACCTACAGTAACAGGATCACTTATAGCCCACTGGGCTAAGAGAAAACTTATAGAAAGCCCCTCTTCCCCAGGGAAGTTATAGTCCCACACCAGGTTGCACAACTTGGCCATCAGAGCCTACCCTCACCCCCTTAGCCAAATACTCTTTTACAAGGCACAGTCTGCAGAGCGATACAGGGCAGCTTGAGGGGTAAGAAACGTATTTTGCATTGCCATGGGGGCAGGTGGTTGTGTGAGAAACTCCGTGGTTACTGTCCATGGTCCTGAACAATCACAGCAGGTGAGGACAATGGATCTTCTCCCCACTAATTCTTGTTGAATGCTCTTACCTCTCACAGGCTTTCTTTGCTTTATTTTTTTTTCTTGACGAAAAGACTGCTCTTTACACAAACAATGTCACAATGCAAATTGAACCCATGACTCATACATCACAATTTACGAAGGAGAGCGATGGAGAGTGGATTCAGGCAGCCTGGGTTTGAATCCCAGCCCCACTACTTGCTAGTGGGATTTTAGGGGAGCTATTTTGCCTCTCTGGACTTAAGTTTCTTTATCTTTAAAGTAAGGATGAGAGTAATTAATAACTCATCGGATCATTTTGAGTATTAAATGAGATGATGCATGCAAAGTGCTTTGAGAGAGTTTTTTTGTAGGAAAAAAACAACAATACTTTCCAGAAGCAGTAAAAGTAACAGTTCTGAATGTAATAATAAATGTAACTTTAAAACTCATGTCATGTTTTCCAGAGAAAACTTCCTTATCATCAGGAAGTCAAGGAAATATATGCTCCTTTTCCACAGGTAGTAGTCAGGGTAAATCAAAAACAGAAACCATACTCATTATTTTAACAGAGAATGTAACATATAAATTCATTAAACAGGTGTTGAAGGGAAGATAAAGCTAAAAGAAAATATTGAAGTAATTCAGAAACAGTAATGGCAGGAAGCAGCTACCAACCCCCAAGGCTGGGTCAACAAAGGGAAGAGGTTGATGTCTTCAGAATCTTGAAGGCTCAAAGGACCCTCTCTACTGCATGGTGATATTGATACCTAATAGGGAATTAATGAGTAGCAATAGCTTGGTAAACCATCAGTCTACTTAATCAAGAAAGAAGGGCCTTGTATGAGGCTCGAAATACTATCTCCTCTATATTATGCAATGTGTCTGATAGTATAGCACCCCAATTAACATAAGAAAACTGTTTAAAAAAGTATTCAAAAGCTGGAACATGGCAAAGAATATTGCATGTCCTTTAATATCATATTGGAGCATTGTTTAAGAGATACTCCCAAGGATTTTCTAATTTTCTAGAAAAATATCTTTGTTCAATTAACTATTTACTATTTATTATTAATTAGGGCTTAGACAATGCAAACTTCTATTTTAGCTAGAGAAACATTGGTAAGATGCAAATAATTTTGTTCAATGGAGATGCACATTATTTATGTCCACTAGGAAACATAGCACCAACGTTTATGGTTTTGTTGGCCTGTATGACATTCACCAGTTTTAAATCTCACTTAACAGGTTTATTGCAACACTCCTTTCCTGACAGACTAAGTATGTTTCTAAATATTTTTGGACAGTATCTTTGAACAACCTTTACCACCCTGCAGGTTTCTTCCTTTGTGAGTTAAATAAGTATTTTATGTATATTCACTGCATAATTGTATGATAATTATGATTTTTAAAATTACATTCTGACCAGGACTGGAATCAGAGAGAGCACTTTATTTGGCCAAAATCACACAACTGGAAAGTAGGGGAGCCAGATTCCTACTCAAGTCTGGCAGACTCCAAAGTCTACATCATGATATCTTGGTGCCTTCACTCCGAAAAGATCTGTTTTACAGAGAAATTGAACAAGGAATTGCTGCCAATCT
The DNA here is from genome assembly GCF_000001405.40 of Homo sapiens. Classification (NCBI taxonomy): domain Eukaryota; kingdom Metazoa; phylum Chordata; class Mammalia; order Primates; family Hominidae; genus Homo; species Homo sapiens. Next base: position 88,976,344 of record NC_000014.9, on the reverse strand, counting down.
CCTGCTAAAGTTTGATAAAGTTGGGAGTCAGCTGGAGTGATAAGCCAGTTTAAAATACTTGGGTTAGATTTATAGACTGAGACAGATCAGAAAAGGTCAAGGGCTTATGTAAAGCAGAGGAGATCATGAAAATGGTAATGAGTCGGAGAAGGATGGCAGTCATGTTGACAAAGATGAAGTTTAAGACAAACACCAGGTTCCAGCTATTTGAGACCTGAACTGATAACCAGTGGCAGCGCTAAGCCCAGGCAACCCCCACTCCTTCCCTCCCCTGATTTCTTCAGCCTCACCCAGGAGCTCCCAGGCTGGCTTACATGGGCAGGAAATTCTAGGCAGCTCAACCAGGCTCTCTTTGATATTCTTAAGGCACTTCATCAAAGTCAAGTGGAAATGTGCTATTTGGGATTAAAAAGAAATAGCCACTGCTATGCAGGGGGCTAAAGCAAACTCACTGACTGGTTTTATTTGAAATTTTTAGTATCCATAGTTTACCCTCCAGTCAACTTTACAAATACATGAAGACCTTCCAGGTATAAAGCACAGTGGGAAACATTAAAAAAAAGAAAAAGAAAAAGAAAAAGAAAAAAAGAAAGAAAGAAAAGACTCTTGGAAGGAATCTTAGAGGCCACGGAGATCACTCTGCTTACTTGCTTATTGGTCAACATTTTTACAGAGCTCTTTCTGTGAGCTGGGCCCTGTTCCAACCCTGGAAACAGCAGAGTATAACAGCAAGAGGCCCTTGCCCTCATAGCCTCATAAACTAGTGGGAGAGACACAATAAAATGATAAATGTATAATATAATTTCAGGAATGTTTAGTGCCACGAAGAAAATAGAACAGAATCAGAAAAAGGAGTTATGGTGGCCATGGGAAGCTATTTTAGAGCAGTCAGAAAAGGCTTCACTGAGGAACTGAATGAAGTGATTTGAAAATGTAAGGGAAGGGTACACCTGGCAGAGGCAATAATGACTTCACAGGCCCTGAAGAGGGAGTGAATCTGGGGTGTGAAGAATAGCAAGGAACCCATGTGGCTAGAGTGAGGGAGAAAGCAAGAAAAGACAAGTTGTTCAGGCAGCCAGAGTCCTGATCATGCCAGGCCTTTTTGGCCCAAGCTGGAGTTTGGATTTTATTCCAGCCATTTCATCCTGGTCCATCTGTTCTGCTCACTCAGCAAATGAGGACCTTGTGTCTTCCTTACTTATTAAGCAAATACCACCTGGTGACTGTGCACTGTTCTGACCTGGCTATTCTAGAAGGTCTATGAAGATGAGAAAGGAAGGGGACTTGCCCTCGTGGGCCTCAGCATTCAGGCATCTCCTCCAAGGTGCTCCAAGAAACCAAGGGACACTGGTCAGTGGGCCCCAGAGCGCCTGAGCCTTCTTCATCCTCTTCTGCTAATGGTGCCACCATGCACCTGTTGCTCAGTTAGAAACCTCATTTAAAATCAGTCACTGAGTGGTACTGATTGTACATGTTTTTGTTTGTTTGTTTGTTTGTTTTTGAGACTGAGTCTTGCTCTGTCACCCAGGCTGGAGTGCAGTGGCATGATCTCTGCTCACTGCAACTTCTGCCTCCTGGGTTTGATTCTCCTGCCTCAGCCTCCCAAGTAGCTTGGATTACAGGTGCACACCACCAGGCCCAACTAATTTTTGTATTTTCAGTAGAGATGGGGTTTCACCATGTTGGCCAGGCTGGTCTTGAACTCCTGACCTCAAGTGATCTGCCCGCTTCAGCCTCCCAAAGTACAGGGATTACAGACATGAGCCTCCACTCCCGGCTAATTGTGCATCTTAAATAGGCCCCCAGTGTATCCTGGCCTCTTTCATTACCAATGTTTAAACGGTGTTACCATTTCAGACCTAGACCATGGCAGTGGCTTCCAGGGCTCACCCCCCCCCCCGCAATCCAGCTTCCACTCTGAGGCTTGATTAATCTTTCTAACACACAAGTCCAATCACATCTCCCATACATGGAACATTTAGTGACCTCACCCAGGATTCTTGAAAGCCCAGGTTCATGAAAGCCCAGATTCCTGTAGGTCCTTCACCTCTTGGCCTCAGGCCTTGAGTTGATACCCGACCTCTCCCCAGACTCTTGTTCTGCAGCCACACTGGACTCTTGCCATTTCCTAATGTACTGTGCTCTTGTCCAGGCCGTTCCCTCTTCCTGGAATGCCCACATGGTTGATGGCTGGTTGAACTCCTGCTCATCCTTCATGACCCAATGCCAAATGACCTCTCCTCCTTGAAGTCTCCTGCTTTCTCTCTGGGCAGTTAGTCACTTTCTAAAATCTTGTCCATAGCGCATATTTATATTATATTATATTACAGTCTCCATTTATTTACTTCTGACTCCTCTTGTTCATAGCAAGTCTTTGTTTTTTGTGGATTTTTTGTTTTGTTTTTTGAGACAGAGTCTCGCTCTGTCGCCCAGGCTGGAGTGTAGTGGCATGATCTGGGCTCACTGCAACCTCTGCTTCCTGGGTTCAAGCAATTCTCCTGCCTCAGCCTCCCGAGTAGCTGGGATTATAGACACGCACCACCACGCCCAGCTAATTTTTGTATTTTTAGCAGAGACGGAGTTTCGCTATGTTGGCCAGGCTGGTCTTGAACTCCCGACCACAAGTGATTCCCCCCACCTCGGCCTCCCAAAGTGCTGGGATTATAGGCATGAGCCACTGCTTCCGGCCTATAGCAAGTGTTTGAATAGGAAGACATCTTATTTATATTTGTATCACCAGGTGATACACAGTAGGTGTTATTAGTTTAATGAATAAATTTGGTGTTTCCCAAACTGTTTTTCAGACTGTTTATAGGGGTATTAATAAAGTTTTCCATGTATGTAAGTTTAGCAAACAAGGGCTTAAACATAATTAATTTGGTAATACTTTTTTTCATATTTATTTATTTCTAATTTTTTATTATACTTTAAGTTCTAGGGTACATGTGCACAACATGCAGGTTTGTTACATATGTATACATGTGCCATGTTGGTGGGCTGCACCCATTAACTCGTCATTTACATTAGGTATATTTCCTAATGCTATCCCTCCCCCCTCCCCCCAACCCACGACAGGCCCCATTGTGTGATGTTCCCCACCCTGTGTCCAAGTGTTCTCATTGTTCAATTCCCACCTATGAGTGAGAACATGTGGTGTTTGGTTTTCTGTCCTTGCGATAGTTTGCTCGGAATGATGGTTTCCAGCTTCATCCATGTCCCTACAAAGGACATGAACTCATCCTTTTATATGGCTGCATAGTATTCCATGGTGTATATGTGCCACATTTGCTTAATCCAGTCTATCATTGATGGAAATTTGGGTTGGTTCCAAGTCTTTGCTATTGTGAATAGTGCCACAATAAACATACATGTTCATGTGCCTTTATAGCAGCATGCTTTATAATCCTTTGGGTATATACCCAGTAATGGGATTGCTGGGCCAAATGGTATTTCTAGTTCTAGATCCTTGAGGAATTGCCACACTGTCTTCCACAAAGGTTGAACTAGTTTACAGTCCCACCAACAGTGTAAAAGTGTTCCTATTTCTCCACATCCTCTCCAGCACCTGTTGTTTCCCGACTTTTTAATGATCGCCATTCTAACTGGTGTGAGATGGTATCTCATTGTGGTTTTGATTTGCATTTCTCTGATGGCCAGTGATCATGTATCTGTTGGCTGCATAAATGTCTTCTTTTGAGAAGTGTCTGTTTATATCCTTGCCCATTGTTTGATGGGGTTGTTTGATTATTTTCTTGTAAATTTGGTTAAGTTCTTTGTAGATTCTGGATATTAGCCCTTTGTCAGTTGGGTAGATTTTAAAAATTTTCTCCCATTCTCTAGGTTGCCTGTTCACTCTGATGGTAGTTTCTTTTGCTGTGCAGAAGCTCTTTCGTTTCATTAGATCCCATTTGTCTATTTTGGCTTTTGTTACCATTGCTTTTGGTGTTTTAGTCATGAAGTCCTTGCCCATGCCTATGTCCTGAATGGTATTGTGTAGTACGAGCCCATTTATATTTTAAAAAATTAGGTATCCATTTACATGTAGAAAGTGTTTTGAAAGGGCAGATGGGAACCTGTTGACAGTATCATCTCTAGGAAGTGAGGTTTAGGGATTAAGAAGGGAGGGAAAGAGAATTTTCACTTTTTCTCTTCTATCATCCTATACTGTTTGATTCTTTAAAAAGTCAGTACATTCAATACTTTTAAATAATTAATTTTAAAAGTAATTAAATACATGGTAGCCTTTAAAAAAAAAAACAAACACTAGCAACCCTATGCTAAAAATATAGAAAATAGTGATCCCATGTATCTATGTGGAAGGTGGAAGCTCTGTCCTGCTTTTACTATCACAGGACCCTTTTGGAAAACTCGACCTTCCCCAGCCTTCATGGGAGAAAGACCTCCCAGGTGAAGAGGCCTCCAAAGAGGGCTATCTTGGCCCATTTCTCAAACAAAGAGCTCTGAGTTGATGTGGTGCAAGGCCACAGAGAAAACTACTTGTGGGATTGAGGTTTGGGGTCAGAGGAGCATCTGTGAAGCTGGTAAGGAACAGTTTCCATTCAAAGAGACAACAAATATGTGTCAGGTACTGTGCTGGATGCTGGCTAAGCAGAGCCTGGCTGTCCCCTAGAGGCAGCCTCTGCTGACTCCTGGCCAGGTCCCTCAAGGAGATAAAGTGGACTTCTTTTCTCTGTTCTGTTTAGTGTCTCAATTATTCCCTTCACCACTGGAGAACTGCTTCTCCCCTATTCCACATATTCTGGTCCAACAGCCAATCTTAGTGTCCCTCCACCCCTGGTCACGGGCTGGACAAATGACTCAAAGTCATCCAGTCATGCTAGCTCACATCCTATTCCCTGTGATTGCTTCAAGGGGTGGGTATGGGACCCAAGAGATCTTAATGGAGTCTTTCTGAGGATTTGATGGATAGAAGCTAAGAGAAAAGTTGCTCTTCCATTTGGATCTTAAACTGAAAGTCTTTTCTTGTAGTTTTGATCTCAAACTGTAAGCCATTTTCCCTGTTTTGTGAAGGGATCCTATCCAAGACAGGAGAGGATGACGCCAATGTACAAATAGAAGGAGTGACAGTAGAGTCAATATATGGAGAAAGCTGCAGTGATAGAGACTTGGAGCATCACTTGAATGCCTGGATACAGCCACACCTGAAACCAATTTTATCTTAGGAACTCACTTTTGTAAGCCAACAACTTCCTACACTTGCAGCCTAAAAAGTCGCAATGGGAAATAGTTTTGCTCTGGGAAATGGGAGACCTGGGATCTTTTCTTAATTGCCTGGATCCTTAGTTCTCCTCTACAGGCCTCACTTCCCATATCTGAAAAACATGATGACAGACCATCTGCCACCTCAGTTCTGTGATTCTACACACTAAACAAGAGCAATTGTTTGACTGCTGGATCCATGCTCTTTCCCTGACCAGATGCTGCTGCTCCTCCAATAGGTATGATTATCTCCAGGGACTAGTATCTTCCTTCCCCCTGACTCTGCAGCCTCAAAATCCTGGGCTCAAGTGATCCTCCTTCCTCGGCCTCCTGAGTAGCTGGGACCACAGGTACATGCCATCATGCCCAGCTAATTTTTAGTTTTTTGTAGAGATGGGAGTCTCAATATGTTGCCCAGGCTGGTCTCAAACTCCTGGGCTCAAGCAATCCTCCTGCCTCTGCCTCCCAAAGTGCTGGGATTATAGGTGTGAGCCACTACGCCCGGCCTCCCTCCTGTTTTAAAGGGATGTTTTGCAAACAAGGAAGCCAGGAAGTGGCTGCACTTGGGAAGTGAGCCTGAGTGGCAGGAAGAGTCCTTGCTCAGGAGCTCACTTTGTCGGAGCCTTGGAATTTAACACTGTTCCCTATATTAGGGAAACCACATTTGGCTCAAGGCCTCTTGCAGGTGCCTGGGACCTGGAGGGCTAAGAAAAGCTTAGGGTTGGATTGAATAAGTGATGGAGGTGGGGTACAGGGAGGACGGGAATCGTCAGAAATTTCCTCACTGATAGCCCCAGTGGATGCGCACAGCCCAGTGTTAAGAACAGAGAAAGGAACTAATCCCTCATTTTCCTGTTCAGCTCAGGTCTGTGCTGGATGTTTTAATTCTACCTTCTTATTAATCAACACTAGAGGTATTGTATCCACAGTATATACATGAAGAAACCAAGGTTCGGGAAGGTAAAGGAACTTGTCCAAAGTCACGCAGCTTGTAAGTGACAAAGCCATGACTCGACCAGGCTGGCATGACCCCCAAAGCCTCCTAATGGTGTGATCTCAGCCACGGGAGCATAAGTGTGGTCTTTCAAAAGCCCAGGGTGGAGGGGGGAGGAGAGACAGACATGACTTCAATGTGGGAGGAATTGGGTGCCTATGGGACCAAACCTCGGAGACACAGAGGGAAAGTCCAGTGGCCAGAGCTGGGGCTTGGACTCAGCTGGACCACCGGTGAGGCTGGCCACAGTGAGCCCCAGGCTCCCTTGATGGGGCCCAGGCTAGCCTCTGGGCACTCAATGGTGAGCACACCTCGAGTCCCAACCTTTCTGAAGCTCACAGTTTAGGGTGTCAAAAGATATCCCACAAGTAATCACCCAAGAAAATAATTACACCCTGCAGTGAGGGTCATGACCGTATGTAAGAGGGACACCTTATCTACGGGTGGGAGGACAGGGGCCGGGGAAAGAGGAGCCTTCCTCAAATGTATTGCTTCCCTATGGCTGCTACAACAAAGTACTACAAATGCAGCAGCTTAAAACAACACAAACTTATTCTCTTTCAGTTCTGGAGGTCAGAAGTCCAAAGTAGGTCTCATTGAGCTAAAATCAAGGTCTTGGCAGGGCTGCATGTCTTCTGGAGGCTGTAAAGAAAAATCTGTTCCTTGCCTTTTCCAGCTATTAGAGGCCACTTGCACTAGCTCATGGCCTCCTTGCATCTTCAAAGCCAGCAACCCACTGCTCTGACCTCTGCTTCCATTGCCACATCTTCTCCAACTCTAACATTCCCGCCTTCACCTTATAAGAACCCTTGTGATTGGGCTCACCCAGGTCATCCAGGAACATCTCCCCATCTCAAGATCCTTACCTTAAGCAGACCTGCAAAGTCCCTTTTGTCATGCCAGGTAACATATTCATGAGTTTGGGGGATTAGGACATGGACATCTTTGGGGGCCTACCATACCAAGGAAGTAACCTCTAAAGCATAAACAGAAGGAGAAGAGCAAGTTCATTGAGCACAGTAAGCGAAAGAAGGTGGGAGAACATTCCAGAAGGGGAAACAGCAGGAACAAGGGTCCTGAGGCAGGAGGGAGGGTGGTGAGCTGGAGGACTTTGAAGAAGGCTGGTGTGTTCAGAGTGCAGAGGGCAGGGAGTGGGGAGTGGAGAGAGGGGAACATGAGCGTGTGGGCTGGGATGGAGAGCAGGGCTTCCATGGCCTTGGTCTTTCTCAAAGAAGAGTTGGGGTGCAATCAGATGTGTCTTTTGGACACATAGAGCCAGGAGTGGACACGGGGGCCCTTTAAATGGGTGAGAGGCTGGAAGCCACTTGGGCCACGGCTTAACAACTCCCGGCCCTTTCATGTACCACACATGAATCTTCATGTGCACCTTGCCCAGAAGCTTTGATGCTAATTTTTAAATGGAAAATTCCAAACATATACAAAAGTAGAGATAAAGGTTTACCGAAGGCCCTTGGATCTATCTCCCGGCTGCAACAGCTGGTTAATTCATGGCGTGTCTCGGAGCATCTATTTTCCCCCATGCCAGCGTTATTTTGAAGCAAATCTCAGGTATCCTATTATTTTATCCAAATTCATTTCAGCTTGTGTCTGTATATGCATAAGGACTCCTTTAAAATAAATAAATGTCTGAGAGTTAATAAGTCACTGTAGAGGCTTAGTACATAATTGTGGAAGGAGTGAATGAATGATTATGTATTTTGACAGACTTACAGCAAGAGTATTTCTTTCCCATTTTGTTCCAGATTCCAAAGCACTTTCCGTGTCAAAATCTGCATCCCTTCCATGCAGAGGACGTCTCTTCTTGTGTCTGCCATGCTTAGTCTTGCTCCACCTGGCGCCTTCTTCCACCAACCTCTCAGCATGCCTGCTGTGGGTTGCAGGGGCCTGGGGGTAATGCATCCAATTTTCCAGAGGGGCAATAAGGCCCCTGCTCCTGCCCAGCTCACAGACTGGCAGAAACCCCTGAGAAGTGTTCCATCTAGTCAGTCTCTGGGCATTAGGGGACAAGGCCTTTTAGAAATAACAAAAGATGTTCTTGCAACCCACATGCTGACACAGCTCATGTCAAGGACAACTGCAGTTAGACTTTCTCCTTTCCAAATTCCTCTGCATTGCTGGGTATGAGGGTGGGGGGTGGAGAGGCCTCTAATTATACCTTTCTTACAGTATTTTGCTTCTGTGACTATTTTGAGGAGGAACAGAATGATGTTGACATCCCTCCTCTAAAATGAAGACATTCCTCAATGGTCTCTTCTCTGTTCCTCTCTCCAGAAAAGACTTCTTTGTCTAGTGATGTTCTGTTCTCCTTATATATTGCTATGCAACCAAACCCCTGAATGTAGTGGCTTAAATAACAATCATCTTATTAGTTCATAAGCTATTGGCAGTTTGAACAGGGCTCAGTGGGGGCATTTCTGCTCCATCTGCCATTCAACTAGTACCTGGTTTGTCCTGGAGGGCCCAAGTAGGCTTCATCCACATGTCTGGGGATTGGTGGGCCCAAGTGGACCCCACTCTCTTTCCATGTAGTCTCAGGGCCTCTCACTTGGTCTCTCCAGCAAAATAGACAGATATCCTACATCATAACTCAGGACTCCAAAATCACGTGATCCCAGAGACAAACTGGGAACTGCCATCCCTGCAGACCTGGAAACTGGCACAGCATCACTATTCTACTGTTATTCTGTTGGTCAAGGCAGTCAAGAATCTGACCCGGAATCAAGGGATAAGAACACAGACCCGTCTCTCAAGAGGAGGAATGTAAAAGAATGAATGGGCACCTTTAATCCTCCACAGGTGAGGAGAGGAGAGTGTAGATCTTTTGTGATCCCAAGAAAATGCAGTGACCCAACTTGTAGGAGCTGCCCCAGGAGAGCTTCGAATGGAAGCACAATTTTCAGCATTCTGAGACCAAACTGTAGTCCTGTTATAGGGAAGTCCCTTAAGTGCTTATTGACTTTTCTCATCCACTGCCTTGGAAGGTAAGAGCAAAAATTACTAAAGGCAGAGACAGAGTTAACATAATAAATTGTGGATGCTCCCGAAGCTAAAAACAATGCCTTTGCTGGCTTCTAAAGAAAAAAACTCTAGGGTTGGGTAATGGCTCACACGTCTAATCCCAGCACTTTAGGGGACTGAGGTGGGAGGATCGCTTAAGCCCAGGAGTTTGAGGGTGCAGTGAGCTATGATGCTGCCACTGCACTCTAGCCTGGATGACAGAGCAAGACCCTGCCTCTACAAAACATAAATAAATAAAATTAAAAGCAAATCTGGTGAATCAAGTTGATTAGAATCAAGAGCCCAGGCTAACTCCTAACTCCGTTGAAACTGCTTCCATAGAATTGACCAGGGTATCACTTCTCTCTCTCTTTGACCTGAGCTCTGCCTCTAAAGCCCCAGCAATGGAGGGGAAGGGCTTTGTGAGCAGGCAGGCCTGGGCTGGAACCCTGGCCTTCTAGCAAGGACTTCCACGGTATGAGCTTGGGCAAGTCATTTAACATTTCACCACGTGAAATGTAAATGTGAAATGGGATTTAAAAATACCCCCAATAAGTTTCATGAGAATTAAAAACTGAGCATAAAGCATTTAATTCAGTGCCTAACAGGTGCAGAAGTATTAATTTAGGTCTCTTATTTCTCTCCTCTTTCTTTAACTTACTGATATGGTTTGGCCGTGTCCCCACCCAAATCTTATCTTGAGTTGTAGCTCCCATAATCCCCCACGTGTCATGGGAGGGACCTGGTGGGAGGTAATTGAATCAGGGGCAAGTCTTTCCTGTGCTGTTCTCGTGATAGTGAATAAGTCTCACAAGATCTGATGATTTTATAAAGGACAGTTCCCCTGCACATGCTCTCTTGCCTGCCAGCATGTAAGACATGACTTTGCTTCTCCTTCACCTTCCTGCATGATTGTGAGGCCTCCCCAGACATGTGGAATTGTGAGTCCATTAAACCTCCTTTTTTTTTTTTTAATAAATCCCCCAGTCTCAGCACCTCCCGGGTTCAAGCAATTCTCCTGCCTCAGCCTCTCAAGTAGCTGGGATTACAGGCAGGCATGCACCACCATGCCCAGCTATTTTTTTTGTATTTTTAGTAGAGACAGGGTTTCACTACATTGGCCAGGCTGGTCTCGAACTCCTGACCTCAGGTGATCCGCCCGCCTCGGCCCCCGCAAAGTGCTGGGATTACAGGTGTGAGCCACCATGCCCAGCCTATTGTTCTCTTTTTCTCTTCCCTCTACCTTCTCTTTTTTTCTCTTCCTCATGCTTCTTTTCTCCTCTTCTTCACTTCTCACTCTTTTTCATTCGTAATAAATAAACTATTACTTTAATGGCAAGAACCACAATCACTTTTGCACCAACCTAATACTCCCCTATGCAAACTCTGCTCGAGGAAAAGTGGCATTTGCTTCTCCCTAAATCTCCTTTAGGCTTTCGAGTCTCCCCACATTTCTTCAATGTCCTGTTTCCCTGGAGCACCCTTCACCTTCCCAGATCTAAAACCTCAGGGCCCTTCCTAGTTTCCATGCTATTTCCTCTTAATATCTCCTGCTTATCTCAATTGGAAATCACATCTCTTCCTGTGAACACCCGTAGTTCTGGTCCTTTTGCTAATTGGAGGCAGAAAAAGAGCTTCACAGCCCAGGGGTCAGGAGACATGGATTATATTCCTGGCTCTGCCATTAAATAGCTATGTGACTTCAGGCAAGTCACTTACCCTCTGTGGTTTTATATTTTCCATCTACAAATTAAGATCAAGAAACTAGATAATTCTCTAATTAGGGTTCTTTCTGCTTCAAGTGACAAAAATGCTTCTCAAATTATCTTAAATGAAAAATAGAATTTGGCCAGGTGCTGTGCTGCATGCCTATACTCCCAGTGCACTTTGGGAGGCTGAGGCAGGAGGATCTCTTGACCCCAGGAATTCAAGATCAGCCTGGGCAACATGGCGAGAACCCATCCCTACAAAAAAATACAAAAATAAGCCAGGGAAGGTGACATGCCCCTGTAGTCCTGGCTACTTGGGAAGCTGAGGTGGGAGGATTGCTTGAGCCAGGAGGCAGAGGTTGCAGTGAGCCGAGACAGCATCACTGCACTCCAGGCTGGGCGACAGAAAGAACCTGCCTCAAAAGAGAGTGAGAGAGAGAGAAAGAGAGAGAGATAGAATTTATTGCATTATATGGTTGAAAAGTTCAAGGTTAGAGTCAAGGTCAGTTGGATCCAGAAGCTCAAATTACCAATAGTATTTCCACCTCTTGCTCTTTTCCTTCTATGTTAACTTTAGAAAAAAGTTTTGCCCATCACTGTCAATGATGCCCATCCATAACTCCACATCTTCATTCTACCAGATTGGCAATAAAAATAACTAGCTTCTTTCCCATTAATGACAGCAAAACCCCCTGTGATGACTCTCATTAGGTTTTGATGGTACACAAGCTCATCCCTGAAGCAGTAACAGTGACGAGAAGAGTAAATATTCTGATTTGTATGGACTTCATACATACCCATCTCTGGAGTTAGGGTATGGCCAGCCCCACCAAAACACAATGGCTGAGAGTGAAGGGATAGTTCTCTAAAGAAAGATCTGGGTATTGCTATCAGAGGAACGGGCAATGGAAGGTGAGAACATGAAAATTGATGTCTGCTATAGTCCACCCCTTGAGTGCTCTTCTCTCATGCACATTTCCTCCCATAAACCCACCTTCAAAAGTACCCAGCCAAACATCATGCAACTGATCCACATGCAACACTAAACTCAGTAATCTCAGTCTCCAAAGGGACACAACACAAAGTCTTGTCTAGTTACTGTGCCCACTGCAAACCCAGGCTTTCTTCATGATGTGTATTCTTCTCCGTCAGATTGAGTGTGGCTCTTCATGATCTGCAGCCTTTGAGTAAATGATATTTAACCGTCTACCAGCTTACCCAATACATATGAGTGGAGAAAAAACCAGGACAGTTGCTCTGAAAACATGTGTTTGAAAAAGAGAAACAACATGGTATAGTCCATGGCATATACCACATCCTTTTGGAGAGGGATAGCAAAGCTCCCTGGCTTGGCTGTAGGATGAGTTCCTGGACTAGCCAATCCAGTTTTCTTAGGTTTTGTTCTCCTTGATGCCCTCCATAGACAGGAGAGATGGATATTGGGATGAATTGCACTTTTGGGAATTTCATTCTTTTGCAGCTGATTTTCTGTTAGTGTAAATTCAGGTATTATCAGTTAGAAATGCGCTCATCCACAAGTAACAGAATAATATCTGGCTAGCAGTAGTTTAAATAAGCATGTTTCTTATTCCCACATAATAATATATCTAGAGGTAAGCAGTCACCAGCATTAAGTTGGTGACTCAATGACATGAAGGGCCAATGAACTGTGATTCGACTGGCCTTTTCCAGTAGATGAAATGCTGCAGCTTCAGCCATTGTGTCTGCATTTGAGGAGGAAGAAGATCAAAGGGCCTTCTGTAGCGCCTCTGTTTCTTTCTTTCTTTTGGTATGTTTTTAGAAACAAGGTCTTGCTCCATCACCCAGGCTGGAGTGCAGTGGCATGATCATAGCTCACTGCAGCCTCTAAAGTCCTGGGCTCAAGCAATGCTCCTGCCTCAGCCTCCTGAGTAGCTGGGACAACAGGTGCACACCACCATGCCCAGCTAATTAAAAACTTTTTATAGAGACAGGTTCTCACTATGTTGCCCAGGCTGGTTTTAAACTCCTGGGCTCAGGCAATCCTCTCCCTCTGGCCTCTGAAAGCACTGGGATTACAGGCATGAGCCACCATGCCAACCTATCTGTCCCTCTTATCATGAAATACAAAGGTCCTCCCAGGAGGGTTCAGGGACTTCCACTTAGATCTCATTGCTATAAGCCCACTGCTAGCGGGAAAGGAGGTTGATGAAGCTAGCGTTTTGCCCATCATTCCCTAAAGAAGAATTGAGATTTTATTAGCAAGGAAAGCCTGAAAATTGCCTTAGGGAGTAAGAGTGGGACGTGAGGGATGGCATGGTTTTCCAAAGGAAAGTTTGGAGTTAATTGTCTATCCGAGGGGAAGGAGAAGGGATGCCAGGCAGGGAAGAACAACAGATTGCTATTGCAACCCCAAATGGGCTATTTCTGGCTCAAAATATATCTGTCTCTAAGGGGGAAAATTTGTCTTTGAGCTTAAATAAAGTAATAATAATAATGTCTCAGAAGAGTTTTGGAAAGTGAAGTCAAAGACAACTTATTTTTTAAAACAACACCTTCCTGAAATAACAGACCATGACAACTTAACGATTTTATCAGCAATTTCAGAAAGGATGGAAAAGGAGACTTGATGCATGCTGACGTGTGCTTTGTCTTCTCTAGCATAAGGTAATAGTTCTCATGAGGACACCAAGGAAGGAGGGCCACCATCCACCAGCCCCTTCCGTCTTCCCAGCATTGGAGGTGCTAGAGTTCTCTTTCTAATTTACGTAAGCGCTGAAGCTACATGGCCCAGAGCCTCTGCTATCCCCACTCCCACGCCTATCCTGTAGTAAATATCACTGGACCCAAGGCTAAGAAGGCTTAGAAGAGATTTTTAGATGAGTCATTGGAAGCAAAGTTTCATTATTTCCAGGCTGGATTAGTTGGCTCACCCAATCAACATAAGCCTAAAGGGCCACTTAGAGCCCACAGCCAGGGCCACTGAGTGGTGATTCTGGGAGTCTCTGGCAAGGGGAAGCCAGCAGAGTGGGCAGCAGCACAAAGTGCAATTCTAGGACAGAAGAGCATTCCAGGGAGTGCAGAGAAAATGCTGCTGTTCCAGGCATGCCCCAAGGGAATGAATCTAATAGAAGAGACATCTTCATTGGAAACCGAGTTAATTTTTGAAGCCACAGCTAAAATAGGCATTCCCTCTTCTCCTTTCTCATCATCCCCACCCCCACCTAACCTGAAATAGTAAGAGAAGTGATTAGAAGCAGGTCTGCTAAGCAAAACAGAATGAACCTACTTAACAATAATGACCCCATCCATTCTGTAAAAGAGCACATGGCTGTGTCTTTGACTGTTGGTTCAACGAGAAAAAAAAAATGCATCAACAGAAGATTGTCACTCAGGCAATTTCTAGATCCCAGGGCCCTTTAAATGTATCACCCCACAGAGCGGGAATAGGAATCCTTTTTGGGTTTATCTTCAGGATTTTAATGTTTTCTATTTTTAACCTTTAGAAGAGGAGACCCTGCAAACTAAAAGGAGCCGTTATCCTTGCTAAAGTAATTTAAGCTCTAGGAGAGAGAGTCCAATTTAGCTTTTTAGGGTTTTTGTTGTTGTTGTTAATTCTTTGCAAATTAGAGCAGGTGATGAAAAGAAGAGTTGAGAAGCTGGAGAAATGGATCTCTGGGTGCAAGAAATAGGGCCCTATATGCCAATGGGGCTCCTTCAAATCATATATCATGACATCTTCCTACCCCCAACTGCCCCAGCCTGGACTGCAGAATACGCTTCTGGTCACTCCTCTCTTTAATCCACCCTCTAGGATTCTGTCTGCATTCTTTTTCTACACTTAGGTGTCATCACTTCATTCCTGTGCTTAAAAACCACAGTGAATGCCACGCTGTCTTCAGAAATAAATGCAAACACTAAGGCAATGATACATGAGGCCTTCCAGCCTGTCTCCTGGCTCCAGCCTCTTTTTCCAAGTCATCTCTGTTCTTAGCAGCCAGCAGCCAACAGCCATTGCCTGGCACAGCACCTGCTACACATTCGGTTATATTTGTCCTGCAAATGTTTAACTAGCTGTACCCGTCATAATCTCCTGTACATGACATGCACTTACACTTCTCCAGAGTTTGTACATTCAAGTCATTCCCTTTGCCAGGAGCAGTCTTTCCCATTCCATTTGCTTGGGGAATAGGTCCTTATTCCTAATTCTTCTATTTAAATGTCACCTCTTTTCCGTAGCCTCCCCTAACACTCCCTCTATCCACCCACATACCCCAGGCAGAATTATTTTGGGTTACCATTCCATTTTATGCATTCCTATGCAGTAGCAGCTCCTGGATTGTGTATTTATACACTGATATGCTATAAAGAGATAATTGGGTTCCTAAGAAAATTTATCTTATCAGAATGGAATTTAAAACCAATTGATTCAGTGAGAGATAAAAGGGGTTGAGGTTAGGGCATTTGAGGCTCACAATAACAAAGTTAGTTTTCCTGCAGGAATTTCAATAATAAAGGTGTTTTGTAGCTATCAGAGTATTTAATTGCAAGCTAAAACGATCAAATTACTTTATCAAGAAAGACAAACATCTCATTGCCTCACAAGCCACACACCCCCGAGCCTTCTCAACCTCAATCATCTTTGGCCTTGACCTTGCAAACTTTGTTGGCATCGCAATTCATAATGCAAGTAAACTAAAGGACACAGCATGAACAAGTGTACAAAGAAAGCATCGCTCATGCCACTGTGAGGCCTGGTGCTTTGTTCCCACGACCTGTCATCCTGCTCATCAGGGCCTAATCCCTAGTGACAAGCCTGTAGTGACCAATGGCAATCAGAGTATTGCAAATTGTGTTTGCTTATTTATTGACCTTATGGTCAATATCCAATTTAATTAAGAAAATCCTTTCTGGTGGGGCACAGTGGCTCACACCTGTAATCCCAGCACTTGAGAAGCTGAGGCAGGAGGATTGCTTAAGGCCTGGGCAACATACAGAAACTCTGTCACTACACATAAAAAATAAACAATTAAAGCTTTAATTACATCCTGTATGTTGATGGTTCTCAAACTTGGATCTTCAACCCAGAGGTGGTCCTCCACACTCTAGACTTCTACATCCAACCTTCTTGACCTTTCCACCTGAAGCTCAAGATTCATCTATTAAAAATTGAACTCTTGATTCTATACCCTCCCCCATAAACTACTTCTCCCTAGTAGCCTTCTCTCTAGGTAAATACTTCTGTTATTCACAAGGTTGTGGAGGCCAGAAGCCTGGGAGTCTTTCTCCATTCATCTCCCTCCCTTATCTTCCATTTCCAAATCTCAAAACTGTTTCTTGAGTCCATCCCCATACACATCACCGAAGTCCAAGCCATGATCATCTTTCAAGTGAACCATGGCACGAGTCCCTCAGCTCATCAGAGGTGGAGTGAGCTTCCTTGGATCACTTGAATCTTCAAGTGGGACAGGGAAGGAGATCGTGGAAACAGGGAAATCATTCATCATACATTCATCACTGACCCAAGGAAGTCACAGACTCTAATGCATTCCTAGACCAAATGGAATTATCACTTGGATTTCCCCCTGCTTTTTGTGATTTGTGATGTGACCGTTTCTTGTTAGCATACATATGGTTAGAGTTGAGAATACTTCGTGAAATGTTAGTATTGGAAAACACTTTGAGATCTGTATGATGAGTCTATAATAATACCTGTGTCACAGAGTTGTTGGGAGAAGGAGATGAGATAGTTCACATAAAGCGTTTATCATAGTTCTCAATGAATATTCATATTTTATTTTAAGGGGTTGATTGTCTATCCTACTCACTCAGTTTATGACAATAAAATCTTGTTATCAGCATATAGAAGTTTGGGATGAGGGATGAGAGCATATCAAACTCATGCTAGACACTAAGCAAGCTCTAGTCAAAGTCAAGACTAAAGCTAATTAACTGGATAATGCAGGACCTTTATTATCAATTCAGCAATCTTGGAGTGACAAAGTTGAACAAGACAAAATCTCTGCTTGGTGTCCTCCCATCTAGAAGAAAGGTAATACATTAATAAACAGAGGTCTTTCTCCTACACACTTCTTTCTTTCTTTCTTTTTCTTTCTCTCTCTCTCTCTCTTTCTTTCTTTCTTTCTTTCTTTCTTTCTTTCTTTCTTTCTTTCTTTCTTTCTTTCCTTCTTTCTTTCTTTCAGACAGACATTGTTCTTGCCCTTTCACCCAGGCTAGAGTACAGTGGCACAATCATAGCTCACTGCAGCCTCAAACTCCTGGGCTCAAACCATCTGCTCACCTCAGCTTCTCGAGCAGCTGAGACAACAGAAGAGCACTAACACGCTTAGCTAATTATTTGTCCCATGGACAAAGAAGTGGGAAATAATGACATAAAATGACCACTCCAAAATAAAACTTCTCGTTTTGAGAAAATGCCCTCCAATCTTTAACTGGTTTATAGGACTACACATCAAACAGAAAGCCAATTCATTTATTTACACATTCACAAATTTTGCAATTAGTTTATCTTGCAGGATTTAACTGCTTAACGTTAGACATTCAATGGGTGCTTTGTTTTTATGGCTCAGATAGTGCTAATTTGAACATTCTTAAACTAAAATGGCCACAGCTCTTTTCCATAGTAGAAAACCAAGGCTCTAACCATACATTTGTCCAGTGTAGTATTGGGCCAGAGATGTTTTCTAAAAGAAATCTTAGCCATATCCAGGGGCACTCATCTAAAGTGAGGTATGCAGGGGAAAAATGGTTCCATTTTTACAAAAGGCGTCAACCCTCCTCAAGAGTTGGCTGAACATTAGAGCATATGGATCCACACTTAATCCATACCACAATACATGTTCCCCTGTACCCATCCACGCATATCCTTGAATTCCCTGCCACATGATTCTTATCAAAAGCCTATTTGTAGGCTGGGTGTGGTGGCTCATGCCTGTAATCCCAGCACTTTGGGATGCCAAGGCAGGTGGATCACCTGAGGTCAGGAGTTTGAGACCAGCCTGACCAACATGGTGAAACCCAGTCTCTACTAAAAAATACGAAATTAGCCAGGTGTGATGGCACATGCCTGTAATTCCAGCTACTTGGGAGGCCAAGGCAGGGGAATCACTTGAACCCAGGAGGCAGAGGTTCCAGTGAGCCAAGATAGTGACATTGCGCTCCAGCCTGAGCAACAAGAGCAAAACTCTGTCTCAAAAAAAAAGTCTTATTTGTAGAAATAATAGTTATGACATTATGCATCTAGTCTTTTGGATTGCAGATAAAGTATCTCAAATCCGTTTTGTAATGAGGCATTTTATATATACAACTAATTAATCAGGGCGATTTCAGGCAAGCCATTTTACCTCTTTTCACCTTAGTTTCCACACTGGTACCATGAAGTAATTGGTCTGGGTGACCTCAAAGTGTTTTCCAATATTAACATTTCACGAAGAATTCTCAACTCTAACCATATGTGTGCTAACAAGAAACGGTCACATCACAAATCACAAAAAGCAGGGGGAAATCTAAGTGATAATTCCATTTGGTCTAGGAATGCATTAGAGTCTGTGACTTCCTTGGGTCAGTGATGAATGTATGATGAACCATTTCCCAGTTTCCAAGATCTTCTTCCCTGTCTCACTTGAAGATTCAAGTAGATCCAAGGAAGCTCACTCCACCTCTGATGAGTTGAGGGACTTGTGCCATGGTTCACTTGAAAGATGATCATGGCTTGGACTTGGGTGATGCATATGGAGATGGACTCAAGAAACAGTTTTGAGATTTGGAAATGGAAGATGACAGAGGGAGATGAATGGAGAAAGACTCCCAGGCTTCTGGTCTCTACAACCTTGTGGATAACAGAAGTATTTACTGAGAAAGAAGGCTACTAGGGAGAAGTAGTTTGGGGGTGGGTATAGAATCAAGAGTTCAATTTTTAATAGATGAATCTTGAGCTTCAGGTGGAAAGGTCAAGAAAGTTGGATGTAGAAGTCTAGAGCATAGAGGACAGCTCTGGGTTGAAGATCCAAGTGTGGGAATCATCAGCATACGGGATGCGATTAAAGCTTTAGGACTGGATAAAATCACCAAGGGACAGAGCATAGACAGAGACAAGAATGGGCTTTTCTCCCATTTCCTAGACCTGTTAAATTTTTATCCTAGTCTCTTTCCCCTGCCAGTCTTCCTCATAGTTACCCTTAATCAACCAATTAATTAATGAATAAACAATATATTTTCTTAATGAATATTTTTTAATCAGAGATCTTACTTACATTTCTCTATGTTTCAGAGTTCTCTTATTCAACAATGGGAATTTAATGAGAATTAGGTCAAATTCTTTCTCAAATCCAGAGCCTTCTCCAAAGAGTCGTTCGTATCTGGCCCACACAATCACAGGTTGGCATTGTTCATGTGCATTCGTTCCCACTCCCCAGCCCCTGGTGGCTTCTAAAAGTTCTTTGAGGGGAAGGAGCATAACCGGTTCATCCTTGTATCCATCACAGCACCTAGCACAGTGCCAAGTCAGCACAGATTTCCTGACTAACCTAATGGCCATTCTTAAGCCAGGGTCTTGGGGGTATTGAATAGTGGATATGAAATGTATGAACCAAAGCTTTGATCTGGCCTTGGCCCCAAAGGGAGATTCATTGGCTCATGATATAAAAACCCAGGAAGAGCAGGGGTGGGGTTGGCCTTGCGGAACAGCTAGAGCCTTCTCCAGTACCAATAGGGTCTCCTCCCCATTCTGTTTCCACTTCTTGTTGAGTGTTAGCCTAGTATGCTATCACTCATGGGCTTACATCTGCATTACACTTAACACTCTCACAAATCATCTTGTTTATTTACTTGTTTGTTACCTGCTTTCCTACTTCCCACCCGCTGCATCATGTAAACTCCCTAGAAAGAGGGAGTTGCATCTGTCTTGTTCATTGCTACTTCCCCAGATAGAAAAGTACCTATATATAGGTGGAGACCTTGTAAATATTTTAAGAATGAATGAATGAATGGCTTCTTCATGCAATAGGCAAAGGCTCCATCCCAATTTGATCATCTCTAAGTCCAGTCACTGTGTCCAGGGGTTTGAGGTACTCTGATGGGCTCATCTTGAGTCACGCACACACCTGTGTCTGGTGGTCGGGAGGAGGCACAGCACCAGAAGTAGAACAGAGGTGAAGAGGAGAGAGCAACAAGTAGCGTAACAAGTAGTGTCTTAGGCCCTGCTGAGAGTAAGGCACTCTTGTTTCTGAGCTCTTTTTGGAAATATGTGGGCATTATGCCTTCCAGACTCCTCACTGCTGAATTATAATTACTTAGACATACTTTGAAGACACATTCTCTGAGAAATATAGTTCAACCTTCAGTATATAACACTGTTCTTCAAACCAGAATTCAAAATGCATAATCTGATAAATACAGGGACAACAAGATGCCACATCTAAATCAGAGCCTTTCCAAAAATTTCATGACAGATGTTGTTTTTCCTGTAGGCATCCACTCTAAGTTAGCTGGAAAGCCATTCACCATTTGAGCCTTGACTCCATTAATGGCATTTATGAGGGTAAAGGCTGGCATTAGCTCACTCACATCATTCCCAGACTTACTTGCCTTTGGTTTCCAGCATTGAGTCCAATTTCCCTTAACCACTTGGAAAAGTGGCAAATTATAGGGAACAAATGTCCCTTCCAGCAGCAGGAGAGACACCTGCCTAGTGAATCAGCAGTTATGCAGATGGTGAGATAGAGAAGCCAAGCAGGAAGGATCTGAAGTCTGTTGTCCTGATCAACAATCAGTGCCAAAGCCATCTTTCCCCTTTCTAGTCCTGCTGGGATGAACCACGTGGCTTTCCACAAAAATGTAGGTCATTTAAAATGCTGCCAGCAAGCTGCTGTTTCTTATTGCCAAGACACTGGAAAACCTATAGTGACTAGAAATTATTTCCAAGCCGGTGCTTCTCACTTAGAGAATCCAGATTTTGAAAGCTACTTTCTCCCATTCTACACTCAAAGCCATGATTATTCTTCAGTGTTGCCCAAATATCCACCAAGTCTGTATGGGTATGTGTTGGGGAAAGGAGGAAGTAGGAGGAACAGAAAGACAGCATGACGCCTTGTTTTTAAAGGCAGGAGTTATCATTTTGCAATTTAGTCTTGAAGGTATTTAAAAACATAATACTTCTAGGAAGAATGAAAATGTAGTCATTTTGCCAAGATCTGGAAACATTTGGCCTTTAGTTTGGCTGAGAAAGAAAAATATCTGTTTCACTGATTGAATTTACCATTTTGCAAAAGTATTTCTGTTTAATTTATGAAATTTAATCATGATCCATGCTGGGATTTATTGCTTCACATTAATGCTCCCTTTGAAGAGGGGAGGAAAGACCTAGGGTTGGGAGGAAAGAAGGATTCTTTCCAAAGTACTATAAGACTTAATTTGGATTTCATTAAATCTCATTAACTCACTAATACAGAATTTATGACACTTTGGACAGAGAGTGATCTGGTCTTTATCTTGGTTTAATCTATGAAAAAGTGATTTTTCTCTGCAGGTGAATGATACAAATAAGGTCTTATGGGAAGAGTCTATATACAAGATATAATAAATATTCATTAGATACTTTCTTTTCCACACAAGTGCTATGCTAATTTCAAAATGGTTAATATTTTCATTAAAGAAAATGGATGGAGATCACCTCTTGACAATATTTTTCTACTTTGCTTACTGTTACTTATTTATTTGTACTCTATGCACTTACAAAAAAAGGATTTAAGCCAGCCTACAAAAAGGGGCATATTTACATAGATAAAATTAAAATCACACAGAAATATTGAAACAGATTTTCACTAAATTTGGAGGATATTTTGGGGGTGGTGATATGGTTTGGATTTGTGTCCCCGCCCAACTCTCATGTTGAATTGTAATCCCCAATGTTGGAGGTGGGGCCTGGTGGGAGGTGACTGAGGGTGATTTCCATGATCTCCACCTTGGTGCTGTTCTCATTACAGTGAGTGATCTCTCATGAGATCCAGTTGTTTATAAAAGTATATAGCACCTCCCCCTTCTCTATCTTGCTCCTGCTTTGGCCATGTGAGAAGTGACTGCTTCCTCTCTGCCTTCCATCATGATTGTAAGTTTCCTGAGGCCTCCCCAGAAGCCAAGCAGATGCCAGCATCATGCTTCCTGTACAGCCTATGGAACTGTGAGCCAATTAAACCTCTTTTCTTTATAAATTACCCAGTCTCAGGTATTTCTTTATAGCAATGTGAGAACGGGCTAATACAGATGGTCTATCTTAAAATATGTGATGAGTGTGAAATTCATTTTGAAGAGTCCTGGGAAGTGCTGCAAAAAGATAGTATAGCAATTTTATGAGAAAGCCCCAAACAATAGTGACTTCAATAAAGTGAAAGTTTATTTCTGCCTCACCTAAGAGAAGCCTCAAGCTAGGCAGTCCAGAACTAACAGGGTGACTCTCCAGACACTAAGGACCCGGGGAAACATTGTTTGGCTCCATCATCCTCATGCTGGCTTCCATCTTTTGGGACACCTCCTAGTCCAAGATGACTGCTGGTATGCCAGTGTGCTACCCAGTCAATAGGTAGGAGAAAAAGAGGAAAGACAAATGGGTACTCCTGCAATGAATGAGTCAGCACACTTTAAACAACCTCCCTAGAAATCCCACACAAAACTGACACTTATAGCTCATTGGCCAAAATTTATTCATGTGACCATACCTTGCTCCAAGGGAGCTTTTCTTAATAAAGGAAAAGAAGATAATGGATGCAGAGTAGACCCAACCAGCCCTTGCCATGAATAGATAGCCATCCTCCTGAGCAGCTGAAATTGTGGTAGAATCAGAGTGGAAGAAATAGAAAATTAGGAGTAAAGAACGTGCAAGAATTTATGCAGTCTCTATGATTAAATAACAGATTTAACATTGAGCTTCTAGTTAACCAGGACAAAAGGGAAAGAGATATTTTTACTAAAGAAGCAAATATATCAATTCCTCAGTAGAGACAATGTTTTCCCCAGAATTAAATTCTATAATGTTTCTCTCACTGGGACCACATATAAAAATAATAGCCACATGTGCTGAATTTTTTAAATTACTCTCATTATTAAATATTCTATCCCATTGTTCTCTATACAAATACTCACCCACGCATGTCCAATTTCTGTTTTAGAAAACGTAGTCACCATGAGTATTGGAAACAGTGAAAGACGTAATTGAATGTTCTTGATAAGCTCTGCAGGGAGTGTAAAAAGTGCTTCTGTGGAGATCAGTAGGAGGGATGAACCAGAAATATCATAGTGGTGCCGCCCATGCACCAACAAAGGCTTCATCGGCCAGGGAGACTTTGATGCCAGGCATGATTAAGTCCTGGACTGGCTCAGCTTAATGGAAATGCACAGAGATTGAAACAAGCACCAGCAACAAGATAGCTGTTAGGAAGACCACGGGTGCCTTCACTGGCACCATCTGTACATTTTCTACCTCTAGGAAGACACGTGGGAAGCCAAATCTTCTGATGGTCCACACTTAGGACCTGTCATGAGAAATCTCTATCAGAGGCATCAAAACCCCTACAGTTAGTTCATTTTCCTCTCAAGGCAGATCTACATGCAAATCCGAAGTTTGCTTTGAAAACAAGGAAAGTTAAGTGATACACAAACTATGTAAGGGCATTGAGCTAATACCCATTAACCACATAGATGTGATAGTTTTGCCTAGAGATTGGAAATCACAGAATCTTTTGGCTAAGATTCTTCTTCCCTGGACAGTGTCTGAATGGGCACGGCCAACATTTGCCCCTTTGCTCTCCTCTTTCTAGGCTCCTGTGGCTGCCCCAAACCCTTTGGGTTGCAACTCTCTTTGATGATGTCACTACAGTCAATCAGGATAACTCACATCCTACTGACCTGAGAAGGTTTTGTCTCTTTCATGTGATCTTTCACTTCTTTGTTCTTCTTCATCAATTATTTCTCTGTCAGGTTGACACTGAGAGGGAAATCCAGGTTCATGTGAAGTCACCAAATGCAGGTCTTCAAATCACCTTCCAGAAATGCCAAAAACACAGCATAAGAGTCCAGTGGCTGCCATATATTGAGGGCCCACTGTGAAAGCCACTGCTCTGGGCAGTTTTATGTGTACTTTATCATGAAACCCATACAATAAATCTGGTGGAAACTATTATTATTCTCATCTTACAGCTAAGAAAACTGAAACTTGCAAAGTGCATTTACTTCCTAGGGTTATCATAACCAATCAATACAAACTTGGTGGCTTAAAACAACGAAAATACATTCCCTCCCAGTTTTTGAGGCCAGAAGTCTAAAATCAGGGTGTTGGCAGGGCCACACTCCCTCCAAAGTCTCTATGGGACCATCTATTCCTTGCCTTTCCAGCATCTGGTGTAGTGACATCCTTCCAATCTCTCCTCCATCTTCACAACACCTTCTCCTCTGTGTGTCTTCTCTCTTTGTTTTCTATTATAAGGACACTTGTGATTGTGAAACCAGCCCAATTTCCCCATATAACTTGTGTTGTTGTTGTTGTTGTTGTTTGGAATAAACATTGAAATTGACCCTCTTAGTCTTAAAGCTTGAGAAACAACATTTGTCTTATCTGAGTTCCTTTCTGTGGAAACTGACCATCAGGTCTCCCAGATAGTATCAAGGAACTGAAACTTTCCAGATCACCACATCCAGACAGTGAGATGCCACACAACCCCTCATTCGACCACCTCCTGTCTGTGATCAACTTGTTTTCCTTGTGCCTCCCTAATTCCTGTTTTATATAACCCCCCTAACTTTAGTCAGTTGTAAGGATAGATCTGAGACTTGTGTCCTATTTTCCAGCTGACGTCATTCACAATAAAGCCTTTCTTCCTGGGCAAAACTTATTGTCTCAGTGATTGGCTTCCTGTGTGTCAAGTTTGGCAACAATTGAATGTAGGGTTCATCCGGATGATCCAGGATAATCTCATGTCAAGATTTTTAACTTAAGTACATGTTTTAACACCCATTTTCCAAATAAAGTCACATTCACAAGTTCTGGGATTAGGATATGGACATATCTTTTTGGAGGCTACCATTCAATGCACTGCAGGGAGGTTAGGTCTCGATCCAGAACACTTAAAGAGTAATTTTTGGCTACACAGAATGGATGTGGATGGGAATATGAAAGGCCACCCCTATTTTTTAAAGAATAAGCCTAGAGCCTATGAACCTTAAAAACAGGACATACTCAGCCTTATACAAACCCAACTGCCAAGGTTCTCTGCCTATACACTTTTAGCATTCTCCCACTGACAAGATATAGAAGAGGACAAAAAAAGTGAGGTGCTTGTTAACCGCAACCCTCTGGTGCCCAGGTAGACTCTCTACCAGGGACGCTTCCTCTTTGGAGGGACTGGGCAGGACCAACATTGAGAATCACATTACTGGTGAGTTAAAGAAAGATAATGGGGTTGAGGATAGAATCTGGTTCCGTTTCACTGGCTCCCCATTAGTCTGAGCTCTTTAATAATAGATGGTACTATGAGAGGTCATGCCACAGTTGGGTAGGTCGCTGGCAGTTTTGCCCAACACTTGTGGCAGCTTCTGCAGAGCATTGGCTCTATGTGTGCCTCCTAACACATCCACCACATGCCAGGCTCTGTGCTATGTCCTGGGGATAAAGTACCATTCAGCCATGCTCCCTGCTGCCAAAGTGCTTAAGAGGAGAAGACAAACCAGTGAACAAATAAATGTGCAAGGCAAGATATAAGCATCGCAGTAACGCAAACTTCAACACAGAGGAGGGAATGATTCATTTCCAGCAGAGGCAGAACTCAGGGATGTAGTTGTTGTCGTTGTTTTGTTTTGTTTGGTTTGGAGTCAAGATCTCACTGGTCACCCAGGCTGGATTGCAGCAGCATGATCACAGCTCACTGCAGCCTCGACCTCCCGGGCTCAAGCAATCCTCCTGCCTCAGCCTCCCAAGTAGCTGTGACTGCAGGCATGTGCTACCATGCCTGGCTAGTTTTTGTGCTTTTTGCAGAGATGGGTTTTTGCCACATTACCCAGGCTGGTCTTAAATTTCTGGGCTCAAGCCATTCGCCTACCTCAGCCTCCCAAAGTGCTGGGATTCCTGGCATGAGCCACCACACCCACCCTCAGGAATGTTTTTCAAGGAGGTACTGGGTTTTTTTTAACCCAAGATTATACAGCCAGTAGTCAAAGCAGCTGGAATGAGGAGCCTGGCTCCAAACACATTCCCAATATTCTTTCAATTCCATGAAGACATTCGTGCAAAGGCACAACTAATGACATAGAAGTATGTACCCCAGATGGTCTGACCTGCTCCAAATTGGAACTTAGAATACCTGCAGGGGTGGATGCAATATTTGTCTGTGTCCCCTTTGTGAAATGCCACCTGTCTTACCTGGCTGCTGAAGATGGAAGATGCAATAGCAAAATAATCAAGATTTCTCTTTTGGAAGCTGTCCTAGACCATTGGCTTGCGGACTCCATGGTTGGGACAAGCAGAAAACCAGATGGTCATACTCTGTTTATTTTCTTTAAAAAGTACTTTAATTGCATATTTTCTCCAAAAATTTAATCTTTTAACATTTAATAGTTTCAACTGACTTCTCTTCATTAATCTAATTAGTAAGATAAATTCACATACTCTTTAGGGTAAAGACAGCGTCCTTTCATCTCTGTAGCCCCCACCAGATCTAGCCCAGATTCCTGCATGCAGTAGGTAGGCACGATAATTTTACTGAATCAAGTGGAGCTCTGTTCAGCGTCCCTATATGACGTGAAAACCCATAAGAATTCAAGTCGTGTTTGTTTTATCATAAGTTCAAAGCAATAAAGCCTGTGGATAATATAATCTGGTGAGTAATTATTATCTGAGTGAAAGATTGCTTTACATATTATTCTAAATTTATTTTAGACCACTGAAAATAATGAGTTCCAAGTGATAATACAGTAACACTGCTACCTCCCATGAAGAGGCTAAATGTCTTACAGGAGTGGACCACATTTGGAGCTTGCTGGGAGCTAAGAGTTGTGGGCTAAGATTGTTTTGTTTTATTTATTTATTTTTATTTATTTTTTTGAGATGGAGTCTCGCTTTGTTGCAGACTAGAGTGTAGTGGTATGCTCTTGGCTCACTGCAAACTCCACTTCCCAGGTTCAAGCGATTCTCCTGCCTTAGCCTCCCGAGTAGCTGGAACTACAGGTCCAGCTAATTTTTTCGTATTTTTAGTAGGGTTTCACCATGTTGGCCAGGCTGGTCTGGAACCCCTGACCTCCAGTGATCCATCCCCCTCGGCCTTCCAAAGGGCTGGGATTACAGGTGTTAGACACCACACCTGGCCCATTTTGTTGTAATCATAACTTTCTTTCTGCCGACATTTTCCTTCATTGCCCTTCTCCTCATTCAATCAGCCAGTCTATCCCAGGAGGGCTCTGACAACACCCCAGGAGCCTCCTCCTGGCTTTGGTTCCTAAGAGCCTGAAGCCCTAGATAGGAGACCACATTTTGGGAAAAGGGAGGCTTTCCCTAAAGATTAAGCAAGAATTCCCCAGACTGTGGGGTGGGAAAATGGAGGTGAGGTGATGAGGTTATAGGCACTGGGAGGTTCTGACACAGGGGACCCAGCAGTCTGCTTTCTGGTAGATCCAGCAAGACCTCAGAGAGGAGAGGGCTGGCTTGTGAAATTAAGCAGGAATGTTACTGTAACCCCGCAGTCGTGGGGAAAGCACCCAGACCCAAAGGACCTCTGTGGATAGGACACGGACACCTTAGTGACAAACTGCACAGACCGTCCCTGCCGCATCTCTTAGTAAGTCACCACAGGCTGTCTTTCCAACAAGGTTGGAGCAGCAGTCGAAGTCAATACTTCAACTGCTTGTACTATAAATGTTTGTGCTTTTTTGTCTTTTTGTGGAGGAGTTGCTGAACACATAGAGTTGAATTTCCTGAAGTTATGTATGATGCAACTCTTCCTTTCTATCCAGAGTTGAGAAGGGGATGGGAAAACACTCATGCCTAGTGCTGATAGGTGCTGTGTGCAGGACCATTTGACAAATCTTATCACAACCTTTAAAAGCATGCAGACCACTGGTCTCTGTATCTCGACCGCTACACATTTATTCATTCCAAGAAATACTCAATTTTGTTCCAAATATTACAACATCAAGAAGTTAGTAACAAGAACATTCGGCGGAGCATTGTTCACAACAGAAAAATATAATAGGAAACTACCAAACTCTCCATCACAGGGCTGAATGAATCCTGGGAAGGTGAAAGCTCTCTCAACCTACCTAACTGAACCAGACTCCTCTTCCTCTGTAAAACCTGGTGACTGAGGCCATGGCCCTGCCGGTGTGCCTGTGCATATAAGGGTACTCAATACTCCAGCTCCCGACTGCTGAGGTGTGAGTTTAGTGAGTCTGTTGGCTTTGCCTCCAAAGTAGTTTATGGCAGCTGTATGCATTAATTTTATCTCATAATATAACTAAATATTATGCAAACTGATGAAGTGTGCATGCAGAGAGAATATGTGTTTCTATGAAAACTGTGTTAAATGCCTAGGAAAGACTTCATAAATGGAAAGTTGCCAAAGAATTGCTGCAGAATGAGATGTGGGTGAAACAGCTATAAATGAGTGGGGAAAATTATGAGGATTTTACACCAGAATTGCTTGGCTGTATCTTTAAGTACTCACTCCACATTAAAGACACAGAAACTGGAGATGTAGATGGTGCCATCATGGGTGTGGTTTAGGTGAGACAAAGAGCTAGCACTCCAGCTAGCAAGTCCTGTGCTCTGTGCAAAAGACTGGTGAGTGAATATGCATTTTTTTATGCTTTCATTGGAACTAAAATGCCTAAGGTACATATGTGAAATTGTCCAGGATTCCAAAATCTTATCAGCTTTTTCTATTAATTAAGCAGCTGCTGAGACATTGGACAAAAGGAAGACTACTGCATATTCATAGAAAGAAATGTTCTTCATTCAAAACAAAAAGCTAGAAGAGTATATTTTGACAGACCTTCACAATATATTGTCAAATGAAAAAAATCGGGTTAAAAATAGGCACAGTGGAATCTCATTCATGTAAAAACTGTGTGTGTTAAAAATAAATACTTTTTTTTTTGAGACAGAGTCTCATTCTGTTGCCCAGGCTGGAGTGCAGTGGCAGGATCTCCCCTCACTCTAACCCCCGCCTCCCCGGTTCAAGCGATTCTCCTGCCTCAGCCTCCCAAGTAGCTGGGATTACAGGTGCCCCCCACCATGGCTGGCTAATTTTTGTGTTTTTAGTACAGACAAGGTCTCTCCATGTTGACCAGGCTGGTCTGGAACTCCTGACCTCAAATGATCCACCTGCCTCAGCCTTCCAAAGTGCTGGGATTACAGGCATGAGCCACCGCACCTGGCCAAAAATAAATACACTTTTTAAAATGTCTGAGTGGTGAGAATATGAGTGACTTTTGTTTCCTTTTTCATGCTTTTGATATCTTCTTATATGTCTACAATAAATACTTTGTAGAAAAAATAAAATTACAAGAAAGTAGATTTTTGGATAGAAAATATATATACATTTGTACCTAGGGAGCCCAGAGAGGAGGACAGAATGCTTCTGGTTGGGGCTAGGATTTCCCAAGAGAAGCCTGGGAAGACTGAGCCCTGGCCCAGTGGCATGCTCCCCACCCTCTGGGCACCTGCAAGGTGTTCAGTAAGGGGGTGCCGATAGGCCTGTTTTCCATCACCTTGGGCTCGCAGATCTAGGGCTGACTGGGCCGAACTGGAAGTGATCACTCATGGTGTCTCATGCAGTGACAGTCAGGTGGTGATGGGGCTGAGGTCATTCAAGGGCTTCTTCACTGGCTCTCTGGCACCTGGGCTGGAACCTGGAACTGCTGGGGCTCCGTTGGGCATCTCCTCCTCCTCCTCCTTTCCCTCTCTCTCTTTCCTCCTCTCCCTCTCTCTCTTTCCTCCTCCTCTTCTTCTCCTTCTTTTTCTCTTCCTCCTCCCTATCCTCCTTCTTACCTCCTCCTTGTTCTTCTCTCTTTCTCTTTCCTCCTTTTCCCCTTTCTCTTCCTCCTCTTCCTCCTTCTCCTCTTCATCCTCTCTTTCCTTCTTCTCTCTCTTCCCTCTCCAACATCTTCTCTTTCTTCTTCTTCCCTCCCTTCCTCCTTCTATATAGGGCAGCTAGACTTGTGTGTGTGTGTGTGTGTATACATATATATATATGTATATACACACATACAATATATATATATATTTTAATATATATATAGTGTGTGTGTGTATATATATGTATATATATATATGTATTTAAAACCCTGCATTTTTATTTAAGCCTAGACCGCTCCAGCTTCTGTCTGAGGTGCCTTCTCCAAATGCACAGTTCCACTGGGGAAGTAAGTACCACTGACTGACTGGGTGGTGTAAACAATAGGAATTTATTGTCTTACAGTTCTGGAAGCTAGATCAAAGTGTCAACAGGATTGGTTCGTCCTGGAGGCTCTGAGGGAGACTCTGTTCCAGGCCTCTCCTCCACCCTCTGATCATTCGCTGGAAATCTCTGTTGTTCCTGGGCTTGTGGCAGCAGAATTCCAATCTTCACACCGTGTCCTCCCTGTGTCTGGGTGTCTGTGTCCACATTTCCTCTTTTTTCTCAGGACGCCTGTCATACTGGATTAAGGGCCCACCCTACCCCAGTCTGGCCTCATCTTAACTAATTATGTGTATAACAACCCTATTTCCAAATGAGCTCACATTCTGAGGCGCTGGGGGTTAGGATTTCAACATATGAACTTTTGAGGGACATGGTGGAATCCATAACAGCCAGAGACTCCTCTCCTGCCAAGCACATCATAAGGACCTACTGCATTCAACCCACTCTGCCTGTGGCACTGTGCCTCTGTGCCTGTCTAGAGGGCCAGTCTGCCCATTTGATTTTATTCAGAAAGGTTTCCTCAATGCCTCCCACACATGTGGAGAACATGGAACAGAACAGAGCAGGAGGCTTCCCTGAAGCCATTCTCGTGAGTGCCATGTTCCTTTTCATCACAAGACTTGGTTCTAGCAGACACCCAAGGGAGGTGAGCTTTTTCCAAAGCTCAGAGAGTTTTCAGGCTGAAACTTCCCACCCTGCAGGGCAAGCTTACTTTCAAACCCCCATTCAGGGAGGCCATTTGTGGGGTCTGTCTGGCTCTGCTGGTTTGAGTTCTGTCTGCCTCTGAGAAGCCCTCCCCAGCATCCTCCAATCTCCCAGGGCCCCTCCAAGGGTGGTTCTGCCTGTGTCTCCTCTCACACCTTCTCATCCCTTGGACTGGTCATGGCTTGTTTGCTTGTCTGCTCCCCACTGGACTGTAGGCTAATGGCGACAGGGACCTGGTCTCAGTCATTGCTGCATCCCCTGTGCCCAGCCCAGAGCTTCACCCCCAACTGGGACAGAAGGCCACAAACTACAGCCCCTGGGCCATATTTCATCCCCCAACCACCTGTTTTTGTCTAGCCTGTGAACTAAGAATGGTTTTTACATTTTTTAATGGTTGGGAGGGAAATCCCCCAAAAGAATGATATTTTGTGACATGTGAAAGTGATATGAAATTCAAAGGTCAGTGTCCACAAATAAAGTTTTACTGGAAAATAGCAATGCTCATTCATTTATATATTGTCTATGGCTTCTTTAGCCCTACAATAGCAGAACTGAGTAGATGCAACAGAGGCCATCTGTCTCCTAAAACAGAAAATATTTATAATCTGTTTCCTTACAGAAAAAGCATGTGCCAACCCCTCTACTAGACACTGGGGAGATGGATGTTGACTGATGATGAAACAATTGGATAAATGGTCCCCAGATCCCAGGCAGCTCAAGCTGCCTTTTGCTATTAGTTATTTTTATATGTGAGATCCTGAAGGCAGGGATTGAGTCTTCTTTTCCTTTTTTGGCTCCACCAAAGGGTCAGAAGGTCTTGGAAAATGTTGATGCTGATTTGCTGCCTTGGACACCAGGAAGCGGTGGTGCACGGAAGGGCTTGAAGACGCGGGTGCTCCTTCATCGCTGGTCGGTAGAGTCCTTCACCCTTGGTCTGGAGGTCAGGCTGTGGTTGCTGCGGTGCATTCTCTCAGCTGGGAGACCATCCCTGCATGCGCTGTGAGAGGAGACATGAGGCCTGCAGACCTGCTAGAAGCTGGGGGGAACACCGCCGGGTCCACTGTCGGACAAAGTATTTGACTTTCAAGTGAAAACCAAACCTAGGGCACAAAGGAGAAAGTATAGATGTCAGGTACTGACAGGGCTGTATTTAAACCTCATCTTTGGTTCTTTCTAATTCTGTGACTTTAACACAAGCTGCTGCGCCTTTGTTTTCTCATCTGCAAACTGGGGACAGTAATGGTTGTCGTAGGATCTCAGAAAGACGATGGATGTATAAAAAGATGTTGAGAGACATCTTTCCGTATCTCAGGAATTGGAATCAATACTCAGCCACTCAGTAAATACTGAATACCTGCTATGCACCAGGCACTGGTTCAGGCTTGTGGGATATACCAGTGCTATAGATGGAATGTTTGTGCCCAAGATTCATATGTTGAAACCTAATCCCCAACATGATAGTATTTGGAGATGAGGCTTTTGGGAGGTGATAAGTCATGAGGGTGGAGCCCTCGAATGGGATTATTGCCCTTATAAAAGAATCTCCCGAGAGACCCTCACTCTTTCTACCATGTGAAGACACGAAAAGATGGTTATCTATGGACCA
This sequence comes from Homo sapiens, assembly GCF_000001405.40. Classification (NCBI taxonomy): domain Eukaryota; kingdom Metazoa; phylum Chordata; class Mammalia; order Primates; family Hominidae; genus Homo; species Homo sapiens. The sequence continues at coordinate 88,943,656 of NC_000014.9, read as the reverse complement.
GGAGACAGACCCTCACTAGACACTGAACCTTGCCAGTGCCTTCATCTTGGACTTCCCAGCCTCCAGAACCATGAGCAATAAATGTCTGCTGCTTAAGCAACCCAGCCTATGGTATTCTGTTATAGCAGCCTGCATAGACTAAGACAATCAGTGAACAAAACAAAGAAAGCACCTCCTCTCAAGGGGCTTCTATTTTGGCAGTGGAGACAAAAAATAAACAACAAACATAATGATGTAAATTATATAGTGTGTTAGCAGGTGATAAATGTTATGAAAAAAAGATAAAAGAGTAGGGCAGGGCATAGGCACTTGGGAGTGCCACAGTCAGAGAGCAGTTTGCAATATTAAATAGAGTGATCAGGGCAGACTCATGGAGAAGGGGAGCTCTGAGCAAATGCTTCGGAAATCAAGAATATGTCTGTTGAATAAAGAGTTGTTTGACCCTGGGCAAGTCACATACAGCCACTGAGCCTCAGTTTCCTCAACTGTAGTTAACAAAAGCTGCTTCTCGGGATTGTTGTGAGTTTTACAGGAAATCAGATTTGTAATAGCGTAGAGCTTTGCATCTAGTGGATGCTCAGTACATGCGTATTATGAGGGGAACAATAGTGGTTTTTCTTTTTGGTAAAGAATTGCTCATTAAATTAATTTACATGGTAAATTAGGGGACCCACCCCTGATACCTCGTGGGTTAGCCTCTGAAGCTCAGTCAATGTGTACCACAGAAATCACCCCAGTAGCACCAAGAACCTCCATGAAATGTCAGATACTGGGGACCCCAGAGACTTTTCCAGACATTACCCCCAAATCAGAAGACTACTTTGATTCCAGGTGTGTGTGTGTTGCTATTGTTGTTGGGCTGAGAAAGTGGATTGGGAGTGTTGCTAGCTCAAATAAATGTGCTTCTTATAAGAGCTTTTGGCGCGATCTCGACTCACTGCAAGCTCCGCCTCCCGGGCTCACGCCATTCTCCTGCCTCAGCCTCCCGTGTAGCTGGGACTATAGGCACGCGCCACCATGCCCGGCTAATTTTTGTATTTTTTTAGTAGAGACGGGGTTTCACCGTGTTAGCCAGGATGGTCTCGATCTCCTGACCTCGTGATCCGCCCGTCTCGGCCTCCCAAAGTGCTGGGATTACAGGCGTGAGCCACCGCGCCCGGCCGAGCTTTTGGTTTTCTGTCCCCCACTCCCTGCAGGCAGAGCCTGCATAATTTGTGGGGGGAAAATGTGGAGCTCCATTTCTCCAAGCAAAAGGAAAGTTTCATTAAAAGTACTAAATAGGCCAGGCATGGCGGCTCACGCCTGTAATCCCAGCACTTTGGGAAGCTGAGGTGGGCAGATAGCTTGAGCTCAGGTGTTTGAGACCAGCCTGGCTAAAATGGTGAAACCCCATCTCTACCACAAATACAAAAATCAGCCGGGCATGGTGGTGTGTACCTGTGGTCCCAGCTACTCGGGAGAACGAGGCAGGAAGATTGCTTCAGCCTGGGAGGCAGAGGTTGCAGTGAGCCAAGATTGCACCACTGCACTCCAACTTGGATGACAGAGTAAGACCCCGTCTCAAAAAAAAAAAAATTGTGCTAAATATAAAGCTTCTTTATTCCATGTTTTCTCTCTCTCAAATTGTCATGGTGTCTTTTATTTGCTATTTAATGTTCTTGTAAGTAAATATAAATTAAAACTGGAGAATATTAGCATAAATTTTGCTATTCATCTTTATGCTGTGCAATGGTTACCATAGTTTTAGTTCTTTCTGGTTCTGCATAGTGTGAGGGGAGATTTGAACCCCCCAAAAAGTCCCGTCACTTGTTATTTACTTATTCATTTGGTTTTAACCTGCCTTGTGTTTGCAATGGATTTTAGATGGCTTTACAGGTAAATGCAATATATAGTCAGTCAGAAACCATATTAGGTATTTTTAACAGAGGATATTTAAGACAGGGAATTGTTTACATAGGTATTGGAAGCCTGGAAGAACAAACAGAGGTTACCTAGGTAATACCTACACATTAGTTACTGAAGGAAACAGCCAGCTCTGTCTGTCACCATTTACTCACCACTCTGTTGAGGTTCTTCTCTGGAGTATTGATTCTATAAAAAACCTTCAAGGAATTGACCCTGAGTCACACACAGACTATAATTCTCATGGAATTTCTCATGGAATTAGGAAATGTCAGTGAGAAAGGTATCAATGCAAAGGCCTAAATGCAAATGAAATTTGGGTTTTCACAAACTTCACATACTTCCAAAGCAATTTGAGAAGCATGATGAAGAAGGCAACATTGAGGAGTTTCAGGTTATAAAAGGAGTCTCCTTGAGGAAGCCCTTGAGGAATAATACAGAAAATGGGCTTTAAGCAGGGGCCAGGTTGGGCTTTAAGCACCAACCTGATTCTTAGGCTCAAAGTTTTTAATATGACTCAGGTGCTTTTGATTTCTAGAAGCTTCTCCTAGCAATATTGTGGCATTATTTTCTGGCACATCCTAGAGAAAGGCTTTTAGTCTATGAAAATTGTTTTCATAAATATAACCCATCTCTGCAGAGGCAGACCACTTGGAAGGTAATTGGTTTAAACATGTTCTCCAGAGACGTGGTGAGGTTATTCAAAAACAGGATGGGGAAGATAGAAGCCCCATGCTTCTAAAAATATGTGTAGGCAAGTGCTGAGCTAAATTATATTATAGCTCCCAAATTTGCAGCTTCTTCTTTCATAATGCCCCAGGAGGAAGATGCAACTTTCTGCAGAAGTCACTGTCACTCCCTTGTTGGCCTTGACTTGAAACAGTTTTCTTCTGGGATAACACACCATCTGATTTAGCAGAGACAACTGCCAACGTTTTACCTCTAGGAAAATATTTTTATTTAGAGATTGGCAGCCATATAATTTAGTTCAAACCCATAGAGGTTTGTTTCAATGACATTAAACCCAGAAAGTAAATGTGATTCAAGGCTGCAATGGCCAGATATTTAGCAAATGGTCGACTTGGATGCAGAATCACACCACGGGGGTAAATTACCGAATTCTATCCAGTGATTCAGAACTCCTACGGGTGGCCAGAGTCAATCTCGATTCCATCCTCTGACTTTTATCAGCCACCTCACATGCTAATAGATATAATTGGCAGCCCCAGTCTTGGCTTCACACTGATGGACTGGCTTTTAGAATTAAGGATTAGTCAGGGGACAAAAGAGAATCTCCTCCCACAGCATGATAAGCCAAGTTGCCCTTCAATTCTTGATCACTTAACCCATTCTAGAGAGTAATGAGGAACAGTGACAAGGATTACTTATTACTATGGGGTAGGGGGGTGCATTGATGGTTTTTTAAAATGATGGTATTTAGTCAATACCTATTGTGTGCTCTCTACTGTGCTAGCTTTTCTGGATACTTTAGTAAATAAAGGAAAACATGGTCCCTCTTCTCACAGGGCTTATGATATAGTGAGGGAGATAAGCATTAATCAAAGAAACACAATTACATGTAAAATTACGACTGTAATAGGCCATTCCTTTGGAAGCAGAAAATGGTGCTAGGTAGCAAAATTAAGACAATTAACTCATGATGAGAGGCCAGGGTAAGCTTCCCCAAGGAAGAGACATTAGTCTGAGACCTGAAGGGAGAGAAAAAAAAGACTATTAGGCAGAGGGTAGAGGGAAAATGTTCTGGCAGGGGTGGCGGAGGACAGCACACCCGAAGGACAAAAAGATATATAGATACGATGCTTGCAGTAGTAAAGGTGGATGCTAAGCTGCTATGACAAAAGACCCTCAAAACACATTGACCCAACTGATAGCAATGTATCTCTCTCTGTAATCACTATCTAGGATTAATAGGGAACTTTGCTCCATTAATTCATTCAGAGACCCAGGTTCCTTCCATCTTGTTGCTTGACCATCTCCCTAGAACCCCAGGGTGTTTTCCTCTTCCACATAGTCAAAGCTGGTTCACCACCAAAATTACATCAGCATTTCAGCCAAGGAGAGGAGCTAGCAAGCTCCATTGGAAAGAATATAATCACAGAACCAGATCCAATTGCAAGAGAGGCTGGGAAATGTAGCCTCCAGCCAGATGGCCATGTGCTCTGCCAAATCTTATTTGGATGTGGGAACAAGCTGTAATCTAAAGGGAAGACGGAAAGAATGAGCATTAGGGCCGGGCACGGTGGCTCACGCCTGTAATCCCAGCACTTTGGGAGGCCGAGTGAGGGGATCACCTGAGGTCAGGAGTTTGAGAACAGCCTGGCCAACATGGTGAAACCCTGTCTCTGCTAAAAATACAAAAATTAGCTGGGCGTGGTGGCACATGCCTATAATTCCAACTACTCAGGAGGCTGAGGCAGGAGAATCGCTTGAACCCAGGAAGCGGAGGTTGCAGTGAGCAGAGATCGCACTCCAGCCTGGGCGACAAGAGCAAGACTCCATCTCAAAAAAAAAAAATGAGCATTAAGATATAACAGTCTCTGTCCCAAAGCAAAAAGCGTTCTTAGCATGTAATTATATTGTCACTGAACTAACAAATGAAAAGAATAAATATTCCCTCTTGCCTTGATTCAGTTAAAATGACTGCAACAGGAAGACCAATTAGTAATTGTATAAGCTTACTAGAAGCATTCTTGGTGCAACTTGCCATCTTTGCAGATCATGAATGAAACACTGGGGAAGGAGCACCTCCAAAATTTTACCACCTATGGGGCACTTACTATGTCAAGCACTGTATTATGGGTGCTTTACATACATTCTCTTCTTTAAACCTTTCAACAATCCATTTAATGGATGATGGAACTGAGGCAGAGACAAATTAATATTACATTAGGTCACGTAATTGGCATATAGAGAATTTGGAATCAGATCTGAATTCTAAATTCCATCTTTTTAGAAGGTACACTATATGAATGTCTCCCTAGAAATTGTGACTCCAACACAAGGAATTTAAGACATTAATGCATATATTACTGGGTAGATTCTCAAATAATTGGCATATAGGGAATTTGAAATCACATCCGAATTCCAAATTTTACACTTTTAGCAGGTACCCTATACAAATGTCTCCCTAGAAACTGTGACTCTGATAGAAGGAATTTAAGACATTAAAGGATATATTGCTGGGTAGATTCTCCCTATTTAATGTCCTTAGAAATATTCTGGTTCAGGGCCGGATGCAATGGCTCATGCCTGTAATCCCAGAACTTTGGGAGGCCAAGGCGGGCAGATCACCTGAGGTCAGGAGTTCAAGACCAGCCTGGCCAACATGGCAAAACCCTGTCTCCACTGAAAATACAAGAATTAGCTGGGCGTGTTGGTGGGCGCCTGTTACATGGGAGGCTGAGGCAGGAGAATCGCTTGAACACGGGAGATGGAAGTTGCAGCGAGCCAAGATCTCACCACTGCACTCCAGCCTGGGTGAGAGAGCGAGACTCTGTCTCAAAAAAAAAAAAAAAAAAGAAAAGAAAAAAGAAATATTCTCATTTAAATGCTTTTCTCTTAGTTTCTTTCATTTTTTTCCTCCATTCATAACTAAACCTTCCCTTTTATCAGCTAAATGACTGGTTTATGAGTTATCCTTATAATACACTTGGGTTATACCACATACTGGACATTGAATATCAGTTTTTCAAAGAATGAAACTCTCAGTACAGATTACTTCTAAAGTTACGCTGTAAAGAATTTGACCTTTCTTTAGTTATTCAGAAGCTCTCAACTTGACTCATTCAATAAACATTCACAGATCATCTGTGGTAGGCACAGTGCTTGGCACAAAGATGAATAAGGCCCAGACCCTGCCGCCAAGATGCTCCCAGGCAAACACATAGCCAAGGGGTCATGACACCTTTGCAACAACAGCAAGTGTGTGATGCAGAGGTCATTAGGGCAGTAAGGCCTCCATGAGAGCGAAGTGGGTGGTGAGGCCAGGAAGGGCTTCACAGGCATGATGATATTTAGGAGAAGTCTTGAACGGTGAAAAGGGCTTAACCAGTAGACATGGACCAAGAAGGTATATATGCAGATGGAAAAGCATTTGGTGAAAGCACAGAGGTTTAACATGACATACATATATATATGTTCAGGTGTAGTAGGTACCGGCAAAATTTTTCCAAATTCGTTGCTCCAGTTTACAGTCCTACCAGTAACAAAAGGAAGTTCCAGTTGTTCTGAAACATTCTAGTTCATATTTGATGTTTTTGGTCCTGGAAATGTTAGCTACTTAAAAGTGGTATCTCGTCATGGTAGTAGTTATTTCATTGTGAGTTTAATTTACATGATGTTAAGTATTTTTTTTTACATATTTATTGAGCATTTTGATATTCTTTCTAAAGTGCCAGTTCAACTCTTTTGCCCATTTTGTCTATTTCTTCTTGATTTACAGTCTGAATACAAGACTTTTGTTGAGTATATGTATCTTTTCCAGTCAACAGCTTGTCTTTTTCCCTCTTTCAATGTTTTTCATTTATTTGTTTGTTTGTTTGTTTGTTTTTAAGACAAAGTCTTGCTCTGTCACCCAGGCTGGAGTGCAGTGGCACCATCTCAACTCACTGCAACCTCCGCCATCCAGGTTCAAGCAATGCTCCTGCCTCAGCCTCCCGAGTATCTGGGACTAGAGGTGTGTCCACCACACCTGGCTAATTTTTGTATTTTTTAAGTAGAGACAGGGTTTCACCATGTTTGCCAGGCTGGTCTTGAACTCCTGACCTCAAGTGATCTGCCCCCCCTTGGACTCCCAAAGTGCTGGGATTATAGGCATGAGCCACTGTACCCAGCCCCAAAGTGTTTTATTTTAATTAAATTCATCAATTTTTAAAAAGTTAGTGTTTAATGTTTTGTTTAAGAATAACTGGGCCAGGTGTGGTGTCTCCGGTCTATAATCCCAGCATTTTGGGTGCCCAAAATGGAAGGATCCCTTGAGACAAGAAGTTTGAGACTAGCCTGGGCAACATAGCAAGACCCCATCTTTAAATAAATATTTTAAATTAGCCAGAAGTGATGACATGGGCTGTAGTCCTTACTTAGGAAGCTGTGGCAGGAGGATTGCTTAAGCCCAGGAGTTCAAGGCTACAGTGAGCTATATTGTGCCACTGTACTCCAGCTTGGGCAACAGTGCAAGACCCCATTTCTTAAATCAATCTAATCAGTTAATCAGTTAATCAATCAATCAATCAATCTTTGCTTACCCCAAGGTCATGGAGACATTTTCTTACTTTCTTTTTCTGCATACTTAAATGTTTTTATTTTCACATTTAGTTCTATAATCTACCATGAATTAATGTTTATGTATAGTGGAGGCAGGAATAAAAGTTCATTTTTTGCCCCAACTGATATCCCACTGACCCAGCAACAACTATAGAAAAGACTGTTCCTTCGCTACTGAATTGCCCTGGGGCTTCTGTCATAAATCAGGTGTCTATATTATATATATATAATATATATATTTATCAAGCTATACAATTAATATTTGTTTACTTTATTAAAGTTGTTATTCAATTAAAAAAACATTTTTTAAGCCCAGAGGTGTGAAGCTACCTAACAAGTTTGAGGATTTGTAAGTACTCTGGACCAACTACAGTGTGTAGTACTGAGGGTGGTATGGAGTGTGTAGTACTGAGGGTGGTAGGGAGTGTGTAGTACTGAGGGTGGTATGGGGTGTGTAGTACTGAGGGTGGTATGGGGTGTGTAGTACTGAGGGTGGTATGGAGTGTGTAGTACTGAGGGTGGTAGGGGGTGTGTAGTACTGAGGGTGGTATGGGGTGTGTCGTACTGAGGGTGGTATGGGGTGTATAGTACTGAGGGTGGTATGGGGTGTGTAGTACTGAGGGTGGTATGGGAGGAGATTCATTCATTGAAAAAGTGTTAGGTGTGCACCTACTATGGGGCACACAGGAGTCTCCATTCAAGGGATATTGCCTTCATGGTGACTGGATTTTTGTACAGGAGTAGAAAAAAATAAAATTCTAAAGCAAGATGAAAAGGATTAGAGTGACAAGAGCTGCTATTTTCATAAAGACAGCCTCTCTGACATTTGGCCCATAACCTGGGTCAAGGGGTTGAGGGAGTGTGAGCCCTGTGGATCTAGGGAAAGAGTGACACAGGTAGAGGGAAGAAGTGCAAAGGCCTTGAGGTAGGCTTGAAACAGTGCTCAAACCAGAGTGGCTGGAGGGGAGGGAGGGAGAGAGAAAGAGGAAGAGAAAGCCAGAGTGGCTGGAGAGGAGAAGGCACAGTAAGGAATGAGAGTAGAGAGACAGTGAGAGGCTGATTGCAAAGGATCTCCTGGCCCAGTGTACAGACCTGGGATTTCATTTTGCATGCAATGGGACAAGACGGGGAGGGGGAATTGATCAGGGGAGTGACATGATCCAACTTAGGTTCTCCATAGCACGTGGAGGCACATGGAGGCACGTGGAGGCAGGAAGACAAGTTAGTACAAGACCGGAAAAGTCAGCAGGGATATGGTCATAGAAGACCTTATGAAGAACAATTGAGGCCAGGGTGTGGCTTGCTCACATTATAGAAGGATCATTTTAGCAGCAGTGGAGAGTGACCTTGATGTGGAGACGAGGTCTGGGGAGACTACTGGCAAGGAAGCCAGATGGCCAGTACCCTTAGGGTACTCTGAAGTCTTCCTCGGGGTCAATAGTTCTATCAATAGTTCATTTTAGATAGGCAGGAGTGCTGATCAGTTGGATGTTGTGGTTAGCAGAAAGCCCAGTGACAGAGGTCCTTGTCCACAGAAACCTCACAACAAGGTGAGGTTTCTTCTCCTCCGCGCCTTCTTCTGCGTTTACCTACAGGAAAAATGAACAGCTGCCTTCTAAAGTGATGTGTTCCCCCTTTTTCTTCAAACAAAATGGCACCAAGACAGAGCAAAGCAGAACTGGGAGGGTTTGGCTGCTATATTGGGCTTAGTTCCATTTCCCAGTTTGTAGCTACTCCTGTGTTGAGAGCATGAGCTAGTTTATGGTCACAGAAACGAAGCCCAGCTGTGAGAGGGGCTAATGACAGAAGGAAGCAGGAAAAACTCGTCATTTTTATAGAATCTCATTTGAATCTCATCCTGGCATGCCAAACAACTAAGGAAAATTGAGAGATTAAATTTTCTGGGAAGCCAACTGGAACTTTCTTACTTGCAATTCTATATCCAGCTGAAACTGCTCACTGAAAAATCATAGAGGGCTGGGAACGTGCAGCCATCTTCAAACACTGTACTTCCATCACAGAGAAGGCTCCTGTAGAGTTGATGCTCAGGAATGCAATATTATCATGCAAAGGAATGCAGTACAAATTCTTCTTTTATGCTTTTCTTGGAGCTAAAGGGATAGGTTTTAAACATTGAACAAATGTAAGAGAGCCAGAATATTGCTTGTCATACTCGAAAGCTATAGGGATAGACAATAAAGGCAATCTCTTTCATTTGAGAAGCAGCAAGCGGTGGGGTGGTCAGAAGAAAACAACAGGGACTTTAGAGTTGGACAGGTCTGGGCTCAAATCCTGGCACCACCACTCACTGGCTGAATAACATTTGGAAAGTTATTAAACTCTTGAAGCATATTTTTCTTTCTGTAAAATGGGGATAAAATTCTGACTTTTCAGAACAGTGGTGAATATTAAACTAAAAAGTGCACATAACATGTTGGGCACATGATAGGTGCTCAATAAAGGAAAGAGAGCCAAATAACATGTTACCTTCTACATAATGCTTTCATTATGTAATTGTATATACTGAATAATAATAAGGCATGTTGGAAACAGAAAATTTAAATCTCCCTGTGAATATCTCTGGACCAGGCCTGCAACATGGCCCTCAAGACCACCCCCAACCTGCCTGTGCGTGGCCGGACACCAGCCCGGGAGGCATTCCCAGCCATCTCCAGATCTCCAAAGACCTCTAAAGGAAATAATGGACATCCGAGAGCTATCACTGGTATTTCAAGAAAAGACTAACAAAGAGTTTTTCGTCTCTAAGCCTGCATAGATTATCAAAAACATCAAGTGCTGTTGCTTTTGCCTGGAATTGAGACAGTCCAGGGTGTTATCTCCCATTGAGGAGAATCTCAGATTCTTTGCTATACACCACTTTGATGATTAGAATGGGCAAAATGAATTATGTACTTTATTCAGATGAAATCTTTCTTATGGAACCCAGAATTCAGCTGGGGCCTCCCTGCTCTTCTGAGATGGAGGGGACCTGGCTCAAATCTCTCAATTTCATGGCTTGAGAAAGTCCAAAGCCTTCACCGAGGCATGTACAGATCTCATGGGTTTGGTTGCCATGGTGACCTTCCTCTCTGGCTCCCACAGACATGTATGAAGGCTCATGTTTCACCACTTCAGTCCAAGACTTTGTCACCATTGACACACATACACATTCCACTCACACCATGCATTTTCAGGGTCACAAAAATGGGGGTCACAGGCAAGGACCCCTCCTCCCACTGACTTCACACTAAGACCTCCTTTCCCTGCTGTCTCTCTCTTCCCTCCTTTCCTTTCTCCTTTCTTGCCTGTCTCAGCAAGGCAGTCTTGCTGTCATCTTTCCAGCTAGAGCATCATGCTCCCTTTTCCCCAAAAATATGGCTCTCTTCCTCTGATGCATTGCAATGGATAAAAATTTTTTGCCACTTCATTAAACTTGATATAAATTTCTTTGAGGAAAATCATCAAGAGCTCTTTACTGACAGAAGCAGAGTTACCATGAATCCAGGGCAGTGGTTCTGAGTGTGGTCCCTAGACCAGGAGCATGAGAATCACCTGGAACTGCTAGAAATGCAAATCCCTAGCCCTGTCCCTGCCAACAACTTACAGAAGCAGACACTCTGAGGGTGGGATCCAGCAATCTATGTGTTAAGAAGCCTTCCAGGTAACTCTGATATGGAATAAAGTTTGAGAAGCACTGGCCAAGAAAGAGGACCTCAGCTGGAACTAGATGAGCCTGTCAAACCCCAATGCCCATAGAGACTAGGCAATAATACGATGGGCATTGGACAGAAAAGAATATTATGGGGACTTGAGGGGACTGGGGCTGATTTTTGCCACGTGGAAAGGAAGGTCCAAGATGGTCAGGTTTTCTACATTTTCAAGAAAAAACAGAAATGTGAATTTTTGTGTGCATTCTCCAGATGTTTAAATGTCAGCAACCAATTTGTCTGGTCCTCCTGGGTAAAATCAAGGGCTTAGAGAAGCTGCCGACACTATCACCCTCTTTCAGCTGAGAATTACAGTATTCCAAGCCATGCTTCTAGGTCTGCTGCTCCTGGTTCAATTTTTTTGAGATGGAGTCTTGCTCTGTCACCCAGGCCGGAGTGCAGTGACACCATCTCGGCTCACTGCAAGCTCCGCCTCCCAAGTTCAAGCAATTCTCCTGCCTCAGCCTCCCGAGTAGCTGAGACTACAGGCGTGCACTACCATGCCTGGCTAATTTTTTTTTTTTTTTTTTTTTTTTGTATTTTTAGTAGAGACAGGGTTTCACTGTGTTAGCCAGGATGGTCTCGATCTCCTGTCCTCGTGATCTGCCCGCCTTGGCCTCCCAAAGTGCTAGGATTACAGTTGTGAGCCACCGTGACTGGCCTCCCAGTTCAATTTTTAAAGCACAGTTAGGAACAGTGGAAAAAAATGAAATGGAGACTCTCATTTAAAGTGGATTTTGTGCCAGACATGAAAATGGGTTTTTAAATTAATACAGGGCCGTGGAGTGGGAAGCCTATAAAACAGTAGTGAAATGGCAGTTGGACTTAATGTGAGATATTGTTTCTGAGCAGGCTTTTTATTTCCATCTGTATTTTCTCAGAAAGTCACCAGGGAATCCGTTTTGTTTCCCGCATTACATTTAAAGCTGGGCCTATAGAATATATGCAGTGCTCTCTCATTGCCAGGGCAACCATTATCTTCTCCTAATTCCTTTTCTTTCCTAAAAATAAAGTGCCCTTTCTCAAAGTATCTATTTTGGCTTTTTATTTATATCTCTCTTTCTGCAGCAGCCCCGTCTCCCTTTGACCTGAGTGTGACTTTTGTTTGGCTTGAGAAGAGATGTCGATAACACACATTCTGGACCCGACTGCCAGCCATCTCTGAGTGTTCCATTAGAACACTAATGAGAGCCACAGACACGGGGGGCTGGGAAACAACCCCAGCAATTTCACAGAAGGGGGTCATGGTCCCATTCCTATGGCACAGATGGCATTTGGAACAATGTTTCCCCAGCTCATTATTTCATCGGCTGCTTCCAAAGAACTGTATTTCCACGGCAGAAATGACCATTTCAAGAGATGAAGAGATGGGCGGAGGGCCCAGTGCCCAGCTGCTCTCATGAGGGATGAAGCCTTAGACCGCCCCACTCCTTTGATCTGTAACTAGACAATGCCCCTTCCCTGGTTCCTTGGCATTGTTGGAAACTTTCCTTTGCCTGTAGAGAAGTCTTGATGGTCCACTTCAGAGGCATTAAAAAAGCTGGAAGGAAAGGAAATGTGGAACACCGGCCTAAGTTCTGCAGCCTTTGAACATCAAAGACCAGGCCTTGATCAATACATCCACTAAAAGTGATTGCTTGGGACTTCTGAACCAAAAGGAACACGCTCTATAGACCATATCCTTTTGGAGACAATTTGCCATGCTGAGATCCTACAAAGATGGATCTTGTCATGAGATAAGATGAGAAAATCAATCTGCCCAAGATTAACTAAGGCAAATAGTTATGATCCCAGTGCTCTATGAGTCTACGTCCAAGCTAGGCTGCCCTGATGCATCCCACACAGATGAGCAGAAGACATTCATAGAGTCACAAAGACATGTCTGGTTCTCAGCGGAGTGTGTGCTTGGAGTTCTCTCTGGATTTACCTGAGCCATCCACATTCCTCCCTCTCCATCCTTACTGTGGCCAGCCTGCTCCTTGACAATCTGAGCTTCTCCATTACATCTGTGATAATGAAAAAGACATGCTCTTCCCTACCAAATCAACGCAGGAGTGGGAAGCATGACTTTGGCTCATACCAGCTTGTGTTTGGGGCACAGTGTATCTAACGGGAGTCTTAAAATTTGCCCACTACACATACTATGGGGCTAGGTGAAGTCATTATTTTCTTTCTCTCCCTCTTGCAATTTCAAGTCTTCTCCACAATTCTTTCCTACTGTAATGTTGTTCACTTGGATAGTGGCCCTTTGGCACAGCTAATGTGGAGCCCGAGCTCTGTGGTGTTTTACGGAAGGAATGTCACTTGCTGTGACCTCGACTGTGTGCTGCGGCTGGGGGTCAGGCTGGACTTGATGGGTCAGCAAGTTGGGACTGAAAACAGATAATTAAGAATTGGTCCTTGGTACCAGGCTGAGTCAAGAAGCCCAGGGCAGCTCTTGGAGTCCAGAGCCCCATCTTCAGATGGACAAGTTGCTCACAGAAAAGGGTGAGCTGGGGGGTAGAAACACTGCCCAGTTCTGCCACAAGGAGGAGAAAGTCCAAGGATGAGATTGCGCTGCTGGAGGATGGGCAACCAGCAAAGAAGAAGGAAGGCACCCGCTCTGACCATTTCCCTGTGGGCCTCATGGTCTGAGCCCTAAAGGCTCAATCACATACCGATTAGACTAGTCTGAGCTTTCACAACACTTTCTTTGAGGTTTTTTTCATCATAGGCTTAGTAATTTTGACATTATTATCTAATCTTAAAAGCACTTGTTGACCAAAAGAGTAGAAAGCAGGGTCTTGAAGAGACATTTGCACACCCATGTTCATAGCATCATTATTCACAGTAGCCAAAAGGTAAAGGAACCCAAGTGACCATTGACAGATGAATGAATAAACAAAATGTGGTATATCCATACAGTGGAATATTATTCAGCCTTAAAAAGAAAGACAATTCTGGTATACACTACAATATGGATGAACCTGGGGGATAATATACTAAGTGAAATAAACCAGTCACAAAAATACAAATACTGTACTTTATAATTCCACTTCTATAAGGTACCTAGAATAGTTGAAATCATAAAGACAGAAAGTAGAAGGATGATTGCCAGGGACTTAGGGAAGGGGAGAATGGGTGAGTTCTTGTTTAATGCATATAGAGTTTCAGTTCTGCAAGATGAAAAGAATTCTGGAGGTTGGTTGTATAACAGTGTAAATGTACTCAACACTACTAAACTCCACACTTAAAAATGGTTAAGTGCCGGGTGTGGTGGCTCACGCCTGTAATCCCAGCACTTTGGGAGGCCAAGGAGGGCAAATCACAAGGTCAGGAGTTTGAGACCAGCCTGGCCAATATCGTGAAACCCCGTCTCTACTAAAAATACAAAAGTTACCCAGTTGTGGTGGTGGGCACTTGCAGTCCCAGCTACTCAGGAGGCTGAGGCAGGAGAATCACTTGAACTCAGGAGGCAGAGGTTGCAGTGAGCCAAGATTGTGCCACTGCACTCCAGCCTGGGTGACAGAGCAAGCTCTGTCTCAAAAAAAAAAAAAGTTTAATATGGTAAATTTTATGTTATATATATTTTACTACAATATTGAAAACAAACAAATAAGCACCTGCTGAATGAGTCCCCTTTGTTTTTCCTGCTATTCTACTGAGATTCATTGAAGACATGGGTCCTCATCCCAGGACTGTCACTCACAAATTGCGTGACCCTGGGCAATTCACAAAAGCTTTCTGCACATAACTTTCTTCATGGATAATTGGGAATAATAATAGTGACTTTGGAGGATAGGTTGGGAAAAGATTTATGAATTAAAATGGATAATATATAAGGGCTATTGGAGATTACAAATCCATTATATCCCTAAGGACACCGACACCGAGGTCTTGCATCTATCAAGGACTCAATGAATGGATGGATCCAGAAATGTGCCTTAGCCAGCAAGTGACTGACAGAACAGTAAAGTCAGTGAAATTGGCCTTCAGGCCCACCACCAACTTGGGTATCTTCCTGCCCTCCTGAGTCCTCCATGCTTGCATTCTTCCCTTCCCAGAAAGCTGGATGATATGGTTTGGCCGTGTCCCCACCCAAATCTCATCTTGAATTGTAGCTCCCATAATCCCTGCATGTCATGGGAGGGACCCATTGAAAGGTCATTGAATTATGGTGGCAAGTCTTCCCTGTGCTGTTCTCATGATAGTGAATAATTCTCACAAGATCCGATGGTTTATAAAGGGCAGCTCCCTTGCACACAAGCTCTCTTGTCTGCCACCATGTAAGACGTCCCTTTGCTCTTCCTTTGTCTTCCACCATGATTGTGAGGCCTCCCCAGCCATGTGGAACTGTTACTGTGAGTCTTTTAAACCTCTTTTTCTTTATAAATTATGCAGTCTCAGGTATGTCTTTTTTTAGCAGCATGAGAACAGACTAATACACTGGGTGAAGTCTTACACTCAGACATTGGTTCACAGACATCTTGCGAAGGTGTCCACACTTTTATAAGAAATGTTGGGAAAGCAGGGCACTTAACCCAAAAGAATAAATTTCAATGGTGGAAGTTCAGACATTAGCAATAGTGCCTTACAGAAGCTGAGTTGGGGGCAGGGACAGACGGGGAGGGGAAAGTCTTCTTGGCAATCTCTCCATCACAGCATGCAGTGAGAAAAGCCAAGGTCCTCAGCCTGGGAGTCATGCTGCCATTTTGGTGAGAAGCAGCATCATAGCTTAGTGTTAAGAGCAAGGACTCAGGAACCTGACAATCTGAATTTGAACTCTGGCTCTGCCACTGAACAGCTGTGTAGCCTTTCATGTGTATTTAACCTCTCTGTGCTCCAGTCTCCTCAACTTTAAAGTGAGGATGATAATAGCACCCACATTGTAGGTTTGCTGTAAGGAATTAAATCAATCCTTCATACAGTGAGTACTTAGACAGTGCTTGGCACATAGAAAGTTCTATATAAATATTTGTCAAATAAAATCTAGAAAAATGTGCAACACCCATATCTATTCCCTGGCTTCTACATTGGATCTTTTCCTCCCCATTGCTACTATCATCCTGATTTCCTGCATGGAAA
Source organism: Homo sapiens (assembly GCF_000001405.40). Lineage (NCBI taxonomy): Eukaryota > Metazoa > Chordata > Mammalia > Primates > Hominidae > Homo > Homo sapiens. Next base: position 88,927,700 of record NC_000014.9, on the reverse strand, counting down.
ATATATTCCCCACCCATGCCCTGGCCACAAACAGATAAGTCTTTGAGAGCAGATTCCTGGCTGCTAATAAAACTGGCTTTCAGACCCCATTTTCTAGTTAGTTGCCTAATTTAGAGACCTTGTCAATTTGCATTACATAGAAATAATGCAATAAGACTTCAAAGCCACTTAGAACCATGCCCTACAGCCCATCTCTGAAACTTCCAAAGTGGGTTGGAGCAATTTTAAATTATTTGACAGCATGAAACTTCTCCCTTGCAATTTTCCTGTGATGACAGGGGTAGGACAGTATTGGGGGTAATCACGTAGAAACTAAGTGGCCAAAAATGTGCTATGTTCTACTCATAAATGGAAGCTGAGTGAAATAAACCTTTTCATCATAATGGTTTAGATTATTCTGTTGCTGTTGCTGCTCTTGTTTATTTCTTTCCTTTCTCTTACTTCTTTTGTTTGTAATCTAATAAATTCCTGTTCAAGTTTAGATGAAATAGTTAGAATGCACAAATGAAACCTGCACCCTGATTTTTTAAAAAACAAGAACATTATGAGTGCCCTAGAAACCCTATAGCCATGATGCTTTCTAGTCACTACTCTCCCACCTCCAAGCATACATAACCTTACTTTTAAGGGCATTGAATAGTCTTGACTGTTTCTGTACTTCACGTGAATGGAATTTTACAGAACCTATGGTTTTGCGTCTGTTTTCACCCAACATCATATTTATGAGATTCATCCATTTTATCACATATAGTTGTAGTTTGTTCACTCTCATTGCTGTGCCGTATGCCTGCATTAGTCTGTTCTCATGTTTCTAATAAAGACATGCCCAAGACTGAGTAATTTATAAAAGAAAGAGGTTTAATGGACTCACAGTTCCACATGGCTGGGGAGGCCTCACGGTCATGGCAGAAGGTGAATGAGGAGCAAAATCACATCTTACATGGTGGCAGGCAAGAGGCCTCGTGCAGGAGAACTCCCATTTATAAAATCATCAGATCTCGTGAGACTTACTGAATCTCAAGAGAACAGTATGGGGGAAACGGCCTCCATGATTCCATTATCTCCACCTGGCCCCGCCCTTGACATGTGGGGATTATTACAATTCAAGGTGAGATTTATGTGGGGACTCAGAGCCAAACCATGTCAATGCCATTGTGTGATTAGACCACAGTTGATTTATCTATCACATTGGATGGACATTTGTGTTGTTTCCAGTTTCAGTCGATTTTGAATAGTGCTGCTAGGAACCTTCTTGTACATCTTTTGGTGAATGTGTGAAATCTATTTTGTTTCGTACAAACTGTTTATCTCCCCTCTTTTTAACAAGCCTCCCTCCCCTTATCCAAGTCAGGCAGGGTAATCCAAGAGTGGGTGATTGGAAGGGAAAAGAATTCCAGCTGCCCAACTTCTGGCTCCTATCTTCCTTCCTCCCCAAGCAACTTCCTCCACCCTCCTCCCTCAGGACCTGGGATTCATCTATCCCAACCTGGGGCTGCCTTTCCTACTGCCTCCTGATGTGCTTTCCTGTGACTTCCCCCTGGAGCTCCAGCTCCTATGCCTCAAGACTGCCACATCCTCTTTCACCCACCTGCAGGCCAGAATTCTTGTGACCTCAGGCAAGCCTTCTGAATGCCGATTCCTAGCCTCAGCTAACAGCTCTGGCCTGTTGCTGTCTTTGTTAGATGCTGTGATACACCCGCTCTGCCAGACTTCTTTCCTTCACTGAACACTGTGTCTCCTGGGCTTTCATCACCCCAGCTAACTTGCCTTAACTATTTGTACTAGTTATGAGTGTGGAATTTGAGATCAGGAAACCTAGATTTGAACTTCAGTTCTAGGTTTTAGTTGTGTGGTGCTGACAAGTGCTTTAATCTCTCTAAGCCTTAACTTCCTCATCTGTATTAACAGTAACAATATACCCTGAACTCATAATATGGCTGCAGAGTTATAAGAGATAATGTGCTTATTATTATTGGGGTTGTTGTTATTACATATGCCCTGCATTATATATGCTGCTTTTTGCCTTCTAAAGATAAATCACTTTGGGTTTTTTTTTTATTCAAAGTCAACAGTTTTTACCATAAAATAACGTTGAGGAATGCTATCTAGAAAGAATCACAATTAGCCTAATTCCTTTGCCCTTCTTTAAATATACTGAAAAGAAGTTGGGAAATATTCACAATATATTATTAAGGGTTTCTTCTTTTTTTTAAAAAAAAAGAGGTAAGACACTCAATTATATATACATATATGTAGTTTTTGTTTTAGAAAAATCAAAGAAACATATCGAGAAAGAGATGGCAAAGAAAGATTAAAAGGTTAATAGTATTTTCCTCTGGTTGGCGGGATTCTGGGTGCTTTCTATGGTAGTCCTATTTTCCTATAGCTTCTGATATATACACATACACACATATATCCTTTTATACACATATACATACAATTTAGGCTTTTAAAATAAGCCTAGAGTTTAAAGTCCTGCCTAGAACAATCAGACAAGAGAATAAATAAATGGCATCTAAATTGGAAAGGAATAAGTCAAAGTATCCTTGTTAGTAGGTGATATGATCTTATACTTGGAAAAAACTAAAGACTCAATGAAAAAAAAACCTATTAGAGTTGATAAACAAATTCAGCAAAGTTGCAGGATACAAAATTAACATACAAATCAGTAGCATTTCTATATGTCAACAATCAACAATCTGAAAAAGAAATCCCATTTATGATAGCCACAGATAAAATTAAACATCTATGAATTAACTTAACCAAAGAAGAAAAGAATCTCTATAACAAAAACTATAAAACAATGATGAAAGAAATTGAAAAGGAAACTCAAAAATGGAAAGATGTTCCATGTTAGTAGTCTGGAAGAATCAATATTGTTAAAATGTCCATACTGTCCAAAGCAATCTACAGATTTAATGAAATCCCAATCAAAATACCAATGACATTTTTCACAGAAATAGAAAAAATAATCCTAAAATGTATATGGAACACAAAAGACCCAGAATAGCCAAAGCTATCCTAAACAAAAAGAACAAAACTGGAAGAATCACATTACTGACTTTAAATTATACTACAGAGCTATAGTAACCAAAACAGCCTGGCACTGGCATAAAAACAGATACAAAAACCATTGGAACATAATAGAGAACCCAGAAACAAATCCACACACATATAGTGAACTCATTTTCAACAAAGGTGTCAAGAACATGCACTGGGGAAAAGACAATCTCTTCAATAAACTGTGCTAGGAAAACTGGATATTCATATACAGAAGAATGAAACCAGACCCCTACCTGCCACCATATAAAAAAATCAAATCAAAATGAATTAAAGACTTAAATCTAAGACTTCAAACTATGAAACTACTACAAGTAAACATTGGGGAAACTCTCCAGGACATTGGTGTGGGCAAAAATTTCACGCACAGGTAACCAAAGCAAAAATGAACAAATGGGATAACATCAATTTTAAGTTTCTGCACAGCAAGGGAAACAATCAACAAAGTGAACAGACAGCCCACAAGAATAGAAGAAAATATTTGCAAACAACCCCTCTGACAAAGGATTGATAACCAGAATCTATCTGGGTGCGGTGACTCACATCTGTAATCCCAGCACTTTGGGAGGCCGAGGCGGGTGGATTGCCTGAGGTCTGGAGTTCGAGACCAGCCTGGGCAACGTTGTGAAAACCTGTCTCTACTGAAAATACAAAAATTAGCCAGGCGTGGTGGCACGTGCCTGTAGTCCCAGCTACTCAGGAGGCTGAGGCAGGAGAATCTCTTGAACCCAAGAGGCAGAGTTGCAGTGAGCCAAGATTGTGCCACCGCACTGCAGCCTGGGTGACAGAGTGAGATTTCATCTCAAAAAAACAAAACAAACAAACAAACAAAATGGAATCTATAAGGAGCTCAAACAACTCTTTAGGAAAAAATCTAATAATTTGATCAAAAAATGGACAAAAGATTTGAATAGACATTTCGCCAAAAAAGACATACAAATCGCAAATAGGCATATGAAAAGGTACTCAACATCATTGATCAGCAGAGAAACGTAAATCAAAACTACAATGAAATACCATCTCATCCCAGTAAAAAGCTTATATCCAAAAGACAGGCAATAACAAATGCTGGTGAGGATGTGGAGAAAAGGGAACCCTTGTACGCTGTTGATGGAAATGTAAATTAGTAAAACTACTAAGGAGAACAATTTGGAGATTCTTCAAAAAACTAAAAATAGAGCTGCCATATGATCCATCAATCTCATTGTTGGGTATATACCCAAAAGAAAGGACATAAGTATATTGAAGAGATATTTGTATTCCCATGTTTATTGCAGCATTGTCACAGTAGCCAAGATTTGGAAGCAACCTAAGTGTCCATCAACACATGAATTGATAAAGAAAATGTTGTACATATACACAATGAAGTACTATTCAGTCACAAAAAAGAATGAGATCCAGTCATTTGAAAGAACATGGGTGGAAGTGGAGGTCATTATGTTAAGTGAAATAAGCCAGGCACAGAAAGATAAACATTGTATATTCTCATTTATTTGTGGAATCTACAAATCAAAACAATTGAATTCATGGAGATAGTAGAGGATGGTTACCAGAGGCTGGGGAGGTTAGTAGGGGAGTAGGGGGAGGTGGGAATGGTTAATGGGTACAAAAAAATAGAAATAATGAATAAGACCTACTATTTGATAGCACAACAGTGTGACTATAGTCAATAATAATAATTTAATTGTACGTTTTAAAATAACTAAGAGAGTATAACTGGATTGTAACACAAAAGATAAATGCTTGAGGGAATGGATGCCCCATTCTCCATGATGTGATTATTACACATTGCATGCCTGCATCAAAACATCTCATGTACCCCTTAAATTTATATACCTACTATATAACCACAAAAATTAAAAATAAAAAAAATAAATAAACCCAGTTTGGACAATGGAAAGGAAATTAAATTAATAGACTGGTGACCTGAAGGTGAAGTCAGGAAAGGGTCTAGTATTAGCTTCCTGGTTATCACTTGTTTCTTTCTATGCAAAACTGACTTGGGCTTTTGTCATGCAATGGAGTCAAGGAGGAGTATGTTTGGCACCCAGGTGATCCACTTGGGTCCCTCTTGGTACATGCACCATTTTGACAATAAGAGCACGAGTGCAGAAAGCCCAACCTCAGAAGGGCATGGTGACCAGGGCACAGACCCCTCAGGGATATAAGTCTGGGTCACTCCACCAGCTTAACCATCAAGATCTGCAGAGGTTCTGGCTGAGGGTGAGAGGAATTGAGGATGGATGGTAGAGGAGAGAGATTATAAATATCAATTCTGATTTTAAGACCAGTTGCAGCATCAGGGGCTCAAACTTATCTTACTGATACACTGCTTCTAGGTTCCCCCCAAGAGGCAGAAGAAGCTGCTTCCAGAATGTATATGAAGACGAGATTCAAGTGCACAAAGGTGAACTGTGGGGGCCACTGTGATACTCCATTGAGATCCTCTTTCAGAAAGGGCTTGTTTCCCCAGGTGCCTGGAGTGCTGTTGGTGACTACCTTCAGCTGTAAGTCCTTTAAGGCAGAGAAGAGACATAATTTAGAAAGATTTATCTGCCAGCTCTTAAAGGGAATGAACTAGATCTGTACACATCCACATGGGTAGATACCCCAAACAAATCTCCAGTGTAAAAAATCAAGATGTAGAGAATGCAATTATTTGGGTAGACTTGGAACACCCATTGAGCAAAACTATATATTGCTTATGGTTACACATATGTATATCAAAATATACAAAATAAACACCATACATATGTATTCTCTAGAGGGACAGAACTAGTAGGATATATGTATATATAAAAAGGAATTTATTTATTAAGGAGAATTGACTTGCACAGTCACAAGATGAAGTCCCACAATAGGCTGTCTGCAAGTTAAGGAGCAAGGAAGCCAGTAGCGTCTCAGTCCAAGTCTCAAAACCTCAAAAGTAGGGAAGCCAACAGTGCAGCCTTCAGTCTGTGGCCAAAGTCCCGAAAGCCCCTCACCAACCACTGGTGTAAGACCAAGAGTCCAAAAGCCAGAGAACTTGGAGTCTGCCGTCCGAGGGCAGGAAGCATCCAGCACGGGAGAAAGATGAAGGCAAGAAAGACTCAGCACGTCTGCTTCTACCACCTTCTTCTGCCTACTTTTTCTAGCCACCCTGGCAGCTGATTGGATGGTGCCCACCAACATTGTGGGTGGGTCTTCCTGAGAGTGGGTCTTCCTCTCCCAGTCCACTGACTCAAATGTTAATATTTTCTGGCAACACCCATAAACACCCAGATACACCAGAAACAATACTTTGCATCTTTCAATCCAATCAAGTTGACATTTAATATTAACCATTACAAGAAATATTTGTGTACATTTTGTAAGCCTTCACATACATAAATATTTTGACTTAGTCAGCCTTTGCTGTGTAACAAATAGCTCCGGGATCTTAATGGGTTACAATAACAACATTTGCTTTTATTCACATTACAGGAAGGCTGTTGTTTCTCAATGTCCCTCTTCAACTCTGTCAGGCTCTGTTGGACTCTGGTGGGTTTAGCTGGGCTCAGCTGGGCTCAGCATCATGTGGCTTCTCACTCTGCTACCCCAGCTGGAGGAGCAGCTCCTATCTGGAATCTGCTGTAACCATGGCAGAGGACAAGAATTCAAGAAGGGCAATATTAAATAATGAGAGTACATTTAAAGCAAGATCAGATCTGGCATGCTTCATTTTCCTTTGGCCAAAGAAAGTCACAGGACCAAGCCCAAAGTCTTTGGGGAAGTGTGTTCTGCCTTCAGGGAAGCATAACAGGGTAAGGAGGCAATAAATTATTGGGAACAAATAACATGATCTACCATACACTCCAAACTCATGGTGGTGACCGCCAGGGGAGGAGCTGGAAGGGGAATGGAAAGAGGAGTCAGTGAATGAAGAGGATGTTATCTAGAACTGTAATATAATTTTATAAAAGACTTGATACAATATGACAATTCTGATAATGAAATACAGATATTTGTCTAATTATGCTTGGTATTTTGCTTTCTGTTTTCACAGAAATTATGAATTGATGAGGGGGGAGATTAAAAATGGAGTTGGAAGGGAGTAGTTAAGAGGCAATTGCAGAATTCCAGGTAAAATGATAAAGACCTGAATTATTACCCTAGCAGGAGAAATGATGTAATGGAGTTATTGAAAAACTAGAATTGACCAGATTTTCAACATCATTAGCAATTTTCATGTGTTTATTTAACACTTGTATATCCTCTTCTCTGAAATGACTCTTCATGTATTTTTGCCCACTATGTACTTGGATTGTTTATTTTTTTAACTATTAGAGTTTGATAACTCTTCATATATTTTAGATACTAGTCCTTTGCTGTACGTGTAGTTTGCAAATATTTTTCCACTCAGTAGGTTTATTTCATCATCTTAACTGTGTGTTTCAGTGACCTAAAGTTTTTCAAATATTGATTAAAGTTTTCACATAAATTTTTTTTATTTCAACCATTTTACGTGGACCATTCCATGGCATTAATTATGTTTACAATGTCATTAAACCATAACCACAATATGCAATTTCTTTCATCATTCCAAATACAAACTCTGCATCTATTAAGCAATAACCCACATTTCCACCACCACCCCAGTACCTGCTCCCTTCAATCTATTGTCTGTCTCAATTCATTTTTCCTATTCTAAATATTCTGTAGAAGTAGAATCATACATATTTGTCCTGTTAATTTCTGTCATAATTCACTTGCAATGTGTTTAAGGTTTGTCAATGTTGCAACTTGTATCAAACTTTCATTCCTTTTTATGGTGGAATAAAGTTTTATTGTTTGTATACCCTTAAAAAACAAGACCAGATTTGATGATCAATTCAATGTGAAGGGTGAGAGAGAGGAATGAGTCAAGAATGCAAGCATGCCTTCAGAGATGAACCAAGAGTGACTGCAATGGCAGGAATGCCAGCTCAGGTGCCCGGGTGGAAGAGTAACTGCTCTCCCTGCCGGAGAACAGAGGTCACAGGGTAGCTGGGCCAGGAGGAGGTGAGGCCTGTTATTTCACGGCTTTGTTGATAACTCTGAATCTATTATTTTGCTTTTCCTTCTGTCTTTGTTTACCTATTTGTTCCTTTGCTTGTTCTTTCTCACTGCTGGTTTGCAAACCAGGAGTACATACACCTAACTTGAACTGATATCATTATTTTTGGTAACAAGTCCTTTCACTTGAGAGTTTTAATTCTACAAGGGTAGGGCCAATGAAATAGTGTAGGCTGGCTAGGAACAGGTTGCTCTGGGGAAGAAAGTGTCCCCAGTGAAAACTTGGTGACTGAACAGCACATACTCATTGCAGACTTCTTAACGTTGCTTGAGGGATTCATTTGCCATAATTAAATACATGTATTAATTTATTCAATATGAATCTGGAGCTTGCTATAAACAGATGTCTCCACGGAAGGGTGCTGGAGAGCAAACCAGGTCTTATAATTTGTAGTCTGAGTCCTTGTGACCTTTTTTTGATTTGGGGTTCATGTTGAAAGCCACCGTTCATTTCTCTGTCATTGTATCTCATCTTCAGTCATTATAGAGGGAACCACATCCTCACCCCTGGGACTTCTCGAAGGGAATTGTTCATTAAGCCAGTCAAATTTAATCTCCATATTGTTAAAAATCTCCCCAACCCTTTTATATGATGCAATAACAAACAAATGAAAAGCAGCTAGAACTTGTATGCATATAAGTAGATCCCGAACAACAAAAGGACCAGTTTTTCTGGCTAAAAGCAAGCCTGCCATTACATTGAGGCCATGCCTTCATTCCTACTCACTCAATTATACTTGAGGAAGAGATGGGAAGCTAATTCTCTACCTGCCCCACAAAACTATTCCATTTCACAACCCATCTACACTATCACTTACATCGATAGCTCATGTTGCTGGCAGTAAAGTGCTGTGATCTTATTCCATTTTAAAACAGTCCTGGAATAAATGGTGCTGAAATTGCTCAGATCTAGCCTGCTATCTTCTACCCCAGCATACAGAGAGAGAACAGAACAGATGAAATGCTGGGCTTGCCGACCCCGTCTCTCCTTTCCACTTTGTGGTCTTAAGAAAATCACATAATCAGAAGTTCAATTACCTTATCTATAAAATAGGAAGAAAAGGCCGGGTGCAGTGGCTCACGCCTGTAATCTCAGCATTTTGGGAGGCCAAGGCGGGTGGATCACTTGAGGTCAGGAGTACGAGATCAGCCTGGCCAAAATGGCGAAACCCCATCTCTACTAAAAATACAAAAAAAAAAAAAAAAAAAATTAGCTGGGCGTGGTGGCAAGTGCCTGTAATCCCAGCTAATCAGAAGGCTGAGGCAGGAGAACCTCTTGAACCCAGGAGGTGGAGGTTGCAGCGAGCCGAGATCACACCATTGCACTCCAGCCTGGGCAACAAGAGCAAAACTCTGTTTCAAAATAAATAAATAAAAATAAAATAAATAAAACGGGAAGAATGATATCCTCAATGTAGATTTTTTAATGAGGATCACACAAAATAAAGTAGGTGAAAGTGCCGACGTTTGTTAGAGCAGAGCATTTCAGACTTTGACGTGTGTATGACCGTGTGGGAATGGGATACAGGTTCTGGCTTTGTAGCTCAGTGGTGGAGCCTGAAATTCTGAGTTTCTAACAAGCTCCCAGATGATGCCAATGCTGCTAGGCCATAGACCATAACTGGAGTAGCAAAGTGATTACTGTGTTGTCCAGTGTGGTAGATGCTGGCCACAGGTGTTCATTTAAGTTTAAATTAATTAAAATGAAATAAAATTTAAAATCCAGTTTGTTAATTGCAGTAGCCAAATGTTTAGATGTCCACAGCCACCTGTGACTAGTGGCTACCACTACATTGGACAACACAGACATAGAACATTTCCACCACTGCAGAAAGTTCCACTGGACTGTGCTGTGTTAAGCACCATGGTGATGTTTAAAAAGCTATTCGATAACATTCAAACAGTGTTTACTGATCGTCTTTGTATTTGTCAGGGTTCTCTAGAGGCACAGAACTAATAGGATAGATGTATATATGAAGGGGAGTTTATTAGGAGAATTGGCTCACATGATCACAAGGTGAAGTCCCACAATAGGCCATCTGCAAGCTGAGAAGCCAGGAAGCCAGTCCGAGTCCCAAAACCTCAAAAGTAGGGAAGCAGACTGTGCAGCCTTCAGTCTGTGGCCTAAGACCCAAGAGGCCCTGGCAAACCACTGGTATAAGTCTAAGAGTTCAAAGCTGAAGAACCTGGAGTCTGATGTTCAAGGGCAGGAAACATCCATCACGGGAGAAAGACGGAGGCCAGAAGACTAAACTAGTCTAGTCTTTCCCTGATTCCTGCCTGCTTTTATTATGGCCGCACTGGCAGCTGATTAAATTATGCCCACCAGGATTGAGGGTCAGTCTGCCCTTCCCAGTTCACTGACTCAAATGTTAATCTCCTTTGGCAACACCCTCACAGACACATCCAGGAACAGTACTTTGTATTCTTCAATGAAGTTGACACTCAAGATTAGCTATCACAATCTTCCACGTATATTTCTAGACACTAATGAGATAGCAGTGAGCAAAACAAAGTCCTTGCCCTTGTGGAGCTTACCTTCTGATTTGAATAAATAAGAGATTGTAACTAAATGGTCTTGGATACAGCAGCTCTCTCATAAGCAGACTCAGCTTTATCCTACAACAGCCTCACAGCAGAATTCATCACTTCCTCACAGCCCCTGAAGCAAAAGCCACTCAAATAACCATAAGTGAAGAATTAGTCTGAAGATTTTACTGAAGATTTCTTAAAGGATGCTACAGGGAAGTCTACATTGCATAGCCCAGAATACTGTTTAATATTGTTTTTCTTTTTCCTTTTAAAATTACACAATTAATACATGTCAAATAGGATTTTTACCTGCTTTCCACTCCCAACCCCCAAAACGCCCTGTCTGATACTTCTTCCTAAGTCTCTCTGTTTTGGGTCACCGAAGAGATCTTCCCAATATTCTCATTTTGCAGAGAAATTAATCTCTGCCCAGTTCCTCAAGCCTTGCATGCCTGTTACTTCTATACCTTTTACTTCTTTGAGTTCTACCGCAGCTTTCATTCGAGATGAAGTACACCTGCCCTCACGTTGTTGACCATGAAACATTGGTGGTAATCACCAGCTCACAAAAGCCAGTGGTGCTTTTATCTTCCCAACTTTGTGTTCAGTGACCTCATATTAGAAAGCTTGAAATTCATCTGAGTGGTAGTATTTACACCATAGAAATTGGCATATGCTACAAACTAGGTCTTTTTTTTTCCCCAGAGAACCAACTGTTAAACGTGTGGTAGCACACCACTGGGTGTAGAGAACATGTAGAGATGACATGGTGCCCAGTGTCATTTAGAGCTTATTGAGAGGACTCTGTTTCATTTTGTAGCCCCAGATGCTTCTTCCTCTTTGTTTTCTACTGTGGGGTCTGAAAGCTGTCTCACTCCTCTGAGGGGGACCCTCCCTTGCAAGACAGAGGAGAAGCAGCCACTCTGGCAAGTCAAAGAACATCATCCCATGGCTTAAAACAGAGTGGTCCTCTGGGCCGGGAGAGACGTCAGGGAGAAAATAAGAATGAACCACATCCCTCCACTCCATTCATTGATAGGAAACCTACAGACAGCACCTGATACTCACCTGCCTTCAGGTGTGCTTTCTTTGGTTTATCGTGAAACCAGCCAAATTCATTTTTCTCTGTAACTGTTAAATTGAAAATCAGTGACATAAAGAGGTGATAAGGGAAAACTGGGTTTGACTTCCGGTATCTCACAACTGCCCTTAGTGGACTGCAACCACCGTGGTAACACTCTAGAAGTATGGAACAAAAACTAGTTTACAGTCACCTCTGCTCAGAGCGGGGGTGGGGGAGATGGAGGAGTTAAATGCAAGGATGTGAAAATCATTTGGGGGATTTGCAAGAAGCTCTGGCTAAGGCAGCCCCCCTGGGCAAGCTTCTCTTCAGCTCCTATTTTCTGTTGGCTGTGGCTTGAGCCAGCTCTACACTATAGCTGTGGGCACTGCCTCATAAGAGACTCTTGCCTCCCTCCTATCATTTTTGCACTTCTCTTTTCTGTTTCTTCTCAAGTCTGACTTGACATTCAGTGAAGCCTCTTTTGCTTTGGATGAAAATCCTAGAAGTGGTGAGGGAGGTGGGGTAGGAGAGGCTCCCACTATGATTTAGCCTGGGTTTCAACAGGGCCCCAGGCTCACCCCACTCACGGCAACACTGGATGTTAGGTTCTGCCCTAACCCTTCCACCCCTGCACCCTAAGGCTTTAGTGGAGAGGCCACAATGAGAGAGGCTGCTGCCACCAGCGGAGAAGATAGGAAAAGAAGGAAAAGAAGCATTTGTGTGAGGAAAGCCTCCGTGGATGGTACACCTGTCCCCTTGGCCCTTGACTCATTCTTCTGTTCCTTAATGCCATCTGGATCAGCTGTGGGCTCTCTTGCCTAATTATAGTTCATAAGGGCCAATTTTGTAATGACTTGGCACCTAAATTGAGCCTGCACCTTTTTCACACTGCAGTTTGGGCTTTAATAGCTTGATTAAGTAGGACAGCCAACTCGGGTAAATCACCTTGCTTGTAAAGAGGTGTTTAGGGCTATATGAGGGAAAAAATGCCTTTACAAGGTGGACGGCTTAAAGGTAGATCCAAATGCAGCATCTTGACTAGAAATTTCAAGCCAGATAGGCTGGGTTTAAAAATATGGGGCAGGGGTCCAAGCTGCAGCCCATGTTTTGTGGTATCTCCTCCCTTCTCCTCACTCTCAGCTGATGGCCTTATTTCACTGGAACAATAGGAGCAATTAGAAGAATGTCACCTGCCCCCAAGGAGACATCTTTCCGGGTAGCAGTGCCTATATCTTTATACTCTTGTCTTTCATCCTGTTGCTATGGGCAGAGCTGTCTACACTTCTATTTAAAACCAAACCCAACACTGGAAGCCTTCCCCTCTTACCTTCTGCGATAACCCTCTCTTGCTTGCATCGCCAAGTTTCTCCCCTGCAAGACAGTTCTCTGAGTGACCTTGAACCAACCCAATTTTCCCTCCCCCTTTTTTGCATGTAGTCTCAAGAATAAGAGTAGAATGTGCTGGAATGCAATATCCTGAGAAAAAGCTCAGGCTTTATTCCTCTCTCCCCCAGAAGGAAGATGTCCTTCAAAGCTTTGCCCAGGGAGTCCTGTTTCTCCCAGGGTATGAAACCCAGGGCAGGCTGCCTTTTGAGGGTCCTCAGCTGTGATACAAAATGGGACACAGGCAGTCAAGACCACGTTCACCTTGGGCAGTTTTCTTGAGCCTTGAGGGATGAGCTCACAATGGATCCAAGACTTCTGTCCCTTACTGTTATCTATAAAAAATAAACCTGCTTTACATAACTTGTGTGTATGTTCTGTCTCACTGGACTCAGACAAATAGATAACCAGTATGAGGTGGACTTAACAGTAGCCTAGGATGTCTCGGGCATAAGTACATGGACTCCTGGTTTCTGGTGCTTGGCATAATGACATTCTCTGCAATTCTATACTCAGTGGGAGTCTCTCTTGAGATTGATGATTAGTGAGCCTGCTCCATGCCCCCTCTCTGCTGGATCATTTCTATCAGCATATAAACACGTCGTACACTGCCTATCTAGAAACAAAACACAATCAAAACACAGAAATAAAAACCTCCTTTGACCTAACGTCTACAATCCAGGTGCTGCCAATCCCTCCCTCCCTTTTACAGAAAAATACCTTGAAAGGGTTGGTTATCTAGTTTTACGGGCTCAACATCTCTCTTTTTGGTTTTTCTTGATCCTCTCACATAAGCTTTTCATGCCTAACACTCCAGTGAAAGAGCTCTATATCCAATGGTCAAATTTAAGTTCTCCTCGAACCCTATCAACAGATTCATGTGACCCTGTTGAGCACCTTCCTTCTTGAAACACACTTCACTGGACCTCCAGCCCTCCACTTCCTCTCTTGGTTTTCTTCTTACTCACTGGCCACTCCTCAGCCTGTTTTACATACTCCTCAGCCTCTTTTGCTGCATCCTCCTGATTTTCCCCATCTCCAAAGTTTGGAGGATACAGTCATTGGACAGCTTATCTTCTCTATCCGCATTTCTTTCCTAGGTAATCTCATCCAGCCTAATGGCTTTAAATACTATCTTGTCATTGACAATTCCCAAATGTGCCAGCCTGGACATGTCTTCCGAATCTCAGCTCTTGAATCCAGCTGCCTCCTGTACAGCTCCATTGGGATAGGAATTTCAAGCTGAATTTTAACTCCTTTTTTTTTTTGAGACAGGGAAGTCTCACTCTGTTGCACAGGCTGGAGTGCAGTGGCACAATCACTGTAGCCTTGACCTCCCACACTCAAGCAATCCTCCCACCCCAGCCTCCTGAGTAGCTGGGACTACAGGTGCATACCACCACACCCAGCTAATTTTATTATTTTTTGTAGAGCCAGGACCTCACTATATTCCCTAGGCTGGTCTTGAACTCCTATCCTCAAGTAATCCTCCCACCTTGGCTTCCAAAGTGCTGGGATTACAGGCATGAGCCACTGAACTGAGTGAATTTTAACTCTTGATTTCTCCCTCCATCAACTCTTTCAGTTGCTCAGGCCAAAAAGCCATGGAGGCATCTGTAACTCCTTTCTTTCTCACACATTCGACAGCCAATCCATCAGCAAATCCCTGGCAGCTCCACTTCTAAAACATACCCAGAATCTGCTCACACCTCCCTGACTCCACTGCCACCACCCAAGCCAAGCCACCATCGTCTCTCACCTGGATCATTGTGGTCCACTCTATGTTTCTACCCTTGACATCCCAACGGCCAGAATGATGCTTTAAAAATCAGGTCAGGTATGTCATTCCTTTTCTCAGAACCCTCACATCCTTTTCTACCTCTCCCAGATAGAATCTAAAGCCCTTACCACCACCTGCAAAGCTCTACACAACCTGGATCCTGAGGCCTCTGGCCTCACCTCACTGCACCCTGTCCCTGCTGCCTAACTCAGTTTAGGCTGCCAGAACAAAATGCCACATACTGGGTGGGGGGAGGGGGCTTAACTCATAAACATTTATTTAGTCACAGTTCTAGAGGCTGGAAGTCCAAGATCAAAACGTCAGCAGGTTTGGTTTCTTCTGAGGCCTCTCTCCTTGGCTTCTAGATGACTGCCTTCTTGCTGTGCCTTTCCTCTGTGCATGCACGTGCCTGTGTCCAAATTCCTCTTCTTGTAAGGGCATCAATTACATCTGATTAGGGCCTACCCTAAAGATCTTATTTTAATGTAATTACCTCTTTAAAGACCTTATCTCCAAATATGATTACGTTCTGAGATGCTGGGGATTAGGACATCAACATAGAAATTTTAGGGGTACACAATTCCACCCATAACATTGCCATCACTCTGCTCCAGGCACACTGGTCTCCCTATTGTTCCCGCATTATGAAATGGACATAATAATAGTACTTTCCTCATAGAATCAGTATAAGGATTAAATTAGGTCACATATACAAAGCATTTAGAACAGTGTCTGGCACGTAACAGATGCTCAAAATATGTTAGCTGTTGGGGTTGGGGTTGTTATGGTTGTTGTGGTTGCGTAATACTCTGTTTGACCAGGGGGATATTGTGCCCCTGAAAATTGGCTGCTGGAACGTCACTGCAATGATTAAATGGGGACAGAGATGGTGCAGATGGCCACATCCAATAAATAGAAAGAAAAGCTCAAATGTCCCTTTATCAGGGAGGTCTTCCCTAACCCCCACTAAAATACCAAACACACACACACACACACACACACACACACACACGTTACTCTCTATCTTCCCTATTCTGATATGGCATTTATTACCCCATGATAGGTTATAAATTACTAGTTTCCTTATGATCTGCCTTCACTGTCAATCTTCTACCTGACAATAAGCTCCACGAGGGCCAGAACTTTGCCTGCTTTATTTTTAGAGCCTAGAATGGGAGCTGGCAATACTAGGACTCAATAAACATTTGTTGACCAAATGAATGAGTGGTGAATGAACAGGTGTGCTCTTCCAGGCCCAGGCTCCCAAGGTCCCATCCCTAGAAAAAGGCGAGTGGTGAACTTAAGAAACAAAACAGACCAAAAGAGCCCTTTTTCTTTTTCTTTTTTTCCCAACTTTTATTTTAGATTCAGAGGGTATGTGTGTAGGTCTGTTACCTGGATATGCTGCATGATGCTGAGATTTGGGGTACAAACAATTCCGTCACCCAGGTACTGAGCAAAGTGCCCAATAGTTAGTTTTTCAGCCCTTGCTCTGCTCCCTTCCTCCCCTCTCTAGTAGTCTCCATTGTCTATTGTTGCCATCTTTATGTCCATGATTACCCAATGTTTAGCTCTCACTTGTAAGTGAGAACATGTAGTATTTGCTTTTTTGTTCCTGCATTAGTTCACTTACAATAATTGCATCCATGTTGCAAAGAACATGATTTCTTTCTTCTTTATGGTTGCATAGTATTCCCTGGTGTATATGTACCACATTCTGTTTATCCAGTTTACCACTGATGGACACCTAGGTTGATTCCATGTCTTTGCTATTGTGAATAGTGCTGTGATGAACCTGCGAGTCCATGTGTCTTTTTGTTAGAATGATTTGTTTTCTTTTGAATATATACCCAGTCATGGGATTGCTGGGCCAAGTGGTAGTTCTATTTTAAGTAAACGAGCACTTTTTCAAATGAATGCTCTGTAACCTGTTGGGAACAAGGTCACGTGCAGCAGTAAGTTTGGGGCAATGAGCAAAGACTTCTCCAGAATACATCAGTGGGGTGTGGTATGGGTACAACGCCCCTTCAGCAACATCCACAGAGTGTGATGATGGAACCAACAACAGTGGCTGCACCAGATGGCAACTTGGCATGGTGATAGCACACAGACTCAGCACTTGGCAGAGGCAGTACCTTGTGGGGACAGGCTGTGGCCCAGGCAGCCTTGGTGGTTGATGCTGTCATCTTCAACTGGCATACCATGGAGGAACCGACAGCTCCCGGGGATGGTGGTGGCAGTGCCCTGGATGGCAGGCACAACCACGTCATGACGGCATCTGGAGCTTTCTAGTGGGTGCCAGACCCTTTCACAGCAGGGCTGGTGGGAAAGCCGTGGGAGAGCATGCTCTTGGCACTCAGGGCAGGCACCAGCCCCAAAACTCCTCAGGCAGCAGACACCATCCAGCGGGGCTCCAGAAATGAAGACCCCAACAGCTGACACATGGAACCCAAGAGTGGTGTTCTTACCGGCACTCGAGGACAGTCTAGAGGACCCATAGAAATCATAGGATGCTATCTTAGAGAGAACGGAAGCCCCCATAACTGTGGAAGGGGAAAGTGGCTGGAAAAATATTGTTTGTTTTTGTTAATAGGACTCTAGTGTGGACAGAGAAAACTTGGATTAAACACTGTGCTGGGCATCATCTGTGGTCCTTAACCACGGTCCCACCTTGGCATGCTCTCTCCAGCAAAGCAAGGGAGGAAGCCTGAAGACCCCATTAGTTTCTGTCACAAGAAGCACTCACTATGGTTTCTGGGAAGCACTCACTCAGAAGGTGGGAAGAAAGTGGAAGCTAGTTTTCTTCCACCTCCGCCAGTAGAATGCAGGGACCTGGACCCCTGCAGGGATGTTAGCAGCTTTCTGCATTTTCTGGGCTCTGGATAACATCATCCCTCCCTGCTTTTTGTTCTCAACAGCCCTTCCAATAATCTTGTGGCCTAATTCCTATATTAAATTCGCCTCTGCCTAAATACCTACAGCAATTTGTGTCTTCCAACTGATAACCCTAACTAATGCAAATAGGTATTAGGTTGGTGAAAAGTCAAGAATTTTGCACCAATCTAAAATATTTTCCATTTTTATTATGGTTTATGATGTCTAAAAAGCTTGTGAATTATCTAAATTCTAGAACATCACTTTCCTGAGTCTCAGTTTCTTCATCTACAAAATAGGAGCAGGCCTGGCATGGTGGCTCACACCTGTAATCCCAACACTTCGGAAGGGTGAGGCAGGAAGATTACTTGAGGCCAGGAGCCTGGGCAACATAGAGAGATTTCCCTCTACAATTTTTTTTTTTTTTAATTAGCTGGGCAAGGTAGCATACTCCTGTAGCCCAGCTACTCGGGAGTCTGAGATAGGAAGATCACTTGAGCCCAGGGAGTCAAAGCTGCAGTGAGCTGTGATTGTGCCACTGTTCTCAGCCTGGGCAACAGAGCAAGACCCCATCTCAAAAAACAAAACAAAACAAAAAAAGAAGCTATAAGACCTCACTTGCAGGGTTATTGACAGAATTCAGTAGGATTAATTCTAGCTCAGAATTTAGCCCGGAGCTGGTGCTAACTTTTAGCCCTGGAACCCAGCTGACAGAACTAGATCATACCTAGTACTATGATTACATTAAAAATGAAAAACAAGACTATGAAAATAGCCCAGGAGAAATAAAACTGAACTGTTTACAATATAGGAATATCAACTCAACCAAATAGTTCAAAATCTCCCCTTCAGTTGCCAGGAATTCAATGTAGAAACACTCAAGTGGCATTTTATATGCCTTGGGGATCTGAGGGTGAATGGAAAACAGCTCATATTGGAAGGGGATGTAATAACATCAAGCAGTGTGCCAGTATAAGGGTGAGAAAGTAGCCTTATTTTAAATGTCCATGTGCCATCCCACTAGGGTACTTTACAGTCAAAATATCTTGACAAGCTTCTAGTTGCCAAATACCCGCCTTCCATTTTAAAGCATGCTATTTCAGTAGTGTTGCTCTCCGAGAGGTTGTAAGCAAACTGAGATTTTCTAAATCTACTATCATGCCCCTACTGACTTAAATTATAACTTGCAGAGGTTTTGTTTCTAATTCCTGATTCTTTTCAACTCTAACACTTAGCTGAAATATCCCTGCTTTCTCTACCCAGCTTGCGCCAGTCAGAGTTCTTAGTTGAGAAAAATAGAAGGCATTTTAGCAGTGTACCCAGAAAAGGAATTTATTAAAGGACATGAGATCATTTACTGAAATTCCTGGAGGACTAGAGTCAGGTTGAGAGTCCATGCAACATGCAAGCCATGCTGCAGGGCAGCTCCAGGAAAGACATTTCTCATCAGTGGATATAGAACTGCAGCTCACACCAGAAGCTGACCCCACATTCTGGTTGCCAGACCTCTCTTTCTTCTGTTCTTCAAGGCTGGATGCCTCACTAACCCCTGCCATCTGAAAACTGGATTCTTGGATCCAGCTGTTTCCTACTATTGTTTTCTTCCAAATTAAAGTGTCCCGTGGGTGAGTTTGATTGGAGAAATCAAGATCATATGTCTGTTCCCTACCTGCAAGAAAGGCTGGAAAGGAAGATAACTTCTATCTTGGGAAGTAGGGTAGGCGACTTACATCTTGGGAAATTCATAAACTCCAACAATTATCATCTTTACACAATCCTTCTGTCAGTGTAAGCAAAGATCTTCAAGGTGGAATTAATTAATTAGAGATAAAGAAGTACCTGCCATGAAACCAGAAATGTGTTTGGTTCTTTATGGAAGTTTACATGTGCAGAAAAAGCCATTTTATACGCAGCTTCAAGGAGCTTATAATTTAATTGAAGAAATAGGCAACCAGCTGATACCTATGTGCTACGGTTTGAATGTGTCCTCTGCAAAATTCATGTTGAAATACCCTGCTGTAATGGTATTATTACTGGTGGAGTCGTCCAGATTCTTGGGCATTTTGAACAAAGAGTTGGACAAAAGGCACAAACAAAGCAATGAAAGACTGAAGCAACGAAAGCAAAGATTTATTGAAATGAAAGTACACTCCACAGAGTGGGAGTGGGCTTGAGCAAAAATCCCAAGGGCTCTGGTTAAATAATTTTCTGGGGTTCAAATACCCTCTAGAGGTTTATCATTGGTTACTTGGTTACACCCTATGTAAATAAAGACTTGGCCCTCGACCAGTCTGATTGGTTGTGGGAGGGGACCAGTCAGAGGTACTTTCCATTTTTCTTCTGCCCCACAGTTAAAAGGGTGGGAGTTGCAAAGGGAGTAGCCTCTGACCCTTTTGTTAATTGCACATGGAGGGGTGGGGTTTTCCTTTTGATTCAGGTCTAGGAAATCAGTGTGAATTGGCCTTAGGTTCCCTGCCTCCAGACCCTATTCTCCTGTTTCTGTATTAAGAAGTTGGGCCTTTGGGGAAGGGAGGAAGTCACTAATGTCTAGAGTGCCTTATAAAATGTCTAGAGGGCCGGGCGCGGTGACTCACGCCTGTAATCCCAACACTTTGGGAGGCCGAGGAGAGCGGATCACGAGGTCAGGAGATTGAGACCATCCTGGCTAACACAGTGAAACCCCGTCTCTACTAAAAGCACAAAAAAATTAGCCGGGTGTGGTGGTGGGCGCCTGTAGTCCCAGCTACTCGGGAGGCTGAGGCAGGAGAATGGTGTGAACCCAGGAGGTGGAGCTTGCAGTGAGCCGAGATAGCGCCACTGCACTCCAGCATGGGCAACAAAGTGAGACTCTGTCTCAAAAAATAAAAAAATAAATAAAAAATAAATTAAAAGGTCTAGAGGTAACTCGCCTAGGGCCTTTTAGCTCTTCTGCTCTTCCACCATGTGAGGACATAGCAGTTGTCCCTCTCCAGAGGATGCAACAACAAGGCACCCTCTTGGAAGCAGAGAGCAGCTCTCACCAGACAATGAACCTACTGGTGGCTTAATCTTGGACTTCCTAGCCTTCAAAATTGTGAGAGAGAGAAAAAAATCTTTTCTTCATAAATCACCCAGTCTCAGGTATTTTATTATAGCAGTAGGAACGGGCTAAGCCACTGGGGCTGGTAATTCACAGTAGCATAGACTTTGGACATTTAGGAGGTTGATATCTGTAGACCTTTGGGGTCTCCAAATTTATAAATATGGATAATATGATCACTGAAAATCACATGATTCCTGAATGTATCCTTATTGCCTTTTCAACTTTCACTTACGTTTTCTCTTTAATTTGGTGCTATTTTAAAACAAACGGAGTTTCATTTTTGAAGAATACATGAAACAAATGACCAGAGATCCACAAAGACCAGTTGAGATGAGAATGATGGGTGGTCAGATGGGCTTAGTAGTAATTTCCTCAGGATCAAATAACTGTGCTTAAAAGGTTAATGAGAAAAGGTCAGGGAAGGTTCAAAAGAGGAAGCAAAAATTTCAAACTTCTTTCTATGGACTAGAACAGTGGTCTCCAATCCCTGGGTTGCACACTGGTTTTATCAATGTCCAACATGCATTTATTGAGCACCTACCTAGTACTGTGAGGCAAAGGGGATATAGCAGGGAACCAGACAATGCCCCTGCATTTCTGGGGCTTCTATCCTAGTTGAGGAGAAAACACACACTAAATATTTATTTGGTTCCATGTGATAGGTCTGCAAAGGGGAAACACGGGCCATGATGAGAATTGGACAGCAGGATTTAACCTTACCAGTAGGTTCTGCTCAGGCTTTCATGAGAGTGATATTAAAGCAGGCCTCTGAGTATTCATGTCTTGACATGGAATCAACCTAAATGCCCATCAACAGTAGACTGGCTAAAGAAAATGTGACACATATACACCATGGACTACTACGCAGCCATGAAAATGGATGATCCTTTGCAGCAACATGGATAGAGCTGGAGGCCATTATCCTAAGCAAACAAACACAGGAACAAAAAACCAAATACCACATGGCCCCATTTATAATTGGGAGTACAAATGGACACAAAGAGGGGAACAACACAGTGGGAACTACTTGAGGGTGGAGGGTGGGAGGAGGGTGAAGGTCAAAAAACTACCTATCAGGTACTGTGCTGGATGACACATCCAGCATGATATCAGGTATTGCCTAGATGATGAGATAATCTGTACACCAAACCCCTGTGATATGAAATGCACTTATATAACAAACCTGCACAAGTACCCCTGAACCTGCAATACAAGTTAAAAAAATAATAAAGCAGGCATCAGAACAGCAAGGAGGAATTGGTGGGAAGGAGAAGCAGAAAGATTCCAGTAAGTGGAAACAACACGTGCTAGGGTCCAAGTTGCTTTACCTCTGTGGACTTTTAGATTTGAACGATTAAAGTAGGGACAATAGTACCTACTTTGCAGGATGATGTGAAGATAAATGACCTAAGTACCCGAAGTGAACATTTGTCACTGTTGCCACCCATCATCCAGGCAACTCTTCTATCTGGTGGGCATCCTAAGTCAGGTGGAAGCCACAGCCCACCTACCATTACGGAGGCCAGAGGAAGTAAAAAGATCCTCTCCCAGCTCCCTGACAGGTACTGCCTGGGCCTGTGATCCAGGCTGGGCCAATCAGATGCTCCTGTCCAACCTCTGAATCTGGAGGTAAAGAAGCAAAGATGAAGGATTAGAGAGATTATTTGTAACGGCTTCAGAGATGACGCAAGTCCAGCCACACAGCAGAGAAAGTCCTAGGAGCAGAAACCAAGCATAGCAGGAACCACAATGATGCTGGGTGATGCTGGAGGCAGCGTCCTGGGCAGATCCTCCCTGTGGTGTGGCCTCGACCATCCCTTTCCTCCCCTGCAATCCACTTGTCCTTTGAGTCTGGTTATCCAGACATTTCGTCATTTCTGTGGCCTAGCTCACATTCTTTTGATATATTCATTTTTCCACTCAGGTTAGCCAGACTGGATTTCTATTGTTTGCAACCAGAAACCATGATCTCAGCACCTAAAAAACTAAAGAGATTAAAAAATGAAACCTAAAACAAAATATTTAAGATATTTAGCTGTTGCTGGAAGAATCTGATGTAGTAGTAGAAATAAGAGGTAAGCTTTCTTCCAAGTATACAGCAATTGCAACTACACTTTAAATGGCTCTTGGGCAAAAAAAAAACAAAAGTCTATATTCAGGATGAATGTTAATAAAAAGCAGCTAGAATAATAGTAAGATGCCAGGCCCTCCACACCCCTTTCTGGTTCCAATATTCCTGTAGTTTAAACCAGAGCACAATAGCCAGGTCATTGGACAGAATGAATGTTAATATATGCCCAGGAAATAGCTGAGCTTTAATTCAAAAGTCATAGGTTGCTCTGAGACATACAAGCTGGACTGCCATGTAGCAGTTAGGAGAGACAAATGGCTACAGAACTTAGATGTAAATTTTTTTAAGTGCTTAATTGGTGCAGCATGTGATGGGACATGTACTCCAGGATTTAATAAAGTATAGATTATCTGGATCAAATTGAGGCCATTTGCAAAATCGAGTTACTAGATAGCCATTTTTTAAACGACTCGTGCTACCAGGAAGGGCTATTGCACAAATGATTGTCTGCATTATCCCTGAAGGGTGCTCTGCTTGTCATGAAGCAGAGCTCCTGGAAAACCTGTCACATGTTATAAAACCCAGGTTTGTGACAACTGACTTTAGCAGTAGGGAAAAGAAGAAACTTAACCAACATAATCAAAAAGCAGGTAGAGGACAGTTATCACCCTTAACCTTGGCATCTGGCCGCTTCTTACCACTTCCAGATCTATCTCTCATCTGAGTTGCTGCAATGGTTTTCTGACTTGTTTCTGGTTAAGAAAAATAAAAACAGAGACCACCTTTTAGATATACCCCAAGGCCAACCACCTGCAGCCGCATAGCCAAAACAAGTCATTCTGATTACCCTGAAACCCTTCCTCTAGTCATAAACACAAAACCTTGCCTTTGCATCCTTGTCAGCATGATTCTTTGAAATTAAACCAATCAACTATAGACAAATCAGCGTAAAGAGCTTTGTTTGTCCTAAAAAGAATGATAATGTGATAATGTACAACGGCCAATCACAGGAAAGAACAAAATATCTCTCTTCTTATGCTTTACAAACTGTGCTGTCTGCCATAAGGCCAGCTTCTTACCACCTGGTTCCAAGTCTCCTGCATTGCGATCTGTAATTTTTCTTATTGTATGACAGTAAACTTTTAAAAATTTTAGTTTGATCTGGTCTTATCTTTGACATCTCCGTATTTCCACTCTTCTCCCTTATGGTCTATTTCTCATCACAGCAGCCAGAGTGATCCCCTTTTTTTTTTTTTTTTTTTTTGAGACGTAGTCTCACTCTGTCGTCCAGGCTGGAATGCAGTGGCATGATATTGGCTCACAGCAACCTCCGCCTCCTGGGTTCAAGCAATTCTGCTGCCTCAGCTTCCCGAGTAGCTGGGATTACAGGCATGTGCCACCACACCCGGCTAATTTTTCTATTTTTAGTAGAGACAGGATTTCACCATGTTGGTCAGGCTGGTCTCAAACTCCTGACCTCGTGATTCGCCCACCTCAGCCTCCCAAAGTGCTGGGTTTACAGGCGTGAGCCACCGCACCTGGCCCAGAGTGAGCCTTTTAAAACCTGAGTCAGATTATGTTCCTAATCACAACTCTCCAGTGCTTCCCCATCTCAAATCAGGAAATAATCAAAGTCCTTACAGTGGCTTACAAGACCCTAATGATCTGTCAATACCCACCCCCACCCATACACACACTCTCACACACCCACACACACACTCTCACACACTCATGCACACACTATCAAACACCTCCCCCCACACACATCTCTGACATCATCTTGTACCACTCTCCCCTTCACTCAACTCCAGCCATTCTGGTCTGCTTGCTACTCCTAGAAGAATCCCAAGCTCCAAAACATGCTCCTGTCTTAGGGCATTTGCTTCAGCTGTTCCCACTGCCTGGAACTGTCTTGCCCAAGATACCCACTTAGCTCACTCCCTCCACCTTCTGTAAGTCTGTGCTAGAATGTCTCCTCATGAGACCTGCCTTAGACTCTCTATTTAAAATTGCAACTCACAGCTCCCTCTGCATGCTCCTGAGCTGTTTTTCCCTATCGTGTACCCTAGCATGTATCTTAGCACGTACCCTGCATGCCTTCTCTGCTAGTGCACTCTCTGCTTTACTTATTATCACATTTATGGATGGTTATATGTCTCCCTCCTAGAATATAAGCCCTATAATCACAAGGATTTTTGTGTATTTTGTCCACTGTTGTATCTCCCTAACCTATAAGAGTATTTAGCATTTAGTAGATGCTCAATAAATATGTGCTGAATAAATAAGTGACTGTCTCAGGGGAGAAATAAAGCAGACCAGAAAATAGAGAAAGTCTTTCTGAGTTTCTAAAACTCTGAGCCTCTGAGCAACAGAAAGGATAGGGTGTAGACAAAATGCTTGGGAGAAACATGAGAGAGGATTTTCCTTCTCCCTACACACTAGAAAAATATTTGAGGGGGTTGAAGGAAAGTGACAAAAGCAGAGAGTTTGGTGAGTCCTGGAGAGTGACATTTATGCCCCATGGACAGAACCCCAGGGAAGCCTCAAGACCCGTGAGTGCGGATGCCTCATTGATGCCTCTATTCAGAGAGGACCAGAAACAGCATCTCAGGGAGGTGCACACCCCAAGAAGGAGCAGAGCAGCAGAGAGAGACACAGGGCCAAATATGGCCACCTGTACAGAAAGGAGAGCAGTCTCAGTGGGCATCCGTGTACCCAGGCTGTCTCTCCAAAAATCTTGTCAGTGTGTAACCCATCTCCCCTGCCAAACCTTCACACAGCTCTGAGAAAGTAGAGTGAGCCAAGCACAGTGGCTCACACCTGTAATTTCAGCACTTTGGGAGGCTGAGGTGGAGGATCACCTGAGCCCAAGAGTTTGAGACCAGTCTGGGGAATATAGTGAGACCCTGCCTCTACAAAAAAATTTAAAAATTAACCAGGCATGGTGGCACATGCCTAAAGTCCCAGCTACTCAGGAAGCTGAGGCAGGAGGATTGCTTGAGCCTGGGAGGTGGAGGTTGCAGTGAGCCAAAATTGTGCCACTGCACTTCAGCCTGTGCAACAAAGCAAGATCCTGTCTCAAAAAAAAAAAAAAAAAAAGTACAGTGATCTCTAAAGACTAACTTAACTCCCCACTATCCCATTGGAATAAAGGGAGAAATCATAAGTTATGCAAAAATGAAATTATATTTTCGGCACACCAGAGTTCAAATTTACCTCATTTTATGTTAAAAACAATCACTAATATTTTAAGGGATGGAATAAATTTTAAAGAAATGTTGGTCATGTGCCAGGCAGAGTACAACTTGGTTCCCAGGAGCCTGGGATGAGCATTTCGTATCCTCTGCTGACCTTGAGTGTGCGTCTGTAGGAAAATTAGAGACACGTGAGGCTGCTGCACACAGCTGAGTAATTGCCATGGCAACTAAAGGCCCATCACCTGAGCTTTATTCCAAACTGAGTTATCAAGAGCAAATTGCAGACAGTCTTAGAAAATAGAAAATGGAAAATTCACCTTCTCTCCCTTCTCCTTCTTTCTCATGATATTGGAGTTCTAAAAGTATCCCATCCCTCCTCCTAAAATTATTCCGAATGCCTTTTTTTTCTTTCTCGGATTTGCTGTCTGATTCATATATCCTTGTGCTTGATGGGGTGAGGGATTGGGATAAAATTAGCTCACCACAGTTCCCTTAGCAGGGTCACCTCACATATCTCACATTGGCAAGGCTGGCAGAATGACAGAGTGTCCCCAGTGAGGCCACTTTGGGACAAGCACATCTCTGGTCTGTTGAAGGGGATCCATGACCTCATCACTCTTGTCTGGAAGGGATCATAACTGAGATAGAAAAGTTGTCATGTCAGGCTGCTTCTGGACCTGAGGTTGTGTTAATGAATAAATGATGACTTTCTGACCAGATCTTTATAGTTTTTTTCTATCATTTAAAGTAGAAGATGGTACACATAAAATGATTTGGAATATGGTTCAGGTGATGGGTTCGTTAGTTGCCATGGTGATTACTCAGCCATGAGTCAATGTTCCTTCTTTAAACAGTTCCAACATCTTAATAAGCATAAAAATCAACTGCAGCCAGGTGCAGTGGCTCATGCCTGTAATCCCAGCACTTTGGGAGGCCAAGGTGGGAGGATCACTTGGAGCTGGGAGTTTAAGACCAGCTTGGGCAATAAAGGGAGACCCCGTCTCTATAAAAATATTTATTTAAAATACTGGCAGAGCATGGTTGTGCATGCCTGCAGTCCCAGCTACTTGGGAGGTTGAGGTGTGAGGATCGCTTGAGCCCAGGAGTGTGAAGTTACAGTGAGTATGATGATTGCACCACTGTACTCCAACCTGGGTGACAGAGCAAGACCCTGTCTCTTAAAAAAAAAATCAACTACAGAGTGTGTCTAAAATATTTATTCCTGGGACCCTTCTTCAGGATCTGATTCAGTAGGGCTGGGTATGGGCCCCGGGAATTTGTGTTTTTAACAAACACCCTGTCTTAGTCTATTTTACCTTCCTACAAAGGAATACCTGAGGCTGAGTAATTCATAAAGAAAAAAAGCCCGGGTGCAGTGGCTCACGCCTGTAATGCCAGCACTTTGGGAGGCCGAGGCAGGCAGATAACTTGAGGTCAGGAGTTCGAGAGCAGCCTGGCCAACATGGTGAAATCCTGTTTCTATTAAAAATACAAAAATGTTCTGGGCATGGTGGTGTGCACCTGTAATCTCAGCTACTCGGGAGGCTGGGGCATAAGAATTTCTTGAACCCAGGAGGCTGAGGTTGCAGTGAGCTGAGATCATGCAGAGACTCCGTCTCAAAAAAGAAAAAAAGAAGTTTATTTGGCTTATGGCTCTGCAGATTGTAAAAAGCATGGTACCAGCATCTGTTTTTGGTGAGGGCTTCAGGAAGCTTCCACTCATGGTGGAAGGGGAAGGGCAGCTGATGTGTGCAGATCACATGATGAGAGAGAAACAAGACAGAGCCGGGAAGGAGATGCCAGGCTCTTTTTAACAATCAGATCCTGAGTGAATTCATAGAACAAGAAGTCCCTCATTACCGTAGAGGGGGACACCAAGCTGATCATGAGGGATCCGCCCCCATGACCCAAACACAACCCACCAGGTCCCACCTCTCACACTGGGGCTCAAATTACAACATGAGATTTGGAAGGGATAAATATCCAAACCATATCACACTCTCGCCCCAGGAAGATTCTCATTCAGGTGATCTTCACACCACACTGTGAGAAATACAGCACACCCAAAGGCTTTCCTGAGTAAGGTTAGTGAAATGTCACTAGTTTGTAACTAATAATGTCACAGATTTGGCAAAATGTCAATGAGTAACAGCTGACTTTGGGGTGGGAGGACCTCACTGCAGTAGAGTCTTTCTACCTGAGCTATGTGCCCTTGGGCTAGTTCCATGACCTCAGTTTTCTCATCTGTATTTCCTTTATGCAGAGGATACCTAAAATGTGTGGAAATGAATAACTGATACAAAATTACAAACCCCTGAATATCAAGTACACACACAGGTTGGCAAAAAAGAGTTAATTCCAGACTGTTTCACATTAAAATAGACATTACTTTTTTTTTTTTTTTTTTTTTTTTGAGACGGAGTCTAGCTTTTTCACCCAGGCTGGAGTGCAGTGGCACGATCTCAGCTCACTGCAACCTCTGCCTCCCAGGCTCAAGCGATTCTCCTGCCTCAGCCTCCCTGGTAGCTGGCACTACAGGTGCATGCCACCATACATATTTTGTATTTTTACAAAAACACAAAATTTTTTGTATTTTTAGTAGAGAGGGGGTTTTACCATGTTGACCAGGCTGGTCCCAAACTCCTGACCTCAAGTGATCCACCTGCCTCAGCCTCCCAAAGTGCTGGGATTACAGGTGTGAGCCACCATGCCCAGCCCAAAATAGACATTACTTTTTTAGAACACTTAGAGTAATTATTTTAGGGAACACACTCCCGTTCTCCTTTGAAAGAAAAGCCCAATCTCCTACCTCGATTTTGAGATTTTATTTGGATTTTGTATCTTCTAGCCTCTAGAGCTGTGGTCATAAAAAGTAATGAAAGTTTTATAAAAAGTTTTCTCACTTTGCCTTAAATGTATATGCGTACACATTTTCGTGTAGAAGACTTAAAATATTACATATATGGTTATACTGGACTGCAAAGAAGTGAATGGAATTGAACTAACTGTTGGAATTGAATTAAATCTGTTTCTAATTTTCCCTTGAAAAAGAGCAACCTCATGGGTCAGTTATACCTTATAGACAAAATTATGCTTTTTAAATGACAAAAATACTGAATCATGGAATTTTAGGCTGATCTAGGAGGTCCTCCATTGCTATCACTTACATTCATAGATTTTGACCATTACACCTAAGCAAAATTCTCAGAACTGTCCAAATTGTTTTGTTGTGTTGGAGTTTTATCATGTTTATTAAAACTTGAAATAGGTTCACTGGGATTCAAATATCTTTGTCATTCAGGTTTGTTGTGTTTGCTGGTTTCTTTGATTTTTAGTATCTGGATTTGACTTCTGTAAGTGCTTCAAACTATATTTGGTTTTTTATTTGTTTTTTTGTTTTGTTTTGTTTTGTTTTAGGGGATTGATATGGTTTGGATCTGTGTTCTCACAAAGTCTCATGTGAATTGTAATCCCCAGTATTGGGGGAGGTGCCTGGTGGGTGGTGATTGGATCATGGGGCAGATCCCTCATGAATGGTTTAGCTCCATCCCCTGGGTGCTGTTCTCATGATAGTGAGTGAGTGAGTGATCATGAGATCTAGTTGTTTTAAAAGTGTGTGGCATCACCCCACTCTCTGTCTTGCTTCTGCTCCAGCCATGTAAGATGTGACTGCTTCCCCTTCTGCCATGATTGTAAGTTTCCTGAGGCCTCCCCAGGAGCCAAGCAGATGCCAGCATCATGCTTCCGGTAAAGCCTGTAGAACCGTGAGCCAATTAAACCTCTTTTTTTAAATAAATTGCCCAGTCTCAGGTATTTCCTTATAGCCATGCTAGAACAAGCAAATACAGAAAATGGATTAGGTGGGGGGAGTTGTTTGAAATTATAGCAAAACAAACTGATAAGAGGACTTTAACCAAAAGGCATTTTTAAAGGAATAATCACAAGTGATTATTGCAGTCTACATTAAAACCAGTATTTCTATATTGACTGTTCTGTGAGGTTATTCTTTTCACTAGAATGACCACCCCAAGGTCCTAAAAGAGGCACATTTATCAAATAAGTATCTAACTATATATTCACTCTTCTACTCACTAATAGAATGAACTAATAATACATATTAGAAATGTCAGCTTTTAAAGGTGACATAATTTTCTTGTTCATCCTTCCTTAACTAGAAAATGCAATTCCCTTTCATTCTATTCTAAGAATTCTATTACTTGAAGTTTACCTTTGTTTGTTTTTTGAGACAGGGTCTCACCCTGTTACCCAGGCTGGAGTGCAGTGGCATGACAATGTTTCACTGCAGCCTCAACCTCCCAGGATCAGGTGATCCTCCCACCCCAGCCTTCTGAGTGGGAAGGGTCTAAAGGCATGTGCCATCATGCCTGGCTAATCTTTGTATTTTTGGGGGTAGAGACAGAGTTTCGCCATGTTACCCAGGCTGGTCTCCAACTCCTGACCTCAGGTGATCCACCCGCCTCAGCCTCCCAAAGTGCTGAGTTTACAGGAGTGAGCCACTGTGCCCAGCTTGAAGTTTTTCTTTTTTTTTTTCTTTTTCTTTTTTTTTTTGAGACAGAGTCTCGCTCTGTCACTCCAGGCTGGAGTGCAATGGCACAATCTCGGCTCGCTGCAACCTCCTCCTCCTGGGTCCGAGCAAGTCTCATGCCTCACCCTCCCAAGTAGCTGTGATTACAGGTGCTTGCCACCATGCCTGGCTAAGTTTTGTATTTTTAGTAGAGATAGGGTTTTACCATGTTGGCCAGGCTCTTCTTGAACTCCTGACCTCAAGCAATCCACCCGCCTCAGCCTCCCAAAGTGCTGGGATTACGGGTGTCAGCCACCATGCCTGGCCTGAAATTTAACTTTTTGTTTGTTTAGAAATGAACTCTTAGGATTCTAATTTTGGTTGTTTATACCACCTAGGGATTAGGACAAATGTCACTGCCTTGAAATTCTTTTAAATGCTCCTTTTACTTTACATGGCTCCTTCTCTTTTCATTGTCTTACTTGCTTCCCGATTCATTATCATGCTTCAGAACAATCCCAAACCAGGAGGTAAAAGGCCCTTCCAAAGGTCCAAGGGGCTCAGGCCAGGCTGTAGCTGTTCCATCTCAGGATATGCCCAGTGGTGAGGGCACAGAAGTGGCAAAATGGCCTTGTAGAAAAGTATCAGACGTGGCTCAGAAAACCTGGTTCCCCTGGCCACCAGTGGTCTTGAGCCAGGCCTTTTGGTATTCTGGGCATTTTCCTCAGCTGAAAAATAAAGGGGAAAGATGAAATGTTCTGTGCAAGCTCTTCTGGTCCCAAAATATTATGACTTTCCAGTCAGCTTGTGCTTTGCTCCTGTGGTCACCCCAAAAACATGGCCAAATGAATAGATTCTACCAGGTACCTAGGAAGAGAAAGAAACCCCCTGGCCTCTTTGAGCTTCCCTGGCCTTTTATCAAAGAAGACATTTTTGAGATGAGAGAAACATACATGTTACCTAGCAACTTGTTCAGAGGCACAACTATTGAGATTAATGTGTAAAACTGTCTTAGTGGAAGATGTTTCAACTTTTGTCCTTTTATGAGTTGTTTTTTACATAAACCCAATAAGCAACACCTATTCCTGAATATCTGACAAAGCGTACTGTTTCTTTTCTCTTGATCTTTCCACAACACCTAATGTGACCCTGGCTGAGGAATCATCTTAGATTAGTAGATTTAACTACCATCTTTCCTAGACTTCATCCTGATCTTATCTGACTCTGAGCCTCACACAAACCCTGACATGTTCCATTTCACTCCAGGCACAATGCCTCGTTATTTCATATCAACTTCCCACGCTTTAGTTAACTCAGTGCTTAAAGCTTTGCTACGTTATCCTCACATGAGCTTACTCACATTTTTTGAGTAAATAACCATAAAATATTATGCCTATATATGATATATGAGTTATATTAAAGGAGAGATACACAGTCTAGTGCCTGCCACACAGTGGGTAGGCCTTCAGTAAGTGTTTGTTGAATGAATAAATGTCACTTAAATATTCTTCCCAAGACAATCCCTTCTGCTGTGCCTGGTAACATCCCTTCGCTTGCCAGCCATCCCTGCCACAGAACTTTGAGCCTATATGTTCAACATAGACCAAGACAATAGGCCCCAACTCTACAATAATTCTGTCATATGTATAATAGCCCTTATTATTAACACAATTTAAAAACAACCCACAAAAGCCTCCCAGCAGGTTTTTGTTACTCCCATGTGGACTTCAGTGTAAACATAGTCCCTGGCTGGCAGCATATTCTTCCTTTGAGTCAGAGCTGTTTACCAAGAACATAAAAAAGAGGGTGAGGAGGAGGTTCATTTTTCCGGGGCTCTGCAGGGTGTACAGCCAGTACCTTTCCAATTTTCACAAACAAACTTCCGTCTCTTTTATTGAAATACTTTTTCCATCAAGGCTCACTATGCCCAAAGCCGCATTCTACACTATAACATCTACTAAGATCTTTTGCTCCCAAATTTTCCTTAAAATCCCCTTTCGGGAATTACTGACCTCATTAAAAGTGATGGGGAGTGACGGACTTCATTCAGACAAATAGACCACCATACCCCTGCACATATCACCCCCTGTGGTGGAATGAATAGTGTCCCCCAAATATTCATGTTTACCTGGGACCTCTGAATATAATTTTATGTGGAAATAGCACCTTTGCAGATATAATTACTTAAATCAAGATGAGACAATACTGCAGTAGGGTGGGCCCTAAATCCAATGACTGGTGTTCTTATGGTGGTGTGCACCTGTAGTCCCAGCTACTACAGGCAGGCTGAGGTGGGAGGATTGCTTGAGCCCAGGAGTTCAGTTTGCAGTGAGCTGTGATCACACCACTGCACTCCAGCCTGGGTGACAAAATGAGACCCTGTCTCTAAAAACAAAAACAAAAAAAAGAAGGAGGAGAAGAGAGGACACATACAGACACACAGGGGAGGGAGCCATCTGATGACAGAGGCAGAGACTGGAGTGATACAGCTATAAGCTAAGGAACACTAAGAATTGCCAGCAACCTGGGAAAAGGTGAAGAAAGATTCCCTTCTAGAGCCTTCAGAGGGAGGACAGCCTTGCTGATACCTTGATTTCAGACTGTGGGATCCCCCAAGTAAAACTGTATTAAGGTAAGAAAGTATTGCTCTGGATTTTGTACCATGACACTATAGAATGGGAGGTCATCAAAGGCTTGGGCCATTATGAGGGGAGAGAAGAGAGGATTAAGCACAAAATCCCTGAGCTAAAGGTTTTACATGTACACACACATAATTTTATTTACTACTCAAATCAAAATGCTGTGAGATAGTGTATCAATAACGATGCTTTCGGAATCTGACAAATTTCATAGACAAAAAGGCAGTAAAGACACAAATACATTGAATAATAAAATAAATGAAATAGATAAAGCAACTTGTATGTTACAGAAAGAGAAAAGATTTGGTATCTGTCATATGGAAAACCTGCCTTTTTATTTGTCCGTGGATCACATACCAAATGTAAGATAAATCTCCCTGAGAATTCATAATAAGATGTGATATGGTTTGGTTCTGTGTCCCCACTCAAATTTCACCTCTAACTGTAATAATCCACACATGTTGTGGGAGGGACCTGGTGGGAGGTAATTGAATCACGGGGGCGGGTTTTTGCCATGCTGATCTCATGATAGTGAATAAGTCTCATGAGATCTGATGGTTTTATAAAGGTGAGCTTCCCTGCACATGCCCTCTTGCTACCACCATGTAAGACATGACTTTGCTCCTCCTTTGTCTTACACCATGATTATGAGGCCTTCCCAGCCTTGTGGATCTGTAAGTCAATTGAACCTGTTTCCTTTATAAATTACCCAGTCTCGGGTATGTCCTTATTAGCAGCCTGAAAACAGACTCATACAAGATGTGACTAGTCTCAAGAAGGAAGTGAACAAAGACATTGGTAATCATATAGGTAAATCTAAACAATCATTAGCAACAATAGTGACAAGTGACTGCTTTGAGGGATACAGAAACAAGGTGAAATTAAAGCCCTGGGCATGTAACAGTCAGCACCTACAATTGGAGGGTTTTGAATTATGCAGGAAGAAGATGGAAATATTGAATATAGATTTAAATTGAATATACCTCTTAAATATTAAGAAAAACTACTAAAAAGACACAGAAAGAGATTGTCAAACTTCCAAATCAGTAGAGAGATGCTAAAAGCAACGCTCTTCAACTATTCTCCAGGCCACCCTGACTCACCTCTGCCTTTCAGTTCTAGTGCACACCATCATGCTGCAGAATCAGGTTAGTGCTGAGCGACGGTGAGACCCTGTCTTAAAAAAACTGAGAGAGAGAGGACACATACAGACACACAGGGGAGGAGGCCACCTGTGTGTCTGTGACAGATGCAGAGACTGGAGTGATGCAGCTGCAAGCTGAGGAATACCAAGGATTACCAGCAACCTGGGAAGAGGCAAGGAATAATTTGAATTTGCTACTCCTCGACAATTAATTTGCTACTCCTGGTCCCATCAGCTGTGGCTGGAGGGATAGCAGCAGGGACATGATGAAACAGTGTCTGTAGTTAGGAAACAGGTATTTCCAAGACAGTGCAGGGGCTCCGCTAGCACCACAAAAGTATGTCTATTCTATGTGGTAGATTGAGGCCTCATGATTATATTACTATATTAAAAGCAAATCAAAGATTTTTATTTCCCAAGTGTCATCTACATAGCAACTTTCAGAATCTTTAGATTAACTTGCAAACAGACAAAAAAAAGAATATGATCTCCCTCTCCATACATACACCTACACGTGCTCGTGTGCACACACACGGATACACAAAGAAAGCACCCCACAGAACCCCAAAGGTATAATCTGTGTGGCACCATGTGGGCAGAAATGGATGCATGAGCAAAGCCAGAGCAGAAAGCGTCTCCAAACACTTACGCATCCTCCCACTGTCTTCCAAGAACATTGTGTTGAGTTTACAGCTTTAAAAATGTAATTAACACTTTTACTCAAGGGAGAGTAGGTCCTGAGAGTTTTAACAGGACACAGTAGAAGCAGATTCAAACCTCAGTGAGCAATGGTTTTCTCAAAGGGTAAATCAAGTACTATAGCCATTATTTTCTGGTCTCCTAGGAACCTGGAGACCAATATGAACTAGATCCACTTTTCTTAGAAGTCCACTATCATTGTTGTCATATCCCCCCATCAGATTTGCAAATTAAACCCTATCCAGTACAGCTCTAAAAGCAGCCCTATGATGAAAGCCTGGAAAAGCAATTTGAATAAATAGGATCTAAAACATTATGGCTTTCTGCTACGATAACGTCACCAAATGCTCCACTGACTTTGGAACTTGCAAGAGCAGTGTCCCTGCCGAGGCAGTTGGTGTCATGGGGTGAGTTGAGGGATGCTGCAAGGTTTGTCTTGCCTCAAAATATCTCACATATAATTCTGCCACATTGCCTGAAGCCCCATGTGAAAATACAAGTCTTTTACTTAGGAGGGAGAATTAGATGGTGATTTGGCATAATCATGAGGAGAGACAGAATTGACACATGTCGGTGAGAGGAGACGAGGCTCTGGAACAGGAGATGCTGCTCACAGGGTGGGGGAGCACCCTGAGCCCAGTGAAGGGGAAAGGAGGCTGGAGAAGTCACGGGGGCAGGTAAGGAGATGAAGGCGCAAAACAAAGCAAGCTTCACCCACTTAATTCTTCCACCTAGAGCTGAGAAGAGACTAAGTGTGGGGACTATTGGAGAAACTACCAGCTAAAATACACACCTTTGTTCTGGAACAGCTGCTTTATGCGAAGATACCATGACCACATTATTTTTACATTAAAATAAATTCAGATTTGCTTTGCAGTTAATTCACATGGCTATTTTAAAGGGGGGATAAACAGAAGGCTATTACTTCAAATTTCATGCTAATAGTGGACCTCTTAAACAGTGTCCCAGACATCTCAGATTTTCTCAGCTCTGTCCCTTCACCTGCATCTGCTGGTGAATGTCACTGTACACTGGGAAGAGCTGCTTGCATGAGCTTCAAGGATATAAAAGCAAGGAGCCTTGTTCTGGGGAATCAGTATCAAAAAGAGGACTGTAGTCCTAAGAACACATGTTATTTTCAATCAAAGTCCTTGAGAAATTTTTTTGCAGTTGAAACACTATTAGGGACTGTAAAACCAAAATAAGCCTGCTGTAAGCTCAGACAGGTCAGAATACAGAGATATCAACGCAGCACATTTCCATCCTGCCAGTCAGGATCTTCTCCTGCTTCAACTGATGGACACGCTCAATGTGTCTAAGAGGTGTTCAGTGCTGTTGGAGGAGACTCTGTTTCCAATTAAAGGTCTCCCTTTACTGGCAAGTTTAATTAATTCAGCTTTGCCTTTCAGTTGGTCTCTATATTATTAACAGGCTGTGGTGTGGTTGGGAAAGTGGAAAGGTACTGGTATGGTTGGGAACAGAAGATCTGTATTTAAGTCCCCAGTCTGTCTCTTACCAGTTGTGTGACCGTGAGTGGATCATTTTATCTCTCTGATGTTTGTTTTTCTCATCTGTAAGAGGGGGATTCAAATTGCTGGGCTGCTAGTCCCACAGGTTGCTGAAAGGATCAGAGAAGCTTGTGAAAGCACACTGTGGCCCATAGAACTTGTGGAGCTACCAGGACCCATTCTGATGGGAGACATTGGATCATTTGTGAACCATTTATTCCCTGTGACATCTCAATGTTTATCAGACATGTGGAGAGCTGCCACCTCATCTTCTGCTTTTACCATGGTTGATCTTTTCTCAATAGGCTGAAAGAAGACAAGATGCCAAGATGCTGAGATTCCCACTATGCCTTTACCATCTCTGTAAATTAGGACAAGTTACATACCCTTTGTGAGGTTATCACCAGGAAAATTAGGATCATGATAGATAACTTGTGGAGTTGTGAAGATTACATGCAACAGGCATCTAATACATAATAATTTCTATTATGATGTTTTCTCTCTCTTCATCTGTTCACAAGTGTTTTATGGAAGTCCCAAAAGGTGGCCTGGATCATTTGGTTTAAAGCCCCCTTAAAGGATCCTGGAGCACCTCCCATTGGAGCTGTATCAGATATTTCCCACTGGAGTATTAATAGTTAGATAATAGATATAGGGCTATTTAGGTTATCTGTTTCTTCTTGAGGAAGCTTCAATCATTTGCATCTTTTGAGGAATTTAGTGGGGAGAGTGCTCTTAGAAGCCATCTAGCAAAGTGGTTCTCAAACTGTAAGGTATGTCAGAATCACTGCAGCTCTAGACACTAATTCAAATGTTGTAACAAATATTACAATGGATAAAATTGTAACCTGAGGTAACTGTTACTTCCCCACAATTCCCGTTTGCTAAAATATAAAACTGCCATATAACTAGTAGTCCTGCATTTATAAAAAGACAGCAATCTTGTTAAGAAAACTATTAGTTGCAAACTAATTAATGAAGCACCATCTGTGAGATTCAGTGTTCTTTGCATGAGCTGTGACTAGTCATCTAGGCAAATTTTTATGCTTTTTATCACAGATGGGAAAGAGAAAAGGGTGTAACCTTTGTGTGAATTATCCTATTAGATGCATATGCTACACGGTTTAGAAAATTTTATTTATTATCTGGTATAAACATATTCATTTTCATACTCTTCCTAGAAAACCTGATTTAATCTATATCTAACTTTGTATTCTCCAACTGATCCCAAATATTGTCTCCAGATCAGTGTTTACAAAATACCTGCCTCCTTTTCAATCTTCAGTTAAAACTTAAACTCTTTAACTTGGGATTCAAAACCTACACTCCAATCCTTCCCCATCTCACCAAACTTAGCTCTCATGACCAACCTACTCTCACTGTTATTGCTCGACTCCCTTACAGCCAAATTCATATTCTAGTGGCTCCCAAATCTGTTCACCCATTAGCTTTGCCTGGAATGCCACTCTATGGCCTCTTCCTCCTCTCTGGTTGTCAAAATCCTACTTATTCTTCAAGGTAAGGCACTTCATCCAGTGATTTCTCCCATATGCTCTCAATGCTTATTCATTTAAAAAAGACTTATGGCCGGTCATGGTAGCTCATGCCTATAATCCCAGCACTTTGGAAGGCCAAGGCGGGAGGATCACTTGAAGCCAGGAGTTCAAGACTAGCCCTGGCAACACAGTGAGACACTGTCTCTATGAAAGATTTAAAAACATGTTTTCTTTAAATTAGCTGGGCATGATGGCATGCACGGGTAGTCCTAGCTACTCAGGAGGCTGAGGTTGGGGGATCACTTGAGCCCAGGAGTTTGAGGCTGCAGTGAGCTATGATTGTGCCACTGAACTCCAGCCTGGGTGACAGACCCTGTCTCAAAACTTTTTTTAATAACAGTTAACAATAATTTATTATATATTTCAAAATAGCTAGAAGAGAAGATTTGGAATGCTCCCAACACAAGGAAATGACAAATGTTTGAGGCAATGAATATCCTAATAACCCAGATTTGATCATTATGCATTGCATGCTTGTATCAAAATATTACATGTGCCCCATAAATAGGTACAACTATTGTATATGCATAAAAATAAAAATCAAAACATGTTTACAGAGCTCTTAAAATTTTATTGCAGTTACACAGTCTGTAAAAAATAACATGGCATTTTAGTTAACTGGAATGTTTCTATTTTAAAAATTAGTTCTATTGAGGTATAATCAACATAGTGTAAAACTTTCACTAAGGTGCAGAGTTCTATGAGTTATTTTTTTAAAAAACAGTTTTATTGAGGTGTAATGAATATACATGCATGTATTTAAAGTGTAAAATGTGGTAAGATTGACATATGTATACATTGGTGAAGCCATTACCCTGTCCCCAGGCAACCACTGATCTGCTTTCTGACAATATAGTTTACATTTTCTAAAATTTTCTATAAATGGAGTAATACAGTATGCATTTCTTTTTGCTTAGCTTCTTTTACTCACCATAATTATTTGGAGATTCATCTATATTGTTATGTATTATCAATAGTTCATTCCTTTTTATTCTCAAATAGTATTCCATTATGTGTACATACCACAGTTTATTTATCCATTTATCTGTGACAGACATGTGAATTGTTTCCAGTTAGGAACTTTACAAATAAAGTTGCTATGAACACTCATGTCCAAGTCTTTTCTTGATTATATGATTTCCAAGTTTCATTTGTTCCACGTGCTAACCAACTCGTGATATGGGCCATCTCTTTAATTGTAGACAACCTAATTTAATCTTAATTTACATTTTTAAATAACTAATGGTGTTAGATATCTTTTCATGTGCTAATTTGCCATTTATATAGCTTCTTTGAAATGTTCATTTAAATTATTTGCCCACTTTATAATTGCATTGTTTTCATATTGTTTTGAGAGTTGTTTACATATTCTGGATGCAAATCCTTTATCAGATATAATATTTGCAAATATTTTCTCACAGCTTGTGGCTTTTCTTTCCATTCTCTTAACAATGTCCATAGAAGCACAAAGTTTAATTTTCATGAAGTCAAATTTATCCATTTTTCTTTTTTAAATTGTGGTTTTGGTGTAACTAGGAAATCTTTGTGTAACCCAAACTAACAAAGATTTTCTCTTATGTCTTCTTCTAAAAGTTTTATACTTATAGGTAAGTATAAAATTTAACTCATCCATTGCGAGTTAAATTTTTTATATGGTGCAGGCTACAAGCCAAAGTTGATTTTTTGCGTGTGATATCTAATTGTTTCATCACACTGAAAAAATTACCCTTTGTCTTTGCACCTTTGTCAAGAATCAGTTTTCCACACATGT
This sequence comes from Homo sapiens, assembly GCF_000001405.40. NCBI lineage: Eukaryota > Metazoa > Chordata > Mammalia > Primates > Hominidae > Homo > Homo sapiens. Next base: position 88,887,743 of record NC_000014.9, on the reverse strand, counting down.
GAGGCTCTATTTCTGACTCTTTAGATCTGTTCCATCAATCTATTTGTCTGTGTTGAGAAGAAACCCACACTGTACTGATTATGCTAGCTTTAAAATAAGCCTTGAAATTAGATAGTGTTAGTCCCAAATTTGTTCTTCTTTTTTAACAGTGTTTGGATTATTACTGGATCTTTGCATTTCTATATTAATTTTAGACCTAGCCTGTGAATGCCTACCAAAAACAAGCTAGGATTTGGATTGGGACTGTGTAGAATATGTAGATTAATCTGGGAGAAAATAACATCTTAACAGTATGGAGTCTTCCAATCCATTAACATAGTACAGTTCATCATTTATTTAAGACTTTAAAAATTTCTTTCAGTAATATTTTGTAGAAGTCTTATATATATTTTGTCAAATTTATCCCCAAGTGTATATCATATTCTTCATATTGCTGTAAATGGTATTGATTTTATAATTTCAGTTTCCAACTCTTCACTGTGAATATGTGGAAATACAATTGACTTTTGTATGTTGATACTCTATCCTGCAACCTTGCTAAACTCACTTTTTAGTCCTAGTATTTTTTGTAGACTACATGGGATTTTTCTACATAATCATGTCATCTATGAATAAAGGCCATTTTGTATCTTTCTTTCCAGCCTAAATGTATTTTATTTATTTATTGCTTTATCTCACTGGTTAGAACATCCAGTACAACATTAATTAATGTAGAGAAAGCCAGCAACCTTGCATTTTTCTTAATTATAGGGGAAAGTGTGTTCTTTTTCAGTCTCTCGCCTTTGAGTACGACATTAGCTAGCTACAGGCTATTTGTAGGTGCCTTTACCAAATTGAGGAAGTTCTCTTCTATTCCTAGTTTGCTGTTATTTTTTTCAATCAAAAATGCGTGTGAAATTTTGTCAAATGCTTTTTCTCAGTTTATTGAGATGATCATATGACTTTTTCTTTCTTGTTAATATAGTGAATTATTTTAATTGACTACTGTATATTAAAATATTCTTGCATTCCTAGAATAAACTGTACTTGCTCAGGATGTATCACTGTTTTTTATACATTCTTAAATTTGATTTGCTGACTTTTTGTTAATAATTTTAAAAATGTGTGTTCTTAAGGGATATTGGTGTGTCTATAGTTGTATTTTTTGTATTATCTGTGTCTGGATTTTGGTACCAGGGTAATGCTGGCTTTATAGAATGAGTTGAAAAGTACTTGTCCTGTCCTTTTTCAATTTTTATGGAAGAGTTTGTGTAGAATTTATATTATTTATTTATTGAATGTTTAGTAGAATCAACCAGTAAAATTATCTGCGCCTGGGAAGGTTTTTGACTACAAATTCAATTTCTTTAATAGATATGGGACTATTTGGGTTATTCATTTCTTCTTGAAAAAGCTTTGACAGTTTGTGTCTTTCAAGGAATTTCTCCATTTTATCTAAATTGTTGAACATATTGCCATAAAGTTGTTTATAAATGTCTTTATTAGCCTTTTAATATTTGTAAAATTCTGGAGTAATATTTCTCTCATGCCTGATATTGGAAATTTGTGTGTTCTTTTTTCCTTATCATTCTAACTAGAGGCTTATCAACTTTATTGCTTTCTTCAAAGAATCAGCTTTTGATTTCACTAACGTTCTCTATTTCTTTTCTATTTCATAGATTTCCACTCTAATATTTGTTATTTCTTTTATTATGCTTATTTTGAGATTAATTTGGTCTTCTTTTTCTATGTTTTTATGGGCAACTTGTTGATTTGTGTATTTCTCCTTGCATTTCTATCCATTCTTTCTTCAGGTATTTTGAAGTTCTGCTATTAGGTACAGGAACATTTAGGATTCTTATGTCCTTTTGAGGAATTCACTCCCTTAATCATTGTTAAATGTCCTTTATTTATTTCTAGTAATATTGTTTGCTTTGAACTCTACTTGGCCTTATATTAATATAGCATTCAGCTTTTCTTCTGTTTTAGTATAATATATCTTTTCCTATACTTTTACTTTAATCCAAATGACAGATAATAACAAATGCTCATGAGAATGTGGAGAAATTTAAACTCTCATACGCTGATGGTGGGAATGAAAAATGATGCAGCCACTTCGGAACTCTGGCAGTTCCTCAAAAGGTTAAGTATATAGATACCATATGACCCAGTAATTCTACTTCTAGATATCTGTCCAAGAGAAAAACACATCCACAGAAAAACTTGTATGTAAATGTTTACAGGAGCAATACTAATAATAGCCATAAAGTAGAAACAATCTAAATATCCATCATCTAATGAGTGGATAGATAAAATGTGGTATATCCATATGATGTAATGTTATTTGTCAATAAAAAGGAAATAAATATTGATACATGCTACAACGTGAATGAAATATGAAAACGTTATGCTAAGGGAGAAAAGTCAGTCCCAAAAGACCTCATATCACACAATTTATATGAAATATCCAGAATAGGTAGATGATATGGTTTGGCTCTGTGTCCCCACCCAAATCTCACCTTGAATTGTAATAACATCCACGTGTCAAGGGCAGGACCAGGTGGAGATAATTGAATCATGGGGGCAGTCTCCCCTATGCTGTTCTCCTGATAGTGAGTTCCCATGAGAGTTGATGGTTTTATAAGGGGCTTCCCCCTTCACTCAGCACTGATTCTCTCCTGATGCCCTGTGATAAAGTTCCTCCTACCATGATTGTAAGTTTCCTGAGGCCTCCTCAGCCATGTGAAACTGTGAGTCAATTAAACCTCTTTTCTTTATAAATTACCCAGTCTCAGGTAGTTCTTCATGGCGGCGTGAGAATAGACTAATATAGTAAGTTGGTACCACAGACAGTGGAGTGCTCCTATAAAGATACCCAAAAATGTGGAAGAGACTTTGCAACTGGGTAACAGGCAGAGGTTGGAACAGTTTGGAGGGCTCAGAGGAAGACAGAAAAATGTGGGAATGTTTGGAACTTCCTAGAGACTTGTTGAAAGGCTTTGACCTAAAAGCTGATAATGATATGGACAATGAAGTCCAGGCTAAGGTGGTCTTGGATGGAAATGAAGAACTTGTTGGGAACTGGAACAAAGGTCACTCTTGCTATGCTTTAGCAAAGAGGCTGGCAGCATTCTACCCCTGCCCTAGAGACCTGTGGAACTTTGAACTTGAGAGAGGTGATTTAGGGTATCTGGTGGAAGAAATTTCTAAGCAGCAAAGCATTCAAGAGGAGGCAGAGCATAAAAGTTTAGAAAATTTGCAGCCTGACAATGTGATAGAAAACAAAAACCCATATTCTGAGGAGAAATTCAAGCCTGCTGCAGAAATTGGCATAAGTAACAAGGAACCAAATATTAATCACCAAGACAATGGGGAAAATATCTCCAGGGCATGTCAGAGAACTTTGAGGCAGCCCCTCTCATCACAGACCTGGAGGCCTAGGAGGGAAAAATGGTTCCATGGGCTGGGTCCATGGTCCCTCTGCTGTGTGTAGCTCCAGACTTGGTGCGATGTGTCTCAGCCGCTCCAGCCATGGCTAAAAGAGGCCAAGGTACAGCTTAGGCCATTGCTTCAGAGGGTGCAAGCCCCAATCCTTGGCAGCTTCCACATGGTGTTGGTTTGCAGGTGTGCAGAAGACAAAAATTGAGGTTTCGGAACCTCCACCTAGATTTCAGAGGATGTATGGAAAAGTGTGGCAGACTTGTAACAGTTACTACTTGAGAGCATCACTATGACCATTACTACTGTTACTACTTGAGACCGTCATTACAACCGTTATTACTGTTCCTACTTGAGACTGTCATTACAAGGCTGAATGAAGGGGGACAAACGCAGAAATGAAAACTTAAAACAAAAGAAACTGTTTTAAGGGAAGGGGCCGGGGGAAGAAGAAGAGAGCTCCCTGCTTCTAGTGAGCAAAGGCAGCCGTCCTGAGCTTCTACAGCCCTTCATATTTATTGGGTAGAAAGAGCAGGGAGGAGGAAGTAATGATTGGTCAGCTGCTTGATTGATCACAGGTTCACATTATTGCTAACAGGCTTCAGATGTGCCTAATCACAAGAAACACTGTGCTTTGGGCGTGACTGCCCTCAGCATTCCTTCTGGGCAGCAGACGCAGTTTGTCAGTTTGCTAACAACCTGCTTTCATGAGAACAGTTTGCTATTTACTCATAGAGCCGCCAGTGGTATACTGAGTTCATCAAGGGGCCCTCATAGAGAACCTCTGCTAGGGCAGTGTGGAAGGGAAATGTGGGGTTGTAGCCCCCACACAGAGTCCCCACTGGGGCATTGCTTAGAAGAGCTGTGAGAAGAGGGCCACCATGCTCCAGACCCCAGAATAGTAGATCCACCAGCTTGCATCGTGTGCCTGGAAAAGCCACAGACACTCAATGCCAGCCCATGAAAGCAGCTGGGAGGGGGGCTGTATCCTGCAAAGCCACAGGGGTGAAGCTGCTGCCCAAGGCCTTGGGAGCCCATCTCTTGTATCAGCATGACCTGAATGTGAAACATGGAGTCAAAAAAGATTATTTAGGAGCTTTAAGGTTTAATTCCTGCCTTATTGGATTTTGGACTTACATGGGGACTGTGGCCCCTTTGTTTCGGCCAATTTCTCTCACTTGCAATGGGTGTATTTACCCAATGCCTGTACCTCCATTGTATCTAGGAAGTAACTAACTTGGTTTTGATTTTACAGGCTCACAGGTGGAAGAGACTTGCTTTGTCTCAGGTAAGACTTTGGACTTGGATTTTTAGGTTCACGCTGGAATGAGTTAAGACTTTGGGGGACTGTTGAAAGATCATGATTATGTTTTGAAACATGAGGACATGAGATTTGGGAGGGGCCAGGGGCAGAATGATATGGCCTGGCTGTGTCTCCACCCAAATCTCATCTTGTGTCAAAGGCAGGACCAGGTGGAAATGATTGAATCCTGGGGGCAGTTTCCATCATGCTGTTCTCGTGATAGTGAGTTCTCATGAGAGCTGATGGTTTTATAAGGGGCTGTCCCCTTTGCTTGGCACTCATTCTCTCTCCTGACGCCCTGTGAAGAGGTGCCTTCCACCATAATTGTAAGTTTCCTGAGGCCTTCCCAGCCACGCTGAAGTCAATTAAACCTCTTTTCTTTATAAGTTACTAAGTCTTGGGTATTTCTTCATAGCAGTGTGAGAACAGACTAATACAGTATATTTATAGAGAAGCAAAGTAGATTAGTGGTTGCCCAGGGCTACAGTCAGGGATAGGGACGGGATTGTGGGGCTATGGAAAGTGACTATTAATGGGTATGAGATTCCTTTGGGGGATGATGAGAAAAAAATTTTTTGAGACAGGATCTTGCTCTGTAATCCATGCTGGAATGCAGTGGTGCAAACATTGCATTGTAGCCTTGACCTCCTGAGCTCAAGTGATCCTTCTACCTCAGACTCCTGAGTAGCTGGGACCACAGGCATGCACCACTGTGCCAGGCCAATTTTTTAATTTTTTGTATTAGCCTGTTCTCATACTACTAACAAAGACATACCTGAGACTGAACAATTTATAAAGTTAAGAGGCTTAATTCACTCACACTTCCATGTGGCTGGGGAGGCCTCACAATCATGGCAGAAGGTGAATGAGGAGCAAAGTCATGTCTTACATGGAAGCAGGCAAGAGAGAGCATGTGCAGAAACCATCAGATCTCATGAGACTTATTCACTACCATGAGAACAGCATGGGAAAGAACCACCCCCATGATTTGATTGCCTCCCACCAGGTCCCTCCCAAAACACAGGGGACTTATGGGAGCTACAATTTGAGATTTGGGTGGGGACACAGCTAAACCATATCAGATGGGGTCTCACTATGTTGCCCAGGCTGGTCTCAAACTCCTGGGCTCAAGCGATTCTCCTGCCTTGGCCTCCCAAAGTGTTGGGATTACAGGCATGAGACACTGTACCCAACCTGAAAGTGTCTTAAAATTGATTGTAATGATGATTGCTTAACTGTGAATATATTAAAAACCACTGGGTATACTTTTTTTTAAAAAAGAGGAGTCATATAGTACATGAACAATATCTCAAAAAAGTCATGTTAAAAAAGCGACCTCTGGGTTGGGAGCTACTGGTGACCTCAGTGAAAGCAGTTTCTAGAGTGGTAGAAGTAGACTCCAGATTAAAGAGGTTGAGGAATGAATGAAAGATGAGGAAGTAGGTAACAAAAGTCATCTAGCCTTTCAAGACCTGTGACAAAGGAGATAGGGTGGTACTAGAAAAGGGGGCAGGTTTTATCAAGGATAGACTGGATAAAGAAAATGTGGTACGTATACACCATGGAATACTCTGCAGCCATAAAATGGAAAGAGATCATGTACTTTGCAGGGACATGGATGGAGCTGGAAGCCATTATCCTCAGTAAACTAATGCAGGAACAGAAAACCAAACACCACATGTTCTCACTTATAAGTGGGAGCTGAACAATGAGAACACATGGACACATGGTGGGGAACAACACACACTGGGGCCTGTTGTGGGGACAGTAGAGGTAGGGAGAACATCAGGAAGAATAGCTAATGGATGCTGGGCTTAATACCTAGGTGATGGGTTGATCTGTGCAGCAAACCACCATGGCACACATTTACCTATGTAACAAACCTGCACATCCTGCACATACACCCTGGAACTTAAAAGTGGAAGAAAAAAAAAACACACAAGAGAAATGGAAGGAATTTAATAAAATTTGCCACACTACTCTCAAGATTGTAATGATATATATGCCCAACAGTGAATTTTGACAGTACCTTCACCTCATATATAATAAACATTTCAAATCTTTGTTCTCTGAAGAGGTTAAAAATGTATCTTTCTCTTGAATTAATTTCATTCTGTTATCAAATTTTTTTTGTTACATATGTTTATCAACCATTTTAATTTCTTTTATGAGTTTCCTTTTCAGGTTATTTTCTTTCTCTTCCTTTATTTTAATAAACAGTTATATTGTCTATTTTTAAAAAGGGAGGCAGGCTTAAAGGAAATGTGATTTTTAAAAAAGACATAATCCAGTAGAGAGAAATAAATTGAAGCTATTAGACCAGAAGAGGGGTGGGGTTTGGGGGCGGTGACAGTTGCAAGGTGCTGGAGTCCATAAAAACTTGAGTTTCAAATATTGGAAGAGGGTCTCTCTTTCTGATTTAAAAAGAAAACAAAATTCTTCCTAAAATCTGTTTAGGTCTAGCCTCTTCTCCAAGATAACACGGTTGCTTTCACCAAGAGTTCCCGTTGTTTTCACTTAACAATCCACTTTCCCTTATTAGTCAGAATTAGATTCAGGTAAAGAAAAGGATCACATTGCAAGAAACATAGTTCCCAAGGATTATAACAACATGTCTATTCTTTCATTTCAAGGACTGGCTTTGACATCAAAGAAGTGAAATAATAGTCTCTCTCAAAAATGTTGTTTTTATTTAGCTAAAAATAGGACGAATGCCATCTATATGGATAGATATGAAAGTGCAGTTATTTTCAAATTGCTAAATAAATGTTTCCCCCTCAAATCTGAGCCTAGATGACCATTTTGGAACTCTGCAAGGAACATAAACATGGAACATTCCAATTTCTCTATTTCCTAGAATACAAAATTATTTGGTGATGGCTTTTTTTCCTACACTTGATTTCTGGGTTATTTTCTAAGGTTTAGTCCTGCCAGCCTTTCTAAAATATTTGTTTTCTGAATGCTTAAATTCAATCCCAGCTGAAAGACCCTGACAGAAATCCCTCATTGTAGTAAAGGGTTGGTGGTGGAAACTAAAAGTGTAGAGACGCTGGGTGCAGTGGCTCACACCTGTAATCTTAGCACTTTGGGAGGCCATGGCGGGTGGACCACTTGAGGCCAGGAGTTTGAGACCAGCCTGAGCAACATGGTGAAACCCTGTCTCTACTAAAAATACAAAAATTAGCTGGGTGTGGTGGTGCATGCCTGTAATCCCAGCTGCTTGGGAGGCTGAGGCACGAAAATTGCTTGAACCCGGGAGGCAGAGGTTGCAGTAAGCCAAGATCATGCCACTGCACTTCAGCCTGGGCGACCGAGCAAGACTGTCATAATAATAATAATAATAATAATAATAATAATAATAATAATAATAATGTAGTGACACGTTACCTTTATTAATTTTCTTATCTGTAGGCCATAAATTGTATCCTGATAGATAATCTGAGCCTGGGAAAAAGCACTCAGAAATGCAATGGAAGAGTTATCACTATGGGGACTGGCTCAGCCATGACACATTTGTAAAAAAGGAAGAACTTCTAACCTCAGTAATGTTTTAGCGCAGGAAGCCTTCTTGCCAGATCTCATTTTCATCAGTTGGAAATATGCTCGATGATATGAATTTTGGTTGAGCAATTTGTATTTATGGATTGAGCACCTCTTTAGCCACAGTGGAAAACTGGAAAACAATTATTAGTATTTTTTGTGTTCTTTCTACAGAAATGTTGGCACAGAAGCCAGAAGTTACGCAGTCCATAGGAAATGTTGTTACAAAGACATCCTGAATGTCGCTTCTGATACAGTCATCCACGGTGCTATGTCATCATTCTGCCCTGAGCCACTGTGACTCATTCTTTGCCTTCATGCTCACACTGAATTCACATAAATTCAAGACAAAATCCCTCCATATCACCTTAGGAAAATGGAATCATTTATTTTTTGCTGTGTTAATATTCCCTTATTATTCAACTTTCCTAATGCACACAATGTTCATTTTAAATGGTAGTAGATTTATTTACAGCAGAAACAGAGAGAGGTGATTTGACCTAGTGATTAAGAGCACACACTCAAGAGGCCACGCTGCCTAAACCTGAATCTTTGGCACTTACTACTAGTTCAATAAGCTTTTTACTATGCCTCAGTATTCTCATAAGTAAAATGGAATAACAGCCTGCATAGGACTACGGTGAGAATGAAATGAATTCATTCCCATAAAGAGCTCAGAACAGTGGGCATATTTAACATCCTCAGTAAATGTTCAGCCATTCTTATTAGCTCTTATTTTAAATTAAGAAAATGATTCACATTATACCATTTGAATCTAAATATTGACTACGATATTAGGAAATGTGATAGTACCTGAGGAAATTCTCAAGGGCTAAATAAACACTAACACATCACAGAGAACCAAGAAAGGTTCAAGTCTAAGGTGCAGGAACAAGACCTTGGGCTGCAGCTATGGATGTGACGCGGGGCCTTGCTTTCTTGTCTGTAGTGAATGCTAGCCTTGAGCAAGCTATCATTCCTTGAATTCAATTTTTTTGTTCTCTCAGCTGAGTATACAATTTATACAAATCTGAAAAGAATAGAAGTATCTATCAAATAGTTTTCATGAAGTTAAAAAAATGAAAAATAACATGGAGGTCCCAAAGTCCAAAGTATGAGTTTGAGTGGTCCTGTCCCATTAACACATTTCCTTGTGTGAACACTTTAATAAGAGTTCCACTAAATAAGGCAGAGAAAAGTTCAAGAGCCTTTCTAAGGCTGCTATGCCATGCATGGTACTGGAATATTGCTGACTTCCGTGCTGTGGCTGACCAGAAGTGGGACTCCTGGCCTGTGACTCTATTTCTAATCTGAATATTCTTATTATTAATAATGTGACATCCCATAAATCACTTTTTAGGAAAAAACAGAATTGGTGGTATATCATTTGAAATAAAATTAAAATAATGATGATTTCTAAGATTACTGGACTTCTGTAAAACCTGTTTCACCTGAGATGACTAAAATAAAAACTCATTAAAAAATAATGAAATGATGGTGTTTTACACAATGATTTATTTTAAAGCTTAATAGGAAATCACAAAGTATTTAATAAAAAATAGTTTTAAATACATTTTTAAAGTCTTAAGGAAAGTCTCTATTTATAATCCTCCCACCTCCACCTCCCAAGTAGCTGGGACTATAGGCACATGCTACCACACCTGGCTTAAAGGTGCAGTTTTAATGGCAGATTTCAGACTCCTTAAGCTACATGATGGCTAAGAGTCAGCTTAAGGACTTAAAAAATGTACATTTATAAAACATTGAGGAAATTCACCAAAATGTTTTGTAAACATTATAAACAAACATCTACTATATAATGTGAGAGACAGTTTCAGGATCTATTTAGAAAGGTTTAAATCCTGTATTTTATAATATTATTTTATAAAGTTACTATTACTATGAAATTTGCATTACACATTCTGTGTCACCCTTATGTGTCACCTTAACTAATATCAAGGACAGGTTTGTTAAAATATACGTATTACACTATATACATACATACACAGACATAGTGCTTTTTTCCCCTTGCATAATGCTGCTTCATAAGAACATATGTGGTCTAAGGAACAATCAGAGCATAGCAAAATGCTGCCTTAATTGTTTAATTAAATGTTGTGTGTCCACATGGTCTGGAAATGCTGCTTCAGACTTCTGCGCAGCAACATAGCTTCTCTGCAGATCTCCAATCTGCAAAAAATACAAGAATAAGACCATGGAATGAGATCAGAAAAAAATGAGTAAGGAAGTAAAAAAGAAAATAAGACATAGTATCTGCATGCTGTAGAAATTCAAAGGGTTCTTTTCTTTTTTTTTTAACAAACCCACAACTAACATCATAACTCAAAGGGTTCTTAAAGGCAAATTGCTTAATTATGCTACTTTGATTTTAGAATTCTAGATTATAATTCAATCTTGAAAAATACATGAGAAAGATAAAATAACCAATTATATAAATAATTTCTAGCTGTCTGGTAATGAATTTAGAAACCTATGTTTTCTTTTCCTGTCACTGATGATAGTATTATAAACGTAAAGTGATATTTACATGCTGAAACAGCCAGCTCTAGATAGCTCAGAAAACTTAGAGAAAACTATCTGTAAGGTACCACAAACAAAAATATATTTTGATTAGAGTTGTTACCTTTTAGACAGAAAATTTAAGCAAAAACTGCTGTATTTAAGGCATAATAACATGTTTTGAGAGGTTTTAAGTGGTGCTGGCACAATAATGTTGGGAAAATATCTGGTTTTAAAAGTTTATAAAGGATGTCTCTGATTTTCAATGAACTTTATATTAATTCCCAAAGAAAAACACATATACTGTCTGAATGTATCCTTTTTATTGATACATAATAATATATTTATGAGGTACATGCAATATTTTTATACAAGCATACAAGGTATAATGATCAAATCAGGGTAACTGGGGTATCCGTCACCTCAAACATTTATAATTTCTTTGTGTTGGGAATATTTCAAATCTTCTAGCTATTTTGGGATATACAATAAATTATTAATTACAGTTGAGTATATCTTGATTCATGGATACGTTCTAAAAAGGAAGAGGCTTTTTCATGTATACACTCAAAAAATCTAGATAAATTCTGGTAGATTTCTGGTAACAATACATACGTATTAAAACAGAAATTAAGTTTCCTTTTTTAAATCATAGCACTTCTTTTTAATATACTGCTTTCTGTTATGGAAGTGCAGCCTTTTGCTTAAAGAAGATATCTCATTTGAGTTATATACTATTAAAATGTGGTGCTATTCCCGAAGGTAAGCCAGCCCTCTTGGGGGTTTAACTAACTAAGCAGTAGCACAGTACAGTGGGAAACACATGGACATCACTGGGATCTGGGTGTGAATCTGAAATCTGCCACTGCCAAGGGACGCAGAAGTCTTTTAACCTCTTTAAGCCTTGGGTTCCATTAGAAATTAAGCTGCTTGAGGTACAGGTTTTTGTCTTTTACTCATCATTACATCCTCTGTGCCAAAAACAGGGCCTGGTATATAGCAAAGGCTCAATAAATAGAACATCAGTCATGAAAAAAATGAGTGAGGAAGGCGGGGTAGTTGGGAGAATTAGAGAAAGTATTTAAAGCACCTAGAACAGTGGCTGGTACTTACAGGTGCTCAATAATTACAACTCATGAATGACAGTTTATTTTATTTTCAATACAGAAATGACAGTGTAGATGACTTCATATTTATGCTATGAAGAATAACATCTTTATAAATATCTTATGGTCTATCAAGACCCTAATTTATATCACAAATATTTTTAGCCATTTCCTTATTCTCAAAACAGACTCACCTTCCAAGTACAAGCTAGTTATTAGATGTCTTTTTCTTGTTTTCTTATTGTTAAAAATGGCACGTGGTTCCCTTTAGCTTTCGGATACTAACTGACTTGCAACACAGTATTATTTCCCCCATATTCTTCATAGCTAAGATAGTTTTCACATTAGAATATCACTAATTTTACAGCAATTGTACCAGAAACTTGGTGGCAATATGATCTACAAATAATGCACAGGATTTTGTTGCTGTAAAAGCCAATAACTAAACATTTCCCAAACCAGGAGTTATTAAGTGAGTATTTCTTCAATGACTAAATGCCATATTTCAAAACATAAAATAATTCTATAATCTATAATGGAGTTTAGTCAATATTCAGCAATAAATTAAAAGTTTTAAATGCTGTCCCTTGAAGTAAAGATGTATAAATAAATGCAGTAATTAAGAGTTTTAAAAAGTCATTTCTTTCAGGAAGATGAGGTTAGAATTTCCTCATTTATTTGTACTTTTTTTAAAACAAAGAAAAAAAAAGAACAGATCAGATGATAAATTAATGAAGAAAGAGAATACCTTATCAGAGATTGTTGCAAAATTAAAATGCGGTTCATACATATGGGGTGCTAATGATGATGCAGTTTGTAATAGTGCCCTTGCCTGTGTATAAAAATAAAGAAAAGAAAAACCAAAGGCGTATGAACATATATCAGCACCATATTTGTGTTTTTTTTTTGGTAAAAGAATTCTTTACCTATGACAGGACTTTAATAACACGAGCCTGTGATAAATACCGACAACATTCCTCATGAAATACAATGACTTCATGAAATACAATTAACTACTGATACCTTGCCAAAATTATGTTAATAATAAATGCTTCATAAGACACAGAAAATAAGAGAACTGAAAATTCAGAGTACATTTAAAGTTATTTGGGAACCAATGTTCTCATAAAGGTTATATTTCAATATGACATACAATCTGAAATACAATCTTCTCAATACTACAACATTCTACTTAATCTAGTTTTTACTGCTGTTGATTGACTAAGCAGGCTCTAATTACCTTTTCTTTAATGTAATAACAACCAAAAAAACCATTGTAAATTTCAAAGCCCAAAATTCTGTGCTGGATGACAGTGAGCAAGTATTTAATATAGTGCTGATCAGTTTTGTTAGTGAGACAGCAATTGAATATGACAAGCTTTCTGTTATCTAAGATACTCAAAATATAACATTCACATTTTTTTTTTGTGATCATAGGATCATCAATGCAGAGACCACTGAGCAGCATGAGATGCTTATACATTCATTAAGACCACAAATTCAACATTACAAACTGCTAACAACCCCTCAACTTGTAGCTACATCTAAAACTTCTATCCATGACCCTGAAGACAAATTTGTATAACTTTTTTAATGGAAAACAAAATGATATCAAGCTAATATAGAATGAAAGATATAATTTTTAATAAAATGAAGTTCATATTATGAAATCTTTCACCAAAACATTTCAAGTCAATTGCATGCTAGAGAAACTACAGTAAGTAAGAGGAAAAGAAAATTACCAATATGGGAACAGAGAAAAATCACAAAAATCACTTGTTTCACCATATGAATACAGGCAAAGTTCCTGACAAAACAAGTGTCCATTTTAGAACAGTCTGTAAACTACAAATCTATCTTCCTTACTTTGGGAGAATTTATGCAATAAAGGTAACATCCAATGACCTTTCTTTCCTTGTTGTTGTTAAAAGTTTATCATTGTGCTTAGAAGACCAGGCTAATGTACTGGCATGCTGTTCGCCATGTCTGTGACCTCGGGTAAAGTTACTCACCCTTCTCAAGCCTCCGTTTCTTTATCTCCAAAGTGGGGAATGTAATAATATTTGCCCTTGATGGCTGCTAACATTGTATGAACATATTTAGTATTTTAAACTTTTTCTTTTACATATATCATTATAATAATACAATTTATTAAGCATCTACCATGTGCTCCATACTATGCTTCCACTATGCCAAGTGCATGATCTAACACTCACAAACAATCCCTTCAAATCACTACTGTTACACTCTATTTTATGTATCATCCATTCATTCCACAAATATTGACTGAGCATCTACCATACGGCAGGTACTGTTTCTGATGCTGGGAATATAACAGTTACATGACAGATATGGTCACTCTTTTCATACAGCTGACATTCTACATCCTACACATATATATGAAAATATCTGATAAAGTGGTAAATACTGTGAAGAAAAAAAGTAAGAGATGTGATAACACCCAAGGGCTCTTTTAGACTGATGGGGGAGATGACCTTTCTAAGAAGGTGGCATTTAATCTAAGACCTGAATGACAAGACAGAAATTTGTCATTGCAAGATCTGAAGGAAGAACACTCCAAAGGCCCTAAAGGAAGACAGAGCACTGTCTGTCTGCAGAGCAGCAAGGCAGCGATGTGTCTGCAAGTCAGTGGGGAAGAAGGAGTGGCAAAAGATGTGGTCTGAGCAGGAGCCAGAGGGCAGGTCACGTGGGGCCTCAAAGGCCATAGTCACGGTTTCAAGTCCAGATTTTATTCCAAGTTGAAGGAGAAGGCACTAGAGGATTTTAAACAAAGTAGTATTAAACAGTCTTGGTTTTAAAAAAAATCTCTCAGGTTGTTCTGAGAAGAGTGTATCATAGAGTGCACTGACTTGCTGATGTAAGTGGAAACAAAAAGACCAGCTAGGAGGCTCTCATAGTAGTCCATGCAAGAGATGAGAGCAGTCTGAAGAAGGGTCATGGGAATGGAGAAAGGTGGCCAGGCTCAGAATGTGATGGGACTCTGAGGTCAGAATGACAGGGCTTGCTGAATATGATGTGGGCGCAGGTGTGGCAGGGGGAAGCAATAAAAAGAGAGAAGTTTCGGGGTGGCTCCAAGGATTTTGGCTTGAGCAGTTATGTAGTAGACAGGGGATGGTGACTGGTAGAACACTTCACTAAGATAGGGTAGACTGGGGAGGCTCAGATTTGTCCTAATAAAATCAAACATTCTATTTTGGACTCAGAATGGTTAAGTAACTTGTCCCAAGGTCACACAGCTAATACACAACAGAGCTGGGATTCAAATCCACGCCTGTCAGATTCTAGAGCTCATTTTAAAATAACATACGCTGTAATGCTACCACACATGACAGCTTTTCTCTGAAGAAAGCAGACTGCCCAGCATGCCGCTGCCAGTTCACTGACCTGTTCAACGTGGCCCTTCCGCATCTCCAGCACAGCCAGGTTGTTGTAGGCCTCGGCGTGGTTGTTGTTGTTGACCAGAGCCAGCCTGAAGCACTGATGGGCCAAATTTGTATCTCCTATTCCCTACAAAAGAAAGCCTATGTTCACACCCATGGGTCCGTTTACTTCCTCCTCCCTTCTTTCCTCATAGGTATCTCTTCTGCTACCAGACAAAAAGCATCAAGTACCATACAATTATAGAAGTCAATGTGAATTCTACGTAAGTGGATTTAACCTAAGAATATAAAATGAGCCGCAATGACTCCCAGAAACTTCTAAATTGCCCCGTAAGACTACTGCCAAACCTGGATGTAGGATAATTCCTGAAAATTTCTTCAAACTAACTTTTTTGTTTGTTTTGAGACAGGGTCTCACACTTTGTCACCCAGGCTGGAGTGCAGTGCTACGATCACAGCTCACTGCAGCCTTGACCTTCTAGGCCCAAGTGATCTTCCTGCCTCAGCCCTCAGAGTAGCTGGGACTACAGATGTGCACTACCACACCCAGCTAATTTTTAAATTTTTTGTAGAGACAGAGTCCCACTATGTTGCCCAGGGTGGTCTCAAACTCCTGGGCTCAAGCAATCCTCCTGCTTCAGCCTCCCAAAATGCTGGAATTATAGGCATGAGCCACTGTGTCTGGCTCAAACCAACTTTCTATAACAGAAATTATATCAGTAAGACAACATACCACAGCTACATGTCCCAAGTTGTACCAGACATCAGCTGCCTCTTCTTCATTTTCAGCCAAAGAAAGGGCACGTTCAAATGAGGTCAGAGTCATATCATACTGCTGGGCATAGAAGCAACACAGCCCCAGATTGTTAAAAAGCTGGCCGTTATAAATGCCCATCTGCAGCAGCCGCCTTTTCAAAAAAGAACACACAAATTTTGGTGTCAGACCAACTTTGTAAGTTTTAAGACATATATATATATATTTTACACAGTTAAAAATGAATTCATCTTGTGATTTTTGATACTCCTTAAGAATATAAATACGTGTTATAGTAAATGAAAAAATGTTTAAAGCAAATACAAACACCTCTCTTTCATAATGGTACTAGTCATGGGGAATGTGTCTAGAGACAAAGACAAACAACTGATCTAAGTTTTCTCCCCAAATGCTTTGTTAGAGAACCAAAATAAGAAATAGTCACAAAAAGTAACGCCCACACACTTCAGCTTTATAAAGCTTTGCTGCCCATAGGGTAAATTCCTAAAACCTAATCTAATTTGAGGACTGCGTTTAGCATTAACCTCTACGTTTTCAGCTGACTGGATCCCGTTTTTGGCTCGCTGTACTTTGTGCTTCAGCTGTGTCTACTGAACTCCAATGAGCTTCCACTGAGGAAGACAAGACCATCAGCGGATCCTTACATTATCCACTTAGCTCTCACACTGCAGCTCAAGAGCCCCATTTGCTTCTATGCATAATTAATCCCATGGGACAAAGGACAAGCGAGTTCATATGAGCAAATGAAAATCCAGCCCAGCTGCCGTGAGAAACCCATGACCCACTTTGGGGGTTGGGGAGTAGAGTCAGCTGCAGGTGCACAGAATAGTGTTCTTATTATTACATTTTATGCCTCCAACACATATTTGGAAAGAACCCTTGTCAGCTGCCAGTCATCTCTTTCTATATTACCCAAGGGCTAAGGAGGAAATCATAATTTAAAAATTAATTTCAGAAGTCATATGTAGGATGAAATAAGTACTTAAAAGAGAATCAGTGAATATAATTTATTTAGACTGAAAAAATATTGGGACAAGAACCAACAATGCTGCACAAAACAGGTGATTCTGTTTCAGGTCCTCATCAAGGTTCAGAACATGAGGCCAAATGCTCTTTGCAAATCTTTTCACCTTTCAATTTCAGTGTCTTTATGTTTAATGGTATTAACGGAGGCAATGATGATGATAAGTTTTAAGTAACTATTCAACTTATTGGTTGATGACAAAATGGCTAACACATACAATGACAATGAGGTTTAAAACTCAGTCAGTTGTCCAGTGTGTTTCTGCAAGATGCCAGACATCTGCATGTTTCCAAATTATTGGATGTCACTTCAATGCTCATTATATATCTCAGTGTTGACATTTGAGTTTCATAAAGACATGGCCTATACCTTATTTCTCTATACTTTCATTCCATCTTTCTTATTATTTTATCAATATTTCACAGGAAAGTGGTTCTAAGAATTGGATGTGAAGTGCACCTGTAAAACCGGAGAGCTATTTCTGGCTGATCAGAATAGAAGTGGTTGCTTCCAATGCATGCGATGGCTTCCACATGAGTATTGTCTTGTTTCAAAACTTCTTTGTAATATTCTGCTGCTGATGACATATTGTTCATTTCCTATTCTCCATCAAGAGAGAAGAGCAATATTTTATTAATATTGGACAAAAAATTATTTTTTTCTGACTGATTTAAGTCCATTCATTCAATAAGTATTTATTGAGAGGCTACCATGTGCCAGACTCCATTCTAGACCCTGGGGATACAATATGAACAAAAAGAGAAAGTCACTGTCCTCAGGGAGGTGACATCTGGTATGAAAGGCAAACAAATATGTAATATAAGAGAAGGTTAAGTGCTGTGAAGAGAAACAGAGAAGGAGAGAGAGAGCAGGGAGAGTGTGCTTCAGAAGGGGTGGCGGAAGGGGCCACTTTGGAGGAGGTGCTATTTGAAAAGACCTGAGTGAAGTGAAGGATCAAGCCCTGAGCATATCTGGGGGAAGCTCACTCTGGGCAGAGGGAAGAGCAAATGTATGAGCCTGAGAGGGGAACGTGCTTGTCACATATGAAGAACCACACGAAGGTAAATGAGGCTGGGAAGAGGGAAAGTGGCACAAAAGGAGATGAGAGGCAGCCAGGGCCTTTGTAAGCCACGGTGAGAACTTCAGATTTTTTTTTTTCTAGTTGAGAGAAATCCATTAGGAGAGGAATAACAATCATATTTGCATTTTGAAAGAATAACTTGACTGCTGCATGCTAGACATACCAAAATAGGAAAGAGTGGTAGCAGGAAGATCAAAAGTCCAGGAAAGAAAAGACAGCAACCAAGACCAAGCTTAGAAATACATACAAAATGAAAAACTAAATAAACCTTCTACAGTTATTATATATTCTTTCTAAAATACTGATAATCATAAATGTATGCATCTAATGTTATCAATGAATGTTATATTTCTCAAGTCCACCTTCAAGGCCCTGTTCAGGCTCCACATCCTTCATGAAGATTTCCCTAATGCCTTCACTTCACATAGCTGTCTTCTACCTCTCAACTTACATGGTGTTTATTATGTGAACTTGTTCTCATTAGAGAAGGACTCATACTTTTCATTAAATTTTAATCATATCAAATATAAGAGACTCTACTGATTGTTAAGAAGCACCATGCAGTGCTTTTTTTAAACAGAATTTTTATTTGATCCTCACTGATATTTAGACATACTCATACACAGATTGCATCACAGATCACTCTTTTGCATACTTTGTGGTAAGAACATTTAAAATCCACTTTTAATATTTCTTAAAAGTGCTCCACTATTGTCTCCAAGATTTTCTTCCAACCTATGGACAGTCATTCTGCTATGCTGATACCTGTGTTTTCTTGATTTTCTTGATCTTACCAGCAGGTGTCAACAAAAGCTTTCAGGCTACAACCAGTAATAATTACCAGGTTCACCATGCTCCCAAGAGTAATTACCCAAGTTTCCATATAAACAGACTATGACAACTACATGGCAACTGCCACTTGGCCATAAAAAGATGCTATCCATTTTAAGATGTATCTCAAGTTCAGAGATGTTAAAATGTGAAAAAAAATGTGTTTTTAGAGTCCATGAAATATGGTAAATTCCTTTAAAGCAAGATCATATGTGCCATTTCTTAGCACAAAATTTAGTGTTCTAGAAACTGAAAAATTAATAAACAAGAATTAAACAACTCTAAAAAATGTTCTTAGCTTCCCATGTTTCCATTAGAACAGAGGTTCTCAAACGTTTTGGTCTAAGATTCCTTTTAAACTGTTAAAAATTGCTGAGAAGAAGTTTTGTTTATGTAAGTTATATAGATTAATATTAGAAATTGCAACTGAGCTATCTTTAAACATTTACTTATTAATTCATTCTAAATAACACAAAATAAACCTATTACATGTTCACATACATAACATTTTTATGAAAAATAATAAGCTCTTCTGAGTGGAGAAAGTCTGTAGGTTGGTACAACTATGTTTGTGACAGGGTAGATTAGTCTGTTTAACCCAGAGCGAGAAGGTTGTTAAGTCCTTTTGAGCATAGGTCTAAAGCCAAAAGCTCCACTTCTGCTTTTATCTGTAATCAAGCTAATGGTCTGACCTCTATTTGTCGAAATCTTGTATCTCTCTCTCAGTTGGTTCTCAACATGGAGAACAGGGATGTAACTTATCAGTCCCATAAAACCCTAACAAAACATTCACCAGTTGACCCAAATCTATGTTTTATATATATTTCTTCATGTGCTTTATATTTGAAATTCTTTTTCAAAGCCAACAGCATCCCACAGTGCTAGGCTTCAGTGTTACAGCTTCCAAAGGTGGCAACGCCCAATGCAAAGAAGGCTCAAGCCTCAATAAGCCAGTTGGTTCAAGACTTTGGGTTCTATAAAATTACTTTTGAATACTTGTATACTTAATTAATGGACACAGAAATTAATTTATGTAATCTCGAGGAATTTTAGACTGAAACACCTATTGTACTGACAACCTCGTATGTAGGTTTTCAATTAAGTTTTATAAACTTATAAAATATGTGCTTATACTAAATAAATGTAAACCTTACAAAACGGTACAAAATTAAAAGTAAATGCCCCATCCCCAAATTGTAGTAGGCAGAGGCTCTGTTAATAGCTTCTTGAGTATTGTTCAGGAAATTTTGTTCATACATAAGCATACATATGGGTGTGCATATTTTAACCATAAACAGAATCATTCTATACATTCTAATATACAGTTTATTTTTTCACTCTCAGTGTCTTGACTCTTTCCATATCAAAACCAAAAGCTTTACTTCATATTTTTAAATAATACTTCTGCATAGTGTTCCATCAATACAGAGACCATAATTTATTAAACCAGTCCCTTTTTGTTCAAGCATATGTTTCCTTTTTTTAACCAAAAAACATGCTATAAAAACATCTTTGTACAGATCTTTGTGCACTTGTATGAAAATATCCTTAAGGAAAATTCCTAGAAGTAATATGGCCAGGTCAAAGAGCATGCACATTTTAAAATATCATCAATAATTGCAAACAACTTCCAAATGTTCATACATGGAGCTTGTTTCTCTACACCCTTGGCAACCCTAGATAACATAGAACTTCTTCATCTTTGCTGATCTGATTGAGTGAAAAATGGCTTATCACTGTTGTTTTAGTTTTTTATATCTTTAATTATGACAGAGGTTAGGCATTTAACACATCAGATATTATTTATATTTCTCTTTCAGTGAACTGCCAATTCATATTTTTTGTCTGTTCTTCTATCCTATCCTATCTTTTGTCCCTCCACGATTGTGTGTATGGGAGTCTTGGGTGGAACACTGCCCTCCTGGACACAGGAGAGCTGGAGGCTGAGGTGTGGCTCAAGAATCCCTGGGCACTGACTGTGTTCTATTCCAGATGAAAAGAGCCCGTGTTGATGTTGACCATAGTTCAACAACACAGGAAGGCTCAGTGTTTATAAACATTCTCTTCAGAGGAAAAGTATAGATGGTTAATTAAGTTCTTCCAAATAGGTGTCACCAAGCCCTAAGTACAAAAGGGGGGCGGTATAGTCAATGCAGCTGGAACTTGGTTGTTGTCTCATCTCTGTGGTGATTTTACTTTCACAGAGAGGGTCAATGGCCACTGTGTAGGCTGAAAGGAAACAAGAGCCTAAGGAAAAGCCACACCATGACATGGAAATACCTCGTTTCCATGTTTACATTCTTGACTAAATAGATGAGAATTTGTGTGTGCGTGTGTGTGTGTGTGTGTGTGTGTGTGTGTGTTTAAATCTCCCATTTTCAGCAATTTTTAAGCAATGTGTAGTTTGAGGAAATCAAAAGCAGTCTTTTGTCTGTCCCAGGTATGCCAACTATTTTCCCTGTTTGATATTTTTATCTTTTGTTTTGTTGTATATGGGTTTGGTTTCTATTTTTTGTTTTTGCCATTTAGAAAATTTAACTTTTACATTCTCAAATTTATCAATCTTTGCTATTATGGCTTTTTGACTTTGTGTCATGATTAGAAAAATCGTCCTCATTCCAATTTATACAAATAATTCATCTGTGTTTTCTTCTGGAACTTTCAGGGTATCATTTTTTGAAGTTTTAAATTTTTAAAGTTTTAAATCTGGCAGTAATTAATAGTATAAATCATTACTCATCCAGCTCTATTTTTAAACTATTTATTAAATAACCAAGTAATGCAATTGGCTTAATAGGCTATCTTTCTCACATCTTAAATTTTCATATATATGAACACACATTGACTCTATTTTCTTTATTCCTTTATCAGAGTTGTTTAAATTTTACTAGTTCTAGAATAGATTTTATTAATGTAGACTTAAAATTACATTTTCAAGTATATAAATGCCATTGCAAGTATATAATAAATTTGGTATCAAGTGATTTTTAGTGGTTATTTTTGATCCAATTCACAAAATGTAGACACAAAATCTTTAATTAGATTTTTAAATTATTATTATTTTTATTTTTATTTTTGAGATGGAGTTTCACTCTTGTTGCCCAGACTGGAGTGCAATGGCACGATCTTGGCTTACCGCAACCTCTGCCTCCTGGGTTCAAGCAATTCTCCTGCCTCAGCCTCCTGAGTAGCTAGGATTACAGGCATGTGCCACCAAGCCAGGCTAATTTTGTATTTTTAGTAGAGACAAGGTTTCTCCATATTGGTCAGGCTGGTCTCGAACTCCAGACCTCAGGTGATCTGCCCACCTCTGCATCCCAAAGTTCTGGGATTAAAATAAAATTAAACAACTGCAGAAAATGAATGCTGCAGTAGTTTTCAAATTTTGTTCTGCAACAGAATCAATCACCTAGTGGGCTTGCTAAAAATCCAGATGCCTGAGTCCCACCTTCCAGGACTTCTGATTCAGAGGAAGAGGATGGGTCATACTTCCCATCCACTCCCAAGGTAATTTCATACACAGTAAAGTTTGAAGACCTCTAGAATAACATTTCCAGGGTAAGGTTTTTAATTGCAAATGCCTTTCAACAAAGAATGGCTAAAATTAAGACCTGTCTTTGAAATGAATAAACAAAATACCTCAAGAAAAACTGAAACCACCAACAAAGAAATCTGGCAAGGATAAATCATTTTAAACAATGAACAATAAGCAGTTCAACATATTCATCCTAAAATAGACAATATTTAAAAGATATCTTCAACAATGAAAGATAAAAAAAAGAAGAGAACATAAAGGAATGGAATCCCTCCAGCCAGGGCCAAGCATGATGTATGTAACAAAAACCCTAAAGGCACACACAGTGCAGGCTGCGGTGCTAAAACCAATTTACTGATTAACTGGACATCTATTGTCACATGAAGAGAAAAAGAATACACTGGAAATCTGACTTTGGTGTGGTAAACCTTTACATAACGGAAATTAGCTATGCAAATTCAAGGCAAAAGACAGAAATACTGCCACCAACTATTTCAAATCTGTGCTTAGTCCTTGATCACTCTATTTGTGCATGATTGTCCCTACAGCTAAGATGCTTTCCTCTCCACTTCTTTCTTCCTTCAAGTGTACAGTCAACTTAGAGCAGGGAAAGGTTGAGAAAAGGAATCCACTCCAGAGCTACTCCGTATCACAGCCACAGCAACAGTGACTGTAACAGAGGCTTGGAAGGAATTCTTCCCACCAGCAACCATGCAATAAAGATGTGATAGTTCTCTAGCTCTTTCTGCTAGCACTTCCTGTCTAAGAAGAGAAGGGCAAAAGGGCTGAAATGAGCAGAAGGCAAGGGCCTAAAGGTCAGAGCTCCAACTGCACTGGCATAGTTACCATTGGAACAAGCATGAATTCCACTGGTTAAGGTTGTTGGTCAAAGTTTTATTCATACTCAATTTAGAGTCCAGAATATTTTCATTGATTGATCAAAGGCTTCTATTTATACATTTATAAAAATTACATTTCAAAAGGAAATCATAGTTTTTCTAGACAATGTTAAAATACTTTTATTTTGAAAGTAATACATGTTTATTATGGAAAATCTAGAAAATACAGAAAGTATAAAAAAAATTCATATACTATCACCTAGGTATAGAAGCTATTAATATATTCCATTCTTTTCTAACAAAATGATTTCAAAATATCATACCTAGCATTTTCAAGGAATTTCAAGAAAACAGAGATATGTCTGTTCAATATTATATTGGAAGCCCTAAGCAGTAAGACATATTTTTAAAAGTGGTAAAATAATTGAAAGGAAGAGATGAAACCATCTGTATTTGCAAATGATGATTGTTTTATTTACTTAGAATATCCAAGAGGACCTATGAACAAGATCTTACAATTTAAAGAGTTGCTAGTATCAAAAAAAGTTTTAAAAAGTAATACATTCCTATCTGCCAGAAGTAATCAAATAGAAAATAGAAGAGAAAAAATTAAGGATTCCATTCATACTTATACGTAGGAATACACCTGCATAGAAAAAAGTTAACATAGCAGGCCTGAGACCACTATTCTTAGAAAGGCCTGTATCTGGGAATTTGGCTGGTTCTCTACATTGATATGAAATTTCCCCAGATGATAAGCGTAGCTTGCTACACCTAACCTGTTTGCGTAAACAGTGTGGTTTGTGCTGAATGCCTGTTTACTTCTGGGAGTCTTTGTTGTGTGATAAACAGTGTGTGATTATATGACCAGCACCCAATAGTAACCATGGATACAGAGTCTCTAATGAGCTTCCCTGGTAGACATCACTTCTCATGAGTTGTCACAACTTGCTGCTGGAAGAATTAAGTGTGTCCTGTGTGACTCCACTGGGAGGGAGCTCTTGGAAGCTTGTACCTGGTTTCCTCTGAACTTTGCCCCAAGAGCTGTTTCCTTTTACTAATTTTGCTTTGTATCCTTTTGCTGAAATAAATCATAGCAGTGAGTACAACTGCTGGCTGAGTACTATGAGTCCCAGTAAATCACTGAATCTCAGCGTGGTTTGGGGGACCCTCAACACACCATCTTTCTGGAGATAATTACAAAATATTTGCTGAAGAACAAAAAAAAGACCTAGGTAAATGGAGAGTTATATCATGATGGAGAATGGGAAGACAGGCGGCCCACCCACCCCCTCCCCATCATTCACACACTCAATGTAATTCCAATCAATATGCTTCCAGGGATTTTTATGGCTCTTGATAGGCCAATCCTACAATCAATATGGAAGAGCAAAGGGCCAGGAAAACCAACTGTAAACAAGAAGAAAAAGGTGGTAGAATTTGCCCAACCTGATATCATGAATTATTGTAAAACTACAATAATTAGATAGCAGGGAAGATATCTCAATGGGACTTTTCATAGAATTTGACGACATGACTCTAAAATTTATAAGCATGATGCCAGAAGTTCGAGACCAGCCTGATCAACAAAGTAAGATCCCATTTCTGCAAAAAGTAAAAAAAATTAGCTGGACATGGGGGCACAAGCCTGTAGTCCCAGCTACCCAGGAGGCTGACGTAGGATCACTGGAGCCTAGGAATTTGGAGGCTGCAGTGAGTTATGATTACGTCACTGCGATCCAGCCTGGGCAACAGAGTGAGAACCCATCTCTAAATATATATATATATATATATATATATATATATATATATATATATATATATATATATGGAGAGAGAGAGAGAGAGAATGGAATGTAATGTCAGTATCAATTTTTGTCTATTTGTGGAAGATACATTTTGGGGCTTTCTATTCTGTTCCACTGGATTGTTTGTCCATTCTTATACCAATGTTATAGCAATGCAAGAATCACCTAATACACCATCCAAGAAAGGATTATCAGAATATAGAACTCAAATAACTAAACAAGAAAACAAGCAATCCAATTTAAATATGGACAAAAGACTTGAATAGACATTTCTCAAAAGAAGACATACAAATGGCCAACAGGTATATGAACACATGCTCAACATTACTAATCATCCGGGAAATGTAAATCAAAACCACAGTGAAATATCATCTCACCCCAGTTAGAACGGCTATCATCAAAAAGACAAAAAAATAACAAATGCTGGCAAGGATGTGAAGGCAGGGGAATGAATGCTCATACACTGTTGATGGGAATGTAAAGTAGTATAGTTGTTATGGAAAACAGTATGGAGGTTCCACAAAAAAACTCAAAATAGACCTACCATATGATCCAGCAATCCCACTGCTGAATATATACCCAAAAGAAAGGAAATCTGTATATCAAAGAGATATCCCATGTTTATTGCAGCACTATTCACAATAGCCAAGATGTGGAATCAACCTGAGTGTCCATCAGTGGATGAATGGATAAAGAAAATGTGGTATATAGACACAATAAAGCAATATTGAGCCATAAAAAAGGATGAAATCCTGTCATTTGTAGGAACATGAATGGAAATGGAAGTCATTATGTTAAGTGAAATAAGCCAGGCACAGAAAGAAAAGTGCCGCATGTTCTCACTCATGCAGTAGCTAAAAAAGTGGATCTAATGGAGGTAAAAGGTAAAATTATGGTTACCAGAGGCTAGGAAGGGTGTGGGGAGACTGGAGGATGAAGAGAAGTTGGTTAAGGGGTACAAAAATATTTAGACATAAAGAATAAGTTCTATTTGATAGTACAGTAGGGAAATTATGGTTAACAATAATTTATTGTATATTTCAAAATAGCTAGGAAAGAATTGTAATGTTCCCAAAACAAAGAAAAGATAAATGTTTGAGGTGATAGATAACTCAATTACCCTGATTTGATCATTACACATTGTATACAGGAATTAAAATATCACATGTACCACAAAAATATGTAAAACTATTGTGTATCAATAAATAATAATAATAATAACATGAATTACCTCATAGATTCTTGCAATTCCACAGAGCAGGGTTACTTCTCCTGGAAACTTATCTAAGCCTTGTTTGAAAAGATTTAAAGCAGTCACAGGTTGATCCAATGAGACATAAACCTAAAAACAAGATACATTTCAATAAAAGTATAGGTTCTTAAAATTAATATTTGTTATGACATTTATAATTATTGATTAGTAACAAATTATCTCCTAGATATTACATTAAAGAATTTTTAGCCGGGTGTGGTGGCTCACACCTGTATTCCCAGCATTTTGGGAGGCTGAGGTGGGTGGACCACTTGAGACCAGGAGTTCGAGACCAGCCTGGGCAACACAGTGAAACCCCATCTCTACAAAAAATACAAAAATTAGCTGGGCATGCTGGCATGTGCCTGTAGTTCCAGCTACTTGGGAGGCTGAGATGGGAGGATCACTAGAGCCTGGGAGGTCAAGGCCGCAGTGAGCTGTGATCGCACTGCACTCCAGCCTGGGCAACAGAGTGAAACCCTGTCTTCAAAAAAAAAAAAAGAAGAAGAAGAAAGAATTTTCAAAAATGTGCAGGATTAATTTTCAATAATGACATTATAGTTTTATCTCCACATGTTATACATAAAGCATTCATTCATTTATTCTCTAACAAATGCTTACTGTGAGTTTACTATTGCCAGAGACTGGCAATAGTAACTAGACAAGAAAGAATCAAGGGAAAATCTTTTTAGGATAGAACAGGTATGATTATGTCTATAGGCTGGCATTAAGAAACCAATTAGGAGACTGAGGTTAAAGATGCTGAATAAAGAGGAGATGACCCATGGAACAAGGCCTGAGAGAGATAGGCAGTGGACAGGCCTTTCCAAAACAAGAGAGGACACAGGTTTGTGAGGTCAGGGAGTAAAGCAAGTTAGCACTTAATGGCTTCCACTTCATTAGCAATTAGAACATTAGCATGAGTAAACCATATACTTAATAGGAATTTCTAAAACAGTATTATTATTTTATGTATGGCAACATAAGATTATGACACTTTTTTTCCATGATTTTCGGATCCACTTTCTAAACAGTAAGGGTGTGCTTTGAGAAAAAATCCAAAGGGATACAATAGAAAACTAAAGTATTTATCATTAAAGTTTGAGATGAGAGAGAGAGGTATGGATAATAACTTTTCAGTTTTTACCTTATACACTATTGACTGTACAAGTTCTATATTTTAAAAATATAACAAATAATATATAATTAGTATTTACATAATCTAAAAGGTTTAATTTTTAAATTAACAATTAAGAACTTTAAAAAGCAATGTTCCTAAAATCTGCTTGATCTCTTTCCTTTACACATATACAACATATGTAAATATATATTATATAAAAATATTTATATTATATTACTATATATAGTATACATTATAATAAACATGCTATATAGTTATTATATTTATATTATATTATATATTATATAATATATAATATATTTATATTATATATGATTATATATTTATATTATTTTTATATGTTTATAATTATATAATCTTATATTTTTATATAAATTAAATATATATTGAATTTCATATGTATATATATTTTTTAGAGATGAGTCTCACTATGTTGTCCAGGCTGGTCTCGAACTCCAGGACTCAAGCAATCCTCCAGCCTCAGCCTCCCAAAGTGCTGGGATTACAGGCATGAGCCACCAGGGTACATGTGCAGGTTTGTTATATAGGTAAACTCATATCATGGGGAGTTTGTTGTACAGATTATTTCATCACCCAGGAATTAAGCCTACTACCCATTAGTTATTTTTTCTGCTCCTCTCCCTCCTTACACCCTCTCGGAGGCCCCAGTGTCTGCTGCTCCCCTCTATGTGTCCATGTGTTCTCATCAGTTAGCTCCCACTTATAGTGAGAACATGAGGTATGTGGTTTTCTGTTCCTGTGTTAGTTTGCTGAGGATAATGGCCTCCAGCTCCATCCATGTTCCTGCAAAGGACATGCTCTCATTCTTTTTTATGGCTGTATAGTATTCCATAGTGTATATGTACCACATTTTCATTATCCGGTCTACCACTGATGGGCATTTAGGTTAATTCCATGTCTTTGCTATTGTGAATAGTGCTGCAATGAACATATGCATGCATGTGTCATTGTGATAGAACAAAAATCTGCTTGATCTCTATTACATAATAACCATCCATTCATACATTAAAGAAAAACTGTATATTCTACCTCTATATAGTTGTGTAGGGAATAATAAACAAATCAATTTATGGAAAAACAGGTGAAGCCATGTATTTAACAAGAGTTAAATAAAAAGCATATTTTTTCAACAACATAGTGATTATCAATTAAGATGATAGTCAAATAGTGTGACTTGAGCCTTAATTTCAAGCTCTTTCCAAAAAGTTTACTATGATGCACAGAAACTTCTTTAAGACTTTAAGTGTAAGCTGGGCATGATGGCTCACACCTGTAATTCTAGCACTTTGGTAGGCTGAGGCCAGAGGATCGCTTGAGGCCAGGAGTTTGAGACCAGCCTATCAACACAGCAAGAATCCATCTCTACCAAAAAAAAAAAAAAAAAAAAAAAAAAAATTATCCAGGCATGGTGGCCTGTGGTCCCAGCTACTCAGGAGGCTGAGAGGAGAGGATCGCCTGAGCCTGGGAAGTCAAGGCTGCAGTGAGCCGTGATAATGGCAGTGCACTCCAGCCTGGGTGACAGAGTGACACCCCTACTCAGAAAAAAAAAAATTGTTTAAGTTGAATATATCACATATAGAAGATAAAGTTAGATACCAGATAGTTTCAAACATTTTTGAAAGTCATTAAAACATACTAAGACTAGCACAGTAAATTTATATAACTTTCATTTTGCTTTTCATATGTTAATTTTTATTCCCATATTTAGGAACTAGTAGCACTTCCTTTTATATCTCATCTTCTTTTGAATCTCCTTTACCACATTTTTTAATTTAAGAAACTCTAACAGATAAAGCAAAATCATGTCATCACCACCACTTGTGTTTTTCTTTCAAAGTAGCCTTGGTGAGGGTCAAGAAGTAACTTTACTCCACTATTGAAAATTCTGGCCAGGCATGGTGGCTCCCACCTGTAACCCCAGCACTTTAAGGAGGCTGAGGCGGGAGGATCACTTGAGGCCGGCAGCTCAAGACCAGCCTGGCCAACATGGTGAAACCCCATTTCTACTAAAAATACAAAAATTAGCTAGGCATGGTGGTGTGCATCTGTAATCCCAGCTACTTGGGAGGCTGAGACAGGAGAATCACTCGAATCTAGGAGGCAGAGGTTGTAGTGAGCTGAGATCATGCCACTGCACTCCAGCCTGGGCAACAGAGCAAGACTCCATCTCAAAAAAAAAAAAAAATGAAAGAAAGAAAATCCTAGGTGGCCCCATCATTTCTGCTGTGGCTGCAGGTGGCACTGCAGCAGTGACTAGGTCTGGAGTCAGAAAGACCTGGATCTGAATGCTAACTCCTAACCACCAAGGGACCCTGAAAAACTTACCCCTCTTTAAATTTAATTTTCCTTAAGAGTATAAAGGAAATGATAAAACTCACCTTTGCAGGGTTATTGTGAGGGTTAAACTGTATATATAATGAACATGATAAAATGTTTTACACTGAGTAGGTGATCAATAAAGGTGAAGTATTATTTTTATTATTATGCCTCAGCCGAGTAACTAGGAACCTAAGTAAAAACAGTCCCTGTTCTCTACTACCTGCCCAAGTGGGATACAAAGGTACTGTAGAAAATAAGGCCTCATTGGGGCCTGTTACCTATGCGAGTAGTGAGCCTATGGTATTTTCTCCTGTCCTAATGGGCAATCTTTCAAATGGGTCTTCTTATTTTTCATGGCAATCAATTTCTTATGAGACAGTTACCCTCTATACGTTCTCATTTTTTCCCTTGCTGTAAAGAAAAACAAGTTAAATCTAAACATAGTAACTTGCCAAATATTCCTGAAGAAGCTGTTTACTCTCCCCATGCAATGGCCAGAATTTAAACATTTATTCTGAGAAGGCAGATTTCACTCAAATTAAGATTTACTTACTTTTGCCAAGTACAGAAATGTATCTACCATTTCCTGCTGCTTCAGGGCTGATTTAAACTGTTTTTCTGCTTCACGATACATTCCCAACCTACAAATAGCAATTTTAAGAATTAGACATTCAACTTAAAAATAAACACTACATCATACCCTGAGGATGAATAGAGACAAATTATAAGAGGAAGCACATACCAAGGAAGGTAATGTTGCACATACACATAAATTAACATGTTTATTTATACAGCTTAGCAATAAGTTGCCTATCTCCCATATTCACTGGCTTCTAACCCCCAAATGGTATGTAAAGAGTCTGTCTGAAGCCTAGTCACAGCAGGACTAAGATAATAGCTGCTAGTAAGCCAGGTCACATCAGTTCACCACCCAAAGAGCTTATGATCAGCTGGACATATGGCAAGTGACCTGAATAAATGCTTAGAGTCTCCATATTACTGGAAGAGCTGAAGGATGACATTTATTTGAAAATCTCTTCTGCTCTGAGACAAAAGCACATTTTTAAAAGCTATCTTTAAAAGCTATTCTGATGTAAGTAATAATTAGCACTTGGGTAATATAGTTATACCATTTTATTATTCTAGAAATCTTGTTTTCCCTTATTAGATATCTGATACTGATTGTCCTAGTCTATGAATCTGAGATTTGCTCCTTGCCTAAATATGACTGTCCTGATGTAAGTAGGGCCTACCTCTTACACCCAGGAAAGAATCTGTTGCCACTAATTCAATCATTAAAACACACACAACTTTCAACAGGTCTATTCATTCATGTCCTTAATAGACCTGTTAGGCTTACTCATAACCACTCATTTTTTAGCTATCTGAGAGCTACTCAGATACGATAATGTTTTATTTTGTGAAATCAAATCAAAATGATATACAGTATGCTCCATTGTGCTACTTTCATTTAAAGGCTTGAAAGAAGACCTTTGATCATTTTTCATAACCTTAAACCTTAAGCATTGGTGTGGCTGATGCCCAAATAGCTATTGGAGGCCTTGGGATTAAAGTGGTTAAAGGCTAAAGTGAGAAGATGTGGGACATGGCAGAAGCCCCTACCTCTTCAAAGGTCCCACAGTTTCACAGGGAGTATTTATAAAATGTTATCAAAGAACTCTAAAGTTCTGAAAACCAACATATATATGTACACAACATCAACTGAACATGCAAATCTTTTTCTTTCTTTTGAGATAGAGTCTCTGTCGCCCAGGCTGGAGGGCAATGGTGGGATCACAGCTCACCGCAGCCTTGCCCTCTGGGGCTCAAGCAATCCTCTGTCTTAGCCTCCCAAGTAGCTGGGATTACTGACATGTACCACTATGCCCGACTAACTTTTGTATTTTGTTTCGGTAAAGACAGGATCTCACCTTGTTGCCAAGGCTGGCTGCCAACTCCTGGGCTCAAACTATCCTCCCACCTTGGCCTCCCAAAGTGCTGGGATTACAGGCATGAGCCACCGCACCTGGCCATGCATGCAAGTCTTAAACACGTGACTGAAATACAGTCACTAAATTCCATGAATTTAAATTATCCATGAGAGTCTGTGTATTTTTATCTAACTTGTTTCTTTCCAAAAATGATTTAAAAGGGATTACAATAAAAAGATACATATAAAACAAGAATATGAAAACAGAAATAGATTATTTTAAAAACAATGTAGATAAATTTTAAAAATAAAAATATAATCAGAAATATTACACTACATGAAAGCCAAAGAACCATGTTCTTTATTACTACAGCCTTAAGAGAGAACTTAATCTAATACTATCAAAAAGGAATCCACCACATGAATTCTTGTGCAAAGAAAATGGAACATGCCATGTTCAAAGAAAGTCAAGGCATAAAACATCAGTCAAGTTTATAAACACCGGCCAGTATCAAAGAGTCAGAGTCCAGCTGCCAACTTTTTCTCTCCAACTTAAAGTTAACAAAACTGTAAAGTGTCAACTGCGTGCTTATTTCGTGATGGTAAGGAGATGAAAAATGAAGAAGGTAACAACCATGTCCTTAAAGCAATGATAATCAAAGAATGAAACAAAACATGTTCACAAATAAATTTAATCATATTATGGTCAATCAGGAAAAAAGTGCTTTGAGAGCACAGAGGAGGTTCAGGGAGATAGTAAACAGGCAAGATTTCAACAGCCAGATGTGGAGGGAAGAGCGACATTTCCAAAATAAAATTAAACCATGAACGTAAGTACATAGGCAGTAAAGTAAACAGCATGTTAGGGAATGCTGAATTTGGTTTCATTGAAAAGGACATAATAATGGGAGTATGGCAGGATTCAATGGCTAATGCCTATAATCCCAGCACCTTAGGATGCCAAGGCGGGAGGATGGTGTGAGTCCAGGGGTTCAAGACCACCTTGGGCAACATAGCAAGAACCTGTCTCTATAAAAAAGAAAGCTTTAAAAAATTAGCCGGGCATGGTGGCATGTGCCTGTAATCCCAGCTTGGGAGACTGAAGCAGGATGGCTTAAGCCCAGGAGATTGAGGCTGCAGTGAGCCACAATCATATAACTACACTCCAGCCTGGGTGAAAGAGCAAGATCCCATCTCTAAAAAATATAATAAAATAAAATATTATACAAAATTACCTTCAGGCTATGTGTATAAGGTTTATATGAAACATATATGAATTTCATCTTTAAACCTGGGTCCCATCCCCAAGATATCTCATTAAATATATTCAAATATTGCAAAATCTGAAACACTTCTGTTCCCAAGCATTTCAGATAAGAAATACTTAACCCGTAATTATTTACTGTCCTCTCTCCTCCATTCTATTGTAAACCATTTGAAAGAACGGACAATCTAATCTTTTGTACTCCCAGTTCCTGGCAGAGTAGCTGCCCATTAAATATTTTACTGAGTGAATGAATGAATGTATAAGTGAAAGAATACTGAATATGTCATAAAGATGGGCAGGTATTAAAGAACAGAAAAGAAGGATAATTTAATATGACAAGGTACACTCATTTAAATGCCATCGTATATGGATGGCAAAAGGAATCAGAGTTTTGCTTTCCTTTAATTATCAAGCATTTCTGAAGGTTTTGCTTGGCAGCTCAAGATTTCAAGACTGTCTCCAGGAATTACATTCATAAGAGTTTAATGATATAATGGTCTAAAATTACCTTTTAGCAGAAAACACTTTCTCCATCTAGCAGCAGGAAAAAACACTTTAGAGTTTTATGTGAAATATCTAAATGGAAAGTAGTCTTAATTTCAACGGCAGAACAATAAACATGCTTTTTGTCCCATTTATAGTCTTCTTTTTTCTCAGAGTACTTGAATGACAACTGAAGCTTATAAATATTGAAGTGTGCTCATAGTAACTGAAGTCTACCCTATTTTAATAATAAAAGATATTTATACTTAAAAATAGAATTGTTCATTTGTTTCTATTTTTCCAAATGTTCTATATGCATTTCAATATCAGCAACAAGTTTCAGATCTTATTTACTAGTTGCTATATAAATATTCATAAAATTCATTACGACTCTTCTGATCTCTCAGTTAATTTGCTTTAAAATACATTGAAACATTAAGAGAATATAAAAATACTCAGGTCCTACAGAAACAATATGGAATTGTGGAAACAGCAAGAGAATTGGCGTCAGAAAGGGAGCTCAAATTCTTGTTCTGCCACTTACTGGTTACGTGAATTTGGACAAATCACTTTATCTTTGTGAGGCTCAATTTTTTTCATCTGGGAAAAGGACTAACGATAGCCACTACCTCCAAGGTTCTGTGAGACTTAAGTGAAATGGTATAATGTAGGAACAAAGTATCTCTTAACTATGAAGTGTTTTACAGATGTGAGGCATCAGTGTAAATAAAAAGATTTGATTACCAAGAGAACAGAACTAGAAATCAGCAGACTTGGTTCTAGTCCCTGGTCTGTTACTCACTAGCTCCTGATGCAAATTACAGCCACTGTCTTGGCCTCAGCTTCCTCATGTGAAAAGGGGAGTTGGGCCTGATGGTCTCAAAGCTTCCCTCTCCCAGCTCAAAGTTTTATTATTCTAAAGGTATTAATTCTTATTGCTACCCTGTGATTGTTAAGTAAATGCTTTATCAAGTAAGTCAAAGACACAGTTCTCATTTCTTCATGGGAAAATCTCCCCCCCCTCAAAAAGTATCAGATTTGAGACCCTAAAATACGTGGCCACTTCTAAGCCCTTCACAAATAATGAAATTTACCTGTAGTAACATTTTCCAATCTGTACTTTCCACCACCAGTCCTTGTACTGAGAATGTTCTGTGGAGAGGGCAGCCAGATCCAAAGCCTTTGAAAACAATTCATTTTAGATTAGTATTTTCTTTTCTAACAATAAGCAGTCAGGAAAATAAATAATGAAATAGACCATATAATTAGCACCAATCAAAATGTGCATTAGAAATCCGACAGAAACTCAAGTTGCTCATGTTTCCAGATGGCCCCACCAATTTTCACTAATCAGTTCCAGACCAGAGGGCTAATAGCAGATGAGATAAAAACACTCATCAAAGGGAAGCAGATGTATAATATATTTGAATATAATTTTAATATACAAGACACAAAATTGATATTAAAAAATGCCTAAGTTTTTACCCACTCCCCCTGATTTATCTACTGTATAATGATTCAAAATGCCTCCAAACTCCGTGGCAGTCAAGTCTTCGGTGTGTAAGCCAGATCCAGTGGCAGTGCCCACTTTCAAGACAGATGTAGAGAAATAAAGATTAAGTAAGCAGGTAGAGAAAAGGCTTGGAAAATGGGATCATGAAGAAGAGTGAAAGGAGCTGGAGTATTTGGATAACTGTTGTCTTCAACAACCATCATTTCACTTTTCTGACATCACCTTAAGTCCCAGTAAATTCTAAGGAGCAGACTGCCCTTTGCCACAAACTGAAAAAGATCTTCTCTTCAATTGTTTTCATATTTTACATTTGTTTACCCCATATCTTTAATACCCTCGAGTTTGTTCCCTCTATTGTTTATTCAAGATTAGACAAGAGGTGACTAAAAAAGAATTAGAATTTTACATAGAGGAGGTGGAAACCATTTTTGACAAAGGGAAAGCAAATCAGTCTTTGTAGAAATTTGAAGCTCAGATAAAGATGTGATTAATAGAAGCTGGGGCTACTAGTTAAGAGAGAATTCTGATTTTTTGTAATACGATTTTTCTCTCAAGGCTGAAAGTTTTTTATTCTTTAGCCAGTGTTAACATAATCATGATATCCAAGAGCTCAGTTAAAGTACCTCTTAGATTTTCAGTTCTATTATCTCAAAACACATCCCAGATTACTGTCCACTTCTTAATACCAACTCTTTTCTGAAATGAATGCGAGTTCCTTAATCTTACTGTATAATTAATTATTTTTCCTTGTGTTCCCCATCTTCTCTTGCTCCAGGGGAGATCTTTAAATATGCAAACTACTTATAAAGAAATGGTGACACCATGCTGAGCCTCTAATGGACTTGAAAAATCAGCATCTCTACTTGAAAGCTATGAAAATTAAAAAGAAGCCACACAGTACTTTCATATGCTTATTTTTCTCCCCCACCACCCTGCCCCCAGCCAGAAATAAAAATGAAACAAAAAAAAATGAGGAGAAAAGTATAACTACAATTAGCATTATTTTCAGATATACTAGAAAAATATATTTTCAGCCAGCTTAATTCAGGCATACATGGTAAATATCTAAACATTTTAAGTTGATCTTTATAAAGACCTTTTTCCAGCAAATAGACCATAGTCCTTCTCATGCTTTGTATAAACAGACCTTCTATTTTTTAGAAAAAGATGTCATGCAAAAATTTTTTATGTCTTCTAACTTCCCAAGGTTAGATTTAGTGCTTCTTACAGGTTGCTGGTTTTGCTTGCATAGTTGGTCCTAAAACAACTCATCCTATGGAGAACCCATATCTTTGTGCTAATCCAATTAAGGATATTAATATAAATTATTGATACAGAATAAAAATGGCAAAAAGAAATTATAATGATGAAGACTCAGGCTGCTAAGGACTGAACTCTGACCTTTTTTTCTCTTGCCCCAAATCCTTTCTAAGCAGACCCCACAAACCATAAAATCTCATTAAACAGTTTTTTTAAACTAAGCTGGTATAATGCAGCCTATTTTCCAATCTGACTCTAGTGTAGCATCACATGAGAGATGGCAGACACCCCCTGATCTTAAACATCCTTATGTACTGACTTCAAGTCTTTAGACAAAGATTACCTTTCAACCAATTGCCAACTAAAGAATCCCTAAAACCCACCAATGACTTGTAAGCCATGGCTTCGAGATGTACAGAATTTTCAGGCCCAATCACTGTATACCTTCCATGTACTGATTTATGATTTTACCTGCAATTCCCATACTTTCCTGAAATGTACAAAGCCAAACTGTAACCCAGTTGCCTTGGGCACACTTTCTCAGGACCTTTTGAGACTGTGTATCCCCAGACCGAGGTCACGCATATTGACTCAGAATAAACCTCTTTAAATATTTTGACAGAATTTGGTTTTTCTGTCCTCACTGGCACTAAAGAAAAACATTTGTGACAATTTCTTTCCTTTCTTTTTTGATACAGTCTTGCTCTGTTGCCCAGGCTGGATGGAGTGCAGTGGCACAATCTCGACTCCTCCACCTCCCAGGCTCAAGCAATCTTCATGCCTCAGCCTCCTGAGTAGCTGGGATTACAGGTATGTGCCACCCTGCCCAGCTAATGTTTTATGTTTTTAGTGGAGACACGGTTTCACCCCATGTTAGCCAGGCTAGTCTCAAACTCTTGACCTCAAGTTGATCCGCCTGCCTCAGCCTCCCAAAGTGCTGGGATTACAGGTGTGAGCCACCATTCCTGGCCCATCTGGGACAATTTTAAGTGGCTGGCAAGCTCCCTGAGGACAGATAATCCTCTTTTACATCTGTGCTGTTGTTCTGGAATATTGCTGTGCACAGAAGAGGTACTCAAGAACTATCTGTTGACTGAATTAATTATAATCTTTGTTTCTGACGTCTGTTGACAACACCTTAAAAACCAAACAAAATTGTCATAGTAATAAGATTCATAATTAAAAGCTATTAACCTTAAAATTTTTAAGTAGTGACAGATCTATATTTCTTTAATCATTCCCAAATTTTTAAAATAAATAAGACTTTAATGATTTTTGGATGATTTAGTAAAACCAATATCTAGATATTAATAAAAGCTCAGAATGCCATTTTTTTAAAGCAGTAAGTTTATAAAAGTCCAAAAGTAGGAGGAATTTTGGCAGATCTAAGTTTAAAAAAAGTCATCCTTTCACTGTTGTTATAGTTGTAACAACTTCAGGATGATGAAATTAAAGAGCATGTGGAAACAAAGATTGCAGAATCACCAACCCACATGCCACTTTAGTTTTGTCGATACCAACAATATTGTCCAAAAAGGGAAAGGTGGGGAAAGGGAGTTATTAAATACTCAAAGGCAGAAATAGTTTTCCATATATAACTTTACTTTTTCCTAACATTTAAATACCACTGCATGGCGTTCTCTGTCTCTACAGTATTCTTCCTATTAGTCTGTAGATAAACACAGAATCACCAGCCCACGTGTCCCCTGAGTTTCGTTGATACTGCCCACCCCCACAACATGAGAAAAGCACTAAAAGCTCAAAGACAGAAAAATCGTTTTCCATGGACAATCAATTTTATACTTTCTTAATATTTAAACACCATTTCAAGGTATTTCTTATATTTGTCTATAATATTCTCTGTATTTGTGTTAAATACTTTATTTAAAGAGAAATTTGGAGGCCACCCAAGGTATCTAAATATGAAAACACCTCTGATTTCTTAACATGTTAAAAAACAGAATTCCTGTTTTCTTTTTCCAGCTAAAGTTACAAAATATATGTAAGATATAAAAATACATGCTTTATACTTATTATCTAAATCCTTCTTCCATTCAGAAAAGAACATTTCTGGTAAAAGCAAGAATGACATTTTAATGGAACAATCTGATCCACAACATCACTATAATGTGGCAAGACTGTACCAGAGTGAGAAACAGAACAAGACATCTGTCCAACTCAGCACCCCTAGCACCCATCAAAGTACCAATATATACAACCCAATCATTATTATTTAAAGAATAAACTAATCAACGCATGTATCAATATATGAATTAGTAAATAAAATGGAAAACAAAGGAACAATTTGTGTTTCTCACTAAATAAGAACAAAACAAATTGCTCCATTTTATGTTCTACAAAAAATGTATGTATATTGGGGGTAAGCAGATGAAAATAACAAGCAGAGTACAAATTGGCAGCATTTTAATATATTATTGCCCCTAATTTATAATTCATTTTACTATAACATTATTGTTGAAAAATTTTAAAACAAAGGTAAAGTTAGACTTAATCTCCGTTAGTACCATGAGGTACAACATAGGCATTCAACAAATATTTGTGGAATGAATACATCTTAACCTCAAAATACTACCACTTTAATGTTTAAGTAATACCTTCTAGTATCTGTCATAAATGCATATTTTTAGAGTTATACTTCTATTTAACATACTAAATGGTATACTTTTGGCTTAACATTATAAAATAAACACTTTCCATGTTTCTGCCTAGTGTTTATAATTATGGTTTTTAATGGCTACATAAGATTCCATCATGCTATTTATTATAATTTACCAAACTCATTCCCTATTGTTAAACATTTAGGTTAGATATAGTTTTGCCACTATATCTAAAGTTACAATGAACACCATTGCAAATACAGCACTTTAGTTTTTCCTGCAATCTCCTGAGAAGTGAAATTACAGAAACAAATTGAGGAACTATCTTTAAGGCTATCTGCTCTATATTATCATATTGTTTTCCAAATTGTGGTACCATGTGTAATATCACCTATAATGTATGACAACTAACTGTACTCTCCCTCAGGATTTTTTTTCTAATTTCATAAATATAAAACTCAAAGTCCAAAGACTCTTTATTTTATATTTTTGTTGTTATTAAAAAAGTACACCTCTAATGTGCTTATTTACCAGCATTTTTTCTAATGTAAATTTTCTGTTTTGGGGTCATTTCTATTGTCATAAAAATTTTTCAAAAATTAAGATCAGCTTTTTTTTTTTTTTTTTTTTTTTTTTGAGACAGAGTTTCGCTCTTGTCGCCCAGGCTGAAATGCAGTGGCGCGATCTGGGCTCACGGCAACCTCTGCCTCCCGGGTTCAAGCAATTCTCCTGCCTCAGCCTCCTGAGTAGCTGGGATTACAGGCACCTGCCATTATGCCTAGCTAATTTTTGTATTTTTAGTATAGACAGAGTTTCACCATGTTGTCCAGGCTTGTCTCGAACTCCTGACCTCAGGTGATCCACCCACCTTGGCCTCCCAAAGTGCTGGGATTACAGTTGTGAGCCACTGCACCCAGCCAAGATCAGCTTTTTTATACATGATAAATACCAATATTTCAAAATCATGCTTCATGTACATAATTCCCCCTTCTATTGCCCTTTTACTTCTGATTTTGTTTCTGTCCACTAGATAGAGATTACACATATGCATCAGTAAGTCTTTTTCCTTTGTGATTGTTTCACAAATCCAACCAACTTTATGAAATACCCTAATGTTTGCTAGTTTCAATTTTTTTTCTTCTTCATTGATTAAATATCTAAAATAAAGTCCCCAGACAAATTTTCTCAAGTGTCATTTAATGAATCATAAAGATAAAAGAGTCAACGATTTTGTTCAATATTGCTTGGTTTTGGTGTTTTAAGAGAGTCACTGTTACCAAGAATAAAAATATATAATTTATAAATGGGGACTCCAGTTCTCAATAGTTTTTACTATCACCTCCGTGTTAATGAGATATGTTTGAGTCATGTTTGCTGTCTCTTTTCTCTTCATTTGCTGATTTCTTTCATTGAGACAGGTAACACACCTCCCTCTTGTTTTGTTTGCTATAGGGAGCTCTGGTTTTTGAGTTCTGCTAATATTCCCCAGGTCTATTTTACTACACAGGAACACCTGGCATTACACCCGTCTATTAACCATTGGTTTTTAAACTACTATATTCTAAGGCAGTATTTTCCAATCCTGCCTGAAAATTAGCATTGCCTGCGGAGCTTTTATTAACAACAGATTCGCCACACCTACCCTTGAGGATTCTGACTCAAGAAGTCTAGCACAGATCCAGAAGTCCTTATTTAATAATTCCCCAGGTAATTTAGAAGCAGAGCCCTATATAGGAACTACCCAACAGCCCCAATATTTGAGGGGCAGAAGATCATGGGGTGGGACGAGCAAGGAGGAGGCTGATGGATATGTTCTAAGTTTGCTAGCCCTGCTATAATTCAAGTAGCTCACCTTTTGTCTGTTTTACGTATTAGGGTCTCGATAAGATTTCACTTGAAGAAAAGGATTTTGCTGCTTAAAATAAAAAGTTTAAATGTTACTACTCTATCTGTTTAAAATCAAAAATTTTTAAGTTCATATGCATGAAGAACTATGATACTAACATAATATGTAAAAATTACAGTCGGCTAACCCTTAGAATCTTTAGAATATTAAGTGCAGTAGTGCAGGGAATAAATCTTACATTTTTTTCAATGTGATTTTTATTCCTCAATAAGAATGGGTAAATTCCAAGATGTAGAACTACATCTTCAAGATGAATCTATTAATAAAAAACATTGTCACCATGACCTACAAATGGCTTATGATCTGCCTAGCTTCTAAACTCATCACCAACAACTCTTCCCCCTCACAGGCCTCACTCAGCCACACTGGCCTTCTTACTGTTCCTTAAACAACCCAAGCATGCTTCTACTCAGGACCTTTACAGTTAAAGCTCTTTGAAAATGCTCTTCCTACACATAATGATGTGGTTCCTGTCCCCCTTCATTGAGGTGTCTGTTAGAATGTTTTCTTTTCTTTTCTTTTTTTTTGAGACAGAGTTTCACCCTGTCACCCAAACTGGAGTGCAGTGGCATGATCATGGCTCACTGCAGCCTCGACCTCCCTGGGTTCAGGTGATCCTCCCAGAGTAGCTGGGACTACAGCTCTATCCCTCTAGAGTAGCTGGGACTACAAGCACGTGCCACCATGCCTGGCTAATTTTTGTATTTTTTGTAGAGACAGGGTTTCGCCACGTTGCCTAGGCTGGTCTCGAACCCCTGGGCTCCAGTGATACACCTGCCTCAGCCTCCCAAAGTGCTGGGATTCAGCCACTGAGCCACATATTTTCTGTTCAGAGAGACTTCAATGACCACTCCCCCCTCCATCCAAAATAGCATCCTCCCCCACGTCATTATTTATTCCCTTATCTGCTTTCCTGCTTCTTTGTTGTTACAGTACTCATTAGCCCATAAGACTTCATACATTTTAAAGTTTGTTTCTATTCCTTGCCCAACCAGAATATTATCTCTAAAAGAGCAGAGACTTTGTCTGTCTGTTTCACTGTGTGATCTCAGGGCTGGAACTGTGGTTCAAACATACATTGGATGAAAGAATAAATGCCCCTGATATGCATTAATCTTCCAAATACAAGAGTATCACTTTATGATACTCTAGTAATTTGAGATTTACTAATTTATGAAATGGAATAGCATTCTAATGCTTTTTAATTACAGTTTGACCATATAATTTTATATATCATCATGCTGAAAGCCCCTCACCAGCTTTTTATGAAGTTAAAATGGCTGACTTTTATTTACAGAAGTGTGCATGGTTTCTCAGCTGTCCCAACCTTCATTTTTTCTTTTCCCTACATAACCACATCTATGAACACCACATTCTATACATGTGGCCCAGGCTGTCCCCTACATTTCAATGTCACATCTCCCAACACATGCAATGGTATCTCCACTTAGATAGCCTTTTGTCATTTCAAGCTCAAAACGCCTTCAAGTCACTTAGTCAGCTTCTTTACAAACTGACTTCCTTCCCTAATTATCCCATTTCTGCCAATAAAACTATCACTCTTCTCACAGCATCTCTAGGAGGCAAATTTGACCTGTCTGTCTTTCCTTTGTCCCTAGCATCAAATCTATCATCAAGTTCTGTCACTTCCTTTTTTAAAATGTCTCTGTGGAACTCCAATTTTCTAGGATAAGGACGATTTAGTGATCATTCCATATCTCTTTCTTGTTTTTGCCCTTTCTTTACATTTCTTTTTCCTCCTTTCCATACATTCTACTTATTTTCATGGATCTTTACTAATATCATCCCTTCTGAATTTTTCCCTTTCCTACTTGGTAACAACTTCACAGTTTGACAATTACCTCTTTAACTATTTCATTTATGTCCATTTTATTTCTTCAGCTAGATTACATGGCTTGTAGAGGCAGGAAAAAGTATCATATTTTTTATTAGTTCTCCTAGTGTATAGCTAGTGGTTGACACATAGAAAACACAATTAAGGGGATGGCTATGGTGGCTCACACCTGTAATCCCAGCACTTTGGGAAGCTGAGGCAGGAGGATCACTTAAGGCCAGAAATTCAAGACCAGCCTGGGAAACATAGGGAGAGCATGTCTGTACAGATAATTAAAAAAAAAAAAATCAGCTGGGCATGGTGGCACACGCCTATAGTCCCAGCTACTTGGGAGGCTGAGATGGGAGGATCGCCTGAGCCTGGGAAGTCAAGGCTACAGTGAGCCGTGATAATACCACTGCATTCCAGCCTGGGTGACAGAGTGAGACTCTGTCTCAAAAAAAAAAGAAGAAAAAAAGAAAACACAATTAAGGAAAACATTTTTATTTTCCTAAATGCTTAATGTATGGATATAAAGCCTTTTTCCTGGAACTAATAGGAAAATGAGAAAACATGCAATCAGACACTGTAGAATGAACTGCATTTGATTTGACCAAAGTTGTTCCATTATTGCTCATTTGCATATAAGTATGCAAAAATCAAAACAATTTGAGAAGTCATACGCATATAACTTTAAAATTCTCTGTTAAGAGGCTATGAAGACGATTCCCTCTACTTTTGTATGTTTGAAATCTTTGATCATAAAACGTTAATGATGGGGAAAAGGACACACCACAAAAATAACAGAAATATGCATGTTAGTAAACCTATAATATACTATATGGACTAAGGAAATAAACAGATCAACAACA
This sequence comes from Homo sapiens, assembly GCF_000001405.40. NCBI lineage: Eukaryota > Metazoa > Chordata > Mammalia > Primates > Hominidae > Homo > Homo sapiens. The sequence continues at coordinate 88,844,147 of NC_000014.9, read as the reverse complement.
CCATTAGCATAAAAACTATAACTTTAACACAAGCATGTTATGCAGTATTCTCAATAACCTGTATCTTCCCATTTATTGGAGATCTACATACTCTATGAACCAAGCATAGTTCTTATCACTTGTATATTTATACACATTTTCCCACAGAAACTGAGGGTGGATTTTAAAGTATTAGTAGTTCTCCAATCTTTAATAATTTCATCTGTTTATAAGGTCAGAAATAGAATATTTCAGAATCTAAACTTCCAAAGTCAGAAAAATTACAATAAAAGAAAATAGCATGAATTCAAAACTTACAGTCTTAACATCATTTTCATGATGAAAGATATACTCAAACAAAGCCTGTGAAGAAAAAAGTGTCAAAAATACGTTAGATTTTTTTTTTTAATTTGCTGTTAACAAAAGTACTCTAAAGCCCTGGATTTATAGATAAAAGGGCCTATCCATCTTTTGTTACTATCACTCATTTTAAAATATTACTATTTATAACTGATTCTGGTTTTAACAGAATACAAACTGGAATGCTCAAAGAATTAAACTTTTTTTCGTATTATGTATTTTATTAGAAAGACAATTGAAAAATTTATTTCTTAAAGACCAACTTCAGAATTGTCGTAAAACAGATGCAGACAATTCTTTATATTCTCTACATATATTATACAGTGATTATGATATTAATAATGATAATTTAGACATAAAAAAACTGGAAGTTTCTACTGAAACAAAGTAGAGTACAAGGGTAAAGCAGGGTGTTTTTTGCTTAATTTTTAAAGCTATTTTTCCTTATATGGTATTCATAGTAACTCTATGATTCAGAATATTCAGGTTTCTTTAGCAGGGTGCTACTCAGCTAAGCTGGACATTGGAATCACCTGGCGGTGGGGCACATATCAGACCACTTAAATTAAATCAGAGTTGGGGGGATGGCAAAGCCCTGACCTTATATTTTTTAAAGCCCTCAGATAACTCTCATGTACAGCCAGGGCTAAGAACAATTATTTCCAATATTTCACTCAACTCCTCTAAACAAATAAGCATTTACTCTTATTGGTACTACCTTTTTCCATAATACCATCTTGTTACACTTGCAAAGAGGCTAACAGCCCTGGAAAATATCAAGGTTACTAACAAAGAAGACTTGGAGGCAACCAATTTTTTAAAAAAATCAAGACAAGGCCTTTCTTTAAAAAAAAAAACAAACCTATAACAATCCTTCCATTTGTTCTGTTATAAAGAAACAAAAGTTAAGAGTGCAATTGGTGCTACTACTGCCATGAAAATGACGTTACAGCATCAAAGACAGTGTCATAGAGTCACCCTAGACACCCCAAGCAATATGCCTTTATTAAAAATGACTCCTTTTGGGTCAAGGCAAGCTGGGGGCCAAAGACAGAAAAACCTGGCATTATTTCTACAACACACTAAAAAAGCACAAAATCTAGTTCAGGCTAAATCTAGTAACAGACCAGATCTGTCCTGGATGCATCTTAATTTAATTGAGAAAAATGCTTCCACTGACTGACTCTCTGGTCAAAAAATAGCAATGGTATCAACTAGCCAGACAGTCCCTTCAAGTAAGCGACCTTAAAGGGTAGGGAACCAGATATTCCACATGAGTTGCTTTCACTACTCCACTCTCATAAAAGAAAGGGAAGTAAGGATAGCTTTACAATTTTACTAAATGAAGTCAACAGGATTGCTGCTGAACAAGAATTTAAGAAAAAAATCAGCAGCAATTATTACTGGCTAATTCCCTGTCTACCAAATGGCATCTTTTTTTCAGACTTAAACTTAAGTCTGTACAGCTAGTGTCCATTTTAATTTTCTCTAGAGTGTTTGGTATTTAGTAAACACATACGTTAAACACCATTAGAACTGAGATTAGGAATGAGCTCAGCACTTATGCTCAGAGATTTCAGCTAAAAACCTGAGCTAGGCTTAAATTAGTTTCTGGAAGATAAGTGCTCCTGTCTCTGAATTATTGCAAGCTCACCCTCAAGGTTTATATACTGAAAAGGTCATGGACACCTTCCTTTATTTTTCTTTTTCTCTTTCTCTCCCTCTGCCTCTCTTTCCCTTTCTCCCTCTCCTTCTGCCTCTCATTTTCTCTTTAATTTAAAGGAGCATTTAATCTTTGAGTAGTGATAATTACTAATGTGGTTGGCATGCCACTATGTGGTTTCAGTAATCCTTTTTGAGATGCCTGATAAATTACTAATTAGGAGTACATAATTTTTATCATCCTTTGACAGTCCTAAAAAACCTACAAGGATAGAAAATTATTTCTCTGAGAATAGTCCAAGCTAAAAAGGAAAAAAATACGTACATATACAGATGACTTCTTAAGCTTCATTCTACAAAGATGATGCTGCATACCTGCTTTCTTTGTTACAAATTACTACTCTTTATCAAGGGAAAAGAATTTCCTATAATAATGGTATATGTACTTTATTTCTGACTGACCTTCCTTAACTCAATTAACTCAAAGACTAAGAGTAATTTTACATATAAAACATTTCCACTTCAATAAAGACATGGCCTTTCCTTCACAAGTTTTTATTCATTTTCTAATTTGTCATTATCATCATACGTGTAATATTACTTCATAACTCAAAATCATTTTAAGTACATACCTTTGCCAACTTAGGTTTCTGGGAATACTTTGTTAAATTCAGCCTAGATAAATTTATAAATGGTCCATCAGGACTTGTAAGCATGGAAGCCTACAGAGGAAAAACAATAGACCAAGAGATCTGAAACTTTCTCTTGAAATGTAAACAAGTTTAATATGCATAAAAATATAAAGGCAACATAAATAAAAATAATCACCTTCAAAAATCTTCCATATAATTCTCCACTATAACAACAGGGGAAAATGATATACCATAATATAAAGCTACTTTGGTAATACCAAAGTAATACAAGGCTATGGGAAAGCTGATAGAATTTACCGTTCCCAGCCTGACAAATCTTCCGGAGGAGCTGGTGATAGGGCGGGCTGTGTAGGCGGTTCTGGGTGTTCTGATAGCCTGTTCCATAGTGCCTGGCCTTCCACTCTGCGTGCTGGGCCTGAGGAAACCTGTAATGGGTCTTCCAGCTTGTGTGATTGGCCTGTGAAGATTATAAATTGTTATAATACAAAGAAGATCATTTGAGGAAAGACTCTCATACAGTCTGATCAATATTTAGTGGCAGAGGTTATGAAGCAGAAGTACATACCTAACGGCCTGGCTAGGCCCTCCTGTCTGATTAGTTCCAGGGAGTTTCAAAGACGTTCCAGGGCCTAGGAGACAAGATGGCTAATACAATTTATATATTATCTATTAATCTGTAAAAACTGTAAGCTAATACAATTTTCAGAATTGCGCTGGCCTGGTGAAAAAGACATTAATAGCAAGAAATGTATTTTAGGGAGATGTGTTTTAGACTAATATTTAATGAGTACCTATCATGTTACTTATGTCATCACATTTAATCATCACATTAAGTCTGTAAAGTAGGTAGTATTAACCTATTTAACAAAGGTTCACAGAATTAAGTAAACAGGTCAACCTATTAGTAGGGCTGGGATTTAAACTCAAGACTAACAGGCTCCAAAGTTCAAAATAATGGTTCTATCTTCATAGTTCAATTATTTCTCATACAAACTTCTCCCAATAAAAGATAATTTACCCACAATATCTAGAATTTAGATATTTTTAATTCTAAAAGAACAAAATAATGGTAAAGAAAGATATATTAACATAAAAATATGTATTTTTTTCTCAATTTCTATTTGAAGGTTTAAAATAGCTATTACCTTCCAAAAGATATAAATGACTGAGAACTATAATTACCAGCAAGACCACCATATGTCCTGGTTATAATTCAATACCATTTTTTTTTTAAGGCTAGTCAAGTAAAGCAGTGGGAGTGAAGAAGGAACAAAGAAATCTGTAATGAGTTGTGATCAATTAGTTGTAAACAACACTCTTAGATCAGCCATTATCCAATACCATTTGTACCACCACATCTCCAAGCTGGGGACTGTGCCTCTGTGACAATCCCAACAGACACTCACAGCCCAGCATATCACCTCATTACCTCACATTATGATTTAGAGCAAATCATGTTCGATTATAAGAATAAAGTGATGTTTTCGAACGACCTTTTTTTAAAGTGCTCTTAGAACACCTCTGTTGTTTGGATACTTCCCAGATAAACAATATTCTGATATATTAGACAAGTAGTTCAAATAGAATGTACTTTTATAAATTTTTCCCATATGATCAGCAGTTGAATGTAGGTATAAATTATTTCTAAAATGCATAATATAGCTTGTATCAGAAAATTGTTATACATCAATCTCATACCTTAAGTTTAAGATAACTGAATTGTGGGGAAAAAGCCTTTGTACCATAAGGCAGAACAGAAACCATTTACTTGAAGTAATGGTTTTTTCATCATTTTTGTTTCATGTCTATAATGTTTATATATATAAAGTGTAGAAATATATAGGCATATATATTCCTCTTATACACAGTATTCTTCCTCTTAATGGTATTTCATTAACTTAACTGAAAACCCAATACTTACGTGGAACTTGAGCTATAGCATTTTCATCCAGCATCATTTCTGCAATTCCTTCCTGATCTACATCAATTTCATCTATGTATACCATTTCTGTTAGCGCTCTTGCTTTTAAGATCCAAGCTGCCTAAAACCCATGGATAAATAAAACATATATTAAAATAGCATTAGAAATACTACACAGCTTATAGAAATAGCCATCCTTCATTGTTGTTATTTCATTTTATATTAAACATGTTTACCTCTTAACACATTATTTTAATTTAAAGGGCCATGTCAAAAACTAATACAAGAAGCCATCATTATTAATCAAGAAACAACCAATGTATCAATTACATAGTAAATAGAAGTGGGGTAATTACCTGGTAGTCTTCTATCACTCCTTTTTATAAATAAAAAGATAGATCTTTAGAGAAAATTTTACTAAAATAATAATTTGAAAACAAATGAATAAAGCTACAACCACATTGTTCTTTCTGCCTTCCTCCTTCAAGGTCAAGTCCTTTATTATAAAGCCTTCCCTGATTTTCCAGTTCTAAACCTATTACACACTCTTGTCTTTCTCAGAGACTTCTCTTTATGCCTCTATTATTACACACTTAACCATATTTGAAAAACACTCTAGCAAACTTTTATATCTTGTTCACTTTGGAATTTTCCATAATATCTATGGTTTTTGTAGACAGTAGGTATTCAAGAAATGTTGGTTGAACTGAACTAAGATCAATTTATCCGATTCCAATAACGAAACAACACTGGTTGCTTTGTGATCTAGTCAGTAGAAAACCTGCTAGATAATGAAAAAAAGGGAAAAGCTAATTAAGAAATCTAAACTGGCAAATATTTTATCAGCTTTGCTTTACCTTGAAAAATTCAATGTAAACATGTACACCATTCAATTTCTTATTAAACATATGAAATTGTTTTATTTGAAATTTCTACCTTTCCTTTACTACAGAATAGAGGCAGAAAACAATAAAGCTTGGTGTGCTGTGGAGGATTTGAAAAGAAGGCAACTCTTGAAGCTGCAGCATATTAGTGACTCTAGAGCCTAGAGGAAGTAGCAGCAAGGGAAATTTGGGGGCATTAGGCTCAGTATACTAGGAATATATGGCTGTCAAGCAGGCTCAGTGAAGGCCAAGGGACTGCGAAAGGAACAGGTGAGAGCTACAGGAGGTCCAGAAAGTCCCCACGTAAAGAACTCAAGATGCATTCAGTATATATATTCATTGAGCACCCCCTAATTAAATACCAGCAGGCTAGGTTCTGATAAGGAAACATGAGAAGATTAAAACACGGATCCTAATTTCCCTGAACACATCACCTACTGGGTGAAATATGACAGGTGACAAGTGTGTGGTTTTATAGATGTTGGAAAGCAAAGATCCTTTTGTGAGCTCAAGTAATTGGAATGCATTCTATGAACATTTTTTTAAAAACAAAAAAAAGAATAACATCATGCGTTCATTTTAATGGGAATAAAGATGGCTGCCTCTACAACATATTTAGGTTCCCAAAGTGAAAATACATTTGGTTAGATGATTGGCTTTTGGCTTGCACTTTTCTGGTTGAGGTTTACTGGATTATTTAAAAATTTAGAACAAACTGTTTTGAATGTTATGTATGAATTTAACACAATTAGATGAGTAGAATATAGACTCAAAAAACTAACTTATTTGTAAAAAAATTAAAAAAAAACAATTCCTATTGGAACTCCAATTGGAACTGTGAGAGCCAACAAAGTATAGAAAAAAAATCTCAGGTTTTCACTCATCAAAGATCAGGAACAATACCATATCTATACAACTGTTCCCAGGGATCGGGGAAGTCCTCAATGGCTTGAGCTAATGTTCTAATTTAACTTCAAAGATGGAAATAGGCAATACTGATTTATATTAAATCTCTACAGGTCATACTGCCCTGCCAGTATCTGACAGCTTTGATTTTTCAAAAGAGCATTCTTTGCTCAGCACTCTCTGGTGGACAGGAAGGACTACAGCATTTTCTGTTGGAACAGCAAAGCACAACATGGGCTCTGCTTGTTCATTCCCATATTACCAGGGGGCACCTACTGCATGCTACATCCTGAGTATACAAAGAGGAGTAAATCATAGTCCTAGTTCTAACTGGAAAGAATTTCCATGTAATGGGAAAAATGTAATAACAAAAATGAAAAACAAAAAGAAGTGTGTGATAGAACAGAGGAAATGTGTCCAGCTACCTGGGAGTGGAAGGAAGGGTAGAAGTGAAGAATTGGGCCCAGCGGACAGGCAAAGTGGACAATAGGCAGGCTAGCTAGAGAGCCTATGGCATGTTTGGAAACTCTAGGAGAATTGAGTGTAGGTGAAGAATGAGGGAAGAGGTTGGAGAAAAAGTCAGGAGCCAGGTGATGGATCCTGTATGCCGCAGTGAGGTATGTAAATTTTTATCCTGATGAGAAGCTAATGAGGCTTCAGAACTATGATTTGGAGTCCTACCTAAATCAAGTTTATTTATTTATTTATTCATTTACTTTTTGAGATGGAGTTTTGCTCTTGTTGCCCAAGCTGGAGTACAATGGCGTGATCTCGGCTTGCTGCAACCTCCGCTTCCTGGGTTCAAGCAATTCTCCTGCCTCAGCCTCCCAAGTAGCTGGGATTACAGGCACGTGCCACCACGCCCAGCTAATTTTCTGTATTTTTAGTAGAGATGGGGTTTCACCATGTTGGTTAGGCTTGTCTCGAACTCCTGACCTCAGGTGATCCACCCTCCTTTGCCTCCCAAAGTGCTGAGATTACAGGCGTGAGCCACCATGCCCAGCCTTAAGTTTTAAACATCAAGTTTTATCATTATAGCAGCATTTATATAGTTGGTTATTAATATATTTTACTTTTAACTATTTTCAAATTCATACTGTTATTTCATAGTCCAATTCATCATGATTCTTGACATCCATCCCCCAACTGACGTCTTAAATATTAAAGAGTTAGAAATTTTTTATATTAGGCTAAGCAAAATATAGAAAAGAAAATCCACTCTTCCTTCCCTGCAATATGAATAAATACTTCCGAAGTCAAAGTCAAATAGGAACTTTTTTTTTTTTTTTTTTAAGACAGGCTCTCACTCTATCTCCCAGGCTGGAATGTAGTGGTGCAGCCTCAACCTCCAGAATTCAGGTGATCCTTCCACCTCCCACCTCAGGTCTCAGGTTCCAGAGTAGCTAGGACTACAGGTGTGTACTATCACACCCAGCTTTTTTTGTTTGTTTGTTTGCAGAGATGGGATCTCACTTTGTTGCCCTGGCTGGTCTTGAACTCCTGGTCTCAAGTGATCCTCCTGCTTTGGCCTCCTAAAGTGCTGCGTTTACAGGTGTGAGCCACTGCACCAAGGCTAGGAATATCTTTTTAAAATTTTTATTCCGTAAGAATCCACTTTTTCAAAAAGATAGAAAAATATTAATTTAATTTCTAAAATATGATTCTTAAGAAACAATGGTATGAATTTTTGATATTTACAGCTCTAGAATAAAATCTACTCAGACTGTTATTCAATTTTAAATTTTATCAGTGTTTGAGAAAATTAATCTTCCTGAGTTCTCTTCTGTCCTAACAAAAATGACCTTGAAAATCACATATCACTGCTTGATTAAACATCAGACTGTTTTCAAAGAACTGCTCCTGGCAATGTGAACAATTCTTGAGATTTTAATGAAAACAGCAGAAGGAGCTTTGGCTTTAAAAAAATAATAATTTTTTTTTACTTTGGAAACAAGCCAAGTATGTTTCACATCCCTAAAATCCTCTGCCTGTTTTAAAAAAACAAACCAAAAAAAAGTTTAAAACTAATCAGTGATTAAAATAAAATGAATAACAAAGCACACACAGTAATCCCAAACTACCCCTTAAAACTAAATAAAAATATAAATTTGCCTTATCAGATATGTTTACTTATTAACAAATGGGAGGGTCACACAGTTTTTAAAAAATAGTTTATGTAAATTTATTTAAATATTTATGTATTAGAAGTACCATAATATCAATAAAAATAAGAATTGATGCTTTTGGAACTTTGTTTTTTAAGGGAAAAGCACAGATTCTCCCAAACCAAATGAATAATCATATCAATTTTTCCCTTTTTATCTGTGAAACACAATCCCATCTCACTCACCAACTGAGTTAGTCTATAGGACATTACTCCTGAAGCAGATACTTGCCAGCAAACATCAGGAAAATATTGACTCACTCATTCCATCCACTGTGACACTAGTTCAGTTTTAGTTATAAAAATAAACAGATGAAGGGGTTAAAACTCTGCTGACTGAGCAAAGCATGTTTAAATTATTCTGTTACTCTTAATACAGAATGCAAGGCCAGTAGATTAAAGCATGTAAGAAACAATTTTAGGTTATTATTAGAATAAGGCTATGAAAGGAACAGTCTGTCTGACCTGATTTAGCATCATAAGACTCAGTAACTATGGCCACTCTGCCTACTCTATGAAAATGAAAACTTAGGCACAAGATACTGAATTGTTATTGTATATAGCCTCATTCCTTTTGAAGTTGTAACAGTGTGCAAAAATAAGAAATTCCAAAAGTGGAAATAGTAAGGCCAAAAGAATCTAGTCAGCCTTGTTCCCTTTTGTATCATTATCCAGTGAATAATTAAGTCTATACAAACAGAACAGGAAAATAATGCCAAATACAGATTTTTCATGAGTCCTTGTGCTAGTTTAAAGCTCTTAAATGCCATTTATAGTTTTAAAACCATTTCTACAATGCAAATTATTGATGTTTTAAATTTTAATCAAAATCTTCCAAATTTCCTGAGAACAAAATCCACAGTATTTATAACTTTGATCCTTCTTGAATGACTTGTACCCATATTATGCAAAAAAAAAAATAGTTTTGCCCCATCTATCAGTTTGTAAATCAAGATTATGAACATTCAAAAGACAAATGTCAGCCTTTTAAAGAACACAGTGCCACATTTTAACCTATTTACAGTGTGTGTTTAATACTACACAAGCCTCCATAAGAGTACTTTGTAAATTGCTTTTTATTCTAAAAGGTTTGCTAATTACACATATGGACCCCTAATAAGGTTCAAGTCTTTTATTTACCTAAAAAAACCGCTGTTAACATTCCATCTCGCTTGGTAGGGCTAACACCTGGCAACATTTAAGCTCTCTGATTTATAACTCTGCACAACTTCTCTCCTTAGTCCCAGACTCACTGGCAACTCTCCTGGATTAAAAGTATCACTGGCCAGGTGTCCCCCTCCTCTCTCCCAGGGTTTCCTCCCAATTCATTCTCTTGTGTTTTATCCAGTTAGCAAGGCTCTAGCTGCCTCCTATCCTTATCCAAACTGATTTGCTCGATGTGACTGTCTGGCCAGTGTCCCTTTCTTCTTCCCTCACTGTGGCAGCCTCCTCCCTCTTAGAGCCACCAGGTCAGTTAAAACCAAGACCTTCCCAAGCACAGTCCACTCTTGACTCAAGACATGCCATCCCATCCATCACAGTCTTTCAGACATTTGTCATTCCGCTGACTCTCCCGCTCCCTTTCTAAGCCCTTGGTTCCCCTCACCTCCTTCTTTATTTTTCATATCCTTCTAATCCATCTTGGTCATTTCCATTTAAGCTCCAAGTCCCAATGAGTAGACTGCATTATTAGTTCTACAAGGCTATCAATATACACAAAAGTATTGAAAATATAATCATTTATTTACATAAGAAGGCACAGAATGTCTGACAGATATGGCTAATTTTATAAACCCACAGGAAGATATGCAGCAAATTTTCTAATCTATAGCAACAACTAAGCAATAGCATTAAAGAATTCTCTAAACTAAAGGTTGCAGCTAAACCTTTCTTTACCTGATGCACTGGCAATTCAGGATCTGGTTCCTGGAAAGCATTAAGAAGGCAGTAAACAGTTTTAAGAAATACAGTTTCTAAAATAAAAAGTCCTAAGGACCAACCAAGTATTTGTAGGTGAACTCTAACTCATTCAATAAGAATCCAAAAAATTAACTTTAGTCTTCCTACAGAAGTGTTCTCAAGAGTTGTGTAAAATGAATATACATTGAAGAATGCTAAATTTTCAATGATCAGAAAATTCTAATTAATCTAACCTCATTCAAAGTGCAAAGAGATGATAACTACTTGTTTAATGAACACACAATATATCAGAAATTGAGAATAATCCCATAACTATACCAAGGAAATATTTCCTTTTATTCAAAAATAAGTTCACGGTGGTTAAAACATTCAGACTTTAATCACTTAAGGAGAAGAAGGAAAATCCACATAACACAAACCCTTCAGATAAACTCAGCATCTGGGTTTTTCTGTACAAATTAAATAGAAACCCACTGGTTAAAAAAATCAGACTTATAACAAATTTATTTATAAAACATCTACACTTACATGTCTGTCTAGTCAGCAATGTCTGTTGAGCACTCAATCTGTTTTACTGGGGAAAGTACTAAGAAACAGAAAAAGGAAAAAAGATCCTTGCTTTCTACAGCTCTAAATCCAAAAAGAACACCTCAAATATTTTTTAAGAATATATTCTTGGTACAAGCAATGTGCAAACCATATGGTCACCATGCAAGGACAGGTAATTTATTTAACATGACGCATGGTAGGAACATGAGAGGAAAAGGTTAAGTTAGGCTAGAAAATGAGGGCCCCAAAGGATGGAAGTTACAGAAGATGTGGCAATCAACTGAACCGAACACAAAACAGCAACTAGAGAACACATAGCAATTGGAGGTTTTCAACTCCAGTGCACCTACCAAGGATGTAGAAAAAGTATAGATTTCCTAAATACAGTCCAAACTTAAGGAAACACACCAATCCAGGGAATGACATGCCAGATGAAAGAAGTAACACATTCTATTCTTTCTTTCTTCTGTTTACTTGTATACATATCTCTATAGCCCATTATCTCATTTGAGTCTCATAACAACCATCTGAGGAAAGCAGGTAAGTATTATCTACTTTACAGATAAGGAAACAAATTCAGAGATGTTAAGTAATTTGTTTAAGGTCACACAAACGGTTGAGGGAATCAAATGCTCCTTCTTGCCAGTGCCTCTTGGAGATTAAAAAAAAAAGAGAGTTGGACATAGTAAGGCAGGAATGAAAGGTAAAGTTTAGGAGAGATACAAGATAAATCCAATATATTATAGAAAACTGAGGGAGAAAGTTTACTAGAGGTGATTGTAGACAATGCTTGAAAAGGAAAAAACAGCTAAAGGAGACAGAAGCCACTGATACTGGATGCTGTGATTTGCCAAGGGCAGGTAGATTCCTCCAGTGACACAAAATGAAACCACCAGCTCAGCCTCAGAGGATTTCTGCTCACTGAGGAAAGTCTCCGCGATCTCTCTGTCTTGTTCCTCTGCCCTTCAGGGATACATTTAGGGCTGATCATGTGGATGAAGAGTGTGTAGGGAAATTACAGGAAATCATCAATGTGCAGGTCAGAAGAGAAAATGAGAGGCCTAATGAGTAGGGAGGTGCAGAGACAGGTGAGGGATTGCATTGAAGGAAAATGGAGACCAGGCCTAAGTGGGTATGAGGCCAAGAACACATTAATTCCACAACATTCTAGAGGGGGAGGCACCTAAATTACAATACAATGTGTCAAATACTATACTCACATTGTGGTCAAATTATAGATGACTTAGGTGAACAAAAGAAAAGCAGAAGACATGGAAGATAAGAGAGTCAGAGAAGGGGGAGATTATTCTGGAAATTATTGAGTGCCAATGATTTATGAACTATATTCAACATCCTTTCACCATCCATTTCACTGGACATCTTCCTCAAAAATGCTTTTCAGATTCCCAGCAATCCTTTAAGAAAAATATAGATGATAGAATCCTGCATGCAAATATCTGTAGGTATACAGACAACAGCAGCTAACATTTTTTATCACTTACCACATGTTCATGAGCCTTATAACACCCTCTGAGTTATAGGTATACTATCATCACCATTTACAGATGAGAACACTCAGAGCAAGATGTTACAGGACCTGTGAGCCCCAAAATTGGGGCTTAGCCCAGGAGGGTTCTTGGCTCTGCCAAGGAAATAATTCCAGGGTGAGTCAGTGGTATTAGACAGCAATCCTTTATTGGCTGGTACTGCTCCTTGCAGAGGAGGGCTAACTCATAGGCAGTGTAGCCAGAATCAGCAACTATGGGCTCTTGGCAACTGTATTTATACTCATGAAAACCCACTTTCAATTACATGCAAATTAAGGGGTGGGCCAATGCAAATTAGGGAACAAGTTATTTAGAACTTTCTAGGAAAGGGGCAGTAACTTATAGGTTGTTGTCATGGAAAGAGGTGGTAACTTCTGGGTCATTGCCATGGCACTTTTAAACTGTCATGGCAGCTGGTGGGAGGGGTGTTCTACTGATGAGCAGTGAGGGCAGCGAGGGGTCGCTTTCCTTGCCATCTGCTGGTTTCTTCACTTTAACCTGTCTAGACTAGATCCTATTTTGGTCAGCCGTGTTGTGACCAGAAAACAAGTCCTGTTGGTCTCTTACCTCAAAGGTATAGAGGCAGTATTTGAACCTAGACACTCTGGGCCCAGAGCAGGACTCTGCTGAGTATGTGGGATGACAGCAAGGATGGAACACAGACTACCGTAGGATGTGGAGAGACCAAGGACAGGCATGGCTCTGTGGAGATCCATCAGGAGCAGGACTATGAAGGAAGAGTCGGAATGTTTTAATTAGGAGATAGGGGAAAACTCTTTTTTAAAAATCACTGAGCCTTTCCTCTTTGGGTCGCTCTCAGTTGTAGTTCTGTGATTTAAATTAATCCACCCGTGCAGCTTCACTTAGTCTAGCAAACTATTTCTACAGGTATCAGCGCAGTTGAGCAGAAAGCTCCAGGCTTTGCCCTAGAGTCAGAAGACGTGGGCTAGGCTTGATCCTCAGGGAGCCACTTAGCTGCATGACCTTGAACAAGTCATATAATCTACATTACCTTCTCAAATTAAAGCAATAGTACCTACTTCATAGGAGAATCTTAAGGACTAATAATAAAACCTTGCATTTTTAAGAAAACTTCACAACTTTTAGAGTTCTTTCACATATATTATCATACTTATTCAAGTATAAGCTTAACAGAAGCACCAAACCATCTATTACTCCCCCTTTCAGAACTCAGAACTGACTCCCAGTGATGGAAGATCAAATTAAAACTTCCTCTGAATCTCCCTCAAAGTGGGTAACAGGACATGGAAAGTAGAGTGCCACTTCCTAGAACCAGAAAATACCCATTAGCATCAACTTCAAGTCACATCTGTTTGCTTCCTTCCTTCCACCCTAGGGTTCAGCATTTTCTTAGCTTGTTTCTGTTACTTTAGGGAATTAAATCTCCAGATAATTCTGAATGCAACTTTCTAATTACCACCACTACTTATGCTGGCTAATGAGTCTCCTCAGCTTAAACTGCCGAGTCATTGTTCAAAATTTAGTAATAAAAGAAGGGGGAAAAAGTTTAAGAGAATAGAGGAATTGATGGATTTCAGAAGGTTAGAGAGATCTAGTGACCACGCAGCCAAGTGGGAGTGTAATCTGTGTAATTCAGCAGGAATACAAATTCATAAAATGACCTGCCCCACAGCGTATAGAATCAAAGGATTAAGTCTGGCTAAGTCTCCATGGCCCCAAAGAGGAAACCAATTAGATAATCACACGATATGTTCTTTGGCTTGGATCACCAAATCACTGTCTCAACCAACTACTAACATACAGCTCATTGGGGAGCCCTGGTTTCATGTCTTTCATCTAAGCCAGTCATTTTCAGCCATTTCTCCTCCTTCAAACCATTTACAATAATAACCCCCTCCTCTCTGTAACATCTCTCATTATAAGCAGAGATTGGGGCAAAACGAGAATGTAAGTTAGAAAAAAGTCTTTCTCCCATTCTGATACACAGCTAATGGGTCCCACCCTCAGAATCACCGATTTTAATAATCTGAAAATCTACCAGACACCTACCCCATTAATGAAAGCATATTGTCTTTTAAAAATCCCACTGCCTGAAAAACCTTTACGTTTTATTAACTGTTTAATTATAATGGAGCTAAAAATCAGGACTGGTTTTAAAGCCATGAATCTGACATATGGAACACAAAGAACAGTAAACAGATTAAGCAACTGATCAGGATGATCAACATGAGCTGCAGAAGCAAACATTCTCTCTAGGTCACAGTGCTGTACGGAGAGGACTGTTTTGCATTTCCTCTTTTTATATCTTACAACTTTTAACCACTTTTTCAGTCACGATTTAAAGAACACTTTGAAAAAGATAATGCTTCTCTATGAATTGGTTATTCCTATTATATTTAATCAAAAAAGGGAAATTATAATAAATTAATCAGTTATCTTTCTTTCTTTATTCTTAACAGATCTGAACTTTAATACTCTTCATGCTTACAGACCCCGGCTGGCCTCTGTCCCTCACCATTCTGTGTCTAGAAAAAGCAGTTGAGAACCCATATTCTTCAAGAACCCTTCCCCATTACCAAACACCATATTATTATATTTAATCTACCCTTCAGTTCTTTTGTAGCCAAATTAAAATGTATTACTCTGAAGAAACATGCTGTTGCATAGTACATCATACCTCTCTGGCTAGCCTGACTATCAAAAATAAAATCCAGAAATCCTAATAGAAAATACAAGGCAATAATTAAAGACTTTTGATGATTCTACACCAAAATAGTATCCCTTAAAGGCGAAATAAATGCATATAAATAGTCTTAGAGGTGGCCTTCATCTCAATAAGCTAATGTATCAGGACCAAAATGTTATCTTTTTGAAGCTCCCTGGACCAGCTTATAAAAAGATTAACAAATAACAAATCATTTTTGAGAGGTTTTTCTCATCTGGGAGAAAAATAAGCAAAACCAAAAGTGAAAAATGACATTATTAAAAACAAAAACTATCTTTTGTAATGGGGAGGGGAAAACGTAAGAGCAAAAATGAATCCATTTGGCACTAAGAAGAAATATTTTAATTTCTGGGCTCCTCTATGTGTCCAGGAGTTTCAAATTCACTCCATACTATAATCAGTTTGGTGGCACAGAACAGTAATTCAAATAGTTATAGAGGAAAAGTACTCTCAAATGTCAAAACCTCAGTAAATGCCCATGAGGCTAAAGGGGCATGAAGGTGAACCAGCTAACTGCGGAGCAGAGGACCATCTGCTCACGCTCTGGTCACATTTCTGTTAGCTTTTCATAGATTGTGAATCTCTCCATCATTTAACTTCCTCCACCGAAACAAAGAAAGCACTGTAAGAGATAGCAATGATGATCATTACTATTAGAAACACTCTCCTGGAGGAACCTAGGAAGCATTTTAAAAATTGATTTTTAAAAACTGACCCTCAAAACAAGAATTAAGAATGCCCATAATGAAATTATATTTATTTGAAAAAGTAAGTGTACATTTAAGAACATATGGTGCTGAGAATTAAGGATGGGGCAGGGGAAGACAAAGATCATCAAGCAACTACGACGACCTTCATAGAGAGGAAGCTGACAAATATGAACAACTCCATCAAAACACACACATGAACATGATCGACGCACTCATTCAGCAAATACATATCAAAAGCCCCTGTGTGCCTGACTCTGCATCAGGTGCTTGGGATACCACACAAACCTGCTATTGTGGAGTCATGTTCTAAGGAAAGATAATTTTCAAGCTTGTAATCAAAGGAACTTCCTTAAGCTTCCTTCCTAAAGCTCTTCTTTAATTGCATCAACACTCTAACATAAATATTAATTTTTTTAATGAAGAAAAAGGCAGGATTTCTTCAAGCTTGGGAAAAATCATTCTGGGAAATATTTCCAACATGAAATAACAACTGGGTGCAAAATACAGAAACTGGTGTTACGAAAAACATAGAGTAATAACAGCACAGTGTTCAAAGTTAGGTCAAAGAATGACTAACATGAGTAAGCCCTGTAAACTTTTCAATAGCCCTACCTAGTAACAAAACCTAACTCTGGTAAGATGACATCAAGTTAAACGTCTATTCCTGGTAAAATGCTACTCATTATTCTGGCAATACATACAGTTCAACCATAATAAACTACCTCAACAAAACAAAACAAACAAATAAAACAAATAAAAATTATTAGAAAGGAAAAGAATATCAAATTTCCTCCAGATCTGGTACTGATTCTCTTAGACCTACTCTATATATATTGGAGCTGAACATATCAACCCTTGCTCATAAAAATAAAACAATAACTTTTTTTGAAACTTCTATTCAGGTCTGGTCACAAGCTTTTCGGATAAGGGATACACAATCTGTAGTAAGCACTCAATGAAAGGTCATTGAGATGAATATATATCAAGTCCTGATATCTCAATTTATAGGTGCAATACTGAATGTCACTATGAACTCAAGATTAGAGGGTCTTAACTATTAATAAAAATATTGCTGCTTTGCCTACATTTCCCGATGTACCAACATCTTCCCAGGATAACAGTGAAGATATCTGACCCTTTCCCTGGGTCAAAAAAAAAAAGGAATCCGGTGGTCAAATAAGTTTCAGAACTATTTAATTATTTGGATTAATCAAAAATAGGCAAAATTAGTTTCCTTTTCTTCAAAACTACTCAGAGCCTTTAGGGTGCATCCTGAATCTCCAAGAAGGAACATACATTTCCCAAATGTACTTAATGAGGGAACTTGTTCTCACTGAACAGCTCTTGGGACTACTGTTTCGTGGAACACAGAATGAAAACTACCGTAACTCAATGGAAAAATTAAAATGGCACATAAAGTTCCTGCAAACCATTGTGCCTAGAACAATGTCTGGCACATCAAAGGTTCTTTTTTTGAGACAGAGTCTCTCTGTCGCCCAGGCTGTGGAGTGTGGAGTGCAGTGGTGCGATCTCCGCTCACTGCAAGCTCCGCCTTCCGGGTTCACGCCATTCTCCTACCTCGGCCTCCCGAGTAACTGGGACTACAGGCGCCCGCCAACACGCCCGGCTAATTTTTTCTATTTTTAGTAGAGAGGGGGTTTCACCGTGTTAGCCAGGATGGTCTCAATCTCCTGACCTCGTGATCCGCCCGCCTCGGCCTCCCAAAGCGCTGGGTTTACAGGCATAAGCCACCGTGCCCGGCCACATCAAAGGTTCTTAACAAGCTTCTGTTGTACCAACGTAAAGGGTCAATATTTTGTCACAAGTCCCAAACATATTTGATTGTGTATTTTTTTAAGCAATATCTATAAGATTACTATGCCAAAAACACATTTGGGGGCTGGGCGCGGTGGCTCATGCCTGTAATCCCAACACTTTGGGAGGCCGAGGCAGACGGATCACGAGGTCAGGAGTTCGAGACCACCCTGGCTAACACGGTGAAATCCCGTCTCTACTAAAAATACAAAAAAATTAGCCAGGCTTGGTGGCACGTAACTGTAGTCCCAGCTACTCGGTAGTCTGAGGCAGGAGAATCGCTTGAACCTGGGAGGCGGAGGTTGCAGACAGCCGAGATCGCGCCGTGCCACTGCACTCCAGCCTGGGCGACAGAGCGAGACTCCGTCTCAAAAAAAAATAAAAAAAAATAAAAAAAATTTAAAAAAACCTTGGAAAAATGCTTGTCTACAGAAATATAGTCCTATTAATTAATGTGAACTAACAACAGAACCTAGCTTTGTATTACCACTAACGTAGGCTGTTCTAAGAGAGATGTACTATCTGAAAGACAAAATGTTCATCTCAGCAGGTTATCATCCATCATCCATTTGCTGGGAGCTAAGGCAGAGCCTAGTAACAGCATTCACACTCAGGCCTCCGCTTTTGTAACTCCCTTCAATTTTCCATTTTTTCTAACATCTCCAAGGCAACACCACTAGAGGAAAAGCTAGGGAACTAGAACTACGTAGGTATATTCCGCACTTACTAAAAGCACTGACAAACTGCCGCAGCGCTACTTCTGTTCTCCCATTTTCTCCTTTTTTGCCTATTCCAGGAGCCACCTGCCCACCAGAATTGTACCGCTCACGTACATTGTATACTACCTTTTCCACTCGCTATACACATTACTCTAGTTTAAGTTCTCTTTTCATCAATGCCATCATTCCTTCTTGTAAGGAGCCTTTCTTTCCCATTTCTCCCTCCTACAATTAGAGCTTCCCTTGCCTAGGTAATTTTTTAAATAATGAATGTATCTTTCTCCCTCCTAGATTCTCATTCTTCTAATTTGCATATTTGCCTCAAGCTAAACTCATGGCCTCCTTCACTCTTGGACAACAGTCTAAAGATGAGGTGGGAGGATCACATGTTCGATCCAAAAGGAAGAAGGCAGCTATGTTAACAGGAGGTGGAGAGTCACAGATCTTTGTTTATGCATATTTTTTAGAAATTAACAACGCACACGCTGAGAGCTTAAAGCCCATCAATATGCAAGTATAAACGAATTATCAAAGTTCCTCGTCAAGTAAAGTTCAGGGCTCTCATTCTGGGACACGTATAGGGGAGGGGAGGCTGAAAATTGTGAGGAGGGGGCGGTCATGGCACAGAACTTGCTATCCCCGTGGACGTGGCGGACAGCGGACCCGCTAGTCACAGCTCCACAAGGTCTCGCTCCGGGCGCCTCCGAGGGCCGAACGGTCAGCCCCGCCTCGGGCCTTCCTCCCCGGCCTCCCAACCCGGGGCTGGGATATGCCCCAGACCCCGCAGCCTCAGCGTCAGGATGCACAGGCTGACGGGAGCTGGCCGGTACCTGGTCATAAGGGGACTTCTCCAGCATCTGCGTGCATAGATCGGCGCAGAGCTGGAACTTCCTGCGCCTAAAATAGCTCCAGGCCAGGAGCAGCGGCTCCATCTCCGAGCTCATGGCTGCCGGTGCGGCCAGCGAAGGCCCAGCGCTCCAGGAGAGAGGTGGGCGTGGAGTGAAGAGCTGGCGGCGTCCGACTCTGCCCGGCAACCCGCGACGGCTGGGGCCTTGTCCGAGAGGTGCCCGCAGCGCGCCTGAGAACAGGAAAAAGAAAAACAACCGCAAGCAGAACTCGGCTACAGGGCTTGCCTAAACTTGGTTGGAAAAAGATGTCTACTTTTAAAGGCTACAGGTTTCATTGATTTTGAAAAGAAGGCACCGCGGCTAAACAAAAAGGTAGTGAGTTAGACACCTGCCCCTGGGGTCCCCCACCCTCCCAGGAGGCGCAGCTGCCTAGCAACCGAATGCTCTGCCTGCCCTGCAGGTCCGGAAGAGTCCCTGGAGTTGATCTCTGTCTGGTGTCTGTCCTACTTCTTCCATTCGCTCGTTTCCATCCCTTTCGCTTTACCTTCCGATTCTAGAAATACAAACAAGTAAACAGCTTCCACAGTACCATCCACCCATCAAGACCTAAAGTCCTAAATCCTGAAATTGTCCGCTGTTTCTCGAGGTCCTTCCCACCGAATCTCAACATCTGAACTGCAAGTGGTTTGCTTTTACTCATTTTACAGATGAGAAACTGAGATAGACTCAGAGAAGAGAAATTATTAAAATTGCATTGAGTTAGGGAGCTGGAACTGCAATCTGGTTGACTACAAGTTGCTAATACATTTGTTAATTCGACTCACATGGTGATTCCGGATTGTAAATTGGTGACAGTTTTACCAAACTAGATAATGTGTGCAAAATAATAATAATAATAATAATAATAATAATTTTTAAAAGCTTTGTGAAACATCGTCTCCTGGCACTTGCTGTTTGGCAAGGGTTTACTTGTGCAGAGTGATTTCTTCAAACACAATTCTGACTTTTCTCTAGAAATTTGCACAGATGACAAATATGCTTAAAATTGCAATGGTTATGAAAAGAGAGGTGTGACCGGCTAAATCCAGGTAGGCTTTTCTCAAACCACTGGGGTCTGAGAAAACATTAGACATTCTATTTAATCCACATATTTATATTTTTCATAGGTATTAAAATGAAACTTATGCTTCTAAACTAAGAAATTTATTGTTACCTTTTATTCTCTACTAAGCAGTCTTTCTTGAATTGTTGTATTTTGGAAGTCAGTAATTATCAGGATTGTCATTGTTACAGTTAAGTGTATTGTCATTAGTCTATTTGTGTTCTCCTGGAACTGCCGGTAGAAATGTAATCTCCCTAAAGGTCCTAATGAAGCAGCCCATGGTTTCTGAGTGTCAAATTTTTAAGAACGCACATGCCGACAATTGACAATTGGGCTCAATATTTCACAGCGTCTTTTTGTTTTCTGGTACACTGTAAGCAGATTACTATGTAAGTGATTTTCAACCCTACTAGAGAAAGTGAAGCACAGAGAAACCCTTTAAAAGGGTCAGTTTCACAAATGATGCTAGATCTCAGTTCATAGATCCTTATCTTTTACTCTCTAGCATATAGTCAGATGTTCTAAATAAACTTTTTTAAAGAATAGTTTTCGATTTACAGAAAAGTCACAAAAATAGTAGACAGTTCCCATATACCCAGTTTCTCTATTGTGTGAGATGTTGACATTTGTTTTAGTGTAAGATGATACATTTGTTACAACTAAGGAATCAACAATGGTACATTACTATTAAATAAACTCCACAGTTTATTTGGATTTCAGTAGTTTTCCCTTAATGTTATTTCTCTATTCCAGGATCTCACTTAGGGTACCACATAACATTCGGTTATCATGTCTCCTTCACCTCCTCTGACACTGTGGCAGTTTTTTAGACATTCCTTGTTTATGATGACCTTGACAGTGTTGAAAAGTGCTGGTCAAGTATTTTGTAGAATATCTGAGAAGTTCTTAAAAATAGAGATGTCCCAATTCCAGCCCTAGAAATATTGACTTAAATTGTTTGAGGTAGGACTGGGGCATCGGTTTTGTTTTTTTAAGTGTCTCAGGTGATTCTGATGGGTAGCCAGGATTAATCACCCACTACATTGAGTTCTAGTCATGTATCTATTGAGATTATTGCCAACTTCCTACAGAGAAACACTATTTACATAAGTGGGGAAATAAACATGCCAATAAACATATAAATAAATGTGGAACAAATGAGGCATTAAAATATTTTAGTAGCATATAATGTGTGTTAACTTCTTTCAGAAGGCTGTTTTTTTCCTCTCACAAAAGTCAAATGAATGAGGAAAATTGTAGGATATTTAGTAAATTACAGGATGTTAAACATGTCCAAATGTAGCATAAAATGTGTCTTTAAAAGGATATAAAAATATGTTATTTTTAATATCATGTAAATATGTTTATGGTTCATTGATTTTATGAATTTATAGACAGACTTACATTTTTTAATAATATCTAACTGATAAAGCAGAAACCATTTTTTTAAAGATATGCTAGTAATAGGAAGAATAGACAATGTAACAATTCCTGGTGAAGGGAATAGATAAGAGTTACTAGGACCATTTTCCTCCTAGAGAAAGTGAAGCACAGAGAAACAAGCCCTTTAAAAGGGTTAGTTTCACAATCGATGCTAGATCTCAGTTCATAGATCCTTATCTTTTACTCTGTAGCAACTAGATATTTCTTTAGGTTAATCAGTCTTAAATCAAATACCTAAGGTAATTTAACTTTAAATGCCAAAGTTTAAATTTTCTTAAATGTTAAATTGGAATTATTCTGCACATTTAACCCAAAAGAAAAACAAAAGGCATAAAATGAGATATTTTCTTGGTCAACAAGTATTTGCCCGGGCTCTGTGCTTGGTGGTAAGAATGCAGAGATCAACAAGACAGATCTCCTGGCCGGAGAGTACTTATACACAAAGAGTAATTAGCACGAAGAGCACTGGACTTAAGGTTAGATTTAGCAGCCGTGTTTTCTCAGGCAAATTAGGAATCAGTTTAGGATGATGATTAAGAAGTGGGGTCTGAGGCCGGGCATGGTGGCTCAGGCCTATAATCTCAGCACTTTGGGAGGCCAAAGGCAAGGAGGACCACTTGAGCCTTGAGCCCAGGAAGTCAAGGCTGCAGTGAGCCATGAGCATGCCATTGCACTCCAGCCTGGCAGCAGAGCAAGACCCTGTCACTAAAAAAAAAAAAAAAAAAAAATTGGGCTCTGGGGCCAGATGTTTTGTATTTGAAACCTGACTTTTTCATGCCCTTGGCAAAGTTGTGGGGACTTTGTGGAAGGGACTTACTGGCCTGTGCCTCAGATTTTTTATCCATAATGTAACATGCATTTGCTGTATTATTTAAGAATTTTCAATTCTGCCCTAAAGAATAGGAAAAACAAATGGGATAGATGAAACTTATCTGTAAGTATATGTTACATCAGTTCATATGTTAAGTACAGATAATAAGTAAATCATTAACCCATGAAACATGTTAAACATAGAATAGATATTTACTTCTTAGACATACGTTAAAAGGACAAAACAAACAAGAGTGTTACTTGTAAACAGAGATGGAAAGCAAAATAAACCTTAAATATTCATAAAGCATGGATCAGTCTTGTTGCCTCAAATTGACCACCCATTGGTATCATCCATTCTAACCCACTTGTTTTGTGCTTAAAATGTATACTGCTGCTCATCAGGTCATTGCTGAGCTATAGGTGTAGCTCATACTTACCTCTATCTTTTTATTATTTTTATTGTTTGGGGACAGGATCTTGCTCTGTCGTCCAGGCTGGAGTGCAGTGGCACAATCATGACTCATTGCCTGCTCACTGCAGCCTCAACCTTCAGGTCTCAGGTGATCCTCCCACCTCATCCTCCCGGGTAGTTGGGACTACAAGCACGCACCATCATGCCCAGCTAATTTTTTTTTAAATTTTTTGTAGAGACGTGGTCTCGCCATGTTGCCCAGGCTGTTCTTGAACTCCTGGACTCAAGTACTCTGCGTGCTTCAATCTTCCAAAGTGTTGGAATTACAGGTGTGAGCCACAGCACTCAGCAACCTCAGTCTTTTTGATAGAGCAAACATAGACTGGCACCATGAACTTTCCATCTCTGAACATTCTTACCTACACTCTGGTTCTTGTAACCATGCCATCTTTGGAGAAGGCAGATGAGGCAGAGAGAGAGGCAGAACATGTGAACATTGAGTGACCCACAGTAGTGTGGTCCTTTCACCTGCATGATCTAAATGTGTTCACCTACTGAATCTCTTTCCCCTTGCTTCCCACTTTTTTCTAAAACAATTCAGTCTCCATAGTGACTGTCAAAAATTGCCAGTGCTGACTATCTTGCAAGTTGTCATGGCAGGGTATTGGAAAAAGTTTTCAATTAGCAATAACCTAGGATAAACCTCATTGGCTACCATATTTCCACTGTACAAAGCTAAGACTGTGTGTTTTAAATTGGTTTAACAAACTAATTTATTTGACCATCTTAATCTGGCCTTTGAGCCAGATTATAATGATAGTGATAATGATAGTGAATATTTTATGGGATGACTGTGGAGATCACATCAATTTACTTCAAGTAAGGCACAATTACATTGTCTTTCAAAGAACATAGAAACACGTTGGCGGGGAATCAGTAATGTATGCAGCCAGGTAGCTCCTCTAATTTCAGTCAGACTGAAATAGGAATTAAAAGAAATTAAAGAATGTGTAAGCAAAAACTCAGTTGTATGTAAGAAAACTCAATTCCCCCTGAAGAAGAGAAAGAGCTGGAGTCCTTTAAAATTAACTGCCTGTTTTTCTGTGGCTAGTGGACCTTATCTCTCCCTTTCCCAGGCATTGTGAAGACTCTGTTTCTCTAGCTGTGCAGCTGCAAGGTCACTAGACAGATAATGTCAAGTCGTAAAACATGTTGTTCCTTGAAAAGTAAGAAATAATGTAATGCATGTCTTAATTGAATAACTGTCTTTGTTTCTCGCTTCTGTAACATGCTTCCCCCTGCATAGATCTCCCCCTGCCCCAAAAAATGCTTAAAAGGTAGCTTGACTCTCTGTTCGAGGCTCAGTCCTTTTGATGTTAATCCGACTGGGTCGGTGCACCTAAATAATTAAATAATTCCTCCTTAACCCCTCGATCTCTCTGATTCCTTAATTACCCCACAGCAAGACAATGTTTATTACATGCTAGAGATAGAACAGTTTGAGGAATTACCAAAGAGATAGGAAGTTGTTCTCATTTTCCCAGTTCCTTGAGGAAGTTCTTGGAGGAAGTTTCTTGAGGAATTCCTTAAGAAAGTGCTTGATGTATATCTATTGATACCGATATTTATGCCAAAAATTCTTTTAAATACTATGAGATGCCAGAGAAATAGGGTGAAATGTGCATATAAACAAATACGTTAAATAAAGGGTGATAGGAGCTATGATGGAAACCTGTGAGAGAATGCGGTTATGGACGTAGGCACAGGACTGAGTGATTCTACCTGTGTGTGGGGTTCATAAACAGCTCTGCAGTCAGCCGCTGAGGAAAAGTTTCCCAACAGCATGCAATCCTGTGGACAGAAAAGGAGGGGTGGAAAAAAAAGAAGACACAAAGATTCACTGAAGCCAGATCATCAAGAATATGGAACACCATGCAGGGAAGTTTGGGTTTTAGCCCATAATCAGTGAAAAGCCACCAGAGAAGTTTTACCAGTGAAACGAAACAACTTGATTGACTAAAAGTGAAGGCAAGGAGACTGGTTAGGATACTATTGCAATAGTCATGATGTGAGTTGCTGGGAGTAATGGGGATGGACAGAAGAGGCCAAAACATGTTCAAGAAATAGAATCAACAGTACTTGGACACCGACTGAATATGGGGAGGGCATTTGGCTAAGGAAAGAAAAGAAGCCAGGATAACTCCCAGCTCTCTGGGTTGTGCATGTATGGATAGGGGAGCCAGTCACCAAGATGAGAGTGAAGGAGACAGAAAAGGTTGGAAAAAAACAGAGATTAAATTCATTTTGGGATATAATGATTTTAAGTGTCTCTGGGACAGCCAGATGGAGATATTCTGTTAGTAACTAGAGTTAGAAGCCAGTCAGAAACAATGGAGCAAGGTCAGGGATGGAGATTAAATTTGAGACTCATATTATTATACATCTGCTCATGGAAAGCAATAAAGAGGATGAAATCATCCCACAGAGAATTTGTAGAATGAGAAGAGAGCCAAAGACAGAAACCCTGCAGATTCCCAACATTGAGGGGCAGGTAATGAAAAGAGGAAAAATAAAATCTACTGAGAAAGAGTGGCCAGAGATGTAAGAGGAAAACCAAGTGGGTGTGGCATCATGAAGCCAAAGTACAGACAGAATTTCAAAAAGAAGAGGCAGTTCAACCATGTTCACTTCTGAGAATTCATGGAAATGAAAAGCTTAAAAAAAGTCACTGATTTGGCCATTGGCCATTAGGTATCTATTTGCAATATTTGTCAGAGTCATTTCAGGGAGTCAAGAGTGAATAGGAACAGAAACCTGAGTGCAATAGGCTGAGACAGAAACAGACCTAAAGAAAGAGACATGCGAATGCAGCTTATTCTTTCAAGGGACAATTACTCATGCAAATGATTTTAAAATACTTGCAAAGCCACATGCATATGCTTGAATTCATAGAAATTTTCTACTTTTTGGACATTTTACCATGTAATAGATGCTCTCTGTAAAGCTTTTTAAGATTATCAAGTTCTATAACAGGCAGTTACATAAACCACTGATTCTGGGGTAGAGATTATTCCCTAAAGTGAATGTAGTCTGAAGTAACTCGTTTACCGTATTTTTGGTCAGGAAGAAGTGACACTTTTATACTCTTGGGCTCCATATGAAAAAGTGAACTCATTATTACATGAAAGTCCTCAGAATCAAAATGGTGTCATTTGTGTTAAAAACGAACAAAATCGGCCAGGCGCGGTGGCTCACGCCTGTAATCCCAGCACTTTGGGAGGCCGAGGCGGGTGGATCACGAGGTCAGGAGATCGAGACCATCCTGGCTAACAAGGTGAAACCCCGTCTCTACTAAAAATGCAAAAAAAATTAGCCAGGTGTGGTGGAGGGCGGCTGTAGTCCCAGCTACTCGGGAGGCTGAGGCAGGAGAATGGCTTGAACCCGGGAGGCAGAGCTTGCAGTGAGCCGAGATCACACCACTGCACTCCAGCGTGGGTGACAGAGCGAGACTCCGTCTCAAAAAAAAAAAAAAAAAAAACAAAATCCTGACAAATAGAACTGAGGAAGGCTATGAAGAGAGGGTTCTCCTGCGTGAGTGCTTTGTAACAAAAACTATCACAAAAGACTACAAAAAGCACAACATTGCACAAAGATCATCACAACCTTACACAAAAAATACTTCTGTGAGGACATCTGCCAGCCAACCTTGACTGATGCCACGCTTGTTACAGATCCTTGTTATGATCCTTTGAAGGAGAATCACTTCAAAACAATTCTGTAATCCTCTTTATTTTTCCTTTTAAAACCTTTATCTTCCTTTACCTCCCTTAATATGCATATAGTTTACTATGGCACACATATTCCCATTGCAATGTCCTATTCCTGAATAAATATCATTTTCTTTTAGAGAACATCTAAAAGAGGTTGGCAATTAACACTCACTTGTCATTTAAAAAGCCATAGAATGGCCAGGTGCGTGCCTGTAGTCCCAGATATTTGGGAGGCTGAGGTGGGAGGATTGCTTGAGCCCAGGAATTTGAGGCCAGTCTCAGCAACATAGTAAGACTCTGTCTCCAAAAAATAATAATAAATAATAAATTAAATTTAAAAACTAAAATAATTTTAAGGCCATGGAATGAAAAATTCTCAGAAATATGTAGCCAAATGTTTTTTGATATTACTTACATGAAGTAGTAATAAATAATATAAAAATGGGTACCATTTATTTATTTATTTATTTTAATTTTTATTTATTTATTTTGAGACAGTCTTGCTCTGTTGTCCAGTCTGGAGTGCAATGGCGTGATCTCAGCTCACTGCAACCTCTACCTCCGAGGTTCAAGCTATTCTTCTGTCTCAGCCTCCCAAATAGCTGGGATTACAGGCACCTGCCACCACGCCCGGTTAATTTTTGTATTTTTAGTAGAGACGAGGTTTCACCATGTTGGCCATGCTGGCTTCGAACTCCTGACCTCAGGTGATCCACCCGCCTCAGCCTCCCAAAGTGCTGGGATTACAGGAAGAAACCACCTTGTCTGGCCCATTTATTTAGCTCTTAGTCTGGGTAGGTTAGACACAATACTAGGTTCCACACGTGCTCTTAAATCTTCCTATTAACTCTGCAAGCTAGGTATTATTACTATCCCCATTTTACAGATGAAAGGACAGCAACTTAGGTTTAGTTACTTGCAAAAAGTCCTCCAGCTAGTGAGTAGCGCAACCAGAATTTGAACTCATGTTTAGTCAAAATCCTGCACCCTCAACCAACTGTACACTTCTAACCACACTTGACTTCTCCCTACTCCATCTGAACTTCATATAGTGTCTTCCCATATGCTGTCTAACATCTGCAGTGTCCTTATCTCCTCTCCACATGCCTTTTTTTCTTATTGGTGTAGATAGATTCAGGCCAAATTCCCACTCTACTGTGAACCTTACGGATGCCCCAAGGGCCTGTCTGCAAGATATCATTAATACTCTTATTATAAAACTAGGCCAGGAGCGGTGGCTCACATCTTTGGGCGTAATCCCAGCACTTTGGGAGGCTGAGGCAGGCAGATCACTTGAGCTCAGGAGTTCGAGACCAGCCTGGCCAATATGGCAAAACCCTATCTCCACAAAAAGCATAAAAATTAGCCGGGTTTGGTGGCACACGCCTGTAGTCCTAGCTACTCAGGAGGCTGAGGCAGGAGCATCTCTTGAACCCTGGAGGTAGAGGTTGCAGTGAGCTGAGATCATGCCGCTGCATTCCAGCCCAGGCAACAGAGCAAGACTCCATCTGAAATAAATAAATAAATAAATAAAAATAAAAAAATAAAACATTGTGCTACATTGTAATATCTGATTCTCCAAGTAGACTTTAATGTATTCATTCAGCAAATGGCACATGACAATAATCATTTTATAGACGTTTGTTGAATGAATAGTTGAATGAAGTTCAATACATACTATACTTTTATACTAAGTGCAAAATTGACAGTTATATTTTAAATAAATATTGTAATGTTTGAATGTGTACTTTGGCATCTGTTTAAATGCGTAGGGAACCAATTTTAACCATTTAAAAACATGGTGCTGTATAACATTTTTTATTAAAATGCCAAAGCCTTTGAAGATTAGTCTTTGTAAGTGTAGTTAACCTTAAAAATTTTGAAAATTCTTTTTTTTTTTTCAAACAGGGTCTCACTCTGTTGCCCAGGCTGGAGTGCAATGGCACAATCTCTGCTCACTGCAATCTCTGCCTCCCAGGCTCAAGTGATCCTCCCACCTCAGCCTCCCAAATAGCTGGGACTACAGGCACCGGACCACCATGCCCGGCTAATTTTTGTAGAGATGAGGTTTTGCCATGTTGCCCAGGCTGGTCTCGAACTCCTGGGCTCAGGTGATCTACCCACCGTGGCCTCCTAAACTGCTGGGATTACAAGCATGAGTCACCGCGCCCAGCCAGATAGTTTTCTTTCTAGAAAATTTTGTTATATAGGAAATCTTTTGTTTTTAAAAATATTTATTTTGTATTCTGTAATTTATTGGACACTTTGATTCAGTAACTTAGAATACTACCTTCATCCTCTACTAATTCTAGTATATACTGAATCCTATTTCTGCCTTGTCTCTTCAGTGCCATTGGTATGAAGGTTAATATTTATAACCATACAACACAATTTTAATTTCTGTAGCTTTGTTTTCAAATCTTCACTTTTTTGAAGTCTTAAGCCTATGTGAGCCTTTATTCATAGAAAAACTATTTTATGCCATAAAGTAGTCACAATCCAATATTACTGGCATTTCAAATACTTGAACAAAAACTTTTATTTATGTGGTGAGAAATACACACTTAATAATACTCTGCTGCTACTATAGTAACCTCCAAATCAAAAAAGCACTATAAAACTAGCAATCTCCCTGAAAATATATAAAATGCTTCTCAATTTTTGTTCATGATTTGCATTACATTAATCTCAAATTACTGACCAATTGCCAAGATCTATTTTCTGCTAGAGCTCTCCAGTGATATCATTACCTGTTATTTTAGCAAAGGTCTTAAGAAAGTGAAAATAAAATTATTAAACATCTCCTTTGATTCTAAACTTTCTTGTTTCACAGAAAACTTCACAGTCAGAATTTCACAGGCAATTAGACATTCACTAAGGTGATCCATCCAGGTGTTTTTAGGAATATTTATCAATTCCCTCTGATTCATATCATATAAGACAGGCTAAAGAGTTTTAAACTAAGCATATAAAGAGAGCTGATTACACTGAATTGCTTTTTCTATCAAGCTTCTTGTACTCTGAAAATCAGGTTTTGAAGTCTGAAAATAAGTTAATTTTCAACAATTGAAGTAGGCTGAGAACTCCGTTGGTATAAATTCTATTTATGTGACAGCTACCTTTGGCGCCGTTTTATCCTGATGTGATTGAACATGATATGAAAGAGTGCCTTATTCCTATTCAGTGGCAAAGAGCCATGGCTGATTCTTTTAAAATACTTTTTAAGAAGAAAAGTAGACCTAGACTTTCTTTAGCTGAAACAATGACATTTTAATCAAAATAAAATCTACTTCCCATTTAGCATTTATATGTAAAACAGTTAAAGACCTTTAACTTTTATTTTTATTTTTTATTTCTTTTCGAGACAGGGTCTTACTCTGTCACCTAGGCTGGAGTACAGTGGTGAGATTATGGCTCACTGTAGCCTCTACCTCCCAGGCTCAATTAATCCTCCTGCCTTAAGTAGCTGGGGATACAGGCATGCACTACCATGCCCAGCTAATTTTTCTTTTTTTTTTTTTAATAAATAGGGTCTTACTCTGGTGCCCAGGCTGGTCTTGTATTCCTGGGCTCAAGCAGTTCTCCCAACTCGGCCTCCTAATGTGCTGGGATTGTAGGTGTCAGCCACCAAGCCCAGCCAACCTTTAACTTTTATTGGGAATCCTGATATAAGTATTTTAAAATATAAAACTTCTTATTTGAAAAGATGTAATATAGAGGCCGGGTGCGGTGGCTCACATCTGTAATCCTAGCACTTTGGGAGGCTGAGTCAGGCGGATCACTTGAGGTCAGGAGTTTGAAACCAGCCTGGCCAATATGGTGAAACCCTGTCTCTACTAAAAATACAAAAATTAGCCAGGCTTGGTGGCGCGTGCCTGTAATCCCACCTACTTGGGAGGCTGAGTCAGGAGAATCACTTGAACCTGGGAGGCAGAGTTTGCAATGAGCCGAGATTGTACCACTGCACTCCAGCCTGGGCAACAGAGCGAGACACTGTCTCAAAAAGAGAAAAGAAAAGGAAAATTCAATATACAATATATTCTTACATCCCTGCCTTTTACTCTGATCTGCCACAAAGACATTTATATACATATGTAAGAGGAGGACAATGAGTTAGAAAATTTCTTTGATTTGGCTACAGTACTGCTCTTTTTTAGAAAAATTAAGTTCCAAAATGCTTTACCAACACCATCCAAACTCCCTACCAAGCTATCTAAAGGTCCTACATTTGTAGCTACTGGCTACTTCACCAACCATATCTTACCTCCTCAGCCTTGCTCATTCCACTTAAGTGACACTGCCTTCTTGCTGGTCCTTGAGTGGGTTTAGCAGGGTATTCACATTTGCTATTCGCTGACAGCTACACTCTTCCCCCAGGTATGCACCTGCCTCACTCTGCCAGTTCATAAAGGTCCCCACTGAAGTGTGTCACTTCATTAAAGAGGTCCTCCCTCCAAACCATCTCCATCTCATTTCCTTCCATATTTTTTCATCAAAGCACCTACTACTCCAGACAAAGATTGTGTCCTTGACCAAACTGTAATCAGGCTCCTTTGAGTCCTTTTCTAGATTTGGCCTCAAACTTGGGCTTCTGTGTCCAATTCTTGCAGAGCCCGGTTTTACTGAGAATTATGCTATGTCAGTCAAGAGGAATCCTTCACCCTCAGTAGCTGATCACCCTTGATATCTGATCAAATTCCTCATCTCCCACTGTCCCCCAGGGGATGGCTGATCACCCTAACCTGTTAAGTCAGTTCAGCAAGAGTTCCCCCTCCCTTGATGTCTCCTCTTAGTGATTCCTGTCCACCGACCACTCACCTCCCAACCCCCTGCAACCTGTTTCCTTGGCTATAAATCTCCACTTGCTTTTGCTATATTTGGAGTTGAGCCCAGTTCTATACTGTCTCTTTTCCCCGATTGTAATAGCTCCTGAATGAAAATCAGTTTTGCTGCTTTAACTACTCTCAGGCTCTGGTTCTCTTTAATATCACCAGACATATTTTAGAAGTATGATTTTATAGTGGGCCCTCCATAAGTGTGAGTTCCTCATCTGTAGCTTCAAGCAACCATAGATTGAAAATATTTAAGGCCGTTCACAGTGGCTCATGCCTGTAATCCTAGCACTTTGGGAGGCTGAGGCAGGTGAATTGCTTGAGCCCAGGAGTTTGACACCAACCTAGACAACATAGAGAAACCCCATCTTCTACAAAAAAAATACAAAAAATTAGCTAGGCATGGTGGTGTGCACCTGTAGTCCCAAGCTAGGAGAGATACAGAGCAAGACCTTCTCAAGAAAGAGAGAAAGAGAGAAAGAGGGAAAGAGGGAAAGAGAGAGGGAGGGAGGGAGAGAGGAAGGAAGGAAGGAAGGAAGGAAGGAAGGAAGGAAGGAAGGAAGGAAGGAAGGAAGGAGAGAAAGAAAGAGAGAGAGAAAGAAAGAAAGAGAAAGAAAGAAAGAGAGAAAGAAGACAAGAGAAGAGAAAAGAAAAGAAAAGAAAGGAAAAGAAAAGAAAAGAAAGGTGCAGTGGCTCACACCTGTAATCCCAGCACTTTGGGAGGCCAAGGCGGCCGGATCACGAGGTCAGGAGATCGAGACCATCCTGGCCAACACAGTGAAACCCCGTCTCTACTAAAAATACAAAAAATTAGTCAGGTGCAATGGCAGGCGCTTGTAATCCCAGCTCTGCCTCAGGAGACTGAGGCAGGAGAATCGCTTGAATCCTGGTGGCAGAGGTTGCAGTAAGCTGAGATCGCGCCATTGCACTCCAGCCTGGGTGACAGGATGAGACTCCATCTCAAAAAAAAAAAAAAAAAAAAAAAGAAAGAAAAAAGAAAAGAAAAGAGAAAGGAAGGAAGAGAGAGAGAGAGGAAGGAAGGAAGGATGGAAGGAAGGAAGGAAGGAAGGAAGGAAATAAATATTGGGGAAAAAAGGATGGTTACATCTGTACTGAACATGTACAGACTTTTTCCTCATCATTGTTCTTTAAATAATAGAGTATAAAAACTATTTACCTAACATTTACATTGTATTTGTTATTATAAGTAATCTAGAGGTGATTTAAATTATACGGGAGGATGTATGTAGGTTATCTGCAAATAGTATGCCGTTTTATATAAGGAGCTTGAGCATCAGTGGATTTAGGTATCTTTGCAGGGTCCTGGAACCAATTCTCCATGGAAACCAAGGGACAATTGTACATATTATTGTCGATTTCTGCCCTCAACTTCCTTTTTCCCACAACATAAGCACCAAGAGTAGGGTCTTTGCTGTATCTTTAGTGCCTACAATAGTACTTGGCACATAATGTGTGCACCAAAGATATTTGTTGAATAAATGGCTTTCTTTCCAATAATAGTATACTCAATACAAGTTATGAATCACTTTCAGCTTAAAGATCCAAATACTATTAGCATTTTCATAAATATTAACACTTGATAGTAATAGATTATTTAATTGAACACAACATCTATACTTTCTCATAAAACCCTACAAAAAACTGTCATCTTAAGAACACACACTATATACATATACATATACATATTCGTATATGTGTGTGTATATTGTACACACACATATACAAATATGTACCAATACAAATATAGAAACAAGGAGCATTATGTCTACAACTTATAAATGAATGTGTGTGTGTGTGCATATGGAAGGGGAGGGAAGGAGAGGGAGAGGAAGAATGGTAAAGGAAATGCAATAAATGTTAATTTCAAGGAATCAAGAAATATGGATTAAAATTAAAGTATACAGGGATTCTCTTTATCATTTATCTCAGCCTGAAATTGTTTCTAAGTTAAAAAGTTAGAAGAAAACAAAAAACTTTTTGTCAAAATAAACTAACCACTGTATCTATAGTACGATCCAGCCCAAAACAATCTTTTAGCTTGTGCTGAAGAGCATACAATTGTCTTTCTACATGTGAAAAATTATTACTTTCACAGGCTTCTCATGATCTAGAGGACAGATTGAGAAATACTGCCCTAACTCACTTGTTATTATCAGCCAAATTAGAGTGACCAAAACTTTCACAGAGCCTTCAAAGGAATGATGCCTCTGTAGAGTTGACTATTTGCTTGCAAATTGCTCTTGATGCTGTTGCTAATCGAAGATGTTTAACAAACTGTTTTTGAATTACAACACCATTAATAAATTTCATCTACTTTTCATATGTTGACTGTGGATATGTGACCTTTCTGAAATTACTCTTTAAGGATCTTTCAGATCTTGGTTCCTCTGAGTGTCATCTTTTTCTTCAAAATTTTATCTTTAATCTTTGGTTTTCAGTTGTTTGACCATGATATGTCCAGGGTTGCTTGTGTGTATGTTTTATATATATCCTTCTTGAGATTTTCTAAACTTCTCAGATCTGTGGTTGTTACATTTAATTAATTTTAGAAAATTATCAGCTATTATATCCTCAAATATGCCTTTATGCCTGTTCACTCTCTTTTTTCCTTGTAGGACTCCAATTACATGTGTGTTAGATTATTTGATGTCTCAGCTCTTGAGTGCTGTTTTCTTTTTTCCACTTTATCTTTTGATTTGGACAATGCTCTAATTTAAAAATCACTAATTCTTTCCACAGCAGTGTCAGTCAGTATACTGATGAATCTGTTGAAGGAATTCTTTATCTCTGATATTATATCTCATATTTTTAGAGTTCCCATTTGACTATTTTTTATAGTTTCTGTCTCTGCTGAAATTCCCATTGCTCATGCATATTGTCCACCTTTTCTCTAAGATTCTTTAACATGCTAGTCATAGTAATTTTAAAGTCTCTGTAATAGTCAGGACTCTTCAGAGACTCAGAACCAATAGGATGTACGTAGGTATATATTAAGAGATTTATTATGAGGGATTGACCAGTGTGATTATGGAGGCCGAGAAGTCCTATGATCTGCCATCTGCAAGCTGGAGGCCCAGGAAAGCAGTGCAGCTCCAGCCCAAACCTAAAGGCCTGAGATCCAGGGGAACTGATGATATAAGTCCCAGTCTTAGTCCAAAGGCCCCAAACCAGTAGCATCCATGTCCAAGTGCAGAAGAAAATAGGTGTTCTGGCTCAAGTAGAAAGCAAATTTTCCCTTCCTTTGCCTTTTTGTTCTATTTAGTCCCTTAACAGATTGGATGATGCCCTTCTTTATTGGTGAAAGTGATAGAGACAGGAGACAGCCAAGGGTCCCTGGTGAAATCCCACCTTCAGCCTGAAGGCTGAAAAATGGGACTGCTGGTGCCAGATGAAGCCCATCCCTTCCCAATTGATTCTCTCTGAATAATGCCCATCTGCACACTGGGAGGACAGGGTGGAGCCTCAGGAAGTTTGTGCCATTTGCAGGGGGTAGGAACCTGGCCTCTTCAGTTCCTGGGTAATGACCTGGGATTCAATCTGTGAGGCAGGAGACCTGCTAGCAGAACTTTCTCTTGCTTTGCTGAGAGTTCCTCTTTCCTTTTTTATTTTAATCCAATAAACCCTGCCCTACTCACCCTACAGTGTGTCTGTGGGCCTAAATTTTCCTGGTTATGTGACAAGAATCTGGTTGTTTTCTACAACAAAAGCAATCTTTTTTATTTAGTGTACCAATTCAAATGCTTATCTCTTCTGGAAACACCCTTACAGACAGAAGTTGTTGGAATAATCAAATAGGGACTGTGATGATTAATTTTATATGTCAACTTGACTGGACTACAGGATGCCCAGATAACTGTAGAGCAAAAATAGTGTTTTACACTAGTGTTTTACAAAATAGTGTTTTACACTAGGGTTTACCAAAACAAAAATAGTGTTTTACAGTTATCTGGGCATCCCTTAGCCCAGTCAAATTGACATATAAAATTAACCATCACAGTCCCTATTTGATTATTCCAACAACTAGCCATCTCTGAACCTGGTTCTATTGATTGCTTTATCTCTTCACAATATCCCTCCCACCACTGTCTTGCTTTCTTTGTGTCTTATAATTTTTTAGTATATACTAGAACACTGTAGGTAGAAGAATAGCAGAGGATGAGGAACATAGCGCTGTTTATACCTGGAAATGGGTATGCCTCTTCTCTTTCAAGCTGTTATTATGGGAGCTGCAGTTAATCTGGTCAGGAGTTGAACTAGTTTTGGGCTTTATTGTTGCTATTGTTACCTTCAGTGTACCACAAGCTTCATATTCCTCCAAAAGTGAGCTGTTGTTACTTTGTGCATGTATTATGTCTGGGGTGCTGCAGGATTATTCCCAGTGCTTCTGCTCCACCCTCCACTTTCATTAGTCTCTGCAGGGACTGTGCCACAGTAGGGAGGGAGAGGTTTTCTCTATGTTCCTGCCCTTCCCCAAGAGCAGACTCTTGGTTCTTGTTACTCATGCTAAGATTGTGGTGGGGGCAGGAGGGTGTTTTTGGTTCTTTTGGTCCAGCCTGTCAGGCTTAAGCAGAACTTGAACCTGGGCCTGGGGACAGGGCTTTCTTGGTATTCCTGCCATCTCCCCGTGATAGTCAAATGCTACCTTGTATCTCTGTTTGATCTTGTTTTGGAGAGTGTTTCTGCTTCTGTCCTAGCAATAAACAGACCTCTGCTTTGTATTGGTGCAGATTCCTGGGTCCCAGAGGATATTTTCCCCTCTCTAGGGACTGATTGGTTTTTATTCTACCCCTTCCCTACAAGCAGGGGATATTTGCCTCGGGCAGGCTTTACGAGAAGAGTCCAGGAAAGTAGGTGGAGATTAGCGTCTGTCCCCCAGTGGCAGTTGATCGCCAATCAGCATGTATGCTTGTTCCACTAAGGGGGGCTCTCTCCATTTCCCTGCTCTGCCCCTAATCTTTCTGATGAAAGCCCTCAAGGAACTTACAGCTGGTGGGCAACACTGACATTAATGAATTATACAAGCAAATATAAAGCTATAATTTTGATCAATATTCAGCAAGAGGAACCTGTTGTTATGAGATTGTGAGAGGGGAATGTGACCTTTTCAGGAAGGTCAGGGAAGACTTTGCTGTCCAGTGATAATTGACTCAGGTATGTAGGCTGGGTACAAGTCAACTAGTTGAAGTGTCCTGAATGAGGGGAGGATTTCCAGCCGCTGAGGATCAGCATGTAAAAAGTCCCCATCGGGCTGGGCACTGTGGCTCACGCCTGTAATCTCAACACTTTGTGAAGCCAAGGCAGGAGGATC
Organism: Homo sapiens; assembly: GCF_000001405.40. Taxonomy (NCBI): domain Eukaryota; kingdom Metazoa; phylum Chordata; class Mammalia; order Primates; family Hominidae; genus Homo; species Homo sapiens. The sequence goes on along the minus strand of NC_000014.9, from coordinate 88,807,102 downwards.
GCTTGAGCCCAGGAGTTTCAGGCTGCAGTAAGTTACTGTGGTGCCACTGTCTGGGTGACAGAGCAAGACCCTGTCAAAAAAAAAAAAAAAAAAGTCCCTATGGCAGGGTAATATGGCAAGTACTAGGAAGTGAAAGAAAGTAAGAAGTCCTAGGATAAGAAGACCCAGTGAGTACGAAAAGGGTGTAAATTGAGGGTAAAGAGACAGGAGCAAGACCATCGTGGACATTTTGGTCTTGTTAAGAATTTTGGCCTTTATCTTAAATAGTGGGAAGCCATTGGAGAATTTCAAATTGAGGTTGATGGGGAAAGGGATGTAATTGCAATTAGATTTGAAAAAAATAATATTTAAGCAACATATAATTCAGATCTCCCAGTGTTTGTATTTTATATATGAATGCCTTTGAATGATGTAAATTTTGTCATATTTTTAAAGAAAAATTTTTGAAGATAACCTAGGGTATACTAGAATGGATCACAAATAAGGGAGTAAGATTTGAAGTGCTCGGTGATATTCCAATATTTTATATTGGCAGGTGACCACCCCATACTTGTAATAATGTAAGTTATAATTTAGAAGAAATTTTAAATGAATTTATCTGGTCCCATCCAATTACACTGTATTATATTGCAGATTAAATTATGAGCAAGTCTATATTCAGAAACATTTATTACAAGTATACTTACTTTTAAATGGTGACAAAATATGTAAATCAAGTATTATTGAATGCTCATAGGGGTATGCAGAATAAAATAAAAATATTGCAAAATGTAAAGCTATCATTTGGAGATAATGTTTCAATTGTTGACTAATAAAACAATGGTTTTATTTCCCAGTAAAGTCTGTGACTTTAAAATATATGTGACATTTCACTACTATCATTGTCTTTTTTTTTGAGACAGTCTCACTCTGTCACCAGGCTGGAGTGCAGTGGTGCAATATTGGCTCTCTGCAACCTCTACCTCCTGGGTTCAAGTGATTCTCCTGCCTCAGCCTCCCGAGTAGCTGGGACTACAGGCATGTGCCACCATGCCCAGCTAATTTTTGTATTTTTAGTAGAGACAGAGTTTCACCATGTTGGCCAGGATGGTCTCGATCTCTTTCCCTTGTGATCTGCCCGCCTCAGCCTCCCAAAGTGCTGGGATTACAGGTGTGTGCCACCACACCCAGCCTACCATCCTTGTCTTTTATGCATCCTGACTTTATCTTCTTTTATCACCAATTATCACATCTCCTCTTTCTAGAAAGGTACTATCTAGAATTAAACTGTATTTGCCTCTCCAGGAAATATCCTCCTACATCAAAATTAGCTTTTTCTCTCTCCATACATATTTTGCAATTAAGTTTCTTTTTTTTTTCACAACCTATGGTAAATCTACTTTTATTTGCTATCTTTCCTAGATCCATTTTTTAAAAAAATATAGTAACTTTTAATGATGAGTAGAATTCAGAAATGTATCTTTTAATAAGAGCATATTTACTCTATAATTCTTTTGTAATTTTTAAAATATGGTGTTTACTTGAATTAAAAAATATATATGTAGTTATACATATTTCATTTGTTTATATATTTTTTTCACTTGTTTTTAAAGATACTTATGTCTTTATCTCATTTTCATCTTTGGAACATAAATTTCTCAAAACACAGACTGTGTATTCATTTTTTAAATTATTCCCCCATAATACCAAGCCCAATGATTCACACGTGGGCACTCAATTTATGTTTAAAAATGACTATGGTGGTGATTCCTTACCTTTTACTTTCTGTGACATGCTTTCAAATAGTAGAATTGTTGGCAATGTACTTGAAAGAATTAGAAACATGAAGGAACTTGAAACAAGTCAGCAGTGATTACAGAATAATCACCACTACAATATATAATAATGTCTTTTAGTAACTTTGCAAGCATCCACAGTTACTATATCCTCAAATATTGCATAACTGTTTGAGTAGAATCTTTTATGTCCCTGAAGGTGTTATGTTAATTTATTGAGCAAAGATTTCTCATGTTTTCCTTTATTAGATTGATGTCAAGATAGATTTCTTACTGGTAGTTTAGCTGTACTATGGCTATCTACTATGTTGCATTACCTGCCTAAGTCAATATTCTCAGTTGCCGCAAAAATAAATTTTACATATTGATCATAAATTAGTAGGATTTCCAGTCAGGAAATAAACACTTGGCTGCAGTGTGTTGGATCTGTGTTAGGACAGTGTTCTGTAGGTCTCTCACCTTTCTCATATCTTGCAAGCACAGGCACTCACTGCCTTGGTTCCAGACTGTCTTTCAAGGATATTTATGTAGTGAACAATGATGGAAGATAAAGATAGTGTGATCCTCCTCTTGAACAGGGACAGATTTGTTTATTGTCCCTATAATAAAGATGACATCTCCTTCAGGGCAAAGGTCAGACAGGTTTACTGCCCATTATAAAAGACTTAGGTTCCCTAAGCTTCGTTGGAATTCCTGCCCTGTAATGCTACTCACTGTGTGTGTAGATATCACCTGGCCCTCTGCATGCTGCCCTGTAAGAATTGGGGTTCAGGGATCCAGTGGCCAAGAAACCACAGAAGAAGCTGAACAATGAAACCTGGAAGTATGGCTATTAATTCTAACTCCTAGAGAGATGAACTTTAACCAATGGGAAAGAGGGAACAAGAGGAAGCTGGATGAATAAATTCCCATCCTCCTTCCCATGGATTACTCCATGGCATGATTTGTCCTTGCAGCACATTGAGGGACATCCTGTGTGCCAAGTGGATGTGCCTGCCTGGTGACCTGCTCTGTCTCTTCTGGCTTCTGATAAGATGGTAGCAAGGGAGTAACGTCACTTTATGTCACTTCGCATTGCTTCACAGTTTTCCTTGACTCATTTCCTTTTCCTTAACCTCACTGCCCTGGGCTTGCCCTTCCCAATTAAAACATCAGTGCCTTAATCATTGCCTCAGGCTCTGTTTTCTTGAGACTCCAGGCTAAGGTAGTAGCTAAGTAAAGAAGGAGAACTACAGATTCTAAAAGAGTAAGTGGCAAACACATGCTCTTGAGAACACATATCCTGGAAGCATAATTTCCTAAAGTCCTATAAGCGCTGCTATAAAGGTATGTATGATTGTATAAAATGTATTAGGGACTGGCTGGGTGCAGTGGCTCATGCCTGTAATCCCAGCACTTTGGGAGGCTGAGGCAGGTGGATCACCTGAGGTCAGGGGTTCAAGACCAGCCTGGCCAACATGGTGAAACCCCTTCTCTACTAAAAAATACAAAAAATTAGCCAGCCGTGGTGGGTCCCTGTAATCCCAGCTATTCGGGAGGCTGAGGGAGGAGAATCACTTGAATCCAGAAGGTGGAGGTTGCAGTGAGCCAAGATAGCATTACTGCACTCCAGCCTGGGCAACAGACTGAGACTCCCTCTCAAAAAAATAAAATGTACTAGGGACTTAAATGAACACTGATTAATTCTGGAGGTTGTGTATGGGGATGTCACAGCAAACTATAGAAGAGAGGTATGTATTTGATTTCTAGGGCTACTGTAATTAAGTACCACAAACTGACTGGCTTCAACAATAGAAATTTCTCGTCTCACATTTCTAGAGGCCAGAAGTCCAAGATCAAAGTGTTGGCAGTGTTAGTTCCTTCCGAGGGTTGTGGGGGAGAATCAGTTTTATTCCCTTCTCCTAGCTTCTGGTGGTTGTGCCAGTCCTTGACAGTCCTTGACTTGCAAATCTCTGCCTTCATCTTTACAGAGAGTTTGTCTTGTGTGGGTGTCTGTATCCCAATTACCCATTTGTCACATTGAATTGGGGCCCACCTCACTCCAGTATGAATTTCATCTTAATTTAAGGAATTATAATCTGCAATGAAATATTTTCCAAATCAGGTCACATTCTAAGGCAGCAGTCCCCAACCTTTTTGGCAACAGGGACTGGTTTTGTGGAAGACAATTTTTCCACGGATGGGGTGGGTCAGGATAATTCAAGTGCATTATACTTGTGGTGCACTTTATTTCTTTTATTATTACATTGTAATATTTAATGAAATAATTATACAACTCACCATAATGTAGAATCAGTGGGAGCCCTGAGCTTGTTTTCCTGCAACTAGACAGTCCCATCTGGGGTTGATGGGAGACAGCAACAGGTCATCAGGCTTTAGATTCTCATAAGGACCGTGCAACCTAGATCCCTCTTGCGTGTGCAATCTATTCACAATAGGGGTTGTGCTCCCATGAGAATCTAATGCCCCTGTTGATCTGAGAGAAGACAGAGCTCAGGCGGTAATGAAAGCAATGGGGAGTGGCTGTAAATACAGATGAAGCTTCGCTCGCTTGCCTGCTGCTCACCTCCTGCTGTGCAGCCTAGTTCCTAACAGGCCACAGATGGGTAGCAGTCCATGGCCGGCAGATTTAAGAACCCTGTTCTAAGGTACTAGGGGTTAGGATTTCAACCTATGAATTTGGGAGGAACACAATCCAACTCATAATAAGGCAGTTCATTTGGGCTGGACATCAAAGATTCTGTAGGAGTTTAACAGGCTGACAGTGGATGGTTGAGGGTAAGGCACAACATGGAGGCTGCAAATGTATACGCAGTTCTTGAAAGGCCTGGTTAATTTTAGGAATTACCAGCAATCTAGAATGTCTACACAGAAGGGCTAGTTCAGAGCAGGGAGGAACTGGCTGGAGGTGAGTCTGTTAAAAGAGATGGGAGGCATTGTATGTCACATGAGGAGTTTGTACTTTATACGGCAATTAGATTCTACCCAATGTTTGTTTAAAATTACTTTTGTTACTTTTCCCTAATAATAAAAGCAATGGGTGTGTGTAACTGAGATGTCAGTTTCAACTTCACTACCGCTTGGAGAGTTTAACGTGGCTTGAGCTCCAAGTTTACCAGTTAGAATCCAGGACTTCCCTGCCTGCTCCCCACTGACTTTATTCTTCTCTTCTTGTGGCATTGCTTCCTGCTACATCAACTCACATGAGAAGCCCATTTCTCCAGTTTCCATTTTAAGAAAGAACCCACCTAACATTTCATGAGTTTAGAAATGTTATGTAAGATTTGAAAGGTTTTGGAGAGAGCTACATGGCAGGACTTGCAATTTTGCCATCTCTCTTACTTTCATTCCTCTTTCATCTTCCTGGAGCAACAAATTCTTCCTCATTCTCCCTGCAGAACATTATTGTCCACATTCGGTTCCTTTAAGATCTAATTTTCTATGCCAAGCACTCATTCAGGTATTTTGTTTTTTCTATACAAACATAATTCTTTTCCCATGCAGAATGCTGAAAAACAAAATTATCTCATCTTAGTGTGTGTGTGTGTGTGTGTGTGTGTGTGTGTGTGTGTGTATTTTGAGATAGTGTCTTTGTGTGTCTGTCTGTTTGTGCGTATTTTGATATAGAGTCTCACTCTGTCGCCCAGGCTGGAGTGCAGTGGCACAACTGGCTCACTGCAGCCTTGAACTCCTAGGCTCAAAGGATCATTCTTGCCTCAACCTTTCTAGTAGCTGGGATTATAGGCGTGTGCCACTACACCCAGCTGCTTTTTAAATTTTTTTGTAGAGACAGGGTCTCACTATGTTGCCCAGGCTGGTCTTGAACTCTTGGGATCAAGTGACCCATCTGCCACAGCCTCCTAAATCATTGGGATTATAGGCGTGAGCCACTGTACCCAGCTACAAACACACACACACACACACACACACACACACACACACACACACACGAACACATATATAATTTTTTTTGAGACGGAGTCTCGTTTTGTTACCCAGGCTGAAGTGCAGTGGTACAATCTCGGCTCCCTGCAACCTCTGCCTCCCGGGTTCAAGCAATTCTCCTGCCTCGGCTTCCAGCGTAGCTGGGATTACAGGCATGCACCACTACTCCTGGCTAATTTTGTATTTTTTGTAGAGACGGGGTTTCTCCATGTTGTTCAGGCTGGTCTTGAACTCCCAACCTCAGGTGATCCACCTGCCTTGGCCTCCCAAAGTACTTGGATTACAGGCATGAGCCACCACGCACAACCAACAAGTATATTTAAAAAGAACTTAGAAAACATAGCAAAAATAGTTGAAAAATTACCCATAATGATTATAAAGATTTAAACATAAGACCTAAAACCATAAAACCCCTACAAGAAAACCTAGGCAATACCATTCAGGAGATAGGCAAGGGCAAAACCTTCGTGACTAAAACACCAAAAAAATGACAACAAAAGCCAAAATAGACAAATGGGTCTAATTAAACTAAAGAGCTTCTGCGCAGCAAAAGAAACTATCATCAGAGTGAACAGGCAAGCTACAGAATGGGAGAAAATTTTTGCAATCTATCCATCTGACAAAGGGCTAATATCCAGAATCTACAAAGAACTTAAACAAATTTACAAGAGAAAAACAACTCCATCAAAAAGTGGGCTAAGGATATGAACAGACACTTCTTAAAAGAAAACATTTATGCAGCCAATAAACATGAAAAAAAGCTCATCATCACTGATCATTAGAGAAATGCAAATCAAAACCACAATGAGATACCATCTCATGCCAGTTAGAATGGTGATCATTAAAAAGTCAGGAAACAACAGTGCTGGAGAAGATGTGGAGAAACAGCAACGCTTTTATGCTGTTGATGGGAGTGTAAATTAGTTCAACCATTGTGGAAGACAGTGTGGCGATTCCTCAAGGATCTAGAAATAGAAATACCATTTGACCCAGCAATCCCATTACTGGGTATATACCCAAAGGATTATAAATCATTCTACTATAAAGACACACGCACATGTATGTTTATTGTGGCACTCTTCACAATAGCAAAGACTTGGAACCAACCCAAAGGCCCATCAATAATGATAGACTGGATAAAGAAAATGTGGCACATAAACACCATGGAATACTATGCAGCTATAAAAAAGGATGAGTTCATGTCCTTTGCAGGGACATGGATGAAGCTGGAAACCATCATTCTCAGCAAACTAACACAAGAACAGAAAACCAAACATCGCATGTTCTCACTCATAAGCGGGAGTTGAACAATGAGAACACATGAACACAGGGAGGGGAACATCACACACCAGGGCCTGTCAGGGGTGGGGTGCTAGGGGAGGGATAGCATTAGGAGAAATACCTAATGTAGATGATGGGTTGATGGGTGCAGCAAACCACCATGACACATGTATACCTATGTAACAAACCTGCACGTTGTGCACATGTACCCCAGAACTTAAGGTATAATAAAAAAAATTGCCCATCATATTACAAAACTGTTCACATTTTGGTATCTTTTGATCTAGTCCTCATTATATTATATAAACGGGCTCATTCTATATATATGTTTTTGTATCCTGCTATAAAACATTTACATTCTATTATGGGAAATTTGCAACGTTGCCAAAATTTATCTGCAAAAAAACGCCTAATTTTTGATGGTTTATAATATTTTGTCATACTGGCTGAATCAATTTGCTTAAGGTTTTCTCCGTGGTTGGGCATTTAGGCTTCCATATTTTTTATTGTCCTAAGTTATGCTGTGATAATTTTTTTTTAAAGACAGGGTCTCACTCTGTCACTCAGGCTGGAGTGCAGTGACATGATCATGGTTCACTGCAACCTTGAACTCCTGGGCTCAAGCGATCTTCCTCCCTCAGCCACCTGAGTAGCTAGGACTGCAAGCATATGCCACAATGCCTGGTTAATTGTTTTTTTTTCTTTTTGTAGCAATGGGGTCTCACTATGTTCCTGAACTGGAGCAATTCTCCCCCTTTGGCCTCCCATAGTACAGGGATTACTAGTGTGAGCTACTGTGCCCAGCCTTTTGATAAATATTTGAACATGAATTTCAACATGAATCCTGATTTACATTTTTTTGTTATTACCTTGTGGCAGGTATCCAGATGAGAAATCTGTGGGTCAAAACATAAGAATATTTCAAGGCACAAGATACCTATTCCTAAGTTGCTTATAGCAAATGTTGTTAAAAGAGAGGAATTGGCATGATCAGATAAATGATTTTTTTACAGCTAACTCAGGTGGCAGAATCTAGGGAAAAGATAATTACAGCTTGAACTGAACTGTGGCAGTGGGGATTGGGAAAGCATTGATGTAGAGATGGGGATGCGTTTTAGTAATATTTCTAAAACAGAGCCAAAAGGACTTGGTAACTAAATATTGGAGGTGAGAAACAGTAAGGAACCAAAGGCAACTGCCTATCTTTCCAACCTGCCTCACTGGGGTAATACTGATATTAAAACAGAAAGAGAAGATGGCAAGGTGTGCAGATGTGTAGGACAAGATAATTTGATTAGAGATTTCTTTTATTTGAATTATATATGGTACCAGTTTTTAAAGGCTTTAGGTGGAATCTAATAGGCATTTGAAAATATAGTTAATAGTAGGGAACATCTGCTGGTTGTGCCTGCCTGGCATCTGGTACTAGCTTCAAGATTTTTTTTTTTTTTTCCTGAGGAGGATCTTTGGGTGGCAATCTGGTTAGAAAGAGTACTGTGTTATAGTTGCATTTATTTACCAAACATCTGTTTTACGATTTAGATTGCAGGTGTATTTGGTTTGGTAAATGAAGACTGGGGAATGTTACAGCTCCCAAGTCAGCCCTGTGCAGCCCTGCTGGCCCCCATTCTTTCTTATTCCGGTAATACTATTTTGATTTTCTTTGAGAGGATTCCTCCACCCCTACTCCCCCTTCCTGTGGTTTTGGCGCACCTGGCACTACTCTATGGATCCAAGGGCGGCATATAAGTCAGCCAATCAGAGTTAACCAGGCTAAAGTCTAACAGTTTCCAGGGGAACTGCTGAGAAAAGCTCTTTCCACAGTGATTGCTAAGCGGGTGGGATATAGAATTGGAGTGGCTGGCAGCTGTTTTGCTTGTCTGGCAATGGAGTCTACTCAAAGTAGAACTGAGTTAATTCTGATGATCTGTTTTTTTGTTTTGTTGTTGTTGTGTTTGTTTTGTATTCTTTTTTGAGACAGAGTCTTGCTCTGTTGCCCAGGCTGGAGTGCAGTGGTGCAATCTTGGCTTACTGCAACCCCTGCCTCCCGGGGTCAAGCGATTCTCCTGCCTCAGCCTCCGGAGTAGCTGGGACTACAGGCATGCACCACCATGCCCGGCTAATTTTTTTGTATTTTTAGTAGAGGTGGGGTTTTACCATGTTGGTCAGGCTGGTCTCGAGCTCCTGACCTCAAATGATCCACCTGCCTCAGCCTCCCAAGATGTTGGGATTACAGGTGTGAGCCACTGTGCCCAGCCTGATGACCTGTTTCTGATGACATCACTTGATCCCTAGGATTCAAGTGCATTGATGCCAGTTCTAGAGCTTTTCAGTCTTATGAGGCATTAAAATTCCCTTTTTATCTTAAGCCTTTTGAGTGGGTTTCTGTCACGTACAACCAAAGAAGTCCTGACTAACACAGTATTGGATATCAAATAAGGTTCAAGGCTGGACATAGTGGCTAACGCTGGCTCACACCTGTAATCCTAGCACTTTGGGAGGTTGAGGCAGGAGGATTGCTCAAGTCCAGGAGTTTGAGGCCAGACTGGGCAACATAGTGAGACCTCACCTCTACTAAAAAATAAAAAATTAGCTGAGTGCGGTGACAGATGCCTGCAGCCTCAGGTACTTGGGAGACTGAGGTAGGAGGATCAATTGAGCCTGGGAGGTCGAGGCTGCAGTGAAGTGTGATCACACCACTGTACTCCAGCCTGGGTGACAGAGCAAGACTCTGTCTCAAAAAAAAAAAAAAAAAAAGAAGGAAAGAAAGAAAACTTCCAAGTTTTCAAAGATTTCAAGTATTCAAGATAAAACTAAGAGGAATCCTATTGTGCACAACACAATAGGATTGTGCACAACATTTTCTTTTCTAATTCATGGTTGATAAATATGTAGGGAACAGCTATTGTAGTACCAGGCACTGTGGTAGGCTCTGCATGTACAATAGGCTGATCAAAGGTAAGACTACAGATATATATATATAATATGTTATATATATTATATACATATTATATATATAATATATATAACATATAATATATATAATATATAACATATAATATATAATATATATAACATATAATATATAATATATATAACATATAATATATAATATATATAACATATAATATATATATAATATATAATATATATAACATATAATATATATAATATATAATATATATAACATATAATATATATAATATATAATATATATAACATATAATATATATAATATATAATATATATAACATATAATATATATAATATATAATATATATAACATATAATGTATATAATATATAATATATATAACATATAATATATATAATATATAATATATAAAACATATAATATATATAATATATAATATATAAAACATATAATATACATAATATATATAATATATATAACATATAATATACATAATATATATAATATATAACATATAACATATATAATATATATAACATATAACATATAATATGTATAACATATATAACATATAATATATATTATATATAACATAATATATATAATATATATAACATAATATATATATAATATATATAACATATAAGAGATATAATATATATAATATATATAACATATAATATATATAATATATATAATATATAAACATAATATATATATAAAATATATATAATATATATAACATATAATATATATATAAAATATATAACATATAATATATATATAATATATATAACATATAATATATATATAAAATATATAACATATAATATATATATAATATATATAACATATAATATATATATAATATATATAACATATAATATATATATAATATATATAACATATAATATATATATAATATATATAATATATATAACATATAATATATATATAATATATATAATATATATAACATATAATATATATATAATATATATATACTTTTTTTTTTTTTGAGACAGAGTTTCACTCTTTGTTTCCCAGGCTGGAGTGCGGTGGTGCGATCTCAGCTCACTGCAACCTCCACTTCCCGGATTCAAGCGATTCTCCTGTCTCAGCCTCCCGAGTAGCTGGGATTACAGGCGCCCGCCACCATGCCTGGCAAATTTTTGTGTTTTTACTAGACATGGAGTTTCACCATGTTGGCCAGGCTGGTCTCAAACTCCTGACCACCCACCTTGGCCTCCCAAAGTGCCGGGATTAGAGGTGAGAGCCACCATGCTAGCTAGAAGTAATTGCATGAATTTTTTTTTTTTTTTTCTGAGATGGTGGCCTGCACCACCACACCCGGCTACTTTTTTTTGTATTTTTAGTAGAGATGGGGTTTTGCCATATTGGCCAGGCTGGGGAATTTTGGTTTTTATGTTTTCTACATTTTGCCTTAGATTTCTTTATAAACCTAAGGGTACCTAATCAGTAGCCAGCACATGATTTATTTGCCTGAATTTTAGAAATATTTCAAATATCTCAAATTCCATACTAGGAACTCAAGTTTCAGGAACTAGATTACCAAAGGGGGTGATATGGTTTGGCTGTATCCCACCCAAATATCACCTTGAATTGTAATAATCCCCACATGTCAAGGGTGGTGCCAGGTGGGGATAATTGAATCGTGGGGGTGGTTTCCCCCATACTGTTCTAGTGGTAGTGAATAAGTCTCATGAGATCTGATGGTTTTATAAATGGAGCTCCCCTGCGCAAATTCTTCTTGTCTGCTGCCATGTGCGACTTTGCTCCTCTTTGCCTTCCACCATGATTGTGAGGCCTCCTTAGCAATGCGGAACTGTGAGTCAATTAAACCTCTTTTCTTTATAAATTACCCAGTCTCAGGTATGTCTTTATTAGCAGCATGAGAACGGACGAATACAGGGGGTATTGCAGCCTTCGTCTGGAATGCTTAACAAATGTCCATTTGTTGATGTGTATAATTTTTTGTTTCTTTCTCCCACATCCTTATTTGCATTACTTTCACAGGATACAGATGATGGAATATCACCTAGCAATAGAAGCTTCATTAAGCTTTCTGATGTGACATTGGTAATACTGGATTATATAAAGTTGTGAGGGTAAGAACTGATCAGGTTTGTTTTTTTCTTCCTCTAGTATTCATGAATGGTTCATTTTCTAGCCACCTTTGTGCCTCGGCTGTCTCTTTTGGTCTTGAGTCGCCAGTTGAGGATGGTTTAATTAAGAATGTTTTTGCTTCGCACTCTACACTTGGGTCATTAAAATCGTAATGGAAAATATGATAATGGGAAAATAAATTACTTAAATCTCTTATTAATCTGAGTACTTAAGTGTGTATCATGGGATCCATAAGATATTGTGCTGAAAAATCCGAAACATAGAAAAAACTATATTCTTCCATCTCGTCTCATAAAATTTACATGTAACCAGTAATTAATATATCACAAATGTATAGCAACAAATATTTAATGTTTTCTAAGTTCACTGCTTGAATTTAAATAATCAACAATTTTTCTTTTTCTCACCAGGGGATTTCAAGGAACTCACTAGTGAATTAGAACATATTCTTATTAAAAAACAGAAAACGCCCTCCTGGTGACAAAGAGAAACTGTGTGTGCTTTTGCCCAGGGTACCCTACATGGGCCTTAGAGCCACTTCTCAGGCCTGATTTCTTTGTTTATTTGCAGCAGCTGCCAGAAAGCTATTCCTCTTTTTCAGATTCTGCCCAGAATGGAAACTCTTTCAGAGTTTACTTTTCATGACATCTATGTAAATTCCTTTCAGATGGCCTTTATTTCCTGCATGTAAACTGCTTGCAGATTAGAAGTCATAATCAAAGACGAAACGGTAATCCTGTCTCAAGTTAGTAACTGGCATCTTTGAGGAAGTAGACATTGGATAACATCTATTCCAATATATCTGTACCACACAGGAGTCAACCCCTTTTGGAGTCATATTTCTTGAAACGATGGTAGTTTATTTTAGCTTTTGTCAGATTTCTGTCTTGGTATTTCCTATGGAAATCAAACAGTAATTTTTAGACAATAAGGGTTCATATTGGTATATCCTGAATTAGTATTTTTTTGTTGTAAATCTTGTGGCCATCCTGAACTTAACACTTTTTAAATTGTGGATTTCCAATTATTTTTAGAGGTATTGATAAATCTTGTTCATATTCCTGTGAGAAGAGGACACAACTGAGTAGGAGGGGAAATGACATAGTCAGGAATTGATTGTTCCCAATACTTTTATTACAGGAGTTTTCTACAGGATCACAATTGAATTTATTTAATTAAGAGTAACTGTTGGTGATGTCCCAGTCATTTTTAAAAAAATCGAAGTACAATTTTTTTTTTTTTTGCTATTCGGAAATCAGATCTCACATGTCAGTTTACCATCTAAAGTCTACCTTCAGCTTTGCGGTCACTTAAGAAAACATACACTTAGGACCAGGAGCAGTGGATTGGGCCTGTAATCCCAGCGCTTTGGGAGGCCTGAGGCAGAAGAACTGCTGAAGGTCAGGAGGTGGAGACCAGCCTGGGCAACACAGCAAGACCCCCGCCTCTACAAAATAAACTTAAAAACAAAGCAAAACATTTGCCGGGCATAGTGGTACGCAACTGTACTCCTTACTACTCCGGAGACTGAGGCGGGAGGATCGCTGGAGCCCAGGAGTTGGAGGCTACAGTGAGCTGAGACTGCGCCACTCCACTCCAGCCTGGGCGACAGAGCGAGGCTCTGTTTCTAAAAATAATAATTTAAAAGCACATTTAGGAAGCTCGGCATCATTCCAATGTCTGGGTCCGAAAGCACTATAAGGCAGCAAGACACACAAGGTATCAAGCGTAAAAAAGAGAATTTAGCATCCCGGTGTGGATTTTCCCAGGCAAAAACGTGGCCTACGCTGGGTGCAGGGACCGTGCGGAACCGGCAGGTGCTTCCCGGTTGAGGACGCAAAGCAGCGGGAGCCCGGGGTCGCCGAGGGTCCGCCTGGGCTTAAGCAGCTCAACGAGGGAGGGCTCACCGGCCCGCGCACTTGCAGAGACGCGGTCCCAGCGACTCCGCAACTAGACCGTGGCCCCGCGAACTCCAGCCTCTTCTCGGCTCCGGGAGGGGCGGAGTGAGCGCGGGAGGGGGCGGGGCCACGCAAGGCCGCGCGCCCGCCGCTCGGCTCGGCTCGGCTCGGCTCGCTCGGTTTCGGGGTGCGCGGCGCGGGTCCGCCAGGCTGTGGCTACAAAGCCGCGGCGGGGCGCGAGCGCCGCAGGTGACCGGGGCTGGGAGCTGCGTGCGCGGGCGGCGGCTGAGGAGCTGGAGGCGGGCCCTCGCTCTCGGCCCAGGCGCTACGGGCTGAGGAGACTAGGCGAGCCGAGGCGGGCGAAGGGCTCTGGGCATCCACTTGACAGCCGGCGGCGCTCGCGGCCCTCAGCATGTTCCGCGAGGCGAGGGTTTTCCTCCCGCCTGTGGGCTGAGGCGGCGGCGGCCCCCGAAACGAGATGCACCTGACGGGCGCGGCTTAGAGGACGCGGCTGGCGGGAAGTCCCGGCAGCCAGCGGGAGGGCTTTCGTTGCCGGGCCGCCGCCGCCTCCCGTCGCCGCCGCGGGCCCGAGCGGGAGCGGCGGGTGGGCGCCCCGACATGGCGGCCCGGAGCGCCCCGAGCTGCCACCTGCGGCTCGAGTGGGTGTACGGCTACCGGGGCCACCAGTGCCGCAACAACCTCTACTACACTGCGGCCAAGGAGATCGTATACTTCGTGGCGGGGGTCGGCGTGGTGTACAGCCCGCGGGAGCACAGGCAGAAGTTCTACCGGGGCCACAGCGACGACATCATCAGGTACCGGGGAGCGGGGGCCGCCGCCGTCACCCTGCAAGCCGCTCCCGGAGTTTGCACCCGCGGGTTCCTCTGGACGCCGTGACCGCTCCTGCACGGAGCATCACCCCGAGGGGAATCCGCAGCTGTCTCTCTGGTCCCGAGTCCACCAGTTAACACCCTACAAATGCCTTTCCCCTCTTCCTCGTCTAGGGACTCTCTCTCGGGTCCGTGCAGGAAGATCAGGTCCGCGGATCCACCGGGCACCCGGTTTGACGGCTTTGTCCCCTTTCCCACTCCATCACAATTACGAAAACTGCGAAAAGGTTATTTTGGTGGCACTTTATTCCGTTAGATCCTGTGAGAAATTTCTTATTAAACGCATTCTTAAAGCACCCGGGGTGGGGGGAAACCCTTTACCTAATAAAGGACTGATGGAAGCACAGCAAGCGGTGGGCTGCTCCCGGGGAGCGCGCCCAGGGTGGCGTCCTGAAGGGCTCTCACCTCCTGGCCGTAATTATTAGTTCAGGTTTCACCGCCTGCTATAATCAGCAGAAACCCCAGGCAACCTCCAGGCAATTCACTGGATGTTAAAATGTGCACACCTGAAGGCAATTTAAGGTAGGTCTTATCTGAAGAGGCTGCTGAAAACTTCACTGATTTCCAGTTCTCTTCATCTTCATTAAAATACTCCTAAATAAGCTACTTTTGTATTTTCTTAAAATTAAATCGCTATTGGGGGGCTATTTTTAGTCTTCCTTGGACAATAACTCAAAGTTGGTCCCAGAGCTTGTTGACATTTCTTTAGTGAGCGGTATATTTGAAATGTAATTTTCAATCAGTGTCTTAGTACAACTTTTATGGTAAAGTCAAGAGCTTCAGAAATCATTCTAGGCCACTGATTATTGCCTCAAGCACAGCATTTTTTGTCCTTTACAGAGGAAAATATATTAAAAGCAATTGAGAATGTGTTTGTGTGGTGCTCTTGGGGTTTTATCAAAGATTCTACGATTTGGGTTTGGTTACAAAATGTTATTCCCTCATGTATGTTGCACAGGATTTAAATTGGGCATTTCAAATACGGTACCTTGGTTTGAAGTCTTGTAGGCAAGAAGCCCTGGTATGTAAATTCCACAAATAAAGTTGTTCTTCTGTTTTGCGTCTCTGTACATCTATAATATGTAAGAGGGAAAGGATGCCTAGGACAAACAGAGGTAGGGCAAGATGGAGTAAAGATAAGAAAAGACAAAATTGAGATTGCAGAGTAAGGAATGAGGTGGTGCTCTGTATTCAGTTGGTTTTTTTTGTTTGTTTTTGTTTTTTGGACACCAGAGTGCTTTTTCAGATTGTATTTAATGTATTACTTTGAAAAGGTAACTGATAAGTCATTTCATTTTTCTCAAGCTGGGACTCTGTATCGTGGTGATTAGGGTTACAGACCTATTATAATAGCCCAAATTGCTGATGGAAAAACAAAACTAAAGTAAACCCGTAGTAATTATTTATCTTCTTAGTTATCCCAAGAGTAGAGTTTACCCCAGTGTCTTGTCTTTTTCCCTAATCCTTTCAAGTCTCCCTTCTTTTCCATATGCTAGGTCTCCCAAAGTACCAGGCATAGTAGCTTTACCTAGCTGGAGCAGCCTTAACTGAAGCCCTGCTCCAGATAATTTAGTCTGTTAGGTTGAATTCAGCTGGTGGAGTAAATGTGAAGGATTTTGAGGTCTTCTCGTGGTACACTTGTATTGTTTTTACTCCTTGGGGGTTATGAGAGCAGTATAGCACTAAGGTCTTCTGAAACTAGATATGATTTATTTGGTGAGGTAAATTACATCTTGTTCTTCTAGCAGTAATTAGAAGCTGTGTTATATGTCACACCGCTTAAATTTCATAATTGTGTTTCAGTAAACTGTAAGGAAGGTAATGCTTTGACTTTCTTTTGGTATAGTTGCACAACTTATACAAAACAACAAACATACTCGAATTTCTCATCGTTGAATATACATGCTTATGATTTTATCCAAATGACACATCTTTAATGTATAACAATGAAAATAAGTTTCCTGAAAAGTTTCAATGAGGGAGTAAAATCTGAA
The DNA here is from genome assembly GCF_000001405.40 of Homo sapiens. Taxonomy (NCBI): domain Eukaryota; kingdom Metazoa; phylum Chordata; class Mammalia; order Primates; family Hominidae; genus Homo; species Homo sapiens. The sequence continues at coordinate 88,790,237 of NC_000014.9, read as the reverse complement.
TCATACAGCATCTTGAAATTGGTGGCACAAATTTAATATGATACTGAGAATATAATTTAGGAATCAGTGAAAGGGCTCTGGACATTTTATTTCAAATAGTAATGACAGATCATTCATGTTTGTGAAATATATTGAGCTAATATTAAAACCTCAATATTTTTTCAGTTCAGTGTTTGACTTGTGAGTATAGAAACAACTCTAGTAATTTTTAAATTATGCCACAGCAGAAGATGTAATATTCACAAATGTGATGCATAGTGAAAACCAATGTTGCTGTAACCTTAGCTTTAGTAATAAAAAGTCAGTGCTGTTTTCATCATCTGTTTTGTTTCCACCTTTGCCTGAAACTTATGTAAAACTTATTGGTCAAATATTACTTAGTCTGAGGATAGAACTGTTCCAGAATGAGCAGATCATTGTCCTCAGGTTTTGAAAATGTGAGTGCAATGTTGGTGGTAAAGGCTGAATCATGACTAGTCTATCATTTGCTTACTGGTTCTTTGACCATTTTATTATCACCTGGGATTGCCAGTGGTGGTGCCACATGACATTTCATCATTTTCTCAGTAAAGGCTGAATCATGACTAGTCTATCATTTGCTTACTGGTTCTTTGACCATTTTATTATCACCTGGGATTGCCAGTGGTGGTGCCACATGACATTTCATCATTTTCTCAGTAAAGGCTGAATCATGACTAGTCTATCATTTGCTTACTGGTTCTTTGACCATTTTATTATCACCTGGGATTGCCAGTGGTGGTGCCACATGACATTTCATCATTTTCTCAGTGTTGCTTGTAGTTCTCCATCTTCTTTTTGCCATCTACTTGTGTATACTTCTCTAGTCATTTATCTTTTAGTTATATTTATCTTAGTAACTGGTTTATATGGCAATTAGTTTCAATGTCAGAAATAATATAGGGCTTTTGGGGTCACTTTTTTGTTCTTTTTCTCAAGTTATATTGATAAAATTCTCCAGTTATTCTATCAATATAAAATCTATAAATCTATAAAATCTGTATCTATAAAAATCTCTAGTCTAGATTTAAGACTAAGTTATAAAATAAGCTACTACCAGTTTTAGCATAAGATGCACATCTATACCTTGGTCTATATTTTGAAACTTTTGCCAGTTGTTACAAGAATGCGATAGCTTTTTTTTTTTTTTAAACTGAGACAGGCCCTTGCTCTGCGTCACACAGGCTATAGTGCAATGGTGCAATCACTGCTCACTGTATCTTTGAAATCTTGGGCTCAGGTGATCATCCCACCTCAGCCTCCCCAAGTGGCTGAGACCACAGATGTGGGCCATGATGCTGGGCTATTTTTTTTTTTTTTTCGGTAAAGATGGGGTCTCTGTATGTTGCCCAGGCTGGTGTGCTGGACTCCTGGGCTCAAGTGATCCTCCCACTTCCGCCTCCCAAAGTGTTGGGATTACAGATGTGAGCCACCGTGTGCAGCCAGAGTGCAATATCTTTTCAAATTTATTATTCTAGGTACTTCCCGTAAGCAAATTTTTGCAAGATTGTTCTTAAGGATATTATTGAGAGTTTACAAATAATCTATACCAGTGAAGACCATTGATGGAATATAATTAACTTGGGGCATTTTGTTATTTGACTCTGCTTTCCTTATGGGAGTCAGAGCCCATTGTTTATGTATTAAGTAGGTATAGAATTTAGAGTACTTTTTTTTTTTTTTAACATAGTGAAAGGGTCTCACCAGTTGGTGATGAGCTCAAATGACGATGCATCTGAAATATTTTGAAAAGTATACCACACTATATGGTTGCAGGTTAAAATAATAACTGTTCATTGCTTCTATGTATGGCTTTTTTAAAAGACAAAATGAAGGGTGTAGAAGCTATTTTCTTTATTTGTGGTAAATCGTGTTCTTAAGAAAAAATACTGACCAAGTCTTATTGTAGTTTAGTAAAAGTGGTTTTTGACAGCTCAGTATTTATGGTATAGAAACTTAATTTATTCAACGCAAGTCAAAATTGTAATTGGAAAAGCGATTCAGAATAACATTTGCACGGTAGATAGATTTTTTTTGTGTTTATATGGGTTCAGAGTAGCAACTTTTTAAGCTCTGGTAGGAATTACTGGAAACCTACTTGTAGTCTACTTAATGCTTCTAGATACATGCTCATGATTTCCCAAACCTGGCTTATCTTCAAAATAGTTTGAAGAGCTTTTCACCAGTTTCTAGCCTTTTGCTCAAACGCACAAAGTCAGAATCTTCTAGGGTTGGAGCCCAGGAATCTATTTTTTAAAAAGTGCCTCAGATTATTCTGTTTGGGAAACACATTGCCCCCACCATGCCTAGAATTCTTAACACAAGCCGTTTGAGAAATGGGCACAAACCCTCTCCTCAAACCTGATACCAGAGTTTTCTTAAGCACTGTGCAATATGTAGAAGTAGTGCTTCAAAAAGTATTAGAAAACATATTTAATAAAATGTCCCTGTGCTTAAGTAACTAGAATTAGATGGACTTAACATTTATTTATAGACCATGTAACAATTATATTTGGTAAGATTTCATTTTATGTGTTGCAATATCAAAATATTTATGGTTTTTTAAATATTGCATAATTTAAGGGATAAAATTAAGAGATGTTTTCCAGGAAAAGTAGGAATTAACTAGAATAATAGTTGAAGTTGTAATAGATGTGTATTAAGTATATATTCTTTAGGGAGAAGCCAGATTATTAGATTTACATTTAATTATTTTCCTTTATTATTTTATAATGTCTTATGTGCAAATATGCAGACAATTAATAAAACATGTTTTGGATATACATTAAGGAAAACGTGGAATAATGAATTATTAGAAGCTATTAAGAACTTTTATTTCAAAGTTTTCTCATCCAAGAAATATTTGTTGAGCTTCTGTTTTGTGCAAGAATCCCTGCCTTAAGATACTCAGAGTTTAGACACAATCAGATGCTCAATGAGCATATGTATACTAGGAATAGCACTAATGTACCTGTGATATGGTATGTACATGGGGATATAAAAAGTTCACAGTGTTTCTTATAGAATATAATACCTAAGCTAAGTCTTTGAGGACAATAGGGAGAAGGGTCATCAGAAGAAATGAAAGAAGGTATAGCATTCTGGGAAGAGGTAACATTGTGTGCAGTGGTTTTGTGTTATGAGAGAATATTTGAAGAATTTGCTTATACTATCTTCAGTTCCTTTTCTCCCATTTACTCTTGGCTTTGTTCTGTTTCACCATAGCAGTTCTTGTTGAGGTTACCAGTGACCTCTGCATTGCCAAATCCAGTGGTTATCAGTTCTCATCTTATTTGATTTTTCATCATGATTTGACATAGTTGGTTCATTAGTCCGTTTTCATGCTGCTGATAAAGAGATACCTGAGACTGGGAGGAAAAAGAGGTTTAATTGGATTGACAGTTCCACATGGCTGGGGAGGCCTCAGAATCATGGTGGGAAGTGAAAGGCAGTTCTTACATGGCGGCAGCACGAGAAAATGAGGAAGATGCAAAAGCCGAAACCCCTGATGAAACCATCAGATCTCGTGAGACTTACTACCATGAGAACAGTGTGGGGGAAACTGCCCCCATGATTCAAATTATCTCCCACTGGGTCCCTCCCACAACACATGGGAATTATGGGAGTACAATTCGAGATGAGATTTGGGTGGGGACACAGAGCCAAACCTTATCAGTTGGTTACACCTTCTTAAGACCCTTTCTTAAGTGGCATTTAGGACATATCTATTTCTTGGTTTACTTGTTCTTTCAGCAAATATTTACTGAACACCTATTATTTGCCAAAGACTATTCTTATCACTAGAGATATGGCAGTGAACCAAACAGATAAAATTGCCCACCCTTATGGAGCTTTTATCTACTGGGTGGGGAGACACAGAATAAAGAAGGTAAATTTTATATATGTGTGTAAATTTTTATATATGCATGTATATATGTATAGTTTGTAAGAGCTAAGGAAAAGAAGGTGAGAAAATGCGATAGAAACTATTGGGAAGAGTTTAGATAGGTATTTAGATAGGGTGGCCAGGAAGACCTCACTGTAAAGGTGACACTTAAGTAGAGACTAGGAGGTGAGGTAATGTGCTGTGTGGAAAGGACATGTTAAGTAAAGGGACTATCAAATGCAAATGCCCTGAAGCAGAATGCCAGTATTTTTGAGGAATAGTAAGAATGTTAGTGTGGCTGGAGCAGAGTGAACTTGAAGGAAAGTAGTAAGAAATGAGGTCTGATGAGCTATGGTGGTGGGGGCAGATTTTATAGGCTATTGAGAGGATTTTCACTTTCCCATCTGAGAATGGAAGTTATTGGAACTATTTAATCAAAATAGTGACATAATTTGACTTACGGTTTAACAAAGTCACTCTGGCTCCTATGTTGAGAACAGACTGAAGAGAGGCAGGGGCAGGATGGAAGCAGGGAGACCACTTAGGAGACTGTTGCAGTAATCCAGTCAGGAAGTATTGGTGGCTTGGACTGGGGTGGTAACAGTGAAAGTAGTGACAAAAGAGCAAATTTTTATGTATTTTGAAGATAGAGGTAGCATGATTTACTAATGGATCACATATAAATTGTGAGAGAAAAGAAAGGTCAGTGATGATCACAGAATTTTTGGTCAGAACAATTGGAAGAATGGAGTTGCTGGCTACTGAATTGGGAAACAGTGTTGGAAGAGCAAGTTTTATATTTTGGACAGAAGGAAAGATCAACAGCTCTGTTTTATTTTACTAAATTTATTTTAAATTTTTGTGGTTACAGAGTGAGTTTATCTATTTATGGGGTACATGAGATGTTTTGATACAGGCAAGCAGTGTGAAATAATCACATCAAGAATTGGGTATCCTTCCCCTCAAGGCTTTATCCTTTGTATTACAAAGAATCCAGTTGCAACCTTTTAGTTATTCTAAAATGTACAATTAAATTATTACTGACTATAGTCACCCTGTTGTGCCATCAAATGGTCTTATTCATTCTAACTCTTTTTTTGTACCCATTAACCATCCCCACTTCCCCCTGAGTCCTCCACGACCCTTTCCAGCTTCTGGTAACCATCCTTCTACTCTATGTCCATTAGTTCAGTTGTTTTGATTTTTAGATCCCACAAATAAGTGGGAACATGCGATGTTTGTCTTTCTTTGCCTGGCTTATTTCACTTAACAATCTCCAGTCCCATCCATGATGTTGCAAATGACAGGATCTCGTTTTTTTATGGCTGACTAGTACTCCATTGTGTATATATACCACGTTTTCTTTATCCATTCATCTGTTGATAGACTCTTAGGTTGCTTCCGAATCTTAGCTATTGTGAACAGTGCTGCAACAAACATTGGAGTGTAGATATCTCCTTGATATCCTGATTTCCTTTCTTTTGGGTATATGCCCTGCAGTAGGATTGCTGGATCATATGGTAGCACTATTTTTAGTTTTTTGAGGAACCTCCAAACTGTTCTCCATAGTGGTTGTACAAATTTACATTCTCCACATCCTTTCCAGCATTTGTTACTGCCTGTCTTTTGGATATAAGTCATTTTAACTGGGGTGAGATGGTATCTCATTGTAGTTTTGATTTGGAATTTTTATTATGGCTTTGATCTTGTTATTTGTTATTGGTCTGTTCATGTTTTGGATTTCTTCCTGGTTCAATCTTGGTAGGTTGTATATGTCTAGGAATTTGTTCATTTCTTTTAGATTTTCAAATTTAGTGGCATAGAGTTGGTCATAGAAGCCACTAATGATCCTTTGAATTTCTGCAGTATCAGTTGTAATGTCTCCTTTTTCATTTCCAATTTTATTTGTATCTTGTTTTTTTTTTCTTAATGTGGCTAAAGGTTTGTCAATCTTGTTTAACTTTTTAAAAAAAAACAACTTTTTGTTTCCTTGAAATTTTGTATTGGTTTTTTAAAATGTCAATGTCATTTATTTCTGCCCTGATCTTATTTCTTTCTACTAATTTTGGATTTGGTTTGCTCTTGCTTTTCTAGTTCTTTAAGATGTATCATTAGATTGTTTATTTGAAGTTTTTCCTTTTTTTTGATGTAGGCACTTACAACTTTAAACTTCCCTTTGAGTATTGCTTTTGCAGTATCCCATAGGTTTTGTTATGTTGTTTCCACTTACATTTGTTTCAAGAAATTTTTCAGTTTCCTTTTTAATTTCTTCATGGACCCACTGGTCATTCATGAGCATATTGTTTAATTTCCACGTATTTGTATTCCTCTTGTTATTAATTTCTAGTTTTATTCCATTGTGGTCAGAGAAGATGCTTGATATTATTTCAATGTTTTTCAACATTTTAAGACTTGTCTTATGACCCAACACACAGTCTATCCTTGAGAATAATCCATGTGCTGAGGAAAAAAATGTGCATTCTGTAGCCATTGGATGAAATATTCTGCAAATATCTATTAGATCCATTTGGTCTATAGTGCACATTAAGTCAGATGTTTCTGTGTTGATTTTCTGTCTGGAATATCTGTCCAGTGCTGCAAATGGGTTGTTGAAATCTCCAGCTATTATATTGGGGCCTGTCTCTCTCTCTAGCTCTAATAATACTTGCTTTATATATCTAAGTGCTCTAGTGTTGGGTGCGTATATATTTAAAATTGTTATATCTTCTTGCTGAATTGACCCCTTTGTCATTATACGGTGACTTTGTCACTTGTTTTTTTACTTCAAATCTACTTTTTCTGGTATAAATATAGCTACTCCTGCTCTTTTTTGGTTTCTATTGGCATGGAATATCTTTTTCCATCCTTTTATTTTCAGTCCGTGTGTGTATTTATAGGTGAAGTGTGTTTCTTGGATCAGTGGAAGCTCCATTGATCTGTTCCATTGGATCTTCCATTGATCTGTTCATCCATTCACCTACTCTATTTCTTTTGATTGGAGATTTTAGTCCTTTACATTTACACCATCCTCCAGACTGTGGCTGTCTTTTCACAGCTCTACTAGGCAGTGCCCTAGTGAAGCTGTGTAGGGGATCCAACCCCACATTTGTGTGTGGGGGCTCCAACCCCACATTTCCTTTATGCACTTCCCTAGCAGAGGTTCTCCATGAGGGCTCCGCCCCTGCAACATACCTCTACCTGGACGTCCAGGCATTTTCTTTTCTTTCTTTCTTCTTTTTTTTTCTTTTTTTTTGACATGGAGTCTCACTCTGTCTTGCCCAGGCAGGAGTGCAGTGGCTCAATCTTGGCTTACTGCAACCTCCAGCTCTTGGGTTCAAGCGATTCTTCTGTTTCAGCCTCCTGAGTAGCTGGGACTACAGGTGTGTGCCACCACACCTGACTAATTCTGTATTTTTTGTAGAGACAGAATTTCACCATGTTGGCCCGGCTGATCTTGAACTCCTGACCTCAGGTGATCCACCCACCTCAGCCTCCCAAAGTGCTGGGATTACAGATGTGAGCCACCGTGCCCGATCCAGGCATTTTCATACATTCTCTGAAATCTAGGCAGAGGTTCCCAAACCTCAGTTCTTGTCTTCTGCACATTTGCAGGACCAACACCATGTGGAAGCTGCCAAGGCTTGGGGCTTGCACCCTCCAAAGCCATGGCCTGAGCTGTACCTTGGCCTCTTTTAGCCACAGCTGGAGTGGTGGGGACACAGGGCACCAAGTCTCTAGGCTGTATGTAGCAGAGGTGTCTTGGACCTGGCACAGGAAACCAGTTTTTCCTCTGAGGCCTCCGAGCCTGTGATGGGAGGGGCTGCCGCAAAAGTCTCTGACATGGCCTGGAGACGTTTTCCTCTTTGTCTTTGTGATTAGCCTTTGGCTCCTCGTTCTTATGTAGATTTCTGTAGCAGGCTTGAATTTCTCCCCAGAAAATGGGTTTTTCTTTTCTACTGCATCATCAGGCTGAAAAATTTCCAAACTTTCATGCTCTGCTTCCTCTTGAATTCTTTGTCGCTTAGAAATTTCTTCCACCAGATACCCTAAATCATCTCTCTTAAGTTCAAAGTTCCACAGATCTCTAGGGCAGGGGCAAAATGCTGCCAGTCTCTTTGCATAGTAAGATTGATCTTTACTCCAGTTCCCAACAAGTTTCTCTTCTCCATCTGAGACCACCTCAGGGTGGACCTTATTGTCCATATCACTATCATCATTTTAGACAAAGCCATTCAACAAGTCTCTAGGAACTTACAGACTTTCCCACATCTTCCTGTCTTCGGAGCCCTCCAAGTCTTTAGGAAGTTCCAAACTTTCCCACATTTTCCTATCTTCTTCTGAGCCCTCCAAACTGTTCTAGCCTCTGCCTGTTACCCAGTTACAAAGTCACTTCCACATTTTTGGGTATCTTTACCAATTTACTGAATTAGTTCGTTCTGACACTGCTAATAAAAACATAATCAAGACTGGGTAATTTGTAAAGGAAAGAGGTTTAATTGACTCACAGTTCTGCAGGGCTGGAGAAGCCTCAGGAAACTTACAATTATGGCAGAAGGGGAAGCAAACATGTCCTTCTTCACATGGTGGCAGCAAGGACAAGTGCAGAGTGAAGAGGGGGAAAAGCCCTTTATAAAATCATCAGATCTCATGGGAACTCACTATCATGAGAACAGCATGAGAGTAATCGTCACCATGATTCAGTTACCTTGTCCAGGTCCCTCCCATGTCTGGGGATTATGAGAACTACAAATCAAGGTGAGATTTGGGTGGGGACACAACTAAACCATATCAATAAGAAATGCAAAGAGGGGATAAGGATATACAAAAGAAGTGACTATTTTTAGTAATTATAATTAGTGGTAGTATCATTGGTATTGTTATTCTGAGTCTGTGGTGTGTGCAAGGTGGGATAAAACAAATCAGTAATTTGGGGACATTCTGATTTATAAATCTATTACATTTGAGAACCAAAATTCTCAGGATGGAAGAAAAAAAATCAGATGTAAGTGTGAAGAACTGTGAAAGTTCTGCAGTTTTACCCTACTGGAAAGTTACTAGGAGCCTATCACAATTTCTTAGATGCTGACAGAACACACCAGCTTCTGGGTCAGAGACAAAAGGATTTATCACTTTGTATATGCACAGAAAACAGCATGAGCATTGTATTTGTATCAGTCATCTTTGCCCGCCTAAACCCACAGGGTGATATAGAGGAGCCTAAATTGTGAGTTTACATCACAGCTAAGTAACCTGGAGTTTAGGGAAACTGAATCTTTTATAATAGACTGCAAACAAACCTGCTTGTGATGGTTAGTTTTCTGTGTCATCTTGGCTAGGTTATATAGTACCAGATGATTTAATCAAACATTAAGTGAGCTGTGAAGGTATTTTATAGATATGATTAACATCTTATCAGTTGGCTTTCAGGAAAGGAGATTATTCTTTATAAGGGGCCCCACTCAGCCAGGTGCAGTGGCTCACACTTGTAATCCCAGCACTTTGGGAGGACAAGGCAGATGGATCACGAGGTCAAGAGATCGAGACCATTCTGGCCAAGATGATGAAACCCCGTCTCTACCAAAAATACAAAATTAGCTGGGCATGATGGCGCGCGCCTGTAATCCCAGGTACTTGGGAGTCTGAGGCACAAGAATTGCCTGAATCTGGGAGGCGGAGGTTGCAGTGAGCCAAGATCGCGCCTCTGCACTCCAGCCTGGATGACACAGTGAGTGAGACTCCATCTTAAAAGAAAAAAAAAAAGATTTTTTATAAACATCAACTGCTGCCCTGCCCTGTGGATTTTAGACCTGTCGATCCTCACAGTCATGTGAGCCAATTCCTTGAAATAAATCCATTTGTATGTATTCTATTCTGTTTCTCTGCAGAACCCTGACTGATAAAGTGTCCTTTGTGCTGGAGAGAGATACATTTATTATACTGAACAGTAAACAAATCTACCCTTTGTGCAGAGGGAGATATTATCTTTATTTTTCAAGTCTGTTTGCTATACAAATATCCTCCAAAAAATAGCCTAGAACAAAGACAGTCAATACCTCTGCATTCAGAATTTTCAGAAACACGGGCTGGGTGTGGTGACTTATGCCTATAATCTCAGCACTTTGGGAGGCTGAGGCAGGTGGATCACTTAGAGGTCAGAAGTTCAAGACCAGCCTGGCCAACATGGTGAAACCCCATCTGTACTAAAAATACAAAAATTAGCTGGATGTGGTGGTGTGCTTCTGTAATCCCAGCTACTTGGGATGCTGAGGCAGGAGAATCTCTTGAACCTGGGAGGTGGAGGTTACAGAGTGAGCCGAGATTGCACCACTGTACTCCATCCTGGGCAACAGAGCAAGACTCCATTTCAAAAAAAAAAATTTTTTTTCAGAAACATGAGAGATCCATAGAGAATTATTTCCTCACAGTAACATAGAAGTAAAAATTTTGTAGTTCTGGATTTGAATTGGAAATGTCCATATGAACTCACAATGTATCATATATGCATTTTTTAACCTAGTTCTATCCACTGAAAGTTTACAAAACTGTGACAAAGCCAGTATAGATAGCAAGTCCCAGACTCTGGTCTTAAAATTCATTCCTCAAGATAAAAACTAAGGATTAATGGAGAAACAGCTGATCCTGGTTTGCGCCTAGAATATCTTGACATCAGAGAGCAGAGGATATATAAAAGACTAGTAGGGTGACAAACAAAGTTCCAAGGAGGCAATATGAAGTGACTTCTACATGGGACAATTTGAGCTTTTTAATTAGGGTAAGAATTGCAGTAAATTCAAGTTCAAGGTAATTGGTCACCTTCTAAAGATGACAGAGAACCAACTCATTTTCTTGGGGATGATGTAAATGAAAGACGTGCCATTATCCCTTGTTAGCCTTTATTATATAAACTGTTGATACTATTGGACATTAAGTAATTAGCCATAGGTCTCATAACTTATCAGTGGCAGAAGGCAGGATCTGGTTCAGTTCCCTTTCTGTTGAGTAAATCTATATTTCTGTGCTATATTTAAACTTCTGATATGATACTCATAGTTTCGCTTTTTCTTTATGGCTTCAGGAAAAAAGATATTAGAAGAAGGCTTTAATCAGTCAAGATAGACTAAATTTTGGTATGGTAACAAATATCCCCAAAACCTGGATTGCTTAATAACGAAGGTATATTTTTCATACCCATCATTAATTAGTTTCCCTAAGGGTTCTGTTCTTTGTGGTTACTCTTGAACACAGACTAATGGAGCAGTGATTACCTTGAACATTGATGGTTGCTTGCGCCAGAAGAAAAGAGAGCTCCAAAAATTCTCACATATACAATCTACAATCTAAATGCTTTAGCATGGAAGTTTCATCACATAGGCTCCTAACTCATTTGAAAGAAACCCCAAAAACTAATAACATTGTTCCAACCAACCACAAAGAAGCCCAAAAATGAAATCCTGTTATATGCTTAAAAGGGAGAAAACCCAAATATCTTTGATAAACTGCATTATTGATCCCTGAAATATTTAACTTACCACTTTGTTTTGTTTTGTTTTGTTTTTGAGATGGAGTCTTGCTGTGTCGCCAGGCTGGAGTGCAGTGGCGCATTCTTGGCTCACTGCAACCTCCGCTTCCCTGGTTTAAGTGATTCCTCTGCCTCAGCCTCCTGAGTAGCTGGGACTACAGGCGTGCGCCACATTGCCCAGCTAATTTTTTGTATTTTAGTAGAGACAGGGTTTCACCATGTTTGCCAGGATGGCCTGGATCTCCTGACCTCGTGATCCACCCGCCTCGGCCTCCCAAAGTTCTAGGATTACTGGCGTGAGCCACCACACCCAGCCACTTACCACTTCTTAACCTTCCACAGTTCTATGTCCAGAAACAGAAAATAACAGAATTGTCAATATAATATATACTTAACAGGGCAAACCACAGTGGCTTCTGAGAAAAGTCGTACACTCAAAATTGAAGTTTTTAACTCTTGTGTACCTGAAGAGAGCCCCAAACTTGCAGGAATCCATACAATATTAAACAAATCTTTATTGTTATTGATAAGTAAGAACTTTCTCTTGCTGTTTTGTTATTTGTTTTCTTGTTGTTTCATTGTCTTTTTTTTCCTTCTTTCGTTCAGGTCTTATTTTAGTTAAGGTGATGTTCTCTGGTGATATGATTTAGTTTTCTGCTTTTTATTTTTTGTGTATCCATTTTATGTCTTTTGGTTTGAGGTTACCATGAGACTTGCAAATACTATCATCCATTATTTTAAGCTGATAACAACTTAACACTGTTTGTATAAACAAAGAGAAAACAAAAACTCTATGCCCTAACTTGGTCCCCTCATTTTTAAAAATTTGCTGTATTTTTTGAGACAGGATGTCACTCTTTTGCCCAGGCAGGAGTAGAGTGGCACAGTCTTGACTCACTGCAGCCTTGACTTCCCAGGCTCAGGTGACCCTCCTACCTCAGCCTCCTGAGTAGCTGGGACTACAGGTGTGTGCCACCATGTCCAGCTAATTTTTGTAGTTTTTGTAGAGATGGATTTTGCCATGTTGCCCAGGCTGGTCTTGAGCTCCTGGGCTCAAGCAATCTGCCTGCCTCAGCTCCCAAAGTGCCGGGATTACAGGCATGAGCCACTGTGCCCGGCCCATCCTCCTGCTTTTTAACTTTTTGTTATTTCTATCTTATTGTACTGCGTATGTCTTAAAAAGTTGTTGTAGTTATTATTTTTATTGGTTCATTTAGTCTTTCTACTTAGTATAAGAGTAGTTTACATACCACAGTTGCAGTGTTATAATATTCTGTGTTTTTCTGTGTACTTACTATTACCAGTGAGTTTTGTACCTTCAAAACCCACTTGGGATTACTTATTGCTCATTAATGTCCTTTTCTTTCTGATTGAAGTGCTTCCTTTAGCATTTCTTGTAGGACAGGTCTGGTGTTGAAATCCCTCAGCTTTTGTTTGGGAAAGTCTTTGTTTCTCCTTCATGTTGAGGGATAATTTCACTGGATATACTATTCTAGGGTAAATTTTTTTTTACTTCAGAACTTTAAATATGTTATGCCACTGTCTCCAGGCTTGTAAGGTTTCCACTGTAAAGTCTTCTGCCAGATGTATTGGAGCTCCGTTGTGTGTTGTTTCTTTTCTCTTGCTTCTTTTAGGACCCTTTCTTTATCCTTGATCTTTGGGAGTTCGACTATTAAATGCCTTGAAGTAGTCTTTTTTGGGTTAAATCTGCTTGGTGTTCTATATCCTTCTTGTACTTGGATACTGATATCTTTCTCTAGGTTTGGGGATATCTTTTTCTGTTGTTATCACTTTGAATAACCTTTCTACTCCTGTCTCTTTATCTAGCTCCTCTTTAAGGCCAGTAACTCCTTTATTTGCCCTTTTGAGACTATTTTCTAGATCTTATAGGGGTACTTCATTGTTTTGGTTGTTGTTTCTGTTTTTTCATTTTTGAGACGGGGTCTTGCTCTGTCACCCATGCTGGAGTGCAGCAGTATAATCTCAGCTCACTGCAACCTCTGACTCCCAGACTTAAGTGAGCCTCTCACCTTAGCCTTCTGAGTAGCTGGGACTACAGTCATGTGCCACTATGCCCAGCTAATTTTTTTTTTTTTGGTAGAGACAGGGTTTTGCCATGTTACGCACGTTGGTCTTGAACTACTGGGCTCAAGCAGTTCACCTGCTTCGACCTCCCAAAGTGCTGGGATTACAGGTGTGAGCCACCATGCCCGACCCACTTCATTGTTTTTTATTTTTTCTTTTGTCTTCTCTGATTAAAATAACCTGTCTTCAGACTCACTAATTCTTTCTTCTGCTTGATCAATTCTGCTATTAAAGGACTTGGATGCATTCTTCAGTATGTCAATTGTATTTTTTCAGCTCCAGGATTTCTGTTTGGTTCTTGTAAATTATTTCAGTCTCTGTTAAATTTATCTGACAGAATTGTGATTTCCTTCTCTGTGTTATCTTCAATTTCTTTGAGTTTCTTCAACACAGCTATATTTTGAAGTCTCTTTCTGAAAGGCCACATCTCTCTGTTCCTCCAGGATTGGTCCCTGGTAGCTTATTTAATTCTTTGGTTAGGTCATGTTTTCTTGGATGGTGTTGATGCTAGTAGATATTCTTTGGTGTCTGGGCATTGAAGAGTTAGGTATTGTTGTCTTCACTATCTGAGCTTGTTTGTACCTGTCCTAGGGAAAGCCTTTCCAAGATATCTGAAAGAACTTGGGTGTTGTGATCTAAGCTGTATCTGCTTTAGGGGGCACCCCAAGCCCAGTAATGCTGTAATTGTTGCAGACTCATAGAGGTGCCACCTTGATGGTCTTAGACAAGATCCCGGAGAATTCTCTGGATTACCAGGCAGGCACACTCTTACTCATTTCTCTTACTTTCTCCCAAACAAATGGAGTCTCTCTCTCTCTCTCTCTTCTGAGCCACCTAAAGCTGGGGGTGAATGACATAATCACCCTGTGGCCACCACCACTATGATGGTGCTGGGTCAGACCTGAAGACAGCACAGCACTTTGTCTTGCCCAAGGCTTGCTGTAATCAGTCCCTGGTTACTGCCTATGTTTGCTCAAGGCCCTGGGGTTCTACACTCAGGTGGTAAAGCCGGCCAGGCCAGTGTGCTTCCCTTCAGCGCTGTGAGTTCCCCCAGGCTTGGGTGGGTCCAGAGGTACCATCCATGAGTCAGGGACTAGAGTCAAAAACCTTAGAAGTCTACCTGGTGTTCTGTTGTACTGTGGATGTGCTGGCACTCAAACCACAAGGCGCAGTCCTTCCCACTCTTCTCTCTAAAGACAGAGGAGCCTCTCCCTACAGCCACTGCCTGCCACCACAGGCCATGGAGAGCACTACCAGACTACTGCCAATGTTCCCTTAAGGCCCAAGGGCTCATAAGTCAGCTTGTGGTGAATGCTGCCTGGTCTGGGACTCACTTTTCAGGGCAATGGGCTCCCTTCTGCCCCAGGGCAGGTCCAGAAATGCCATCTAAGAGTCAGGTTCTGGAATTGGGGACCCAAAGATCCCACTTGGTGATCTACCCACCCCTATGGCCATGCTGGTACCTAAGGTACAAGACAAAGTATTTACTTTTCACTCCGCTTTTCTCAAGCAAAAGGAGTTTCGCCCCATGGCCACCACAGTTGATAATGTGCTGTATCCTACCTGAAGCCAGCAAGCCTCAGAGGCTCACTTAAGGCCCTTGACATAGTACCCGGGTATTGCTACTGGTTATTCAGGGCCCAAGGGCTATTCAGTTAGCAGGTGGTGAATGCTGCCAGGAGTAGGTCCTTCCCTTCAAGGCAGCAGTTTCCCTTCTGTCCCAGGGAATAAAAATGTCGTCTGGTAGCTAGGGCCTGAAACAGGGGCCTCATGACTTTGACCAAGCAACTCTGTTTTAGAAGTGTTCTATTTGAGATTATCTGATAGACAACCAAGTGGGGTTTTAAATTAGGCTGTTGAACATACATGTCTATAATTCAGGGAAGCAATCTGAGCTGGTATAGATTTGAATGTTATCAGCATATAGACAGTATTTAAAGCCATGAACCTAGATGAGACCACTGAAGGAGTGAGTTTAGATAAAGGATCTAATAAATGGATTCCTGTGGCACTCCAACATTTTAATGTAGGGGAGATGAAGAACTGACAAAAATGTGGCCAGAGAAACACGAGAAAAACCAAGAGTATAAGATCATGGAAGTCAAGTGAAGAGAGTATTTCAGGGAGAAAGGAATTATCAGCTGTGTCCAATAAGATGAGGACTGCTTCACCTTAGCGAAGTTTTGCTATAATTATATTGTAATCATAAGACTCCCCAAAAGACTGTGTATGCCCAGGGGAAAAGGAAGAGCAGGAAGAAGATGAGAAAATGAGTCATGTCATTATTGGTACACAAAACTAGCCTCTTTCAAGATTCGTTCCAATGTATAACTATTATGTATTCATAACATTTCTTAAAAACAGATTTGTTCCAGCAGTTTCTGCTTTACTTGGTTATTAAAAAAATGACACATAGCTGGCAGCCCTGGATCGTTGCTTCTGAAAAGTGTGGTCTTCAGACTAGCAACGGCATCACCTGGAAAGTTACTAAAAAATACGAATTATCTGGGCTCATTCCAGATCTACCAAATTAGAAACTCTAAGTGTAGAGCCCAGTAATCAGTTGTGTGGTTTTGTTTTTTGTTTTTTGTTTTCTGTTTTTTGCTTTTTTGAGACAGAGTCTCGCTCTCGTCACCCAGGCTGGAGTGCAGTGGCATGAACTCGGCTCTCTGCAACCTTTGCCTCCGGGTTCGAGCGATTATCTTGCCTCAGCCTCTCAAGTAGCTGGGACTACAGGCACCTGCCACCACACCAAGCTAATTTTTGTATTTTTAGTAGAGGTGGGGTTTTACCATGTTGGCCAGGCTGGTCTTGAACTCCTGACCTCTGGTGATCTGCCTGCCTTGGCCTCCCAAAATGCTAGGATCACAGGCATGAGCCACTATGCCCGGCCCCAGTAATAAGTTTTTTATCACCTCCAGGTGATGTTAATATAATCTAAAGTTTGAGAACACTGCTCCAGATTCCTGATTCTCAACCCTGGCTGCTTAATAGAAAGTTAAAAGAAAACAAACAAAATAAAACCACCAATGGCCAAGCCTTACCCAAAGAAATTGTGATTTAATTTGTTTAGGTTGGGGTCCAGGTATCGTTTGTTGTTTGTTTCTGTTTTTAATTTTTAAGCTTCCCAAATGATTGTAATATGCAGGCAGGGTTGAAAACCACTGCTCTGGATTTAATAGTAATCCATGTTCAGGTGCTGGCCTAGGAGTCAACCTGAAAAAAACCTCAGGACCTAGCCAAATCCACTCATTTACTATTATGCGTTATATGACAATGTGGGTAAGTACTGGGACCTCCTTAAATACTTTGGGCTTCTTGCCTAAGGCCCTCCCACGCTGGATATTCCCTGTTTGGAGATTTATTACCAAGCAAAGTTTTTGTTTTCTATTGGTGGATCTGTTCAGTGTCATCATGAGCTGAAAACACCGAAAGACAGATATCCTGCATTATCAGTCCAGAAAAATGCTCACTCACAGGGAACCTGGAAGGTCATAATTATGTGCATCCTGTATGATATCAAGTGAGGTGTACTATGACCCAGTGCCTCAGGTGATGATTTCAGCAGACTCGTGGAGTAGCTGCAGTGGGTTTGGCTGAATTTAAAGGTAAACTGGATTGTTAAAAGATCAAGTAAAACATAGTGCCTACCTTGTAACACTGGCATGCAGATACCTCCGAAGGAGTAAGCATGAAGGGAAACATGAAATAATTAGAGTAATGGACAGAATATGTTGGGATGACTAGGAGTAGTTAGGGAGAGCTTCTCTGAGCAAGTTATATTTGCCCCAAAGCATGAATAATATGAATGCGGCAAAGATTTGGGAGGTCATTCCAGACAAAGACTTTGATAGCATAATGAGCTTGGCCATTTTAAGGGATAGAAAGGCCAGTGTAGCTGGAGTGTAGTGAACAAAAGGAAAAATGGTAGGAGCTAAGGTTTGAGAAGTAGGTGAGGGTATACCTTTTTTTTTTTTGAGATGGAGTCTTGCCCTGTCGCCCAGGCTGGAGTGCAGTGGCAGGATCTCGGCTCACTGCAACCTCCGCCTCCCAGGTTCAAGCGATTCTTCTGCCTCAGCCTCCCCAGTAGCTGGGATTACAGGCACGCACCACCACGCCTTGCTAATTTTTTGTGTCTGTAGTAGAGACGGGTTTCACCACGTTGGCCAGTCTGGTCTTGAACTCCTGACCTCGTGATCTGCCTGCCTCAGCCTCCCAAAGTGCTGTTACAGGCATGAGCTACCTCGTCCGGCCGAAGGTATATCTTACAAAGGCTTGAAAGTGCCATCTTAGATGGTTCAGGTTTCATTCTAATTCGGTAGGAAGCTATTGGGTTTTTACCGAGGTAAATGATGAGATCAGATTTATGTTATTTTTAAAGATCACCTGGCTATGTTGAGAAAGCTCTAAAGGGAAGCAATAGAGGAATAATGGTAGGTAGACAGAAGGCTACCGAAGTAGTTGTGATGTAAGATGAATGCTGGTTCAGATTAAGATTGTAGCAGAAATGACGGTGATGATAGAGCCAGTAGGACAGGCTAATAGAATGCATGAGATGAGTGAGGAAAAGATAAGTAGTGAGGATGAAATTTAGCTTCTTGGTCTGAGCAATTGAATGGATGGTGATATCATTTACTAAGGCAAGGAGGAGCAGATTGGAAAGGTAAGGAGGAAATCAGATTCTCTTTAGGATGAGTTAAATTTGAGGAATGTATCCATTGTGCTGACCTAGAGATACAGGGTTGGGAGTTATCACAGTCTATATGCATTTAAAGCTGTGGGATTGGATGAAATCACCTGGGAAAGGAAGGGAAAACAGCCAAGACAAAGCCCTCATACACTTTAATATTCAGAGGTGGGGTGCAGGAGATAGTGCCTACCAATGGAGACAGAGAAGGAAGGGCTGATAAACTGTGAAGTCAGGAAGCCTAGAGAGGAAAGTCTTTCAAAAACGTGGGTGGTCAGTTATGTCAAACACTACTGAAAAATGGAGGGGAATAAGGACATACAGTTTATCATTAGGTTTGGCAATGTCATACATGACCTGGAAAAAACTGTTTCAGTGAAGGAGAAGAGATGAATGCCTACTTTGAAGTATGTTAACACAATAAAGGGAGTGAAAAAGATGAGACACCTCTTTTGAGAAGTTTTGCTTTGAATGAGGAGCAGAGAAATGGGATGATGGGTAATTGGTCAAGGGAATTGTTTTTTAATGGGTATATTTGAATGGTAATAGGAATGACTCAGTAGTGAGGAAGCAATAATTCCAGAAAGCATAGTTCTAGGAGTAAAGTACTTGAAACTAAGGAGAATGGGACCTAGAACACAAGCGGAGAGTTCAAGGAGTATAGACATAAAGAGAAGTCAGAGTCTGCCAGTACAGTTAGATTAGTGAATTTCATGGGAATGAAGTATCTTCTTTAATTCGATCTATGTTAATCATTAAGTACAAGACAGGCTTATCTGCTGCAAGGCAGAGGTTGATAGGGGGGAACTGTGCTCATGTGAGAGTTTGGAGGTTGAGAAAAGGATGCACATTTACCAGCTAAGTGTTTAATAGAGTTCTCTACTAGTGTACAGTGCTCATTTGAGATGTGTGAGATAAATGTAAAGGAACATTGATATATTTGCATGTAAGAATGGAGATTTATGAGGAAGATGATAGCTCACTTTATGTTTGTTTAACATGTTATTTCCTTATAGTTATGATAAATTTAGAGATTAAATACTTAAAGCAACTTAATATGTAATTGTGGGATTTGATGACAGTGCTTATATCTAATTAATTTCCATTACTCAGCAATATTAATAGGAAGAAGAACTTTAAAAAAATCTGTTCTTTCCATATATTTCAGATGATAGTGTCACAATATGGATGGGTAATAATCTTGTTAAATGTTTTAGAATGGGAATATACCCTCAGATGATTACATCTGTCATTTGTCTCCCAAATTAATCCATAAATGTTGAGTTTTTACTATATGTTCAGCAATATACTAGGCATTATGTGGATGAAACTTAACTGTAAGATATTAAGTTAACCTGAAGGATACCTGAACAACACTCATGCTTTCATTCTCATTAAGAAAATTGGACCAATCGGAAGAGAATCTTCAGATTCCAACTGTCCAAAAGCAATACATTCAGCTCCTATCCAATATTAATCCTGCTGCTTGTGTACTGGATCCCACTCTTTTTTCCCTGTTTCAGAAACGTTCTTATCTTAACCTACATCAGCATTTTTTCTCTGTACTGAATGGTCTCTTGTCAACAAATGATGTGAAAAACAACTGAATATCTATTATGAGGAAAAAATGAACCCCAGCATATACCTCACCATATATAAAATTTAAAAGGTGAGAGGTAAAACTATAAAATTTCTAGAAAAAGCATAGGAAATAGAACACAAAAAGCATGAATTATAAAAAGTAAAATTATAAATTGAACCTCATTAAAATAACTTATCAGACCTCCAGGTAAGTGAAGACAATGGCAGGTATGTAGTAAGTAACCTCCCAAAATCTCTTCTCCAGACTTTCTGTGCAAACCATAGCCCCAGCATTACTTAAACAGAGAATACCAAAACTGCAAAATGACTGTAAGTAAAAAGAGAAAAAGAAACAAATTTCAGCGGCCGTTTCACAAGCGCTCTTTCCTCTCCTCTGCTGCTGAGCTTTGTTGCGAACAATGAACCTAAATGACTGAAAAACAGTGTCTTAACAGTATCTTAACTGTAAGGATAAAGACCAAAAAAAAAAAAAAACTGCACATAATGCTGTAATCTAGTTAGTAAAATTGTCCTCCACAGGGCTACCAATTCTGAACTGTCTTTGTGTCTACTAAAGTAAATAGACCATAGATTATGAGAGCCTAGTTTCTCACTCTTGGAGTAAGAAGTTATAAATAAAGGGAGAAGTCTTAAATGAGCCCTGTGGTTTCGGATTAGAATCTGAAGTGTTGATACGAATTCATGATTTTCAAATACTTAGATACAGAATGTATCTATGTATACAGACTATAGAATGTATGCATGGGTTAGTATACATAACTATATTTCCTAGTTGAGACAATCTGGCGTGTCACCTATTTTTTGTAAATAAGGTTTTAATTGAATTCAGATATGACTATTTGTTACCTCAGTATTTTACAAGTGCATTTCTATTACTGCCCCCTAAGGAGCCCTTTTAGATATTGTCTTTTCTCTAAACACCTGTATTAGTCCATTCTCACACTGCTATAAAGAAATACCTGAGACTGGATAATTTATAAAGAAAAGAGGTTTAGCTGGCTCACAGTTCTGTAGGTTGTATAGGAAGCATAGCAGTTTCTGCTTCTGGGGAGGCTCAGGAAGCTTCCAGTCATGGCAGAAGGCAAAGGGGAGGCAAGGCACTTCACATGGCTAGAGTAGAAGGAAGCGAGGTGGGGAGATCTCATGAGAACTCACTATCATGAGAACAGCACCCAGAGGAAGGTGTAAACCATTCATGAGAAGCTACCCCATGATCCAGTTATCTCCTATCAGGCTCCACCTCCAGCATTGGGGATTACATTTCAACATGAGATTTGGTTGGGGACACAGATCCAACTATATCAATGCCCTCACCCACTACAAAATTTTAATAGCTCAGATATGCTATATATCAGTTCCTATATTGAATGTATTTCTGTGCTTTATGCAATCAGACCTCTATGCATTTAAGAACTAATTTTTGCCCCTTCGGAGATGATATTGCTCCCAATGGGAATGCATGGTTTACATATTATCTATGGCTGATTTAGTGTTATAATAACCCAGTTGAGTAGTTGTGACAGAAACTGTATGGCCCACAGAGCGTAAAACATTTACTCTCTAGCCCTTTCCAGAAAAAGTTTGCTAACTTTTGAAATAAAATATTCATGAGTTCAAGCTGATATAAATAGATGGGTTAAATAAATAAATAGAAAAGATAACTTCCTTGTAGTAGAATTCTAATTAATAAATGTTGAAGAAAAGAGAGAAAAAAGAGAATCACATTATAGGCCAGGTGCGATGTCTCACGCCTGTAATCCCAGCACTTTGGGAGGCCCAGGCGGGTGGGTCACCTGAGGTCAGGAGTTCGAGACCAGCCTGACCAACATGGTGGAACCCCGTCTGTACTAAAAATACAAAAAATTAGCCAGGTGTGGAGGCGGGCACCTGTAATTCCAGCTACTCAGGAGGCTGAGGCAGGAGAATCACTTGAACCCTGGAAGTGGAAGTTGCAGCGAGCCAAGATTGCGCCATTGCACTCCAGCCTGGGTGACAGAGCGAAACTCTGTCTCAAAAAAAAAAAGACAATCACATTACGGAAATATTTTAGTAGTAAATGTTACTGACAGAATCCGCCAATAGTTGCTAAAATTAGTGGGTGAAAGTTTGAGGAGAGAAATAGGATTTGCATAGTCTCACAGTATCTCCCCTAGCATACTTAGTGACTACAAAGAAAAACTTTGTAGTATCTTTACAGTGGCATGTACTGTTTAACCAAGGGATCGAGGTAAACATCATCAGTAATATTGACACCCTAAACCTTCTGATACGATGTGGAAAGAAGGACAAATGTAATTTTTGTGGTATTTTTACCCAAAATGCATAACCCCACTTTAATCATGAGAAACCATGACAAATCCAAATTTGGAGACATTTTCTAAAATAACTGGTTAGTATTCTTCAAAAGTTCCCAGGTTATGAAAGGAAAGGAAAGTCTAAGAAAGTTTTATAGAGACTGGAAGTTGCTAAGGAGGAATAACAGTTAAAATGCAGCATGGGATCCTGGATAGGATCTTGGAACAGAAAAGAGACATTAGTGGAAAAAATGGTGAATTTTTGAATAAGGTTTTTAGTTTAGGTAATGATATTGTACTAATGTTAATTTCCTTCTTCTTCCCGATTACTATATGGTTATGTAAAATGTTTATATTGTAATGAAGTGTGATGAGGGATACAAGAAAACTGTACTATTTCGTAACATTTTTATAAGTCTCAAATTAGTCCAAAATAAAACACTTCTTAAAAAAATTAAAATCTTTTGCTCTTTTAAATATACCATTAAGAAAATTAAAAGGTAGGCCACAAGCAGACACACATATGCAAAAAAATACAGTTGAGAAAAGAATTGTACCAAGAATATATTAAGAACTCTTACAGTGTAACAATATTATGACAAATAATTTAAAAATAGGAAAAATGCTTTTTGTCCAGAGGCAGGCCCAGTTGTGGGAAGTATATGATAGTATGCAGAGGCTAACATCCTAGACTCTTAGCTCCAGTATAATGAAAAGGGACCTCTGGGAGCTGGAAATTATGGGGAAAATTGTAGGGGGTACGGAGCTCAAGAAGGGCATCTTCATAAGGGTATAGTTGACTCACTTCTGTGCTGCATGTGCAGGAACTGCCTGCATATCAGGCGCTTTGAGAACTGACCTACAATCATCCAAGTTTCAGATTTGCCCCTTTGGTGTGTGTACATGTGGTAGCACTGCAAAGACTTTAAAACTGAACTAACATTGGGACCCCAGAAGGAGGGCAGGGATATGTACCTTGAACCTAATTGGATTGCTTGTCTGCTGAAATAAATAAAAATATCAGCATTCTCTGGAAAATTTTAAGAGGATTCAGAGTTTATAACTTAATATTCGAAGTGCTCAGGATATAACTGAAAATTAGCATATAAAAATTACTAAAATCTCAACAATTTATACAAGAAAAGACAACAGTTGTCAGCCCCAGGATGACCTACATGTTGAATTTATGAAAGAATGTAAAACATTTGTTATAACTGTGTGCTATCGGGGGAAACCAGCCCCCGATACTCAACGTGGGTCCTTTTCTATTTTCCCTAAGTGTCGGCCAGTCTGAGAAATAAAGGGAAAGAGTACAAAAGAGAGAAATTTTAAAGCTGGGTGTCTGGGGGAGACATCACATGTTGGCAGGTTCCGTGATGCCCCTCAAGCTGCAAAACTGGTAAGTTTTTATTAGTGATTTTCAAAAGGGGAGGGAGTGTACGAATAGGGTGTGGGTCACAGAGATCACATACTTCACAAGGTAATAAAATATCAGAAGGCAAATGGAGGCAGGGCGAGATCACAGGACTGGGGCGAAATTAAAATTGCTAATGAAGTTTTGGGCATGCATTGTCATTGGTAACATCAGGAGACCGGGTTTGAGAGCAGACGACCGGTCTGACCAAAATTTATTAGGCAGGAATTTCCTCGTCCCAATAAGCCTGGGAGCGCTATGGGAGACCGGGGCTTATTTCATCCCTTATCCACAACTGTAAAAGACAGACATTCCCAAAGCGGCCATTTTAGAGACCTCCCCTTGGGAACACATTCTCTTTCTCAGGGATGTTCCTTGCTGAGAAAAAGAATTCAGCAATATTTCTCCTATTTGCTTTTGAAAGAAGAGAAATATGGCTCTGTTCCGCCCAGCTCTCAGGCAGCCAGACCTAATGGTTATCTCCCTTGTTCCCTGAACATCGCTGTTATCCTGTTCTTTTTTCAAGGTGCCCAGATTTCATATTGTTTAAACAATTTGTGCAGTTAACGCAATAATCACAGGGTCCTGAGGCGACATACATCCTCAGCTTACGAAGATGACGAGATTAAGAGATTAAAGTAAAGACAGGCATAGGAAATCGCAAGAGTATTGATTGGGGAAGTGATAAATGTCCATTAAATCTTCACAATTTATGTTCAGAGATTGCAGTAAAGACAGGCATAAGAAATTATAAAAGTATTAATTTGGGGAGCTAATAAATGTCCATGAAATCTTCACAATTTATGTTCTTCTGCCATGGCTTCAGCCGGTCCCTCCGTTCGGGGTCCCTGACTTCCCACAACAGTATGCCATGAAGTAACTGTTCTTAAAACAAATAGAATGTTGGAAGTTCTCAGCAAAGAAATAGAAGTTGTAGAAAAATGGAATACTTAGAACTGAAAATATAAAAATATAAATAATTCTCCAGGGGACTCAATTTCTGAGTCTGCATGGTAGCCAGACTGGCCCCAAAGATATCCATACTCTAATTCCTGGAACCTGTGAATTTTTTATGTTAAACAAAGCACACATGACTTTGCAGATATAATTAAGATAGGGATGTACCTTAAGATATTGAGAGTATCTTGAATTATCTAGATGGGCCCAGTCTAATTATGTGAGCCCTTAAAAGCAAATAATTTTCTTTAGCTGGAATGAGAAAACATGCAGCAGAAGTCAGAAAGATTCAAAGCTTGAGAAGAACTCAATGTGCCGTTGCTGATTGGAAGATGGAGGTGGTAACATCATGAGGCATGCAGTTGGCCTTGAGGAGGTGAGCAGTTCCCCCTTGACAGCCAGCAGGGGAGTGAAAGCCTCAGTCCCTTTACCACAAGGAATTGAATTCAGCTAACGTTCTGAATGAACTTGGAAGCTGACTCATCCCCAGAGACTCTAGAAAGTAATTTAGTTGTGTTAACACCTTGACTTTTGGCCTTGTGAGACTGTATGCACAGGACTCAGCTGAGCCACACTAACCAGATTTCTGCCCTGCAGAACTGGGAGATAATAAGCTTGTATTGCTTTAAGGTGCTAAATTTATGGTAATTTGTGACATCAGCATAGAAAACTAATATAATACCCTTGTTACAAACTAATATGTTACTTTTTTCTTTGGATGCTGGCAAAGACGTGAAATTCCTAGGTTAGAGACAAAGGACTTTATTATTCATGGCATAGAAAACAGCATGAGCTAGTCATGGCAGAATGCACATCCTTTTCAAGTGCCAAAACGTTTACCAAAATAGGCTATATATTATAAAACAAACCTTAACAAATTTAAAAGAATTGAAATCATATAGAGTATGTTCTCTGACCATAATGGAATCAAAATAAAAATCAGTAACACAGAACAGAAGGGAAAGTAGAATATATTATGAAAATGAAAAGAAGAAGAAAGTGAAAATACAACATATCAAAATTTGTAAAATTCAGCCAAAGCAGTGTTTCAAGGGAAATTTGGAGCATTAAAATGCATATTTTTTAAAAGAAAAATAATCTCAGGTCAGTAATCTAGGAGTCTGACTTAAGAAAATAGAAATGGAAGAGCAAACACAAAAACAAACAAAGTAGGAAATAATGAAGACAATTAGTGCAAACAGTGAAACAATAGAGAAAAACCTAAAGTTGGTTCTTTGAAAAGGATCAGATTGATAAACTTCTAGCTAGGCTGACCAAGAATAAAAAAGAGAAGACAAAAATTACCAGTATTCATCAGGATATCACTATTGACCTAAAGACGTTAAAAGGAGAATAAGGGATTACTATAAACAACTTATACATTTGACAACTGAGATGAAATGAACTATTCCCTCAAAAGATATAAACTACCAAACTTACAAGAATAAATGATTCCAATTCCACACAATTGCTTATAGAAAATAGAAGAGGAAGTACTACTTCTCAACTGTGTTTATGAGGCTGGCATCACTCTAATACAAAATCCAGACAAACATTTGAAGAAAAGGAAACTACAGACAACTGTCCCTCATTAATATAGATGTAAAAATTCTCAACAAAATAAGCTAATAAGCAAATAAAATCCGTCAGTAGGATAATATATCATAACCAGGTTTCATTCCAGGTAGGATTCATTCCAGGAATACAAGGCTGGTTCAACATTTAAAAATTAATCAGTGTAATTCGCTATATAATTGCTAAAGAAGAAAAGCCAGGTGACTATCTCAGTAGTTACAGGAAAAGCATTTGACAGAATTTAATACTTATTCATATTTTTAAAATGCTTAGCAAACTAGGACTAGAAGTCCACTTCTTTAACCCGGCTATAAAAGCATCTGTAAAAACCTACAGCTAAGTTTATTCCTGATGGTGAGAGACTGAATGTTTTCCTTGTAAAAGCAGGAAAAAGACCAGAGTGTCTATTCTTGTCACTTCTAATTAAACATCCTGCTATTTTATTGAGTATTTTTGCATCGATGTTCATCAGGGATACTGGCCTGAAATTTCCTTTTTTTGTTTTGTCTCTGCCATGTTTTGGTATCAGGATGATGCCGGCCTCATAAAATGGGTTAGGGAGAATTCCCTCTTTTTCTATTGTTTGGAAGTGTTCTGGAAGGAATGGTACCAGCTCCTCTTTGTATCTTTGATAGAATTCGGCTGTGAATCTGTCTGGTCCTGGGCTTTTTTTTGGTTGGTAGGCTATTAATTACTGCCTCAATTTCAGAACTTGTTATTGGTCTATTCAGGGATTCGACTTCTTCCTGGTTTAGTCTTGGGGGGGTGTGTGTGTCTAGAAATTTATCCAGTTCTTCTAGATTTTCTAGTTTATTTGCATAAAGTTGTTTATAGTATTCTCTGATGGTAGTTTGTATTTCTGTGGGATCAGTGGTGATATCCTCTTTATCATTTTTTATTGTGTCTATTTGATTCTTCTCTCTTTTCTTCTTTATTAGTCTTGCTAGCTGTCTATCTATTTTGTTATCTTTTCAAAAAAACAGGTCCTGATTCATTGATTTTTTGAAAGGGTTTTCTTCTCTGTCTCCTTCAGTTCTGCTGTGATCTTAGTTATTTCTTGTCTTCTGCTAGCTTTTGAATTTGTTTGCTTTTGTTTCTCTAAGTGTTTTAATTGTGATGTTAGGGTGTCGATTTTAGATCTTTCCCACTTTCACCTGTGGGCATTTAGTGCTATAAATTTCTCTCTAAACACTTCTTTAGCTGTGTCCCAGAGAGTCTGGTGTGTTGTGTCTTTGTTCTCATTGGTTTCAAAGAACGTATTTCTGCCTTAATTTTGTTATTTACCCAGTAGTCACTCAGGAGCAGGTTGTTCAGTTTCCGTGTAGTTGTATGGTTTTTGAGTGAATTTCTTAATCCTGAGTTCTAACTTGATTGCACTGTGGTCTGAGAGACTGTTTGTTATGATTTCCATTCTTTTACATTTGCTGAGGAGTGTTTTACTTCCAATTATGTGGTCAATTATAGAATAAGTGCTATATGGTGCTAAGAAGAGTGTATATTCTGTTGATTTGGGGTGGAGAGTTCTGTCAATGTCTGTTAGGTCTGCTTGGTCCAGAGCTGAGTTCAAGTCCTGAATATCCTTGTTAATTTTGTGTCTCATTGATCTAATATTGACAGCGGGGTATTAAAGTCTCCCACTATTACTGTGTGGGAGTCTAAATCTCTTTGTAAGTTTCTTTTTTTTTCCCCCGAGATGGAGTTTCACTCTTGTTGCTTAGGCTGGAGTGCAATGGCATGATCTCAGCTCACTGCAACCTCTGCCTCCCGGGTTCAAGTGATTCTCCTGCCTCAGCCTCCCGAGTAGCTGGGATTACAGGCATGTGCCACCACAACCCGCTAATTTTTTATTTTTATTAGAGACTGGGTTTCTCTGTGTTGGTCAGGCTAGTCTCGAACTCCCGACCTCAGGTGATCCACCTGCCTCGGCCTCCCAAAGTGCTGGGATTACAGGTGTGAGCCACTACGCATGGCCCGTGTCTTTGTAAGTTTCTTAGAACTTGCTTTATGAATCTGGGTGCTCCTGTATTGGGTGCATATACATTTATAAACTATCATCAGAGCGAACAGGCAACCTACAGAATGGGAGAAAATTTTTGCAATCTGTCCATCTGACAAAGGGCTAATATCCAGAATCTACAAGGAACAAATTTACAAGAAAAAAACAACCCTATCAAAAAGTGGGCTAAGGATATGAACTGACACTTCTCAAAAGAAGACATTTATGCAGACAACAAGCATATGAAAAAAAGCTCATCTCTGGTCATTAGAGCAACACAAGTCAAAACCACAGTATGATATCATCTCATACGAGTTAGAATGGTGATCATTAAAAAGCCAGGAAACAACAGATGCTGGAGAGGATGTGGAGAAATAGGGACACTTTTACATTGGTGGGAGTGTAAATTCGTTCAACCATTGTGGAAGACAGTGTGGTGATTCCTCAAGGATCTAGGACCAGAAATACCGTTTGACCCAAGAATCCCATTACTGGGTATATACCCAAAGGATTATAAATCATTCTACTATAAAGACACATGCACATGTATGTTTATTACAGCACTGTTCACAATAGCAAAGACTTGGAACCAACCCAAATGCCCATCAATGATAGACTGGATAAAGAAAATGTGGCACATACACACCATGGAATGCTATGCAGCCATAAAAAGGATGAGTTCATGTCCTTTGCAGGGACGATGAAGCTGGAAACCATCATTCTCAGCAAACTAACATAGGAACAGAAAACCAAACACCACATGTTCTCACTTGTAAGTGGGAGTTGAACAATGAGAACATATGGGCACAGGGAGAAGAATGTCACATACCAGGGCCTGTTGGGGCTGGGGTGCAAGGGGAGGGATAGCATTAGGAGAAATACCTAATGTAGATGACAGGTTGATGAGTGCAGCAAACCACCATGACACATGTATACCTATGCAACAAACCTGCACGTTCTGCACATGTATCTCAGAACTTAAAGAATAATAATAATTTTAAAAAAACAACATCCTGCTAGAAGTTCAAGCCAGTGCAATCAGACAAGAAATAAAAAGGCTTATAGAAAGAAAAGGAAGAAATAAATTGTCTCTATTCTTAGACAACATGATTGCCTACATAGAAAATTCCAAATAATTTATTTTTTAAAAACTCACACAAAAAACACTACTCCTAAAACTCAGTGAATTTATCAGGGTCACAGGATACCAGGTCAACATACGTAAATTAGTTATATTTCTACCTACTAGCAATGAACAATTGGAAACTGAAATTTTACAGCAATACTGTCTACAAAAGCTCAAAAATATCTATATAAATTTTACAAAATCTATGCAAGGTCTATGTTATATACTAAAAACTATAAAATGAGACAGAAAACAAAGAATACCTGAAAAATGGAGGGCGGGCGTACTATGTTTATGGATTGGAAGACTCAATATAATTAAGATGTCACTTCTCTTCAAAGTTTTTTATAGATATAATACAATTCTAATCATAATCCCAACAAGATATATAGGATATACAGCTGATTCTAAACTTTATAGGAAAGATGAAGTAATTAGAATAGCCAAAGCAATTTGGAAAAAGAACAAAGGTAGAGGACTCACAGTATTCAATTTTAAGGCTTATAATAAAGCTATACTCATGAAGGCAGTGTGGTATTGGTGAAAGGATAGATACATAGGTTAATGGTGTAAAATACAGGGTGCAATTTGTGGAAAAGTAATATAGATATGGTCAATTGATTTTTGACAAAAGTGCTTGGGGAAGTCAATGGAGAAAAGATAGTCTTTTCAATACATGGTGCTGGAAAGTTAGGAATCTTACATAAAGACAGCAAAAAACAAACAAACAAACAACTATAACCTACATTACACTTTATACAAAAATTAACTCAAAATAGATTGTAGCTTTAAATGTAAGACAAACTATAAAAGTTTTAGAAAATATCAGAGGAAATCTTTATTACCTTTGGTTAAGCAAAAGCATGGTCCATAAAACAAAAGTCAATGAACTAGATAGACTTCATAAAAATTAAAAAATGTTTGCTCTGTGAGAGAAACAGAGAATGCAAAGAAAAGCTACAGTCTGGGAGAAAATATTTGCAAGTCCCATGTAGGACAAAGGGACTTGTATTGAGAATATATGAAATACTTTGAAAACTCAAAAATATAAAGGCAACCTAATGAAAATGGCTAGAAGACTTGAACAGATCATTATAAGACCAATTAGTCCATGTGAGTAGTCATCAGGGAAATTCAAATTAAGAACACTGACACTACCAAATATTAGTAGGAATGTGGAGCAACTGGAACTTTCTTACATTGCTGGTGAGAGTGTAACATGGTACAACTACTGTGGAAAACTGACAGTTTCTTATAAATCTAAACACGGACCCACCCTATCCTTTTTCTCTAACTTGACTTTGAATACCTCTGTTCTATTGTATGAAGATTTTGTAGTTAAACTATGAGGACCTGCATAGTTTTTCTCCCCAGTTTTTTTTTTTTTTTTTTTAAGAGATGGTGACTTGCCCTGTCACTCAGACTGGAGTATAGTGGCATGATCACAGCTCACTGCAGCCTTGAACTCCTGGCCTCAGGTGATCTTCATGCCTCAGCCTTCTGAATAACTGGGACTACGGGCATGTACCATCACACCTGGCTAGTTGTTTTATTTTTTGTAGAGGTGGGGTCTTGCTGTGTTGCCCAGGCTGGTCTTGAACTCCTAGCCTGAAGTGATCCTCCTGCCTCAGCCTCCCAAAGCACTGGGTTTACAGACACAAGCCACCACACAGCCTTCCTCCCCAGTTTTCAAGCTTGGGGAAATTTCCCTCATATTACTTGTAGTAAATATATGCCCTTTTTGAAGGTGAGAAAACAAGATGAAGATAAAGAATTTGCTAAGAAGCCTGTGAAGAGCAGAGCCAGAATTTTGAACCCATGTCTGTCTAACTTCAAAGGTTTTCTTTGCATAAATCCTTATACTAAAAATATGTGTACAGACAGTAATGTCAGTATTTTTTTTCACTTTTTAAAAACTGAGATATGATTCACATAACATAAAATGTACACTTTAAGTGCACAATTCAGTGATTTTTAGTATAGTCAAAGTTTTTCAACCATCACTTCTATCTAATTTCAGAATATTTATCACCCCTAAAAAATTCCCAAGCTCATTAGCAGTCCTTATCCATTCTCCTCTCCTTCCAGCACCTGGCAATCACTAATCTACTTTCTTTATGGATTTGCATATTCTGGACATTTCATAATGTATTAATATGATATGTGGCCCTTATATATCTGTTTTCCTTCACTTAGCGTAATGTTTTCAAGGTTCATCCATGTTGTAGCATGTATTAATGCTTTATTCCTTTTGTCATTTTTGTTGTGTGGATACCACATTTTATTCGTGATTCAGTCAAACATTTGGATTGTTTCTACTTTTTGGCCATTTGTGAATGATGCTGCTGTGAACATTTGTGTACAAGTTTTGTGTGGACATATGTTTTCATTCCTTTTGGGAATACATCTAGGAATAGAATTGCTGGATCATACGGTAACTTTGTTTAGCCTTTTGAATAGCTACCAAGCGGTTTTCCAAAGAGGCTACATCATTTTACAATCCCATAATCAATGTTTAAGGGTTACGCTTTTTCCACATCCTTGCCAATACTTCATATTTTCTGTCTTTTAAAATATAGAAGTGGGCCAGGCGCGGTGGCTCATGCCTGTAATCCCAGCATTTTGGGAGGCCAAGGCAGGTGGATCTCCTGAGGTCAGGAGTTTGAGACCATCCTGGTCAACATGGTGAAACCTCGTCTTTACTAAAAATACAAAAAAATTAGCTGGGCGTGGTGGTGCATGCCTGTAATCCCAGCTACTTGGGAGACTGAGGCAGGAGAATTGCTTGAACCTGGGAGGCGGAAGTTGCAGTAAGCCAAGATTGCATCATTGCATTTCAGCCTGGGCAATGAGAGTGAAACTCTGTGTCAAAAAAAAATAAATACACATATATATGTATATATATGTATATTTATAGAAGTGGACTGGGAGCAGTGGCTCATGCCTGTAATACTAGAATTTTGAGAGCCTGAGGTGGGAGGATCTCTTAAGCCCAAAAGTTTGAGACCAGTCTGGGCAACATAGGGAGACCCCATCTCTACAAAAAAAAAAAAAAAAAATTAGACAGGTGTGGTGGCACCCACCTGTAGTCTCAGCTACTTGAGAGGCCAAAGCAGGAGGATGAGTCTTAAGTATGGGAGGTCGAGGCTGCAGTGAGTGGTGATTGTGTCACTGTACTCCAGCCTGGGTGACAGAGTGAGACCCTGTCTGAAATAAATAAATAGAAAGAAAGGAGAGAAAGAGAGAGAAAGGAAGAAAGCAAGAAAAGGAAGGAAGGAAAGAGGGAAAGAAAGAGAAAGAAAAAAAGAAATGGTATATTATTGTGATTTTTGATTTGTATTTCCCTGCTGACTATTGATGTTGAGCATCTTTTTATGTGCCTTTTGTATATCTTCCTTGGGGGTATGTCTGTTAAAATCCTTTATTTGTTTGAAAAATTGGATTATTTATAGTTTTATTGTTGATTTGTAGGAATTCTTTATATATTCTTAATAGAAGTCCCTTATCAGATATATGCTCTGCAAATATTTTCTCCCATTCTCTGGGTTGCATTACTATGTTCTTGATGATTGTCCTTAGAAGCATAAAAGTTTTTAATTTTGATTAAGTCCATTTTATCTGCTTTTTTTTTTGTCACTAATGCTTTGTGTTATATCTGAGAAACCACTGCTTCATTCAAGATTGGTAAGATTTATGCCTATATTTTCTTCCAAGAGTTTTAACAATTATTTTAGCTTCTGATCCATTTTGAGTTGACATTTGTATATGGTTTGAGGTATGTGTCCAAATTTATTTTTTTGTATGTGGATATATATTCAGGTGTCCCAGTACTATTTGTTGAAATGACCATTTTATCCCCCATTGAATTGTCTTGGCACCACCCTTGTTGAAATCAGTTGACCACAAATGTATGGGTTTACTTCTGGACTCACGATTCTGTTTGATTGATCTGCATATCCTTATGCCAGTACCACACTGTCTTGATTACTGTAGTTTTGTAGTAAGTTTGTAAGTTTAGAAATTGGAAAGTGTGATTTTTCCAACTTTGTTCTTGTTTTTCAGGATAGTTTTGGTTATTTTGAGTCTTTCTGGATTTTAGAATCAGCTTGTCAGTTTCTTCAAGAAAGACAACTAGTATTTTGACAAGGATTATGTTGACTCTGTAGATCAATTTGAGAAGTATTGCCATCTTACAAATATTACATTCCTCTAAGCCCAGAAATGAGATGTCTTTCCATTTATTTAGATCTTTTAAAATGTCCTTCAGTGGGTTTTTGTAGTTTTCAGTGTACAAATCTTGTACTTTGTTTAATTTATTCCTAAATGTTTTATTCCTCTTGATGCTACTGTAAGTGGGATTATTTTCTTTAATTTTTTTATTGTTCGTTGCTAGTGTATAGAAATACAATAGATTTTTTATGTTGATCGTATATCCTGCAACCTTGCTGAATTCATATTAGCTCTTCATTTTTTGGTTGTTTCTTTGTGGATTC
Source organism: Homo sapiens (assembly GCF_000001405.40). Taxonomy (NCBI): domain Eukaryota; kingdom Metazoa; phylum Chordata; class Mammalia; order Primates; family Hominidae; genus Homo; species Homo sapiens. Next base: position 88,756,585 of record NC_000014.9, on the reverse strand, counting down.
CTTAGGATTTTCTGTATATATGATCATATCATCTGCCAATAGAGATCTTTACTTTTACTTTTTGTTCCTTTTCCTGGCCTATTTTTCTTGGCTAGAATATCTAATAAGTTAAATGAGTGACAAGAACTGACATCCTTGTTTTTTCCCTTTACTTAGTGGGATTGCTTTCAGGCTTTCATCATTAAATATGTTATTAGCTTTGGGTTTATGTAGATGTCCTTTGTCAGTTTGAGGAAGTTTCCTTCAGTTTCTAGTTTATGTGTTTTTATCATGAAGGGATTGGGTTTTGTCAAATAATTTTTCTGTGTCTATTGAGATAAACATATATGGGAGTTTTTTTGACCTTTCTTCTGTTAATATGCCATATTTGTTGATTTCATATGTTGAACCAGCCTGGTATTCCCACTCATCTTCTCTCCCATTGATTACCCCTTTAGTATTCCCTGACTTGATGAATACCACCCCAAACCATTCAAATACCCAAGCCAGAAACCCGAGTCATCTTAGACCCCTCTCTTCCCCTTGTCCCCTGCATCCAATCTGTTAATTTTATCTTCTTTATTTACTTTAGAGACAGGATCTGGCCCAGAAGCCCAGGCTGGAATGCAGTGGTGCAGTCATAGCTCATTGCAGCCTTGAACTCCTGGGTTCCTTGAACTCCTGGGTTCAAGCGATCTTCTCACCTCAGCCCCTCAAGTAGCTGGGAATAGAGGTGTATGCTGCTATGTCTGGCTCATTAAAAAAAATTTTTTTTTTGTAGAGACAATGGTTTGCTGTGTTTCCCAGGGTGATCTTGAACTCCTGACCTCAGGTGATCCTCCAGCCTTGGCCTCTCAAAGCACTGATATTATAGGCATGAGCCGCTACACCCAGCCTTGATTCTGTTTTAATATCCTCCTAATTTTCCCCTTTTAGTGATTCTCCACCGTGATGCCAGGTGTGATTTTCTTGTTCATCTCAAGGGCAAATATGATATTGTAAATTGACATATAGAAAAAATTATCAAATAGAAATTTATATTTTCCCCGCCTTCTGCTGATGTACATAAACTATTACCAACTGCTAGGTCTTTGTCTTGTTTTTAGAGACTCATAGATTTTTTTTTGCGAATTATGGGTGACCTTTCTGTTTCTTAAAATGGAATTTATAATTTAAGAATTAGTGTTATAGTAGGAGTGCTACTAAATGCTGTATTTAGACATTAAGATTTTGTCTAACTTTATCCAGTGAAAGGAATAGTAAAATGGGAAAGAAGGCTTGGAAACAGGTGAATACTAAATGAGGAAAAGGCTACCAATTTGTTGCTGTGATCCAATTGCTCTCTTGTGAGAGTTCTTTTCTTGAGAAGTTTACACACAATATATTGCAGGGATTATGAAGGGTATAATTAGCTTATCATTAACTGTTTATCACATATTCTATGAAGTAGTAACTGTTAGCATGGATTTTTATAGAAGCTATTTATTTTAAATCCAAATTACCTGCTGGGCGTGGTGGCTCACACCATAATCCCAGCACTTTTGGAAGCTGAGGCAGGCGGATCACTTGAGGTCAGGAGTTCAAGACTAACCTGGCCAATGTGGCGAAACCCCATCTCTACTAAAAATACAAAAATTAGCTGGGCGTGGTGGCGGGTGCCTGTAATCCCAGCTACTCAGGAGGCTGAGACACAAGAATTGCTTGAACTTGGCGGGATGGAGGTTGCAGTGAGCTGAGATCACACCACTGCACTCCAGCCTAGCTGACAGAACGAGACTCTGTCTCAACAAAAATAATTTTTAAAAAATCCAAATTGTCTAAAGTGGATAAAGTCTAATGTTCACACTGGTATATGTGTTTTACATCTACCAAATACTATAAAATCTGTATAAGCAATTTTTAATAATACTACTTATTTATTTCCTTATTTTACAGCCTTGCATTGCATCCTGAACGAGTGTTGGTAGCAACAGGACAAGTTGGGAAAGAGCCTTATATTTGTATTTGGGATTCATACACTGTGCAGACCATATCAGTTTTAAAGGATGTTCATACACATGGTATAGCTTGCTTGGCGTTTGACTTAGATGGACAGGTATGTGACAGTTTTTCATTTTTTTCTAAATTGTATGTTAAGGTATATTATAGAAAATGATTATAAATCTATAAATATTAAATTGGACACTTGATGAAAATTATTTGTCCAAAGGTGGAGGTGGGTAGGTGGGGTGGGAGGTTGATATATAACAATGGGGTTTTTATTTCATCATGTCAAGAACTTTCTCAATTGAATTAATTATTACCTTGAAAGCCAAAGTGATTTTGATTCAGTGGAATATTACATGGTTATTATACAGATTTTTCTATGTAACTCTTTTCCAGATAGGGTATTTTGACAGGACAGATGGATGATATCTTAGGAAAATTAAGTTTCTCAGAAAGCTGTATATGTTTTATTTTAATTTTATTTTTTTATTTTTAGAGACAGGGTCACGCTCTGCTGCCCAGGCTGGAGTGCAGTGACATGATCATAACTCATACTCTTGGGCTCAAGCAATGTTCCTGCCTCACCTTCCTGAACAACTAGGACTACAGGCACATACCATCATGCCTGGCTAATTTTTTTTTTTGGTAGAGATGGGATCTCACTGTGGTGCCCAGGCTGGTCTCAAACTTCTGGCCTTAAGCTATCCTCCAGTGTTGTTGACCTCCCAAAGTGCTGGAATTACAGGCTTGAGCCACTGCACCCAGCCTGTATTTCAATTTTCAGTTACCTTAAAGGTTGTCTATTAAAATTATATTTTTATTGAATATAATGGAACAATTCCTATGAGTTATTTTTTATACAAAATCAAAGTTCACAACAAAGGATATAATTATCATTCAACTGACTAATCAGTTTCTAAATTATCATCTACTTCTAGTCAATGATTTTAAAAAGTTAAACAAGCCAAGAGCTTTTTTTGTGGTGCTTTTATGGAAATTGTTATACCTAAAAATACTTTAAAGTTACCAGTAAAAAGTTGGATCTTGCAGGTTGTTCATTTATAATCTTTAAAAGTTTTATGTTATAATTAGACTTTAAAATCATTTTAAATTTTAGAACAATTTTAGTTATCTGCTTTTTAATTCATAAAATTAGTTTTATAGACCTCAATTTTACAGAAACAAATTACAGTGTGTTCTATCCCCTTGAACATGATAGCCAGTAGATGTTTTTATATATTACTCTGAGGAATAGCTTCTTTGAGTAGCATAGGTTAATGTGATTTTCTGGTAGTGAGATGAGAGAGTTCCCTTGACCCCTTTGCAGGACTTGTAACAAGGGTGTAGCTCGTTTAGTTGGCTGCCCAGCTCAAACCCCTTGTGGGAGTGGGGCATGCAGGTGAGAGGTTGCAGGAGAGCTGGGGTGAGTGCCTTTGGGTGCTGGCTTGCCTGTGGCAGCATCTAAGGTTACCCACAACCTCTGGAGCCCCAGAGGGTGTGTGTTACAAACAATATTCTTTGACACCAGCAGCTTAAGTGTTGAACAACTCAGTGAAGAGTCAGTGTGACAGCCTTTTTGGGTTCCTGCACCCAGTGCATCCTGGATTGTCCAGCGTCCAGGAAGAACCAGGTTACACGAACAGATTGAAGGGTGGTGTATATGGAGGATTTTATTGAGCAATGGAAGTGGCTCTAAGTGGTATGGCGAACTGGAGAGGGGATGGAGTGGGAAGATAATCTTCTCCTGACCATCCTGGGCCAAACTCCTCTTGATATGCAGACACTTCTCTTCTCTCCTTCTCTACAGTGCTGTTTTGCTCCTCCGCCAGTGGAGTTTGGGGATTTTATGGGTACAGGGTTGGGGTTGTGGGCCAGAGTGATTTTGGCAAAGGCAACATTCGGGTGGGAAAACAGGAGTGCATGTTCTCATTGAGGGCCAGGGGTCCAGGCTTGAGGGTGGAACCCTTGCCAGGGACCCCACCTTCTTCTACCCAGTATTTCCCTGCCTCCTGTTCATATTAGTAAGAGATGACTTTCTGGTAATGGATCTATAAAGACTTAATTGGAATCTCTTATTTGGAAAAAAAATGTGCTTCTAGGTTTATATCACCATATAGCAGTGTTTGGCAATTGCACAAACTTAATTCATATCCCATTTTTGCTATTATTTTTCAAGTCTTAATGTTCTGTCAGAATTTCATTTTCTTCTTTAAAGGAAATAATACCTATTTCATAGCATAAAATGTTATAAAACAAACCTACAAAGTTATTTTTAAAAACCACTTATTTAAGGTGTTATGAAATTCAAGCCATTTTAATTATAAGCATCTATAACATTAAATATAGATATTTTCTTCTTAGCTTTAAATTTGCCCTTTCTAAATGTAATATATTGCATTGCTGAGGAATTTCTTCTATATATCCAAGGAGAAATCATGCCCATAGCTTTTACTAGTTGAAAGTGTTTAATTTCACTTACTTTGAGCAACTTATAGGAAAAGTCTTGGGTACATGTATTTCATTATCAGAGATCTTCATGAGAACATATTACTTAAAATTTTAAGTTCATAAAAACATAATAGCTAAAGGTGTTGAGCATATACCAAGTGCCAGGTATTATGCTAAGCCTGCATTATCTCATTTAATCCTCCCAACAACCCTTTGGAATAGATGCTATTATTATCTCCTTATTTAAATATTTGATGTGCTAAAATTTTTTATGGATACTTCCAATTCAGTTAATGGACACAAATAAGATTTTGTCTGGGAATAGGATCAGGTAGGAATTTGGGAAGATGGATAGAGGCTTCTTTATCTGGTTTTCTTTCTCCCTCTCTGATTATTTTTATCTTTAAAGGAGTCTTTCCTTGTCTGCTTCTTAAATATCAGTGTTCTTCAGGAGTCTGTAGCCTTTTCTTTTCACTTTACTTACATTCTCTGGGTGAGTATATAGGCCCATGACTTTAACTTCCATATCAGCTAACAGTGGCTCTGGCTTCTCAACTCTAAATATCACACTTGAATGTTCTGTAGATATTCCATTTTCTACATTTAAAACTGAATTCTCTCTTTATTCGAACACTATCAAAAAAAAACCAACAAACAAAAAAAAACTCTTCCTCTTGACTTCTGCCCTACCTCTCCAGCCTTGTCTCTTGCCGCTTTCCAGTTAGCACTCCTTCCCTCCCCTGGATTGAATTACTGGCACTCTCTTGAAAGCACCATGATCTCTCTAATCTTGAGGTCCTTTGTTCTGAAATGTACTATTACTTTTCTACAAACTGTCTCTGACTCTCTCTTCCAATTAATGGATTAAGCATTACTTTTGCTTGAAAACTTTATTCTCTTTCTCACCTACCAAGTCTGGGTTAAAAGAAATGATAAAGTAAAAAATGATAAAAAGCTAGAAGAGGAGGTAGTATTTGCTGTGTCATTTCTACCTTGTCCTGTCTGTTGTTGCGTAATCTATGCATAGGGATGTTGGTTTGGGTCATGATATGTTTATCAAGCCTACAGAGAAAGTACTCTCAAGTCTAGTTTGTTATTGCCTGTAGTTGCAGAACTAGATGTATTGAGGCTCTATTTGGATACATGGAATTTTAAAGTTTTTGGCCAATTGTGTTTTGCTGTGTGTATTTGATGAGCTATACCAGACAGAGGAGACATTAGTAGAAAGAACAGCAGTGCCCCTCTGGCTATTCCTCACTTAATATACTTGTCTTGTGAAATTTTAACCTCTACACAGTATTCTGATAGCAAGAGGTAGATACATTTGTTCTAGCTAGATTTTTGCTGATGCCCTTTGGTTCCCAAATAGTAAATACTCTCAGGAGGTACAAATAATCTCCTCTTGTTCTCTGGGCTTTCTGCTAGCTTGATTTGATGGAGAGTCATAACAAACTGTATTCTGTATCTTTTTATATAAATTATTCATTCTACCAATTTTGGAGTTTAAATAGTAAAACTTTCTTTTCAGAAATTGTAACTGGGTACTAGATGGCATTTCTCATTTGGACAGTTAGAGGGCGTAGGTTCTTAAAGCTAATTAAGGTTATGGTAAACTAATAGTAATAATAATAATATGATGCAAACATTTATGTAACATCAGTCATATACCAGGCACTCTAACTCCTTTAAGTAGTACATATGTCAATTTTCACAGTAACCCCTGTGAGGTATTTTTATTTGTCCCCATTTAACTATGGTTATAGTAAACTAATAGCAATAATAATAATGATATGAAGCAAACATTAAATAACATTAACCATATATCAGGCACTCTAACTCCTTTAAATAGTGTATATGTTGATTCTCATAGTGACCCCTGTGAAGTAATTTTATATCCCCATTTAATAGGTGAAGAAAGTAAGGTACAGGGAGGCTAAATAATTGTCCAAAGTCACCCTGCTAGTAAGAGATGATGTTCAAACCTAGGCAATCTGCTACCAGAATCTGTGCTCCAAACCACCATTTGATAAGCTGTCTATAGTAAGTGAAATAGTAAATATTTTAAACTTTGTGGGCCATTTGGTCTTTGCTATAACTACTCAGCTCTGCATTGCAGTGCAGTGTGAAAGCAGTCATAGACAATGCACGAAGGAATGAGTGTGGCTATATTCCAGTAAAACTTTATTTACAAAAACATAGGTACAGACAGGATTTGGCTTGAGAGTTGTACTTTGCTGACCCCTGCTCTAAACCAGTACTTTTCACAGTATGTGTTGTGGGTTTTTCCTCACATTTTTCTTGTTATTTCTTCTGTGACCTTTCAGTTACTTAGAAGTATGTTGTTAATTTCCAAATATTTGGGAGATTTTCTGGATAACATTCTGTTACTCTAATTCTGTTTTTGTCAGAGAACATACTCTGTATTTTAATTTTTTAAAATTTATTGACACTTTGTAATCCAAATTTTTGTGATCTTCATGATATTTCATGTATATTTGGAAAGAATATGAAAAAGTATATTCTGCTGTTTCCTTTCTTCTGTTTATGGTGCTATCGTCATTTATTTATTAATACTTCTACATATTTTGAAAACCCCATAATAACTGTTATTTTGCCGTAAATAGTTGTTAAAACTTTTTTAATGAGAAAAATCTTACATATTTAACCACTTGGACACTCTCATATGTGTAAGTTGTTTCTATTTGGTATCATTTTACTTCTGCATGAGAAAACTTTCATGATCATATCTTGTAGTGCAGGTTTACTGATGATTCATTTTCTCAGCTTTTGTTTGCTTGAAAAAGACTTTGTTTTGACTCAATTTTCAAAGGATATTTTTGCTTAGTATACAATTCTGTGCTGACTTTTTTCTGCCTCAGCACTTTAAACTGTTTGTCCATTGTCTTCTAACTTACATCACTTTGGATGAGCAGTCTAGGATAATTTTTAAATCTTTGTTCCTCCATACAGCAGTTGTCCTTTTTTGTCTGGCTGCTGTTTAGAATTTGCCCTTTAGCGATGGCTTCAGCAATTTGTTTGCCATGTGTCTTGTGTGTTTTTTCTGTGTGAATGATTATCCTGCTTGGGATTTGTTGAACGTCTTAAATTTGTGGATTTATGGTTTCATCAATTTAGGAAACTTTTTACTATTATTTCTTCAGTTTTTTTTTTTCTTTTCCTCTGTCTTTTCTCTCCTTCTAGAGCCATGATTACCTGTATGTTAGACCACTTGATATTTTCCTGCAGGTCATTGAAGCTCTGTCAATTCTTTTTTTCTTTTTCTTTCTGTACTTTATTTTGGATGGGTTCTATTGCTGTGTCTTCAAGTTTATTTATCTTTTCATCATTGTCTGAGCTGCTGTTAATCCTTTGGAGTAAATTTTCATTTTAGATAATGTAACAGTTTTCTGTGTTGTTCTTTTATATCTTTTTTTATTCTTGGTATGTTTGAGATAATTCTTGTCTTGAAAATGTTAATTTTAACAGCAAATGTCTCCTAATTTTAATTATCTCTGGGTTTCCTGAGTCTGTTTCTATTGAGTGATTTTCCCCAGGTTATTAGTCACATTTTCCTGTTTCTTCACATACCTGTAATTTTATTATATCCTTTTAAAGTATATGGACACTGTTCTGGCAAATAGTCAAGTTCCTCATGAATCAGTTTCATCTTTGTGAAAAGCTTGCTTTCAAACTTTGATGAGGCAGCACTAGAGTAGCTTTTGCTCTAGAATTACTGGTATAATTTCACTATTAAGGTATGACACTCTCCTCCTGACCTCAGGATTCCTAATGACTGCCCAGCGAGTTCAAAGAGGTATCTTCATTCTGGTTATTGAGAATTTGAGTGATTCTGGACCCTTTGTGATCTCTGAGAATTTTTTGCTTTTAGCTCTCTAGTAATTGTTCTTTTTCTAGAATTTCTTCTTTGCATGACCTCATAGAGTTCATCCTATGCATGCAGAGATTAATATTCTCAAATCTTACTATAGATAGTTTTACTGGAGCTCTTTTCCTGCTCTGCAAATTCTAGGCATCTTGTCCTCTCTGAACTCCAGGCTCTGTTTGTCCAAATTAGTAAGTCTACCAGGCTCTATTTGGATTCCACCTTTCTGTGCCATGGTCTAGAAATTGCCTCCTAGATGGAAGCTCGGGTGATTACAGGACTTAATTTATTTGTTTTCCCCTCTTTCAGGGTTCACAGTGCTTTACTTCCAGTTGCAAATGTCTGAAAACATTTGTTTCATGTATTCTGTACAGTTTCTAGCTGTTTATGGCAGGGGTGGGTCGGGGAGGGTAAGTTCAGACCTTGATACTCCTTCATGGCTAGAAGTCCATCTTTTGTGTTTTTAAACCTCTCTCATACTTTCGGTCTCACTGTCCACTTCTGTTTTCAACTTTGTCTTTTCATCTCCTGCTAATCTTGTATTTAACTCTTCCATTGAATTTTTAACTTATTTTATTTTTTGTTTCTGGAAGTTCCGTTTGCTTCTTCAGGTCTCCTTGGATACTTTTTATAGTCTCGTATTCTTTGCTCATATACAGATATTTTGAATCCTTAATTTTATTTCGCACATTAAGCTTATTTCTCACGTTAAGCTTATGTTATTTAACTAATAATGCCATATCTGATGTTTTTTGCAAGGCCGACTTTGCTGTTTGTTGTGACTTGCCCATTCTCACTCATGGTTTCTTATTTTGTTGTGTTTGTGTGTGTGGGTGGGGTGGTTTGTTTATTTTTTCAGCTTATTATTACTATTTTTTGAGACAGAGTCTCTCTCTGTCTCCCAGGCTAGAGTGCAGTGGAACGACCTCAGCTCTCTGCAACCTCTACCTCCTGGGTTCAAGTGATTCCCCTGCCTCAGCCTCCCGAGTAGATGGAATTACAGGCGTGAGTCACCACGCCTGGCTAATTTTTGTAATTTTAGTAGAGACGGGGTTTCAACGTGTTGCCCAGGCTGGTCTCAATCTCCTGGCCTCAAGCAATCCACCTGCCTTGGCCTTCCAAAGTGCTGGGATTACAGTGTGAGCCACCGCACCTGACCCTTTTTTTTTTGTTTGTTTGTTTAGCTTATTTTGATTGAATTGCTACCTGTAGGAATTCTTTGAGGGATAGATCAAAGTTGCGGTACTTCATTTAGGATTTATATTTGCTTGGGCCACATTGTTGAAGTTGCTTGAAGACACAGCCAACCCTGAAGACTACTTTGAATTAAATTTCCTAGTTGAAGGATTCATGTTTAATGAGAATTTAGGCCAGCAACCATGTGAAGGATGCTTGTGGTTACAAATGTTCAGGGAGGTGTTTCTCCCTCTTCATGAGTTGCCTCCGCTTCTTTAGGAAGGGGTTATTTGTTGTTTCCGAGAGGTTTACTGCTTTAATCAGAGGCGGTCTGCAATTCAAATCCCCACCTTAGGTAGGCCCTAGACTTTGTCTCCTATCTTCCTCAGCCCACAGCACAGAAATCAGGGGTACAAGTATTCACCCGATGCCTTTAGAGTCCAGTAGGTGTAGGTGTTTTCTCATCCTCCAGGTTTCCCACTGGAAAATTTCTTAATTTTTCGACAGCTCATCAGTCCATTTAAAAACATGATTTTACATTTTATCTAGTATTTTTAGTTTTTGGTAGGAGGTATATTTAGGATATTTTGTCAATCCTACTGTTAGAAATGGAAGTCTCTCTTCTGTTTCATAATGTGAAGATCTATACATATGTGGAAACACTAACAAGGTGAAATACATTCAGCCTTTATGAGGTCTATAAAATATAGGCATATATGTTTTATGTTTATAAAAACCCATGAGTATAATTTCTTTGCTATTTGTAATTCAGTTTCTCTTTGATTTGTTTGCCTTTTTATTCCTTCCTGGACTTCTTGGACATAAATCAGCGCTTGGTTTCAGTTGGACTTGATTCAAAGAATGCAGTTTGTGTTTGGGACTGGAAAAGGGGAAAAATGTTGTCTATGGCTCCTGGTCATACAGATAGAGTAAGTATTCTCTTTTGAGATTTCTAATGAGTACTGGAAGGGAAAGACCAGAAGAGAGTTCAGGAGATTTTATTCTTCTGTATTTTGTTATTGCCAGATAGGTCATATGTAATTAAAATTTTACAATTGGTAAATAATTGTACAGATGTAAAAAGTCTTAAAGTGTTAGAGTACATATGTATTGTAGGACTTGGAAACATGATTTGATATGTATAGCATTGGCATAAGACTTTTTTTCTTTTTTTTATTATACTTTTAAGTTCTGGGGTACATGTGCAGAACGTGCAGGTTTGTTACATAGGTATACACGTGCCATGGAGGTTTGCTGCACCCATCAACCCATCATCTACATTAGGTATAAGACTTTTAACCTGGTGTTTGCTTCAGTAAAAACAATGTATTTTCTTTACATTTTTTAAAACAGTTTTATTGAAATATAATTGATATACATAGGGATGCACATATTTAAGGTGTGAAGTTTGATGGGTTTGACATATGCAGACACCCATTATTCAAATCTCAATTTAAAAATTGAATGGTTTGAGCCTAGGGTCTGTTTAGTTTGGTTTACCACTAATTTGTTACATATGTATTATGGTTAAGGTGAAAAATAATGTTGCTTGTGTGGATTTAAAATTACGTATTACTATTACATTTTTTAGAGACCTAACATTTTTAACTGATGACTTGTTAGAATATATATTCCTCATTCCAAATTGTATATAAACAATACATCATAGCCAGCTTTTAATTAAATATTATACTATTTTTATGGATGTAGATCAAAAAAGTTGTAAACTCCTAAAAGTGTCTAATTTGTGTGTATGTATATGTAGTAAAATCCTAACCTGAACCAGCACAGAGGCATGGCCAATGACTGTATTTGGTGGGAATTTATCATTCTAAAAGTTGGGTAGAAAATTTTGTGTATATTCGCATTTTGGAGAATACATTTGGTTTTTAGTAGGTGCACAGAGAGGCCTATTACACACACACACACACACACACACACACACAAACACACAATTTAGACCATTATTAAAATGTTGGATATATTTTATTAGACAGCTGGCATGTTCTTACCTGCTTAGATCAAAGCATTTTGCACATGACTATTTGGAATTTATATAAATAGACCCGTTACAAAATATGACACTGTCAATGGAGTTTTTGAAAGTATTATTGTGGTTGAATATTTCAAAGTTGCATTGATATGTTTTTCATATAATCTGTATTATGGTGAGTTGTTAAATATTAACTGTAATATGTATTCTTTCTTCATTATCACTAAAGAGCATCACTTTGTAAATTTTTGGAGTATACCAAAATGTGAAGTGTACATTTTAGTATACCAAAAATGTAAACCTTTTAGAGGTAGGTTGATAAGGTGTCAAAGAAACATGACGACTACCAGAAAGCAGAATAAATGAATTATTTTTTAAATGTTAGTTTTTCTTTCATCATTTGTTTAATTACATTTCTCATTCGTATTTTATTTCACCTGGGTTTTTGCTTGTTTGCTTTTGTAACAAAATGTTTTGCATGTATTTAGAATTTATGGAATTTTAGAAAATAATGAAGCCTGGAGACTCCCCAAAATTTGAGTTAACTTTGACCTTTAAACAGTGAAAAAAATTACTGTAAAATCAGTGTTTGGATTCTTTATGTAAACAGTTCTGAGTGATAGAAAGCTATAAAGGTGTTTCTTATTTCTAGGCTGTGTAAGTGTCACGTTCCATTCTGAATCTCTTTTCTGTAGAAATTATGCAAGCACCTCCCTTCGTGTCCTAATTCTGTTCAACCATTCTTGTTATTTATGGACCAAATTTTTTTAAAAATTAAAAATAAACAGAGGTGTTAAATTTTACTCCAGTAGTGTTTGAAGTTCATAGAAATGAAGAAATGCTTTTTATTTCTTATCATTTTCAAATTTACTTTATTTCTCATAAGATTTTGAAGTGTGGGATGTTGATTATTATTTATTGAGGAATATTATTTTATGATTAGGAGTTTGGGCCATTTGGTCTTTTGGACAGGATTTTTAAATGATTCTGGAAATAAGTATTTTAATCATGAATCTGATTTGTTTACAGATATTTGATATTTCTTGGGATTTGTACCAGCCAAATAAACTTGTCAGCTGTGGTGTAAAACATATCAAGGTACTAGAAGGGTCTTGTTTTATAATAGTCACGTTTAGTTCTCTGCTGCTAAGTATATATTGCACTGTTAACAATTTAGCCTACTTTCAGAATTTTGATAGTACTTATTTTTAAAATGGCAATGTTTTTATTGTTCTTATGTTCAGTCAAACAAATATATATATTATTTGCTTTGAACTATTGTAAGGAATATAGGTATGAATAGGAAATTAATAAGCCACATTCCATAAAGAAATCTGTAGTCTAGTGAGGCAGGATTTACTGTGTCCATCCTGTTTCTTCATGTTTCACTTACAAAGTAAAATGTTGAGAATAGGAAAGAAATGAAGAGTTTTTCATTTACATAGAATGGTGTGGGAGAAGCAACATGAGTAGACCTGGCTTTGCCATTTATTAGCTGTTTAACCTGCTATGAGTTATTTAACCTCTTTGAGCTTTTATTTTCACATTTTAAAACTGTGACTGCTGTTACCATCCTCAAAGAATTGATGATTAAATAAGGCGGCAGTGTATATTCAAGTGCTTGTCATAGTGCCTAACACATGGTCTGCTTTCTGAAAGTGTTGCTTTTCCTTTTTCTATATTTGCTCCCTGATTTGACCTCAGCCTTTAAATTTTTTTTTTGACAAATAATGATAGTACATATTCATGGGTACATAGTGATGTTTTGATACATAAAAATGTATGGTGATCAGATTAGGGTAATTAGCTATCATCCCAAACATTTGCTATTTCTTTGTTTTAGGACCATTCAATATCCTCCTTCTAGCTATTTGAAACTGTGTATTCATATTACCTATACTCATTCTACAGTGGTATAGAGTAGTAGAACTTATTCCTCCTCTCTAGTTACAATTTTGTATCCTTTAACAAATCTCTCCTTGTCCCTCTCTCAGCCTTGATAGCCACTATTTACTTTGCTTATGAAAGCTCTGGGTTTTGTTTTATAATTACAGCTCAGATTTTGAAGCCTGTAAAGTCAGTGGTGATATTCATTATTATGTTTATAGTTACTTTTAAATCATTGGAACAAATTGGAATTAACTTGCTTTACTTCCACTGTCTGATGTAACAGTTCCTGGTAACAGTTAATTCCTAGTGAATTAATTAAGGTTCTGTGTTCACATTCTTTATTTCAATATGCCTAACTCCATCCACGTTTTCTCCAGTGCATCTTTCACTGCTGCTGCAATTCTTGATTTGTTATTCTGGTATTGATTTGATTGATGGATAGTAGTAAATATTTATTTTTTGACAAATATTTAATACCAAAAAGGCTGTATGCTGGGCTTTAAGGCACATGATATAAGCACTGTGAAGGTATTTTTGTCTTGTTCATCTTTGATGGACAGTGTGTTTGATATGGTACTTGATATATATTAAGTGCTTAATAAGTGATTGGCAAATTAATTATGAATAAGGAGATCTTACTATTTTATATTGTAAGTAAAGCTAAAGGCTCCATTTTCAGGTTTTTATAAAAAGCTTATCTCAAACTAAATAAACTATATTTTTATAATGAGTTACATTTCTTTCCCTTTGCTAGAAGAAATGAATAGTAACATAGTTCTCTTTGCAGGCAATACATGTGAGGAAATTAATTCCCAGAGATGATCTAGAACTGCACTGTCCAACCATACATAGCTATTTAAACACAAATTAGTTAAATGAAACTTAAAATTCATTTCCTCAGTCACACTAGCAGTACATTTCATATGCTTATGTATCTAGTAGTGGTTACTGTATTGGAAAGCGTGTGTGTGTGTGTAATATTTTCATCATCACTGAAATTTCTATTGGTCAATATTGATTTGGATTCTAGAACAATAGTTCTTAACCCTTGCTGAGCATCAAAATAATTTGGGTACCTGGGCTTCATGCTTCAGAGATTCTGTCTCAGTTCATCTCAATTGGGAGTCCAGGCATCCCATTTTATGATTTCCCAGGTGATTCTAATGTGAAGCTAACATTGGGAATCACTGATCTAGAAGAAAATAATGGATTCAAATTAGGACATGCTGAAAGAAAGAAAACAAGCCACTTATGTACACAAATTATGGAGATTTTAAGTTTAAAAATTACAAAGTTTAATTAAAGTACTCATTAGATCTTTGAATAGATAATGATCATAATTTTTAGTTCTTTGAGGCTTCAAATTTTAAAATAAGAATATATGATAATAAATTATTTTAAATGTTAATTACTTATTACAAAGTTGAATTTTTTCTTTGGGCCTAATTTCTTTATGCAGAACTATTTAATGTATGTATCTCTGCCCTGTCCCATTTTTTTGGTTTATTTTTTAGAGATGGGATCCTACCATGTGGCCCATGCTGGAGTGCAGTAGCTATTCACAGGTGTGATTTATAGCTCACTGTAGCCTCAAACTCCTGGCCTCAAACCATCCTCCCACCTCAGCCTCCCAAGTTGCTGAGACTACAGGCGTTTGCCACTGTGTCCACTTCCCCCCAACTCCTTTTTCTTTAAATTTCTCTCCGTGAACTATAAAAATTTACCTAATTCCACCTAATAGAACAAAAGCCCTGGTAATGAAGATTCATGGTTAACTTCTTATTTTCTCCCAAGAATGAACAAATCATTCCACATGGACATCTATCTTATTTTTTTAAGCTTTACAAGCAAAGCAATTGCTCAGCTTTGAAAATATCAAATATTATAGTTACAGTGAGCTGCAGTTACCGTGAGCTGTAGCATACTCTTTTTTTCCTATCCTTAATGTTTCTATCAGAGAGAGTATGTTAGATTTGGTCCTTTTTCTTCTTCTTAGTCTATGATGACTTACCTTCATTTTCATTGCTAACCGATTCCCAACTTTTTAACCTAAAATTTTTTTTTTTCTTGAGACGGAGTCTCACTCTGCGCCCAGGCTGGAGTGCAGTGGTACACTCTTGGCTCACTGCAACCTCTGCCTCTTGATATCAAGCGATTCTTGTGCCTCAGCCTCCCGAGTAACTGGGATTACAGGCATGCGCCACCATACCTGGCTAATTTTTGTATTTTTAGCAGAGATGGGACTTCGCCATATTGGCCAGGCTGGTCTTGAACTCCTGACCTCAGGTGATCTGCCTACCTTGCTCTCCCAAAATGCTGGGATTACAGGCATGAGCCACTGTGCCTGGCTTAATCTAAGTTTTATGTAGATTTCTTTTCAGAAACCTAAGGAAAGCATAGCATATTTTAAAAATAATCTGATTCAAACCCCTTATTCTTACAGATAAGAATTGAAACCAGTGACTATATAGCTATGCTATAACGTAGCTTTTGACAGCACTAGGATGAGAATCTGAACATTGAATGCTATTTTATCATAAGGCAATTTCTTAGTTAATTTTTAGCTCACTGCTCTAATATAGCATCAAAGTATTGGGAATGTTTTACTTTATTTTATAAGAATTCTTTGGTAATTTGATTATACTATATACCTTTTAGTTCTGGAGTTTATGTGGAAATGCTCTGACCCCAAAACGAGGTGTCTTTGGTAAGACGGGTGACCTTCAGACAATACTGTGCCTAGCCTGTGCAAGGGATGAATTAACATATTCTGGTGCACTCAATGGGGATATATATGTTTGGAAAGGAATCAATCTTATACGAACAATACAAGGAGCCCATGCTGTAAGTACATTTAAGTATTTTAAACACTTTCATGTGTATTACTTAACCTTGTCTTAGAATGATAGACTGCGTAATATAGTATATTGTTTCTAGTCAGTTTGGTTGCTTGAAAATGCTTTTCTAACTGAATTATCTATTTGTTTTCAAGATTTCAATGAAGAAATCAATTAGACTCATTGATATTTATTACATTAGTATAATTAGTATCTTGTTAAAGCTATTGCTTTAGTATGGTGTCTTTCTGAAGAGTAGTGTTGAAAAAAAGCTTGTTGACTTCAATCTAAAAGTATTCTAGATTAACCACACCAGAATAAAGCTAGTGCTCTTGAGGCTAATTTACCAGAGGCAATTAAATTTTCGTGTAAATAACTTACTAAACTTAAAAAGAAATCTGCTGTTTAAATTCTTAGCGTTTTTTGGTTTGAGCTTTTTAGCAGTTTGGGTCCCCCTTACAAAGTAAAGGGAGCTAGATAGCACAAAGCTGCCATGTTGTTAACAGCAAGATCTTTGTGTAGAAAAGTCCTCAGTGCATTACATTTCTATTAATTGGGTTTTCCTACCCTTTTCTTTTTTACTTTTTAAATTTTTTGTGGTTGTTGAATTGGTTTTCTTTCCTTTATTCATTTGAATATTAGGGTTATTAATCTTTTGACAGTCATACATGTTGCAAATATTTCTCCAATCTGTTTGTCTTTGCTTATTACATCTTTTCTCATATGAACAAATTTAAAACTTGTGGGTGATCTGCCATGCCTAGAAAAGTCTCTCACAGCCCAAAGTTACCTAAATGTTATTCTGAATTTTTCTAATATTCTTGTTTTATATTTAGTTATAAATAGTTATTTTTTAAGTTCATGTATAATTCATTTTTACATGTGGTATAGGAATTAAATTTATTTTCTTTTATGTTCTATCCATATAATTAAATACCACCTTGGTTATATATAGTCATGCCTTGATATTTTGGGGGGGATTGGCTCCAGAACCACAGATACCAAAATCTACACATACTCAAGTCTTGCCCTGGGAAACCTGCATATGTAAAGCCCTCCCTATCTATGGGTTTTGCATCCCACAAAGATTGTATTTTGATCTGGGTTTCATTGCTAATGTGGAACTGTGGATACACAGCTGACTGTATTTATTGAAAAAATCCATATAAGTGAGCCAGTGAAGTTCAAATCCACAAGGGGCAACTGTATTAAGTTCTTATGGACTTACTTCTAGATTTTCTTTTGTGTTTTCTGATGTATTTGTTTATTCTTATATCCTACCAAAATATTGTTAAATTGGTTTAAAAGGGTTTCTACCTTCATATAGTAGATGTTCTTAAAAAATATTTGTCGTTAAATTATTTTATTTCCTCTTCTAGGCAGGAATTTTTAGCATGAATGCTTGTGAAGAAGGCTTTGCTACTGGTGGCAGAGATGGTTGTATTCGTCTTTGGGATTTAACTTTTAAACCAATTACTGTGATTGATCTCAGGGAAACAGACCAGGGATACAAAGGTAATAACAAAACAAATGTCTTATTACTAGGCAAACTCTAAACTTCCCAAAGATTATCTCTTTCTTTCAGTGAGTATAAATGTAAGTTTTGTAAATATAAATAAGACTTATATTTGCCTCTTCACCCTGTATGCATTTGATTAAAATTCTTCTATTAAGGAGAAATTTTGCCTGTAAAGAGTTTAGGTTCATTGTTAGGAGAAAGATTCTTTCATAAGTCTAATATCTATTATAATGGGACCTATAGAGAGATGTGAGAGGTACTCACTTAGGTATCTTTGGATTTTGAAAGTATTTTACTATTAGAATGCTAAATATAACTATTTAACAAACTATTCTAAATAAACAGTTGGGGGTAAATATTGAGGGTTGGGAAACTTTTGTTCAGGATAATTTAAATGTGGATAGGTGTATTTTTCCTTCACCCAAATTTGTCAGCAATTGGGGGATTTTTTTTTTTTCTCTTGGGGATTAAAAAAAATTGATGTAATAAAACAGGACCTTTTACTATAAAAGCTACCCACAGGTTTGTGTTTAAACCATATTCCAGTCACCTACAAGTTGTGTGACCTTGGGCTGGTAATTTACCCTCACTGTAAATAAGGAGAATAAGAATAAATATATTATTTAGGATATAGGATCCTATATATGAATTGATATTTCTCAAATGTTTATAAGGATAGCACATAATAAGCATGTAAATGTTAATTGGTATTTTATTTTCATTAGTTTTGCTAAACATTATTGTGCTTTAAAGCTTACAAAATAATTTGAGACTTTTTCTTATCTGATCCTCACAAGAACATTGTGAGGTACACGGTGTCTTTATATTGGCCATGTAACACACATGAGAAAACTGAAAAACACGGTAGCTTTCCTAAGATTACAAAAGACATTCAGGAGTAGGCAGAAAAAGTAAAATTCTCTCTTTTTAATGATATTATAAGTATATTGAAGAAATATAGACAAGTAAAAAGATTATTAAAAGGAAAAGAATACAATTCTATAAAGGTAATTTACTAATTGAGTACTTATTGAACAATGCAGACTGAAGTGTTATAAGACTGGCTGAGCAAGTAGACATGGCTAGAGTTGTCTACAAGGGAGAAGGAAGAAGAGTACATGTCTTGAAGGATGGGTAGGAACTAGGTACATAAAAAGACAAATATTTCATGTAGAAAACAACATGGACAATTGAAGAAAATGTGAGTATAGATCAAGGACTTACATATTTCTTCTGTCTCACATCTAAGATATAAAAGGTACAAAATTAACTTCAATTTAGGAAGATTGGAATTATTGACACAGGATATTTTGGGTGCTACCTTGCCAGCTGGAGACCTCCATGGCGGGCGCAATGCCCCTGTCCCGGGCTGCACTGGGCTCCAGGCTCGCCAGGAGGTACCCTGCCCACTTGGCCTGGCAGGCTGCGCTTGGCTTATACTCTGGCTGGATCCCACACTTGCTGCAGGATCCATGCTCAGCCTGTGGCTGGGCCGGGTGTGCTGTGACCTGCTTCTGCCTTGGGCGTTGGCGTCTGGTTGAAGGGAATGTGGTGGCACCTAAAAAACTTGGGGACTCTAGCGGCCCTGAAGCCCCAAAGGGGGTGTTACAGCATGTTAATAGCTCTTTCAGTCCTGCCCAATAAATGGGGGCATGTGGTGCCCAGCGGCTCCCTCTCCTGTTGCTTGGTGAGTAGGAGGGGAGTGCTGCATGGTTACAGCTCTGTCTGTACTCACTGTTTGGTGAGTTCCAAGTTCTTGTCCCACATCCAAGAAGAAAGAAGTTATACTGGCAGCTGGCAGGTGAGCAAGGCAAAGAGTTTTACTGAGTGACAAAACAGCTCTCAATGGAGAGGGTACCCGAGATGGGGTGAAGTCAGGTAGTCTCCCCTGCCCCCAACCCCCCACCCAAAGGTGGGCAGTCCCCAAATATGGCTGAGTCTGGAGCCTTTATGGGCTCAGAATGGGGGATTGCATGCTGATGGGTTTGTGAGTAAAAAAAGGCTTAAAAAAAGCACCCCTCAAAGATGGGCACAACACTATAAAAAAAAATTAGGGAAGGATAAATATGTGTAAAGTAAGTGAAAGGTGGGGATCAATCAGAGGAAAGTGCACCAAATGGGAAGAGACGTTCTCAGTTGGTCCATGGATTTATCTGAGACTTGTAGCTTGGCTTTCAGGCTTTAAACTGTCTTAGGTTTGAAGGTTGGCTTTCACCGGGACTTGCCCCTATCTGCATAGGGATTTGTCTGCCTCCTGCTGCTATCATTATTACAGCATTATATATTAAATACAATTTACTTTTTACTAGGTTTGTCTGTAAGGAGTGTGTGTTGGCGAGGTGACCACATTCTAGTTGGAACACAGGACAGTGAAATTTTTGAAATTGTGGTGCAAGAAAGAAATAAACCTTTTCTAATTATGCAAGGGCATTGTGAAGGTGAACTTTGGGCACTTGCTGTCCATCCTACTAAACCTTTGGCTGTGACTGGAAGTGATGATCGTTCGGTCAGGTAAGCAAATTATAAACTAATTCCATAGGCTGGAATGTATCCTTAGATAAACATAAAGAAAACATGGCCAGGCACTGTGGCTCACGCCCGTAATCCCAGCACTTTGGGAGGCCAAGGCGGGCAGATCACAAGGTCAAGGGATTGAGACCATCCTGGCCAACATAGTGAAACCCCGTCTCTACTAAAAATACAAAAATTAGCTGGGCATGGTGGCGGGCACCTGTAATCCCAGCTACTTGGGAGGCTGAGGCAGGAGAATCGCTTGAACCCAGGAGGCGAAGGTTGCAGTGCGCCAAGATCATGGCACTGCATTCCAGCCTGGCAACAGAGTGAGACTCCATCTCAAAAAAAAAAAAAAAAGAAAGAAAAAATACTCCGATTAAAACTTTATTAGCTCATGGTATAACAAATGAACATAAGTAATACTGAAAATTAATAGAATTATTAGTAATATTTTTTCTCTTACAAATATATGATATGGAGTTTGTTCCATATCAGAATGTACAAAACTACCTCCTCCTTTTTAACAGGAATATAATATTTCACTGCATGGATATACTGTAATTTATTCAACTAATCCATTACTGATGGAAGATTAGTTTCCTCCAGTTTTGTGTATTTTAGAAATACAGGGCTTGCAGTGAATATCATTATACATTTGTCATTTTGTACATGTATGAATATCTCTGATAAATGTTTAGCAGTAGTCAAAGGATGTGTGCATTTTAAATTTTGATAGATAAGGCCTTACATAGAGGCAGCAACAATTTATACACCTATTGTGAATATATTACCAGTGCCTGTTTTCTCACACCCTTAACAGAACTAATTATAATCCCAAAAGGTGAAAAATGATACCTTGTTATATTTGAAAATATGTATTTCTCTTATATTGAGGGTTGTTATGTTTTTATATGTTTAGAGGACATTTTTTTCTTTGACCTGTTCAAGCTGTTTGCCTATTTTCTGTTAGTTCATAGGTCTTTTTCTCTACTTGATTTTAAATAAGATCTAATGATACCTGTTTATATATTAAAGAAATTAGAAACCTTGTCTGTGATAGTGGTTCTCAAAGTGTGGTTCCTAGACGAGCAACATCAGCATTACCTAAGAATGTGTAAGAAATGCAAATTCTCAGGCCTTTTACAGGACCTAATACCAGAAATTGAGCGATTTGTGATTTCAGAAGCCTTCCAAGTGACTACGATATACTCAAAAGTTTGAGAACCACTGATCAAATTTAGGAATTGAGATTTGTTTACCCCAGTTTGTCTTTTTTTTCCCTGATTTCATCTGTAAATATTTCTGTTTGTATCTTTAAAAGATATCTCAAACATCACCACAATACTGTTATCACACAGTGTTCTGTATCTAGCTAGTATAGAAATTCCTGATTGTCTCATAAAATATTTTTATGATTTCTTAAAATCAGGACCCAAATGAGCTTCATATATTGCGTTTGCTGATATGTCTTTTCAGTCTCTTTTATTCTACAGCTTTCTTCCTTCCCTTTTTGTTCTTCTTACAGTTTATTCAGCGTTTCCCACATTCTGGATTTGGCTAATTGCATACCCATAGTGTATTTTAACATAGTCTGTGTTCCCTGTATCCTGTAAATTGGTAGTTAGATTTAGAGGTTTGATGAGATACAGTTATGAATTTTCAGGATATTTCCTAGGTGGTGATGTACTCCTGCTTGATGGTATGTAATGTGTAGTCTCCGTTTTTTCTAGTAGCAGCCATTGATGATTATCGTCTAGATTAGTATTTCCCAACCTTTTTTCATTGTCACTTTCTTACATTTTTTTTCTTGATCACACCCTGTCTTTGAAATTTTAAGACCACAGACAACTATGTATCTCTTTTTGTATTGTGGCCCCTTAAGAGAATGCAAACCATTGTAATATTTAAGATATTTTACCCCTAAGAATTCATTTTTAACCCCTTTCAAGAAATATTGCCCCCGTTGAGAATGCATGGCCTAAATCTATCATTTTAATAAGAATTTCAAATGGTGGCATTCTAATACTTACATTTACCACTCATTATTCATTTGTTAGCTGTAATATTTCTATAAAGAGAATTTCTTCTCATCAATTATTTGTTTATCCTGGTTATAATAAAGGCAGAAAGGTGCTTAATTCTTTCCCTATATTTACCAATTTTAAAAGTTAGGTGGTTCCCTAGAATCCTTTCTGTAAACTTTCCACATTTCTTGCCATTTTTTCTGTAGGGTTGTTGATCTTTTTCTCCTTTACTTTTAGCAGCTCTTTATATATTATGGATGTTAACTCTTTGCCTATAATGTAAATTGCAAGTAATTTCAATAGTTTGTTACTTGCTTTTTTTTTTACTTCGTGTAGGTTGTTTTAGGTAAGCAAAAATTCTTGTTGTTGTTGTTGTTATTTTTCATATAGCTGAATTTATCAGTATTTTCTTTCATGACTTCTAGGATTGTATCATAGAGAAATCTTCCCCAAAATTATTTTTTAAAAATTTTCAATATATTCTTCCAGTACATTAGTGGTTATATTTTTATGTTTAACTCCCAATCTATGTAAAGCTTCCTTTAGTGTAAGAAGTAAGATGGGGACTCAACCTAATTGTTTCCAGATAATTACTGATGTTTTTTATGGTATGCTAATCAGTCATGCCATTTACTGTCATTGTGCCAGTCTATTTTTGGGGGATGGGAGATGGCATAGGTCATATGTCTGTAAACTTACTGTGGGGGCTACACCTTACCTCACTCTGTGCTCTGCTAGGAGCTATTCATAATCCTTTCATTGTAGAACTGCTATTACCAAGTGCCACCTAGCTGCTGCCAATAGGACAATTGTTTCTTTAAAAAGTAATTGTTCAGACTACTGTTCCTGTTATTGGTGGGCAATTTATTTGGAATAAAACAACTTCCAATGAAAACAACTAAAGATATTAGTTAAAATGTCAATCACCTTAAAAGCTTCAAAGAACTGACAAGATAGTGAGGAGCTATCCAGCCAATTTGTGAAAGAAAATGGGCATTTAGGGGCATTGTGCCAAAGCCGCTTTTTGCCCTGAAGGCATTTTTCCTTTGGGTAAACTTGACCTTTGTTTATGGCTTTGTCTTGGAGCACAAGGGACAGACAAGACCCAGCATTTGCCAAAGGAGGATAGTCCAACGTATGGTGCTAAAGCTATAAATTAAGCTCCAAAAAATATCTGCTGCAGATTTGTGTGGCAGTGGAGACCTCACTTCTTGTTTTAAGTTTTGATAGCACAGAAGTGTATAAAGCAGCTTGATATTGTTATTCAAATAGCATTAATTGTTCAAATGACTTTACCACAATGTAAGTTTCACATTACATTGTGCTGCTTTTGCCTTATAATTTTAGGTTGAATTCATTAGGTAACAGTATTGAGTCTTCAGTAGAAGCTAATTTCCAAATCCATTCAGTGTTTAATAATATCGCTAGAACCTGGGAGGCAGAAGTTGCAATAAGCTGAGATCGCGCCACTGCACTCCAGCCTGGGAAACAGCCAGACTCCGTCTCAAAAGAAAGACAGAGATCAATTCTTCTTAATTCAGAAAAATTTCAATCTTGGTTCTGAGATCAGAAAATCACAACAAAACTTAACCACTGCTAAGCCATTTAACTGCTGTGTTAGTGCAAGTCAGGATTTTCTGCTTCTGTATCTGGCAAAAATTCACAGAACTGAAAATGGCCATACTGCCCAAGGTAATTTATAGATTCAATGCCATCCCCATCAAGCTACCAATGACTTTCTTCACAGAAGTGGAAAAAACTAAAGTTCATATGGAATCAAAAAAGGGCCCACATTGCCAAGACAATCCTAAGCCAAAAGAACAACACTGAAGGCATCACGCTACCTGACTTCAAACTATACTACAAGGCTATAGTAACCAAAACAGCATGGTACTGGTACCAAAACAGAGATATAGACCAATGGAACAGAACAGAGCCCTCAGAAATAATACCACACATCTACAACCGTCTGATCTTTGACAAACCTGACAAAAACAAGAAATGGGGAAACGATTCCCTATTTAATAAATGGTGCTGGGAAAACTGGCTAGCCATATGTAGAAAGCTGAAACTGGATCCCTTCCTTACACCTTATACAAAAATTAATTCAAGATGGATTAAAGACTTACATGTTAGACCTAAAACCATAAAAACCCTAGAAGGAAACCTAGGCAATACCATTCAGGACATAGGCATGGGCAAGGACTTCACGTCTAAAACACCAAAAGCAATGGCAACAAAAGCCAAAATTGACAAATGGGATCTAATTAAACTAAAGAGCTTCTGCACAGCAAAAGAAACTACCATCAGAGTGAACAGGCAACCTACAGAATGGGAGAAAATTTTTGCACTCTACTCATCTGACAAAGGGCTGATATCCAGAATTTACAAAGAACTCAAACAAATTTACTAGAAAAAAACAACCCCATCAAGAAGTGGGAAAAGGATATGAACAGACACTTCTCAAAAGAAGACATTTATGCAGCCAACAGACACATGAAAAAATGCTCATCATCACTGGCCATCAGAGAAATGCAAATCAAAACCACAATGAGGTACCATCTCACACCAGTTAGAATGGTGATCATTAAAAAGTCAGGAAACAACAGGTGCTGGAGAGGATGTGGAGAAATAGGAACACTTTTACACTGTTGGTGGAACTGTAAACTGGTTCAACCATTGTGGAAGACGGTGTGGCAATTCCTCAAGGATCTAGAACTAGAAATACCATTCCACTCAGCCATCCCATTACTGGATATATACCCAAAGGGTTATAAATCATGCTGCTATAAAGACACATGCACACGTATGTTTATTGTGGCACTATTCACAATAGCAAAGACTTGGAACCAACCCAAATGTCCATCAGTGATAGACTGGATTAAGCAAATGTGGCACATATACACCATGGAATACTATGCAGCCATAAAAAAGGATGAGTTCATGTCCTTTGTAGGGACATGGATGAGACTGGAAACCATCATTCTCAGCAAACTATCGCAAGGACAAAAACCAAACACTGCATGTTCTCACTCATAGGTGGGAATTGAAAAATGAGAACACTTGGACACAGGAAGGGGGACATCACACACCGGGGCCTGTCATGGGGTGGGGGGAGGGGGGAGGGATAACATTAGGAGATATACCTAATGTAAATGACGAGTTAATGAGTGCAGCACACCAACATGGCGCATGTATACATATGTGACAAACCTGCACATTGTACACATGTACCCTAGAACTTCAAAGCATAATAATAATATAAAAAGACATTAAAGCAGCTGTTATAACTACAAAAAATAAATTCACAGAACTGAAAGTGGTTAGTTAAATCCACAGGAGCAAATGAAGTTCACCATTAATGCTATTGGTTAAAAAAAACGAGAGAGTCTTATTTTTTTCTTCACTAAGTACGTGCTAAAGAATAATACAATGAATAAGCACAGGCTTTAAACCCCTTACGTTTTCATAATCTGTGTAAATTTCTTTAAGCCATTTTTTCTATACATACTTTTTTCCCACCATCAGTTAGTTATAATTCATCTTAGCAGATTCCAATTTAGGTTGCATTGAATTAGTGTTTTCTCAATGATTTTGAATATATTCTTGTCTCTAGTTGTTTCATGCAGACTATTCATAAAAGCAAATTCTTGTCACTTCACACTTTGCATTGACTCCCCAAATAAACAATTGAGTAGTATCTGTAACATCTGTTAACCCATGAAGAATCAAGGAAAACCACTCAAAATTATTTGTCGTGTTTTTAAATTAATTATTGGTAGTGTTCCCAATATTCTCAACTTTTGGAGCAACTGTTCTCACAGAAAGGCTAACAGTCTTAAACAAGTCTGTTTTCTCTGGACATATTTCTTAAGCTGCTGCAATTCAAAATGATTTAAGTAATTCATTACCAATAAGTAGCTTTCCTTGCTTGGCTAACAAATCAACCACTCAGAAACTTACTTCTCTTGCAACCTCATTGTATTTTTAAATTTGTGAATAACTTCTGTGATGAGATATTCTGTTTTAAATTTTCTAATTTTTCTGAGCTTTCCTGTGAGTTGGAAAAATTGTGATGAGTGCTTAGTCTGGTAATGTATATTTGTATCCTTTTAGCACAGCTACAGTGTCATTGCATAATAAACCTAATGCTTTGCCATCTAATTCAATAACAGTATAGTCCATGCTCCATTGTGCCTTAAAAATGTAACATTCTAAGTCCAGTATTAATATATACATTGGTAAACAAAAATAATAACAAAATGTCACTATATGGTAATACAGATAGCCCTCAAAATTCTGTCAAGTTGTAACTGTGTCACTGAAAATTGTAATGTACTAAGAAGCAGTCCAAAGTGATGAGAGTGTATCATCTCTTTCCCAGTATCTCAACTCTGCCTCTGTAGTGTGATACAAAGACAGTATGTAAGCCATAGACAATACATTAAAAAAACAAAAAAAAAAAACAAAAAACAAGACCGAGTGTGGTGGCTTATGCCTGTAATCCCAGTACTTTGGGAGACTGAGGCAGGTGGATCACATGAGGCCAAGAGTTCAAGACCAGCCTGGCCAACATGGCAAAACCCTGTCTCTACTAAAAATACAAAAATAAGCCGGGGAATGGTGGCACATGCTTGTAATCCCAGCTACTCAGGAGGGTGAGGCACGAGAATCACTTGAACCTGGGAGGCGGAGGTTGCAGTGAACTAAGATTGCGCCAGCACTACAGCCTGGGTGACAAAGTGAGACTCTGTCTCAAAAAAACAAAAAACAAAAAACCAAATAAGTATATGCCTATACTTCCATAAAACTTTATTTACAGATACAGAAAGTAGAATTTCAAATAATTTTCTTGTGTTTCAAAATTTTATTAAAACATTTTTTTCAACCATTTAAAAATGTAAAAATTATTCCTAGCTTTCAGACTGTACAAAAATAGGCAGCAGGCCTGGTTTGGCCCACAGGACATGGTTTGCTGTCCCTTGTGGTAAGAGCATAGAATGTCACCAGCAAATATCATATTTAATGTTGAAGTATTGAAGATTTTCCTTTGAAATCAGAAAAAAGACAGTTATGCTATTTTCACCATTCTGTTCAGCTATAGACTAGAAGTCTTGGTCAATATAGTAAGGCCAAATGTATATGTGTATAGCATATATATGTATGTGTATATATATGTACACGTACACACACACAGATTGGAAAGGAAAAAAATAACTGCCATTCTCAGTTGGTTATATATATATATGATGTGTTTATATATATAGAAAAATCCAAAGATGAATTACTGGAATTGAAAAGAGAATTTAGCAAATTTTCTGGATATGAAAACAATATACAAAAATCATTTTTCCTATAAACTAGTAACAATTTTAAAAATACTATAAAAGCATTTAGAAAATCTTAGTTTTGCTGATCTTTTTCTAATGTCTTGGGGGTAGATGCCTATTTATTAAATTGTAGCCTTTGTTTATTTATAATGTAGTTATTCCTTGCTATTTTTGGGGGAGATTACTTCCAAGACCCCCTGCAGATACCATAATCTGTGGATGTTCAAGTTCATTATATAAAATGATATATAATTTGAACATCCTCCAAAATACAGTTATTCCTTGAACAACACAGGTTTGAACTGCATGGGTCCACTTATAGGTGGATTTTCTTCCACCTCTGCCACCCCTGAGATCGTAAGACAAGCCTCTTCTCTTCCTCCTCCTCAGCCTACACAATGTGAAGATGATGAGGATGTAGACTTTTATGATGATCCACTTCTACTTAATGAATAACAATTATATTTTCTCTTCCTTATGATTTTCTTAATTGTTTTCTCTAGCTTACTTTATTGTAGGTATACAGTATTAGTACATATAATGCACAAAGTGTATGTTAAACAACTGTTTGTGTTATTGATAAGACTTCCAGTCAACAGTAGGCTACTAGTAGTTAAGTTTTTGGAGAGTTAAACATTAGACGTGGCTTTTTGATGGCATGGGAATTGGTGCTTCTAACTGGTGCATTATTCAAGGGTCAACTGTACTTTAAATCTCTAGATTACTTATAATACCTAATACAGTGTAAGTGCCGTGTAAATAGTTGTTATACTATATTGTTTAGGGAATAATGACAAAAAAAAAAAGTCTGTACATGTTCAGTACAGATGCAACTATCATAGGCCTAACTACATTTTCCTTCCATGGTTGGTTGAATCTGTAGCTGCAGAACCCATGGATACAGAGGGCCAACTGTATATGCATTTAAAGCTCCCAAAAGTTCCTCCTAAGTACTGTTTCAGCTATATTTCACAAGTTTTGATTTTAAGCAGTTTTATAACTTACTTCAAAATAGTAACAAATCATTAAGAGTTCATCTTTGTCTTTGTCTTTTAGATTATATGGAAGTATAATTCTTAATTTTCAAACAATGGGTATCTTCTAGTTATCTTTTTTGTTGTTGATTTCTAGCATTGTGGTCTGGAACAGATTCTGAATTTGGATAGTTTTAAACACTAGACTGTATGTACATAAGGATATATACATATGTGTGTCTACACACACACTCTCTCCCTTTGGTCAGGGTAGAAATAACCTATCTAAAAGTGAAAGAATCAATGTACTGCATTGTTTAAAAATGCATTGTATTGGCTGGGTGCGGTGGCTCACACCTGTAATCCCAGCACTTTGGGAGGCCAAGGTGGGTGGATCACCAGAGGTTGGGAGTTTGAGACCAGCCTGACCAACATGGAGAAACCCCATCTCTACTAAAAATACAAAATACAGGCGTGGTGGTGCATGCCTGTAATCCCAACTACTTGGGAGGCTGAGGCAGGAGAATTGCTTGAACCCGGGAGGCGGAGGTTGCAGTGAGCCGAGATCACACCATTGCACTCCGGCCTGGACAACAGGAACGAAACTCCGTCTCAAAAAAAAAAAAAAAAATGCAGTGTATCACACTACAGATGCAGAGTTGAGAAGTTGGGAAAGAGATGGTATACTCACATCCCTTTGCACTGCTCCTCAGCTCATTACAAATTTCAGTGACACATTTACAACTTGACAGAATTTTGACCGCTATGTGCATTACCATATGGTGACATTATTATTTATCACCAGTGCATACTCATCATGTTGACATAAGAGGAAAAAGATAAAATTGGACTTTGAGTGTTACATTTTTAAGGCAAAGTGGAGCATGGACTTTACTGTTATTCAATTAGATGGCAAAACATTGTGTTTATTATGCAGTGACACTATAACTGTGCTAAAAGGATACCAAAACAACAACAACAACAACAACAACAAAACATAGCCAGGTTGGGTGGCACATTCCTGTAGTCCCAGCTTCTCATGAGGCTGAGGCTAGAGGATTGCTTGAGCCCACAGGGTCAAGGTTATAGTAAGCTATGATCACGCCACTGCACTCCAACCTGAGTGACAGAGTGACGTGATGTCGCCAAAAAAATTCAAAGCAAAAGATTCTATCAACTTCTGTCATTTAAGCATGAACAATTCCCATTTTCATAGATAAGAATTTCTTGCCACACAACAGATAGTTAAGATATCTAGATTTATCTTAATTAAGATGAGATTATTTTAACCAAAATATTTTTACTAAAGTATGCATTAGCTAACCTTTTTTATTTTTTAAATTAAATTTTACAGGATATGGAGCCTAGTAGATCATGCATTAATAGCAAGGTGTAATATGGAAGAACCAATTCGTTGTGCAGCTGTCAATGCAGATGGAATCCATCTTGCCCTTGGAATGAAGGATGGCTCATTCACTGTACTTAGAGTAAGGTATGGTATTAGGGTAGAAACACATAATAATTTTATCTTCAGTGATACAGAATATAAGTAATTTTCTCTTCAGCGATACAGAATATATAATACTTGTTGTTTTTACCTATTTATCCTTTTCTCTTCCCCTTCTTATTAATATATTTCAGATGTTAATTTCATCAAGTATAAAAATATATTTATAAAAATAGCTTTGTCCGAAAAATAAATTCAGAAGCCTTGGTTTGGGGGGTTAAGAATGCTTAATAGATTAATGGCTAAAATTTTGAGCTATAAAGTTTGGGTCCCAACTACCTTTTCCTGTTAGTATAGATTTTCAGTAATGATCCCTCTCCGTTTAACAAGCTGAGGCTGTTAAAATGGGGTTGTTGTTGTTGTTGTTGTTATTTACAGCCTTATGCTTTAAAAAATGCTTCCATCTCTTCTTTTGTTTGAGTAATTAGAAAAATTTAAAGAATTTGGTAAAGCAGTTAACATTTTGTGTTGAATTATAGATAGATAAATTCAATTGAATTCTATGCAGTCAGTAAGAAATTTGCTGTAGATCCACAGGATAAGTACTTACGAAGTCTTTCTTCTCTACCTCAGTGAACGGTAAGATCCTTCGCTCAGTTGCTCAATTCAGAAACTATTAACACAGTTCTCTCTTTTGCCTCCCCTGTGTAGTTAATTAAAGAGTTCTGGAGAGTCTACTTCTGAGATAGCTCTCATATTAATCTCCTTCCTTCTATTCTCACCATTGTACTCTTGTGTAGGCTTCTGTCATCTACTAACTGGATTGGTGGAATAGCCTCTTAGCTGATCTTCTTACCTCCTGTTTGGTTTCCCTCAAGACCTTTCTTCACTCCACAGTGATGGTGATTCCTTTTAAAACACATTGTGTGCTTTCTTCTTATTTCTAAAGTATGATAAAGGCTTTGTACTGTCCTTAGGATGCAGCTCATAATCCTTCACGTGGTATGTAGTGCCCATCTTTCCAGCCTATTTCTCAGTACCCCAGTTTCTTTCATCTATAGGAAACTCCTTTCCTGTATCACCATGCCATACAGTATATGTTCAGAACTTATTCACTAATTCTAACTGAAACTTCGTACTCTTTAACTAACATCTCCCCATTATGAACAGATACATTATGTTTTCTTGTACTTCTGAGCCTCTACACGTGCTGACTCCCCTTTCCGAGACCGGTTTTTAAGTTAACATTTTTTATTGTGGTAAAATATATAATATATAAACTTCACATTTCAACCATTTTTAAATGTAAAATTCAGTGCCATTAAGTACATTCACATTGTTGTGCAACCATCACCACCCTCTAGCTTCAGAACTTTTTCATCTTCCCAAATGGAAACTCTGTACCCTGTAAAAAATAATCCCATTCTTCCATCTCCTAAGCCCATGATAACCATCATTCTACTTTCTGGGTCTCTATGAAAGACATAATTTGACTACTCTAGGTACCTCATATTTTAAAAAAATGAATATAACATTTGAATATAAATTAAAGCTTTTTCCACAGAGCTCTATAAATATGTCATATTACTTTATTTTGTCATGCTGAAACAGCTTCTTGAAGAGAGATGAAAGACTACGAAACCTCCCTGTTGGGCTATCCATACTGTTATAATTTGGGCACTGATTTGATCTATTGATTCTGGAATCTCTGTAACTATCATCATCTAAGATTAAACATCTGTTCTTTTTCTCATTGGTTGTTTAATTTCTTTGGAGGCTGCTCTTCAGTTTTGCAGGTTAGAAATAATAAATAGAAACACCTGGTCATTACTTATGAATAATAATTAATATTCATGATCAGCTTCATTTTTTCTTTTCTGTAAGAACTGAAAGTATTGGAAGTACTGGAATTGGAGTGCTCACTTATAGAGGTTTTACAAGAATTTAAGATGCATGTAAAACACCTAAGAATTCCTATCATATCTGATACACATTCAAAAGTAGTGATTTTTTTTTAGTTATACATTTACTTGCCCTTTCAGTTACTGAATGCAGTAGACTGGATGAAAAAGTTTTTATTCCTAATAAGACTGTATTTTAGCACCTGAATCCAACATTGCTAATAGTATTGAAAGGGTTATTCTGATTATTAAATGCCTTTAAAAGTGAACCACAAAATTCTAACTCACAAAATGGTCTTCTTAATCCATCTGAATTTATCTGGTTACTATTTCTTCTTGATTTGCTTTGTATTCTCCATATGGTAAAGCAGGATTCATTACTGAACATAACTTTTTTTTTTTTTTTTTTTTGATATGGAGTCTTGCTCTGTCACAAGGCTGGAGTACAGTGGCGCAATCTCGGCTCACTGCAGCCTCCGCCTCCCAGGTTCAAGCGATTCTCCTGCCTCAGCCTCCTGAGTAGCTGGGACTATAGGTGCGTGCCACCACGCCAAGCTATTTTTTTTTTTTGTATTTTTAGTAGAGATGGGGTTTCACCATGTTGTCCAGGATGGTCTTGATCTCCTGACCCTGTGATCTGCCCGCCTCGGCCTCCCAGAGTGCTGGGATTACAGGCGTGAGCTACTGTGCCCGGCTCATAACATATTAAAGTACCTGCACCAGGAGTGGGGGTTATGTTAGAGTTGGAAGAAAATAGAATGAATTAGAATCTCACATCATGATTCTTAAATTAGTATATAAGGTGGTATGCCAGGGTAAAGCCACAATATCTTCTTAAAACTTATCTTTTCTTCATAATAAAAACTGTTAACAATTTTAAAATTATTTTGTAACCAGTCTGCCTTTTTAAAAATTTATTTTTGTGTCCCCCCAGCTTCATTAAGGCATGATTGACAAATAAAAACTGTATATATTTACGACGTACAACATGAGATTTTGGTTATACATATACTTTGTGAAATGATTACATCAAGCTAGTTAACATATCCATCACCTCACATACTTAACCACTTTAGGGGGTGAGAACATTTAAGATGTGTCTTAGCAATTTTCAAGTATATTCTACATTATTATTAACTCTAATCACTGTGCCATACAGTATATCTTCAGAACTTACTAACTCGTTCTAACTGAAACTTGGTACTCTTTAACCAACATCTCCCCATTTCCCACCTGTACTCCTAATCCCTGTTAACCACCAATCTACTCTCTGCTATGTTTGACTTTTTTAGATTCCACATATAAGCAAGATCATGCAGTATCTGTCTTTCTCTGCCTGGTTTATTTCACTAAGCATAATGTGCACCAGGTTCATCCGTGTGGTAGCAAATGACAGGATTTTCTTCCTTTTCTAAAATTATTTTTTAAAATTTTTGTAGAGCCTGGGCCTCACTGTGTTGCCCAGGCTTGTCTCAAACTCCTGGCCTCAAGCAATCCTCCTGCCTCAGCTGCTGAAAGTGCTGGGATTACAGGCATGAGCCCCTGTGCCCAGCTAATTTTCTTCCTTTTTAAGAATGAATAGTATATCTCTTTTTTATTCATGTGTACATTGATGGACACTTAGGTTGGCTTGAGGGAAGGGGTGACATGAGTAATGTAAAACTGTCCTTCCCTCCTTCTTCAAATATGTCTTTCCTTATTGCTGTGTTACATACAGATTCTATAATCTCTCACCATGTTTTCTTAGCTCTTATGAACATTTTTTTTATTTTAATTTTTATTTTAAGTTACAAAGTACATGTGCAGAATGTGCAGGTTTGTTATGTAGGTAAACATGTGCCACGGTGGTTTGCTGCACCTATCAACCCATCACCTAGGTATTAACCCATTTATGCCAGGGGTTGCAAATTTTTTTTTATGAAAAATCAGACCTTGGCAATGACCTTGAGCAGTAAGATATAAATAATTCCCACAAGCTTAGCGTTCCAGTAATGGAGCACTAGGCATAAATGGTTTGAGCTCAGTATGCATTAGCTATTTTTCCTAATGCTCCCCCTCCCCTCACCCCACCCCCAAAGGCCTCAGTGTGTGTTTTTCCTCTCCCTGTGTCCATAGTTCTCATTGTTCAGCTCCCACTTATAAACGAGAATATGTGGTGTTTGCTTTTCTGTTCCTGCATTAGTTTGCTGAGGATAATGGCTTCTTGCTCCATCCATGTCCCTGCAAAGGACATGATCTCCTTCCTTTTTATGGCTGCATAGTATTCCAAGGTATACATGTACCACATTTTCTTTATCCAGTCTATCATTGATGGGCATTTGGGTGGATTCCATGTCTTTGTTATTGTGAATAGTGCTGCAGTGAACATACACATGCATGCATCTTTGTAATAGAATGATTTATATTTCTTTGTGTATATACCCAGTAATGGGATTGCTGGGACAAATGGTATTTCTGGTTCTAGATCTTTGAGGAATCGCCACACCATCTTCCACAATGGTTGAACTAATTCACATTCCCACCAACAGTGTAAAAGCATTCCTATTTCTCTTCAACCTCACCAGCATCTGTTGTTTATTGACTTTTTAATAATTGTCATTCTGACTGACGTGAGATGGTACCTCAATGTGGTTTTGATTTGCATTTTTCTAATAATCAGTGATGTTGAGCTTTTTTTCATATGTTTGTTGGCCACATAAATGTTGTCTTTCAAAAAGTGTCCGCTCATGTCCTTTGCCCACTTTTTAATGGGGTTGTTTTTTTCTTGTAAATTTGTTTAAGTTCCTTGTTGACTCTGGATATCAGACCTTTGTCAGATGGATAGATTGCAAATATTTTTTCCCACTCTGTAGGTTGCCTCTTTGCCCTGATGATAGTTTCTTTTATTGTGCCGAAGCTCTTTAGTTTAATTAGATCACATTTGTCAATTTTTGTTTTGTTGCAGCTGCTTTTAGCGATTTCTTCATGAAATCTTTGCGCATGCCCATGACCTGAATGGCATTGCCTAGATTTTCTTCTAGGGTTTTTTGTAACTTTGTGTTTTACATTTAAGTCTTTAATCCCTCTTGAGTTAATTTTTGTATAAGGTGTAAGGAAGGGGTCCAGTTTCAGTTTTCCGCATATAGCTGGCCAGTTTTCCCAGCACCATTTATTGAATAGGAGATCCTTTCCCCCTTGCTTGTTTTTGTCAGGTTTGTTGAAGATCAGATGGTTGTAGATGTGTGGTCTTATTTCTGAATTCTCTATTCTGTTCCATTGGTCTACCCATCTGTTTTTATACCAGCATCATGCTGTTTTGGTTACTGTAGCCTTGTAATATAGTTTGAGGTTCAGTAGCGTGATGCTTCCTGCCTTGTTCTTTTTGCTTAGGATTGACTTGGCTGTACGGGCTCTATTTTGGTTCCATATGATGTCTTAAGTAGTTTTTTTCTAATTCTTTGAAGAATATCAGTGGTAGTTTAATGGGAATAGCATTGAATCTATAAATTACTTTGGGCAGGATGGCAATTTTCATGATACTCATTCTTCCTATCCAGGAGCATGGAATATTTTCATTTGTGTTCTCTTTTATTTCCTTGTGCAGTGGTTTGTAGTTCTCCTTAAAGAGGTCTTTCACTTCTCTTATTAGCTGTATTCCTAGGTATTTTATTTGTAGCAATTGTGAATGGGAGTTCATTCATAATTTAGCTCTCTGCTTGCCTGTTGTTGGTGTATAGGAATTCTTGTGACTTTTACACATTGATTTTATATCCCGAGACTTTGCTGGAGTTGCTTATCAGCTTAAGAAGCTTTTGGGCTGAGACGATGGAGTTTTCTAGATATAGGATCATGTCATCTGCAAATAAAGACAATCTGAATTCCTCTCTTCCTATTTGAATATGCTTTATTTCTTTTTCTTGTCTCATTTCCCTGGCCAGAACTTCAATACTGTGTTAAATAGGAGTGGTGAAGAGAGGACATCCTTGTCTTGTGCCAGTTTTCAAGGGCAATGTTTCCAGCTTTTGCACATTCAGTATGATATTGGCTGTGGGTTTGTCATAAACAGCTTATTATTTTGGGGGATGTTCCTTCAATATCTAGTTTATTGAGAGGTTTCAACATGAAAGGATGCTGAATTTTATCAAAGGCGTTTTCTGCACCTATTAAGATAATCATATGGTCTTTGTTTTTAGATCTTATGTGATGAATTACGTTTATTGATTTGCATTGGTTGAACCAGCCTTGCATCTCGGGGATGAAGCCTCCTTGATTGTGGTGGATAAGCTTTTTGATGGGCTGCTGGATTCAGTTTGCCAGTATTTTACTGAGGATTTTTGCATTGATATTCATCAGGGATACTGGCCTGAAGTTTTTTGTTGGTTCTCTGCCAGGTTTTGGTATCAAGATGTTGCTGGCCTCATAAAATGAGTTAGGGAGGAGTCCCTCCTTATCAATTGTTGGGCTATTTCAGAAGAAAGGGTATCTGCTCCTCTTTGTATTTCTGGTAGAATTCAGCTATAAATTCATCTGGTCATGAGCCTTTTTTGGTTGGTAGGCTATTTATTACTGCCTCAATTTTAGAACTTGTTATTGGTCTATTTAGGGATTCAGCTTCTTCCTGGTTCAGTCTTTGGAGGGTGTATGTGTCTAGGAATTTATCCATTTCTTTTAGATTTCCTGGTTTATATGCATAGAAGTGTTTATGGTATTCTCTGATGGTTGTTTGTATTTCTGTGGGGTCAATGGTGATATCCCCTTTATCATTTGTTGTTATGTCTATTTGATTCTTCCCTCTTTTCTCCTTCATTAGTCTAGCTAGCAGTCTATTTATTTTATTAATTTTTTCAAAAAACCAGATCCTAGATTAATTAATTTTTTGGAGGGATTTTCATGTGTCTATCTCCTTTGTGAAGGTATTTTTATGCATGGATGATTCAAATTGGTATTTCTGCAAGGGGAGTAGCATTGGAAAGTCCTTTTCCACCATTTTGCTGTCCTCACTTCCCACCATTTTCTGTTTAAAAAAAAAAAAGCTCATATCATAGAGTCATATGAAAACTTGCAAATATTTTAAAGTAGAAAATTATATATACACATATGGAACTTTGACTTACAGTAAGCTACACTGTGTTATCAACAGCAAACTCCTCAGAGGCACCCATTCCTTCTCATGAATAGTGAGAGAGACTTCATAATAGTGGAAGAGCTTGATAAGCAAGGCTAATGAATTATGCTGAAGATGGAGTAAGGTTTCCCACAGGGTATGGGATAGACTATTAATAGTTGTAAATACATAAAATTGTCATTTTATTTATTGATTGAGACAAGGTCTCGCTCTGTTGCCCAGGCTGGAGTACAGTAGCACAATCACAGCTCACTGCAGCCTCGAACTCCTGGGCTCAAGCGATCCTCCCATCTCAGTCTTCCAAGTAGCTGTGACTACTTGGAAGTAGCCACCATGCCTAGCTAATGTTTTAATTTTTTGTAGAGATGTGGTCTTGTCATTTTGCCCAGTTGATCTCAAACTCCTGAGATCAAGCAGTCCTCCTGCCTTGGCCTCTGAAAGTGCTGGGATTACAGGCACGAGCCACCATGCCTAGTCAAATTGTCATTTTAGATTCTACCAATGGCTAGCCACTTGTCTCTCTCTGACAGTGTTACTACCACATTTTATCAACTTTAAAAGGGATCGTGACAGTTTTTGCTGAAGAAATCACACATTCATTTAAAATTTTTCTTCAAATTATTTATATTTTTTCTGCTCTGCGTCTTGGGAGTAGTAAGTTCCAAAAGTTGTCTCCTGGCTTTAAAAAAGTAACTCTTTGTGTACGTCCATTATTTTTTCACATGAAATGGTTGGTTGCACCCCCACCAAAGAGCCCTATTAGAACATGCTCAATGTGTCCCATCTTAAGTTTCATGCCTCAAACCAAAGTCTCTCTCTCTTACATCACATTTCTACTTTCCTCCCTTTCACAGGAGTATTTCTCATAAAACTGTCTAACTTTATTCTCTCTTTTCTTCTAATTATCAACCTCTATCCTCATTCCTATATGCCTTCTGCTTTCAGCTTTATGTTGAAAAACACTGACTAATTGTACCCTATGTCCCTAAAACTAGGAGACATTTTTCACTTCTCATTTAGCTTGAATTTCCAGCAGTATTTGATTCTCTTAACCACTTGCTGCTTCTCAAAATGCTTTCTCCCTTGGCTTTTAGGTGTTTCTTCTCTTTCTGTTTTCAGCTTACCTCTCTAGCCCCATTTTCTTCATAGGCTAATTATCTTTTGCCCAGCAAGTAAATATTAGAGGTCCTCAAAACTCAGGCCTAGACTTTCTCTTCTTTTTACTCTATGTTTTCTCCCTAGATAGTCTCATTCTGCCTCTGCTGTCAGTTACCACGCATAGCCTAATGACCCTGGATGCACAGCTCCAGCTGTTATCTCAAAACTCGAGCTATGCATATCCAGTTACTTATTTAACATCACTTGGATGTCTCAAAGGCACCTGCAACTCAGCATTTCCAAAACTGAACTCATGATATCCCTCCCAAACTGATCATCTGTCTATGGGCCGTATCCTAGTTAATGGCACCATTATCCATGTTCCTAAGCAAAAACCTAGGTGTTTTCCTTGATACCTCTTTCTCCTGAACCCACCATCTGTAATCCATCAGCACCACATCCTGTTGATTTTGCTTTCCTAATTAATTTTCTAGGAACATTTTAATTAAGGTTTGTGAATAAGATTAGAATTATATCTTTAACCTATAGTACGTATTACGTCCTATAATAGTATGGAGTATAATACTACATTGTATTTTAAAGAAGCTCACTTTTTTCTGAAGTCTGAGAAACCATCATCTGCAGTAACCTTTTAATTGGTTTTGATCCTATTACTATGCTCCTTTAATTTGTTTTGTTGTTGTTGTTGTTGTTGTTGTTGTTGTTTTGAGACGGAGTCTCGCCCTGTCACCCAGGCTGGAGTGCAGTGGCAGGATCTCAGCTCACTGCAACCTCTGCCTCCCGAGTTCAAGTGATTTTCCTGCCTCAGCCTCCTGAGTAGCTGGGATTACAGGCGGATGCCACCACACCTGGCTAATTTTTTGTATTTTTAGTAGAGATGGGGTTTCACCGTGTTAGCCAGGATGGTCTCTCTCTGATCTTGTGATCTGCCCGCCTCAGCCTCCCAAACTGCTGGGATTACAGGCGTGAGCCACCACACCCAGCCTTATTTGTTTTTTACGTTGGAACCAAATCAGTGATTTGACTGGTACATCTTATCCTAGCTTAACCTCACAAATTAAGGCCAAAAATCTTAATAAGACATATGAGGCCCCCACTTCATGATTCTCCCTCAGCAGACTGAGTTCACACCAAAGTCCCCTTGTTTGTGTCCATTCAACTACAGTGGCCGTCACAAGCTGAACTTGAATACTTTCTCTTGCCATCAGCTCTTTCACATACTGTTGTCTCTGCTGAAACAGGTCCTTTACCTCCATTTCCTATCTTCTGCTGAGCTAAATCTCATTCATTCCTCAGAACAAAATGGAGACATCATAGCTATCTACTCCACTTCCTTTGATATGTCTCCCCAGAATCACTCAGCTAGAAATGATTCTTCGGTTGT
The DNA here is from genome assembly GCF_000001405.40 of Homo sapiens. Classification (NCBI taxonomy): domain Eukaryota; kingdom Metazoa; phylum Chordata; class Mammalia; order Primates; family Hominidae; genus Homo; species Homo sapiens. The sequence continues at coordinate 88,717,077 of NC_000014.9, read as the reverse complement.
ATGCTCTGATCAACTCTGTACCTTTACTTTGTGATGTATTATGAACTGTTCATGTATGAGTATTCCCAGGCTTTTGCCTCCTTCTGCTTCTTAAAAGAAACCATAGTGATCATATATTAGTCTCCCAGAGACTTAATTCAGAATGTTTTAAAAAATTAACAAATTTTCATCTAATAGTTGTCGTCTTTGCTTTAAATTTGTCAGAGAAACTCTTCATGTGAGAGAGTGGTCATATAATTCACAATATTGACGGAGCGATATTATACTAAAATACCAATCAGTCAACCACAATCTCTCTCTGTTACCTTCTACCGTGTGTGTGTGTGTGTGTGTGTGTGTGTGTGTTGGTGAGCAGTGGACATGTTAACAGAAAACCTTGGACATAAGACGTTCTTCTCTTCTTAATTGGAAGCAATTAAGTCTCTAAACAAAAATGCTATAAAAAATACCAAAATACTTCTGAAGAATTTTCCAGAAGCATTTTAATGCAGGTCATGAAGATTATAATTATAAAATTTTAAATAAAGGAGGCATAAAAAGTAAAAGCTGCCAAATAGTGCCTTAGACTTTTCTTAAAAATCTTACTCCATATAGGGAGGGAGGAATGGATGGATGGATGGATATGGAGCAAAGGGCAATACGGTATATGGATTTAATGTTAACTTGAAGGAGTCCCTGGGAAATGCAGAGGCAGCTGTATGAGTCTATGCATAGGAAGAGGACCTTGCAAGTTGCAGAGGCAGAAGTGATGTTGACCAGGGAAACTTTAAAAAAAAGTACAGAAGCTTCAAATAATACAATCTTGGATTTATCTTGGGGCTCATTTTTCTATTTCTATTTCTAGTACTATGTTGGTTAGCATAATCAGTAAGTACTGTAATTAACAGGCCCACAGCTGTATAGTGACTCAAATACAACTGAAGATTAATTCTTGCACATGTGTAACAGAAGTCAATAAAAGCAAAATTTTTCTGGAGAAAAGTCTCTGACACTGATTGAAAATAAGAATTTTTACTTCCCCCTACCTTTTCTCCCTCCCTCTGTTTCTCCTTCTCCTGCCCACAAACTCCACAACTTTGGAAACTCCGTGGTGTTTTACTACATATTTATCCATCTTTTGGTTGTTACTAATATCTGTATTATTTTGGATACTCAATAAGAAGTCATCATTGAAAAAAAGTTCCACTTCACTGGTCAACATGGTCCCTAAGGGAGGAATGTGTGTTCTATTTAAAAACGTCAAAAAGATTAGCCGGGTATGGTGGTGTGCACCTGTAATCCCAGCTACTCGGGAGGCTGAGGTATGAGGTGAGAATCGCTTGATCCCCAGAGGTGGAGGTTGCAGTGAGCCGAGATCATGCCACTGGACTCCAGCCTAAGCAACAGAGCGAGACTCTGTCTCAAAAAAAAAAAAAAAGTATTACTGAAGTAATATAGATGAATTCATCCTTTATTATTTCCTAAATGTAATTTTGCACATTTAGCTCCTTACAAAAAAAAATTGTTTGAAAATTATAGTGTTTAAATTAAACATTTTTCATAAACTCCATATTTACAAAGAACTTCTTTTACCATAAAAATCTATTACTTTATTTCCTTTATTCTTTATTAACTCCAGAAATTTAGTATGGATCTCTGAAGTACTTAAAGTAATTTAGAAACTGAAATTCAGCATTTTCCTGTACATCTGGCATATATTGTTTCCATGTATTTCTGTTCAGCAACGTATTGTTGCTGAATTAATACTACTTGTGTTATTTATGTTTACTTTATAGTTTATAAACACTTGATACAGCTTCACGGTCATTTTAGACATGTTTGAAACGGCATTAATTCTGTTGTGACTTCTGTTCATGTAGTCTCATTTTTTTCTTTTTAACAGAGATATGACGGAAGTTGTACATATTAAAGATAGGAAGGAGGCAATTCATGAGTTAAAATATTCACCAGATGGAACTTACCTTGCTGTTGGATGCAATGACAGCTCGGTTGATATTTATGGAGTTGCTCAGCGTTATAAAAAAGTTGGCGAGTGTTTGGGATCCCTTAGTTTCATCACTCATCTGGACTGGTCTTCAGACAGTAGATATTTGCAGACAAATGATGGAAATGGGAAAAGACTTTTTTATAGAATGCCAGGTAACAATTTCTAGCAAATTATAGATTTGTAGTACCTATACAATATTTTAGAGTTTTACTGGAAGCAGAGTGTAAGTTACATTTGATCATAGGAAATCAAAGAAGATCTGAGCTAATATTTCAGGCATTGTAGACTTTTCTACAATATAATACAATATATTATTGTATTCTACAATAATTCTACAATATAATACAATAAGGCTGCCTTATATTGAAATCCTTTTGGGTTTTTTCTCAACTCTATTGAGGTATAATTGACATTAAAAATTGTATATATTGAAAATTTACAATGTAATGTTTTGATAGATACATTGTGAAACCATTTCCACAATCAAGCTAAATGATGTATCTGCCACTTCACAGTTACCATTTTTGTGTGTGTGTGGTGAGAACATTTAAGTTCCACTCTCTTAGCAAATTTCAGGTATATCATACAGTAACAGCATTATTAACTGTACTCAACAAGCTGTATATTAGATCTTCTGAATTTATTCATCCTGTATAACTGAAACTTATATCTCCTTATATCCACCCCGGCCCCCACCAACCTCTACCTCTCCCAGTCCCTGGCAACTACTACTATAAATCCTTTGGTTCTTAATTAAAACTGCTTTGGCTGGAGGATCTAAAACAGATTCTCTTTTTATTGAATACCATACCATGAGTATAGTGTATGGTAAAGTACCACTGTATCTTAGTCAAAAATGCCATTTTTATGGGTGGAACTAATTAAGTGAATATAATTACTAGAAGTGTGTGACCAATACATTTTTTTTGTGTTTATCTCAAATAAACTTTGCAGGCTGGGCATAGTGGCTCACGCCTGTAATCCCAGCACTTTGGGAGGCCACAGTGGACCGACAGCTTGAGCCCAGGAGTTTGAGACCAGCCTGGGCAACATGGCGAAACCCTGCCTTTACTAAAAATACAAAAACTAGCCAGGCATGGTGGTATGCACCTGTGGTCCCAGCTATTCGGGAGGTCGGGATGGGAGGGTCATTTGAGCTTGGGAGGATAAGGCTGCAGTGAGCCGTTATGTTGCCACTGCATTCCAACTATGCCACAGATTAAGAGGCTGTCTCAAAAAAAAAAAAAAAACAAATAAACTTTGCAAATATTAATAATATAACTAACTAACTTTGAAAAACAGAATTGCAACCAAAGATTTTAAAAGAGAGGAATAGGCTATGTGCAGTGCCTCACGCCTGTAATCCCAGCACTTTGGGAGGCCAAAGTGGAAGGATCTCTTGAGCCCAGGAGTTTGAGAACAGCCAGGGAACATGGTGAGACCACATGTCTACCAAAAAAAAAAAAAAAAATGAGCAGGTTGTGGTGGCATGCACCTGCAGTGGGAGGATCATTTGAGCTGGGAGTTCAAGGCTGCTGGGAGCCAAGATCGTGCCAGTGAACTCCAGCCTGGGTGAAAGAGCAAGATCGTGGCTCTAACTAAACAAATAAGTAAATAAATTAACAAGTGAGTGAGTGCATGAATGGATGGAATAAAAGCAGAATCATCAAAATATTACCTATTAGTATTTTTTTTTTTTGAGACGGAGTTTCGCTCTGTTGCCCAGGTTGGAGTGTAGTGGCATGTTCTTAGCTCACTACAGCCTCTGCCTCCCAGGTTCAGGTGATTCTCCTACCTCAGCCTCCCGAGTAGCTGAGATTACAGGTGCCCACCACCATGCCCAGCTAATTTTTGTATTTTTAGTAGAGATGGAGTTTTACCATATTGGCCAGGCTGGTCTTGAACTCCTGACCTTCAGTGATCTGCCTGTCTCGGCCTCCCAAAGTGCTGGGATTACAGGTGTGAGCCACTGCACCCAGCCACTGCATAGTACTTTATTTGTTGTGACGCTTAGGGAATTAGTCACTATCTTCCAATAACCTATTATATAAAATTAGCTGCATAATTCAATTAATGCATCTCCCCAAAAGTTTTTCATTAACAGTCTATATGTAATGAAGACTGACCGGGTCCTAAAGTCCTCTTACCTAATGTAAATATATTATCCTACACTCATCCTTTCTTCTTGGTCTTTTCCAGTTCTCTCTTTTTCCTCAACTATGTATCTTAGGCTTCTTTTTTAATACCTGATTTGCCACTTTCTCATAGCTTTTACCTTTTTTATAACTTACCCTGTTATGACTAATCTGTATCATTTTTTAAATAAGATTCAGTTTTATTCTCCACATAATTGAACCTGCTAAGCTAATCATTCAAGGCAATGTGTGTCTCTGAATCAGTATAATTTCTGTAGTAGCTTTTTATAAATTTCTTGCATTTAGTTTTCTTTTCTCTTAACCCAAACTTATCTACCTATTTATGTATTTTCCTCTAAGTGGGGTGGGAAGATACATTAAATTTTGGAATTTACTATGTTCTCAGTACAGTTTAGGCTTGAGAAAATCAAATGAAATAACTTTTTAAATTAAGACTCTGATTTATTTTTAGGAGGAAAGGAAGTGACAAGTACAGAAGAAATAAAAGGTGTTCATTGGGCTTCATGGACATGTGTTTCAGGCCTTGAAGTAAATGGAATTTGGCCCAAGTATTCAGATATCAACGATATAAATTCAGTAGATGGAAATTATATTGGCCAAGTTTTAGTTACAGCTGATGACTATGGAATTATAAAATTATTCCGATATCCATGTTTAAGAAAAGGTACCTTTTCTTTCAAAATATTAAGTAACCTCTCTCTCACAGAAGACTTTCGTGTTCTTGCAGAAAATTAGTCTTGAGATAAAGGATTTCATATTTTTTAAAATTACACTGATTGGTGAAGGGTTTCATTTTTCTAATTCAAAAATTATTGTCATATGCTGCATTTATTTTGGTCATGAAGTTTTATTAGAAAATTCTTTTTGAATTCATATGTTGTTATGAATGCACTATATCTCTTTCTTTTCAAAGAAACGTTTTTCTTTTCACTTCGTGAATTCTTTCATAGAGTCAGACTGTACAATGATGGTTGTATTTTTTTTTTTTTTTTGAGACAGGGTCTCACTCTGTTGCCCAGGCTGGAGTGCAGTGGTGATCTCTGCTCACTGCAGCCTCCACCTCTTGGGTTCCATCAACCCTCCTGCCTCAGCTTCCCAGGTAACTGGGATTACAGGCATGTGCCACCATTCCCAGCTAATTTTTGTATTTTTAGTAGAGACAGGGTTTCACCATGTTGGCCAGGCTGTGTCTTAAAGTCCTCACCTCAGGTGATCTCCCCACGTCAGCCTCCCAGAGTACTAGGATTACAGGCATGAGCAGGGTCTGATATGGTTTAGCTTTGTGTCCCCAGCCAAATCTCATTTTGAATTGTAATCTCCAGGTGTTAAGGGAGGAACCTGGTGAGAAGTGATTGGATTATGGGGGCAGTTTCCTCTATGCTGCTGTTGTGATAGTGAGTGAATTCTCACGAGATCCAATGGTTTTATAAATGGTAGTTTTTCCTGTGATCTCATGGACTTCTCCTTCATGCCACCCTGTGAAGAGGGTGCCTTGCTTCCCCTTCACCTTCTGCCATGATTGTAAGTTTCCTGAGGCCTCCCCAGCCATGCTGAACTGCTGAACACTTTTAAACCATCAGATCTCGTGAGAACTCACTCACTGTCACGAAAACAGCATGGGGGAAACTGCCCCCATGATTCGATCACCTCCCACCAGGTCTCTCCTTCAACACATGAGGATTACAATTCGAGATGAGATTTAGGTGGGGACACAGAGCCAAACCATATCAAAAGACTGGCTAAATATCTAACAATTAAAGTACCCTATTTCTGAGTCCCACCACATAGCCAGGACATGAGAGTCACCATGCACAACAAATTTTAAGATGATACTTGCCTGGTTATGAAGTGTGAGATTCAGTAGTAGTCATGATGATCTTCCTCTTAGACGTTGCTCCTACTTACTGTTTCACATACTGACCTCTATGCAAAAACAAAAATGCTTTAATCTTCTTAGTTTTCTTAGTCAAGTGAATAGGATTTATTGATTATTTTTATCATTTGCAAGAGAGAAGTCGATATTATTGCACAATAATTTTATTTCATTTATAAAATGTGTAGTAGTTCTTTGAACTGCTGTGTGAATATTTTACCAAAGCCTAAGAAAATTAGTCTTGTCTAAGAGATTATTCACTCCTTCAAGGACATAAGTATAAATTGCTTCTCTTTTTTGTTTCCCATTTGTTAGCTTTTTTGTTAGTAATTTATTTTCTAGTAAGGATGATTTCTATTTCTAGGCACTTGTGAGTCAGCTTGAGATTGTAGCTAGGTAAGTGGGAAAGACAGAATACGACTACTGCATTTTTAATGGATTAATATAAGTATTTTAAGATTTTATGTTTTGCAGACCACTTAGGCCAAAAAAGATTATGTATTAATTGAATTCACATAATTACATACCTTGAAGTTGGCAGTATTACTAGAAATATACTCTTTCTTTTAGATTAATTATTAAGTTGCATTGCTAGTCCAACTTAGAAAAATGTAGCTGGTGTATTAATATATTTTAGATATCCACTCAGGTAATATTCATTAGGTGACTTCTTAGAAGTGCAGCATTTACAAAATGTGGACTTTAAATAATAGAAGTAGTTTATGTTATAGAATCATTGTAATTGAAACAAAAAATATACGAAGTTAGCTCAAAGAGAGAATGATCATATGAACCACATATACCCTACATACTGCACTTTAATTTCAGCCCAAAGCATTCCACCCCTCTTCATATTTTTTTCTTCATTATCATCCTCTTTTTCTCTAGTTTCACCTGCTCTTGACCATAATCTCTCTGAAAGAATCCAGGACTCTTCCTAGGCAGCAGCATAGGGGCTGTGGTGGACAGTGAGCAGGTCAGGGTCAGGGAGAATGGAGAGGTGAGGGCAGAGTTACGTTAGCCCATCACCTCCATCACTGTTAATAATGGCCAAGACCCCCTCTGTACTTCTTGTTGACAAATGAAAATTTATATTTGGAGAAAATATCATTTAGATTCCAGGAAATTCATAGGAAAAACCAAATATCTAACAAAGAAAAATTTATAACGGGGACTGATTCAGTGCTGTTTTCCATATTGTTGCGTGTAGCTTTAATGCCTTTTTTTCACTGCTGCAAAATATTGTGTTGTAAGTATATGCTGCAATTCATGCATTTATTCTCCTGTCATTGGACATTTGGGTCATTTCCCATCTTTTGATATTAAATGCAGGTTTCTCAAAGGAGTGAAATAACTAGGAGTGAAATTTCTGGGTCATGGAGAATGTGAACGTTATAAGAAAATACCTAAATATTTTCCAAAGTGGTTATCCAGTTTTACAAAGCCTATTGATTCAGCACTTGATATTGCTATACTTTCTAACTTTTGCAAACCCAGTTGGTGTAAATGATGTCACATTGAGGTCTTAATTTCCATTTGTCTGACTACAAATGAGGTTAACCATCTTTTAAAATATGTTTTGGTCTTCTGTGTTTTCTCCTCTGTCAAACATGGGTTCATATCTCTTTCCTATTTTCTGTTGGGTTATTTCTTTTATTGATCTTTAAGAATTACTTTATATACTCTAATAATACAAATGCTTTGTAATTTTTATAGTTTGCAAATATCTTTTCCCAGTTTTTGGCTTGCCTTTTTATTTTCTTAATGATGTGTTTTCTTGGCCAGTTCTTAATTTCAGTGTAGTCAAGTCTATTTCTCTTTCTTTTCTTATAGGTAGTGTAGTTTTGTATATTAAGAAATTCTTACTTTTACTAGGGTCAGAAAGATATTTTCATATATTTATTATTCCCATATCTAGAAGTTTAATATCATTAAAACATAGTTAAATGGAAAAAAATCTTTTGTCATATTGATACCATATATTGAAAATATTTAGATCATATTACCCTTGTGTGAAAATACACATTAAAACACATTATAAAAGAAATGGAATCATTGAAACACAAATATTTTAGTATATTTCTTTATCCTTACCAAGAATTTTCATCCTCTTTTAAATTAGGAAGCTTCTATGATCATTATAGTTTGTCTTGATAAATTTTTTCTCTGAGATATTTGTACTAATTGATGATACACTGTTTAGGCCTTAACTATTCTTATTACTGAATCATTTTTTATCATAGTTTTCATAATCAAAAGGTACCTTGTGAGCATATAATCCAATTTACATTTAAAACTGAGAAAATGGAGTCCAAAAGAGGTTTGGTGGAATGCTCAGACTTCCGTGCTATTAAATGATGCTCAAGCACTAGTCTTTTGATTTCAATTCTAATATTCTTTAAGGCACATCAAACTTTTGCCCTCTTCTGTGCATTATAGGGGTTGGAATCATGTTCATGCCCTCTCAGTTTCCTTTACTACTCTTTCCTACATTACAGTCTAGCATTCCAACTCAAAAGTCCAAGCAGAGCAAAAGGAAATATAATCTTTGCTTTTCCTTTCTTTTTCTCTTTCTTCAAATATCTAATGAGTGTTTGCTATATACCAGGCACCAGAGATATATATTAAACAAGACACCACTGCTGTCTTTAAAGAGCTTATAGTTTTATTGGAGGAGTTAACAAGTAAATAGACTATTACATTTCAGTGTTATATAAATATAATCACAAGGGGTAATCACAGAGAATTCTGGAAGCATGTAACTTGGTCTTGGTGAGTCAAAGTCATTTCATGAAAGATATGATATCTAGGTTCACTTTTAAGATACCCATTTATCAGAACAAGTTATTAAAAATTAAACTGGTTATTAAAAAATTAATACAGTCCCATTGACTAAAAATACTGGTTTCTCTTAGACTTATTTTACAACTTTCTTGTTTAGCTGCCTTGGTTTATCCAAGAGGGTCTTTGAGAAGTCTCAAAGAAAAGTTTGGAAGGGACTTACAGGATTATTTGTACCTCTCTCTATCACTCGGTATAGGCAGATCAGATGCTGAGATAACTCTTTAATTGTCCTAACATAACAAATTAGTAGATCTTAGAACTTGGAATTTTATTTGTTAGAATTTCTGGCTTTAACTTTTCAGACTCTCTGATGTCTAAGAGTGCTTAAGGGTTGCATCAAAGGTAGTAGTAGTAGCCAAAGCCCTCTTGACAGGCAAGTAATGCATTCCTATATAAGAGCCCTTACCTCATAGGACTTTGCTGGGCTGAACTATGCGAAGTTAAATTAGTGACTTATATTAAGCTACATAAAAAATTTATTCCTAAAATAACAGTATTACTATTAAGCAGCAGTAAATTATAACTTTAGATGAGTTTTGATTCTATCTCATGCATTAATGATGATAGTTATCTTAAATTAATGACTAAGATGAAAGTTTTTCTCCAGAATTTCGTTGATGGGGCTTTGACATCCTGATATACAAGTCTTCTATAACTTAATATAAAGTGTTTAAAACAATATCAAAAGGAAGCTAAGCATCATTGTATCCTGTGTATTTTAATAAGAATATCTGTATAATGCCACATACCAGGAGGAGGAGATAGAGAATATATTCTAAAAATATATTCCTGTCAGATGTGGTGGCTCATGCCTGTAATCCTGACACTTTGGGAGGCTAAGGCAGGAGGATTGCTTGAGCCCAGGAGTTCGAGACCAGCCTGGGCAACATAGCAAGACCCTGTCTCTGCCATAAATAAATAAATAAATAAATAAATAAATAAATAAAATATATCCCTATTATCACATAGATTTTTAAGAAAATTAACCACAAAGTTAAATGATTCCTTTATTATTGGAGAAATTGGGTGTATACCACCATAGCCAAATGATGCAGCTTAACATCTCTAATGATAGAACTGACCATATCCCCTGAAATGACATATCCAAAAGGATACAACATTGCCCTTACCCAAAACACATCACCTGAATCTAATCATGAGGAGGCATTAGACAAAACCCAAATTGAAAGATTTTTTTTAAATATCTGGATTTTTAAAATGATTATAAAGGACATTGTTGGAACAACTGGGCATATTTGACTTTGATTAATATGATGCATTACATTGATTGACTTTTTAATGTCGAACCAAACTTGCATTCCTGGCATAAATCTCATTTGATTATGTTGTGTAATCCTTTTTATATGTTGCTGAATTCATTTTGCTAATATTTTCTTGATGACTTAAGTCTTAAAAGGATCCTCTGGCTGCTTGGGTTGAGAATAATGGGGGTAAGGTCTAGTTGATTAGTCCTTTGAATTTCACTTAAGCCCAAAGGCCTCAGGCCAAAACATTCAAATGTTTTAATATAAAAACAGTTGATCCCCAGGTTTTTCTCAAAGTGGTAAGATAATGCCTCACAGCCTTTGTGGTTCCTTGTGAATCAGCAGAGGAGATATTTGCATTCCTTGATACAGATTCATTCATTTGTTCAATTTTTGAGTCAGCATTTTTCCCATTTGTTTATAATTCAGATAGAAGGATGATACAGTGGTTCATATATAAAAATTGTTTGAAATGGTATTTTGTTTAGCATTTGTTTATCAATTTAAAGATATATTTTTATTATAGGGGCCAAGTTTAGAAAATATATTGGCCATTCAGCTCACGTAACTAATGTCAGATGGTCACATGATTATCAGTGGGTTATTTCTATTGGTGGAGCAGATCACTCTGTCTTTCAGTGGAAATTTATTCCTGAAAGAAAACTGAAAGATGCTGTTCACATAGCACCCCAAGGTGAGTAGTATGCATTAGCTAAACAGTTTCCCTGTCAAATAATTCTTCAGTAACCCCCAAATAACAATTTTATATTAAAGTATAATCTGGCCTCATAAGTTAACAGTGTAGTTTGTTATTAGTAGAAATTTCAAGTTAAAATATTAGTTCTATATGTTTAAAGTTAGATGTCACAGAGTGTGAAATACAAAGTAATTTTGATTGCGTTTTAATCTATCAAATAATGAGTGAAGAAACAGTTATATTAATAGCAAAACAAACATTTAATATATCCTCTGAGAGATGGGTATCTAGATTTTGTAAATGCTTTTATTGACAAAAATTATCTAATGTCAATTCATCTGTTGCATATAGTATTTTTAGCTATTTTTCATGTTAATTATAGGTTATATTCACTTATATTTGCACAGACATTTAAATTTGATGTAGCGGTCATTGGGGAGCCAGTGAAGGGATTTAAAGGAGCTATTGAGTTTGCAGTGAGTGGAGAGGAAGATAATCTGTAGTACAGTTTACTGACATCTGTGTCACTTGAATAGGTAATTTCATTTGATTGTTTTATGGCTTGTCTCCATGTCAACTGACATAGCTCTTAATCATTAATTTTTCAGTGCTGTTTTGAAAATGAATCTTCTTTAAACAAGTAACATTTCATTTTTAAAAATTACAGAAAGTCTGGCTGACTCTCATAGTGATGAATCAGATTCAGATCTGTCTGATGTTCCAGAACTGGATTCTGAAATTGAACAAGAGACACAGCTCACCTACCGTCGACAGGTAATTTTCCATATCACATGGTTTTTCTCTAAAAAGTCTAATTTCTTCTTTATCTTGCTCCCCGTTAGTCATCTGTTGTTATCTTTTGTGGCTTTAATTTCTCAAGCAATGTATGACTATATTAGTTTTCCCACTGTCAGTGTTAGAGTACACTTGTGTAAAATTTTTTTTATATTAAATGCTTGGTATATTAAGTATGCTTGCCTTCTATTTGCCTATAGGATTTTGTCATAGTATACTCACATTTATTCCTTTAACAATATTCTTTTATGAAGTATAAAAATTTCCTGGAACACTATGTATCTATTTGTCAGTGTGATATGTAGAAAATGTGAATTTGTTTGTTCTTTCCGAGGGAGTAAATTTCATGAATTAACTTTTCATTTAAGACTACTATTAAAGCTGTTGTTTTCAGACAATGTCTGAAAGTTATATTGGGAGTATACGAACACCTTTATTAGTATATATTCTAAGAATATTTCTACTTGTATACATTTTTAAAGGTTTACAAAGAAGATCTACCTCAGCTTAAAGAACAGTGCAAAGAGAAACAAAAAAGTGCTACTTCTAAAAGAAGAGAGCGGGCTCCAGGAAATAGTATTCGATTACACTTTGTTCACGGGTATAAAACAACTATCTTTCATTTATTTGTTTGAATTTTGGTTCACACTTACTAGCTTAACATCTCTAATGATAGAACTGACTGTATCCCCTGAAATGACATATCCGAAAGGATACAACATTGCCCATGGGGAAAACACATCACCTGAATCTAATCATGAGGAGACATTAGACAAAACCAAATTGAAAGATATTTTTTAAAATATCTGGATTTTTAAGATGATTATAAAGGACATTGTTGGGACAACTGGGCATATTTGACTTAGAGTAATACATTACATTGTGTGTAATATATTAATGATATGTGTGCTTTGTGACTTTAAACAAGTCACTTAACCTCTCTGTGTCTCTTTTTTTCTGTCTGTAAAATGGAGATAATAGTACTGTGTTAGTCCATTTCACATTGCTATAAAGGAATACCTGAAGCTGGATAATTTATAAGGAAAAGAGGTTTATTTGGCTCAGTGTTCTGCAGGCTGTACAAGCAGGGCACCAGCATCTGCTCAGCTTCTGGTGAAGCCTCAAGAAGCTTTTACTCATGGCAGAAGGCAAAGGGGGAGCAGGTGTGTTACCTAGCAAGAGAGAGAGCAAGGAAAAAGGGATCGAAAGGGAAGGGGGTTTCTGGACTCTTTAAGCAATCAGATCTTGTATGAACTAATCAAGAGAGAACTCACTCATCACCAAGGGGATGGCACCAAGCCATTCATGAGGGATCAGCCCCCATGACCCAAACACTTCCCACCAGGCCTAATATCCCACACTGGGGATCACATTTCAGCATGGGATTTGGACAGCACAAATATCCGAATCATATCAAGTACCTACCTTACAAGGTTCTGATGAGGAGTGAATAAGGCAATGCTAGTGGTGACTTACAACATTATGTGGCACATAATAAGCACTATGTAAGTGTTTATTAAATAAAAAATAAATTTGTCTTATGAAAGTTTCATATGTATGGAAATGGGCCTCTTTAAACAATTAAGTAAAATGTAAGAGATAATCATCTCCCCTCAATATGTCTAATTTGGAATGATATTGTGACTTCTTCTTGCATGAGCATTTTTGCCTAAATATTTTAATTTCACCAAAATACGGGTTCTGGATTCTCTTAGAACATCTGGCAATACGGGTCTCACATTTCAGCTTGGCAGAAACAGATTTTCCAATCTGACTCTTTTCTACCATTCACCCAGCATTCGTTTTCTTACCTGACTGATAATACTTATCAAGAATTTGAAAAAGGATTTAATTAGTACAAGTATTTTTTCTCTAGTGTTAAAATGGCAGTAGTTTCTATGCAGTTGTATTTTATGAATTGGGTTTCTTTGAAGTGCAAACCAAGGTTGCTATAAATAGACTTATATTGACCATTTTAAGATTTGACTACTTTGTCTTGGATGAGGATAATATTTTAAAATTGTAGTTTAAACTTATTTTTGGAATATACGTTGTATTCTCATGGTCCAACAATGTGTATAAAAGGGTACAGTTTGAAAATCTTTCTCCCACCTCTGCCCTCCCAGCCATCATTTCCCCTCTCTGCAGATAGTTACTGTTACTTAGTTTCAGAAATACTTATACAACAAATACAAATATACTTTTCTATACCTTTTACTTATAAAAAGCAATTGTTTTTGTTTTATAGTATACAATTTTAATATTATACTTATGTAAATGGTAGTATACTATACATACTATTTTCTACCTTGTTTTTTTCACTCAGTATTATAGCTTAGATTTAGCTATTTGCAGTCCGAGCAGTTCATAAAAGTTTATTGGATCTGAGATGGTGGTATTTTTTTAATTGTTCAGGCTGGGCATGGTGGCTTACACCTGTAATCCCAGCACTTTGGGAGGCCAAGGTGGGTAGAGCTCCGGAGTTTGAGACCAGCCTGGGCAACATGGCAAAACCCCATCTCTATGAAAAATACAAAAATTAGCCAGGCATGGTGGCGCACAGCAGTAGTCCCAGCTACTTGGAGGGCTGAGGTGGGAGGATCGTTTGAGCCTAGGTGGTCAAAATTGCAGGGAACTGCAGTCACACCACTGCACTTCAGCCTGAGTGACAGAGCGAGACCCCATCTCTTGAAAAAAAATTGTTTAGTATCCTGTAAAACTGGAAATTGAATGATTCACCCAAAGGGTACCTACTTCTCCCCTGTATATTCTGTATTGATCAGATAAAAGGCCAAAATTAATTATATATGATTTGTTTTCTATATTAGTTACAGAGGTTATGACTGTCGAAGTAATCTGTTTTATACTCAAATTGGTGAAATTGTGTACCATGTGGCAGCAGTGGGTGTCATTTATAATCGACAGCAAAACACACAGCGTTTTTATCTGGGTCATGATGATGATATTCTCTGCCTAACTATTCATCCTTTGAAAGACTACGTGGCAACAGGCCAGGTAGGTTTGAAAGACTGACAATAAGCCAGATAAGCTACACCTTTGTTTGAGTTTAAATAAATTAATCACATATCTCTTTTATGTTCTAGGATATGAAGAGTAAAGAATTCTTTAGAATGAGTTTTATTTTCAGATTATAAATAAAATTTACCCCAAACTTTTTTCCTACAGTTTTAGAGTTTTTATTATTTTAATTCATATTATTTTAATTTAAATTTGGAACTCATAGCTCTGGCTTGTTTTATTTCTGTCATGATATTAATTTTTTAAATTAGTAAAATTAGAGAAAACATAAAGACTAGAAATCTGGTGTCTTTAGGTTGAGTTACCTAAAACAAATGTAAATTATTTAACAAATGTCCTGTGACAAACCAAAGGACTATGTCTCTTTATTTTACAACCATGATAGTAATCTATTCAGGTTTACCAAAGTAGAAAGCACAAATATTGAAATAAAAAACCCTGAGAAAATCTTAACTGATACCTCTCTATATGGATATTCTTAGAGAAGGAAGGGAAGAAATGATGTTTATAGATTCTTCCTTTGTGTAAGTACTTTACTAGTTTATTAATGTATATTTATTTTATTCTCACCTCAACCATGTGAGAGTAAAATTATTTCCTTCAGTCTACAAATGATGAGGTTTAGGTTTGGAGAAATTAAATAATTTGCTTAAGATCAATCAGTTAATAGGTAGTAAAGCCTAAAGCCTTCAGTCTGTCTGGCTTTAAACACTGTGTAAATATACCTTCTAGCTAGGATATGTGGAAAAGGGATCAACTTGCATCCTCCTATATAGCTTTCCTGAAAGGAGAGAAAACTCCTCCCTTTTTTCTTTCTCCCATTCTTCTTCCTTTTTCTTCCTTTCTTTGTGCCTCTCCTTACTTGCTCTTTCTCTCCTTCCTTTCCCTCTCCTTCTTCCTTTCTTTCATTCACTCAAAAACATTCATCAAGCACATTCTATGTACCAAGAAATGTGCTAGGAATATAAAGATAAATAAGACAACTTCTTGTCATGGTGAAAACTCACATTCTGAGTTGTGATACAGTGTCCTAAGTATAGAGCAGAGAAGCTTCTCTGATCTATATTTATGACAATACCTTAGCACTATTGATGTTTCGGGGCAGGTAATTATTTGTTGTGGGAGGCTGACCTATGCATTGTAGGATATTTAGCAGCATCCCTGGTCTCAACCCATTAGAAGCCAGGAACACCCACTTCCCTGAGTTGTGGCAACCTAAAATGTCTCCAGACAGTACCCAGATGTCCCTTGGAAGGCAAAATCACCCTGTTTTTAAATGTAGAAATATGTACAAAGCCTGGTAGCAATGTAATGAAGAACTAATGATTAATTTTGCCCAGTAGAATCGAAGAAACCCTCATAGAGATGATGACATTTGAGCTGAGTTGTTTACCTGGCAGAGGGGAAGTTGGGGGAAAGCATTCTAAGTGTATTACAGCATCTGTAAAAGTAGGGCAAAAAAAAACCCAGCTTATTTAAAGAACTATGAGTAACTCACAGTGTTCAAATCTTAGAATGCATTATGGACATTAGTTGAGGAACTAATCAGGAGGGTAGGTAGAGGTTAAAACTACCTGGTTATCCTATATATTAACACAAACTGGGTCTTGGATGCACAGTTGTATTTAATGGTTTACGATCTAACCTTTCCGGTACAGGCACTTTCTGAGAAACGTTTGTCCTCATTTGGGACATTTTGTTGTCAGGTTTTTGTGTTTGTTTTTGTGGGTATTTGCCTCATTCCACCTCTGAGTTTTCAGGTAGACAGATGTGATTAAAAACTCTGTTCTAAGGTGCTTGTTGTAGTGGAGTAATGGGTTTGCAGTAATAAGTCATGCTTTTCCACTGAAGGGGAGGGCTTGGGAATCCCTGAGACTAGATAAAGTTAAGTCGTTGGAAGAATTCCTTGATTGGAAATTTTTCCTTTGTGTTTTGATGCTTTGTTTCCTGAAAATAACTCAGGGATGCTCCTGGTTTGTCCATCTACTGTTTTGATTCCTTGGATCCCACCCATTCTTTCACTTTAAGAAAAAAAAACAAATAATTGTTGCAGAGGTCTCTGTATTTTGCAGCTTCCCTTTTGTAAGAAGCACTTTTCCCAAATAAAACAATTTAAAAAAAAAGAAATTTAGATGAAAAATCTAGAGAGTTTTGTCTTTTGGAGAATTAAATACAAAGAATAACCTCTTGTCAGTAACTGTGATCTTAAGTGGAAATGAAAGAATGTGAAAGAAACTTACCTGGAAAGTCGAATAACATGACTAATTGTACTATAATTTGGAAATTTTGTTTAATTCAGCAAATACTTGTTGAGTGCTTCCTATTCAAAAGCATTAAATGTTGTGGGGAAACACAGAGATAACTCAGACTGGCTGCCACTATCGGGAGCTCACAATGTAGTATAAGAATTGGACAAATTATTCTGTGTGTATATGTATGTGTGTGTGTATATATGTGTGTGTGTATATATAGATATAATTCACTAAAAATACACTGATTTAGATGTCTTGTGGGCAACTCAGATTCAACATATCTAAAATGGAGATAAATAGGATTAATCTTCCCTTCCAAACCTGTTCATCGTTTCGTGTTTCCTTCTTAGAACATAGCAGTGTATTAACTTGGTTGCCTAAGCCTGGAAGTTAATCTTGTTCTTCACCCCTAAAGCTAGTCAGTCCTCAAGTAGCACCCATTCTTTCACCTGAATATATATTTATTCTTTATCTTCAATATTCTTTTCATCTTTAATTTTTCCATATCTCTACTGACAATCAATGCTTCACAATTTCTAAAACATTACTATAGCCATTGGTCTTCTGCTTTTTTCCTCTATCCATTTTTCCCATTCACTAGTAATCTTTCTAAAAGTCTTAAAATTCTTTCATATTTATTAGTGTTAATAGCCTGTAGGCTGTCTAAACAGCTGTCTAAATAGCCACAAGCTATAAATGATAAGAGATAAAAAGGGGAGGTTGGAGAGTCAGACTTGGTTAAATGCAATTCAAGGCATAACATTAATGCAGAGTTGGAAGTTGACTCCCAATGCAATTCAAGGCATTTAACCAAGTCTGACTCTCCAACTCCCCTTTTTATCTCTTTCTATTTGCCTCTTTGTAAACTATTTTTTTGCCTTCTGAGATAGATAGAATTTGTCCAACACGTATAATGCTATTTCACATCTTTTACTTAGTTCCTTCGTCTTGGAAAACTCTTCCCCTCCACTTCTATTCAACCTTCCAACTTTATCTAATTTCTGCTCCTTTTAAGACTTAGGCTAAGCCTATCTGAGAACTCTCCCAACCTCTCCCTTCTCCCCTTCATCCCTGAGTGAGATGCCCTAAGTGTACTTTAATAGTACTCAATATTATACTAAATACTGTCTATACCTCATGGAATGTGATATTGAAATCCAAGCCTTTCCACTTATTCGCTACTGGCAAATTACCTAACCTCTCTTTACCTTCGTTTCTTCATCCTTTAAAATAAGGATGTTATCTGTTCCCATCTCGTAGAGTTGTTGTGATTGGTACATGAGTCAATGTTCGTAAGGTGCTTAGAACAGTTTCTGGCACATAAATTACTTCTCAGTGAGTGTTAGTCATCATCATAATTTCCAGGTGAGATGTCCAGTAGACAATTGAAAATGTAAGTCTTGGATTCAGAGGAAAAGTAACTGCTCGAGAGAAGGACTTGGGAGGTATTTATTGATTTAACCACTGAAACTATAGAAGTGAGATACCTCAGGGCAAAAATGAAGAATGAGAAGACTGGAGAATTAAAGACCACCTTGGGAGAGGTTTGTATTTAAGTAACAGGTGAGGAAATTGAGAAGGAAACTCAGTAGTAGGAGTCAAGGAAGCTGGGCGCCGTGGCTCATGCCTGTAATCCTAGCACTTTCGAAAACTGAGGCGGCAGATCACTTGAGCCCAGGAGTTCAAGACCAGCCTGGACACGTAGTGAAACCCCATCTTTACAAAAAATACAAAAATTAGCCGGGCATGGTGGTGCATGCCTGTAGTCCCAGCTACTTGGGAAGTTGAGACAAGGAGGATCACTTGAGCCTGGGAGGCGGAGGTCGCAGTGAGCCAACATCATGCCATTTCACTTCAGCAGGGCAACAGGAGTGAAACCTTGTCTCAAAAAAAAAAAAAAAAAAGGAAACTGGAGAACCAGAAGAGAGTAGTACAGTAAAATCATCAAAAGCATCAAATTCTGTAGAAGTTTTTATATAAAAAGAAAACTTAAAAGTTACTGGTACTACTGTGTACCCACAAAAAATGTTAAAAATTTTCTAAAAAGTTACTGGTAATGTTTGGCTGAATAACTTAGTGAAATATTGGCTGATTGCAGTGTTATTTGTTATATCTTTTTATAAAATCAATCTCGGCCAGGTGCGGTAGCTCACACCTGTAATCCCAGCACTTTGGGAGGCCGAGGCAGGCAGATCACCTGAGGTCGGGAGTTTGAGACCAGCCTGACCAACATGGAGAAACCCTGTGTCTACTAAAAATACAAAAAATTAGCTGGGTGTGGTGGCACATGCCTGTAATCCCAGCTACTTGGGAGGCTGAGGTAAGAGAATCACCTGAACCCAGGAGGTGGAGGTTGCGGTGAGCCGAGATAGCGCCATTGCACTCCAGCCTGGGCAACAAGAGTGAAACTCCATCTCAAAAAAAATAAAAAATAAATAAATCAGTCTCAAAATTAACTATAATTGACAGCTCTATTAATTATTTCAGGAGTTGTCTCTATATACAAAGATATTATATCTCTTTATGCTTATGGTTAAAGAAAGTGATTACTTGAGTCTAGAGGAATAATTAAGAATTGATAGTTTACCTGTGCATTAGTGAACATCATAAACCAAGTTAAAAAATAAGTGACAGAGTGCTGCAGTAGATTTGCCTTTTCAGGTCTATAGACATGCTTGGTACTTTAACCCCCTCTGAATATTTGTTTACCCCATTATTTTAGTCTAGAATTCTTTATATTCAAGTTCTGTGCTTTCTGAAGGCCCACCTCCAGTACCTTCTCTTCTATGGACTCATTCTGCACAGCCTTTTCATGTTCATTAAGCATCTATTAAGAGGTGTTTGTCTTTCATTGATAATGTCCTGTTTTTCCAGTGAGTTTGCAAAAGTTACCTGAATGTCTTATTGCTCGTTGTATCTAGCATACAAACAATAGATATTCAGTAAGCATTTATCATCTTTATTGATGAAATATATGATAAAAGTCACATAGTGTTAGTTACATCATTCCTGGAAACACTGAGCCTAGCCTCATTAGCTTTTGAACAAGCATAAGAAAAAAATATCAGTCACTTATATAGTTTGCTTTAAATTTTTATTTAATAAATTTCTGTGGTAAATAAGTCAAGCTGTAAAAATCTCTTGTTTTATTTCCTTTTAGTAGATATGGAAATAAATAATTTAATTGTATTTAATAGCTTCTATAATTCTATTTTAGGTTGGTAGAGATCCCTCAATTCATATATGGGATACAGAGACCATTAAACCATTGTCCATATTAAAGGGCCACCACCAGTATGGTGTTAGTGCCGTTGATTTCTCAGGTAAGGCTGTTTGCTGTCTCAGTAAGAATTAACAAAATGCAGAGGCAACACATAGCATTTTAATCTAAGTCAGTGTTACCTAAGCTTGTCATTTAGCTGTGACATTCACAGTTTTTATCAAATGTGTATACTGTTATCCTTATCAAATACTATGAAAGTGTGGATTTGCTAGCTAGTTTATAATTATAACTTAATGAGTATAGTTTTAATACTTATTAAAATTTACATGTTTCTGTTAACATAAAAATGTTTATCTACGTAACAACCTAAATTCATCTCAGTTACCACAGGTGGTTTGCATCTCCCACGCTGGGAGGGCACTGATCTCACTTACCGTTTTATAGCCAGAGTAAACTTTGAAAATGTTTAGGGTAAAAGGCTAGCAAAGAAAGAGTTGAGAATTGAAATACTTATTTTAGACATATTTATACAGTGACAATTTTAAACTGTCTTGTAAAAATAATTTCAGATCATATTAGCGCTTTTCTGTTTGTTTAAAAGTTTGACCACTACAGATAGATCTACGGTGAAAGCTAGGGTGTGAATTGGGAAGAGGGAGGAAATACATTAATAGAGAATTCTATATTAAGAAACAGTGAATTAATGCTTTTGCTGCTCTGACTGAAGTGATAAATTATCCATAGTAGAGTTCAGAGGGAAATATATATATATATATATATATTCAAAGAGTTGCTAACAGTTAAGAAACTAGAAAATGAATTGCAAGCTAAGTGAGTCACCACGAAAAATACCACTGGAGCAGTGAGGAACTAATTGAGACTTGCAAAGTGTGGTAAAATGGAAAATATTTTCTTGTGGTCTGAGCCTTTACAGCCTGTAAACATGCACACCCATAGGATATTCACTGATCATTTGTCGCAGTGATTTGTCTAATATATTCATTATGTATTGCTTGAATGATTGACCTTTACTAAAAGTAGTCATATTAGTGGCAGCATGTTGTTGTAACTTACGTGTTTTTCATTTGATTAACTTTTCATAATTACTCAAAGTTCTTATATTACAGTAAATTTCTTATGATGAATTTAATTAAATATTTTCTTCATCCCTTTGTTAGTTTTCCCTTTCCTTCTATTTTTTAAATCTCTTTTTTCCATTTTTCTTATCTCCCTCCTCCCATCCCAACCTGATGGATAGATAAGGGAAAAGGAGATCAGGTGCGATGAGAGCAGATACATTTAGAGGATTTGAGAAACTTTTATTCTCCCTCCCTTATAAATTCTGGTTCTTTTTATAGGTGTATGCATGCCTAACATTTAACATTATTTTATCAAATTTTAAATATAGGATGTGGGTTTAGAATATATACTGAATGTTTTCTCTCTTCTGAATGTTAATAGTCAGTTTATCTCTCTCATTAATTTTCCACAGCGGATGGGAAACGTTTGGCATCAGTTGGCATAGATGATAGCCATACTGTTGTGCTCTGGGACTGGAAGAAAGGAGAGAAACTTTCAATAGCAAGGTAGGAAAAAAACTTGATATCACATTTGCAAAATACTAGAATTACTTTGGACTTAAAAAAATTTTTAATTAAAAGAATTTTGAAATCAAGCAAATATGTAACTTTTTATTGCTTCCATGTTTATTACCATTGAATAAATAATATAATCATAGTAAATGATTTCAGAATTTCTTTGTAGATTTATCCCTTGTGAACCCACTTTTAAATATAACTATAATATGGCATTGGATATAACTATCTAAAATCTCCACGTACAGTTAGAATGTGTTCTACTGTATGATAGGCTATTATATAGCTGTTGGAGACCATGTTCAAATGCTTATATTATATATTAAAGTGAAAAAAGATATATATGCATATATGTCACAAAGAAGTTATAGGTTTTTATTTTCTTATATTTTTCTTCATTTTCTAAGTTTTCTACAGTGAGCATGTATTTTTTATAGTAATATTAACAATGCTTTAAAGGAGGAACTAGTCAACAGTGTCAGAGATTTTAACCTGCTATTTATTAAAGCGATGTTAAAGCACTTTAAATATATAGATAAATGCTTTTTATGGAGCATATAGATAATGCTCAAATTAACAATAGTTTAAGAGGAATTTTGTAGTTGGAAAGGCTATCTTAAGCTATAACAAAGTATTGTTTTAAAATTGACTTTAACCCATTCATGCCACAAATAGCATTCCCTATGGCACAGTACTATAGTAGGTATTATAGATGCTGTCCAAAAGGAGTTCAGTTTTGACCATTTCTGTCTCTTGAGATTCTCTTGAGCAGAGTTACCATATTAAAATGATGACAAAAGAACAAATACACAGCCCAAACCTGAGAGATAAGTGGGAGTAAAATATTCGTAAATAGAGTAATCAAGATAGGGTATGGATTAGGCAAGAGATTAATACAGGAATGATGAATCTTCAGAGCTAAAACATTTCGATGTTTATTTCAGAGGAAGTAAAGATAAGATTTTTGTTGTAAAGATGAACCCCTATGTGCCTGATAAACTAATTACAGCTGGAATTAAACACATGAAATTTTGGCGTAAAGCAGGTAAGAAAGTGCTTCTTTTTTACTCCATAGAATTTTAAGAAATTATTGCTTTTGAAAGTAATTTAGCTAAGTGCAGTGTGTACCCTAGACTGCATCCTGGAATAGAGCAGGAACACTAGGAGAAAAACTGATGAAATCTGAATGAAGTCTTGAGTTCATTTAATAATAATGTATCAAATATGTTGGTTTCTTAGTTTCAACAAATGGTCTATGGTAATATAAGATGTCAACATTGGCTGGGCACAGTGACTCATGCCTATAATCCCAGCACTTTGGGAGGCCAAGGTGGGAGGATCACTTGAGCCTAGGTGTTCAAGAGCAGCCTGGGCAGCATAGTGAGACCCTGTCTCTACAAAAAAAAAAAAAAAATTAGCTGGGCATGGTGGTGTGTACCTGTGGTCCCAGCTTCTTGGGACGATAAGGTGGAAGGATCACTTGAGCCCAGGAGGTTAAGGCTGCAGTGAGCTGTGATCTCCCACTGCACTGCAGCCTGGGCAACAGAGCAAGAACTTGTCTCGAAAAAAAAAAAAAAAAAAAAAAAAAGATGTTAACATTAGTAGAAACTGAAGTGTATAAGAGAATAATACTCTGTAACACTTTTGCATCTTTTCTGGAAATCTAAAATTATCTAAAATTAGTTTATTTTTTAAAAGTAATTTACTGTTGTATTGATGCATTTTAAACAAATACAAGATTTATTGCCATTTATTGGCTGCATTTATGTAGTTGATATGGTTTGACTGTGTCCCCACCCAAATCTCACCTTCACTTGTAATAATCCCTATGTGTCAAGGGCAGGGCCAGGTAGAGATAATTGAATCATGGGGGCGGTTCGCCATACTGTTCTTGTGGAAGTGAATACGTCTCATGAGATCTGATGGTTTTATAAATGGGAGTTCCCCTGCATAAGCAATTTTGCCTGTCACCATGTAAGACGTGACTTTGCTCCTCATTCACCTTCAGCCATGATTGTGAGGCTCCCCAGCCATGTGGAACTGTGAATCAATTAAACCTCGTTCCTTATAGATTACCCAGTCCTGGGTATGTCTTTATGAACAGTGTGAGAACAGACTAATACAGTAGTATTCATACTTGCAAAAGAATTCAATATATGAGATTAATCAAATTATGTCCAGACTTTTTCTTCTGTTAAAGACATGTTCTATAGTCTAAACTGAAAATGAAAATTAAAAAAAATTACTCATATGCTATTAAATGATACAAAAGTGTATCATTTATAGTACAAATGATACTTTAGTCATTTGTAACTATAAAATAAAAAATGTCTGTTTTCTAAATAGTATACTTATAAATTCCATCAATGTGACATCAAAATCTCAATAAATTGAAACTGTTCAGAGAAAATATGTAAATATAGGAAGAAGTAAAACATTATTAGAAAAGAATAAACTTAGTGAAGACATTTCCCAAGTTCAAGTAACTTTCAAGTTGTAAATTACATGGGACATGAATTAATTTTCAGTCTTGGATTTAACACTTTATCAAAAACTCATCAGATAACAGCATATGCGTTTACAAAGTAAAAAGAAGTATTTTTACATTTGTAATTTTGTTTCCACATGCTTAAACAAACTTCATTTGGGCACCTTAGTCACTTGTAATTGCAAATTCGCAGCATATACTACAGTTGTACCTCATGGCATCAGAAAATATCAGGGATTGGTTCCAGGATTCCCCAAGGATACCCAAATCCATGCTGCACAAGTCCCTTGTATAAAATGGTATAGTATTTGCATATAATTTATGCACATCCTCCTGTATATTTTCAGTCATTTCTAGACTACCGATAATACCTAATATAATGTAAATGCTATGTAAATAGTTTGTTGTACTGTTGTTTAGGGAATAATGACAAGGAAAAAAAGTCTGTATGTATTCAGTACAGAGCAACCATCCTTTTTTTCTTTTTGAAACAGAGTCTCGCTCTGTTGCCCAGGCTGGAGTGCAATGTTGTGATCTCGGCTCACTACAACCTCCACCTCCTGGGTTCAAGTGATTCTCCTGCCTCAGCCTCCTGAGTAACTGGGATTACAGGTGCCCGCCACCACACCCAGCTGATTTTTGTATTTTTTAGCAGAGATGGGGTTTCACCATGTTGGCCAGGCTGGTCTCGAACTCCCTGACTCCAGGTGATCAACCCGCCTTGGCCTCCCAAAGTGCTGGGATTACAGACATGAGCCACCGTGCCCAGCCCATCCTTTTTAAAAGGAATATTTTCAATCCACATTTTATTAAATCCACAGATGCAAAACCTGAGAACATGGAAGGCCGATTTTACTCAGTATTTCTGTCTTGGAAAAGAACTATGAATTTGTTTGAAATAAGATTTCAAGAAAGCAAATATTCTTGCAGTGAAAATACTTCCAAATGAATAACTTTCTTTCTTAAGTTTGATTAGACGTATAGTAGACCTGAAAGTGAAGCATAAAAGGATGAATGTTAAGGCTTTGGTGAGCATTTCAACCTTCCTTACTTTTGGGGTTCTGATCCACAGAGTTCATTAACCACTTGGGAAATAAGTATCCACTTACTTAACCTAACTATTGTTTAACCCTCTAAATGCATAGTTTTAGGTAAACTAGGTTGAAGGAGATGACTTAGGCTTGAGGTTAACATGGGGCTTCTTGCCTCCCATTCCAGATCTAGGCTTTGAGAATTTCAAGTTATGATTTATTAATCTCTCCCCTAAGGGATTTGAACTCTATTCATGGTAGGGACAGAGGGATGGGGAGCCTCTGAAAGTTTTTGATGCAATAATAATGTGAGCTGATTATATGACCTCATGTAACAGGAACATGTTATGCTGTGTGTATCATCAAGAAAACCCAGCTGTCAATGCTCTGAACCAAAGGTGGCAAACTTTTTCCATAAATGGCCAGATAGTAAATATTTTAGGCTTTCTAGGCCAAAGGACAAAATCAAGGGTATTATGTAGGTAATTATAGAACAAGAGAGAAAACTGTCCTGCCCTGCTTACCCTGTTTGCACCCAGTTGCCATTAGACATTCTGTCTGCCAGGGAATGGGTCTGGCAGGTTTTGGTTGGGAGTGAAACTGTAGTGAGCTTCACTACCCCAGTGACACATAGATCCTAGTGTGTCCTTCTGTTCCTGGAGAGCCCAACCTTCTGAATTTGGGCAGCTGACCAGAAATGGGGCAACTACTAGACTGAGATTCCACTGCCAGATACCCAGCAGTTGCCATTAGCAGAGTCTCTAGCTTGTAGGTGGGGACCAGCCCAGACTCTGGGCAGATGCTAGTTACAGCCACAAACCAGGGAGGCAGACCCTGGGTGCAGAGAAGTAAACAGACTTGGTCTCTGCAGCTCAGAGTGCTAACCTGCTCTAGTGGACATTGTACAAAAACAGGTAGTGGCAGGATTTGGCATTCAGCCTGTTGTTTCCCCACCCTGCTCTAGAAGATAGTTTGCCCTCTAATAAAGGCCAGTTCTTCCATTTGTGCACTAGATTCTTTCTCTCATCTACTCAAGGACATCACTCTAACTCTTCTACCCTTTCTCTACTGTATCATCAATGTTCCTCTCTACTGACTTTCCCTTCAGCATAAAAGTGTGATGTGATTTCGCCATCTTAAATAAGTGACACAAAACCCTCTTTCAACTTTATTCTCCAGTTGCTGATCAATTTGTCATCTTCTATGCTAAACCACCTCTAAACAGTTGTTCCTACTTTCAATTTGCAGTTTATGTTCTCTTTCTCTTTAGAAAAGTCTAATCTAGTTTTTTTCACCTCACCACTCCACCCAGCTGCTCTTACAAGGTCACTAATGACTCTGCCTTCTATGTTGAGAAAAGACAGTCTTCTGAATACATTTGGAATCTAACCACTTTTCGTCATCTTCTATGATATCACTTTGGTCTGCCACATTTACCATTTGCCCAGATGATTGAAATAGCCTTCTAACTCCTTTCATCCTTGACCTCCCTTGTATCTATTCTCAATCCAGAAGTCAGAATGAACCTCTTAATAAATCAATTGCCAGATCTTGTCATTTCACTATTCAAATGTTTTGCATCTCATGTAAAGCAAAAGTAGGCCGTCCTTACAATGGCCTGCAGTACTGCCTTAGACCTCTCCAACCCCATTTCCCATTACTGTCTCCCCTTCTTTGCTGCTCCATACTTGTCTCCCTGGATGTTACTTAGTGATTTCAGTCATGTTGTTGTATCGGGGCCTTTGCACTTGCTGCTCCCTCTGCCTGGAACACTCTTCTAGCATGGCTTGCTCTTGCTACCTCCTTCAAGTCTTCATTTAGATACACCTTCTTGATGAGGCTTACCTTAACCACCCTACTTAAAGTGGACTCCTCCCACTTCCTGTCTCCTTTTTATGCTTCTATTTTCTCCAAAGCACCCATCATCATCTAGCACAGTATATTTTACTTGTTACATTTATTGACTGTCTCTCACCATGAAGCTCTAGGGAATTTTGTTGTCTTGCCTGTTCTGTTCATAAGTCTATGCCTGGTACATTGAATAGTGCCTGGCATGTATATTTCTTTTTTCTTTCTTTCTCTCTCTCTCTTTTTGTTTGGAGACAGGGTTTTGCTCTGTCACGCAGGCTGGAGCGTACTGGCACAATCATGGCTCACTGCAACCTCTGCCTCTCAGGCTCAAGCTAGCCTCCTGCCTCAGCCTCTCAAGTGGCTGGGACCACAGGCGTACACCACCATACCCAGCTAATATATTTCTTGAATGAAGGAAGGAAGGAAGGAAGGAATTTGTGAGTCCAATTGGGAAAAATGGGCAAGAGATATCAATAGGTAATGATGGCCAGTAAAAATATGAAAATGTGATCTAGCATAATATTCACAGAAATGCAAATTTAAACTACAATAAAATTCAGTTGGTATTTCGTATTCCCTAGTGTGACAACACAAACTGTTCCCAAAGGTGAGAAACAAGGAATTCTTTTCACTGTTCGTAGGAGTGTACATTGGTATATAAACTTCGGAAAACAGTTTGGCAAGAGCTGATACCTCTCTGATCTATATGATATGCCTTTTGCACATTACCCTATTACTACTCCCAGGCATTCCTAGAGAAACTCTTGCACTTGTATAGAAGAGGCCTTTACAAGAATGTTTAAAGCAGCATTGCTTTTAATAGCAAAAACTTGGAAGTAACTTAAATCTCCATTAATAGGAAAATGGATAAGCCATGGTATAGTTATATAATGGAATGCTATGTGGTTATGAAAGTGAGTTTTCTAACATGTAAAAAACTCTATAACAAATCATTGGTGAATAAAGCAAGTTGCAAAGAATACATACAGGATGATATTTATAGAAAAATTTAAAACATGAAAAATGAGATTGCTTAAAAATTCACAAATATTTATATGTAAAGGAATGCATGAGAATAATCAGTATCACATTCACAATACTAAAGCGTGAAGAAGGGAGATGAGGTTGGCATGACATTTCAGTTACTTTGGGATCTTTTTGTAGGTCAGCGGATATATAGGCATTCATTGTATTGGGGTTTTTAAATGCCTTTTTGTATTCTTAAATATGTCATAATAAAAACTTTAAAAAACATCATCAAAAGTGCTAAGGGCTGATTAAAACAGACTTAGTCCAGGTCTTTGTTTATCTAAAAAGTTATGGTCTAAATGCAGTTATGCAAGGTGTTACCCACATCACTGATTGAGACACCTGTAGTTTTCAATTCTCCTTACTGTTGCATGCCTTACTATTCAAACAACAACAACAACAGTAGAAAAGAAACTTTGCTTCTTTATAATTGAGTACATTTTGAAAGTGGTACTTTCATAATATTTTTTGTGAACTAGGGGGAGGATTGATTGGAAGAAAAGGCTACATAGGCACACTGGGGAAAAATGACACAATGATGTGTGCAGTGTATGGATGGACTGAAGAGATGGCTTTTTCTGGAACATCCACAGGAGATGTGTGTATCTGGAGAGACATCTTTCTTGTAAAAACAGTGAAAGCGCATGATGGGCCAGTGTTCAGTATGCATGCATTGGAAAAAGTAAGTAACCTAAAGAGATTTTAAATTAAACAAAATTTGTCCTGGAGTGTAGAGCATTTTAAGAAGTAAAGGAACACTGCCTTTCTACTTGCCTGGACTATCCAGCAGTAGTCTGTGGGCTAGGGTCATCTTGACCTTTCTTTGTTTCTCTTTTCAAACTCCCGAACACAGAATGAAATAGGTCTGCAGTGTTTTGTTTTGAGATAGTGTCTCACTCTGTCACCCAAGCTGGAGCGCAGTGGTGTGGTCATAGCTCACTGCAGCCTCCAGCTCCTGGGCTCAAGAAATCCTCCTGCCTCAGCCTCTTGAGTAGCTGTGACTACAGGCAAGTGCCACCCACACCCATCTAATTTTTAAAAATTTTTTTGGTAGAGATTATGTTGCCCAGGGTAGTCTCCAACTCCTGGGCTTAAGCTATTCTCCCACCTCAGCCGTCAAAGTATTGTGTTACAGGCATGAGCCATGGTGCCAGCCAGGTCTGCTGTTGTTGTTTTGTGTTTTTTTTGTTTTTTTTTAAAGTTTAACTTCATGTTCTTAAGCTCATACTATGTGTCAAAAATCGGCTGTTTATATATAATCACCATATCCATCAGGTAGTTACCATTTTTGTTTTCTCTTTTTAAGGATGAGGTTATTATGTAGACTCCAAGAGGATATATGTAACTTTCTGAGAGTGGTGATCTAACTTATAGTTACAGATTTTAGAAACTGTGTTTCTAAAGCCCTATCTAAAAGTAAAATGTTTAGGGTCACTGTAAATATTGTTGCAGATTCCATGTAGACGGTTTAAAAACACAATGGATTCTTAAGCTAATTCCTGTTCTTTACAAGCTGTAACTTTTGACTATGTTCTTTTTTCTAGAAGTTTTCAATATAAGGAAAAAGGTTACTATTTTAAAAAATATTTAGATCTTTATTAACTTGAACCTTTTTTTTTCCATAGGGGTTTGTAACTGGAGGAAAAGATGGTATAGTAGCTCTTTGGGATGACTCTTTTGAAAGATGTCTCAAGACCTATGCTATAAAAAGAGCTGCATTGGCCCCAGGATCTAAAGGTGATTTGAGACTTAGTGGGGTTTTTGTATAGGAAAAAAAGATTAATTGCTCATTAATGTGTGTGATCACTGAGGTGGAACACATGGCATGTATTTTTCCGTCTTGTTGGGCATCAGAATTAAGTGGAAGAAATCACTTAACTGGATACCAGAATCATTGCCATCTTTTCAAAAGTCTATTTTCTATGATACACATGGTAAAATATTAGTGAAATACAAGATTATGAATCCTAATTTTAACATTAATTTTCCAAAGAAAATTTCCATGTGAACATCACATTTATCACCAGTCAGGAACTTGTGTGCAACTTTGATATTTTGTTTCACCTTGGCATTTTGTTGACCCTGTTTCTGTAGCCTCACAGGCCTTTTTTCCCTTTGCCATTTGTTTGTTGATTTATTTAAGAGACAGGGTCCTGCTGTGCTGCCCAGGCTGGAGTGCAGTGGTGCAATCATAACTCACTGAAACCTTGAACCCCTAGACTCAAGTGGTCCTCCTGCCTCAGCCTCCTGAGTAGTTGGGACTAAAGGCGCCTGCCACCATACTCAGCAAATTTTCAAATTTTTGTGCAGCCAGGGTCCCTCTATGTTGTCCAGGCTGGTCTCAAACTCAAATGATCCTCTAAACTTGGCCTCCCGAAGCACTGAAATTACAGGCATGAGCCACTGTGCTTGGCCTACCTTTTTTTTTTTGAAGAGGAGGAAGGGTGCAAGGGCAGCATCAGGCCCAACTCCCTGTCCGCCGACCATCCTCCGGGCTGTGGGCCCAGAGGGTGCATTTTCTTTATTATTATTATTATTGTTATTATTATTATTATACCTTGAGTTCTAGGGTACATGTGCACAATGTGCAGGTTTGTTACATATGTATACATGTGCCATGTTGGTGTGCTGCACCCGTTAACTCGTCTTTGAGTGCATTTCTTCCTTTAAGGCATAGCACCACACTCTCTCTGACTTCTGGGCCTTTCTACCTGTTTTTACTTTTTCCTAAAACATGTCCTTCCTCTTCCTTCCTGCCCCCTCCAGTTACTTGACAACATACTTATTTTTCAAATATCAAACCTGATTTTTTCTAGGATGATTTCCCCCACCCTCATCTCCTCTCAAAAAAGTTAGATTCCACTGCTCTGTGCTCCCATTTCAATATGCCCCTAACACAGGGTCTGTTTTCCTCACTGTATGCTCTGTAAGGGTATGAGTTGAGTCTATCATCTTTACTAATATGTTGCTGAAGCCTCCCTAGGACAAGTAGACATAAATAAATATAGTTGGCCCTCTGTATCTGTGGGTTCCATATCCTCAGATTCAACCAACTGCAAATAGAAAATATGCTAGAGAAAAATAAAAAGTAACAATAGAACAATAAAAATAATATAAATTAAAAATACAGTATAACAGCTATTTACATAGCATTTACATTCTACTAGATATAAGCAATCTAAAAGTTATTTAAAGCACATGGGGGCCGGCTGTGGTGGCCCACATCTGTAATCCCAACACTTTGGGAGGCCCAGGTGGGTGGAACTCCTGAGCCCAGGAGTTTGAGATCAGTCTGGGCAAAATGGCACAACCCCACCCTACTGAAAAAAAAAATATATGGAATGATGTATGTGGGTTATATGCAAATACTACACCATTTTATATGAGGGACTTGAGCATCCATAGACTTTGGTATCTGTGGTTGTCCTGGAATCAATCCCCCAAGGATACTGAGGGCTGACTATATATCTTGAATTGAATTAAAATTACTAATAAGAATATTGTAAATAAGAGGGGCAGGAGATGGATAAGGAAGGGCTAATATAAGAAGAGGTAAACAAATAGCTGTTGGAATGGTAGGAGGGAATGTGAGAATAGAATCATAGACTTATAAGACATAGGTGGTACTTATTTAGAGATTACTAAATTGAATGATTGAGGTTAATATAGTACATTTATTAGAATACTTAAAATACAGGAGAAAACCTTGTAATGTGATTTTCACTGTCAAAATAGCTTAATTGGCAATATATACACTGTTGTATTATAGTAACTGTATGTCTAAAAGAACATCTTCATTTAACATTTCAGGTCTTCTCTTGGAAGATAATCCATCTATACGTGCCATATCATTAGGACATGGTCATATTTTAGTTGGCACAAAGAATGGTGAAATACTAGAAGTGGATAAAAGTGGCCCAATAACACTTCTGGTTCAGGTAATTTTAAATGCTAATTTGTTTTTTTTTCTTTACATACAATTGATTATTTCAATATATAAGAGCCAAAAGTTGACAGTGATGAAAAATAATGTTAAATTAGGGAAATATTTGTTAATGTATACAGAAAAAAAATTTAATGTATACAGAAAAAAATTTTAACGTATACAGAAAAAATTAATGTATACAGAAAAAATTTGTTTTTTTCTGTTAATGTATACAGAAAAAATTTTAATTTGGTTATAATGAAATGATTGGGTGTCAGTAAATATACATATTCTTCTATGGAATAATTGCCAATATTTTGAGTAATTTCTTATCAGAAAATAAAGGACCCATGAAAAGAAAAACCAGCTGTAATTAATTTAACCCAGTCTGTTTTTAATTTTATTTATATAAGGTATATTTGTTGAGCCTAAGGCAATTATTTTTCTCTGAAACTCTTCATTAGGCCATTCTTAAGTTTCTAAGAAAAAATAAAAATGTATGCTAAAATTTCATTACTGAAAATTAAATATCAGTGAAAAGATGTAAATAATAAAACAGGCCGGGCGCGGTGGCTCACGCCTGTAATCCCAGCACTTTGGGAGGCCGAGGCGGGCGGATCACGAGGTCAGGAGATCGAGACCATCCCGGCTAAAACGGTGAAACCCCGTCTCTACTAAGAATACAAAAAATTAGCCGGGCGTAGTGGCGGGCGCCTGTAGTCCCAGCTACTTGGGAGGCTGAGGCAGGAGAATGGCGTGAACCCGGGAGGCGGAGCTTGCAGTGAGCCGAGTTTTTAACTTCCATTATTTTTGATGCTGTTATAAATACAACTGTTTTCTTAATTTTGATTGCATATTGTTCATTTCTAGTGTATCAAAATGCAGTAGATTTTGTACATTAACCCTATAACCTGTAAACTTGCCGTCCTCATTTATTAGTTCTGATAGTTTTATAATGGATTATTTAGGGTTTTCTGTGTACAACATTATGTCATCTGTAAATACACATAGTTTTACTTCTTCTTGTCCAATCTGGATGCCTGCTATTTCTTTTTCTTGTCCAATAGTCTTGACTAGAACCTCCAGTACATTGTTAAATGTAAGTGGTGAGAACAGAACATCCTTGTCTTGTTCCTGATCTTAGAGTGAAAGCATCTAGTCTTCCACCATTGAGTATAAGGTTAACTGTGGGTTTTTCGTAGATGCTCCTTACTAAGTTTAAGTTGAGGAGTTACTACCCTTTTATTCCAAATTTGTGGAGCATTTTCATCAAATGCTTTTTCTATGTCTATTAAGCTGATCATGTGTTTTTCATTTTTAATTCTGTTGATATAGTGTATTAGTTGATTTTTGATGTTGTCAATCTTGCATTCCTGGGATAAATCCCACTTGGTTGTGATATGTAATGTTTTATGTGTATTGGATTTGGTTTGCCAGTATTTTGTTGAGGATTTTAGCATCAGTATTTATAAGAGATATTGGTATTTAGTTTTCTTGTGATATCTTTGTCTGGCTTTGATATCAGGGTAATAATGGCTGTATAACATAATTCAGGAAGGGTTCCCTCATCTTTGTCTCTTTCCCTGACCACACCCAACTGTTAAACTCCTTTAATTGGTAGCATATTGCTCTATTGTTTTCAACATTTTCCTTGGGTATAAATTGTGCCACAGGCTAAACCAATCAAATTCAGGCTCCTTTAAAGGGATACTTCCCTAGATTAGTGTTTGAGGTTTGTTTCTGACTCCAGGCAGGCTCCTCCCAGCTATCTCTGCGAGTTTACTGGTTCTCTTGGACAAACTAGCTGGCCTACGGTTTAGCCTATATTTCCAGTTAGCCTACCAGTCTCCTCCCAATTACTTTTTATTAGATTTTTTACAAATTCTGGAAAGATATTAAAAACCATATAGAAGAAAAAATATTCAAGAATAGTTAAGAAATTTTCAAAACAATTTTCACTGTTTTTGAGACGTACTTATGCATGAGCTTTTTCACACTCTGCTGTAAATGAAGTCAGTTCCTTTGAGAAGAGATTAGGAGCTATCTGGATTTCTGGATTGCCTCTCCCTCCAGGCAGAATCTCTGAACCAGGGCTCTGGAGTTGAGAGTGAGGTCAATGGAATCCTTATCTTTGAGTATCTCAGGCTTTAGGCCCTGAGTACTTGGTAAGGGGAGAGGGGACAGTAGTCTCAGCTTTTCCTGGGTTACCCCAGGACCCCATTATTCTCAGAGGCACCACATCCAAAGTAGAGCCTCCATCTGGAGGAGGGGCTGGGCAGAAGTTATCTCCCACCTGTCAGCTGAGCTCAACAAGAATTTAGCCTCAGCAACAGGAGGCTGAGGGCAGGGTGAGAAATGCTGACATCCTGCCCTACCTGGAAAGATAGTGCTCTGACCGCGAGCTGGGGGGAGAGAGAGCCTAGTGTTCTTGGTTGCATCAGTCTCGGAGTTTCCAACCAGATGAGGAGGGAGGAAGGGAGTGGATCTCAGTTTAAATACCGTAGACTCTCACTGTTCTTAACAAATTTTAACAGATTTTCTTGAGTAAATGTTCCTTCCTTTGTTGCATCTCCTTGGAACTATTTTCAGAGACTTTAAATGCTTGCGTTTTTTTTTTTTAATTGATTTTTACTAGTTTCACTGGTGAGCAGGTCTGTGGAGCTCCTCACTCTCTCATGCAGGAAAGTACCTCCTGTGTGGCAATTATTAACATTGCAGAGCAGCCAATTCCTATTCTCTCCACCCAGAGAAAGTTTTAGGATTATAAGCTAACTTTAATTGTAGCTTGATTATATGGTAATTGTGGAGCTAAAGTTGTTACAGAGGTATTTTATTGTGTTTCCCAAAGATAAACAGAAAAGTTTTGATAGATTTACTCACTATTCGGTATCCTATTATCATATATTATTGAATGGTATCTTTAGCTTTATTCTAAATAAAACTGTGTATAAATATACACACACATACACTAAATTGATCCTATGTTTTCTTTATAGGGACACATGGAAGGAGAGGTGTGGGGTTTAGCTACACACCCTTATCTGCCCATCTGTGCTACTGTAAGCGATGATAAAACCTTAAGAATATGGGATCTCTCACCTAGTCATTGTATGTTGGCTGTCCGGAAGCTGAAAAAGGGTAAGAGGCTCTCACACTTGAACGTAGATTAAGCTCTCACAGTTTTCTAACCTTTACAAATATAAGAAAGCAAAACTAGGCACATTTTAAAAAGGCTTTAAATATGTTGAAATATTTATTCAATGTCTACTTGCTCATGGTGCCACATAGAGAAACGTAATTGTACTCAGTCTTGGCTTTATGGGACCTCCTATCATCATGCCTAAAGTGAGCAAATTTCCAATAACTTGTTGAATAAAGAATATAGAAGGTAAACAGAAGCTAAGTTTTTCTCTCCTTTGTGACTATGGATTATACATAATTTAGAACTGGAAACTTTTCTAAGGCATAGTGGGGACTAAAAAAAATTCAAAAAAGAACTAAAAACTAAGGGTAGACAGCTGAGGAAGGATATTGTAAATAGAACTGAGCCCATTTGTAGGAAGCAGATGAAGCTGTCAGGGTAGAGAGACAGGGTTTCCCCATCTTGGCCAGGCTGGTCTCAATCTCCTGACCTCATGATCTGCCCACCTCGGCCTGCCAAAGTGGTGGGATCACAGGCGTGAGCCACGGCCCCCGGCCAATTCCAAGTTTAAAATGAACTTTCTGTTTTTTAATTCTACACTATTAGTCCTTGTCTTGTTCATTTCATGTTTTCTGTCTGTCTCTATGTGGCGTCTGTGTGATTTTTTCAGATCTTTATTCTAGTTTTTAATTCTCTTTATAGCAGTTCATTCCCATCTGTTTTTTAAGCTACCCATTAGTTAATTTTGATAATTGTCATTTTTATAACTTCTATTTGTTTTCAAGTTTGCCTGAGATATTTTAACATCATACTTCTTGTTTATATTTTAGATTTACTCTTTTCTATCTTTAATCTTAACTACCCATTTCAGATAAAGAATATAAAATCTAATTGTCTCCAAGGATCTCATTTTGCTGTGTTTTTCTTACCATTCTTTTGGATGTTTTCTTGTTTTTTTGTTTTGGTTTTTGTTTTTTTTCTGCTGACTCCCTCCTAGTGGTCCATCTTCTTGTGCATTTTAAATTTGTATTGTAAGTTCATGTTTGATTGGACTTTACCTGTGGGAATCCCATGATGTCTGGATTGAGGGTGTGGGAATCCCATGATGTCTGGATCGAGGACTTTTTTTTGAAAAACAATATAACCCGTGTTTACTCTGGATGCTAATGATTCAGAGATCAGATTTTTTTAAAATTTGGAAATAATGGTATTAGATTATCACTATGAGTATTTTGGAACCTAAAATTAACATAAAAATTTGAAAGCTAGTACTATAATGAGTACAGTTAATGTATGTCCCTTCATGAATTCCAGAGATTTTGTGTTTCTCTCTTCAGGTGTCTGGGGTGCTACCATCGAGAACCACTGAAAATTTATTTAACTGGGATTACATAAATCATGTAATTAGAATAAATTTGAATCTAAGGTTTATGAAAGCCACCCTGTGTTTGTGAATTCTCAAGTATGATTTTTCCTTCTCTGTGGAGAACCCAGGCCAGGATAGATAAGCTTGTTTCATAAAGTCTTTATTGCCAGACACATTTTAAAAAAAAGGTTTCTCTGTTTTTTTCTCCTGAGATATGGTTGTAATACTAGAAGAAAATGACAATATGCTGTTTGGAGAGTTTTTGCCAAAAAAATTGCATGTAATTAAATAACTATTTTATTTCTTAAGATATTCATGAGTCAAAAAAATTTAAAGTAAAAATTAGTGAAACTAAATATATAATTTAATGTTTAGTATATTGAAATACAAAAAGACAAAATCATAATATAAGTATAGCTGTGCAGTATTTTAATTGGTAAATTATTAAAAGTAAATACTTCATAAAATGAAGAAAGTTTCAGCATAAAACACTGAAATAAAATAACTGATGTTTCTTTTAAAGCAACCTTAAGGAGCAAAGTTTATTAATGATAGTATTATTGAGTTGAAAAGTAATTAATTTTGAGCAAATTTTTCCAATGGCCTAAAAGGCCCTTACTATACGCTACACTATACTATACACTATTCTATACACTAGTCTGAGTAATGATGAAAATATAAGTATAATCCAGTTCTAAATTTCCTGTGACTCTTGTATCATCAGATAATACTATCTCTTGTTTGATGGCTTCAAGGACATTTTTTTGAAAAAGTTTTTTTTTGTAGGGACTATAGCACCTTTATTTTTTTATTTTTTATTTTTATTTTTTGAGACAGTCTTGCTCTATCACCCAGGCTGGAGTGCAGTGGCATGATCTTGGCTCAGTGCATCCTCCGCCTCCCAGGTTCAAGCGATTCTTCTGCTTCAGTCTCCCGAGTAACAGGGACTACAGGCGTGCGCCACCACGGCTGGCTTATTTTTGTATTTTTAGTAGAGATGGAGTTTCACCATGTTGGCCAGGCTGGTCTTGAACTCCTGACCTCAAGTGATCCGCCCACCTTGGCCTCCCAAAGTGCTAAGATTACAAGCATGAGCCACCATGCCTGGCTATAGCCCCTTTATTGATAGCAAGCTATAATATTTATTTTAAAGAAAGCATTTCCAGGTTACATTGTCTTTAAATTTATGATTTGTAGAAGGAAATTATAATTCATTACTATTGTATTTGTTGTGAGTTGAGTTGTGTCCCCCTGAAAAGATATGTTGAAGTTCTAACCCCCCAGTACTTGTGAATGTGTCCTCATTTAGAAATAGAGTATTAGCAGATATAATCAGTTTAAGACAAAGGCATACTAGATTTGGTTGGGCTCTAAATCCAGTGACTGATGTCCTTATAAGAAGGCCATGTGAAGATATAGGAACACAGACACACTGGGAGAATGCAGCGTGATGATGGAAGCAGAGGATT
Organism: Homo sapiens; assembly: GCF_000001405.40. Lineage (NCBI taxonomy): Eukaryota > Metazoa > Chordata > Mammalia > Primates > Hominidae > Homo > Homo sapiens. The sequence goes on along the minus strand of NC_000014.9, from coordinate 88,679,050 downwards.
GGAGTGATGTACCTATAAACCAAGGAGCACCAAGGATTGCTACAACCACCAGAAGCTAGAGAGAAACAAGGAAGGATTATTCCCAAGAACTTTCACAACGGAGCATAGCTCTGCCAACATCTTGATTTCAGATTTCTAGTCTCCAGAACTGTGAGAGAATGGGTTTCTGTTGTTTTAGGACACACAGTTTGTGGTCATTTGTTACAGCCTCTAGGAAACCAATACTGTGTTCATATTCCAGTGTTCAAAAAGTCTTCAAGCTAGAATAAGAATTATTCTCACAGTATTAGTTTTGCTTAGTTGACCTTTATTATCTCTGTGAAATTTGAGGGAAGAAAATTTTTTTCAAAACAATATAACCCGTGTTTACTCTGGATGCTAATGATTCAGAGATCAGATTTTTTTAAAATTTTGAAATAATGGTATTAATCACTATGAGTATTTTGGAACCTAAAATTAACAAAAATTTGAAAGCTAGTACTATAATGAGTACAATTAATGTATGTCCCTTCATGAATTCCAGTTTTGTCTAGGAGGTTCAGGTGCAAGACTAGTCTGCTATGCCGTTAGGGCAGATGTGGCTTTAAAATTTTTTTTTATTTTATGTTATTTTAAGTTCCGGGATACATGTGCAGGATGTGCAGGTTTGTCACATAGGGAAACGTGTGCCATGATGGCTTGTTGCACCTGTCAACCCATCACCTAGATATTAAGCTCCATGTGAATTAGCTATTTATCCCAATGCTCTCCCTCCTCCCTGTCCCCCAAGAGGCCCCAGTGTGTGTTCCTCTCCCTGTATCCTTAGTTCTCATTGTTCAGCTCCCACTTATAAGGGAGAACATGCAGTATTTGGTTTTCTGTTCCTGTGTTAGTTTGCTGAGGATAATAGCTTCCAGCTCCATCATGTCCCCACAAAGGACATGATCTTGTTACTTTTTATGGCTGCATAGTATCCCATGGTGTATATATACCACATTTTCTTTATCCAGTCTAATATCGATGGGCATTTGAGTTGATTCCATGTCTTTGTTATTGTGAATAGTGCTGCAGTGAACATATGTGTGCATGTATCTTTGTAATAGAATGATTTCTGTTCCTTTGTGTATATACTCAGTAATTACATTGCTGGGTCAAATGGTGTTTCTGGTTCTAGGTCTTTGAAGAATCACCGTCTTCCACAATGGTTGAGCTAATTTACATTCACACCAACAGAGTAAAAGTGTTCCTATTTCTCCACAGCCTTAGCACCATCTATTGTTTCTTGACTGTTTAATAATCGCCATTCTGACTGGTGTGAGATGGTATCTCAATGTGGTTTTGATTTGCATTTCTCTAGTGATCAGTGATGTTGAGCTTTTTAAAATATGTTTCTCAGCTGCATAAATGTCTTCTTTTGAGAATTGTCTGCTTATGTCCTTTGCCCACCTTTTAATGGGGTTATTTCTTGTGAATTTGTTTAAGTTCCTTGTAGATTCTGGATATTAGACCTTTGTCAGATGGACAGATTGCAAAAAATTTTCTCCCATTCTGTAGGTTGCCTGATCATTCTGATGACAGTTTCTTTTGCTGTGAGGAAGCTCTTCAGTTTAATTAGATCCCATTTGCCAATTTTTGCCTTTTTGCAATTGCTTTTGACATTTTCATAATTGAATCTTTGCCTGTACCTGTGTCCTGAATGGTATTGCCTAGATTTTCTTCTAGGGTTTTTATAGTTTTGGGTTTTACATTTAAGTCTTTAATCCATCTTGAGTTAATTTTTGTATAAGGTGTAAGGAAGGGGTCCAGCTTCAATTTTCTGCATGTGGCCAGCCAGTTTTCCCAGCATCATTTATTAAATAGGGAATCTGGCCAGGTGTGGTGGCTCATTCCTGTAATCCTAGCACTATGGGAGGCCAAGGTGGGCAGATTGTGTGAGCTCAGGAGTCCGAGACCAGTCTGGCCAATATGGTGAGACCCTGTATCTACTAAAAATACAAAAATTAACCAGGTGTGGTGGTGTGTGCCTGTAGTCCTAGCTACTTGGGAGGCTTAGGCAAGAGAATTGCTTGAACCCAGGAGGTGAAGGTTGCAGTGAGCCAAGATTGTGCCACTGCACGTCAGTCTGGGAGACAGAGCAAGACTCTGTCTCAGAAAAAATACAAACAAACAAATAAATAGGAAATCCTCTCCCCATTGCTTGTTTTTGTCAGGTTTGTCAAAGATCAAATGGACATAGATATGTGGTCTTACTTCTGAGATCTCTATTCTATTCCCTTGGTCTATGTGTCTGTTTTTGTACTAGTGGCCATGATGTTTTGGTTACTGTAGCCTTGTAGTATAGCTTGAAGTGGGATTAGCATGATGCCTCCAGCTTTGTTTTTATGGCTTAGCATTGTCTTGGCTATATGGGCTCTTTTTTGGTTCCATATGAATTCTAAAGTAGTTTTTTTCTAATTCTGTGAAGAATGTCAATGGTAGTTTATTGGGAATAGCATTGAATCTATAAATTACCTTGAGCAGTGATATAGTTTGGCTGTGTCCCCACTCAGATCTCATCTTGAATTCCTACATGTTGTGGGAGGGACCTGGTGGGAGGTAATTGAATCATGGGGGCAGGTCTTTCCCGTGCTGTTCTCGTGATAGTGAGTCTAATGACTTCTGATGGTTTCATGTGTCTGGCATTTCACCTCCTTCCACTCACTCTATCCTGCCACCCTGTGAAGAAGGTGCCTGCTTCTCCTTTGGCTTCTGCCATGATTGTTAAGTTTCCTGGGACTTCCTCAGCAATGTGGAACTGTGAGTCAGTTAAATCTCTTTCCTTTATAAATTGCTTAGTCTCAGGTATTTCTTCATAGCAGTGTGAGAACGGACTAATACAGTAAAGTGGTACCAGTAGAGTGGGATGCTGCTGAAAAGATACCTGAAAATGTGGAAGCAACTTTGAAACTGGGTAACAGGCAGAGGTTGGAACAGTTTGGAGGGCTCAGAAGCAGATAGGAAAATGTAAGAAAGTTTGGAACTTCTTAGAGACTTGTAGAATGGCTTTGACCAAAATGCTGATGATGACACAGGCAATGAAATCCAGGCTGAGGTGGTCTCAGATGGAGATGAGGAACTTGTTGGGAACTGGAGCAAAGGTGACTCTTCTTATGTTTTAGCAAAGAGACTGGTGGCATTTTCCCTCAGCCCTGGAGATTTGTGGAACTTTGAACTTGAGGGAGATGATTTAGGGTATCTAGTAGAAGAAATTTCTAAGCAACAAATTATTCTTGAGGTGACTTTGGTGTTGTTTAAAGTATTCAGTTTTTAAAGGGAACCAGAGCATAAAAGTTCAGGAAATTTGCAGCCTGACTGTGACAGAAAAGAATATCTCATTTTCTGAGGTGAAATTCAAGCCAGCTGCAGAAGTTTGCATAAATAATGAGGAGCTGAATGTTAATTCCCAAAACAATGGGGAAAGTGTCTCCAGGGCATGTCAGAAGTCTTCACGGCAGCCCCTCCCATCACAGGCCTGGAGGCCTAGGAGGAAAAGATGGTTTTGTGGGCCAGGCCACGGGCCCCTCTACTCTGTGCAGCCTAGGGACTTGGTACCCTGCATTCCAGCAGCTCCATCCATAGCTAAAAGGGGCCAAAGTACAGCTTGGACTGTTGCTTCAGATCAGAAGCCTCAAGCCTTGGCAGCTTCCATGTGGTGTTGAGCCTGCAGGTGCACAGAAGTCAAGAATTGAGGTTTGGGAACCTCCACCTAGATTTCAGAGGATGTATGGAAATGCCTGGATGCCCAGGCAGAAGTTTGCTGCAGAGGCAGGGACCTCATGAAGAACCTCTGCTAGGGCAGTGCAAAAGGGAAATGTGGGGTTGGAGCCCCCATACAGAGTCCCTACTGGGGCACCGCCTAGTGGAGTTATGAGAAGAGGGCAACCATCCTTCAGACCCCAGAATGGTAGAACAACTGACAGCTTGCACCATGTGCCTGGAAAAGCCACAGGCACTGAATGCCAGCCTGTGAAAGCAGCCAGGAAGGGGGCTATACTCTGCAAAACCACAGGGGCAGAGCTGCCCAAGACCATGGGAACCCACCTCTTGCATCAGTGTGGCCTGGATGTGAGGCATGGAGTCAAAGGAGATCACTGGAACTTTAAGATCTGACTGTCCTGCTGGATTTTGGACTTGAATGGGGCCTGTAACCCCTTGGTTTTGGCCAGTTTCCCCTATTTGGGACAGCTGTATTATCCAATGCCTGTACCCCCATTGTATCTAGGAAGTAAGTAACTTGCTTTTGATTTTACAAGCTCATAGGTGGAAGGGACTTGCCTTGTCCCAGATGAGATGTTAGACTGTGGACTTTTGAGTTAATGCTGAAATGAGTTAAGACTTTGGTGGACTGTTGGGAAGGCACGATTGGGTTTGAAATGTGAGGACATGAAATTTGGGAAGTGCCAGGGTCAGAATGATGTGGTTTAACTGTGTCCCCACCCAAATCTCATCTCGAATTCACATGTGTTGTGGGAGGGACTTGGTGGGAGGTAATTGAATCATGGGGGCGGGTCTTTCCTGTGCTGTTCTCGTGATAGTGAGTCTCACGACATCTGATGGTTTTATGTGTCTGGGATTTCACCTGTTTGTACTCACTCCATCCTGCTGCCCTGTGAAGAAGGTGCCTGCTTCTCCTTTGCCTTCTGCTATGATTGTAAGTTTCATGAGGCCTCCTCAGAAATACAGAACTGTGAGTCAATTAAATCTCTTTCCTTTATAAATTACCAAGTCTCAGGGTTTTTATTGTTGTTGTTGTTGTTGTTTTTGAGATGAAGTCTCACCCTTTTAGCCCAGCCTGAAGTGCAGTGGCACAATCTGAGCTCACTGCAACCTCCACCTCCTGGGTTCAAGTGATTCTCCTGCCTCAGCCTCCTGAGTAGCTGAGATTACAGACATGCGCTACCATGCCTGGCTAATTTTTGTACTTTTAGTAGAGACAAGGTTTCACTATGTTGGCCAGGCTGGTCTTGAACTCCTGATATTAAGTGATCCGCCCACCTCAGCCTTCCAAAATGCTGGGATTACAGGTGTCAGCCACCACACCCAGCCAGGTATTTCTTCATAGCAGTGTGAGAACAGACTAATAACAGGCAGTATGGCCATTTCACAATATTTATTCTTCCTATGTATGAGCATGGAATTATTTCATTTGTTTCTGTCCTCTTTTATTTCCTTGAGCAGTGGTTTGTAGTTTTTGAAGAGGTCCTTCACTTCCCTTGTTAACTATATTCCTAGGTATTTTATTCTCTTCATAGCAATTGTGAACAGGAATTCATTCATGATTTGGCTCTCTGTTTTCTGTTGTTGGTATATAGGAATGCTTGTAATTTTTGCACATTGATTTTGTATCCTTTGACTTTGCTGAAGTTGCATATCAGCTTAAGAAGCTTTTGGGCTGAGATAATGGGGTTTTCTAGACATACTATCATATCATCTGCAAACAGAAAACAGTTTTACTTCCTCTCTTCCTATTGGAATACACTTTATTTCTTTCTCTTGTCTGATGGCCCTGGCCAGAACTTCCAATACTATGTTGAATAGGAGTGGTGAGAGAAGGCATCCTTGTCTTGTGCTGGTTTTCAAGGGGAATGCTTCCAGCTTCTGCCCATTCAGTATGATACTCACTGTGGGTTTATCATTATTATTTTGAGGTATGTTCCATCAATACCTAGTTTATTGAGAATTTTTAACGTGATGGGATGTTGAATTTTATCAAAGGCCTTTTCTGCATATACTGAGATAATCATATGGTCTTTGTCTTTAGATCTGTTTATGTGATGAATTATGTTTATTGATTTGTGTGTGTTGAACAAGCCTAGCATCCTGGGGATGAAGACAGCTTGATCGTGGTGGATAATCTTTGATGTGCTGCTGGATTCAGTTTGCCAGTATTTTATTGAGGACTTTTGCATCAATATTCTTCAGTCATATTGGCCTGGAGTTTTCTTTTTTTTGTTGCATCTCTGCCAGGTTTTGGTATCAAGATCATGCTGGCCTCAAAAAATGAGTTAGGGAGGAGTCCCTTTTTTTCAGCTGTTTGGAATAGTTTCAGAAGAAATGGTACCAGCTCCTCTTTGTACCTCTGGTAGAATTCAGCTGTAAATCTGTCTGGTCCTGGGCTCTTTTTGGTTGGTAGACTATTTATTACTGCCTAAATTTCAGAACTGTTATTGGTCTATTCAGGGATTCAACTTCTTCCTGGTTCCGTCTTTGGAGAGTGTATGTGTCCAGGAATTTATCCATTTCTTCCAGATTTTCTATTTTATTTGCATAGAGGTGTTTATAGTATTCTCTGATGGTTGTTTGTATTTCTGTGGGATCAGTGGTGATGTCCCCTTTATCATTTTTTATTGTGTCGATTTGATTCTTCTCTCTTTTCTTGTCTAGCTAATGATCTATTTTATTAATTTTTTTCAAAAACCGGCCCCTGGATTCATTAATATTTTTTGACGCGCTTTTCGTGTCTCTATCTCCTTCAGTTCTGCTCTGATCTTGGTTATTTCTTGTCTTCTGCTAGCTTCGGGGTTTGTTTGCTCTTGGTTCTCTAGTTCTTTTAGTTGTGATATTAGGGTGTCAATTTGAGATCTTTCTAGCTTTTTGATGTGGGCATTTAGGGCTATACATTTCCCTCTTAAAACTGCTTTAGCTGTGTCCCAGAGATTCTGGTATCTTGTCTCCATGTTCTTATTGGTTTCAAAGGACTTCTTGATCTCTGCCTTAATTTCATTATTTACCCAGGAGTCATTTAGGAGCAGGTTGTTCAATTTCTGTGTAGTTATGTGGTTTTAAATGATTTTCTTAATCTTGGGTTCTAATTTGATAGTGCTGTGGTCTGAGAGACTGTTATGATTTCAGTTCTTTTGTACTTGCTGAGGAGTGTTTTACTTTCAATTATGTGATCGATTTTAGGGTACGTGCTATGTGGTGCCAAGAAGAAAGTATATTCTATTGTTTTTGGTTGGAGAGTTCTGTAGATATCTATCAGGTCCGCTTGATCCGGAGCTGAGTTCAAGTCCTGAATATCTTTGTTAATTTTCTGTCTTTATGATCTAATGTTGACAGTAGGGTGTTAAAGTCTCCCACTATTATTATGTGGGAGTTTAAGTTGTCTCTTCGTAGGTCTCTAAGAACTTGTTTTATGAATCTGGGTGCTCCTGAACTGGGTGCATGTATATTTAGGATAGTTAGCTTTACTTGTTGAATTGATCCCATTTCCATTATACAATGCCCATCTTTGTCTTTTTTGATCTTTTTTGGTTTAAAATCTGTTTTGTTAGAAACTAGGATTGCACTCCCTGCTTTTTCCTGCTTTCCATTTGCTTGGTAAATTTTCCTCCATCCCTTTATTTTGAGCCTGTATGTGTCTTTACACATGAGATAGATCTCTTGAATATAGCACACCAGTGGGTTGTGACTCTTTATCAGCATGCCATTCTCTGTCTTTTAATTTGGGGCATTTAGCCAATTTACATTTAAGGTTAATATTGTTATGTGTGAATTTGATCCTGTCATCGTGATGCTAGCTGGTTATGTTGCACACTTAATGTAGTTGCTTCGTAGTATCATTGATTTTCGTACTTCAGTGTGTTTTTGCAGTGGCTGGTAACACTTTTTCCTTTCCATATTTAGTGCTTCCTTCGGGAGCTCTTGCAAGGCAGGCCTGGTGGTGACCAATTCCCTCAGCATTTGCTTGTCTAAAAAGGAGTTTATTTCTCCTTCACTTATGAGGCTTAGTTTGGCTGGATATGAAATTCTGAGTTGGAAATTCTTTAAGAATGTTGAATATTGGCCCCTAGTGTCTCCTGACTTGTAGGGCTTCTGCTGAGAGGTCTGCTGTTAGTCTGATGGGCTCCCCTTTGTAGGTGACCTGACTTTATCTCTGACTGCCCTTAACATTTTTTTCCTTCATTTTGACCTTGGAGAATCTGATGATTATGTATCATGGGGTTGATCTTCTCATGGAGTATCTTACTGGGGTTCTCTGGATTGCCTGAATTTGAATTTTGGCCTGTCTTGTTAGGTTGGGGAAGTTCTCCTGGATGATATCCTGAAGTACGTTTTACAACTTTGTTCTGTTCAGGTACCCCAGTCAGTCATAGGTTCAGTCTTTCTACATAATCCCATAGTTCTCAGAGGTTTTGCTCATTCCTTTTCATCCTTTTTTTTTTTCTCTAATCTTGTAGTGTATCTTATTTCAGCAAGATAGTCTTCAAGCTCTGAAATTCTTCCCTGTGCTTGGTCTATTCAGTTATTGATACTTGTGGTTGCATTGTAACATTCTTGGTTGTGTTTTTCAGCTCCTTCAGGTCATTTGTGTTCTTCTCTAAACTGGTTATTCTGGTTAACAGCTCCTGTAATGTTTTATCATGGCTCTTAGCTTCTTTGCATTGGGTTAGAACTTGTTCCTTTAGCTCAGCAAAATTCATTATTACCCACCTTCTGAAGCCTACTTCTGTCAATTCATCCATCTCAGCCTTTGCCCAGTTCTGTGCCCTTGCTGGAGAGGTGTTGTGTTAATTTGGAGGAGAAGAGGCACTCTGGCTTTTTGAGTTTGCAGCATTTTTTTTCTTTGATTCTGTCTCATCTTTGTGAGTTTATCTAGCTTCAGTCTTTGAGGCTGCTGAACTTTGGATGGGGTTTTTGCAGGGACTTTTTTTGTTGATGCTTTTGTTGTTGGTGTTTGTTTTTCTTTTTTCTCCTTTTTTTTTTTTTTTTTGAGATGGAGTCCTGCTCTATCACCCAGGCTGGAGTGCAGTGGCATGATCTTGGCCCACTGCAACCTCCACTTCCTGGGTTCAAGCAATTCTCTGCCTCAGCCTCCCAAGTAGCTGGGATTACAGGCACCTGCTACCACACCCAGCTAATTTTTTTTGTTTTTTTTTTAGTAGAGATGGGGTTTCACCATCTTGGTCAGGCTGGTCTTGAACCCCTGACCACATGATCCACCTGCCTCGGCCTCCCAAAAGTGCTGGGATTACAGGCATGAGCCACTATGCCTGGCCTGTTTTTCTTTTAACAGTCAGACCCCTCTTCCTCTTCCAGCTGAGGTTTGCTGGAGGTCCACTCCAGACCTTCTTTGCCTGGGTCCCTCCCACACCTCGAGGTATCACCAGTGGAGGCTGCAAAACAGTAAAGGTAGCTGCCTGCTCCTTTCCCTGGGATCTCTGTCCCAGAGGGTCACTGAACTGATACCAGTGGAAACGCCCCTGTATAAGGTGTCTAGCAACCCCTGTTGGGGTGGTCTCACCCAGTCAGGAGGTACAGGATCCAGGACCCACTTAATGAAGCACTCTGACTACCCCTTGGCAGAGGGGGTGCATTACACTGGGGGAAATCCCACTTGTCCTGACTGCCCAGATTCCTCAGAGCTGGTAGAGGGAAAGACTAAGTCTGCTGATCCATGGAGACCACGGATGCCCCTCCCCTCTAGGAGCTCAGTCCCTGGGAGATCAGAGTTCTGTCCACAAACCTCTGGCTGGAGTTGCTGAAATTCCTGCAGGGAGGCCCCGCACAGTGAGGGGTTATGGTCAGGGTCCGACCTAAAGAGGCAGTCTGGCCACCATCTGCCACAGCCTCTGTGCTGCACTGTGGTGAATTCCTCCTGGGTCTAAACTGTCTATTTTCCCAGGCACCATCAGAGGAGAAATGGCAGACTGGAGCTGCAGTGATGTCTGCTGCCCCTCGCCCAGGGAGCTCAGTCATCTGAGGCAGCAGACAGCCAAAGTGATGACAGCCGTCCCTTCCCCCAGGAACTTGGTAGTCTTCGGCAGTCTGTAGCTAAGTGGCCACTGAGAATCTGTGCAGCTCTATGCTTGGGACTCAAGGAACTGGTGGCATGGGCTCACGGAGGGGATCTCCTGATCCACCAGTTGCACAGATCCATGGAAAAAGTGTGGTTTCCCGGGCAGGATAGCACAATCACTCACTGCCTCTCTTGGCTGGGAGTAGGAGCTCCCCTTGTCCTGTGCAGCTCCCAGGTGGGCTGTCACTCCACCCTGCTTTTCCTCACTCTCCATGGGTCATGCCAACCACCTTGTCAGTCCCAATGAGAGAACCTGGATACCTCAGTTGCTGGTGCAGGATTCACTTGCCGTTTTCGGTCTTCTTGGTGGGAGCCTCTGACCACAGCTGTTTCTAGTTGGCTTTCTTGGCCCCTCCCCTTCCAAATGTGGCTTTTTTGCTCTGGGTTTCTGCTCCCCTTTTAATTTTGATAACTAGAAAATGTTTCTAATTTTTCAATGATCTCAGCTATGAATTTTAAAGGATACTTACTATATTAATCTTCCCTTAAACTCAACTTTCTACCTGCTTTATGCCTGCACCCAACCAGCAGAATAAGCATTGAGTAAAACAGGGAACTGTGATAATTGACCTCACTACTATTCTGTTTCTCTTCCCTCTTTTGTAGCAGAACTCCTCAAAATAGTTGAGGCGCCCTTCTCTGTGTGTTCACATGACAGTAGCTCCATAACCCACTCCAATTAGGCTTTTTTCCCTACTTGTCCATTTAACCTGCTGCCAATCTGTTGATCACTTCCTGGTTCTCAGTGTATTCACCTCACAGCAGTTTGTGACACAATTTATCATTCCCTTTTTTTTTTCTGAAATACTTTATTCACTTGTCTCTGGAACCCGTGCGTGTCTGTTTCTTCTCTCTACTTCACTGACTCCCTTTTTCTGTTTCCTTTGCTAGTGCTATCTCTTCTTCCTGCACTCTGCATTTAGGACTGCTCCAGCGCTTCTCCCCGGACTTTTCTTTTCATATGTACACTCACACTTTAGATTCAGTCGGTCACTGTCCAGTCAGAAGATGAGACTACAAGGCTTATTTGAACAGTGGGAATTTAATAAAAAGAATTGCTAACTAGCAAAAAGTGATTACCTACTGAAAAAGCCTTAGAGGTAGCCACCATAGAAAGCAGCAACCCTAGTACTAAGGGAGAGTGAACAAGTTAAAGGTGATTCAGACCTGTTTGGAAATGGTGTGGCTGCCACCAGAACATTCAGTGAGCTTGTGGCGAAAAAGCTTGCCAGAGGGTGCAGCCCTCAGTGGAACAGTGAGAGTAGTCACTTGGTGAAGGAGAAGCTTGCCAGAGGCAGCAGGCCAGAGCTGAATGGTCAGAACCACTGCTTGAAGAGCTTAACCTAGGGCAAAATCATTGAACTGTGAGGACTCCTGCCAGAGAATCTTCCTGAAGTCCGCAAATTGCAGCTAAATTGTTAGAGCCATTACAGTGATGGTGGAGAAACTTGCTGAAAGAGGCAGTTGGGGCTGCCACTCTGGTGAATGCCATCAGGCCCCCTTCATGCCAGTGCCCGGGCTCTGTTAGTAAAACAGCACACTGGAGGAAGGGAGTCACTTCTGTTTTGGCCTTGTAGTGTCTCTCCAGCTCCCTCTACTGGCAAGCTAGCAAAAAAGTCTGTGAGGCCCAAAGTGGCAGATTTGGAACTGAGAGGCAATAAATTAATAACCAGCACAGTCTTCCCCTCTGGCTAGTCAGGATCCACATGAACCTTTATACACACATTTGAACTTCAGTACAATCACAGAACTAACCTTATGTTTCTACCCAAAGAGATGCAGCTACCCTTGGTACAAGTGAAGTAGTTCTCACCCCTAAAGAGAGAAGACCTACGCTATTCTCAAATTTAGTCACGGTCTTATATTCTTTTAACACAAGGAATATTCTTTTAACACAAAATTGTAAAGTTAACCTCCAACAAACTTGTATAAAATATGAAGGAGAAAAAGGAGAGAAAAGTCAAATAGTTAATATACACAAATAAAGATATACATATAACAAACATTATATGCAGCTCCTGAAAAGGATTCATATATTAAATTGTCTCCTTCATGTCTTCACTTGAACTTCTCATAGGCATCTTTAACTTAATTTGTACAGAACTAAGCACTGGTGGTTCCTCCTCTAGTTTATCCCATCTCAGTAAATGGCATCACCACTCAAGCAAAACCATGCCCTTGACGCCTTTCACCCCACATCCAGTTGGTCAAAGTTCTGCCAGCTCTATCTTTGAAATATATCCAAATCCTTCCTCTTATCACCTCCACTGCTGCCACCCAGCTCCAGGTCATCATCATCTCTTGACTCTCAAATCTGAGAAATCACATCTTAGATTTCTTCATTTCCAATGTATGCTTGATAATTAAATGACTACTTGTTCTCAACTTATGCTATAACTTTTCATTCTGTATATACCCTGTCCTTTCCTCATCAGATTTCATACAAGATACCAAAATCCTTAGGGCTTTTGAATATGTTTGCTGCAACCCTTGCTGTTAGGGTAAGCCCTTTTTTGTGTTTATCAATGCAGCACTAACCCTTATTTTTACGAATGTTAACATCATTAATGACATTAATGAACGATATTAATTTATCATTAATAATAAAAATATCATTTCATATATGGTTCTGAAACGTATATATACAGATGTATCTTCCTACCTTTAATAATGGCCTATTAGATTTTTAAAAATATTTTAGTTTCATAGGCCAGGTGCTGTGGCTCATGCCTGTAATCCCAGCACTTTGAGAGTCTGAGGCAGGTGGTTCACCTGAGGTCAGGAGTTCAGGACCAGCCTGACCAACATGGTGAAACCCCATCTCTACTAAAAATACAAAAGTAGCCAGGCCTGGTGGCACATGCCTGTAATCCCAGCTACTTGGGAGCCTGAGGCAGGAGAATCACTTGAACCCAGGAGGCGGAGGTTGCAGTGAGCTGAGATCATGCCATTGCACTCCACCCTGGGCAACAAGAGAGAAATTCCATCTCAAAAAAAATTACTTTTATAAAGATGACTTATTTCTTAAATTTCTGTTTTTTTGGAAAGAAGCTACAAAGGTAAAACCTACTCTGCAAAACTTCCACATATATCATTGGCTTTTTATGTTAATTAAAATCTCTCATTCTTTTTCATCAACTTAATTTCTTTTAAGGTAAATATCCATACTTGCTTTTGTTGTATTCAGAAGTGAGTTTCATTCCTGCTTAGAATTCCATACCATTGACTTCTATAGAAAACTTAATCTGTATCTCGACTCCTTTTTAATATTGATTTGAAGCCATAATAAAGAGGCAACCTTTTTAGCAAATATTTTTTTTTTTTTTGAGGCAAGGTCTCACTCTGTAACCCAGGCTGGAGTGCAGTGGTGCAATCATAGCTCACTGCACCCTCAACCTCCTGGGCTCAAACAGTCCTCCCGCCTCAGCTTCCTAAGTAAATGGGACTACAGGTGTGTGCCACCATGCCTGTCTATTTATTTACTTACTTACCTGTCTTCCCTTCCCTCTTCTCTCTTCCCCCTCGCCCCTTCTCCTTTGCCCCTTGCCCCTTCCCCTACTCTGCCTACTGGCAGAGATGGGGTCTTGCTATGTTGCCCGGGCTGGTCTTAACCTCCTGGCCGCGGGCAGTCCTCCTGCCTCAGCTCCCCAGAGTGCTTGGATTATAGGCATGAGCCACCACACCTGGCCCATACTTTAAATTAGAAAAAAGGGAAAATTGCCTAATATGCTCTTTCTCTTTCAGGTGGGAGGTGTTGCTGTTTTTCTCCTGATGGTAAAGCTTTAGCCGTAGGTCTCAACGATGGAAGCTTCTTAATGGCAAATGCGGATACTCTAGAGGATCTTGTGTCTTTTCATCACAGAAAAGATATGATTTCAGATATTCGATTTTCACCTGGTAAGATCCATTGAAATTGTATTTGAGTATTAACTTGGGTCTGGCAGTGTATAAATGTATCAATGTATAATTTTTATTAACTGTTATGTTATCTCAGAACTTAACTTTTTTACTAGAAGAGGCAGTGTAGCAAGAGGTAAAAGCCCTGTTGTTAGATTGGTGCAAATATCTGTCTTAGCGCCAATTCTGTTACTAAATTTTCTGTGTGACTTGAGCCAGGATGCTTCTCTGAGCTTTTGTTTCCTCATTTGTGATATAAAAGGGGTTGGATAACTGTTTTCGTTATATTCTTAATGCTTTTGAAATTGCACTCATTTTACTCCATTAATTTCCATGTATTCATTATCTACTACAAACCTACTGTAATGTAGCAATTACTAATGTTAAGGCAAAATTTACTTATGTTGGTTTAGTTCCATTTTTTTCTAAATTTAGAGGGAGTTTTGTTAAATACAAAGTATCAAAACTACATCATACATAGCTTTTGACATTTGCTTCCCACTGAACTAATTTGTTACACTAAAAAATTATTTTGTTAAGTATAATATACTTGAAAAATGTTATCATTTGTTATTTAACACATCTGTTTTATTATAATTTATGAAACAGCTAAGATTTCTCCATAAAGAAAAGGAAAATTAACTCTAGTTGCAGAGTGTAAAAAAGTATTTCCAAAGATAGAAAATGTCAAGCAAATATGTTTCTATTATAGGTTCTGGGAAATATCTTGCTGTAGCATCCCATGACAGCTTTATAGATATATACAATGTAATGAGTAGTAAACGAGTAGGAATATGCAAAGGAGCTACCAGTTACATAACCCATATTGATTGGGATATTAGAGGTAAGACTTTAAATAACTTAATACTTGATAAAAGTTTCATTTGATTTAGTATAGCTATATTAGAGAAACGGAAAAGTGATTCAACAGATGAGTTAAAAAGAATTGGGAAAAACAACCATTATTCTCAAAATTATTTTTTACTATTTTACATCTGAAGATGAATACTATAGAGTTGAGACTTTTCTTTTTCCTTTTTCTTTTCTTTTTTTTTTTTTTTGAGACAGGTCTCACTCTGTCACCCAGGCTGGAATGCTGTGGTACAATCACAGTTCACTACAACCTTAACCTCCTGGGCTTAAGTCATCCTCCCAACTCAGCCTCCTGAGTGCTGGGACTACAGGCATGCACCACCATGCCTGGCTAATTTTTAAATGTTTTGTACAGACAGGTTCTCACTATATTGCCCAGGCTGGTCCCGAACTCCTGGACTCAAGCAGTCCTCCCACCTTGGCATCCCAAAGTGCTGTGATTATAGGCATGAGCCACTGCACCCAACCTACACTTTTCAATACTTCACCTAATATCGTTCAAATAATAGTACAGTAAGTGATTAGTTGTTTAATTTGTAAAGTGATTTAAATATTGTGCAAAAAAATTGTTGTGAAGATGTCTTGATCTTTGTCATATAAATTTGACATAAATAGAATATAGAAATGTTGGCCAGGTATGGTGGCTCATGCCTGTAATCTCAGTACTTTGGGAGGCCAAGGCTGGAGGACTGCTTGAGCCCAGGAGTTTGAGACCAGCCTGGGCAACACAGTGAGACCCCATTCCTAAAAAAAAAAAATGAAATACATTTTTAAAAAGAAATGTTAATGAAGATTTTAAAGTCATTTTTCTCATTGTTTGATATGAAATATATCTTCAAAAAGAGTCATAATCATATAACATAAAGAACTTAATGAGTATGTTTGTATTTTAGCAGAATGCATGGCATATGACTGAGTTTAATATGTTTGATAAATGTTAAGTATTTTAAATCCTCTCTTTTTAAGGATGTTATTGTTTCATGTATTCAACTATATTGTATTCAACTATATAAATTGAGCATCATAAAGTTTTTCTAAATATAGTTAAACAGATACACTTTAAAAAATATTTTAACATTTGTTTCTAGGAATTTTTTACATATGCATAACCAAAGAAATCATTTTTATGTATATACATATACAAAAATCAAACCACTTATGAATTTAGTTACTTAGTAATATGGAATTATAAAAATAAAATGTTCTTACTATAAGTTGACTGCAGCAGAAAATGGTTTTTATATTTAAGCTGATTTTTTCCCATAAAACTTAAACATCATACTGATGGTATATATATTTGTATGTATTTTATATGTGTAAATATTTTTAAAAATTTTTTTGAAGGAAAGCTTTTACAGGTCAACACTGGTGCTAAGGAACAATTATTCTTTGAAGCTCCCAGAGGGAAAAAACAAACCATCCCCAGCGTGGAGGTAGGACAACAGTGGTGCTTGCAGTGTTGTTCATGTGAATAAAAGTGGCTAGAAAACTGATACCTACTTTCTATCGTTTAGTTACACGTGAAGTCTGTTCTCAAATTATTAAAATATTGGATATTATTGAGTTTATTGAGTCAGAATACATGGGTGAAGGAAGAAACACTATATTAATAAAAGGAGTCAGTGGGCATGGTGGCTCACGCCTGTAATCCCAACACTTTGGAAGCAGAGGCAGGCAGATTGCTTGTGCTCAGGAGTTCAAGACCAGACTGGATAACATGCTGAAACCCCATCTCTACAAAAAAATACAAAAAATTAGCTGGGCATGGTGGCATGTGCCTATAGTCCCAGTTACTTGGGAGGCTGAGGTGGGAGGATTGCTTGAACCTAGGAGGCGGAGGCTGCAGTGAGCCATGTTCATGCCACTACACTCCAGCCTGGGTGACAAAGTGAGACCCTGTATTAAAAAAAAAAAAAAAAAAGGAATAAATCACTTGCACGGCTAGCTGTGCTCCAGTTGCTTTCCTTAAAAGACAAGAAGCGTGAAATAGCAAATAGAAGACATGCCATCTAAGATTGGAGTATTGCATATCTGCCACGTCCTTAGGAATCCATATGCCTAAGAAGTTTGTTGGCAGATTACTGTTTTTGCTTCTTTAAAAAAAAAAAAAAAAAAAAAAAAAAACAAGAAAAATTGTGTTGCATTTTGTGCCTGACAATATTAGCCTTTTTTTTTTTATTTTTTATCTTGGCCTAGGAAGAGAGGCTTAACAAATTTAACATGAAAGTGTCTTAATGAAGGGAGAGACCATAAGTAAAAGTTCTAAATTTCTAGTAAGGGTTAGTTGGAAAACATAATGCATTATTAGAAATTTAAACATGAACTGTAAGAATCTTACTTGATTATCCTAAAGTCAGAAACGGTTTTATTATTAACACTGTATGCTTAGCATCTAGAACACACAGTGGATATATAATTATATTCTGAATAATACTATGTTAAAATTTTTCTGCAGCAATTAGTAGGCTCTGGGGAGTTACAAAACCAAGACAACTAATAATTTAACTATTTTTTCATTAAAACTTTCATTTTACTTGTGACACACATAACTACAAAGAAAAATGTTTACATTTTGGTTGTTAATACTTTAGGTTTGGATAATCCAAACTTACAGCATTGTTTTTCATTTTTAGGTAGAAAAAATTGCTTGGGCATCATGGACAAGTGTACTTGGTTTATGCTGTGAAGGAATTTGGCCAGTAATTGGAGAAGTTACAGATGTAACTGCTTCTTGCCTCACCAGTGACAAAATGGTTCTAGCTACCGGGGACGATTTGGGATTTGTGAAGTTATTTAGATATCCTACTAAAGTATGTGTTTTTCTTTAACTTTCCTAATGATCATCAATTATGAAATGGTTAAGGTAATGTCCTGTCATAGCACTTCATTGTTATTAATTGTACATATGTAATATGTAATGTTGTAATATGAAAGGTTCAGAATTATGTTTCATATCTATAGCTTTTAAGTATTGTAATTTATAATCCCATACATTAAGTTATATATCATATCCTATAGTGTTTTTCAATATTGACTAATATGAATATCCCTTTTACAAGAAACATCTTGGCTGGGGACAGTGGCTCATGCCTATAATCCCAGTATAGTACTTTGGGAGCCTGAGGTGGGAGGATCACTTGAGGCCAGGCGTTTCAGGCCAGCCTGGGCAGCATAGCAAGACTTCCTCTCTACAAAACAGAGAAAAAAATTAGCCAGGCATTGTGGCACATGCCTGTAGTCCTAGCTACTCAGGAGGCTGAGGTGGGAAGATTGCTTGAGCCCAGGAGTTGGAGGCTACAGTGAGCTGTGGTCATGTCATTGCACACCAGTCTGGGTGACAGCGCAAAACCCTGTGTCAGAGAGAGAGACACATTCCTTTTATCCCCAATATTAACTTCAATAATTTTTCAATTTTTAATTAAATATATACTATTAACAATAAATATAAACTCTTTATAGTTACAGCTTCAAACTTGAAGTTGTTTTAACCAATTAAATAGAAAATACTTACACTTATAAAATTAAGCACCATTGATTTAATGTAATGAATGACTTTTTTTGAAACCAAATCATACAAATTCTTTTTTTCTGCTTTCGTAGCAGAATATATGTGCATTTTAAATCATCAGCATCATTTGTTGATGATTTTCTGCTTAAAATTGGTATTTACTTCCTGCTTATGTATATTAAGTTTTTTTTTTCTTTTTTCTTTTTTTTTCCCTGAGATGGAGTCTCACTCTGTCGCCAGGCTGGAGTGCAGTGGCATGATCTAGGCTCACTGCAACCTCCACCTCCCGGGTTCAAGCTATTCTCCTGCCTCAGCCCCCTGAGTAGCTGGGATTACAGGCGCGCACCACCATGCCCAGCTAATTTTTTTGTATTTTTAGTAGAGATAGGGTTTTACCATGTTGGTCAGGCTGGTCTCAAACTCCTGACCTTGTGATCCGCCCACTTCGACCTCCCAAAGTACTAGGATTACAGGCGTGAGCCACTGGGCCTCGCCAACAGATTCTTTGGCATTCTACGTACCTATGCTAATGTGTGCTGTGCAAGTACTTAATTCTTTTATCACTTCCCTCTGTTCAAACTACTGTAAAATATTAGGCTTTTCCTTAACACGGAAATAAAATTTATATATCAAGTCCAGATACAATGCATTCCTTTCTTTTTTTTTTTTTTTTAAGACAGCGTCTCTCTCTGTGACCCAGGCTGGAATGCAATGGCGCAATCATGGCTCACTGCAGCATCGACCTTCCAGACCCAAGTTATCCTCCCACCTCAGCCTCTTGAGTAACTGGGACCACAGGCACATGCCACCATGCCTGGCTAATGTAAAAAAAAATTTTTTTTTGTAGAGATGGGGTCTCCAGATGTTGCCTATGCTGGTCTCAAACTCCTGAACCCAGGTGATCCTCCTGCCTCGGCATCCTAAAGTGGTGGGATTACAGGCGCGAGTCACTGTTATCTGGCAGCATTTATTTCTTAATTCACAAATTAAGTTATATATTATACTCTGGCACCAACATGAACATAAAGATAAATTTGAAATATGGCACTGAAATGATATTGTGGTATTCAGTTCCTGGTGATCTTGAGTAACTGCTCATATTAATATTTTTAGATCAGCATTGAAATGAAAACACAGGTTTAAAAATTCTCATTGAAAACTCAGACACCCAAGAAAATATTCCACTGATTCCTGTTTTAGATACATGTAAATGGTAGAGTCTTAGTTGTTAACAATGTGTTCCACTAAAATATTTGCCAGAAACTTCACTTCCAGCGTTCCAGATGGTGTAGATCCCTTAGGAATAGGTTCTGGAATATTGATCTGCAGATTATGTTTTCACCTTAGTGTAGCAAGAACCACACAGTCTTAGAGAAACTACCTTCTTGCCATGCTTTGATGACAGATCCCTCACCCTGACTTAATTATTAAGAGTCATCATTCCTGCTGGGCGCAGTGGCTTACGCCTATAATCCCAGCACTTTGGGAGGCCGAGGCAGGTGGATCACCTGAGGTCAGGAGTTCGAGACCAGCCTAGTCAACATGGTGAAACCCCGTCTCTATTAAAAACAGAAAAAATTAGCTGGGCACGGTGGCGGGTCCCTGTATTCCCAGCTACTTGGGAGGCTGAGGTAGAAGAATCGCTTGAACCAGGAGGCGGAGGTTACAGTGGGCCAAGATCGTGCCACTGCATTCCAGTATCAAAAAAAAAAAAGAGAGTCGTCATTCCTAGGGAATTCACAAATTTTGCTATCACTGTGTTTTGTATAAGACATCTCTCATTTTAACACCTTTGAAAAGATGTTAACGGAAAACCTGCTTTATGATGCTTTGATCTGAAATTTATGTAACTTGGTAATGCTAATACCATAATAACAATAACTTAAACTTTATTGTTATTTAAAAGGAAAATACATTTCTATGTGTATTGCTTACAAAAAAAAGCACTAATGAATTGAGATGAAAGATATTTACATGGGTATATAAATATATGTGTACCAAAGCAATCAATCGATAGTTACTTTTTGTTAACATACTCATGCTGTACATAGGCATGTGTATCCTTTCTCAATTATTGTATCTATTTCCAACAGTACATCTGCATAACCATTGTCTTTAATATATATACACTATTCCATATACATTGTAATTAACTATTACTTTGAACATTTAAGGTATTTAATTTTTTTCACTACTATAAGTAAATACCATGGTAAGTATTTTTTTACACAGATAGCATTTCTTAGCATAGATCCCTAAAAGGGAGATGGGTGAGTCAAATACAAGAACATTTTTATGCTTTTAATGCAGAATACCAAGTTGGTTTTTTAAAGAGTTTTGCCTGGGGTACCAGCATTTTGTGAAACTACTGGTTTTAGATCTTGTCCTTAACAGGTTTAGGAATTGGTATCTTTTATTCTGCTGAGTTTCAGTATTTTCTCATTTTTTTTAACACATTGCACTTGAAATGATTAATTTTTAATTATTAATAAAATTCAAAATCATAATGGAAATATTTAAATAATGAAATTTCTCAGAAAGATTGTTTGAATTTTCTTCCTCTTTAGGGGAAATTTGGAAAGTTTAAGAGGTATGTGGCCCATAGTACACATGTCACAAATGTTCGCTGGACTTATGATGACAGCATGTTGGTTACCCTAGGCGGTACAGATATGTCTTTAATGGTGTGGACAAATGAGATGGAAGGCTATCGAGAAAAAAGGCCTTGTGATAGTGAAGAATCCGACATTGATTCTGAAGAAGATGGGGGTACGTCATTTTATAATACTTGAACAAAAATATAGGGAAAATTTAGCACAACTTGTTTAAGCTGTGGAAGTTAAAGCAAGTAATAATAATGTTTGAATAATTGTAGTGGTACTGTTTTTAGTCTGTTTAACATCAAAATCCATTTTGTGACTCAAGAACAACAGGTTGCCATGAATTTATGACTTTGATATTATTTATCTACAAATGAAAAATATCTGAATTTTAAATAAGTACTGTTAAGGTAAATTTTATATTATTAAACCTCATATTTTAAAATAATTTTGATTTTCTTCTAATATACCAGTAATATCAGCTCGTTATAGAAAATGTATTTTGCCATAAAAATTAAACACAGCCTCCATAATTTGACCACACAGAGGTAACACCTCTTCTAATATTTGGGGTATATCCTAAGATGTATGTAGCTAATATTTTTTTAAGAAAAGTATGGTCATATTGAACTTATTTTTTAACCTGCTATTATTACTTAGTAATACTTTGAAAACATCATTACATATAATTAAATATTCTTCTACATCGTTTTTTCTGGTTGTATATTACTTCATAATTTGCTTATAACAACTTAATTTATTTCATATTGTTGAACATCTTTGTATCCAATTTATAAGATCATAATTGATCTCAGTTATTGCTTAAAGAATTACTCGTATATTTTTATTGTAGGCTATGACAGTGATGTTACAAGGGAGAATGAAATCAGTTACACCATCAGAGCCTTATCAACAAATATTCGCCCAATGTTAGGAATCAAGCCTCATTTACAACAAAAAGAACCCTCAATTGATGAAAGGTAATAATTTAGTTTAGTATTAGATGAAGAAAAAGATATTGTCATTAAAAATGGAATTTATTATTTAAGTGGCTTTTTTACACAAACTAAGTAACAGTGATATTCTTGCTATAGACAATTCACAGCACCTCTTAGAAAGTATGTCTGTCTTTAAATACCTTTTGGTATCAGCCTGGGTGATGTAGTGAGACCTTGTCTCTATGGAAATATAAAAATAATCCAGGTTTAGTGGTGTGTGTTTGTAGCCCCAGCTACTTCAAAGGCTGAGGCAGGAGCATTGCTTGAGCCCAGGAAGTTGAGATTGCAGTGAGTTATGATTGGTGCCACTGCACTCCTACCTGAGTGTCAGAATGAGGCCCTGTCTCAAAAAAAAATACCCACAAAAACAAAACCCTATTGATGGTAACACTATGTGTTAACACTATTGGTTTAGGGATTTATACATGTTTATAAGGTTGATATGATTCATCTTATTTGCTAACTTTTATAAATGTGTGTGATGAGGTTGGAGGAGATAATAAAAATTGAATCCAATACCGAGTACTTTTTAAGAAGTATGTGAGCAGTATTGTGATTCAATTTTGAAAAGGCCTGCCTATCCATGTGCCTTTCTTTAAGCATAGTCAGTCCTCATTTCAAAAATTTTCTAAAAAGGCAGGTTGTCTTTAATGGGAATTATTGGTCTTAGTCTAGAATCAGCAAATAAAAAAGTAAGGACATATGCAAGGCCATTTTATGAGGAGAGATCACTTTTTTTTAATTATACTTTAAGTTCTGGGATACATGTGCAGAACGTGCAGGTTTGTTACATAGGTATACATGTGCCATGGTGGTTTGCTGCATCCATCAGCCCATCATCTACATTAGGTATTTCTTCTAATGCTATCCCTCCCCTAGCTCCCCACTCCCTGACAGGCCCCAGTGTGTGATATTCCCCTCCCTGTGTCCATATGTTCTCATTGTTCAACTCCCACTTATGAGTGAGAACATGTGGTGTTTGGTTTTCTGTTCCTGTGTTAGTTTGCTGAGAATGATGGTTTCCAGCTTCATCCATGTCCCTGCAAAGGACATGAACTCATCCTTTTTTATGGCTGCATAGTATTCCGTGGTGTTTATGTGCCACATTTTCTTTATCCAGTCTATTATTGATGGACATTTGAGTTGGTTCCAAGTCTTTGCTATTGTGAACAGTGCTGTAATAAATATACATGTGCATGTGTCTTTATAGTAGAATGATTTATAATCCTTTGGGTATATACCCAGTAATGGGATTCCTGAGTCAAATGGTATTTCTAGTTCTAGATCCTTGAGGAATTGCCACACTGTCTTCCACAATGGTTGAACTAATTTACACTCCCACCAACAGTGTAAAAGCATTGCTGTTTCTCCACATCTTCTCCAGCATCTGTTGTTTCCTGACTTTTTAATGATCACCATTCTAACTGATGTGAGATGGTATCTCATTGTGGTTTCGATTTGCATTTCTCTAATGACCAGTGATGATGAGCTTTTTTTCATGTTTTTTGGCCACATAAATATCTTCTTTTGAGAAGTGTCTGTTCATATCCTTAGCTTTTTGATGGGGTTGTTTCTTTCTTGTAAATTTGTTTAAATTCTTTGTAGATTCTGGATATTAGCCCTTTGTCAGATGGATAGATTGCAAAAATTTTCTCCCATTCTGTAGGTTGCCTATTCACTCTGATGATGGTTTCTCTTGCTGTGCAGAAGCTCTTTAGTTTAATTAGATCCCATTTGTCAATTTTTGCTTTTGTTGCAATTGCTGTCAGTGTTTTAGTCATGAAGTGTTTGCCCATGCCAAGTCCTGAATGGTATTAGCTAGGTTTTCTTTTAGGGTTTTTATGGTTTTAGGTCTTATGTTTAAGTCTTTAATTCACCTTGAGTTAATTTTTGTATAAGGTATAAGGAAGGGGTCCAGTTTCAGTTTTCTACATACGGGTAGCTAGTTTCCCCAACACCATTTATTAAAGAGGGAATCCTTTCTCATTGCTTGTTTTTACCAGGTTTGTCAAAGATCAGATTGTTGTAGATATGTGGCATTATTCCTGAGGCCTCTGTTCTGTTCCATTGGTCTATATATCTGTTTTGGTACCAGTACCATGCTGTTTTGGTTACTGTAGCATTGTAGTATAGTTTGAAGTCAGCTAGCATGATGCCTCCAGCTTTGTTCTTTTTACTTAGGATTGTCTTGGCTATATGGGCTCTTTTTTTAGTTTCATATGAAATTTACAGTAGTTCAATTCTGTGAGGAAAGTCATTGGTAGCTTGATGGGGATAGCATTGAATCTACTTTAAACCAACAAAGATCAAAAAAGACAAAGAAGGGCATTACATAATGGTAAAGGGATCAATGCAACAAGAAGACCTAACTTTCCTAAATATATATGCACCCAATACAGGAGCACCCAGATTCATAAACCAAGTTCTTAGAGACCTACAAAGAGACTTAGACTCCCACACAAAAATAGTGGGAGACTTTAACACCCCACTGTCAATATTAGATCAACGAGACAGAAAATTAACAAGGATAATCAGGAGTTGAACTCAGCTCTGGACAAACGGACCTAATAGACATCTACAGAACTGTCCACCCCAAATCAACAGAATATACATTCTTCTCAGCACCACATCACATTTATTCTAAATTTGACCACATAATTGGAAGTAAAACACTCCTCAGCAAATGCAAAAGAACAGAAATCATAACAAACAGTCTCTCAAACCATAGTGCAATTGAATTGGAACTGAGGATGGAGAGACTCACTCTGAACCATACAACTACATGGAAACTGAACAACCTGCTCCTGAATTACTACTGGGTAAATAACAGAATTAAGGCAGAAATAAATAAGTTCTTTGAAACCAATGAGAACAAAGAATACAGCATACCAGAATCTCTGGGACACAGCTAAAGCAGTCTTTAGAGGGAAATGTATAGCACTAAATGCCCACAGGAGAAAGTGGGAAAGATCTAAAATCAACATCCTAACATCACAATTAAAAGAACTAGAGAAGCAAGAGCAAACAAATTCAAAAGCTAGTAGAAGACAAGAAATAAAGATCAGAGCACAACTGAAGGAGAGAGAGACACAAAAAACCCTTCAAAAAATCAGTGAATCCAGGAGCTGGTTTTTTGAAAAGATTGACAAAATAGATAGACTGCTAGCCAGACTAATAAAGAAGAAAAGAGAGAAAAATCAAAAAGACACAATAAAAAATGTTAAAGAGGATATCACCACTGATTGCACAGAAATACAAACTACCATCAGAGAATGCTATAAAGACCTCTACGCAAATAAACTAGAAAATCTAGAAGTGGATAAATTCCTGGACACATACACCCTCCCAAGACTAAACCAGAAGTGGAATCCCTGAATAGACCAATAACAAAGTCTGGAATTGAGGCAGTAATTAATAGCCTACCAACCAAAAAAAAGCCCAGATGGATTCGCATCCGAATTCTACCAGAAGTACAAAGAGGAGCTGGTACCATTCTTCTGGCTATTCCAAACAATAGAAAAAGAGAGACTCCTCCCTAACTCATTTTATGAGGTCTGCATCATCTTGATACCAAAACCTGGCAGAGACACAACAAAAAAAGAAAATTTCAGGCCAATATGCCTGGTAAACATCGATGTGAAAGTCCTCAGTAAAATACTGGCAAACTAAATCCAGCAGCACATCAAAAAGCTTATCCACCACAATCAAGTCGGCTTCATCCCTGGGATGCAAAGCTCATTCAACATACCAAAATCAATAAATGTAATCCATCACATGAACAGAACCAATGACAAAAACCACATGATTATCTCAATAGATGCAGAAAAGGCCTTCGATAAAATTCAGCACCCCTTCATGCTAAAAACTCTCAATAAACTAGGTTTTGATGGAACATATCTCAAAGTAATAAGAGCTATTTATGACAAACCCACAGCCAATATCATACTCAATGGGCAAAAACTGGGAGCATTCCCTTTGAAAACCGGCACAAGACAAGGATGCTGTCTCTCACTACTTTGATTCAACATATTGTTGGAAGTTCTGGCCAGGGCAATTAGGCAAGAGAAAGAAATAAATGGTATTCAAATAGGAAAAGAGGAAGTCAAATTGTCTCTGTTTGCAGATGACATGATTTTATATTTAGAAAACTCTATTGTCTCAGCCCAAAATCTTCTTAAGCTGATAAGCAAGTTCAGCAAAGTCTCAGGATACAAGATAAATGTGCAAAAATCACAAGCATTCCTCTACACCAATAATAGACAAACAGCCAAATCATGAGTGAACTCCCATTCACAACTGCTACACAGAGAATAAAATACCTAGGAATACAACTTACAAGGGATGTGAAGGACCTCTTCAAAGAGAGGTACAAACCACTGCTCAAGGAAATAGGAGAGGACACAAACAAATGGAAAAACATTCCATGCTCATGGATAGGAAAAAATCAATATCGTGAAAATGGCCATACTGCCCAAAGTAATTTAGAGATCACTTTTTAATAAAGTCTCTGAGCTAGATGACAGATTAAGAAATAAATTGTGAAACTAGTGTTTCAAAATCAAAGGTGGTAAACAATAAAAAGGGATATGGAGCATTGAATGGCATGGACTTCAGAAGCAAAGAGGTTTAAAGAACAAAAAAGGAAAAGATCCAGAAACAGTAAGAAGGAACAGAGGGAGTGGGAGGTGAGAACAAGGTTGTGGTGAGGAAAACTTTATTATGAGAAGTTAGTGGACAATTTGAGGGAGAAATTAAAAGGGAATTCATTCACAGTTGAACAGGATTTGTAGAAAATTCAAGCGAATTTGTGGCCATTTAGGATAGTGCTGAAGAATTTTGGAACTCAGAGAGATAGAAATGACTACAGGAAAGCTTCGTCAGAGGGATTTGAGTTTGCACCTATGGATTTTATATTCGGGGAAAGGGATGAAGTTAAGGTGAAAAACACGTTAGTAATGGGGAAGGGAGAACTGAGAGATCTTGTAAATTGACTGACCCCCGCGTTGCCAGGGAAGTCTAGATGGAGTGTTAAGGGCGCAGTGCCTCCTCAGCTCCTTTTCCAGGTGTCGTTTGCTGATGGTATACCTCATGTACCTCAGATCATAGCAATGGGAGGTCACCTAAGGAAAGGGGATGGAGAGTGATCATCCAGTTTTTCATTATGTATAAAGAGGCAAAGTATTAAATTAGGGATATTTTTAAGAAAGCACAGTATACCATAATCTAAGTACTTGTACAGAATTCCATGTTTCAAGTAACTTGCTAGAATGCAGCATCGTATAGTGCAAAGGACATGAATTCTGGAGTCAGACAAATGGGTAAAATACTCATTTTTTTCATTACCAGTTGTGTGAGTTTGAAAAATTATTCATTCTTTCTGAACCTCAGTTTCCTCAGTGGCAAAATGAACATTATAATCCCTAACTTATGGTATATTTCAAGTTTTAAATGAAATAATGTAAATCAAGAATTTAGATAGTAGGTCTTCATTAATGACACCTTATCCCTTGGAATGAAATGAAAGTTAACTGAGGAGATACCTGGTAAATACTTAAACATTATTTCTGAAATTAAATATTCACAAAGCAATAAGCGCTACATATGTATTTATTAGATAAATACAGATAAATATGAAAATATAATATTATTTAAATATTCTAATTAGAATATTTGAAGTGTAGTGTTTAATATGACTTAAGGAAAATTATGTCTCCTAAGTAATGAAAAGTGAAAAGTGTTCTATGGGGAAGAAGGGGCTCTAGACATTCCCATAAATTTCTTTCATTTGTTATATTGATTTTTTAAAAAAATTATTTATTGGATAAATTTGGTATGTCAGAAAATGTGACCTAATTTTAATCTGTAGTCTGCTTCATTCACGGTAAAACACTTAAATGTAAATTTCCACCCATTGCTGAAGTGAGGCATGTTCTGACAGATGGAAATATTTTACTACTCATGAAGAATGATTAACACTGTCATAACTGAAATCTTTGATGTTAGCTTGTATATTCTGCAGCTAACTTTTTCAAAGTAATTTTTCAAATTGCTTTGCATTTTGTTCTCAATTTACTTTACAATTTCAACCCTGCTAAATATTTTGAAAATGACAAGGTGTGGGGAGGGAGAGAGAGGGTCTGTTGGCCCCCGTGGCAGAGTCCAAGCTCTACTCTTTGCCTTAAAAAAAAAAAAAAAAAAAAAAAGAAAATGACAAGGCAGAAGTCATCAATGTGATTTCATTTTCACAAAATGAAAAAAAATCAAAGGAGATTACAAATGAAGAGGTTCATATCTCTTTTACCAACTTAGAATATTTGTGAGGAGATAATATGGTTCATGGTTTATTTAAATAATTGCTTTTTAGTAACATATATTACTGTCATAAATATGAAATAAAGCACTTTATATGGAAAACAGGCCAGGTGCTGTGCCTCATGCCTGCAATCTCAGTGCTTTGGGAGGCTGAAGTGGGAGGACTGCTTGAGACTAGGTGTTTAGCACCAGCCTGGGTAACACAGCAAGACCCCATTTCTACAAAAAATAGAAAAATTAGCCAAGAATGGTAGTACATGCCTGTACCAGGAGGTTCCTACTCAGGAGGCTGAGCAGGAGGATTGCTTCAGCCCAGGAGTTGGAGGCTGCAGTGAGCTATGATCGCACCCTTGCACTCCAGCTATGGCAGCAGAGTGGGATCCTGTCTCTGGGAGAATAAATAAATGAAAAAAAAATTAAAAACAATTAAATACTT
Organism: Homo sapiens; assembly: GCF_000001405.40. NCBI lineage: Eukaryota > Metazoa > Chordata > Mammalia > Primates > Hominidae > Homo > Homo sapiens. The sequence goes on along the minus strand of NC_000014.9, from coordinate 88,650,609 downwards.
ATCAAATATCCACTTAAAAGGAAAAATGCTTCTGATGACAATAACCATTCTATTTGGTTGATACTTTCGTGGATGTTTTTCCTAAGTGATAATTTTACCTTTTTCTTTTTTAATAAATGTTTTTGTTTTTATTTTTTTGTTTTGTTTTGTTCTTTTGAGACAGAGTCTTGCTGTGTCGCCCAGGCTGGAGTGCAGTGGCACGATTTTGGCTCACTACAACCTCCAACTCCTGGGTTCAAATGATTCTCCTGCCTCAGCCTCCTGAGTAACTGGGATTACAGGCAGGCACCACCACGCCCAGTTATTTTTTGTTATTTTTAGTAGAGACGGGGTTTCACCATGTTGGCTAGGCTGGTCTCGAACTCCTGACCTCAAGTGATTCACCCACCTCAGCCTCCCGAAGTGCTGGGATTACAGGCATGAGCCACCTTGCCCAGCCAATAAATGTTTTTATAACAAATATTATGTATTTAAAGTAGTTAATTTTTGTCAAATTTCCAGTATTTGTGAATAAAAATATTTAAATCAATGTTTAAACCAATGTGACATAAGTTAGACATTTTTGTATTTCCTTAAAATTCTGTTGACATGTTGCCTTTCTTCTGTTTGCTAAAATGCTGTATTCTATTCATCATCAATTTTTATATGTTTTCCTACTTTTTTCCCCCTTGCTCCTTTTGAAGGCAGGGAGTAGTAAGGTAAGTGTTTTATAAAAGAAAATATTTTATTCAAAAATTTACCCTTTATTTTATTCTTTATGGTATTTTAAGGTATTTTTTCCCTATAAAACATTTAACTACATTTGTCAACAAAGCATTATAAAATGAAGTAGGACAAATTCTATAAAAGAGTTGCATTTTTAGATAGCATATATGGTTGTTATTATAAGGGTCTTCATTATGATAAATTGTTTTACATATGACTGTACAAACTACTACAATGCAAATGAATAGTTTTGGTTTTCTTTAAGTTTCAGAGGCTCGTAAAAACAAACCTAACCACACATATATTTAAGTGAAAGACTATTCAATTTTAAACCTGTTAACATGATTTAATGCATGTTTAATCCATTCATTTAAAAAGATGAAAAGAGGGTAACTATGGTATTTGTATGTTTAATAAAATGACATGTAGGTAAAGACTCTTTGGGTTACTTTTATATCTACCTTTGGTGATGTGAAAATGTCTTGAAAGAGTTTCTGAAACGACAGTGTGGAAATGGCTAGTCTGTTTTATAAATTAAAAAAGGTATCATGGCTGGGCACGGTGGCTCAGGCCTGTAATTGTGGCTCAGGCCTGTAATCTCAGCACTTGGGAAGGCCGAAGTGAGAGGATTGCTAGAGCCTGGGAGTTCAAGACCAGCCTAGACAACATGATGAGACCCTGTCTCTACAAAAAATAAAAGTAAAAATAAATTAGCTGGGTGTGGTGGCAGCCCTGTGGTCCCAGCTACTCAGGAGGCTGAGGTGAGAGGGTCTCTTGAGCCTGGGAGTTTGAGGCTGCAGTGAGCTGTGATGGCATCACTACACTCCAGCTTGGGCAACACAGCAAGACCCTGTTTCGGGGGTGGGGGGTGGCGGGAGGAAGGTATCACTAGGAAAATGCTGGGAGATAAGGATGAAAACAGTAGACTTGAGACCAGATGGTGCAGAAACTCAAATAATAGGCACCTGTTAATATTATATCTACAGCAGGAATCCATCATCTGTTTTAAGCAGAGTGGTGTGTACAAAGATATGAGTTCAGAGTATGAAGCAACCTCTAAAATGGGCCATAAAATCTTATACTATTTTACCAGAAATAAAGCACCCGGATCTAGCCTCACATCTAGAATAGCTTACTCAGTACTGATCTCTACATTTTAAAGGAGACTTGGATAGTTTATAATGGGCTAGAAGAAAGCACAGGAGGAAGGGAGGTTGGGAGGCCACTTCATATAAAGAATAGTTAATTGACCGGGTGCAGTGGTTTATGCCTGTAATCCCAGCACTTTGGGATGTTAAGTTTGAAGGATCAGTTGAGGCCAGGAGTTAAAGATCAGCCTAGCCAATCTGATGAGGCACCGTCTCTACAAAAAAAATTTTAAAAATTAGCAGGGTGTGGTGGTGTGCACCTGTGGTCCCAGCTACGTGGGATGCTGTGGCAGGAAGATGTCTGGAGCGTGGGAGGTCAAAGCTCAAGTAAGCCATGATCACACCACTGCACTCTAGCTTGGGTGACAGAGCAAGACCCTGTCTCAAAAAAATATAATAATTATTATTCTGGGAATCTTGTTTCAAAACAAGAAAACTAAATGGAGATATCATTGTTATCTTGGATATGAATGGCTTTTTATGTAGAAGAGACCTGTCACAAGCAGTATTTATACAGAGTTTAGATGATTAGTTGTCATCAAAGCTGTACAATGATTGTTCTAGACATGTAAAGAAGGTTCCTGGTCTCAGTGGGAAAATGGATGAAATGACTTTCATGATTCCTTCCAATTTTGTTTTGATCATTATGCTATTAAGAGAGAAAAAAAACTTTTTAAAGATTACTTTTTTTACTAGCAAAATTCTAAATTCAGCATAGTCCCGAGTGACTAATTCTGCCTGCTTGGATTCACTGACTGGGGAACCCTCTTAGGTCAGAACAGGTGGAACTTAGGCTCTTTAGACAATTTCCTTTGAAGTATCTCCAGTGCTACCAGCTTTTTAAATTAACATTTTAGTGCCAGTGCCCATTCTTAAAAACAAAAATAAGCTTAAATGTTTTGTTTAAAATTCAGATTATATTGCAGAAAAATAAGAATGGCAAGCTTTAAAGTTCACAACATGAAATATATTGAATTCTCATTTATTTGTTTTTTTCTTTTTTCACCTTTCTTGTGATTCCCTGTTATTAATTAATGGAGTAACCCTTTTTTTTTTTTTTTTTTTTTTTGAGACGGTCTCACTCTGTTACCTAGGCTGAGTGCAGTGATGTGATCACAGCTCACTGCAGCCTTGACCTTCCAGGTCAAGTGATTCTCCCACATCACCCTCCCATGTAGCTGGGACTATAGGTGCCACAGGCCTGGCTAATTGTTGTGTTTTTTATAGAGATGGGGTCTCACAGTGTTGCCCAGGCTGGTCTCAAACTCCCAGGCTCAAGCAATCCTCTTGCTTTGGCCTCTCAAAGTGCTAGGATTACAGGTGTGAGCCACTGTGCCCAGCCTTATGCCTTTTCTTTATTCTTTTTTCTTTCTTTTTTTTCTTTTTTTTGAGATGGAGTCGTGCTCTGTCGCCCAGGCTGCAGTGCAGTGGCGCATGCAGTCTTGGCTCACTGCAACCTCCGTTTCCTGGGTTCAAGCAGTTCTCCTGCCTCAGCCTCCTGAGTAGATGGGATTACAGGTGCGTGCCACCATGCCTGGCTAATGTTTTTTGTATTTTTAGTAGAGACGGGATTTCACCATGTTGGCCAGGCTGGTCTCGAACTCCTGACCTCGTGATCCTCCTGCCTTGGGCTCCCAAAGTGCTGGGATTATAAACTAAAAACAACAGGCCTTTAATATTATGCAATATAGCTGTCTGCATTAAACTTGTTAAAATATTTTATTACAGGAGGTATTTCACTAGTGTTTTCAATTCAAATTTATGTTGTAATCTTTTTCCCTCTTTATCTGCTGCTGAAAAGAGGTTCCAGGTAATCCTCTCTTTGCTGTGTTTACAAAGCCTAACTTTGTATTTTTGTCATCTTCCATATTTAGCATTAATGGGATACTGTTACTTAGTGTTCTTTACCTCTCTTCACAGTTTTGCACATTTTTTTCCTTTGGAATTGGTATCACTGAAATGAATAACATCTTAATTATTGGACTTACTCTGTATAAGTAACTGCTTTACTAAAACTTATCCATTCAACTTGTATAATTTTATAAGTTGTATAATTTTATTTTCAGCAATGATATACCTTATATAAATGATATTTATAAAAATTAAAATATGCTTAAATGATCTTTATAAAAATTAAAATGTGGTTAATTGTTATATAGGATTATATAGATAAAAATTACCTGTTTATTGTTTGGGTTACATTTAAAGCTGTCAGACAGTAACATAGAATAATATTCACCAACAAAATTGACTTGGGGAAAAAAGCAAGGCTTCTATCATTCTTTGAAATGGTCCTGTCAGAAATATTTTTAAATGTTAAATATGATAAATTCAGTTTTATTTTTACTTGTGGGCATCCAAAAAAGTATATGAAGAAGGTTTGAAAACATTGTTTATATATTCTTGAAAAGGATGTTTACTTTTTATGACACCAGTCATGCTTATATATTTTACATGCTGCCTCATATTGCGTATCAACATCCCATTCATTTCTTATTGGATGTTTAAGATATAGCACATTTACTTTTATTGATGTTTAACTTGACAACCATTTTGAAAATGCAAGTATATTTTATGCCTTTAATTTTATGAGACTTGTTCATAAATGTTGGAGTCTTTTATATGGGAAGGTTAATTTGTATTATTTCCTGATTTAGGTGTTACAAATTGAATATTAACTTAAAATTTGGAAAGGGATTGGTGCATGATTGATTTAAATTCAATGTTCCGGTTATTCAGTATTTGAATAATGGTTGAGATAAAAATAATAAACTAAATTGCATTTTTTAAAAAAATTAAAGGTTCTAGAGAAGAGCTTCTACATTTAAGTAATTCAAAATGTGAACTCAATATACCTGTTGGGACACGGCACATTATAAATAGATCCTGAACAGAGAAGAGGGGCTAGATTTGAGATTTGACAGCTACTGTGTAGGTAAAGTTGATACATTTTTAGTAAATAGTGAGAATAAGGGAAGAGAAAGAGTTGGAAGCAATAATAATAGTTATTTCCTTTTATAGTGTGTTGTATGGTTTACAGTGCTTTGTGACTATAAAATGTCTTCCTTGAGTAACCATCTGATGGCAATGCCATTAACCAGTACTAGGGACTTCAGCAAGTAGAGAAGGTGAAGGGCATGGAGAAACAGATAAATACAAATTTGAACTCGGATGTGATTTATGTTGCTAACAGTGTGGAACGTTCATAGAAATATTACGAAAATTCACTTTCAAGAAGGATGTATTCAATACCTGCCATGTGAAGATACTCTGTTAGATACTTTAGAACAGTAATCCAGGCTTTGTTGTTAATGTACCTATCAAGAAATATTTGAGTATGTTAAATTAACATTTTCACATTTGTTTATAAACAATCTACTCTTGTGCTGTTATTTACATTATGACACGTACACCAAAGAAATTAAAAGTAAGGCTGTGCACAGTGGCTCACTCCTCTAATCCCAGCACTTTGGGAGGCCGAGGTAGGCGGATCACTTGAGGCCAGGAATTCCAAACCAGCCTGGCCAACATGGCGAAACCCCATCTCTACTAAAAATACACACATTAGCTGAGTGTGGTGGTGCACGCTTGTTGTTCCAGTTACTGGGAAGGCTGAGGCACAAGAGTTGCTTGAACCCGGGAGGTGGAGTTGCAGTGAGGCGAGAATGTGCCACGGCACTCCAGCCTGGGTGACAAAGTGAAACTTGGTCTAAAAAAGAAAGAAAGAAAGAAGAGAAAAGGCTGGGTGTGGTGGCTCACTCCTGATCCCGTAATCCCAGCACTCTGGGAGGCCCAGGCGGGCCGATCACCTGAGGTCAGGAGATCGAGACCAGCCTGGCCAACATGGTGAAACCCCGTCTCTACTAAAAAAATACAAAAATTATCTGGTGTGGTGGCACACACCTGTAATCCCAGCTACTCGGGAGGCTGAGGCAGGAGAATCGCTTGAATCCAGGAGGCAGAGGTTGCAGTGAGCCAAGATTGCACCACTGCACTCCAGCATGGGCGACAGAGTGAGACTCCGTCTCAAAAAAAATAAAATAAAATGAATAAAAGTTGTAATATTTTCTTTCTACCTTCCTGCTTTAGAAGCTCTCAAGATGAAGAGGGCAGTCTAGTGGACCACAGAATGGGTCATCTTTGGGAAGGTGTGACAAGACACCTCTCTGGGAGGGATGGTGTGAGAGGCTCAGTGAAGGCACTGAGTGCTGCATGCCTTTCCTCCTCCCCACTTCTCTGTTGCAGGCCTCCAGTGAGCAGGGCCCCACCACAGCCAGAGAAACTCCAGACAAACAATGTAGGCAAGAAAAAGAGACCTATAGAGGTAAGGAAAACTCACTCTCCAGTGTTACTGAAATGTATCCAGAGTTCTTTTTTATAAAACACCCAAGTTTTGTCATTAGTTTTCATGAAAATCAGTGTATTTGAGTACTGTTTTTTGTTTGACTTAATTCTTATGTAAGTCTGAGTTTTGGATGGATATTCTCTGTTTCTCTTAATTTTTTAAATTAGTCTTCCTTTTACTTTTCTGTGAATAATACCCTAATTGAACTGTATCTCAGAGGAGTCCTAAACCTAAGTATGTGTGAATGATCTTTTGCTTATAGAAGCACAGACACCTTGGCAGTATCTAAAATTTAGTGGCTTAAATTTGTAAATTAAAGAGTAAGTACTTATACCAAATAGGAATTTTGACCCTGTGCGATATATTCACTGTACAGGGTTCATGAAGCCTGTTTCTCCTTCTGTCTCTGCTTCCAGCCAAAGTAACCTTACGTAATAATTGAGGAAGAAGGAAGGCTCTTTAGGCATTTCATAATCCCGGTAGCAGTAGCGAACAACCAAACTCTGCTAAATCAAACGTAAACAAGGCGTAAAGCTGTGCGATGGTGATTGCTGTCGTTCCCTCCCCAACCTAGTCCTACAAAGTCAATGAAATGTACATTTTCAGTTGCAGAATTATCTGCCAGAACTTTAGCATGAATTGTCAGAGACAGTATACTTAGTTTTTATCCACCGATGATGAATGTACTGTTTGAGTTCTTCGAAGTATGTGACTTGGACATAATTTATCCTGACTCTTGTATGTAGGTCAGATACTTTGATTAACAATGAACATAAAATTTTCTTCTTTTGGACACAAAAAATACAGTCCCTCTATGTCCATGGGGGATAGATTCCCCCTGGGGATGCCAAAATCCACAGGTGCTCAAGTGCCTTATATAAAATGGCATAGTAATTTGCATATAACCTATGCACATTCTCCTGCATACTTTAAACCATCTGTAGATTACTTATGATACCTAATACAGTGTAAATGCTGTATACATATTTGTTATACAATATTGTGTTTTAAATGTTATTTTTTATTGTTTTTTTCCCCAATATTTTCTATCTGGAATTGGTTGAATTCTTGGATATGTAAGGCCAACTGTACCTCAGTGTTTACATGTGAAATCTTAAGAACTAAAGTTCTTGGAATCAGACTACCTTGTGATTCCATTTTCCTTTTCATAACTTTATATAGAAAAGTATAGAATGTATGTTTAAGCTGCCCAAAACAGGTTATATAAAGAAGTATGAGTAGCTTAATTTTGTATATTAAGTTTGTAAAACATCAAAAATGCATACTCCATTTTGACTGCAGACACTACTAGTATTACGTATACAACAAAACAGTGGTGAACATTTATACATGAGGAAGAATATAATGGTTTTATTATTATCATTATAGGACCTTGTGTTGGAGCTCATTTTTGGTTATCGAGGCAGAGACTGTAGGAATAATGTTCACTATTTAAATGATGGTGATGATATAATTTATCACACTGCATCTGTTGGAATTCTGCACAATGTTGCTACAGGTAGGAAACCCTGATTCTCCATCCCTCTATCAATTTTTTTAACTTAGAAATTTTGATCTAGCAGCTTAAAATCTTTGTTAAAGCTATAAATAGTAATTGAAATGTAGGAGAAACACTCCAGAATAAAAATATTTCATATTTCAGAACTTTCTAGTAATATTTCAAGTAAACAAATTTCAGTTTTAAGAGAGTATAATACAGCAGAAAAGGAATTCATAATGCAAAGTGCTCATAAGTCTCTATTAGAAGTAGAGGTTTTACTGTATGTTAAAACCATGTTTTATGTTGAAACCGTTTGTAACTTTAATTCTATTTTCCCATAACCTCATGATGAGAATAGATGGTTTGGATGGTGGTTTCTGATAGTGATTGAATGTAGCATGTTGGGTGAGTGATTGCTGGGGCTGGAAGTGTTCTTACTGAGGCCTTGGAAAGCCAAGGAAGAAAGGCTAAGAAAGCTGTTTATCTGTGGCTCTATGATGATACCTTGTTTGATCCAAGAAGGTGAGAAAATTATTTCTTGATGTTCATTTAACTGATTGGGTTATTCAGTTGGATTATTCAAGAGCAAATAATGTTCTGTTAGCATCATTTCATGAACAATGTGATAATGCTACTAGTAACATTAAGTATTTAATTTTGAATTGTTTTATTACAATTTAATGGCAAACTTCATAAAAGTCTGAAAGTTAGAAGTAAAAATAAAGGTTATCTAGTTCATTCTGGTTTTCCTCTGATAGCTTCATCCTGAATGGGTAAAGAGTAGATTGATGATGTGAATTATAATCCACCACCTCTTGTCGGTATTAACCATCAATATGATCTTTCTATTTTGGTTTCATAAAGAAAAGGATTCACCAGGATCACACAGAAATCAGTGGCAATTTTCTATTTAATAATTTGGGCCATTTAAAACATACTGATTAGAGAGAAAAATCCTTCTTAATCGAGGTCTGTCTGTCCTTCAGAGAGAATGAGGAAGAGTAAGATAAACAAGAAAGGAATGTATGTGTAAACTCTCATGTTTATACTTATAATTTTATTTTTACTTTTCTGATTTGTAATTAATCACTTTTCTAGTGGTGGGGTGTCTAGAGAGAGGGCAGATGGAGACTAGGCCACCTGCTTTAGTTTTTATTATATTTGGTTTCTCACCAGTTTGAGGATACATTGTGCATAGTGTAGGAAGTGGGTTTGCCATAAATGCTTCATTATTTTGAGGTGTGTTCCTTCAATTCCTAGTTTGTTGAAGGTTTTTAACATGAAAGGGATGTTGGATTTTATCGAAAGCATTTTCCATATCTGTTGAGATAATCATATGGTTTTTGTTTTTAATTCTGTTTATATGGTAAATCACATTCGTTAATTTGCATATGTTGAACCAACCTTGCATGCCAGGAATGATGAAACCTGCTTGATCATGGTGAATTAATTTTTTGATGTCCTGCTGGATTTTGTTTGCTAGTATTTTGTTGAGGCTTTTCGCATCTATGTTCATCATAGGGATGATGTTTTGTATGGGAATGATGTTTTGTGTGGGATGTTTTGTAGTTTTCTATGGGAATATTGGCCTGTAGTTTTCTTTTTTCAAATGTCTTTGGCAGGTTTTTGTATGAGGGTGATGCTGGCTTCACAGAATGAGTTAGAGAGGAGTGCCCACTCCTCTATTTTTTAGAATAGTTTCAGTAGGATTGGCACCAGCTTTTCTTTGTATGTCTGGGAGAATTCAGCTCTGAATCCATCTGGTCCAGGGCTTTTTGATAGGTTTTTTATTACTGATTCAATTTTGGAACTCATTATTGGTCTGTTTAAGATTTCAGTTTCTTCCTGATTCAATCTTGAGAGGTTGTGTGTTTCTAGGAATTTATCCATCTCCTCTAGATTTTTCTTCTTCTTCTTCTTCTTTTTTTAGAGGCCCACAACTAACATCATAGCCTCTAGATCTTCTAGTTTGTGTATTTAGAGGTGTTCATAATAGTCTCTGAGGGCCTTTTGTGTTCTTGTGGGATTGGTTGTAATGTGATCTTTGTCATTTTTTATTGTGTTTATTGGGATCTTCTTTTTTTTGTTAAGCTAACTACTAGTGGTCTATTGATCTTGTTTATCTTTTCAAAAAACCGATTTTTTTATTTTGTTGATTCTTTGTATAGATGTTTGGGTTTCAGTATTGTTCATTTCTGCTCTGATTTTGTTATTTATTTTCTTCTGCTAGCTTTGGGGTTACTTTGTTCTTGTATTTATATTTCCTCCAGGTGTGATGTTAGATTGTTAATTTGGGATCTTTCTAACATTTTGAGATAGGCATTTAGCACTGTAAGCTTTCCTCTTAACATTTAACATGCTTTTGCTACATGCCAAAGATTTTGGTATGTTGTGTCTCTGTTTTAATCTACTTTGAAGATTTTTTTTAAATTTTTGCCTTAATTTCATTGTTTACCCAAAAGTCATTCAGGAGCAAGTTATTTAATTTTTACGTAATTGTGTGGTTTTGGGAGCTCTTCTTGGTATTGATTTCTATTTTGCACTGTGGGTAGAGAGTATGGCAGAGATGATTTCAATTTTCTTGAATTTATTGAGACTTGCTTTATGGCTGAACATGTGGTCAATCTTAGAGTATGTTTCATGTGCAGATGAGAAGAATGTATATTCTATGGTTGATGGGCAGAGTGTTCTTTCTGTTATGTCCAATTGGTCAAGTATTGAATTCAAGTCCAGAATTTCTTTGTTAGTTTTCTACCTTGATGATCTAACACTATCAGTGGGTTGTTGAAGTGCCCCACTTGTTTGATTTTTGTTTTGCTTTTTGGGGGGCCTAGTAGTATTCATGGTTTCTCTATCCTCTGGATCCAACCTACTGCTCTGAACTCATTTTCCACCTCTTCATTTTACTTCCACAAGTCTATCTTTTTTCCCTTCTGCATGGACTACTGTCATAGCCTTACAAGGTCTCTTCACTGTTACTACTACCAGATGAATCACATTATACTTATTTGATCAAAAAACTTCAATTCCTGCTGGGCACGGTGGCTCATGCCCGTAATCCCAGCATTTTGGGAGGCTAAGATGGGCGGATCACTTGAGGCCAGGAGTTTGAGACCAGCCTGGCCAACACAGCAAAACCCCGTATCTACTAAAAATACAAAAAATATATAGCTGGGCATGATGGCACACACCTGTAATCCCAGCTACTTGGGAGGCTGAGGCATGAGAATTGCTTGAACCAGGGAAGTGGAGGTTGCAATGAGCCAGGATTACACCATTGCACTCCACCCTGGGCAACAGAGTGAGACTGTCTCAAAAAAACAAAAACAGATTGCAGTTCTTCCTCCACTGACATAAGAACAAATATAAAATGTGACTCAATATGGCCCAAATTATTAAATGGAAAATTACTACTGGTTTCTGTGTGACTCTGGCAAATCCTTTTCTTTGAGAAACCAAAACAGAAGGATCGTGGGCTGACACTCAAAATCCTCCCTAACTCTAGTCCCAAGCTGCCTTTCCAACCATGTTACTCATCTTTCTTCTTCATGACCCTACACTTCAGCCAAATGAGCCTGTTATATGGATACACAACACTTTCCTGCCTTTAGGCCTCTGCTTAAAGTGTTCCTCTGTCTAGAAGGCCCTTCCCCACTGACTTTTACATTTGTAAAATCTATCTGGGTCAGTCCAGGAGTACCATATTCCCATGATGAGATTAATCTTTTCTGCTCTGAATTCCCATAGCATTTTGATCCCAACTCTCTTGTGGCACTTGGAATCTTCAGCCTTGTACTGTATTGTTTATCCCTTTTACGGCTCTATCCCATTACATAATTCTGAATCATTTTTCTATCCTTATGATGCTGTATACATAGTAAGTGCTCAAAAACATGTTTTGAATAAGCAAATAAGTTAAAGAGTAGTTTATTGTTCTGGGTAAGTGCTTTTGGCTGTTACATCTTAAAATTTTCAAACTTAATTCTCAAATTCTTTTTTGTAGGTTCTCAGAGTTTTTATCAGGAACATAATGATGATATTCTGTGCCTCACAGTAAACCAGCACCCCAAATTTATCAACATAGTGGCAACTGGCCAAGTAGGTATGTTTCTGTATTTTAAAAAGAAACAATTTAAAGCATTTGCTTTGTTCAAATAAATTCAATATCCAAGGAAAAAATCAAAATTTTATTGATTTATCGATTGTTCAAAATCTATGTATACATAAAGCCCTACCCAATTATACCATATTATTTGCTTTCAGGTACCTTTCTCTCACTCACTCTGGTTATCTGAGTTGGTCTTGACAATCCAAAATTTAAAGGAAACTATTGTATGGTAGTTGAAATAGTTGGATTTAGTCCTTTAGCAGGAATTTCTGGTCAGCAAAAAGGTTTAAGTCAATAGCATATAAAGCAGAAAAGAGGAGTTTGAAGAGGAAGTAGTAAACAAAGGGAAGCTAAGAAATAACTAGACTGGGCGGGGTAGAACCCTGCTTCCGTGGGGGTTCAGGCTGGAAAGAAGAGAGGACCCAAGTCTGTTTGTTGTTGGTAAATCCCTTCTGCCTTTTTCTTTTCTTTGTCATTGACCTAATTCACCAACTGTCTTGAGCTGTTTTGAAATATACCTGTATTCTTTTACCTCTGTGAAAAACTGTTAAACAAAGGCCATAACTCTACAGCCAAACTGATGAGAGGATGGCAGGTCTGTTTAGGACATATCTGCCAACCTGTGATTACTAAATATGAATATGGCAGAAGTTTCATAAACTTCAATACGTTTGTAAAATTTATTGAAATCATTGAGTTTGTTGGAATTTATTGGGCCTTGATGGCTAAGCTAGCTTTCCAGGTCCCTTTTCTTCTTGACTAAGATAATTTATACTTTTAATATCTTTATTTTTCATGCGAGTACTAAGTTGATAGTCAGGAATTTGTTGTCTGGGTTGCCTGGTTCTGAAGCTATGCCACATAGACCCTTGTGTTTTTCCTTTTTGTACAGTTTTCTACTTTTAAAAGTAAATGGAACATTACCCATTATACAGAAAATATTCTAATCTTTGCATATAAATACATAGGTCTAGCTTCTGTTTGTGCTAAGATTTTGGAAAGTGAAGTCTTATTTTCACTGTGCACAAGGAACAAGGCCCATCTCCTTGAGGAATGAAGAAACTATGTTACCTAAGTACCTAGCTCAATGCCTCTTGGTACATAGTTACTGTTTAGTTAATTTTTATTGAGTAAATTCACTTACTCAACAAATTTACTGAACACCTGCCATGTGCGAGGTATTGTTTTAGGTGCTGGGGATATGGGCTACTTACAAAAAGGCAAAATCCCTGTATTAATGGGATTTACGTTCTGCAAATAGAATTCTAGAATATGGTTCTTTCATTTCCCACCTTGGCTTCTCCTTTTCTTTCCTTTGCTCTCCCTCTGTTAGGCAACTTATTTATCATTTTAGTGCTGTGGTTTTCTTTCTTAGTTAAGAAATGTCATGGTCACAAATTAATCTTTTAGGAATTTGGCCCTTTTCTCCCCTTTATTTTGAAAGACAACACTATAGAAAATATGAAATGTTTAATTATATCCCTCCTCTTTCTTTCCAAGTCAAAATCTGGGGAGTACAGAGGTAAATTTTAGATTATATATGTAGCTCCATTCTTTACACCATTTGTACCCTTCCAGAAGACAGATAACAAAAATTACTGGTGACTAATTAAGATAGACTCAAGGGAAGACTAAAGAATAAGAAAGGATTTTATTTTTCTCCTCACACATAAAGAGAATTGTTTTGTTACTTTGCTGTCAGGCTTGTTTAATACCCACAAAACACAAAACAGCATTTACAATGTTTATTGTTCCTTCTGTTAAAAATCATATAGATCATAGAGTAATTGAAATGTTTGATTTTGTACTATTTTAGCCAGTTACATTCAAACTTTTTTCCTGGATAGAATCTTGGAATTTTAGGGCCAAGTATATCATTTTGTCCTCTCTGTTACAGTGTGTTTGAACCCTGCTGCCACTTAATACCTAATGAAGTAAACGTTTCCCTGGGAAGCTTAGTTATAAAGTGGTTCTTCATATACAACAGAAATCTGTCTGTGATTGCTACTCTTTGGCCCTCATTCTTGGTGTATCTAGAACATCTAATCACATTCCCATGGCATTATCTTCCAGTTTTGGAGACAGCTAGCATATTCTCCCTGAGTCTTATCTAGTTCTTATCTTTTATTTGTTTCTTTGTTTGTGACAGAGTCTCGTTCTGTTGCCCAGGCTGTAGTGCAGTGGCACAATCTCGGCTCACTGCAGCCCCCACCTCCCGGGTTCACGCCATTCTCCTGTCTCAGCCTCCTGAGTAGCTGGGACTACAGGTGCACGCCACCATGCCTGGCTAATTTTTGTATTTTTAGTAGAGACGGGGTTTCACCATGTTGGCCAGGATGGTCTTGATCTCTTGACCTTGTTATCTGCCCGCCTTGGCTTCCCAAAGTGCTGGGATTACAGGCATGAGCCACCGTGCCCAGCCTTTTGCTTCTCTTTTAAAAGGTCTCCTTTGGCACCCTCCAACTACATTCCATGGAACAAGGTGTACATGAGAGCAAGGGGATTGCTTTCCATGGGGGAGCCTACTTCTCCACTGGACCATGTTTTGGGTATATGAAATCCCAGAATTCTCTACCAGATGGTCCTGAACCTACTAATGGCCCTGCATGAGCCTTTTCTCTGCGTCTGTCCTCCCAGTGACAGACTGTACAACCAATGTGTATACTCTTGAGGGGTGGCCAAGCTGTTCTTTGTGTAGGGGTGGATGGAGTTCTAATGCAGTAGCTAGGATAACCACATGTCTTAAGAAATTTGAGCTGCCATGACAGATACCACAGAGTTTGTAGCTTAAACAACAGAAATGTTATTTTTCACAGCTCTGGAGGTTGGAAGTCCAAAATCAGGGTGCCAGCATGGTCAAGTTGTGGTGAGGGCCTTCTCTGTATTTGCAGATGGCTGTCTTCTCATTATATCCTCACATGGTGAAAAAAGATTATCTTTCTCCTGTCTCTTATAAGAACACTAATCTCATTGTGAGGGCTCCATCCTCATAACCTTCACACCTCCTAATACCATCACACTGGTGATTAGGGTTTCAGTATATGAATTTTGGGGGAAGACAGACATCCAGTTCATAGCACCACACATGAGCTTCCATGGTTCTTTGTGGTGTGGGATGGAAGAGAATGAGACAGGTTGTCTCATGCTGCCCAAACTCTAAGGAGTTCTAAATTGGTATCTGCCTTCCAGATCATTATAGGAGTGTACTCATCAAGGTAAGAGGCTAGAATATATTTTATTTGATAAGTTTTATCTTGATGGATAGCTTTAAAATATTTAGGCCGATGACATTCAAGCTTTCATTTGTACTTCTGTCCCAGACCCTGTTAATATTCAGAGACAAACCTAGTCTCTCCAGACCAAACACTCCCAGTCTTTCACCCAGGCTTCAGGTGGCAAAGTTCCAAGCCCTCTCACCATTTGGTTGTTAATAGAGCATATTCATAACTAAAAATGATATTTCCTATGTGGTCTGCTCAGCAGAGTTAAGTACTTTATTCTGTTTTTCCTCATGTTCCAGGTCAAGGCACTATGGTCCTATGTTATCAATATGTTTTTTAAATCATTATTTCATATGGATATAAAGCTTTACCAAAGCAAAAAACAATCACCTGTCTTCAATGGATTCCTATATTTTTATTTTCTTTCTTGTTCTAAAGACTGCTACTTTGAAAAGTTTGGTTATTAGGTATTTCTACCACAAATATAATGAGCATGAGCTTTCACATTTTCTTTCTTGGCAAACTTGTACTCATATGGAAAATCTTTAGTTGAAAGAAAGAACTTTTTTCCTTTCTTGAGTTATACAGTAAGCTTTGCCATCATGTCTCTCAGCTCAGAAGGTTTAGATCTAATTCTTCCCTGGAGACAGAGATGCATTAAAAGATGCATACGGAAAATCTTTAGTTGAAAGAAAGAACTTGTTTCCTTTCTTGAGTTATATAGTAACCTTTGCTGTCATTAAAACTCCAGAGAGTCTATTATTAGCAGTACATTTTTATAAACCAAAATGAGGGTAATATAATTTTAAATCATATCAGTATCATTTTAAAAGTTATTATAATTAAAAGTTTATGTAACTCATTAAATGCAAAGAAAACAAAATTTTTATCCAAAGGAAGATTGAAAGATCATACATAGCATGTTAATAAGTATGTATGATTGAAATGAGTGCCTTCTCTTACAGTTTACTCAATCAAATGTAATAAAACCAATTTTGTATATAATAGTTTAAATTATAATTAATATGATATTTGGGTTTTTACAGATTTTACAGATTTATGTTATTTATAGATAATTATTTTCCATTATAGGTGATTCAGCAGACATGTCAGGTAAGGAAAACTAAACATTTTCTGCTTTATTTATATTGTTTGGTAATGATAGTGCATATTAAACTTAAGTTCAAGTATATTAGTCCGTTCTTGCATTACTATTAAAGAACTGGGTAATTTACAAAGAAAATGTGTTTAATTGGCTCACAGCTCCACAGGCTGTACAGGAAATGGGGCTGGGGAGGCCTCAGGAAATTTACAATCATGGTGGAAGGCAAAGGGCTTGAGCAGGTATGTCCTGTATGGTGGAAGCAGGAGGAAGAGAGAGAAAGGGGAGGTACTACACGTTTAAACGAGCAGATCTCATGAGAACTCACAATCACAAGAACAGCAAGGGGGAAATCTGCCCCCATGATCCAATCACCTCCCACCAGGCCCCTTCTCCAACACTGGGGGTTACAATTCAATGTGCGATTTGGGCAGGGACATATATCCAAACCATATCATCAAGTATCTTGTTACTCTATAAAAAACTTGCGGATTTTTTTTAATGAAGAATACATTATTTTAATGTCATGATTCTGAACTCAATCTGTGGTAATAGTAATGGTTTTTTTTGGACAAGCATGGTAGCTCACACCTGTAATCCCAGTGCTTTGGAAGGCCAAGGTCTGAGGATCACTTGAGCCCAGGAGTTCAAGACCAGCCTGGGCAACATAGTGAGACCCTGTTCTCAGCACTGTTTTAAGCACTTTAATAAAAGTATAAGCATTTTAAATAAAAGCTTTATTTGACACGACCATGCTTATGAAGTTATATATGTTCTGTGGCAGCTTTTGTGCTACAATGGCAGAGGTGTGTAGTAGCTACAGAGGCTATAGATGACACTCATCTGTTTGCACTGCTTTTTGGTACTCTGCAAGTTCCAGTAACACAATTATAATTCACAGACTTTGAGCACTATCTGTTATCTCTTGTTATTTTATTTTGTTTTTTAACCAGTAAATCTCCATCATGTCAAGACAAGGGTACAAAAAACAAAAATAGTTTTTGAATATCACACTTTTAAGGCACAGTGAAGCATGGATTGTATTGTAATCAAATGAGATGACAGGTGGGGTATAGTGGCTCACACCTGTAATCCGAGCACTCTGGGAGGCTGAGACAGGAGTTCCGAGGCCAGGAGTTCAAGTCCAGCCTGGGCAACAGCAAGACCCTGTCTCTACAAAATAAATAAATAAATAAATAAAAACTAAAATACCTTGATGATTTGAGATGAGATGGCAAGAAATGTGTTAAAAACAATAAATGAGATGATGGCAATAAAACAAAGTATTTGTTTTTTCAGAGGTGGTAACATTCAGCTATGCCAGGAGTAGATAGCTGAGGCATGATCTGGGGGCTGCAGGCTCAGACCAGTTTCAGGGGTCCCAAGACTTCCCACACATTCAGCAGTTCACTAGGAGAAATCACAGGACTCAGAGGTACTTAAGGCTTTAGTTTATTACATTGAACAGAAAAGGGAAAAGACATATGAGGTGGAATCCGGAGCATCTAGTTACAGGGTTTCTATGTCTCTCCAACACCCTCATGCCAGGGATTACACAGAACCTGCTTCTTCCTCCAGCAGTCAAATCCAGCAACACACATGAGGTGTTTCTGCCTAGGCAAGCCTACTGAAGTCTCAGAGTCCAGAGTTTTTATTGGGGGTTGGTCACATAGGGATAAAGACCAGCCTTAACTACCAAAATACCAAACGCCCTGAAGAAAGCAAGTGTTCAGCGCCCCAGGTGGACAAAAGAGCTTTGTCAACATGGAGAACACTTCAGAAGTTCTTACACACTGGCCAAGAGCTAGCCCAGCAAGCAGGCCCTTCTGATGACAGTAACCTTGGGCCTTTGCACTGCTTTTTGGTACCCTGCAAGTACCCTGCTTATATTAAATCTTTCCTGCATAAACCCTGAGGCTGGATCAAGAAACTGGAAGGTCAGTGTGACTGGAGGAAGGCCTCTGAGATGAATGTAGAGAGGGATAGTGGTCATCTCATGCAGGATGCTGTAGCTCAGGGAGAAGAGTTTGGATTCATGCTAAGTGCAGAGGCTGTCACTGGAGAATTTTAGACAAGGGAGTGATATGACCGAATTTATACTTTGAGAAAACCACTCTCACTATATTATTGAGAATGTAGAGGGGGAAGAGAGAAAATTGGAAAATTAGGTGGCCGTTATAGTAGTCCAAGCAAAAAACAGTTAAGCAGGGTGGCAGGAGTGAATGTGGAGAGAACGAGACAAATATGGGGTGTATTCTGGAGTAAAGCCAGTTATCCTTTCTGATTAATTGGGTATGGGCGTATGACATAGTGAGGAATCAAGGCCAGTTGAACTTTTTGCTTGAACAGTGAGCCAAATGGGATGGGGAATACTTTGAGAGAAATCAGTTTGACAGGAAGAAATTATCCACAGATATAAGGAGTGAAATTTATTGGACATTCTTTCTTGTACAAATATAAGAAGACTGGTAGATTTGGGGATGGAAAAATAAGGAAGTACTGTCTGATGACTTCCATTTTCCCTGTATCATCAACTGAGATTGAGGAGGTGGGGAATGAGTATTAGGTTGGAACAAGGATAAAGATTTTAAATTGTCACTTTGCAATGTGGGAGAATAAATACATTAGAAGAGATATGAGCTGGGCGCAGTAGCTCACACCTGTAATCATAGCACTTTGGGTTTTTCTGTTTTGTTTTTTTCTTTTTTTGAGATGGAGTTTCACTCTTGTTGCCCAGGCTGGAGTGCAATGGCACAATCTCAGCTCACTGCAACCTCTGCCTCCCGGGTTCAAGCAATTCTCCTGCCTCAGCCTCCCAAGTAGCTGAGATTACAGGCGACTGCCACCACGCCCAGCTAACTTTTTGTATTTTTAGTAGAGATGGGGTTTCACCATGTTGGCTAGGCTGGTCTCGAACTCCTGACCTCAGGTTATCCACCCGCCTCAGCTTCTCAAAGTGCTGGGATTACAGGCGTGAGCCACCGTGCCCGGCAATCTTAGCACTTTGGGAGGCTGAAGTGGGTGGATTGCTTGAACTCAGGAGTTCAAGACCAGTGTGGGCAACATGGCAAACCCCATCTCTACAAAAATATACAAAACTTAGATGGGTGTGGTGGCATGTGCCTGTAGATCCAGCTACTCGGAAGGTTGAGGTAGGTAGATTAATTGAGCCCAGGAATTCGAGGCTGCGGTGTGTCATGATCACATCATGGCACTCCAGCCTGGATGACAGAGTGAGACCTTGTCTCAAAAAGAAAAAAGAAAAGTTAGCATTGAATACATTAGATATGTTTTCAGTGGACACTATGGGAATATCTTTTGTCTCTGATAAAGTAATTTCAGCCCTCCTAAGACTGCACCTCAGAATTTGATATTTTTGATCCTTAAGGCAATTAAGCAGAGAAAACTCACTCTCTGGTAGTATTTGTAGTGACAGGCAGTTGCCCATCAAATAACTTCAGTGGGTGTCTGCATTTTACAGCAGAGGATAAGGAAATTCCTTAGCACACAAGAATGAAGAGGGAGGGTAGCCTCCGGAGTGTGCTACTTCAGGAGTTTCATGATGTCATCCAGAACCCAGGGACTTTCCGTCTCTTCTGCTCTGCTATCCACAGTGTTGGCTTCACCGATAAGGCTGGTTGCATTTGTGGTCATGAAAATGGCTGCAGTAGCAATTGGAGTTATGTGCTTCCTTGCTGTTATCCAGTGGGAAAGAAGCAAAAAAATCCTTTTCAGAGCCATGACCTAAAAATCCTTCCGTTTAGCCTGACTGAGTCATTTTAGCCTGACTTTGCGTGAGGACACAAAGCAAACTGCGAACTGAGAAGATACTAGGGGAATACCATGTGCTGATTGGTTTAAGTCTGGGTTATTAAACTAATCACTGAGGTCTGGGTTGGGAGTGGAGGCAGTATTATCACAGTGGGCTCAGACTTATTAGTTGAGCATGCAGTTTGTTTCCCCTGAATCACTTACGCTCTAGGAAGGAGTAGATTCCTGAATAAAACTGGAGCCTTGGTAGGAAGAAAGGATGTAATGGATGCTGAGTATGCAGTAAGGAGTTACTCACTACAGAGACTAAAGGACAAAATACACTTGGCATACCTAATGACCCATGTTAAAATTTTCTTTTAAAATAAAGTTTTTATTAGGCCAGGCATGGTGGCTCATGCCTGTAATCCTAGCACTTTGGGAGGCCAAGGCAGGCAGATCACCTGAGGCCGGGAGTTCAAGACCAGCCTGACCAACATGGAGAAACCCCATCTCTACTAAAAATACAGAATTAGCTAGGCATGGTGGCAGGTGCCTGTAATCCCAGCTACTCTGGAGGCTGAGGCAGGATAATCACTTGAACCCCAGAGGCAGAGGTTGCAGTGAGCCGAGATCATGCCATTGCACTCCAGCCTGGGCAACAAGAGCGAAACTCCATCTCAAAAAAAAAAAAAAAAAAAAAAAATACAGTTTTTATTATACTGCATCAAAGGCAAACTAGGGGATAAAGAATATCCTTTAAAACTTTGATTCTTGTAAGACCCAATTAAAAATTTAAAGAGACACTTATGGCATCTCTATACTGGAAACTAAGAGTGAAAAACGGTAGTGAAAAGTTACTGGGATTGATTTTCTGGAGGGAGCTACATGTGGGGAAAAGAGCAAGAGTGGAACCTGGATACTGAGAACAGCATACCTGTGCTGCCTCTCCCAGCTCTGAGTTGTATTAGGGCAAGTCAGTTATCTTCTCTGAGGCTGAATTCAGGAAAAAACGTACCTACCTAGAAGGTAAGCATTAGAAAATATGCGATGTCCCCAGTAACATGCCTGCCATGATAGGTACTTAATACCTCATGGCCTCCTGGAACAGGTGGAGGAAGAATTGTTTATGTGTTACCCAAGCATCAGGAATGACCATTTCCAAATGATAGGAGAAAATATAATATACTTAATAAACATAGTTTCATCTTTAGTAACTTCGAGAGGTCCTGAAAATTTGCAGTAATTTTAGTTTTAAATACTGTTACTGATGTAAGTTTAGAACAGTCTAAGTGTGTGACAATTCCATTACCTTACGTACCTATACGTTTTAAAACATAAATTCTGGTTTCACCTTCTTGCCATCTCCTTTAATTTTTTATAAAAATATGAGAAGCTCAGTCATTGAATTTAAGATTACTTGCTATTTAAATTTAGATAAATAAAACTTTAAAACTTGTGGCATATTAAATTTGGAGGCAAAGTTAGTGATATTTCTTGAAAATCTATTGTCTACCTCATCATGATTTGGCAAATATAACATGTGAATTGCCTAGAGGTGCATTTTGTAAACATATAAAAATATTTATATAATATTTATCACTGGCAAAATGTATAGAGTGATCTGGTATATATTTACATTTTAAATTTAAGCCACCTAACATTCTTTATTGAGGTTAAGTTTACCTATGCCTTGGGGTACTTTGACTTTTAATGAATGAATAATATATTAATTTTAGTTCAATACTGACATTATTGTCATAAATTTTACAAACATAAATAACCTATTTTATTATATGATAAACTTTTATGTATGTTTCCGTGTAGTTTTGATATTTTACAGTTGCATAAATCTTTGAACAATTTCTACTTAATGATACTCTAAGTCTCTGGTTTAATATATTTTAACTGCTTTGAAGAACTGCCAGATTTAATTTATCATTGTGTATTACAAATAGCAGATGGTATAAAATATAATCTAAACTTATCAGAATATTTTCTTTAGAGACCAACATTTATTTCTGCATTGAATGATTTAAGGCAGCTTGTCTTAATGTTTCTCTATTTTTAAAACATTTATAACATTTATAATTTGAAGCAAATGCACTTTAGTATTTTTATTGCTTCATTAAAAGTACTTATGTTCTGAGATTGAATTAACTGCTGAATTGACCTATCCATTTTTATAGGGTGCAGTTCATAAAAAAGAAAATATAAAACTATAATTTTTTTAATTTAGAAAATATGGAGAACTGGGATAATTTTTTAAGCAGCAGAAACAAGCTACACAAGATTAATAATAACCACATTTTTTTAAAGATTAGCAGTTTTATCTTTCTCATGAAATCCTTTTTAAGTAAATGTCTTATAAAGTGATATGAACTTAGCTTTTTACCAGATGTCTATCTGTATGGTTGAAAATTTCTTTTGAGATCTATTCAGGTGGTTTCCTATCTACTGCCTTTGTCTATTTGTGTCTGCTTTTCACTTCTCTTTCAGATAACATCAGTACTGAATGTATACTTGGTGTTTAATATTTATTGTTTAATATTTGTATAGTTCTCCATATAATTGTATAAAGATTAAAAGTATACATAAAACATGCATTTGTTTTGAATTGTTTAAAGTTGAGATTGCCTGATTTGCTTGTCTAAATGCTGTTTTTCCAAAAGTGCAATTTGGAATATGGCCTGAAGAAGTGTTCTATATATTTTCCTTTTCTTTCCTCCCCACCCCCAAAACTCCTTTTCCTTTCTTAAATTTAGCCTTAGTTTTGAGCTGTTCTTTGTTAAGTACAGTTTTTGTTTGGTACACATTTGTCCATGTTTCACAGATGAATATGCATAAGCTTTAGAAACAGAAATATTTATAACAGGTAGATTACAACTTTTTGATACTATCTTTATTTAGCTACAGCTCCTTCTATTCACATCTGGGATGCAATGAACAAGCAGACTTTATCTATCCTAAGATGCTACCATTCAAAGGGAGTATGTTCAGTCAGCTTCAGTGCTACTGGCAAACTATTGCTGTCTGTGGGACTAGACCCAGAACATACTATTACCATTTGGAGATGGCAGGAAGGTAGGATTCTTTTGTGTGTTTGATTTTTAAAAAAACAAGAATACAAAGGTAGTAGGAATTCTGTATTTAATATTTGTCTTAAAGTTGGTGGTTGAAACAATCATTCAGTGGAGGCCTATGCAATATACTGTACACAGTGGTACTGTAGGTATATTTCACTTTAAAAGCCCAGTGGAACTGTAACCTCACAAAACAGATAAATTAATGAAACCATTATTAGCATTATAAATGATTCACTGCTATTTTCTTCCAGCAAGAAACTATGTATTTATTATTAATGATTTGATTGGTTTTGGAGATTCTTATGAAAATTATGTATATTTCTAATGATAATGGCAGATCAGCAGGATAATATTACCTACCACACTTTAGACAAAACATTTACGTTATATAAAGAAAAGTTAATGGAGCGAAGATAAGTGAAAAGGACTCAATACACAAATAATTGTAAATCATGTATTGCTAGGTAGTAGAGCAGGGGCCATTGGCCTCTCTTCTAAGCCTTTGTTTTTTGAACTATGTATTTTACATATTTGTTTGATGCTGTTGATTAGCTTGGTTCTTGTAATAACCTAGATAATTTTGTTGTATCTTGTCAGGTGCCAAAATTGCCAGCAGAGCTGGTCACAATCAACGTATTTTTGTGGCAGAATTCCGACCAGATTCAGATACCCAGTTTGTCTCAGTGGGAGTAAAACATGTGAAGTTCTGGACCCTGGCAGGAAGAGCTCTTCTTAGCAAAAAAGGGCTACTGAGCACACTGGAAGATGCCCGGATGCAGACCATGCTCGCTATTGCATTTGGTGCAGTATGTCTCTTAAAATGCACATAGTGTGACTTTGACTACTTTACATTCTCTTGCCTTAGATCATCAGCCACATGAATGTTGTTGAGATGATACTGTGATCTGCTAATCATTACATGCCCTGGTCAAGCATATATTTCATCTTTCAAAAATCTAGTTCTTTCAGAAATTAGGGAGTGAAAAGAATGTTAATGAGAGGGGGAAAAGGATTTTTTTTTTTTTTTGACACAGTATCTCACTCTGTCGCCTGGGCTGGGGTGCAATGGTGCGATTATAGCTCACTGTAGCCTCCATCTCCCAGGTTCAAGTGATCCTCAGCCTCCTTAGTAGCTGGGACTACAGGGCAGGAACCACCATGCTAGGCTAATTTTTCTTTCATTTTTAGTAGAGACAGGGTTTCGCTATGTTGCCTAGGTGGTCTCAAGCTCCTAAGCTATGTGATCCTCCCATCTTGACCTCCCAAAGTGCTGGGTTTACAGGCATGAGCCACCATAATAAGGATTCTGATGAACATTTGATTCCTTGGACTACTGTTATACTCAAAAGCCTTCCTTAATCTTCTAATTGTCACCCTAAATATCCTAAAATTTCTGTCTTCCTAGTAGTTCTTCATAGTCCTAAAAATTTGTCAGAGAGAAAGGTAAATCAAGAAACATGATTTTCAAATGATTTAAGGTGGTACTAGGGTTTAGGATTTCCTTTGCTTTTTATCATTTAACACACTGCTTATCATACAGCTGGAAGTGCTCTGGGCCAGTGTCTCTACTTCGAGGGAAGAAGGAGGTAGTGAGACAGAAGGAAATAGCACAATTCCTGGCCCTGACAGAAGGGTGTTCAGGAGACCTGCTCTCCTCTCACTTTATTCCATCTCATCTGGACCTGTGGCTTCCAATCCACATCTCTTTCCTTTAATATCCTGCATTGGCTAGGCTGTATAAATCCTTTGGTGCATCGAAAAACTAAGTGCATTTTTTGTTTTTGTGATTATGCAATACTTATAGGAAAAGTTATAATTTTAGAATATTTAAGTACACTTACATTTTTGAGAAAAAGACTATTGAAATGTTTGTGCCATGTCAAATTTCAGTTGAACATTTTGGGTATTCTTAATATAAGACCAGGCCAGGCACCGTGGCTCAGGCCGGGCACAGTGGCTCACACCTATAATCCCAGCACTTAGGGAGGCCAAGGCGGGAAGATCACCTGAAGTCAGGAGTTCAAGACCAGCCTGGCTAACAAGGTGAAACTCTGTCTCTACTAAAAATACAAAAATTAGCCGGGCGTGGTGGCTGGCGCTTGTAATCCCAGCTACTTGGGAGGCTGAGACAGGAGAATCACTTGAACCTGGGAAGCAGAGGTTGTGGTGAGCTGAGATCGCACCATTGCACTCCAGCCTGGGCAACAAAGAGCGAAACTCCGTCTCAAAAAAATAAAAAATAAACCCTAGAATTATAGTATGTTAGAATTGGAAGGGAAGAATTGTCTAAGGTTATTCTAGCTAATAAGCAACAGACTTGGAAAGGAAAAGGTCCTGACAAAGCTAAGCCTCCCGTTCAGGTTTCCTGACTCGTGAATTCAGTGCTGCTGCCACTACACGATGCATGCTCTTTGTATCAAGGGTGAGACAGCATTACACATACATAGAAAATTATCTATTTAAACTCTATTTGAACTTTTGATGAGTTTGTCTCCCCCTCCCCCACTCCTTTTCAGAATAACTTGACGTTTACAGGTACCATCAGTGGTGATGTCTGTGTGTGGAAAGATCACATATTGTGTAGAATCGTGGCGAGAGCTCACAACGGGCCTGTGTTTGCCATGTACACCACCCTGCGAGATGGACTTATCGTGACTGGGGGAAAGGAAAGGCCGTGAGTCCTCTTTCTTTTCACAGAATATTTATGCATTTGTGACCTACCTGAGGTTTGCAGTTAATTATTCTAGTTGTTTCTAGGCTACACAGAGTGTCCTCTCCGACCTTCCTCCTCATATGCTTCTCCTTTATTACCTTTTATGTGCCTTCTATTTGATTCTCATTTCTGGTCTTAATTCACTTCCAATTTTTTTCATGTTGGGGTGATACTTTTTCTGAGGTGTGGATAGGTAGTTGTCCTACAAGTTGAGTTACTTTTCTTAATGTCTGTATGCCTGTGTATGATTTGCTGAGTAGGAGGCCCATGGGGGAATCTGGAGCCAGGGTTGTATTTTGACTGCCTGCTCTCTTTTTGTTCAGAATGGATTCTAAGGAGTAGAATGCACATTGTTGCTTTAGAAAAGGATGAGGGAACTAGAGAGAACTGCCTTGTTTCCTTTTGCTTGAGGCAAATTTAAACTGTTTTATACAAGACCTCAAAATTTGAGAAGAGGTCTCTTCTGAGTGATTTTCAAATCTCCCAACAGTAACCAGATACTTATGATTTGATTTGTCACCAACATAGTCATATGCATGTTGAAACATGACATGTAGGCCAGGCACAGTGGCTCACACCTGTAATCTTATCACTTTGGGAGGCTGAGGCAGGTGGATCGCTTGAGCCCAGGAGTTCAAGACCAGCCTGGGCAACATGGTGAAACCCCATCGCTATAAAAAACAACAATTAGCCGGGTGTGGTGGCACATGCCTGTAGTCCCTGCTACTCAGGAGGCTGAGGTGGGAGGATCACTTGAGCCTGGGGAGGTCAAGGCTTTAGTGAGCTGTGATGGTGCCACTGCACTCCAGCCTGGGTGACAGAGTGAGACCCCATTTAAAAAACAAAAACAAAAACAAAAAAAAATGTGACATATAGTTGACTAAGAAGTACATTTCAATACAGGATTGAAAGAACCCACATATGTTAATTAAACACAAGCGCAGAATTTGTGCCTTTTACATAAAGGAAGAATGCACATAGGCATGCTTTCAGACAAGCAATTCATCTAGCAGAAAAGGAAGGAATACATTTTTCAGCCCTTCCAGGAATAAAATCCATAAATGGGCTCTATTTCGTCCTCCAACACTTGTATTTCCCACGTCATTTACTCCTGCACACCCCCACTCACTAGAAGCCTGCTAAACTGTTCCAGTGAGATATTTTAACACCTGATAGGGAATAAATATGCTTCTGTTTTGGCCTTCAAAAATAAGCTCTGGGCCAGTTGCAGTGGCTCACGCCTGTAATCCCAACACTTTGGGAGGCCGAGGTGGGCGGATCACGAGGTCAGGAGTTTGGGATCAGCCTGGCCAATATGGTGAAACTCCATCTCTACTAAAAATACAAAAATTAGCCAGGCATGGTGCCTGTAATCCCAGCTACTTGGGAGGCTGAAGGAGAAGAATCGCTTGAACCTGGGAGGCACAGGTTGCAGTGAGCCGAGATCACACCACTGCACTCCAGGCCAGGTGACAGAGCGACACTCTGTCTCAAAAAAATAAATAAATCAACTCTGTAGCATAGCATTTGTAATTCTATTATTTTGCCTTACATTTCCATTATCCTTTTAATAAAATTGTTTTTTTACATCTTCCTAATCAAGAAGTATTATGAGGCCAGGCACAGTGGCTCATACCTGGAATCCCAGCACTTTGGGAGGCCGAGGCAGGCAGATCACCTGAGGTCAAGGTATTTGAGACCAGCCTGGCCAACATGGTGAAACCCCATCTCTACTAAAAATACAGAAATTAGCTGGGTGTGGTGGTGCACACCTGTAATGCTAGCTACTCGGGAGGCTGAGGTAGGAGAATCGCTTGAACCTGGGAGGCAGAGGTTGCAATAAGCCTAGATCATGCCACTGCACTCAAGCCTGGGAGACAGAGCGAGACTACATCTTAAAAAAAAAAAAAAAAGTATTATGAGAGAGGATAATGTATTGTAATGTATTGTAGAGGCTAAATAAAATTATGCTCATGTCAGAAAAAAAGAGTATTTCTCAAAATAAAATTCACTGAAACTGGATGTTTATTTTGACTGAGATATAGTATATCCTCAAATTGCCATAGAAAGTTTACAAGAATATTAGAGGTAAATTATAAATATCAGGGCCTTTTTAAAAAAAAAAGATTCTGCTTATAACTTGGTATTTGTTTATAATAAAAATTATAGTAGCCAATAATGAACACTTACTCTGGCTTGGTTATTTACTTAGGTCAAAAGAAGGAGGAGCGGTTAAACTGTGGGATCAGGAACTGAGGCGGTGCCGTGCCTTCAGGCTTGAGACAGGACAAGCCACAGATTGTGTTCGTTCTGTGTGCAGAGGCAAAGTAAGATGTTCCATGAGCTGATACAGTGCAGCAGAAAACAGAAAGTGGTTATTACTGTGATTCCCTCACCCTTTGCAGCCTAATGAACAATACTTAATAATGCATAACGATGGATTTGCTTGCCAACATTACTCTGTCTTTGCTGCTTTCTTTGCCAAAGTTAGCACCAGTGTGGTGCATAAGCTAGGAAGCTATTCTGTCTAAATACTGTATGTAAACCTCCAATATTTTCTAGAATCTGCCAATTTAACAACTCTAGTAGACATAATTGAAAGCCCTTGGCAGTTGACTCATATTAGGACAGCTGTCTCCATTTTTTAAAAAAACACACATTCCCTAGATAAAACGTGCAGTAAACAAACAATGAAATACTACTCAGCCATAAAAAATAATGAAATTCTGTCATTCTTGGTGGCAACATGGATGAGACTGGAGGACATGATGTGAAGTGAAATAAGCCAGGCACAGAAAGATAAATACATGTTCTCACTCCTGTGCAGAAACTAAAAAAGTTGATCCCACAGAGGTGGAGAGTAGAATAGTGGTTACTGGAGGCGGACAAGGGGGAGGGGGAGGGGGATAGGGAAGGACTGGTTAAAGGATACAAGTTTACACAGCCAGATAGGAATAGTATGTTTTAGTATTCTGTAGTACTGTAGGATGACTATAGTTAAGAATCACGTATTTATGTATTTTCAGGTATTTACAAGAGAGGATTTTGAAAGTTTCCATCACAAAGAAATGATAAATGTCTGAGGTGATGGTTATGCGTATTACCCTATGCCCTATAGATATGTATAATTATGTGTCAATTTCAAAATAAAAATTCAAAACTACAACTCCTATGAAAATTTTTGAGCGTGTTTGTACTTATTAAGTGTATTTATAAATCATACGGATATTATCTTCAGCCTGCATATTAAATTGTAGTTAAGCTTTTACTTTTTAACTAAAAAATAAATTCTATTATTTTTTCCTATATCCCACTGCACTGACCCCAGTTTGGAAATCCTAAGATTATCAAATAAAAACTTTGATTATTGAAGAATCCAGGTGTACTGCCACAGAAAAGTTCTATTCTGTAGCATGGACTCTAATATGTAATCTAGCCCATTGTGCTTACAGATAGATGTGTGCCTGTAGTCATAGAAAAATTTGCATGAGCTAATGACTGCCTTGCTACTAGATTAGCTCAAAGCAAAAAGTTCTCTGAAAGCAGGTCAATAGGGTCATTTTTATATTATGAAGAAGAAAAGCAGCTGTTGTATTACATTCACTGTATTGGTCCTGCTTGTGTTTCAGGGCAAGATCCTTGTTGGGACAAGGAATGCTGAAATAATCGAAGTTGGAGAGAAAAATGCAGCTTGTAATATTTTAGTTAACGGTCATGTGGATGGGCCAATCTGGGGACTAGCAACACATCCTTCCAGGGATTTTTTCCTTTCTGCTGCAGAAGATGGGACAGTGAGACTTTGGGATATTGCTGATAAAGTAAGTACAGATAATTTTTTTAAAAGAGGTTACAACTTCTAAAAAGAAAAGTTGGAAGTTCTAAATTGCTAGTACTTAAAGAACTGCCAGAATTCTGTTGAGCATTTTGAGGGGAAACTGGTATAATTTAGAAGTACTTCACTTAATGTTTCCTATGACTCTTTTTTTTTTTTTTTTTAAATGCAGAAGATGTTAAACAAAGTGAATTTGGGACATGCTGCTCGTACTGTGTGTTACAGCCCTGAAGGGGACATGGTGGCTATTGGAATGAAAAATGGAGAATTTATCATTTTACTAGTGAGTTCTCTAAAAATATGGGGAAAGAAGAGAGACAGGAGATGTGCAATCCATGATATCAGGTTAGTGAACAAATGGAATAGAGTTTCTAGTATATACTTGATTTAACTTCCATTTGTAAAATTTTCCATAGCCTTGCCTTCAAAAAGAGGTCCCCAGGGCCTGTAGCATTTCCCGTATTATAAATTGTATGCTAAAATATGGCTGTTTGTATACTACTTAATTCTTCTTGCTAAATTATAAACCCACTGGGCACCAACTATAATAGCAAGTACTAGTAGGTAATGTTTGATGAATTCATGTTAACACTTAGCCATGTCCATTAAGTTCATCCCACCAAGAGGTATCTCCCACTGTAATACAAGAGAGCTATCTGCCCTTCAAAAGTTGTCACCCTGGAAAACTAAAGTTGTGATTTCAAACATATCTTCTCTTAGTAACCTCAGTTTGGGAATATGTAGTTCATTAATTTAATCAATACCTATTGATTAAATGTTCCAGAATCCAAATTAATTTAAATGTTTCTTAAACCTTTGTTTTTCAGTGCTTAAGCATTTTTCAACAGTGGCTACCATTTACGGAGTACTTCCGTGTGATCAGTAGATAAGATTATTGAATCTAGGTCTGTCAAAAGCTTGTACACTTTTCATCAGTAAAATCCTTTTACAAATGAAACCTTCCTCAGAACTTCAATATATAAAATAGTAACAGTGGCTTCCCTTAGCTTTTACATGTCTCTATCGTACCTCAGTAAGACTCATGGGCCATTTCAAGAGACTGAATTGTCCCATATGACTCCAAAGATTGCTAGGCAAATAGCATTTCACTTTGTCTTTTAAATAAGTTCTTCAGGCCGGGCGCGGTGGCTCATGCCTGTAATCCCAGCACTTTGGGAGGCCGAGGCAGGCAGATCACCTGAAGTCAGGAGTACTCGACCAGCCTGGCCAACATAGTGAAACCCCATCTCAACTAAAAATACAAAAATCAGCCGGGCGTGGTGGCAGGCGCCTGTAATCCCAGCTACTCAGGGGGCTGAAACAGGAGAATCGCTTGAACCCGGGAGGCGGAGGTTGCGCCATCGCACTCCAGCCTGGGAGACAAGAGCGAGACTTCGTCTCAAAAAAAAAAAATTCTTCTTCCAAGATTCAAGTTGTGTCATTTCACCTTAATAACTGGAGGTTAGTTAAGCTGGGCTGTGTTCTTTGCTTAATATTAAGACAACGTTTTTTCCAGATGGAAGAAAACTATCTTAATGAATTGTTAGCTTATTAATTATGTAATGCTAATGGCTTTTAAAAGCTGAGATGTTCTGACTGGGTGTTGTGGCTCACACCTGTAATCCCAGTACCTTGGGAGGCCAAGGGGGAAGGATTGCTTGAGGCCAGGAGTTTGGGACCATAGTGAGACCCCGCCTCTATTTAAAAAATTAAATTTTGTTTTGTTTTGTTTTGAGTTGGAGTTTTGCTCTTGTTGCCCATGCTGAAGTGCAATGGTGCAATCTCAGCTCACCACAACCTGTGCCTCCTGGGTTCAAGCGATTCTCCTGCTTCAGCCTCCCGAGTAGATGGGATTACAGGCGTGCACCACCATGCCTGGCTAATTTTGTATTTTTAGTAGAGACAGGGTTTCTCTATGTTGGTCAGGCTGGTCTCAAACTCTCGACCTCAGGTGATCTGCCCGCCTCCGCTTCCCAAAGTTCTGGGATTATAGGTGTGAGCCACTGGGCCTGGCCTAAGAAAGTTTTTTTAAGCCATTAGACGTTTTTAAAGGAATTGGGAGATGACAATTGGGGAAATATTTAAAATTTAAGTAAAATATAAAGCTTCCTTATTTCATGTAACCCAGACAATCTCAGTATACATGATCAGTTGTGTCTGACAGGTAAATCTATTTGAGGCCTTATCACACGTTACTTTTAAGAACTAGAAAGGAAAAGTCACTGATCTTAAGTATTTATAATACTTCATGTGGTCTAATACTTTTTACGTTTTGTTTTGATTCAGATTTAGTCCGGATTCCCGGTATCTGGCAGTAGGTTCTAGTGAGAACTCAGTGGATTTTTATGACCTAACGCTGGGCCCCACTCTTAACAGAATCAGCTACTGCAAAGACATTCCAAGCTTTGTCATTCAAATGGACTTCTCTGCAGATAGCAGTTATCTCCAGGTACAGTACCAATACTGTATACCCAGGTGGCAAGTTCTTCTGCTTTTACATTTCGTGTTAGTGAATGCATTTAAAGTTCCTGAGCTCCAGAGCTCCAGCTTCTCAACTCCTCCCTTTGTACCTTCTGACCTACAGCTCCCCTTTCCTCCCCCACTTATCAGAGCTTTTCTCCTATTAAGTTTTTGTAGTGATCTTTTGCATACTTAATAATGTTAGACATGTAAATCAAGTAGCAATATGCTAGTATTCTGTAAACCCCCTGTGGATTTTGTCTCTCACCTAATGGAATTCTTGTCCCATTTTAATCTGATGAAAAAGGTCTCTAGTGGCTGCTATAAACGGCATGTCTATGAAGTGCCTTCAGGAAAACATCTTATGGATCATGCCGCTATTGACAGAATTACTTGGGCTACATGGACTAGGTAAATACTTATATATTCACAAGGCAAGAACTGACTTTGAAGGCCAGTTAGAAAATCCTATTTCTGAACTGTTAGAGCCATTCCAATAAGGAATAGTAATTGAGTTTCAAGTTTTTGTTACCATATTTTGAAATGGTATGTTCATGTTGGGACCCCTTTTTATTGAATATATTTCCATGTTTTATCAGTTTCCATGATTTATCAAGTTTTTTTTTTAAGGAAATCAAAGTTTTAACTTTAAAGATACCCTGATATTTTTCTTAATGCTAAATTTAATGACTGGCAAAAAGGTATTGGGTGCTGTTAAGCAACTGTTATTAATTCTCTATCTAAAGGAATGCTATCTTGAATCTATTAGAAGTCAAAGCTTCCAAATTTGTTCAAATTTCCTGGCTGTATGACAGGTAACCATGACTATCCATTTTTTTGGCCAATGAAAAATGCCATCAAATTCCTGTATCAGCCAGGCATATAGTGGCTCATGCCTGTAATCTCTGATGTAGCAGGCCGAGGTGGGAGGATCACTTGAGCCTAGAAGTTTTGATACCAGCCTGGGCAACATAGCAAGACCCCATCTCTGAAATTTTTTTAATTCCTATGTCATAAGTCATTTTTATTTTTGTAGAGATAGGGATCTCACAATATTGCCCAGGCTGGTCTCAAACTCTTGGCCTCAAGCAGTCCTCCTGCCTCAGCCTCCCAAAATGTTGGGATTACTGGTATGTGCTGCTGGACCCAGCCAAGTAGCACTTTTAATTTGAAAAATAGTTCTATCAGTTTTCAGTCAGGCGCGGTGGCTCAGCCTGTAATCCCAGCACTTTGGGAGGCCGAGCGGGGGTGATCACCTGAGGTCGGGAGTTCGAGACTAGCCTGACCAACATGGAGAAACCCTGTCTCTACTAAAAATACAAAATAAGCCGGGCATGTTAGCGCATGCCTGTGATCCCAGCTACTCGGGAGGCTGAGGCAGGAGAATTGCTTGAACCCAGGAGGCAGAGGTTGCGGTGAGCCGAGATCATGCCATTGCACTCCAGCCTGGGTAACAAGAGCGAAAACTCCGTCTCAAAAAAAAAAAAAGAAAAAATAGTTCTATCAGTTTTCATAAAGTACTACTTTAATCTTAAAAAGATTAATCTAGAAACCCTTCAAATTATAAAATGTCATTTTTAAAAGGCAGGAGTTGATATCCTGATGAAATTCAGGTCTCCAAACAACTTACCATAATTTACTTCCTGTATTTTAAGTAACATGATAGGGTACTTAGAGATTAATTGCCAAGAAACTTTTTGAATATAGTCAACCTGCCCGCACTTGCCATGATGAGTTTTCTTTTGTTCCTTCCCTCTAGTATTCTAGGAGATGAGGTTTTGGGAATCTGGTCCAGACATGCTGAGAAAGCTGATGTCAACTGTGCCTGTGTATCTCATTCAGGAATCAGTCTTGTTACAGGAGATGACTTTGGCATGGTTAAGTTATTTGACTTCCCATGTCCAGAAAAATTTGTAAGTTTGTGTTTTGTTTACTATTATCAGTTTACTCCTAATTTTGATGTCTTATCATCAGCACTTTTCCCCATATATTTAAAATGTTTTGTCCTAATTTCTAAATTTTTCCCCAAACTTTCTAAATCTATTTACTTTGAAATAAAAGCTATTAGAAACAAATCCTCTCCCTCGAGTAATACCATCTTTGGAACCATCCTACAAAAGCTGTAATTAGCTTTTCACCAAACCTATAATCAGTTATCAAATTTCAAATGCTTTTCCTTAGAGAAAAATGGTCAGAGTACCTGGAGACATCTGACTGCCCACACAGCCTGGTTTTGCAGATCCACTACTCATGCTGAAAAGCATTCTAATCACTGGCTGCGGTGCTAACTCCCTACTCTCTCCACAGCTCTTGTCATAGAGATTATAGTTCCTAATAAGAGCCTTTGACTTCTGTGTGCACCAAATGCCCTGAGCTTGTCTGTCATTGTTTTTTAGGCAAAACACAAAAGGTTCTTGGGTCATTCGCCCCATGTGACAAATATTCGATTTACCAGTGGTGATCGACATGTTGTTAGTGCTGGAGGTGATGACTGCAGGTTAGTAACTTTCTCAGCCCATGAAGAGCAGACTATGTTACTAGTTAAGAGACTTAATACAACAACTCCTACAGCTTTGGTTTATGAAATCAGCTAGTCAACATTAGTAGAAGGTAGTATAACCAGATGGCTCTTCAGAATCTCATATTTATGCAAATACAGAATAAAAGGAGTTAAAGAGGAAAAATATTACACATGTAACCTGAAAGCACAACTGAAAAATATTAAACTGTTATGAAAATCTAAAAACATAATTAACTCCCTGCAATTTTCTTCTCTGATTGCAGCTTATTTGTCTGGAAATGTGTACATACACCTCACTGAGAGATGCTGAGATGACTACAGAAATTAACTTTGAGACCAGAATTACAGAGAAGAAAAACCAAAACCCAACCCTGCATGGTCAAGTGGTGCTAACCCAAGACTGTAACAGGGAGAAATGCCCAGAATCATCAAAATAGTGAAAGACTGATCTGTTCAAAATATTTGCTATATGCACTGGGTATAATCCGTAATCCATACACTGCCAGATAATGCCATTTCAAGGAAGGATCGAATACTTGATGGTAAAGGCCAAGTCCCCCTGTATTGGGAAGTGTGTGATTTCGGCAGACCTGCTGGGAAAATTTAGGGTAGAGCACTCTTTACAGAAGAACTCAAAAACCCAATTTGGATAATTTTCATTATCTTTTTAGCAAAATGGTTTCTTAATGTTTATATTTTATTTTCAAGGTTCATTGTTTAATGAAATATTTTATTCTTGCATTTCCATAAGGAAAGGGAAAGTCATGATCATCCTAAAGGATCACAGTTTTTAAAAGGCAAACATTTTCCCTAAGGAAACAGACACAAGCTTTCCTAGAGAATATGATGTTTTTTAGGCATTAATAAGGTCCTTTTTTATAAAGGACACTTTTCTCCTAGTAGTTTTGAATTCAGGAACAGATCCAAAGTTAGCAGTATATGGCTGCTACATTTCCATTTTCATTTTCGAGCCATCAGTTTATGTTCAGATGCCATCTCTGTAATCGCACATTTAAAACATAACTGTAGCCTCACTAATGGAAAAGTAGTATGATGAACAATCATTCCCAATGGTGTACAATGTAAGGGTTTTAGGGAGCAACAGTATTTAACTGGAAGAAAGAATTGCATATTTAATGTAGTCTAATATATACACATTTGTTTAACATGTAAACAAAAGTGTTAAATTCACATATACAACATTATACAATTTAATCACTCTTGGAATAAAATTTTTATAGCCTTTTTTCTATTGGGAAAATTTGTTTAGATGTGTGCCACTCCATAGGTTTATTTCCAAAATGAATGAGCCCAACTCCATTTGTAAAAACTTGTCAGTTAGAATTCCTTTTTTTAGTGGATTAGGGCTGAATTCTTAGATCCTTATTTCTTTTCACTTTAAATGCTGCCAAAGATCACTACTCATCATTCAGGAATTCGCTGTCTAGCCTATCTGTAGTTTCCTGAAGATTGAAAATTATGTAGACTGCTATTTAAAAATATATTTTTCTAAGTGTGAGGTTTAAGATGCTGTATTGACCCTATGAGTTTTTAATGTGTTAATTATCTTTATAGCATAATAGATCGCTTTAGGTTCCTGGAATCCCATTTGGTCTGACAGGATATATGAAGATTCTTAATACCTATTTTCTGTGTCTAATACTTGGTTAATACTAAAAATAGAAATGACTAAATTACATCACAGAAAGCATAACCAGTGATTGAACCTGGTAGTTTTAAAGCTCTAAATAGCTGTGGCTGAAGGACTGATTATGGGGCTAAGAAGCTTGAAACGTAAGTTGGTACTTGTTCATCAGTGGATTCTCCTAAATTAAGCCAAATTTTGAAATACATGACTATTAAGTTTCTACTCATGTATTTACAGTCAGTCAATAAATTAAAGGAGGAAAAAAATCCCTGAACAACCTGCCCATAAAAAGAAAAATACTCTACATTTGAGCCTGCTGCAGTTTTAAATTTTCCCTCTGGGTCAAGTTTGCCAGCTTTTGGCTACAGAGAAATTATATTTCCATTACAGTGCAGGTAGAAACTCTGTAACCTTAAGCATGTAAACTACATAGAATAAAACTGTTTCCACTGCATTTCTGTCCTTCAAAGTGGCCAACCTGATTAAGTCAGCCTTAATCACTGCTGCTGTCAGTTTCACGACTAAAGGTCATATTGACTAAGTAGTCATCAGCTGACCACCTCGCTGTATCAGCCAGCAACGAGGGGAAGGTGAAGAAACATGATAGGCCATATAGAATCTGCCCTATGTTTACTTTTTTAACCCAGATAATTATTTTTGTGTGCAGTATCTAAGCTCCTGATTGTGTAACCTGGGACTTCTGGCACCTTTTGTTCCATTCATTTTATGTATAAAATGCATGCCAAAGCACACTGTGCCCTCTGGTACCCTTGCTTCCAATCGCCAACCATGCTCATTTCCTTCCTTTTTTTGTGGTCCCTTTTTGTGGTGATCATTTTAAACCACGTCATCCAACAAATGTTTTATGGTCAACCTTAGCTTGTTCATAAGCCATAGCAACTGAAAGATTAAACTCTTAAATATGTGTCTGGGCAGTGGCTATTAAATAGCAAAAAACAATCAGATTTTAGTATTTTATTATTTCCTTGTAAAATGGCTGAACTAAATTAAACCCTTGTTTCCCATTTGTTCTATAATTTATAGTGAAACTGAGAACAAAACTATCTTTATAAATGATAGCTAAAAGTATTTCCAGATATTTAAACAATTTAAAATAAATTTCTTCTGCAGAGATGCAAAGCATCTCAACACTGGAATGAACAAATGCCTTAAATTCAATGGAGTAAACCTTTAGAATGAAGAGGAACTGTCATTTCACCCAAGCCGAAGACAACAGCCTTATGCACTTGTGTGCTCTGTCTTTGCTGCTTCTCGTGTTTCAAGCCTTTCCTGTGGGATCAGCACAGCAAAGTGCAACTTACCAAATGGTTTAATGACTGGTTAATTCTTTCTTCTCCCAATGGAAAAGCAATGGCAACACAACAGTAGACTGCTGGCTTGACAATCTTAAACGTGAGCCTTTGCACATGTAGGTTTATCATCATTTGAGTATACGACTAAGCAAGTCAATGAACTTTTTTTTTTTTTTTAGCAGTTTAATTTGGTCCTGAGAATGTTGCAGTCTTTATTACCCCTTTTGCATTAATCCACTTTTCTAACCACCTTTTAAGCTTTAATTTTTAACACTATACACCAAGTCTTTGAAATCAGTGATCTGTTATTTAACTCTAAAGCATTTGACACTTCTTGCCTTAACAGTTTTAAAAACCACACACAAAAAAACTCTGTAAGTAATACAGTAGGCCAAAAGTTTCATCCTATCTATCTTGCAGTTTACCTATCTGATCTGATCTCTGTAATTATAGTTCTGTCATTTAAAATATACTATTTAAATCTAATTTTTACATTTCAAAAATTATCTTCAGTAGTAACTAAGTATATTTTCTGTGGATTCTGAGAATGTTATTTTTCAGAATGTGAGAATATATATGTACATTTATAATCTTGTGACTTTAAAGTCTGTTTTCAGATACAGTATGTAAATACTTGTAAAAAAATTTGTATAATTTTGTGATAATGTAGTTTCCCAAAAAAATTATTTAGAAGGCATTATGTTATTAGTAAATGAGAGCACTGTATAGAACTGTTCCTATTTTCTGCACTTGCCATTCCAGCTGCCTCCACTGTCCATACCCACCTCATTCATCCTGTCACAGAAGGCAGGAAAACTGGGAACTTTACCAAAGTAGCACTCAGCCTGAGAGGCCTGTATAATCATGCTTTTCAAACTAAATTCACTTAAAAATTAAAAAGCAGAATTGAATATTTTAAGCAGCCTCAGTACCTTTGGCCAATGCTGTTTTCATGGTGGATTATGAACATTATATAATCTTTGGGAAAAGTGAAAGTAGTACAATTTTTAGAATAATGACAACTGCCTCACTGCATCTCTCCACTCACACAGCAACCGTGTAGCCCCCTAAGCTGCAGTACCATGACTAACCATGATGTCAATTTCATATGCTGATCCTCACAACAGCAGTGCACAAACATGCCCCAAATATTTTAACAGAATTTAGCTCTTCCTTAAGCTGTCTTTTCATAGTAAAAACAAAACAAAAACACCCAATGTTAAAACCACATAATAAACTTACAAACTTGAAAAATTAGACACTTCAGATAGATAGGCAATAAAACTTCATATTATGAAAGCAATATATTCCAAGTTTCAAAGATTTGACAAGTTCTGTAGAGTATCTTTCATCAGTACATGAAAACTTCCAAACTGCATGATCTTCTGCCAGGCAGGACTGGGTGCTATTCGCTGAATGAACAGAACCAAAAATTGTTTTAATTATCTGCTTTGTATCCATATATACCATATATCTCAGTTTAAAAAGTTGACTAGTTTTAAGCAATAAATATTTGGTCATAAGATTACAATATAAATGGCAGATTTTTAAAAATAATTCAATTATGTCAGGTAGATAAAAGATAATACCATATGTAATTAAATTTTCTGGCCACACTAAAATATTTTGAAACTTCCTTTCAGTATCTCCCAGTTGCTAATGTCGAAGAAAATGGATGTGAAATTCAAGTACAGTACACATATATATACTCCTGCTGGCCTTAGTATATGTTTGCGTAGTATATAATGAGAAGTTAAAATCTGGCTGGGTGTGGTGGCTCATGCCTGTAATCCTGGTACTTTGGAAGGCCACGGTGGAAGGATATCGCTTCAGCTCAGGAGTTCAAGACCCCATCTCTACTTAAAATAAAAAAAATTAGCCAGGTATAGAGGCACACGCTTGTAGTCTCAGCTACAGGTGGGAGGATGGATTGAACCCAGGGGTTTGAGGCTGCAGTGAGCTATGATAGTGTGACTGCACTCCAACCTGGGCAACAGAGCAAGATAATCTAGGTTAAAAAAGTAACCACTGGATAATGTAAAATTTAGCCCATGTAGTAAATTATTTTGCCAAAGGAGCCTTCTATAATTAAACAGCAAAGAAAAAAATTCAAAGTAACAGTCTAGTTTCCAATTTTGTGTGCTTATAAATTTAGAAACTGCAAATTAGAAAAAAGAATTTGAACTGACATGAGAAAAACGAATTTGAATGTTTACCTGGTTTGAGGTCGAATCCATTTCAAGGCATGTCGTGGTGGGACATTAATGGTGGGATGGTAGAATGTGCAGTCCGGTCTTGTACATTGAGTGTTAAACCTACAATGCTGAATAGAGATAACAGAGCTTCAACAATATCCACAAGGCTAATATAAGTAAACACATTATTTTATTATTTGAGACAGGGTCTCACTCTGTCACCCAGGCTGGAGTGAAGTGGCATGACCTCTTGCCTCAGTCTCCCGAGTAGCTGGGACTACAGGCGTGTGCTACCAAGCCTGTTTTTTTTTTTTTTAAGAGATGGGGTCTCTTAAATGTTGCCTAGGCTGGTTTCAAACTCCCGGGCTCAAACGATCCTTCCACTTCTGCCTCTACCTCCCAAAGTACTAGGATAGCAGGCCTGACCCACCTCACCTGGCCAACATACAACTTAGGAGACAATAACCAGCCCACCCTAACCATTAACAGAGTAAGAGATTCCATCTATAAGGACCATTTTAATACTAGTGAAGCCTTGAAAAATGGACTTAACCTTGAGACACAAAATTCTAGTCAAAGAATCACAGCAAGTACAATTTCAAAAGGTAGTTTAGCATACCACAAAAACTTCTAATTATCCCTTACACTCTTCACTGAGTACCCTCATCTACGCCCAGTTACAGATGGGGGCAAGTGAAGGCCTTCATATGGTCCTCAAGCTACCGGGGCAAGAAGGAGATAATTCATTTTGACCAACTAAACATCTGGAGATTCATCAACCATCATCAGTACAAGTTTGGATGGTTTTAAGCAGTACCTACTGGATTTCTTCATCTCAGTTCTGACATTAGGTTCAAACTGCCCCCCAGCCCCCGCTAAAACCCATCCATATACTTAAATGCAGGGAATAATGGAAAATGTGACTAGCAAAGATATGCTTCCCCCCACTGAGTGCTTGGGATACTAACATTGAACAGTTTCAGACCACTTGGCCTAAGGGGCCAGATGGAGGTTCAGTGACGAGGAACAACTTAATAGTTTTACTGGCAAAAATCGCAATTACTTTTGCACCAATGTAGT
This sequence comes from Homo sapiens, assembly GCF_000001405.40. Lineage (NCBI taxonomy): Eukaryota > Metazoa > Chordata > Mammalia > Primates > Hominidae > Homo > Homo sapiens. Next base: position 88,609,881 of record NC_000014.9, on the reverse strand, counting down.
AACTCTGACAAAAAAGAAGTTAAATGAGGAAATTGAGATGTTGTCACTAAATTGATTTGAGAAAATAGAAGTTCTTACTTTTGGATGATAGAAGGGACATTCCATCTTCTTACAAGCAGGGAAGTAACGGCAGAGCTGACTACTGGAAGGTGGTGCTGGTGGTGCAACTGCTAACAAAATAAAAACCAGGACTGATCTCCAATCTGTTTGGAAAACCCATTTTTAATGCAGTCTACTGATGTTTTTTTTGAAAGTGAAAACCATTTTTAAATTAGAATGGTAAGGTTTATATATTCACTAGTCAAAATACTTCGGAATACTACAGATAGGCACACTTGCTCTTTAAAGACTGGTTGGATTAACTGATCCTGCCAAAATTATTTCTGAAACCATCTTTTGTTTGTTCAATTCCATTTACAGTCACAAAATGCCATTTTATATTTTTTACCCAAATGTAGTAGCACAGTCACTCACTCACCTGGTTTTGGAGACAGTACTGGAATTCTTCTACTCACATGAGTGAAGGGACAATCTGGTTTAGTACACTTTGCATCATATTTACAATTTGGGTGAACAAACAAACATTTTTCAGCAAATTTACAATTGGGGAAGGCTCTACAAAACAAAAAAAAAGCATATTTCATATTCAATCTTCTCAATGCATTATTAGTTCTGTGTATAAGGGCTCTTTACACTCCCCATCACTACTTGTTTTGAGAAATGCAAAAAAAACAGCAACAAAAAGAATATTTTAAAATAAGACCATATATCAAAATAGGACACAATCATTTATTCCAAAGCTTGGGATAACACAAACACAGGCTTTTAACTCAAGCCAAGCCACCAAGAAAGACAAGCTTTTGTGATAAAAATCACACCACTTAATAAAAAAGGTATATATTTTATGCAGTGAACTCATTAATACAATAAACACATCCTCTATGCAAGGCTTTGTGATACAAAAAGACTCATCCCATACTCTCCTTATATGTACAGCTGTATTATTCCCACATCATTTCCTTAAAAGAATTAAAAATGAAGATTCCATCCATAGGACCTACCCCCGGCAAAAAAAAGAAGCCCCAAAAAGCCATCTCATAAAGCTCATTACATTGAGCCAGCCAGCTTGTAAGGAAAAATTTAACCCAAGTCCAAAATGTTTTCATTACCCATAACTAACTTTTCCCTCAACTCCTCAAAATCTGTGTATACTGCGTGTGGCCAAAATGCATACAAACTGGGGCAGTTACCATATACCCATCTGCTTAAACGTACAGAATTCTTAAGGAACCCCAGGTATTTCAGTATCTCACAGGTCCGAGGCACAAACAAAGCCCCCCCACCCTTGCCTCTCAACAAACATACATGAACAAGAAATACGCTACTCTGGAGAGGGCCATGGTAATTGTCACTCCATTTAGTTATAAAACTAAAAACTTGTCCACAGAAAAACAAAAACAAAATAAGGTGTAAGATACAGACACTAAACTGAAAGCCAAAATCAGCTGGCTATGACTTGCAGGGTGAGATGGGGATGGTATTCACTTGCAGGATGAGATGGGGATGGTATTCACTTGCAGGGTGAGATGGGGGATGGTATTCACTTGCAGGGTGAGATGGGGATGGTATTCACTTGCAGGGTGAGATGGGGATGGTATTCACTTGCAGGGTAAGATGGGGGATGGTACTTGCAGGGTGAGATGGGGGATGGTACTTGCAGGGTGAGATGGGGGATGGTACTTGCAGGATGAGATGGGGGGATGGTACTCACTTGCAGGGTGAGATGATACTTGCAGGGTGAGATGGGGGATGGTACTTGCAGGGTGAGATGGGGGATGGTACTTGCAAGGTGAGATGGGGGATGGTACTCACTTGCAGGGTGAGATGGGGGATGGTACTTGCAGGGTGAGATGGGGGATGGTACTCAATTGCAGGGTGAGATGGGGGATGGTACTTGCAGGGTGAGGTGGGGGATGATACTTGCAGGGTGAGATGGGGATGGTACTTGCAGGGTGAGATAGGGGATGGTACTTGCAGGCTGAGGTGGGGGATGGTACTTGCAGGCTGAGGTGGGGGATGGTACTTGCAGGGTGAAGTGGGTGATGGTACTTGCAGGGTAAGATGGGGGATGGTACTCGCACTTACAGGGCTAGATGGGGGATGATACTTGCAGGGTGAGATGAGGGGGTGGTACTTGCAGGGTGAGATGAGATGGTACTTGCAGGGTGAAATGCAGGGATGGTACTCACTTGCAGGGTGAGATGGGATGGTAGTTACAGGGTGAGATGGGGAGATGGTACTTGCAGGGTGAGATGGGGGATGGTACTTGCAGGGTGAAATGGGATGGTACTTGCAGGGTGAGATGGGATGGTACTCACTTGAGGGTTGAGATGTGGGGGATGGTACTTGCTGGGTGAGATGGGATGGTACTTGCCAGGTGAGATGGGGGATGGTACTTGCAGGGTGAGATGGGGGGATGGTACTCACTTGCAGGGTGAGATGGGGGGATGGTACTCACTTGCAGGGTGAGATGGGGTGATGGTAGGCACACTCATCCCCATTTTTACAAGCAGGCCAGTACTTGCAGCGCTCCAAAAGTTTTTCTGGTTTCTGTGCCACACTCAGTTCACTCATCTCAGCTACAAAGGGAAAGGAAATAAAAGTATTTCATTCATTATGATCAATTCAGTACACAGCACCTTTAACATATTTCCCTCAAACCTGTCTTAGAATCTTCTGTTAAATGTACAGTCATATAAAATAAGTGAGCTCAAATTATGGGATTAACACTGGCCATAGAATCCTATAAAAGGTTGCCAGGAAGAAGACAACAGTTCTCACTGTGAAAAGGAAAGAGGACAGTGACTCTGCAACTACGGCCAAATTTTTCACCAAAAATTCTAATTCTCAATACTAATTCATAGCTGAATTAAAAATAGAGAAGGACGTCAAGTGGGGAACTAATAAAATTAAATAAAAACTGAAAACAGGTAAGGTGATAAGGAGATGTGAATCCTCACACGCCAGCAAGATGATGAGTGGCCCAAATACAAAAGGATTCCCACCTGCTGAGCTGTAAGTCCAGGTGCGAAACTCAGCAATGTCTTTTACTTTTTTTTTTTTTTTTTTTTTTTACGACAGGGTCCTGCTCTGTCACCCAGGATGGAGTACAGTGGTGTGCCAGTGGTGTAATCTCGGCTCACTGCAACCTCTGCCTCCCAGGCTCAAGTGATACTCCCACCTCAGCCCCTACCAAGTAGCACGTGCCACCACGCCTGGCTACAGGGTTTCCCCACGTTGCCCAGGCTGGTCTTGAACTCCAGGACTTAAGCGATCCACCCACCTCGGCCTCCCAAAGTGCTGGGATTATAGGCATGAGCCACCGCGCTCAGCCAGCAATGTCTAAAAAGGGGAAAACATTTTTACCTACAATGGGGTCACAAATGCCATCACTTACAGAGACTGGGCAGTTCCCCTAACAGCAAGACTGACTGGGCTGAAGATGATAAATGCAATAAGGGACAGACGGGGAGCAGCAGCCTGGAAAGCAAGTGCACACCCATCCACTCCACTCCCTGTGCCACATCCAATCACAGCTTCGATTACTATGACAGGGCAAAGTGGGACCCCTGTTGCCAGATTTTTATCCTGTTTCAGTAAGCCAAAAATCTGCCTTCATCGAAATTGTAATGCTGGCAATTTATTAAATAACACTGAATAAGTAAAATTACAGCTACAGGCAATAATCAGCTGCTAATTTCTGGACTGAGACACCTTAAACTCCCCACAAAATAGCATCATGGGTATTATGTATTATGGTTCACATTCATGTTCATGAAAGCAAGTATCACTTCAACTGTATTCCTCTAGTCCTCTTGCCAGAGGTCAGTTAAAATCTGACTCTGCCACTTAGTTGCTCAGCCAGACACTCTGTGCAAATGTTAGCTAACTTTTTGGAATTCTGTTTCCTCATCTATACAAAGAGAAAATAATGTCTTCCTTAGAGTCTGATGATTAAACGGAAAAAATGCAAAACAGGCAACCAGTCGTAATAGCAGCAGCAGCTAGTTCTATGAGTACTTACTGTTCCAGTGACCCACATTCTGTCCTCACTACAGGAGAACAAGGCACACAAATGTAGTCATGCAGCCCAGATAGGAGCAGCATCAAAGAGCAATTATGACTATGCCTGATACAAACAGTTTTCTATGCTACTTTAAAAATAGTAAAAGTCCTATTTAAGCTTTAAATAGGATGTGGTGGCTCATGCCTGTAACCCCAGCACTTTGGGAGGCCGAGGCGGGCAGATCACTTGAGCTCAGGAGTTTCAGACCAGCCTGGGCAACATGGTGAAACCCCATCTCTACAAAAAATACAAAAAATTAGCCAGGCATGGTGGTGTGCACCTGTAGTAACCAACTACTCAGGAGGCTGAGGTGGGAGAATCACTTGAGCCTGGGAGGTGGAGGCTGCAGTGAGCCATGACTGTGCCAATGCACTCCAGCCTGGGCAACAGGAGGGATACCCTTTCTAAAAACAAAACAGTATAAGTCATTTTAGTTCTAAGATACAAGAATAATCGGTTCCAAAGAAAATGTGAGATGACTGGAAGTTTCTCTAATTTTTACAGGTTTTTTGTGTCATCCCCGCAAAGTAAATGTGTCTTACCCTTTTCCTATAATAAATTACACACAGCAGACTATAATATATACACAAGAACCCAGTACAAATAAAAGATTAAGAGAATACCCAAGAGAAGCCTAGCTGGAAAGCAAAGTAGCTAGATACTCAGGAACAATATAATACTTTACAAAGAAATGTGATTATTACAATAATACCTTACAAAGAAACTTTATCTTTCTTTTAAAAACATTAAGTCATACGAAGGTCATGCCCCTAGTCTTCACTGGCTGACACCGACTTTGTAAACTATTAAAACTTTCTGTTCAAATTTTAAGAGGCAAATTCACCTTTTATTGAAAGCTATAGGCCAGGCACGGTGGCTCACACCTGTAATCCCAGAACTTTGGGAGGCCGAGGTTGGTGGATCACTTGAGGTCAGGAGTTGGAGATTAGCCTGACCAACATGGTAAAACCCCGTCTCTACTTAAACTACAAAATTAGCCAGGTGTGATGGTGCATGCCTGTAATCCCAGCTACTTGGGAGACTGAGGCAGAAGAATGGCTTTCAACCTGGAAGGCAGAAGTTGCAGTGAGCTGAGATGGCTCCATTGCACTCCAGCCTGGGGGACAGAGAGACTCTATCTCAAAAAAAAAAAAAACAAAGAAAGCAAGCTATAAAATCTGTGCTGCCATATGACAGTGAGTGAAAAGACAGCAGGTTAAAACAGATGTTGTTGTTGGTAGCATCCTTGAAACAACCCAACATAAAACCAACCAGAAGCAATTGCAGTTTCAAACTCCCTGCTCACAGGGGAAGTGGTGCAGAGACTAGAGACTCCTGAGAACTGTTCTGCAGGAGTCTCTCCAGCCACACCCCTATGCTAATCTTACAAAGCTTCATCCTTGAGCAGCAGGGAAACACTGAGTCCCCAGTCAAAGCAATGGGAAAGGAGGCTCACCACTCATCATGGCTGTCAGCACAATGGCCACAGCACTGGCAAGAATTTTTACTAACATATTATTTATGGTGTCACTGCTGCTACATGTATACCCCATAAAGCCTCATATGGACACCTACATTTAAATGAAACCAGATCCTAATAGACCAAAAAATTAAGGTACCAAATTGAAAATCAAGAGTAGTGAAAACACTGGAGTCTTCTCTTTAGACAAAACATACAGAGTCAATAAATCGGGACTGCCTACTGCAGCTTTTACTATTTTTTAAGTTTTTCTTCCTGTTGATAGGGTCAGATTTTCAACTCCCTCCACTAATCAAAACCACGACACTACGTCATTGATTCACAGTAGGAAACGCAACCAATTAAAATAAAGCTAAGTGTTATTGCTCCACTAACATATGATTTCCCTCTGAAGTCTATTCTATTTTTAATGATCGAGAAAGGTATTCAATACATTTTCATATCTCTTCCAAGAAGAGGATTACTCAAGGAAATGTTTCAAAATCCATTACTGTTTTTCCTTTGAATCTGTACGCTTTTAAGATTGAGTAATTATCCCTCCTGCCAATGAAGAGGTGCTTCTAAATATTTTAGAAGATATAAGGAACATAATTACCATTCTCTATCATGAATGGAAATGATCAGTGGCGTTGCAGCTACCACTGATACCCAGTGAAAGAAACGGTGATAAGAAACTGTCACCTGCCAAAAACTATGGTGCTATCTGAAATGAGTTCATCTGAGTTCTGCTAAATATTACTCTTCAACATTAATTTAAACAGTTCCAAGATCTTGATAGATTAGGTGAGAAACTCCTTTCAAAGAAATTTCACTGAGGTAGAAATAGCATCAAATCTAAATTTTTCTCTCAAGTTAATTGCAAGAGACTATTGCTGATAAAAGGGCAAAGTGGCAGTACAGTTTCTGAAGAAAATACAAAGGTAAAGAAGGCAACAAGAATGGTGGTTCATCCTTTAGCCAGCATAAGCGGAAGAGGTCTCTCAGGTTCCATGGCTGAACTCCGTTTTCAAACTGGAGTAACAGCCCACCTATGAAAAAGACACAGGAAAAAGAGTCTGAAATGTACTTGGTGGGTTTGTCTGAAAGAAGAAAAAAGGCCATTACTGAATATAAATAAAAGCAAGGCCTTTAACCAATATTCATTCAAGGTAGAGAAACAAGTCAAAGATTCCCTTCACAATGACAGCACCCTGAAAATCTGAGCTCTCAACACACCGTTAGAAAAGCTACCATTTGGGTCCTCAAGCTGCCTGCTCAGCAAGTGCAACTGCTGTGGGTGGAGGAGACCTCTGAGTCCCTTGTTTGAGGCTGCAGTTTGGTTTACGGGTTTCATTCCTTCAAAGCACATGTCCTCCTCTTGATCTGACATGTATCCTGGGGGGCTGGGGACACCATCCAGCGTCACTATAAACTTGGGACTTGCAGGTTTATCTGGTTGTACAAGATCTCTGCCAGACAGATAAAAAATACCATAGAATTAGGGAAACAAACACAAAACGCTGAGCCCCCTAAAGTGCTCTTCAGCAGAACTATCACTCCCTTGGCTTTGCGTTTGGTTCAATAAAAAAAGACTAGGTAGGGCTACCAGGTGCAGCACTGGTGGGTTCTCTGCTAACACACGATGGCCATGAACAGTCACAGTGGCATCACCAGTGACCCTCCAGCCTGTACTTACTAAGGACAATCTCCCCTCAAGCCTGACCCCATCACCCATTCGATCTTCATAGGGTCAACATGGAAACAAACCAAAAAATTAGCATCAATGCTCAGAACACAAGGGCCAGCAGCATTTATGCTAATTATCTGTATGTTTCTTCTTTTATAGAAACAGTCAATTTTCTAAGGGAAAAATCACCCAAACCTGATCTGCCAACTCTCTTTAGAGCTGACCTGATTATGGTCAGCTGGCTTTTAAACTTGCATTTCCTGAATTTGCATAAAGAAAAGAATCTTTAATAGAGTTAAATCATACACTGAGTTGTAATTTGTAGGTTAATGGATTTCTGAACAAGAAAGATGAACTGGAATTCTTGAAAACTGAATTTGGCTAACTATTCATGGGCTAGCTACTGAATCAATGAAAGCACTCTACGCTAGCGGTTAGGGCGGGGAGGAGGGAAGCTGCAAACGAATGGTTAACCTTTACTATCTAATCACACAAATTAACTACACAAGAAAAAGAAACCATCTACCGTGTCTGCATAAGGTGTCCTGAAAGTACCCGAAGGGAATCTGCAGTCTTCATCCCCGACTCTTGGTTTGGTGCCACTACTACTTCCTCAGACAGCTTTGGCTTCTTCAGAATAAATGATCTTGTGTCTGCATGGACCATGGATTCCATGTCATAGTAATCTGAGCCAAAAAAATTGGCCACAAATGTTTACTTTTGAATATACCTTACATTCCCAACATTATATATGTGAGAAGAATGTCAATCTTTTATATATTCAAATTATTTCAAAGGAAAATCACAACTGGTTCCACTCAGGAAAACAGGGCTATAATTCTATTCCAAACATGTTTTCAAAGAACTCAAGGAGTCCTTCTCGCGTAGGGCACGGCACAAGTGATTCTGATTAACACTCCCTAACCACAGCAGAGAAAGGTTCTCAGGTGAGGCATCTCAACAGATATTAACAATATACCCTTAAAGTACAAAAATCTTTTCTAAAAACCTGGAGAATTTGAGTCCTAATGCTCCCTATAATTAGAATACACAGACTGCTGAACCACTTTTCCAAAATCTGGTTTGTTCACTTCGCACAGTACCACTTAGAATCATGTCCTGATAAAAAGAATTCAAGTGGTATAATTTCCAGTTGGTTATAAACCGAGGACTACTTTAAAAGGTAACTGAAAGGTGAATGGACACTTAAACATATGTATCAAGAAAAACACTGGCCTTTAATGCAAATAACCATAAGCTCACATCATCTACTATTTTATAAAATATGCCAAGACCTACAACCCAGAATGGCTGACCTATCAATACGCCATCAACGGACTGAAGTTAATACACTTCTTTTAAAGCTTAGAGACCAAAATTTACAGGGTATTCATTTATGTTCATTCACTGAGTATTTACTGAACAACTAAGAGAACTGAGCTAGATACACAAAGAAAAAAAGAAAAACAGACACATATACAATTTCAGAATAGCATGACCCAAAAGGGATGTGAACAAGGTGCTGAGAATACAGAACAGCCCACTCCAGCCAAGAACCAACGAAAAGCTTAGCAAGGAGGAACATCTGAAGTCAGCAGTAAAGGAACAAGCAGGAATAAACAAGGAGAGAGACTCGGAGAAACGAACACAGCACTTCAGGCAGAGGAAAACGCACGTAGAAGGAAAGGGGCTTTCACAAGGCCGAAGGCATCTGAGAAAGGTTAGAATGTGGAATGGCTGGAAGGGTGTGTGTGGTGGGCTCAGCAGTACATACCAAGGAAGGCTGACACATATAATAAAGGTTCTTCTATGTCTCAGTGACTCTCGATTCTGGTCTATAATTAGTAAGAAATCAAGTGGCCTGGTGTGGCGGTTCATGTCTGTAATCCCAACATTCTGGGAGGCCAAGGCACAAGGATTCCATAAGCCCAGGAGTTTGAGACCGGCCTAGGCAACATAGTGAGACCTCCCATCAACCAGAAAATAAATAAATAAATAAAATTAGCCAGGCGTGGGAGCACATGCCCGCAGTCCCAGCTACTTGGGAGGCTGAGGTGGGAGAAGTGCTTGGGCCCAGGAGGTCAAGGCTGCAATGAGCAGGATTGTGCCACTGCACTCCAGCACGAGTGACAGAGGGAGACTCCATCTCAAACCAAAAAAAAAAAAAAGAGAAAAGAAATCAAGAGAGGTTCCTAAGGAAGGAAGTGGCCTGATCAAACTGGTTTTTAGAAAAACAGTGTTAAGGAAGAACCAGAGTTCTCGACCTGCTGTTGCCCGGGACAGAGGGTGAGGCTCTGAATGAAAAGATTCTCTGCTGTCTGTCCTGGTCTCACACACCTGACAGGAAGAGAAGACATGCTCCATCCTGGGAAGGGGCGTGCCCGCCTTCCCCAGCAAGGGCAGTACAGATGGTAAAGGGAGACAGGCGGAAGAGAAAGCTGGGATGAGAAACTTAGCAAAAGAAAAAGAGCAAAGTTAAAAGGGGCAAAGATACATTTCCATGTTAGATTTAAAGTCTTTGTGGGACTCTCCCATGTTTAAGAGGAAGTAGAAAATTCAGATTTGACCTGTAGGTGGGGGGACAGAAATAAGATGCTGAGTCAAAACCGAAGGTGACAGAAGTGTTTAACATATTCAGGGTGGCCGTCTCTCACTGAATCCTCACTCAAAGCCTACAAAGTCGGTTTCCTCCCATGTTACAGATGACTGTTTGCAGCTCCAAGTTATTAAATGATTCACCGAGGTCTCACAACTGTCAAAGGTGGGTCCCAACAGTGGCCCAGGGGCTGCTTCACTCCTTCCCACCACTCTGCACTTTCTGAGACGAAGGAGTTCTACCAGTTCATAGGTTGGGTGAACACAGAAGAGATGAAAATAATGCTGAAGGTGGGAGAGAGCAAAGCTAACCTTTTGAGGAGGAATGGAGGAGATGCGCTGACACATGAGAATGAAAGGGAATGAGAAGAATAAAGACAGAGTGAACTGGAAGCCGAAAGGTCAAAGCTTGGAGAAAGTATGGGAACCCAAGTGTAACATGCTCCAGGGTTGAGGAAAGCGTGCACCGGTCCCTCCCGCACACCTCTCTGCAAGCGGAACGTTAGCAGCCCAGGTCACATGGAGACCAGACAGACGGGGGAGTAAGTAACATCTTCTGAGTAGAGACCACAGGCTGACCCCATGCATTTACTTTTTGTTCCCTCCTGAAAGCCCACAGAAATGTCAATAAGGGTTTTGTTTTTGTTTTGAAAGCATAAACTCACAAAGAAAATAAGTGTAAAAAGAAATTTTCAAAGTGGAAAACAGATGATTAAGAACTCAGGGGATCTGTAAAAGCTGAATTCTAAGGCAATAATGAAGCAATCCAATTCAGACCACAAGATTCTCCAAAGGCTCAGGAACTGGCAGTAAAAGGACCTTAGGAAGAAATGGAAGAAATGGCAGGCAAAAAAGAGGTGTATTAGATGTGTCCAAGAAGCAGTTAGTTCTTCTTCAACTCTAATTCCATGTATCTGTTTTCTTTGTTTGAGACAGTCTTGCTCTGTCACCCAGGCTGGAGTGCAGTGGTGCGAGCTCAGCTCACTGCAACCTCCGCCTCCTGGGTTCAAGCAAGGCTCCTGCCTCAGCCTCCTTAGTAGCTGGGATTACAGATGTGCACCACCACGCCTGGCTAATTTTTGTATTTTTTAGTAGAGATTGGGTTTCGCCATGTTGGCCAGGCTGGTCTGGAACTCCTGACCTGAAGTGATCTGCCTGCCTTGGCTTCCCCAAGTGCTGGGATTATGGGCGTGAGCCACTGCACCTGGCCACTGTTTTCTTGGTTTTGATGCTTGCCACACCAATCCCGACCTCTACACTGAAGACACCTGGGATGACTGGTGATGTGCTTTCCTGTAGATAATCTTCGGAGAGGCCTATGGATGAAGCATTAGGGTCTCTGCCAGAAAGATGCTACGACAAAATCACCTGAAGGTACACTGTTAAAAATTTTTAAAGGCAATTAGATTTCCTGATAAATCTTTACCCACTGCATGCATTCTCCCTTGGAGAAAGTGGAGCTTTAGACTCTTCAGAGGATAAGAACAGAGTCCCTGGACCAAGAGACACCAGCCATGATGAAAGAAGTACTGGACTGACAATGGTTGGGGGAGGGTTAAATAAACATTACATAATAATTAATGGTGAGGTGCCTCCCCCAGCCTTCTTTCCCCACTTAAGCTCGCAGAACTCTGACTACCAGGCTATTACTTGAAAAACTTTGTTTTGGAGAAGCTGACCAGCCTGAGAGGAAAGTCTTGAAGGCAGTGACATCAGGGTGCCCACAAACCAGACAGGCAGGACAAATCACTTTCCACCACAGGGTCTAGTTTCAAACAGAAAGTCAAAGTGCCCCATGCCCCAACTCATGAACCCAGAATACCAGTGACCTTCTGAGTGCTCCACTCTTAAATGTAAGACCACCTAGGATCCCCAGACATCAGAGGGGAACCTCCAGCATAAAAGACAGCCAAAACAGACCACTTAGAGAAAACAAGACGAAGCAGGGAGGGGAAAAATGTCAAAACCACCTTTCAGACCACAGAGAAATAACAAAGAGTATTGTGTACACAAAATCAGTATGTTTTTAGAAAATTAATAGAATATGCAGAAACAAAGGGATCTTAGAATAAAAAATGTGATAGGAGCTAAGGACTGCAGTCATTCATAAGCCTCACAGAACTACTTGCTATTTCAAACTGCGTGCACCATGGGTACAATGAAAAGCTGAAGGAGGCAGAAGAGAAAACATGCACAAGAGCTGATGAAGTGGATCCCACACACAGATCTCGGCTGTCAACCTTTTCAAATACTCCTGTGGAGGAAGCAGGACGGACTGCTGGGAGATGAGAGAGCAAAATCACGGGCAGAGAATGTCTGAACACCTCTACAGAGAGAAGACAGGAGGCAGAGAATGAAGTTGGAGGAGTGGGTGACATGCCAGTGGCTCACCAACCCAGTGGGATCTGGCCTCTGGTGGAGGCTGACCCTTAGGGAGGAAAAGCACACTTTCTGAGCTGGAAAGCTGGGGGAGGGTCGGGGAACAGAGTGACTGACTGTGGAGTCCTGACTGAGAGGGGTCTAGGGACCAGAGCTTCCCACAAAAGACAGACTTAGGGGAAACAGAAGGACTGAGATGATTCCGGGTCTCTCATGGTTGCCTGTGTTTATCCTGCAGTCATTTTTAAGACATTGAACATGCATCTGGCAGGGGCTGGGCACTGAGGACAGAGATAATAAAAATGAAGGCGTCAGCTCCAGTCCTGGAGTAGCCCCTGGCATGTGTGTCTGTGGGGAGAGGAAAGGAGACAGGCAAACTAGAGTGGCTCTAGAACACTAGAACAACAAGTTCCAGGTGTGGCCCTGGTGATAAGACTCCAAAATGAAGTACAAGAGGATAAGGCTAACCAGGTGAAAAACAGGATACAAAAGCCACTCATGGCAATGACAAAAGCTGGGTAGAGTGGGAGGGTAAATCAGAAACGCAGGTCACTCCTGACAGCAGGAGAGTGACAGCCGACAGTGCTAGGGACACACTTGGAATGGTGTGAAAGGAACAAAGTTTTCCAATGAGGCAAAAAATTATAACACTATATAACATGAAAGAAATGCAGATCTTATCTCCTGGCCCTAAAATATTTTCACAGATCTAAATATAACATCTTAGGGCAGGATCTAAGAGATCCGAGATACGTTAAATGGGGTGTAAGAAATGGAAATGGCAACTGAAATGGCTGGATTACAGTACAACTTGAAACATTACCAACCTTGACTCATCTGCAGAGTTTCTGCCATTACTGGGTCGATTTGCAGTCGGGATAATAATTGCCTCTGTTGAGTTCCTAGAATATAAATTTTAAAACTTCACTAAGCTTACAACACAGACAATACCAGCATGTGGTTCCCAAAAATCAATCCTTCTGGGTTCTTAACTTGAAGTCTTAAAAGTAACTTAAAGCTTCAACAATTCAATTTAATAGTATTTATAGACCAAAGACATATCCTGTAAGACAAAAAAGGCTGTACTCAGGGTTAAACCACAAATGCCAATTTAAAACACTCCTGGTTCTCCCTCTATGAGGACATCAGTTTTCCTGAATTTGAATTCTGCGGGGAAAGTAAAGGTGGCAAACGGGTGGAAAATCCAGGAAAAGGCACCTTGTGGCCCAGCAGCTCGCATCACAGCCAACTGCACAATAAGCATGGCAAGCACCTCCCTCCATCACCTGAGCTCTTACCATCACGACTCACTCATGACCTTTGAAGATAATCGAAATAGCAAAACAAAACACTCTCATCATCTAAACAAGAGTTCCTAAAAGACAAACTCTGGGCTTCGATGCATGCAAAGAAAACAATAAGACACTCAGCTCTACAATCCACACCCTATGTTAGCAAAGCATGATAATAATTCTTTGCCTCTTCCACAAGAAAAGATGTTCAACTACTTATTTCTTCTAAAATAGGCTCCTAACATTAATTCCTATTAGGTTCACTATTCCTAACAATAATATGCCCAGCAGTCTGACTGCACAAAATAGGGACAAAGAACTGATTTTTTTCCATCCTCGATTTGATGTTAAGCTCCTTGAGGATGGGAGAATGTCACACTTTTCTGTAGCCCCCACAGCGCTTAGCAGACATCAGGCACTCACTTGCTCATTATAAGGTACTGCACTACAGTGTACAAAGGGATGTAACTGATAGGGTTGCAAATACTGAAATCTTACTAAGATGCCCACATGCTGATTTTGGGTATATCCATTACAGGTGGCTTCACAAGGACAGGCTTTGCTTACTCAGTGCAAAGATGTTAAGTGGGCCATCTCCCACCAAGCACCACATTTCATTAAAAGGTGTTTTTAAATTTTAAAACCTATACTCGATTTGAAATTGTATCAGTTAGTTTCCTTTAAAACATAAGTTATATGAAATTTTACTGGTGCGTCCCAAAAAAGTCAATTCCTTCCAGAATTATTACCATAAAAAAACACACATTCTGAGGAACTGTAACGAAGATGACACTTAGGTCAAGTTGCATTCCTGTGGGAAGCTTGGAAAACTGAGGTGAAAAGTTACAGGAAGAATGCTCTTTCCATCCAAATACTGCAACAGGTCTCCTTCACATCAACAGTACATGATGAAAGAATGAGACATTTTAAAATAATTTCACAAGACACATGAAAGACCACACTTCCACATTTCAAGTTTTGCTTCATTGCTCTAGGTTCATCTGTCTTTTCAAAACATCGTTTTAGAGAGCTCCATTAAAGAGGATGGAATTCTGATCAATTCTAGATTGCTAAGCTAAATCAAGCAGAATCCAAATTTGTCATTAAAGGTCCATGAAAAATTCAAGTTCTCTGTAACTTGCTCCCTCCACATCAGAGCTACAGTCAACATACGTGGAAAGATACAGATCAAAGGATGGGTACCTAGAACATATCATATATTAAGAGTTTACCTTTCTCAACGTTTCTAAGGAAGCCGATTATTTTTACATCAGTAGTTCTTGACTGTGATTCAGTATCTTCTTCTTGATCTTCAAACTGTCTGTTGCATTCATATGTTGTTGAATATTCATTCATTTTAACCTCCAAAGATGAAATTTTTGCTTCATTCTTGGACACTCTAACATTTAGATCAAAAAGATTTGCTTCCACTGTCAAAATAGCTGCTTTCATTCCTTTAATTTCATTGATATCAGCTGATATTTTCCTTAAAAGGTGGGAAATATTGTCTAGCTCATTCAGTGAACAAGAGGAGCTTGTTATGGAACCTAAGTCCACTGGCTCCGGTGGAAGAAAAATTGGTAGAGGTGGTGATGGAAACTTTGAAGACATTCTCATAAAGGTGACAGGAACCTCAAAGACATTTTCATAAAATTCTCTCCCTTAAAATCTGATAATTTTTTCTTCACAGCTCATTAAGTTATTTCATCGAAAGTAAAAGCAGTGATCAAGGCTGTTACCTTAAGACGTATTAAGAGCAAATAACATCTTAAAACCTGTAATTCAAAAGATGGGGTTGTACATTTCTAGAGTCAGAATTCAAAACTAAATGTGAAAAAGCTAAACGTACCAGACCAATTGCTCTTCGCTACAACTAAGAAGCCCTAATACGTAGGGCCCTACATCCTCTAAGTACCATCTGTATAGCTCCTCTTCCAGTAAACCCTATTATTACATACAAAATAATCCTGGTTTCTGATTGGCTGAAAACAGACATGTGTCACACAAAGAATTTTCTATTATTTACTTCATATGATGAGAGCACTGAAGCGCTACTTTATAGGTTAAGCAATATAACATTAAGTGCTTTACATCTAAATATGATATGAATTAAATGTACTTTTCCCTTTTCATCATCTAAACCATAACATTTTTAAGCTTCAGATTTCTGATTTGTTTTGAGTTGTATTTCCCCTTGAAATTAGTATATAACATTATTGAGAGTGACAAATCCTCTGGAGGGAAAGGGCGGAGAAAGTAACTGGACCCGTGATCCACACAAACTTCTTTCAAGATACATGTGGTAATGACAGAATTCAACTTCACTAATATAGTATCGTGTAAACTTAAGGATGGGGAAATAAGAACTCAGCCTTGGCTTAATACTAGACCATTATTAGACAGGTGTTTCTTAAATATTCTCTCCCATTTTGTTGTCTTTTTTTTTTTTGATAGTATCTTTTGAAACACAAAAATACTAAATTTTGATGAAGTCCGAGTTATCTTTTTTCCTTTGGTTGCTTGTGCTTTTGGTGTCATATTTAAGAAATCATTCTGGAATCCAAGACATATCTATTTTTTTCCCTAAGAGTTTTGAAGTTTAGGTTTTTGATCCATTTTGAGTTATTTTTGTTTATGACATAAGATAAGGTTCCAACTTCATTCTTTTCATGTGGATATTCAGTTGTCCCAGCATCACCTGTGGAAAAACCTATTCTTTTGCCAATAAACTGTCTTAACACCGCTGCCAAAAATTGATGGGTTGTGAAAGTATGCATTTATTTCTGGATTCTCAATTCCGGTCCACGGGTCTGTATGGTCATCCTTATGCCAGTACCACACAGTCTTCATTACTCTAGCTTTGTAGTAAGTTTTGAAATCAAGCAACATAACCTTGCCAACGTTACTCTTTTTCAATAGTTTTGGCTATTCTCAGTCCCTTTTTATTTCCATATGAATTTTAGGATCAGCCTGCCGATTTCTACAAAAAAAAGCAATTTGGGGTTTAAACAGGGATTGAGTTGAATCCATAGATCAACTTGGGGACTACTGCCATCTTAAGAATAGTAAAGACATCTAGGCTGGGCGTGGTGACTCATGCCTGTAATCCCAGCATTTTGGGAGGCCAAGGTGGGTGGATTATGAGGTCAGGAGTTCGAGACCAGCCTGACCAATGTGGCGAAATCCCGTCTCTGCTAAAAATACAAAAATCAGCCAGGTGTGGTGGCGCACGCCTGTTATCCCAGCTACTCAGGAGGCTGAGGCAGGAGAATCGCTTGAACCCGGGAGGCAGAGACTGAATAAGCAGAGATCGTGCCACTGCACTCCAGCCTAGGCGACAGAGGGAGACTCCATCTCAAAAAAAAAAAAAAAGAATAGTAAAGACTTCCAATCCATTAACACAGAAAATCTTGTAAGGTCCTTAATTTGACAAAGGACGTTTTTACTTTGGTTTACTCCCCAAGCAAACAAATAAGATATGCAACATACAAGGATGCAAGTTGGTAGATGCTGCTCACTATAGTCTCTTAAAAGAAGAATCCTGGCCTGGCACAGAGGCCCACACCTGTCATTCCAGCACTTTGGGAGGCCAAGGCAGGTGGATCACTTGAGGTCAGGAGTTCAAGACCAGCCTGGCCAACATGGCAAAACCCTGTCTCCACTAAAAATACAAAAATTAGCCAGGCGTGGTGGCATATGCCTGTAATTCCAGCTACTCGGGAGGCTGAGGCATGAGAATCACCTGAACCTGGGAAGGCAGAGGCTGCGGTGAGTGAGACTGCGCCACTGCACTGCAGCCTGGGTGACAGAGTGAGAATCTGTCTCAAAAAAAAAAAAAAAAAAAAAAAAAAAGGAATCCTTATAAAGAATGGTAGTCTTTGGTTTCCCAAATAGATGTCACAGTAACAGAATAAAGAAAATGCTAAGTGCTGGAATTTGTAAAATAAAAATCTTTATTCATTTCTCCACTTTATGAATCAGTTCTTCAAAATTCCAGACAGAAAATAATGTTCAAAATTCAAGGCTTTGGATTCACAGACTTTTTTTTAACAGAACCAGCTGGCATATGACATCCATAGTAACTGTTAACAGCAAGACACTCTCAGAAAAGCACCACCTGCAAACCAGCTGGTTCACTAGAGGACAGATAAACAACCTCAAGGAAAAAAGCAGGAAAGAGGTCTAACAGAACGGGTCACAGAGAAACAAGAGCCCATCTGATGGCACCCATATGGCCCACTATGTCCAGCCCAACTTTAGAATAGAAAATAAGCAAGGACCCTTCCTAAGACTCCAGTGTAAATATTCATCAGCAGAGAAAGCTTATGTATTTTAACATTTACTCCTACCAAGAACTCTGAAGTAAATGCTACCGTTATTCTTCATTTATAGATTAGGAAACTAGGGTACAGAAAGGTTAAATCAACTAGTAAACTGCAGGGTCTGCACCTTCGGTAGTCTGGCTCCTAGGTCCACACTCAAGGACTCTCCCATGATACATTAAGTGGAACAAAAATGTCACAGAGAACTCTGGGTAGTATAATTCCTGCTTTATATGTACATGTGTGTGTGTGCGTAAGTAAACATGTAATTCCACTTTATATACAAAGGGTGCACATGTTCACAGATATAAGAAATGCCTAGAAGACGACACCAATACACATCAAACTTTTAAGTGCAGTTCTTCCCTCCGAGCAAAGCAGGGGGATTTTCCATTTTCTTTGAATGTAAAATCTCCCCTTGACTAAGAATCTTTCACAGTGCTTCCAGTCCAACACAATGTATCAAGCATATACAATTATAATCTCTCCTTCTGAAGAGTCCATAAAAGTGAATTAAAGAACTTAATATCTACATCTCTACCCTATGATCTTTGGGTTTCTGTTCTTTTTTTATTTTATTTTCCGAGATGGAGTCTCACCCTGTCGCTCAGGCTACAGTGGAGTGGCGCAATCTTGGCTCACTGCAACCTCCGCCTCCCAGGTTCAAGCAATTCTCCTGCCTCAGCTTCCCAAGTAGCTGGGATTACAGGCACCCATCACCACACCCGGCTAATTTTTGTATTTTTAGTAGAGACGGCGGTTCACCATGTTGGCCAGGCTGGTCTCGAACTCCTGACCTAATGATCTGCCCGTCTCAGCCTCTCAAATTGCTGGGATTACAGGCGTGAGCCACCAAGCCCGGCAGATTTCTATTCTTATGTTTTCTAATATTCATATCAATACAGCATGTGTACGTAAGTAAAATACATATATTGGTATACATACTTAAAAATGGCTACTGTACAAAAATTTTCAGGTCAAAAATATGATGGAGATCACTGGTTTAGAGATGGGGGTTACAAGGTGCAGCAGATGAGATGTCAACAATCTCTGGGTAATAGAAAATATATGGACAAATACTGGCTGTAAGGCACAGCAGGCAAAACCACAAATGAGCCCCTGTGAAAACTGCAGGTTAGATGCAAGGCAGGAGTGACATTTACTCAGACAACAAACACTGACTGAGCTCCTGCTACTATATGCCAGACACTGCTCTGGGCACTCAGTAACAGCCATACAGAACAAACACATAAATCCCTGCTCAAAAAGGACAGACTCTGTTGAGACGGGGAAGGAGGTAGCTCTCAAGACCCCCAAAAAAATACATGCTAAAAGAAAACAATTCACGTTAAAACATAAAGACCTACGTTCGGATAAAAATACCTAAACTACAAAAACATAAAATATGTATTTGATGGTGACAAACGTTATGGGGAAAAATAAAGCTTCAGAAAAGAGGGAGTGTGGGGATGGGGCCAGAGAAGGCCTCAAAGATGACACATGGATGAGATATGAGAACATCCAAAGTAAACATTCTCAGGAGAGGGCAAAAGCATCTGAGACGCGCAGCTCTTCCAACGTCCTGAAGGACAAGCAGGCCAGTGTGCAGGAGCAGCAGCAAGCACGGGGAGCCAGAGCAGAGGGAGGCAGGTGGGTGATGAGAAGGCAGAACACTGTGACTTACAGTGTGACAGGGAGCCCCTGGGGGGTTCTAAGCTGCAAAGTAGCATGATCTAATTTACAGTGTAAAGGATCACTGCTGCTGCTGTGTGGGATGGACTGAAGGAAGGCAAGTTTGAAAGCAGGCACACCTTGTAAGAACACACTATTCCAATAATCAAGTAACCAAGGCAAATCACAGACGGTGACTTTTTTTTGCCTTTTTTTTTTTGGAGACAGAGTGTCACTGTGTCACCAAGGCTAGAGTGCAGTGGCATGATCTCGGCTCACCGTAACCTCCGCCTCCCAGGTTCAACCAATTCTCGTACCTCAGCCTCCTGAGTAGCTGGGACTACAGGCATGTGCCATCATGCCCAGCTAATATTTGTATTTTTAGTAGAGACGGGGTTTCACTATGCCGGCCAGGCAGGTCTCGAACTCCTAGCCTCATATGATCCACCCGCCTCGGCCTCCCAAAGTGCTGGGATTACAGGCATGAGCCACCGCACCCGGCCAGACAGTGACTTTGATGGGTGGTAGAGGCAGAAGTGATAAACGGTAGTGAATTCTATAAATCTGGAGGTAGAGGCTGACAGGTGGAACAAGGGAAGGAGGGAGACAGAGGTAGAGAGGGAAGAGGAAGGAAAGGAGAAGGAGAGAAAAAAAGAATGGCAACAGGATTCTGTCTCAGAAACTGGAAAGGTGAAGTCACCAATAAACTAAAATGAGGAAGACTACAGGAAGAACAGACAGGAGAGGAAAATTCATAGTTGAGCTTTGGACAAGTTTGAAATGATTTATTACACCTCCAAGAAGAAATATAAAGTGGTTGGACAGAAATGAGGAATTCAGGGCAAGGTCCAGGCTGGAGATATAAAAATGTGAGAGTCACAGTGCAGAGATGATATATCAAGCCTTGAATTTGGATGAAACAAAGGGCCATCCAACTGTGAGAGATTGCAGCAATGAGTAAAAACCAAGAAGGATGTAAGGCAGAGAAGAAGGCTTGTGAATGGTACTGCCAGAGACAGACATTTAAAAGACAAAATTTTAATATTTTTAATAGACAACCAGTAGGAGTGTAAGCATACCAACCTGCTCCCCCAAGAAATTCCTCTACAACTGCAAGGCCAATTGCAGCTCCTTGTCTGCTTCATTGAAAGCTAAACCTGCCTGCAGAAAAGCTCAGCCCACAGCACAATTCTAGGTAAGCCTCTGCACTACCTTTCCTTAAACTAGGAACCACTATCTGCAGATGTTTTTGAAAAAAATTCCATAATCGAAAGAGCAAGAAAAAAAGCATAAAATCTGACTCTGACTCCATTAATTAGAAGACAAGAGTGAATTCCTTGAAAAGAAAAAAAAAATCCCTTTAATTAGGATCTTCAGACAGTTGAGATGATTCTGTATCCACAAAGTAAGATACTATGAAAAATAGAACAAGAAAAAGTTTGTGGAAATTAAAAAATATGCTTGCCTACATTTTTAAAATGTTCAGTAAGGAGACTAAAGATCAAGTCAAGCAAGTATTCAAGAGTAGACCAACAAGATCAAGTCAAAAATCAAGAGAGAAAAAATATACAACTGACAGATTAAAGTAAGGGCTTATCATCCAACTAACAGAATTTCCACCAGAGAACAATGAAAACAAGGACAGCAAATTTTAAAACAAATAATGCAAGAGTATTTCCCACACGGAAGAGAATGAATTTTCAAATTAAAAGGGTACCTAATGTACCTAACTAGCATCTAGACATACCACAGTGAAATTTCAGACACCAGGAACATAGAAAAAAAAAAGTTCCCGGAGAAAAAAATCCCAGGTATTACACAATGGAATAAGATGGGCAACCAAGTTCTCAGCATCAACACTGAAGCCTCAAGATAATGAAACTATGCCTTCAAAGTTCTGAAGAAAATGACTTCAACCTATAATTCTGTACCTAGTCAAAGTATCAAACAAGTACAAGGATAGCTTCAGATTTCCAAGAACTCAGAAAATTTACCTTCTATACTTTCTTAAGGAGTTTCTTTGTGACGTGATTACAAAACGGAGAAATGCACTGAGAAGACAAAATGGAATTCAGGAATTGCAGAGCCGACTCAGGGGAGGAGGGCGCCTCGGGATGATGGCCTTGAGCAGGCCTAGAGCAAGCAGTGAGGTCAGAAAAGGAGGAGAGAGGCTCCAGGAGGAAGGTACCTAAGAAAAAGTGGGAAACCCAAAGATTTCAAAGCACAGAGTGATAAGACTTTTAGGCTACAGTACAGGTAGGCAATGAAAGAAGGGAAAAAAGAAGAACCTAAGGGAAACAAAAAAGGGGGAAAAATTAAAAAAACTCTAGAGAGTTCCCACACAAAACTGTACAAGAAACAGAATGTAAATTTGGCCTTGTAATATTTATATAGTCTTTAAAATTTTTTTTTTATTTTTAGAGACAGGGTCTTGGTCTGTCACCCAGGCTGGCACAATCACAGCTCACTGTAACCTCGAACTCCTGGGCTCAAGCAATTCTCCAGAGTAGCCATGACTATAGGTGCACATCATCACACCCAGCTAATTAAAAAACATTAAAATATATATATAGATGAGGGTCTCGCTATGTTGCCCACGCTGGCCTCAAATTCCTAGGCTCAAGCAAATCTCCCACCTCAGCCTCCTAAAGTGCTGGGATTACAGGTGTGAGCCACCAACCATGCCCAGACTAAATAGTCTTAACAGTGTAAATGCTTACTGTTTCTCAACTTAGAGTCAATCGACTAAGTCTTAACTAAAGTAGGGAACAAAATGTAAATTTGATCAGCTTTGACAATATAAAAGAACAGGTGACAATTTAGAAGGTGGAGGCAGGACAGAATGTAGGTGGCGGCAAGAAAGAAAATATAAGACTTGAAAGAGAGGCCTGGCATGGTGGCTTATGCCTGTAATCCCAGCACTTTGGGAGGACAAGGTGGGCAGACTGCCTGAGCTCAGGAGTTTGAGACCAGCCTGGGCATGATGGTGAGACCCTGTCTCTACTAAAAATTTTATTAAAAATTCCAGGTGTGGCAGGGTGTGCCTGTAGTCCCAAGCTACTAAGGAGGCTGAGGCAGGAGAATCACTTAAACCCAGGAGGCAGAGGTTGCAGTGAGCCAGGATTACGCCACTGCACTCCAGCCTGGGTGACAAAAGTGAGACTCTACCTCCAAAAAAAAAAAGGAATTGAAGGATACATATCTTTCAGAAGTCAAAATATACTGAAATATAACCAGACAAGAAATATTTAAGTTACTACTTAAAATTACTAAAGTAACCAATAAATGAATTAAAAATTGATTTTGCTGTATGAGCTTGGAAGCAAGGGAAAAGTATAAATGGGCTAGAACCTGACATACAGCAAGAAATCAACAGGTACTATCTAGTTGGTCAATGAAGAAACAGTATAAAGCATATTATTACAACACGGAGAAAGAAACAGAAGCATTTAAAAGTGGGGGATTCTGCGGAGTGGGACTAGTATAGAGAAGAATGAAGTAAGGAATGTTGCTTTTTATTTTTAATCTTTTTTATACTATTTGATTATTTTCTCATCTATCAGGAGATATTACATTGATATGCTTTCTTTTTCCAGATTTTCTATGGTGAGCATGTATTTCATAATGCATTTTATTTCAAATATATGGGATGCTTCCATACATTATACCAAACAGGAAAAATAAAAGGAAATCCACGCCTAGACACATCGTAGTGAAACTGCAGAACATCAAACACAAAGAGAAGATCTTGAAAGCAGCCAGAGAGAAAGGACAGATCACCTACAAAGGAACGACAGACAATTAGAATGATAGAAGTCCACTCAACAATGGAAAGCAGAAGACAGTGGGATAATAATATATATAAGGTGTGGAGAGCAAATAACTAACAACCTAGATTTGGGTATCCAGCAAAACTACTGCACAAGAACACAAAGAAAGAAAACACTCACAGGTGAATAGACTCTTGGAAAATATATTGCCAACAGACATGTTTCAGTGAAACTTCCAAAAAAATACTTCAAAAATACTTCAAAATATTGGAAAATAATGATCCCCAAATAACACTCAGAGATGTTAAGAATAAGTAAAATGATAAACAGGAGGTAAACCTCAAAAAACATTGCCTGGAAAAAATTACAAAAATGTTGTCCAACTTGTGTATTTTATTTTACTTATTTTTTTTGATAAGGAGTGTCGCTTTGTCGCTCAGGCTGGAGTGCAGCGGCGCAATCTCAGCCCACTGCAACCTCTGCCTCCTGGGTTCAAGCGATTCTTCTGCCTCAGCCTCCTGAGTAGCTGGGACTACAGGTGTGTGCCACCATGCCTGGCTAATTTTTCTATTTTTAGTAGAGACAGGGTTTCACCATATGGTCAGGCTGGTCTCGAACTCCTGACCTCAGGTGATCCACCCGCCTCAGCCTCCCAAAGTGCTGGGATTACAGGCATGAGCCACCGCACCCGGCCCAACTTGTGCATTTTAAAAAAGATCAAATTGAAACACTGGAAACAAGTAAATGAGGAGGATAAAGACTGAAGCTCTTCATAGGTATTCAAAAGTCCTTTTACTGTTTGAGAGTGGGGTCAGGATATTAACTTTTAGAATACTAAATTAAATTTGTGTGGTAAAATTTCACTGGTAACGACTAAAAGAACAGAAATGAGGCCAAGCATGGTGGCTCACACCTATAATCCCAACACTTTGGGAGGCTGAAGCGGGCAGATAACAAGGTCAGGGGATCAGAGATCAAGAGATTGAGACCATCCTGGCCAATATGGTGAAACCTCGTCTCTATTAAAAATACAAAAATTAGCTGGGCGTAGTGGTGGGCGTCTATAATCCCAGCTACTTGGGAGGCTGAGGCAGGAGAATCACTTGAACCAAGGAGTCGGAGGTTGCGGTGAGCCGAGATCGCGCTACTACACTCCAGCCTGGCAACAAAGTGAGACTCCGTCTCAAAAAAAAAAAAAAAGAACAGAAAGGGAAGGTTTAAACAGTAAACTAGTTTAAAATTGTAGAACCAGGGTTAGGGTTGTCAACAATAACAGTAATTAATGAACCTTAAAAAACATGAGAAAAAACAGAAAAGCAGGCAAATGCAAATCAGCAATGATGACAGAAAGTAATCCAACTATACCAGTAATTGTAATAAATGTGACTGGTCTAAACTCTCCAATAAAAGGCAAACTCAGATGAGATTAAAAAACAAAATCCAGCTTTATAATATTTAAGATATAATATATAGTTGACCCTTAAACAATATGAGGGCTAAGGGAACCAATCCCCCAACAACAGTTGAAAACCCACATACAACTTTTGACTTCCCAAACATTTAACTACTTACTGTTGCCAACGTAGCTGCAGTGGCAGCTTCATACATTTTTTTCTTTTTCTTTTTTTTTTAACCATGGTTCTTATGTTAAATTCATTTATCCAGAAATGGTGAATAACTGCAGCCACAGTTGTAACATGTATCTTTGGTACATACTGAGCAATGGTTTCTTGTAATGTCATGACTTTTCTCTACTTCTTGGGAGCATGTCCAGCATCACCAGTAGCACATTATGGGTCCCCTGGTGTTATTCAAGGTTTACAGTATTGCACTAAACATGATGAAAAATATGCAAGAACTGCGAGATCACCTTTCACTGCAATTCACAATTTACTGGAGAGCTGAACTGTCGCAGAGATGGTTGCATCACACAGCATTTTAAGTGGACACTCAAAACACCTTAGCTTACCATAAAGCAACAGGAGGTAACTACAAAATTATTACAGTAGTACAGTATGTACTATAGTAAATCTTATGTAGCTATTACTGCATCTTTATGTTTGCTTACATTTCTCTCAACTACAAGCGGTATCATGTAAAGTCTGTGTTTGTGTGCATATATTTTGATAAATTAAACTTCATAATAGATGTGTATGTTTTAAGATAGTAAATGTTAGTCTAGTAGCTACATATATTTTATGTGTTCATGACATACCTAAATTTTTCTTAATTTTGTCACTATTTCTAGGCTATATAGTTTATCTACAAGTTTTTTCAAATTGCCACATCTCAAAAAATATTTCCAATATATTTATTTTCAAAAATCCACATATAAGTGTATGAGTGGACCCACACAGTTCAAACTTGTCTGGTTCAAGGGTCAACTGTATATACCTAAAGCATGAGAGAGAAAACTGAAAACAAAGGCAGGGAAACCAGATATATAAAGCAAATATAATTAAATGGCTATATTAATATCAGGCAAAACTGACTTTGAGATAAAAACATCTTTTTTGCAGAGGGTCATAAATCAAGATAAGGGATTCAATTTGCAGAGAAGATATAACAAATTTAAATATGTATGCACCTAATAGTATATAACAGCCTAAAAATAAAGCAAAAACTTGATATAAGTACAAGAGAAATTAAGATAAATCTGTCATCATGTTGGGCAATTTCAACACCCTTTCTCAAGTGGTAAGTCAAGCAGCACAAAAACTCAGCAAGGTCAAGATTTGAATAATGTTAACAGTAGAGCTTTATCTACTGAATAAATGTAAAATTCCCCATCCAATAATTAGTCCACTTTCTTCCAAAATGCATGTGGAAGATGCATAAACTTGATTATGCACTAAGCAAGTGTTAACAATTTTCAAAAACTATGCATTGTAAAAATTACATTATCTAACCACAATGCAATTAAGTCAGGTGTCTATAATAAAAAGGATTAAAAGACAAAAACACATACCACTTCCAAATACTGTATAGAAAACACACTTTCAATGATGAAAATTATAATGGAAATTAAAGACACTCTGATAATGAAAACATGATGAATTAAAACCTGTCATATGTATTCTTCTCAAATGCTTACATTTGAGAAGAAGACAGCCTGAGGTAAATAATTTTTAAAATATGGAAGGATAAATTAAAAGAGAAGTCGGGCCAGGTGCAGTGGCTCACACCTGTAAACCTAGCACTTTGGGAGGCTGAGGCAAGAGGGCTGCTTGAGCTCAGGAGTTCCAGACCAGCCTGGGCAACATAGTGAGACTCCATCTTTACAAAAAAACTTAAACATTAGCTGGGCGTGGTGGCGTGTGCCTATGGTCCCTGAGGTGGGAGGATCATTTGAGCCCAGGCATTTGAGGTTGCAGTGAGCTACAATTGTGCCACTGTACTCTAGCCTAGGTGACAGTGAGACCTCGCCTCTTAAAAAAAAAAAATAAAAAAAAAGCACAAGTCAATGAAATAGAAAACAAAAACACCAAAAAAAAAAAAAAATCAATAAAGCCAGAATAATGTTGTTAAGTCTTTGAAAAGATCGGCAAAATAAACTTCTAGTGACAGACTGATGGCAAGACAAAAAGCAAAAAGTACACATATTATGAGGTGGGTGCGCTAGTAAAAATAAAGACACCAGAGAAATGAGAGAATGCTATCTGCTCAAACAAAAGAAGAAAAAAAATTAACAACTTATGCCAATACGAGTGCATGTTTATATTTTAAAAACCTGCCCCAGATTATACCGTACAACAGTGAGTAACCACATTAACAGATAACAGTTGCTTGCAGTATCACTTCACACTTGTGAATATATCTAGTAATACCAAACTCCTCATCAGCAAAGGTACCTGACACCATTTCAATTATCCCCTTTTAAAACACAGTATAGAAAACCACACAAACATATAGCTTAATGAATTTTTGTAAGGCAAAACACCCTTCTGACTACCATCCAAGTCAAAAGAGAGAACGTCATCTGCCACCCCAGAAGCCTCTCTGTGTGCTCCATCTTTATCGGTCCTCTTCAAAAGCAACCACTATGTGCTTTTTATATTAACGCCTAGAGGTTCTTTATAATTTCACACACACTGGGTATCCCTAGCCACTACAATTTAATCCTGCTCCTTTTATTTTCCTTTGATTTGCCTTTTAATCTCAATTTCTCAGGCTATTCAACCCACAGTGTCCCAAACACTATTTTTCCGGCTGCACACTCATGGTGAAGCTCAACCAACATACTCCTCTGGCCTCTGCAACTTCTTGCAAACTGACTGCTGGACTGGGAGCTTGATGACTTAGGTTTACATTTTTGGCAAGACAAAAGTTCTGTTCTTTTGTATCAAGAGGCACAAAACAACTGGTTTTCACTCTTAAAAGCATAACTCTAATCCTACCATCTTGTTCTCTTATCAGCTGAAATCATTTTAAAAGAAAATGTTTCTCTCATCTACTATATCAGAGGTTGGCAAATCTTTTAGGCTATTTTAGGCTATGCAAGCTATATGGTCTGTTGCAACTATTCAACTAAGGCTGTAGTATGAAAGTAGCCACGGACAATACATACATGAATAGGCACGGTTTGGTTCCAACAGATGCCAACTCCTGTCCTATGGGGTTACCCAGTGGTATCGTTCTCACAGAAAAGACAGCATAAATGTTCAATTATTTTATTTACCCAGTTTTCAAGACAATGAATGATTATCTACTACCTTCCAGAAGGTGACTAGTTAGAGCTTATTTTTTTAAAATGTCATTATGAAATTGTGGATTTAAATGGGCTTTAATTCACCGCGATATTTACACCTACTGAATCTCAAATAATTCCATTTTTGGCCAATGGAAACCTCTAAGTTGGCGCCTGCATCCTTTGGACGTGGTCTACCATTCATTGACAGCTTCTTTGCTATCTGGGATGTTGAGCCATTCCAGGATCATGTTAACATTTCCTGCCCCAGACCTGGAAAAAGACATTTCTCAAGAAGCCTAGTTCTTTGTTTTTTTATTTTTATTTTTTCTTGAGACGGAATCTCACTCTGTTGCCCAGGCTGGAGTACGGTGGCACAATCTTGGCTCACTGCAACCTCCGCCTCCCGGATCCAAGCGATTCTCCTGGCTCAGCCTCCCGAGTAGCTAGGACTACAGGCGCACACCACAACACCCAGCTAATTTTTTTGTATTTTTAGTAGAGATGGGGTTTCACCACACTGGCCAGGCTGCTTTTGAACTCCTGACCTCAGGTGATCTGCCCACCTCGGCTTCCCAAAGTGCTGGGATTACAGGCGTGAGCAACTGCACCCAGCCCAAGAAGCCTAGTTTTTTAAATAGGAAGTATTCCAAGACCACAATCTGGGAACTACAGATGATGCTAAGGGTTGATGAATGTTTCTATGCCTTCTAGTAGACAGAACTAGAAAAAAATGTATTTATATATAAAATACACTGTGAGTTCCGAAACATTTCCAATGTAAATTCAGGACAACAGGCTTTTACTTGTCTGAAGCTCATCCTCCATTAGATTTCCTAAGAAAAGTTCATGGGAATGAGTCTCTGAATTTCTGCATATAGATAACAGTTGGTGCTGGATCACTTCTAAAGGTCACTTTTGCTGGACATTAAATTCTTGGCTCACATTTTCTTTTCTGGAGTATCTTAAATATGCTAGTCCATTTTCTTCCAGCACAAAAGTGATGCTGTTGAAAAGTTTGATGATAATCTACCTTTCCTTTTCTTCTAAGTCATGTGCCCCTTTTGCCTGAATGTCCAAATCATTTTTTTTCTTTTTAAAATTTCATTAATTATATAATACATCTTAGTGTTATGGTTCTGGGTAAATATTCTCAGGTATACTGTACAATTTTTCAGACAACAGTTTCAAACATGTTTTCACTTCATGAAAGTTTTCTTGAAAGACAGTTAATGTTTGCTCTGTTCCTCTGAATATTGTTTCTTTGGAGATTCCTACTATAAAAACACTGTATTTCTATTGCCTATTATCAATATTTGCCACTTTCTCATGAGCCCTTTTAGACTTTTAAAATGTTCTTGTCTTTTATCTTCAATTTCTCTGAAGATGTTTTAATTTTATTTATTTTTAAATTGCTGTTTTCTGTAGCCATAAGGTTTTGCTATGTTGCCCTGGCTGATCTTCAACTCCTGGCCTCAAGTGATCCTCCCGCCTTGGCCTCCCAAATTGCTGGGATTACACGCATGTTTTATTTTATTAAGACGCACTAATTCTTTCGAGTTCTTTCTAATTTAGTCTTCATTTATTTTGAGACACAGTCTCACTCTATCGCCCAAACTAGATGGCAATGGCATGATCATGGCTCACTGCAACCTCAGCCTCCTGGGCTCCAGCAATCCTCCCACCTCAGCCTCCCTGGAGGGCAATGGTATGATCGTGGCTCACTGCAACCTCAGCCTCCTGGGCTCCAGCAATCCTCCCACCTCAGCCTCCCGGGCTCCAGCAATCCTCCCACTTCAGCCTCCCAAGGAGACAGGACTACAGGTGTATACCTTGCCCAGCTAATATTTTTATTTTTTGTCGAGACAGGGTTTTGCTATGCTGCCCAGGCTAGTCTCAAGTGATCCTCCTGCCTCAGCCTCCCAAAGTGTTGGGATTACAGGCATGAGCCACTGCACCCAGCCTCAAAGTTCTTCTGTTTTATGTTTTTCTTGGCTTTGTCTTGTATTATTTAAATAATGTCTTCTAGCTCACTTTGAAATTGTATTTCTTTTTGGTATACCTTTCAGCATGCTTTCATTGAAACAATGCTGTTTTGTCTTTTATTCCCTTTTATCTTTTAATTCGGCACAGGACTTGACCTTGATACTTTTCTGTTGTTCATTTTAGGGGAAAGTTTGCTTTGGATAGCTATTCTAACTTCAGAATCAACAACCTTCTTCTGTTGATTTTGTGATGTTAAAAAATATGGCACCTTGCTTTGAGATTTCCTATTGTTTTCCTCTCCTATTTTTATCTGACATTCTTTCCTTTTCTCTATTGTCTGTTTCCCTGCTCCATCTGATTCCACTCCAAGACTCTCACGTAGAGTCCTGTGTTTGAAGAAAACCTTGGTGCAACACACTACAGACTCCACAGGGAGTAGACCACTGCAGTCCTTTTAGATCAGCCTCATCTGCCACTGCACTGAGCAAAATCCCTCCTCAGTTTCAGCTCCTCTTCTCAATTTGGCCCATTCACATTTTCCAATTGGTACCTATCTGCTGTTTGGGGACCAAACAGGTCTTGTCCTCAGGCCTATCAATTATCAGAATAGTATATAACGCTGTCATGGCAAACTGAACAATACAGTCAAAAATTTTTAAAGAGACACAATGAGGAAACAAATACAGAATTGACAATTCTGAAATCATAAGGTTTCATGAAACCTGGAACAATTTAAAGGACAGTTTTGAAGAAATGAAAAAATATATTCCAAGGTTCTTGAAAAGTATGTGAGAAATAACATAATAAGCATATAGATTTTTTTGGTGGGGTCTTAAAATTCAAATCTTAGTAGAAAAAGAAACAGAAGAAAAAAGAATCCTTCTTGACGACAAAAGAGACAAAAGGTCTGAAGAGTCATGGAGAAGGGCTGTGCAGGCCCAGGGGTCAGATAACAGACACCAAAAGTCCAAACTAATAGCGTTAGTTCTGGGTAATGAGGAGGAGGGGAGAGATACTTTCACAAAGGAGTCAGAAGATGAGAGACACACTTTCAAAGTCAAAAGATTGTATAGGAATTGGGGGAGAAAGCTGAGAAAAAAGCAAAAAAAAAAAAAAAAAAAAAAAACCTGGAAGCAAACTGAAGTATGTTAGGCACGAGGGGATAAATTAGGGTTGCTGGGACACATATGGGAGGTCAGAGACAGGATGCTTAAGAGACGGGAGATTTAAAGGTAACTAAAATTTCAAGTTCAGGTAAACGGGCAGGATCAACAAAAAGAGAAAAAGAAAGAATGCAGAAATAAATATATCTTTAAGAAGGAGCTATCTAAAGACCAGCAAAATTCTGATAATAACTAAGGCTTAATGACTGGGTTCATGAGAGTTCACTGTACTAGCCTTTCCATTTTTGAGAATATTAAAAATTTCCACAATAAAAAGACTTTCAAAAATTTCTAGAAAGGGCTGGGTGCAGTGGCACACACTTGTACACACCTCCAGCTACTAAGGATGCTGAGGCAGGAGGACTGCTTGAGCCCAGGAGTTTGAGGACTGCCTGGGCAACACAGCAAGACCCTACCTCTTTAAAAAAAAAATTTTTTTCTGAAGTGTTGGTATGAACCTTCCTCATGGTATTCTTCTCATTCTATTTCTGGGCTTAATCATCACTTTTTTCATAGTGTAATATTTCATAAAAATCCATTGGAAAATATTCAATGCCTCATGAAAAAACTGTAGTAAAGAGTGAAACATCATTTAAGTTATTACCTTGATTTTTTTCTACAGAATCTCCTTTTGTTTCCTCTTCTTTAATGGGGGGACTTATTCTGGGGGTCCTACTTTGTCCCTGGACCACTTCTGCTAGCAATTCTTCTTGAGAAGTTCGAGTTCTGGGAGCAACTGGAAGTGTCTGTTTCTGTGGAACTTTCACATAAAAGCAAAAAAGATAGAAATACAAATGCAGTAATACGTCAAAACTCCACAGTGACTATGTCATATTAAATATAAATGCCTCCTTTGGTTTAGGACATATGAGTTCAGGCTGGGCGCAGTGGCTCATGCCTGTAATCTCAGCACTTTGGGAGGCAAGGTGGGTGGATCACTTGAGGTCAGGAGTTTGAGACCAGCCTGGCCAACATGGTAAAACCTCGTTTCTACTAAAAATACAAACACTAGCCGGGCATAGTGGCACACACCTGTAATCCCAACTACTCAGGAGGCTGAGGCAGGAGAATTGCTTAAACCCGGAAGGCGGAGGTTGCAGTGAGCCGAGATTGCACCACTGTGCACTCCAGCCTGGGCAACAGAGTGAGACTCTGTCTCCAAAAAAAAAAGAAAAAGAAAAGAAAAGAACATATATATGAGGAGTTCAATCCATAGATACCATTCATTTTTTCTTACGTTACTGAGATAGATACCTGAACCTATTTATCCAAACATATGTAAACAATATCCATACAACCACATACCATGAATACAATATAGTACATATGTATTCATTTTCAACAAAATGCGGTTTATTTAAGCTTAGCTTCATGATCTTATATGAGTTTCAAATTGTAATTTAGATAACCTAGGTAAAGAAAGAAAATTTCAAAGTCATGGAACTTCTCTAAACTTCTCATCATTCTAGACAATTAATATTGCTGATAGATCAGGAAATGAAATGTAGATATATCATTAGGTCAAGAGTGCGCCTTTGCCTGATAATCTTTATTCTATATGCCAAAACCTGTTGAATTTTGTGTTCAAGGTTAAATTAGGGATGAGGAGAACCAAGAGGACAGACAAGTATCAGGATCAAAAACTGATGGTGCCAGGCGCGGTGGCTCACGCTTGTAATCCCAGCATTTTGGGAGGCCGAGGAGGCAGGTGATCACCTGAGGTCAGGAGTACGAGACCAGCCTGGCCAACATGGTGGAACCCCGCCTCTACTAAAAATACAAAAAAATTAGCCTGGCATGGTAGTGGGCGCCTGTAATCCCAGCTACTTGGGAGGCTGAGGCAGGAGAATCGCTTGGACCCAGGAGGCAGAGATTGCAGTAAGCCAAGATCACACCACTGCACTCCAGCCTGGGCAACAGAGCAAGACTTCGCCTCAAAAAAAGAAAACAAATAAAAAAACTGATGGCTACAGTTTACCTCATTTTAGGAAGGGGGGTCACAAAAAAAAGCGAGAGAGTGGATAAGCAGGGCAATGCTGTAAGTACACCCACCAAATCCACAGCAAAACTTAAATCTTTTTAGAGTAGCTCATTACCATCAGCTTCTTAACACAAGTTTACACATTGGCTACAACAGGTCGGCCAGAGAGTACAGAATTTGACAACACAAAATGACACCCATCAGTTGTTTGCATTTCAGAATCAGCTTTCCGTAAGACCAGCTTACAGCTGATTCATCTCCTGTTTTGAAAACGTAATACTTTTATATTCTCTCATAAAATTATTCAGTACTTCCACTAGAATTGGAGCAGGAACATCACAAATGAGTCAATTCTCTGCCTTATATTCTACTAATGAGTTCCGCCAAAAGGGAAGAAACCAACCTTGTTTATATACTACTGTTTAACAAATTTCTATAACTTCAGATACCTATCATTGTCCAATTGTACTCCCCTTTACACATCGTAAATTCATATCTAATGTTGAATCTAATGCTACTAATATGAAAGTCCTACTTCATCAAAATTCTCTTCAAAATATTTACGTACTATATATTTTACACACATTGGAAAGATATAAAAGGCATTATATGGTGCTTGAAAAACTACAGTCCAATAACAGTTGGCGAAGTTTCTCAAACTTGTCAATTTCCTTTTAAAGCCATTTTTCTATATGGGAACCTCATCTTGGTCTTGACATCTGACAGGCACCTTTATTTTACAATTTAAGGAGCAATCATTTTCACCTTACTCAAGAATTACAGAAATGTCTTACCAAGTGTAAACATAATACATTTAAATTACCTGTAGAGTAGTTAGTTGTTTTTGTTACGGATTCTTGAGCTTCAGATATAGCCTTCAAAATCAGATTCTTGTTAGCTTGTTTAGAAGGTGGAAGAGAAGGTCTAAAAGAGTTAAGAAAGGTATTTTTATTAAACTTTAAATTTCAGTTCCTCACAGGCCAGCCATCTATTATGCCTTTACCACAACCTTCTCTAGGTTTTAAACAGACTAGCTGCAGTTTTTAGAAAATGCCAACTACACTGGAACCTTATTTTTTTTTTTAGACAGACTCTTACTCTCTCACCCAGGATGGAGTGTGATGTCACTGCAGCCTTAAACTTCTAGGCTCAAGCAATGCTTCCACATCCACCTCTCCAGTCCAGGACTACAGGTGCCTGCCACAATGACCAACTAATTTATTTTAATTTTTTTTAAGAGACAAAGACTCATTACATCGCCCAGGCTGGTCTCGAACTCCTGGTCTCAAGCAATCCTCCTGCCTCAGCCTCCCAAAGTGCTAGGTACAGGCATGAGCCACCATGCCTAGGCCCCTTTTAGTTTTTTTAAATAATAAATCTGAATCTTAATTGATGTTGTTCCTCCTCACCCCACCATATTAGTCAATATTCTCTGCAATCCTCTCCAATGTTAAGCAATTTCTCTCATTAACGTGTTTCTCAAAACCCAATGGAAAAGTCTTACACGGTATTACATTAAATATTTATGTCAGGTGCGGTGGCTCATGCCTGTAATCCCAACACTTTGGGAAGCTGAGGAGGGCAGATCACCTGAGGTCAGGAGTTCGAGACCAGCCTGGTCCAACATGGTGAAACACCATCTCTACTAAAAATACAAAAATTAGCTGGTCATGGTAGTGCACACCTATAATCCCAGCTATTCAGGAGGCTCAATCAGGAGAATCACTTGAACCTGGGAGGCAGAGGTTGCAGTGAGCCGAGATCGTGGCACTGCACTCCAGCCTGGTTGACAGAGCGAGACTCCGTCTCAAAAAACAAACAAAAATTATTTTCGTGATTATTCTCTTCAATAAATCAGGAAGACTCCACCAAGGCAGTTAAAGATTAATTTACAGCCATGTTCAAGGTACCTCCTTTCAGGCTTTGCAGGCACAGACACACTGCTGGAGATGCTTCCTGTTCGAGACCCGTAATCATCATCTTCTTCCTCCTCTTCTCCATCATGATTGAATTTTTTTACTTTAACAACTGAACTTACCACAGGCAACTTTCTCTTCCGAAAGTTTTCATCCTGCAATCAGATAAAATTTATGCTTACCTAATCTCAGAAAATAACAAGAGTTCTACCACAAAATGTTTCCATTTTAAGAAAAAAACAGTACACAGTAATATGAGAAATTCACAGAGTATTTCTTGGTTTTATGTAAAAATATAAATATGAGGCTGGGTGTGGTGGCTCACATCTGTAATCCTAGCACTTTGGAAGGCCGAAGTGGGCGGATCACAAGGTCAGGATTTCGAGACCAGCCTGGCCAATATGGTGAAACCCTGTCTCTATAAAAATACAAAAATTAGCTGAGCGTGGCGGCATGTGCCTGTAGTCCGAGCTACTCGGGAGGCTGAGGCAGAAGACTCACTTGAACCCGGGAGGTGGAGGATGTAGGGAGCCAAGATCATGCCACTGCACTCCAGCCTGGGCGACAGAGTGAGACACCGTATCAAAATAAATAAATAAATAAATACTATAAATATAAATATTATCCCTAACAGTCAACCTTTAGCTAAAACAAAAATTAGAACTTTACATTTATTTTATCAACAGCTGCATATAGTGCTATTGAGGAAACTAATAAAACAGAGTTAATTGGTTGCTCACTAGCAATTACCATGAACAATCTAAAATTGATTGAAACCCCCCAAATTAATTTAAGATTAATATCTCAAATGCTGGAAATCCCAAAAAGGTATACAGATGTGATACAAAAGAACTCTAGGAGCAAGCCATGGGGAAGAAAATCTGGTATAGCATGAGAAACAGCAGATAAAACAATTTAAAAATAAACTTGGGGCCAGGCGCCATGGTACATGCCTGTAATCCCAACACTTTGGGAGGCCAAGGAGGGCAGATCACCTGAGGTCAGGAGTTCAAGACCAGCCTGGTCCAACATGGTGAAACACCATCTCTACTAAAAATACAAAAATTAGCTGGTCGTGGTAGTACACACCTGTAATCCCAGCTATTCAGGAGGCTGAATCAGAAGAATCACTTGAACCTGGGAAGCACAGGTTGCAGTGAGCCAAGATCAAGGTGGGTGGATCACAGGGCCAGGATTTCAAGACCAGCCTGGCCAACACGGTGAAACCCTGTCTTTGCTAAAAATACAAAAAATTAGCCAGGCATGGTGGCGGGTAATACCAGCTACTCGGGAGGCTGAAGCAGGAGAATCGCTTGAACCCAGGAGGTGGAGGTTGCAGTGAGTTGAGATCGCGCCATCACACTCCAGCCTGGGCAACAAGAGTGAAACTCCTTCTCAAAAAGTAAAATAAAATAAAATAAATTTGGAATATGTGTTTTTTTTGTTTTTTGTTTTTTCTTTTTTGGTTGAGACGGAGTCTCGCTCTGTTGCCCAGGCTGGAGTGCAGTGGCACGATCTTGGCTCAGTGCAAGCTCCGCCTCCCAGGTTCACGCCATTCTCCTGCCTCAGCCTCCCGAGTAGCTGGGACTACAGGCGCCTGCCACCATGCCTGGCTAATTTTTTGTATTTTTAGTAGAGACGGGGTTTCACCGTGTTAGCCAGGATGGTCTCAATCTCCTGACCTCGTGATCCACCCGCCTCGGCCTCCCAAAGTCCTGGGATTACAGGTGTGAGCCACTGTGCCCAGCCTTGGAATATGTGTTTAGTTACTTCATATATTATTTGGTATCAAGAACTGCCGATTTTTAGCCTAAGCCAGAATTTAAAAGTACATACAAACCTCCATACTCATTTTCTCCGAGTTGTTTCTAAAGAACGGACTATACGTTTCTTCTAAGCTGTTAAGCACCTCTGGTTCACACAAACGTCCTGTTTCATATACCCAACTACTCTGCATATCAAGCTGCTTGGCAGCATGAATACTATTCTGCTGCTGTTGAAATTGCAACCTGTTTAAATGAACACCACTATCTGCATTTCTACTTGCAGGTGGTCGATAAATTTCAATAGAAGGGCGAGAAGAACCATATGTAAGTGTCACTGTAGGTTTTTTCTGAGATAAGGGATTCTCCTGCACAAAGTTGAGGTCTTCGTCAATGAGATCATCTGGTTCTGGCTTAATATCAATCACATCTTCAGAGGGTGCTGGCTCCCTCAAAGGTTTCACTGTTGACATTAGTCGGGTTGCAGCTCCATCATCGTAAGTCTGTCTATTTAAAAGAACAACAAAATGTATTACAGCCAAATTAGGGCAATTATCACCAAATCTTTAAAGAATGTTTACTTGAAAAATTTCAATGAAAAAACTGAGGATACTCCCTTTACATATTCCATTCAAAACTGCTTTGAAATTGCACTTTCTTTCAACTTTGATTTACTAAATTTGTGATAAAAGATAATCATACTTAGATCTTATCCATTATTTTATTCAAAAAACTACTCACGATCACTTCATTGTTTCTAAAAATTGCTGAGAACAGCAAACTGAAAGATATAAAAACTAATATAAATGTCACATACACAGAGCCATCTGCCCCCAGCAGGTCTACACCAGACTCTTACCTGACATTTGTGGTTTTTGACTCCTGCGAACTTGTAGAAACTCTGGAATCTCTTTTTTCAGGTCTCGCGCTAGGAATGGCAAGTGGTGGCACTGCAGCTTCATGCCTCCTCTCATCTCCCCGACTGAAATTGCTCTTGTTTGAAGGCACGTTACTATCAAAGATGTTGGTATCAGAAGACTTCAGACTAGAGGGTTCTGAAAAGAAAAATACAGTCCTTTTAATCTATTTTTATTTCTTATTTTTATTTATTTATTTATTTTTGAGATGGAGTCTCGCTCTGTCGCCAGGCTGGAGGGCAGTGGCGCGTTCTCGGCTCCCTGCAACCTCCAAATCCCTGGTTCAAGCGATTCTCCTGCCCCGGCCTCCCAAGTAGCTGGGATTACAGGCATGTGCCACGATGCCTGGCTAATTTTTGTATTTTTAGTAGAGACGGAGATTCACCATGTTGGTTGGCCAAGATGGTCTCCATCTCCTGAGCCCATGATCCGCCCACCTTGGCCTCCCAAAATGCTGGGATTACAGGCGTGAGCCACCGTGCCCGGCCATCTATTTTTATTACTTTAAGTCGTTTCCTTCCTCATCACCAATTCAAAAGCAGTATGTTTATTGTAGAAAATTTTAAAAATATAATAAAAATCACCAATTATCTCAAAGGTGATTTTTCGGGGGAAGAGCATATATACACATTTTTTAAAACATGTATCTTATGCGTGTATATTCTGTTATTCTTCCACAACATTATTTTTAATAGTTAAATATTATTCCACACATGGTAATACAACAATTTCGTTTATTATGACTGAACTTTTAAATTGTTTTCAATTATAAAATACTGAAATATCCTTGAGGCTAAATCTTTGCACATATATGTAATTATTTCCTTCGGATAAAGTGCACTGCTCCCTCTCCCACACTTAAATTATCTTTGAATTATGTTAAATTTACTGCTCTTAAGTTCATAAAAGTATGTGCTTTCTAAAAAAGTTCAAATGAACCGTTTTGAAATTGATGGGTTTTTCCCAAAGCACTATGACTTTAGAAAGAAACAAATCATATGCCATAGCAAGCAGAAATTAAAAAAAAAAGTTATGAATCTTACCAGTTGTAACAGAGCGAAGTTTATCTAATACACCATGAAGCCTGAGGAAAAAAACAAAAAACAAAAATAAACCTTCTGTTAAGAAAGATTTCATTTCAACTGTCACTCTAAATTTATGACATTATATTCAGAGATAATTTTTTAAATTTTTTTATATTTTTATTATTTTTAAATAGAGATGGGGTTTCACTGTGTTGTCCAGGCTGGTCTTGAAGTCCTGGACTTGAGAGAACCACCTGCCTCAGCCTCCCAAAGTGTTGAGATTACGGGCGTGAGCCACCGCACCTAGCTGAGATAAATACTGATAAACTGTATTTAGTGAATAAATGGTATGAACTTTCAAACTTCACATTTTTAAAAAAGGGCTTTGTATAAATCCTACAGAAGTCAATAAAAAATTGTATTTTTTTCTTCACTGTTTTCAACATCTAGCCTCTGCAAAAATATGGGAAAGAATATCATCTGACCAGTCTTAGTCTACAAAATATGTCACCCTGTTTGTAAGTACTAAAGATTTACTGTAGCTTACAGTAAAACAAGTATCATAAACATGTAATATTGCTTATTATTACCACCATTTAAGCAGCTTATATTAACTGCTTAAACTAGATGGTGTCTTGGACAACTTAATTCTGAGAGGTTAAAACAAGTTATAATCTCAAACTATGCTATATCATTTCACTCTATTACTTTCAAAACTGATGCTGTAAGGCTGTAATCTTGCTTGTAACATAACCTGTTTTGGTAGTTATAAATGAGGTACTTTGCCTTACATCCCTTCCCAGTACCTCTCAAAATATGCCAGAAACCTCATGTTTCAATGAGAACCCTAGTCACATGCTACTGTCCCCACGGACACAATTACTTCAAGGCTCCAAATAATCACAATAGTCTGTTTGGGGCTGGTGTTAATGAACACTAACTTAAGAAAGCAAAGTGCCAAAATGGGGACATCACCCTTTGCTTCACTACATGTTAAAGAACTCAATTTATGGCCAGATGAGAATGTTGAATTAATTTGGTTTTAAATTCATTTGGTAGTCTGTTTTAAAAATCTAAGTATTCTATCAAGTTATCGGAGAAAAGGATCTACTCGGTCGCTTTAGAAAAAAAAATAGTACTCACAATAATGGTAATTTTCCCAGTCAAAAGACCCACAGTCTTTTTTTGTGGGGGGCTGGGAGGGAATAACCTCTGGGGACAAATTGTAACAAATGGGTTGGGTCACCCACAGTGAGGCAGCAGTGTATCATAACAACTGATGACCACTATACAATGTTCTTCAAATTTGTGCAATGTATAAACCCAGAGAATTCTGTGCAGAATTTCAAGACGGTTGATAAGCATACAGTTGCCTACTTGGGCAAAAACACCTTGAAGACGACCTTTGGTATAAAGGCAAGAACTTAACCAGGCTCATCTCCCCACTCAGTGCCTCCTCTTGCACTCAAATTCGGCAGGCCACTTGCTCACTTCTGCTACATCATCACCTTTCACGGTAACTGGTAGTTCCTAGCCTGAGAAGCCTAATAAAGTATTTCGTCTGTCTATTCTCAGCTACATCATTATCCTCCAGCCCTCATCCTCACTTTACCTCAAACCTGGTACCAGGACCTAGCATCTTAAGTTGAATCTTACTCTTCTAGTCAGTATTCTCAACTAAAGGCATATAACAGTAATTTATGTATAAAAGCAAAGTTGCCTATTTTAAAATTCCAAACTTAAAAAAACTTATAATCTCAAAATATGCTGTAACATTACACTACAATTATTACTCAAAATGAAGGTGTGAGTTTAACAAAAAGCTTAAAAAGTAAGAAACAGAAAAGTGAGAAACAGAAAACCTTGCCCTCTAAAGGTAACTCATTGTAAAAGGCAATGTAAGAAGCCAACCCAGTTCAAAAAAACATCTGTAACTGGTTTTGGTGGGGGAAAAGGAACTATAAGATACAGAAGCTGGCCAGGTGCAGTGGCTCATACCTATAACCCCAAGACTTCTGAAGGCCAAGGCAGGAGGACTGCTTGAGCCCAGGAGTTCAAGAGCATCCAGGGCAACATACTAAGACCCTGTCTGAACAAAAAATTTAAAAATTAGTCAGGCATGGGAGTTCAGGAAGGAGGGGACTGCAATGGGATGATCACTTGAAACCAGGAGATCGAGGCTGCAGCGAGCCATGATTGTACCACTGTGCTCCAGCCTGGTGACAGAGCAAGACCCTGTCTCAAAAAAAAAGATATAGAAGTTTACAAAAGAAACATATTAAGTATAGCCGACATATACTAAGAATTCCTTAGGAAAATGCTAGGGACACCTATAAGTACTTTACACATATTAGCCCATTTGATCCTCAATAATAATTTTATAAAGCAAGTGGCTGTACTATTTCCATTTTATAGCTAGAGAAACCAAGGCAAGACACAGCCAGGATTCAACTTTGGCTGTCTGGCTTCAGAGGCTGATAAGGTTTGGCTCTGTGTCCCCACCCAAATCTTATATTGAATTGTAATCCCCACCTGTCAAGGGAGGGAGGTGACTGGGTCATGGGGGTGGTTTCCCCCATGATGTTCTCATGATAGTGAGTTCTCAAGAGACAGTGAGTTCCCGAGTTCTCAAGAGACAGTGAGTTCTCACAAGATCTGATGATTTTATATAAGTCTCTGGAAGTTCCTCCTTCACTCTTCTCTTTCCTGTCGACTTGTGAAGAAGGTGCTTGCTTCCCCTTCCTGGGGCCTCCCC
Organism: Homo sapiens; assembly: GCF_000001405.40. Classification (NCBI taxonomy): domain Eukaryota; kingdom Metazoa; phylum Chordata; class Mammalia; order Primates; family Hominidae; genus Homo; species Homo sapiens. Next base: position 88,568,387 of record NC_000014.9, on the reverse strand, counting down.
AGCCATGTGGAACTCTGAGTCAATTAAACCTCTTTCTTTTAGAAATTACCCAGTCTCGGGTATTTCTTCATAGCACTGTGAAAATGGACTAATACAGAGGCTGTGCTCTCATCACTCACAAACTGCCTCTCCAAAGTAAACCTAACTCAAGTGTCAAGAACCTCTCTTTGGACAGAATATCAACTCAGGCTTGTGCCAAACTTTGGTCTGAGGCACAAAAATTCAGAAACATACCATACGGTGAATCGAATTGTGTTGTTCCCTAGAAACAGGGACAGATCCTCTGTCATTTGGTCCTGACTTTTCTTGTTGGCCACCATCACCATAATGTAATCAGGAAGTTCTTCATCTATTTAAAAGGAAAGGTAGATCAAAACTTTGTTTCCTCAAAACTTTCTTCTTAAAGTTGATGTGCTTGAAAATATAGATGTAGCTCTAAGCTTTAGAGTCGCAGAGCTCTACTGGAATTACATTGGACAAGATGGCTTAGCTTTAATTTTTTTCTCTTCATTCCACAGGTATTTCAAATACTAGAAGAATGGAAATTAAGAATAATTGATACTTACAAAACTAAACATTCTGAATTATAGGGTCAAACTTGAGCATGCATTCACTTCCTTGAATCTTTTTAATAATGCTTATTAATTTCAAAGAAGCTTATGGGAAATATTTGAACATTCCCCAAGAAAAAGAATTGAGTTTTGTTTAGTTTTAATTTGCAAAGTTTCAAAATAACACTCATTTCTCAAGTGAACATCTTTACCCTTGCTAAAGGCAGGTTTCAATTACTCACAGTAACAAACTTGTAGCAACATCGAATAAACAAATAGACCCAAAAGCTCCACATCATTTAAAAAAATCAATTTTAACATTAAATAATGTCAACTCAATGCACGGTTTTACCCTCACAGTGGTAATCCTACAATGATTATAAGGGTGAGGTCTAGGATAAAAAAAAAAAAAAAAGAAAAAAGGCCAGGCGCGGTGGCTCATGCCTGTAATCCCAGCACTTTGGGAGGCCAAGGTGGGCAGATCACAAGGTTAGGAGATTGAGACCATCCTGGCTAACACAGTGAAACCCTGTCTCTACTAAAAATACAAAAAATTAGCCGGGTGTGGTGGTGAGCGCCTATAGTCTCAGCTACTCGGGAGGCCGAGGCAGGAGAATGGTGTGAACCCAGGAGGCGGAGCTTGCAGTGCGCTCAGATCCTGCCACTGCACTCCAGCCTGGGCAACAGAGCAAGACTCTGTCTCAAAAAAAAATAAATAAATAAAATAAATAAAAGAAGCCAAAAAACACCCTCCTAGTGGTAATCCTACAGTGATTATGAGAGTGAGGTCTAGGATTTAAAAGAACAAAAAAACAAAAACCTCACTAAGAAGATAAGGAAGCAAAAGCTGTTATCAGGAACTCTAATCTCTGACCCTCAAAACTCCATTCCAGTTCTCTTTTTTTTTTTTTTCTTTTACGACAGAGTCTTGCTCTGTCTCCCAGGTTGGAGTGTAGTGGCACAATCTCGGCTCACTGCAAGCTCTGCTTCCTGGGTTCAAGCGATTCTCCTGCCTCAGCCTCCCGAGTAGCTGGGATTACAGGCACCTGCCACCACACCCAGCTAATGTTTGTATTTTTAGTAGACACCAGGTTTCAGCATGTTGACTAGGCTGGTCTCGAACTCCTGACCTCAAGTGATCCACCCACCTCGGCCTCCCAAAGTGCTGTGATTACAGGCGTGAACCACCATGCTGTGACAAATTTCTTTAATACCTTAAATACTTGTAATATTTCTATGCAGGCAGAAAGGTTCATTTCAGAAGTACTTTTTTTGTTTCAAAGAAAACTATAAAAAATGCAGTTCAAGTGTTGAAAGAATAAAAGAATAAATAAATCTTGGTTCAGCTTTATTTTCTCTGAGCCTCAATTCTCTCATCTGTTAGTCTTCCAACAATCCTGACAACAAATCGTTTATGAAAGTGCCCAGCAAATGGTGGTAAGTACTCCATAAATTACCAATTCTCAAACTGTTTGGTCTTGGGCCCCTTCTTTGGTTTATGCAGGTTCTATTATTTATGGTGTTCAAAATTAGAACTGATCATTTTTAATTAAAAAGTATTTATTAATTCATTAAAAAATAAATCCATCACATGTTAATCACAAATCCAATTATATTAACACAAGTAACATTATTAAATTTTCCAAAAAAAAATTTAGGCAAGGCACAGTGGCTCACACCTGTAATCCCAGCACTCTGGGAGGCTGAGACAAGTGGATCACCTAAGGTCAGGAGTTCGAGATCAGCCTGGCCAACATGGTGAAACACCGTCTCCACTAAAAACACAAAAATTAGCCGGGGGGGGGGGGCGGGGTGGTGGCAGGTGCCTGTAATCCCAGCTACTCGGGAAGCTGAGGCAGGAGAATTGCTTGAACCTGGGAGGCGGAGGTTGCAGTGAGCCAAGATTGCACCACTGCACTCCAGCCCGAACCACAGAGTGAGACCCCATCTCAAAAAAAAGAAAAAGAAAAATTTACTGCAAAGACTGGCCTTGTTTCATATTTTTATATATCTTGTTCTATGTGCTTATGACTGAAGAATATGAAAAAATCTGGTCTCACAGATATGCAGTTGAAAAAGGAGTATTCTGATAGTCTTTTCAGATAAGGTGGATATTCTTCTGTGACACTACACCAAAACTAAACAAGTGGTAGCTTATTAAATGTTAAAGCAACGTGGAATGTCAAATACGTCAATGACCTTTTTGAACTGTTGCACAAAAATCCACTGACCCACCCCAGAGTTTAAATAAATCTTTAATCCACTGCATAATTTTGTAATATTATGCATTGGTTATTTAGAAAAGATTGGTTCACTTAGCTACAAAAACCACTGACACGTTGATATATTTCATTATGCAGTATAAAATAATTATTTTTTAATATCGCCATTGAGTTGGCCGGATGCAGTGGCTGACACCTGTAATCCCAGCACTTTGGGAGGCTGAGGCACGCGAATCACAAGGTCAGGAGTTTGAGACCAGCCTGGCCAACATGGTGAAACCCTGTCTCTACTAAAAATACAAAAAATTAGCTGGGTGTAGTGGCAGATGCCTGTAATCCCAGCTACTCGGGAGGCTGAGGCAAAAGAATCGCTTGAACCCGGGAGGCAGAGCTTGCAGTGAGCCAAGATCACGCCACTGCACTCCAGCCTGGGCAACGAGTGAAATTCCATCTCAAAAAAAATAATAATAATAACAAATTTTTTTTAAATCACCATTTATTTAATCAGAAATTTTTTAAGTACTGGGAAGCTGTGAAATTCATGGAGGCAGGCTCAGATTTTCCAAAATTCTAATTTTCATTTGAAAGCTCACATGTGATTGGCAACAAAGACTATGGATTCTTTTCTTTGCTCACTTTCAAGTAAATATCTGCCAAATATCCTAGTGTATGTAACCAGTTTGTCAGTACTTTGAAGTTAAAAATGATGTTCCCTGAAAGAGGTGGCTAGCTTAGTTCTCAACTAAAATGATTTTCCTCAGAACAATCGTATTTCAGTATACAATAAAAATGTTTTATGAGCATTTCTATTTCCTCGCACTGAATACTAAGAAGATAAAAAATATTTTGTAAACCCTGGACTTCACATCTTCATCAATGACATTTTAAGTGTAATTGGCTCAAAAAGAAAAAAACTACAAGGGGGGAGTGATTTGAATATGATTTCATTATGGTGTTACTATGCTGACAAGTTTTATCAACCATTAGTTTTACACAATCCAAACACCACCACCACAGTGAAAAATAACAAATACCATCTTAGTATTAATATGAAAACAGTTTTGACTTCAGAGGCCCTTGGAGTCTCCCACACTTTGAGAACCACTGTCATTAGTGGTAGCTATTATTTTTATAGGAGGCACCAGCTTTGGGGGCAAACCATAAAACCTTGCTCAAGTAGGCAAAGCCTCAGTTTCCTTGTTTACACAGTCAAAGATACTGCCACTTACCTTCCAGGATTCTCGTAGGGATTATCCTGAGTTAATACATATACAATAGTTAAGCACAGTACCTGACCCAGAGTAAACACTCAAATTATAAAAGAATAAAGAGACGGAAAAAGCCTTACTGTTTCAGAGAGAGAGGGAAAACATAAAGAGATCGGAAAATAAAACTCACTGAACCATTACAGAAGCAAATGCCAGAAAGCATCAAACATTCACATCCAACATCAGAGTTCTAAAAACAAATGTCAAGAGGAAAGTAACAAGAATAGGAAACTTTAAACAGGCATGGTGGCTCACACCAGTAATCCCCGCACTCCCAGCACCTAGGGAGGCTAAGGTCAGATAATTGCTTGAGCCCAGGAGTTAAGACCAGCCTGGGCAACGTAGCGAGACCCGTCCCTAGAATTTAAAATGAGAGAGAGAGAGAATAGGAAAAACATAAAATAAAATTCGGTCAAACAGAGCCTTAACGGAGGAAACTAAATTTCAAAACACCATAACAGAAGGAGGTTTGGGAGAAAAAAAACAAGGTTGCAAAAAGATGATAAAGAAGTAACCAGGGAGTATAAGATTTGAAGAAGGTAGAAGGGAGTCTCTCCCAATGTCCAAAGTACGGTGAGAAATACGCATTCACTAAAATTCTATTAGCTGCAAACTCTAAATTCTGTAAGACTAACAACCAAAAAAACACTTACCAACATAAGCTCCTAATTCTTGTAATTTCCCCTTAATGGCACTCTGAGAGAAAAAGAGCAAACGTGCATGTGAGAAAGGCGGCTCTAGGAAAACAAGACCGGACTCTGCAGCGGCTGAGGCCACTTTGCTGGTGCGCGCACCTCGGATCCCCCGGGCGGGGGCTGGGAGGAGCCTCGCCTGCACCGCCCCCCACCCCGCACCCCACTCCAGCTCCAGCCCCAGCCCCGCGGCGCCCACCTCCCGCAGCGGATCCAAAGCGGCGCCGTGCGCCGCGGTGGTGGCTCCAGCCGGGCCTGCGCCTGTCCTTCCATTTCCCGGCGGCTACTTCAGCCGCAGCCACGCTCCGAGGCCGCAAATGTCCCCAGGGCCGAGGCGGCCTGGACGAGGAGGAGCCGCAGCCCGCCAGGAGCGTCCAGCGGAGGCCAGGCCGCGGCGTCCACCCGGGCCCACAGTCCCCGTTACTCCTGACAACCGCCCGCTCGCCGAGACCTGGCTTCCCACCCCCGACCGGCACGGGCCTCACCCGGATCTTGCGGCTGATCTCGGTGCCGATCTCCATGGCTCTGCGGCGTGCGGGAACTCAGCACTGCGCGGCGCTTGGCTTACCCGGAGGCTGCCGCGGACTCCTACCCCGCAGCCGGGACACCACCGCCTCCTCCTCCGTTCCGCCCCCGGCCGCGCACACGGCGTATCCCCGCCCCGGCCGGCACTGCGCGCCGGAGTGAACGCGCATGCGCCCGTGTCCGCGCCTGCGCACGCCTTCTACCCGCGAAACCTGTGCTCAGGCAAGGAGGGCGGCGGCGTGCGCGTGCGGGTGGTCTTGCAGCTCCGCCTCCCGGGCACCTCGGGGACCTTTCGTTAGTCTCTCTGCTGGCCCTCCGCTTATTCATTTTATTCTCTCTTGGATGGTAAGAATGAATTAAATGTGTAGCAGAAAGATCTTGGGCTGTGATATGAGACGCGAGTTCAAATCCAGCCCTCACTTACTGTCAGTATGGTATCGGTCCAGGTATTTCAACTTTTCTTACCTGTAAAATGGAGTCTGCCCATTAGAGGTTGCACTGCAATTACCCTTGAAGGGAAAATGGACTATCCAGAGCAACAGAGCCAATCCGTCAACTCTTTGACTCTGCAGTACACTGGCCCTCCTGGGTTTGGTTCTGCCTTCCTTCTTCCAGGGCCACCCGTGGCCTCTCCCCGAGACGAATCCCATCCTCCTGCTTCTCTGAACACCCTCCGTGGGACAACACTTTTGTTCTTAGGACTTAAGTTGTCAACTCTGTGCTGATAATGACCGAATTTTCCATCAGCCTTGAATTCTCACACAAACCCCACTCCCAAATTCTAAGTAACTACTCTTATTTTCTCCCAACTCAGCGCTTAGACAGAAGTCGCCTTCATCTCCCCTTCCTCCACTCAATAGGTTACTACTGTTGATTCCCCTATTTGTATCAATAGCCGAATTCTCCCTATCCCTGATCACAAAACCTGGGAAACAGAGGAAGCACAGAGAGGTCTCCTTTCTCCCTCATATCCACTAATTCCTGAGAGTGGTCTCTGTTATCCATTGCTGCATAACAGATGACCACAAATTTAGCAGCTTAAAACACAAACGTTTATCATCTCATGGTTTCCGTGGGTCAACCTCACTGGGTCCTCTGCTCAGGGTCTCACAAGGCTACAATCGTGTCAGGCAGGCTGTATTCTCATCTGGAGGCTTGACTGAGGAGGAATCTATGTTCAGGCTCATTCAGGTTGTTAGCAAGAATTCATTTCTGGCTGAGTGCGGTGGCTCATGCCTGTAATCCCAGCAGTTTGGGAGGCTTAGGCTGGCGGATCACTTGAGACCAGGAGTTCGTGACCAGCCTGGGCAACATGGCAAAAACATGTCTCTTCAAAAGTACAAAAAATTAGCTGGGCGTGGTGGCATGCACTTCTAGTCTCAGCTAGTTGGGAAGCCGAGAGGGGAGGATTGCTTGAGCCTGGGAGGCAGAGGTTGCAGTGAGCCAAGATCATGCCACTACAGCCTTGATGAGAGAGTGAGACCCTGTCTCAGGAAAAAAAAAAATAATTCATTTCCTTGTGGCTTTATGAGTAAGGACCCAGATTTTTTTCTGGCTATCATCTGGAAGCCACTCTCAAGTCCTAGAGGCTGCCCACAGTTCTTTGCCAAAGGGTTCACTAACATGTCTGTTCACTTACGCCAGTAAAAGCCAGGCACAGTGGCTCATGCCTGTAATTTCAGCTCAGTGAAGTAGAGGTGGGAGGATCACTTGAGACCAGAAGTTTGAGACCAGCCAAGGGCTTTCATTTAATTAAGTTAGGCCCACCCAGGACCTGACCCCAAAATCAGCTGATTCACGACCTCAATTACATCTGCCAAACCTCTTATTTTTGCCATGTTTATTACCTAAGCAATCCACACTAGGGGTCAGGAGTGGGTTGTGGGGACAGCAGAAGCAGGAGTTGTGGGGCTACCTAGGGTCTGTCACGTGGTCCTTTAATAATCTCATATAATCCTTTCTTGTGAATTCCTATGGCATCTATATGGAAGCTATTAGTATAATAATATATTCTGTGCAATGTTATTTCGTGTGTGTGTGTGTGTCTTCCCTAACAAAATTATAAACTCTCTGTAGGGCTTTATATTTCTCCAACCTTTCAGGATGCTGGACACATAGTAAGCACTCATTAAATATTAATAGGGTAAAAGAAATTAAAGACCTAATTTACAAAAGCATTCCTCAAGGATAAATCCAGTGATCATACACTCATTCAGCATTGATGACAGGCAGCAGAGCAGAATGACACAGAACAAGGGCACTGCAGCCAGACCGTCTGGGTCTGAATCCTGGCTCTGCCACTCCCTCTGAGACCTTCGGCAAATTGCTTCTCATCTCTGTGCCTCAGTTTCCTTATCTGTGATATAGGTATACTAGTTTCACCTGCAAAGGGTTACTATAAGGATGAAATAAGTTAATATTTGTGAAGTATATTGAACTGTGCCTGGCTTATAGCAGTACTATGCTTGCTGATTAAAAATTAAGTACCTGCACTGGGATACAGTGGTAGGAGCCAGAGCACAAAGAGGAGCAAGACCAACTCCCTGCTTTCATGACACTCACAATACAAAAGACAGATGAATTACTTTTATTCCTTTACCAGCCATTTCAGAACTAAGAACAAAAACATGTTTTACCATTACTGGGTACCCAATTCTCAGTCAATATTAACATAATATTGAGAATAACATTTAATAAAAAGTAATGTTTTCATTAAAACATATTCAGAGTAGGGAAACTTATTAAAATATATTCAAGAAAGCGTTAACTTTTAGGACCATGAGCTAACTTTTAGGACAACTGTGGAAAAGAGACTGAAAGGCTGCTTGAGACCTCCCACATTTAGATCTAAGATGTTATGATGTCTCGATCACAGGAGGGGCAAACCCACTAAACCAATGGTTCATTTGGTGTTCCAGTGCAGTTCCAGGCACTTCCCTGTAAACTGCAGCTTCACAAACTACATCACATCTCGAAGAAGATGTTCATGATAATGCCCTAAGAGAAGCCATTAGAGGGAGTAGGAGTGCTAGGCTTGAAAAAGACTATACTGGACAGTATTTTTTTTTTTTTCCCAGCTTGGAAATGTTCTCTGATTTAGGGGAAACAACATGTTTTCCTCTAGGGGACAGTGTGAAGACCAGATTTCAACAAACCCAAAGTGCCAGCTAAGAGGGCTCTGGGCTGTCTTCCAAAAAGAGAAGATGACTGAAAAGAGCATTGGCTTTGAAGTCAGAAGGGCTGAGTACCAACCCCATCTCCATGGAGCCATGAGTCTTCTAACATTGCCCCCCAACCACGTCTGCAATCTCTTCTCAGGTTGTATTTCAGCTGGATGTTGCACATCCTTTGCACGTGTGTGCGTGTGTGAGTGTGTAGAAGCACTAGGGGATGGGGGAAGGTGGGGTGGGAGTGGGGGTGTCTTCCTGCTTGAAAAGCTTTTCTTTCTTTTTTTTTTTTTTTTTTTGAGATGGAGTCTCACTCTGTCGCCAGGCTGGAGTGCAGTGGCGTGATTTCAGCTCACTGCAACCTCCATCTCCTGGGTTCAAAGGATTCTTCTGCCTCAGCCTCCCGAGTGGCTGGGACTACAGGCGCGTGCCACCACACCCAGCTAATTTTTGTATTTTTAGTAAAGACAGGGTTTCACCACGTTGGCCAGGATGGCCTTGCTCTCTTGACCTCATGATCCGCCTACCTCGACCTCCCAAAGTGCTGGGTGTGAGCCACCGTGCCAGGCCCAAAGCTTTGCTTTTCTTTGAGTACTCAGTCAACCTTTTTTTGTCAGCCTTTTGAGTCTGCTTTTCCAGACTCAAGCAGAAGCTGATCACAGTGATTAACGAGACATTACCAGTCCATTCAGACTATAAAGTATAACCATGTATAAATTTCCTCACCTACTACAATTACATATTCATCTGTTGTTCACATGGTGAGTCTTTGAGGACAGGGGTATGCATCTATTTACCTTTCTCCTTGCAGCACCTGGCTTCTAAATATATGTGGGCTGAATGGACAAGTGTTTTCCAATAGTGATTATCACATGGCATAGACATACTTGGATCAAAAGCCCTAAGTGTTGGGAATTACAGTCACAGCAGTCACTTGCTACTGAGGCAGACATGCTTCTCCATTTCAACAAACACACTGCCAAGATAATCATTTCTCTGATGTCCAGGGGAATCTATCCATAAAATGGTTGCTCTTTTGCAACTGAAAAGGTGTTGCATGTGACACAGTATTGAGTGTGGTAGGCAGAACTTAAGGTGCAGATTCAGAGACCGAAGACTTCACATTTCTATTTTTTTTTTTTTTTTTTTTTGAGACGGAGTCTGGCGCTTGTCCCCCAGGCTGGAGTGCAATGGCGCGATCTCGGCACACTGCAACCTCCATCTCCCGGGTTCAAGCGATTCTCCTGCCTCAGCCTCCCAAGTAGCTGGGACTACAGGCGCCCTCCACCACACCCGGCTAAATTTTGTATTTTTAGTAGAGACAGGGTTTCATCACGTTGGCCAGGCTGGTCTCGAACTCCTGACCTCGTGATCCGCCCGCCTCGGCCTCCCAAAGTGCTGGGATTACAGGCGTGAGCCACCGCGCCTGGCCACACATTTCTAGTTCTAGCCCTCACTGTCCCCTTCCTCAGGGATCATCTTTTTTTTTTTTTTTTGAGACAGCGTCTCACTCTATCACCCACGCTGGAGTGCAGTGGTGCGATCTCGGCTCACTGCAATCTCCGCCTACTGGGTTCAAGCGATTCTCCTGCCTCAGCCTCCTGAGTAGCTGGGACTACAGGCGTGTGCCACCTGCCCGGCTAATTTTTTTTTTGAGACGGAGTCTCGCTCTGTCGCCCAGGCTGGAGTGCAGTTATGCGATCTCGGCTCACTGCAAGCTCCGCCTCCCGGGTTCACGCCATTCTCTTGCCTCAGCCTCCCAAGTAGCTGGGACTACAGGTGCCCACCACCATGCCTGGCTAATTTTTTATATTTTTAGTAGAGATGGGGTTTCACCGTGTTAGCCAGCATGGTCTCAATCTCCTGACCTTGTGATCTGCCCACCTTGACCTCTCAAAGTGCTGGAATTACAGGCGTGAGTCACCGTGCCGGGCGTAATTTTTGTATTTTTTTAGTAGAGACGGGGTTTCACCATATTGGCCAGGCTGGTTCCGAACTCCTGACCTCGTGATCCACCCGCCTCGGCCTCCCAAAGTGCTGGGATTACAGGCGTGAGCCACCGCGCCCAGACAGGAATCATTATCTTTGCGTGGCAGGGCATTCATTCAATTTGGATTTTTGCAGATGATGATAATTTATACGGTGGGTATTCACCATGCTATCAAAACAGATTAACTTTTGAACTTCTAAGAAAACACTAGTCAGTGCACCCACCAAACCACAATTTCCTTTCCTTTTTTTTTTTTTTTTTTGAGACAGAGTCTTGCTCTGTCACACAGTCTGGAGTGCAGTGGCGTGATCTTGGCTCGCCACAACCTGTGCCTCCTGGGCTCAAGCGATTCTCATGCCTCAACCTCCCCAGTAGCTGGGACTACAGGCATGCTCTACCACGCCCAGCTAATTTTTGTATTTTTAGTAGAGACGGGGTTTCTTCATGTTGGCTAGGCTGATCTCGAAATCCTGACCTCAGCTGATCTGCCCTCCTAGGCTTCCCAAAGTGCTGGAATTACAGGCATAAGCTACTGCACCCAGCCTTCTTTCATCTTTTTGTCTTTCATCATTTTATGTGCTGGGCTTTCTTTTTACATTTTATTTATTTTAGTAAGAAATAACTTCCAGTGTAAAAGTATGTGTAAGTATGCCACCTTCTGGATAACAAGAGGGGGTAAAGATACTTATATGTAGTTTCTTGTAACTCTGCAGAACATCTTTGTAAGGATACAGAGGAATGAGGGAACACTGGTTACCTCCCAGGAGAAGAGCTGGGTGTCTAGCAGGCAGGGTGAGAAGGGGACTTTTTACTTACACCCTTTTGTATCTTTGGGGGTGGCACCATATAAATTATCTCACTTCCTTAGATATGCAACACAAGCTAATAATTTTATGTCTAATATTTTGAAGGTGTTATTCAAGTGCCTTCCCATGAATGTTCCTGCCAAATTAACATAGCTGAGGGAAAATAGGGCTTAGGTACTTGGTCAGTAAATGACATCTGTGGACTGTGAGGGAGGAAGTTCAACTCAGTTGTCTAACATCTCTTGGGTTTTATGGTCATTTTCTATTTTTAAAATTCTTTTATTTTCTTCCTGATTCAATTAACAAGTTTTTATTTAGTGCCTACTCTTTGCCCAGTACTGTCCTAGGAATCCTAGGAGATATAAAAGAAGCCGTCATGAAACAACTTTTACAGTTCTTGCCAAGTGTGGAGATCACTGTGGAATGGTGTGGCTAGAAAGTCATCCTGGAAGCAGAGTCTTACTTGCAGAGAAGCAGAAGGCTTAGACAAGTGGAAAGAGGGCAGGAGGGGCTGCTGGCCAGGGGCAAAGCTTGACAGGGGCAGAAAGCGATATAGGTGGTCAGAGAGGCCCGTTTGGAAAGTCCCTATAGGTCAGGCAGAAGAACTTAACCTTGGGAGTCCATTAAGAGTGATAAGAGAAGGAAGCCTGGTATTAGCAAGGAAATAAGAGAGAACTGAGAAACCAGATGCCAGGAGACCACCCTTGTTGCAATAATCCGGATGTAAAATGATGAGGGTTTGGATTTAGAATGTTCCAGGGGGAACAGAAAGGAAACAAAGAATTCATGAGACATTTCAAAGGAGGAAATACCAGGTCTTGATGACAGGCTGGAGATGATAATGGGAGAAGTCACACATGATTCCAGTTTTTCTACCTTGGGAAGCCAGCAAAGTGACTTCTTTTTAGATCTCTTTTCTTTGCTCACACACAAATTGACCCCCTCATAGAGTTCAGTTGAAATATCAATTACAAACAGAATTGATCTATTTTTTTTCCCTTAGAAACACAGGTAATCTTATTTGCCTTTAGCTAAACGACCCAAGATGCACCTTGCTGGGCTTTGCTCTTGGATAGCACTCATACCTCTATGACAATGCTCCCCACTTTGGCCTTGTACTGCGTGTGTGGTGTGCAGGTGCGTTTATCACCCACTAAACCAAAAGTCCGTGTTGTGCAGGGACCACGTCTCATGCAGAGTTAAGTATTCAAAAGTTTTTGTTAATTGTTTAAGAAAATGAGATTTACATGAAACAATACTTTAAAAAGCTTTCCAGAAACAACAGCATTAAAACAAAATCACTGAAATTAAAATTTACATAAATTAAAAGGTTCTGTGTTCCACATGCCAAGAAAAGATCTTACACTATTGTAATAGTGGTAGGGTCACACAGTTTTATTCCTCAGCTTAAGTGCTGCAATACAGTAATAATGCAGTACAAGAATACTGTATAATAAACCTTAAACGAAACACTTCATATATACTTTACACAAGTTATTGGATATTGCTTAGTATTTATTTCCCCCACCCCTGCTGTGCAAAGATATTAATATCCCTCTTTTATAGGAGAGGAAACAGGTAAAGAGAAGTTAAGAAACTTGCACAAGGTCATCCAGCTAGTAAATGTTGGAGCTGGGATTTGACAACTTTGTCAAGTCTCCATCCTTAACAGTTCTGCTCTATATTGCATAAGCAGACAGCTCCCTTTTGGGGACTGACAGGTTATTTGAGGCATATGAACCATTTTTGGTGGGGGGGCTTTCCCACCCAGTACTGGAAGTGTCTAGTTATATGGGGCATAACCTTAGGAGCAAGCAGGAAAAGAAGAAATGTATTCCAATAGTGTTCAGAAATATACCAGAGTAAACGAATAACCATCAATAACAGCATTTTACAGCCTACCTAATAACACAGGAATAAAACCCTTTATCTGGAACCTAAATAATACCCCCTCCACTCATTTTATTAAAAGCCTTGCTTTATTTGGAAACTCTTAAAATAAGTGGTCATACGATTAAAAAAAGCAGCGGCGCGCCCCCTCCCCGGCGGCCGGGCGCAGCTGTCCGCGCCTCCCCCGCGCGGCTGCCCGCATTCCAACTCTCTGAGGTCACGGGCCGCCGCCGCCTCCCCGGATCCGCCCGCCCGGCTCAGGGGGAGGGACGCCTGGGCCCGGCCGCCCCGCTGCTCCGGCCGCGCGTCCCGCGTCGGTCCGACGGTCTGTCCGTCCTCCTGCCACCCCCCGCCCCCACGGGGCTTCTTTGTGCGGCGCTCCTCGCCGGCCGGTCCCACCTCCAGGCCTCGCCCCTCGCCGTCGCCACCGCCGGACTCTGCCCAGGGGAATGGTCTGCGAGCCGGGTTTTTGGAGACAGGAAGTGAGGCGTGCGAGCCCCATGAGCGCGCCGCGGCCCGGGCTGGCGTGCGGGTGCGGCTGCGGCGGCCGCGCGGCGGGGCCCCGGGAGGCGGGTCGCTGAGCGGGGCGCGCGGCCCCGAGGATGCGGGAGCGGGAGCGGGAGCAGGTGAGGGCGCGGTCCCCGGCCGGCGGGAGGGGCGGGCGGCTGGCCCGAGCGGTGGGGTGTGTCCACTCGCCCGGACCCCGGAGCGCGCCCGCGGCCCCGGAATCCCGGAGAATGGGGCGCGGCGGCCAGACCCGTAGCGGGAGCGTAACAAAGAGAAAAGTCTTGTTTTTCAGGTTCGCTCTCATATACTTGAGTAATTTCTAAAAGGAGTCTTGAACTTCTATTCCGAACGCCCTGGCCGATTGTTGCGGGTTAATTCTGGATCAGGGTTTTAAATGTGTTAGGCATATTTGTGCCTCTCAGAATATATAAACGTGAAATTCGCCAGATAACTTTGGCGAGAAGGGGCGCAGGGAAGGACTGTTTGGTAACGCCTGGGTTTGTTTTTGGAGTAGAGTATTTACTCTGGAAACAAGAATTCTTGGATCTGCAAATTCCGACTTGTGATTTCTGCAAATCCTGATTAGATTGGCCGCTCTTGGCATGCTCGTCCTATTTTCTTTTTTGCTGAGAAAGCCTTATACTAATAGCGTATGCTCACAAACACATTCAGAACATTCGTGTGCTCCAAGTGACAACTGCTGTATGCCTAATAGTTGCTGACAGTTTATTTATTTTTTTAAGTTTGGGACACGACAGTAATTTTACTCTGAATATAGTCCGTTTCGTTTCTAGGGCATTTTATTCTGGAGCATCTACGCACAGATGTTTTCTCCGTGAGAAACATGGGTTTAATGCTATAGCTATAGATATTACTCTAAAAATGTCACATACTCTCTCCTTTTAGTGCTTATTTTATTTTAAAGCAACTTTGGCAAAATTACATGTGGTAAGGACCTTAATAGGAAAGGGGAAACGCTGTAAGATTGAGAGGTAAAGTGTATTTGAGGAACTTTTGGAAAGGGTTGTAGAGAGGGAAAATTAAAATGAATTCACAAATAGTTCAGACTGCCTTTTGTAAACTTGTACTGAAGCAGAATCTAGTATGTATCTGTTTACTTACCACAAAACGGAAAGATTTTGTAGAGAAAAAATTATATCCTAGTTTTCCTTTAATAGCTATTTATAAATTATGTTTACTTTAGTAAATTATAATTCCAGACCCAATCACTTTCATATTATTGCATATTATTTTATACCTGAAACAGACCTCCCCAAAGAACTCTTAAATTTCTACTCATCTTGGTTTTATTATCTTCAGACATTCATAATTGTATTACACCATTTGGCAACAAATACTGCATATTACTGAAAATTAAGATGTATAAATCATTGATAAATTTGTAAATTATTAAACAAAATCATTGTTTTAACATAGTGGGTTTTATATAAATAAGCAAAAAGCAAGCCATTCTTATGGATAGATCTTGGGGGGATGCACCATGTACACACACACTGCAACTTTTTCAATTTCATCTACCAAAATAAGAGATAATTTTGACTTTTCCTTTATCCCTGATGCAGTAATACATTTCAAGTCTGAGGGACAATTGAAAGTTTTACTGAGTTTGCTTAATCAGAGCTTAAGTTAATAATTAAGTTATACAGTGTAGTATCTATTGCTTTCAAGGCATAGTTCTATGTAGTGAAAAGACTACCATATTTGAATGGCACCTAATACAAATATTTATCTTTCCTCTACACATATGCAATATCTTGTCTGTTCATCTACACTACTTAATCCGCCCGGTTTCCAGTTACCATAATTTTTATGTAAAATTGAAACCCACCATCTGATCTCATGAAAGGGTGTTTAGTATGCATATTTATAATCCTTAAATATTTACTCTTGGTTTATCAATTTTCTAGTTAAAAGCTTATTATTTAAAGTTGTCATTTGCTAATTTTTTTCCATCTTGCTTTACTTATTTAGTTTATACCCCTGAAACAGCAAAGAGCATTGAAAACTACTGGAAGTGGAAACCATATCTTTTAATACTTATTTTCTGTTTCCCTCCATAGTATGGTGCTTTTACCTACAGAAGGCACTCAGCAAATGCGGTTAATTAACACAGTGCTTTAGGTAGTTGCAGCGTTGTTTTTTTCTTCTGGCCTTCCCCTATCCCTTGTTTTTAATATTTTGATTTTCCTGGCTATGGGAAATAACCAGAGCTCAAAACAAACAAAAAAACTAGCCAGATAAAACCGTGGTTGGGTCCTTATTAGAGATACAGCTCTGTATGTAATTATAGCATGGTTGTAATCTCTTTAAAGACAGCGACGGTTTAGGGATTCGTCTTAGATTTCTCACGATGCTCATTACGCTGTCTTGTTCCCAGAGACGCAATACACATTTGTGGAATGGAATTTCAAAATGTTAAGTTTGGCAAAGCCGAGGGTAGTAGCGGAACCCTTTTCTCCAGGTCTGCCATTCCCTAACCCTAAGTGCCCCATCACCTCTGGGCCTGAGACGCAGTCAGGAGAGCAGGACCCAGGAGAGGACTGGGACTGTGGAATTTGGGATCGATTCCCAGCTCAGCCCGTCCTAGCGTGAAACTGCGAAAGCCGCTTCTCTTCCTGAAGCCTGGGTTCTGTCTGCCAGATGAGAGGGTCGGGAATAGATCTTGCCTCTCCGCGCGGTCCCGGGCCGGAACTCAGCGTAGCCAGCTATGGCTGGGTCTCGCTAAGCGATTCATCCCCAACAGGCAATCTCTGCGCAGAAGGAAGGTAGGGAACCGTCTCAGGACCCTGGAAATGTCCGGGATTTTGTAGACTCGTTTAGGGGGAAAAAACTAATCCAGCTGATATAAAAATCCCCAGCTAGTGCTCGCCCCAGAAACCATCAACAGGTCTGGTTAAAAACTGTTAGAGCCCGGCTTGGTGGCGCGCACCTGTGGTCCCAGCTACTCGGGAGGTTGAGGCGGGAGGATCGCTTGAGCCCAGGTGTTCGAGGCTGCGGTGAGCTACGATGGCGCCACTGCACTCCAGCCTGGGTGGCATAGCGAGACTTCGCTCTATAAAACACGTTGTAAGGAGCGTATTTTGAGGTCCTGTGGCTCCAAAGCGGGCATCCTATGGGGCCCGCCCAACCTCTCCACCGCCAGTAGGGCACGCGCTGGTCCCTTTAAATGTTCCCTTCGGGAGCCGAGGGACCGGTCCTTTTAGAGCGCGTCCGTCCAGAAACGCGGCTGCAGAAAGAGGGTTCCGGGGCCTCCGAGTCTACTGGTTGGCCTGGCAACGCCGCGTGCTCTTCCCAAGGGGAGGACGCGGGAGAAGCCGGGGCCTGAGTGCTCCAAGGCCCCGTGGGCTTCTTGGGTTTGTTGCCTCCGGCCGCTCATTAACTCAGGATGGCGTGGAAGACCTCGCCCGCCTCCCCTTCTGGGCCGCGGCTCCGCTTAGGTGAAGGCCTGTTTGGGCGTCCCCACCCTGGAGAGGGGCCGGGGTCTGGATTTTCAGAACTGCCACTCTTCTAGTGGTAAATGGATAACGAGCATTTGTAGGGTCTTTTATGATGTTTATCAGTAAATCAATTTGATGACGTAAATACTTCCACAAGCGCTTGTTAGGCACCTCACCGGGTTTGAATCACACACCTGCCTTTCTTAGTGGGGATTATTCCTCCCATTTGCCTTCAGGGTTAATTTTCTAAAGGGATTGGGACTGAAACCTAGCTCTTTTGGGGCCATTTGGCACTTTTCTCACTTAAGGACTAAAGAACTCTGACATTTGGAGTATTACAACCTGAAAGAGTTACCTATGAAAAAACAACACCTTATCCAAAATAGGAAGAGGATCACAATTACTAACTACAAAATTTGGGATTATAGTAGTGCTGGCTATTATCTCATTTAATCCTGAGGATGGCCCAGTTTGCTATCCCTATTTGTAGGATACAGTGAAGGGTGGAGTCTGACCCTGAGCCTAGCACAACTCTGAGATAAAATTCCACCCTGCCTTCCGGGTCCTGTTAGTGCCTTTTTTCCAGTGGAGAGGGACGGCTTGTTCTTTGGCCACAGCTTGACTGGCTTTTCTTTATACAAGCAAAGCCCAGCGTTACGTTTGCTTAACTAACGGCGTTCCTCTTTCCCCAGCGCTGGCGTCAATGCTCCCTTCCTCGGGCCATTGGAGACTCCGTTGCTTTTTAATGGCGGCAGCGGCTGCTGGGTGAGCAGCTGGAGGCCGGACAGTGTTCGTCCCATCCGGAGAGGATCGCTTTCTCCTGGCGTCACCAGCGCTGGGTTGGTGGGGGTAGCTTTTCCCTCTTTGCTCCTCCATTCTTGAAGAAAGAAGAAGATGCCACTGCCATTTGGGTTGAAACTGAAACGCACCCGGCGCTACACGGTGTCCAGCAAGAGTTGCCTGGTTGCCCGGATCCAACTGCTTAATAACGAGTTTGTGGAGTTCACCCTGTCCGTGGAGAGCACTGGCCAGGAAAGCCTCGAGGCCGTGGCCCAGAGGCTGGAGCTGCGGGAGGTAAGCCACCTAAAGACACTGCAGGCCAGGCGCGGGTGGCTCAAGCCTGTAATCCCAGCACTTTGAGAGGCCGAGGCTGGTGGATCACCTGAGGTCAGGAGTTCGAGCCTAGCCTGGCCAACATGGTGAAACCCTGTCTCTACTAAAAATACAAGGCCGGGCGCAGTGGCTCACACCTGTAATCCCAGCACTTTGGGAGGCCGAGGCGGGCGAATCACAAGGTCAGGAGTTCGAGACCAGCCTGGCCAATATGGTGAAACCCCATGTCTACTAAAAATACAAAAATTAGCCGGACGTGGTGGTGGGCGCCTGTAGGGTGTGGTGGCGGGCACCTGTCATCCTACCTACTCGGGAGGCTGAGACAGGAGAATCGCTTGAATGTGGGAGGCAGAGGCTGCAGTGAGCCGAGATCGCTCCACTGCACTCCAGCCTGGGCTACAGAGCGAGACACCTGCTCAAAAAAAAAAAAAAATTGGCTGGGCGTGGTGGTGGGTGCCTGTAATCGCAGCTACTGGGGAGGCTGAGGCAGGAGAATCACTTGTACCCAGGAGGTGGAGGTTGCAGTGAGCTGAGATCACAGCACTGCACTCCAGCCTGGGCAACAAACTCTGTCTCAAAAAAAATTAAAAATAAATAAAAAAAACACGACAGGCTTCTCTGGCCCGCATGCTGGCTGTGTGTTCTAGCCCACGGGCCACTCACTGTGTGTCCCTGGCTGGGATGTCTGAGTTGAGCCTGTAGTCCCCTCCTCATGAAGCAGGAATAGATTAGATTAAGAAGTCTCCCCTTGGGGTGCCCTATAAGAACTAATGGTTCTTATTTTGAATATGTTTATATTCCCCCTCTAAGGTAATCCAGAATCAAATGTGAATACACTTTGGGTTGTTCAAATTTCCATTTTCTAATATACCCCCAAAGGTCATCCTGATCTCTAGTACAGTTTACTGACTTCATTCTTTCTTTTTTGTTCATTTTAATTTTTTTAGAGTCAAGGTAGGTCTAGCTATGTTGCCCAGGTTGGTCTCAAATTCCTAGGCTCAAGCGATCCTCCCGCGATAGGCATGTGCCACCATGTCCGGCTCTTGACTTCGTTCTTTCAACATTCATTGAGTAAAATTCATTGACTATATTCTTACAGGCCAGATCGAGGTTCTAGAAACATACTGCCTGAACTCAGTTTGAGTTCTAGTTTCCTCACCATCTGCTTCTGTTACCTTGGGCAAGTTATGTGATATCTCTGAGCCCCAGTTCTCCATCTGAACCATGGGGATGACTGTGACACCTAATTCTCAGAGTAGCATAAGGTTGTAAGCTCTGCTAACTAGTCTATTAGAGTACCGATTGGGAGGTTTGCCCAGGAAACCCCTAATCTAGTTGGTAGGAAGTTATGGAGTACTCATGTATCCATATAATGTCTTAAATTTAAAATGTTATGCAAGGCCTGTGAAGAAAGGTCTCTAATTAAACCTAGGACCCTCCCTACCTTTGGCTACCTGGTTCTTGGGTAAGGGAAAGTTAGAGAAACTGGTTATTCCACCTAAAAAGTCAGGAATAGATGAACTTTGCTCCTGGTGACCATCCAATCACTTATATGATCACTCAGTACTGAAGATGCGTAAGTGCCAAGCACATACATACTTGGAAGCTCACCCTAGTGTTGTTGCCAGTAAGAAAACAGGCATGATGCATGCTGTGATAAGGGAAGTAGAGGGTGTGCTATAGGCCAGAGGGAGGTGCAGCAAAGGGAAGGCTGCTCAGGGAATTTGATTCTGAGCTGTGACCTGAGGATGGGGCAAGGGAGTCCTATCAAGGGCTGGAGGAGTTCCAACAAAGAGAACTGCACAGGACCAAAGACGCAGAGGAAGCTGGTCTGCCTGAAGCCTGAAGTGCGTGGAGGAAAGGCCGACTGTAAGGGCCACACAATGAGGATTTTTTGTTAAAGGATTTAGATTTATCCTGAGGGTAGTGGGGAAGTTAATGAAGGGTGTAAACAGGTGTGGTACGATTGTTTCTGTGAAGAGTGAGCCCTTTGGAGAATGATTTGAGGGGAGTGGTTCAGGTACAGATGGTAGCCACCTGGAGTTGGATAGGGTTGGAGAGAGGTGGTTGGAATCTGGATCAGGACCTACCGAGTAATAGAGAAGGGTTAGCATGGGTCCTGGTTGATATTCAGGTTTTCAGTAGATGGTGGGGCTATAACAGAGAGGAAATGTGAAAGGAAGTGCAGATCTATTAGGGGCAAGGAGGAGCGTGTGGTGAGTTCAGTTTTAGAAATACTGAGTTTGAGGTGCCAGTTGGAGGTTTTGAATAGACAGATGGATCTGCTGATCTGGAGTTCAGGCATGAGATCCAGGTTAGAGGGAAGATATTGGGAAGTATCAGCCTAAGTGAGTTCATTAAAGCCAGAAGATGGTATGAGGCTCTCCAGGGGAGAAAAAGAGGACATCGCAGACCCCTCATGGTAGATTAGAGGAGGGGAAAGTGTTGGAAGGAAACTGAGATGAAACTGCCGAAGAAGAAGAAAGAAAACCAGAACAGCAGGCCTCAGTAACCAGTCCCTGCTTACTTGCATTTATTCTTTTTTAGGGATGAGGTCTCACTCCATCACCCAGGCTGGAGTACAGTGGCACCGTCATAGCTCAATGCATCCTCAAACACCTAGGCTCAAGTGATCCTTTTGCCTTAGCCTGCCAAGAGCTGGGACTACAGGTACACTCCACCACACCCAGCTAATTTTTTTTTTAACTTGTGTTTTTGAGATGGAGTCTTGCTATGTCGCCCAGGCTGGTCTGGGAGTTGTTTCCTCTAGTTATCTTCCTGCCTCAACTTTGTGAGTAGGTGGGATTACAGGCGTGTGCCACCTTGCCTGGCTTAGTGGCTTATATTCTATTTATTTATTTATTTATTTACTTTGGTTGCTTCGACTTTTTTTTTTTTTTTCCTATTATGGTTTCTTCTTCCTGTAATTTTCTTCCTCGTGCACCAGGTCTGTCTATAACGCCTAGAGAGTCAGCTTCTTGAGGAACTGTGGTTTATTTATTTTTATACCAGGTGTGGAATGTGTTCAGTAAATACAGGGAGAACTGAACCCACAGGCATTGCCTTCCTTCTGTTAATAAGTCCAGAGAAATTGCCATCCCTTGTTAGAAGTTATCAGTCTCAGGGAACAAGTAACTTTATATAGCTGTGGGTATATTTTGAGCCTGATTTTTAACAGAAGAGGAAACAGGCATGGTCCCTAGAAAATGTTTTGCCTGTGGAGAGTCTGTCCCACAATTTCCAACATAAATGTAACAGTCATGGGTAGAAAGTTTGTATAGCAAACTTTTTCTTTGAAAGCCCCAGAAGCTCTGCTCTGTAGCATATAAACAGATGGCTCAGGCATCAGGCCTAATCTTAACAAATGACTGTTCAGAAATAATCTGAGTGGGGTCACACCTGTTTCTAGTTTGTACATATAGTCTCTGTGTGATTCATACCAAGAAATATCAGTATGTTGGTTTCTTGCACTGTTCTCCCACCAAGCAAATCTGGAATTATCGCATATAGATTTGGGTGGAAAACTTTGCTACTGTCCAAATATAAATGGAGGGAAAAGTCCCTCTTGCTTAATTGAATACCATTTCACTTCTATAATGACAATTTTTTTTTTTTTTTTTTTTGAGATGGAGTTTCACTCTTTTGCCCAGGCTGGAGTACAATGGCGCGATCTCGGTTCACTGCAACCTCTGCCTCCCGGGTCCAAGCGATTCTCCTGCCTTAGCCTCCCCAGTAGCTGGGATTACAGGTGCCTACCACCATGCCCGGCTAATTTTTGTATTTTTGTATTTTTTTTTTTTTTAAGTAGAGATGGGGTTTTATCATGTTGGCCAGGCTGGTCTTGAACTCCTGACCTCAGGTGATCTGTCCACCTTGGCCTCCCAAAGTGCTGGGATTACAGGAGTGAGCCAACGTGCCCGGGCCTATAATGACAGTTACAAGGGCCGCACAATAGTATAACACTATACCCAGGGGTTTCAGCTATATCAGTAGTGTTTCTTACACTGGGTATATGGGTATTTTTTTTGTTTGTATTTTTAGCTGTCATATTTTTACAAGTGTCTAAGATATTTTGTATTAAATTAAAAGCAACGTGGTTAATATACATGTATCCAATGTAGTTAACTTAGGTTGCTAACTTTCTTTTAAATTCACCATATTTGAACTACAGAAAGTAACTTCTTTTTTTTTTTTTTTTTTTTTATTTGAGACAGAGTCTCGCTCTATCGCCCAGGCTGGAGTGCAGTGGCGCGATCTCGGCTCACTGCAACCTCCGTCTCCCAGGTTCATGCCATTCTCCTGTCTCAGTCTCCCAGGTTCATGCCATTCTTCTGTCTCAGCCTCCCAAGTAACTGGGACTATAGGCGCATGCCACCACGCCCGGCTAATTTTGTATTTTTAGTAGAGATGGGGTTTCACCGTGTTAGCCAGGATGGTCTCGATCTCCTGACCTCATGATCCGTCTGCCTCGGTCTCCCAAAGTGCTGGGATTACAGGCGTGAGCCAAAGTAACTTTTAAAAATGGGAAAATGAATTATTCCCTTAGGAAAATATTGCTGTTCGTTATAGCAGTAGTTTCTCAAAGCTGTTGAAATTCCCTGCCTATCATTCTTCTGAGTTTCAAAACATTTTTTCAAGAGAGGCTGTGAGTCCTTGTGGAATTTAAGGGGAGCTAGAAAATTTTCTCCAATTTTAAAAGCATATGCTGTAGAGGCTTGAAGGAGGTGGTGACACAAGTGGCCACCTGGGCATGGGCACTGCCTGGGGCATCACCTTGACGGAATCAGCACAATCCAGAGTGCAAGAGTCAGGCTCAAAAATCTCATGTCATGGGAAGACCTGATTTAATCTAGCTCGCTAAAAATGATGTGTAAAACCAGGACCCAAGTTTAGTAATTTATAAGCAGTAAGGAACTGCCAAGGGTCCCAGGTATGTGTGCCCTCTGCCTAGGCCAAGATTTTCCTATAGTTAGGGCACATGGGAACCAGAACAAACCAGAAGTTTCTTGGTGAACATGGAATCAGAAGAATGTTACCTTGAAAAAGTAGATATTTTCATAAGTCGGCCAGGCGCGGTGGCTCACGCGTGTAATCCCAGCACTTTGGGAGGCCGAGGTGGGCAGATCACCTGAGGTCAGGAGTTCAAGACCAGCCTGGCCTGGCCAACATGGTGAAACCCCATCTCTACTAAAAATACAAAAAAATTACCCATGCGTGATGGTGTATGCCTGTAGTCCCAACTACTTGGGAGGCTGAGACAGGAGAATCACTTGAATCCGAGAGACAGAGGTTGCAATGAGCCGAGACTGCGCCACTGTACTCCAGCCTGGGCGACAGAGTGAGACTCTGTCTCAAAAAAAAAGAAAAGAAAAGAAAAAGTACATATTTTTATAAGCAGAGAATTGCTGCCTCCAGGACCAGACAAATTCCTTTGAGTCAGGGCACCTTTTCCTCTGCGCGGTGCTTCAGTGGTGCTTCAGTGCCTGTCTGCCTCTTGAGATGGCTGCTTAGTAAAGTGGTTAAGACAGTCTGCAGTATTCAGAAACACCTAGGTTGCATCCAAGTGCTGTCATTTAAGTAATTATTAAATCACTTAATTTCCCAAGTTCATTGATTTTTCATTTGTAAGTTGGGGATAATAATAGTACCTACTTGATAGTGGTTATGAGGATTCGGTGTTAAATGTAAAACATTTAGCAAAGGACCTGGTATTTGGGAAACTCTCAATAAGTGTTCTTCTTTATTACCATTTTTGTTGATGTTATGTTATTGTTATTAGTGACTCCTATCCCCTGTTGTAGTAACTGACCAAATTCTCTTCATAGGAATTCTTTTCTTTTCTTTTTTTTTGGTGAGATGGAGTCTTGCTCTGTTGCCCAGGCTGGAGTGCAAATGGCGCGATCTCGGCTCACAGCAACTTCCGCCTCCCGGGTTCAAGCGATTCTCTCACCTCAGCCTCCCAAGTAGCTGGGATTACAGGCACCTGCCACCACTCCTGGCTAATTTTTGTATTTTTAGTAGAGACTGGGTTTCACTATGTTGGCCAAGCTGGTCTTGAACTCCTGACCTCAGGTGATCCACCCACCTTGGCCTCCCAAAGTGCTGGGATTGCAGGCAGGAGCCACCGCACCTGGCCTAAAAAGTTTTTTAATCCTCAGGATATGGGGAAGTTGTGAAACCATGGAAGTCTCTTCAAGGTTATTTTTTTCATGTTTGCTGTGGTATATTGTGTTAGTTTTATAACTTAGAGGACAGTTTTCTTTCAGCTGTTTCTGAGGGGGGTGTGTGCATGCTGGGGCGTCTTTATTGTTGTTCCCATATATGGCCTTCATACATAACTATTGTTTTGAAGTTGAGTTAAATACTGAGCCACTGCTAAAAATTACCTCCAGGGTATTTTGTTGAAGATGAAAGTCTAGCAAAATATATATAGTGGCCTCTCATTTCTTAATTATAGGCTTTGGTTTATCATAGATCTTTACGAAATGTTTTTTAAATTGTGTGTTTAGTGCGTTACACACAATGTCAAGTTTTTGTTCCATAGACTGTAAGCTCCATCAAAGTAGGACTCTTGTTGACTGGAGCATTGCCAGGGTCTGGGATGGCACCTTGCACCTATGTTGTTGCTGAATAAATGTTTACTTAGTTTAAAAATTAAGAGTTTAGTTTTGAATTTAGATTGATAAACATGGACAGCAGTACAATTAAGTCAGCCTTTGTTTGCTCTGATTTTATTTCCTGGAGAGAGGTAAACATTTCCAAAGTTTTGTATACAGATAGAAAAGCACCATTTTCTTTAGACTCTTCTTTTTCACTTTGGGGCTTCTTCTGAAACACTTAGAAAGTGATCTAGTTGTAGTGGCTCCCTGATGTAAGATTGCTGTGTCAAGGGAGTGTCAGCTTCCTCACTGGACTTTGAACAGATACTTCTCATAGCACCTTATGGCAGATGGGGATATTTTTTCGCTAGGGGATTTGTTAGAATAGAGAGGAATCAAGCATATAACGCAAACCATAACCCTCAAGCACAACTTTAGAAAGTGTTCTTGGCCATCAAAGTGTTTTATTTTAAATTAGTGTCTTAGGTATTCCAAATATCCACTGACCTTATCTTGACTGTTATCTGAGTAGACATCAAGAATTTCATGCTTATTTCCTTGTGTACTAGCTGTTTTCATTTGGACTCTAAAAATAGCTGATATATATGTAAAGTAAAAGTCTAGTACCCAGAAACTTTTTTACCTTTTGGGCCAAGTAGTTATTCATTTAGGTATGTACGTTATAAAACAAGTAAGACCGAGGTAGAGACAAGAATCTGTGAATATTTTCAGTTAGAGCTATTGGACCGTCTGAAGCAAATATAATGTTAGGTTGGTTGGCCTCTCACCTAGATAGAGAAAGCTTTCCCAAGTCTAACACCAATTATAAATGATCAGGGATTTTTCTTGATGTTTAGGTTTTGTTACTTTTCTTCTTTGGTCTAGGTAATTAAGAATTAGCCATATAAATAAGTATGGAAATTACACATACAAACATGGAGGATATGCATTTTAAAGTCTATTCTACAATCACAAGTTATTGCAGAATTTGGAAACCTGTTTATTTGAAGAATAGAGTATTATTCAACCTAGACTTAGTGCCTAATAAACTTAAAGGCTAATAACCTAAGATGTTTTCCTTTCAGTATTGGATTTTTCCCTTGAGATACCAGATGTCCTTATTTTCTTACCATCAGTCTGTCACAGTAGTGTAGTCTCAGGACCATGTGGAATTAAGCATGAATTTACTCATTCGAGATTTGTAAGGTGAATTACAAAATGGTGGACATGAGGGAACTGATGGTGTTTTGGGGGCTCTAAGTGCTGTCACTGTCTTTGGTGTATAGAATCAGATTCCATTCCTTCTAATATCTCTAGAAGCTTTGACTTTCTGCTGTCTCCATTTGGGTAAATGAGCGTTATTGTGCTGGAAGCTTTATTTACCTCATTTAATCTTCACAATGAGTTAGGCGTTGTATTATCTTTTCCATTTTCAAATTAGGAAACTAAACTTAAGAAAAGTTTGAGTGATTACGTAGCTAATAAGCAAAAGACCCAGGATTTGAGATTTTATATCAGACTTCTGCTCGAACTTTGACCTTTAAATTTGTGGCGGTCATGGACCCCTTTGAGATCTGATGCAAACACAGAATTTTGTATACAATTTCAGGTGGTTCATAGCCACTCTCTCCCCCAAGTCCATCCATGGGCCTAGGCTGTGGGCCTGGAGGCTTCCTGGTTAAGGCAGTCTTTCCCTTTTTCTCCCCTTGTCACAGAGCAGGATCTTTCTTCCCTGGTCTTCTACTTCCCAGAGTGAAAGATGCTGGAAGGATGGAATATTTGTGAACAATTCAAGACCTTCATAATTAAAAAATAATAATTTGCCTCTGAATATAGAGCCTCCCCTCGCTGACCCTTCTACTACAGATGCCCTTTTTTTCTTTGGCCTTCATCTTTAGGTCTCAGGAAGGGCCATTCATTGCTCAGTGGGACAACTTACTATTAAGGAAAAAGCCCCTCTCAGGGGGGACAGAGGGGAGGTCATGAGTGGGAATTCCCCCACTGTCCTGCTGATGGTAGATCCATGTCTGTCTTCCCTGCTAGGCAGCAGGTATGTGATGCATCTTCAGGAATTGAATGGATGATTCATTCTTCCTTTATACATTAATCAAGTTCCCAGGCCAATTGTTGAGCCCTCTGTATCATTCTTCTTGTCAGATACACACTTTATGTGAATATGGCATTTTCTTTTCTATTAACAAGGATTCATCATTCTTTTAACAGTATGCCAATTTAGCGAATATTTTCCTATTCAGTTCTCTGAGCAATTTGTTCATAAACAAATGTCACTTAGATTTCCTTTATCTTTTAATGAATTGACAGAACATACAGAGGCAATTTAAGTTTTTGCCTAAGATGCTAACATTACTAGAAGAAACTGTGTATGTCACAAATCCTTCATGAGGATTGGTAGCATGTAGTAGAAATAACTTCCTATCAAGGGTTTGTACCACTTTCTATAGTAGATTACCCAAATATGATCATTAAAAGGTGTATAGTGTTGAGATTTATATATGGGGCAGAGTAGTTTTGTTATTTTAAATAAGTTTTGACTTATTTTGCCTACTCAGGCTAAGAAAATATACGGGTAATCTCATGCTGAGTGGCAAGCTCATGTGAATCTAAAAACAACTTATTGGCCGGGCAAGGTGGCTCATGCCTGTAATCATAGCACTTTGACAGGCCGAGGCAGTAAGATTTCTTCAGTCCAGGAGTTCACCACCAGCCTGGGGAACATAGTGAGACCCTATCTATACAAAAAATTAAAAAATTAGCTGGGCATGGTGTCATATACCTGTAGTTCCAGCTACTCTAGAGGCTGAGGTGGGAGGATCACTTGAACCCAGGAAGGCAAGGCTGCAGTGAGCCATGATCATGCCACTGCACTCTAACCTGGGTGGCAGAGCAAGACACTGTCTCCAGAAAAAATAAAAATAAAAACAACTTGTTATGTTACAGTTACTTAGATGGCTCAGACTTCGTTGACTTGTCAAATGAACCTCAATGTCAAGTGAATTTTCAGCACATTGAACTTTATACCATTTGATTCAACTACATTTGGCAAAGTGGGGTTTTGGAAGAAAAGAGGTAAAGTTTTGGTGCTCAATGGACTTGGGTTCAAATCCCTGCAGACTACCTGTGTGAACTGAGGAAACCAACTTCCCTGGGATTTGTTTCTTTTGTATGTGATATGGCTGCATGTAATAGTAAGAATGATAGCTCTGCATTGGGTACTGACCATATTCCATGCCCTGTGCTAGTTGCTTTACATATGTGTAACCCTGTGTATAATCAACTTTGTTTCCTCCCACCATCTCGTTGATGGAGTGGACCAAAGACCAATAGCATCCATAGGACACTCATTAACTGGCAGCTCTTTTTTAGTATTCTTTAGCCGTTTCCACTTTCTGTTTCATCATGTAAATTTGTTAGTTGGAATAATACACTGAGGGATAATAATGGATTGGAGAAAAATCACTGGAGAGGTATTATTGTTAAGTCAGGCAACTGAGTTCAGAGCTGCACTGCTGAGAATTAAGATATTCACCATAACATCCTTTCTCTTCCTGCAAGTTTGGTATGAAATATCTAGAAAATAACCTTCTCAGTCCCTTGTATTTTGCACTTAGAAATAATATGTAGACACTTGCATACTTGATTCGCCTGTGTTTTTATGATTGACACCTATTTTGAAGTCAAATTTATGCTTAGTGACTTAAGGAAATAACACTTAAACCATACAGTATGATAACAGAAAAATGAAGCATGTTTAATAGTGAATATGTCTAAAATTGTATTATTATTATTTGTATAATGTATGCTACCCTTCAATAGAATGCAGATTTCTCTGTATGATGCTATACAACTAATGCCTGGCTAGGGCAGCTAGTTGGTGACAGCCCCCTGCTAGAATTCAGGTCTTCCAGCTCTTGTTTTAGCACTTTTC
The DNA here is from genome assembly GCF_000001405.40 of Homo sapiens. Classification (NCBI taxonomy): domain Eukaryota; kingdom Metazoa; phylum Chordata; class Mammalia; order Primates; family Hominidae; genus Homo; species Homo sapiens. The sequence goes on along the minus strand of NC_000014.9, from coordinate 88,539,653 downwards.
TCTCAATATACTGCTTTTCCATGGAGCCATTGCCATTTTCCTAAAAGAAAAGCAATCCAAGTGTTGATATTGTCTATTTACTTTAAAAGGAAATAAAGGGAAAGAAGGCCAGGCGTGGTGGCTCATGTCTGTAATCCCGGCAGTTCGGGAGGCCAAGGTGGGCGGATCACCTGAGGTCGGGAATTGGAGACCAGCCTGACCAACATGGAGAAACCCCATCTCTACTAAAAATACAATATTGCTGGCCATGGTGGTGCATGCCTGTAATCCCAGCTAGTCAGGAGGCTGAGGCAGGAGAATCGCTTGAACCTGAGAGGTGGAGGTTACATTGAGTCAAGATCATGCCATTGCACTCCAGCCTGGGCAACAAGAGCAAAACTATGTCTCAAAAAAAAAAAAAAAATTAACCGGGCGTGGTGGCAGTCGCCTGTAATCTCAGCTACTCGGGAAGCTGAGGCAGGAGAATTGCTTGAACCCAGGAGGTGGAGGTTGCAGTGAGCTGAGATTGTGCCATTGCACTCCAGCCTGGGCAACAGAGTGAGACTCCATCTCAAAAAAAAAAAAGGAAAGAAAAGGAAAAGTTCCCAAAGATAGAATCCTATTAGTGAAGGAAGTATTTAAGTGTAGGATCTCCTCTACTAAATAAATGTAATACGAAATTTTATACTGTTTAAAGGGACTAGAAAACCATGATAAGAAGATCTCGTATTACTTGAGCACTTGTTTGCATGAGACACTTTTGTAAGTGCTTTAAATGTTTTTGCTTATTTTGATCTTCACAAAAATCCTGTATATGAGGCACTGTTATGCTCATCTCCATTTTACTGATGGGAAAACTGAGACACAAAGGTATTAAGTGACTTGCTCATGGTTACATGGCGGAAACCACAGCTAGAGTAGTTCTGACTCCTTGAACAGCATCTTTCTTCCTGGTTTATAACCTTTGACAAATGACAGGTGGCCTGCTCTGGAGCTCATGCCCTTGATGACAGCCTGGCTCAGAGTGGCCTCCTAAATGTGACAGTAGTTTTTGTAAGTACTCTGGAGATATTTGTTATCATTTAATTTTTGTATTTTTACAATTATCTTGCTTAAGATAGGTTTTTGCACTCACGTCAGGCAAAGAAAGGTAAGCATGAGAAGGAACATGAGTGTCATTAGGCCCGCAAGACACTGTTGGGGAATCCCCAGGGTGTTTAGGGCAGAGCTGTTTGATGAGAAGCCTTTGGTGAGCTTGTTCCCTGGCAGAGTTGGAAGTATCAGACTGATGAAATACATCCCAGGAGTGTTCTCTGCTGAGATATTTTCCAAAGCAATATCTGCTTGCACTACTGTTAGATGAATTTGGTGGGCTTCTAGATTCAGATTCTTCATCCAAGCAAGGAGAAAGGTAGAGGCAGTGAGTCCGTTGAAGTGCTGGCTGCCTTTCGTGATGAGCCCAGGCTGTGACTGAAGAATAAGAAGTTCTAGTTTATCTTTGGTTATGTGGGTCGTAAACTAAACAACCTTTATATGGTAGCACATAGAGCATATTAGCTTTTGACTGTATTGAAACTTTGTGCAGTAACATCTCAATTATCCCTGTCATTCTTGTTGGTTATATATATACAGTCATGTGCTGCATATCACATTTTTGGTCAATGACAGACTGCTTATAAGATGGTGGTCCCATAAAATTATAATACTGTATTTTTACTGTACCTTTCCTATGTTTACATAAGTGTAGATACACAAATACCATTGTGTTTCAGTTGCCTACAATATTCACTACAGTAATGTGCTGTACAGGTTTGTAGCCTAGCAGCAGTAGGCTATATCACATGCCCTAAATGTGTAGGAGGCTATACCATTTAGGTTTGTGTAAGTACACTCCATAATGTTCACACAATGAAATAGCCTAATGATGCATTCCCACATCGTTAAGGGACACGTGACTACTAAAATTTCCCCTTTAATCCTAGTTTACTCTTTAAAAACATGTTGATATTGTCTTAATCTTATAATTCAAGATCTTTCTCCATAGCACTTATCAGTATCTGGCATAATATATATTTTGCTTGTCTATTTTTCCCTATTGGAATTAAGTTACGTGAGGGCAGGAATTTTGTTCTCATGTTCAATGCTGTATTCCTAGTTCCCAGAACAGTGATTGACATGTAGTAGGTATTCAATCAATATTCATTGAATGAATAGATGAATCTTTCTAAACATTAGTCCAGTTAAAAATAGAGTATATTTATTTGTGTTTCAGAGGCATCATATTCATAGCATCTCATTGTCCAGGATAGTAAATAGAAAAGAGATAAGCAGTTCATCCATGTGGACAGTAATCTCAGTTTGTGCCTCCTACTGTCTTTCAGTCCCTGAAATTGTCTTATCATTTGACTCTTCCTTAAAGATAAATGCTACAGCAACAACAAAAATCTAGCCACACGAGAAGTTCAGTTACTTGGACTTCAGTATAATTTCAGAATAATTTAGAAGGTCAAGATGTACTCTTGATTATTTTCTTGAGTCTTCATTTAGTTGTAATAGAGTATAATGATATTGCATATTACCACTTTGGCTGTAAAATATATATTATTTGATCAAGTATAGAAGAAAACTGATTAAAATTAAACAGAAAAGGAAAAAATGCTGCCTGCTTTGAGGCAATGTGACCGCCACTATCTGTCACAAGGAAGAAGTACGATACTTCATTATTTATGGCAGACTCTGTAAAGGTAAGCTCCAGGCTTGAATTAGGTTAATACTTGTTAACTACCCTTGTTAGATGATCTCTTCCCGGGATAGACTTTATCTAGTGCTATCTTCTGTCATCTCTTTCCTGATGAAAAGTCTTCTGACTTCTGCCTAGTCTAAGAAAGGCATCAGGATGAAATTATATTTGCAATTTTAGATGGGATTAACTTTTATCAACCCAATGCATCAGTGGCTTTAAAAACCCTTCAGCTAATTTCTGTGTCCCTCTGCTCTACTTTAAAAATAGTACAACCAAAAAGACTCTTAAAATAATTAGACGAGAAATGACTTAGGGATTAGGAAAGGGTTTACATTCTGACAGGATTTGGACCTGCTTTTAATAGCTGACGTCTCCTTAGGGGACTATGATTTGGGTGCTGCACATTTTTTCCCCATCTCAAATTTGTAAACTCTCTTTTGCTTTGAACAAAAAACTTGGTTATCAAATCACTTTGTTCTCAGTCAACATCAGTTCATGTAAAGTAAGTCAACCATATTGTGCTGAAAAGAAGCCAAGTTTGTTTTAACTTTTATTTTTACTGTAGTTTACAAAGCAGGCACAGTTATCTGTACAATTTTAGAAGAGTAGCTATGAAAAAATTTTAAACAACTATGAAGAAATCATTGAATAACTTTTTGAAAACTATCCTGATATGTTTGTTCATAACAAAATAGGAAAGGAAGGGAGAATGTAAACACACCTGACAATGAAAGTTTCACAAAATTCTCTACAGTGACTATTGAGAATTGATCTAGGGGATGCTAGAAGATTCAGTGATTTAACAACTTCTGCTGGAATGAGTTTCCCACAGGTCAAGTCAATTTGCTTTGATCACCAGTGAGAGTGGATGCAGCTGTGGAGAAAGAGAAGCCACGTGGAGGTAAAGTTTCTTATCAGGAAAAGCACTGGAAAGTTATATAACAAAGTGTGGCAGGAGACATGAACTGAACGCCAATAACTAAAGGCTGTCTGCTGGAAAACTTCTGTTACAATTAAACGAACTCCATTAACAGGACGTGCATAGTCCAGAAGATTTGGACTCAAGGAAGAGAGGATGTGTGCTTCTGGGAAGATATCCTAGACCAAGGCAGTAGTTAAAATTTCAGGCACATGGGCCTGTCTGTAGCAAAGTTTTTGCCTTTCTTTTAGTAAAAGTCCTGGTATGTTCAGACTTTAAAGGAAGAAATTAGTTTGACTGTTATTTGAATAGTGATATTTTCAAGGAAGAAGCATGCTTGATTCAAGTTTTATTCTATTTTCTGTCATACCTGAAGAGATCCTATCTGCTAAATATAGGTACCATGACAAAGGTAAGAGTGCTTTTCAGTATTATCAGTACGATTAGAACTTACAAAGTTCTTCACCACAATTTTGAGGAAGGAAGAGTACATGTTAAATTCCCTATTAAGAAACAGACTCAGTGAGGAAGTGAGACATTCCAGAGCTGGCAAGTGGTAAAGTCAGGACTCAAAGGCCGAGCCTTTTGCCTGCAAATCTAGTGCTCTTTGTACCACACCATGCTAGTGGCAGCTATTGGAATCTCAGGCATTGTCACCCGGGGGAAATACAGCCATGTGTCACTTAAGGACAGGGAAATGTTCTAAGAAATTCGTTAGGCAATTTCATTGTTGTGTGAACATCACAGGGAGTACTTAAACCTACGTGGTATAGCCTACTGCACACCTGCTATGTGCTGTGGCCTAGTCCTGGTAGGCTATAATAAACCTGTCCAACATGTTACTATACTGAATACTGTAGGTAATTATATATATATAACAATGGTGAGTATTTGTGTACTTAAACATATCTAAGCATAGAAAAGGTGCAGTAAAAATGTGAGGTAAAAGATTAAAAAGGTACACCTGTATAGGGTACTTACCGTGAATGGCGCTTGCAGAACTAAAAGTTGCTGTGGGTGAGTCAGTGAATACGAAGGCCTAGGAAGTTGCACTATAGTAGTAGGACACTATTGTAGCCTCTAGAAACACTGTACAGCTAGGCTACATTAAATATATCACAATTTTTTAATTTTTTAAGACAGAGTCTCACTCTGTTGCCCAGGTTGGAGTGCAGTGACGCAATCATGGCTCACTGCAGCCTCGACTTCCAGGCTCAAGCATTCTCCCAAGTAGCCTCAGCCTCCCAAGTAGCTGGAATTATAGGCGTGCACCACCACACCTGGCTAATTTTTGTAGTTTTAGTAGAAATGGGGTTTCAACATGTTGGCCAGGCTTGTCTTGAACTCCTGACCTCAGGTGATCCTCCCACCTCGGCCTCCTAAAGTGCTGGGATTACAGGCATGAGCCACCACACCTGGCCTTCGATAATAAATTAACCTCAGCTTACTATAACGTTTTTGCTTTACAAACTTTTAAATTTTTAAAACTTTTGACTCTTGTAATAACATAGGTTAAAACACAGACACATTGTACAGCTATACAAAAATATCTATATCCTTACCCTATAAGCTTTTTTCTATTTTAAAGTATTTTTTTGTTTTTTACTTTTTAAACTTTTTTTTTTTTCTTTTGAGACAGTCTTACTTTGTTGCCCAGGCTGGGGTACAGTTGCGTGATCTTGGCTTACTGCAACCTCTGCGTCCTGGGTTCAAGCCATTTTTGTGCTTCAGCCTCCCAAGTAGCTGGGATTACAGGTGTGCACCACCAAGCGCCCCCCGCCCCCCCTTTTTTTTAATTTTTAGCAGAGGTGGGTTTTTGCCGCGTTGGCCAGGCTGATCTTGAACTCTCCTCGCCACAAGTGATCCACTCACCTTGGCCTCCCAAAATGCTGAGATTACACGTGTGAGCCACCGTGCCCGGCCACTTTTTAAACTTCTGTGTTGAAAACTAAGACACACATATTAGCCTAGCCTTAAACAGGGTCAGGATCATCAATAACACTTTCTTTCACCTCCACATCTTGTCCTCCTGGACAGTTTTCAGGGGCGGTAACATGCATGGCTCTGTCATCCCCTATGATAACAATGCCTTCTTCTGGAAACCTCCTGAGGCTGATTTCCAGTTCACTGTTTTTTTTATTTGAAAGAGGGTCTCATTCTGTCACCCAGGCTGTAGTGCAGTGGCTCAATCACAGCTCACTGCAGCCTCGAACTTCTGGGCTCAAGCAATCCTCCTGCCTCAGCCTCCTAGTTGGGTCTACACCACCACACCTGGCTGATTTTTGTATTTTTTGTTGTGATGGGGTCTCACTATGTTGCCCAGGCTGTTCTTGAACTCCTTGGCTCAAGTGATCCTCTGGCCTCAGTCTCCCAAAGCACTGGGATTACAGATGGGAGCTACTGCACCTGGCCTACAGTTAACTTTTTTATAAATAGGAGTACACTCTAAATAAAAAGTATAATAAATGCATAAATCAGTAACATAGTCATTTATTATCGTCCAGTGTTATGTACTGTACATAGTTGTATGTGCTGTGCTTTTGTGCAATTGGTAGCACGATAGGTTTGTTTATACCAGCATCACTACAGACATGTGAGTAATGCATTGCACTGCAACTTAGCAACTACAACATCACTATGTGATAGGAATTTTTCAGCTGTTACAGTCTTAGGGGACCACCATCGCATTTGTGGTCTGTCGTTGACTAAAACATTGTTATGCGGCACGTGACTGTAATTAGCTTCTATGCTACTAGTTAAACCTTTCAAAAAACAAATAACAGCAGGTACCAAAACAGAAATGGAAACAGCTTTCATGTTTGGCTTTGGAAAATATGCTTGTACTTGTAAGTGAAGTAATGAAACCCCAATTAAATTGGCTAGAGTACTGTAAAGCTTTATATAAAATAAGTTATTTTTGGAAAATAAGTTATTTCTTGGAAATAAGTTATTTCTTTGGGAAATGAAGCGCTTCATAACTAACTTTGCCTGATAAACAAGGTTGACTCCTTTGTCCAAACTATTTGGAGTGCTAAGTTTTGGAAACAATTTATAAATTTCTATCTGTCGTAAATAAAGGATACTACCTCTGCTTTTAGGAACAGTGATTGTTGTTGAATACATGACTAATTAATGTTTGGAGTTATTTGTTTCTTTAGTAAGTAACTCCAGACTCCCATATATTTGTAATTCTTTGTAAATTCTATTTAAGGGGTTTTTGTTTGTTATGTACGTGTTCTCCTTTGCTAAAAAGAATGTTGCCCATCACTTCCCTCTACTGCCAACTTGCTATTATTAAATAAGCCCTTTTCCTTTAATTTGTCATCTTTTAATCTGCTTTGGATTGGATTACCAAATCGCTAAACTCATTAAAAGTATGTATAAAATAAGAAAAAAAATCCATAAAAGAGATAGGAGAAATTTCTTCTTTGTCAAGGGCATATACTTTATAACATTGACTTTAATATGTATTTTTGATTGCTCAAACACATTTTTCCCTATTCTCTGTTCTTCAATTATGTTCACGTGAGGTTGCCAGTTAACTGTCAAACGGCACAAAATCTTGACGTAAGTATAGATATTAGAAAATAGAAATTGTAATGAACTCATAGGCTCGTCTATTTCTGGCTCATTTTTTTTCTTAGACTTAATGAACTGAATTTGTTGTATTTAAACATTTTAAAATAGAGCTGAAAATATCTGTACTTGTTATGTCCTTTCCTGGTTTTGGTATTAGGGTAATGCTGGCTTCATAGAATGATTTAGGGAGGATTCCCTCTTTCTCTATCTTTTGGAATAGTTTCAGTAGGATTGGTACCAATTCTTCTTTGAATGTGTGATAGAATTCAGCTGTGAATCCATCTGGTCCTGGACTTGTTTTTTGTTGGCAGTTTTTTTTTTTTTAATTACCGTTTCAGCCTCAATACTTGTTATTGGTCTGTCCAGAGTTTCTGTTTCTTCCTGGTTTAATCTAGGAGAGTTGTCTATTTCCAGGATTTTATCCATCTCCCTTAGGTTTTCTAGTTTATGCACGCAAAGGCGTTCATAGTAGACTTGAATGATCTTTTGTATTTCTGTGGTATTGGTTGTAATATCTCCCAGTTCATTTCTAATTGAGCTTATTTAGATATTCTCTTTTCTTGGTTAATCTCGCTAATGGTCAATCAATTTTGTTTACCTTTTCAAAGAACCAGCTTTTTGTTTTTGTTTTGTTTTGTTTCAATTTCATTTGGTTCTGCTCTGATCTTTGTTATTTCTTTTTTTCTGCTGGGTTTGGGTTTGGTTGGTTCTTGTTTCTCTAGTTCCTTGAGTTGTGAGCATAGATTGTCTGTGTGCTCTTTCAGACTTTTTGATACAGGCATTTAATGCTATGAGTTAATATATATTTAATGTATATTTAATGCTCTTAGAGCTGCTTTTGCTGTATCACAGAGGTTTTTTGTTTGTTTGTTTTTTTGAGATGGAGTCTCACTCTGTTGTCCAGGCTGGAGTGCAGTGGCGCAATCTCGGCTTACCACAACCCCTGCCTCCCTGGTTCAAGCAATTCTCCTGCCTCAACCTCCCGAGTAGCTGGGACTACAGGCATGCACCACCATGCCTGGCTAATTTTTGTAATTTTAGTAGAGATGGGGTTTCACTATGTTGGCCAGGCTGGTCTTGAACTCCTGATCTCGTGATCTGCCAGCCTCAGCCTCCCAAAATGTTGGGATTACAGGCGTGAGCCACTGTGCCCAGCCATATCCCAGAGGTTTTATAGGTTGTGTCACTATTATCATTCAGTTCAAAGAATTTTTAAATTTGTCTTTATTTTGTTGTTGATTCAAAATTATTCAGGAGCATATTATTTAATTTCCATTTATTTATATAGTTTTGAGGGTTACTTTTGGAGTTAATTTCCAGTTTTATTCCATTGTCGTCTGAGAGAGTACTTGATGTAATTTTGATTTTTTTAAAATTTGTTGAGCCTTGTTTTGTGGCCTATCATATGGTCTATCTTGGAGAATGTTCCATGTTTTGATGAAAATAATGTATATTCTGCAGTTGTTGGGTAGAATGTTCTGTAAATATCTGTTAAATCCATTTGTTCTAGGGTATAGTTTAAGTCCATTGTTTCTTTGTTGACTTTCTGTCTTGATGACCTGTCTAGTGCTGTCAGTGGAGTATTGAAGTCCCCCACTATTACTGTGTTGCCATCTATCTCATTTTTTTGGTCTAGTAGTAATTGTTTTGTAAATTTGGGAACTCCAGTGTTAGGTGCATATATATCTAGGATGGTAATATTTTCCTGTTGGACTAGACCATTTATTATTCCATAATGTCCCTCTTTGTCTTTTTTAAGTGTCGTTGCTTTAAAGCCTGATTCGCCCAATATAAGAATAACTACTCCTGCTTGCTTTTGGTTTCCATTTACATGGAATATCTTTTTCCACTCCTTTACCTTAAGTTTATGTGAGTTCTTATGTGTTAGATGAACCTCTTGAACACAGCAGATACTTGGTTGGTGGATTTTTATCCATTCTGCCATTCTGTATCTTTTAAGGGAAGCATTTAGGACCATTTACATTCAAGGTTAGTACTGAAATGTGAGGTACTGCTCTATTCATCGTGCTAGTTGTTGCCTGAATAATTTGGTTTTTTTTCCCCCATTGTGTTACTGTTTTATAGGCCCTGTGAGATTTATGCTTTAAGGAGTTTCTATTTTGGTATATTTTGAGGTTTTGTTTCAAGATTAAGAGCTCCTTTCAGCATTTTTTGTAGTGCTGGCTTGGTAGTGGCAAATTGTTTCAGCATTTGTTTGTCTGAAAAAGACTTTATCTCTCCTTCATTTATGAAGCTTGGTTTTGCTGGATACAGAATTCTTGGCTGATAATTGTTTTGTTTAAGGAGGCTAATATAGGACCCCAATGCCTTCTGGCTTGTAGAGTTTCTGCTGAGAAATCTGCTGTTAATCTGATAGGTTTTCCTTTATAGGTTACCTTGTGCTTTTGCCTCACAGCTCCTAAGATTCTTCTTTTTCTTTTTTTTTTTTTCTTGAGATGGTGTCTGACTCTGTCGCCCAGACTGAAGTGCATGGTGTGATTTTGGCTCACTGCTACCTCCACCTCCTGGGTTCAAGCAATTCTCTGGCCTCAGCCTTCCAAGTAGCTGGGATTACAGGTTCCTGCCACCATGCCCGGCTGATTTTTATATTTTTGGTAGAGATGGGGCTTCACCATGTTGGCCAGACTGGTCTCAAACTCCTTGCCTCAAGTGGTCTGCCCACCTTGGCCTCCTAAAGTGCTGGGATTACAGGAGTGAGCCACTGCACCTGACCTTTAAGATTCTTTCCTCTGTCTTGACTTTAGATAATCTGATGACTGTGTGCCTAGGTGATGATCTTTTTGTGATGTATTTCCTGGGTGTTCTTTGAGCTTCTTGTGTTTGGATGTCTAAATCTCTAGCAAGACCAGGGAAGTTTTTCTTGATTATTCCCTCAAATAAGTTTCCCCAAGTTTTAGATTTCTCTTCTTCCTCAGGAATACCAATTATTCTTATGTTTGGTCATTTAACATAATCTAAAATTTCTTGGAGGCTTTGTTCCAAAAAAGGCTACAGACCAGTATCCCTGATGAACATAGATGCAAAAATTCTCAACAAAATACTAGCTATTTGAATCTAACACCATATCAAAAAGATAATACACCATGATCAAGTAGGTTTCATACCAGGGATGTAGGGTTGGTTTAATATCAAGTCAATAAATGTGATAGACCACAAAAACAGCATTAAAAACAATATGATCATCTCAATAGATGCAGAAAAGGCATTTAACAAAATCCAGCATTCCTTTATGATTAAAACCCTCAGTAAAATTGGCATAGAAGGGACATACCTTAAGGTAATAAAAGCCATCTATGACAAACCCAGAGCTAACATTATACTGAATGGGGAAGAGTTGAAAGCATTCCCCCTGAAAACTGGAACAAGACAAGGATGTTAACTTTCACCACTTCTCTTCAACGTAGTACTGCAAGTCCTATCCAGAGCAATCAGACAAGAGAAAGAAAGGGCATCCAAATCGGTAAAGAGGAAGTCAAACCGTCTCTATTCACTGATGATATGAACGTATACCTAGAAAACCCCTAAGACTCATCCAAAAAGCTCCTAGATCGATAAATGAATTCAGTAAATGTTTTAGTCTGTTTTCATGCTGCTGATAGTCATAGCTGAGACTGGGCAACTTACAAAAGGAAGATTTAATGGACTTACAGTTCCACATGGTTGGGAAGGCCTCACAATCATGGTGGAGGATGAAAGGCACGTCTCACATGGTGGCAGACAAGAGAAGAGAGTTTGTGTAGGGAAACTCCCATTTTTAAAACCATCAGATCTCATGAGACTTATTCACTATCACCAGAAAGAGCTGCCCCCATGATTCAGTTACCTCCCACCAGGTCCCTCCCACAACGTGGGAATTCAAGATGAGATTTGGGTGAGGACACAGCCAAACCATATCAGTAAAGTTTTAGGATACAAAATTCAGGTACACAAATCAGTAGCACTGCTATACACAAACAGTGATGAAGTTGAGAATGAAATCAAGAACTCAACTTCTTTTATAACAGCTGGAAAAAGAATTAAAATACTTAGGAATATACCCAGCCAAGGAGGTGAAAGAACTCTGCAAGGAAAACTACAAAACACTGCTGAAAGAAATCATAGATAACAGAAACAAATAGAAACACATCCCATGCTCAGGGATGGGTAGAATCAGTATTGTGAAAATGACCATATTGCCAAAAGCAATATATAAATTCAATGCAATTCCCATCAAAATACCATCATCTTTCTTCACAGAACTAGAAAAAACAATCCTAAAACTTACATGGAACCAAAAAAGAGCCCCCATAGCCAAAGCAAGACTAAGTAGAAAGAACAAATCTGGAGGCATCACATTACCCGACTTCCAACTGGACTACAAGCCTATAGTTACCAAAACAGCATGGTACTGGTATAAAAACATAGGTCAATGGAACAGAATAGAGAACCCAGAAATAAAGCCAAATACCCACAGCCAACTGATCTTTAGCAAAGGAAACAAAAACATAAAGTGGGGAAAGGACACCGTATTCAGCAAATGGTGCTGGGATAATTGACAAGCCACATGTATAATAATGAAACTGGATCCTCATCTCTCACCTTATACAAAAATCAACTCAAGTGGGATCAAAGACTTATACCTAAGACCTGAAACTATTAAAATTCTAAATGATAACATCAGAAAAATCCTTCTAGACATTGGCCTAGGCAAAGAGTCTGTGACCAAAAACCCAAAAACAAATGCAGCAAAAACAAAAATAGATGAGATTTAATTAAACTAAAAGGCTTCTGCACAGCAAAAGAAGTAATCAGTAGAGTAAACAGACAACCCACAGAGTGGGAGAAAATACTTGCAAACTGTGCATCTGACAAAGGACTAATATCCAGAATCCACAAGGAACTCAGACAAAGCAGTGAGAAAAGAACAAATAATCACATCAAAACATGGGCTAAAGACATGAGTTAGACAATTCTCAAAAGAAGATATACAAATGGCCCAGAAACGTATGGAAAACTGTTCAACATCACTAATTATGAGGAAAATGCAAATCAAACCACAATGCTATACCACCTTACTCCTGCAATAATGGCCATAATAAAAAAATCAAAGAATAATAGATGTTGGTGTAAATGTGGTGAGAAGGGAACACTTTTACACTGCTAGTGGGAATGTAAACTAGTACAACCACTATGGAAAACAATGTGGAGCTTCCTTAAAGAACTAAAAGTAGAACTACCATTTGATCCAGCAATCCCACTACTGGGTATCTACTAGGAGGAAAAGAAGCCACTGTATGAAAAAGACATTTGCACACACATGTTTATAGTAGCACAATTCACAATTGCAAAAATATGGAACCAGCCTAAATGTCCATCAACCAACTAGTGGATAAGGGAAAATGTGACACACACAAACACGCACACACCATGGAATACTACTCAGGAATGAAATAATGGCATTTGCAGCAACCTAGATGGAGTTGGAGACCATTATTCTAAGTGAATAACTCAGGAATGGAAAATCAAACATCGTTATGTTCTCATTTGTAAGTGGGAGCTAAGCTATGGGGATGCAAAGGCATGAGAATGATGTAATGGACTTTGGGGTTTCCAGGGGAAGGATGGGAATGGGGTGAATGATAAAAGACTACAGATTGGGTACAGTGTACACTACTCACATGATAGGTGCACCAAAATCTTAGAAATCACCACTAAAGAATGTATTCATGTAACCAAACACCACCTGTTCCCCAAAAATTATTGTAATAAAAATAAAATTATTTACTTTATTATGAATATTTCTGATCTTTAAAAACATTTTTTTACTGAGATGAAATTCACATAATGTACAACTAACCTTTTTTTTTTTTTTTTTTTTTTTTTTTTGAGATCATCTCGCTCTATTGCCCAGGCTGAAGGGCAGTGGTGTGATCCTGGCTCACTGCAACCTCTGCCTCCCAGGTTCAAGCGATTCTCCTGCCTCAGCCTCCGGAGTAGCTGAGATTACAGGTGCACACCACCATGCCTAGCTAAGTTTTTTGTATTTTTAGTAGAAATGGGGTTTCACCATGTTGGTCAGGCTGGTCTTGAACTCCTGACCTCATGATCTGCCTGCCTCAGCCTCCCAAAGTGCTGGGATTATAGATGTGAGCCACCGTGCCTGGCCACAACTAACCACTTTAAAGTAAACAACTCATTGGCATTTAGTACGATTACAATACTGTCTATTTCTAAAACATTTTCATCACCCCCAAAGGAAATTCTGTATCCCATAGGCAGTCATTCTCTATTCTTCCCTGCCCCTAGCAACCACCAATTTACTGTCTGTCTCTGTGGATTTATATATTCTAGTCTTGAACTCCTGGCCTCAAGCAATTCTCCCACCTTGGCCTTCCAGTGCCTTGGGATTACAGGTATGAGCCACCACACCTTGGGATTTATTCAGATGTTTCATATAAACAGAATTATACAATATTTGACCTTTTGTCTTCTGGCTGCTTTTGCTTAGCATAATATTTTTGAATGTCATCCACATTGTGGCATGAACCAGTACATCATTGTGTTTTATGGCTGAATGTTCATTGTATGTATACACCACAAACTTGTTTATCCATTCATCTATTGATGGACATTTGGCTTGTTTCCACCTTTTGGTTATTGCAGATAGTCCTGCTGTGCATATGCATATACATGTGTTTCTTGAGCACCTGTTTTTCAGTTCTTTTGGGTATGTACCTAGAAGTGGAATTGCTGGATCATATGGTGATTCTATATTTAGTGTTTTGAGGATCCACCAAACTTTTCCACAGCAGCTGAACCATTTTCTGCTTCTACTAGCAATGTATAAGGGTTCCAGTTTCTCCTCACCAATGTTTACTTCCTATTTTTTAAATTATAGCCATCCTAGTTGGTGTGAAGTGGTATCTCATTATGGTTCTGAGTTGCATTTCCCTAATGACTAACAATGTTAAGCATCTTTTCATGTGCTTGTTAGCCATTCATATCTTTTTTCAAAAAGTGTGTAAGTCCTTTGCCCATTTTAATATTGGGTTGTTTCTTTCTGTATGTAAGAGTCATTTTATACGTTTCAAGTAGTAGACCTTTATCAGATATATAATTTGCAAATATTTTCTCCTTTTCTTCTGTTCTGTAGGTTTTTTTTTTACTTTCTTCATTTATTATTATTATTTTTTGAGACAGGGTCTTGCTCTGTTGCCCAGGTTGAAGTGCAGTGGCACAATCATGGCTCACTGCAGCCTTGATCTGTTGGGGTTAAAGTGATCCTTCCACCTCAGCCACTTGAATAGCTGGGACTACAGGTGTGTGCCACTGTACTCAGCTAATTTTATTTTTTGTAGAGGCAAAGTTTCACTATGTTGTCCACGATTGTCTCAAACTTCTGAGCTCAAGCAGTCCTCCTGCCTCAGCCTCCCAAAATGTTAGGTTTACAGCTATAAGTGACCATGCCTAGCCTGATATGGTTTTTTTTGCATGTAAGTTCTAAATTTTGTGCGTGTGTATGTGTGTTTTTAAGAGGGTCTTGCTCTGTCGCCCAGGCTGGAATGCAGTGGTACAATTATAGCTTACTGAAGCCTTGGTCTCCTGGGCCCAAGTGAGCCTCCCACTTTAGCCTCTTGAGTAGCTGGGACTACAGGTGTGTGCCACCACACCCAGCTAACTTTAAAATTTTTTGTAAAGACAGGGTCTTGCTTTGTTGCCCAGGCTGGTCTTGAACTCTTGGCCTCAAGTTTCTCCCACTTTGGCCTCCTAAAGTGCTAGGATTACAGGCATCAGCCACTGTGCCTGGCAAGTTTTGTAATTTTGAAATAAGTTTATCTATTTTTTTCTTTGTTGCTCATGTTTTTGGTGTTATACTCAAGCATTTATTCCCAAATTCAAGATCACAGAGATTTACCCTAATGTTTTCTTCTAAACTATTTTACGGGTCGCTTCTTATATTTACTTAATTTTTATATATGGTATGGAGTAGGGATCCAACTTCATTCTTTCGTATGTGGATCTTCAGTTGCCCCAGCACCATTTGCTGAAGAGAGTATTCTTTTCCCCACTAACTGGTCTTGGCACCCTTATTTAAAATCAGTTGACTGTAGATGCATAGGTTCATTTCTAGACTCTCTATTCTATTTGTCTATATGTCTCTCCTTATGCCAGTACCACACAGTTTGGATTACTATACTCTTGTAATAAGTTTTGAAACAAGGAAGTGTGAGTCCTCCAATTTTGTTATTCTTTTTCAGTATTGTTTTGGCTATTTGGAGCCCCTTGCAGGCCCATGTGAATTTGAGGATTGGCTTTTTATCTCTATGAAAAAGCATATTGGGATTGTGATAGGTATTGCATTTGAATTTGAAGATTACTTTGGGTAGTACTGCACCTTAACAATATTAAGTATTTCAGTCTATGAACATGGGATATCTTTCTATTTATTTAGATTTTCCTTAATTTCTTTTAGCACTGTTTAGTTGTGTTCAGTATATGCCTTTTCACCTTCTTGGTCAAATTTATTCCTACATATTTTGTTCTTTTGGATATTACTGTAAATGGAATTGTTTTCTTTTTTTGACATGTACATTGCTGGTATATAGCAGCTGATTTTTGCATGTTGATCTTGTACCCTGCAAACTTCACTGAATGTATTACCTCGAGTAGGGCAGGGGTGTGTGTGTGTGTGTGTGTGTGTGTGTGTGTGTGTGTGTCACGGTTGGGGGGTGGATTTGGAGGATTTTCTTTGTCTAGGATTATGTCATCTGTACATAGATAGTTTTACTACTTCTTTCCACTTTAAATGTCTTTTATTTTTCTTGCCTAATTGCTCTGGTTAGAACCTTCAGTACAATGTCAAATGGCAGTGGTGAACATGGGCATCCTTGTCTTGTTACTGATCTTAGGGGGAAAGCTTTCAGTCTTTCTCCATGGAGTATGATATTAGCTGTGGGTTTTTCCTAAATGCTCATTGTCATGTTAAGAAGCTCTTCTCTATTCTTCTATTCCTAGTTTTCTAGGTGTTTTTTATCATTAAGGATGTTGGATTTTGTCAAATGCTTTTCCTGCATCAATTGAGATGATCATGTGTGTTTTTTTTCTTTTGTCTTAGTAATATGGTATAATGATTTTGGGGGGTATGTTTTACCACCCTTGCAGTCCTGGGATGAATCCTACTTAGTCATGGTGTATAATCCTTTTAGTGTGCTGTTAGACTCAGTTTTTTAATATTTGCTTAGGATTTTTGCATCTATATTTACAAGGGATGTCGGTCTATAGTTTTCTTGTGGTTATCTTTTGTCTGGCTTTGGTATTGGGGTAATGCTGGCCTATAGATTGAGTTAGAAAGTATTCTCTCCTTTTCCTTGATTTTCGTGCTCACTCCCCACCTTGTTTGTTTTTTGAATGGATTTTAAATTATTTTGGAAAGTTAATTATTCAGATTCTTAAGGTTATTATTCAAGACGAGCCAAAAAAAAAAATGGTCTTACCCAGGAAAAATCTTTGCCTGATGAGAATTTAATCACAATACTTTGTTGCTCAAGCTCCACCTACCTATTTTAGAAACAGATGATATTGTAGTCATAAAATCTCATGGAATCAGATGTTGTGACTTGATTATGTATGTGTAGAAATTCTAAGAGAGCATTCAATCCAGGATTATAATGTTACAATAATTTAGTTACCCATATGTATATAAACATTTCTAGCAGCAATTTTAGAAATATAATACCTCCTTGGAGGTATTTAACAAGATATAAATTTGATTTTTGGCTAGCTTTCACTACTTCTTAAGATAGAACTTGAACATTGGGGCAGGTCCCAAAGCAAATACTTTAACTACAATAGTTACGCACGAGAAAGTCATGTAAACAATCTATCCTTGACAAGCTACAAAGTCAATATTCAGATGTCCCAAATCTTAGACTCCTTTATTTAAAAGAGCTAACCAACAAAGAATTTACTAAGCCCACCTTTCTTTTTTTCTTTTTTTTTTTTTTTTGAGACAGTCTTGCTCTGTCGCCCAGGCTGGAGTGCAGTGGTACAGTGGCATGCTCTCAGCTCACTTCCACCTCCTGGGTTCAAGCAATTCTCTTGTCTCAGCCTCCTGAGTAGCTGGGATTACAGGCACCCACCATCATACCCGGCTAATTTTTTGTATTTTTAGTAGAGATGGAGTTTCACCATGTTGGCCAGGCCAGTCTCGAACTCCTGACCTCAAGTGATCCACTGGCCTCAGCCTCCCAAAGTGCTGGGATTACAGGCACAATCCACCACGCCCGGCCTAAGCCCACCATTCTTTTCAGCTGTTTGTACCTTTAGATAAAGTTCTCGCTACTCTCTTCTATGGTCTATAATTTGTGAAAAACTAATTATGATGCAATTTCAACAAATGTATTTGTTCAGTTCTATTTGATTTTCTAATTCATGTTGCATGAGTAATAGATGCACTGATAAAGTTAGCATATTTTAACAGTTTTCCTTTCAGAATGTGCTTTTTAACAGAATGCTAGCAGATTGTTCAGCTGTTATTTTTTTAAATTATATTACAGTCCATTCACAAAAGGTACAACCACAAATTATACAATAAACCAGAAATTTTATAATTCTGTTTTTGTATTTGGAACAGTCTACAGTCCAACTGTATTTAAAGGGGAAGTTAATGTATTCAAAGGGTATTTTTAAGACCTTTTCATTTTGGTTAAAAATGATGACATACAGCCAGGCGTGGTGGCTCACGCCTGTAATCTCAGCACTTTGGGAGGCCGAGGCGGGCAGATCATGAAGTCAGGAGTTCAAGACCAGCCTGGCCAACATGGTGAAACCCCGTTTCTACTAAAAAATGCAAAAAAAAAAAAAAAAAGTTGGGCGTGGTGGCGGGTGCCTGTAATCCTAGCTACTTGGGAGGCTGAGGCAGGAGAAGCGCTTGAAACTGGAAGGCAGAGGTTGCAGTGAGCTGAGATCACACCATTGCACTCTAGCCTGGGCAACAAGAGTGAAACTCCGTCTCAAAAAAAAAAATGACCTGCTGTTAACTTACCAAAACAGTTTTAGATCCTAAAGGATTCCTAATCTGGCATTATAGACCGAATGTGGTACATTCAGTCCAAAACTTGTGTTCTAAGATGGAACAGAAAACAAACATAGTAACAGAAATGTATTTTGTTGTAATCAAATACATGTAGGTAATTTTAAAAGTCTTTTGAGGGGAGGAGTCAGTAATTGATTTTGTTGGTGGAGAGAATGGGTGAAACTAAATGATATTTTTAAAAATATAGTGGTTTTCAGGCTGGCACAGTGGCACACTCCTGTAATCCCAGCACTTTGGGAAGCTGAGACGGGAAGATCACTTGAAGCCAGTTTAAGATCAGCCTGGGCAACATAGTGAGACCCTCTCTTGACCAAAAAAAATATATATATATAGCCTGGTGTGGTGGCATGCACCTGTTGTCTAGCTACTTAGGAGGTTGGGGCAGAAGGATCACTTGAGCCTGGGAGTTTGAAGTTGCAGTGAGCCGTGATCATGTCAGTACACTCCCGCCTGAGTGATAGAGTGCAACTCTCTCTCAAAAAATAAAATATAATGGTTTTCTAATAGGAAAATGTACTTAGGTAGTTTTCCCGTATCCAATCCTCATGACAGGATTGTGAGGGAGATATTACTTTATTTTACACTTGAGAAAACCAAATTAGATTGATTGACTTTACCATTTCACTCCTAGTAAATAACTGTTGGAAATCAAACTCAGAACTTTGGACTTAAGCATCAAGCTCTTTCTATTAAACCAGATTTTTGTTTTCTATAAGTTGCAGTTTAAAAAAAGAAAAGAACAGTACTTGTTTTCTATAAATGTATGATACATATTCTATGCTTACAGATAATAAGCAATTCATTTTAAAATGTCATAACCTCAGAATATAATTAACAATGGGACTTGGCCTTTCAGATATATTACAATGTGCTTGGATTTTCAAAAATTTTATTTGCATGCAGCTTGTCAAGGATTTTTTTTTTTTTTAAGGCAGAGTCTCACTTTGTTACCCAGGCTGGAGTGCAGTGGTGCAGTCTTAGCTGACTGCAGCCTCTGTCTACCTCCTGGGTTCAAGTGATCAGCCTGCCAAGTAGATGAGACTACAGGCACACGCTACCACATCTGGCTAATTTTTTGTATTTTTTACACAGACAGTGTTTCGCCATGTTGCCCAGATTGGTCTCAAACTCCTGGGCTCAAGAAATCTTCCCACTTCAGCTTCCTAAAATGCTGGCATTCCAGGTGTGTGCCACCACACCCAGCCAAAGATAAGGTTTTATATAACTTTCTCTTGCATAACTTTGGAGGAGCAGTGTAGTGTAGTGCAAAGTTATCAAACTTTAAAGGACCCAAGAAATACCTAGGAGATTAATAGCTTTTTAGGGCCCAAGAAACCCTCTAGGTACTTCTGGTAGAGGTAGTCCAGGGACAATACCTGGGGGAAACACTGGCTTTGAGGTTTTACACAGATAAAAATACCTACTTCATAAATTAGTGATGGTGATTTAATCTATGGTATCTCTACAGCTCTTGGAATACAACCTGGCACATAGGAAATGTTCAAAATATTCCATTCTTGTGTGATGACTTGGGTGGCAACTAAGAAGCAAGAGAATATTCCTTCTTTACATTCAACAAAATTTATTGAATTCCAGCAGTATTCTAGGGATTTGTGGATATAGGGGAAAATGGGCACATTCTTCACTCTTGTTGAATTTATTTGATGAACTCATTTTAAAGGTATAGTTCTTACCTTGTTAAAAAATAATAAAATGACTATTGAGCACATGTTTGCATAATCTTTTCCCTTGCAAATTAAAGTTTTATTTTTTACTTGAATGAGGATTGCAGGTCAAAGAAATGTTCTATTATTTCTCAGTTTTCTTGTTGCTTTAAATCTATACTATCCAATACAGTAGCCACTAGATACTTGCAGCTATTTAAGTCAATTAAAATTGTATAATATTAAAAATACAGCTCCTTGGTGGCACTACCACATTTCAAGTACTCAGTAGCCACATGTGGCTAGTGGCTGCTTTATTGGACAGTGCAGATGTAGATAATTTCCATCATCACACTAAGTTCTGTTGGGACAGTGTTATTCTGGAGTGTGCAACTACAAAGCAGTGATTTTCCAATTGTCTTAATCTGTAGATTGATTTTGAGGCAAGTATTAGCAGTGGCTTGAGGCTGTCATTTCAGCTCATAAGTGCATTAATATCCTTTCAGGTTGACCAGGCCCAGGGCTAGTATTGATTTATCTTAACAGTTTCATTTCACAGCAAGTGAGATCTAAATGCTAAGACATCTGGGCATTTTCTTTAAACTTCTGAGTAATACACTAACGTTATTTTACTGCATTAGTCATAGCTTTTCTCATGCACTCTGTGTGTGTGTGTGTGTGTGTATGTGTGTGTGTGTAGGGAGAGAGAGAATTCACCTTCACAGCATTATAATTGTTTTAAATGTGCATGTAATGAAATTTTGGGGACAAAGGAATAAAGAAGAGTTGGAATTGCATCTGAATACTAGAAATGGTACTTACATGAAATAATTTCTTTTATAGAAACCAAAACTAAGAGTAGTGAAAAGTTGGTTTAACACTGCTTACTCAGCATTCTACTGGGTAGAACCCCAGTTATGATTATTTAAAAATATTAATTATGAGGCTGGGTGCGGTGGCTCATGCCTATAATCCTAGCACTTTGGGAGGCCGAGGTGGGCGGATCAACTGAGGTCAGGAGTTCGAGACCAGCCTGACCAACATGGTAAAACCCTGTCCCTACTAAAAATACAAAAAATTAGCTGGGTGTGGTGGTGCATGCTATAATCTTGGCTACTCTGGAGGCTGAGGCAGGAGAATGACTTGAACCTGGGAAGCGGAGGTTGCAGTGAGCTGAGATTGCGCCACTGCACTGTAGCCTGGGCAACAGAGTGAGAATCTATCTCAAAAAAAAAAAAAAAAAAAAAAAAAAAAAAAAAATATATATATATATATATATATATATATACACACACACACATACACACACACGTGTATGTATATATACACTTATACACATATATGTGTATATATACGTATATATACACATATATGTGTGTGTGTGTGCGTATGTGTGTGTGTATATATATATATATATATTTTTTTTTTTTTTTTTTTTTTTTTTTTTTGAGGTAGATTCTCACTCTGTTGCCCAGGCTCACTCTGTTGCCCAGAAGAACAACAGCAAAAACTGAAGGAAAAAAAGGAGGTAAGACCTATCTGTAACTAGCTACTCATATTCAGGAAACAGAGGCAAAAACTCAATTGCTCTTGCATATCATTTACTGAACTCTGAACCAAAAAAATACATTCACGACCTAGACACTGGAATGTAGTGGGGGCTACTCAATTTTATATGCAGATTTTAACAACAACAAAAATACAGAAGAATTTATCCTTGGTTTTTCAATTACTAAAACACTAAATTTATCATATATATATACAGGTGTATATATACACATACACGTATATATAGTATATATACACATATACACATATATATACCATATATATAGTGTATATACACTATATATACACATACACACATAAATACACATGTACACATATATATATACCATTATATATAGTGTATATACACTAGTATATACACACGTGTATATATAGTATATATACACATACACACATATATACACATACGCACACATATGTATATATACATATGTGTGTGTATGTGTATATATACATATATATGATAAATTTAGTGTTTTAGTAATTGAAAAACCAAGGATAAATTCTTCTGTATTTTTGTTGTTGTTAAAATCTGCATATAAAATTGAGTAGCCGCCACTACATTCCAGTGTCTAGGTCGTGAATGTATTTTTTTGGTTCAGAGTTCAGTAAATGATATGCAAGAGCAATTGAGTTTTTGCCTCTGTTTCCTGAATATGAGTAGCTAGTTACAGATAGGTCTTACCTCCTTTTTTTCCTTCAGTTTTTGCTGTTGTTCTTCTCTGAGAAGAAAGGCAATAAGAGACTGCTGTCATTTGGTCACAGGTCAGGGATTAGTGCGACTGAAGTCATTGAAATCCTTTTGTATGTTATTGCCTCCTTCAATGACCTTCTGTCTTTCCAGGTCACTTACTTCAGCCTCTGGTACTACAACAAGCAAAATCAGCGCCGGTGGGTAGATTTGGAAAAACCTTTGAAGAAGCAGCTGGATAAATATGCATTGGAACCTACCGTCTATTTTGGAGTGGTGTTTTATGTGCCTTCAGTTTCTCAGCTGCAGCAGGAGATTACCAGGTGAGAAATTACATGCCGTTTGTTTTTAGGAAATAGTCTAGTGAGATGTAAAAAGTGAAACTAAGGTTGAAGTCAGAAGATAAGTTTGAAACTTTGCCCTCTCGCCCCACATTTTTAGCCACGGTGTTACAAAGAGATTCTCATATGTGGCATGTCAGAGTGTTTTACTGCATGTTGGGTAACTTATGGGTTCACTAGGCACAAAGGAATAATTAAAGGGAAAAATGATGGATTTACCCTCTCTGTGAACTCTTCTTGTAGTGATGTTACCTTTAATGTTTTTGTTGTTTTGTTTCTGATCTTTTGTAACAAGGAAAGGAGAGAAGAGATTTTAGAAAATTAGTTACAAAATCTGTCTTCATTCCTCAAGGAAATGTGCTGAAAGGCTCCTAGAATTCTCTGCCTCTAGCTATATTCTGTAGACCGGTTGGGGAGGGAGTACAGAGGAGAGGGAGGGAAGTGTTTAAGATCAGGAAATTTTGGCCAATAAGTGCACTTAATAGGGACAAAAGCAGAAAGGGAAGATGATATTAAGGAGCAGAATAGAGGAACTAAGTGTTCTTATTCTTTTTCCCCCTGAAGACAATGAAAAAAGGAATAAAATTTGAGTTCTTGAGCCTGCCTTTCAAAGTTCTGTGAATCCCATCACTACCTGACCTTTTTAACCCTATTTAATGTTACTTTTGAACGTTAAATATGTTCAAAAATGAAGTAGCTGTGCTACTTCAAGGGCCCGAAACATGCTGCACGCCCTTTCATCTTTGTGTCCTAGATCTTTCTCTCACATGTATTTACTGGAATCCTGTTTGCCTCCTGAGTTGTGGTTCAGAAGGTACCTCCTCCATGAAGCATCTATGACCCCAGGATAGAATGAGTTTTGGCTTACCACCTAGAATTTGATTCTACTTGTGTTAAGATGGTAATTGTCATACCCTGTTATTAGGATTGTCCGTGTATCTTTTTCCTAGGTTTTAGCCCATGTTTTCTTTAGCTTTACTTAATGATATCTTACACAGTGCCTTGCAGATAGTAAGAACCTGGTACTGTCCCATGTTTGTGGAGTGCTGTTTGAGTCTGCCAGTTAATGATTAGGAGAGAATGGAAAGTCAAAGCAGTAGGATCCAGTGGTAGGATAAACACAAACTGACTGTAAAAGTCTGAGATAGAAATATTGAAGAGAAAAGTGGAAGCCAGAAGGAAAAAGCCTGAACTGATCACTTTAACTCATTTAAACATTTACTGAAGATATGCTCTAAGAATTGTGTTGAATAGAGTGGGAGGTGAATATGCTTTAATCCCACCCTGGAGGAGCTGCTCACAGTCTGGTGGAATTGGCAGTTCATATAAATAGTTACAGTATCCTATGATAATAAATGCTTTAATTAAAGCTGTGGATTCCTAGGGGTGGGGCAAGGGGAACTTGAACAGGAAAGGTAGAGAGACTGACTTTTAAATTGACTTTAGAAATGTTCTAGAGGGAATAGTTTTTGCAAAGCAGGGGGAATAATCAAAATGATTACATGTCTTCAGGAAGTTTCAGGTATTACCTAAGGAGGTTTTAAAAATAGACATTAGCAATAAAGTCATGGTACAATGAGGAAGAGATTTTCAAATTTAATGGAATCATTAAATTTACATTTCACAAAGATCACCCATCATAGAAGGTAGATCAGAGATGGCAAGACTATAGGCAGGACACCAGTTTAGGAATACCTGTGCCATAATCTAGGCATAGGTTTACAATATAGAACTGAACAGAAAGGCATTAGCTGGATTGAGAGAGAATGGGCCTATTAGAGTCAATCAATAGGATTGCTCATCGATTAGGTATAGGAGCACCTGATAGAGAAGTTGTATCGGTAAGGATTAAGTATAGCTATATATAACAAAAACCCTAAATATCATTGACTTCTGTGAGAGTTCAGAAGTCAGCCTTGCAGAGCTTGTCTGACAGCTCCACAGAGTCTTCAAGGATGCTCGCACTTTCTCTTAGTGCTCCAGCATCCTCAGCGCATCCTTCCCATGCACTAGGTTACCTCTTGGTCCAAGATATCCAGAGTTCTGTCTATTACATCCATAGTCAGAAAGCAGATGAGTGGTTTCCTAGGAATGGGGTAGGAATTGGAGAGAAAGATTATGAGGGGTGCAAGGAAACTTTTGCAGTTGGTCAGTATGTTCCTCATTTTATAGTGATGGTTTCATGGATATATATATGTGTCTAAATTGTACACTTGAAATTTGAACAGCTTATTCGTATGCCAATTATACCTCAAAAATTGTGTTCTAAAAAAACCCACTCAAAGATATTGGAAGAAAACAAAGGGGGAGGGCCAGGCGTGGTGGCTCACACCTGTAATCCCAGCACTTTGGGAGGCTGAGGGGGCCAGATCACCTAAGGTCGGGAGTTCGAGATCAGCCTGATCAACATGGAGAAACGCCGTCTCTACTAAAAATACAAAATATGTCAGGTGTGGTGGCACATGCCTGTAATCCCAACTACTCGGGAGGCTGAGGCAGGACAATTGCTTGAACTCGGGAGGCGGAGGTTGCAGCGAGCCGAGATGGCACCGCTGCACTCCAGCCTGGGCAACAAGAGTGAAACTCTGTCTCAAAAAAAAAAAAGAAAAAAGAAAACAAAGGGGGAGAACAACAATCTGAATAATACATCTTCAGAAAGTGCAGACTTAACAGAAAAATATGACCATAAAGCAGCAGAAAACTGCCACCTGATACTACAAAATGAACTTAAAAAATTAAGAAAATAACATGATATGAAAGAACCATTTAAATCTGAATTAGAAAAGCTTGGGAATAATTCGTCTGTGTAACAGGTGAATATGAAAATAGCTGCAAAAACAATTAGAAATTTTGAAATGATAGAAACTATAAAAGTATAGAAGACAAGATAAAAAATAGATGTAATAGGATTCCCTAAAGGAAAAAGCCAAAACATTCTTCTAACAGTATGATCTAAGGCAAAACATTGGCAAAGAACAAATTCCAAAAACTATATAACAAATTGTATATTCTAGCTATAACACATTCTAAAAACTTCCTTGAAAGGAAAATGACTTGAAGCTCTCTATTGAAAAGGCATACTGTGTACCTGGTATGGTCAGTCCAGAGCAATCAGCGCCAACACATTCTGCAAAGTCACCAGAAATTGGGCATCCAGACTAAAACTGTTATAAAATTAAGAAAATAAGATTGGTATCAGACTTCTGGAAAAACACTTCATGCCAACAGACAAAAAAGTAACATTTAACATCCTCAAGGAAAGGAAATATGAGGCAATGATTATATATCTAGCAAAAACGACCTGCAAATATATCTTAGCATGGGCTGCCGTAACAAAATATTATAGACTGGGTAGCTGATGTATTTTCTCAGTTTGGAGATCTGAGCATGGTTGAGGTCTCATGAGGGTTCCCTTCCTGGCTTGCAGAACTTCTGGCTGGGTCCTCACATGGCAGAGCGAGCAAACACTTTGGTGCCTGGAGTTTTTACTTGCAAAAGAGGACATTTTGTTTCAATTGTCGATAATCATGCCTCAGATAAACCTCACTGGCTATGATACTACCACTGCACAAAGCTTGGAAATTTTGACCATCATAAAGAATACAACTGGGCTGGGCACAGTGGCTCACGCCTATAATCCCAGCACTTTGGGAGGCCAAGGTGGGTGGATCACTTGAGGTCAGGAGTTTGAAACCAGCCTAGCCAACATGGTGAAACCCCGTCTCTACTAAAAATACAAAAATGAGCCGAGTGTGGTGGCGCACGCCTGTAATCCCAGCTGCTCAGGAGACTGAGGCAGGAGAATCCCTTGAACCTGGGAGGCGGAGGTTGCAGTGAGCTGAGGTCACGCTACTGCACTCCAGCCTGGGCGACGGTGAGAGCCCATCTCAAACAAAACAAAACAAAAAAAAGAATACAACTGCATGGATTAAAACATACCAAATATATCTTAAAATTCATGAATTCATAATACTTTAAAAAAAACCTCATTGCTCACCTTTGAAACTTACTAGAGTACAATTCATTACTCTGAATGGCAGTAAGTTTATCCTATCTTTTCTTTATAGACTATATAAAGAGGTAACAATCATCAGTATTGGCTAAAACCTTTGGGTAAAGGGAACAGGCTGGCATCATCTGAACTCAGTGGGCAATGTCAGCGTCACTGTAAGTGGGACAACCAAATACCATTTCTTCTGATGTGATGCATCAGGAAGTACCAGGCACCACTGATGAAAATGACTAAAATGAACTTGTATCAAAGCAAGCTTCCAGTCTGCACTGTTCAGTAAGGTAGTTGTTAGCTACATGTGGCTAAAGTTAATTAAAATTAATACAATTAAAAATTTTCTTGCACTAGCTACAGTTCAGGTACTGAATAGCCACATGTGGCTAATGGCTACTATATTGGGCAGTGCAGATATAGATAATTTCTATCACTGCGGAATGTTCTGTTAGACAGTGCTGCTCTAAATCTAATGATTAGTTTTCAGGAAAGATGTGAGAACATGTAAACTTGCCAAATGACCCCATGAGACTACAATCAGAAAAGTCCAGAAGGCAGGAAATTCTACATGACAAATGGCTCCATTTCTGTTAATAACATGAAAATAAAAGGTAATAAAAACTTTCTTTTTTATAGCAAGAGATATTTAGAAACATCCATTAAATGTAATCTGTAGACCTTGTTTGGATTCTAATTTAAGAAAATTGTAAAAATGCATTTTTGAGGCAATCATGAAAATTGCATATGAATCAGGTATTGGGTATTATGAAGATGTTCATTTTGTTGGGTGTGATAAAAATGTAGTTACATTTTTAAAAAATAAAGCTTACCTTTTAGGGATATGTACTGAAGTACTTACAGGTGGCACGATGTCTGGGATTTGCTGTAAAACACTGGCGGTGGAGGGGGCAAAGGACAGGATGGATGCAGAAAACGTGGTAGGCATAAGGTTGATGGGTGAGGCACCATGATAAGGAGATGGGGTGACTATACTTAATGTCTCTACATATGTTTCAGAATTTCCAAAATAAAACTTAAAAAATAAAAATGCCGATGCCTACACATTGCCTTCTATTACTAGTCTAAGAAAAACAGATGAAGAAAAAAGGCTGCCTCTTCATACATTATTTGGAATTTCTGTTGTGCAAAATGGGGTCACCTAATTTATTATATAATTATTGTCATATATTGTATGAAATATTTTATATTGGAAAGTTGATCAGTAACTTCATAAAGATTTAGATAAAATATTTAATCAGCATATTTTGACTTTCGGGCAAGTTTATGGAATACTTGCTTTTGAATCAAAACGTGCAATTTCTTTTATTCCTTGGCTGACAGTTTTGAATTCAGGTCTGCATGTTACATTTTATTACTGCTTTGTTTTTTTCCTGTTATTTCATTCTTCTTGTTGCTTGGTTGCCAGGCTGGAGTGCAGTGGCGCTATCTTGGCTCACTGCAACATCCGACTCCTGGGTTCAAGCAATTCTGCCTCAGCCTCCAAAGTAGCTGGGATTACAGGTGCCCACGACCATGCCCGGCTAATTTTTGTATTTTTTAGTGGAGATGGGGTTTCCCCATGTTGGCTAGGATGGTCTCGACCTTCTGACCTCGTGATCCACCTGCCTCAGCCTCCCAAAGTGCTGGGATTACAGGCATGAGCCACCGCAGCAGGCCTGCAAAAATATTGAAATAACATATTTATAAGCCATCTTCAGCCCCACCAATATATAGAAATTTTAGCAAAAAGGTTTTTTTAATCACTTTAGTAGAAAGTGATAATGTCATTGAAGTGTAATTTCTTGGCCATCTGCTCCTACAGTAAATACTTCTTTAAGAAAAACGTATTTATGGCTGGGTGTGGTAGCTCATGCTTGTAATCCC
The DNA here is from genome assembly GCF_000001405.40 of Homo sapiens. Classification (NCBI taxonomy): domain Eukaryota; kingdom Metazoa; phylum Chordata; class Mammalia; order Primates; family Hominidae; genus Homo; species Homo sapiens. The sequence continues at coordinate 88,511,183 of NC_000014.9, read as the reverse complement.
AGCACTTTGGATGGCCGAAGTGGGAGGATCGCTTGAGCTCAGGAGTTTGAGACCAGCCCAGGCAACATAGAGAGACCCTGTTTCTACAAAAAATTAAAAAAAATTTAGCCAGCTGTGGTGGTGTACACCTGTGGTCCCAACTACTCAGGAGGCTGAGGCTCAAGGATCACTTGAGTCCAGGAGGTTGAGGCTGTAGTGAGCCCTGATTACGCCATTGCACTCCAGCCTGGGCTATAGAGCAAGACCCTGTCTCAAAAAAAAAAAAAAATCTATCTGTCTGTGTATCCATCCATCCATCCATTCATCCATCCTTAGTTGCTTCCATTAAAGTATTTGAGGGATAATACAATAACATATAATAACAACCACTTATGTTTTTTACTGTATGTTAGACACTGTCCCAAGTACTTTATTAATTTAATTCTCATAACAAATCCTGTGATGTAGGTGCTATTATCTCTATTTTGTAGATGAGGAAACCAAGACACAGAAGGGTTGAACACCTTGCCCAAGGTCACACTGCTAGTATATACTGGAACTGGGACTCAAGCAGGCTGGCTCCTGGGTCCTTGCTCTCGACCATTGTGTTTTGTGGACTGTCATGTAACATACTAAATGAATAAAAATACTAGAAATATCTATAACTGTAGATTTGTCGTGGTTAAGAACAAGACCTTTGGGTCATTGAGACCTGGGGATTCAAACTCCAGCTCAGTCTGGCTCTGTGCATTTGAGCATGTTGCTTAATCTCTGAGCTCCAGCTCTTCATCACTTAAAGGTAACTATTATTAAATAGTGGAGAAAGCAATTAAGAGGGATAGTAATGAGTGCGATTATGCCTGGATTTTAGCTGTGAGCTTAATGGCAGCCAAAGCAAAAGAAGAAATACGAGTTCCATCATTCATTATGTAACACAAAGAAGCATACCTGTTTGCAAGCATGATACATTTTCCTGGTATAGCATTTAAACAGAAACTTTGAGGTGTGATTTTTTATATAAGACATTGAACCAGAAATGAATAAGTTAGAGCAAATATGGAAGAGTCAATTCTCATAACAGTATAATGTAAGGCAAAAATATTTTTGTGGAAGGCTACATTAATTGGGTCCAAGTATGTTGCTTTTTCATGTTTTTTGTTTTTTGTTTTGAGACAGACTCTCTCTGTGATGCCCAGGCTGGAGTGCAATGGCACCATCTTAGCTCACTGCAACCTCTGCTTCCTGGGTTCAAGCGATTCTCCTGCCTCAGCCTCCCAAGTAGCTGGGACTACAGGCATGTGCCACCACGCCTGGCTAATTTTTGTATTTTTAGTAGAGATGGGGTTTCACCATGTTGGCCAGTCCGGTCTCCAACTCCTGACCTCAAGTGATCCGCCCGCCTTGGCTTCCCAAAATGCTGGGATTACAGGCATGAGCCGCTGCACCCAGCCCTTTCTAGTGTTTTTGATTTAAGGAAAAGTCCTAGAATATTTAGAATGGAATATGTGAATAGCATGTTCAATAGACAGACTTCCCTAAACACGCTCTCCCTCAGATAAGCTTCTGAAAGGAGCTGCCATATAGAAAATCTCAAGTTTTTCTCTTTGGTGGATCCCAGAACTGCCAGCATCCCATTAGCTATAGAGGGAAATCCATGGGTTTGGCTGTTAGCAGGTGGAAGGAGAAAAGCTGGATCCAAATTCTTCTTACTTGAATGGATGGTGTTTTGGTCAGGTTCTTTGGTAATAAAGAACAGAGGTTTACATGTCTGTGGCTGAAATAAGATGATAAAGACTCATATGAAATGATTAAAGGGGTGGGCTGTCAGAGGAATTCAAACATGAACTGTAACTGGGTTGCACTTCACAGGCACCAGATACGGAGGACAGTTTGGATTCCAGATGGCTCCATAGACTGCACTGGCAGAGTGTCTGTGATTTCCATTTAGTACGGTATCCCCAGCATCTAGAATAATGCTTAACATATAATAGACCCCAGTAATTACCTGTTGAGAAAATAAATAAAAGGAAGTAGTAAATCTTCACTCTAGAGCTTTATCAAAATGGAGAAGTGAGTGGCTTCAAGTACGTGATTGATAAGAGCTGCTGTTAGCCGGCTATGCTCTTGGTCCTTCACATATATTATTATTTGAGTATGTTCAGTCCTGTGAAGGGGTGATGGTACCCTCATTTTACTGGTGATAGAATTTAAATTCACCAGATTATGACTTGCCCAAGTTCGTGCAGAATACTAATTTGGAGAGTTCAGGTCTACTTGACTCTAAACCTTGTTCTGGTAACTGATGCCCTATATATTGAAAGTACAAACAGGGTGGTAAACAGAAGTAAACCCACATTACCAGATATTAAGAAAGCATCTTAACAGCTGTTTTGAGGGATTTCATCAGAAACATTTTAATATCAGCCTGGTCTGAAATATCAGAAACCATTTTTCTCTGGCTTTACTTTCCAGTGCTAGGGAACTTCTACCAAACAAGGTAAGCAAACTCTTATATTACTAAGTTACTAGTCAGAGTTTTTAAAGTAAAGATTAGCCACTGGCTTTCCATTTCTCCAACTAAAAAGAAATTGTGGGGACTGTTTTACAGGGCATGAAGCAGATGACTAATTGTCTTATAGGATCGTTTTAATTTTGAAATAACTATAATCTGGGATAAGTAATTCATCACATATACTTTAATATGTGTAAGTGTCATGTGGTTGAGGACTTTCTCATCCTTGTTTGAAACTGTCTAGGGGCTCTGTGTGGTGGTTCATGTCCGTAGTCCCAACATTTTGAATCCAAGCACTAGGATTGCCTGAGCCCAGGAGTTAGAGAACAGCCTGGGCAACATGGTGAAACTCCCATCTCTGTAAAAAATAGAAAAATTTGTCAGGCATAGTGGTATGCACCTGTAGTCCCAGCTACTCAGGAGGCTGAGGTGGGAGGATCACCTAAGCTTAGGAAGGTTGACGCTACAGTGAGCAGTAATCATGCCACTGCACTCGAGCCTGGGCAACAAAGGGAGACCCTATCTAAAAAAAAAAAAAAAAACACACACAACCATGTGGGATTAAGGTTTTATTTCACTGGTTTATGCTTCTCTACCAAATTATGGTTAAATGCATTGTATCTCAATGAGATAATATTGACATTGACCTTATACAACTGACATTTTTTATAGGTATCAGTATTATCTGCAACTGAAGAAAGATATCTTGGAAGGAAGTATTCCTTGTACCTTAGAACAAGCAATTCAGCTAGCAGGCTTAGCTGTTCAAGGTAAATAAGATCAATTCATAATGAAATGGTTCTATCAGATTAAAATGTGTTACAACAAAATAGCAAGGGATTTTTAAGTTATCTATCTATATACATCTTTAGTAGTGTTTATATATTAGTGAAATATTCTGTTATCTAAGGGGCTTCCTTTTGGGAAAAAATGAACTTGGAATACCTCAATGAAATATGAGACTTCTGGAAGTTAATCATGTTATAGGTCAACAGAGCAAACAGTACAATAAATAGAAGTATGTATATATGTGTGTATACACACACATATGTACAATCATATGCCGAATGACATTTTGTTCAACAAAAGACCTCATATAGGACAGTGGTCCCATAAAATTATAACACTATTTTTAGCGTACCTTTTCTGTGTTTAGATACACAAATACCATTGTGTTACAGTTGCCTACAGTATTCAGTACAGTAACATGCTGTATAGGCTTCTATGAGCAATAGGTTATACAATATAGCCTAGGTGTGTAGTAGGCTATACAATATAGCCTAGGTGTGGAGTAGGCTGCACCACCTAGGTTTGTGTAAGTATACTCTGATGTTTGCACAGTGACAAAATCTGATGATGCCTTTCTCAACACATTCCCATCCTTGACACATGACTATATACATATACATTTATTAATACTATGCTATGTATTCATCTAGTTCAAAGACTTTGTCTGCTAATAGGTCATATTTTAAGAAGAAAGATATGCCAGTCAGTGAGTTTGATGAGGTTATATTCGCTTACAGTTTAAGTACACTTCATATGTTTGGTTTCTTTTTATTTATTTCAATAGGTTTTTGGGGAACAGGTGGTGTTTGCTTACATGAATAAGTTCTTCTTATTTATTTAGTTACTTTTTTTTTTGAGATGGAGTCTCGCTCTATGGACCAGGCTGGAGTGCAGTGGCACGATCTCGGCTCACTGCAACCTCCTCCGCCTCCTGGGTTCAAGCGATTCTCCTGCCTCAGCCTCCCGAGTACCTGGGATTACAGATACCTGCCACCACACAGACCCAACTAATTTTTGTATTTTTAGTAAAGATGGGGTTTCACCATGTTGGCCAGGCTGGTCTCAAACTCCTGACCTCAGGTGATCCACCTGCCTCAGCCTTCCAAAGTGCCGGGATTATAGATGTGAGCCACCGTGGCTGGCTATGGTTACATGAATAAGTTCTTTAGTGGTGATTTCTGAGATTTGGCTGTACCCATCACCTGAGCAGTGTACCCTGTACCCCATGTATAGACTTTTATCCCTCACCCCACTCCCACTTGTTTGGTTTCTTAAATGGTTGTCCTGAATTATGCAGTAATAACATCAATCATAATAGATAAAGATGGCTGGGTGCGGTGTCTCACGCCTCTAATCCCAGCACTTTGGGAGGCCAATGTGGGAGGATTGCTTGAGTCCAGGAGTTCGAGACCAGCCTGGGCAACATAGCAAGACCTCATCTTTAAAATGTACATATATAAATAAAGATTCTGCATTTCACCAGCATTTTTGAATTGTTTATTTTTTTCATTTTTACATGTCTGATATACATGTATTTACATGTATGTGTGTATTTTCCTTTTTTTGGAGACAGTCTTACTCTGTTGCCCAGGCTTGAGTGCAGTGATGTGATCGTGGCGCACTGCAGCCACAACCTACTGTGCTCAAGTGATCCTCCCACCTGAGCCTCCCAAGTAGCTGTGACTACAGGTGTGCGCTACCATGCCTGGCTGATTTTTAAAATTTTTTATAGAGATAGGGTCTTGCTATGTTGCTAGGCTGGTCTCAGACTCTTTGGCTCAAGCTATCCTCCCTCCTTGGCTTACTGAAGTGCTGGGATTATAGGTGTGAGCCACTGTGCCTGGCTGGGAAGATTTCTGATGGGGCATTATTTCAAACAATAACTGGCATTTAGCCTTGGGAGTGAAATTTAATCAGAATAATTATTAATAAAACTCCTTCAGCTATAAGAAGGCATGGAGACATGTATCATTTTTAAACAAATGCCTGATGCACATGGAGCCACATTCCTTTTCAAGGTACTTTAGATTTTCTTAAGTATCACTTTTGGCTTTAAGAATTACTTTTTCATAAGCATTTTGCTGAATTGTCAATTTTTTAAAAAATATTAAAAATTTCAACACAAATATATCTTGCTGTAATATATTCAAGTGGTCTAAGTCTATTCCCCAGAGGTCATCAGTACTGTTGACAATTTGGTTTCTCCTTGACATTTTCCTGTACATAAGCAAGCATATATGATTACAGGGTAGGTTTTGTTTGCATTTTAACTGTAAAATGAGATCATATTACATAGAGCTTGCAACTTGTTTTTTTATTTAATTCATAGGCATTTTTCCAAGCCAAGACTCATATCTGCCTAATTAACACTTTTAAAAAGATACTTTAAAAATATACTTTATATAGCTATAACAAATTTGACTTCTGAAATATTAGCATACCATCTAGATATACTGCGTATTGAATTTTGTTGTGCATATTTTGCAATGAAATTTAAATATAATTAACGTGAATGTTTGTCATTCTATATAGCGGATTTTGGTGACTTTGATCAGTATGAATCCCAGGACTTTCTTCAGAAATTTGCCTTGTTTCCTGTGGTAAGACTTCTTTTGACACTGGGCCTTTTAAAAGAAACAGTTTATTCCTATACCCTTAATAATCCCTGAAATGAAATCCGTATGATAGACTTACTGTCAGGAATAGGATTATAAAAAAAAATTCCCTCTTATAAACATCTCAAGTGTGACTGCTTTCCCTGTTGTAGTCATCTTGGTCCTTGTGAACCCACAGAAACTGAAGGGTCTGTAGTCACTGCACTGTGCCTGGAGACATTTGTTTTCTATTTGTGAGTTTAAAAAGAAGGATTCATTTTCAGCTTCTCAGGAAGCATGCACAGGTTTTGCTTTTAACTGAAGGTTTGAAACCTTACAAAATTATATTGAGGAATGTCGCTTCTCATCAGCAATTTAAAAAGTAGATGACAAAGACACTGCCTTCTACTTTTATAAAGTCATTACTGATGGAAGGGACATGGAAACTGCATTGCAACAACTAAGGAAGGTGTGGTATGCTGTTCTGAGTGTCTACACAGTGCCAGAGAACGCACAAGATGTTTTTATCTTGCTGGGCTCAGGACTGGCTAACTACTGTCACCAACTTGACATAACTCAGCTGAAACTTTCCCTGGAATTGAGAAGGTGGGGCAAGTTTTTTTTTTTTGGCTCTTGTGAGAAGCCAGTTAATTCCTTAGAAAGATGATTACCTATGTAAACAAAGCTCCCATATAGTAACAATAGTCATAATTTTGCCTGATAGTGACGAGAGTCATTAACAGTCAATGGCCATGATTCCTTCTAAGAAATTGGGGTGAATTGTCACATACTTACCACTGTGTGTTTTCTTCAGGGATGGTTACAAGATGAAAAAGTATTGGAAGAAGCAACCCAAAAAGTGGCCTTACTACATCAGAAATACAGGTAACTCTAAGAAATAAGACATGGAAATAGCATAGAACCAATGTCTGCTTGAATTTGAAATATTCAATTAAATATTTAATTTACATGATTAATATTTATTTGCCCAACTAAATTTGGAACATTACTGCCACTACTATTACAAGTAGCCAACATTTATATAGCACTCACTGTGTGTCATGTGCTGTTCTAAGTAAGCACTTACCCATATTACTTATTTATTGTCCATGTTTTACCAGTGAGGACACTGAGGAAGTTGAAAGCAGCCAGTCATTGAAGGGTGCCCATTTTTTACTGCATGTAGTAAAGGTTTGTTTGATAACCTCAAACAAACCTGTATAGGTTAACGTAAAATTAGGATGATTTGTTTTCTTTTATGATACAGCTTAGCAAGTACAGGGTTACTTCCCTCTCTATACCTATGGAAGCTGTGTCTGTCACCTGGGGAGCTATGCTAAGAGCTATGGTGCTTATTACTCTGAACTATGCTTCTGCATACCTTTGTATACTTGTACATATTGACGTTCTTTCATGATGAATCTCTGTGTTGCCTGTAAGAAAAAATACTCTTCTGGATAATGCTAAGTCTTATTCTAAACCAACTACCACACAGTTCCACATATAGATGCTCCTTGACTTGTGATGGGGTTAAGTCCTGATAAACCCATAGTAAGTTGAAAATACTCTTTAAGTCGAGATGTATTTAATACACCAGTCCTGCTGAACATCATAGCTTACCCTAACCTACCCTACGTGTTCTCAGAACACTTATGTTAGCATACGGTTGGGCAAAATCATCTAACACAAAGCCTGTAATATATTTTATAATGTTGAATATCTCATATAATTTGTTGAATACTGTACTGAAAGTGAAAAACAGAATAGTTGCGTGGGTCCTCGAAGTACAGTTCCTACTGAATTTGTATCACCTTTGTACCACTGTAAAGTTGAAAGTCATTCAGTTGAACCATCATCGTAAGTTGAGGACTGTCTGTACTCTATCATTAAATTCTTATAACTACTCATTAAGATAAACATTATTATCTCCATCTTACCAGATGGGGAAACCAAGCTCAAAAAGATTTTGTTATCTCTGGCTGGGAGCAGTGGCTCACACCTGTAATCCCAGCACTTGGGAGGCTGAGGTGGGCAGATCACGAGGTCAGGAGATCGAGACCATCCTGGCAAACATGTTGAAACCCTGTCTCCACTAAAATACAAAAAATTAGCCAGGTGTGGTGGCATGCACCGGTAGTCTCAGCTACTCAGAAGGCTGAGGCAGGGGATTCGCTTGAACCTGGGAGGTGGAGGTTGCAGTGAGCTGAGATCGTGCCACTGCACTCCAGCCTGGTGACAGAGCAAAAAAAAAAAAAAGAAAAAGATTTAGTTACCTCTACGTGTGGTAGAGGTGGAAATTGAAAGCAGATCAGTTTCATTAGAACCTATTGCTTATCCCCTTCCAAATAAAATAAACTTTTGCCTCTAGTCTCTCTCCACTCAAATCCACACAGTGACTCACAAAAGATTAATCTCCCTAGAATATCAGTTTCCTCTTACCTCTCTCCTTCTCCTTCCACGTGCTCATGGGTATTTTCATGCTTTCTACTAGCCCAAGTTCATTACCCTGGGATTAAAGGCCTCCTACAAGTTGGTTAAATCCTGCCTTCCCAGCTTTACCTTCTGCTGGACAGCAGAACCACATGAACCATTTCTTTTCTAGCTTAATTGGTCCCTCAGGCACACATTGTCCTGCCTTTTGTCACTTCCATTTATTCATTTGTGCATTTCCTTAAAAGATAGCTTAGTGTTCTTATTCTGCATTAAGCAGAGGAAGAGTGCTGGATGCTATGACACAAAGATAAATAGAATAATTTCTTGTCTTCTAAGAGTGCATTCCCAGCCCTGCAATATGAGGGCTGGCAGGACAACCCACTATAGTAATTATAATACATATAAGAAGATAATGAGTGCAGTTAGAGGGGTATGGGCGGAATGTGTTGGGACTGCATGGAGCTGCGGCATTGGAGAATCCCAGAAGGTGATCCAGAGGAAATGATGCATAGACAGAGTCTTGAAGGATATTAGGGATTGGCCAGGTCCACAGGTGAGTCACAGGCACACCAAGAAGAGGGATTCTCATGTGCAAAAGCCCAGAGGGGCTAGGGAACATATTCTATCTGAAGAGATGCAGAGTTTGGGATGGCTGCAGTGTGGGTGCCTTGAGGACAGCGGGGAGCATCGGAAGATGAGGCTGGAGATGCAAGTCTGCATGCACTTGGGCACTCCTCCTTTACCCACACTGCCTTCCTACCCATCCTAGTAGTGTTGCACTCACCTGAGCAAAAAGGGGTTTTCATGTAGCCTCCTCGTACCCTTATTCCCTGCGTTCGACATTTAGCACATAATTCTCAGTAATGCCTCATATTTTGTTGTTTTTATTTTTGTTTTTTTTTGTTTTTTTGTTGCCCAGACTGGCATGCAGTGGAGCGATCATAGCTCACTGCATCCTTGAACTCCTGGGCTCAAGCAGTCTTCCCACCTCAGCCTTCCAAGCTGCTGGGACTATAGATGTGCACCACCATGCCTGGCTAATTTAAAACATTTTTTTTTTTGTAGTGACAGGGTCTCACTATGTTGCCCAGGCTGGTCTCAAACTGCTGGCCTCAGGTGGTCCTTTGTCCTTGGCTTCCCAAGGTGCTGCGGTTACAGGCATGAGTCACCATGCCCAGCCCTGATATTTGGGATAATAAGCAATTACTTGGTGGTTTAAGAAAAGTTCAAGATTTCACCCTAAGATTTTTTAGGGAGTTGTTTTATCCCCCACCTTCCCACTCATCTGCCTTAAGTATGGAGAGCAGGATCTCATGTGATACCCTCAGCATTCAGCACATACTGGTTTTCAGTAAATAGCAAGATTGATATAGCCAATTATAGATGCTTAGAAACGTGAAATGTTTATAATGTCTTATGCTAAATTGACATATAGGTTTTAAGAAAAGCTTTATTTTAAACCATTTTAAGCTTGCTTTGTGAACAATCTTGCTTCTTTTGGGTTGCAGAGGGCTCACAGCTCCTGATGCTGAAATGCTGTACATGCAGGAGGTAGAGAGAATGGATGGCTATGGAGAAGAGAGCTACCCTGCTAAGGTAAGTGTGGCTTGGCGGCTGGGGCTCTTTAAAGTTAGGCTTACAAATTTGAGAAAATCATGGGGAAATCCAAGGATGTCCTTATGTGCAAAGGCTGAGGACGTGCAAAACTCTGGAAACTTAAAAGCTGAGGTCCTGGTGACCAAAGTTTTGTGGTAAAACACATTCCCATTTTGTGGTTCATACTTTGAAATGGTCTTGAAATAGAGTTCCTAAGGAGGGCCAAACTTTTTCAATTTTTATACTTACCTATAAGATCATAGATCTCATTCAGACTTTTGTCTTCCTGAATAGTTACTCTGTAGGTCTTCGGAACTTTCTACATCTGGGAAACCAGTCCAGGGAACTCTAGCAGCAGTTCCTCTGCATCTGCTTCCTGGGTGTTTCTTCTTCTGCTTTCTCCTTGTAGGATAGCCAAGGAAGTGACATATCCATTGGAGCGTGTCTTGAAGGTATCTTTGTGAAACACAAGAATGGAAGGCATCCTGTGGTATTTAGGTATTTTTCTTACCTCTTTTTGTATGTTTTCTATGGCTCCTGTTGGTGATACATTTTTTAGTACTTACAGCAGTTAAATTGTTCACAAGTCTATACCAAGGTCTCATTAAAAAATGGAAATAATTCCCTTCCTAGGAAAAAAATACCATCTGAATGCAACAGTCCTTTTCAATAAGCCGCTTTCTTCAAAACTCTATGTCCAGAGTATAATGCCTATAATGACGGCCTATTATAAAATGCTTAAAAATGTGTGACCCTTTTTGTGCCATATGGAGGCCATTCTTTGCTTTGATATGAATGTTTAATTTGAGCTCTGGTTTCCAAGGCTATTTATTGGTTAATTTATTTATTGTGAGGCAAGGTCTCACTCTGTTGCCCAGGCTAGAGTGCAGTGGTACAGTCACCACTCACTGCAGCCTTGACCTCCCAGGCTGAAGTGATCCTCCCATCCCAGCTTCCTGAGTGGCTAGGACTACAGGCTAATGCCACCATGCCTGGCTAATTTTTGTATTTTTTGTGGAGACAGTTTCACCATGTTGCCCAGGCTAGTCTCAAACTCTTGGGCTCAAGCTATCTGCCTGCCTCCCACAGTGCTGGGATTCCAGGTGTGAGCCCACTGTGCCCAGCCTGAAGGGCTCTTTCCTATGAAAAATATAGAGCTTTGTTTTGACTCTAGTTTTGTACCAAAATTCCTAAAATACCAGTATCTAAGCAAATTTCAATTATTTTTTATAATGTTGGTTTTTTTTGCTGATATAAAAAAAGATACTATTCATTTGTGGAAATCTTGGAATGTGAAGCAAGTTGGAAAGAATATATAGCGATGTGCTAATAGTAACTGACTCTGAACAATGAAAGTACAGGTGATTTTAATTTCCTTTATAGTATTCTGTGTTCTAATTTGTATCTTAAAGATAGTAAGTTGGACCATATTGTACAATCCCCTACCTTTAATTCCTTAAAATCTGTTATCTGGAAAACCCAAAGTTCATGTCCAACCAAAAGCTTATATTGTTTTTATAAGGCAGGAAAACATATTCTATCACTTCTGTTTTTTGGTTCCTTTGTGTCTACCATTTGTTGAGTGCTTATCATGAGTCAGATAAACTATGCTGAGCATTTTTTGTGAATTTTTTTTAGTGTAATCTTCATAACACTGTCAGCAGTAGGTATTACCACCACTTTGCACGTGTGATAATTGAGGCTTAGAAAAGTTGTGATTTGTCCATGGTGACCCAGTTATTAACTGGCATAACTAGGACTAGAACTTGGATCCTCCACTTTATGCGTGGGCTCTTAATCGCTGTATTAAACAGCTTTTATTCTCTCCACCGCCTACTCACTGCCCGCCCCACAACACACACACTACTCAAGCTTTCTAAACCACTCCTACCATTTCTTCTTGAGAACTAGTTTGGCCTTTGAAGAGCTTTTTCTCTAAACTGACATCTCCTCCCTCACTTCCTTTGCTTTACTGCCTCTTGAGCCATGAATTCTCCATGGTGATTATGACCTCAGAGAGTACGCATCACTTGGGGAGCAGAACCCCATTCCTAGAATGCACTGCCCTGGGCTGGGTGGCTCCCCTTTGGCAGTTGCTCTCTCGTCCCCAAGCCACTTATATTAACCCTTCCCAACATGCTGAGTTGGGGGTCAGGGAGAGGAGAGGAAAATGGATCCGTGGCTTCACCTGAAGAGCAGGGCTCTGATGGTGCCCAAAGTGTCACATGGAAACTTGAGGCTTCTACCTGGCTTCCTTTATCACTGGATAGGAATTTTCACAGTTGCCTTAATGTGATGCTAATAATCTTTAGATTTAACAAACAACGGAATCCGTACTAAGTTGATTTTATTTTAATACATTTAAAATAAATAAATCTAATGGAGAAGGATAAAATTTTTTCTTCCATAATTTTTTCTTTTTATAAAATTCTGTGATTAATAAAATCAAATATTAACATATAAAAGCTAATACGATAAAATTAGAAAGTATAAGATTTTGAATCCTAGTGATCACTTCCAGAATAGTTCACTCTTTGAGTTCCTGGCATTTCAAATTTATCTTCACCCTGAAGCTTTTCAGAGCACACCTCCCCCACTTTTGTGCCTTATTTTAATACCTGCAGCACTTAAAAGTTCTTGTTTGCTTCTGTGTTCTTTCTCCCACCTTTCCCCTCCAACTGTGCGAATTTGAGGGAAGCACTGTAACTCACTAATCTTAGTGTCCCTAGGACCTACTGCAATTTCTGGCATTGTTATAATAGGTGTCTTTTATTTTGTTGAATGAATAAATGGGGCATTGGCAATCAGCTAAGAGAGGGATCTTCCATCAAGCAAATCTGACACATGAGAATGATACATTTTACATCTTTTAAATTCTCTTTTCCCTCATTTATTATACATGAGTTTACTTTTTGAACTAGCTGCTGTTACTTCAATTAGAACATTCATGCTAGCTGATTAAAACCACTGTTTTTTTTTTTCTTTTTTCTGTTTTGGTTTTTTTTGAGACAGAGTCTCGTTCTGTTGCCCAGACTGGCATGCAGTGGCACAATCTTGGTTCACTGCAACTTCTGCCTCCCAGGTTCAGACAATTCTTCTGCCTCAGCCTCCCAAGTAGCTGGGATTACAGGTGCCTGCCACCTCGCCTGGCCTAGTTTTTGTAATTTTTTTTTTTTTTTTAGACAGAGTTTCATTTTTGTTGCCCACGCTGGAGTGCAATGGTGCTGTCTCAGCTCACTGCAACCTCCGCCTCCTGGGTTCAAGCGATTCTCCTGCCTCAGCCTCCCAAGTAGCTGGGATTGCAGGTGCCCACCACCATGCCCAGCTAATTTTTTTTGTATTCTTAGTAGAGACAGGGTTTCACCATGTTGGCCAGGAGTCTGAAACTCGTGACCTCAGGTGATCCACCTGCCTCGGCCTCCCAAAGTGCTCGGATTGCAGGCGTGAGCCACCATGCCTGACCTAGTTTTTGTTTTTTATTTGTTTCTTTGTTTGTTTGTTTGAGGCAGTGTCTCACTCTGTCGCCCAGGTTGGAGTGCAGTGGTGCGATCTCGGCTCACTGCAAGCTCTGCCTCCCGGGTTCACACCATTCTCCCGCCTCAGCCTCCCGAGTAGCTGGGCCTACAGGTACCTGCTACCACGCCTGGCGAGTTTTTTCTTTTTTTTTGTATTTTTAGTAGAGACGGGGTTTCACCATGTTAGCCAGGATGGTCTCCATCTCCTGACCTCGTGATCCACCCACCTTGGCCTCCCAAAGTGCTGAGATTACAGGCGTGAGCCACTGCGCCTGGGCTAGTTTTTGTATTTTTAATAGAGACAGGGTTTCACCATGTTGGCCAGGCTGGTCTCGTGTTTTTTGTTTTTTGTTTTTCTCAAAAATGTTACCAAATGCTAACTTACACGTCAGGCTTAGGGAAAACTTGTGTATTCTATCTCCTTGTTTCCCCCATGGGCACTCACATTGCCAGTTCTCTATTTGCTGTTCTTTAGGTGGCATGACATTGCCAACATGTCCCACAACAAGTCCTTTTTTGCATTAGAGCTGGCAAATAAAGAGGAGACCATTCAATTTCAAACTGTGAGTAAACATTAGGGGTCTGCATGGAATGTTTTTCCTAAAAGTTAACAAGTTCTACTTCTGCGTGCCTGTATGTGTTTGGAGGCAGGGCAGCATTAAAATGATAATATTTTGTAATTGTATAAAACATGCAGTTTTATCATATAGCATTTTGCAAAATGGCAGTTAGCAAAAAATGGCTGCTCAGTAAATGCTGAGTGAATGAGTCTTTGGATAACTACTGTCTGATCATGATAACCTTTAAATTAAACTTCAGGGATTATGTGGGGGAGAAAGTAAGCACTGATATCTTAAATTTCATTGATAAATGAATAGCTCTGAAGAAATGTTATTTAACAGTTACTTGCTTTTGCTCTCTTGACAAAGGCAATATTGAGTTACTGAGTCATATTTTTGTTTAAAAATGTCTTTGAGTATATTTGGCAAGAATAAAAGTTGGTATTTTTATAGTTTTTAGATTCCCAAGTCATTTTGAAACTGTTTAATATGAGAATCACACTGTTAGAACAGATTGTTTTGTCTTCATAAATTAAATCCTACTTGTGGTATTCATACCATGGGCACAGTGTTGGAAAATGAAAGGCTTATAGTGTTCTGAAAGTGACTTTGTCATATGATGTCACCCATTATGTCTTTAGACAAACTCTGCATTAAACGTATCAAGTTGTATGTGTGCTTTCATATTGCTTTATGCCTATTTTGTTTGCTAGGAAGACATGGAAACAGCAAAATACATTTGGAGACTCTGTGTTGCGCGACACAAGTTTTACAGACTAAACCAGTGTAACCTGTAAGTATGTCCTGCTCATGGAAATTATCAAAAATAATGAATTTAGAAATTGTAATCTTGAGTATACTGTATCATCAAGAAAGACATTTTATCAGTTGACATCTTTTCTTGATCCTATAGCTGTTTTCCTATTTTAGCTTTGGACCAACTTGTAATAACTACATTGTATGCCTCTAAGATTTATTTCAACTAGTTACAAGAACCATTGTAATTCTTGAAAGGTAAAAAGGGAATAATATCCTTTATTTGTTTAAATCAATCCTCTGGTAAGCATTTTGAGTCATTAAAGATTATTCAGCTTTTCCAGCTATCTGAAGAATTTTTGCCCCTCCTTCCTGGTGTGCATTTTTCTTAGCCCACATGGGTTTCTTACTGTTTGCCAGATCAATAAAGCACACGGTGATATTGCACATATAAAATATTGTCCTTCATCTATACTCCCCTCCAGCCTCTGCACCATATCTCTGCTTTCCTGAATAGCAGGTTTCCTCAAGAGAGTTGTGTATGCTTGTATGTTTCCTTCCTTCCATCCCATTTTCCCTAAGCCTCCACGTTACTGATGCTGCTTGTTGTGGTCAGGTGACTTTCGTCCAGTGATCATTTCATGAGTTCTCTCACTTGACCGCTCCGCAGTACTGATCCTCCGACAGCTCCTTCCATCCTTCTGGAATCCTGCTCTTCTTCGGCTGCCAGGACACCACCCCCTGCTCGGCTTCCTCTTTCTAGGCTGTTTCTTCTCAGTCACCTTTGCTGGTTTGGTCCTGAGGCCTTTTCTCCAAATCCTTTCGTCTAGGGGGCTTCTCCTGACCTGTCCTCCCCCTGAGCCCCCGGTTCAAGTGATTCTCCTGCCTCAGCCTCCCGAGTAGCTGGGATTACAGGCATGCGCCACCACACCCCACTAATTTTGTATTTTTAGTAGAGACAGGGTTTCTCCATGTTGTTCAGGCTGGTCTTGAACTTCCAACCTCAGGTGATCTGCCTGCCTTGGCCTCCCAAAGTGCTGGGATTACAGGCGTGAGCCACCGTGCCCGGCCCTCCTTGAGCTCTTGACTCCTGCATCCTACCGCAAGCATTTAGTGTGCTTAGTCCTCAATACCACTCTGAAAGTTGTGGTGAATATATACTACTGCCTGTATATTCTGAAGGTAGAGCTGGCAGAACTTGCTGATGAATTGGATGTGGTATGAAACCTGACCATTTTTACCACTCGTGTTAACAGCTTAGTGCTGGCTGCCACTACTTCTCATCAGAATACTGAGGTAGCCTTCTGACTTTCCTGTTTCTGTGCCTTCGCTGCCTGTAGCTTATTTTCCATATGTCAGCCAGAATGATCTTAGTTTAACCTGAATCAGATCCTGACACTGACACTCTTCTTTTTTTTTTTTTTTTTTTTTTTTTTGGAGACAGAGTCTCGCTCTGTCACCCAGGCTGGAGTGCAGTGGCACGATCTTGGCTCACTGCAACCTCCGCCTCCCGGGTTCAAGTGATTCTCCTGCCTCAGCCTCTTGAGTAGCTGGGACTACAGGCACATGCCACCACGCCCAGCTAATTTTTTGTATTTTTAGTAGAGATGGGGTTTCACCATGTTGGCCAGGATGGTCTTGATCTCCTGACCTCGTGATCCACCTGCCTCAGCCTCCCAAAGTGCTGGGATTACAGGTGTGAGCCACCGCACCCTGCCCAGATCCTTTCACTCTTCTTAACCCTCCTTTGGCATTCCACTTCTTTTTTTAAGTAATTTTTTTAGTTTGTTTTTGAGACAGCTCTGTCACCCAGGCTGAGTACAGTGGCATGATCATGGCTCACAGCAGCCTCTCAACCTCCCTGGGCTCAGGTGATCCTCCCACCTCAGCCTCCTGAGTAGCTGGTACCACAGGTGTGTACCTGGTTAATTTTTTGGTGTTTTTTATAGAGGCAGGATCTCCTTATGTTACCCACACCGGTCTCAAACTTCTGGACTTTAGGAATCCTCCTGCCCCGGCCTCTCAAAGGGCTGGACAGGTGTGAGCCACCAGGCCTGGCCCCATTTTACTTCTAATAAAAGTACGAGGCCATACACAGTGTGGTCCTTGCCTGGTTTCAACCTTATGTCTTTTATCCTCCTCCCTGCTTGCTCTGTTCCAGCCACAGTGGTATCCTGGCTAGGCTGCAGATGTGCCTCACCCTAGGGGATGCTGTCCTTGCTCTTTTCCCAGGTCTCCACCTGCCTTGCTCCCTCATTGCAGCCTGCTGTCTGGTCAGATATGACCCTCTTCAGAGGCTGTCCCTGATTGTCCTATGGTACCCCCCTTCCACTATGATCTGTCTCTTTACCCTCTAACTTTGTTTTGTTCTTTATAGCACTTAGCACCATGTGAATTTCTATATTTGTTTGTTTGTTTGTTTGCCTGTATCCCCTGCCAGCAGGTTAGCTCTAGAGCAGTGCTTGAGGACAGACACTCTTCCCTGCCTTCAGTGCTATATTCCCCATGCCAAGCAAGGGCCTGGCTCACTGTCGGCCTTAATGAATTTGTTCAGCTAATCTATAGATACAGGTGTTAAGAGCTCTGATTCAAGATGTCTTGGTGCTGTAAGATCCCTTAGGAAAATGGTACGTCACCCAGAACTGCCAAGATAGGAAAGGCTACCCAGCCAAGTGACATCTAAGCTGAGACCCGAAATGTTGCACTCAATTCCCACAACCTTTCTTTAAGCTGTCCTCTTGTCCCTGGTCCATGTCTGGAGGCACCTCCTGGAGCTCCCTCCCACTTGGCCCCCCACGCCCTATCTCATCTGTATGCAGTCAGTCTTCTGGATAGATAAGCAAAATATGTAGCACTGCTCTTGAAGTTACATGTCAGGAACAAATCTGAGCATGTGCCTCTCACCCGCCCCGTCCTGGGTACAGGATTAAGGGCAGACTCCTGAGGTCCTTCTCTGGACTTAGCTGCCCCAGCCCAGTTGGCCTTGGAGTCTGACTCCAGGAAGGCATCTTTCCTTATCATGTGAATGCCCCCAGCCCAGGCCTTTGCTAAAATGCCCTTCCTTCCCTTCTCTGACAGACTCTTAGTCATTCTTCAAGATTGAGTTTAAAATACAGCCCCCATAGACACCACCAAACATTCAGTTTGCTTAGTCCTTGACACCACTCTGAAAGTTGTTTTTTCTACCTCTTTTATAACAATGACCTGAATAATTCATAACAATAATTTAGTAAATGCTTGCTCTGTGTCAAGCATTATACTGAGAGCTTTTATTTTCTTTAATCCTTACAGTAACCCTGTTGGGCACAATTATTACTATCCCATTATTGATGAAGGTATGGAGACTTACAGAAGTGAAATGTCTTGCCCTGCCACACAACTAGTAAGTGGAGCAGCAAGACTCGAGCCTGTGCTCTTAGCCGCTGTGCTAGCCTGTTAGAGTAGTTCCTGCCTGCTTTTTTCATATTGACAGATATCAACTGACAGATCATTTTCATTTGATCTGTCTCTCTTGTTTGATGAAGCTCCATGAGGGCAGGGTCTCCTCTTCCTCATCTTCGTGTCCCCTGTCTGGCAAGGTGCCCGGTGCATAAGGGCTTAGTGAACAATGGGAGCCGGAGTGTGGCAGTGATGGGAGTCACAGGGGAGAAGAGCACTTTTGCTCCTTTGTCTCTTCCTTTTATTACAGATTGTAAATGAGGCATGGGGTGGAGGCAAAGTCTAACAAGGGCATTTTGTCCCTTAGCACCAGGAAGGAAGGAGAAAGGCTGTGGAAGTGCCTTCTGTCTTGCAGGGTGTGAGAGAAACTCTGGGCAGGAGCAGCAGTGTAAAGATAACATGCGGGGATGCCCACCCGGACGGGGAGCTGGCCAGTGGTTTGCATGTATGGCCCAGTCCCTGTCTCTTCTCTGCCTTCCCCTGCACCATGTTTGCATCCGAGTCCCCATCGCTGGTCTGGTGATGGGATTTTCGTAAGCACTGACAGGGAGGAGGAACCTGCTTTCTTTGTAAATATGGGAAGCGGTTTCTGCTAGGGGCCTGGGTGTATTTGCATATGAAAGTGTTCCCCCTGGTGGTGATATTCAGTAGTGCTACTTGCCTTTGGGGTTCCCTGGGGCTGGCCTGGTTATCCAGCCATATGTGGCATGATTTCTATGCAGAAGTAAGTTCTAAGATTCAAGCAGTAGATAATGCAGTCTGTTGGACCACAGCATTTTCATTTTAAAGACTTTAATAAGTTAAGAGTGTTCATAATATTGAGCCATTATTACCTCAGTTTGTTTCTTCTCTGGAAAATAGTGGAGAGTCTACATTTTGAATAAACCATAAAACATAATCCCTTTCCATGAGGCATCCATATTGGTTGGTGGTTAGTGCCTGTTTTTTGTTTGTTTGTTTGTTTTGTTTTGTGTTTTTTTTTTTGCAAATTAACAACTTGTAATAAGTAAAAGAGGGAAGAGGGAAAAGCAACAAATGATTGATTATGGTGAATGAGTCTTAGAAATTCAGCTCTAGTTTTTGGAATATTGCTATTTATTGGCAAGTGTGAACAAAACTACATTAATGTCATCAGTTGCATATGCTATACCTAAATAAGGAACACCTGAATCTTTTTAAAATGGAATAGTTATGTTTAAAGGGCTGTTTTCCAAAGTTTGCTTTCAATCTCTATATATCCAATAGATTGTGGCAGTCGATTTCCATGAGCT
Source organism: Homo sapiens (assembly GCF_000001405.40). NCBI lineage: Eukaryota > Metazoa > Chordata > Mammalia > Primates > Hominidae > Homo > Homo sapiens. The sequence continues at coordinate 88,491,740 of NC_000014.9, read as the reverse complement.
ATTCCTATGTAATTACTTATGATTCATTCTGTAGGGAACTAATATATTTCATTGTGAGCGTTTGTTTCCCACATAAAGTAAATGAAGCTTTTAATATTAGCTTTTAAAATTTTGCTTGATAATAAAATGAAAAGAACTTTAATTGTTATGGCCATGTTTTAAAGGCTCTCAATATAGACTGTTTAGTCATGTTCCAATATTATGATTCTGAAGTATTGGTAGACTTGTTGTCATGGGCCAGATGGGTAAACTAAAGCGTGATAGGCATTTAACAAAACTGCCCCTGGCCTGGAACTGGACGGTGGCTTCTGGACATCTGCTTTGGGCTGGGGTGACTGGTGGCCCAGGAGATAGACTCGACTTGCACAGAAAGGGGAACTGTAATCCCAGGGTGTCCCCTTTACCCCCAGTCCTGATCTATTGTAGTTTATTGCTGCTTGGGATGGCCTTATGTGACTCATCTAATCTTGACCCAGATAACTATATTTTAGTATTTATACAATGGCATAATCCAACAGCCTTCTCCCTCCACCCCCTAACAAAGTGCATTAGATAACAGAATGATCGTTATCCAAACCTTAAAAATGTTAGATGGATAACAATCTGTCTTTTAAAATTATAAAGTGAGGATATTGAGACTTTTATACTTAATATTCCTTTATGGTTGAATTGGGAATTAAATGACATAATAATGTCAACCTGTTAGATCAGAAATCTGCTTCAAACCCACTGTCTCTCACTCTAAGCCCCAGAACTGGTCATGCTGTAAGCACCCTCCCTGATTTATATAAGGAAAATGCCGAGAGAGTTGGGGAGTCATGAGAGGCCCCTTGGTGTAGGTGGCTCCCCTGCTCTTTTCTGTGAGGAAAAGGGAGGATGGTATCCTTCAACCTGCAAAGCCAAGTGATAGAGGGTTCAAGAGACTTTCTCCAGAAGGGAAACTTGTATTTCAGACTGCAGCAGGCCACTCGCTGAGCGCAGTGAGATGGCTGGTGAGTGCTCCCTGCAGCTCAGGGGTGTTGGTGAACATAGCAGCCGGTGTCCACCTTGGTTCCGGAGACTTTTGTAATCAGGAGACTGACTAGAGTAGGCCCTGCCTGGAAAGGGAAAGAGTTTACCCATCTTCTTGGCCTACTGCAGGGCTTGAAGAGACTATAGGAAGTCTGGAAGAAGATGGAGCAGCCCCTATCCCATTCCAGTCCCCTGAGCCCCAGAAGTGTAGAGAGGACCCAGTAGTTCCCATGGATCCATGTGAAGGAGCAGGGCAGGAAGAGGTGGGAGGGGAGAGGAGGAGCAGCCACAAGGCCAAACAGTGGGACCTCTGGGTATGGGGACATGGACCCCTGGTGGAGCCGAGGAGAGGCAGCGGCTTTTTCTGAGTAGGTTCTTATATGGATAAAGGTCAGTGTCACCCTGGAAAACCACACATGTCGGCCGGTCACGGTGGCTCATGCCTGTAATCCCAGCACTTTGAGAGGCTGAAGCAGGTGGATTATCTGAGGCCAGGAGTTCAAGACTAGCCTGGCCAACAAGGTGAAACCCCGTCTCTACTAAAAATGCAAAACTTAGCCTGGCGTGGTGGCGGGCGCCTATAATCCCAGCTGCTCGGAAGGCTGAGGCAGGAGAATCCCTTGAGCCTGGGAGGTGGAGGTTGCAGTGAGCCAGGATCGCACCACTGCATTTCAGCCTGGGCGACAGAGCAAGACTCCATCTCCAAAAAAAAAAAAAGAAAACCACACATTTCATGGGGCTGGAGTGACACTAGGGCCTCTCCCTCCATCAGTATTCCTTCCCAGTTACCTGAGATGGTCTCTGCTGGCTTTGTTCCTCTCCCATCCCACAATGCCAGGAAGCTACACCTAAGGCGGGGTTTGGTAGGGGGGTGAACAGTGGAAGCAGGCATCCCAGAGCCAAGTCAGTGACCTGTAAGCAGCTTGGATGCAGCCCTGGTCTACCCAAGTGTAGGCTGGGAGGAGAGCATTTATTCTTCCTTACCCTTACTATAGTGAGCTCAAAAGGTGTAAGTCATTGAGACAAACATTTGCTAGGTATTTCCACCATCTAACACTTTTATTTATTTATTTTTTTAAAGAGACGGGGTCTTGCTCTGTCTTCCAGGCTGGAGTGTGGTGGTGTGATCATAGCTCACTGTAACCTCAGACTCCCGGGCTTAAGGGATCCACTGGCCTCAGCCCTCAGCTTCTGAAGTAGCCAGGATTATAAGCGTGTGCCACCATGCCTGGCTAATTTTTTTTTTTAGTTTTTTAGAGATGGGGTCTTGCTGTGTTGCCCAGGCTGGTCTTAAACCCCTGGCCTCAAGTGATCCTCACATCTCAGCCTCCTAAGTACCTGGGATTACAGGAAGGAATCTATTCCTTGAACTATCTATTAGTGCATGAGCTTTCAATGGCATCTTTTTGTTTATCAAAATCTTAACTCCCTTACATCGTATAAGAAAGGAAACTTACAAAGCAAAATTCAGACGAGGCTTAGAAATACAAGCTCAGCTGTAAATGCTTAGTAATAAGCATCACTTTAGTCCTCACTTGTTAGTCACTCATTTGCTCAGCAAAGGCACCAGGGATACCACATCTTGCCTCCACGGAGCTTACAGATTAGTTGGGGTTGGGGAGCAGGTTGGACACATGATTGTTAGACACATACACTCAGGAATCTGACAGACCTGCTGGTTCAAATGCCGGTTCTACTACTTGTTTGCCATGTGACCAGGAGCAACTTACTGAACTTACGTATCACTTTCCTTATCTGTAAAATCAGGATAATAACTGGACCTCCCTTATGGGTTTGGTGTTCACATTCCACGAGATAATCATGTACAGTCCTTAGCACAGTTTCAATAAATAATATTGATTTTACTTGGGCTGGTAGACTTTTTTCTTTTTTTTAAAGACACCAGGTCCTAGTATCCCAGTTTCCCAGGTAGAATATGGTGGGAATTCGCAGATGGGATCGTAGTGCACTACAGCCATGAACTCCTGGATTCAAGGGATCCTCCTGCCTCAGCCTTCCAAGTCGCTGGCACTACACGGGCATGTGCCACCACGCCTGGCTCAGCCTTTTTAATTTTTATTTTGTCTTCTTTGGCACACAGATTCTAGTGATTTCTTCTCAGTTATTTAGCAGCACCCATCAACATAGTAACTGCCCAAAAAGTTTGGAAACCACAGCCAACAGTTACATGGTTTTCTCTTGTATGCCAAGCTGAGGATAGCTGGTCTCAGAGTAAACTGCATTTATAAGAACAATGCCAAGAAGAAAGAGAAGGTTAGACTATTAGAACTGATGGCGTGGCTGCCTGGGTCAAGCACTTTGGCAGGTACACGCTTTTGTAGTTTGTTTTCTTAGTAGAGCCGGCTACTACAGTGGGCAGTGTTCGCCTCCACACTGGGTGCTGCGGCAAGAGCGCCAAGATAAGCTCTCAGTGTGGGAGGGCCGCCCATGTGCTGAAGCTCTGCATCCTTGGGTTTTGTGTTTTATTTTTGCCCCAGGCTGGGCAACTGTAGACATGTTGTTGGAGTTTGTTGACAGAGAATTCTGTTGGCAATCCTTGTGAATTTGTAGTACTTTAAAAGTTTCTTAAGTTCAGTCCATCTAGACAGTGAGTCTCTGCTAGACTGAACACAGGGTTCAGAGGACCCAGTTTGCCTAAACCTAGTCCTGACAATGAAGAATAACCAGAGACAAAGTAAATTTCAAGGCTGCAAAAATGCAGCGTCTTCAAATTCTGGGCACTATTTTTTTTTTTTTTTTTTTTGAGATGGAGTCTCACTCTGTCGCCCAGGCTGGAGTGCAGTGGCGTGATCTCGGCTCACTGCAACCTCCGCCCCCTTGGCTCAAGCGATTCTCCTGCCTCAGCGTCCTGAGTAGCTGGGATTACAGGCGCCTGCCACCGCGCCTGGCTAATTTGTGGGCACTAATTTTAAGGAATATATTAATGTGCAGTTAAGGAGTATTTTTTATTTTTTATTTTTTATTTTTTAAAACCCAGACACGCCATGCAGACTTGTGTCACCAAAATAAATACTGGAAGAATGGAATATCTTTTGGAAAAGAGACATTTATTTTTCATTAACAGCCTGAATACTTTCCAGTAACAAAGAAATGAAATTATTTATAAAAGCTAGTAAAAGCAGTTGTAATCACCTGATGTTAAAACTAGTATGTACTAGTTTTCTTTTTATCTCAAGAGTCTTATAAAAATAAGCTAATATTCAGGGTTTTTGAATATAAGATACTAGTTTTCAGAGTGCTAAGAGTAATATTAATTTATGAGACATGAGGCTTGATATTATGGTAAATTTGCTTAAATGGATTGAATATTCACTTTGTCATGATGGATTTTCTAGTAATTAGTCCTTAGAACACTGTAACCAAAGGTCACAAAATATTTTTGTAATCAGTGATTATGTGTTACATAAGTACATGAACCAGGAATAGGTGGTAAAAGGTATAAGAAAAAGTGCTTTGACAAAACTACATGTCATCAACAAAGCCAAGAATCCAGTGTGTTTAGGTTCCTAGATCTTGCAGTAAAACTGACCACACAGAAGAAAAAAAAATCTTGCCTTTATTTGAAAACAATAGTTACAAATGGGCTTTTCTGTGTCTGTTTCCTTTTTTTACCTTATTGTTTTTTTAAAGATAGAACTTGCTGTGTGAGTAGTTGAAAATCTCACATTATCACATTAGTGTTTGTCAGCACTCCCTAATACGTTTAGGTACTTTTTTTTTTTTTTTTTTTTGAGGCTAGAATCTCGCTCTTGTTGCCCAGGCTGGAGTGCAATGGCGCAATCTCGGCTCACTGCAACCTCTGCCTCCTGGGTTCAAGTGACTCCCCTGCCTCAGACTCCCGAGTAGCTGGGATTATAGGCACCCACCACCATGCCCAGCTAGTTTTTGTATTTTCAGTAGAGATGAGGTTTCACCATGTTGGCCAGGTGGTCTCGAACTCCTGACTTCAGGTGATCCACCCGCCTTGGCCTCTGAAAGTTTGGGATTACAGGTGTGAGCCACTGCGCCTGGCCTTAGGTGTTTTTTTAAAAAGTATATTCAAAACAAATCAGAAATTTCTTGCAAAGAAAGGTAAATGGGTTTACCATCGGCTCACTGAACCAAGTCTTGTGCTTTGCTTTCCCTTGGTTCCTTAGAGGAAATGTAGATTTAAAAAATACGTAGGTTTGAAATTTTTTTATATTTGAGTTTTTTAAAAGATGGGGTCTCACTATGTTGTCTAGGCTGGTCTTGAACTCCTGGGCCCAAGATGCTCCCAAGAGGCGGGTCTACAGGAGCATGCTTACTGCACTTGGAAATGTAGATTCTTGTCACTAAAATCATAAATTCATTTCTTCATTATGTTTGTAGTCTGTGGTTAACAGACTTTTAATTAAAGGCAGTTCTTACTGCTTGAGGCTTCTGGGTTGACAGTGGATGGTCCCCCGGGAGGAAGGTTAGTGGAGGGACCCAGGGCTCCCCCAGCGCATAGGAGAAACACATTTGCATTTGCACTGAATCCAGCTTCTCCTGCGACAAGTGTGTGGGTGATGTAGCCTTGTCTCTTTCCCCACTGCTTATGGCTAATCCAGAGGTTTATTGGATGGGCCTGGGAAGTATGCTCTGATCCCCTTGTGGGTCCAGGCGATGATGCTGTGTGGGGAGCCTGAAACCACAGGGCAGGTTGACGGGTTGGGGCAGCAGGAAAGGGCTGAGGCCCCACGGGCCGACAGAGAACCTCCCTTCTTTTCTTTGACTTCATGACTTAGATAGCTTGTCTTTTTTTTTGCCTGAGAAGATTTATTATTTTACATTCCTATATCTTGTTTTGGTAGAATTTAAGAGAGAGTGTGTATGTGCTCTTCTCAGAGTCATCCTATTTTATAGGCAAACTCAGACTGTCACAGTGAACCCAATCAGGAGGAGGTCTTCTTCAAGGATGTCTCTGGTAAGAAACAAGGAAAATATGATTGCTTTTTTATTTTAGTGATGTTTTTCCTGAATAAAATATGCTTTCAATGCTGTTAATTTTGAGTTTGAACCATAAAAGTGTATTGATATTTCATCATTTTTAACCAAAGAAATGGTAATTTTTTCCCATAGGTCCAACCTAATATTTATATTATTATATTATACATATTTGAATATTAGGTCTGACCTTAATATTAAGAACTTAGACTATTGGCCAAGAGTAATCCTAAGTTGGTATATATTTAAAATACTAGATGCCTTTAATAAGATTGACTATAATACCTATAAGCTTCTTATGTTGAAATGTTTCTACAAGGAAATGTGTATCTATTGCTTCTTGCTCTTAGCTTTTTAGATGCAGATTTTCTGGTGGAGCCTAATGTCCTTGGTATCAGTCATAGGGCTTGACATTGCCATTTGGGGAAACAGAAATGCTAGATATGTTAAGAACTACTGTGTCTTCATGTTTATTTTCCATATATAATATATTTAATTCCTTTAGAAGTTTTTTTAACAGAAAGAATCCAGTGGATAATAACTTTACCTGTATTACATAAGCAATGTGTTTCAACCCTGTGTCAAACTCTCCATTTCTTAGCCTAAACCCCAGCCCTACGTGATGCCTCCCCCACCGCAGTTGCACTATAATGGACATTATACAGAACCATATGCTTCTTCCCAAGGTAAAGTACACTGTTTCTGCCATGCCTTACATAGTTATGACTATGGATAAATCTGTGAATGCTTGGAGATCATGAAGCCTGGACAGTTTTTGGCTGAAGTTGCACCCCAAATTGCATCATGATAATAGCTATCCTGGATTCATAAAAGAAGCCAATATATTGTTTTTTGTTTGTTTGTTTGTTTTTTTGGAGACAGAGTCTCAATGTGTCACCCAGGCTAGAGTGCAGTGGCGTGTCTCAGCTCACTGCAACATCCACCTCCTAGATTCAAGCAATTCTTGTGCCTCAGCTTCCCAAGTAGCTGGGACTACAGGCACGCCACCACGCCTGGCTAATTTTTGTATTTTTTAGTAGACATGGGGTTTCACCATGTTGGCCAGACTGGTCTCAAACTCCTGACCTCAGATGATCCAGGTATATTTGGGTTCTTGAATGTATGTAAAAACATGCAGTATCAAATTTTGATGCTCCACTGGTCTCAAATTTGGCCAATGGGAAACTATCAAGCTGGTTCCTGTGTCCTTTTACCACCACCCTATTAGCCTTTAAGTGCTTCTTTGCTATCTGACAAAGAATTCCCAGGGTTACTTTTCTTTCCCTGCCAGAGGCTTTCCTATTGTAAAAGTTAAACACATGACTACTGCAGTTTTCACATGAGAAGTATAAGGAATTGTATTTATAACAAACCCCCAAGCTGAAGTTTAAGCAGTCAATTAACATTTACTCTATACTCTCTCTGTATGGGGCTATACCAAATGCTAAGGAGGTTTATGCAGATGAGTATTTCCACATCTTAAGAAGTTTATCTTCAGCCTGGACCACAGGGCCAGACCCTGTCTCTACCAAAAAAAAAAAAAAAAAATAGCTGGGCGTAGTGGTATGCACCTCCAGTCCCAGCTACTCAGGAGGCTGAGGTAGGAGGATTGCTTAAGCCCAAGGTGGGGGTGGAGGTTGCAGTGAGCCAAGATTTTGTGCTACTGCACTCCAGCCTGGATGACAGAGGGAGACTATCTCAAAAAAAAAAAAAACACCTTAGAATCTAATAGTTTAAGATAAGACAAGTGCACAAATAACTTTGTCTTTCTCCCCTGAACCCCTTTTTCGTGGAGAATGGGGTCTTGCTATATTGCTCAGGGTGGTCTCAATCTCCTGGGCCCAAGCTATCCTCCTGCCTCTGCCTTTCTAAGTGCTGGGATTATAGGCCTGAGCCACCACTCCTGGCACAAATAACTTGAATATGATAGTTTTTCTGAGACAGCATGTGCAATTACCATGCTCCTCAGTGGAAGAGAGACTCATCACATTGGGGAGATTGAGAAGAACTTTCTGTATCTGAAAAGATGGGTGGATTTCAGCAGGTAGAAAGGCAGGAACTTGACTGGGGTTGCTGTTCCTAGTTTTGGGGATAGTGAACGCCAGGCACAGAATGAAGCAGGGTGTGTTTGGAGAGTAGAGTGGTCCAGGTTTCCTCTCGGGTAAGGAACTGGTAGGGAGTGATGCATGAAGGGACCAGAAGGTGGGATGTGACTGTATTGTTTGTGTCGGCCCTGGTGTAAAAGATGAGGGTTTTCATGCAGTGAGGTGGGTAGTAGAGAGCAGGGCTTTGGGTGTAGAGCCTGAGAGCATCCCCCTCACCATGTTCTTGTATTTCCTCCCTCTTGCACCCTGCCCTTGTCTGGTATTTGCAATCCCGGCCCCTCCCACTTCCAGGACCTGGCTGTCCTCTGCATTGTTAGTCTCACTTTGCCACTCATTCTCTTCCCTCTGTCTATAAACATCTTAATATTGTTCATTCTCCTCCCTTTAAGTAATGGTTTGAGTGATCTGCTTTCTTTTCTCACTGACTTTTTTTTTTTTTTTTTTGGAGACGGAGTCTCACTCTGTTGCCCAGGCTGGAGTGAAGTGGCGCGATCTCGGCTCACTGCAAGCCCTGCCTCCTGGGTTCACGCCATTCTCCTGCCTCAGCCTCCTGAGTAGCTGGGACTACAGGCACCCGCCACCACGCCCGGCTAATTTTTTGTATTTTTAGTAGAGACGGGGTTTCACCGTGTTAGCCAGGATGGTCTTGATCTCCTGACCTCGTAATCCGCCTGCCTTGGCCTTCCAAAGTGGGGATTACAGGTGTGAGCCACTGTGCCCAGCCCTTTCTCACTGACTTATAAGAGTACTCTCTGTGTGCTGCTTCTGCTTGCTGGTTACCCGCCCACTCCTCTGTCTTTGCCACTCTGTTAAAGCGGCCCTCTGGGAGCCTCCCAGCACCCCCACATCCCCTCACCATCACATTCAAGCCTTTGTACCTTCTGGAAACTCTCCTGGCATGCTAGGTTTTTCCCTCCTCCTTCCCATCAGTATTGTTTGGTGAGCTCTGCAGGTCTGTCCTGTGGCTTTTTCCCTCCCTCTGTGAGCTTCCCAGGGATCTCATCTACATTTAACATTTCTTTTCTTTTCTTTTCTTTTCTTTTGAGATGGAGTTTCGCTTTTGTTGTCCAGGCTAGAGTGCAATGGCATGATTTTAGCTCACTGCCACCTCTGCCTCCTGGGTTCAAGCCTCAGCCTCCCAAGTAGCTGGGATTACAGGCATGCGCCACCACGCCCAGCTAATTTTGTATTTTTAGTAGAGATGGGGTCTCTCCGTGTTGGTCAGGCTGGTCTCAAACTCCCGACCTTGGGTGATCTGCCCACCTTGGCCTCCCAAAGTGCTAGTGTTACAGGTGTGAGCCACTGCACACGGCTGTGTGCAGGATCATTCTTTTGCCTGGTGTTCGAGACTCCACACAATATTCCCTGAGCCTGCCCTTCCAACCTTACTTCCCAAGTTATTTTACTCCTCTGTAGCTATCTGACACTCTAGCCACCCCAGCTTGCCCAGGGGTGCACCCTGGCTTTGCCAGTGCCGCTCTGCACCCTCAGGTGCCCTTACCCCATGCACCCTTCCGTTCACATGCTGCCATGCAGACCGGATAGGCAGGGCTATGCTGTGCTGACAAAATACTCCATTCCAAACTCTCAGGGAAGTAATAATAAAGGTCACCTGTCCGTTGCACACTGTACTAGCAGGAGGGCTCTGCCCTGTCTGAGTCTGCCGTAGGGGCTTGAGCTGGAGAGGCTCTTCTCTCTGGAATGTTGTTGGTCAGTGTTGCAGTTGGAAGAGAGCCTGGAAGCTGGCTTTTAACCCTCTGTGCACTTTCCCTTGACCATTACTAGTCGCATTGTTGTGCCTGATATCAAGGGGTGAGGAGGGGTAACCCTGCGTGCTCTGAGAGGTGGAGAGACCTCACTTCTGATGGAAGCTGGACACGCCCACCCCACCCACTTACCCCTCAAGTCCCCTTAACTGCCATATCTTGTGAGGTGGTTCTTGGTTCTCTCTTCCTTGTCCCCATCAACCCAACTCAGGCTGGAAATGAGCATTTCTTCCTCTGGACTCCTGTAACCCTTCATCTCTTCTCCCTTCCTTGAATTATGGTGATTTCATGCATACCTTTCCCCTTTTCTTGCCTGTATTCCAACCATCTTTTCCTCCTTCTATTCTTAGTATTGCCTTTTCCACATAACAGTCTCATAAATGGCTAGATGGTTTGTGGGGTGCAGAAGCAGGGAGACTAGGTGTATATAGAGCTAGTTCAGACAAGCTGGGGTAGGGGCCCGAGCTGTGGCAGCAGTGAGGAAAGGGGGATTGCAGAGATGGAGCCATGACCAAGCTTTGCATAAATGAGGAAAGCACAGTGACATGGAAGTGCTGTGTGTCAGCAGAAGAATACCATGGAGATTTGAGTGCTATTTCCTCACAGCTGCATGTGCCACCAGAATAAAGTGTACCCACTGGATTGTGGTGTATTACTTAAGTATCACCATGATCACATAAATCACCATGGAGCTTTCGAAGCACAAAAAGAATGCCTTTCAGAGGAAATTGTTATTTGAAGGAGTTGGCTGCTGAGTGTTAGAAATCATCTAGGGTTAGAAATCATCCTCAGTAACAGAGGGCAGGTGAGCTACAAATTGACTAGAAGAAACATGGCCCCTGTCATCCCTGGGCAGGGACACATGCATAGCTATTTTAAGATTAGGTTAAACTGATTCTGTTAGCTGCAGGTCTGGATCTTCCTGAAACATGGGGGCCAGGGCAGGGGGCAGCTGCAGCTGTTTAATGTGGCTCCTCTTGGCTTCTGGACACTTTATGGGCTGTGTGGCTGCTGGTGACACTGTTGGACCAGAGAAGTTCAGATCCTGCTATACCATTACCCTTTTACAGTCGAAGCTCTCATATTCATTTGGGAAGAACAATAAAAATTTCCAGTTAAGGAAATGCTTACAGACAGTTGGTGCTTGAACTAGCTCAGCAGCAGCAAGGCCACATCCCTACCCAGGGAAGAAAGGCAGAGTCCCCAGCCCAGTGCCTTGAATGGTATCTCTGCCTCAACTTCCCCAGAGTTCCAAAAAGTCTGCTAGTCTGCTGTGGGTGTGGTTCGTTTAAGACAGGGTCTCACTTTGTCACCCAATGAATGCCACCCCTTAAGTAGGCAGAGCCATGCCCATCCTATAGATGAGGAAGCCGAAGCTCCCAGGGTCACTCAGATAGTGTGGCTAAAGCTAGGTCATTCTAGCGGGGATTTTTACAAGCTGTGTTAAAAATGTCATCAGAGGTAAGGGCCGATCTCAGTATTTGGTTGGAGTAATTAGTCCATTTAAAAAAATCTCATTTTGAACTCATTTTTTCTAGATAACCTCTTTGTGCCCAACCAGAACGGATACTACTGTCACTCTCAGACAAGCTTGGATAGAGCCCAGATTGACCTCAACGGTCGGATCCGTAATGGCAGTGTCTACAGTGCACACAGCACCAACTCCTTAAATAATCCTCAGCCCTACTTGCAGCCCTCGCCGATGTCGTCCAACCCTAGCATCACCGGGAGTGACGTCATGAGGCCTGACTACCTCCCGTCCCATCGGCACAGCGCCGTGATACCCCCGTCCTACCGCCCCACCCCAGACTATGAGACTGTGATGAAGCAGCTCAACAGGGGCCTGGTGCATGCGGAACGGCAGAGCCACTCGCTGCGAAACCTCAACATCGGCAGCTCGTACGCCTACAGCAGGCCCGCGGCGCTGGTCTACAGCCAGCCCGAGATCCGCGAGCACGCACAGCTCCCCTCGCCAGCGGCCGCACACTGCCCGTTCAGCCTGAGCTACAGCTTCCACAGCCCGTCTCCCTACCCCTACCCTGCCGAGCGGCGGCCCGTGGTGGGCGCGGTCAGCGTGCCGGAGCTGACCAATGCGCAGCTGCAGGCGCAGGACTACCCGTCTCCCAACATCATGCGGACGCAGGTGTACCGGCCACCCCCACCCTACCCGCCCCCCAGGCCCGCCAACAGCACGCCAGACCTGTCCCGCCACCTTTACATCAGCAGCAGCAACCCCGACCTCATCACGCGGCGCGTGCACCACTCGGTGCAAACGTTCCAGGAGGACAGCCTGCCCGTGGCGCACTCGCTGCAGGAGGTCAGCGAGCCCCTCACCGCCGCGCGCCACGCGCAGCTGCACAAACGGAACAGCATCGAGGTGGCCGGGCTCAGCCACGGCCTGGAGGGCCTGCGGCTCAAGGAGCGCACCCTATCCGCGTCGGCGGCAGAGGTGGCGCCGCGAGCCGTCTCGGTGGGCTCCCAGCCCAGCGTTTTCACCGAGAGGACACAGCGAGAAGGGCCGGAGGAGGCGGAGGGCTTGAGGTACGGCCATAAGAAGTCCCTGTCGGACGCCACCATGCTAATCCACAGCAGCGAGGAGGAGGAGGACGAGGACTTCGAGGAGGAGAGCGGGGCCCGGGCGCCTCCTGCACGTGCGCGCGAGCCTCGGCCCGGCCTGGCCCAGGACCCACCTGGCTGCCCTCGCGTCCTGCTCGCCGGGCCCCTGCACATCCTGGAGCCCAAGGCCCACGTCCCAGACGCGGAGAAGAGGATGATGGACAGCAGCCCCGTCCGCACGACCGCAGAGGCCCAGCGGCCCTGGAGAGACGGGCTGCTGATGCCCTCCATGTCGGAGTCCGACCTCACCACGTCAGGCCGCTACCGAGCCCGGAGGGACTCTCTGAAGAAAAGGCCGGTGTCGGACCTTCTCTCTGGGAAGAAGAACATCGTGGAAGGGCTCCCGCCTCTAGGGGTAAGCCACGCGGCGAGCAGTGCCGGGCCAGGGGACCGCGCGTTCGCCCTGGCGCTTCTTTCACTCATCACGTCCCGTGTTTTTCAGCTCCTCTTGTTCTTTTAACGTTCTTCATTCCCCCACGTCACTCTCTTTTTGTCTAATTCTGAACACATTTAAATTTATGGAAATCATGGGGATCCACTTGAATTTTAGTGGTTTTACTGGAGATAATTATTATAGATGAAGTGAAAAGGTAAATTCACAGGGTTTTGTCGAAATGGAAAAGATGAATGAAATGTTTTAGTAATGCACTGTTAAGGGAAAGACAGTTAAGATTTCATTACTTTAGCCACGATTGCTTTAGCCACCCATTAAAAATACTGTGGGTGATGTGGCACCCCAGGGGTGCATTTGTTTAGTTTGCTCAAGAGATATCTGAAAAAAGCATCCAGGAAAGTGTACCCAATCCTAATATAATTCTCCAGGTTGGAGTGTGTGTGGATACAGCTTACATATCTTGGCCGTGATTCTCCAGAGTGATTCTGGAGTTGGGAAGGTGGCACTTTGTTAAGGCAAATCCTGAGACGTCCAGGTTTCTTAAATTTAAAAGAAAGATGAATTCAGCTGAGAATCTAAGGAAAGTCCCCGGTAGAAGATGCAGTTCTTTAATATTCAGCCTAATAAATAAATATGAATTAAGCACTTTTTACCTACTTTGAAGCAAAATATAAAAAAGCATAGTAGCATCATCTCTAGCTACCATCCTTGGAGCATTTGCCATGGGCCAAGCATTTCCTCTACTTTTGTGGCCTATTTACAGTAAGCCTATTGTTATGCCTGTTTTACAGATGAAGAAACAGACTTAGATATTAACTAACTTTTCCAAGGTCACATGACTAGTGAGTGACTGAACTGGAATTTTAAACCCATACTTAGAAGCCCATTCTGTTATCATCTACACTGTAGATGTATGTTCTGCATTGAAGTATACTGTATATGTTCTATTAAGTCATAATTGCTTGTTGAAGCCTTGCTAGTCTTTCACTGAAACTTTTAAACTCAGTCCTTAACCTGGGACTAAGCATCTGCGGCCTTGTCATGAAGTGTGTCCACCGAAGTGATTTTGTTGCAGTGCTCAGGCTTCCAGCTCTTCCTGGCCCACATCTCCACTCCTCATGCCCTGCACTTGAGCCAGGCTAACTTGATTAGGGCCTCCATCCTATCTCCTGTTGGCTTCCAGTGTCCTGGCAACTAGGGTTCTCCTCCCCCCATCGCTGCTAAACTGCAAACTCCGACAGGACGGCTCATCTCAAGTGTGGTTCTGGCCTAGTGTATGACATCCTTTAAGATGCTGCAAACATCTTGCTAAACAGGAAAAAACGCACACTATTATAGTACTTATGAAAGAGATTAATGTACATAGACAAAAACTACTTAACAAAAAAAGTACCACAGATTTAAATTTGCTTTTTTTTTTTTTTTTTTTTTTTTAGAACAGTCTTGCCCTGTTGCCCAGGCTGGAGTGCAGTGGTGTGATCTCAGTTCACTGCAACCTCTGCCTCCTGGGTTCAAGCGATTCCCCTGCCTTGTGATCTGGCTGCCTCAGCCTCCCAAAGTGCTGGGATTACAGGTGTGAGCCACCACACCTGGCCTAAATTTGCTTTCTTTTAATAAGTTTTGGGTTTGAATTTTAAGTTGATTTTTAAATTTTTCACAAGTATGCAACATAACTCACATCCCTGAACAGTAAAGGCCAATGCCTTCAGTGGACACAGATTTAAGAGTGTAGGGAGCAGTGATTCAGGATAAGGTGTGGGTAGATTTTCCAAAGTAACTCTACCTGAATCCCTGAGCCAGCTGGACAGGGTCCTTTTATAGTTAACACCCTTCCCATTGCATTAAGAACGGTCTGTTTTTATGTGTGACTCACGTACTTTCCCCAAATGCTATCTGAGTACAGCTCAGTACTCAGGCCTATTTTATCCCTGTATGTTTTGAATGGGGTCTGGTAGGTTCAGTTAAATCTGAGGACTTTGATCAATTTGGTTCTCTTAAAAGAACTTTTCTCTCCCATTGACTTTTAAGACCACAATACTAGTAAAATTATGTGATTGGATTATGTTTTTGGTCCTTTTTGCTTAAAGGATTCTACTTAAGGAATGGGTATGGCAGCTGTGGTCACGAGGAAAGAGCAAAGGTCCTACAAGTTAAGAACGTTGGGGCTGAGTCTAGAGCCTGCCATTTGTTAGTTCTCTGTGACCACGGTCAGGACCCTTCATGCGTCAGAACCTCAGCTTCCACATCAGATAACCTCAGATCATGAGGACGGTCATCCCTTCGCTGCCTGCTTCGTGGCATTATGTCCCACATGCAGTTAGGCATGAAAAAATGCCTCCTGAATTACATGATTCAGTGTAACTGATTTTAACCAAAGATTTGCTTTTATTTGTTTTGACACTGATTACCTTGTAAAAGAGGCAGCCATGTGACCTCAGACAAGCTATTTAATCTGTGACTCAGTTTTTACATTTGTAAATGAGAGGACCCCAGAGAGTTGTTGGGGGGATAAAAATGAGGTTCTGGCACATTGAAAGAGATTAGTCAATATTAACATTACTGTGAGGTGGCATCATATATTTAACTTAATGGCTTTCAAGAGTGGAAGAGGCCAATTCCCTATTGTACCCTCTGACCTTTCATAGTAACATGGGGTTGCCATTATCTTAATCGTTACAACAAATTTCCTAATGTGAATTAAGGTTATGGAGGTTTAGTATTAAAAACAGTGAAATAAACTGTAGACAAGTAGGAATGATTTTAGAATTCTCCACCCATCTCCACCTCCAGCAACCTGATTGTTATCTTAAAGGCAGACTGGTTTGGGTGCTCATATATCTACATAAAGATTTTCTTTTTGTTGTACCCTTTAGTGCAGTGGTTCTCACATAAGAAATCACTGTGCAGGGTATGCATTAAAATCCTGTGCTTATATTCTAAGGGCTAATTAAGGCATATTCAAGGCTAGTTTTGACTACATACAACATTCTTCCAATACTGGCTTTTGAACTGACCTCACAGCCAATCAGCTTTATCCAGCGTGTCCCAGTGTGGGATATTTTGAGTCATTTTCAGGCAGAGAAGTGCCAGAGCTAGTTCATATTGACTAGCAAGAGCCGACTTAAATGTTCAGGAACCTTGTGAGCCAATTGATGTGACATTAACAGTTTGAAATTGGCTGTGATGGGAGTATTTACACCATGGATATGGGCAAACACCGATCAAAACTTCCTTCCAAGAGCCTGTTGTTAAATATTACCAGCACATCACTGTTTTCTGCACGTTAGAATCATTAAATTTCAGCCTAAGCAGGAAGTGTTTAGTCTGTATGCCTGTGTCTGGATATATCTGTCTCTTTCTGTCTAGGTGAGGCTTACAGAGGAAAGGTGACTTGCCTGAAAGAAGTTGGTCAGTTAGAGGCCAGATGTGAACCCAGGCCTCTGCTGTTTATAGTCTAGACTGCATTATGTGGGGAGCTCATGATCAAATATTAATTATAAAATTAAAAATTAATCCACTTAGCTTATTGAGTTAGGTACCAATCACAGTCTCCAATTACAGCAGCAATCTTTTAGGATTTTTTTCCTCTCTCACCAAGTTGCCTTTTCCCTCTGTTCTTGCACCATTATCATGGGGCTTCATGGCCTGTTACAGGCTGAGAGAGCTGGAATAACACGGATTTTGTTTACAGGGCAGAACCATTATTTTCCAGTTGGGGCTACTCATTATATTGATATCATCCAAGGAAGTGTAGTATATCCAACGAAACTTAGTGTTCTTTTTTTTTTTGGAGACGGAGTCTCACTCTGCCTCCAGGCTGGAGTGCAGTGGCACGATCTCAGCTCACTGTAATCTCCACCTCCCAGGTTCAAGCCTTTCTCCTGCCTCAGCCTCCCGAGTAGCTGGGATTACAGGCATGTGCCACCACGCCCAGCTAATTTTTGTATTTTTAGTAGAGACGGGGTTTCACCATATTGGCCAGGATGGTCTCAATCTCCTGACCTCGGCCTCCCAAAGTGCTAGGATTACAGGCGTGATCCCCCGCACCTGGTCAACTTAGTGTTCTTATGCTTACTATTCTCAGAGAGGAAAATCATGCTCTAATAATAATTTTAGGAAACACTTGATTTCAGGAGACAAGATTTTGTTGATGCTTTCTCTTCTGTCCTATCCTCCTGGTGTCATGATGGAGATTTTAGCCCTGTTTTATTTTCCTTGTTTAAAAACGTAGCCGTTCTGAGAGGTAGCGTGATCTAACCCGGGTCATCTAAGTCTGCACTAGAATGCAGAGTAGCATATGAGGAGGGGGCTTAACACACAAAGGGGGCTGCTGCAGAAACCATTTAATTTTTCAGAATGACTTAAAGAATTTATATATTTTAAAAATTATAAAAAGCTGTCCGGGCATGGTGGCACACGCCTGTAATCTCAAGCACTTTGGGAGGCCAACACTGCTTAAGTTCAGTTGTTTGAGACCAGCCTGGGCAACATAGTGAGACCCCATCTCTACAAAACACACAAAGATTAGTTGGGCATGGTGGCATGTGCTGGTAGTCCCAGGTACTCGGGAGGTTCAGGTGGGATTGCTTGAGACTGGAGGTTGAGGCTGCAGTGAGCTATGATGGTGCCCCTGCATTCCATCCAGCCTGGGTGACAGAGTGAGACCCTCAAAAAAAAAATTTATAAAAGCTTACTATAGTCAATTGATTGCATTTAAAGCTTTTGTTTTTTTTTTTTTTTTTTTTTTTTGGACTTCAGCTGATTTGTTACGTCTGTCTTGTTTTAAAAGGAATGCAGTCTGCCTGGAGCCTCACCTTTCATTACAACAGAACTTTGTAACCAATAGTGTTTCAAAACCTTCTATCTGGAAGACTTTATCAGGGCTTTGGCCTTGAAAGGAATGTCTTCCTACTAATGTTTGTTAAACAAGTGGTGTGTGAAGGAGTGTAATCTTTCTGGGTTTATTGGCAAAGGAGAACACTCCCTCTGTGTGTTCCTGGTCTTCAGTGCATTGAAACTTCTTTTCACAGGGGTTGTATTTGTGTATATTTCATATATACATATAAATCCTTTTACAGGGAATGAAAAAGACTCGAGTAGATGCAAAAAAAATTGGTCCTCTTAAACTGGCTGCCCTAAATGGACTCTCCCTATCTCGAGTGCCTCTGCCTGATGAAGGAAAGGAAGTGGCTACCAGAGCAACGAATGATGAAAGGGTATGTATGGGACACACAGGGCTTTGTGCCTTCTCTGGAACAACCGGTAAATACTACGCAAATGCCTTCATGAGATTTTGGTGAATTTTCTAACACAATTTAATAATAAATGAGTGTTAAGGAATTTTGTAATATGGGCCTCAAAATTGGGGCAAATGTATAGCTAATGTCTTAATAGATAATTTCAGGTTCGAATGCTGATTTTTTGTTTGTTTGTTTCTCAGTGTTCTTTTTTACCTTCTCCTGGCCTTTTGGAGCAGTCTTGATTTTGATGGCCTTAAAGTGAGAAGAAATCTACAAAAATACAGGAGCATACAGGGGAAAAGCAGCAGACATTGACTTTTATTATACTGAAAGTTTATCTCGAGAGTAGTTTCTCAATTTTTCAAAACTTCCTTTGTGCCTGAGGTGTATTTTCTATGAGGTTTTATTACATCAAAATCAGATAGGCATACATTTGCTTTACAACGGGATCCTGGAGGTAGTTTCGAATATTTCCTACTGCTTTAGTCTTTTATATATCGTATGACATAAAATGGAAACATTTGTTCATAGCTGTTGGAACTCATTATCCGTCCCCTAGATTTACTTACTGTTCCCCAGGAGAATTCCATCTATTAGGGGTCACAAAATTGACCACAGATCTAGAGAAAATGAATTCAACAAATTTCTTTAGGCCAATTTTCAACTTTAAACAAAAGTTTGCATTATATTTCTCACCAAAATGATTGTCTTTTGTTCTTTTAACTCTTGTTGTTGTGGCTTTTTAAAATTTTAACTTCATTTTCACCTAGAATTTTGTTTCTGTTTTGGTTTTGGTTTGGTTTTTTTGAGATAGGTTCTCATGGTTCACTGCAGCCTCAACCTCCTGGGCTCAAGCAATCCTCCTGCCTCATCCTCCCAAGTAGATGGGACCACAGGCATGCACCACCACACCTGGCTCGTTTTTTAATTTTTTGCAGAGACGGGGTCTCACTGTGTTTCTCAGGCTGGTCCTGAACTCCTAGGCTCAAGTGATCCTCCCTCCTTGGCCTCCCAAAGTGCAGGGATTACAGGCATGAGACACCGTGCCCAACCTAGAATTTTCAATATTATACAGTGCTAGATTTGAAGCAGAAAACAAGATTTCAAATATACAGTCAAAAGGTAGCCACGACGTGTGGCTGTATTCATGTTATTACACATATTCTGTTTTATAGTGTAAAATTCTGGAACAACGATTAGAACAAGGAATGGTATTCACAGAATATGAAAGAATTCTTAAGAAACGGCTAGTTGATGGGGAGTGCTCAACAGCACGACTCCCTGAAAATGCAGAAAGAAATCGATTCCAAGATGTTCTTCCTTATGATGATGTGAGAGTGGAGTTGGTCCCAACTAAAGAAAACAACACTGGTTACATCAACGCATCACATATTAAGGTGAGAGGAACGCCTCAAGTAATCAACAGCACATGCAGTTTCAGTTAAGTTACAAGAATGGTAAGAATTGTATTCATGTCTGTTTAGAATTCAGATATTTTAAAATTTATTTTTATTGTATTGTTTTAGATAAACACCCTAGTTTTAAACATTTGTGACAAACTGTACTGCAAGCTGGGAAATCCACATACCAGTGCTAGATAAAAAGCGTCTATCAGACAGAGCCAAAGTCATGTCTACTCTCCATGTGCGAAACCACTCTGCCCCCAACACTGTTACCAGGACTCAGGGCGCACTTATTTGCCCGGCTTTTTTTTTTTTCTTTTGCCTTTTTTGAGATAGAGTCTTGCTCTGTCGCCCAGACAGGTGGAGTGCAGTGGTATGATCATGGCTCCCTACAGCCTTGACCTTGTGTTGCCTGGCTTTAGAACTTTGTCCTTCTAAATCTGAAGACCTCTTTTTAGCTCATAAATTCTGGGAGCCACTGAATTGCTAGTTTTTCCTCATCACATACTGACATGCATTTTTATGTAACAAAAGTGTCTGGGCTTTTTGATGGTGTTCACAAAAGCTTTCAACTTACCAAGGTGCCATCTGTTCTCTTTACATACTCTTTATAATAATTTTTAAGTATCATTTTTTTTCTTTGAAGAAGTGCTTTTTTCCTGGAACCAGTATAATGCCATTAAACTGGGGTAATGTTTATGGTGAGAGATAGGGGGTCCAGTTTTACTTTTCTGCTTATGGATATCCAGTCTTCCCAGTCCCATGTATTTAAGAGGCTGTCCTTCCCTAGTGTATGTTCTTGGCACCTTATCTGGGGTAATATCACTCCTATGAAAATGGACAAAATGATGATTCACAACACATGATGGAATAAAGCCAGATGTTCCCTCTTCCTCATTGTACCCTTTGTTCATGCTGGCCACATTCAATTCTTTATTTTGGGAAGGAGAAATCTCATGGTGAGTGAATGAGTAACTGTGGACAGGTGGTGGTTTTTTTCTTTAGTTTGCAAGTATTATTTGAGAAGGGAACAAGCTGACACCAAGGCTTTCTGGAGACTGGCAGTCTGCCTGTGAATGCCAGTACCCCTTGATGGCTTTTGGGAATCTATGCACATACTATTTTGTTTTTAAATATAATATCAGCATAATTTACTTAAAAACCGAGCATTTCCTTGAAATAACTCATCCAGTCTCTCATGACTAGATGGATAAGAATGAATGATACTGTAGTTCTGTAGTGATATTTCAAAATCTTCAGCAGCCACTTGCAGAATAGAGGAAAGAATTTGATAGACCTGGGTCTGACGCCTAGATCTAAAATGAGGTGGGACCTCACTTTATAAGCTGTGTTGTGGGACCTCATCTCACTTACATGGAAATAAATAAATGATGACACCTACCCTGCCAGCTTCTCACTAGTCCCCTCCTCCTCCCTAGTGTTTATTCACTGTTATAACCTGGTACTCATCCACAGTGGCAGCCACTGGGTGCTCAGTG
Source organism: Homo sapiens (assembly GCF_000001405.40). Taxonomy (NCBI): domain Eukaryota; kingdom Metazoa; phylum Chordata; class Mammalia; order Primates; family Hominidae; genus Homo; species Homo sapiens. The sequence goes on along the minus strand of NC_000014.9, from coordinate 88,470,738 downwards.
AGACGATGTGGAGCGGTGACTAGGGGGCTGGCAGCCCTGAGTGAGAGTGCGTGTGGCACAAGGCTTGGCACTGGGTTTTACGTTTAGTGAGTGTTTGGAGACAGTTATTGTCGTCACTCAATATTGGTGAAGCCAAGATTTAACCCAGGTCTCTTAACCACAAATCTAGTAATTACTGTTGTATTAGACTGCTCTCAAGGAAGTTAAATCTGAAGTGGAAACTTAATATTATTGTGGAGAGTGACCTTGACTCAGAAGTTCAGAGGTGAGACTATCTTAAGTAGGAAGGTTTTTTTTAAAGAAGAGGCACCATGTCTGCAATAACAGCTACTTATTGAGTTATGTGCCAGGTACCATAGATACTGACTCAGTCCTCACAATGACCCTATGACGGTAGGCAGTATCTTTATTGTATAAATGAGAACTGACATTCAGCAAGGTTAAACAGGTTGCATAGATATTATGTATATTCACAGTACCTAAGTTTATAAAAATGTCAGTAATGCAAATTGTATTCACAAGGGAAAAGATGAAAAGTCTTTCCTTATTCTGCTGAATAATCCAGTTTACTACTTTTTTACTTTTTACTTTTTTAAAAAAACTTTTTTAGTACTACCATGAATGCATGCATACATACCTATGTATATTATACCCACACATCAATTTTTTTAACCTTTTCTAATCCCAGGTCTCTGTCAGTGGAATCGAATGGGATTATATTGCCACACAGGGACCATTACAGAATACCTGTCAAGATTTTTGGCAGATGGTATGGGAACAGGGAATTGCAATTATAGCAATGGTGACAGCAGAAGAGGTAGGTACTTATTTCTCTTAAGTGATTTTCTCAGCCTCTGAAGAACAGTTAATGTTAATCATCTGGAATCCTGACCTGTGGAGAAAAAGGCAGGGTAGGGTTGTGGTTCTGTTTCAGATGTGCCGTCTATGTGAGAAAGGCATCCATTGCCGGATCTCGAGTCATTTAACCATGCTCATCTTTAACAGGAGGGTGGAAGGGAGAAGAGCTTTAGGTACTGGCCACGACTTGGTTCCAGGCACAACACTGTCACCTATGGAAGGTTTAAGATCACGACCCGGTTCCGCACAGACTCTGGCTGCTATGCCACCACAGGCCTGAAGATGAAGCACCTCCTTACTGGGCAAGAGAGGACCGTCTGGCACCTCCAATACACAGACTGGCCTGAACATGGCTGTCCAGAAGACCTCAAGGGATTTTTATGTGAGTGACTTTAACTTTGTTCCGAGGACAGCTGCCTCTGGAGGTGTTAAACAGAGAGGAACATTTATGTTTCCGAAATATTTCCTTTATGTTATCTCATATAAGCTTCGGACTTGTTTTAACATAAAGAATACAAGTGTTTTGGGGAGGGTTAACGAGGTTTATAAATTATGATTTGGTAGTGAGTAGAATGCCACAGCTGACTCAGTATCTCCGTCATTTCATTTTGTAGATCAGAAAGTGGACAGAGGTAGTGACTTGCTCAGGGTCACACTGTCCCTTTGTGGTTGGGTTTGGTTCACTGGCACCCAGTGCTCTTTATCTGCAGTCCTCTTAATCAGTGGAGAGAATATGAAGATTGAGTCAACAATGTGATACGCCTTGATCCTTGAGTACTTTTCTATTTCATTGATTTTCCACAGCATATCTTGAAGAGATCCAGTCTGTTCGACGCCATACAAATAGCACAAGTGATCCCCAAAGCCCCAACCCTCCGTTGTTGGTCCACTGCAGTGCTGGGGTAGGAAGGACTGGCGTGGTGATTTTGTCGGAGATCATGATCGCCTGCCTGGAACACAATGAGGTGATGGCGCTTATGATCACCTGGCCTTTTTGGGTGGAAATGAGGCTGGGGAAGAGAGGGACATAGTGACTTAATAGCTCTTTTTGCGCACATTTCCTTGGACTGTGGTGGCCTCAAGATGTTACTAATGTTCCCTGCAAAAGGCTGTGTCTTCTTGGAGAGTCTCAGTACCAATTAGCATATTAAAGACTAAGAAGTCATACGATAAATAAAGCTGTTTAATTTTGTTTTACTTGCCCAGGGTTTTTCAAATTTGAGCTCAGAATTCTTTTTCTGTTTACATTTCAAGGATGATTCATGCTGCCCAGAGCCCTTGAGGGAAATAGCTAGATACTGATAGCACTTAGCACACTATGTTTTTGTATAATTTTGGTATTTAGTGAGACATGGTAATTATGTCCAACCATACAAAGTCAGTGAGCTACACCTGGGGAATGTTGAAGAAATAGTCTGCATGGACATTCTATTTATAGCTAAAACTAATCAGAAAATCAGAAGTAGGCAATCATGGCTTATTTCTAGAAGACGCTAAGGTGGAAAAGAGACTGTCCATCTCCCAACCAGGTTTCTGCCAGGACACTCGTGTCCTCCCATCCTTTCTGTCTCCCCAGGGGAACACATTATCTTCATTACCGTTTCTCTCAACCTAGGTGCTGGACATCCCGAGAGTGCTGGACATGCTGAGGCAACAGAGAATGATGCTGGTGCAGACTCTCTGCCAGTACACATTTGTGTACAGAGTCCTCATCCAGTTCCTGAAAAGCTCCAGGCTCATCTAAGCTCCCACAATTTCTTACGGGGCCAGTCATGTGAAGCGTTTACAGCTTAAAAAAAAAGCGCTTGCCTAACTCATACTTTCCCGTTGACACTTGATCCACGCAGCGTGGCACTGGGACGTAAGTGGCGCAGTCTGAATGGCGGCACGCTGAAGGAAACGTGCGAAGCACAGGCTGAAGAGGGGTTTCTAACCTGGGAAAGGTGCTCAAGGAGGACTTGGTTTCAAGGGCCTTGCCCTGCCCCGGTCTGTCCGGTTTGCAGTACTTGCACACATTTTGGAGATTGTATTTTCTAGACAATTCTCTATTTTACTGAAGCTATGCTGGGCAATTCTGGCAATCATTAAAGTGCATAGATTTCTATCTTAAACTAATTTTTGATAATGGAGTTTTTATTTTATGACAAATATTTAGGGATTTTTCTAGTGAGAAACAACTTTGTGTAAGGATGATCCACAGATATGAGTTGCTCCTATATAACTTTGTATTTAAAAATCATGTTATTATCTTTTGTTATTTTTTAAAAACCTTGGGTACTTAATAATGGTTTAGTTGCCAAACTGAAAACTATACTGAGAATCTGTGTTATTTTGAAACATCAAAAGGATTTTTCTATCCAGAACATTTTTTATCCTAAAAATTCTATATAGTTGTACCTTCTGTTTTTCAAATGAGAGCTCAATTCATTTAGATACTGAAATGAGTCAGTTAATGTAAAGTTGAGGATGAAGGCACATTATTTAAAATGTAAGAGAATAAGCATTATTTTTTCAGTATTATTCATAGATCTAAATGAATTTGATTTTATTGGTTGAAAATGAAGTGAAAAACAATTGCCTAGGGTGGTTTTAAGCACTTTTTTGTTAAAAACAAATCTGAGTTTTAATATATGTGTTGCTTTGTAGATGACACAATAACAATGGGCGCTGAGAAGCGTTTTGGGAGAGATTAAGGACTAAGAGTATGTAAGATGACTAGGACAAGAGTAGGTGGAGTGTGATGGTAAATGCAGGATGCCTTCGTCTTTACAAAAATGCAGTATTATCTATACTCAGACTGAGGTGCTGGGATGGCGAGCAGGGGACCCCACAGCACTGTCCCCAGGGAATTCAAGTCCTGTGACCGCCAGTGACTTACTCCGTTTCCTTGGGGCTTTTCCCACCTCAACCTGTATTGTTTCTTTTTCATAAATAAATTCAGCATTATAGTATCATTAAAAGAAGCCTTAAAGAGGCGTATTTTTCCTTTTGGTTGAAGGAAGGGAATAGTTAATAATAGTTTTCACCTCTTCTCCCAAAAAGTACAGTCCAAATTTGTGCACAGAGATTGCTGTGGTATTCAAGAGGTACTTGCATTTTAGCTCCTTAATAATTCCCTGGCCAGTGTTAGCTGTTTAGTGCCCCCTCACCCATCCCATTTAGGCACATCCCAATAGACAGAGCCAGGCTGAGTTACAGGGGGAGAGTGTCATCTCTGGCCCCGATTAAGATGGCCTTGTCACAGTGACCGCTGAGTAGGCATGGATGAGTGGGATATTTAGCTGAGGAACCCTTTCCCTTTTCCTTCTTTTTGGGGTCTCTTCTTACAGTGAACTTCCAAAATGTCAAATCTAGGGCTGTTTCCCAAATTACACTATTCTAGGCATCATTTTGATTCCCATGTCACTCCTTAACTCACTTCCTTGAGCACTACATGTATGTTGTCAGCCACGAGACAGGACTTCCTAAATAGTGTGTGCACCAGCCTAACTCTGCCTTACCCAGAAACCAACCACCTAAGAGGAAAACTCAGAAGATATTAATGAAAACTAATTGAAAGTACGCACACTTCTCATGTAGGAACAAAATTAAAATTTTACATTTTTATTTTACAAAATTAAAAAATTACATTTTGTAGGAACAAAATGTAAATTTTGTAAATACAAAATTCTTTTTAAAGTCCTGTTTAAAGAACAGTAGAACTAAGTGAAAATATTCAGAACGAGCTCCTTAGAAGAAAGGAATAAGAACTTTTTACTGGAACTATTTTCCATCTCTAGAAAAAGTGCTTCTTCCCCTCCCCCTCCCTCTCCATGGTACGTTTTTGTGAAAATGCTTTTCTGTCAGGTTTAAACAAACAGTTTGACATAGCTCGTTGACAAGAACATATTGTAAAACAAATCTAATTAAAGAGTAATATGTGGTCTATTTGTGTTCCTGTTGTAATAATTTGATAAGTAAACTTCTGAGGGCAAAATTACTGTTTAATATTACTCTTAAAATGTTGCATGTTTGGCGTCATTCCTAAGAGCCATGTAATTTTAAACTTTTAATTGCAGTTAGTGAATATGAAAGGATTTCTGAATAAAAATCTATCCACATTACTGAGCTTTGAAATAGTATCATTTTCAAGAGCAAACTAGAACATTAAGGGTTCATAGGTTTACTGCCTCTGAAATGAGTATATTAATGTCTGCCAAACTTACACAATGCTTCATGTATCTTAGTGTCTTTTAATAAGAATTATCAAAATGTGCACTTCCACAAAACGTAGAGTTATAAACCACTGTTTTCCACTGATCAATTTTGGTATCTCTGGTATCAGTTTTCCTGATTAGTGGGGTCTTTTGATGAAATAGTTTAGCTTAGTTGGTAGTTTTGAGCACAGAAAGTACTCATTTTATTTTTTATTTTTGAGACGGAGTCTTGCTCTATTGCCCAGGCTACAGTGCAGTGGCATGATCTCGGCTCACTGCAACCTCTGCCTCCTGGGTTCGAGTGATTCTCCTGCCTCAGCCTCCTGAGTAGCTGGGATTACAGGCATGCACCACTATGCCCGGCTAATTTTTGTATTTTTAGTGGAGACGGGGTTTCACCATGTTGGCCAGGCTGGTCTCCAACTCCTGACCTCAAGTGATCTGTCTGCCTCGGCCTCCCAAAGTGCTGGGATTACAGGCGTGAGCCACTGTGTCCAGCCAGAAAGTCCTCATTTTAGAATATCATTTGGAATGCTTATTGTAGTCATTAATTTCTTCTGGAACATCTACTGTGAAGCATTCAGAAAATGCTAGAACTTAGACTTTAAAACCCTTTGGTCGAATTAGAAGCTGGGCCTGTGCTTCCTTAGAAACGTCCAGAAAGCAATGTCTAGCCAGAAACAGGAGGAGGAGGGAGGAGAGTGTGGTGTTGTGGGACTGAGTGGCGACAGCATGACGTGGCCAGCTTTTCTGTGAAGCTTTCACCATCAGTCATTTCAGAAGGGTTGAGATGTTAAATGTTCACAATATTAAGAAAATTTAAATATACAACTATGTACAGTAATATAAACTGGAGATTAGCTGCAGCTTGCCAAGAGCAGGTTTATTATTTGAGATTTGCATAAAGAAATGGAAACAGGAAATTATTGTAAATAAGACTTTTTTTTTCTTTTTTGAGACGGAGTTTCGTTCTGTCACCCAGGCTGGAGTGCAGTGGCACGATCTCGGCTTACTGAAACCTCCACCTTCTGGGTTCAAGCAATTCTCCTGCCTTGGCCTCCCAAGTAGCTGGGATTACAGATGTGCGCCATTACGCCCGGCTAATTTTTAATTTTTAGTAGAGATGGGGTTTCACCATGTTGGCCAGGCTGGTCTCGAACTCCTGACCTCAGGGGATCTGCCAGCATCGGCCTCCCAAAGTGCTGGGATTACAGGCATGAGCTACCATGCCTGACTGTAAGTCAGACTTTTTAAAGGAACTCTTTTGGATAGAAATGTAGTTGAATTTGCTTATCAGCAAGATTTCATGTGGAACAAGCTAAAACTATCCCTTTCCAGTTTAAACTTAATTTTTTAAAAAAAGAATCTAAATTGCAGGGTGCTTTCTTTTGAGCTGAGGGATGGACATTTCAAAAGTAGAGGAATAGCTGCATTAGAAATTTGCCTGGGAAAACATTTCTCAAAAGAATATGAGCTTTTCAAATTCCTGGAAATAAGAACTCCATTTACCCTACTATCTAAAATTATTTATAGAAAAATGAGGAAGGCCGGTCGTGGTGGCTCACCCCTGTAAATCCCAGCACTTTGGGAGGCCGAGGCGGGTGGATCACGATGTCAGGAGTATGAGACCAGCCTGGCCAACATGGTGAAACCCCGTCTCTACTAAAAATACAAAACTTAGCTGGGCATGGTGGCACGTGTCCAGCTACTCAGGGAGGCTGAGGCAGGAGAATTGCTTGAACCCAGGAGGCAGAGGTTGCAGTGAGCCGAGATCTCGCCTCTGCACTCCAGCTTGGGTGACAGAGCAAGACTCTGTCTCAAAAAAAAACAAAACAAAAACAGAAAAATAAGGAAATGTCAGGAAATTCAGATCAAAGTTTGCATGTCTACTTGGGTAGAGAGAGTTTTAGAAAACATTTGAAGTCCTTGGATTGTTAAAGTGGTGGCATAGTTTTCTGGGTATTTCAGGTAGTTCCCAAATAAAAAATATGCTCTAAAAGTTCACTTGTATGTTGACTTTTAGTAATATTTACCCATGCAAACAATACTCTTGGTGTTAGCCTTCTTAGTTTGTGCCCTCAAAGCTTACTGAAACCATAGGGGCCCTGAAAGGTAAGCAGTGGTACAGAACCAAACCGTATCTGTATGTGTTCTGTACTCCAAGAAATTATAGGGCAACTTTTCTCCCTACTGCACCCTGCTGGTGAGATCAGAGAATAAATACTCCTGTCGGGCAGTGGCAACCAAGACTCAGAAAGCAACTGAAGTTAAGTGTCTGTTTTATGGGAAACTTTTCAGAACGTATGCCAGCGTTTGTTGCAGAAACTTGAGCTGTGCATGGGTAAGGAACAGAATGGGCCTTATAATGTGAGCAGGGATCTTGCTAATGAAACTGTCTGAAGTGGGGCAGGGGGTGAAGGAGGGCAAATTGGCAAAACTGTCCCCTACCTTTCCTGTTGCCACTTATATGTCCTCCTTAATATTACTGGCTTGAAATGGGAAGTAAGGGATGGCCCAAGAAGGAAGGTGAAGGTCTTCAGCACCCAGCTGAAGGAGCAGCAGTTCCAAGGCAAATGCTATTATATAGAGGGTATCCCTAGGTCACATACAAGTAAAATTAAGGTCTGTCTGCACATCATATTTCCAAAAATGTTGACATTACCCATGTGTATTCTAAAAAATACTTAATTTTCAAAAATCTAAAGAACATCTAAACACCTTCCAACATTTTATGGGTTACTAAAGGGATAGTAACCATATACTTTTGAGTTATGCTTTAATATTATAAATAGGGACAAACGGATGACAAGAAAGGAATCATTGTGTTTGAACTTCTGTAGAACTTCAGAAATAGTATGGCTTGCGTACTGTTCCAAATTTCTGAAAATTACTTATTAACTAGATAAATGTTTTGATCATTATTCCTTAACTTTCATTAAATGACTTTGTGGTGTGTCAAATAAACGCACTTTAAAATCTGTAAAATCCCTTGGCTCTGAATCGACAATGTGGTGTAGCTGCACTGGATATAGCAGTACACAAGCGACATAATTTCAGTGTTAATAGACCTACAATTTTAACTGAACTGGTAGGTGGTTTTTAAAGTGTGTACAAAGACTACTACTTAATTTCAGTTGTCAAATGTGAAACCACTGACATTTAAGTGTGCGTGTGTAACTTAAATTCACACTCTAAAAACTTGGTAAAACAAACATCTTCAGTATTCACTCTTAAAAACAGATGTCCATTGCCAAAGAAATTCAGAAGGTTGGATGATTACCTGGGTTAGACAGGATATGAGTCTGTCAGGCCTCAATTTTTTTAGTAGGTTGATGAGACTAGTACAGATTCAATAACTAGTTTTCATTTCTGTCTGCTCATCAGCTGAGAAAAACTGAACAAATGAACAGGGAATATAAACGTATTCATTTTTCATAAGATACAGATATTACAGGTCAGACTGTGACCATATGCTGAGACGGTCCAAATTTTTTTATCCTGGAAGTTTATTAGAAATCACTTGAAATTAATGGACCATTGAATGAGACAAATATTTTGTTACTTACAGTGATTAATATTTATTGAAATGTAATTTAATCTTAGAGTTAAGTGTCCTGAAAGGATTTTGGTAAGGTTTTGTAGTTTTACTGAAATAATACCAGTGCAACACTGGTTCAGACCAACAAACAGGTTGAAAAAACTGAATATTCTCCAGAGACAACAAGTTTATTTCTAGAACAGGTTTAATAAAAACAAGATAATACAGAATACTTAAACCCCTGTAAGTCAAACAAAAAGGTAAAGGAAAAAATGTAAGAAAAACATACTGTTTGCGGTTCCAAGATAGCCAAATAGGAACAGCTCCAGTCTACAGCTCCCAGCGCGAGTGACGCAGAAGACAGGTGATTTCTGCATTTCCAACTGAGGTACCGGGTTCATCTCACGGGGCTTGTCGGACAGTGGGGGCAGGACAGTGGGTGCAGCCCACCGAGCGTAAGCCAAAGCAGGGTGAGGCATCGCCTCAGCCGGGAAGTGCAAGGGGTCAGGGAATTCCCTTTCCTAGCCAAGGGAAGTGGTAACAGATGGCACCTGGAAAATCAGGTAATTCCCACCCAAATACTGAGCTTTTCCAATGGTCTTAGCAAACGGCACACCAGGAGATTATATCCCACACCTGGCTCGGAGGGTCCCACGCCCACAGATACTCACTCACTGCTAGCACAGCGGTCTGAGATCTATCTGCAAGATGGCAGCGAGGCTGGGGGAGGGGCATCCACCATTGCTGAGGCTTGAGTAGGTAAACAAAGCAGCCAGGAAGCTCGAACTGGGTGGAGCCCACCACAGCTCAAGGAGGCCTGCCTGCCTCTGTAGACTCCACCTCTGGGGGCAGGTCATAGCCGAACAAAAGGCAGCAGAAACCTCTGCAGACTTAAATGTCCCTGTCTGACAGCTTTGAAGTGAATAGTGGTTCTCCCAGAAAGGAGTTTGAGATCTGAGAACGGACAGACTGCCCCCTCAAGTGGGTCCCTGACCCCCGAGTAGCCTAACTGGGAGGCACCTCCCAGTAGGGGCAGACTGACACCTCACATGGCCAGGTGCCCCTCTGAGATGAAGCTTCCAGAGGAACGATCAGGCAGCAACATTTGCTGTTCAGCAATATGTGCTGTTCTGCAGCCTCTGCTGCTGATACCCAGGCAAACAGGGTCTGGAGTGGACCTCCAGCAAGCTCCAACAGACCTGCAGCTGAGGGTCCTGACTGTTAGAAGGAAAACTAACAAACAGAAAGGACATCCACATCAAAACCCCATCTGTACGTCACCATCATCAAAGAGCAGAGATAGATAAAACCACAAAGATGGGGAAAAAAGAGAGCAGAAAAGCTGAAAATTCTAAAAATCAGAGCGCCTCTCCCCCTCCAAAGGAACGCAGCTCCTTACCAGCAACGGAACAAAGCTGGATGGAGAATGACTTTGACAAGTTGAGAGAAGAAGGCTTCAGACGATCAAACTTCTCTGAGCTAAAGGAGGAAGTTTGAACCCACTGCAAAGAAGCTAAAAACCTTGAAAAAAGATTAGATGAATGGCGAACTAGAATAAACAGTGTAGAGAAGTCCTTAAATGACCTGATGGAGCTGAAAAACATGGCAAGAGAACTACGTGATGAATGCACAAGCTTCAGTAGCCGATTCGATCAACTGGAAGAAAGGGTATCAGTGATTGAAGATCAAATGAATGAAATGAAGCAAGAAGAGAAGTTTAGAGAAAAAAGAGTAAAAGGAAATGAACAAAGCCTCCAAGAAATATGGGACTATGTGAAAAGACCAAATTTATGTCTGATTGGTGTACCTGAAAGTGATGGGGAGAATGGAACCAAGTTGGAAAACACTCTGCAGGATATTATCCAGGAGAACTTCCCCAACCTAGCAAGGCAGGCCAACATTCAGATTCAGGAAATACAGAGAATGCCATAAAGATAATCCTCGAGAAGAGCAACTCCAAGACACATAATTGTCAGATTCACCAAAGTTGAAATGAAGGAAAAAATGTTAAGGGCAGCCAGAGAGAAAGGTCGGGTTACCCACAAAGGGAAGACCATCAGACTAACGGCGAATCTCAGCAGAAACTCTACAAGCCAGAAGAGAGTGGGGGCCAATATTCAACATTCTTAAACGAATTTTCAACCCAGAATTTCATATCCAGCCAAATTAAGCTTCATAAGTGAAGGAGAAATAAAATCCTTTACAGACAAGCAAATGCTGAGAGATTTTGTCACCACCAGGCCTGCTCTACAAGAGCTCCTGAAAGAAGCAGTAAACATGGAAAGGAACGACTGGTACCAGCCACTGCAAAAACATGCCAAAATGTAAAGACCATCAATGCTAGGAAGAAACTGCATCAACTAATGAGCAAAATAACCAGCTAACATCATAATGACAGGATCAAGTTCACACATAACAATATTAACCTTAAATGTAAATGGGCTAAATGCTTCAATTAAAATACACAGACTGGCAAAACGGATAAAGAGTCAAGACCCATCAGTGTGCTGTATTCAGGAGACCCATCTCACATGCAGAGACTCACATAGGCTCAAAACAAAGGGATGGAGGAAGATCTACCAAGCAAATGGAAAAAAAAGGCAGGGGTTGCAATCCTAGTCTCTGATAAAACAGACTTTAAACCAACAAAGATCAAAAGAGACAAGGCCATTACATAATGGTAAAGGGATCAATTCAACAAGAAGAGCTAATTATCCTAAACATATATGCACCCAATACAGGAGCACCTAGATTCATAAAGCAAGTCCTTAGAGACTTACAAAGAGACTTAGACTCCCACACAATAATAATGGGAGACTTTAACACCCCACTGTCAACCTTAGACAGATAAACGAGACAGAAAGTTAACAAGGATATCCAGGAATTGAACTCAGCTCTGCACCAAGCAGACCTAATAGACATCTACAGAACTCTCCACCACAAATCAACAGAATATACATTCTTCTCAGCACCACATTGCCCTTATTCCAAAATTGACCACATAGCTGGAAGTAAAGCACTCCTCAGCAAATGTAAAAGAACAGAAATTATAACAAACTGTCTCTCAGACCACAGTGCAATCAAAGTAGAACTCAGGATTAAGAAACTCACTCAAAACCGCTCAACTACATGGAAACTGAACAACCTTCTCCTGAATGACTAATGGGTATATAACAAAATTAAGGCAGAAATAAAGATGTTCTTTGAAACCAGTGAGAACAAAGACACAACATACCAGAATCTCTGGGACACATTTAAAGCAGTGTGTAGAGGGAAATTTATAGCACTAAATGCCCATAAGAGAAAGCAGGAAAGATGTAAAATTGACACCCTAACATCACAATTAAAAGAACTAGAGAAGCAAGAGCAAACACATTCAAAAGCTAGCAGAAGGCAAGAAATAACTAAGATCAGAGCACAACTGAAGGAGATACACAAAAAACCCTTCAAAAAATCAATGAATCCAGGGGCTCGTTTTTTGAAAAGATCAACAAAATTGATAGACTGCTAGCAAGACTAATAAAGAAGAAAAGAGGGGAGAATCAAATAGAGGCAATAAAAAAATGATGAAGGGGATATCACCACTGATCTCACAGAAATACAAGCTACCATCAGAGAATACTATAAACATCTCTAAGCAAATAAACTAGAAAATCTAGAAGAAATGGATAAATTCCTCGACACATACACTCTCCCAAGACTAAACCAGGAAGAAGTTGAATCTCTGAATAGACCAATAACAGGATCTGAAATTGAGGCAATAATTAATAGCCTACCAACCAAAAAAAGTCCAGGACCAGATGGATTCACAGCCGAATTCTACTAGAGGTACAAGAAGCTGGTACCATTCCTTCTGAAACTATTCCAATCCATAGAAAAAGAGGGAATCCTCCCTAACTCATTTTATGAGGCCAGCATCATCCTGATACCAAAGCCTGACAAAGACACAACAAAAAAAGAGAATTTTAGACCAATATCCCTGATGAACATTGATGCAAAAATCCTCAATAAAATACTGGCAAACCGAATCCAGCAGCACATCAAAAAGCTTATCCACCATGATCAAGTGGGCTTCATCCCTGGGATGCAAGGCTGGTTCAACATATGCAAATCAATAAATGTAATCCAGCATATAAAGAGAACCAAAGACAAAAACCACATGATTATCTCAATAGATGCAGAAAAGGCCTTTGAGAAAATTCAACAGCCCTTCATGCTAAAAACTCTCAATAAATTAGGTATTGATGGGATGTATCTCAAAATAATAAGAGCTATTTATGACAAACCCACAGCCAATATCATACTGAATGGGCAAAACCTGGAAGCATTCCCTTTGAAAACTGGCACAAGACAAAGATGCCCTCTCTCACCACTCCTATTCAACACAGTGTTGGAAGTTCTGGCCAGGGCAATTAGGCAGGAGAAAGAAATAAAGGGTATTCAATTAGGAAAAGAGGAAGTCAAATTGTCCCTGTGTGCAGATGACATGATTGTATATTTAAAAAACCCCATCGTCTCAGCCCAAAATCTCCTTAAGCTGATAAGCAACTTCAGCAAAGTCTCTGGATACAAAATCAATGTGCAAAAAATCACAAGCATTCTTATACACAAATCACAGACGAACAGAGAGCCACATCATGAGTGAACTCCCATTCACAGTTGCTTCAAAGAGAATAAAATACCTAGGAATCCAACTTACAAGGGATGTGAAGAACCTCTTCAAGGAGAACTACAAACCACTGCTCAATGAAATAAAAGAAGACACAAACAAATGCAAGAACATTCCATGCCCATGGATAGGAAGAATCAATATCATGAAAATGGCCATAGTGCCCAAGGTAATTTATAGATTCAATGCCACCCTCATCAAGCTACCAATGACTTTCTTCACAGAACTGGAAAAAACTACTTTAAAGTTCATATGGAACCAAAAAAGGGCCCGCATTGCCAAGACAATCCTAAGCCAAAAGAACAAAGCTGGAGGCATCATGTTACCTGACTTCAAATTATACTACAAGGCTATAGTAACCAAAACAGCATGGTACTGGTACCAAAACAGAGATATAGACCAATGGAACAGAACAGAGCCCTCAGAAATAATACCACACATCTACAACCATCTGATCTTTGACAAACCTGACAAAAACAACAAATGGGGAAAGCATTCCCTATTTAATAAATGGTGCTGGGAAACCTTGCTAGCCATATGTAGAAAGCTGAAACTGGATCCCTTCCTTACACCTTATATAAAAATTAATTCAAGATGGACTAAAGACTTAAATGTTAGACCTAAAACCGTAAAAACCCTAGAAGAAAACCTAGGCAATACCTTTCAGGACATAGGTATGGGCAAGGACTTCATGTCTAAAACACCAAAAGCAATGGCAACAAAAGCCAAAATTGACAAATGGGATCTAATTAAACTAAAGAGCTTCTGCACAGCAAAAGAAACTACCATCAGAGTGAACAGACAACCTACAGAATGGGAGAAAATTTTTGCAATCTACTCATCTGACAAAGGGCTAATATCCAGAATCTACAAAGAACTCTAACAAATTTACAAGAAAAAAACAAACAACCCCATCAACAAGTGGGCGAAGGATATGAACAGACACTTCTCAAAAGAAGACATTTATGCAGCCAAAAGACACATGAAAAAATGCTCATCATCACTGGCCATCAGAGAAATGCAAATCAAAACCACAATGAGATACCATCTCACACCAGTTAGAATGGCAGTCATTAAAAAGTCAGGAAACAACAGGTGCTGGAGAGGATGTGGAGAAATAGGAACACTTTTACACTGTTGGTGGGACTGTAAACTAGTTCAACCATTGTGGAAGTCAGTGTGGCGATTCCTCAGGGATCTAGAACTAGAAATATCATTTGACCCAGCCACCCCATTACTGGGTATATACCCAAAGGATTATAAAACATGCTGCTATAAAGACACATGCACACATGTTTATTGCAGCACTATTCATAATAGCAAAGACTTGGAACCAACCCAAATGTCCATCAATGATAGACTAGATTAAGGAAATGTGGCACATATACACCATGGAATACTATGCAGCCATAAAAAATGATGAGTTCATGTCCTTTGTAGGGACATGGATGAAGCTGGAAACCATCATTCTCAGCAAACTATCGCAAGGACAAAAAACCAAACACTGCATGTTCTCACTCATAGGTGGGAACTGAACAATGAGAACACATGGACACAGGAAGGGGAACATCACACACCAGGGCCTGTTGTGGGGTGGGGGGAGGGGGAGGGATAGCATTAGGAGATATACCTAATGTAAATGATGAGTTAATGGGTGCAGCACACCAACACGGCACGTGTATACATATGTAACAAACCTGCACATTGTGCACATGTACCCTAAAACTTAAAGTATAATAAAAAATGGGATAAATGGAGTTTTCATGAAGCACAAATAAAATTATTCATGTAAAATACTAAAAAAAAAAGCAATTTTATGTGCTACTGTCTGATCAATAATGTAAAAGTTTATAATCAGAAGAGCTTAATTCTTCTAAACTGTTATTGGTTTGTAAAGGTGTGTATATTTAATGGGCAAAAAGGCTTGAAGGGTTAAATGTTATATATGTGAAATCAATATATGGTCTATTTTTGCCATAAAACTGTTTCAAGCAAGATATGATTTGTGTGTGAACATTACAGTGCAATTAAAGCTACTGCCTCTATTTTTCAACTGTGGATCTTACTGCATAAAGGCATGTAATTAAATTAGTCCTATTTCCCCACTGGATTATTTTTAATAATGTACCAGGCAAGAGAGGTTTCCTTAGTAGGTGCCAATCTGTCATCACACATCTCCACAGTAATCAATCACTTTAAGAGTTAGAATGCATCTTGCCAAACTAGCCAGCTTCATTAATCAGGATATTTGTGGGTCAATTAATACACTTGAATAAAGATTTGCTATCAATTTCACAGTGGGCTTGCAGAGCTCTTCATGTGGCCACCTCTATAGTAGAACATATGCTATTTGTTGTGTCCACTTTATTCATCTTCCAGTGGGGTTGTTTTCGGACCAGTAGTAGCAGCATCTGGAATCTGTTAGAAATGCAAATTCTTGAGCCTTGACCCAGATCTAAATATTTTGAGTCAGAAGCTATGGGGATGGGGCCCAGAAATCACTTTAGTTTTCCAGGTGATTTTGATACACATTAAAGTTTGAGAACCACTGCTTTAGTAATTAAAAATCAATGGACGTTTAATATATGTCCTAATTTGGGACTCATTGTATAGCCAAGCTATAATTAATACAAACTAAAGTCTATCTAGGCTTTCTTTTTTTTTCTTTTTGAGATAGGGTCTTGCTCTGTCACCCAGGGTGGAGTGAAGTGGCCTGATCACAACTCACTGCAGCTTCCATCTCCTGAACTCAGGTGATTCTCTTGCCTTAGCCTCCCAATTAGCTAGGACTACAGCTGTGGGCCACCACACCCAGCTAATTTTTGTGTGTGTGTGTGTAGATGGGGTCTCACTCTGTTGACCAGGCTGGTCGGTCTTGAACTCTTGAGCTCAAGCGATCCTCCCATCTTGGCCTCCCAAAGTCCTGGGATTATAGGTGAGCCACCACAGCCAGCTAATTTAGGCCATTTTAATTAGGTTAATGATATTTATAGTCATGGTAGGCTGAATAGCAGCTCCCCAGATATGTCCATATCCTAATCCCCTGAAGTTATAAATTTTACATGGCAAAAGGGACTGTGCAGATGTGACTAAATGAAGCATTTTTGAGTTGGGGGATTATCCTGGATTATCCAGGTGGACACAAAGTAATCACCAGGGTCTTTAGTAAAGAGATTTAAAGATCCTCCACAATTGGCTAGAAAATGGAGGAAGATGCCACAAGTGACGGAACGCAGGCAGCCTCTGCAAGCTGGTAAATGCAAGGAAACAGATTCTCCCCTACAGCCTCCAAGAGGAATGTGGCTCCAGCAATAGCTTGATTTTAGGACTTGAGTTCCAGAACTGTAAGATATGTTTTTTAATGTTTGTGGTAACTTGTTACAGCAGCAATAGGAAACTTATACAATGGTATATTCTTTCTCTCGGGAGAAACTTGAGGGTTTGTTGGGTTGGAAAAACTAGGTGATATGGAGGCCTCATGTCCCAAACTGCTAGGTGTGTGTTTTTGCCTCAAAACTCGAATATGAGCACAAAGCAGAATGCACAAGGCAACAAGCTTAGCCTTGGTGCAAAACTTTCCTTACTCCAACCCAAAAAGATCTTCCTCCCAGTCTTTAAACATGGATTTGTTCTTTTAGGATATGATATTCCTTACTGGTTCCATCTGGCTACTGGGGAAAGTAACTCAGGGTGGCATCTTCTATCACTGAAGTATGAATCGGTTTAGCAGACTGATTTCCAATACTACACCAGCACATGAAGAGTGAATAGGTATTTCTACTTCAAATATAAATTATTTCCATTTTAATTTCTACAGACCTTAAGAATTAAAGTAGAACTAATTTTAGTAACAAAAAGAAATCTTTGGATCATTTAGTCCGAGCTCTTTAAAACCAAGGCCCTTCATCCCCGTGAGGTCTGAGAAATCAAAAACACACAAGGTCTGGGATAAAGTAATTCACTGGTGACCATACAGCTAATTAGTTCACTTGGCAAAGTATAGTCTTGCCCACAAAAGCTGCTCTGTTCTTTACTTATTGACTTCCTAGAGACCATGTGACTTTTTAAGGCCAGCCTTCTAATGATGATGTTAATTTATATTTTACACCATTTAAAATGTGAGCAAACACATTTTCATGTAGCTTAGCAATCTGCTACATTCTTCTTTCTACACGGGGAACCTGAACTTTCTGAGTATAAAGAGAAGAGGAAATATCCTGTTTTCCCTATAACCTTATCTGAAGCTAAACCTCCCATTAAGCTCAAACTATCTTCCTCCGTGAACAAATGCATTCATTGTCAAGCTGGGTATCCAAAGAGAAACAGGTCCTTCCTCTTGAGAATCTTACAGTCTAGAGACAAATTGGGTAAACAGTATTATAAAACTCATGTAGTAAGACAGATTTCAGATCACAGAGTTGGGGTAGGAGGGACAAATGTTAGGGCAATCCCTCAAGGTTTCACAGGAGGTGTTATATTCAGTCTGGGATTTAAATGAAGACTCCAGGGTGCCAAAGAGAGGAAATGATACCCTGAGCAGATACATGGAGAGAGAGAGGACCTCTATGTGTGAAGAACAAGCGAGTAGGTGTGATTGACACAGGGTGCTTCGGAGAGGATGGCAGGACATGAACTGGGAAGGAAAATATAACATAGAAAATGCCAAAGGTCCTGGACTTTATTGTGTTAGCAAGTGCAAACTCTCACAGGTGTTTTAAAGAAGAGAGTGGCATGGTTTGTTTAAAAATACTAGCAGCAGGGGGTATACTGGAGGGAAGATGGTAGATAGGAGGCAGGACTAATTTGCAGTTCCCACTCAGATGGACAGAGCAGCGTGTGGAAACCCACATTGTGAACTTTTGCTCCAAGAACTACTGCAGGAATATACCAGGAAAGCCAAGAGAATTGAGCAGACAGAAGGAGATGGATTGCTGCTGTAGGCTCTGCGGGACAGCAGAAGAACTCCAAAAAAAAGGACATAATCTCTTGGGAGCTCTATGGCCCCGCCCACAGTGTGATTTTCCCTATAATACCACAGCTGATGCACTCTTGAAAGCGCCACCTCCTGGCTGGAGGCCAACGAACACAAAACCAGTAGTACACTTAACAAAAATACAACCAAGGACCCTCACAGGGTCCACTTCACTCTCCTGCTACCTCCACTTGAGCAGGTGCTGGTATCCATGGCTGAAAGACCTGAAGATGAATCACATCTCAGGACTCTTTGCAGACACTCCCCAGTACCAGCCCAGAGCTTGGTAGCCCTGCTGGGTGACTAGATCCAGAAGAGAAATAACAATCACTGCAGTTTGGCTCTCAAGACATGCCATCCCTAGGGAAAAGGGGAGAGCACCACATCAAAGGAGCATCCTGTGGGACAAAAGAATCTGAACAGCAGCCCTTGAGTCCCAGATCTTCCCTCACATTCTCTACCCAAATGAGAAGGAACCAGAAAAGCAATTCTGGTAATATGACAAAACAAGGTTCTTTAACACCCCAAAAGATCACACTAGCTCACCAACAGTGGATCCAAACCAAGACAAAATCTCTAAACTGCAGGAAAAAAGAATTCAGAAGGTCAACTATTAAGTCAATCAAGGAGGCACCAGAGAAAGGTAAAGTCTAACTTAAAGAAATAAAAAAAATGATATAGGGCCAGGTGTAGCGGCTCACACCTATAACCCCAACACTTTGGGAGGCCGAAGCAGGTGGATCACTTGAGGTCAGGAGTTCGAGACCAGCCTGGCCAACGTGGCAAAACCCTGTCTCTACTAAAAATACAAAAATTAGCTAGGCATGGTGGTGGGCGCCTATAATCCCAGCTACTGGGGAGGCTGAAGCAGAATTGCTTGAACCTAGGGAGGCAGAGGTTGCAGTGAGCCGAGATTGTGGCACTGCACTCCAGCCTGGGTGACAGAGCAAGACTCCTTTTCAAAGAAAAAAAAAAAAAAGATATAGGATATGAATGGAAAAATCTCCAGTGAAATAGCATAAGTAAAAAACAATCACGGCCGGGAGCAGTGGCTCACGCCTGCAATCCCAGCAGTTTGGGAGGCTCAGGCAGGTGGATCACCTGAGGTCAGGAGTTCAAAACCAGCCTGCCCAACGTGGTGAACCCTGTCTCTACTAAAAATAGAAAAATTAACCAGCTGTGGTGGCAGACGCCTGTAATCCCAGCTACTCGGGAGGCTGAGATAGGAGATTCGCTTGAACCCAGGAGGCAGAGGTTGCAGGTAGCCAAGATTGCGCCATTCCAGTCCAGCCTGGGCGACAAGAGTGAATCTCCATCTCAAAACGAAACAAAAACAAAACAAAAAGCACAACTTCTAGAAATGAAGAACACACTTAGAGAAATGCAAAATGCAAAATGCATTGGAAGGTCTCAGCAATAGAATTGAACAAATGGAAGAAAGAAACTTCCCAGCTCAAAGACAAGGCTTTCAAATTAGCCCAATCTGACAAAGACAAAGAAGAAAGAATTTTTTAAAATGATCAAAGCCTCCAAGAAGTTTGGGATTATGTTAAATGACCAAACCTAAGAATAATTGGTGTTCCTGAGGAAGAAGATAAATCTAAAAGTTTGGAAAACATATTTGAGGGAATAATTGAAGAAAACTTCCTCAGCTCTGCTAGAGATCTAGACATCCACATACAAGAAGTTCAAAGAACACCTGGGAAATTCATCACAAAAAGATCATTGCCTAGGCACATAGTCATCAGGTTATCTAAAGTCAAGAAAAAGGAAAGACTCTTAAGAGCTATGCGGCAAAAGCATCAGGTAACCTATAAAAGATAACCTATCAGATTAATAGCAGATTTCTCAGCCGAAACCCTACAAGCTAAAAGGGATTGGGGTCCTATCTTTAGCTTCCTTAAACAAAGCAATTATCAGCCAAGAATTTTGTATCCAACAAAATTAAGCTTCATAAATGAAGGAAAGATACAGTCTTCTTCAGACAAACAAATGCTGAATTTGCCACTACCAAGCCAGCACTAAAAGAACTGCTAAAAGGAGCTCTAAATCTTAAATCCTCAAAATCATCAAAATAGAATATCCTTAAAGCATAAATCTCACAGGACCTATAATTTTTCATTTTAACACAATGAAAAAAAAACCTAAGGTATTCAGGCAACAAATAGTACGATGAATAGAATAGTACCTCACATCTCAATACTAATGTTTAATGTAAATGGCCTAAATGCTCCACCTAAAAGATATGAAATGGCAGAATGGATAAGAATTCATCAACCAAGTATATTCTATCTTCAAGAGACCCACCTGACACATAAAGACTCACATAAACTTAGGTAAAGGGGTGGAATAGCTACTCCTGCTTGCTTTTGATGTCCATTTGGATGGAATATCTTGAATGGAATAACTAGAAAACCTAGAGGAGATGGATAAATTCCTGGAAATATACAACCCTCCTACATTAACCCAGGAAGAAACAGAAACTCTGAACAGGCCAATAACAAGCAGCAAGATTGAAATGGTAATTAAAAAGTTACCAACAAAATACCAGTGGGATATTTGTTACCAATGGAATATCTTTCCATGCAAATGGACAACAAAAGCAAGCAGGAGTAGCTATTCTTGTATCACACAAACTTCAAAGCAACAGCAGTTAAAAATGACAAAGAGGGGTATTATATGATGATAAAAGGACTAGTCCAGCAGGAAAATATCACAATCCTAAATGTATCTATGCACCTAACACTGGAGCTCCCAAATTTACAAAACAATTACTACTAGACCAAAAAAATGAGATAGATGTTAATACAGTAATAGTGGGGGACTTCAATACTCCACTGACAGCAGTAGACAGGTCATCAAGACAGAAAGTCAACAAAGAAACTATGGACTTAAACTGTACCCTAGAACAAATAAACTAAACAGATATTCACAGAACATTCTAGCCAAAAACTGCAGAGTATATATTCATTAATCAGCACATGAAACATTCTCCAAGATAGACCATATATGATAGGCCACAAAACAAGTCTCAACACATTTTAAAAAATAAAAATCTTATCAAGTACTCTCACAGACCACAGTAGAATAAAATTAGAAACCAACTGCAAAAGGAACCCTCAAAACCATGCCAAATAAATGGAAGTACAATAACCTGCTCCTGAATGATCACTGGGTCAACAATGAAATCAAGATGGAAATTAAAAAATTCTTTGAACTGAATGATAGTAGTGACACAAACTATCAAAATATCTGAACCTCTGGAATACAGCAAAGACAGAGCTAAGAGGAAAGTTCATAGTATTAAATGCCTACATCATGAAGTCTGAAAGAGTACAAATAGACAATCTAAGGTCACACCTCAAGGAGTTAGAGAAACAAGAATCAACCAAACCCAAACCCAGCAGAAGTAAAGAAATAACTAAGATCAGGGCAGAATTAAATGAAATTGAAACAAACAAAAAAAACACAATATAAAAGATAAACAAAGAGCTGGTTCTTTGAAAAGAGAAATGAAATTGATAGACCATTAGTGAGATTAACGAAGAAAAGGAGAGAAGATCCAAAGAAACTCAATTAGAAATAAGCAGGACAAAAAAATGTCCCAGTCTGACAGCTTTGAAGAGAGCAGTGGTTCTCCCAGCACGCAGCTGGAGATCTGAGAACGGGCAGACTGCCTCCTCAAGTAGGTCCCTGACCCCTGACCCCCGAGCAGCCTAACTGGGAGGCACCCCCAAGCAGGGGCAGACTGACACCTCACACGGCTGGGTACTCCAACAGACCTGCAGCTGAGGGTCCTGACTGTTAGAAGGAAAACTAACAAACAGAAAAGACATCCACACCAAAAACACATCTGTACATCACCATCATCAAAGACCAAAAGTAGATAAAACCACAAAGATGGGGAAAAAACAGAGCAGAAAAACTGGAAACTCTAAAAAGCAGAGCGCCTCTCCTCCTCCAAAGGAACGCAGTTCCTCACCAGCAACGGAACAAAGCTGGACGGAGAATGACTTTGACGAGCTGAGAGAAGAAGGCTTCAGACGATCAAATTACTCCGAGCTACGGGAGGACATTCAAACCAAAGGCAAAGAAGTTGAAAACTTTGAAAAAAGTTTAGAAGAATGTATAACTAGAATAACCAATACAGAGAAGTACTTAAAGGAGCTGATGGAGCTGAAAACCAAGGCTCGAGAACTATGTGAAGAATGCAGAAGCCTCAGGAGCCAATGCGATCAACTGGAAGAAAGGGTATCAGCGATGGAAGATGAAATGAATGAAATGAAGCGGGAAGGGAAGTTTAGAGAAAAAAGAATAAAAAGAAACGAGCAAAGCCTCCAAGAAATATGGGACTATGTGAAAAGACCAAATCTACGTCTGATTGGTGTACCTGAAAGTGACGGGGAGAATGGAACCAAGTTGGAAAACACTCTGCAAGATATTATCCAGGAGAACTTCCCCAATCTAGCAAAGCAGGCCAACGTTCAGATTCAGGAAATACAGAGAACGCCACAAAGATACTCCTCGAGAAGAGCAACTCCAAGACACATAATTGTCAGATTCACCAAAGTTGAAATGAAGGAAAAAATGTTAAGGGCAGCCAGAGAGAAAGGTCGGGTTACCCTCAAAGGGAAACCCATCAGACTAACAGCGGATCTCTCGGCAGAAACTCTACAAGCCAGAAGAGAGTGGGGGCCAATATTCGACATTCTTAAAGAAAAGAATTTTCAACCCAGAATTTCATATCCAGCCAAACTAAGCTTCAGAAGTGAAGGAGAAATAAAATCCTTTACAGACAAGCAAATGCTGAGAGATTTTGTCACCACCAGGCCTGCCCTAAAAGAGCTCCTGAAGGAAGCGCTAAACATGGAAAGGAACAACCGGTACCAGCCGCTGCAAAATCATGCCAAAATGTAAAGACCATCGAGACTACGAAGAAACTACATCAACTAATGAGCAAAATAACCAGCTAACATCATAATGACAGGATCAAATTCACACATTACAATATTAACTTTAAATGTAAATGGACTAAATGCTCCAATTAAAATATACAGACTGGCAAATTGGATAAAGAGTCAAGACCCATCAGTGTGCTGTATTCAGGAAACCCATCTCACGTGCAGAGACACACATAGGCTCAAAATAAAAGGATGGAGGAAGATCTACCAAGCAAATGGAAAACAAAAAAAGGCAGGGGTTGCAATCCTAGTCTCTGATAAAACAGACTTTAAACCAACAAACATCAAAAGAGACAAAGAAGGCCATTACATAATGGTAAAGGGATCAATTCAACAAGAAGAGCTAACTATCCTAAATATATATGCACCCAATACAGGAGCACCCAGATTCATAAAGCAAGTCCTGAGTGACCTACAAAGAGACTTAGACTCCCACACATTAATAATGGGAGACTTTAACACCCCACTGTCAACATTAGACACATCAACGAGACAGAAAGTCAACAAGGATACCCAGGAATTGAACTCAGCTCTGCACCAAGCAGACATAATAGACATCTACAGAACTCTTCACCCCAAATCAACAGAATGTACATTTTTTTCAGCACCACACCACACCTATTCCAAAATTGACCACATACTTGGAAGTAAAGCTCTCCTCAACAAATGTAAAAGAACAGAAATTATAACAAACTATCTCTCAGACCACAGTGCAATCAAACTAGAACTCAGGATTAAGAATCTCACTCAAAACCGCTCAACTACATGGAAACTGAACAACCTGCTCCTGAATGACTACTGGGTACATAACAAAACGAAGGCAGAAATAAAGATGTTCTTTGAAACCAACGAGAACAAAGACACCACATACCAGAATCTCTGGGACGCATCCAAAGCAGTGTGTAGAGGGAAATTTATAGCACTAAATGCCCACAAGAGAAAGCAGGAAAGATCCAAAACTGACACCCTAACATCACAATTAAAAGAACTAGAAAAGCAAGAGCAAACACATTCAAAAGCTAGCAGAAGGCAAGAAATAACTAAAATCAGAGCAGAACTGAAGGAAATAGAGACACAAAAAACCCTTCAAAAAATTAATTAATCCAGGAGCTGGTTTTTTGAAAGGATCAACAAAATTGATAGACTGCTAGCAAGACTAATAAACAAAAAAAGAGAGAAGAATCAAATAGATGCAATAAAAAATGATAAAGGGGATATCACCACCGATCCCACAGAAATACAAACTACCATCAGAGAATACTACAAACACCTCTATGCAAATAAACTAGAAAATCTAGAAGAAATGGATAAATTCCTGGACACATACACCCTCCCAAGACTAAACCAGGAAAAGTTGAATCTCTGAATAGACCAATAACAGGATCTGAAATTGTGGCAATAATCAATAGCTTACCAACCAAAGAGTCCAGGACCAGATGGATTCACAGCCGAATTCTACCAGAGGTACAAGGAGGAACTGGTACCATTCCTTCTGAAACTATTCCAATCCATAGAAAAAGAGGGAATCCTCCCTAACTCATTTTATGAGGCCAGCATCATCCTGATACCAAAGCCGGACAGAGATACAACCAAAAAAGAGAATTTTAGACCAATATCCTTGATGAACATTGATACAAAAATCCTCAATAAAATACTGGCAAACCGAATCCAGCAGCACATCAAAAAGCTTATCCACCATGATCAAGTGGGCTTCATCCCTGGGATGCAAGGCTGGTTCAATATACGCAAATCAATAAAGGTAATCCAGCATATAAACAGAACCAAAGACAAAAAACACATGATTATCTCAATAGATGCAGAAAAGGCCTTTGACAAAATTCAACAACCTTTCATACTAAAAACTCTCAATAAATTAGGTATTGATGGGACGTATTTCAAAATAATAAGAGCTATCTATGACAAACCCACAGCCAATATCATACTGAATGGGCAAAAACTGGAAGCATTCCCTTTGAAAACTGGCACAAGACAGGGATGCCCTCTCTCACCACTCCTATTCAACACAGTGTTGGAAGTTCTGGCCAGGGCAATTGGGCAGGAGAAGGAAATAAAGGGTATTCAGTTAGGAAAAGAGGAAGTCAAACTGTCCCTGTTTGCAGATGACATGATTGTATATCTAGAAAACCCCATTGTCTCAGCCCAAAATCTCCTTAAGCTGATAAGCAACTTCAGCAAAGTCTCTGGATACAAAATCAATGTACAAAAATCACAAGCATTCTTATACACCAACAACAGACAAACAGAGAGCCAAATCATGAGTGAACTCCCATTCACAATTGCTTCAAAGAGAATAAAATACCTAGGAATCCAACTTACAAGGGATGTGAAGGACCTCTTCAAGGAGAACTACAAACCACTGCTCAAGGAAATAAAAGAGGATACAAACAAGTGGAAGAACATTCCATGCTCATGGGTAGGAAGAATCAATATTGTGAAAATGGCCATACTGCCCAAGGTAATTTACAGATTCAATGCCATCCCCATCAAGCTACCAATGACTTTCTTCACAGAACTGGAAAAAACTACTTTAAAGTTCATATGGAACCAAAAAAGAGCCTGCATCGCCAAGTCAATCCTAAGCCAAAAGAACAAAGCTGGAGGCATCACACTACCTGACTTCATACTATACTACAAGGCTACAGTAACAAAAACAGCATGGTACTGGTACCAAAACAGAGATATAGATCAATGGAACAGAACAGAGGCCTCAGAAATAACGCCGCATATCTACAACTATCTGATCTTTGACAAACCTGAGGAAAACAAGCAATGGGGAAAGGATTCCCTATTTAATAAATGGTGCTGGGAAAACTGGCTAGCCATATGTAGAAAGCTGAAACTGGATCCCTTCCTTACACCTTATACGAAAATCAGTTCAGGATGGATTAAAGACTTAAACGTTAGACCTAAAACCATAAAAACCCTAGAAGAAAACCTAGGCATTACCATTCAGGACATAGGCATGGGCAAGGACTTCATGTCTAAAACACCAAAAGCAATGGCAACAAAAGCCAAAATTGACAAATGGGATCTAATTAAACTAAAGAGCTTCTGCACAGCAAAAGAAACTACCATCAGAGTGAACAGGCAACCTAAAAAATGGGAGAAAATTTTCACAACCTACTCATCTGACAAAGGGCTAATATCCAGAATCTACAACGAACTCAAACAAATTTACAAGAAAAAAACAAACAACCCCATTAAAAAGTGGGCAAAGGACATGAACAGACACTTCTCAAAAGAAGACATTTATGCAGCCAAAAAACACATGAAAAACTGCTCACCATCACTGGCCATCAGAGATATGCAAATCAAAACCACAATGAGATACCATCTCACACCAGTTAGAATGGCGATCATTAAAAAGTCAGGAAACAACAGGTGCTGGAGAGGATGTGGAGAAATAGGAACACTTTTACACTGTTGGTGGGACTGTAAACTAGTTCAACCATTGTGAAAGTCAGTGTGGCGATTCCTCAGGGATCTAGAACTAGAAATACCATTTGACCCAGCCATCCCATTACTGGGTATATACCCAAAGGACTATAAATCATGCTGCTATAAAGACACATGCACACGTATGTTTATTGCGGCATTATTCACAATAGCAAAGACTTGGAACCAACCCAAATGTCCATCAATGATAGACTGGATTAAGAAAATGTGGCACATACACACCATGCAATACTATGCAGCCATAAAAAAGGATGAGTTTATGTCCTTTGTGGGAACATGGATGAAGCTGGAAACCATCATTCTGAGCAAACTATCTCAAGGACAGAAAACCAAACACCACATGTTCTCACTCATAGGTGGGAATTGAACAATGAGAACACATGGACACAGGAAAGGGAACATCACACTCTGGGAACTGTTGTGGGGTCGTGGGGTCGGGGGAGGGATGGCATTGGGAGATATACCTAATGCTAGATGACCAGTTAGTGGGTGCAGCGCACCAGCATGGCACATGTATACATATGTAACTAACCTGCACATTGTGCACATGTACCCTAAAACTTAAAGTATAATAATAATAAATAAATAAATAAATACAAGAAATAAGCAGGACATATTACAACCGATACCACAGAAACAAAAAAGATGATTCAAGGCTACTATGAACAGCTTTACATGCATAAACTAGAAAACCTAGAGGAGATGGATACATTCCTGGAAATATACAACCCTCCTAGATTAAACAGGAAGAAACAGAAAACTCTAAACAGACCAATAACGAGCAGTGAGATTGAAATGGTAATTTAAAAATTACCAACAAAAATAGGCTGGGCACAGTGGCTCACGCCTGTAATCCCAACACTTTGGGAGGCCAAGGCGGGTGGACCACGAGGTCAGGAGTTCAAGACCAGTCTGGCCAACATGGTGAAACCATGTCTCTACTAAAAATACAAAAATTAGCTGGGCGCAGTGGCAGGCACCTGTAATTCCAGCTACTTGGGAGGCTGAGGCAGGAGAGTTGCTTGAAACCAAGAGGCAGAGGTTGCAGCAGTGAGCTGAGATCGCACCACTGCACTCCAGCCTAGGTGACAGAGCGAGACTCTATCTCAAAAAAAAAAAAAAAAAAATTACTAACAAAAAACCAAAAATTCCAGGACCAGATGAATTCACAGCTGAATTCTATCAGACATTCAAAGAAGAATTGGTACCAATCCTATGGACACTATTCCAAAAGATAAAGAGGGAATCCTCCCTAAATCATTCTATGAAGCCATGATCACCCTAATACCAAAACCAGGAAAGGACATATCAAAAAAACAAAACTATGGACCAACATCCCTGATGAACACAGATGCAAAAATCCTCAACGAAATCCTAGCTAACCGAATCCAACAGCATATCAAAAAGATAATCCATCACGATCAAGTGGGTTTCATACCAGGGCTGCAGGGATGGTTTAACATCTGAAAATCAATAAATGTGATATACCACATAAACAGAATTAAAAACAAAAATCACATGATCATCTGAATAGACCAGATAAAGCATTTGACAAAATCCAGCATCCCTTTATGATTAAAACCCTCAGCAAAATCAGCATAGAAGGAACATACCTTCTATGCTGGAGTTTGAGACAGCCTGGCCAACATGGCCCACATGGTGAAACCCCGTCTCTACTAAAATTACAAACTACAAACTAAAACTACAAAAATTAGCTGGGCATGGTGGCAGGTGCCTGTAATCTCAGCTACTTGGGAGGCTGAGGTCGGAGAATCGCTTGAACCCAGGAGGCAGAAGTTGCAGTGAGCCCAGATCACACCACTGCACTCCAGCCTGGGTGACAGAGTGAGACTCTGCCTCAAAAACAAACAAACAAACAAACAAACAAACAAACAGGCATATAGACCAAAGGAATGGAATAAACAACCCAGAAATGTAGCCACATATTTGCAGTCAGCTGACTGTCAACAAAGCTATTCAACAAATGGTGCTGGGACAATTGGTAAGCCACGTGTAGAAGAATGAAACTCGATCCTCATCTCTCACCTTATGGAAAAATCAACTCAAGATGGATCAAAGACTTAAATCTAAGACCTGAAACTATAAAAATTCTAGAATATAACATCAGAAAAGCCTTTCTAGACACTGGCTTAGGCAAAGTGTTCATGACCAAGAACCCAAACGCAAATGCATCAAAAACAGAGATAAACAGATGATACTTAGGTAAACTAAAATGATTCTGCATAGCAAAAGAAATAATCAGTAAACAGACAACCCACAGAGTGAAGAAAATCTTTGCAATCTATACATCTGACAAAGGACTAATATCCAGAATCTACAAGTAACTCAAACAAATCAGCAAGAAACAAAAACAATCCCATCAACAATGGGCTAAGGACATGAATAGACAATTCTCAAAAGAAGATATACAAATAGCCAATAAACATATGAAAAAATGTTCAACATCACTAATTATCAAGGAACTGCAAATCAAAACCACAACG
Organism: Homo sapiens; assembly: GCF_000001405.40. Taxonomy (NCBI): domain Eukaryota; kingdom Metazoa; phylum Chordata; class Mammalia; order Primates; family Hominidae; genus Homo; species Homo sapiens. The sequence goes on along the minus strand of NC_000014.9, from coordinate 88,441,563 downwards.
CGATACCACCTTACTGTTCCAAGAATGGCCATAATCAAAAAATAAAAAAATAGTAGATATTGGTGTGGATGTGGTGAACAGGGAACACTTTTACACTGTTAGTGGGAATGTATACTAGTGCAACCACTATGGAAAACAGTGTGGAGATTCCTTAAAGAACTAAAGGTAGATCTACCATTTGATCCAGCAATCCCACTCCTGGGTATCTACCCAGAGGAAAAGAAGTCATTATACAAAAAAGATAACTTGCACACGCATGTTTATAGGAGTACAATTCACAATTGCAAAAATATGGAACCAGCCCATATGCCCATCGATCAACAAGTGGATAATGAAAATGTGATGTGTGTATATATATACACACACACACACACAATTGAATACTACTCAGCCATAAAAAGGAATGAAATAATGGCATTTGCAGCAACCTAGATGGAATTGGAGACCATTATTCTAAGTGAAGTAACTCAGGAATGGAAAACCAAACATTGTATGTTCTCACTCATAAGTGGGAGCTAAGCTATGAGGATGCAAAGGCATAAGAATAATACAATGGACTTTGGGGGCTGAGGGGAAAGGGTAGGCGGGGAGTGAGGGATAAAAGACTACACATTGGGTACAATGTACACTGCTTAGGTGCTGGGTGCACCAAAATCTCAGAAGTCACCAATGAAGAACTTATTCATGTAACCAAACATCACCTGTTCCCAAAATCCTACTGAAATAAAAAATAAATAGCAAAAAAAAAAGTAGCAGCAGCCTGTATTTATCATGCAAGCTCATTTAATTCTTGTATTCTATGATAAAGGCTCTATAATTACCCCTCTCCAAGATATGAGAAAACACACACAGGCTCAGTAACCCAGCTCAAAGTCACAGCTCAAAAGGAATCAAATCCAGGCAACCTGGCTCAGAAGACACACTCGCATTCATCATGCCTCTCAGCCTCAGTTGATGGGCTGTGTGAGAAGGAAGAGGGGAAGATATAAAGATGTTGCTTGATGCTGTAACAAGATGTCTTAGGGATAAAAAAAGATGCTGCTAGAAGAGTTTAAGTGCTGTTTCCCAAACTTACCACCCACATCCTACCTTCATACTATAATACTTTTGCCACATTCAAGAACCATTTTTAATATTTCTTTAAATCAACTCACCTTTTAAAACTTAAAGGGAAACTAAAGGATAACAACAAATTGTCCTAATAGGTATCCAAATTAGGATGGGTCATGGCCCCAGAGACAAGAAGCTGTACCCAGAGTTAGAGCATGAAGACTGAATGTCAAATAGGGCAGGTCTGGGGCTTGGACCAAAGTGTTGGAGAACAGCAGCCAGGAGATAGTTTCTGAGAATGCCTCCGGAAAGACAGATGGTAGCTCCAGCCAAGGAAGGAAAATTTGGGCCAGGCCAGTAGGTCTGGGGTAGTTACATGGGGAATGGGAAGAGGGGGTTTGTGAAAGAGTGAGGCTGGGACTGAAGAAAGGAACCCTGGGGCTGAGGAACAACAGAACCCAAGAAGCAACTAGAGGGGTAAAGATCTAACAGATGGGGAGACCCAGGCTGGGGACCAAGAATAGAGCCAAGGTTATTTCAGGAGGTTTAAGAGGACTGCAAGAGGGGATAGACGGTGTTGCTTACAGGGTTAAAGGGAAGAAGTCCAGAGGTGAGGGCTGAGGGGAAGGTGTGCCAAAAAAGGGTTGTAGCAGGGTGAGTTGGGGATTCCGACAGTGGAGGTGAAAAGTGGGTTGGGTGCTCAGTCCCACCATATTGTGCTTTGCAGGTTGTACCTGTGTCTTATCCTGAAGACAGTGGTGATGGTCAGCATCCCATGAATGAGATGGACCTGTCATCCACATACCACTAAAATCAACTCTCAGGTCTCCAGTGGTAAGTACCACCCTTTGGGAAACACTGCTATGGCCAAAGGATGATAAAAACCCGAGTTAAAGAACAGGATACTTGGAAGTCACTGTTAAGTTTTTAGAAGAATACCTGGGTTGTATTTTTTTAAATATAAAATTAAAATATAGCTTATAAAAACAAAATGGGTTATTGTTTTTATCCTCCACAGTATCTAGGCATGAAACTTTGTACATAATGGGCACACAAATATTCAATTATATTATTGTAAATAGTTAAAAAGGTATAATTAGAGATGAATCTGCTGGGCCATGTTCTAATAGTAAGGGTCTCATTCATGAGCTACAAGGGTAGGAGAGGGCTTCAGACAGGTCTGACTAAATGTTTGCACTCACAACAAGAGACAACATCTCAGCCAGCTGACAGAATTCCCTGGGTCACTGACAACTGAAAGGTCCTTGAGGCTTTAGATATTGCAGGAAAAGTGAGAAAAACAAAATTAAAGATATTGCAGACAAGGTCCAACGCTTCAAGACTCACACCAGATCATAAACCATTTCCCATAGCCTACAAAACCGCTTATGTCTGGGTAAAATATGTTCCTCTGAAAATATAGGTAAAATATGTTTTCCTCTGAAAAGTGATTTTAGAAATTGTGGCCAGCAGGTCCTCAGATGACCCCAGTGATTCCTGTGTTCTGGCATTCACACCCTTGTATATATTCCCAACCCTTAAGTGTGGGCAAGACCTGTGACTTGCTTCTACCCAAAAGAACACGGTAAAGGTGATAGAAAGTCACTCCTGTGATTATGTTACATTATATAAGACTCCATCTTGTTAGCAGAATCTCTCTGGTTTTCCTGATATCCTTAAAAAAGCAAGCAGCCACGTTATAATTTCCCTAAGGAAAGGGCCAAGTGGCAGAGAACTATAGGCAGCCTCTAGCCACTGGTCAGCAAGACAACGAAGCCCTCAAATCTATAACTGCAAGGAGGATAATTCTGCCAACAAGCCTCTTAATGAAAACATGGCCCCAGCCACTGCCTTGATTGTGGGGTAGCCTTGTGAGACCCAGGACAGAGGACCCAACTAAGCTGTGCCTACACTCCTGATCCACAAAACTGTGGGATAAATAATAAATGTGTGGCACATTAGGCCGCTAGGTTTCTGGTAACTTATTATTGCAGCACAGAAAACCAATAGAGAAATCTTATACATACATTTTAAAAAAGGAAGAAAAGTAATATTGAGTTACTGGCCATTTGAGGTATTTATTAATGAAGATTAAACATCCAAAGGGCAGTCCTCAATGCTCATTTCCATGATTTTAAGAGTTGATAACTCCATGTCATGATTATTGTCGCCTTTGACACTGGAGAACTGAACAGATTGGGAGGGTGATGTGTTAAGACCACATAATCCATTTGAAATCTCAACCTTTTCAGGGTCACTATCACCTTCAATGACATTCACAGAAGTTTCCCGATCTGTTAAACTGTCTGAAATACTTGGATGATTTTCATCCAAAGTTGAAGTTTCAAGATTTGTTTCATCATTCACCTGTTGAATTATAACCCCTTCTGAATGCTTTGATTTATAAATAGGCATGAAAAATTCAGTTGGTGAAGGGAATATCTCGTTCTCATCCTTTGGTGCCGACAATAACATATCCAAAGCCTTTTGGTATTGTTGACGTTCCTGCTGAATTGTTACTTCACTTTCATTTTTTAATTCATTTGGTTCTGAATTCCCAGCCTTTTCAAAATCAAATACATTCAACATATCAACATCATTTTGCTTTACCGAGTTTTCCTCCGATGTGCAGCCTAAGTCTACTTTCAGGACATGCAGCAGGTGGCGCATTTTTTCCTAGGATTAAGAAAAGATGAGACTAATTACATTAATTGAGTCAAATTAAATTTTGACTGCAGTGCTGAAAATCTCACAGGATTAATACTTTTCCTTTCACTTCTCCCACCACCACCCTCAAAAAAGTTCAAGGGAAAAAAAAAGCACTTGCTTTTAATGTATTGTTTGAAGGTATGAAAAAAACCATACAATTATTTTTACATTATAATTTTTCTAATGAAGTTATAAGGAAAGACAAACCTCCTCCAAATGTTTATTTTGTTTTATATGTCGCTCGAACAGTCGTTCTAAAAACCTACAAATGATAAACAAAAATGTTAATGTCTCAAAATCAGAAAATCATCTAAATATAAACTAGCTACGTAACACTGAAACTACAAAGGTTGAAAAATGTTTTTCAGATTTTTCTTTTTCTCTGTAAAGCTGAAGACTAATCCTTTCCTGTTCTAAGTTCTTCCATTATGCATTTGCTTCACATTACATATTTCTGAAAGACTGTATGCTACTTTTATTTCTTTGAATAAAATTCTCCTTTTTCTCACCCCACCACCAAAAAGCTGTTTTTCTCTCACAGACATATGCAAACACCCAAAGCCTCTCTACCCCGATATTTACACACACACACACACACACAACCAAACCCTAAAGAAAAACCTCTTACAGAGATATTTTATAATCCTTCCTAAATTATACTTTTAAAAATTCCTATATTAAAGTATAAAACACCAATGAACAAAATGGAAAAGGACACCAAAAAAAAAAAAGGAAAAATATTCCAAATTCATGGATTGGAAGAATCAATATTGTTAAAATGTCCACACCACCCAAAGCAATCTACAGAGTCAATGCAATCCCTATCAAAATACCAGTGACATTATTCACAGAAATAGAAAAAAAAATCCTAAAATGTACATGAAACTACAAAAGACCCAGAATAGCCAAAGCTATCCTAAGTAAAAAGAACAAAACTGGTGGAATCATGTTACCTGACTTCAAATTACAGTACAGAGCTACAGTAACCAAAACAGCATGGTCAGGCATAAAAACAGACACAGACCAATGGAACAGAATAGAGAACTCAGAAACAAATCCACACACCTATAGTGAACTCATTTTTGACAAAGTTGCCAAGAACATACATACACTGGGGAAAAGGCAGTCTCTTCAATAAATGGTAATGGGAAAACTGGATACCCATATGCAAAAGAATGAAACTAGACCCCTATCTCTCACCACATACAAAAATCAAATCAAAATAGATGAAAGGCTTAAATATAAGTTCTGAAACTATGGAACTACTAAATGAAAACATTGAGGGAAAATCTCTAGGACACTGGTCTGGCAAAGACTTCTTGAGTAATATCCCACAAGCACAGGCAACCAAAGCAAACATGGACAAATGGGATCACAAATTAAAAAGCTTCCACACAGCAAAGGATATAACCAACAAAGTGAAGAGACAATCCACAGAATGGGAGAAAATATTTGCAAACTACCCCTCTGACAAGGAATTAATAACCAGAATATATAAGGAGCTCAAACAACTATTTACTATTAGATTTATAGGGAAAAATCTAATAACCCAATCAAAAAATGGGCAAAAGATTTGAATAGACAATTCTCAAAAGACATACGAATTGTAGACAGGAATATGAAAAGGTATTCCACACATCACTGATCATCAGAGGAATGCAAATCAAAACTACAATGAGGTATCATCTCACTCCAGTTAAAATGGCTTATATGCAAAAACAAGCAATAATAAATGCTGGTGAGGATGTGGAGAAAAGGGAATCCTTGCACACTGTTGGTAAGAATGTAAACTATTAGTTCAACCACTATGGAGAACAGTTTGGAGGTCCCTCAAAAAACTAGAAATTGAGCTACCATATGTTCCAGCAATCCCAAAAGGAAGTAAGTCAGGATATCGAAGAGATACCTGCACTCTTATGTTTGTCGTAGCACTGTTTATGACAGCTAAGATTTGGAAGCAACTAAGTGTCCATTAACAAATGAATGGATAAAAAAACGTAGTACATATACACCATGGAGTACTATTCAGCCATTAAAAAAGTGAGATCCTGTCATCTGCAACAATATGGACGGAACTGGAGATCATTATATTAAGTGAAATGAGCCTGGCACAGAAAGACAAACATTGCATTCTCCCACGTATTTGTGGGATCTAAAAATCAAAACAATTGAACTCATGGGCATAGAGAGTAGAAGGATGGTTAACAGAGGCTGGGAAGGGTAGTAGAGGGCTGCAGGTTAAGTGGGGTAGTTAATGGGTACAAAAACATAGAAAGAATGAATAAGACCATTTGACAGCACAACAGGGTGACTACAGTCAATAGTAACTTAATTGTACATTTAAAATAACTTAGAGAATGTAATCTGATCGTTTGTAACTCAAAGGATAAATGCTTGAGAGGATGGATACCCCACTCTCCGTGACGTTCTTATTTCACAATGCTTGCCTGTATCAAAACATCTCATGTACCCCTTAAATATACATACCTACTGTGTACCTCACAAAATTTTAAAAAATAATTAAAAAATTTAAAAACTCCCACTGATGGTAAATCCACATAATAATTTAAAAGTTATCACCTATTAATTTCCATTAAGTGCTACTGTGCTAGTCATAATAATCATTTTACCTCTAGTTCTGACCAATGTAGGGAGGGAAAGATAGTGTAAAAACCATTTTAAAGACGAGAAAGCCACATCTCTAAGATGATAATTTCCTCTCCCCTGAGGTCAAAAGCCTTTAGGAGAATTTAACCCAGATGTGTCTGGCTCCACAGAATTTCTTCATTCTAGAACACCATGCTCACCTCTCTATCACAGGAATGTATCAACAGTTTCTTAAAAAACAACTAATTTCCTTTGTTATCATTTGCTAGCATCAGTGAAGTTATGAACCAACCTCAGAGTTAGTAGTTCTGAATTATTTCACAATTTTTTATTAAAACCCAAGAAATCTGTATTCTACTTTTTACAACTATTGTTAACATTTTAGAATATTCACTACTAGGCATTTTTTCTATTCATTTGTATTTCTTTACCAACTTGTAATTAAACAATACATACTATTTGGGTATCTATCTTGTTTTTTCTTTTTTCTTTTTCTTTTTTTTTTTTTTTCTGAGACAGAGTCTCACTCTGTCGCCCAAGATGGAGTGCGGTGGCGCGATCTCAGCTCACTGCAACCTCCGCCTTGCGGGGTTCAAGCGATTCTCCTGCCTCACCCTCCTGAGTAGCTGGGACTACAGGCGCGCACCACCACGCCCAGCTAATTTTTGTATTTTTAGTAGAGATGAGGTTTCACCATATTGGCCAGGCTGGTGTTGAACTCCTGACCTTGTGATCCGCCCACCTTAGCCTCCCAAAGTGCTGGGATTACTGGTGTGAGCCACTGCGCCCAGCCCTATTTTGTTTTTTCTAATCAATGACATATATCTTTAACATCTTTCTATATCTGTAAATTCACTTCAACATCATTTTTAATCCCTAAACAGACCTCACATTTCATATATATTCCACAGTTTATTCAACCAAACATTTACCATTAAACATTTAGGTTGATTCTGGTTTTTGGTACAATTATAAAAATGCTGTAATAAACAGTCTTATAATCTTGAGAAAAACATAAAATTTTAAGCATAAATACATATGATTTTGTATGTGTACTTTTTTTCTTGTGGTGGCAAAAACTAACCAAACTTATCATCTTAACCATTTTTAAGTGCACGATTCAGCAGTGTTAGGTATATTCATATTGTGATACAGATTGCCAAAACTTTTCATTATGTATCCTGAAACTCTTTACCCATATTATGCAAATATTATTAACCAACTTTTTAAAATGAAAGGGGTCAACAGAATTAATGCCAAAAATCTTAGGTCTTTTTGATATGCCTTTTTATACCAATAATGAAAATGTTTGCTTTAATTTTTTAAAAAACTTGATGTAGAGGATAGAAATAATTTATTAAAAATGTCTATGCTTGGCATATTATTATGACAGAGAAAGCAAGTAGTATACATAATAGGGTCCTAGGTTACATAACACAAAGTAGAGCTCAGTGCTCAATGAATCTTAGATACATAAATGTTCAAGCAAAATTCAGGACACACAGTTTCCTTAAGCTATGCAATAGCTAATCTGGTTTTGCAAACTTTCCATTTAACTTACAGCGTGCAAACCTAGCTCTTAATTTGTTCTCATTTTACTAGATCTAATACTAATAATGGTTGCACCAAAAATGCTTGCTTTTGATTCTCATGACAATTTTAGGTAGTAAAATGGGATTATGGAGCTTTGCAAATAAGTGATAAAGATCTTCCTTCACTAGTCACTTATAACTCAAGGGATATAATATTAAAATGAATAAAAGCTCTATTCTTTAATTCTCCCAAGTGGTGAACTTCCCCTAGAGTATGAATTAAACATTCTTTACAACTTGCTATCAATTATAATAATAAGTTTCCAAGAAAGCAATATATTTTTTCATTTCCTAATATGGGAAAATAACTTTAAAATTTTAACATCATATGAAGAAATATGAAGAATATTTAATGTACTCCTGAATTAACATAACACCATTAAAAAAACTAACCTGTTTGAAAATAAACCAAGTTTCAAAATTTCATCTGTTACATCTTCAATGAAACTCAGATACAACAGTTCTTCTTCACTGTAAAAGGAAGGCAATATATAGCATAAAAATTATTCCTTACTTATTCTGAAAACTGTAAGAAACATTAGTACCTAATTAGAAATATCTATCTCTACCATTACCAATGTACTTCTATCTCATATTACTAAGGGGAATATTACAAAACAAACATGTCTACCTTCTCAAATTATGCAAGGATAAATATTTACTAAAGGTGATGACCTAATAGAGTAAAATTTCACAGATATCTGCAACATCCATAGCAGTAAAAAACAAGCAGAATTAAACAACACAAAAAGAAAGCAACGAAGGACAAGGCGCAATCAAATGCAATCCACTGGGAGCAAGCACTCCCGAGGAATGTTTTAAATTTCCTCTTGCTCCTGACCAGGTCCAGCAGCAGAGGTGCAAGTCCCTCTGCAAAGCATTTGCAAGAAGGAAGAGGAAAGTTGTCCAGAGAAGCAGGAGCTTCAACTAAGAAGTCCTCTCCTAGCCCTAGGCCAGCATCTTGTTTTAAGGTTGAGAAATTTACTAAGCAGAAAAATTTATTTTTTCTCTCAAAACGTTTGGAGACGAAAAATTCTCATAGGAAAATTTGTGAACATAAATCTTGTGGTAATTTTTAACTACTTGAACACACTTCTCTATTATAACTATATTTTAGTAGCTATTACAAGAAAATTAGGATATTATTGTACGTTTGATTTTAATTAGCTGAAATTAGTGAATTAATACCAAATGTAAGTAGCAAGTAACTAAATTACTGAATAAGCAAATATAAGGGAAGAGTTAATAAGCAAATCAAATAATAGATTTAAATGTTTAATAAAAAGTTACACTTTCAAACTGATTCACAGGGTCTTGCTTATTTAAAAACAGCATATTTGAAAATAAATAAAATTTTATAAATTATTTTCCCTAAAAAGAGTAACTTAATTAAAACAACATTAAAATCTACAAATAAAATATCTGCAAAGAACTGCTGAGGTTAGAAACCTCTGGAAAGAGTATCCTGAACTATTAAAAGTCTGCATTTCTCTAAAACTCTTCTTTATTATTTTATTATTTTTACTTAAAAAATAAGTAAGAATCATGGATACTGATTATTAAAAAGTATCAGGTAATACCTGGGGACAAATTTCTACTGGAGATAAAAATGACGTGATTGATAATTATTCCAGAAAGTTGTTATTATTTCTCAAAAAAATTCGAGAAAATTATTCAGGTCAGTTTCTCAAATTTAGTATGTATTATACGATTGATATCCCAAAGCTGGTTGTAAGAGAGATTAGTGTTCACAGATGAATGGATAAAGAAAATGTATATATACACCATGAAATACTATTCAGCCATAAAAACAAATAAAATCATGTCATTTGTGGCAACATGGATGGAACATGGATGGATGCTGGTGAAATAAGCCAGCAACAGAAAGTTAAACATCGCATGTTCTCACTCATATGTGGAAGCTAAAAACAGTTGATTTCATAGAAGTAGAAAGTAGAACAGAAGGTACTGGAGGCTGGGAAGGGTAGACGGGAATGAGGGACAAGCTGAGATTTGTTACAAGATACAAAATTATAGCTAGATAGGAGGAGTAAGTTCTAGTGTTCTATACCACTATAGGATGACTACCATGGTTAACAATAATACATAGTTTCAAATAGCTAGAAGAAGGATACTCAATGTTTCCAACACAAAGAAATGATAAAATGTTCGAGATGATGGATATGCTAATTAAACTGTTCTAATCACTGTACAGTATATGTATCAAAATATCACTAGGTACTCCATGAATATGTACATTTATTACTTGCCAGTTTTAAAAAAAGAGATTATTGTTCAATCCTGACTTATTTAATATGGTTTCTTTGATTCTTAATCCTTGATTCCACTATGCAAAACGAAGACTTAAAAAAGATCTTACTCAGAGTAGATTTTACGAGTTGAAGGGGGCTTCAGGGAATACTGACACATTGCCCTAGAAAGAGGAAGTTAAAGTAGTTGAGCAAAACAGTGGTTGGCATACAATAAGTACTCAATAACATTGTATATTAGTACACACTGAATAGCCCTTATCTTAGATGTTTGGAACCAGAAGTGTTTCAGAATTTGGATTTTGGAATATTTCCATTATATACTTAGTAGTTGAGCATCTCAATCCAAAAATCTGAAATCCAAAAATGTTCCAATGAGCATTTCCTTTGGGCATCATGTCGGATTTTGGAGTATGGTGAATTACAGATTTTCAAATTTGGGATGCTCAACCTGTAATTACATGTTTCAGCAATTTTTAAAGCACTCTCATACCCATATCTAATTTAATCTTCTAAACAACCCAGTCAGGCATGTGGGCTGTGTATTATTTTTCCCATTTACTGATTAGTTCACCAAGGGTCAGAAAGGCTAAGTAACTTTCCAAGGTTAATGTTAGTAAGCAGCAAAGACAGGTTTTTAAACTACTTTTCTAGGTATAAATTCACAATTCTTTTTAAAACTACACTACGGCACTTCTCTAGTATAAACAATGACAATTTGACTAAGGTTAATGTATAGATAATGCTGGATATAGATACATTATTATGAAAATATTTTTAAAGGTGGTCATCATGATAAATTTTGTTATTATTCAGTTATGTTACCAATAATTAATTTGAAGCTAAATTTTATTCAGGTATACTCAACTATACTATTCTACTTTACTTCTTTTAGAAAGTATTAGAAAAGATAAATATTCCTTTCCTTAAGTCATTCTTAATATTCAATGAAGACTGGCTCAAGAGCAGTTATATTAATAAATAATAAGTTATATGTGTTGAAACATCAGAAATTTCAAAGACAGGGTAGTTAACAATGAACTCTCCATGGCCTTAGCAGGTGAGATCTCCCTAGCAAAGGCCTGAGGGAGAAGCCAGAGCCTGAGGGGATTGTGTGTACTTCCCTAGTGGTCTGCTACTAACACCTTATTCTTGCCCTCTTTTTAATCTCTACTCCTTCCTTTCTTCTACCCCTTCCACCGGCATTTCATATCCACTCTCTGACACTGGAAATACATTTGACAACTGAAACTATCGAGGCATCTTTTAGGTTTTCTACTACCTGCTAATTAATGTATAATATTCCTTAATTACTCAACATGATGAGTAGTTTTTAAAGAGTGCCTCCATTGCAGTGAGCTGAGACCGCACCACTGCACTCCAGCCTGGACAACAGAGAGAGACTGTCTCATAAATAAATAAATAAATAAATAAATAAATAAATAGTGTCTTCATATAGCACAGATTGGTCAAGCACTAGGATATGATGAATATTCAAAATCACAAATTATGACTCCTCAAATGGTAAAGCTCTTCAGTACTATTTGTGGCATGTAAACTGGTTAGCATCACTGCCAGAGGACTTGTCTTGGGGAAAATCATTTTTTTAATGAACAGTGATAATAAATAATACAAGTTGGTGTGGTTTTTTCCTTTACTAATGAATTAGCAAAATTAATTCATTTCAACTTTTACTAAGCACTTCAATTTGTAAAATTTCCTTGGTAAAACTAAAACTGTTATTGAATTACATAACACCAAAATAGATTGGAGCATGCAATTAAATAGTACTTATGCGGCAAATACTATATGTCTGTTATACAAGAAGGCAATTAAAGACAGTTGAAATTATTTCTCCTGTGAACTGTTTACCTTGGTGAGGAATGCTGAAGAGCATCATCCTTAATCTCATCCCATGTTGAGTCATGCCCTTCTAAAGGTAAAGGAGCTATTTTTTCTTTGGCATCATATGTCACACAATTAGATGCCTGGGGATGCAATAAAAAAAATATTTATTTTTGCTTAAAAATACATTACGAAAGCAGAATATAACACAGCAAATTTTAAGTGATTGAACAGAGATATCCAGTAGATAAAAATTATACAGTACGACAAAGAATATTTTAGAATAATTTTTCTATCCATCCAGCACTTTTTTCTTAAACTTAAAGATAAAATGACTTATTTCTTGTATTTTAATGAGTGGCATTTAAATGACATTAAGAAATTGCCACAAATAAACATATAAAGGGAAAAATGAAGCAAATTTTCAACTTTTAAGTAAGTTTGAGGGAACAAAATCTCATTATTCAGAAATTCAAATAGCTCATCTGTTTTAAATGCCAACATGTCAAATATGTAGAAGCAGTGGTAGCGCTGGCAGCATGAACAATAATATTAACAAACAAAAATAATGGCAGCTTACTTTTATAGACTCCTTACTACACACCACAAACTGTGCCAAGCATTTACTCACATCATTAGATTCAATCTTTACAATGACAATTTATGTATAGTGCTTTACAGTTTTAAAGGTGCTGTTAAAATATGGATCTACTGCAGTTAATACTCTACTGGCTTCTTCAAGTCAAGTACTGATGGCACTATCTATGGAATATGGGGACACACATTTTCTTGCAGGATTGTAAATAAATATTTTTTCATGTTTACGTAGTTATCTGCAAAGCTAACTCTTTCCAAAAATTTCAAGCTAGTAATAGCTATCATTTATTAAGCCCTTACCAGGCTAGGCACTTTGCCTACATCATTTACTCCTCCTAATAATCCTGCAAGTTAAGTACAGTTTTTCTAGATGAGGAAATTCAGCTCTCAGAGGATAAGTGATTTGTCCTTGGGCCTTAAGTGGCAGGGCCCTATGTCAAACAGCGATTAATAGCTGAGATGGAAAACTACCACCTTCTACCCATTTTCAGAAGGGAAGGGGGAAGTTGAGTATGATTATATTTTATTCTTCTATCTCTGGATCTGTGTTTGACATTTTAATAGACAAACCATTTTTATAAGCAACAAATTTAAGTCAGGACACAAGTGCAAGACTGAAACTCCAAAAATAAAACAATTTATCTCAAAATCAGACTCAAAGTTGCAATATTTTAAAAGAAATGATGCTAAGAATTCAAAATATAAACCCTGTAATAAACAGCTTCATGGTCTAGAAAAAGCAGAGGCAAACATAAGAGAATAACAGCTACTTATTCTTATAAAATGTATAATTTCCAATTATATAATATGTGGCAATTCTTTACAAAAAAAAAAAAGGTATAAAAACTCAACTTCTGCACTACTCTGCTGGCTCCTCTAGTAATCCAGGTCTGCATCTTTGAAAACAATACTTAAGGTATTTTACTGATCCTTCCATTTGTCCAGCCAGCCAACCAATCATCTAGGAAAGATGTTAGTAACAAATGACTTCCCAGATTTGGCAGGATCCACCTGGCCATTCAGAGAGAGCTATAACCATTTGTAAATAGGCAGACCTTCTGTATACTGGCTATATCATGTATGATAAGTGCCACCAACAGATTATTCTTCACAGTCTAAATAGCTGTACATATTCTATTTACTGAAAAACATCTGTAATTCAAATGTAGCAATACCAAAAGATTTCATACTTATTACCTGCTTTATGTTCATTTCTGAATCTGTCATGTTTTTAGTCTCAGCTGTCCCCAACTCAGATTTAAAGCTGTAATAATTTAAAATAAATAATTGTTAATCCTTCAAAATATAAGCACTGTGGTAACAAGGTTTACTGGCTAGAAAAAATAAACTCAAAAAGAATGAGACCCATCTATTCTTATAAAATACATAATTTTGAATTATTTGATTTTATTTGATTAAATATCTGCAGACTCATCTGATATCACTGTACTTATCTATATTCAAAGAAAAAAATACTAATCTTAAATTGTTTTTACTTTCTAAAACAACTAAAACCTACTGCCAGATAAATTGTTTATGTAATACTAGAAAAACAATCACAATCACAAATCTGCTAAATCTCAAAACTTGACAAGATTTGTTTTTTTCTTTAGTCATCTGGCAAACTTTTATTGAACATTCATCTTGTGCCAGGCACTACTGTATTTGAAAACATTATTGAGGCAAATTATACTTAATTTCTAGAAATTATCCCAATTTAAAATTATTCTTGGCAGTTGTTGCTATGAAGACTGGCCGGAATATCTGCAGGAAATGGAGCAGAGGGTTAGATGGATAAAGGGTTAGTTTCTTCCCCTCTATAGCCCATTGTTTCGCCACTTTTAACATGAATCAATATGCATATTTCCACAAATGCTGTCTGATGACCTATTTTAAGAATTCTCTGAAAGTATAATATTTAAAAACATACACAATTCTTGAACCACGCTTGAAATAATAAAATATGTAATTCATACGCATAAGGTGCTTGACCAGTTTAATAGCTATTTTTCAGCAATTACTCTGATAGTTCTAGTGATACATGGAAAAGGAAAAGTCACATTCATCTCATTCCAATCAAAAGGGCACTATCAGATCTTAAGGCTGGCAGCAGAAAACAAGGAATATTAATTCATTAATTTTCATTTAATTTCCTGAAGGATTTACTGTTGGTTGCTGATGTGTCATACCTTAATTCAGTCTGGGTTTCAGCTTCTATCCGTTGATCTGTAAAATCCTTTTTTCTTTTGGCAGGTGTATAATAGCGATACTGTGACAGGAAAGATTTTGCTTCTGTTTTTAAAGTGCGAGGAGTGAATGGCAATTGTTTGTTAGAAAAGAGTTCAGAATGTTTATCCAAAAGATCCCCACTGGGTGCTTTCGAAATGACTAACTGAAACCGGTGGGAATTTGGGAATGTGCTTCTGGGCCTTCTGCCATACAGGGCTCCAGAGCTCAGTTTCCGGGGCCCGGAGGCTGCATAATCCACACTGGACGGGGAGGAACTGGAGTTCTTCTCAGGACCATTTGTGATGACTTTACTGGATTTATGTAGACTTAGGTGTAGTCTCTCTGAAGAGGGTACTAGTGACCTTGCAAAGGATGAAAATCCATTCATTTCTTCTTTTAACATGTCATCCTCAATTTGCGGTTCGCCTGAGGGCTAAGAACATTCGATATGACAGTCATCAACTGCATTACGAATTCATGTAATTGGGGATTTTGAGATTATACATTAAAAAAATGATAGCCTCAAGGGTTTACAAAATTAACTGATATGTTCCTGAAGATGTTAATATTTTATCTGAAGTTCTAGTCAAGTATTTAAACTAAGATATTAACATTTAATTCCAAATATAAGTAATAGAGCAATCAATTTCCTTTCTGAAACGAAAAAAAGATGAATAACATATCTATATTTGGGATCTTCAACTTGCATATTAAGATTTATTGGGAGATGTCAGTTTTATCTGAAAGCTTCCACACAAATTGTGAGCACCAATGCCCTTCTCAACCACTATTAGTGACATCATCCTCACTGTCCTGTCTTGTCATTATTGGAGAGTGCAGTGTAAGCCATCCCTTTGTGATGTTAAGCCTTTAAAGAAACGAAAAGGAACTTCTCCTCATAATGTATGGAGCCCTGATTTAGGTAATTGATAATTTAAATATAATTAATAAATATTTATTCCATAATAATTTCATATATATTTCTCAACTTCTTTTCATTGGGGTGGGGGTAATACTATGAAAAGGGAGGCATTTTGACTTGCTCCATTTCTTTTTGGCTTTACTTTAGGAAAACCATTTCTACAGGTTATTTGTAAAGTCTAAAAACACAGATAGTATTTTATTGTTTTATAAACTGAAAATGTCTAAGAAGCTTTGCCTATGACTTCAGCCCTTACGGACACATCTGTATATCCTTTGCAAAACTCTGAGGCACTTTCATTAGGTAGAGGGGAAATTACATGGAGGTTACAGAAATTGAGGTTAAAAATCGCTAGGATTTAGCCAATTATATCTGTCTTATTACCTCATTGGGAGGAATAACAAGGGGAAGATGGACAAGTTGAGTAAGGAAAAAGGCTTCCTGTATGAAAGGTACTGCTCTTGACATTGAATAGAAGAGGAATAATAAGAACTTCTATCACTGCTACTAATATGTATGGTGTGCTTACTATGTGCAAGGTACTGTACTCATTTTCATGTATAGCTCATTTAATCCTAACATCAACTTCTGAGAGGTAGTACAATTATTACCCTATTTTGTAGATAAAAACACTGCTCTGAGGTGCAGTGTCTCACAGATTTGAACAGAGGCAGAGCCCATGTTCTTTGCCACTTTATCATATTGTCTACTTAAAAACTTATTTGAAAATTATATGATTTTAGATTTTTTTTACAGCATAAAAAATTTTAAACTGATTTTAACTCTTTTTCTGGGAACAAATAAGTCAGCTAACCTAAAGTGCTGATTTATCAAAGCAAAAAAATTGCAGATAACTGGACATTGTGACTACTATCTAAAATATGTCAAATCACCTTTCCTTTCCAACTGTTTTATAACCTTATTCCAAATACAAGACAACATTACTCAAAGCAAGTAAGTATGCTGGCATTAAATTTTGAGTCACTAGGGTACTATTTGGTAAATGACTTCAAGATGTTAGTTTTTATAAGTAGTCCTAAATGATACTCACACTACAGCTTATGTACCAGAAGAGTTTAGCTCTCAAAGAAGAAATTTCTAAGTACAGTCTAAAAATATCCTATAGGGCAATTAATTAATAAGCACAGGAATTATTTACACTTAGAAGAACAGCACAAACTGAGATCAGAGGAAGGAGAAAGAAATGCATAAGCCATTATGATTGCCTGTAAAGAAATGTTATCGGTAATGGTTATTTAATAAACAAAATGAAACACTGAAGAAAGTCTTTTTAAAAGGTAGAAGTATATGTTAAGCTATCTCTCTGAAATGGGATGGAAAAATTGCTTCTGAACTTATAGAAAGCATGAAACTTTTCCCATTTTTGTATCTTATAATTTCTACCTTGTATCCTATTTTTTCTTTCCTTGGAAACCAGTAGACTACAGTATAAAATCCACTGTACCAATCTGCATCTTGTTTCCTTTAGCTATGAATATCATGAAACTTGGATAAAGATATTTGTGCAGAATATATGTAACACACTGGTAGAATCCCAAAACATGAACAGCAGATCACTGTAAAGTTCTGAAATCAGAAAAGGGTTCATCAATTATGTGCCAATGGAGCAAAGAGTCTGGTGGTACCCTGAACACTCACTTTCTTAGGTTATTCTTAGTTTACGAGGTTTGTTGTGCACTGTTTCTGTGATTTCAAGATTTATGTAAAGTAATAACCATAACATAGTTTATATACTCATCATACTTTCATGTCAAGAATTTTACAATACAGAACTCAGTACTAAATCAATCTTTTTTAAGGATGTCAGAAGACATAACCTACAATAATTTTCCAATTGTCGGATTTTTAAACACTTGAAGAGTCAATTCAATTGTAGAATTGGATGGGTAGCGGGCGCCTGTAGTCCCAGCTACTCGGGAGGCTGAGGCAGGGGAATGGCGTGAACCCGGGAGGCGGAGCTTGCAGTGAGCCGAGATCGCGCCACTGCACTCCAGCCTGGGCGACAGAGCGAGACTCCGTCTCAAAAAAAAAAAAAAAAAAAAAAAAAAAATTATTTTAAAATCTAACATCTGTTTGCAAAAAAGTTTCAAATTATATTTTATAAAACAAATATAGCTCTTGATTTTCACTATTTTGTACTGTTTTTAAAAAGTTTCCCAGATTTTTTTTTTTTAATCTTACTTTGTTACCCAGGCTGGAGTGCAGTGGCCTGATCATGGCTCACTGCAGCCACGACCTCCTGGGCTCAATTAATCTGCCTGCCTCAGCCTCCTGAGTAGCTGGGACAACAGATACACACCATCATGCCTGGCTTTTTTTTTTTTCTTGTATTTTTTTTTTTTTTTTTGTAGAGATGGGGTTTTGCCATGTTGTCCAGGCTGGTCTCAAACTCCTGGGCTCAAGTGATCTGTCTGCCTCAGTCTCTCAAAGTGTTGGGATCACAGGTGTGAGCCACTGCTCCCGCCTCTTTTCTAGATTTATTCAGAAATAAAGCTCACACCCACATATTCACTTAATCTTAAAAGCACACAGTAAGTGCTACACCAGTGAAGCAAACGAGTAGTATGGGAGCATTGACTAAGTAGTGAATGACTCAAGAGTTACAGGGTGAAGACTGGAAGGGCTTAGGAGGGTTCTGAGGGTGACAGCATGTGAGTCAGAGTATGGGAGAAGAAAAGTGGCAAGAGAATTGGGCAATTATCATAAAAGGTTTTTGATATATGACCTTTATAATGTATATAAAGGGCTAATACATTCAGAGGTTAAAGCCAGCATTTTAACTATAGCAGCCTTTACAGTGAATACAAATTATAACCATAACAGGTGTCTGTTAACCATAACACCCATTCAATTATCAAAATATACTACCCAAAATAAGGCTCTTAAGACAATCTGAGTGTATCTAAAATATTTATTATCAGGGCTTATCAAAAATGTAGGCAAAGTGCAAGTTACTATGAATCCTAAATGGAGTCAATAAAAATACAGATAAAATAATAAATTAACAACTTTATGGAGGCAAAAAGTTATATAGGGTTATAGTTGCTATTGGAAAAATGAAAACATCTAACATTTACAGAAATATATTAAAAATATATAATATGTAAATAATATATATTTTTACTTTATTATATATAAATAGATATATAAAATACATTAAAAAGATATATTAAAATATATGATTTGTATTTTCAAGAAACCCCATTCTTATCTCAAAATTTAATTAGTAATTTATACTCATGCTGAATAATAGAAACAAATTTTAAATTTTCTGTTAAAAAGTACAATCACTAAAAATGAAAATACACCTGTGATTCAAATATTGAGGAACAGAATCCCAGATAGCAAAGTATAATACAGAGCAGATAACAGATTTATTCTAAAGGAAGCAGCTCTATTGCTGGTCTTTTTATCTACATAATAGCCCTGGGGCTCTCAATCATATTCACTGCTTCCCCTGATGACTCCCAAGTCTATTTTCAGCCCAGACCTCTTTGCTGACACAGATGCTTATATCCAAGTGTCTACTAAATATACTAGATGTTCCAAAAGCATCTCAAATCAAACACAGCCAAACAATAAACTCCTATCTCTTATTACCTCCAGCCCCAAAGAAAACCTGCACCTCATCCTATTATATTTCTGTGAATGATATATTACTATTCTCCCAGTTGCCCAAGGCAGAAACTTAGGATTTTAACTCCTGCTTCTTACTCTTCACATCATCCACTCAGTCACCAAGTCCTGCAGATTCTACTTTTTTTTTTTTTTTTTGAGATGGAGTCTCGCTCTGTCGCCCAGGCTGGAGTGCAGTGGCACAATCTTGGCTCACTGCAACCCCGCCTCCTGGACTCAAGCGATTCTTCTGCCTCAGCCTCCTGAGTAGCTAGGAGTACAGGTGCATGCCACCATGCCCAGCTAATTTTTGTATTTTTAGCAGAGACAGGGTTTCACCATATTGGCCAGGCTGGTCTCGAACTCCTGACCTTGTGATCCGCCCGCCTCAGCCTCCCAAAGTGCTGGGATTACAGCCATGAGCCACCACGCCCGGCCGAGATTCTACTTTCTAATTATTTCTTAAATGTATTCCTTATGCTCTCTCTGCTGTCATAGAATCATGTCTTAATTACTGCTTCCCAGATTACTGCAACTGTCTCGTAACTGTCCTCCACTGTTGTCAGTGTAGTCTGTGTAGTGTCAGTATGATGACATAACTTCCCAACTAAAAACTGGTCTATGGCTCCCAGCATTTCTCAAGGAAAAAAATCCAGACTCATTATTACAGCCTTGGTATTTGGTAAGCAGAGCAGTCAATCTGGCTTTTGCCCAGCAGTCCATAGTTTTTTTTAAACCACATCATGGGTGCTAGGGGCAGAAAACAAAGCTCTTAAGAGATCATGCTTGAGAATCTGGGATTCTCTCAATGGCTACTCCTCAACTAGATGACTTGCAAGGAAACTTCCCCATCCTGAACCCTGGCACTGAGTTGAAGGAGACTGCTGGCCTTCTAATACCAACTCTAACAAACTCAAAAAGGAGACAGTGGGGAAATCTAAACATCAGATATTTATTATTAAAGAACTGTTATTAATTAATTATTTTTTTTTTTGAGACGGAGTTTCGCTCTGTCACCAGGCTGGAGTGCAGTGGCGTTAACTCAGCTCATTGAGACCTCCCACCTCCTGGGTTCGATTCCCCTGCCTCAGCCTCCCGAGTAGCTGGGACTACAAGTGCGCACCACCACTCCTGGCTAATTTTTTTTTGTATTTTAGTAGAGACGAGGTTTCACCATGTTGGCCAGGATGGTCTTGATCTCCTGACCTGGTGATCCACCCACCTTGGCCTCCCAAAGTGCTGGGATTACAGGTGTGGGCCACCACACCCAGCCTGTTATTAATTTTTAAGGCATAATAGTATTGTTGTGGTTTTAAAAGTCTATCTTTTAGATATATACTCAAATATTTATGGATAAAATTATATGGTGTCTGGGGTTTGCATCAAAACAACCTAGGAGAGTGAGTGGGCATATAGGTGAAATAACACTGGCTCTGAGCTGATCATTGCTACAACCTAGGTGATAGGAACATGTGGGCTTATTATACTATATTTTTGTAAATGCTAAGGTTTTCAAAATTTAAAAGTTCAAAAAATGAAACCACACATAAAAATAAAACAAACTTACTGTTTCAGCTGAGAGATAGAGATGGAAAGAACACAGCTCTCACCATTACAAGAAGAAAAAAGCTGAACGATCTGCACATTAATGATTTTTCTTGAACTAATGAGAGAACTGAGGTCACAGAGCAAACAACTAACCTGAAATATGGAGAGAGATAAGTATCCCAGCACTTGCTTACTTGGGAAAGATGCCATGGAATGCCACATAAATTGATAAGATTATGTTATAAATATTTGTTAATTTCCTAAAGACTGAGTGTGGACTAGTGATGTGCTCAGGTCTGTACCGGACCTGAGGACTTGGGGAGTTTGTACCTCTTGCAGGCTTTTCCTCCAGGAAACCTACTCGAAGCTTATAGGGAAGAGTAGAGAGAATCCCTTTCCCACCTTCTCTTGGTGTGGCTTGGGGAGAGAAACAGCAGTCACTGTGGAAAATCTTCCCAGACTTATTTTTCCATTCTCTTTTAAGGAACAAAAACCTTAATCTGCAGGGGAAAATATCCCTTCACTTTTGCCACATAACAGAATCACAGAAGTGACATCCTATCATCTTTCCCATATTCTACTGGGTAGAAGCAAGTTACAGGTCCTACCTGCACTGAAGAGGAGGGGATTGCTTAAGGGTGTGGGTCACTGTGGGGGTGTTGTCTTCAAATTTTGTCTACCACATTGAGTCAAATAGAAGGTATGAAATAAGAAGCCAGAAATAAAAACATATTAAATGCCCCATTAAAAAGACAATGATTATCACAGCACTTTGGGAGGCCGAGGCAGGCAGATCACGAGGTCAGGAGATCGAGACCATCCTGGCTAACATGGTGGAACCCCGTCTCTACTAAAAATACAAAAAATTAGCCAGGCGTGGTGGCGGGTGCCTGTAGTCCCAGCTACTCGGAGGCTGAGGCAGGAGAATGGCGTGAACCCGGGAGGCAGAGCTTGCAGTGAGCCAAGATAGCGCCACTGCAGTCTGGCCTGGGTAAAAAAGCGAGACTCTGTCTCAAAAAAAAAAAAAGACAATGATTATCAGATTGAATAATCTGACCCACCAAATACTAACCTAAAACATTGAGATTGGCAAGTGACATTAAAAAAAAAAAAAGAAGAAAACATTAAGATCAAAAAATGGAAAATGATATACCAAGTAAATACTAGTCAAAATAAAGCTAATTTAATTATATCACTATCAGAAAATATTAATAGAAAAAGCATTAAGGTAAAGAAATTCAAAGCACAGTGATAACAGGTTCAGTTCACCAAGAAACTACCTCCTTCAGGATTTTCTAAATCTGTATTCTGTATCTCTAATATCTCTAATGTAATAACATGCATTCAAAATATGTAAATCAAAAATTAATAGTACCACAAGGAGAAATAGCTAAATATGTAAGTATGTGGAAGATTTCTCTCAATAACTGATAGATTAACCAGACAAAAATAATCAATATGATATAAAAGATTTGAATATCTGGAAAATACAAAGTTTAATGAATATACTATATATCAAATACTACATGCAAAAACTATAGAATATATTTTATTTTCAAACATATAATGACAGGACATTTTTAAAAAATTGTCCACCTACTGGGACATAAAACAAGTGCTCAATAAATTTCAAGAAATGGATATAATATAGATGTTTCCTAATCACAGTACAATTAGGCTAGAAATCTGTAACAAACAGATACTAAGGAAAAAGCAGATACAGAGATTAAGAAATAGTTCTAAATGATTTCTGGGTTAAATAAAAAAATCATAATGAAAATTGTAGGCCGGGCATGGTGGCTCACGCCTGTAATCCCAGCACTTTGGGAGGCTGAGGCAAGCAGATCACTTGAGGTCAGGAGTTAGAGACCAACCTGGCCAACATGGTGAAACTAGACTCTACTAAAAACACAAAAATTAGCTGGGCATGGTGGCAGGCACCTGTAGTCCCAGCTACTTGGGAGGCTGAGGCACGAGAATTGCTTCAACCCAGGAGGCGGAGGTTGCAGTGAGCCGAGATCACACTACTGCATGCCAGCCTGGGCAACAGAGCAAGACATTATCTCAAAAAACAAAACAAAAACAAACAAACAAAAAGAAAATTGTAAAATACTTCGAATTGAAACATAATAAAAATACCACCTATCAAAACTTGTGGGATGCAGCTAAAGCTGTACTTGGTGGAAAATTTATAGCATTAAAAATGCTTACACTAGCAAAGAAGTAAGGCAGAGAATTAATAAATTAAATAAAATTAGAGATAGTACAGCAAAATAAACCCAGAGAGAGGGAAATAAAGATAAACACAGATATTAACAAAACAGAAAACAAAATACAATAGAGAAGACTAACACAATAAAAAGTGTGTCCTTTAAAAAAACTGACTCAATCTCTGATGAGAATGATGAAGAAGAAGAATGAAGGCACAAATAAACTACCTTAGGAATAACAAGGGGAAATAATACATATTCAGAAGAGATTAAGAGAATAGTATGAACAATTCTCTGCCAAAAATTTACATAAAATGAACAACTTCCTACATAAATCTAACATTGAAATCATTCTATAATGACTTAAAAAATTGAATCAGTAGTCAAAATCTTCTCATAAAAAATACTTTAGGCCTAGACAATTTTAATGTTGAGTTCCACCAAATTTAAGGAACAAATAAACCAAATGTACACAAGCTAGAGTACAGAAAGAAGAAATAGTGCCCAGTTTATTTTATGAGGATAGCATAACCAGACACAAGGAGTACAAAAAAAGAAAATGACAGGCCAGTATCAATAATGGACAGATGCCAAAATTCTAAACAAATATTAGTAAGTAAATCTAGCAATGAATAAAAAAGGTAATGTACCATGACTAAGTTCTGTTTACAACAGGAATGCAAAGTTGGTTTAACATTAAAGTCAATTGTTTGTAATTCATTACATTAACAGATTAAAAGAGGCTCAGCATAGTGGCTCATGCTTGTAATCCTAGCACTTTTTGGGAGGCCGAGGTGGGCAGATCACTTGAGGTCAGGAGTTTGAGACCAACCTGGCCAACATGGCGAGACCCCATCTCTACTGAAAACACAAAAATTAGCTGGAGTCGTGGTGGGTGCCTGTGATCCTAGCTACTGGGGAGGCTGAGGGAGGAGAATTGTTTCAACCCAGGAAGTGGAGGTTGTAGTGAGCCAAGATCATGCCACTGCACTCCAGCCTGGGCAACAGAGTGAGACTATATATATATATATAAAAAAAAAAAAACCCCACAGATTAAAAGAGAAAAATTATATCATAATATCATCATTCCAAGAGATGCAAAAAAGCATTTCATAAAATTAATATCCATTCAGGAGAAAGGGAAAAAAAAAACTTCACAAACTAGGAATAGAACTTATTTAACCAGATGTTCGAAGGTATCACAAAAAACCTATAACTGGGGTCTGCAAACTATAACCTTCAGGCCAAATCTGACCCAATGTCTTCAGTTAATAAAGTTTCAGCAGAACACGGCTATACTCATTTATTTATGTACTGTCTATGTCTGCCTTCCAATGGCAGAGTAGTTGTGACAGAGGCCTGAACAGCCTTTTAAAATATTAACTATCTGGATCTTTACAGGAAAAATTTGCTGACCCTAAACTATAGTAAACAAAGTCAGATTGTACCACTAAAGAAGTACCTTAGAAACATTTGCTTTTAAAAAATAAAAATACTATCTTACCTTTTGTAAGGTATTAAAAAGTGACTTGGAATTATTTTTATAATTGGCTCGCATTGCAGTTTTAGTTAATTTGAACTCTTTTTCACATTGTGCTAATTCCTTTTTGAGTTTCTCTCTTCGTTGTTGGTCTGCATCTAAAAGGGAAAACAAATCTTTCAAAATATGGAACAAAATAGAAAATTGGTTTTTTGGTCTTGTTAGAGTAATAAATGGAACATTTTTCTTGTTAAAATGTTATGATATGTAAATAAAAATCCATTTATTTTCCTATATAAAGAGTTACTAACACATTTTAAAAATTATTTATTTCACATGTGCCTCTAGATATTAACTAACACATTTAATTTATAGAAATTCTAAATGGATTAACTATTTAAATAATACAAACAATATAGTGAGATTTGTGTAGTTACCAAAAAAAAAAAAAAAAAAAAAGAATGCCAACAAGATATGACAAACTGGCCAAGCCTAAGGGCATAAGAAAGCAACTCTTAGCAGTTATTCACAGAGATATGAAGGTTACAAATGCTTAACCATGTTATTTATGACTATGTAATCACCAAATACTAAGCTTCACAAACAAAGAAGAAATAAAGTCTTTCCTGACAAGCAAACGCTAAAGGAATTTGTTATATCTAGACCTAGTGTGTTAGACTGTTCTTGCATTGCTATTAGAAATACCCAAGACTGGGTAATTTATAAGGTAAGAAGTTTAATTGGCTCATGATTCTGCAGGCTGTACAGGAAGCACAATGCCAGCATCTGCTTCAGGGGAGACCACAGGAAGCTTTTGCTCGTGGTGGAAGGCGAAGAGGGAATGTGCATTTCATATGGCAAGAACGAGAGGGGAAGGCTGTGGGGGCATACACTTTTAAACAACCAGATCTTGCAAGAACCCACTCACTATCACAAGGACAGCATCAAGGGGGTGGCGCTAAGCCATTCATGAGAAATTCACAGACATGATCCAATCACCTCCCATCAGGCGCCAACTCCAACACTAGGGGTTACATTTCAATGTGACATTTGGGTGGGGACAAATACCCAAACTACATCACCTAGCCTATAGGAAATGCTCAAGGAAGTTCTAAACATGCATACATAAGAATGATACTCACTACCATAAAAGAACACATAAATACAGAGGTTCACAGATCCTATAAAGCAAATACGCAATCAAGACTACAAAGCAAACAGCAAACACCACCATGACAGGATCAAACCTCACATATCAATATTAACCTTGAATGTAAGTGGTCTAAATGTACCCAGTTAAAAGGCACAGAGTGGCAAGAACCACTTTTTAATTTTTTTATTTAAAAAATAAAATAATATTTTATTTAAAAAAAAACAAAAAACAAGACCCAACCTTCTACTATCTTCAAGAGGCCCATCACACATGTAATGACACCTATAGGCCTGAAGTAAAGTGATGAAGAAAGACCTATCATGCAAACAGTAAATAGAAGAGCAGGGGTTGCTATTCTTGTATCAGATAAAACAGACTTTAAACCAACAGCAATAAGGACAAAGATGGGCATTACATAATGACGAAGGATTCAATTCCACAAGACTTACCTATCCTAGGTATATTTGCACCCAACACTGGAGCACCCAGATTCATACAAGTACTTCTAGACCTATGAAAAGATTTAGACAGCCACACATTAATAATGGGGGACTTCAACATCCCACTGGCAGTGTTAGATAGACCCTCAAAGCAGAAAACTAACAAAGAAATTCTGGATTTAAATTTGACACCTGACCAACTGGACCTAATAGACATCTACAGAAGAATACTCCACCCAACAACCACAGAATAAACATTCTTCTCATCTGCATGTGGAACATACTCTAAGATCAACCACATGCTCGAAGACAAAGCAAGTTTCAATAAATGTAAAAAAATTGAAACCACGCCAAACATATTTTTGGACCACGGTGGAAAAAAAGGTAGAAATCAATACCAAGAGTACTCCTCAAAACCACATAATTTTACATGGAAATTAAACCAACTTGCTCCTGAATGACTTTTGGGTAAACAACAGAAGGTGAAATTAAAAAAAAACAAAAAAACTCTTTGAAATAAATAAAAACAGAAACACAACATACCAAAATTTCTGGGATGCAGCAAAAGCAGTGTTAAGAGGCAAGTTTACAGTGCTAAATACCTACATCAAGAAGACAGAAAGATCTCAAATTAATCTAACATTGCAACTAGAGGAAGTAGAATAACAAGAACTAATCCCAAAGCTAGTAGTAGAAAATAATTATCTAAAAGCAGAAATAATTGAAATTGAGATTCCAAAATCCATATAAATGTTCAATGAAACAAAAAGTTGGTTTTTTGAAAGGATAAACAGATCAACAGACTGTTAGCAAGATTAACAAAGATAAAAGAGAAGATCCAAATAAGTACAACCAGATATGACAAAGGCAACATTACAACAGACCCCACAGAAATAGAAAAGATCCTTAGAGACTATTAAGAAGACTTTTATGCATAGAAACTAGGAAATCTAGAGGAAATAGATAAATTTCTGGAAACATACAATTTCCCAATATTGAATTCAGAAGAAATTGAAACCCTGAAGAGAAATACTGAGTTCCAAAATCGAACCAGTAATAAAAAAAACCTACCAACCATAAAAAGCCCTGGACCAGAGAGATTCACAGCCAAATTCTACCAGACATACCAATAGTTGGTATTAATCCTACTGAAACTATTCCAAAAACTTGAGGAAGGACTCTTCCCTAACTCATTCTATGAAACCCAATCTATGAAACCAGCATAATTCTAACACCAAAATCTGGTAAAGACACACCAAAAACGAAAGCTATAGGCCAATATCCCTGATTAACATAGACACAAAAATGCTCAACAAATAGTAGCAAACTGAATCCAACAGCACATCAAAAAGTTAATAAACCACAGTCAAGTAGGCTTCATTCCTGGAATGAAAGGCTGGTTCAACATATGCAAATCAATAAATGCGATTCACCATATAAACAGAATTAAAAACAAAAACCTTATGATCATCTCAACAGATGTAGCAAAAACCTTCAATAAAATCTAGCAATCCTTCATGATTAAAAAAAAAAACCCTCAACAAATTAGGCATCAAAAGAACATACCTCAAAATAATAAGAGCCATCTATTACAAGTCCACAGCCAACATCATACTGAATGAGCAAAAGCTGGAAGCATTCCTCTTTTGAACTGGAACAGCATAAGGATGCCCACTATCACCACTCTTATTCAACATACTACTGGAGTCCTAGCCAGAGTAATTAGGTAAGAGAAAGAAATAAAACACATCCAAATTGGAAAAGTAGTAGTCAAATTATCTCTTTCCTGATGATATGATTCTATAATTAGAAAACCCTAAAGATGCTGCCAAAAGGCTTCTTGAACTAATAAACGATTCCAGTAAAGTTTTAGGACACAAAATCAATGTGCAAAAATCAGTAGCATTTCTATACACCAATGATATTCAAGCTGAGAGCCAAATCAAGAACACAATCTCATTTACAATAGTTACACACACACAAAATAAAATACCTAGGAAAATATCTAAGGAGGTGAAGGATATCTAAAAGAATTACAAAATACTGCTGAAAGAAATCAGAGCTGACACACACAAACGGAAAAACATTCCATGTTCGTGGATTGGAAGAGTCAATATCATTAAAATGTCCATACTGCCCAAAGCAATCTAGAGATTTAGCACTATTCCTATCAAACTACTCACATCATTTTTCACAGAAATTGAAAATACTATTCTAAAATTTATATGGAACCAAAAAAGAGCAGTCCTAAGCAAAAAGAACAAAACTGGAGGCATCACATTACCCGACTTCAAACTACACTACAAGGCTACAAGATGGATTAAAGATTTAAATGTAAGACCTAAAACTATAAAAATTCTATAAGAAAACCTAGGATATACTCTGCTGGACATTGGCCTTGGCAAAGAATTTGTGACCAAGTCCTCAAAAGCAATTGCAACAAAAACAAAAATTGACAAGTGAGACCTAATTAAATTAAAAAGCTTGTGCAATGCAAAAGAAACTATCAACAGAGTAAACAGACAACCAACAGAATGGGAGAATATATTTGTAAACTATGCATCTGACAAAAAACTAATATCAAGAATTGTGATGGCTAATACTGAATGTCAACTTGATTGGATTGAAGGATGCAAAGTATTGGTACTGGGTATATCTGTGAGGGTGCTGACAAAGAAGATTAACATTTGAGTCAGTGGGTTGGGGAAGGCAGACCCACCCTTAATCTGGGTGGGCACCATCTAATCAGCTGCGAGCGAACATAAAGCAGGCAGAAAAACGTGAAGGGTTGAGGCTGGCCTACTCTCACAGCCTACATCTTCCTCCTGTGCTGGATGCTTCCTGCCCTCAAACATCGGACTCCAAATTCTTCAGTTGTGGAACTCAGACTGGCTCTCCTTGCTCCTCAGCCTGCAGACGGCCTATTGTGGGACCTTGTGATCATGTGAGTTAATACTTAATAAACTCCCCTTTATATATATATTTCATTAGTTCTGTCCCTCTAGAGAACCCTAATACAAGAATCTATGAGGAACTTAAAAAAAAAAAAAAAAGCAAGAAGAAAAACAAATAACCCCATTAAAAAGTGAGAAAAGGACATAGACACTTATCAAAAGAAGACATAAAAGCAGCCAACAAATAAAAAAGTACTCAACATCACTAATCATCAGAGAAATGCAAATAAAATCACAATGAGATACTATTTCATACCAGCCAGAATGGCTATTACTAAGAAGTCAAAAAATAGTAGATGTGGCAAGGTTGCGGGGAAAAAGGAATTACACACTGTTCTTGGGAATGTGAGTTCAGCCACTGAGGAAAGCTGAAGACTGAGCCACTGAGGAAAGTTTGAAGACTTCTCAAATAACTAAAAATAGACCTACCATTCAACCCAGCAATCCCATTACCATGTATAAACCCCCCCCAAAAAATCATTCTACCAAAAAGACACATGCCCTCATATCCAACACAGCACTATCCACAATAGCAAAGATATGGAACCAACCTGGGTGTCCATTAATGGTGAATTGGATAAAGAAAATGTGGTACATATACAGGATGAAATACTGTATATGTGCAGCCCACGGAGGGTGAGCTGAAGCAGGGTGTGGTGTTGCCTCACCCAGGAAGCGCAAGGGGTAGGGGAACTCCTTCCCCTAGCCAAGGGAAGCCATGAGGGACTATCCTGTGAGGAACGGTGTGCACTCTGGCCCAGATACTATGCTTTACCCATGGTCTTTGCAACCCACGGACCAGGAGATTCCCTCAGGTGCCTACACCACCAAGGCCCTGGGTTTCAAGCACAAAACTGGGTGGCTGTTTGGGCAGACACTGAGCTAGCTATAGGAGTTTTTTTCCATACCCCAGTGGCAACTGGAATGCCAGTGAGGCAGAACCATTCACTCCCCTGGAAAGGGGTCTGAAGCCAGGGAGGCGAATGGTCTAGCTCAGCATATTCCACCCCATAGAACCCAGCTAGCTAAGATCCACTGGCGTGAAATTCTCCCTGCCAGCACAGCAGTCTGAAGTTGACCTGGGACTCTAGAGCTTGGTGGGGGGAGGGGCATCCACCTTATTGAGGCTTGAGTAGGTGGTTTTTCCCTCACAGTGTAAACAAAGCCGCCAGGAAGTTCAGACTGGGCGGAGCCCACCACAGCGCCACAAGGCCACTGTAGCCAGACTGCCTCTCTAGATTCCTCCTCTCTGGGCAGGGCATCTCTGAAAGAAAGGCAGCAGCCTCCCTCAGGGGCTTATAGATAAAACTCCCTGGGACAGAGCACCTGGGAGAAGGGGTGGCTGTGGGCACAGCTTCAGCAGACTTAAATGTTCCTGCCTGCCAGCTCTGAAGAGAGCAGCGGATCTCCCAGCCAGTGCTTGAGCTCTGCTAAGGGACAGACTGCCTCCTCAGGTGGGTCCCTGACCCCCATGCCTCCCAGCAGGGGTTGACAGACACCTCATACAGGAGAGCTCCGGCTGGCATATGGCGGGTGCCCCTCTGGGACGAAGCTTCCTGAAGGAAAAACAGGCAGCAATCTTTGCTGTTCTGCAGCCTCCGCTGGTGATACCTAGGCAAACAGGGTCTGGAGTGGACCTCCAGCAAACTACGGCAGACCTGCAGCAGAGAAGCCTGACTGTTAGAAGGAAAACTAACAAACAGAAAGGAATAGCATCAACATCAACAAAAAGGACATCCACACAGAGACCCCATCCAAAGATCACCAACAGCAAAGACCAAAAGTAGATAAATCCACGAAGATGAGGAAAAAACAGTGCAAAAAGGTTGAAAATTCCAAAAACCAGAACGCCTCTTCTCCTCCAAAGGATCACAACTCCTCACCAGCAAGGGAACAAAAAACGCAGGGGTTGCAATCCTAGTCTCTGAAAAAAACAGACTTTAAACCAACAAAGATAAAAAAAAGACAAAGAAGGGCATTACATAATGGTAAAGGGATCAATGCAACAAGAAGAGCTAACTATCCTAAATACATATGCACCCAATACAGGAGCACCCAGGTTCATAAACCAAGTTCTTGAGACCTACAAAGAGACTTAGACTGCCACACAATAACAGTGGGAGACTTTATCACCCCACTGTCAATATTAAAGAGATCAACAAGACAGAAAATTAACAAGGATATTCAGGACTTGAACTCAGTTCTGGACCAAGCAGACCTACTAGACATCTACAGAACTCTCCATCCCAAATCAACAGAATATACATTCTTCTCAGCAGCATATCACATTTATTCCAAAATTGACCACATAATTGGAAGTAAAACACTCCTCAGCAATTGCAAAAGAACGGAAATCATAACAAACAGTCTCTCAGACCACAGTGCAATCAAATTAGAACTCAGGATTAAGAAACTCACTCAAAGCCACACAACTACATGGAAACTGAACAACCTGCTCCTGAATAACTACTGGGTAAATAACAAAATTAAGGTAGAAATAAATAAGTTCTTTGAAACCAATGAGAACAAAGACACAATGTACCAGAATCTCTGGGACACAGCTAAAGCAGTGTTTAGAGGGATATTTACAGCACTAAATGCCCACAGGAGAAAGTGGGAAAGATCTAAAATCGACACCCTAACATCACAATTTAAAGAACTAGAGGAGCGAGAGCAAACTAACTCAAAAGCTAGCAGAAGACAAGAAATAACTAAGATCAGAGCAGAAATGAAGGAGATACAGATGTGAAAAACCCTTCAAAAAATCAATAAATCCAGGAGCTGTTTTTTTGAAAAGATGAACAAAATAGATAGACCACTAGCCAGACTAATAAAGAAGAAAATAGAGAATCAAAAAGGCACAATAAAAAACGACAAAGGGGATATCACCACTGATCCCACAGAAATACAAACTACCACCAGAGAATACTATAAACACCTCTATGCAAATAAATTAGAAAATCTAGAAGAAATGGATAAATTCCTGGACACATACATCCTCCTGAGACTAAACAAGAAGTCGAATCCCTGAATAGACCCATAACAAGTTCTGAAATTGAGGCAGTAATTAATAGCCTACCAACCCAAAAAAGCCCAAAACCAGATGGATTCACAGTCTAATTCCTCTATAGGTACAAAGAGGAGCTGGTACCATTCCTTTTGAAGCTATTCCAAACAACAGACAAAGAGGGACTCCTCTCTAACTCATTTTGCATCATCCTGATACCAAACCCTGGCAGAGACACAAGAAAAAAAAATTTCAGGCCAATATTCCTGACTAACATTGATGTGAAAATCCTCAATAAAATACCAGCAAATCGAATCCAGCAGCACATCAAAAAGCTTATCCACCACGATCAAGTTGGCTTCATCCCTGGGATGCAAGGCTGCTTCAACATATGCAAATCAATAAACA
Organism: Homo sapiens; assembly: GCF_000001405.40. Taxonomy (NCBI): domain Eukaryota; kingdom Metazoa; phylum Chordata; class Mammalia; order Primates; family Hominidae; genus Homo; species Homo sapiens. The sequence continues at coordinate 88,408,906 of NC_000014.9, read as the reverse complement.
TAATTCATCACATAAACAGAACCAATGACAAAAACCACAGGATTACCTCAACAGATGCAGAAAAGGCCTTTGACAAAATTCAACAGCGCTTCATGCTAAAAACCCTCAATAAACTAGGTGTTGATAGAATGTATCTCAAAATAATAAGAGCTATTTATGACAAACCCACAGCCAATATCATACTGAATGGACAAAAGCTGGAAGCATTCCCTTTGAAAACCGGCCCAAGACAAGGATGCCCTCTCTCATCACTCCTATTCAACACAGTAACGGAAGTTTAGGCCAGGGCAATCAGGCAAGAGAAAGAAATGCAGGGTATTCACATAGGAAGAGAGAAAGTCAAATTGTCTCTGTTTGCAGATGACATGATTGTATATTCAGAAACCCCCATCATCTCAGCCCAAAATCTCCTTAAGCTGATAAGTAACTTCAGCAAAGTCTCAGGATACAAAATCAATGTGCAAAAAATCACAAGCATTTCTATACACCAACAACAGACAGACAGCCAAATCATGAGTGAACTCCCATTCACAATTGCTACAAAGAGAATAAAATACCTAAGAATAGAACTTAAAAGGGATGTGAAGGACCTCTTCAAAGAGAACTACAAACCACTGCTCAAGGAAATAAGAGAGGACACAAACAAATGGAAAACCATTACATGCTCATGGATAGGAAGAATCAATATTGTGAAAATGGCCACACTGTCCAAAGTAATTTATAGACTCAGTGCTATCCCCATCAAACTACCATTGACTTTCTTCACAGAATTAGAAAAAAACTATTTTAAATTTCATATGGAACCAAAAAAAGGGCCCGTATATCCAAGACAATCCTAAGCCAAAAGAACAAAGCTGGAGGCATCACACTACCTGACTTCAAACTATACTGCAAGGCTACAGTAACCAAAACAGCATGATACTGGTACCAAAACACATATATAGACCAATGGAATAGAACAGAGGTCTCAGAAGTAACGCCACACATCTACAACCATCTGATCTTTGACAAATCTGAGAAAAATAAGCAATGGGGAAAGGAGTCCCTATTTAACAAACAGTGTTGGGAAAACTGGCTAGCCATATGCAGAAAACTGAAACTGGACCCCTTCCTTACACCTTATACAAAAATTAACTCAAGATGGATTAAAGACTTAAATGTAAGACCTAAAACCATAAAAACCCTAGAAGAAAACCTAGGCAATACCATTCAGGACATAGGCATGTGCACAGACTTCATGACTAAAACACCAAAAGCAATGGCAACAAAAGCCAAAATTGACAAATGGGATCTAATTAAACTAAAGAGCTTCTGCACAGCAAAAGAAACCGTCATCAGAGTGGACAAACAACCCACAAAATGGGAGAAAAATTTTGCAATCTATCCATCTGACAAAGGGCTAATATCCAGAATCCACAAGGAACTTAAATTTACAAGAAAAAACCAACCCTATCAAAAAGTGGGCGAAGGATATGAACAGACACTTTTCAAAAGAAGACACTGATGTGGCCAACAAACATGAAAAAAAGCTAATCATCACTGGTCATTAGAGAAATGCAAATCAAAACCACAATGAGATACCATCTCATGCCAGTTAGAATAGCGATCATTAAAAAGTCAGGAAACAACAGATGCTAGACATGATGTGGAGAAATATGAACGCTTTTACACTGTTAGTGGGACTGTAAATTAGTTCAACCATTGTGGAAGACCGTGTGGCAATTCCTCAAGGATCTAGGACCAGAGATACCATTTGACCCAGGAATCCCATTACTGGGTATATACCCAAAGGATTATAACTCATTCTACTATAAAGACACATGCACACATATGTTTATTGCAGCACTGTTCACAATACCAAAGACTTGGAACCAACACAAATGCCCATCAATGGGTATATTTCTTTCTGGATAAAGAAAATGTGGCACATATACACCATAGAATACTATGCAGCCATAAAAAAGAATGAGTTCATGTCCTTTGCAGGAACATGGATGAAGCTGGAAACTATCATTCTCAGCAAACTAACACAGGAACAGAAAACCAAACACTGCATGTTCTCACTCATAAGTGGGAGCTGAACAATAAGAACACATGGACACCAGGAGGGGAACATCACACACTGGGGCCTGTTGGGGGACTGGGGAAGGGATAGTATTAGGAGAAATACCTAATGTAGATGACAGGTTGATGGGTGCAGCAAACCACCATGGCACATGTATACCTATGTAACAAACCTGCATGTTCTGCACATGTATCCCAGAACTTAACGTATAATAATAATAATAAAAAAAGAACACCTGGACATTTTTTAGTCAATATTTTTCTTCTCTAAAGAAACTGTATACAAATGCAATTGTGGAAACTAGTTACAAATTGATTAAAGATCATTTTGATTTGTAAATATATTTATTTAATAGAATTTCTTCTTTTCCCAATAACAAAAAATAGAATGCTAAAAAAAAAAAAAAAGTAGATTAGTGGTTGCCTGGGGCTAGGGGTAGGAATTTGCAGCGTGGCTGCAAATGGGTACAAGGGATCTTCATAAAATGATGAAAATGTTCTAAAATTGGTTTGTGGTTGCACAATTCTGTAAATTTAGTAAAAAATCAGTGAATCTTATAGTATGTAAATTATTTTTCAATAAAACTTCTATAAAAATTAAATTATTTAAATAATTCAATAAACTATATTCCAGGTTAGGAACTGATCAAGTCAGTAGTCTGCTATGACAGAAAAGTACAGAGTAGCTTATAAAAACAGAGATGGCTCAAATCCAGAGACTTCTCTTTTTATGTGTCTAGAAAGCCTGTTTCTAAGCCAAATTCATTATAATGAAAAATCATATATAATGAAGAATGATTATTAATTACACTTAACTTGGTGATTATAATATTTGCAATTACTCTAAGCCATCACAATTTGGTTTATGTAGCAAAAAGGAAAAATTCCTGCCTTAATTGACTAAAAGCAGAAAATACCATGGATAAATAAGCACTAGCTAAATCTACATTTTAAAAACAAAAAGTGCAAGCAATTCTTTAAATACCCCCTATATGCTGTCAAATCCCACATTTTTAGCTCTATCCTGAAATTGTCTCTTGAATTCCAGACTTGCACTCCAACTGCCTCCTAAGGGTTGCCAACTGGCTATGTAATAGGCATTTATTTCAAATGTAATGACCAACACTGAACTACTGCTTTGCTTTCTCCTCTCAATCTTTTCCTATGGTATTGCTCACTTCAGTAAATCATAACTCCATCCTTTTGGCTGAGAGGTTCTAAGTCTTGGAAGTCATTTTTGACCCAATCCTCTTTTCTCTCTCACACTACATCTACATCCAACCCATCAGTAAATACTATGGACACACATTTGAAATGTTTCCAGAATCTGATTATTTCAATCTCTCTCCACTGCAACCACTCTGGTCCCAGTCACCATTATTTCTCATCTGGATTATTTACTGTCTTCTAACTAGTCATTCTGCTTCAGACTATTCCCAACTATGAAGCCAAAGGGATGCTTTTAAAAGTAAAAGTAGCCCTGCTACTCCTCTCTTCAAGACCCTCCAATGGCTTGCAATTTCATTCAGAGTGAAGGCCAAAGTCTTTGCAATGGCCACTGCCTTTTATTCTCTGCATCCCTCTGTCCCATCTCAGTGACTTCATCTATTACTCTTCAGTTGGCTTATTCCATACTAGCTACACAGCCCTCCTTGCTGTTTTTTGAAAACACCAATCATGACACCATTTCAAGGCTTTTAAACTTGCTGTTTCCTCTGTCTGGATTGCTTTTTCCCCAGATAGCCACATGCCTCTTCCTTAATTCTTTCAGGTCTCTGCTCAATTGTCACCTTATCAGCAAGGGCTTCTCCTCCAAGGGACTCTCAGTCATTTTTTTTCCATTGCATTTATTACCATATGACATATTCTTTATTTATTTGTATTTGCTTATTGTTTGTCTTCTCCAACTACAATGTAAACTCTACAAAAGCAGGAAATTTGTCCTGTTCACCTCTTTAGTCCCAGCCCTTAGAACAATGTCTAGCACATAGCAGGGGCCCAATAAATATATGCTGAATAAATCAATGAATAAACTCTAGCAAACTAAATTAAATGTTATTTTGTTACTCTAGCAAAATAAATTAAATGACCATTTTAAATTTGTGATTTTGACTTTATTTTTTTTGAGACAGAGTTTCACTCTTGTTGCCCAGGCTGGAGTGCAATGGCATGATCTTGGCTCACTGCAACCTCCCCCTCCCGGGTTCAAGTGATTCTCATGTCTCAGCCTCCCGAGTAGCTGGAACTACAGGTGCATGCCACCACACCTGGCTAATTTCTGTATTTTTAGTAGAGAACGGGTTTCATTATGTTGGCCAGGCTGGTCTCGAACTCATGACCTCAAGTGATCCTCCCGTCTTGGCCTCCCAAAGTGCTGGGATTACAGGCGTGAGCCACAACGCCTGACCTAAAATACTTTTAAATACTTAGTAGGGCTACTCTACTACTCTTTTCTATTCATGTTCAGATTATTTCTGGCTATTTTCTCATATATATGTAGGTTAATTTTGGAACATTTTGTCAAGTAGTGTATGAACAATACTGATTTTTGGCATCTTAATTGAGCTCACATTGAATTTAGAAATTACTTTAAAAAGTATCAATACTTTAAAAAGTATGTATCAATATATTTGCATTATATAGAGTCTTTCTATCTTATAACAAGATATGCCTTTTCTTTTGGTCCAGTCAATACATTAACCAAATATATCTGGTTAATATATTCTTTCCAGTCATGACCAGATGGCCATTCTATTTAAGTTTATATATATATCAGGTTGCTTAGGTAATAATTTTTTCAGCTTTGTTAAGGTATAGCAGACAAACTGTATATGTTTCAGGCATTTAATTTGATATTCTGATATACATTGTGAATGATCATAATCAAGATAATTAATACATCTATCACCTAACATAGTTGCTACTTTTTCTTTTTTTTGTGGTGAGAACACAGATGTACTGTCTTAGCAAATTTCAAGTATATTATACAGTACTGTTAACTCTAATTAATGCTGTACATTAGATCTCCAGAACTTACTCAACTTGCATTAACTAAAACTTTGTACTCTTTGACCAACATCTCCCCATTTCCTCCTTCCTGTAGCCCCTGGCAACTTCCATTCTACTCTCTGCCTCTCTGAGGTTGCCCACTTTAGATTGCACATACACATGTTTAATAATCCAGACACAGGCAAGTACCACGTGATCTCACTTATATGTGGAAGCTAAAATGAACCCTCAGGTTCATCTGTGTTGTCACAAATGACAGAAATGACAGGATTTCCTTCTTTTTAAAGGCTATGTGGTGTGGGTTTTGCATGTGTCTGTGTATGTTATAAATGTGGTGTGGGTTGTGTGTATGTGTGTGTAGTATTTCTTTATACACATACCACATTTTCTTTATCCATTCATCTGTCAACATTTAGGTTGTTTCTATATCTTGACTATTTGCTATAATGCTGTAACAAACATGGGAGAACAGATATCTCCTTGACATACTGATTTCATTTCCTTTGGATATATATTCAGAAGTGGGATTGCTTAATCGTATGGTAGTTCTATTTTCAATTTCTCGAGGAGCCTCTATATTGATTTGCCTAATGGCTGTACCAACTTACATTCCTAGCAACAGTGCACAAGTGTTCCCTTTCCTCCACATCCTTGCCAACACTTGTTACATGTTGTCTTTTTGATAGCCATTCTCACAGGTGTGAGTGATATCTCATTAAGGTTTTGATTTGCATTTCCCTGATAATTAGTAATGTTAAGCACCTTTTCATACACTTATTGGCCACTTGTATGTCTTCCTTTGAGAATGTCTACTCAGGTCCTTCATGCATTTTTATAGCAAGGTTTTGGGTTTTTTTTTTTTTTTTTTTTTTTTGCTATTGAGTTGTACTTATTACTTACACAGTTGGGATATTAACCTCTTATCAGATACATGGTTTGCAAATATTTCCTCCCATTCTGTAAGTTGCCTATGCACTCTGTCGATTGTTTCCTTTGCTGTACAAAAGCTTTTGAGTTTGGTGAATTCCACTTGTCTATTTTTGCTTTTGTTGCCTGGCTTTCAGAGTCATATCCAAAAATATTATTGCCCAGACTAAAGCCAAGAAGCTTTTTTTCTATGTTCTCTTCTAGTAGTTTTATGGATTAGGACCTTATATTTAAGTTTTTAAATCCATTTTGAGCTGATTTTTGTATGAGTTGATTTTTGTCTATGGTTTAAGAGTCCATTTTCATCCTTCTGCATGGGACTATCCAGGTTTCCCAGAGTCATTCATTGATGACACTATCCTTTCCCCACTGTGTGTGTTTGGTACCCTTTTGAAGATAAGTTGACTATAAACACATGGATTTATTTCTGGGTTCTCCATTCTTTTCCATTGGTCTGGTATGTGTTTTTTTTTGCCAGTTCCATACTGTTTTGATTATTGTAGCTTTGAAATATATTTTGAAATTTAGAAAGTGTGATTTCTCCAGCCTTGTTTTTCTTGCTCAAGATTGTTTTATTTGTGGTCTTTTGTGGTCCCACATGAATTTTACGATTGTTTGTTCTATTTCTGTAAAGAATGTCTTTGGGATTTCTATAGGGATTGCAGTGAATTTATAGACTACTTTGGGTAGTACAAAAATTATAACAATATTAATTATTCCAATTCATAAATATGGATGTCTTCCATTTATCTGTGTCTTCTAAAATTTCCTTTATTGATGTTTTATAGTTTTCAGTGTACAAGTTTTCAACCTTTTTGTTTAAGGTTATTCCTAAGCATTTTATCCTTTCTGTTGCTGTTGCAAATGGCATTGTTTTCTTAATTTCCTTTTCAGACAGTTGTTTGTGTACAGAAATGCCACTGGTTTTTGTACATTAATTTTGTATCCTAAAACTATATTGAATTTATTGCAACAGTTCTTTTTTATTGGGCATTAGGGTATTCTACATATATATCATGTCATCACAAACAGAAGTAACCTTACTTTTTTTTTTTTTTTTTTTTTTTTTTGAGACAGGGTCTTTCTCTGCTGCCCAAGCTGGAATTCAGTGGCACGGTCAAAGCCCACTGTGACCTTGAATTCCTGGGCTCAAGTGATCCTACTGCCTCAGCCTCCAATGTAGCTAGGACTACAGGTATGTGTCACCATGCCTGGTTAATTTTTAGTTTTTTTATTTTGTAGAGGCATGGTCTTACTATGTTGCCCAGGCTGGCCACTCCTGGCCTCAAGTGATCTCTCCACCTTGGTCCCCCAAAGTATTGCAATTACAGGAGTGAACCACCACACCCAGCTCTACTGCTTTCTTTCTAATTCGTATGCCTTTTATTTCTTTTTCTTGTCTAATTGCTCTGGCTAGGACTTCCAATACTATGTTAAACAGAAGTGGCAAAAGTGAGGAATCCTTGCCTTATACCAGATCTTAGAGGAAAAGCTTTGTTTTTCTTCATTAAGCATCATGTTACCTGTGAGATTTTCATATATAGCTTTCATGCTGTTGAAGTAAGTTCCTTCTATTCCTATTTTGTTGAGAGAGTTTATCATGAATGGATGCTGAATTTTGTCAAATGGTTTTTCTGCATGTATTGAGATGATTGTGTGGTTTTTAATCTTTCACTATGTTACTGTGGTATATCACATTGGTTGATTTGCATATGTTGAACCACCTTTGTATCCCAGGGATAAATCTGACTTGGTCATGGTGTTTGACTCTTTTAACATGCAATTGAATTCAGTTTGCTGGTATTTTACTGAAGATTTCTGCACTTATATCAATCAGATATATTGGCCTGTAGCTTTCTTTTCTTGTGTTGTCTTTGTTTGGTTTTGGCATCAGGGTGGTGCTAGCCTCATAAAATGAGTTTGGAGGTATTCCCACTTCTATTTTTATAAAAGTTTAAGAAGGACTGGTGCTATCCTTTCTTTGAATATTTGGTAGATTTACCTATGAAGATATCTGGTCCTGGGCTATTCTTTGTTGGGAAGTTTTTTTTAATTTTTAATTTTATTTTTTTGAGATTTTATCCCATTCTGTCACCCAGGCTGGAGTGCAGGGGCATGATCTCAGCTCACTGCAACCTCCACCTCCTGGATTCAAGTGATTCTCCTGCCTCAGCCTCCTGAGTAGCTGGGATTACAGGTGTGCAACACCACATCTGGCTAATTTTTTGTATTTTTTAGTAGAGTCGGGGTTTCACCATGTTGGCCAGAGGGTCTTGAACTCCTGACCTCAAGTGATCTGCCTGTCTTGGCCTCCCAAAGTGCTGGGATTACAGGCATGAGCCACCACATGTGGCCTCTGTTGGGAAGTTTTTGATTACTGATTCAATCTCCTTTTTTCTATTAGTCTATTCAGGATATTTCTTCTTGATTCAGTTTTTGAAGGTTGTATGTTTCTAGGGATTTACCGAGGTGGGCTTAGTTTATTCTTCTTTTTCTAGTTCCTTGAGGTATACAGTTGAGTTGTTTGAGATCCCCTCTTTTAATGTAAGTATTCATCACTATAAACCACTCTCTTAGTACTAATTTTGCTGCATTCTGTAAGTTTTGGTATATTGTGGTTTTGTTTTCCTTTGCCTCAAGATATCAAAATTCTGTTTTTATTTCTTCTTTGACTCAATACTTGTTCAAGAATGTGTTGTTTAGTTGCCATGTATTTGTGAATTTCCCATTTTCTTACAGCTATTAATTATTAGTTTTATTCCATTCTGGTTGAAAAAGATACTTGAAATGATTTTTATCTTCTTAAATATGTTACGTCTGATTTTATGGCCTAATATGAGATCTATTCTGAAGAAGGTTTCATGTGCACTTGAGGAGTGCGTATTCTTCAATAGGGTATAAAGGTCTGTATATATCTGTTAAATTCCTTTGGTCTATTATGTTGTTCAAGTCAGCGGTTTAAATGATTTCTGTCTGGGTCTTATAATATGTATCCACTATTGAAAGTGGATTATTGAAGTCTTCTATTATTGTATTAAAGTCAATTTCTCCCTCAGATTTGTCCACAATTGCATGATATATTTAGGAGTTCTGATGTTGGGTATGTAGATAATTGTTACATCTTCCTGTTAAGTTGACCCTTTAAAAATTATATAATGGCTGTCATTGTCTCTAGAGATCATTTTAAGGCCAGGCGCGGTGGCTCACGCCTGTAATCCCAACCAACTTAATTCAAATGATCCAGATATTTAAAGCATGTAAACACTGAACCAGTTTTGTGCTACAAAAAAGTTACTAATATGATACAGAAGAAAAAAATGTAAAGCACAGAAATTAAAAATCTGGAAGGGTCCTTAGAAATCATCTAATTACCTTTCATTTCACAAAAAAGGAAGGTCAGAGGTAAAATGACTTGCCCATATAACTTGTATGTAGCGACCAAACTGGTCTTTAAAAATATGTACTAAGAAGTCTCTACTCTTGCCTAACATGCCTTTTTTCCTCCTTTAAAATTATTTGAATCTAATTTTCCTTCAAAAATATGACAGCCTACACGAAGGTTTGTTGCAAACATAAAAAGAATAGAAAAGGGAGAATACAAAGTGTCAAGCACAAGGCCTGAGACAGACACTGTGTTTGTAGCTATGACCTATAGCTGGTAGTTACTTTCTCCCCTACCTTCTATCTCTTCAACTAAGATATACAAGCAGAGATGAGTTAACCATTCCTACTGTTTGTGATCTTTCCTAGATTGCACCCAAAAGGCATTTCCCTATGTATGCTTTTATTCATTTATCATTTAGCATGAATTAACCTTAGGTTGATATTTACTTTTTTTTCTTTTTTTTTTTTTTTGAGACGGAGTCTTGCACTGTTGCCCAGGCTGGAGTGCAGTGGCATCATCTCGGCTCACTGCAAGCTCCGCCTCCTGGGTTCACGCCATTCTCCTGCCTCAGCCTCCCGAGCAGCTGGGACTACAGGCGCCTGCCACCATGCCCAGCTAATTTTTTGTACTTTTAGTAGAGACAGGGTTTCACCGTGTTAGCCAGGATAGTCTCGATCTCCTGACCTCGTGATCCGCCCGCCTCAGCCTCCCAAAGTGCTGGGATTACAGGCATGAGCCACTGCACCTGGCTGATATTTACTTTTTTAATGTAGAAATGTTCTCAAACTCTACATAAATTCAAATATTAACTTAGAAAACTTAGAAACTTAGAAAACACTAAACTTAAAATTTATAACACTGATTTTTTTTTATCTTTTTTTAAAATTTTATTATTATACTTTAAGTTTTAGGGTACATGTGCACATTGTGCAGGTTAGTTACATATGTATACATGTGCCACGCTGGTGCGCTGCACCCACTAACTCGTCATCTAGCATTAGGTATATCTCCCAATGCTATCCCTCCCCCCTCCCCCCACCCCACAACAGTCCCCAGAGTGTGATGTTCCCCTTCCTGTGTCCATGTGATCTCATTGTTCAATTCTCACCTATGAGTGAGAATATGCGGTGTTTAGTTTTTTGGTCTTGTGATAGTTTACTGAGAATGATGATTTCCAATTTCATCCCTGTCCCTACAAAGGACATGAACTCATCATTTTTTATGGCTGCATAGTATTCCATGGTGTATATGTGCCACATTTTCTTAATCCAGTCTATCATTGTTGGACATTTGGGTTGGTTCCAAGTCTTTGCTATTGTGAATAGTGCTGCAATAAACATACGTATAACACTGATTTTTATATGATTAATACGACAATCAAAGGCTGTGACAGCCATGTTTTTTGCCTATTTTTAAAGGATACATTTCTTTTTTTTTTTTGAGACGGTGTCTTGCTCTCTCGCCCAGGCTGGAGTGCAGTGATGCGATCTCTGCTCACTGCAAGCTCCACCTCCCGGGTTCACGCCATTCTCCTGCCTCAGCCTCCAGAGTAGCTGGGACTACAGGTGCCCACCACCACACCCAGCTAATTTTTTGTTTTTTAGTAGAGACGGGGTTTCACCCTGTTAGCCAGGTTGGTCTCGATCTCCTGACCTCGTGATCCGCCTGCCTCGGCCTCCCATAAAGTATACATTTCTTAATTGAAATCAAAAACAAAGGTTTCAAATGGTATTCTTCAGAAATTTTTAAACAGGGTTTTCAAATTTTTGGTCTGATGATTTAAAAATGAAGATAACCTGGTCAAAGGGTAGATATATAAGGATTCTATATATCCTGTGTCAACATTATGGGTTTTCTTTTTCCTTTTTTTTTTTTTTTCTTGAGACAGCATCTCCCTGTCACCTAGGCCAGAGTGCAGTGGCATGATCATGGCTTACTGCAGCCTTGACCTCCCTGGCTCAAGTAATCTTCCCACCTTAGCCTCCTGAGTAGCTGGGACCAGAGTTGCATGCCACCACATCCAGCTAATTTTTGTATTTTTTGAAGAGACAGGGTTTCACCATGTTGCCTAGGCTACTCTTAAATGCCTGGGCTCAAGTGATCCACTTGCCTCTGTCTCCCATAGGTGTGAGCCACTGTGCCTGGGTATTTTTGGATAATTTTTAAGTTAGAAATGCTTTCTCAAAAGGCAATGTGTCAACACCTTTTAGTATGGCTACTATTAAACAAATAGGAAAAAGCAAGTGTTGGGGAGGACATGGGGAAATCTGAATACTTGAGCATCATTAGTCATAATGGAAAATGGTGCAGCTGCTATAGAAAGCAATATGGTCACTGGGTGCAGTGGCTCACGCCTATAATCCCAGCACTTTGGGGGACTGAGTCAGGTGGATCACTTGAGCTCAGGAGTTTGAGACAAGCCTGGGCAACATGGTAAAACCCTGTCTCTATGTAAAAAGGCTGTGGCAAAATTAGCTGTGCGTGGTGGCTTGCGCCTGTAGTCCCACCTACTTGGGAGGCTGTTGGGAGGCTGAGGTGGGAGGATTGCTTGAGCCCAGGAGGTGGAGGTTACAGTGAGGTGAGATCGTTCCACTGCACTTTAGCCCCAGGGCAATAGAGTGAGACCCTGTCTCAAAAAAAAAAAAAGAAAAAAGAAAAGAAAAGAAAATAGTATGGTAGTTTCTCAAAAAATTAAAAATAGAATATATGATTTAGCAATTCCACTTCTAAATATACACCCAAAATCTTTAAAAGGAGGGTCTTGAAGAGGTATTTGTATACTCATGTCCATAGCAGTATAGTTTATTCACAACAGCCAAAAGGTGACTGTAACTCAAGTGTCCATCAACTGACGAATGCATAAGTAAAATGTGGTATATACACAGAATGGAATTTTATTCAGCCTTTAAAAAGGAGATTCTGACTCATTACAATATGGGTGAACCTTGAGAACATCATGCTAGGTGAAATAAGCCAGTCACAACAGAACAAACACGATATGATTCCACTTATATAAGGTACCTAAAATAGATTCATAGAGATAGTAAGTACAATGGTGACAGTAGTCAAATTCATAGTGATAGAAAAGAATGTTGGTTTCCAGGGCCTATGGGAGGAAATTATTGTTTATGTGGCACAGGAATTTCAGTTTTGCAGTATAAAGAGAGTTCTGGAGGTAGTAGTTATCATTGTACCACAATATTAATGTACTTAATATTGAACTGGACACTTAAAAATGGTTAAGACAGTAAATTTTATGTTATGTATATTTACCTTAATTTTTTTTTAAAAAGGTAATAATGTCCAAAAATTACTTACACTTTATGCTGGTACTCACGCTTACTGGAACCGAGCAGTCTACTGCAGCTGAAAGAGAAAGGTAATAGTTTAATAATATTGTCAGTATTTATAAATGACAAATACCAAATGTGGAAATCACAAAATGTTCCAGACCTTGCAGCTGTTTATCATACTTCTAGCGATGGAAAACACAAGATCCTTGATTAAAAATACACTGTTGGGATTAATAACTCATTCAATACTGCAGAAGAAAATACTAGTGAACTTGAAGACATAGCAATATAAACTACTCAAAATGAAACAGACTTAACATACTTATAATGTAGTCCCAAAACAAGCTTGGGGAAAAAAAAGCAAAATGGAAGACTTACACTACCTGATTTCAAGACTTACTGTAATGCTACAATAATTAAGGCAGTGTGGCATGGGGCTTAAAGATAGACATATAGATCAACAGAACCAAGGAGTTAAGTCCAGAAACAGACCCACACATATGGTCAACTGACTTTCAAAAAGTACTAGGACAATTAAATAGAGAAAAGATAACCTCTTCAACAAATGGTACTGGGAAATTTGGATATGAAGAGGCAAAAAAACAAAACAAACAAAAAACCTCAAAACCCTTATATCACACCATATACAAAAACTAACTCAAAATGGATCGCAAATTTAAATGTAAGGGCTAAAACTTTAAAACTTCTAGAAGAAAACATATTAAGAAATTCTGAGTGACCTAAGGTTAGGCAAATATTTCTTGAACAGGTTATGAAATAACCTGTTTAGTTTATAAAACTAAAAAACTAAACGACTTCACGATTTTCATGTCACAAAATATTTTTCTTTTGTTTTTTTAGTCATTTAAAAATATAAGCATCATAAAATATAAACTAAAATTTAAAAACTTTAGCTATTTAAATGAGAAAATAAAAATTTAAAAGACATTAGTCAAAAATTGGTGAAATTCAAATAAGGTCTGTAGTTAATGGGATTGCATCAATATTGATTTCCTGGTTTTGATAACTATACCACGGTTTTTAAGATTTTTAACATTAGTGGAAGAGCAGAGTACAGGGTATATGGTAACTCCCTATACAATTTTTAAATGTTTATGTAAGTCTAAAAATTTCTCCAGAATACGAATTTTAACAAGAAAATGAAAACACCAGCTACAGATTGGGAAAAAAATATCTGCAAAACATATATCTGATATAGAATCTGTATATAAAGAAACTCACAACTTAATACTAAAGAGACAAACAACCCATTTTTAATAATGGGTAAAAGATTTGAACAGTCATTTCACCAAAGAAGATATACAGATGGGAAGTAATAAGGCAACATCACTAGAAATCAGGGAAATGCAAACTAAAACTATGAAGTGATACTATTTCATATTCACTAGAATGGTTAAAAAAGGACTGTCAACGCCAAGGGTTGGTAAGGGTGCAGAAGTAATGGAAATGTAAATGGTATATTCACTCTGGAAAACTGTAGTTTCTTATAAAATTAAACTTATACTTAATATATTACCTCACAGTTCTACTCCTGACACATAAATTTACCCGAGTGAAACGTAAACACATGCGCCAAAATTATATGTGAATGTTTATAGCAGCTTTATTCCTAATGGCCAAAAGTGAGTCAAAACAATCCAAATGTTTAACAACTGGTGAATCATAAACAAATTGTGGTCTATTCATTAAATGAAATACTCCTTAACAATACAAAAGAATAAATGGTGGTACACAGAACAGTGTGAATTAGTCTCAAGATCATTAAGATAACTGAAAAAAGCCAGACCCAAAACGATACATGATTCCATTTCTATGAACTTATAGAAAAGGTAAAACTATAGGCGAAAGAGCAGATCAGTGGTTGCCAGGGATTTGTCAGGAGGGGACTGACGGCAAAGGACTAGGGGGAACTCTTTGAGGTAATGGACTTTTTCTATATCAAGGGTTGGCAAATTTTTTCTACAAAGGGCCAGGTAGCAAATGCTTCAGGATTTGCAGGGTGATACAGTCTGTTACAACTGGTCAACTCTGCTTTTTAGTGTAAAAGCTGCCACAGACAATATGTAAAAGATTGAAAATGATTGTTTGTCTATGGATAACTACATTTGAATTTCAGGTCACAAAATACTTTTTTTTAAATTTTTTGCTACCATTTAAAAATATGAACACCATTCTTAGTTCATGGGCTGTACAGAAACAGGTGGTAGGAGGGTTTGGCCTGAACGGTGTAGTTAGCTGATTCCTGTTTTACAGCATGGTTGTAGTAGTATTTATACAAATGTGTTCATTTTTCAAAATATTTATCTGTACACATTATAATCAATGCATTTTATAATGTAAGTTTTATCTCAATAAAGCTGACAAAAGAAAAAAATTAAACAGAAAAATAGCATCTTCTTTGTGCAACTTCCATAGATGTGTAAACAAAAAAGCAGATTATATATTTTCATATTAAAAGCAATATCTAACAAAATATTATTAGCAATAGAGATAAAAAACGAAATAAAATAGGCAATATATAGATTTCAAATATAGTTAACAAAAATGGGTATGAATTTGCTAAGTACCTAGAGTCAATAGTTTGTATCACACTAAACCAAACAAATACAAATCCTCTCATATATATAAGGTATTCATTTTTGCTATAGATATATTTTAATGAGAAGTGAAGCTGGAGGTTTAAATTGAGTACAGAGAGTTCACATTTGCACATTTTTACCTTTGGCTGAAAGGATTTTATTATAGTGAACAGCCATGTGATTCTTGACCAGCTGGAGAGTGCTTAGTCTGAGAGAAGAGGAGTCAGTGCAAAAAGCTAAAAATTAAAACATAATCATTATATATTTAAAACTAATATAAAAATCATGAGATAAACAAGGCACTGATTATTTAACTCATTCTTATAAAATGTTCTGAAATTCAACCAGAGATATTGATATATGACATTGTGATGTGAAGCTTTAATCTTGCACTGATAATGCCAATGAGCTATTGACCATTTGGGTTCAAACCTTCCTGAGAATAAAATTTTACAAGCCTGAGACTCTGGGGAAGAGATTCTAGGATATGATCTGTCATTACATTTACAGAACTATTTTTTTTTTGACAGCTCTCAATCTTCTAACTAAGGATGTTTAGCTGCTTGCTTAATTAGTTACCATTGTTAATACTTAATCAACGGAATTTCAGAAATTCAATGACTACCAAATCCCAAAACCCTACATACAAAAATTATATTCCAAGAAGCAAATTTCTAACTTAAACCTGAAAACAAGATCTACATACCAGTTTACTACATTCTTTTTGAAGTACTAAAACTATCTTATAACAAGTGTAATCGCAAAGAAATTCCATGACATTAAACTCCTTGGTCCTCATTCAAACTGTTTAAAAGAAATCTTAGAAATAGTTAAGCACTTACACACAAGTATAAAATATAAATATAGGCAAAGCTTTTTTAAACATTAAAAACAGTTTTTGAGAAGTAATACACGCAATGTGGTTAAAAAAATTCAACAGCTAAAATGGCATATGGAGTTTGAAAAAGAAGTGATTTCTCTACCCTGACCTTTAGTCTCCCTTCCCAGAAATATACTATGTTACTGTTTAAATGCATCCTTCCAGAGACTCTGTGCATAATACAAGCCTATGCAATAATTACGAGCTTGATGCCACTACTAAAAATATTTACTGAATAAATGCCATTTACCATGCATTGTTCTAAACTCTTTATATGTATAAACTTATCTAGTCATTATTATTATCATTTAATCGAAGTGAAAACTGAGGCACAGAGATATGAGTTACATCTTCAAGGTTACACTGCTGATAAAGGATGCAGCTTCCATGTGATCCAAGGCAGCCTCATACTTAAAACCACCATACCTATACCAGCTCTATATATATATTCTTTAAAAGAAAGTTAGCAAACTTTACATATTGTTCTTTATCCTGATTTCTATGTATGTATATTTTAAATCTAGTTTTAACTTTTTATTTAAAATTTAGTTTTTAAAGTTTATCATTATGGCTATGTTACATACATATATATGTTACATACATACATAGCCACAATCATAAACTTTAAAAAATACACTGTAATACAAAGAAATAAGTGAGGCAACTGAAAATGAGATCCTTCCACCACATTTGGAGGTAACAGTATCAAAGATTTTTCCTGTAAATAAGGAAAATAAGGCTTTAATTATTTTGCCTAAGGACATAGACTTATACTTCTAAGGTATAATTACAAAAATTTATTTTAAAACCTACCTTAAAAATGTACCTTGAAAGCTTTAAAATATAAAAATATCACAGCACCTAGAAATCCAGTTGGATAAAGAGGCCCATAGGCCTTTGCTCCTAATAGGAAATGTATTATTCAAGTGCTCTTTTTCTCTGCACAGCTTTTCCTTTTCAGTGCTTGCGTCTTTAATACCTGCTACTCACCATTTTAACAAGGCAGGTATGCCTTAAATCAGGGTAGTTTCCTGGCAAAAGTAGAGCTGGGCTGCTGTAGCAGCTGGGAGCAGGAGACAGCCAAGTCCACATCCAGGGCACAATAATAGTTTGAAATCATAGACTCCAAAATTCTCTAATCTCAAGAACGCCTATATTTCATTAAAATTAATAATATGAAGTTCAAATATTCGTCAAATGAAACAATTTTTCCATCATGTCATATAATTTGCCAGTAAAGGAAACACTCAGACAATCTTCTAACAAAGCTGCCGTTTTAAGCACCTCACTTACCATTACTTTTGGTGCTCAAGTGTCCTTTAAATAGGCACGGTGGACCATATCTGGGAAGGACAGAGGTTGCTCTGACTTTTAACAAGAAAAAAAAATCATAAATTAGGATAAATGAAACACAACTTTTACAAAAACAACAATATTCAATATTTTTTAAATAATAAATTTATCACAAAATAATTTCTTTCCTAAAAGGTGATTGCGTTTTTAGTAGTAATCTCCAAAACAGGAAGTCTGAGTTACAGCATTAAATGTAATTTAATATGCAAAATATAAATGCTTTATCCCCCAAACAGAGATGTTTTAAGAGGGTAAGATGGCTAGTTTGCTATCAGGTGGGCTGTTAAAAGCTATAACAAGGAGGACACATAGAAAGTCTAGAAGATATATGGATGACTAAATATAGAAAAAAGAAGTATCGAGCTAGGAGAACTAAAATCTAAGACCAGAGAACAAAGCTTGTCAGAATAGATTAAAACAGAAAAACAAACTGAGGTCAGAATATCTATGAAGCTCTTTCTATGTCACAGGTCAGAGTGCAGGAAGGAAAAAAATATTTAGGACAATACAAGTCAAGGTGATGCCATCTGAACTGGGAAAAAAGATAGTCATGAAATGAGCATAGCTTCTACCAAGAAAGAAGGAGGGTAAGACCTAAACATAAGAAAAAATACCAACAAACTCTCAGAAAAACCTCATTTCTCCAGATAGAAAGAACTGTGACTTTTTTCTTGTCCAGAATTCAATGCCTCTTCACCTGGAAATGACAACTCAACTTTCCTTTGGGCGACTCTTCCCTTACTCTTAGCCCAGGTGGTTCAAATAGAGCTGACCCCACTGTCAGGGTTAGGCATAAAACCCAAATGTGGACAGCTGTGTTGACAGCGTCAGCAATGCTATGCGATCCAAGTCCCAACATGAGATACACAATCCTGGGCCTTTGACAGGAACTATTAGGAAAGGTACTTTCATTTCACTGGGCTTGCTAAACCCAGTGAAGGGTCTAAGCAAGCCCTGTATTGCTGGTGGCCATCCTGAACCTTATAAAGGAACCTGTCTGAGAATGAAGCCTACACAGTCAAGTGGAACCAAGATAGAAAGCGATTTCTTGGTGACATCATTTGAGTACCTGAGGCCAACCATGTTTGAAGCTCTTCCTTCCCTAGACGTTTCTTTACATTAGCCAAAAAAAAAAAAAAATTCCCATTTTAGCTTAAACCAGTATGAGTTGATTTCTTCATTTGTAGTCAAAAGGCTAATTTATTGAGTGGTAACCCTGCCAGGCAGTGCTCCAAGCACTTTGCTGGTATAAATTCATTTAATCCTTACAATACTATAATTCTCCCTACTTTATAGATGAGGGTAATTGAAGCACAGAGGTTAAACTTGTAATTTGCCAAAGATTACACAAGAATGTGACAGATTTGGGATCTGAACCCAAGCAGTCTGTTTCCTGGGTCTTAATCATTACACTATCTTGACCAATATAAACTGCTCAGTACTTGAACCATGTTCTAAGCTACTAAATCATGTGAAACAGACCAAGAAGATATCTCAGCTGTATGTAGTTTATTCCCTCCAAATTCCATTCTATTCTATGTATGTTTCACTATAGGTCACAGAAAAAGGAAAAACAGGTATACCCAGAGAAGTGTGAAAGGATGAAAAGAGAATGAAAAAAGGCTGGAACCTAGTGATAATGCTCTGGATAGAAATGCTTCCCCACCCATCTGTAAGTGACAGCTGTGAACAAGGTGGTTAATATTTGGCCCCAGGAATCAATCCAGCTGCTCTTTAGCATAAGATGGTGATAAGAACAAACATGGAATTTAGATGTTCCTTGATGTCTATGTTCCCTTGTCTATTTACCATCAGACGTACACCAAGGCATATACTCATTGGTTTCTAATATTCCTATAGATACATGTCATATTAAAAATGACAGAATTAGGGCTGAGCACAATGGCTCGTGCTTGTAATCCCAGCACTTTGGGAGACTGAGGCAGGCTGATCACCTAAGCCCAGAAGTTCAAAGACCAGCCTGGACAACATGGCGAAACTCTAACTGCACAAAAAAATACAAAATTAGCTGGGTGTGGTGGTGTGTGCCTGTAGTCCCAGCTACACAGGAGGCTGAGATGGGAGGATGATTGAGCCCAGGAGGCTGCAATGCACTCCAGTCTGGGTAACAGAATAAGACCCTGTCTCGAAAAAAGAAAAAAGAAAGAGAAAGGAAAAAAAAAAACCTAACAGAATTGAGGGGAGAAATAAGACGATTTAATTCATCTACCCTCTCATAGTTTCTGGTTCCTCCTTTGTGTCCTGTGTATAGGTCACATTTTCCTGTTTTTTTGTTTTTGTTTTTTTGCATGACTTGCAATTTCTTTTTGTTGAAAAGTTAACATTTTAGGTAATATATTGCAGCAACTCTAGATACAGAATCCTCTCCTGAGCTTGTTTTCATTGTTGTTCACTTGTTTGTTTAGTGACTTGGCTAAGCAATTTATCAAAGTCTATTTCCCATGGAATGTGAAGCCTCCGATATCACTCCTCGGTGATGAAGCTTTGGGCAAGTGCACAATCACGCCTTCTCTAATGAGGTCTGAACCCCAGTCTTTGGGAGAAACTCTCTTTCAAATTGTCCTTCTTTGAGTACTTTCCCGTAATTCTAGGTACCAAATACAGTTTTCTTATCTTTTTAATTAATTCATTAATTTGTTTTATATACTAGAGACAGGGTCTTGCTATGTTACCCAGGCTGATTACAAACCACTGACCTCAAGTGATGCTCCTGCCTCAGCCTCCTAAAATGCTGAGATTACAGGCATGAGCTGACACGCCCAGCCCCTTACATCTTATAGTTACTCTTTTATGAAAGTATAACAATTCTTTAACTTTTCCTTGTATAAAAATCACTGTATGGTTTCTATCTCCTGACTGGACTGGACCCAGAATGAGCCAAAGGGGCATGGAGAAGTAGCCTCAAACCAAATGCCAAGGAAAAGAACATCATTCTCTAACTATTAGGACTAAAATCTTGTCAATGAGATTGAAGGTCTTAGTGGTGAAATTCACTGGTATATGAGAGCAGCCCATTTTCCTACACAATTTGATTAAAATAGCCAGAAGAAAGTCCAGTGAGGAAAGATGAAAGTGTTTCTTGTGGCAAGGTTTCTCTGGAAAACCAAAGGTTTGGAAATCTACCATTGATAAGTGTCTCTATGAGACCAACAGATCAAAACAATTTTTTTTTTGAGATGGAGTCTTGCTCTGTTGCCCAGGCTGGAGGGCAGTGGCATGATCTTGGCTCACTGCAACCTCCCCCTCCCAGGTTCAAGTGATTCTCCTGCCTTAGCCTCCCGAGTAGCTGGGACTACAGGCGCACGCCACCATGCCTGGCTAATTTTTGTATTTTTTGGTGGAGACAGGGTTTAATTCTGTTGCCCAGGCTGGTCTCAAACTCCTGACCTCAAGTGATCCACCTGCCTCAGCCTCCCAGAGTGCTGGGAAAAAATTTTTTTTCAAGTTACTTTCAGTAATATACTAATAGGTTGTCTCCTCTCCTTCCTAAAGGTCATTGATATTAGAGTGAATGGCAGTTTGTTATTCTCAATCTTTTCTTCACCTTCCCCCATAGGAAGCTGGAAACCATGCCTTATATATACCTAGTCCAAGCCCCCATTTTATAAATAACTGAGGCCCAGGGACGTACAGTGACATGCTGAAGATTACCTAGTTAGTTAGTAGGAAACAAAGATTACAAACAAGACTAACCGTTTTTCAGTCTGGTGCTGTACTATACCACCATTTAGAAGGCTTGCCTTACAAAAGAATGTCTAAAACGTGATTACAGTAAGAGCATGACAAAAGATAATTTTTCTTTAGATGTTTTAATATTTTATGCTCTGAAATAACTAAAAGCACCTCCTAATGAAATCTAAGAAATTTATTCTCAATTATTTTAGCTGTGTCTAAAATTATTTATGGTTTCCTATTAATTTACAGTACATGAAAGCTGACTGCCCTGGTTATTTGGTGATTACATTTATTTTAAAAATTCAAAATAACAGTATTTGACATTATCATATATTATTTCCTAAAAATGAAGCTAATTAAATTGTGCAAGTTGTAAAAATATAAACCTTTTTACATTTGGCATGAACCCAATTTTTAAAATAATTCAATAAACAAATACTGACAACTTACTAAATCTACCATACTCTAAATGTTACATTTATCCTTTCCCCCTGCCCATCCCTACCATGGGATAGTAAGTAAATGCATTGGCTTCAGATTTATATTCTTCACCTAGATTCAAATCCTGTTCTGCCGCTGTGATCTTGGCAAGTTATTTGTGATCTTTTGCTTTAGTTTCTTCACTATGAAATAAGGCTAATGCCTATCAAGGTATTTTTGTACATTAAATGAGATAATTTGGAAATAGTTCCTAGTACATAGCAAGGGTTTAATGTTAGTTTATATGCAAAATTTCTTAAGATCATAAAGCGTTTTGATTTGCTTTTTCTGAAACCTAGGTTGGTGAAGTGTCAGAATAGTTTGCTGATCAATGAATAGTTATCTCCTACATTCGGAGTAGCACTTATTTTGATCAATGACTATATAATAAAGGCAGACTCATTCAAAGAAAGACATCAAGGAATCATCTAGCAGCTTGGTTTAAAGGCAGTCTTTTAAATAGATAAAAACACTGAATTGGGAGGGGCGGGGAGTCTATAAAGATTGCCTCATTTGACTCGAGGAAAGAATGATACTGGCTCAGAAAGTGTGAAAATGCAAATTATTTGGTTTGGGCCGATTTGTAGATATTTAAGATTGTATTTCCCCACCCCCAACCCCACCACATGATGTCCACCTGACTCAAGAAATCAGTAGAGAACAGGTGTATATGGTGAGTACGGATTGCTGCTAAAACTGCAGTCCGCTGACCAGCAACACCGCATTACTTGGAATTTATTATAAATGCAAAATCTCAGCCACCCCCAAGGGACCTACTGAATCATAATCTGCATTTTAACATGACCCTGAGGGGATTCCTATTCACAGAAAGTTACAGAAACCCTGGGTTACTCAGTAGCTTTGGGGGAGGTAGTTCGTTACTGGGAGATTTCGTATTTACTGACCACTTCAAATGCGCCAGGATCTTCTCTATATTATCTGCATTTAATCCTCAAGAACTCCATGGCCTGGGTATTTGACCCTCACGTTCAAGAGATAAGAAAACTGAGGGTCGTCTCCATGGAGAGCAGAGGGGTTTGATTTGGGGCCCGGGGAGGTCTGACTCCAAAGACCAAACCTGGTTCCTCTGCCTGGGAGCTACTGAGGTTTTAAAGGCTGCACGACCCTGAGTTCAGGAGACAGGGGCCCCTGGTGTCAGGGCGACAAATTCAGGGCAAAGAAGCGGACCTGCGAGGCTGGCAAGCAGGCTCTCCCTCTTCCTTTGCGCAGGCCTGGGCAGCTCCAGGCAACACTGGCGACTCAGCCAGGGGTAGGAAGCGCCCCAAGGGGCGGCCTTGCACTCAGCTGCCCGGACCCGAGGCTGGGAGCGCCGCCTGGAGCGAGGGGCGAGGCGGCGGTAGCCCCTGACAGCTGCCCTTTACCTCTCCGGCTGCCATCCATGCTTAGTCCTCTTGCAGCCGCCGCAGGGACACGCTGTATCCCCTTCGGTCCTTCCCGCGGCCGGGCCCAGCCCCGGCAGTGGAGGACTGGAAAAGAGGAGCCGACGGGGGCTGCAGCAGCAGGGAAACCGTTGCCAGGCCGTTGCTAAGGGCTGGGTCCAGTGAGTCGCTATTGTGACGTCACGGCGCAGGGGACGTGCGTTCCGCAGCCCCGCCTGCGGGATACCCGGTACTAGGAGGACAGTTGCGGACGGAGAGACCTGGCGGGGAAGGGGCATCGAGCCCCAGTCTGTTGCTCTGGGATCCTGCCAGTCTTCCGCAGAGCGACCTCCTGTCAGGATCCGAGTCACCAGCACCTGGCAGGCTCTGTCCCTGCGGGAAGAGCAGGGAGAGGAGGTGGACTCATCTGGCATCCACGTCCCCTGGGTCCCGGAGAAAAGTGAAACACAAATGTTAGCTGAGGTCAGGGTAACATTTAACCAGTTCCAAATAATTAAATTTCAAAGCAGTCCGTGAACTTTTGGATTAGTGAAAATCCTAGGGGTGAAAAACATCTACATATTTACATCTTAATTCTTAACCTTAATAATAAGTTTGAATTTCCTTTCTGCTCGCCAAGCTTCCCCGCTCCTGTCCCTGCCTCCCTTTTATCGTAAGTTTCAATCCATTTTTATTTATAATGGAAGAGAGCTGCAACATGAATAAGGGGTTGATTTATTGATGGCTTTCTATAATTTGTTTAATTTTGAAGCAGTTACCTTTGAATCCTTGGAAATAACGTCAGATCAGGGTAGGAAGCATTCTGTCATGTAAGACTTCTCAGCCCAAATGTCCATTGACATTTTGGGCTGGTTGTATAATTCTCTGTTGTGGGGGTGCTGTCCCTATGAACTGTTTTGTAGCATCCCTGTCCTCCGTTTACTAGAAGCAAGTAGCTTCTCAGAAGCAGACCCCACCCACTCCACCTCCAATCCTGACAGTCATAAATGTCTCCAGACATTGTGAAATATTCCCTGGGGGGCAAAATCGCAACTCTGTTGAGAACCACTGCTGTAATGAAAAGAGTCCTGGTTTTGGAACCAGATATGTAGAACTTAATTCTAAATTTTTTGCTACTTACCAGCTTGATCTTGAATTAGTTTCTAAAACTTTCTGAGCCCCAGTTTTCTCTTTTCTAATGTAGATTGTGAAAGTTGTCAGAATCAAAAATAGAGTCACATGTGTTAGAAAACCTGACAAGTGGAACTGGAGAAGGCCATGAAGGAGAGTTCTCATCCATGAATGCCTGATAATAAAACTATCACAAAATACTGCGAAAACCACAACCTTGCACAAAGACCTCCACCTTACCCAAAAAGATACTTCTATGAGGACATCTGTCCAGCAATTGTCTGTCCAACCTTGAACTGACATCACCCTTGTTATTGATGCTTGGAGCCAAGGCTAATTACCTCAAAACAATTATGTAATCCTCTCCTTTTTTTATTTTTTAAAAAAACTTTTTTTTCCTTTAATTCCTTGAATATGCAAACAGTTTGCCATGGCACGCATATTCCTATTGCAATGCCCATTCCTGGGTAAATGTCATTTTCTTCTGTAGAGTTGAGGACTAAGCTCTAATTTTTTTATCTTGCCCAAATTCCTATCTAAGGTGTCTAGGGAGTCATGCCCTAGAAACCATAAATTCTTATCAGATGGGTTTTATTTGACTCTATATACCATGACTTACTTTCCAATCTGATTCTGGCATAATATTATGAGACAAGGAAAAAAAAATCAAAATATTTAACCCCAAGATATATTTCCTTGCCATATCTTGAAATTGCCCTGCAAAATCTCTTGTGGGAAAAAACCACATTCTATAGAGAATCTCTTTTCCCCTTTGTTTTCCTTCTTTCCTTTCCAAATCCAGGAGATAACCAACTAAGAGCCAGGCACCCTTTTAGGTCCGACAAGACAAATTTTACAATCTGCTCTCTCTCTGAGGTCTGCTATACTGAGAGCTTCCTCTGCACAATAAACTTGGTCTCCACAATCTTTTATCTTAACCCCAACATTTCCTTTTTATTGATCCCAGGCCTTCAGATAAACTCAACCAATTGTCAACCAGGAAATGTTTAAATTTACATACTCATTGAGTTGTCCCACCTTTCTGAACCAAACCAATGTATTTCTTATTTGATTGATGTCTCATGCCTCCCTAAAATGTATAAAACCAAGCTGCACCTCAACCACTTTGGGCACATGTTCTCAGGACCTCCTGAGGGTCACTCATATTTGGCTCAGAATAAATCTCTAAAAATATTTTACAGAGTTTGACTCTTTTCATCAACAGTCTACCTCTCTGTTGCTTGGGATGAAAAAATGATGCTACTAATTTTATAGTTAAAAGAATTAACAGTGCCTGGCAAATAAAAGAATGTATTCAATAAATGTTAGCTTTCTCTCTTCTGAGATTCCTATCTCAGCAGAGCTGGGTATCAGGGAATTCAGGCTTGAGGGAGTAAGTCAGAAACTCTGTAACAAGGAAGGAGAAATAAATCAGAAACCCGGTTATAATAACGCTTGAACCCCTGTTTTCCTAAAACCCAGGGTAGGCAGACAATGATTCAAAATTGGAGGCATGTTGAAGTGTGTGTGATGGCTCTGTGGCCCCAACAACAAAAGTAATTTGGAAGGATACAGGGGCAGGGAGTCAGATGTTATGCAGTCTATTAGTTCATTCTCACATTACTGTAAAGAACTACCTGAGACTGGGTAATTTATGAAGAAAAGAGGTTTAATTGACTCACAGTTCCATAGGCTGTACAGAAAGCATGGCTGGGGAGGCCTCAGGAAACACTATCATGGTGGAAGGGCAAAGGGGAAGCAAGTAGCTTCTTCACATGGCAGAGTAGGAGGGAGAGAGAGCGAAGAGGAAAGTGCTACACATGTTTTAACAAACATATCTCATGAGAACTCACTATCATGAGAACGACAAGGGGAAAATCCACCCCCATGATCCAATTACCTCTCACTAGGTACCTCCCCCAACATGGGGATTACAGTTCAACATGAAATTTGGAGGGGGACACAGAGCCAAATCATATCATGCAGAGAACAAAAACTCCTTCCTAGGTACTCATTATTGCCTGAAATCCATTTCTAAGATCATGAAGGCCTTTATTTCACTACTGGCAGCTAGCAAATACTTTGCATATAATAGGCCTCCAGTAAGCATTTGTTAAATTGAATTAGAAACAAGGAACCCAAGGCAAACACCCTTGGGATAAGCAACACAGTGACTTGACTCAGGGAAGGTGATACCAGCTCCTCTTAGAAAAGTAGACTTTAGGATGACAAGTAGATTTTGTTTTCAAGTAGAACGGGGGGGTGCGTGATCTGGAGAGGGCAGCAGAATGGGAGAAACTTCTGGAGACCATATTGTCTGGTACCCAACTTTGTCTGAAGCCATCTATTTCATTATTTCCCTTTCAATATTTTGTTCCAATTATTTCAAGAATGTGTGCATAATAGGGTCTATGTCTCTCAAATTTTAGCAATGAACATGTTATCCTAAGTGCAATTTAATTTGTCCTTTGCTTTGGCTCTATGTATGTAAACAAGAGAGAAGATTCTTTCTGGTTGCTATTCCCAGGAAATAATTCATGATCATGGGTGATGGATACAGCTGGTATGAGTTTATTATAGGGTGAGCTCCCAAGAAACACCCTTCTATTGGGAAAATCATCACCAGCTGCAATGGCCTTGGAGAGTAGGCATTCTGAAGACCTTTTGTTGAATATATATGTTTACACCTGAATTTCATGTTCTGAAATTATTCCAATGCTATAATCTTGTTATTGACATTTAGAAATCTGCATATGTGTTTTTGTTTGTTTATTTATTTATTTATTTTTGTAGAGACGAAATCTCGCTCCATCGCTCAGGCGGAGTGCGGTGGTGTGATCTTGACTCACTGCAACCTCCGCCTCCCGGATTCAAGCAATCCTCCTGCCTCAGCCTGCCGAGTAATTGGGACTACAGGTGCATGCCACCACACCCAGCTAATTTCTTTTGTATTTTAGTAGAGACGGGGTTTCGCTGTGTTGCTCAGGCTGGTCTTGAACTCCTGAGCTCAGGCAATCCACCCGCCTCAGCCTCCCAAAGTGCTGGATTACAGGCGTGAGCCACCATGCCTGGCTAATTTTTGTATTTTTAGTAGAGACAGGGTTTTGCCATGTTGGCCAGGCTGGTCTGAAACTCCAGGCCTAAAGTGATCCACCTGCCATAGCCTCCTAAAGTTCTGGGATTACAGGCATGAGCCACTGTGCCTGACCCATATGTGTGTTTTAGACGGAAATACTTTGTTTCCCTTAATGAATTGGCATGAACTAATCAATTACTGGGTTTCTTTTTTTGTATTAGCTTACAGGAACCTCAAAACTAAGATTTGTGCTCAGTTGAAATAAATATTCATAGCCTTTTAAAAATTTATCTCGTTAATTCCCTTTATTAGGAATATGACTTCTTCTTTTAATGGTTTAATTAGGCCTGTCTTATTGGATGAGCTCTAAGCCCTTTGGAAATGGGCTTTTATATATTTGAAATATACAATATATTTCAATTTTATATAAGTGAAATAAACTATATATTTTAATACCATAACCTATAGTTATGCAAATAATATATAGTTTATTGTTTATTCTGTTTTATTATATATTATTATTTTAAGCATTATGTTATTATTATATATTTAATCTATGTCTTTATGGATGACCCTTAGTTTCATAATTCAGAGGATTCCTGGAATTTATATTTGTGTGTTTAGAAAATGTTCCAGTAAATACAGTGAAAACAACAAGAAGCCAAAGTTCAAAACAACATTTTTCTATTTATTGAGTTATTGCGAACATATTTTAACCCTTAAAGTTCCTGAAAGACAAAAATGAAGGAAATTTAGGGAATCCTTAAAAATTATATGTATGAGGGCAGAGTAAAATTATAGAGTTAAATGTGCACTGTGCTGACCTCAGTCTCAAAACAAAATTGCTTAGGTTTCAGTGATTTAAGAATGCTTGAGAATTTGAGCTATTAACTATTTCTCAGTCATTCTCTAATTGAAATAATGTAGCAATTGATTCATCTAATAACTAAATGAGAAAATGGAACTTTAGAGCTTGGAGGTATTTAGAGCTTGGAGGTATGAAATAATGGATAATAATTTGCTGTTTGTCACTAGAGGGGGCTTTAGGAAAGTTTTAAGCTCCATCCCTGTGAGGAAAGCAGCCATGCTAAGGCAATATTACCTACAAATCTTATTCAAGCAATGTAACGTGCAACTGACAAACATTTTAAAAAGTGATTCCAGGGGAGGGGCGGAGTGAGATAGCCGAATAGAAGGCTCTGCCAATCATTCCTTCTCAGGAACACCTAGCTTGACAACTGTCTACACAAAGGGAGTAATCTTCATAGGAACCAAAAATCAAGGGAGCACTCTCAGTGCCTGGCTTTGATTTCACATGACTGAAAGAGGCACCAAAGAGGGTAGGAAAGACAGTCTTAAATTGCTGATGCCATCCCTGTCTCCTCCCCCATTCCCCAGCAGCAGCTCCCTGTTGGAGAGAATCTCTGTGCTTCAGAGAGGGGGAGCACAGCGGTCATGAGGCTTTGCATTAGACTCAGTGCTGCCCCATCACAGCAGAAAGCAAACTGAGCTGTACTCAGCTGATGCCTGCCCATGGAGGGGGCATTTGGACCGGCCCAAGGCAGAGGGTAATTGCCCATTCCAGCAATTGGAGCTTGAGTTCTGGCAAGGCTTGCCACTGTGGGCTGGAGGCACTGGGGCCCTAAGTGAACTTGAGGGGCAGTTTAGGCCACAAGAACTGCAATTCTTATGCAAGTCCTGGTATTGAGCTGGGCTCAAAGCCAGTAGATTGAGTTGGAGGGTGGGACGTGTGACCTATTAAGATACCAGCTGGGGAAGCTAAGAGTGCTTGCACCTCTCCCTCTTTGTCCCGCCTCACCAACCCCAGGCTACACAGCTGATGAAGAATGCATCAGAGTATCTTAATAGCAGAATTGATCGAGCAGAAGAAAGAATTAGAGAGCTTGAAGACAGGCTATTTGAAAATACACAGTCAGAAGAGACAAAAGAAAAAAGAATAAAAAAACAATGAAACATGCTTACAAGATCTAGAAAATAGCCTCAAAAGGGAAAATCTAAGAGTTATTGGCCTTAAAGTTGAGGTAGAAAAAGAGATAGGGATAGAAAGTTTATTTGAATAAATAATAAAAGAGAACTTTTGAAACTTAGAGAAAGATGTCACTATCCAAGTACAAGAAGGCTACAGAACACCAAGCAGATTTAATCCAAAGAAAGCTACATCAAGGCATATAATAATCAAACCCCCAAAGGTCAAGGATAAAGAAAGAATCCTAAAAGCAGCACGAAAAAGAAACAAGTAACATACACTAGAGCTCCAATACATCTGGCAGCAGACTTTTCAGTGGAAACCTTACAGGCCAGGAGAGAGTGGCATGACATATTTAAAGTGCTGAAGACAAAAGACTTTTACCCGAGAATAGTATATCCAGTGAAAATATTCTTCAGACATGAAGGAGAAATAAAG
Source organism: Homo sapiens (assembly GCF_000001405.40). Taxonomy (NCBI): domain Eukaryota; kingdom Metazoa; phylum Chordata; class Mammalia; order Primates; family Hominidae; genus Homo; species Homo sapiens. The sequence goes on along the minus strand of NC_000014.9, from coordinate 88,379,208 downwards.
ACCTTGCCAGATAAACAAAAGCTGAGGGATTTCATCAACACAAGACTTGTCTTACAAGTACTCCCCTAAAGAGAGCACCTCAATCAGGAAGAAATGGGCATTAATGAGCAATAAGAAATCATCCGAAGGGACAAAACTCACTGGTAGTAGTCAATATACAGGAAAACACAGAAAATTATGACACTGTAACTGTAGAGTGGAAAGTACCCTTAAGTAGAAAGACTAAAAGATGAAATCAAAAATAATAATTACAACTTTTCAAGACATAGACTGTACAATAAGATATAAATAGATACAACAGAAAGTTAAAAAGCTGGGGGATGAAGTTAAAGTGTAGAATTTTTATTGGTTTTTTTTTGCTTGTTAGTTTATGCAAGCAGTGTTATTAGCTTAAAATAATTAATGATAATAAATACAAGATAATATTTGCAAGCCTCATGGTAACCTCAAATCAAAAAACATACAACAGATACACAAAAAATAGAAAGCAAGAAATTAAATACTACCACCAGAGAAAATAAATTACCTTCACTAAAAGGGAGACAGGAAGGAAGGAAAGAAGGGAGCAAAGACCACAGAACAATCAGAAAATAAATAGCAAAATGAGAGGAGTAACTCCTTACTTGTCAATAATAACATTGAATGTAAAAGGTCTAAACTTTCCAATCAAAAAACATAGACTGGCTGAATGGATAAAAAAAAAAATAAGACCCAATTATCTGTGGCTGCAAGAAACACACTTCACCTATAATGACACACAAAAACTAAAAATAAAGTGATGGAAAAAGATTCTCCATGTCAATGGAAACCAAAAAAGAGCAGAAGTAGCTATACTTATATCAGACAAAATAGATTTTAAGACAAAAACTTAAGAAGAGACAAAGAAGGCCATTATATAATAATAAAGGGGTCAATTCAGCGAGACGATGTAACAGTTGTAAACATATATGCCCCCAACACTGTAGTGCCCAGATATATAAAGCAAATATTACTAGTATTAAAGAGATAGATAGCCTCCAATACAATAGTAGCTGGAGACTTCAACACCTCACTTTCAGCACTAGACAGATCTTCCAGACAAAAAAAAAAAAAAAATCAAAAACATATTTAATCTGTGCTATAGACCAAATGGGCCTAACAGATATGTACAGAACATGTTATCCAATGGCTGTAGAACACAGATTTTTTTTTCTTCATCACATGGATCACTCTGAAGGACAGACCATATATTAGGTCACAAAACAAGTCTTAAAACATTTGAAAAGTTGAAATGATATCTTCTGTGGCCACAATGAAATAAAACTAGAAATCAATAACAAGAGGAATTTTGGAAACCATATAAATACATGAAAATTAAATAATATGCTTTTGAATGACCAGTGGGTCAAAAAAGAGATTAAGAAGGAAATTGAAAAATTTCTTAAAACAAATGATAATAGTCCACAATATGCTAAAACCTACAAGACACAATGAAAGTGCTACTAACAGGGATGTTTATAGTTATAAGCACCTACATCAAAAAAGAGGAAAAACTTCAAATAACCTAATAATGCATCTTAAATAGAAATGCAAGAGCAAATCTAACCCAAAAGTAGTAGAAGAGAAGAAACAATACAAATCAGAACAGAAATAAATGAAATGGAAATTTAAGGAAAAAATACAAAAGATCAATGAAATAGTTGATTTTTTTGAAAAGATAAAATTGAGAAACTTTTAGTCAAACATGTAAGAAAAAACAGAAGATGGATAAAATTAGAAATGAAAAAGGTGACATTACAACAGATACTGGAGAAATTCAAAAGATCATTACAGGCTACTATGAGCAACTATAAGTCAATAAATTGGAAAATCTAGTAGAAATGGATAAATTCCTAGATATAGACTACCTACCAAGATTGAATCATGAAGAAATCCAAAACCTTAACAGACAAATAACAAGTAATGAGATCAAAGCCTTAATAAAAAGTCTGGCTGGGCGTGGTGGCTCATGCCTGTAATCCCAGCACTTTGGGAGGCTGAGGCGAGTGGATCACCTGAGGTCAGGAGTTCAAGACCAGCCTGGCTAACATGGTGAAACCCTGTCTGTACCAAAAACACAAAAATTAGCTGGGCATGATTGTGCATGCCTGTAATCCCAGCTACTCAGGAGGCTGAGGCAGAAGAATCACTTGAACCTGGGAGGCGAAGGCTTCAGTGAGCCAAGATCGTGCCACTGCACTCCAGCCTGGGCAACAGAGTGAGACTCCATCTCAAAAAAAAAAAAGGTCTCCCAGTAAAGAAAAGCCCAGGACTTGATGGTTTCACTGCTGAATTCCAGCAAACATTTAAAGAAGAACAAATGCCAATTTTATTCAAATTATTTCCAAAAAATCAAGGTGGAGGAAATACTTGCAAACTCATTCTACAAGGCCAGTCTTACTCTGATTCCAATAACAAAGATAAATCAAAGAAAGAAAACTCCAGGCCAATATCTCTGAAGAATATTAATGCAAAAATCTTCAACAAAATGCTAGTAAATTAAATTCAACAACATATTACAAATATTATTAACCATGACCAAGTGGGATATATCCCTGGGATGCAAGGATGGTTCAACATACACAAATCAACCAATGTGATACATCATATCAACAGAATGAAGGACAAAAACCATATGATCATTTAAATTGATGCTGAAAAAGCATTTGAAAAAATTCAACATCACTTCATGGTAAAAGTCTTCAAAAAACTTGGTGTAGAAGAAACATACTTTAACATAATGAAAGCAATATATGACTGACAGACAGCTAGTATGCTGAATGGGGAAAAACTGAAAGCATTTTCTGTACAATCTGGAACATGACAAGGATGCCCACTTTCACCACTGTTATTCAACATAATTCTAGAAGTCCTAGCTAGAGTGATCAGACAAGAAAAAGAAATACAGGGCATCTAAATTGGAAAGGAAATCAAATTATCCTTGTTTGCAGATGATATGATCTTATATTTGGAAAAATCTAAAGACTGAATAAAAAAACTATTAGAACTGAGATATATATATTCAGTAAATTTGTAGGATACAAAATCAACATACAAAAGTCAGTAGCATTTCTATATGCCAACAGTGAACAATCCAAAAAAGAAATCAAGAAATCCCATTTACAATAGATTGTAAATTTTTACAGGCTAATTTTTTAAATTATACTTTAACTTCTGGGATACATGTGCAGAACGTGCAGGTTTGTTACAGAGGTATACATATGCCATGGTGGTTTGCTCCACCCATTAACCCGTCATCTACATTTGGTATTTCTCCTAATGCTATCCCTCCCCTTGTCACCCATGCCCTGACAGTCCCTGGTGTGTGATATTCCCCTCCCTGTGTCCATGTGTTCTCATTATTTGACTCCTATTTATGAGTGAGAACATGCAGACTCCTATTTATGAGTGAGAACATGCAGTGTTTGGTTTTCTGTTCCTGTGTTAGTTTGCTGAGAATGATGGTTTCCAGCTTCATCCATATTCCTGCAAAGGACATGAACTCATCATTTTTTATGGCTGCATAGTATTCCATGGTGTATATGTGTCACATTTTCTTTATCCAGTCTATCATTGATGGGCATTTGGGTTGGTTCCAAGTCTTTGCTGTTGTGAATAGTGCTACAGTAAACAAACGTGTGCATGTGTCTTTATAGTAGGATGATTTATAATCCTTTGGGTATATACCCAGTAATGAGATTGCTGGGTCAAATGGTATTTCTGGTTCTAGATCCTTGAGGAATTGCCACACACAAATGGCTGAAGTCATTTATACTCCCACCAACAGTGTAAAAGCATTCCTATTTCTCCACATCCTCTCCAGCATCTGTTGTTTCCTGACTTTTTAATGATCACCATTCTAACTGGCATGAGATGGTATCTCATTGTGGTTTTGATTTGCATTTCTAATGACCAGTGATGATTAGCTTTTTTTCATGTATTTGTTGGCTGCATAAATGTCTTTTGAAAAGTGTCTGTTCATATCCTTTGCCCACTTTTTGATGGGATTGTTTTTTTCTTGTAAATTTGTTTAAGTTCCTTGTAGATTCTGGATATTAGCCTTTTGTCAGATGGATAGATTGCAAAATTTTTCTCCCAATATGTATGTTGCCTCTTCACTCTGAGGATAGTTTATTTTGCTGTGCAGAAGCTCTTTAGTAGATCCTATTTGTCAATTTGGGCTTTTGTTGCCATTGCTTTTGGTATTTTAGCCATGAAATCTTTGTCCATGCCTGTGTCCTGAATGGTATTGCCTAGGTTTTCTTCTAGGGTTTTTATGGTTTTAGGTCTTACGTTTAAATCTTTAATCCACCTTGAGTTAATTTTTGTATAAGGTGTAAGGAAGGGGTCCAGTTTCAGTTTTCTGCATATGGCTAGCTAGTTCTCCCCACACCGTTTATTAAATAGGGAATCCTTTCCTCAGTGGTTGCTTTTGTCAGGTTTGTCAAAGATCAGATTATTGTATATGTGTGGCGTTATTTCTGAGGCCTCTATTGTGTTCCATTGGTCTATTTACCTGTTTTGGTACCAGTACCATACTGTTTTGGTTATTGTAGCCCTGTAGTATAGTTTGAGGTCAGGTAGCATGATGCCTCCAGCTTTGTTCTTTTTGCTTAAGATTGTCTCAACTATATGGGCTGTTTTTTAGTTCCATATGAAATTTAAAGTAGTATTTTCTAATTCTGTGAAGAAAGTCAATGGTAGTTTGATGGGGATAGCATTGAATCCATAAACTATTTTGGGCAGTATGGCCATTTTCACAATATTGATTCTTCCTATCCATGAGCATGTAATGGTTTTCCATTTGTTTGTGTCCTCTCTTATTTGCTTGAGCAGTGGTTTGTAGTTCTCCTTGAAGAGGTCCTTCACATCCCTTGTAAGTTGTATTCGTAAGTATTTTGTACTCTTTGTGGCATTTGTGAATGGGAGTTCACTCATGATTTGGCTCTCTGTTTGTCTATTATTGGTGTATAGGAAGGCTTGTGATTTTTGCACATTGATTTTGTATCCAGAGACTTTGCTGAAGTTGCTTATCAGCTTAGGAGTTTTAGGGCTGAGACAGTGGGGTTTTCTAAATATACAATCATGTCATCTGCAAACAGAGATAACTTGACTTCCTCTCTTCCTATTTGAATACGCTTTATTTCTTTCTCTTGCCTGATTGCCTTGGCCAGAGCTTCCAATACTATGTTGAATAGCAGTGGTGAGAGAGGGCATCCTTGTCTTGTGCCAGTTTTCAAAGGGAATGCTTCCAGCTTTTGCCCTTTCAGTATGATATTGGATGTGGGTTTGTCATAAATAGCTTTTATTATTTTGAGATATGTCCCATCAACACCTAGTTTATTGAGAGTTTTTAGCATGAAGCGCTGTTGAATTTTGTCGAAGGCCTTTTCTGCATCTATTGAGATAATCCTGTGGTTTTTGTCATTGGTTCTGTTTATGTGATGAATTACATTTATTGATTTGGGTATGTTGAATGAGCTTGCATCCCAGGGATGAAGCCGACTTGATTGTGGTGGATAAGCTTTTTAATGTGCTGCTTGATTCAGTTTGCTAGTATTTTATTGAGGATTTTCGCATCAATGTTCATCAGGGATATTGGCCTGAAATTGTCTTTTTTTTTGTTATGTCTCTGCCAGGTTTTGGTATCAGGATGGTGCTGGCCTCATAAAATGAGTTAGGGAGGAGTCCCTGTTTTTCTGTTGTTTGGAATATTTTCAGTAGGAATGGTACCAGTTCCTCTTTGTACCTCTGGTAGGATTCAGCTGTGAATCCATCTAGTCCTGAGCTTTTTTTTGGTTGGTAAGCTATTAATTACTGCCTCAATTTCAGAACTTCTTATTGGTCTATTCAGGAATTCGACTTCTTCCTGGTTTAGTCTTGGGGGGGTGTATGTGTCCAGGAATTTATCCATTTCTTCTAGATTTTCTAGTTTATTTGCATAGATGTGTTTATAGTATTCTCTGATGGTAGTTTGTGTTTCTGTGGGATCAGTGGTTATATCCCCTTTATCATCTTTTCTTGTATCTATTTGATTCTTCCCTCTTTTCTTCTTTATTAATCTGGCTAGTGGTCTATCTATTTTGTTAATCTTTGCAAAAAAACCAGCTCTTGGATTCACTGATTTTTTTGAAGGTTTTTTTGTGTCTGTATCGCCTTCATTTCTGCTCTGATCTTAGTTATTTCTTGTCTTCTGCTAGCTTTTGAGTTTGTTTGCTCTTGCTTCTCTAGTTCTTTTTGTGATGTTAGGGTGTTGATTTTAGATCTTTCCTGCTTTCTTCTGTGGGCATTTAGTGCCATAAATTTCCCTCTAAACACTGCTTTATCTGTGTCCCAGAGATTCTGATACATTGTGTCTTTGTTCTCATTGGTTTCAAAGAACTTCTTTATTTCTGCCTTAATTTCATTATTTACTCAGTAGTCATTCAGGAGCAGGTTGTTCAGTTTCCCCGTAGTTGTGTGGCTTTGAGTGAGTTTCTTAATCCTGAGTTCCAATTTGATTGCACTGTGGTCTGAGAGAGTGTTTGTTATGATTTCCATTCTTTTGCATTTGCTAAGGAGTGTTTTACTTCCAATTATGTGGTCAATTTAAAAATAAGTGCTATGTGGTGCTGAGAAGAATGTATATTCTGTTGATTTGGGATGGAGAGTTTTGTAGATGTCTATTAGGTCTGCTTGGTTCAGAGCCGTGTTCAAGTCCGGAATATCCTTGTTAATTTTCTGCCTCCTGGATCTGTCTAATATTGACAGTGGGGTGCTAAAGTCTCCCACTATTATTGTGTGGGAGTCTAAGTCTCTTTGTAGGTCTCTAAGAACTTGCTTTATGAATCTGGGTGCTTCTGTATTGGGTGTGTATGTATATAGGATAGTTAGCTTTATTTTTGTTTCATTGATCCCTTTACCATTATGTAATGCCCTTCTTTGTCTTTTTTTATCTTTGTTGGTTTAAAGTCTGTTTTATCAGAGACTAGGATGGCAACCCCTGCTTTTTTTGCTTTCCATTTGCTTGGTAAATCTTCCTCCATCCCTTTATTTTGAGCCTATTTGTGTCTTTGGACGTGAGATGGGCCTCCTGAGTACAACACACCAAAAGGGCCTCGACTCTTTATCCAATTTGCAAGTCTGTGTCTTTTAATTGGGGCATTTAGCCTGTTTACATATAAGGTTAATATTTTTATTTGTGAATTTGATCTTTTCATTATGACACTAGCTGGTTATTTTGCCCGTTAGTTGATGCAGTTTCTTCATAGTGTCGATGGTCTTTACATTTTGGTATGTTTTTGCAGTGGATGGTAACGGTTTTTCTTTCTCTATTTAGTGCATCCTTCAGGAGCTCTTGTAAGGCAGGCTTGGTGGTGAAAAAGTCTCTCAGCATTTGCTTGTCTGTAAAGGATTTTATTTTTCCTTCATATATGGAGCTTAGTTTGGCTGGATATGAAATTCTGGGTTGAAAATTCCTTTCTTTAAGAATATTGACCCCCACTCTCCTCTGGCTTGTAGCATTTCTGCAGAATGATCTGTTGTTAGTCTGATGGGCTTCTCTTTGTGGATATCCCGGCCTTTGTCTCTGGCTGCCCTTAATATTTTTTCCTTCCTTTCAACCTTGGTGAATCTGATGATTATGTGTCTTGGGGTTGCTCTTCTCGAGGAGTATCTTTGTGGTGTTCTCTGTATTTCCCAAATTTGAATGTTGGCCTGTTTTGCTAGGTTGCAAAAGTTCTCCTGGATAATATCCTGAAGTGTGTTTTCCAACTTGGTTCCATTCTTCCTGTCACTTTCAGGTAGTCCAATCAAACGTAGATTTGGTCTTTTCACATAGTCCCATATTTCTTGGAGGCTTTGTTTGTTAGTTTTCATTCTTTTTTTTTTTTTGTAATCTTGTCTTCACACTTTATTTCATAAGTTATTCTTCAATCTCTGATATCCTTTCTTCTGCTTGATCAATTCAGCTATTGATACTTGTGTATACTTCATGAAGTTCTCGTGCTGTGTTTTTCAGCTCATCAGGTCATTTATGTTCGTCTCTAAACTGATTATTCTAGTTAGCAATTCCTCTAACCTTTTATCAGCATTCTTAGCTTCCTTGCAGTGGTTTAGAACATGCTCCTTTAGCTCAGAGGAGTTTGTTATTACCCACCTTCTGAAGCCTACTTCTGTCAATTTGTGAAACTCATTCTTTGTCCAATTTTGTTCCTTTGCTGGCAAAGAGTTGTGATCTTTTGGAGGAGAAGAGGCATTCTGGTTTTTGGAATTTTCAGCCCTTTTGCAGTGGTTTTTCCTCATCTTCATAGATTTATCTACCTTTAGTCTTTGCTGTCGGTGACCTTCGCATGGGGTTTTTCAGTGGTCGTTCTTTTTGTTGATGTTGACGCTATTGCTTTCTTTGTATTAGTTTTCCTTCTAACGGTCAGTCCCCTCTTCTGCAGGCCTTCTGGAGTTTTCTGGAGGTCCACTCCAGATCTTGTTTGCCTGGGTATCACCAGTGGAGGCTGCAGAACAGCAAAGATTGCTGCCTTCTCCTTCCTCTGGAAGCTTTGTCCCAGAGGGGCACCTGCCAGATGCCAGCTGGAGCTCTCCTGTATGAGGTGTCTGTTGACCCCTGCTGGAAGGTGTCTCTCTGTCAGGAGGCACTAGGATTAGGGACCCACTTGAGAAGGCAGTCTGTCCCTTAGCAGAGCTCAAGTGCTGTGCTGGGAGATCTGCTGCTCGCTTCAGAGCTGGCAGACAGGAATGTTGAAGTCTGTTGAAGCTGTGCCCACAACCGCCTCTTCCCTCAGTTGCTCTGTCCCAGGGAGATGGGAGTTTTATCTATAAGCCCCTGACTGAGGCTGCTGCCTTTTGTTCAGAGATGCCTTATCCAGAGAGGAGGAATCCAGAGAGGCAGTCTGCTGCAGTGGCTTTTTGGCATTGTGGTGGGCTCTGCCCAGTCCGAACTTCCTGGCAGCTTTGTTTACACTGTGAGGGGCAAACCACCTACTTAAGCCTCAGTAATGGCAGATGCCCCTCCCCTCATCAAGCTGGAGCATCCCAGGTCGACTTTAGACTGCTGTGCTGGCAGGGAGAATTTCAAGCCAGTGGATCTTAGCTTGTTGGGCTCTGTAGGATGGGATATGCTGAGCAAGACCACTTGCCTCCCTGGCTTCAGCCCCTTTTCCAGAGGAGTGAACGGTTCTGTCTCGCTGGCATTCCAGGCACCACTGCGGTACAAAAACAAAACAAAACAAACAAAAAAAAAAACTCCTGCAGCTAGCTCAGTGTCTGCCCAAATGGCCACCCAGTTTTGTGCTTGAAACCCAGGGCCCTGGTGGTATAGGCACCCAAGGGAATCTCCTGGTCTGTGGGTTGTGAAGACCATGGGAAAAGCGTTGTATCTGGGCTTGATAGCACTGTCCCTCACAGCAGAGTCCCTCATGGCTTCCCTTGGTCAGGGGAGGAAGTTCTCCAACCTCTTGTGCTCCCTGGATGAGGCAATGCCCCATCTTTCTTCTGCTTGCTCTCTGTGGGCTGCACCCACAGTCTAACCAGTTCCAATGAGATGAACTGGGTACTTCAGTTGGAAATGCAGAAATCACCCACCTTCTGCATTGGTCTGGCTGGAAGCTGCAGACTGGAGCTGTTCCTATTTGGCCATCTTGCCAATCATCTGTCTAGTACTTACAGGCTAATTTTTGCAAGTCAATATTACAATAGCTTATAAATACCAATTACAATAGCTACAAATAAAATACAATATCTAGCAATTAATTTATCCAAAGAACTGAAAGATCTCTGTAGTGAAAACTATAAAAGAAATTGATGAAAGAAATTGAGGAGGACATGAGAAAATGAAAAGATATTCCATGTTCATGGATTGGAAAAATTGATGTTGTTAAAATGTCTATACTACCGAAAACAATCTACAGATTCAATACAATCTCTATCAAAATACCAATGACATTCTTCACATAAATGAAAAAACGATCCTAAAATGTATATGCAACCACAAAAGACCCAGAATAGCCAGAGCTATCCTAAGCAAAAAGAGCAAAACTGGAGCAATCATATAATCTGACTTCAAATTATACTACAGAGCTATAGTAACCAAAATAGCATGATTCTGGCATAAAAACAGACACATAGACTGGTGGAACAGAATGAAGAGCCCAGAAATAAATCCATACGTTTATGCTAACTCATTTTCAACAAAGGTTTCAAGAACACGCATTGGGAAATTGACAGTCTCTTCAATAAATGGTTCTGGGAAAACAGGTTATCCATATGCAGAAACTAAACATCTATCTCTCACCATATAACAAAATCAAGTCAAAATGCATTTAAGTAATAAATCTAACACCTCAAACTATGAAACTACTACAAGAAAACATTGGGGAAACACCAGGACATTGGTCTGGGCAAAGACTTTTTGGGCAATACCCCATTAGCACAGGCAACCAAAGCAAATATAGACAAATGGGATTACATCAAGTTATAAAGCTTCTGCACAGCAAAGGAAAAAATAAAGTGAAGAGACAACCCACAGAATGGGAGAAAAGATTTGCACACTATTCCTCTGACAACGGATTAACAACTAGAATATCTAAGGAGTTCAAACAACTCAATAAGAAAGAAAAATCTAATAAACTAATTAAAAAGTGTGCAGAATATCTGAATAGGCATTTCTCAAAAGAAGACATACAAATGGCAAACAGGTATATGAAAGTATACTCTGGGCAAAGATTTCATCAAAGACACTAGAAGCAATTGCAACAAAAGCAAAAATTGACAAAAGTAATCTAATTAAAGAGCTTCTGCACAGCAAAAGAAATTATCAACAGGGTAAACAAGCAACCTACAGAATGACAGGAAATTTTTGCAAACTATGCATCTGACAAAGATCTAGTATTCAGCATCTATTAGAAATTTAAACAAATTTACAAGAAAAAAACAAAGAACCTCATTAAAAAGTGGGCAAAAGACATGAACAGATACTTCTCAAAAGAAGGCATTCATGTGGTCAACAAGCATATGAAAAAAATCTCAACATCACTGATCATTAGAGAAATGCAAATCAATTCAAAACCACAATGAGATAACATCTCACACCAGTCAGAATGGTGATTATTAGAAAGTCAAAAAATAACAGATGCCAGTGAGGTTGTAGAGAAAAAGGAACACTTGTACACTGTTGGTGGGAGTGTAAATGAGTTCAACCATTCTGGAAGACAGTGTGGAGATTCCTCAAAGATCTAAAGTCAGAAACACCATTCAACCCAGCAATATCATTACTAGGTATATACCCAAAGGAATATAAGTCATTCTATTATAAAGATACATGCATGCATATGTTTATTGCAGCACTATTCATGATAGCAAAGAGATGGAATCAACCCAAATGCCTATCAGTGATAGACTGTATAAAGAATGTGGACATGTACACCATGGAATACTATGCAGCCATAAAAAAGAACAAGATGATGTCGTTTGTAGGGACATAGATGGAGCTAGAGGCCATTATCCTTAGCAAACTAATGCAAGAACAGAAAAACAAATATCACATCTTCTCACTTATAAGTAGGAGCTAAATGATAACACATGGACCCATAGAGGGGAACAACACATACCAGGGCTTATTGGAGGGTGGAGGCAGGGAGGAGGGAGAGGATCAGGAAAAATAACTAAGGATACTCAGCTTAATACCTGGGTGATGAAATAATTGGTACAACAAACCCCATGATGCACGTGTGCCTATGTAACAAACCTATGATTCCTGCACATGTACCCCTGAACTTAAAATAAAAGTTAAACAAAGTGTGCTCAACATCACTAATCATCAGAGAAATGCAAGTCAAAACTGTAATGAGCTATTATCTCACCTCAGTTAAAATGGCTTTTATCTGAAAGATAGGTAGTGACATATGCTGGCAAGGAGGTGGAGTAAAGGGATCCCTTGTACCTTATTGGTGGGAATGTAAATTAGTACAGCCTCTATGAAGAACAGTTTGGACATTCATCAAAAAACTAAAAGTACTGCTACCATATAAATCAGCAATCCCACTGCAGCATATATACCCAAAAGAAAGGAAGTCAGGATATCGAGGAGATATCTGCACTCTGAAGTTTGTTGAAGTACTATGTACAATAGCCAAGATTTGGAAACAACTTAAGTGTCCATCAAAAGATGAATGGATAGGCCGGGCATGGTGGCTCATGCCTGTAATCCCAGCACTTTGGAGTCCTAGATGGGCAGATCACTTGAGGTCAGGAGTTCGAAACCAACCTGATCAACATGGTGAAACCCTGTCTCTACTAAAAATATAAACACACACACACACAAAATAGCTGTGGGTGGTGGCAGGTACCTGTAATCCCAGCTACTCAGGAGGCTGAGGCAGGAGAATTGCTTGAACCCAGGAGGTGGTGGTTGCAGTGAACTGAGATCGCACCACTGTACTCCAGCCTGGGTGACAGAGCGAGACTCTGTCTCAACAACAACAAAAAGATGACTGGATAAAGAAAATGTACATATACACAATGCAGTGCTATTCAGTCATAAAAAAGAATGAGATTTTGTTATTTGCAACAACATGGATAGAACTGGACATCATTATATTAACTGAAATACACCAGGCACCGAAAGACAAACTTCATATATTTTTACTTATTTATGATCTAAAAATCAAAACAATTGAACTCATGGAGACAGAGAGTATAAGGATGGTTACCAGAGACTGGGAAGAGTAACAGGGTTAGAAGGGGAAGTGGGGATGGTTAATGAGTACAAAAAATAGTTAGAAAGAATGAATAAGGCCCCATATTTGCTAGCACAAAAGGGTGACTATAGTAAAAAATAATTTAATTGTACATTTTAAAATAATTATGTGAAAGGAAAGTAAATCTCAGTACCCCAAAATCACTAAGCCAAAGGGAAGACTCAAGCTGGAAACTGCATCAGGCAAACCTGCCTCCCAATTTATTCCTAAATAAGACAGCTACAAAGATAAAAAAGCTAACACACCTGCCTCACAATTTGTCCACTGGGAAATTCCTTGTGGGGCCCAAGATCTTTACCCTAAAATAGCTCTGTTGAATTTTATCCCAACAATGTAAATAATAGCTTATCTTCCCAGGTACAGGACAAAGGACAGAACTCTAAGTCATCCCTCTGCTCCTCTGAGACATGTGAATATCTGATTGCTTCCTCTGATGTAAAAATGCAGATCACTGAGCTAGAGAAGGCATAAGGGATTATTCTTCTATCCCCCTCACATGTACATTTTGTAATTGACGACAGGCTGATCAAAGATTCAGAAGAATGCAACCACTTGTCTCATCTATCTACACCTTTTAAAAATTTCTTCCTCTTTCCCCTTTAAAATATCAAAACCCTCAAAATCATCTTTGGAGAAAAGCACAGATCTGTTTCCCAGGTGCAGCTTCCCAGGCCCACGTCCTTAACCTTGGCAAAATAAACTTTCTAAATTGATTGAGACCTGCCTCAGATACTTTTTGTTTTACAATGAAAAGAGTATAATTGGATTATTTGTAACATAAAGGAAAAGTGCTTGAGCAGATGTATATCCCATTCACTCTTAAGTGATTATTATCCATTGCTTGCCTGTATCAAAATATCTCATGCAACTCATAAATACATGTACCTATCATGTACCCACAAAAATTAAAAATTAAAAAAAAACCCAAGCAGACAAAAAAGCTCTGCTCCAAGGTAGAGCTTCTCCAATTAGATAATATATGTGTACATATACATACATATATATATGGTAAACCAAAAGAAAATTCTAAGTCCCCCCAACTGACTGAATGGATCCTCCTCTTAGCCAAGGGGACCCAAAGGAATCTGAAAAACCAGTTCAGGCCATCACAGGAAGGGGAAGGTAGGACATATTCATTATACCCGCCTCCCTTTGAAGTTCAGGCACAACTGACCAGCATTAATATGAAAACAGGAATTCTAAGACTGACAGAACAGGCTCTGTAGCAATAAGCCAGCAAGTTCCAAACAGACTCTAGTATAGCATCACGTGACAGATAGTAGGCCCTGAAGAAAGCGAAAGTATTTTACCCCAAAATATATTTATTTGATATATTTTGAGATGGTCCTGCAAAGCTGTCTCTTGTGAGGGAAATTTGCATTCTGTAGAGAATCTCCTTCCTTTACTAGGTCTTTCTGAATAGTCTGACCGACCTTTAAAGTTCCATAGGAAACATTCACATCTATTGTCTCTGAATTCTCCTACTTGGAGGCTTCATCTACATGACAAAAACCTTGGTTTCCACAACCCACCCCTCCCCAGTTACCTTCACTCAAGCTGATTTCAACTCTTCAGGCAGAGCTTACCCCTTTCAACCAATTGCCAATCAGGAAAATTTTAAATCCACCTATGACTTAGAAGCCTAACCCCCACCTTCAAGATGTCCCACCTTTCCTGGCTACACCAATATATACCTTACATGTATTGATTTATGTCTTTACCTGTAACTTCTGTCTCCCTAAAATGCATAAAATCAAGCTATAACCCAGCCACCTTGGGCACATGTCCTTAGGACCTCCTGAGGCTGTGTCATAGGTCATGACCCTTAACCTTGGCAAAATAAATCTCTAAATTGATTGAGACTTGTCTTAGATACTTTTTCCTTTCTAAAATATAAATACTGAGTTCTTTTTTGAGCATAGGCAAAAAGTACTCTATCATCTAAAAATCCTTAATGAATAAAAAATGTCATTATTACCAAACTATACCTTGCTTTTTCTTAATCCTTAATGAATGAAAAATGTCATTATTACCAATCTATACCTTGACTTTTCTTAATTTTATTGTTAAAAGCAGGAGAGAACAGAGGTGACCACAATTCTCTATAAAGCAGTATGTGCCTGATGGTATTAGACCGAAGAGAGTTGTGATAGGATATACTGACCCCAAGTGCCTATTTTGAGTTCTCTTAAATAATAGAACTCTGATATCTGAACACAAATATAATCTTGTCCACAGAAAATGATCATTCTCAGAACTATAACACCGCACAGTTTTCACTGCACTTTTTAATATGTGTAATTCCACACCTTATTTTCATTTTTCCTACAGTTAAAAAGTGCACAAAATTGTGACTCTGTAGGTAGCTTCACTGACTTCTTTGTACTAACAGAAGATTCACTCATATTGTGACAATTTGGCTAAGGCTGCTGGTCAGGTCCACTAATAATGGCCACGGTCCTCCATCTTTCCATTTCTCCCCAGCTGCGCTCTTTAAATCTTTTCGTCCAATTAACAGAACAAGTCTCTGTGAACAGAACTTAATCATTCAGTGGTTACTAGGTAACCTGTCCCCATAGCTTAAGAAGAGCATTCCATCTATTCTTCCACTGTCAATCAATCTCCACAACAGTACATTTGGGAGGATGCTCACCCTAAAGCTTTGATAATCTCCACCGAATGCATTCTCTGTTTACAAGTGGCTTCACCATGAAAAACAAAGCAAAACAAAAAGCTTAACCAATCTGTTCATCTATCCTGATAATATCTTTTCCACTTAAAAAAATAGAATCTGAAGTTTTAACAGTTAAAGAATTTTTGAAAAGCTCTTATAAGTGCATCTACTATTCACAAACTGCCACGCACAAATCAATTTTTAAAAGCCATGATTTATGTAAGCTACCAATGAAAACCATTCTTTATTGATACTTTGCCTAGTCTTTCTAAGGGATTTCAGTCTCCACTCCAGTCACACTTTAGTTCTTTGTCTTGTTAGATGTCTGCCTGCAATATACAGAAACACTCTAAATTATTAGATTGAATGACATGAAATTGCTGTTTTATAAATAAAAAATTGTCAATTAGACAATATCACTTGGTTCTACCTAGTAGTTTGAAGTATTTGAAGAACACTATTAGAAACTTAGATTTAATTTAGACTAAATTAATTATTTCTTTAGAATATTTGAGTAAGTAATCTTAGAAAATGGAGGTGGGAGGGTGGTTCTTGACATCCTTAGACATGTTCATTCTCTGACTTAATTGAATTAAATGTGAGATTTCTCTTATCCTCTTTGAAGTCTTCCATTTCCTTGTCTGCAAACAACTTCTTAGTGTTCATTATGTTTTTAAACAAAATCTAAATTATCCAACAGTGTGAAAATGTGTTATGAAAACAGCCTATCATTCTGTAACGTTAAGTATTCACTGAAGTTTATACCTATAGGCAACCTGAGATTATGATAACATTGAGGTCACAATGAACACAGGAGCTATTAATATTTCCCACAGTGAAAGCACAGTCAAGATAGAAAGTTTGGTGGTGATCTGGGTACAGAAAGACTTCCTCTGTGTTATTTATAAGATGCAGAGTGAATGTTTCTGTACAATATCTGAACAAGGTAGAAGAAGTGATGTTCCGACACTCTTTAATTCAGTTTGTACACAAGGCTGGAGGTAAGCAAATATTTTCCCTTGTTTGTCAGAAAATTTAGGGGCTAGGAGGATGCTGGTGATTGCTAAGCAAAAGTTCTAATTTTGCAGAAAAAGCTATGGAGCCCAGAAAAGATAAGTAATTAGCCCACACAATTGGTCTTTATGACTCTTGATTTCGTGCTCATTCCACTAAATCAGGAAATAGGCAGGAAGACAATTATTTCAGTGACTTGTCCTTAGGCGTGTTCACTCTCTTATGCATGTGCTACCTAAAATAATAGAAAAATGATTTTCATATGCAATTGGGGATGTATAAAATGGAAAAGATCAATGAGAATTTGCTTCAGTCTTTGGTCTTAGGCAAACCTGTACCTAAGCTGTCCTAGATAAGTAAGAATATGTATATTTTGAAGTTATACATTTTTTTTGTAAAAGAGCAACATGTATTATTCTGAACACGGTTGAGTCCAATTTTCTTCTACTCTGGAGATGATTACTTTATCGTAATCCAGGGGGACTGTCATTTGTATTGATTTAGAAACATTTTACTGGAGAATTATCCCTCAGAAAGCTTCCCTTTTTCAAGGATAGCATAAAGAATAACACTAATGATGTTTTGTAAAGTAAATACTGCCACATGTTATTTCAATAAATATTAAGGGGCACCTACTACGTGCAAGGCTACTTGGGTCACGTTTCCCCCTGGGATTCTACGGAACAACAGTACTTTCTCCAGTTCATTTACATCCCCTTCAGTGATGCTCTGGGATTTACCTGCTTTGAATAGAATCACTGGAAGCTGGGGGTCTATAGGGATATTGTAAAGTGTCAGGAAGCACAGCAGCCATTGTTAAGTGTGTGTTGGAGTCAACCTGCTTTGAATTCTAGCTGTGCTTTTCCCCAGCAGTGTGGCCTTTACTAAGGGCCTCATTTCTTTATCTGCAAAATAGCATAATAATAGTGTACAATTCATGTGATTGTTAAGAGAATGACAGGAGGTAATACATTTAAATAACTTACCACTACTTTTGGCTGTCATAGTTTGGGTTCCTCTGGAACAAGAATTCAAGTACAAGTAGTTTATTTAGGAGATGGTCCAAATAAACACTAGAAGGGGGACATGGAAGTGAGAGAGAGAAGAGAAGGAAGCCAAAAAAGGAATGCTATCAAGCAAGTTACCACTGTGGGTAACTGGAACTCAATCCCACCAGGAAGGAGCTGGGAAACAGTACAGAACTCAGCAGTTATCCTACCCCAGGGGTGGGGAAGCTAGGGCATTGATCCACCATCTAACAACTGTACTTGTCTAAGGGCTGTAAGGGCCTTAGGTGGCTAATTCCCTGGCCTTCTGACTTGCCCTATTGGCATGTAAGTAAGTTTCCATGTTCAGAGAAAGCTGTAAGCAGTAAGGTGCACACACTGGCTGTTGAAGTTGGGATTGGCATCCAATAAAGTGGTAAGGGCTGAGGAGATGTGGGCTGAGCATCAGCGGTGTCTGCTGCCCAGGCAACAGGGACCATTAAACACACATTTACTCTTTGTAATTTAAAATATCATTAAGTGACCTTTTAGGTTATTTTCATATTGGCTATGCCTGGTGCAGAGAAGGCATTTGTTGTGAACACTTGTTTTTGACTGCCTAGCACCTTTTCCCTTGTCTTCCTGTGGGAAATTCATCCTAGGTCTTGATCTTCCCTCCTTCCCAGTCCCTTCTTTTCTTCTAGCTCTCTATTATCACAGGAAATGGGAATGGGATCCAGGAGAACACTCCCAGGCAAGCTGGCTTCAGGCATTCATTCCAGGTGGGTGTGGGGCCCTGGTCAGCACACCATCCTATCGGCAACCTCCCTGGGACATAGCTGCTAGAGATTCTAGTATTGACTTTTTCTGCTGCATCTGCTAAGCTGGAAGAGAGAGACAAAGAGACTCAGAACACCTCCTGAAGAGACTATTTTATCATCCAAATACAACTCTGGTTGAAGTGAGCTCTGCCTCTGGCCCTACCAGTTATATAAGCTGTATTAGTTTGTTCTCACGCTGCTAATAAAGACATACCTGAGACTGAGCAATTTATAAAGGGAAGGGGTTTAATTGACTTACAGTTCAGCATGGCTGGGGAGGCCTCAGGAAAGTTACAATTACAGATGAAGAGGAAGCAAACACGTCCTTCTTCACATGGAGACAGGAAGGAGAAGAATTAGAGAAGTGCAGAGTGAAGGGGGGAAAGGCCTATTACAAAACCATCAGATCTCACGAGATCTCACTATCATGAGAACAGCACAAAGGAACTGCCCTGGTCAAGTCAGTCACCTCCCACGAGGTCCCTTCCCCAACACGTGGGGATTACAATTTGGGTTACAATTCAAGATGAGATTTGGGTGGGGACACAGAGCCAGACCATATCATAAGCCAACAAATTCTTTTCTGTTGCTTGCAATGAAAGAATCGTACCTGTCAGAGCATTTAATATGTACCCATAGCACTTCATGCCCTCAGATTCTAAGACTTATCTTTTAGCACATCACCTTTCAGTGTAAGTTCCCTGGTAGTTATAAAAGCTGCTTAGCAAGATGTTGGAGGCAGGTATGTACTGCTGGCATCATTATATAGCAGAACATGCTTCCTCTCAGGTGAGGTTTTTTAATTTCATACATTATTGCTCAGTCACAGCATTAAAAAACTTTGAATTACCCCATAAGAAAGTCATTCACTTTGCAATTCTTTCAACCCTAATTACATCAAGGAGAAAGTCTCTGTTTGTTACTAGTGTGTCTTTAGCACCTCTCACCCTTGCTAATCTCCCTTTCTAACAAAGATCAAAGCTTGGGCTCAGGCCACAGTATTTAGATAAGATTTGAGAGTATCATCTTTGTTGTGCTCATTTATGGCAATTTCTACAGTAGTAATTGGGCTTGGTTTTCAAGATTTCAGTTACCCATGGTCGACCATGCTTCAACAATATTAAGTGGAAAATTCTGGAAATAAACACTTTCTAAGTTATAAATTGTGTGCTATTCTGAATAGCATGATGAAACCTTGCACTGTCCTGCTTTGTCCCATGTGGGATGTGAATCCTCCCTTTGTCCAGTGTCTCCACGCTGTCTCCACTTCCCACTAATGAGTCACTTAGTAGCCCTCTCAATGATCATCTCACATCATCACAAGAAGAGTGAGTACAGTACAATGAGATGTTTACAGAGAGAGAGAGAACCTAAATTCATATAACTTTTGTTACTGTATATTGTTAGGGTTGTCCTATTTTATTGTTATTGTTGTTAATCTATTCCTGTGTCTAATGTATAAATTAAGCTTCATCGTAGGTAGTACGTATGGGAAAAGACAGTGTGTGTTTAGGGTTTCGTACTATCCATGTTTCCAGGCATCCATTGGGGATCTTGGAATGCATTTTTCATGGCTAAGAAGGGAATACTGTACTGTTCTTCCAATTATAATTGAGCCAGTTTCTTTTAAAAATATGGTTAATTTTTAAAGTGAGTAAATTCAAGGGAAAACTATAAAGTAAATAATAGTACAGGTGGTATAACAATATGGCAAAAGCCATGTAGGTGGTACTTAGAAGTCTTAGCTTTGGGAATCACTTGCTTAGTATAGTGGTATCCCTGTTTCCAGATGGAGGAAAGAGGGAGTAGACAAGGATCTGTTCAAATTGGCATAGGCTGCTTCACTGGTGTGATTTTGACTAAAGGACAAATTTGGTTCATTGAGGAAGGAGTCTCAATTCATTTGCGGGTAAAAACAAAGAACACTTATTTTTCCCAACCACTATTTTCAACGCTGCTCTAACACAGTCCCCTCCTCACTGGGTGACAGGGGCTCTTTATAACACTTCAGCCTGATTCTTTAGCTTTTTGTCATTTTCAGTAATTAAAAGTCACTTTCAGTTTTTAAGACTCAGCTCTGTTTATTTAAACTTTAATTTTTTTTCAGATCCAAAGCTCTTCTCCCCCACTCCTCCCAGCATTGGCTAGACCAGTGGGCACCAGGGCTGGCATTTGAGGGGGCATGATCTGCTTTCATATAACCCCTTCTTCCTCCCTCCATGCACCTGCTTCTCTGATGCTGAGCTGGAGAAGGAAAAGGAACAAGAAAGACCCAGCTCCTTATTTGACTTGTCTTTACGTAGCTCTCATGGGTGGTTGACACCGTTGTTGTCTGAGGGTTCAATGTAGACAAGCGATGGCTCTAGCATGCCCCTCTGATGGCAGCCTCCCCAAGCAGCTTCCCCAGATGTTGGTAATATGTTGTGAGATTTGACTCCAAATGAAGACCCTCGGTCCGCATATTCCCCCACTGCTTCAGTGTGCTTGCCTCCTTGACCCCTGCTACAGCAATCCCCAGCTAGAGACTGTAGGCCACAGACTCACAGACTTACAAGTACCTGTGGGATCCTTTTCTGTACTTCTTGGGATCTGGAACTATGGAAGGGATGCAAAGAAAGGAAGTGGCCTCTCTCTGTCTTACCACCCTCCATCATTCCTTGTCTTCTTAATTCATTCCCCTCCACCTGGATCACAGGGGCAGGTGAGCAGATCCACTGACTAATGTAGACATTAAACCAGAGAGTGGAATCACATTTCCCCTTTTTGTTGGCACCTACAAAAGAATGGTTCTCTTGGGACCTGCCTCCCTTGGTTTTCACACTGCTATAAAGAAATACCTGATACCGGGTAATTTATTTTAAAAAAGAGATTTAATTGACTCACAATTCTTCGTGGCTGGGGAGGCCTCGGGAAACTTGCAATCATGGCGGAAGGGGAAGCAGGCATGTCTCACATAGCAGCAGGCGAGAGAGGGAAGTAAGAGCAAAGGGGAAGAGCCCCTTATAAAACCATCAGATCTCATGAGAAGTAACTCACTATCATGAGAACAACATGGGGGAAATGTCACCCATAATCCAATCACCTCCCTCCCTCCATATGTGGGGATTACAGGTCCCTCCCTCAGCACATGGGGATAACAGCTCGAGATGAGATTTGGGTGGGGACACAGAACCAAACTACATCAGAATCTGAGTCCCTGATACTATGGAAGCTCATACCAACCTAGAAGGGCTACTATCTTCAGACTTTCAGAAGAGAGAACTAAATGTTCCATTACTTACAGTTATACATAATCCTAGCCAATCACAGTCAGACTTTTTGTAGTGTTCAAACTAGACTATGAAAATGGAGTCTCCTAGAAACTACTTTTATTGACAGCTTGGAATAGTTCTTAAATGTACATTACAGAATGCCTACTTGGATGGGACTGAAAATATAGCAGTATTTCTACTCTTATATGTGAATATTTTTATAGTTTGGAGAAATTGGAGGACTGACTTAAAATGAGCCAAACCCATATTCAGATTTTATTAGCGGTTGCCTTTTCCCCATTATATTCTCTGCTCTTGAGATTATCCAGAATAATTGTTCTAATAATGCTAAAGGTTTGGCAATTGCATGGACACATTACACAGTAAAGAATTATGAGATCAAAATCCTTGGCTTTTACAGTATTAAGTGGTTGTATGAGTTTGAATAGATACATCTCTGAGTCTCAGTTTCCTAACCTTTAAAATAAAAGAGTTAAATTGCAATGAATGTGGCTTCCAGTCCTTTATTTCTATGAAAAGCCTGGTATTTTTAAAAGACAGCTTTTTCCTACTGTTCTGACAAAGGCCAAATCTCTAAAACTTTGGAGTTATTTTAGGACCTGTGCTATCACAAGCTGCTCTATGAAAGATGGCAGATTTAGTGTTAGTGATTTCACTGATATTTTGTTCTTAGAAAATTATTCATGGCCTTAAATCATGTTCAAACACTCAAATTATTAACACTATCATTTATAAAAAGTGAAACGTTTCAGGGTGAGGAAGCAAATTATTCTGTCTGGTACCTCCTTCACTGATTGGAATGGGGCATCTTGTACTGAATGTATAAGTAGCTTCTTCTGTACTCTTTCATTAAACGTGATGTTATTGTTTGTTTGTTTTTTGCAAACTCCTTGGTGTCTTCTAGTGGTTACAGTCTAAAGCAGACATTATAAAAGACCGAAGTGGGTAGGGAGTTGAGATAATTGTATCAGGACAATAAGTGCTAATAGTATTGTTACCAGGTGTATTCACTGCCCAGGTACTATGCCTTTTCAGTAACAGGCATAATTAAACACACCCCCAGGCTGCACATTGCATATAAACACCAAGTGATAACCCATGACCTAAAGGAGTTGGTGGCCAGAACTCATTGCTTGTTAAGAATCTCGGCCGGTGGGGCATGGTCAGGCCTATAATCCCAGCACTTTGGGAGGTCGAGGCGGGCAGATCACCTGAGGTCAGGAGTTCGAGACCAGGTCAGGAGTTTTCACCATGGCCAACATGGTGAAAACTGTCTCTACTAAAAATGTAAAACTTAGCTGGATGTGGTAGTGGGTGCCTGTAATCCCAGCTACTCAGGAGGCTGAGGCAGAAGAATTGTTTGAATCCAGGAGGTAGAGGTTGCAGTGAGTGGAGATTGCTCCACTGCACTCCAGCCTGGGCAACAGAGTGAGAATCCGTCTCCCCTAAGCCCCCTCCAAAAAAAAAATGAATCTCCTGGGGTCGAGTGCAGTGGCTCACACCTGTAATCCCAATAGTTTGGGAGGCTGAGGCAGGCGGATCACTTGAGGTCTGGAGTTCGAGACCACCCTAGCCAACATGGTGAAATCCCATCTCTACTAGAAATACAGAAATTTGCTGGGTGTGGTGGTACATGCCTGTCATCCCAGGTACTTGGGAGGCTGAGGCAGGAGAATTGCTTGAACCTGGGAGGCGGAGGTTGCAGTGAGTCTAGATCATGCCATTGCATTCCAGCCTGGGCCACAAGAGTGAAACTCTGCCTCAGAAAAAAAAAAAAAATCTCCTGAAGGCCAGAGTGGTGGCTCGTGGCTGTAATCCCAACAGTTTGGGAGGCTGAGGCGGAAGGATCACTTGAGCCCGGCAGTTTGAGACCAGACTGGGTAACAGAGTGAGACTCTGTTTCTACTAAAAAAAAAAAAAAGAAAATTAGCCAGGTGTGGTGGTGTGTGCTTGTGGTCCTGGCTACTTCTACTTGGGAGGCTGAGTCAGGAGGATCACTAGAGCCTGGGAGGTCGAGGCTGCAGTGAGCCGTGATTGCACCACTGCACTTCAGCCTGGGTGACAAAGTGAGACCCTGTCTCAAAAAAAAAAAAAAAAAAAGAGAAGAATCTCCTGGAGAGCTTTTTGAAAGCTACATCTGGGCTTCTCCCACCCCCAGAAATTCTGATTGAATTCATTTTGGGTTGGGCTTGAGCACTGGCATTTTTTTCCAGATCTCCTCTCCTGATTTTCATGTGGAGCACAGTTAAAAAGCACTGAGGATATACTGTTATAGATTCCTTATACTACAAATAAAGTGGTATAATATATTTGTAGGCAGACTCTGATTAAATGCATGTGTTGTAAACCTAGGGTAATCACTAAATATTCTTTAAAAATTCTTATATATATTGTCTATAGAGATAATCAAATGGAATCCTAAGATATACTCAATGATTCTGAGAATAGGCAGCAAAAAGGGGGGAAAAAATGAGACAAAGAAATGATGAAACAAATAGAAAACAGCTAGTAAGAAGGTGATTTGATGCATTTTACATATTAATGATTTGAACACTAATTGAAAAACATTGTCAGACTGGGTAAAAAACAAGAGTCAACTGTAGGCTTCTTTGAAGAAATCAACAAGTTGATTCTGAAATTTATTTGGAAAAGTAAAGAAACCAGAGTAGTCAAAACAATTCTGTAAAATAAGAACCAACTATGTAAATTGTTAAAGTTAGGGGAAGATGGGTGAAGGAAGGGTAGATGGGAACTCTTGCAACTCTTCTTTAAGCTTAAAATTATTTCAAAATAAAATGTTAGAAAGCTTAACCCTGTTTATCAGGTGTCTAACACCATGGGAATCCACCTCTTGCAACAGTGTGGCCTTCATGTGAGACATGGAGTCAAAAGAGTGCATTTTGGAGCTTTAAGGTTTGACTGCCCCACTGGGTTTTTGAACTTGCGTGGGGCCTGTAGCCCCTTCATTTTGGCCAATTTCTCCCGTTTGGAATGGGTGTATTTACCCAATGCCTCTACCCCCATTGCATCTAGGAAGTAACTAACTTGCTTTTGATTTCACAGGCCCATAGGCAAAAGGACTTGCTTTGTCTCAGATGAAACTTTGGACTGTGGACTTTCGAGTCAATGCTGAAATGAGTTAAGACTTTGGAGGACTGTTTGGAGGACATGATTGGTTTTGAAATGTGAGGACATGAGATTTGGGAGGGGCCAGGGGCAGAATGATATAGTTTGACTTTGTCCTCACCCAAATCTCACCTTGAATTGTGATAATCTCCACATGTCAAGGGAGGGGCCAGGTGGAAATAATTAAATCATGGGGGTGGTTTCCCCCACACTGTTCTCATGGTAGTGAGTAAATCTCAAAAGATCTGATGGTTTTATAAATAGGAATTCCCTTGCACAAGCTCTCTTGCCTGCTGTCATGTAAGGCTTGACTTTGCTCCTCATTCACCTTCAGTCATGATTGTGAGGCCTCCCCAGCCATGTGGAACTGTGAGTCAATTAAACCTCTTTCCTTTATAAATTATGCAGTCTCAGGTATGTCTTTAATAGCAGTGTGAGAACAGACTAATACATCAGGTATTATATAAGTTTAAAGATGAGGAAACTGAGGCACAATGTGTTGAAATAATTTTCCATCTATTTACTAAGTGCCATATTTGATATTGCAACCTAATTCTGTCTGACTGTAAAGCTTGTCCTCTTTGATTAGTCAACTGTATTTTAAGTTGTGTTTCCCCAAATAGTTTGTAAGCTTGAGGAATAGGGCTGTATCTTTTTGTTTGTTTGTTTGTTTTTGTTTTCATTCTAAGGTGGAGATGAAGTTTCATACCTTTGTATTCCCAGCACCTAGCAGAATGACTGTTTTAGGGAACATGCCCAACAAGGATTTGTCGGTTGGGATAGCATTTCTGTCCTCAGGAATGTGTGTTCTTTGCCGTCTTCACATTTTCTTTTCCAAAGTCACATCAACATGCTAGTATGTAGCAACCCAACATGCTTCTCCCCCATCATTCCCCAGCTCAGTATCAGTTGTTGGAATCAAGTAGAGGGGAATATTAAAAAAAGGTGGTCAGAAATGCTGCAAGAGTAGGTGCATTCAGAGAGCATCACCTGCTCTTTCTATGGGCTCTTGAATGCTGTATGAGTCAGGGGAGGCTAACTGCTGTAACAGACCTCCCCCACTTCCCTGCCCATATTTCAGTGGTCTTATATGATAGACAATTATATTTTCTTTATGTAAATTCCAATAGACAGGGGTAGAGGGGTGGATAAGTTGAGTTCCATGTAATCATTCTAGGATCTGGCTTATGGAAGCTCCACCATTATTCAAACACAACTTCATGGTTACCTGGGCACGGACATCCAGCTGGCAGATGGGGGAAGAGATAGCAAGGAGAATTAATCAAGGAGGTTTTTATGGGCCAGGCCTGGAGGTGGCCCATGTCATTTCTGCTCATATTCCATTAGCTATAACCTCAAGAGAGGCTGGCAAATAGAGTCTAGCTATGTGCAAAGGAAGAAGAGGTTATGGGATTTGTTGTATACATGGATATTAATGACTGTCTTAGTCCATTTGTGTTGCTATAAAGGAATACCTGAGGCTGGTAATTTATAAAGAAAGAATGATTATTTGGCCTACTGTTCTGCAGGCTGTACAAGAAGCATGGCACTGGCATCTGCTTCTGGTGAGGGGCCCAGCTGCTTCTACTCATGACGGAAGGTGAAGGAGAGCTGATGTGTGCAGAGATCACATTACAAGAGAGAAAACAAGAGAGATAGAGTGGGAAGTTGCCACTAACAACCAGGTCTCCCAGGAACTAATAGAGTAAGAACTCACTCATTACCGTGAGGACTGTACCAAGCCACTTATGAGGGATCTGCCCCCGTGACTCAAACACCTCTCATTAGGCCCCCACCTCTAACATTGGGTATCAAATTTCAACATGAGATTTGGAGGGAACAAACAAAATCAAACTATAGAAATGCCCAGGTGTGAATTCATTTGTAGGGACAGGCTGGACTCGGCACCCTAGAAATCATCACAGCAGCAACCACTAAAAATAGAACTGACAGTGAATCCCTCCTCCTCAGCATTAGTTGGAGAGAATCTCTCACCTCTTTGCGGGTGCTCCACTGTGTAATCTTCTGCTTTGCCCTCTGCATGAGCAGTTTCTGATGACAAATGCATGGGAATAAATGGACATAAAAGGGAACAAAGCTCCACTTGTTCCAATAAACCCCAGCTGTCAGGACACATCTCTTACACCACAAGTACTGATCCCAAGTGTTTCTTGGAAGTGATCTCTTTAAACCGAATCAAGTCAGAATGCACTTAACATTCATCATTTCCTGCTTTTATGTAGCTTTGTAGTATAAGCTCTGTGGGATCTTGTCAGACCCTTTGTTGTTGAGTAATAACACATTTGTTTGAAAAAAAAAAAGACAGCAAATTAGAAAGCATGAGTTTATTGCAGCAAATGTAATAGGCCTGCTTTTCTTCCCAGGAGTGGGCTGTCACTGTAGCTCAATGTCCTCACCATGGCCATTCTCTTTAATACGGAGGCTAACCTTACAGTGAGGTAGGCCACAATCAAGGGCTTGTCCTATCCAACAGCCTGGAAGAACCATAGGCATTCACCAAAATCAAGATTTTCCCAGCCTAATCAAAGCACATAGAACAGTTAATTATTGCATGGAAATGTGGTCATTTATCAGGTGAGGTTTACATGAATTTCACAATGTAAATGATGTGTCTTTCCAGTTGTTTTCAGGGTATTTCATCTCCAGAAATCATTGAATTGCAGCTCGTCATATATTTACACAAACCAAATTAAAAAGCTATTTTGTACTATGTGAAATATAAAATGAGCATGAAATGATTTATATACAAGAGTGGATATGTAGAGTCTAGGTCCTACACCACTATGAATGCATATCAACCAATGACATTTTGACCTATTGGACCACATGTGAACATAACCATTCAACGCTAACTTCTTGGTCCTGAGCTGTTATATAATGTGTCAGCTCTAGCTCTCAGAATGTAGTAACTAGAGTACTAGTAGTTTAAATGTTATTTTTCAGGTAACATTGAACTACAGCAAATGTGAATTACTCATTGCTGTGGTCTAAATGTTTCTGTCCCATTCCTAATGCCAGCACACTGGGCATTAGGATTTAACGTGTGAATTTTGGAGGGGACAAAAACATTTATTGGGAGGTATCTCTCTGGGACCTGGCATTAGGAATGGGGCCTTTGGGAGGTGATTAGGAGAATGCTTTTACAAAAGAGGTCCGAGAGAGATGCCTCACCTCTTCCTCCATGTGAAGACACAGCAAAGGAACAACAGTCTATGAACCAGGAAGTGAGCCCTTACCAGCCAACACCTTGATCTCCAGAACAGTGAGAAATAAATTTCTGTTATTTATAAGCCACCCAGTCAAGAGCAGTTTGTTATAGTATCCTGAACAGACTAAGACATCCATGGTTAATGATGAATAGTAATGATAATGATGATAATAATCTCAACAAAGTCTAAAGACACTCTAAGAATGTCAAAGGGCAAAAGAGAAAATGTCAAAGATAAAAAATAATAATGATTTAATCAGATTTTTTAGAAAAGTCCAAGAAAAACTTTAAAAGTATAATCTGTCTTACTTGTGCCCCGGAGCTGAGTGTCTTGCTGTCTCTGGAGTTCAGTCTGTTTCTCTGGGCTCATAGCTCCAAGCCTGGTGAGGCTTGGCTGAGGATGGGGGCTATCAGTTAAGTGGCATGTTCAGTCCTGAGGCTAAGAGCTTTCTAGCTGCCAGGCTGCTATTACATGGTGCAGGGAGTAGGGACTGCCTTGTCCACAACAAGAAAAATCTCCCTCCCCTCAGCCAGATAGGTGGATAGTGAGGAACATGGACAATATTTCTCAAGCACCTATTAAATGTGCAATATTGAAAGCTCAAGTGGTAGCACAAGATGGTAGTGGGCGGGAGTGGGTGGAGGAAGACCAGGGCCTGAACATAGAAATCAGAAGATGAGACTTGAATTATGTTTATGTGAATATGGTTTTTCCTGCAACCCCTACCTTGCCTTGGAGTGGACTGTATGTTCCTGAAGGACAGAAACAACAATGAGGTACAGCAAGGGATAGGGAGAAAAAAATCTCAGCTTTCTAGTTGAACCAACCTGCTCTGATTCTGCTCTTATTTAATCCCCATATTTTTCCTGTATACAATAAGCATCAAAACAACTATCTCAAAGGGTTGTTTTCACATTGATTAGGTGTTCAAGGTTAGCTTCTCTTTCTCTGGGGACTTGCTTATAGCAGATGCTTGATAGAGAAATGAATTAAGACCATTTTTGTAGAATTCCTGAATGTTAAAACTGGAAAAGCCTTTCAAAATCATCTAGGTCAACTATCTCATTGAATTTAATTACACTTCTCCTTTTTTAGGAGTTATAAATTGATGGGAAATAGCTGCTTCTATCAAAATATAATGACATCTTGTCTATTAGATGGGAAAAGATAAAAAGACTGAGATAACCAATATCTGTAAAGATGCAGAAAAGCTTTATCTTCATGCCTTACTGGTGGATGTATAGATTGGCTTAACTCTTCTAGGGTACAATCTGGATGATATGGACACCAAATTTAAATATATATATATATTTTTATTTAGCAATCTCATATCTAGAAACTTATCCTGTGGAGATAGTTGGTCAATTGTACAATAGCATGCATGTAAAATAATCTTCTTTGTAGTATTGCTCATAATAGCAAAATGCTGGAAATGCCCTACATATTTCTAAACAGGAGATTAGTTAAATTAATTATGACACACCTATGCAGTAGAGTGTATGACAAATCTATATTGACTGGAATGTAAAGACCTTCACAATGAATTGAATGGGAAAAGCCAGTCACAAAACATCATGCAGAGTAGTTTCATATATATAAAGTTATTAAGAAATGCATGTGGCCAGGTGCAGTGGGTCATGTCTGTAATCCCAACAATTTGGGAGGCCGAGGTGGGTGGATAACCTGAGGTCAGGAGTTCGTGACCAGTCTAACCAACACAGTGAAACCCTGTCTCTACTAAAAATACAAAAATTAGTCGGTTGTGGTGGTGGGCGCCTGTAGTCCCAGCTACTCAGGAAGCTAAGGCAGGAGAATTGCTTGAACCCGGGAGGCGGAGGTTGCAGTGAGCCAAGATTGCACCATTGCACTCCAGTCTGGGTGACAAGAGTGAAACTCAGTCTCAAAAAAAAAAAAAAAAAAAAAATACATGCACAGAGTGCTGTTGGGATGATAGTCACCATGATTTTAACAGTTGCCTTTGGGTGACTTAGGCTGATGTTTGCTTTCTTCTTTATACTCTTCTAAAGTGCATGGATGGTCTACTTGAACATCTGTTGACTTTATAATCAGAAAAAAATCATGAAGCTATTTTCAACTTGAAACAAAAGACAGAAATATCAAAGATCTCTTCATGTTGCCCAGTTTAAGAGTGGTACTTCGGCAGTGTCACTGTACAGAATCCAATTTTATTTTTCTTATTTACCCTGACTGCCAAGCTAGTTATTTCTGCAGTCATAACTGCAGAAAGCCCACAACCCAATACTTCTCACTTTCTTCATCTCTCCTTTTGGGATTCTGGGACT
The DNA here is from genome assembly GCF_000001405.40 of Homo sapiens. Lineage (NCBI taxonomy): Eukaryota > Metazoa > Chordata > Mammalia > Primates > Hominidae > Homo > Homo sapiens. The sequence continues at coordinate 88,349,015 of NC_000014.9, read as the reverse complement.
TACCACAGATCTTTTTGAAAAAAGATAGTAAACAAATAAATAATAAAAAGCACTCTTGTCTCTCTCTAATTGTAAAGCTTACACCATCAAACAGGTTTTTATTTTCCTAAATAAAAGCAAATGGTTGACCATCATGTAATATTAATCTGCCCTTAAGTGACATCCAAACAAAACAGATTTCCTGTCTTGTGATTAAAGAATTTGAAGGACTACCGGGCAAGATGCAGGATGTGTACTGTGTACTGGTTGCCATGGTTTTGACTGAGGATGGGCTATTTAAGCTTATCCTTAATTTGGGTAGGCATGAGTCTCAGCTTTGCAGGGTTAAAAATGGTGTAAAATACATGACTGTTTTTAGACTGAATGGGAGTCTGGCTATAGTAACAGCTAAAAATAGAGGTCTCTATCTTTAATTAACCCTTTGGTTTCCGAATCAAATAAAGAAATTAATTACGATAGATTCTTTTCAGAAAGTAAGCTGGCATGATAGAAAAAGCTGATTTCTAATTATATATGCATTTTGAACTGACATCCTAATATATTTTCTGTAAAAAACTGAAGTATGTATTGAAAAGGCTTATTTTAGCTTTAAAATCATCTAGTCAGTTCCCATGGCAGCTTTACTCTGTTGAAGGATTCGATTGTAACCAATTTAATGTTTTTAGCGGCTAATTTATTTTTCCATTTGCAAATAGCACTTTGAAGCAAACAGGAGGTGGACTGTTAATAATTTACTCTTGATTCTATTATCTATATTATTTCATGCAGCATGCCACACATTATTAATATGCAGATGGTAGATTGAGTTCTGCAAAGAGTGAAAAAAATTTACAAACATAAAATAAAATAAAATGCAGATGGTCTCTGTATCAAAGACTTTAACACTGAAGGTAAACAAAAATCTACATAAGTTGGATAAATAAGCATTCAATAACATCAAACTCAAGATTTTCAATTCCTTGTTTTGGAACTGCAAGAGCTCTTTGATGGACACATCATATTTTGGAGAGCCCATTCAAATTGGAATCAGAAAGTGGAAATTCCAGTTTTACTTCTATCCTTGGGTGGCTTTAAGATTTGAGGCAAATCACTTAAACTGCTGACGCCTCAGTTTCCTTAATTATACACGTATCAGCTTCGAGGATATTTGGACCAGACGATTTATCTATTTTATTTTATTTTATTTTATTATTTGAGACGGAGTCTTACTTTGTTACCCAGGCTGGAGTGCAATGGCGTGATCTTGGCTCGCTGCAACCTCCACCTCCCGGGGTCAAGTGATTCTCCTGCCTCAGCCGCCCCAGTAGCTGGGATTACAGGCGCCTGCCACCACACCTGGCTGATTTTTGTATTTTGGGGGGTTTCACCATGTTGGCCAGGCTGGTCTCGAACTCATGACCTCAGGTTATTCACTTGCCTTGGCTTCCCATAATGTTGGGATTACAGGCGTGAGCCACTGCATCCTGCCTGAATTATCTATTTTGAAGTTTTTGTTTCTTTTTAAATAGTTGAATGCTTTCCTCAAATAAAGCCCACATAGAAGCCCGTTATGAAAACAGAAGTGGATTTCTACTTGTTAAAGATGTGCTGGGGTTAGCAGGGTCCCGATTGATTCTCTCTTGTCCTTTTTCTAACCCCCTTGAAACACCAAGTAGGAGCCCACAGCGCTCCTCAGTGCACAATTTCAGGGCCATTTGTTTAGACAAATTTTAACTTCTCATTCTATCTTAAAAGTTAGCCTGTGGTTCTGAGACATCTCAAAACATAATGCCATAATAATTTTTTTAGAAGATAGAAGTTTTCGGCTGGGATTGGTGGCTCACGCCTGTAATCTCAGCACTTTGGGAGGCCGAGGTGGGCAGATCACGAGGTCAAGAGATTGAGACAATTCTGGCCAACATGGTGAAACCTCACCTCTACTAAAAATTCAAAAATTAGCCGGGTGTGGTAATGGGCACCTGTAGTCCCAAGTACTCTGGAGGCTGAGACAGGAGAATTGCTTGAACCCGGGAGGCGGAGGTTGCAATGAGCCGAGATCGATGCCACTGCACTCCAACCTGGTGACAGAGGGAGACTCCGTATCAAAAACAAGCAAACAAACAAAAAAAGATAGAAATTTTCATATTATACCAAAGAAGATAAAACATAGCAACTTTGAAAACATAGTAATTTTATTTCTGACTTTATGGGTTAGAAAAACTGTTGCTTTCCTGATACAAATGCTCCTCAACTTGCAATGGGGCTATGTCCTGATAAACCCACCTTAAACTGAAAATATTCTAGGTCAAAATGCATTTAATCCACCTAACCTACCAAACATTACAGCTTAGTCTAGCCTATCTTAAATGTGCTCAGAACACTTACAGTAGCCTACAGTTGGGCAAAATCATCTAACACTAAACCCATTTTATAAAAAAGCATTGGTTATGTACTTTATTGAGTACTGTATTGAAAGTGAAAAACGGAATGGTTGTGTGAGTACTCGACTGCTGAGCATATTGCTTTCACACTGTGGTGAAGTCAAAAAAGTAAATAATCATGAGTTGAACCATTGTACTATTGGGGACTATCTGTATTTGGCATCAAGGGACACTCAAGTGAGTCACCTCCCCACTGCCTGTTTTTTATGAGACCTCAGAATCAAACGATTTACTACTTGATGCATGCCCTTTGTTACTTTGTCTTTTTACAAACATCTGCCTATTGACTCATCGCTTCATAATTTTTATATTCTTTTGGATTTTTTATGGCTTTGCACAGTCCACATACTCCATATTCTGAATAATACAATGCTGCTTATTAGGATAAGTTGTTTACCCTCAATGTTAATCCAGCCTCTGTTAGTGTGAAGAAAAGTAAAAGAACACTTATTTACAAAGGAAGCTGCAATATTGAGAAGAGCTTTGGCTGGATCAAAAACTTGTGAGCTCACGTGGAGGAAGCTGGGGTTTGTGTTCCAAAATGGAGATTTTTATGAAAACCTGATCACTAGTTATTCTGTATCTACTAGACATAGACTACTAATGGGAAACAGTGATAATATAAGAAGGAATAACAGATATCCTCAGACTTTCTTCATTATTTCAAATAATATTTCAGGATCAACAATGGCAGCTATGTCTGATTCTTGCTTTACTTTAATGTTTTCAATAGCTGTGATCTTCACAGGAGTCAATTGTGTTATAATCTGCAGATGGAAATTATGAGTGCTTCTGGGCACTGTGCTACACAGAAAAAATAAAACTGAATAAAAGTACTATGATTTAATAACATAATCTCTATGAGAAAAAAATATTGTATACACCCCTAACATTTATGTGTTTCCCAAACCATTATACAAATCATTTATAGAGAAATCACACCAACCACCCACTGCTTGTTAAAACAGAACAAGTATTTTAACATTGAAATGCAACTTTATAAAACAGCAAGGGAATTGGAAATAGAAGGAAATAACTGGCTGGAGACTTAACTGTTTCTTCCTTTTTTATTTTAAACTTTTAAAGTGTAATGCATGTTCAGAAAAGTACACACAAGGCCCAGCTAGCTGAATTTTCACCAGCTTAACACACTGGTGTAATTAGCACCCATATCAAGAAACTGATGATCTCCAAACTCCCTAAGTTCTGCTCTTGCTCCTTCTAATCACTGTCCTTCCACCAGGGTTACCTGGTATCTTGCCTTCTAATAGGATAGATTAGTTCAGTCTGTTTTTAACTTTTCTATAAATGGAGTAATACAATACGTACTCTTTTGTGTCCAGCTACTTTCATTTAACTTTTATGTTTGTGAGACTCACCTATGTTGTTGTTTGTAATTGTTCATTCTGATGAAGAATATTAAATTGTGCAACTATGCCACAATTTATGGACCATTCTACTGTTGATATTCATTTTGGTGCTTTTTTGTTTTTAACTGCTACAAGTTGTGTTCTAATGAACATTCTTGATCATATCTTTTGATTACATATCTAGGGGTAAAATTGCTGTGTCGTACATAGAATAAACATATGTCCACATTCATAGGGACTGCCAAATAGTTTTCCAAATGGTTATATCAATTTACATTCTCAACAGTAGTGGGCAAGAAATCCTGGGAATTTTCTTCCACCTCTGCCATTCCTGAGACAGCAAGAACAACCTCTCCTCTTCCTCCTCCTCCTCAGCCTACTCACTGTGAAGATGATGAGGGTGAAGACGTTTGTGATAATCCACTTCCACTTACGAATATTAAATATATTTTCTCTGTCTTATGATTTTCTTAGTAACACTCCCTTTTCTGTAGCTTACTTTATTGTATTAATAAGAATACAGCACATAATACATATAACATACAAAATATCTGTTAATGAATTGTTTATGTTATTGGTAAGGCGTTCAGTCAACAAGAGGCTATTTGTAGTTAAGTTTCTGGGGATTCAAGAGTTATATGCATATTTTTGACAGAGCAGGTGGTTGGTGCCACTAACCCCCATGTTGTTCAAGGGTCATCTGTACTAGCTAACACTTATTATTTTCTGTTGGATGAATAGTGGTATCAGATTATGGTTTTCTCATTTGCATTTTCTTGAGGACTAATAAAGTTGAGCACCTTTTCACACCTATACTGTCCATTTGAATAGCCTCTTTTGTGAAATATAATTTCCAGGTTTTTGCCCAATTTTCTGTTTTTTTCTTATTGAGTTACAGGAATTCTTTTTTTTTTTTTTTTTTTTTTTTTTTTGAGACGGAGTCTCGCTCTGTCGCCCAGGCTGGAGTGCAGTGGCGTGATCTCGGCTCACTGCAAGCTCCGCCTCCCAGGTTCACGCCATTCTCCTGCCTCAGCCTCCCAGGAATTCTTTTTATATACTGGATAATTTCTTTATTTTCTTATGTATAATGAATATTTAAGGGTTCAGATTTATGCTTGGTATGTTTTTATGTTTTCAGGTATTCTATTTATTACGCACCTCAGGCCTCTGTATATTGAAGTCTGGAAAGCTTCAGATGACATTCAAGTAGAAAAAGTTTCCTTATTTAAAAGTCAAAAGTACTGTATGCAATGTGTCATCATCATTTAATGACATTTTAAATTCGCAATCTGTTTTTTTTAGTTTTAGCTTTTTAACATTGTTTGATCCATTGTTTAAAACTGGATATACCATCACTTTGGGAGGCCGAGGCAGGCGGATCACGAGGTCAGGAGATCGAGACCATCCTGGCTAACATGGTGAAGCCCCGTCTCTACTAAAAATACAAAAAATTAGCCGGGAGAGGTGGTGGGCGCCTGTAGTCCCAGCTACTTGGGAGGCTGAGACAGGAGAATGGCATGAACCCCGTGGGGCAGAGCCTGCAGTTAGCCAAGAGCGTGCCACTGCACTCCAGCCTGGGCGACAGAGCGAGACCCCGTCTCAAAACAACAACAATAACAACAACAACAACAACAACAACAACAACAAGAGCAACAAAACTGGATATAAAAATCAGAAGGACAAAATGAAAGGAAAAGATAATAAACATGCTTTGACTCTGTTAGAACAGATAGTAATGTCTCATTTTGGGTGTATGTATGGTGATGTTCATAAGAGATTGAAATTCCTGGTTGGGATTTCAGTTTTGCAACTTACTAGTGTTTTCTGGTCGAAATAGCCTTGTAATCACCTATACTGGGGAAGATATTTGCCATTTTTGACTATCTAGTGTCCTTCTTTTGGTAGCCGCACCCGGTATTTTTTTGGAGAGCCATCCTAGATCCACAGTTGGTCTATGTGTATTGACCCCATCCCTACCTCCAGCAGAGAGTGCAAGCTACTAATTCACACCTGGCCAATCAAACATCACATTCCTTAGGGCACAGTCATTGGTTTAAGGATGGGCATGTGACCCAGTCAGAAGCATTGACATGTAAGAAGACCTGTGTTAGGACCACACAGGGAGAGAAAGACTCTTCCCTGGTGAATTTGACCTTTGGAAAATGAGATGTAGAACTATTGCAAAGCACCTTGCAACCTCAAGGGAAGATCTTGTTGAAAACAGAGCCAGCCCAGGAGAGGTGCAGCTGAGAGAGAGAGAATTGAAATATTTTGAGTCTTTTGGATCAAGCCAAGGCTGAAGCCAATAATACTTGGTCTTTTCAGTAATGTGAGCCCATACATTTCTGGTCTGCTTAATATGGTTTGAGTTCGGTTTTCTGATACTTGAAACTGCAAGGGCCTTAACTGGTGCAAATACCTGTCCCAGATGTTGTTAGTAGCATTATATGTGATATACAAAGTATGATAATGATATGGCTTGAAGCAGAGACTTCTCCCTGAAAGGTAAATATTCTTTCCAATAATAGTTTTATAATTTAGACACCAGGATTTAAAGTTTCTTAAGAGTTTGTGGAGGTAATTAAAGTTTATTACGGTAAAAGTGTTTGGTTAGGTTTTGTTTAATGGAGATAGGTGGGAAAAGAGAAATGTGTGCTCTTGTCTATGGTCAAGAATAATCACTGTGCTTCGTAAGAGTGGTTCCCAAGTATCTGTTTTTGGACTCTCTCCATCAGAATTGCTTAGGGAGCTTGCCATAATTACACATTTTAGGGCCCTAACCTTGGAGATCTGGAAAACCAAATGTGGGATGATGAGTATAGTCTGTATTTTTAAACAAACTCCAAGATTTGGGAACCAATGCTTTATCACAGGAGTCCCCCTCCTAATTGTGGGACACAGATGGCTCCTGCTTATCTTCTTCCAGGAATTTTGAACCATACAAGGGAATAAAACAAAGAGAAGAAAGAGAGAGGTACACATAGGCCATGAGAAAAGCATGACTGCTAAAGGACTGAAGAATGCATGGGTGGAGAGGGGAAGGGAAGAGATTTTATACCAATATTGTTTTTAAAGAATTGGAGTTTCTAGAAACAAAAATAGGTTAGATGATTGGTTATAGAAGAAAAAAGTAAAAAATATAAATAAAAATAAATAGATTTGGAAATGCAAAGGTGCATGTATATTCCTCGTTTCTACCTGGATGCATGGGGAAAATAATGAGGAAGAAGTGATCCCAGCTCTCTTTCCTGTGTCATTGCTGACTCAAAATATATGTCAGTGGGCTGGGCACTGTGGCTCACACCCGTAATCCCAGCACTTTGGGAAGCTGAAGTGGGCAGATCACTTGAGGTCAGGAGTTTGAGACCAGCCTGGCCAACATGGTGAGACCTCATCTCTACTAAAAATACAAAAATTAACTGGGTGTGGTGGCACGCACCTGTAATCCCAGATACTTAGGAGGCTGAGGCAGGAGAATTGCTTGAACCAGGGAGGCAGAGGTTGCAGTGAGCTAAGATGCGCCACTGCACTCTAGCCTGGGAAACAAAGTGAGACTCCGTCTCAATTAAATATATATATATGTGTGTGTGTGTGTGTGTGTGTGTGTGTGTGTGTGTGTGTGTCAGTGTACAGTTGACCTTGCATTGAACACTGCAGGGGTTAGGGGTACCGACTCCCTGCGCAGTCAGTAATCTGTGTTTAACTTTTGACTCCCCCAAAACTTAACTACTAATAGCCTACTGTTGACTGAAAGCCTTACCAATAACATGAACAGTTGATTAATACATATTTGTATATTTATTTTATACTACAGTCTTACAATAAACTAAGCTAGAGAAAAGAAAAAGTTGTTAAGAAAATCATAAGGTAGAGACAATATATTTACAATTTATTAAGGGGACATGGATCATCATAAATGTTTTCATCCCTGTCGTCTTCATGTTGAATAGGCTGAGGAGGAGGAGGAAGAGGAAGTGTTGGTCTTGCTATCTCAGGAATGGCAGAGGTGGAAGAAAATCTGTGTATAAGTGGATTCTTGCAGTTTAAACCCATGTTGTTCAACATTTTACTGTATTTCACACACATTGGTTTTTGCATGGAGTTATGAAGAAGACATACACTCCCTTATCCATTTAGTAGTGAATAAAATTGAAAAAACTGTTATTATTGATCATCTCCAGATAAAAATTTTCTAGTTCCTTCAACTCCACTGGCATGCATATCATATATAGTAAAATATAACATGTTAATTAGAGGACATATGTTGACTTCAAATACAGTTTTGCATGTGAAAAGACTCCAGGCTTAGTTCTTAAATACTGTAACAGATGCCTAATAATTGATGTTGAAAGTACTTTGTAAATCTTGCTCTAGGAAAAAGAGCTAATGATTCTCTTACAACCCCAGGAGTATTACATTACACTTCACCATCATTGACTGTATTTCAGGAAGGAGGGGCATATAGTTTGAACTACATCCTATCTGAATCCCTGTAATAAAGAGCCATGAATATGGGAATTCAGATGTGTATATTACATTGTATGTAATATTGAAAAATTATTATTAAAATTTAAATTACTACTTATTTTAAAATTTAAAATATTTAAATTTAATAAAATTAAAACCATTTAAATGTAATTACATTAAAATAATTTAAATTTAAAAATAAAAATTTTAAACTTAATTAAATTTAATCAAAATAATTTAAATTTATTTTAAAATTAAAATTTAAATATTACTTTCAAATGAATATTTAATTTTAAATACAATTAAAATAGAAATAGAAGCTGAGTAGAACTAGCCATGAAAACCTTTCTTTTAGTCTGGCTATTTCATGTTCTGCTTTAAAATGTAAGCAAAACAGATTCTTTTCAGTGCCAAAGTGTTTTTTCCCTAACCGAACTCAAATCCTTTGATTTAACAATTGACTCAGATTACTTTATTGGTGCACGAATTGTTATTTACAGTTCTTTTGGCCAAACCACAATAAGAAGTAGTACATACACCACAAGATGTTCAAATATTACTTTTTTAACTACCAGATGAATATATTTATTACTGCAATTATTGTGGCTACTCTGCATCTGGAAGCAAAATATTTAGCAATCTAAATAGCTTAGCATCTTAGTTAGGTTGCAGTTGAAAAGCATGGATCTGGGCTCTTACCTGGATCCTGCTACTAACGACAGGAGTGATTTCGTCAAATTATCAGGCCACTCTGACCCTCCGTCTCCTCCTCTCTTTTAACAGGGGCTGGGGCCAATGATCCATGTATAGTTCTAAAAGTGAATAGGTTGCTAGACACTGGCTGACATAGACTCCTAGGAGACACAGCCAAGGAAATAGTACACTGTGTCTTCTGGGCAGAACTCAAAAAATAAGAAATGAAATAATAATCAAAGTAAAATTCATTATTTCCTAATGATGTAAAACAAAACAAATCCTGTTAATCACCTTTGGAGGATGCTAGGGAACCAACTACTTATTCTGACAACTGGTACATAAAGGGAAAGAACTGAACATTTATCATTATTTTTTGTGGATGGGCTATACCTCAAGGTAATTGAATAGTGTATAAAGGAGAGTTCATTATACAATAATTCCAGCTAATAAAGGCAGAAAAAGTAGAAATAAAATGTTATCATTTTGCAACCCCCAAAAATGGCTCAAGGCAATGATCACAAATAGTTGTAAAACAATTAGGGGAAAAGCAAATGTGGAACTTTGTAGTGGGTAGATCAGGCTGACAACAAATGAAACCATTAGCCAATCTTAGTGTCACATGAAAAGACACCCAGGCATTATGGTGATAAGATGTAAAGTACAAAACCCCACCTATGAAGCATTCTTTCCAAATATATTGAACCTGAATACGCTGTAGATCTAATTTCTCATTTACAGGAAATGCAGGGAAGATAGGAATATACTAAAGATACTCAGAGATAAATTAAAATCTGGGAAATTTTACAACGCAAACAACCTGACCTGGTTTCTTCAACAAATAATTTAGAGGGAAGAAGAAAAGAAGAAATTCATAGAACAAGAGATATGTTACCAGATGCAGTGTATAGACCTGGTTTGAATCCTGTTGCAAACAAACTAACTCAATAAAGAAACCAAATATCAGACAATTGGGGGAAATTTGAATACTGATTGGATATCTGATATTATTAAAATATTTTGTTAATTTTTTAGGTGATGTATCATATTTTGGTTATGTTAAAAAAGGAAACTTTTTTTTTTTTTTTTTTGAGATGGAGTCTTGCTCCGTCGCCCAGGCTGGAGTGCAGTGGCGTGATCTTGGCTCACTGCAACCTCTGCCTCCTGGGTTCAAGTGATTCTCCTGCCTTAGCCTCCCCAGTAGCTGGGATTACAGGTGCCTGCCACCATGCTCAGCTAATTTTTTTGTATTTTTAGTAGAGACAGGGTTTCACCATGTTGGCCAGGATGGTCTTGAACTCCTGACCTCAAGCAACCTGCCTGCCTTGACCTCCCAAAGTGCTAGGATTACCGGCATGAGCCACCCTGCCCAGCAGAAAACATTGTTTTTAGAGATGTATTTGAAGTATTTATAGATGGAACAATATGATGTCTGGGATTTGCTTCAAAATAATCCAGTGGCAGGGTGGTGAGTGGGAGTGTACATGAAACTAGATTGCTCATGTGTTGACAATTGTTGAAAATGGATTTTGGCGCCATGGCACATGTATTCCTATGCAACAAACCTTCATGTTCTGCACATGTATCCCAGAACTTAAAGTATAATAATAATAAAAAAAAGAAAATGGGTTTTGGGCACATGAGGATTCATTATGTTACTTATAGTGAATATTACCTTATTCATTATATTACTCTCTGTTTTTGTGTATGTTTGAAAATCTGCCTAATTAATTTTTTTAATGGGAAAAAGTAATAAACACTTTGTGATAATTTATTAAATTCCATACTTAAGATTTGTGCAGGTTTTTGTATCAATGACTGTATTAGTCTGTTGCTACACAGAACTACCTGAGAATGGGTAGTTTATAAAGAAAAGAGATTTAATTGACACACAGTTCTGCAGGCTGTACTGGAAGCATGGCTGGAAAGGCCTAGGGAAACTTACCATCATGGCAGAAGGCGAGGGGAAGCAGGTACATCCTACATGGCCAGAGAAGGAGGAAGAGAGAGAAGAGGATAGTGCTATACACTTTTAAACAACCAGATCTCATGAGAACTCACTCACTTTCATGAGAACAGCAAGGGAGAAATCTGCCTCCATGATCCAGTCACCTCCCACTAGGCCCCTACTCCAACATTGGGAATTAAAATTTGACGTGAGATTTGGGTGGGGACACAGAGCCGAACCATATCAATAACTGTATTAGTTTCCTGTAGCTGCCTTAACAAATTACCACAAATTGGTGGCTTAAAATGACAGAAATGGACTCTCTCAGAGTTCTGGATGACAGAGGTCTGAAATCCAGCAGAGGTGTGCTCTCTCCTGTGGCTCTAGGGGAGGATCCATTTTGGGCCTCTTCCAGCTTCTGGTGGCCATTGGCATTGCTTGATTTGTGGCCATATCACTCCAGTCTCCGCCTCTATGGTCACATTGCTGCCTCCTCTTCTGTCTATGTAGTCTCCTCTTGCCTCTCTTATAAGGATATTTGTCCTTGGATTTAGGGCCCATCATATAGTCTAGGATGATCTCCTCATCTCAGAATTCTTAACTCAATCACACCTGCAAAACTTTTCCCAACATGCGGACATATTTTTTGGGAGGCCACCATCCAACCCACCATAATGGTGTATTTCAGTAGAAAGATTTGAAAACTAATAACTAAAAAGCACAGTTTATCTTTCTCAATTTCACAATAAGGAGTAACTGTCAGAGTTATTTCTGGTACAAATGTGTGAGATATCCTTGATTTTTTTCCTACCTTGTCGCACAAGCAAGTCCTGTCATTTTCACTAAAAAAAAGGTAAATGAAATCTTTCTAACTTCTTTCCATCTATACTCTCAGTGCTTTAATCTCATCTACTATATTCTATGATGGTCCTACTGATCTTCCTGGCTTCTAATCTCACCTCTCTCCCTTCCATTCTCTGCACAGAGCCAAGCAGAATAATTAATTAAAAACAAAACGAAAATTTATAATCTAATCACCATCTCTTCCTTGCTCTGTACCTGAAATGGTAGTCCATTGCTTCTAGAATAAAATCCAAACACTACCATGGCTTCAAAGGTGAGAATAAATAATTTATCCTCCAACTTTGTCTACACTTATCTAGGGCTATTCCCTTTCTTACCCACAACTGCCCAGCCCCACTGGCTTCTCCTCAGTGTCTTAAACACACCAAAGCCAACTCCAGTAAACGTAGACCTGGGAAAAGGAGACACCAGACAGTATTTACTATGAGAATTCTATTGATAATTAAGCAAATTGTCATTTTTTAAATGAAATAATAATTCATGATCGAAACAGTAATTTATGTTGGATACAGATACATTAGAAAACATGTAAATAAAATATAAATACTCATCCCTCTTCCACTCTCTGAGATAATGATATTTTCATATATATCTGTTCAGAATGTGTGCTTAAATATTACAAACGTATGATTGTATAACTTGGTAACTTGTTTGTTTTTTTTGAGATGGAGTCTCGCTCTGTCACCGAGCCTGGAGTGCAGTGGCATGATCTTGGCTCACTGTAACCTTTGCCTCCAAGGTTCATGTGATTCTCATGCTTTAGCCTCCTGAGTAGCTAGGATTAGCCACCATGTCTGGCTAATGGCTAATTTTCATATTTTTGGTACAGACCAGTTTTCACCATGTTGGCCAGGCTGGCTTCAAACTCCTGACATCAAGTGATCCACCTGCCTTGGCCTCCAAAAATGCTGGGATTACAGGCATGAGCCACTGCGCCAGATTATAACTTGTTTTTTTCCACTTAGCAATGAACTGAGACTGTTTTTTCATGTTATTACATATACCATTTCATCATTTTCTTAAGGCTTTTGATCCATATTTCCTAATCACCCGCCCCAGGACTTGTGCCAATCTGCATTCCCGCCAGCAGAGCATGAAAGTGCCCATTTCCCCACATCCCTGGACATCTTTTTAAATCTCAGCCAATCTGAGAGATGAAAAACAGCATCCTATTGTTCAATTTGCATTTCTTGGATGGTTATGACATTGAACTTTTTTTCCTGGTATTTCTCACCTATAGTTCTTTATAACTGTGTAATGAAGTATTTGGTTATATTTTAAAAAGAAATAGCAAACTAGCTAAAAAAGCATTTGTGAAAGCCACTTAGTGCCAAATTGCAGTAGCCCCGCCACCATGCCTGAGAGCACAGTTGCATCAATGCCTCGAAGCTGTTTGCTCTCCTGGATCTGAGCATACAGCCTGGGCTTTATAGACCTTATTAGGGAAGCCTCGATTTTCTTCTCGTAAAATATAAATCACAGAAAACCCTCCATGATCAGTTTTCAAAGTTATTGTTTGCATTTTCTGAAAATACACGTGGTAAAACAAGAAATTATAGATTTAAAATCTAAGTTTCAGAATGGCGCCCAGCAATTTGCACTTGCCATTGTCTGGGGTTTTGATCATCTTTAAGTTTCAGCATGGAGTTCACGTAACTTGATATATTAGCATAGTCAGCAATACATTTTCCCGTTACATTTATTTTAGAAAGAAGGTCAGATAAATGTGTAGGAAAACCTTCATTTTCCACATTATTTTTGAACAGGCAATTTTATTTTGCTTCATCTGAAAAAAAAAAATAACAGCAGGATATTTCAGGGCACCATGTCGGATATAGTACTGCAGATGTAAAAATGTATCACAAACTTGCTTGTGAGGCAATACCAGGGAATACAGCCAGAGTACTTCTAACTGTCCAAGGTCCTGAAATCCCACATTTTCTTGGTTTACAATTTTGTGTATTATTTTGAACTCAGAGTGTTTGCTCATTGAACAGACACATTCTATCACTTCATATTTCTTATACTCTATTATCATTCATGTGTATCTAAAGTTAATCCACTTGAAGGTTGCAGTGAGATGAGATTGCACCACTGCACTCCAGCCTGGGTGACAGAGCGAGACTCCATATCAAAAAGAAAGAAAGAAGGAAGGAAAGAAGGAAGGAAGGAAGGAAGGAAAGAAAAAGAGAGAGAGAGAGGGAGGGACGGAGGAAGGAAGGATGTCAGTCCACTTGAATATGGATCAACTGACTGAATAGAGCAATTTTATGTGTGATATAGTGTCATATTTTTAAGAGCTATTTTTCTAAAAAAACTTAATCAAAACAAAAAATGTAATAATGGTTGTGATTGTGAGACCAAATATTTTCTTAAAAAACTCAAAAACATAAACCAATGTGACCTAAATCACAGCTAAACAGAAAGCTCACTGTAAATAGAAATTCTAAAGAAAGAGGTCCAGGACATCAGAAATAAAATTAAATATTATGATTCAATAAATGCAAGTGCAGGAGTACCAAAAATAAAAAAATAACCTGTTAAATAGAAGGGACATGTGAAAACAATGTTTTGTTTTAATGGCAAATGTGGAGGGCCAAGGAACACGGTGTGCCATTTCATGGGAGGGAAGGGTGACACTGGAAAGACACACGGTGAATATTGCTTTAAAAATCTAGTCTTTACCAAAATCAAAGTTCAATGGTGACCAGATATGTGGCTCGTGCACCATCTGTGAGGGGAGCAGGTGGAGAAGGGAAGCCAAACTAGACCAAGAAGGAAGTGTCAGCATTTATCGAGAGAGCACACTAAGTAACTTTACGAAATAGGCTCAGTGAAAAGAAGATAAATCAGGAAAGATAGTTTCTTCCTTAAAGAAATGGGACAGACACAGAGTCAGACAGTCAGACAGACTCAGAAAATCAGCGTTTAACCCTTTCCTTGAACAACAAAAGCTCAGACGGGCAAAGTGGCTTACTCAAGTTCAGACCGCTTACCAGTGGCAGAGCTGAGACTAGAAATTAGTAGTTTCAATTTCTATTAGAGTGGTCTTCCCACTCTAGGACAGCTATCTCATATGTGAAAAACTTAACATTCATATAAACAAGCATGCACCACAGTTAAACACAAAGGGGCTGGGCACGGTGGCTCATGCCTGTAATCCCAGCATTTTGGGAGGCCGAGGTGGGTGGATCACTTGAGCCCAGGGGTTCAAGAGCAGGCTGGGCAACATGGTGAAGCCCATCTCTACTAAAAACACAAAAATTAGCCAGGCACTTGCCTGTAATCCCAGCTACTTGGGAGGCTGAGGCGAGAATTGCCTGAGCCCTGGAGGCAGAGGTTGCAGTGAGTGGCGAGAGCATCACTACACTCCAGCCTGGGCGAAAGAGCGAGACTTAGTCTTTAAAAAAAAAAAAAGTTAAACACGAAGGGCTTGAGAAATAGAGCACCTAAATGAATGGATGACGAAGGAAACGGTATAGAAAGGAGCTGTGTAACATGAGTCAAGAGAGATATGTCTGGCTTTATATGAATTTTAAGGAGGGGGAAGAGCATTGGCCAAGAGGTATGAGAAGGATGGAGGTGTTAATAGGCCCAAAGTTACTAAGGGGAACCCAGTAAATCACATGGCTTTTGGGATTTTGGGGCAAATCAGAGAAAACGTGGAGAAAAGACTTCAATAGTCCAACAAATAAGGGACAGAGGCGTTATAAATGCTTGATTAACCCAAATGCATCTGAAATGAGGAGTTTCGGATAACTGAAATTTCTGATTGTGTAACTTTGCTTTTTTCACAACTCCTAACTCCCATCATGCTTGCAAATGTTTCTTAAATACATTAGTCCATTTTATGAAGACTTGAAGCCAGTCAGAATATTTCTGTTCCAGTCCCAATTCTATCACAGACCAGCTGTTTGGCCTCAGGGAAGTCACCTTACTTCTCAGGGCCTCACTGTTATCTGTAAAACAAAGGGCTCTAGTACATTAGAAGTAACCAGACTTTGCATGGAAGAATCACCTGGTGGCCAGGTTTGGTGGTTCATGCCTGTAATCCCAACACTTTTGGAGGCTGACATGGGAGGATTGCTTGAGCCTAGGAGTTTGAGTTTGCAGTGGGCTATGAACCCAACACCGTACTACAGTCTGAGTGAGAGAGTGAGACTGTGTCTCAAAAAATAAGTCACCTGGGGCTCTGGGGCTCTTGTTGCATAAATGAATCTCCAGACCCCACCTTAGACCCACTGAAACAGGATCTCAGAGGAAGCACTTGGACCTAGGAATCTGCTTCTTGCCACTAAGAAATTTTGCAAAGCTCCCACTACATGATCTCCATGGTCCCTACTAATGATTATATTTATGACTCAGTTTTCTCACTGGAAGCTCAGAATTTCTAAAGCAACTGAATTTCTGTTTGATGGACTTAGGGTCACTGCGAATATGGAAAACATTGTAAGGTTCTCTAGCTTTCTATGGATAAAGGACAAAAGAATGGATACATGCACTAACTCCAGGTTATTTATTCTTTCTTGAATCTAAAATTGAATGGATGAGTCTTTGATGTCAGCTTATAAAGTTTATATACCAGGGCTGGGCATGGTGGCACATATTCATAGTCTCAGCTACTCAGGAAGCTGAGGCTAGAGGATCACTTGAGTTCAGGAGTTTGAGGCTATGGAGGAGTAGTGTGCTATGATTGTGCCTGTGAATAGCCACTGCACTCCAGCCTGGACATCATAGTGAGGCCCTGTCTCTAAGAAACAAATTCTATATGCCAGAAAAAAATATACCAAGTCCAATGTGCACATGTTACAAATAAAAGTCCTGGCACCAAAGACAGAAAATAATAGATTATTCTATCTCCTAGGAGTAGAGTAAAGCAAAGCAAACCATCACTAAAGTATGAGCTTTACTTGGTCTCAGCAGCTTCTTTAATAAAATAACAAGTTACCCAGCTGGTCAGAGGCAGAGTGTAGATTCCCCACTCCCAATATTTTAGAATTAAATTTATTATTTTCCTCATTCATGGCTCAATAGCAATGGGGGCATCCCTGTAATATCAAGTTCAAGCTTACTGTTATGATTTAAAGGAAGAACATGGTTATGATATTGCATAGCCATAATGTTTTGATTTCTTTCCAATGGAGAAAAATAGCACTTAGGAAAACAAGAGAAGCTGAAAATATCCAGAAACGACAAACACAATGATATATTTTCTCCCTCAAAACTAATCTAAACTTAATTTGAATTCATGTATGACATAAAGTACTTAAATATTCTCTTTCCAAAAATTGACCTTGAATGATTGGAATTCATCATATATTCTTGCTTATTGTATCCATCTGTGTATCTTATATAGAGGGCCAGAGCGTACAATTGTTCAGTTTGCACATTGTATACAGGCACTAGGCTGAGGTGGTGAGTGGGACTGAGAGCCAGTTCAAATTCTGGACATACTGCTGTGCTTCCTGGTATTGGCACATCCTTCCTGTCTCATACCCCACCCCTTGTCCCCAAGGGATGTCTTCTGAGGTGAACAAAGAACAAAGATACTGTCTCAAGTTAAGACAGTGCCATAGTGCGTTGTTTCCCACCAGAGGGGAGTGCCTTTCTCTATCTGCCATCTAGGCTAGCAGTGGCCATCTAGGCTGGCAGTGTTTGACTTTCTCTTCTACAACATTGCTGGAGGTAGTTTTAATTGAGTGAGTTCTGATTAGTTGAGATTTTACTACGGTGCATTATATAGTGAGGCAATAATTGATAAAGGTTTTCTAAAAATGTTGCATTCTTTCTACCTGAAGATTATAGTCACTTACAACGCTTTGGAACATGAAGACATCACTCTTTTGAAATTCTTCTTGAAAAACAAGGACGCAAATTTGGAAAAAAATGAAAAAGAATAGTTTTTCATAAAAGATACCATAAGATTCTTAGAAATTACAGTTGTCAACTGAACTTTGATTCCTGATGAAATTCTTTGCAGGTCCAAGAGGATCAGCATTTCAATGTGTATCAGTAACATTAGATGACTATTAAAAATATAGTACTGGGGCCAGGTACGGTGGCTCACACCTGTAATCTTAGCACGTTGGGAGGCCGAGGCAGGTGGATCATTTGAGGTCAGGAGTTCGAGACCAGCCTGGCCAACATGGTGAAACCCCGTCCATACTAAAAAGTACAAAAATTAGCCAGGCGTGGTGGTGGGCACCTGTAGTTCCAGCTACTGGGGAGGCTGAGGCAGGAGAATCGCTTGAGCCCAGGAGACGGAAGTTGCAGTGAGCTGAGATTGCACCACTGCACTCCAGCCTGGGTGACAGAGGCAAGACTCCATCTAAAAAAAAAAAAAACCTAAATAAAAACATAGTATTGGAATCTAAATATAGAGGCATTATATAAACTGGAAATAGATCCTCTTTCCGTACCTCAGCATTATTAATTGACCACTGAAAGAGTAGAGTAGGTTGAGCAACATAATGTGGTCTTATATTACACTGGATAAAAGTTGAAGTAATTCCAAGAAGACTGCATATCTGGGTAAATACTTCAGGATGGTCACATATTTGCCATGATTTCAGGGACATAACAAAGGTTTTCTCACCTCCCTCTCTACTCACCTCTTCCCCATACTTCTTTTATTTGTTTCATAATGTCTGATGGTCTAAGATTTATTTTTCTATACTTTGGCTTAAATGTTCACCTGGTGTTAAAAATGCAAATACCTCTGGGATAGGAATAACATTGTCTTTGAGCATCAGTTCTCTCAAAGAACACAGACAACACACTTTGATAGAGAGAATAATACAAGGGAATAGTACCCCAGAGTTGGGGAGGTAACAATGAAAAGGAAAAAGGGTCAAGAGTGTTTCAGCTGCAATTGCCAGAGATCAAAACTTTGTGTAATCATCTTGGCATTGGGAATGGTAATTTGACTTAGAGATTAGTGGGTCCCCAACTTCAGTCAGATAGCTCGGGTTTGATTTCTACTTCCATCTCTAACTAGCCTTGCTTATTTGGATAAGCAGTAACCTCTCTAAGCTCCAGTGTTCTCCTCAACAAATATTTATATGCCCAATACATGTCAGGTATTATTTTAAATTAAATCACAATAATATTGCCCATCTTCTAGGATTGTTATGAGAAATAAATGGGATAATCTTAAAAAGTGGTTGCTATGTGCCCGGTGGATAGTAAGAAGAATCTTATGGAACAAGTAATCCTAAAGATGATTCCTTTAATATGTGAATTCCTACACAGTTTACAAAGCACTTCCACATCTATTGCCTCCTTACAGCAACCCTGTAGGCAGAACTAGCCAGATATTTAGTGCTCCATTTTACAGGTGAGGAAACTGAATAAAGCTTGGCATGATTCACTTGGTTGGTTTTGCAGTGCTCCCTACTGAAAAGAACGGTGGGCTAAAATGTGCATAAGCTGGCCAAATACTTGTTCTTATTATGAACCCCTATTTTATAGATGCAGAAACTCGGTAAGGCTTAGAAAGACTTTGATTTTTTTTTCTGAAACTTGTAGTGAAAAAGAATGCTTTTAAGAAAAGTATGAGTTGGCCATATTAGCCTATACATGTCAGTAAAGGGGTAAAAAAGGGTTATTTGATATGAAGAAGAGGACATTGAACAATTTAATCTCCAATACATAACAGTTACAGAAAAAGACTGGTTTCTCCTCATCTTCACTTAAGTACTGAAAAATTTAAAGAAGAAAGAGATTTAGACTGGAAATAAGAGAATATTTTTACTCCACCGAAGTTTCTTAAATTTTGGAAAAGCCCATCAACAAAGGGTTTGGAATCTTTCACTAAATATATTTAGAAACCTTGAATAGTCATATATATTGGACTCTTATTTAGAAGTAGAAGACTGAACCAGTAATCTTGAAATGACCTCTTTGAAATCTGGTTTCATGATTCAGCAAACATTTAGCTGACTTAATTGTAGAAGAGGAAAGTTCTTATATTACATTTGTTCCAATGATATTCAAGCAAACAAATATTAGCTTTAAGAGCAGCAAAAATGAAATGAATTTATTTCACACATTCCCATAGGAGGTGGAGACTCTGTCTCACACTTGATCTTCGCTAAAAGGCTGAGAAGCAATGTGAGACTGTGTCTCACTTCCTACTGAACACAATTTTTTCTACTCTCCAGGCTATTCCAAGCCTTTCATAGGCTCTCTGGGAGAAGCATCTGTCCATATGCCCAGACAGTAGGTCCCTCTAAAGAATTTTCAACTCTGCCAAGTTGAAAGACCCTGAGAATAAGACTTGCTCATAAATCAATAGGTTATTGAAAGCACACATGCTTTCTACACGTCTTTAAGTTTGGTTCAAATTAAAACCTTCCTAGAACGACATGAAAATCAGAGCTCATTCATTATGGTGTGTGACCTTGCTGAGTTCTTATTTTTAAATTCAGTAAAATACCATATGTGCCTGTCAACTTGGTGTATATGTGTGAAAACACTCATCCATTCCTGAAACAAGACCTTTTGGATAAAAAACAAAGATAACTTCTTTGAATAAAGCAAAGACTAAGGAGGAGAGTGAGTGGAGCTACAACTGTCTTCCATTCTATGGATACTGGCACAGATGCCAAGTTTATAGAAAATGTTAACTTATTTTAATGATCTACTATGACCAGGAAATAATTTTCCCCCTTTGACTCAACTTATCTTTAGCTACGTCAGGCCATTAAACACATCAGAAAGCAAATGAGCTTGGATTCTGTGAAAAAAAAAATCAATGGCATTAGAAAAATATGAAGACGCTTTTCTAGAATAAAACACACTAAACAGAACAAGCAAATGCAATCTTTGATTGGATCCTGCTTGTCTTAGTCCGTTTTTGCTGGTTAGTTTATAAATAATGGAAATTTACTTCTCATAGTTCTGGAGGTTGGGAAGTCCAAAACCAAGGCTTGTTCTCTGCTTCCGAGATAGCATCTCCTTGCTGTGTCCTCACATGACAGAAGGGCAATAAGAGACAAGCTCATTCCCGCAAGCCCTTTTTTAAAAGGCACCAATTCATAAGTGGGAGGGGAGTCCTTATGACCTAATCATCTCCTAAAGGCCTCACCTCTTAAGACAATTACATTGGAGAGTAAGTTTTACATGAGTTTTAGAGAAACACATTCAAACTGTGGCACTGGTTTTTACCAAACAACTGTAACTTTTCTGTGTGTTTGAAAATTTTCAAAGTAAATAGTGGAGGGGAAAAGCAAAAATATTCTAGCTCCATCTCTTTAAAAAATTACCTGGGATTATGGTTTGGAAGTAATACAGAGAGAGAAAAACTCTAAAACTTGTTCTATAAGAAGAAGGACTATAGCTCTGTACATTTTTGGTAAGATGTTTGGCACAATGCTTTATAGGAGCATAAAAATATTGTCCTAAGGGTTAAGATTTTAAATAGAGAAACTTATAGGGAAAGAGGATGCAGTTCCTGGTTATGAATCATGTCCATCAGCCTGACACTTTAATTACAACTTCTTTGGAGTTTATAGTATATTATCCTCATTAATCCCCAATTAGAGGTTTGAGTCATCAAAATAAATCTGCAGGACTTACACACACAGAGTTCATTATGGAGCAGCCTAGCTTCACGCTTCCAGGTGTATGACATATGACACCCTCTGTCCTTTCACTTCTGATGTGTCTCTAGTTCTTCCAAGCCAAAAGCAGAGCCCAGGATTAGAGCAACATATATTTAAGGGTGTGTTTTTGCAGATGTCAGTTGGGACTAGAAAACAAATGTAGGCATGCTTAAACGCTGAGACCAATGTGGAAACTTCACGAGGTGGGGGTAGGGGGAAGAAAATTTTTGGTGGGGCACGTTTAAGTTCACGTTAATGTATAACGCTATCAATTTTACTACCACTGAGTGGGTATATGAAGGGGATGCTTGCGTGTCTGTGTGTATGTGTGTGTGGTAAAGGAGGGTGTGTGTGTGGCGGGGGGTATTTTCACAAAATGACATGGAAACCTGACTGCAGTTCTTTTGGGAAGAGGACTTGGAGGTGTCTTGGGGGTGGGGAAAAGATGGAAGACTGGGATTTCTTCTGGACTTCAGGGAAGAAGGATGAAACCAAAGGGAAACAATCCAAGGCAGATTAATGAATTTAGTCTAATATTTGTGAATTCAAAGTAGATTCTAATCAGCCCATCTCCTCCCTCTTCTGTTTGCAGAACTGGCACTAAAGAGGATTCCCCAAGCTGCTTCATCACTCCCTGCCATTCGCTGTCCCAGGAAATTCTCCTGACTCGCCCCGGAATCCGTGTTCGACTCTTCTCTGGCTGAGCTGTTCATTGCCAGCCACCCTGAGACTCCCCACGCGGCAGGCATCGTCTCCTCCGGTCTCACAGCTACCCCGGGCTGGAGCGTGGGGAGGGGGTAAGGGAGCCAGCCAACTCGGGGAAACTTCGTTGCCAGAGATGACTGGGGTTTTCGGGCTTTCCCAGCCTTCCCATGCCGGGCCACACGGCATTCATTAAAGTGGTGGGGCAACTATTGGTGCGCTCCAGCCGGGCAGGTTTTGAGCTGCAGAGACCCGTGCCCGGTAGCAGCGCTTTGCCACCGAGTGCACCCAGGACGCAGTGGCCGCCAGCCCGGGTCTCCTGCTGGGGGCCGGCGAGTGCAGGGAGACTTTGCGCCACGATGTTTTGTTTTCCTGCCGCAGGAACGCTAGGCAGTCTCTTTCCACCAGACTTAACCCGCCTGAAGCAATAGCCATGGAAGTTGCGGCGGCACAGAGGGAGACAGAACCGCTTGGAGCGGCATCTTTCTTGGATGTTTTTTCTCTACACAGACTTCTTTCTTTCCTTGGGTAAGTGAAGTCCAGCTTGTAAATAACCAAAGGGTAGAACCGAAGGGGATGGAGGGGGATTGCAGTAGCCCAAAGGGCTAAGTTTTCTTGGGAGGGAGGTCTCCCTCCATCCCCACTCCATGCAGTCCACTCCAAATACGCAGTTGAGGAGGAGTTGTGTTTGATTTCAGACACGTTTTGGGAAACGGTACTGGGATTTATTTACCTAATTTTGGTGGATTTTTTTTTGGGGGGGGGCGGGTAACTTGCTTTTGTCTACATTCTGAGAAAGGAGAATGAAAGTGGAGGTGAGAGAAAGCTCCAGAGGTTGGAGGTGGGGAAAAGAAAGGAGGGGGCGGCATCCAGTGATTAAGCAGAGAGATCATCCCAAGGGCCAATGACTAGTGCAAGTCTTCAAGGCAGACCAGGAGCACTAGACACTGATCCTGCTCCCTGCCCTAATAGAGTCTACCCCCACCTCCCCATCCCCAACCCTCCCCTTATAACCATCCTGCTGTTGCCATTCTGGGGAAGGTCATCACTACTCAGGGCCCCAAATAACTTTTAATGGGGACCTGCAACCTGTCTTGTACACAAGTGATGCTCAATAAATGTTTGTTGATTGGCCGAATGATGTTGCATCCTAAGGGTGCAGTTCCTGCCACAGGAATTTGCCTTGGACAGTGAACTAATTCCCCAATGCAGACCCCAGAACACAACCATAGGTCAGTTCATTTTGCAAAGGAGGAGGGCCTGGAGGCTTGGAAAATATCGTATTTAGACCTTCATTACCCAAACGAACCCATGGGACAGGTTCAGGGTCAGATTCATGGGTCCCGGGACTGGATGAGCTCACAAGGTTCTGGCATGGAGAGCATGGACCTTTGTGTCAACAAACTTGGGTTTGAATCCTCATATCGTGACCTTGGGAATGTTTCTTTATCTCTCTGAGCCTTGATCTTCTCATCTGTAAAAGGAGGCCAGTTACAGCTTCTGCAAAATGATCTAACAAAGATGAATGGAGAGGAAATATGAGATGGTGAGGGGGAATTCAGTAAATGTCAATCTTGCCTCCCCGTGCTCTGAGGACTCAGGAGAGGGTGTCTTTCTCTGCTGAAGCCCCTCTCTGACTCTGATGCATGTAAAAAACATTGTATTGCAGTGACTGTGCTAGAGTCCAGCTGTCCGTGAACAGTTAAAGAGAAGAGCGCAGAGGGAGGTTCGAAAGCCTTTCTTAGAAGCATCTCCCTCTGGACTTGAGAACAGAATTTACATACACACTGGTGTCTCGGGGCATGGCTGGGAGAAGCAGAGATTCCTTGTTTGTTTGATTTCTATGTCTTAGCCATCCTCCCAGTCCTAGTAGAGAGAGGCAAAGTGTGGTTACAGAGTCCAGGGAAGATGGTTCTGAAGCACCCGGGAACCTGCCTAAAGGGCTGAAGAGTCAGAGTAGCACCATCAGATTGGTACCAGTTTTGCCTGAACGGGGTTTGCAGAGAATTCAGGGCTCCAGCCTGGGGTGCCTGTGACAGCCCAGTGACAAAGCACTCACCTTTCCCACAGACCACAGCGGACCTCTGTAGGTCTTGCTCTTGGACTCAGAAACCTTGATGTGATAGTGACGGATGGATGGTGAGAAAGATGCTGCTGACATAGGGCTCCCCAGAAGCCTCAAGGTGCCGTAGAGTAGCATGCAACTTAGAGATCAGCTGCTAGTGTGGGATTTTAGGACCCCAGCTGGCAGGCATAGGAATGAGCTGGGCAATTTCTATGCGTAAGTAAAGGCAACAACAATCTAACAGGACCTTATGGCACTAGATAGTAAGCCCCATGAAGGCAAGATCTCTGTCTTGTTCTCTGCCATATGGCCAGCACATAGCACAGTGATGGCACTTGGAAGGGGTTCAATATATATGTTGAATGAACAACAAATTTTAGTAACCTTATCTGGAAGCCAGAGTAGGGGTTTAAACTACTTCCTATCCAACACTGCAGCATGCAATTCATGTCTTCATTTAGCAAGTATTTCTTGAGCACCTACTACGTGTAAGGCTCCGTTGCGAGGCATCCGAAGCAATTTGTCAGCATCATTCATGTTGATACTCGGAGTGACCCGTTCAAGAGCACCTCAGCACCACCTGGCTTTTCTGAAGACTGAGGCCCCACCACAAACCCCTGTGGGGCTTCAAGCAGGGGCAGTGAGAGGGCGTTAGACGAATGCTCCAGGTTTAGCCCCTTTCCGGGAACAGGTCTGGGTCCCTTCGCATCTGCCCTGCTGGTCCCAGGATCCCGGGGCCGCCGCTTCCGGGAGCTGCCGGGTCTTGGCAACTCCGCTTTCCTCCGGGGGCCCCCGTGCCTCTCTCAAGCCTCCTTTCCAGCCAACGACCAGCGGCCCCAGTCCGGCTGCAGGTAGCTGGGGAAGGGACCAAGCTGTGCCTTGGGAGCGAGCTTCCCCGGGCGGGGAGAGCGCAGCAGATGCGGAGCGGTCCCAGAACAAAAGGCTCATGGCTGGCACGGGCCTCCTTGGAGTGCGGCGGGGACGTGGGTTCGGGACTCAGGCGAGAGAGCCAGACGCGGGAGGAAAAAAAATGAAGTGAGAAAAGAGAAGGAGGGAGAGCTCAGGGTGAGAGCGGTGAGAAGAGGTGACCCGGAGGCCGAGGTCTGCGGCGGAGCCGCAGCGGCCCTTCCTCCGCCTCCTGCAGCGCCTTCCAGGCAACCAAGCGTGTCTCCGGCTGCAACTCCAGCAAGCGCGCCGCTGCCGCCTCCACGCCCGCCCGCCGGCCGGCCGAGCCAGTAAGTAGCGGCGCGCCCACCGCTCGTTCCCCGCCCCTCCGCGGCTTCCCCGCCACCGCCCACCGCCTCCCGCCGCCCCGCGGGCAAGTCCGCGACCGCCTCCCGCTGCCCCGAGCCGGGTGCCGGGGGCTCAGCGCGCCTTCCCAGCTGGGAGCCTCGGTCCGCTGCTCGCCCTGCTCCCTCTTGCCGGGGCGCGGCGTCTGGGGCGCGCCGCGGGGAGGGTCGCCCTCGCCGCGCGCTGCCCGGGCGCCGCGCCACCCCTACATCCAATGGCTTTCGGGGAGCGGGAAGTGGGGGGCGTCGCCGGGGGCGAGGAGCCGCGGCCGGGGTGGGGCGTGTGCGCTCAGCGCGGCCGAGCGAGGCTGACGTGCCCGCCCAAGCGCGCGCCCGGGAGTGTGTGTGCGGGTGTGTGTGTGCGGGAGTGTGTGCGCACACGCCTTCGGGGGCTGGAGTGACACTGCAGTGGGCTTCTCCGTAGCCCCAGCCTTCAGGCTGCGCAGCCCCTAACCTGCCGGCACCGCTTTTGGGAAGCAGCTTGGCTCTTCCATCTCCCCAAGCCTTCCTCTCCATCCTTTCATCCACCCCTCGCCGATCTTACTTTTTCTTTTACCCACGGGGCCGCGGCCGGCCACCCCCTGGCCGGTGCAAACACCCAAGCCCTCTCCAGTTCTCCCCCAAGCTAATATTTTCCCACCTGTCTTTTTCTGGGGTTCCTCCACGAGCCAGTCCAAGGCTCCCCCATCCTCGGAAATTGTTTTGTTGGACTGCTAAACCGAGGCGTGTAAAGCTTGAGGACTTTATTATTATTTGGGTTCTTTTCATTTCTTCCCCTTCTGGGCAACGAAGCAATGAAATTTCCAATCGAGACGCCAAGAAAACAGGTGAACTGGGATCCTAAAGGTGGGTGTTTCCTACTTTTGGCTGCCCTCGCCCTGCCTCTGTCTCCGGCGTGTGCGCGCTTCCTTGAGTGGAAGCACTCTTGCTTCTGGCAGCGTGTGTCCTGAGGCTGGGAAATGCGCCTGGGAACTGCAGCGCGGGTGGGAGGAGGGCGGAGGCAGCGTGGGTTCCGAACCCAGATAGTGCCTGTCATTACCACATAATCATTGTCCCTCCTAGATTGTCTCCAGATCTATTTAGATAGACCAAGCCGACTGTTTGGTTTGAAATTGCAAGTGTCGGTATTTGCTTTTGACTTTGAGTGTGCGAGTGTGTGTGTGTGTGTGTGTGTGTGTGTGTGTCCTTTGTTTCTGGTGATCTTTGTCTCTCTGGCAGATGGGTGGGGTGCTTCCCCCTGGACCTGGAGCTGCGCCGCATGCCCGGGTGTCCTCAGTGGGAAAGGTTTCCTGGCAGCAAGTGGGGCTCGAGTTGCAGCAGCCGTCCCTAGGGGTGGGCCGTTCTCGCAGGGCATGCAGAATAATGGAGCCCACAGGGCCTCCTGAGTCTTCGTTCAATCTTATTACCAAACCTAGCAGCTAGTTAGGCTCAGGTCAGAGTAGAAGCAGGAGGAGGGGTGGTTTGTGAGAAGGGTGGGGCTGGCAAGGCATAGGGGAGGGGCACGAAGTGTGCCCGCCCAAGCAATGGTGTGGTTTGCATGCTTTTACGAATGTTGGACCAGGTTTCATCCACGCAAAAGGGAGGGATTAAGACGGATTTGTGTGTGCCTAGCGTCGGCCACCGTGTCTGTAATTAGCATACAGATGTTAAGGCTCCAAGGGAGTGATCAGTATGAGAGCAGAACAAGTTGGAACCGCGTGTCCAGTTGTGACAAGAATGCTCTTTAGCATTTCTTGTAGCTCATCTGACGACTGTGTCAGGCTAGGCAACGCCTCTGTGTGTATTGGAATTGAAATTTGTTTATTTGGGGTGCGTGTGTGTTTAATGTTCTTTATGAGCGCATTTCTTCTTTTTCTCCAGACTGGAAAGAAGAAACCATCTTATTTGTTGAGTAAATGTCTTAGGAATTGACTGGCTATTGAAGAGTGAGTGAAGAGATACTGCCTTTTTAAAACACTGAGGCTGTTACATCTTAAATACAGCCCAAACCTTCTATTTTGTCTCTACTTGAAATCTCTGGAAATATGGAGGTGTGCCTTTGCTTTTTTGGGGGGAGAATCCCTGAAAAGCATATTTGTTAAATACCTATTACATGCTAAACACTGTCCTAAGCTCTGGAGATACAGTCAGAACAGGAAAGATAAAAGCTCTGACTTGGAGTTTACAGTGAGGGAGACAGACCTAAATCAATTCCATGGAGGAATGCATAATTCAAAGTTTATGTATGCTCCAGGGAGAGCATCAGAGGTTTAAGAAAGTGTCTGATAGAAGAGATTGACAAGGACCAGAGAAGGCTTCCCTGAGGACATGACACTTGGACTTAGGCCTGGAGGATGTATAGGAGTTAATTGTCTAAGGAGGAGGGGAATTGTTGCAGAAGAGGGAACAGCAAGTGCAAAGGGCCTGAGGCAGAAGAGGTATGTGTATATGATGAACTGAAAGGAGGTTCCCATGGCTATGGCAGAGTGAGTGAAGAGGTATTGCCTTTTTTAAACACCCAGGCTGTTATACTGTAAATACAGCACAAACCTTTCATTTTGTCTCTATTTGAAACCTCTGGAAATACGGAAGTATGCCTTGGCTTTCTTTTGGGAAATCCCTGAAAAATGTATTTATCCCTAGCAGAGAGCAAGAGGGCTTGTGTTTTGAGATATGACTGGGGGATCCACAGGCGAGACGCCCCCCTCCAAGCCCTGTGTTGTTGGAGGTGGGGTAGCATTGTGGGGTTGGAAGAGTATAGTATTTATCTAAAGCCAATGAAGAGTTTCAAGACGAGGAGTGACATGATTTGAGCTAAGTTTCAAAACAAGTGCTGTGTGGCTCTTGTGGATGTAGGGGACCAGATACAATGGTAGCATGGGCCAGGGTGGTTGCTGTGGGCATGGAGAAGCGGACGGAGTAGAGAGCTGTAGAGGACGTGAAATCAACAGGCTTTGCATGAATAATGTGTGGAAGTGAAGTGAAGGAATTGGAATGACTGAGATGGCAGCCAGGGCAGGACCAGTCTTGAAGGAAAGCTCATGAGTTCAATCTAGGACTTGTTGAGTAGGACATGTCCCCAAGCCATCCAAGGGGTGTGTTAGGTGGGCAGCTGTCTAAGTGCTGGGGTCAGGATCTTCAAGGAACAGAGGGAGTACCGTGAGACTGATTTTGTGAAGCTGGCTTTGTGTTTTAAGGTACATTTCTGTGTGATCATCATTCTATATATTCATGTTACAGTGATGAACACAGACAAATTTTACACATTTTACAGCCTGACACAGTGAAGAAAAGCATACAAATAGCACCTTCAGTTACAACCAGTGGTGCTAAAAATGAAAAAAACCTCAATAAAAATAACAACATTTAATGAGCAACCATTGCATGCCAGGTGCTTTATGTACATTGTTTCATACAATTATTTTCACAATACTTATCTGATGGTATAAGTGTTATAGTTCCATTTGGCACTTGATTGCCATCATGACACCACTAATCTGCCTTCCAGTGGAGTTGCTCTGACTTTGTGCACAGTTATTCCCAAAGGTAGGGGTGACAGTAGTCTTTTTCTAGCCAGGGGATGGAGGAGGGAAGAGAGTGAGGAGTGAGGTGGCATATCTCTTATCTGTATAGAATTATGTGCTAGGTGCTCTTCTAATGTTTTACATGTGTTAATTTAATCTTCACAAACATTTTAGGAGAAAGGTATTATCCTAATTTTACAGATGAGTTAACTGAGGAACAGAGAGTTTGAGTAACTTGCCCAAGGTTGCACAGCTAGTAGGACAAGATTAGAATCTGGGCTCTTAAACACTCTTCAAGTCTGTGTTTCTTATTGGGACTTTTGGCTTTTGCCTGGTAAGGTTCCCAAAGCTCAGGAAGTGGAGAAGCTTGTTGCGAGGAGGAAAAGGAGAAGAGAGAGGATGAAGAGGAAAAGGGAATGGAATAGGAGGAGGATAAAAGAGAGGAAGAGAGAGGAGGAAGGAGAAGAGGAGACAGTGGCTCAAGCTTACCCTACTTGTTCCTTTCTCTACTAACCTATTCAGACAATAATCTTTTCATTTCCATGTCTGATGGGCAAGTCAGTGACTACTGGACAGAGTTTGGGTCTCTGTTTTGGAGGTTCTGGATTACACAGACCAAATGTGTTTAGCAGGGAAAAGATGAAGGGGAGCCCAGCAGTATTAGGGGAAAGTGGAGAGACAGTTCACATTACTTGGACTGTAGGATATGTCTATCAACAGACATGACCCTTCAGGCGGAGGTGCTCTCATGGGTTCTGGAAGGCAGTTGTAATTATAATGTTTTTCTTACAGCCTTATTACCCTACAATTTAATAGCAAAAAATGAAGGTGGTTTGAGAATAGATTGGTTTGGATAGCATTTGGGTGGATTAAGCAAAGCATTGTCAAGAGGTGTAGGTAAAAACAAGACCCAAATATAAAATGGTTCATCTCTGGTGAGCTATGGCCTTCCTTCATATTCATGGAACAGAGACTTCTATGAAGAGCGTTACTGTTTGTGTAGGACCTACCACAAGTAGATTGGTTCTAAGTCTTAGCTTTCATAGCAGAATTTACGTGCACTTTAAATCATCAGCATCATTTGTTGATGATTTTCTGCTTAAAATTGGTATTTACTTGCTGCTTATGTGTATTAAGATCTTTTTAAAACCAGTGAGATCTGCAAATAGTATTCCTCTCACTAGAGGCAAGCAGATGAATACAGTGTAAAAAAACTTTGGATTTGGGGGCAAAATAATTAGGTTCTAAAAGCAGCTGTAGCAATACTTAGTGGTATGACTTTGGGCTGCTCATTTAGCTTTTCTGGGTTTCGCTTCCCTTCCATGGAGAAAGGAGTCATTGCCTTTGTCTACCTCTCTGACTTTGTCTCTTCAACTTTCCCCATCTTGATCTGATCTTGGGGCCAGTTGGCTTCCTTTCATTCCTCAAATAGATCACACTTGCATCTGTCTGAGGGCCTTTGCGCTTGGAATTCCCACTGCTTATAATGCATTTCACGTAGTTGGCTCCTTTCTGTCATTTGAATCTCAGCTCAGATGTCCTCTTGTTAGCAAGGGATTCCCTGTCTTATCTGAAAGACCTCTCCTCCTGTTCCCCAGCACCATCATTTTCTCTTGTGTCACCTATTCGATTGTCTTACTGGCACTTGTCATGATTTGAAACCATCTCACTTACTCATGGGTGACATTTGATGCCAGCCTCCTTTACTAGCATATGAGGTGCATGAGCAGGGACTTTCTCTGTCTTGTTTATTGCCATAACCCCAGTGCCCTGGAAAGTGCCTGGCACTCAATAACCCTTTGCTGAATGAATGGAAGGTTGGCAGGATGGACTGGAGAGGACTGAAGGCTTTATGCCTCATGGAAATTGCAGGACGCCTCTCAGCTATAAATGGCAAAGTACAAATAAGGAGAAAGGAAGAATATCCCCAAATAGTGGCATATCAGAAAGGACGCTGATATTCCCACTTCCTTGCAAGCTCCAGCTCGCTCTAAACCTCCAGTGCGCTGTTTTCCTTCTTTTCTCGTCTTTGACCCGAAGTAAGAAGGCTGAATAGAAGTGCAGTGAGGGTGGATGGGTGGACTGATCTAGCCTGCTGAAGATATGGTCAGTGTCCAATAAATAATTTGGCTCATATTAGCTATTGGAGTGTGGCTATTTTTAGGCACTTTAATCCACTTAAGAAAGAAGCAAAGCTCTAGGAGTGGAGGTGGATTTTTTTTTAAATGCTACACTTTTAGTGCACACTTTAATGCAAAATTCTGGAGAAGCCCATACCTTATGTGCATAGCACCTTTCAGTTTACAGAACACTTTTTAGGAATGATCTCATTTGTACTTTAAAAAACCCTATTTTTGTAGGGATTAGAGTCTTAGATTTACTGACAAATAAAGCAAGATGTAGAAAGGATAAATGATTTATGTGGGAGCCCAAAGCAACAAACAGGCAGAGCTGGGGCTACCCTAGGCCTTTTGATGCTTACGTCCATGACAGTTTCCTTCAAGCTTTCCTTCCTCCCAGCGACTTTGTTCATTCCACACTCTCCTGCTCTTTGTTACCCAAAAGTGTGTTCAAAGGTTTCTCTGAGAGATTTAGAGGAAGCAGTCTCCCTGTTGATCAGTGAATCTTTAGTTGATGGCTATTTTCAGCAGGTTGTGCTTATTGTACAGGTCTACACTTTCATTCTATGAGCTCAGGTGAAGACCCTTAGATCTTCCTTCTGCTGTACTGGCTAAAAGAAGATTTTGGTCTTTTGTGAATGGGGGCCATTTTCAACTTGCTAGGTTGCTTAAGTGCTAGCTTTATTAACGTGTTTCCAAACACACATTTGCGGAGCTTAGATTTCCTGGAAAGAAAATAATCTATTTTTGATTTAATATCCAATTTTCAGGAGATCAGTGTTCCAAATGGGATTTAAAATGTGCCAAAATCACCACAATTATCCTCAAAAGTACCAAGGAACAGTGTTCCAAAGACTGTCTTGGCCAAGATTTGGTTCAGGCTTCTTTTCCAGCAGTGTCTAAGGAGCTTCACCATCCTTTTTGCTAATCCCAGTGATCACTGGGTTGAATTAAGACTGAGCAGGTTGACTTTGCTGTTCCACACCATTTCCAAAACATCTGTACTTTGGCTCCATATGAACCCCACCTTAAATCTGATGCATTTAAAAAATATAATATAGTCTTTCCCCTCATTAGGAAACTTCAACCACAACTGAGATATGGTGTGAAGTATATTTAATATAGGCACAGTGAGCTAGTGATTTCCTTTTGACTTTTAGTCTACAGGAAATTAGAGGAAGAGTTTAATGATAAAATGGAAAGAAGCCATTCTACTGATAGCCAGTTAGGAAGTTTCAGTTTGGACAGCTCCCTTGGCTGATGCAGAAAGGTGGATAAAAATGACAATCTTTTTCAGTACTCTGATTCTTATAAAGGGCACCTACTGGATGATCCAGATGAGGTTAGAGTGAGTTAGGGGCTTAGCTCTGCATGGCATGTTTACAGAATCTACCTAACCATGGCACTAGGAGTGTGGTCACCCTGTTGGTTCCACCCACCTGGGTGATTTCTCTCCATAAGAATCATGGAGGTCAAAGGGACCTTCCACTTCTGGGGTCTGGTCCTAGGGGTACTCTCAGCGGAGACTTTACAGTTTATCTATGTCTGGCTCATTACCATCACCTACAATGGGGAAATAAAGACCTCATATTTACTTGCTAGAACATCTATTTGTCATTTGCAGCCACAGTTTAAGAGTTTTTTTTTTCTCCCTGTGAGTGTCTAGGACTGAGTACTCTGAATTGAAAATGAAACCTGACTTCCTAATCCTCCATTTAGGGTTGAAGGGAGGGAGTAAGGGTCATAATCACTGGCAGGGGAGGGCACGGTCATGAGGGAGCATTGCATTCTTTTCCTTTGCCATTCCCAGAGCCAGGGAGATGGGGAGGGGTGGGCATTGGAGGTAGTGGGGATGAGGCTGGGAGATGGATGGGATTTCAGGAGATTTTAGGTTTTGTATTACCAATAACTGCTAGTCTCATCACTTACCCTTTCCATGGAAGTAACTTTGAAGCAGAGTGGAATGGTGGGGAAACAAGATTAGAAAGGAAAACATAGGATTTACTGCCATACATAAGCCAGGTGATCACAGGGAACTTTTCCTTCATTCCTCCCGTCCTTCTTTTCTTCATTCCCTTGTTCCCTCCCCACCGCCATCCCCCCAAATCCTGCAGAGTCTTGATCTCAATTGCTCTCGCTTGTGCAAAGGGTCCTTTCTCCCTTACTCAACTACCCAGTGTGGTGGGGCTGGTGGTATTTACAGTTTAAAAAGAGTTGCTTGAATAGAAAATGAAAATTTGGTCGGGTGATGGAGAGCCTGGAAGTCACGGTAACCTTTGCAGACGCCTAAAACACCAATATTCATAATTTTGACATGCAAGCTAGCAACAATTTTACTACCAAGAAAATGAGTTTCTTATGTGCAAGCAGAACTCGAGATCCCCTAAATAATCACACACCAAATATTTAGCATGATAAAGATAAATAGTATAGCTTACTAAATTTAATGTGATATGAGCCTGACAGGCAGAATAGAGATGCTTGATATTAGGTGTGATAAAAGGTTTGACATCCAACATTCACTTACTTCGTCCTCTGAGACAAAAGTCAGGCACCAAGTGTTTAAGAAAAATTGATGGGAGGAAAAGCTTAGAGATGAATAAAGTCTATTTATTAATTTATATTTTCCTCTGAGAACTGGGGAGTGTTGTTACCCATGTTAACTGTGGACTAACCTGGGCCAGCTCCTGGATTCTACTGGCTAAGAATGTTGCTTTAGGCCAAAGGAATTTATCCCTCATGGTGGAATTTGAGGCCATATGGGAGGTGATTATGATAGATCTGTTTCGGCCTCTACATTCTTACAATAACCTGAAAGGAGATTAAATACATGTTATAGTCATTTAACCTAGACTCCAGGCAAAATGTCACCCTCTGTACAGTATAGGAGCTTAGGATAGGAGACCTGGTTTCTAGGGCTGGCGCTGCCACTCATTTAGAAAAGGAGGGAGTTGAGTTGTTGGTTGTTGAGATCCCTTCCTTCCCTGATAGTCTTAGATTGCCTGAGTCCTAATCCAAGCATGATTTACTAGAGGCTGATTTGGGAACATTGCTTCATTTTTCTGTGACTTGGTATCTTCATCTGCAAGATAGGGATAATTACAGCCATTACTTCTTTGGTTTGTTATGTGGATTACATAAAGTGATACATGCAAAGCTCTTAGAAGAATGCCGGATCATCATGAAGGCTCCATGAGTGGTACCTGCCTTGTGCTGTTCTCACAGTTGCAGGAGGCAGCCTGTGAAGTCAGGGTAGCCTCCAGCTCAGCCTCTTGGAAGCATCTGGTTCACTGTCTGGATCATCCAGGAAGTGGTCCATAGCAGAGCACAACCCTCCTGATACTCTGGAAGACTCTTAGTATTCTTAGTTCAGATTTAAACAACCTAGGCTGTCCTGGTTAACTCAGAGAAAAGACCAGTGAAAGAACATGGCTTGGAATCACAATATTTGAGTCTGAGTTAATGTACCCATTTTATTAGCAGTGTATCATAGTTGATTTCGGCTGCTTTAATAAAATTCCATAAACTAGATAGATTATAGACAACAGAAATTTATTTCTCACTGTTCTGGAGGCTGGGAGGTCCAAGATCAAGGCACTGGTAGATTTGGCATCTGGTGAGGGCCCACTTTTCAGCTCATAGATGGTGCCTTCTTGCTGTGTCCTTACACGGTAGAAAAAGTGATGGGTCTTTCTTGGGCTTCTTTGATAAGTGCACTAATCCTAATCATGAAGGCTCCATGCCCATGACCTAATTACCTTCCAAAGGCCCCATCTCCTAATAACATTACCTTTGGGGTTAGGATTTCAACATATGAATTCTGGGGGGACACATTCAGACCATAACACTGTGTGAACTTGGCCAAGTCACCTAACCTTTCCTAGCATTAGTTTTCTTTTGGGTAAAATAAAGATCACAATAACAACCACTTCACAGTTGCTGAGATGATCAAATGAGACAAATGTGAATAAACTTCATAAACTGTTAAATTCCAGACCAACATTTCCCAAAATGTGTTCTGTGAGACATAAGCTAGACTCATCAGATACTCTGAGAAGAAAAGTGGTGTCATGGTAAAGTCAGTTTGCAGGATGATACGTGCTCAGTCATTCCTAGAGAGTCATCATGCACGTTAGCATGTTACTGTATTATTGTGTAACAAATAACCCCAACATTTAGTGGCTTAAATCAATATAAACATTTATTATCTCATAAGTTCTGTGGATCAATAATTCAGGGATAGTTTAA
This sequence comes from Homo sapiens, assembly GCF_000001405.40. Classification (NCBI taxonomy): domain Eukaryota; kingdom Metazoa; phylum Chordata; class Mammalia; order Primates; family Hominidae; genus Homo; species Homo sapiens. Next base: position 88,313,721 of record NC_000014.9, on the reverse strand, counting down.
TTGGGTGGTCTGACTAGGAGTCTGTCATTGATTGTGGTCAGATGTTGTCCGGGCTGCTGTCATCTGATGGCTTGACTGGGGCAGGAGGATCTGTTTCCAAGCTGGTGTGCTCATGTGACTTGCAAATTGCTGCTGGTTGTTGGGGAGAGGGCTCATTTCCTGCCAATGTGGGCCTGTCCATGGGATGCTTATGTGTACTCATATGTGACATGGTGGCTGGCTTCCCCAAGAACAAGTGATTCAAGAGAGAACAAGGTGGAATTGGCAACACTTTTTATGACTTAACTTCAAAAATCACATATTGTTACCACCACCACGTTCTTTTCATTAGACGCCAGTCACTAAAGTTAGTCCACATCTGGGGAGTGGTGGGGGTGATCACATTCACGTTGGAAGGGAGACATGTCAAAGAATTTGAAGACATATTGAAAAATCACCGTAAGAATTTTTTCCTATCATTTATTGAATAGGCACCACGTGCTAGGCTAAATGCTTTGTAGTTATTATCTCATATAATCCTATTCATAATCCAAAGAAATAGGTGAAATTATTATCTCTGCTTTCTGAATGAGGAGGCTGAGGCCTATAGAGCTTAAGTAACTTGCCCAAAGTTACCTAGTCATGCTACGACTTGAACCCGAGTCTGTCTGATTTAAAGCCTGAACTCTTACCTCTGCCTCATATGCCTCTCTCTGATAATCCTGTAGTTCAGAAGTCTGTTTAATTTTGTTTAAGCCTGCATTTTCTACTTAACCACAGAATGATGATTCATTTAACTCCATTTTTACCCTTTCATTTACCAACGGCTTGAAACATTATTCTAGAAAGACAGTGAGCATGATGATGATTTATGTATAATATGAACATATGGTCTCATAATAGATCCCAGCATACCTATCAGTCCAAACTTTTTGTATTATTCAAATACTGGAAGTGTCTATTTTGCCTGTCTTGTGTGGGCACCATCTATGTGTAAATCTGTAAACATTAATTTAAAAAAAAGACCCCATAATCCACCCTATTTTTTCTGACTGTGAAACTAGAGGTGGGGTGTGATAACTCATGGTCCCACTTCTCTTACAGAGTCCCTTTCTTTGCAATGTCCCTTCTTTTACAGATTCAGTGACTGACAACTTAACTTTCTTGGGTAAAGCCAGAAAAAACAGGATGGCCTCCAGGCCGAGCAGTAGAAATGCTGGGGAATGGGGTGTCTGGTGTGTGTCTGGTGTGTTCCTGCAGTGCCTGCAGGCCATGTGTCTGTATGGTGACTGAAACGCAAGTCGGCATCCAGCCAGGATGGCAGGGACCGTGTGCCTGGGGGTGACGGCAAACACACAGTGAGAAGCTGCTGATGGAGGGAGGACCGTTAGCACTCCTTGTCATATTTTGAGTAAACATTTTTTTACAATCTTGTTGCTTTTTCTGTACAGTCTTGAGAAAATGATTTCCAGGAAGCAGGATGCATCCAATGACTTAGAGGTTCCCATGTTTCCAAACATTACATGCCTGGCTTATTCCTGAGGCAGTTTTGTATTCTGAAGGAAGTTTTGGAGCTTCTGTGTTCTGGGCAGAGGCGAGTGAATATGGTTTCTTTTGAGTAGCACCGTGGACTTGAGAATGATCAGGAGCTGGACATTGTTGAATATGTCACTTACTGCACAAAATGGCAAAGACAGGGTCTGGGACAGGGTGAGAGTGTGTTGAATGGAGATGCCTGGGGCCCCAGTCACATTCAGGAGCCAGCACTGATGGCATCTGTAACCATAGTAACCAAGAGTGGAAAAAGTCTCAGGATGCCAAGACGCCACTGTGCCCCCCTTCTGGTTCTGTTGTTTTCCCCTCTATTCTTTCATCCAGAAATTCCCCCATCCCTGCCCCCAACCACCCTGACAAGGGACTGACTTTCAGGGTGGTTTCTACACTGGTGATTTTAACTTCCTACTAACTCAACACTTCCTGTAGCCCCTTTTTCAGTTCTGAGATCCACAAGGATTCATTATGATCCAGACTAAGCCTCATGCACCTAATTTCTTCCGCTTTTCCATTTTTACTGTGAAAATTGGTCCTAAGTCCTGTAGTATACATACTCTAGACTTATTTACAGCTGGGCATAACAACGGTGGCTCATGGCACTCAAAGTTTCCAGTAACACTCCTGCACTCACAGTCTGGTATAGACCATGAGATTTTTTTAGATGTGTTTTAAATGAACAGAGAAAGGCAATGAGGCACAGGAAAGAGAGCCGTGGTCTCTTGTTTGGAGATGTGGGTTTTGCTACTGGTTGGAAAGTGAGGTGTGGCATGGCGCATGAGGGTGGGGAGAGGTGGGTGATGCTCAGGTCATGTAGGGCATAGTAGGTCTTACTTACTAAGGAACTCTTTTTTTCTGAGAATAACAGGAATGTCTTGATTGATTTGAAGTGGGAGGATGACACAATCAGATTTTTAAAAGATTATTTAAATCGCTAATAAATCAAATGATGGGTTCAGCGAATGTTTGCAGAGGATACTTACTGTGTGACAGGCATAGTGCTGGCCTTACCTGGGGTATCTGTGTATTCTTGTAGGAATCCTACATAAAAGCTGTTAAAATATTTTAACAGAAAAAAGCTTTTCTTGACATCTTTGAATTATGACAACCAATTCCAAACTTCTGGTTGCAAATGGGAGGTGTATCTTAAAGCAATGGCGATTGCATTTTCAATTTCTGTTCATTAAAATGATATTTTCCCTGGCTTTGTTACATGACCCTTGATTCTGTGATAATTTGCATATCTAGAGTCGATGAATCAATACATGCAAAACTGTGGTGCGCTCGCTCATATTCTGTTATACTTCAGACGCCTTTTGGAAGCATGTGGCTCTCAGTTCAGCATAATGCTCCTGATAAAATTGCCCCCTCCATACCCGCTGTCACTTTGTTCCTGGTGTGTCCAGAGGTATTGTAACATTGGGGTATTTCTCCTTTGACTCTAATGGGACCCCCTGCTAGTTGTGTTCTTGTGGCCTCAGCTTGGAAGGCCTCCCAAAAGCCTGAATTAATGAAAGCTTCTGATGTGCCGATCCCTTTCTCTGGCAGGGTGAGAACGCAGTTTCTATAGGAGCGTGAATGCCTGCTGCTCAGGCAATAATCTCTGCATTCAGCCTCAGTACTAAAGACAGGCAGAGCAGACAGCCACAGGGGGTGGGATTTGAGGAGCCCTATAAAGTCCCTCTCCACAGCTGACACACACCACTCCTTCCCATGACTATCAGGATGCCTACAATCTTAACAGTTACTTTATTCATTGGCTGTTGTCACTCATCCATCTGGTTATTCCATAAACACTTAGCGAGTGAGTGCCTGCAGAAATGGGGCTAGGCATTGGACACAGAAAGATGAAAAAGACCTGAGGCGTGTACCCAGAGAAGTCACAGCCTAGCCACTGAGACAGGTGCATCATCAAGTAATTATGATATACCATGATAAATGCATATCATTTATATGGTATATCATATACCATATGATATGGTATATCATATACCATATGATATGGTATATCATATACCATATGATATGGTATATGAGAGAGATATGGATTAAAACATCAGCTCCAGAACACATCTTGTTAACATGCGAATGTAGTTCCTCAGGGTAACAAACTAATTTCCAATTACCCGTGGGTACAGCCAAATTAATAGTTCCTATGAGAGAACTGGACCAAGAGAGAACAGAACTAGGGACTGATATGTATTGATAGGCTGGTGTCAAGTGGGAAGGGGGGAAGTCAGGTGCTGTGTAGGGAGCAGACTGAGAGCTCTGGAGGGCAGGAGTGCCAGGAAGGTCACTGAAAGCAACTTTTCATTTGTGCAAATGTTGTCAGAGGTTGCTCTGCTCATGTTAAACTCACTTTATAAAGTGGAAGGAACTTTTAAGATATCCAAGTCCATTGAGGCTTCTTAGGGCAATACTGAATCTAGATTGGTGAAGTGACTTGTGCTTGCCCAGACAGCAAAAAGAGGACAAAGCATATCTATGAACCCGTAATGCTAACCTTCATTATTCAACAGTGATGCTTATGGCAATGCCAACGGGTGTTGGGGCCTTTTATTAATTTTTAATTTTAGTTTTTTATGTTTTTGAGACAAGATCTTGATTTGTCGCCCGAGCTGGAGTGCAGCGGTGCAATCACAGCTCACTGCAGCCTCGATCTCCTGGGCTCAATCAATCCTCCCACCTCAGCCTCCTGAGTAGCTGGGACTATAGGCATGTGCCCCCAGACTTGGCAAATTTATGCATTTTTTGTAGAGACGGGATTTTGCCATGTTGCCCAGGCTGGTCTCGAACTCCTGAGCTCAAGCAATCCGCCTACCTCGGCTTCCCAAAGTGCTGGAATTACCGGTGTGAGCCACCGTGCCCTGCCTGCTTGAGCCTTTTTGCTATTCTCCCTCCTATGGGAAAAAGAATCGAGAAAGAGCAGTAGGCTCTACTAGAGTCTGGAGCATATCGGTTCTGAGATTTCAGATTAAATTCTCTATGTCTGCAGCAAGTACAAATGTGAGTGTATATTCAGCCTCTTGAAGAAGACATCTATCCATTTCTTCAGTGAATATTTGCCCGGAGTCTTCTTCGTGACAGGCACTGTTGTAGGCCCTGGAGGTACAGCAATAAACAAGACGAAGTCTCTGCCCTCCTGAAACTAACCGTTTAGCCAAGGCTTAGCATCTCTCACACTCAGGTCAACTTCTGCATTTTAGAAATCTGTTTCAGGCACACATTTGACAAGTAAAGAGGTTCCAAAAATACATTAATAAGGATGAAAATGAGGCCATTCTGATATTCCATTGCTTGGCAAAAATGCTTAATATGGGAATTTAATATGGAATGGGTGCTGATGCTGTCAAAGGTGGTGACATTCTGTTAGAAAATTCAGTGATTTCAAAGAAGGCCTCAGAGCTGCCTAGTTTGTAATTAGATATTTTGAAGAATCTGTGTTAATTAGGACTCTGTGGCTTGTGCATGTATACTGGGACGAGACTGGAGTTTGTGTCTCTCCCATGATGATGGCATGTAAATTAATCTCCAAGGAATTGCAAGATGCTGAAATGTGAGGTACTTGAGTACACGTTGCATGAGTGCACACAAGTGTGCCTGTGCCGGGATGCGTGTGCACGCGTGCACACACATACACTCTAGCAGATAGTAACTTTTTGCTACACGTGATTTCCAAAGTGTCTAAATTTACATGTCTTTTGAGTAGGAGGAAATTAGGACTTTTGTCTGTTATATGCCTTGCAGTCTCTTGGCCTTCTCTGGGCTGCTGGGGCAGAATGAGGCCAACAGAGAACCACGGATGCCAGTCTGGGTCACAAGGGCTTAAGGAAGCAGCAGATGGTTGGACTGACTGGGGTGTCCATTAAGAATCCAGGGGTAGTGAGAGTCTTACCTGGAGTTTGAGGCCGCACTTCCATTGCCAGGACTCTCAGCTGAGTGGCTGGAAGAGACCTGTAGGAGCCATCCTTCCAGTATCTATCAGAGGTTTCTGCACTGTTTTAAGCTCGTCCTAGTGATCGAGGGAACCTTGACTGGGGGTGCTGATGATTATTAACAGTGGCCATACTCCCACGGCTGCAGGTGGAGATGAAGTGTTTGATGAGAAGATGAGCAAGAGCTCAGGTGTGCCCCACCAGCTCTGCCACTCCCAAGCTGCCGAACTTAGGCACTAACTTACCTCTCTGTGTCTGCTTCCCAACTTGAGAACCGGAAATGATAAAAGTACCTGCTCCCTAGGGAGTAGGTATGGTTAAATGAGACCTCTTAAATGAGACCATGCACACGAAGAGCAGAGCACAGTGCCTGGCACACAGGAGGCACCTAATAAACATCAATGATGCTGCTGCTGGTAACACCCATTTGCTGAGGGTCTTCAGTGGCTCAGGCACAGTACTCAGTGCTTAACATATAATATGTAATTTATTCTTCACAGTAGCCTGAGTCACTTGCTTGTTCTTCTGGTTAATATCCTAATGTTTAGCTCACCGACTTAGATGCTCATGACTTCCAAAGGATCTTCATGTAACAAGGACTCCATATCTATTTTTAAAAAATAAGAGCTTTATTAAGATATAATTTACATACCATAAAATTACCTATTTAAAATGTACAATTCAGTGGTTTTTAGTATATTCACAGAGTTGTGCAATCATCATCACTATCTAATTGTAGAAAATTTTCATGACTCCAAAAAGAAACTCCATATCCATTAGCAGTCACTCCCCATTTTATCTCTCCCAGTCCCTGGCAAGCATGAATTTACTTTCTGTCTCTATGGAGTTGCCTATTTTGGGCATTTCATGTAAATGGCATCATACAACAGGTAGATATTTGTGTGTGTGTGTGTGTGTGTGTGTGTGTGATCAGCTTCTTTCACGTAACATAATGCTTTCAAGGTTCACTCATGTGGCATCCATACCTATTTTGAATGAAGAATGAAGACAGTCATCTGAGACAGTTGTATTAGTCCATTTGGAAGATGAGGAAACTGAGGCTGAGAGTGTGTATGTAATTTGCTCATGGCCACCCATCTTGAAAGCGCTTGAGCTGGGATTTGTGCTCAGGTCCATCTTGGCTCCAAGGCAAGACCTTGGCCTTCTCATCCACTCACTGGTCTCTGGTTGGACCTCTGCATCATGCTGAACACCATTTCTATAGAGATGGGTGTGTCCCACTGGGTGTGGACATCCTGAGGAATTGCTGTGGTTGCAAGAACTCTGATATTTTCCATCTACCTTGAGGGGGATATGGTTTCATGTCTGTATACTCACATAGTGTTGACCAGTCTAATTCTTTTGTCCATTTCCTAAGGGTTATGATATGAACTTGGAAAGTTACAGAAATGAAAGTGATAGGAGAGATATACTTTCTGGGTTGGAAACCCAGCAACCAGTCACTCAATATGATGGAGGAAATGTCATCCTTCTTGTGTTGTCTTCAATAATAGATTGTAATGAAACACTATGGTGTCTTAGTTGGCTCCCCTCCTACCCCATGCCCCCTCCCCCAGCCCCAGTGCTTTTCTGGAGACATGAGATGGTGTATCCCTTCCTCAGTTGCTGTGATAGCAGTGGGGATGATGGGGACAGGTATTCATGGAAGGAAAAGGCGTGGTACCAGCAGGCTCTTGGGCAGGGATGTGTGTCTTCACTTGATCATCAGGGAATGAGCTATCATGATGACAGAGCACATCCTATGAAGTACAAATCTTCCCCCACATTTCCCCAAAATTACTTTTGTCCTGCTCTGTTCTCTCACATGCTATTCTAGGGAAAAGGTCCCATTTTATCATTAAAATGCAAATGAGATTTCCATCTTGCTTCTACCAAAGAAGGAGGAAAATAACCTATATAAACACCATGAAACCTTACTTTGACTTAAAACTAGTGGAAATTGGCCCCTGAATCAGATAATTAGCTGAAAGTACATGAACAATTTAGGCCTCCGGTAGTGGTTATGTGCTTGTTGTATAGGAATTTCGTCTACCATGGATTTCATGGAAGTGGCCCCATTCCTGCTCTGGGTTTATGTAAGACTTTCAGCAGCAGCCCAGTCTGATGTAGCAGATGTTCCAGTGCCTGTCCCTATCCTCCTGCTCGCACCACTTCAGCTCATGCTGGCTCACTTCTGACTGCCAACTTGGCATTTTTTTTGCCTTTTTCTTGACTGAGCCTACTTTGCTGCTCCCATGGAAGGCAGGAAGTGTTGGGGAATTAGTGGACCCCAGGAGGAGCCCTCAACCAATAACTGATGGAAGATGGTGCGTAAACACCCCAATTCCCTCAGCCTTGGGTAGGGTAACTCAGGAATATGGTTTACATGGGGTCCCAGTTTCCTCTGTAGGAAAAATTCCACTGGGCGACAGCAGTAGCTAGTTAGAAACTTCACCTTTTATTGGTTTTCTTGGCTGCCTTCCCAGCCCTTTCTCTTTTCTCTAATTCCCTACTGGCGATTTCTTCACTTCCCAAACAAACCACTTGTGCTCAAATTGTAATTGTAGGATCAGCTTCTGGGGAAACCCAAATGAAGACATATGGTAAAGCTTCCCTCTTTTCTTGCCTTTCTGCCTTTTGCCCCAATCAGTTAGCTTTGATGGTGGGAGTGAGGGGATGCTCAACCTCTCAGGCAGGCTAATGGCTCTCAGGAGACACAATCCACAGCTGATTGGCAGTTTTCTCCCCAAGATATCTTCAGAACAAACCCTGGTGCTGGTGAGTGATCCATGCAGCATGAAAAGAGAGGGTGAAGCTTGATGAGGCATGTTCCAGTCTCATCAAACTATTTTGTTTCCATAATTTTCCTTCTCAGAAAAGGGCAGAATCAAGTACAGTTGATTCTCATCATTTATGGTAATTCTTGTGTTTTATAAAGTTGCTGTAAATCCTGAATTAGCAAATAGTGAACCGTTGCTTTTAGGGGAAATATACGGTTAGGTTCCTGTGAGCCTCTAGTCACAACATTTTCTTCTTCTTCTTCTTCTTTTTTTTTTCGAGCTTAGGGTCTTGTTCTATCACCCAGGTGGGAGTGCAGTGGCGCGATCTTGGCTCACTGCAACCTCCACATCCCAGGTTCAAGCGATTCTCCCACTTCAGCCTACCGAGTAGCTGGGACTACAGGCATGCACCACCATATCCGGCTAACTTTTGTATTTTTTGGTAGAGGTGGGGTTTCACCACATTGGCCAGGCTTGTCTCAAACTCCTGACGTCAGGTGATCTGCCTGCCTCGGCCTCCCAAAGTGCTAGGATTATAGGCATGAGCCATCACACCTGGTCAGGTCACATTTTCATCAACTAAATACATAACCTTGTTGTATGTGTGTTTCTGTTTAAAGACATCTTATTTCATATATACTGTTGATTTGTTAGCATTGAACTCACAGCCACAGCACTGTGACTCATTTCTGAACAAAGTTATCTAACACACATATTTTCTCCATAAGGCACCTCGCATCTTGCACTTAGGAACACTGGATAGCACTTCAGCATTGCACTTGGGGGTGATTTTAAACAGTGCAAACACTAACAAAAAAGCACAAAATGTGAAAAACATGGCACTAAATAGATCACAGAATGGACACTAGCTTACAGCATGAGCGCTCGAACAAGAAGGCAGAGCGCTGCCTTGTTCAACCTCAGCTGAGGACATGTGCATCGGGTGACTCAAACTTTTTTCACTGCTGTGTGCATGACTGCGAATGACTGCAGAACACCATGAATATTGATTTGATTTCGGGGTTACAAATAAATTTTAACACGTAGAAGAATTTGCAAATATATATTCAGTGAATAATGAGGGTCAGTTGTCTTTCTTACTTCATTACAATAAGACTCTACTTCAATTCAGTATTTTTATTTCATTTTATTTTGTTTTTGAGAGATAGGGTCTTGCTCTGTCACCCAGGCTGGAGTGCAGTGGTGTGATCCTAGCTCACTGCAGCCTCAAACTCCTGGGCTCAAGTGATCCTCCCGCCCCAGCCTCCCAAATAGCTAGGACTACAGGAACATGCCACCACACCTGGCTAATTTATTTATTTTTTTGTGGAGACGGCCTCCCTATGTTGCCCAGGCTGGTCTCCAACTCCTGTTTTCAAGCCATCCCCCTTCTCACTCTCCCAAAGTACAATTTAGTATATTTATTAAACGTGTGTTCCAGGCTTTTTGATTGCTATTGAGATGCTAATGAGATGGTCCCTGTCATTAAAGAGCGTCCATTCTGGTGGCACAAGGAACTCAAATTATGACACAAGACAGAATACCTACTCCAGAAGAGAGTTCTGTGAAAGCGTGAAGGAGGGACTTGAGTGTGCGATTCAGGAAGGACTTCACATTGGAGGGAGTTTTTTTAGATAGGTCTTGAGAAACATTTTACATTTTGAACACCTCATACATCATTGATAAAAAAAAGAAGCAATTGGTCGAAACAACTTCATTTCCCCAGATCAAGTCTTCTAGGTTACCTGCATCTGCACCCACCAGTCCCACCTTGATTCCTCTCTAGATGAAGGGCGTCTTTTCCTACCTAAGGCCGTCCCTTCTGCTTATGCTGGGGACTCCTTTGCTCTTTGGGGCATCCTCTCTTCTCCTGGGGAATTGATCTCTCCCTCTCTACTTGAATATTCCTACTAGCGTATACATGGGCTTCCGTGTCATCCCCCTTGATCCCGCATTGCCGCCAGCCACCCCTCATTCCTTTAGGCCTTTCACAGCAAAATTGCTGGAAAGGGTGGTCTGAAGTCACCATCACTACTTCCTCCCCTCACATTCTTTCCAAGCCACCACCACTTTATGGGGGCTGCTCCTTTGGAGGCCACTTATGGACATTGCATCACCTTTCTGTCCTTTTATCTTAAGTACCAGTTAGGATGCTTTCAGCTGCCTGTTGCAGAATGTCCTGATACAAGTGACTTACACAATACGGACATTGACTGTTAAGAGAGTTACGTTCTCACTGAACAAGGATGTTCCAGGCTTGGCTTGGGTGTTTCATAACACCTTCAAGGACCCAGACTTCAGTTTCCTGCCCTGCCTCTCTTGATCACATCAGCAGATATTATGTCGTCTAAAAGCAGGGAAGGGAGTGAAGTAGCCTCTGTGTTTTTCTTTTTATCATGGAGGATGTTTTTTTTGCCCTGCAAGCCCCATGCACATTTCTTAAATATCACCCCCTAAACTCATCCCTGGCAAAGGGGGATGGTATTATCCTTATTGGCTTGGACCAATTAAGATTCATCCCCTGAGTCTGTGAATGGGACGCATCTTCTTTGAAATGTTGTCATTTAACCAAAATTGGATCTGTTAAAGGAAGGGGGAGCGCCTAAGGTGAAAGTGCCAGGCAGTGTCTGCCACATTTTCCCTGACCCTTCCTAGCAATTTTGACAGCCAGCCACCCCATCCTTCTTGAAGCACTTCATTTCCATCACATGCTTTGTGACATCATTTCCTCTGGGTTTTATTTATTTATTTATTTTTTTATTTATTTGAGACAAAATCTCTCTCTGTTGCCCAGGCTGGAGTGCAGTGGCACGATCTCAATTCACTGCAACCTCTGCCTCCCGGGTTCAAGCGATTTTCCTGCCTCAGCCTCCCAAGTAGCTGGGATAACAGGCATGTGCCACCACACCTAGCTAATTTTTGTATTTTTAGTAGAGACAGGGTTTCACCATGTTGGCCAGACTGGTCTTGAACTCCTGACCTCAGGTGATCCACCCGCCTCGGCCTCCCAAAGTGCTGGGATTACAGGCATAAGCCACCGCGCCTGGCCGCTCTGGGTTTTCTTTTAACTTTTCTGGCCACTCCTGTTTCCTGTTGACTCCTTTCTCATTGCTCTACCTCTAATTGGTGGAATGCCCAAATAGTTAGACCTGAGGTCCTTCTTGTCAGGATCTGTAGGTTCTCCTGAGTGATCTCAGCAGTCCCTCTGTATCATCTATATGCCGAGTATATCCTAAACTTGCTTCTCTCAAGAGTTTGTCATCTCATTGAATGAGTTTCCCATCTCATTGATGGGCACCGCCATCTATCTGTATAGTTGCTTAAAGTACGGGCATGTTGCATGAGTCCTCTGTTTCCCACCCCTGCCATTTTGTTCTCCACTCACCAGCAAGTCCTGCCTGATACGATATCTAGAACACATCCAGAATCTGTTTGTTTCTCTCCATTTCTGCTCCTGCCACCCTCATTCCACGCATCTTCCTGTGTGGAGAGCTGACAGCCTTTTTATCGGCCTCCTTTCTTCTACCCTTGCTCCCAATAATTGATCCTCCGTGGAACAGCCACAATGATCTTTTAAAAATATGAATCTGATTTCTCTTGACCCGCAGCTTAAAATTCTCTATCGGTTCCTCTTTCCACTCGGCATAAAATCTGCTTTCTGGTGCTGGCCTGCAGCACCCTGAGTGCTGGCTGTGCTGACCTCCTTTCCAAGGCTGGTCTTGAGCCGTCTTCCTCTAACCTATGCTGCACTTCTTTCTGCTTTCCTTGAATAAAACAAGCTCCTCCTGATCTGAGGGCCTTTACGGGACCTCTTTTTTTTTTTTCTCCTAGGATTATCTTCTGCCCAATTTTCATAGGACTGGCTTCTCCTCGCCTCTGAAATCTCAGTCCAAATGTCATGTCCTCCAAGAATCTTTCTCTAACCGCCCACTCCTGCTGGGCACCCTCTGTTGTAGCATACTGTTAGGAGTCTCTGCATCATGCCTCTAACTCTTTGAAAAAAAGTTCTATTTGTTAGTTTAATAAACTAAAACTAAAAAATTTATAAACCAAATTTCAAAATTTTAAAAATTAATAAACTAAAAACAGTACAATGATATCTCTGTGAAGTCAAGGGAGGAGAGAGTTTTAAGAAGGGGAACTTAATTAGCAGCACTAAAGGCTCTACAACGACTCAAGATAATGATAATGATGATGATGATGATGGTGATAATGACAGTGATAACTAACATTTATTGTTACTATGAACCTGGAAGAGTGCCAGGCATTTTGCGTACATTATCATATTTAATTCTGACAGATTAAAAGTCCTGACAATGCCTCTACTGTCAAGGAATGTTATTCTCATTCTCAGAACACTGAGACTTAGGGAGGTCAGTCAAAGTGCCTGGCACATGGTAGCTTTCGATTAATGTTTGCTATGTGAGTAAATAAATTTCCACAAGGTCCTGGAGCTGGTGAATGGTAGAGTTGAGAGTCTAACTTAGATCTGACTGAATCCAAAGTCCGTATTTGTAACCACTGGTCTATATTTGCTCAGATGAAGACAGAGAACCCCTTAACAGATTGAGAAAAGGAAGCCTAATATAGGATAAATGATTTCTTATTTATTTAAAACATATGATAAATAAAACTAATTTTCAGTCCAAAACCTTCTGAATTTTGGAATTCTGGACTCCATTCATTCAATTCATTTGAAGGCATAGGTGAGTTCTTTAAAAGAAGCATTAGGAATGAATCCAGATTGAACAATTTTCTTATTAAAATACCCTAAAGATGCATTCTTATGATGAGCCAGGTTCATTGTCCAGGAAAGCTATTAAAACTCAGTCTTTGTGATGAGTGCAGTAAGAACCCCACTTGAATTACGTAGTGAGCAGGTGCTTCCTAAACCAAGTTTCATGTTTGACAAGCTAGGAGAGAACCCAGTGTTAAATGTTTTCTGGCATGTTGGCCTTTGGTTTCTCATATTATGGGACATATGTTTAGTGCTTGTGGTATATGCTTAGCCTACTCTTGTAGGATGACTGAGACCTCACACAACATCAAGGACATAGTCTTTGCCTTTGCTGAGTTCAGAGTGTAATTGGAGTGATGAAACATACATGTGAATAAATGCAAAGTCACAAGTAAAGACAGTTAATGTGATTGATGAAGGACGTGTGGCACAAGATGGATAAGAATGAGAAGTAGAAGAAGTAGGTGGTTTTGAACTTTCGTTACTCAGGGAAGGGAATGTATGTGGATTGGTGGAGAAGAGAGGGGAGGAAGATGGTTTTAAGCACTGGTAAGATGGTGCATATTTGCAAGTTTTGCTCAAGGGATAGAAAGGGCTGAGACCCAGTGGGGAGGAATCAGAGGGGAATCGGCAAAGAGAATTAGGGAAATGAGAACTGTCAGTAGAGGAAGTGAGATTAGGCTGGCCGGGAGCTATTTGGGGTTTCTGAGTACTGATGTTACATGAAGGAATATTTGTGAGGGATAAATATTGCAGTGGGTGCATTTGAGAGCAAAACCAGATTCAGGCCCAGTTAGGGAAGGGTTTCTTAAACGTCGGCCTTTCCTATGCCATCTTCACTTTTTAATTTTTTGGTGGCCATATTTAGATATCAGCTGTGTCACTATATACTTAATATTTTCTGTAAGTTGATTTCACTTTTAAAAACTTAAATTTAGCTTTGCCCTATGCAATAAACTTATCATTGTTTACTGAATGCTTTTCTTTAAATTTAACCCCTTAAATCTTAAATAAATGTAGCCTTACCCCAAGCACTAGTACCTATGAAATCATAGGTATTCTGTGCTAGTTCTATTTTTCCAAATGCACAGTAAATTAAACCTGCGGCCATTAAAAAAATGTTGCATATGTGTGTTACCTAATGCTGTCTTGTGTACCTATGGTTCATGTGCTACACTTTTGGGAATACCCAAGGCACTGTTACAGCTTTCTAACTGTGACATGATGAAACTGAATAAATAGGAGCCAGATACATTTATTAGATACTTACTGTGTGCAAGCCCTTGTGATGGAGGAGATGAACATATGATGCAGTCCTTACTCTTAATAGATTTGGAGCAAAGCAGAGAGAGAATGGCACACCAATGAGAAAGTGAGATGTAGGCCTGACAGGTCCAATCTCTGCCATGTAAAGCAGCTTTTAGATAAGCCATCTGATATCAGCTCTGCCACTGGTCAGCTGAGTGAGCTGCCACTCTGGAACCCAAGGGTAAGCTCTCCTCAAATTCAGTTCACTTCAACAAGTATTTGCCAGATACTATATGACACTTTTGCAGATATTAAGGAAATTAAAGTGTCTTAGGGAGTGTTAAACCAGAAACCAAAGTATGAAGTGGGAGACAGAGTGGAATAAGGACTGTAAGAGAGATGCAATGACATGTATTCGGTACTTACGGGAGGAAGAGTTTATAGCCAGCTTTGGGGACCAGGGAAGGCTTCCTAGAAGATGTGTCATTTCAGATGAACTTTAAAAGATGGGATCATACAAAAGGCAGTGATGGAGGGTGTTCAGCAGAGGGAAGGGCATCATCATGACAACAGAGAGGGAAACTGAGGCACCTGTGAGGAGAAGAGCAAGTCTCCGTTGTTTGGTGGTGATGTTGGGGGCATGAAGGTGGAAAGGAAGGTTGGGGTCTTATGGATACCTTACATGCTAGGTTGAACATGGATTTATTTTCACAGATGATCAGGAGCCATGGAAGGCTACACTAGCTGGGCGTACATAATTTAAGTCAGAGGGACAAATAACTGCAAGCTAAATACTCTTAGGGAGAAACTGCAGCAATCTGGGTGAGAAACAATGAATTTGTGAGTAGTCACCATAGCAAAGGTCTGGGCTAGGGGGGCACTGGAGGAGTGAAAAAGAAAGGTTTAAATAGTCACTGAGAGGGCTGAGGACCCACTAGCCACTGGCATAGTGGAGTCAATCATTTCTCCGAAATTACGAGGAGGAGAGGTGGGGCATCTCTAAGGCGTGGAGCAGTGGAGGATGGTGATTGTATGGTAGGGGAAAGAAGATAATGATCGCAGTTCCAGTAGGTGATGGATGAGGAGGGGAAGGCGTTTTACAGATTATTCACTGGGAAAGAACAGAGGCAGTCCACACTGTAGTTAATTCCTTTTATTTTTGTCTTTAAGTATACTCAAGGATAAATAGCCATACAATTTCTGTTTGGCTTTTCATGCTGGAGAGGTGCAGAGGTTGCACTGAACGTGGACGATATTAATTTTGACTTGTACAAGGGTACTGTGTCCTGGGAACTGGCCAATAATATTCTATGAAAAGTCATTTGAGTAACTCATTTTTATACATAAAATAGGTAGTTCCTTTTCAATTTCCTTATATTTTGGGATACTTACATGCCAGGATTCCTCTATTTCAATCTCTTGTTTTCTACCTGAAAAGATCTTACGGTTGGTGGCTGTGGATGCAATTCTGCCTTTACACAGAAATGACTCTCCTGGGCATACCTTTAGGCAAAGAGCAGATGAACGCATAACGAGCAGCTTTGAGATTTGGTATTCCCACTGCAGAACGAAGAGAAGGGTGGCCCACTGGAAATTTCCTCAGAGAAACGTCTAAGTCTGCATCTCCCACATCCATTCATTTTCATGCATAGTTCTTTCATCTGTTGTTTTTTAATTTATCTATTTTATATAATGTCTATCTCTGTAGTACCTGGGATGAAATGCGCCAATCCTGACTGCAATGAATAGGGCAAAGCAATTCTTGGGAGCTGCTCTGGGCAGGAAGTGGAGGCTGAATTCTTTTAAAGGAAAATTTTTTGGGGATCGTGACTCACTGGCCTTCATCCCCATCATCACTGGGATTGGTTAAGTGCCAGGAAACAGCTGGAAGTCGACAGACAATTTAGGGTACAAATGAAAGGAGAAGTTACTGTTAAAGGGATCTGTATTCTCTGTTATCAAAACCACCAACGCTGTCTCCTAGCTAATAGGAACCAAAACTGTGCCCTGAGAATGCTGCCAGATGTTTCTCAATAGGCACGTTACGTTTTATGGTCCTGGATGCTGCACTTAAAAATAGTGTCCAATTTCAAACTCACTATTAAGTAGACACTAAACTTTTGGAATCTATTAATGGATCTAGATCTCCAACCTAGTGGCAACAAATGTTTGAAGTGAAGTTTATTGTTTTAAGTGAATTTTAAATGTGAAATGATGAGTATTTAACTTCAATTTTTTTGCATGATTTTTCCACTGTGGCAACTTTCCTTTTAAAATGATAGAACCTCATTATAATGTGGCTGATAGGAAATCTGTTTATTCATGCATATATTTATTCATTTACAAATATTTATTTACTACCTACCAGGCTCTGTGCAGTACTCCGATAAACTGGAACAAGAGCCATATTTTGTACTTTGTATGTTTCTCCAAGAGAAATGTTCTATTGTACTACATTAATTCTTAGATGCATTTTTGAATTATTTACCCTTCTGAAATCAGAATGTGTCTTACTAGCAATATGTCATAATTTAATTGGCAATTTAAATTTTCAAGAGGCACATAAGATAATGATGTGTTTTGTAATTGACAATGTCTTGATTTGATAGAAGATATTTGTACAATACTATATTGGTACCATGCTTTGGCCGATGTAATGGTCCTATTTGGAGTTCACTACTAATGTTAAGCCTCTAGTTTTAGGCGTTGATGTTGGTCCAGGGACACTAGGACTCAAATGCCCAGATGTCCAGGTCTAAGAGAGAAGAATCAGAAGGTGAATGCAGAGCCCAGTGGGTTCAAGCCATGTAGACAATAATAGCAGAATGGAGAGACATTTTCCGATGCCTCATGTCTATGCATCTTCTCTCCCTTTCTGGCCTGCCACATAAATTCATTGCAGTGCAACTCTGCCAGATATCAGAATAGAGCAGGAGGAAAGAGAAACAGCTGCAGCATGGGAGATAGGACTCATACCAAGAGAGATTAGGCTCGGTGTGTATACCTAATGATGGTAAAGTGAACAACCAGGTTACAGTGATAGCAGCAACACGCATTTATCGAGTGTCCTATCCACTTCAGAAACACTATTTTTAAATGATAACAATTCTACAAGATAAGTATTCATTGATCATCAATATTATCCTTGTTTCATGTGTAAAACTGGGGCTCAGAGAGGGTAAAAAACTTGTCCAAGGTCATACAGTTAGGAAATGGTAGAACCAGGATTCAGGCTTTGCTCCATGGGGCATCAAGGTCTGCTCCACTTCCAGTGTGCCATGCAGTTTCCCCAAATCTGAGAACATGCATTTACTTTATGTCCGGTTATGTGAGGTCTCAGAAGCCAGACAGGGCCAGAGTATGAAGAGTTACATAAAAGAGCTTCAGAATCTAATAGGGTTCCTGAGCAAGATTCTACCAATACCTGGAATAACTTCCTCTGTGTATAGCCCAGGTGCATGGACTAGACCAGATTGGGAGGGGATGGTTGCCCAGCAGGCCCAGAGAAGGAGCTGGTAGCATGGTGAGTTAAGGGCTGAGGATCAAGAATTTGTTAGTTTAATTAGACCCCCCAAAGAGCAGAAGTGCTGTTGTAGTTAAGACTCTGGAACTCAGTGATAGGATATTTTAATAAAGCCCATGATCTCAAGAGGAACTTGCTGAATGGATGAGCTCACAGTCCATAGTTGGGAGCTAATGAACAACTTTAATTATGTTTCTGATACTAGTGGAGGTGTTCTCCTGTCAATGAATTCCTTTTAGATTTTGACCCCATGTAGATCTCAAGGAAATAAATAAATAAATAAATTAGTTAATTAATTTATTTATTTTGAGATGGAGTCTAGCTCTGTCACTCATGCTGGAGTACAATGGCACGATCCCGGCCCACTGCAACCTCTGCCTCCCTGGTTCAAGCAATTCTCCTGCCTCAGCCTCCCGAGTAGCTGGGACTACAGGTGCCCGCCACCACGCCTGGCTAGTTTTTGTATTTTTAGTAGAGATGGGGTTTCACCATGTTGGCCAGGCTGGTCTCAAACTCCTGACCTCAGGTGATCTGCCTGCCTCGGCCTCCCAAAATGCTGGGATTATAGGTGAGCCACCATCTCAAGGAAATTTAAAATGTTTGGGTTTGCTACTGAAGAGCCAAGAAGAATTTTGCAAATTATGAGAAAGAGCCCAAGCTTTCAAATGTCCAAGGTGGCTATTCATATCTGGGAACTAGGAAGAATTCCAAGTTGTTCACCTATGCCTGTTTCTAATGCCTTCCCACAAGGGTGACAGAGCAAAGTTGATTTCTATTAATTTAGGGGAAATAATCTCCACTGAATGGCCAGAACAATAACCTTTCTAATGACACACAGAACAACGCTACTGTCACCCTTGTCACGGCTGTACTTGTCATCATAGGTATTTATTAGGTACTTAAATACTTGTTTGGCTCAAGATAGCTCACAAAGAGGGTCATAAAGTCTCGTTTTCTGTCTTTTAGAGTTTCCAGTATAAGAACAAATAGATGAGCAAACACATATAAGAAATACATTGAAGAGAATTAGAATATTCATGAATGTACAGTGAGAAATTCTTAACCTATACAGGGTCATAGTTGACTTCATTTAAATATTTTCTAAGGGTAGAACGCAACATTATTAGAATACCTGAGAGGGGAAGGTTGGGACCGTGCCCTTGAAGTAGCATATTAAATTTAAGAGAGGAAAGAGAAAGCTGGCAATATTTCAAGTCTGGAACTGATCCTTAAGGCAATACTTTGCTGCTGGAATTTGTATTTTAAAGACCAGCCAGAATCTCTTGTGGTCCTTTGCCCATGTAGCCCTATGAGGACGTTTGTATATTTGGATTGCTTGAGGCCTGAGTGTCATGGGCATAGGCAGAGTCATTGGATCAACCCATGTATCTGTTGCTTGACACATTGCTCTGGATACATTGTACCCAAGAAATCAGCCCAAGTGGGATCCAGCCCAAAAGAGAATTGTTGATTTTCAAAACTGAACAGTCCAGGCAAAGCTCAATCTAGGGCTCAGATCATGCATCCAGGACTGCATAGTTCTTCATTTCTTGATTCGTCTTCTTTGCATTGCTCTATTCTTAGGCAAGTTCCATCTTGGAAATCCTAAGGTGGCTGCCAAAGGCTGCAGACCCTCCTCTGTCTTCCAGATTTACATCCTTCAGGAGAGCGAAAGCTCAGTTCCCTAAGGCTGAAACAAAAGTCTTGCAATGGCATCTTTTTGGTCCTGATTGGCCTGTCTAGGGTCAGATACTCATTCTTTAATTATCATGGTGGTGATTGGGGGAATCGAATGTGCTAATTGGCTTTGCCTGGGTTGTGTGCTTCACTCATGGAACCTAAGAGAGAAGCCCAGTGAAGCCCAACTCAAGGGCTGAGAGTGGGCTGTAGTGGTTTCCCTAAACAAAATCGGTACTGTTGACATAATATGGCATGGTCATGGATGCTGAGAGAATGATGTAGAGAAAGGGTGGATGAGAATGGAAGCAGGACTAGGCACAGTGGTTCACACTTGTAACTTCAGCTACTTGGGAGGCTGAGGCAGGAGGATCGCTTGTGGCCAGGAGTTAGTGACCAGCCTGAGCAACATAGTGAGACCCTATCTCTAAAAAAATTTATTTTTAAATTAGCCAAGTGTGGTGGTGCATGCCTATAGTCCCAGCTGCTTGGGAGACTGAGGTAGGAGGATCGCTTCAGCCCAGGAGTTCAAAGTTACGGTGAGCTATGATTGCACCACTGCACACTAGCCTGGGTAAACAGAGCAAGACTCTGTCCATAAAAAAGAAGAAGGAGGAGGAGAAGGAGGCTAAGAAGAAAGGAAGTGGGTATGCTAGTTTGGAGGTATTGAAGTCCAGGCAAAGAATCATGGTGGCTTGGACAAGCAGAGTGACTGCTGAGATGGAGAGTGGTGGATGGGTTTGATTTCTAGTTTGGAGATGGAATCCACAGCATTTGCTGATGAAATACATGTTGAAGATGGTAAGGAAAATAATTAAAAATGATTCCTAGGCTTGTGGACTGAGTAACTTGGGAGGATGGTGGTAGCATTTCTTGAGATAGGTAAGAATGGAGGGTTTTTATTATTTTAAAATCAACTATGCTATTCTAGCTCTGTGGGATTTGAGAAGCCTGTTAATATCTGAGTGGGAATGTCAATTGGACAGTTGGAGACAGGAGTCTGGAATTTAGAGGGTAGAGCTGGAAATATATATTCATGGATATATGAATCCATAATGAGAAGGGGTGGCTATAGCAGTTTTTATTTTTACTTTTAAAGCCATTTAACTAGTTTATTAAATTGGCGGGCCTTCTTGAGAGTACAAACCATAAATCACTTCATTTATCTTCAACTCCTACCTTCACTCTTGCCCTGTGAGGCCAACCCTGGATGATACACCAGAAATACCTCACAGCTTTTCCAGGCACTTTAAAAATCAAATCAAGTAAAATAGAAATAAAAATTGTACTTTTTTTTCAGATATTCAAAAGTCCAGTTTTACATGAATCAAAACATCAACCTCTCATCCAATTCAAAGCTCTCTTTCAGCCGGGTGAGGTGGCTTGTTCCTGTAATCCCAGCACTTATGGGAGGCCGAGGCAGGCCATCGCTTGAGCCCAGGAGCTTGAGACCAGCCTGGTGAAACCCTGTCTCTACTGAAAATACAAAAACTAGCTGGGCGTGGTGGTGTGTGCCTGTAGTCCCAGCTACTCGGGAGGCTGAGGCACAAGAGTCACTTGAACAAGTGGGGAGGGCTTTGCAGTGAGCAGAGATCGTGCCACTGCACCCCAGCCTGGGTGACAGAGCCAGTCCCTGTCCAAAACAAAACCAAACAAGAAAACCTGTAATCCCAGCACTCTGGGAGGCCGAGGTGGGTACATCACCTCAGGTCGGCAGTTCAAGACCTGCCTGGCCAAAATGGTAAAACCCCGTCTCTACTGAAAATACAAAAAATTGGCTGGGCATTGTGGCGGGTGCCTATAATCCCAGATACTCAGGATGCTGAGGCAGGAGAATCGCTTGAACCCGGGAGGCAGAGTTTATATTGAGCCGAGATCGCGCCATTGCACTCCAGCCTGGGTGACAGAGGGAGACTCCATCTCAAACAACAACAGCAACAACAACAAAACAAAATCACAAAGCTCTCCTTTCCCTGTAGGCCAGGCCTGGCCTGAGACACTGCAGATCAGCCATGGGAAAGGGAAGGCGGGGGCCGTGGCTGTTCCTTTTCCCTCCTTGTGCACACTCCTTTCCTGCTGGCTTTGCTGCTTTTGGCTCCACCACAGTCAAGGGGCAGGGAGAAGGTGACTAGAAAGCAAGGGTGTTTTACTTAGCTGGTGCTTCTTATGGTTCTTTCTAGTCATGAAATAGTCTCTGTCTTGCAGGTGTCCAGCTTTTGTGAGTTCTTGGCCACCCTGTGAAGACCCCCAGACTTTCCTCTACAGACATGGATGATGCCCTCCCTGGCTGGTCTCTTATGACACCCCCGGCCTCTCAGCTTCTGCCTTGAGTGTACCCTGAACTTTTTTTCTCAAGTGGATGGACTTCTTGGGGAAGGCTTTTTTCTGAAGGCTTTGATGTAGCTTCTGACCCCATCCAGTGCCTACTTGGCCCAGGAGAAACCATTAGGCATCTTTGTGCTGCCATATATGGGGAAAGCACGTGACTCCACTGTTGCCTACCCTCCTCAGCCTGCATTACAGGCCAAACACTGCGCACCCATGTCTGATTTTCCCAGGGCCGTCTCATTGCACACCTCCAGAGGGCATCATTCACATGTGTTCTCCTAGAATTGCACAGTTAATGTGGCAGCCCTGAGTTCAGACAAATCTCTCATGCCCCTACCTGTAGCAGTGCATTCTATGAAGTATGCAGTTCAGCAGGCACCCAGCTGGGGTTCCAGATGCTGAGACCCCCTTCTGCCAACCCCTCTGATCTCTGAGCAGTTCTCTTTCTGCTCCTTCATTTGCCATAGTGCTGCAATGCTATGTGTTCTTTTCTGCTAAGAAATGCTTTTTCTCCAGCGAATTCTCTTATATGGCTTAGAGATCATATGCAAGCTCTGCATTGATGGATCCTCAGTCTTCAGTTTTGAGAGATCTCAGTATAAACCCCAAGACAACAGGAAAGGGCTCACTTAACATTGCCTTGTAACAGAGAAACCCTCTCTTTGAATGAAAGCTGTCAGGGAAGCTCAGTATATAAAGCAGGTGACATGGTGCTCCATTGGGGTGGTGGGGAACGAGGGGCGGGGTGCTCAAGGCTGGCTTCTGTGCACAGTTAGAAAACTCCTGTGCCTGAGAAAGCCAACCGTGGTTTCCACGACCAGGAGTTTCCCACTATTTACAGTTCTGCAGTGTTTGGCTTCTTCATGATTTTCTGCTGGTGAAAGCAATAGTTTGTACAAGACGTGTGGGAATAAAAATAGTCCAGGTGCTGCCCTTTTCCGCGGCAGAGGGACCACCTGTCAGGCTGCCCTAGTGGGCCTCTTCCCACAGCACGGTTCTGCCACTTGAATACCTCCCTGCCTGTTTCCTGACGCTGACCTAGAAGCTTCTGGTGAATGCTTTGCTTCTGCACAACTTGCATGGTGGGTGCCTTTTTTTTGTGAATGAAAAGGTCTTCCTCTGGCTCTGAATATAGCAACTGCATGACCTGCAGAAATAATTTTGTTGTTTCCTTGTGGCCATGTTAGCTTAGGGCTTTGTACCTTATAGGGACATTGGCAAGAATTTTCTCAAAAGGTTTTCATCTGTAAATTTTCATCTTTGCACATAGTAGAGAGCTTAGAACGTCAGTCTCGTTCCATCTGTTATAAGTTTTGAGGCTTTGGGCAAAGTACCTAACTTCCCTGTGCCTCGATTTCTCCATCTGTAACACTGGAGCAAGAGTAGAACCTCCATCCTGGTCTGCGGTGAGGCTTAGTGAGGGCATTCATGTGAAATGTACACAGTGCCTGGCACAGAGCAAGCACCCAGAACATGTTACTAATTGCATTAGTTTCCTCTTGCTGCTATAACAAGTTGCACAAACTGCATAGCTTAAAACAACACAAGTTTATCATATCATTCTGCATGTTAGACTTCCTAAGTGGGTCATATGGGGCTAAAATCAAGGTGTCCACAGGGCTGTTTCCTTCTGGGGGCTTTAGGGAGAATCCTTCCCTTGCCTTTTCCAGCTTCTAAAGGCTGCTCATGTTTCTTGGCTCATGGCTGCACCACTGTAACCTTTGCATCTGTCCTCACATGCCTCCTCTCTCTGGCCCTCCCGCTCCCCCTTGTGATTACACTGGACCCACCCAGATAATCCAGGATCATCTCCTGATCTCAAGATCTTAATCACATCAGCAAAATCCCTTTGTCGTGTAAAGTAGTAAAGTAATGTGCTCACAGGTTCCAGGGATCAGGACATGGACATCTTTGGGGGACCGAACATTATCCTGCTGATCCTACCAATTATTTAAAAAGTTGTCCTGTAAGTATCTACAGTGTGCCTCTGCTGTGTGCTGGGCATACAAGGTGAATAAGACACAATGCTTATGCCAAAATAGATACACAAGCACGATGCCCTTAGTAATAATCACAGTAGCTGACATTTACTGAGTATTTACTATGTGCCAGGCATTGTGCCAGGCACTTCAAGTGAATTATCTTGCTGAAATCTCACCATGGCACTAAGGGAAAGGTATAATTTCCATTTTAAGGATAAGAACACTGAGGCTTAGAGAGCTTAAGTATTTTTTCTCAAGGCCACAGAGCTAAGGACATGAGCTCAGGTCTATCTGATTCTAAGCTTGAACAATTCATCACAGCCCCCTTAAAAGATGGGTGGGTTTACCCTCAGGCTCTCTTCTTCACTGTGTGTGTAGCTAAAGATTGGCCAGCTTAAGAGGAGCAGATCACACAAGCAGCTATGATGAGGGCCAGTGGGCAGAGCTCCCAGAGGAGGCTGATGCAACATTGCTCCCATTCCTGCCATCACCCAAAGCTGCAAGTCCATGGCCCTGGCACTTGGGCAAATGTTGCCTTGTCTTCAAGTGAATCTAAAAAACTGTGTAAGGGCATGATTAATTCCACCAAACTGGATTCTCCCCAAGATCACTTACACCACACTAATGGGGCCCTGCTTCAGCCTGAGGAACTGTGTGAATAAAAGAGAAGAAGCCCAGTGAGATTCTTCTTTCATGATTAATAGAAAAACCACCTGGTGACTTTAAAAGGCAAAGAAGGAGGTACATTCAGATGAGTCAGAAAGAAAAGGCAGCATTTGAATCCTAAAGGCCATGTTACTCTTGATCTTCTCCAGGATTTCCTTTAGGGAAATGGAAATTTTTACATGGAGGGCAGAGGTGGGGTGAAGGTTGGACTGTAGACTGAGTGGTGTTATAATGAGACCAACCCGGGTGCTGGGTTGAATCATATATTCTAGATGGGAAGTTTATATTCTAATGAGGGAGACACACAGGGAATGAGCAAATCAGTACAGAATACAATCTCAGCTAGCACTAAGTTGCTTTGAGGAAAATCAAGCCAGGTGGTGGGCTAGGAAGAGACTGGAGGGGAGAATGGCCCTTCTGCAGTGGGGTGGTGAGGAAGGAAGTCCTCGCTGAGGAGGCAGCATTGAGCACTGAGAGGGAGCTACCCTGTAAGGCCCTGGGCAAGACTGTTCCAGGTTGAGGGAACAACACACGTGCAGTCCCTGAGACTAGAGCTAACTTGGACAAATGAGAAGACCAGTGTGGCTGGGCGGTATTGAGGGACAGATGGTAGGAGATGAAGGTGGAGAAGTGGGCCATGGCCAGAATTTGGGGATCTAAGGACAGGAGTTTGGAGGTTCCTCAGGGAGTTGTGGGAACCCTCTGGAAGGTTTTCAGCATGCAGTGGAGGGATCGAATTTACATTTTGGCAGGCAGGTTAGGACACTGTTGTGCAGAAACAACAATGGCTAATGGGCTGGTTGAGGTGGGAATGAAAGAAGTGGTGGAATGAAATCAGGATGTATTTGGAAGGGAGAGTTGGCTGGACTGGCTGTGGGTGTCAGGGCAGGGTGGAGCCATAGACTACTCTGGATTTTCTGTCCAAGCCCTGGATGAATAGCAGTACCATGAATTGAGATGCACAAGCCTAGGAGAAGAGGCAGAGTTGGGATGTGAATGTGTATGAGTGAAAACAAAATTTCTCTTTGAATCATGTTCAATGTGCTACTTGGACAAGCAGCTAATTGGACAACTAAGTGTAAAAATTAAATAGTGAACAATGAGTGGAACAAAACGTTAGAGCTGTACATTTTGCTTTAGAAGGGGCATACTTTTTGCTTTAGAACGTGTGGCAATCTAATACAAATGGCCAACAAACATATGAAAAAATGCTCAACATCACTAATGATAAGGGAGATGCAAATCAAAACCACAAAGCGATACTGCCTTACCCCTGCAAGAATGGCCATAATAAAAAAATCAAAAAATAATAGATGTTGGCGGGGATGTGGTGAAAAGGGAACACTTCTACACTGCTGCTGGGAATACAACCACTATGGAAAACAGTGTGGAGATTCCTTAAAGAACTAAAAGTAGAACCACCATTTGATCCAACAATCCCACTCCTGGGTGCATACCTAGAGGAAAAGAAGTCATTATACGAAAAAGATACTCATACATGCATGTTTCTAGCAACACAATTCACAATTGCAAAAATATGGAACCAGCCCAAATGCCCATCAATCAATGAGTGGATGAAGAAATTGTGATACACACACACACACACACACACACACACACACACACACACACACACACACCATGGAATACTATTCAGCCATAAAAAGGAATGAAATGATGGCATCTGCAGCAACCTGGATGGAATTGGAGACCAACATTCTAAGTGAAGTAACTCAGGAATGGAAAAACCAAACATTGTGTGTTCTTACTTATAAGTGGGAGCTAAGCTATGAGGATGCAAAGGCATCCTCATTGGACTTTGGGGACTTGGTGAAAAGGGTGGGGGCAGTGAGGGATAAAAGACAGCAAATTGGGTACAGTGTACACTGCTCGGGTGATGGGTGCACCAAAATTTCACAAGTCACCACTAAAGAGCTTAGTCATGTAACCAAACACCACCTCTTCCCCAAAAACCTACAGAAATAATAATAAAAAAGAACTTGTGGCAATCTAATTGATGATAATTGATGGTAGCATCCATGTTGGGGAAGGAAGGAAACAATGCCAAACACTATGCTAGCTGCTTCACATGTATTGTTTTTCACAGGGTGTAAGGCTTGAGAAGCATCTAGTGTCCTGTGTCAGATTATGCATTCTGGAGGCAGATTGCTAAGGTTCAAGTCCTGGCCCTGCCTGTTAGTGGCATGTTCTATGCTTTGCTTGCTTATCTGTAAAATGGAGTAATAATAATACCTTGCTTGTAAAGTTATTTTTACATTTAAATGAGTTAATGCATGTAAAGCACTTGGAATAGTGCCTGGTATTGTAATGAACAATAAATGAGCAATTTTAATGTTACTATTTTATTTTCTCCGTAGGGTGCACCTCAATAGATGGAAGAGTAGGGCATGTGATAAGGTTTGGCTGTGTTCTCATCCAAATCTCATTTTGAATTGTAGCTCCCATAATTTTCACATGTTGTGGGTGGGACCAGGTGGGAAGTAACTGAATCATGGGGGCGGTTCCCCCATACTGTTCTCGTGGTAGTGAATAAGTCTCATGAAATCTAATGGTTTTATAAGGGGTTTTCCCTTTCACTTGATTCTCATTCTCTCTTGCCTGCTGCCAAGAAAGACGTGCCTTTCACCTTCTGCCATAATTGTGAGGACTTCCCAGCCACATGGAACTGTGAGTCCATTAAGCCTCTTTTTCTTTATAAATTAATTACCCAGTCTCAGGTATGTCTTTATCAGCAGTGTCAAAACAGACTAATACAATGTGTTATAACAAGAGTGTTACTTCAGAATCTTGTTTTAACTTGTGTATTAGTCAGTGTGCAGGATGCTTGGGTTCTGTCCTGGTTTTTGCCATGTTTCCATTTTATGAGCAGTTCCTCTATCACAATATAGATGAATGCCTCTATCACAATATAGATGCAGCAATAAGTTGGGATTGCTGCATAGCCATCCCAACTTATTGGCATAAAACAAGCATTTTATTATGCTCAGATAATGTGCTTCAGGGATTCATGCAGGACACAGAGGCGATGGTTTGTCTCTATTCTGCAACGTCTGGGGCCTCACCTGGGAAGATGAGCCTCACCTGGGAAATCTACAGGTGTCTGTGGGGTTAGGGGAGGGGGCTGAAATCAACTGGAGGTATCTTGGCTCATGTGACTGGTGGTTGATTCTGGCTCTTGGCTGAGATCTCAGCGTGGCTGTTGGCTGGAACATCTGTATGTGATCACTGTGTTTCTCCACATGGGTTAGCTTGAGCTTCCTCACAGTGTGGCAGCTGGATCCTAAGAGTGAGCATCCCAAAAGAACCAGGCAGAAGCGGTGTGGTCTTTCATTATTTAGCTTTGGAGGTCACATAGTGTCACTTCTGCTTTAGTCACAAGCCTGTCCAGATTCAAGGAGAGGGAACATAGGTTCGATGTTCTCACGGGGGGAATATTAAAGTCACATAGTAAGGAGTATATGGGATAGGAGAGATTGTTGTAGCTAGTTTTGGTAAATACAGTCTTCCAGGAGGCTTAACCTGTGGGCCACTTATGAGCCTGTCTGGCTTAAAGGATCCAGTACACATCTAAATTTGGACATACTCTAAAATCAGGATCTCTTTTATTTATTAAAGAACCTGAGTAATCTTAACCTAAGTTGTATTAAAATTCAAAGATTGACTCCTTAGAACAGCTAAGCTTTCGTTCATTTAATGGGCACTGATTGAATCTTGACTCTGTGCAAGATCCTGTGCTAATGGCTGTGGGAGCATATTGAGATGCCACAAGAAGTTGGCATGCTAAAAGGTGAAGACAAATACAGATGGCTTTCAATTAACTAGTCTCTGGAGAGACAGAGGCCACTCACAACCTCTAATGATAGTTAAAATAAAACTTATTCAGGCCAGGCACAGTGGCTCAGGCCTATAATCCCAGCACTTTGGGAGGCTGAGGTGGGCGGATCACTTGAGGTCAGGAGTTCTAGACTACCCCGGCCAACATGGCGAAACCCCATCTCTACTAAAAATACAGAAATTAGCCAGGCATGGTGGTGCGCGCCTGTAATCCCAGCTACTTGGGAGGCTGAGGCATGAGAGTCGCTTGAATCCGGGAGGCAGAGGTTGCAGTGAACTAAGATGGTGCCACTGCACTCCAGCCTGGGCCACAGAGTGAGACTCCACCTCAAAAACAAACAAACAAACAAACACTATTTAAAACAAGACACAAAGTGAGTTTAATGCAAACTTATTTAGTTAGCATTGCATTTAATGTTCAGGAACACATGTTCCATTTTGTAGACTTCATTAATTACAACTAGCAGTTATTTAAGTGCTTACTAGAGACATTGAATATTCTAAGCACCCTGTGAGTATTATGTATTTAATTTGCACAATACAGTGAAGCAGTTACTTTATCGTACCCATTTTATAGATGAGAGTGAACAGTAGAGAGGTTCTCATTTTGATGGTTAATATTGTCAACTTGATTGGATTTAAGGATGCAAAGTATTGTTTCTGGGTGTGTCTGTGAGGGTGTTGTAGGGGAGATTAACATTTGAGCCAGTGGACTGGAGAGGAAGACCCACCCTTAATCTGGGTGGGCACCATCCCCTTGGCTGCCAGCACGGCTAAAAAAAGCAGGCAGAAGAAGGTGGAATGAGCAGACTCGCTGAGTCTTCCAGCTTTCATCTTTCTCCCGTGCTGGATGCTTCCTGCCCTCCAACATCAGACTCCAAGTTGTTTAGCTTTTGGACTCTTGGACTTACACCAGTGGTTTGCCAGGGGCTCTCAGACTTTTGGCCACAGTGCACTGTCGGCTTCCCTACGTTTGAGTTTTTGGGACTTGGGCTGTCTTCTTTGCTCCTCAGCTTGCAGATGGCCTATTGTGGGACACCTTGTGATCATGTGAGTCAATACTCCTTAATAAATTCCCTTTCATATGTACATCTATCCTATTAGTTCTGTCTTTCTCGAGAGCCCTGACTAATGCAGTCATGGAGGCTGGCGTTTGTACCCAGGGTCTCCCAGTCCCCAGGTGCATGCTCAATGTGACAGGGCTAGTTAGTGCAAAGCCGGCACTAGAATCCAGGTTCTGGATTTTCTTCTTGGTGTTCTTTCCTCTAGACTTGAGGTTTTGAATTGTGTTCCTGAATCTTTTGGGTCCTAAAAAAGTCTTGGGACCTGCTGCAGGGGTTGAGAAGAAGCAAAGCTCATGTGACTCTAGGCCCTTACTCCAAAGTCCAACCAAGTAGCATGCTTTGAGGTAAATTATATTGTGTTAAACTTAATATATGATACATAGTATAATGCAATACTTAATATATATTTAATATATTTGTAACATACAAAATACAATATCCAAGAGCAGTATGGAACACCAAAAGGTGTTCAGACTTTTTTTTTTGAGACAGTCTCGCTCTGTCACCAGGCTGGAGTGTGGTGGTGCAATCTCAGCTCACTGCAACCTCTGCCTCCCTGGTTCAAGCAATTCTCCTGCCTCAGCCTCCTGAGTAGCTGGGACTACAGGTGCCCACCACCATGCCTGGCTAATTTTTTTTTGTATTTTTGGTAGAGACGGG
Source organism: Homo sapiens (assembly GCF_000001405.40). NCBI lineage: Eukaryota > Metazoa > Chordata > Mammalia > Primates > Hominidae > Homo > Homo sapiens. The sequence goes on along the minus strand of NC_000014.9, from coordinate 88,283,735 downwards.
GTTTCACCATGTTGGCCAGGATGGTCTCGATCTCTTGACCTCGTGATCCACCTGCCTTGGCCTCCCAAAGTACTGGGATTACAGGCGTGAGCCCCTTCCTTCAAATGGAATTTTATATCTGTGTTTACATTTTCTGCTTAAAGTTTGAATTTTGTTTAATTCAATTGAATTTCCACTTAAAATGTAAACTTTTGAAACCCACACCTCTGACATATTCCACATTGCTGTTGGATATTTTTAGTTTAAAGATTTGGCCTGTAAGCTGTATCGGTATCATTATTCTAACTTCAGGCTCAAGGTCTCAGTCACTAGTTAAAGTCTTTTCTACCGGCAAATCTGTATTACCATCTACTGTGGAAGATAACCTCTAAAGTGCCCATGTAAGCACAAATCCATAAAACTAAAAGTCAAAGAAAAAAGAGAAAGAGTTTATTCCACTGTTTAAAAGTTCAGTTTGATTTAGATCTTATATCTCTTGGGTTTTCTTGACTGATTTTTTACATAAATGTGTCCCAGAAAGAGTGATCATATCGTGATCTTTGTTCCCAGTTTTCCTTTTCCACATCAAGTTTTCCTGATGGAAAGTGATTTAAAAAAACCCTTAAAGTGTGATAATCACTCTCTTCTTTAGTAGACAGTGGAGTTTAATAGATGCATACAGCAGTTGTTTACTTGTGATGAAAAGAAATGTGAATTTTCTGGTGCAAGGACATTTCTAGCTCATGTCTAAATTGCAGAGAGACCACAGTTTGACATAGTGCTGAAGCAGGTTGTAAGAGGTAGGGGTACAATGTATGTCTGCACAGGTTGTGCACTATGCGACTGTGAATGGTGTCTTCTGGAATTGTCTATGCGGAAGCACTGTCAGGAGGTCGTGGATTCCAGCCTCTGTTGATTTTTGTGCATGGGAGAGCTTGATACCAAGCCTCAAAGTACTAGGAATAAGAAGGTATTACATGCTGTAATTTTCAAGGTGGTGCCTTTCTGTACCTCCATTGCTTTTAGTTTAGGGCATTTCTTCTGCAATCTTTGGAGGGTTCCTAGGAATAAAAAAGTAGCTAGTTTGAGACAGTGTGCAATTGTGCTGAAATGGAGGACCATGGGGGTAGATGTAGTTCCCTTCATGCCAGTAGCTAATTGGCTTAGTTTGCTGATTTGTTCCAGGATATTCCCTAAAAATAGGTGTCTTCTAAGCCTCAGCTTTGGGCCTTGAGGTATGGCATGGCTATCCGCTCTCTGCTCCTGCTGAGCTAAATGCAGTCCTGAATGCCAAATATTGAGATTTGGAATTATCAAAGGACTATTAGCATCAAATTGAGAAACTCAAGCTAAATTTGCAAATTAATACAAAATCATGAACTGAGCTTCTCTTCCAGAGAACCTCTTGTAACAGAACTTGAAGGTGGCAGGATGTCTTGATAGAGCGTGGATTTTAGAGCTGGATGCATGCTGGGCTTATATCCTGGTTCCAGCATTTGCCTTGGGCAAGTTATTTACAACCTCTGGTTGAGGTGGTTGGACTAGTTGATATCTATGATTCCTTTTTAAGTAAATAACTATTAGTTTTTTCATACAGTATAATTACTATATAACAAACATCTTCTTCTTTGATTTCATTCATGCATTCAAAGTATTTATTAAATGCCCTCCAATGCCGGACACCATACTAGGTACTGGGTATATAAGAGTGAACCAAATGAGCAGGGTTTCTGCCCTCAGGGAGTTGATAATCTAGTGGGGAAGGTGTTGGGGATGATGGTTCATCAATAGTAAAGAAACAAATAATATAACTACAATCATACTTGCTGTGATAGAGAATAATGGGGAGGACCTATGTATTAGTGGGGGTACTCTAGAGAAACAGAACCAATAGGATACAAACACACACACACACACACACACACAAATGTATCTTGTGTATATATATATCTATATGAGAGATATATGTATATATGTACATATGTATGTGTGTGTGTGTATGTGTATATATATATATATATATATATATGGAGAGAGAGAGAGAGATTTATTTATTTTAAGAAATTGACTCACACAATTATGGACAGGTCCCAAGATCTGCAGGTGAGTCAGCAAGCTGGCGACCCAGGAGAGCTGATAGTTTAGTTCCAGTGCAAGTCTGAAGGCCTGAGAACCAGGAAAGCCAATGGTATAATTCCCCTGAAAAGCCGATATTTCAGTTCAGGTCCAAAGGCAGGAAGAATTCTCTCTTACTCAGGGGAAGGTCAGCCATTTTGTTCTATTCAGGCCTCCAACCGATAGGATGTGGACCACCTATGTCGTGGGAGAAATCTGCTTTACTCACTCTGCTAACTTAAATATGAATCCCATCAGAAAGCACCCTCACAGAAGTACCCAGAATAATGTTTGACCAAATATCTAAGCATCCTCTGACACAGTCAAGTTGTCACATAAAATGAACTATCCTAGGCTACTTAGAGTAGTCAGAAGATACCTCTCTGACATGGTAACATTTAAACTGAGACCCAAAGAATGGGAAGGAGCCAGCCGTGGAAGAATGGGGGACAGGCCTTCCAGGCAGAAAGAAACTGAGTGGTAACCGAGTGGAAACTGAATGGAAACTGGAGTCCAGAGGGAAAAGGGGCATGTTGTGAGATGAAATTAGAGAGGGGACAGAGGCTTTACTGTCAGACCTTGGAAGCCATGATAAGGGGCTTGCATTTTATTCTAGATGCAACGATGAGAGGCACTGAGTTTGAGCACCTTGGAAGCCATGATAAGGGGCTTGCATTTTATTCTAGATGCAGTGATGAGAGGCACTGAAAAGTTTGAGCAAGGAGGAATGTGAGAGGATTTATGTTTCGAAAAGATTTTTCTGACTGCTCTGTGGGAGTGGGTGAGAGTGGAAAGTGGGGAGACCTGAGAGAAGGCTATGGCTGGAGCCTAGTAGGGAGCAGGTAGCCTGGATGGAGGGCCAGGGGGACAGAGGGAAGTGGATTGTTTGCAGGTCTATTTTGGCGGTAGAAATGAGAGAACTATTGGGGAGGGACAGGACAAGAGAACAGAAAGTAAGGCTGCCTCTCAGGATCCTGCCTATTTGGCTTGAACGGTTTGGGTGAACATTACTATCATTCGGGGAGGTGAGACTTCCTTTTTTGGTTGGGTCAACTAACAAGCGCAATTTTCACTTACTAAGCATGAGACACACCTGAGGTATCCAAATGAAACTCAATAGTAGGCAATTGGGTGTGTGAAGCTGGAGTTCCAAGGACATTTTGGGTCTGGGTGTATAGACCTGGGAGCCATCAGCATGTAGGTAGGGATTACACAGGGAGAGGATATAGAACAAAAGGGGTGCAGAAAATAACCCACGGAAGTCCAGTGTTTAGGCAGAAGAAGAAGTATCTGCAGAGTGGATTTAAAAAGACCCAACGAGAGAGGGTGGAGGAAAGCCTTGAGAGTGTGATATCACAGAGGCTGTAAGCAGGGAGCTTTTTAAGAAGGAGCAAGTTCTCCTGTGCAGAATATTGCTGAGAGGACAAGTGATGTGTGGCCGTGTTGGTGTCCCCTGTGTCGGTAGCAGAGATCGTTAGCAGAGCAGTTTCAGTGGAGTGACAGGAGAGGAAGACCAGTAGATTTTATGCAGTTTTAGGATGGGTATCACCCAGTGTATTAGTCCATTTTCACGCTGCTGATAAAGACATAACCAAGACCGGGAAGGAGAGGTTTAATTGGACTTACAGTTCCGCATGGCTGGGGAGGCCCCAGAATCATGGTGGGAGGTGAAAGGCACTTCTTACATGGCAGCAGCAAGAGAAAATGAGGAAGAAGCAAAAGTGGAAACCCCTGATAAACCCATCAGATCTCATGAGACTTATTCGTTATCATGAGAATATCATGGGAAAGACTGGCCCCCATGATTCAATTACCTCCCCCTGGGTTCCTCCCACAACACATGGGAATTCTGGGAGATACAGTTCAAGTTGAGACTTGGGTGGGAACACAGCCAAATCATATCACCCAGTTTAGTACTTCACTATGTTTTTGGCCAATTATGTTGGGTAGGGGATGGTTGTGCTCCTCCTGTCCCTTACCTTAGAGCTGGCAGATAAAATACCAGATATCCAGTTAAATTTGAATTTCAGAAAACTTTTTAAAAAAGTATAAGTATATCCCAAATATTGCATGGGATATACTTACCCTTTAAAAATTTTGTTGCTATTGTTTATCTGCAATTCAAATTTCACTGGGTGTCCTGTATTTTTGTTTCCTGAATCTGGTAGCACACATTGAATTGCACCCTTTAAAATGGCTAGAATAGGGAATTTTATGTTATGTGCATTGTAACACACACACACACACACACACACACACACACACACACACACACACGTATCTGGCAATTCTCCCTTAACTAAACTACCATGTAGAAGCTACCATGCGATGCAGTCTATTTCTAGGTTTAGCCACAAGGGTCAATAAGAAAATCTGACCTCAAAGGAAATTATGTCTGGTGATGGTTAATGCTTCTACTAAGTTCCCTTAGAGCATAGGATGCTGAGCCCATAGTAGGACCTCATCAAATGCTGGTTTGATAGAAATTGCATTTGGGGAAAATTAGCAGCTGTTGATAACTGAATGGAAAGAAATGAACTACCCTGGTACCTGTGGTACAACTTAAAGAACACCATGAAATGGGCCTCATGGGAGGTTCTCAATGAATTCAGTGGCGTGGCACTTTTGGGCATGCTTTTGGAACCAAGTACTTACTCCATGTGCCTGTGAGTTTGGCACCTCTCATGGCAGCCCAAGTGCAACTGGTTTCTGAGGGGCCATTAAAAATCTCCCAATGGCAGACAACTCTCAGACATGCCTGCAAATTCCAAGACAGCCAGGCTGATCATCTGCTACTTTAATTGGTTATACCAGTTTTTATGCCTTTGTTTCTCCTCCTTTCTGTGAGGTGGAGGAAACATAACCACAAGACTGTTTCCAGTGACCTCTTCAGAGGCAATTTCCAAGCAATTAAGTATGGGTTGAATCCAAAGTGTATTGATGAATTAAATTCTGTTCCTTGGCTGAAGATTCTGTTCCTTGGCTGACACCTGAACTCAAAGGTTAGATTGAACTATCTAGGAAAACGGTTTTTCTCTTGTGTTTTCCTGCAGGCTTTGCTGTTTACGAAGATCTTGCATCAACACTTAGCATTCACTCACATGGCAAGCTTGCATGTGGTACTTTCATTCCACATTAATTTAGGGAACTCTACTATGTGCCAGCATTCAATATCCAATTTGTCTTAGATTTTCGAATAGTGTCCCACAATTTTATAACTGGGGAGTTCCTTGAATGGAAATATGTTCACAGTGGCTGCTTAATTGTGACTAACCCATCACATAGAGACTGCTTTGGTAATAGATTTGATTCTGAGGGTCTAGGAGAAGGGACACTTCTCATATGGGGAAGACGGGATTAATCCTTGAAAATGATACTGAAGCCAACTTCTGTACCAGTATAGCAGCTTAGCAGACTTCTATATGATCCATGTAAGGGTCTGTTTGCTCTCTGAGATTTTGGGTGCCTTCTCTAGCCCCTGAGTGCTGGGCTTCTTCTGAATTCCATAGGGGTGGAGGTGAAGATACCGCCAGCTCTCACCCAACTCATCCATTCCTGGACAGCAGGGATTCTGCTCATCACCTTGGTGCCTCCGATGCCTGAAGCACAATAGGCCCTCAGCAAACATTTGTTGAATTCATGCCATGAACATTAATCGAGCCCTTTTTATACACTGTGCACTGGGATTGGGACCATGGAAAATTTAGAGAGGAAAAGGTCCACCTTCAAGGGGCATCTAGAGGAACTTATCCTCTAGCAGGAGAAATTGCTAATGAGAAAAGGTATTTTGGGGAGTGGAGTGAGGTGTTGGTCTAGCTGGCAGGTTCAGCCTATGCTCAGTGGCTCTCTGGTATGGAAAATTCCTCAGAATGTTGATTCAGCCATAGATTTCTCTGGCAGCACTGACTCTTGCCTTCCTTCGGCCACATTTTATTCCCCAAACCTAGGTGTTACTGGGAAGAGACTGAGCTGTTTTATTGAAGATAATTGACTTTCCCAGTTTTTAAGTAAGTCTGTTGATTCCTCGAAGACTTCACTAATCAGTTATGAATATTTCAAAAACACTTCCCAGTCTTCAGATGAATGGATTTGTAGGTTTTCTACATTGCTGTCTCCCTAGCCCCATGAGGAATAATGTGGGTATCCTTTTCCCTTTTAGGTTTCTCTCTTCCTCTAACCTGCGCCCACTCCCAGCCTCTGATAGATGCATTTGCAGTAAATCACAGAAATGTTGCTGATGTCAGCAGCACTGATATGCATTAGAGGAGCCACTTCAGAGGAAATTACTCAGAGGGTGATGCTGAAATGCAAAGCTGTTTGGTAGGGTATTTTGTAGAAACTGTTTTCTCCCTTTGATGGATCTTGTTTATTTTTTTTTGACTTAGTAGGCACAGTGAAGGAATAACCATCCAAATGTTTTTTTTTTTTCCATTTAAGTTTTGTATAGGAGGTTTTGGTGACTTTGAAATGAACCAGGAGCACTGAGCAGCTACACTGACAAATGGAGATGGCTGAGGCTGCTTGCAAAGCAGTGTGTTGGGGTGTGGAGCCTCCATGTCAGTGACCTGGGGAAAGGCAACAGTGAGGGCACACCTCATTCTACAGAAATGGTTTAAAAATATACATATGATACCCCACTTTTGATGCACACAGACTGTGCTGTTTAAATGCTTTCGATGGAAAATCCTTTTGTAAAGTACACGTCTATCTTGCAGAGTAGGATTTCTGTATATGATCTCAGGTTTGTTTATAGGGAGGTACACTTGGATGTCTTCATGACATTTATCATGACAGCTGTAGCTGAGCAGAGAAAGAGGGCAGGACTGCCATGGGGCATCAAGGGCCATTTGAAGAAGGAAATGGTGGACTGAGAGTGATAGCGACCTGTGAGGCTGCCTGGTTTCTGTAGCAGTGTTCAGCAGCCTGTGACTCTGAGCAGAGAGAAGGAATATTATACAGGGATATTTCCAGGTAGCTCCAGGAAAAGACAAAAGGGGAGGAAGTTGAGTCTGTTAGCTAAAGAGCAGTGTTGAATATGGGATCCAAGTTGGGTGGAGAAGAGAAAGAGAACACAGGGAGGGTAGGATGACAGGAGAAAGTAGAGGCAGGGTATGATGTGGGAGCGATGAGGGTAGCAAGCTGGAAAGAGAGGATGATCTAGTCAATGTCTTAGTGTGCCTTAGGGCTACTATAATGAAATACCATAGACTGAGTAGCTTTTGCACAACAGAAATTTATTTCTCATGGTTCTGGAGGCTGGGAAGATCAAGATATCAAGGCAGATTCAGTGTCTGGCAAGGATCTGGTACCTGATTGACAGACAGCTGTCTTCCTGCTGTGTCCTCACTCGGTGGAAGGACCAAGAGATCTCTCTGGGTTCTCTTTTATAAGGGCATGAATCCAATTCATGAGGGCTCAGCCCTCACCATCTAATCACCCCCCAAAGCCCCCACCTCCTAATCCCGTCACATTGAGGGTTAGATTTCAGTGTGTGAATTTTGGGGGACACAAAAATTCAGACCGTAGCAGTAATCGCTTCAACTGAGTATTGAGACAGTTCTTGTGGTAACAAGGTTTAGGGTGTGGCCATAGGGAGACTCAGCTGTAGTGGAGCTGTTGGGGCTGTGCCAAGGTCACCCAGATCCGTTTTGTTCTGTGCACCTGTCCTTTAGCTTCTGGGGGCTTCTCTCTTTCTGGCCTGTACCTACAGCCTTTTTCAGAGGACTCTCCTTGGTCTACCGGAGCCTATTTTCAGGATGTTCCTAGGAGTTTTTTGAGATGGAGTCTCCCTCTGTCGCCCAGGCTGGAGTGCAGCGGCACAATCTCAGCTCACTCCAACCTCCACCTCCTAGGTTCAAGCCATTCTCCAGCCTCAGCCTCCCAAGTAGCTTAGATTACAAGCATGCACCACTATGCCTGGCTAATTTTTTTTTTTTTTTTTTTTTTTTGTATTTTTAGCAGAGCTGGGACTTCGCCATGTTGGCCAGGCTGGTCTCAAACTCCTGACCTCAGGTGATCCCCTGCCTCGGCCTCACAAAGTGCTGGGATGACAAGCATGAGCCACTGCGCCTGGCCATCCTAGGAGTTTGTATCACCCACTCCTTCACGGTTTGTCTGGAGGGATCTCCTAAATAAATAACTCACAAACAAATTCTCATCCGGGATCTGCTTCTGGGATACCTGCCCTGAGTTAGTGGTTGAGATGGAATGGAGATGATGGCAATGGTGATAAATTCAAGGAAATGGGAGGCTTGGGTCTTGGCTGGGTTGTGTGTGGGATGCTGAAGTCACTTAGGAGGGAAACAGGACCCAGAGAGAAGGCTGCAGGAAACTGGGGGAGCAGCCAGGTCTACCACTGATGGCCACGGGGAAGAGTAGGAAGTGGAGGAGCCAGAGGGCTGGGGTCTCAGAGGAACTGCGGGTTTGACACAAGAATATGGGGTATTGGTTTTCCAGGACAATGTGACCCTGATGTTGTGGGCGAGGGAGACTGAACAGCCCCTACCCCAGAGTCACACTGACAGCACAGTGTCCTCAGGGAAAGCCCAGGTATCAGGAGAAAAGGCGCAGGAAGGGGCCCTGAAGAGGCTGGGGGCATGAGGGAGTCTTCAGATCTTCAGCAGGGGCCCCTGAGGCATCTTTGGAATGGTTTGGGGTAGGGGTGAGGGGAAGGTTGGATCAGAGGGGAGGAGGCTGAGAGCAGAAGAGAGAACAAAGCTACACCAAGTGGCCTCACTGGCCTCACACTTCTCAGAATTGGTCCCTTCAGACCCGGTGGTGGGTGGCTTGGCAGCCTGGATGTGGGGTGTGGAGATTGGTACTACTCCTGGCACACAGGGGGCATGCATTGGTTGAATAAACAAATGAATGACACATCAAGTTTGTAGATGCCCCACCTTTTCATCATTCTGAACCATTGTCACTTCCATGTATTTTATGGTCTGATAAATATGGAATTAATCGAAGTACCTCTAGCTATTTGTTATCACCATTATTGGGTGGGACACAGCGAACAGATTTCTTAAAGCTAGGGAATTATGCAATAGGACATGTTACGGACTTAAGCCATAAGATCTTTTTTTTTTTTTTTTTAGATAGAGTCTCACTCTGTCACCCAGGCTAAAGTGCAGTGGTGCAATGTCGACTCACTGCAACCTCCTCCTCCCAATTCTCCTGCCTCAGCCTCCTGAGTAGCTGGAATTACAGCGTGCGCCACCATGCCTGGCTAATTTTTGTATTTTTAGTAGAGACAGGGTTTTGGCATGTTGGCCAGGCTGGTTTGGAAAGGATCTTTCTAATAGGCCAAAAAATATTTTTCAGTTTTGCTTTCTACTGTGGATCTGTAGATCCACAGTATAACTACTTATGGTCTATTTGCTTGTGATTGCAGATACTGAAGGAGTTTGCTGGGAAGGGAGAAGTGTGTGTGGAAGAAGAGGGGAGGGCTGGAGAAGTGAGATGAGCCCTGAGCACACGGGACATTGGAGGCCAGGGAAAGAACCATGGCGGTGCTTGTGGAGTTTTAATAGGTGCAAGCTGGGAATTTCAGAAGGCTCACCTGGCTGCTGAGTGGAGCCTAGGGCAGGGTGGGGGGTGGGGGGAGACCCCTCCGGGAGCCAGTGAGGAGAGATAACTGCTTTTGACAAGACACCTGGGAAAGACATCTGGAAGGAATGGCGTTGACAATAAGATTTAAAACCCTTGGCCCCAGGGAAAGGGGATATTTTGAGAACTATGACTGCTTGTATTACTTTTAATCCCAAGAGGAGGATAAAGGTCTTTCCTGTATAAAGTGCGCTAGTTAATTTAAATTGTGGAGGAAAAAACTTAGGGCAAGAGACAGAATATGATATTCAGGAAGCATTTTGGAAAAAGACACAAGGAACCCCAGCTGTGGCTGTGTGCACCTTTAGGGCCTTGATCATGGAGGCAGGATAAAGAAGTCCATCTCGTCAACATGGCGGAGTCAGAGTCTATTGGGAGAATCACGAGGTAGGCAGCTCTAAATCCCAAAAGATGGTGGTCCAGTCGGATATGCCTGGGCTGCTCTGACCAGCTCAGCACACACAAGGAATAGCTCTGGTCCTGGGCAATTTGTGCCCTGGGTCGGAGGGTGAGAGTTTATTTTATCGGAACAATAAAGGCATCCCACCTGCTACCAGGAGCAACCAAAAATGCTCAGAAGTTCTGGAACAGGAGTGCTGTTGAACAGGGTTTCCTGGCAGCCCGAGATAGAAAGTGGTAAAAACAGCAAAATGCTGCTATGGTATAGTACTGAAGTCATCAGGCACACACTGAGACTTCCTGTGGGTCAGGCCTTGTGAATGGTGCTGGAGACAGAGACTGGGATAAGATCTACCATCTCTGATGCTGACGCCCAGCCCAGTTCTCCCCTTTTCCTCTCTAGTTTTTTCTTTCTCTGTCATGCATCCCCCTCCCTTTGCTGTCCCTTAAATGTTGCTCCCTTGAGCATCATCTTTTACTCTCTTCTCATTTTACATCTCCCTCTGGACCACTTCATCCAGTCCTGTGGCTTCAGTACCACTTACATACTCATCACTCTTAAATCTAGGGATTCAGCTAGATTATTCCCCTGAGTTCTGGTCCCTTATGCCTCATGTTAACTGGATAGCTCCACCTGGATGGGCTACAGGAGCTGCACACCTAACTCTCCTGCATTTTCTGTCTTGCAGAGCATGATACTGTTATAAGCTTATAAGAGTCATCCCAGACGCCTCCTTTCTTCCTTTGCATCCATCACTAGGACCCGCACATTTTACTTCCTTAACACGCCTTGTCTCTGACTCCTCCTCTGCTGCTGCCTGAGTTGAGGCCTCATAATACATTCCAGTAAACTCCTACCCACACCCCCCACAGACGATCTCTCACTTGCTGCATGTCTCTTACGCACTGCTGCCAGAGTCAGCTTGCTAAACCCAGGTCTGACCCCCTGGCTCTTCTCCCTGTGTTAGCCTTGATGGCTTCCCACGCTCATTAATAAGACCAACAAGAGCCACACTCTCTCCTCTGCTTGTCTTTGCAGCTTTATTTTGGTGTAGCCATCTTCACACCCTCTAGTCCTGACACGCAGACCTGAGGTAATTTCCCAAATGCCCCAGGCTGATTCATGGCTGAGTGTCTTTGTATCTGTTGCCCCCCCATTGCTGTTCCGCCTTCCTCTCCACCTCCTTCTGCCCTCTCGCAGACACCTAATGCCCTTTCCACACCAGTGGGCACCTTGTCTTTGCATTCTCGTCTCCTCTTCGGTGGCACTGACACTCTCTCTTCATGTCTTTCTGTCCCCCACACCTCTGTCAAACACAGCATCTGCACGCTTTGTTGCATTTGCTTGCATAGAACACGTAGTTTTCTTCACCTCCTAATAATGTGGACAGCTCACGTTGATTGAGGACTTGCTTTGAACAAGGCATTGAGCAACATGCCGTACATTTTATGTTAAATCTTCCCAATAGTGCTACTGCTTCTGTCCCTTTCCAGGGAGGAGGAAGGAGGCTTGGAGAAGGGACTGTCTTTTAGGAGCCCTGCCCAGTGTTTCCTGTGGAGGGTGGGGCCATCGTGGAAGACAGACCTATGGTAGGGGTAAGCTGGGTGGCTGTTGAAGTCCAACCTTCCCCCTGCTTCCTCTAACCCTGATAACCTTGTTCTCTGGGGCCTGTCTGCTAGTGGAGAGGCTTCTGACTTTTTTTTTTTTTTTGCCATACCTTTGGTTTATAAATACAAGAAGAGATTTGGGGAAAAATCAGGGGAAACTGTCGAGCTTACAAGTCCCGAGAAGGAAGTCACTGCTCCTTTAAGTCTCATGTGAACCCCTTGTTCTCTCCCCAGCTTGTGGGGTGAAAGAAAAGCCCTTTAGTCTTTTGGGTCCTCAAATCACAGTTTATGCAGTTTGGCCCCAGTCAGAGGGACCCCAGGAAGGCAGACTCAGGGTAAATTCTGCCTGTCTTCCACCAGAGAGGGGACTCACCAAGTGTGACTCATGCCATTCAATAGAATTTTTAAAATCTCACAAGTATTTTGTACCCCTGAGTAAAAGAGAGGCTTGTAGCTCTTCATGAAGGAACAAGAAAGGCCCGAACTGAGTGTTTGGAGCCCAGTGAAGTAAAATACTGCCCTGTCTCTTGTCTGTCCACTCTAGCGCTTGTACAAACCATGAAGAACTCTCTTTGGACTGTTTGCTTTTTGAGAATGTTAACACCTTGACTCTGGATTTCTGCCTATGGGAAAAAACCACAATAGTGCCAGGGGTGCTTCCATATGCAGGATTAACTCTGCAGTCAAAGTTTCTGTTGGGCAGGTGTGTGAACTTGATACCATAAATGCTGGCCCAAAGCAAATGGGAGAATGGATGAATGAACAAATTCAGGAATGAAACAAACTGTAACCAGGGGTCTCCTAGTTGTAGGTTCTCTGCTAAACTTCATATTGAGACACAAAGGAAGGGCATCTTATAATATAATGTTGGGGGATGAGCAGTCAGCTTGGAGGTGGGGACACGTAAGGTGGGTTTTGATGTTTGAGAAGGAATTGACCAAAAAAAGAGTCAAGAGGTGAGAAGAATCTGGGAAGCGAGACCTGTTTCTCTGGGACAGGTGTGAGCGGGTCTGGGTGCTGCTGGGTTTGGCTGGGGCAAAGGTTGCTTGTGGGGGCGTGGCAGTGGGTGAGGCCTGTGAGATAGGCAGGCGCCAGGTCCTGGAAGGGAGAGTCAGGGAGCAAGGCATGGAGCCTGCACTTTACTCTGAATGTTGGTGGCGCCTTCAGAGCATTGTTAGCAAGGGTCCATGTGATCACACTGACACCTGAGAGAGTGACACACCATGTACATGGCTGGTATATGGAGGATGGATTTAAGGGGGACAGGACTGAAGGCTGTCGCAGTGATTCAGGTGAGAGAAGATGGGGTTCTGGACTAAGGGGACAGGAAAGCACAGATGTGAGATGAGGTGGCAGGCAGTTCTAGCTCCCTCTTCCCCCCAGTCTGCCTTGTTTTCCTCTTCTCATGGCTCCATAGGGTCTCAGTCATTTCATCATAGCTTGATCTCTTCCATCTGGAAGTGCAGCCTGAAATTTTGAAGACAGCAGGGAGCAATGCTTCACCCAAAGGGAGAGCCTCGGGTGGCGTTTTGGGACCATGGCTTGCTCTCTTAGTGCATACAGACTTAGTGTTACTGCCATTCTTACTGGGATCAGCTTGATTGCCTTTAAGGTAGGGCTGTCCCATGGAAACAGGGAAAACATGATTTGGTTGTTTGGGTATCTGGAACCAGAGGCAGCACAGATACTGCTCTAAGAGCTGCTGGGACAACTGGAGGCCGGTGTGGGTGGAGCACCCGAGGTGGAATCCTGCGCTCCTCATCTTTCCTGCCCTCTTCCTAACACCCTCCCTCCCCAGCGGCCTGAAGTCTGCCTATGCCTATGCAGGCTGAGCTGTAACCTGGGACTCTTTGGAAGCTCTGAGCCATCAGTGCAGGTGGCCCCGGAATGATTCCAGACCTAGAGTAGGGGTGGGAGGTCGGCTGCGGGGAGGGGGGAGGTGAGAGGAGGCTGTCCTTTCCCTCTTGCCCGGGAGTCTGCAGTCACAGTTGCACTTTGCCTGGGTCAGTAGCAGAGTCACGCTGCTGTGTGACCGTGGCACTGAGGCAGCTGCATTTCAGGTTTCCAAGAGACTCTGAACCCTTGGAATGCCATTTGTTTCAGGTGACATGGAGGAATGGAGGCACTCGGGTTAAGTGTCTGAAGATGGATTCAAGGATGCCCCTGCTTGTTAGCTTGTCATAGGTTGCTCAGTGTCCCCTCTCTGGCCCGTAGTTTCCTCATCTATCAATGGGGGCAGATAATAATCATCACCTTACACAGAAGGTTTGGCGAAGATAAAAACAGGTTCACTGGCTGGGTGCAGTGGCTCATACTTGTAATCCCAGCACTTTAGGAGGTCGATGCTGGCAGGTCGCTTGAGGACAGGAGTTTGAGACCAGCCTGGACAATGTAGTGAGACCCCATCGCTACAAAATATTAAAAAATTAGTTGGGCATGGTGGCATATATCTGTGGTCCTAGCTACTGGGGAGGCTGGGGTGGGAGGATAGCTCAAGCCAGGAATTCGAGGTTACAGTGAGCTATAATTGTGCCACTGCACTTCAGCCTGAGTGACAGAGCAAGATCCTGTCTCAACCAAAACAAAGCAAAACAAAAACAGCTTCATGCACGTGTAAGATCTTTGTTAATTCTTCCATTAACTCTGAAGGCGGGATGCGTCTTATTAATTTATGTAGCTCCAGTGCCAAATGCAGTGCCAGGCAAACTCAGTTGTTTGTTGATTGAACGAATGAATGGATGGTGCAGTAATATCTGTGGGGCTTGAGAAAGCCTGAATAATGTCAACTTATTAAGAGCTTGTTCAACCATGAAAAAGCAGATTTCCACATGTACCCCTCCATATCACCCACATTTAGGTGAAAATGAAATATGTGCCGTATTCTTTTTTTTGAGACAGAATTTATCTCTTGTCACCCAGGCTGGAGTGCAATGGCACGATCTCGGCTCACTGCAACCTCCACCTACCTGGTTCAAGTGATTCTTCTGCCTCAGCCTCCCGAGTAGCTGGGACTACAGGTGCATGCCACCATACCCGGCTAATTTTTGTATTTTTAGTAGAGCTGGGGCTTCACCATGTTGGCCAGGTTGGTCTCGAACTCCCAGCCTCCCAAAGTGCTGGGATTACAGGTGTGAGCCACTGCGCCCAGCCATGCAGATATTCTTGAGGAAACATTTTAAAATGAAAACTAGCAGAAAGGATATTACCTTTCAACATTTCCTTTCTCATCAATTCTTGGCAGCACTTTTGCTGCCCAGTACTCTTCTGTTGGAGCTGTGAAGTGTGATAGGCCATTACTTTATAGATCCATTCATTATTGATACGTTTTGTAGGGAAGAACTCCACTGCTGTTTGGAAACTGAAGTAGTCAATCTCATAGACTGGAAAATATTTTTAATGCCTATTTGAAACAAATGTCGTTCCTATTTTTTGGGATAAAAGGGCCCTTTCCCCCTGGAATTGCTATGTTTCCTCTTTTCCTGTTCCTACACTCTGCAGAACTGACTTTGAAGTCAGATGATTCCCTTTTTAATCTGGCTTCTCTCTTTTGGGCCGCTTAACCTTGACTTAGCCATTGAACCTGTCTGGGTCTCAGTTTCTTTGTCTGTGAAGTGGGGCTGTGTTGGGCATGAGCATGCGCCTACAGGCCTCTAACTGGAGTGGGTGTTGGTGATCAGGGCCCTGGCTGCTGCCCTGATCTCCACAGCTGGGCTTGCACTGCGGGTACGTTGCTCCCGGGCTGCTCCCAGCCAGTGTCTGTGCGCAGCAAGGATACCACGGCAGGATTGTTTCTGGGAGACACAGGACTCCTCAGACAGCTAACTTCAGCTCAAGAACTCCTTGATGGGCTTGCTAAACTTCCTTAGGCTGGAAGATGCTTACCTCCTCCTTCCTTCTTTCCTTCCTTTTCCAGGGGTCAGACTTACATAGAGTCTAGTGGCTGTTCTAGCCTCCCCAACTCCCTATCATTTTCTCTCACACATGCGTTCCCCCTAATAAAATCCATGCACATTTAATCCCTTCTTGGCATCTGCTTCTGGGGGTCCTACCTGGACTCATGCAGTGTGATAATTCCTTGTAGTGAGGACCGAATGTAGTGATGTAAGCAGAGTGTTTGTCAGAGTGACAGCATGAGTAAGTGCCCAGTAGGCCATCAGGGCTCCTGTCACCTTCACCACCATCAGCACCACCATCCTCATCACCATCTGGCCAAGTTTGCTTCTTTGTTGGTTCCAGGCATGAGAACTCCAGTGGTTGATTCCAGGTCATAAGGCAACTGTATTAGGGTGAGAACAACTGTGGCTTCTAAGGAGAATAAATGGATTAATGAAAATGCCATTTAAAAATTTATCCAACTTGGCTGGATGCGGTGGCTTACGTCTGTAATCCCAGCACTTTGGGAGGCTGAGGCGGGCAGATCACCTGAGGTCAGGAGCTCAAGATCAGCCTGGCCAGCATGGTGAAACCCCGTCTCTACTAAAAATACAAAAAATCAGCCGGGCATGGTGGTGCACGCCTGTAGTCCCAGCTACTTGGGAGGCTGAGGCAGGAGAGTAGCTTGAACCCGGGAGGTGGAGGTTGCAGTGAGCCGAGATTGTGCCACTGCACTCCAGCCTGGGCGAGAGAGCAAGACTCCGTCTCAAAAAAAAAAAAAGAAAAAGAAAAAGAAAAGAATTTATCCATCTTAAGCACAATCCAGATCCTTTTCTAGCCATTGAGATGTGCAGTCTTCTTTGCCAAAACAACCAAGTCCCTTTTTAGTGAAATGCACAAAAGGTTTTGTAACATTCTGAGATCTGTGCCGGTACTCCTGACAACTACAAATATACTCCAGCCAGTAGACCAGGGCTGCTCATTTGCTGTTCCTGAGAACCCTGTGGACGTTTAGAAAAAAAGATGGCTGCTATTATTCACATTTCACAGTAAGCAAACAGAGAAACTAAGTGACAGTTTCGAGGTCATGCTGTCACTGATGGATTTGGGACTGAAACTCTGGTTTTTGCTCTGGTGCTTTGGAAGCTCAGGCATGGGTGGATTCTGTTCAAACTCTGCCCTAATGGACAGTCTCTTCGCAAACTGGCACCAGGACCTGGCCTGAAGAGACGTTTCTCAAGCCCAATTCTGCCCAGCCTCAGGGATGCTAGAAGCTTGGGAAGCATCCATGATGCAGGTCAGTGACGGAGTCCAGCCTCCACTCACCTCCATGCTCATGCTATTTATTGCATGTCAGCTGATGAGGCTTTAAGCTAATGTTGGTTACCTGGTGCTGTGGAACATGTTCCTTAAGCTGACTGGCAAGCCCCTGAGGCTGGGAGGGACTGTGCCTTATCCCCACCATACCACACCCCTTTGTGCCCATTCAGCATTAAATAAATGTTTGTTTTTGAGAGTGCTGGTGATTCCGATGGGGCTTTTGTGTGAAGGAATTATCACCACCACCACCACCACCACTGGAAAACAACATTTGCTCTATGCCAGGCACTATGCCAAGAAATTGAGATCCAATGATTAAAAGATGAACTTTCTGACTCCAAGAAGTTGATAGGCTAGTGGGGAAGATCAGCACGCTGGGCCTGCCTGGAAGAGCCCAGGACGACTTCATAGAGGAGGTAGCTTTTGGCTGAGACTAAAGAGGATGGGAGTTTTCCAGGCAGATGAGGGTGGGGAAGGGGTTACTGGCTGAGAGGACAACACCTGCAAAGGTGTGAAGGTGTGAACAGAGCACTGCTGTGTTTGAGGACCTGCTTTCAGTATTGCTGGAGTGCCAAACTGTTTGCCATTTGACGCTGCTCATCCACGTTGTCTGTGTGGTTTGGATGTGCCAGCATTCCTTCCACCCTTTATTCACTTATTCCACCATCATTGATTGTCTACCCACCATGTGCCAGGTACTGTGCAGAACACTAGGGGTGCAGAGGTGAGGGGTAGACAGGGTGCCTGCCCTCATGGAGCTTTCAATCTAATGGGAGTGCTGGACAAGGGCACAGGCTGTATCAGCAGCACAGCACAGTGAGTGCTGGGCAAGGGAGATGTATTAGTCTGTTTTCCTGCTGCTAATAAAGACATACCCAAGACTGGGTAAGTTATAAAGGAAAGAAGTTTAATGGACTCACAGTTCCATATGGCTAGGGAGGCCTCACAATCATGGTGGAGGGTAAATGAGGAGCAAAGTCACATCTTACATGGCAGCAGGCAAGAGAGCATGTGCAAGGGAACCCACCTTTATAAAACCATCAGATCTTGTGAGACTTATTCACTATCACGAGAACAGCACGGGGAAAAACCTGCCCCCATGCTTCAATTACCTCCCACGGGGTCACTCCCCCAAGATGTAAGGATTATGGGAATACAATTTAAGGTGAGATTTGGGTGGGGACACAGCCAAACCATATCAGGAAACCTGAACTAATGGAGGGCAGATTCATTTCCTGGGGCTTCCGTAGCAAATTGCCACACATGTAGTGGCTTAAAGCAGCACTAATTTATTATTGTATGGTTCTGGAAGTCAGAAGTTCAAAATCAGCCTCACTTGGCCAAAATCAAAGAGTAAGCAGTACAGGTTCCTTCGGGAGGCTCTAGGGGAGGATCCTTCCCTTGCCTTTTCCAGCTTCTAGAGGGACCACATTCCTGGGCTCATGGCTGCATCACTCCAACCTGTGTATCTGTCCTCACATCCCTTCTCTCTCTGGCCCTCCTGCTTCCTTCTTATAAGAACTCTTGTCATTATATTGAGCCCAACCATATAATCCAAGATCATCCCCCATCTCAACATTCTTAATCACATCTGCAAAGTCCCTTTTGCCATGTAAGATAACATTCATATATGTCTTGGGGATTAGGATGTGGACCTCTTTGTGGGCCATTATTCTACCTGCCCCCAAGGCAGGAGGGGAGAAGGTGCTCCCAGAAGTGATATTTAATATGAGATTTCTGGCTCAGAAGCAGGATACACATGGAAGCAGGGAGGCCCCTTGGGAGGCTGCTGGGCTGGTCCAGGCAAGATGTGACAGTGGCCTGGATGAGGCTGCTGGCCACAGGGGTAGGGAAAGGCCCAAGGGATGAAATACAGTGATGAGGCAGAATGAATGGGAGATGTGGGCAGTGGTAAAAGAAAGCCACCTTAGGCAAGGCTCACCTTCTCGGCATCAACAGGAGCAAGGGGGAAAGTGAATGCAGCGTCTTTAGGGAAAGGTTAGCAAGAACATAATGCCCAGGTTGCTGATTCTAACATATAGATCTTTCAATCAAGATTCCAGGCAATTTTGCGTTTGTGTAAATCTGAGGGAAATTTAACATGGAGTGATTTTATTGGATTGGATAATATGCCATAAAAGACTGACGTTCAGCTCGGTTTCCAAAGACAGAAACTGATTCCGAGGGCCTAGGAGGAGAGGCAGATGTTTACAAACTTAGATTCTTCTAAGCCATCACCTCTACAGCCAGGTGTTTTGAACAGGCAGTGACATAGCCTGCTCTTTGACTTTTCCAACAGTGATTGAGCAGTTTAACTCCCTGCTGGAGTGGGACTGTTTACCCCACTTAGGTAATTAGGTTTATCATCTACTAATACCTTCTTCACACAACAGCCAGCCTGCACCATGACAGAGACTATAATAAGAGTTGGAATAATAAAGGGAGAACAAAACTGAAGTGCAGTGGCTGTTCGTTGTTGCACAAGACATTTCTGTGATGCATGATAGCATTGCGTGTGCGTCATAACCCCAAACTTCCTGCCATCGCAGAAAAGCCTCCAGCTGAACCTATTTATTTCCAAAGTAATGAAATTGCCCTACAGAGAACAGGGACCTTAGAGAATTCTATGTGCTTCGAAAACCAGGAAACAGTTTTTTTCCAATGACGTCTTATTGGAAAACAATAGAAGAAAAATTCTATTACTAGTAGATCAGGAGTGGTTATGCCTAAGTCACATCTTCTATTAAGATATAACAAGCTCATCCTTTTTTCCTTTGTTTTGTGACAAGAGGACTTTTTAAGTCTCTAGACATTCATCTCTTCTCTGCTGTTGGTATCACCAGCCCTTGGTGCTTGGATAGAGTAGTTGGTTATCCCTCTCCTATTTACTTCCTCTCCAAGTTCAACAACATGTTTGTTTTTAAATCTGATGATTTGTTGTATTCCTTACACATTGTTTCAACAAGGAAGCTAAGGGAGGAGGTGAATTATAAATGGCAGAGAGATAGCTTTCAATTTGGACCCTCGTAGAAAAATGTAAGTATTTCAAACTCAGTTTATACTTTTTTTTTTTTTAAACTGGGACCCCTGGTGCTTATTTTTTAGAACTCAAATGGGTACCTAGCAACTGATCAAATTCCCTAACTGCAGGCTTGGTGAACCAGCGTTTCATCCTCACATTTGAAAGCTGGCTCAAAGAAGACATCTGTGCTTTGTTTCTGACACGTTTTGTATTTATTTATAAACAAACTCTCTTCTTCTTTGTCCCCCACCCTGACTCCTCAGTGGCCGTTCCCGCAGCAGCACCGGTGTGCCAGCCCAAGAGCGCCACTAACGGGCAACCCCCGGCTCCGGCTCCGACTCCAACTCCGCGCCTGTCCATTTCCTCCCGAGCCACAGTGGTAGCCAGGATGGAAGGCACCTCCCAAGGGGGCTTGCAGACCGTCATGAAGTGGAAGACGGTGGTTGCCATCTTTGTGGTTGTGGTGGTCTACCTTGTCACTGGCGGTCTTGTCTTCCGGGCATTGGAGCAGCCCTTTGAGAGCAGCCAGAAGAATACCATCGCCTTGGAGAAGGCGGAATTCCTGCGGGATCATGTCTGTGTGAGCCCCCAGGAGCTGGAGACGTTGATCCAGGTGAGCAGGGAGTGAGTCCATCTTAGGCCAGCTGGTGGGGTGGATGGCAGTGTTGGTTTTATCTTTCTGGGTCTCTAGTCTTGCCTTCAGTTGAGAGGCTCTTGGTGGTCAGGGAAGTTCTCTCCAGGGAGGTGACATGTGAGCTGAGACCTCCAAGAAGCGATAGTGAGGCATGTGACAGTGTGGGGGAAGGAGGGTCCATGTTCTGCATCTGGTTTTGGATGAGTGGTCAGAGGCGGCAGCAGGCCAATGGACTTTGGATTTTCAAGTTCAAGTCCACCTATGTGTGCTGATTAACTCCTTGATTCTGAACTCTGTGGAATGCTGGGATAGAACCCGAAGAAGGAAAGAATTTTAAATATGCAGATTTAGAATAAGCAGGGATATATTAACCTGTCCAAGGTCCATGAGGATGAGGTAGAGAAGAGGCCACCAGGTATGTGGGTGAAGAGGCTGTCAGTGGCCTGAGACAGCTGTTATAGTGGATTTATGGGGATGAAATAATATGGATCACAGTAGTAGTAATCATCAGGTTTGCTGTTTTTGAATACTTACTGTGTATCAGGCACTGTACTAAGGCCTTTACATACCCTGGATATTAAGGAAAAAAGATTCTTAGGAAAATGGAAGCAGAGAACTTGAACTGCAGCCTAAAGAAGCAAGGCAACACTTCTGGGCGACAGATGTGGACTTGGCAGGGGTGGACTGTGGCGGTAAGGAGCTATAGGAAAGCCAGAGAGTCATCTGTGGGGCTGCGGTGCGAGGGACTGGATCAGGAGGGTTGTGAAGTCTGAGAAGCCAGAGAGAAAAGCAGTTCCCACGAGGAAGAAAGGGAAATGGTGGAGAGCCCTGTTGGAGGGCTTCACCTTGGACGTGAAGGAGGAAGGCTGCCTCTGAGGCTGAAGTTCCACTTTCTATCCCAGACACCCTCCTGAACTACAAAGAGTGGGTTTTGGTGGAAGGCGGTGACATTTATGGAGGTGAGGGAGAGTCTCATCTTTCTGGGGGCTCTAAAGTTTGGAAGGTGGAGGGATGGAAAAGACAGCTTTTACAATTCCTTCTGGCTCTGGAAGATGCACATTAAATTCTAATGGCTGCAACAATCCAAGATAGTGTAGGATTTACCAGTCTGCGCTGTTTTCTTATTTATTTATTTCTTACCATACCAATAGAGTAGGGGAATTCTGATGCTGCTTATGATCTGGCACCTTCATAGCAATCATATTCTTGTCAGTTAGTTTTAATAATGACTTGACTCTTAAATAAATAGAAATACAAATTCTTCCCTTCCTGGGAGTAAATATGATTTCATAGCTATGCCCTATAATTCTTCTCAAAAAAATAAAATGTTAAAAATCCAAGGGCAGCATTTCATATAAGTGTTTCATAGGAAGTCAGTTCTCCAAATGGCTTTGTCTTTTTTTTTTTTCTTTTTCTTTTTTGAGACAGGGTCTCATTCTGTCACTTAGGCTGGAGTGCAGTGGTGTGATCATGGCTCATTGCAGGTTCAACTTCCTGATCGAGGTATCAGCTGATCCTTCTGCCTCAGTCTCCTGAGTAGCTGGGACTACAGGCATGTGCCACCATGCCTGGCTACTTTTTGCATTTTTTTGTAGAGACAGGTTTTCACCATGTTGCCCAGGCTGGTCTTGAATTCCTAGGCTCAAGCAATCAACCCGCCTTGGCCTCCTAAAGTGCTGGGATTACAGGTGTGAGTCACCACGCCCATCCCTTTTCTTCTTTCATGGGAAAATGCTACCACATTTGTGGTGATGAGATTTTTGTACTAATCAGTGCCAGATTTAAAGCCTAGCATGCTATAGAGAATGGAATAAACAATTCTGGAGTAGTTTTAAGTAGGAGTATAATTACATTTATACACATTGTTGTGATATGAGGTAGGATCCTTTTTAATTAGTTGTAAGACACGTCATAATAACCTGATAGGCGTTCTGAAGTGAATCTAGTATTGTGTTTGAATTTTCCTTCATTAGGCAGTAAGATCTTGAAGAAAAGGAATGCACTGTGTTACCTTTTCCTCCACATGTGACCTATGCTTTGCTTTGCCTCTAATTATTGCCCATTAGATAAATGTTTTTAGAGCAAGATATCAAAGCAAATTGTAGAACACTGGTGATGTCACAAGCTATCTGAGCTTATCCATGCATTTGTTGATTAATTCGGCATTTCCGTATTGCCCATTCTTTAACCCTCATCTTTATGAGAGAGCTCAGAGACCTGAATGAAGGACAGGGTCAGAGAGCGTGGAGGTCCTTATTCTGATGCTGCCATTAAGACTGGTGTCCTGTTTTGACCTCAAAGATTTCTCTGTGAAATGAGATATGTGTGTGTATGTGTGCGTTTGTGTGAATGTGTTTGCACATACACACGTGTGTGCATTTAAGATAATTTTATAACAATTTAAAAAGCTGCTCTTTATTAGGCATCTGTTATGAGCTGGGCATCATATACCCATTATCTCATTTAATCTTATCAACAACACTCTAAGTTCATATCACGATTCCCATTTTACAGGGGAGGAAACATCAGTTTCCTTAAAGAGGTGAGTAACTTTCCAACCACCAAAGTGGTAGAGCTGGTAGTCAGCGCAAGGTTGGACTGACTGTACACTCTCTCATCCAAATAGTCTACAGGCCCTTTAAGTAGATCTTGGTTTATAATAAGCTCCAGTCTCTTTTAAACTTGTGCTTTATGTTGAATGCTGTATTAGTCCATTCTCACTATAAAGAACTATCTGAGACTAAGCAATTTATAAAGAAAAGAGGTTTAATTGATTCACAGTTCCGCAGGCTGTGCAGGAAGCATGGCTTGGGAGGCTTCAGGAAACTTACAATCATGGCAGAAGACGAAGGGGAGGCAGGCATGTCCTATATGGCTGGAGCAGGAGGAAGAGAGAGCAAAGGGAGGGATGCTACACACTTTTAAACAACCATATCTTGGCCTGGCGCGGTGGCTTACACCTGTAATCCCAGCACTTTGGGAGGCCAAGGTGGGTGGATGACCTGAGATCAGGAGTTCGAGACCAACCTGGCCAACATGGTGAAACCCCATCTCTACCTAAAATACAAAAATTAGCCAGGCGTGGTGGTGTGCACCTGTGGTCCCAGCTACTAGGGAGGCTGAGGCAGAAGAATTGCTTGAACCTGGGAGGCAGAGGTTGCAGTGAGCCGAGATCATGCCACTGCACTCCAGCCTAGGCATCAGAGCATGACTCTCTCAAAACAAAAACAAAAACAAAAAGCCAAACAAACAGATTTCATGAGAACTCACTCACTATCACAAGAACAGCAAGAGGGAAATCTGCCCCCACCATACCCCTTCTCCTACACTGGGGATTACAATTCAACATGAGATTTGGGCAGGGACATAAATCCAAACCATATCAGACACTTTCCAGAATTTTAGCAGTCAAAAAGCATTAGATGGCCAGGTGTGGTGGTTCATGCTGGTAATCCCAGCAGCTTGGGGGGCCAAGGCGGATGGATTGCTTGAGCCCAGCAGTTCGAGACCAGTCTGGACAACATGGCAAAACCCTTTTGTACAAAAAGTTACAAAAATTAGATGGGTGTGGTGGCACACGCCTGAAGTCCCAGCTACTTGGGAGGCTGAGGTGGGAGGATCACCTGAGCCCGGGAAGTCAAGGCTGCAGTGAGCCATGATTGTGCCACAGTACTCCAGCCTGGGAAACAGAGTGAGACCTTGTCTCAGTAAGTAAATCATTAGAGTTCCTGGCTGCCTAACAGGAAGCATTTCTGTTTCTTCTCCCTATGCACATTGAGCATCAGTCCTGGACCTGGGATGCTTTTAGATCTCCATCTACTATGACTTACAGATTCATCCTTGTGTTTATCTACAGTCTTTCTCACAATATAAGTTAAGCAGGTTTAACTGCTGAATCTGTGTCAAATCATTGCACCAAATCATTACATTTTGCCCTTCAGTTCACTGATACCTTCACAAGGATGAAAGTGTCCACTCTTACAGACCAGGGAGCTTTCTCACACTTTATGCCTCTGAGCAGCACTGTATGTAGCGATCACAAGAAACACAGTATTTAAAAATAGTCTGTTTTCACATCTGGAAGGGTTTTCAGTGTGCTGTGTTTTAAGTTGGAAAGATAGTACTATTGTATCTCACCCAAGTCTGAAAGGAGTGACTGGAGAGTAGAAAGTAGATGGAAAGTATTTATTTCATCATGTCTCTTGGCTGGATTGAGTGAACCCCTCATAAAGCCAAGCTGGAATGTGTGCTTCATATTATTAATAACCAAAATAGAGTATCCAGAGAAGCATGATACCCTCAAAATGGCTGGATAGCCTAGAAGAGCCGTAGCTCTTACAGCCATCGTGGGGAGGGATTTTCCAACAAGTAAGACCACTTCATGGGGTACTGTGGGACTCCAGAGGAGAGTAATGGGCCACTATCCCTAAAGGTGAAGAAAGATGGGTTGCTGTTATGAAGGGGACATTCTCATCCATTCATTTAGTCATTCATTCATCTATCCATCCATCCACTTGTTCTCAGAATTGCTGCTGAACTCCTGCATGTATCAGGTAACATGCCAGGTGTTGGGGAGAGAAAGAAGAAGACGCGGCCGGGTTCGGTGGCTCACGCCTGTAATCCCACCACTGTGGGAGGCCGAGTCAAGCGGATCACGATGTCAGGAGTTTGAGACCAGCCTGACCAACATGGTGAAACCCTGTCTCTACTAAAAATACAAAAATTAGCTGGGCGTGGTGGCAGGTGCCTGTAATCCCAGCCACTCAGGAGGCTGAGGCAGGAGAGTTGCTTGAACCTGGGAGGCGGAGGTTACAGTGAGCTGAGATGGTGCCATTGCACTCCAGCCTGGGCAAGAGAATGAGACTCCATCTCGAAAAAAAAAAAAAAAAAGACTCACCATAAGCAAGTTACTCACCTCTTGTTTCTTCATCAATAGAATGTGGCCTCAGGGTGCTGAGAGGATTAAATGCAGTAATTCATGAGAAAGGCTTTGAACTGTGCTTGGCACACGGTAAATGCTCACAAAAGGATTATTATTGCTGCTTCTATTGCTGCTACTGTTCTTTATATTATTCAGGGAGCTCAGATTTTCAAGCAGTGGTTCTTAATGGGATGGGGTGGGGTCACCGGGGAGGGGATGGTTGCCTCTAGGGGGCATTTGGCAATGTCCGGAGACATTTTTGGTTGTTACAGCTGGGGAGGTGCTATAGACATCTAGTGGGTAGAGGCCAGGGTTGCTGCTAGACATCCTACAATGCACAGCATAGACCCCCCCTCCCACAAAGAATTATCCAGTTCAACATGCTCATAGGTTGAGAAGCACTGGAGGAAGAGGCATGTAAGCCAATAATTACAATCTTTTGGAATAGAGCTATCTGAAAGACGTCCAAAAAATGGAGCCCTAGTGAGGCAAATAGAGCTCAGAGAATATTTTGTGGTTATTTATCTCCTTCAGTCCCCACAGCTGTTCTGTGAGGATAATCTTTGGTGCCCACATACAGGCGAGGAAATGAGGCAGCAGGAGCTGAAATGATGGCTTAAGTTCACCTGGTTAGAAATGGAGGATCCAGGGTTTACTGCCAGGCAGTCTGACCACATATCCCAGGCTCTGAACCACCATGCACTGGAACAGAAACACGATATCTGGGAGGGATTCATTGGGTAGGCCATGGTTGGAGGGTATCCCAATGGCTGGCATGTGGCCCATGGGAAAATGCTAACAAGTTTGTGGTGACAAGAATGTTATACTAATCAGTTCCAGATTTGAGGCATTGAAAGTGATCAGAATGGCTTGAACTGAGAAGTATGAGAGTACGTGGAAATGAGACTGGGAAGGGGGTCGTGGGAGCTGGGCTGAGGAGGTGCTTAGAGGACCTTTATGTTGTGGAATGTCGAGTCACTGAAAGCTTTAAGCGAGGCTTGGAAGATGGAAATTGGCTGCTGAAAAAACCTTTTAGCAATGAGGAAGTTGGGTTGGAGGAAGGAGAAACGGGAAGAAGGAAGACCAGTTAGAATGTTGCAACATCACAGGTGAGGGATGCTGAGAGATAGAGAAAAGGCTATATTTAAGAAAGTTGACAGAGAAAACTTGAAAATTACTCAAACCTGACTCAGCAAAGATTTCTGCTATGTGCTGCATATCCCTGCATGGCCTGTAGCCCCCAGGACTCGGGGGTTAATCTCCCCACGTTAAATCCTATACCACTTAATGAGCTGAGTGAATTGGGCAAATATCATGTTGCCCCGGCCTCACTGCTCTTCTGTGAAATGGAGATTGCGATCACGGTGTCTACCTGTTAGACACTATGGTGGTCTGAGGATTAAACAAAAGAAGCTCAGTAACTTTGAGCTCTTGTTATTGCTGCTGCTTATTTGTTAGGGAAGGAAGAAAAAAAGAAACCAGAAAACTCCTAACTGATGCGCATCGTGGAGTTCTGCTGAGGGAAAAGAGAAGAAGGTGTCTGAAATGACTCTTGGGCTTCAAACTCTGGATTTTCTCATAGAAAAATTTTATTTCTACTGTTCAAGTGCAGAGTGCCCATCACAGAAGTCGCTCCCAGAGTGCTAGGCTGGGCTGCTCACACCATGATGCTCTGTCTTTGTGGCTTGAGCTCAGGGAATCAGCACAGCAAGTTGCTATTCCATTGAGAGGGTTTACTGTGGGCATCTAGAATGTCATCTTTATCCTTCGTCTTACTGGAGACTGTCAGTCTCACATTTATTAAGTAGACACTAGGGCCGGCTCCACTGATCTCTCTCCCCGCTGCTTCTCTGGTTTGAGGCACAGTTTCAGAGAACCTGAGGGACCCGGTGGGCTCAGGCGGCCTCAAAGCAGCAGGTCACCTGACCAGTGGAGTGACCACAGATTCCAAGGTGTGACCGAGTGAAAGGGCTTATATCCCCAATGCCTGACTGCAGTTAAACCCTAATGAGGTATGTGGATCTTCTAGAGGAAGGGCCAGGCCCCTTTAATAAGGACCCTTCTGAACAAAGAGACAAGATGCTAATCCGAATTCCACTAGGACCAAGTTTGATGTCCTAGGGCAAGCCGCTTAACCCGAGCTGGGGCTCAGCAGTTCAGCACATAGAGGACACAAAAGATGCATCCGTCTCTAGAATCTTACCCCTGAGATGTGAGGGAGTGTGCAGATGATTGTAAATGGGTAACTTCCTGCAGAGCTGGTGTAATAATAAAATATAGCTACCACTTACTGATTGTTTACTTTCCTCTAGACTCTGTTCTAAGTGCTTGAATCCTCTAGCTCATTTAACTCTTGCAAGAAGCCTACAAAGTAGGTACTTTTTTTTATTCCTTTTTTTTAAAACAGGGTCTTGCTCTCTTACCCACACTGGAGTGCAGTGGTGCAATCATGGTTCACTGTAGCCTGGAACTCCTAGGCTCAAGCAATCCTCCTGCCTCAGCCTCCTCAGAACGTTTCTGGGGGTAGGTTGGTCCAATCCCCTCAGAGTGAGCAGGTTATCTCACTCCCTGGAAGGCTGGCTTCTCCCCTGCCTCTCTTCGGTGCTTGCCTCCAGCAAGTTACTGAAGTCCTCAGAGGCCTCTCCACCGTGAAATGGACACTGTCTGTCTGTGGGACTACAGGTGGATACCACCAGACCCAGCTAATTTTTAATTTTTTTTTTTTTTTGGTAGAGACAGGGTCTCACTGTGTTGCTCGTGCTGGTCTGAAACTCCTGGCCTCAAGCAATCCTCCCACCTCAGCCTCCCAAAGTGCTGATATTACAGGTTTGAGGCACCATGCCCAGTCTGAAGTAGGTTCAATCATCATCTCATTTTATGGATGAGGAAATAAATCCCAAGAAGTTAAATAACTTGTCCAAGTCCAGACAGCCAATAAGTGATTAAACTTGGATTTGAGCCCTGGGAAGCCAGACTCCAGAGCCCACACAACTGAACCCTTGTGCCATACTGCTTACTTGCATCAATGGTGAGTATCCCCTCACTAATATGTAGACCTCTTCATAAAGCTTTTACTCCAAGGAAAAGGCTGGAGGGAGAAGGAAACATGATTCAAGAAACTGGGCTGTCTGGCATGGTGCTATAGCACTCCACGTGGGGAATATTGTGTTTTCAAAGAAAGGGTGTGTTAGAAGGGGAATGATCATGGACGTTATATCAGATAGACTTGGTCCCTCAACACCACTAAACCTAAGGCCCCTCCTCATATTAAAGGGATCACAGTCCTCATTAGGATGATTGTGGGGAGTGAGTGAACCTAGCAGAGTGCCTGGCATGTCACTGGCATCAGGAAATGCTATTTCCTTCTCCCACCCGTCTTTCTTCTCTCAAGCGAACCGAGTAGACAAAGATAATTATACCTGGAGTACTTGCATTTCTTTGGCAGTAGAATAAAGTAAATTAAATGTATTTTTGAAGTTGAGGTTTCCATGAACTTGATTTGGCGGTCACTGTGTCCCAAGAAAGCCTTTATCTTTGACGTCCTCACATGCCGCAATTGCTTATCTCCCTGTTCCCAGTGCAATTGTCTTAGAAGCTTCTATACTGACTAGTCTTGGAGAAAGCCATAAAACATTCCTCTTTTGTGATCCTCAAAGAATAAAATCGTGAGGAGCCTTCGCTGACTGACGGGGAAGCGTAGAATGAATGCTTCGGTTTGCAGGGATGATCATTGGCAGCAGTCTTTTTTCAGGTTATGAATTCTGATGTTTCCCAGATGTTTGAAGATTTTGAGTGTCTTCAGGGGAGCTCGAGTGGTCCCATGGCTGCCATTTCTTCTGGTCATAGCCTCGCTGAAGGGAATAGCATTTCACGGGAGTGGGTTTAGGGTTGGATGAGGCACCCATCGGGAAGGACATGGGATTTTTCATTCTAAGTGCCTTGCCATAAAGCAAACGACAGGGGTCTATTCCTCTCTCTCTGGAGAATGTTTCTGGGGGCAGGTTGGTCTAATCCCCTCAGAGTGAGCAGGTTATCTCACTCCCTGGTAGGCTGCCTTCTTCCTTGGCTCACTTCAGTCCTTGCCTCCAGCAAGAGGGGTCTCTCCAATGCAAAATGGTCACTGTCTGTTCATGATAGTTTTTCTGTCTGAAGAAAGTCCCGGGGCCTTCATCTGCATGGCTGGGGCTAGGTCTGGAACTGCCTGGAGCATGAGCCTTTTGGGGGGTCTCTTCCCACCTGCTTTGTCTCTCTCTCTCTCTCCCCCTCACCCTGACTGGTCCAGTGACTCTTTATGTTGGTGAACAGAAACTTTACCATTGGTTTTCACTTTATGACGTCTATGGGCTTCCCCTCTCTGCCCCCAAGATGGCGTCTCACTCTGTTGCCCAGACTGGAGTGCAATGGTGAGATCTTAGCTCACTGCAACCTCTGCCTCCTGGATTCAAGTGATTCTCCTGCCTCAGCCTCCCAAGTAGCAGGGATTACAGGCTACTTCACCACCCCAGCTAATTTTTGTATTTTTAGTAGAGACAGGGTGTTGCCAGGTTGGCCAGACTGGTCTCAAACTCCTGACCTCAGGTGATCTGCCCACCTCAGCCTCCCGAAGTTTTGGGATTACAGGTGTGAGCCACTGTGCCGGCTAAGGATTTTTTTTTTAATCCTTTCCAAATAGAGTTTCAGATACTTTGCTCAGTACTGTGTTTGATGAGTATTATTTGGCAAGATTTATTATTTT
Source organism: Homo sapiens (assembly GCF_000001405.40). Classification (NCBI taxonomy): domain Eukaryota; kingdom Metazoa; phylum Chordata; class Mammalia; order Primates; family Hominidae; genus Homo; species Homo sapiens. The sequence goes on along the minus strand of NC_000014.9, from coordinate 88,253,524 downwards.
TTCATTAAAAAATTAAAAATGACCTATAATAATTGTATGTATTTATGAGGTACCTCGTGATGTTTCCATACCTACAATGTATGATGATCAGATCCGGGAAATTAGCATATTCATCATCTCAAACATTTATCATTTCTTTGTGTTGGGAACGTTCAATATCCTCCTTTTAGCTATTTGAAACTATATACTAGATTATTGTTAACTGTAGTCCATCCTGCAGTGGTATAGAACACTAGAATTTATTCCTGTTATCTTGCTGTAATTATGTCCTGTTTAACAAATCCTTCCCTATCCTCTGCTCCCCTGACTCTTTCCAGTCAGCATTATTTATTAGGCACTGATTCTGTGCTGGCTGGGTGCTAGAGAGTTTACATATATTACTTAGCTTCATTTGCCTCTCTCCATTGCACCAAGAGGCGGCCACTGTTGCTGCCCCATTTTACAGAGGGTAAAGTTCTTGCATCTAGCTAGTGACCAAAGCAGGACTTGAGTCTAGCTAGATCTCTCTGACTCCAGAGGCCACGCTCTCTTAATCGTACTCTCCTTGGCTTGACACGGTGGGCTTAGAGAGTACATAATTGGATCAAGACAAATTCCTCCTGACGAAGGGAAAACCCACTCAAACAACATGATGAGCAGGCTCCTTTGTGACAGTTAGTGCTTGCCTTCTAACGCAGAGCTCTCTCTCCTGTCCTCTTCCTGTATTTGTAACCTTTCTGACATACAGAGAGCCTGCATGACAAGGCTGGGGTGCCAGATTGTTGGCCTCTGGCTTACTGACTCATTTTATTGGCTGTGCGCATTGGGCCTGACTCTACCATGTTTTAGTGGAGAAAGATTTAGTCTAAGATGTGGGCAGCGGCATGTGAGGAGTGGGTATTGTGCTGTGGTCCTGGGTATGAACCTTTGATGTTGTCATGGCAACCAAAGCTGCTATTCTGCAGATGAGAGGACTAGATATTATGAACTGTCAAACTGTTCTCTCCATAACCAAGGAGATGTTGGTAATCTCCTTGGTAATTTGCATGACCCATAAACATTTCCCAAGGCTGTGGCTCTGCCCTTCTGCCAAGACCCGAGTCACTCACTTGCTCACTCACTTACTCATTTGCTCACTCACTTATTCATTCTTTCATTCAACAAACTTGTTGATTGCCTACTGTGCTAGATGCTGGGATGTAATGGTGAATAAAAGACAGACATGGTCCCTGCCTTCTTGGAGCTTATAACTAGGATGACCAAATGTCCCAGGTTTTGTGGTTCTGGAGTAATTGTTAATAGTGCCCCTTTCTCTCTCAGAAGTGTCCTGGGGCTGGGCGTGGTGGCTCATGTCTATAATCTCAGCACTTTGGGAGGCTGAGGCAGGCGGATCACTTGAGCTCAGGAGTTTGAGACCAGCCTGGGCAACATGGCAAAACCCCATCTATATTAAAAAAAAAGTGTCTTGGTTTGAAATATAAAATATATAGTGACCCTACTTATAGACAGTGGGAGAGCCAAACCTTATGCATGTTATTACACAAATAATTGTAACTAAAAGCCAGATGAAAGTTGCAAAGGAGAGGGAGCTAGAGCTATGGGACACCCAAATAGGAGAACTGATTTAGTAGGACAAAGATTCCAGGCAGAGAGGGCTGAGTCAAGGCCCTGGATGGGAGGAAGCAACATGCCATGGCTGAGGACTTGAGAGAAGTGAGCAAATGTGGCCAAAGGGCATTTAGCAAAGGGAACTTAGAAAGCAATTTGGCTGGAGACAGGCAGGAGCCAAACCACGCAGGTGCTGATTCTGAATTTTATCTTAAGAGCACTGTGAAGCTTACAGTTATGTTTTCAGTAGCAGAGTGATATAATCTGGTCAATCAGTACATTGCCATTTTGGTTCTTCGTATAAACCCAAAGGGTTTTAAGTTATTTGTTCATTAATTCAATAACTAAACATTTATGGAGTGGCAACTGTGGCACTCTGCTAAGTGTTTTGCTCTGGAGTTCTGAACTCAATTGTCCTCAGTGGTGCCAAAACTCAACTCTTGGGGGAAGCCTTTATGGGCCCTTTATGTTGGGTCGTGTCCTGCTTGGCACCATTTGCCCCCCATTTGCTAGACTCTCTTGGATGACCTTTACTTTTCTCTGTCCTCTTTCCATGACTGTGAGCTCTTTGAAGTTGAATCTATGTCTTTTATCAATATATCCCTTCTGCCTGGCACAGTGGCTGGCCAATAGAAAATGCTAAAGGCTTGAGGAATGAAGGAATGGTGCTTTTTGTGTCTGTTCTTTTTTTTTTTTTTTTTTTTTGAGACAGAGTCTTGCTCTGTCTCCCAGGCTGGAGTGCCTTGGCATGATCTCAGCTCACTGCAACCTCCACCTCCTGGGTTCAAGCGATTCTTCTGCCTCGGCCTCCCTAGTAGCTGGGACTACAGGTGTGCACCACCACGCCCAGCTAATTTTTGTATTTTTAGTAGAGACGGGGTTTCATCATATTGGCCAGGCTGGTCTTGAACTCTTGACCTTGTGATCTGCCCACCTCGGCCTCCCAAAGTGCTGGGATTACAGGCATGAGCCACTGTGCCCAGCCTTTGTATCTGTTTGAAGACCAAGAGCCCTTCATTTAGAACTTTCACAGAAGGAAAGCAAAAAATTCTTTTGTTTCTGTTTTACAAGTCTTTTCTTTTTGGTCTGGTTGTCAATAGTACTTCTCTGGATCCGCCTCCTGTATTCAAGTGATTTTTCTGTCTCAGCCTCCTGAGAAGCTGGGACTACAGGGGTGTGCCACCACACCCAGCTAAGACAAAAACTCACCTTGTTGTCTTCTTTATGCATGAGCAGATTCCCTTGGTATCTATAGCCGTCGAAGCTTTACGTATTTCCCTATTTAGGGACATAAGAATTTTTAGGAAAGCAGCGTGTTGGAAAGCACGGCACCTGAGATGTTCATGGAAATCCTTGTTGTGACTTCAGAGTGCAGATCTAGAGCAGCCCTCTGTTTGTCTGCCCTGGGCCATCCCCTATTTCAAGCAGTCTTTAGTCCAGGAAGTTTAGGTAGCAGCTCAGGCAGCAGGTGAGCTCTGGAGAGTGCAGGTTCGGGTTCTTTGAGCCCAGGGGCACAACTCTGAGTTGAAGTGACTCCTCCTGGCTGTTGCTTTGAATTTAGAAGAGCTGCCCTTTCACCAGCAAGGCAGTCACGCAAAAGATGCTTCAATGTGTGCAAGATCAGGCCTGCAGCCCCCAGCCTGTGTCTACAGGCCTCCGAGTCATTATTATTACTGTTTCTATCCCTGGGGTTATTGATTTCATCACTGTTTAGTGAAGGAGATCTAAAGCTTTTAAGCCAGAAATTAAAGAGGTAATGGAAATTGGCATGCCACTGGAAAATGAATTTGCAAATGAGAATTCAATGTTCTAAAAAAACTCCCATAAAAATAAAACCAAAACCCAGAAGTGAATGCTCCTGTGACTGCATTTTTTTCCAAATGTGCATGGGTTTGTTCTCCTTTAGAGTGTGGCTGTATACATTATGGAATAATGAGATTTTGATGGTGTCTCGTTCCTACAATTGCTCTTATTACTTATCACAATACAATGTATTCATTTATATAACTAATATTTACTTAGTACCTATAATGAAGCAGGTGCTATGTTTGGCTCTAGCGATTAAAAAACAATAAAAAATGCAAGATGCCTCCACCCTGTCCTCAGGGAGCTTGAGGTTCAGTATTAATTATATCGCTAGCCAATTCTGGCATGGTGCTTACTGTGGACAGGAACTGCTCTAAATGCTTCACGTGTAGTAACTCATTTAAATTTTACATTGATCCTATGAAGTGGGGTAAGCAACAGAGGAACAGAGAAGTTAAATAACTTGCCCAAGCTGAAGTGAGAGGTGGAACTGTGATCCGGCCAAGGCAGTCCGGCTCTAGAATCCATGGTTTTTAGCCATGATGCTCTACTCTAGTGGATAGTTACAGCCCAGTAGCTATTGGTTACTAGATTGGTTCTAGAAGACAAGGAAGCACTCAGGTCCTTAGTCACAGAGCAGGAGTCTCTGACTCAACCTATGGGACCCCCAAGAGGACCTTCATTCACCTGTGAGTCAACTGCAGTGAGTCGTGATTACCTCCTGGTTGTCCTTTAGAGTGGCAGGGCTTTGTGTCTTAACATAAGGTGTTGAAGCTGGGTCACCCTTTTCGATCTAAAACCAATGTCCATGGGTTATCATTCAGGTCTGCAATTAAGAGTAGCTTGTCACTTTATATTGGGAACATTTATTTTTCCTTCCTTCTCTATGGAAATGGGCAGAAGAGATGAAAAGCCTGCTGGTGCAGCTTAACTTTCCTCAGTAAGTGAGTGTTTAACCTTTTGTTTTTTTAAAAATGGAGATGAGACATACAAATTATGACTTCTCTATGTTGTCCTTTTTTTTAGTTGGAAGAAGGTGACATGACAGATGAGCTTTAGAAAAATGTTTAGAAGGTGAACAGAGAACTATTCGTGGAAGATAGAAGGCTAGAGTTAAAAGAGAGGACTTTTAACCAGTCTCAGCTCTGACACTTCCTAACTACTATAACCTCACAGGATTTTGTGAGGACTAAATAGGATAATAAGGCGGAGTCTGCCACATTGCAAGTGCTGGCAGCTATGATTAATTTTAGGAGTATTCTAGAACTTTCCCTGAAGTTTCTAGCATTGTCTGCACTTCCTTGTTTCTCCCCTTATCAAACTATGCTCAGGGAGATTTGGTGACTCATTCTTAAGGAGGCACAGAAAATGATTTTTTTTTTTTTTGGCACAGAATCTTGTTCTGTAAAGGGCAGTCTTGCTCTGTGGAGGCTGGAGTAAAGTAGCACGATCATGGCTTACTGCAGCCTCTGCTTCCTGGGCTCCAACGATCCTCCCACCTGAACCTCCCGAGTGGCTAGGACTACAGGCATGCACCACCATACCTGTGTAATTTTTGTATTTTTTGTAGAGATGGGATTTTGCCATGTTGCCCAGGCTGGCCTTGAACTCCTGCGCTCAAGCAATCCTCCTGTCTCAGCCTCCCAAAGTATGGGGATTATTGGCATGAACTACCATGCCCAGCTGGAAATGAAATCTTAATTTGTGATTAATATTGATCACTCAAAAGCAACAAAGAGCCCTAAGGTAAATAGCTACAATAAAAGCAAGATAGCAGAAGCCTCTCTTTTTCATGATGTTATTAATCATCTAAATATTAAATTTCAGGCTCTGTTCAATGCAATGGCAATGGAAGGAATAGTAACCTTCCATTTAGTGCACAGTGTAATGAATCAGAATTCTTGTAGCTGCTTTTGTAGTCCAGTACAGTTTTTTAAAAATAGAAATTGGATAGACCCATTTTTAATGGGAATGATCTCAAGTGCAGAGAGAGCAAGGCATATATCAGACACTCTCCTCAGGACCAGGGCAATTTTTCAACATCAGTTGGCAAATTTGTTATTCTGCCTGTAGAGTGTAAGTCCAAACTGAGATGAAAGAGTGACAGCTTGTTAGTCTGAAAGTTTATTGATCATATCAAAGTATACACATCTATCCCTGATTCCTTAGTGGACTTGATACTTTCCTCGTGGTTTAAAATTTGTCTTATTTCATCCTTCCATGTAGTCAAAGAGAGACAGAGGAAATGCATTTTCCATCATAAGGCACAATTTGGAAGCTACAAGAGTGCCCCCAAATATGGCCTGGTCTCATAAGATAATATTTAGATAGATTAGTCGTTAGTGAATACCCAAGGGGCTAATGAATTGAGTCTCAGAAATCCCCATTGTAAGGGATTAACTTGTAGTAGCAAGGAAAGCTAGCGTGTCTAAGACCATACGCCATGAGCAAGCATGCTAGCCCATCCTGGGTTTCTCTCTCCTCTTCTCCAAACAGATTCTCCACTTGCCCTGTCCTTTCTGCCAGTGGCCTTCACTTTAGATTTATAACTAGGCTGTAAAGTTCTAATGAAAACTTGCTGCCTGGCTCCCTGAGGACCTGAGGAAAGGCTAATATTTGCACATAACTGGGTACTTAGGGCAGTAGGAAAATACACGTCATTGTAATATCCACCACAGCACTGAAGGTGCCTCTTTCTTTACCTTTTTATGGTCTGGTCTGCTTTTTATGAGGGACTCTGAGGTGGTGTGGCAGTTAGGAAGGCCACTTGATTGGGGTGTGTCCACTCAGGTCAGCCCAGGCTTGACTGCCATATTGGCTGTGTCTGGGTGGGAGGTAAAGGCACACGTGCGTCAGCCTGCATTCTCTTCCCTTCGTCCTATTGCAGGTAGCTGGGTGTCCCAGGCTGGGTGTGAGCCAGCCTGCCCTTCCCAGATGTGGGAAGCTGTGCGTCTGAGATAGAGAAAAAAGAACTCAAAGTAGAGAGAAGCGCCTTTGCAGAGTTCAGGATGGTGAACTTCCTGTTGACAATTCTAAGAGCATTGTTTGCTAGCTTTGCTGCGCACCAGATGTGTACTGTACACACAGCACTTTACCATTCTCAGTGTCATGAGTCCCTTGGGGGCAGCAGTGTTGCCCACTGTACTAGGTCCTCACCAGGGCTGAGTTAATCTGTACTCTAGGAAGTGCTCCGAAAGGGTTCCTGTTACTAATACTCCTGAATAAGAAATGACAAGGCACAGTGCCTGAAGTCTTATGTTCATTTTTAGACAACTCTGACAACAACCTTGTATGGAAGGTATTAGTCCTCATTTTATAGATGAGGAAATCAAGGTTCAGAGAAGCTGAACAGCTTGCAAGGCTGAATGGTTACCGCTTTATCCAAGAACTTTCCCTGTTGCAAGAGTAATGTATGAGGTGCTCCCACTGTCTTCCTCTGCACTGAATCCAAGACATCTCTGAATCAGCCACAAAAGTGCCTCACTGGGTGTGGCCCCAGAAATCCTCTCTGAGACCCTCCCATGGTTGTTTGAAATATTGTGAACTCACCTTGCCCTTGGAAGATTCACTTGTGTGGCTGTGGAATATTTATATGTGAAATACTTCTGAAGCAGGTGAAAGAAAAAGTAATTGTGGCAAGCAAATTAAATATTGTCTTTCCACTTCAAACCCGAGGCTCTTCGGCCATAAATGTGTGAGGAGGTGGAGAGATGTTGCTGCCCTGCTGCTGGGGTTTTGAATCATTAGGGGCATTTTTGAGTAGTAATGAATGTGGTCTGCCAGTTGCCTTTCTCACAGAGTTTGTGGCTTTCCTCCCAACTGCTAATGGCTGGAATAGGCTCCCTTTTTTTTTTTTTTTTTTTTTTTCTGAGACGGAGTCTCGCTCTGTCCCCCAGGCTGGAGTGCAGTGGCGCGATCTGGGCTCACCGCAAGCTCAGCCTCCCTGGTTCATGCCATTCTCCTGCCTCAGCCTCCCGAGTAGCTGGGACTACAGGCGCCCGCCACCATCCTGGCTAACACGGTGAAACCCCGTCTCTACTAAAAATAGGCTCACTTTTAATACATTTTAGAAACCACTTTCCACATTCATGCCCTCATCCTGCCTCAATCCCTGGCTAAATCTCCAATTCATAATCCCTTTGCTGACTGTGCCGTTCAGGGAGTAAGAACGTGGTGGACGCAGCCACCATTGTACCCTCAGATGAAGTCCTTTCTCGAGAGACAAACAGTCTGTTAGTAAAATGACCATACATCCTGGGTTGCACCTGTCCTGTGGTCCCAGCATAGCTGTTAACAGAGCTACCTTTTTATTTGCAAGTTCCCTGCTTTGGACAATAGATCAACTGGTCATCCAGCTATTAGCGTCCATGCATAAAGCACGAATCTGTTGTATTCTTCAGCCAATCTGAGACAACCAAGAGATTACTGCTGCACCTTTGTTTGTCTTTCTTTTTGGTGGCACATAAGGAAACAGAGAAACAGATGATCTCACCGAGTGCACAGATCATAGGAGAAAAGCCACAGACAGTTAGTGGTCCCCTGTGGGTCATCATTCATCCCAGTGCAGCACTAACGCTCATGATGGTATCGCACGCTGTCTGGAGCAGTGATTCATGTAGCTGGCGTTGCCTGATGGGAGGAAACTGGTGGGGAAAACGTGGTGGGGGGTCCTGTGAGGGGTCCAGTTACCTCCTCCTCCTCTCTTTCTAAGCGCATCAGCTACAGACCCGCCTCACTTTGTGAGAGGTTGCAGTTTCTCTCTTCTGCCTGTCAGGTAGTCCTAATGCATGGTGTGGGGGAGGGAGGACAAGGGAGAAAGAGGGGCACAGAATCTTTTAGATCCTGCCCTCTTTCAAGTCAGCTCTCCACCTCTTTTTAAAAGAAACAAATCATTATTATTTTGTTGTTTTTGTTGAGTTGCTTTTGTGTTTGTCTAATTTTAGAAAGAAGTAAAATGTTTTCCTCTCACACCTCTGGGAAGATAATATATCTAAATTTATTAGTTTAGTTTGTTCATTTATTTATTGTTAACTTAAAACATTCACTCCCGTGCCATTTACTGGGTAGCTGAGTGGGTGCTGGAAATGCCAGCTTAGAGGCTAAAAAGGAAATTCAAGGAGGAATGGAATTAAAATGTAAAGTAATGCCCTCTTATCTACAGTATCCCCTCGTATCTAATTATCTGTCTACCTCTATTGAATTATCTGCCTGTGTGAATTTTTTGATCCTTGTAAGATCTCTCTGAACTTGATAATGGTTGAACTTGTAAGTGAACAAATGATGCTCACTGAGTCTGAAATTATTAAATAACATTGGTTGAACCTCTACCCTGTAACATCTTTTGAGCTAAACTGTTCCGAGCTCAGTTGTGCCATTTCATCATCTGTGTGCTCATACATTCTAATGGGCTGCCCTCCATTCACTTCTGCAGCCTGAATGCAGGTAATTTTTTCTTTTTTTTTTTGAGACAGAGTCTCACTCTGTTGCCCAGGCTGGAGTGCAGTAGCGCGATCTCGGCTCACTGCAAGCTCCACCTCCCAGGTTCACGCCATTCTCCTGCCTCAGCCTCCCGAGTAGCTGGGACTACAGCGCCCGCCACCACGCCTGGCTAATATTTTTGTATTTTTAGTAGAGATGGGGTTTCACCATGTTAGGCAGGATGGCCTCAAACTCCTGACCTTGTGATCCACCTGCCTTGGCCTCCCAAAGTGCTGGGATTACAGGCATGAGCCACCGTGCCCGGCTGAGAAAAATCTTAAAAGCAAATGCATTTAATTTTAAAATGTTTTACTTGAGCTCAAACAATTAAGATCATTTGAAAATACTTCGAAAATTAATAAAAATTAGAACTGTAAACTCAATTAGAATTATTATTATTGAGTTAAAAATGATGTTGCCAATTCAAATGGTAACGTCAGTTATAACCCGAGTTTGCTGATTCATTTGAATTCTGGTTGTTTGCCAGAGTTTTTCAGAGTCATAAGATCCAGATAGAAAATCAAACCTCATTCTCAGCATTGGGGCTTTCTAAAGCCTTGTCAGAAATTTGGTGACTCGTGGGAGAGCTTATTTTTCTCCTTTTCATTGAGTCTTGCTCTCAAGGAGTTAGTTCAGATCATCAGTGGCCCTACTTTGCCCATAACAAGCCTTATGTATAATTTCCACAAAACTGCTTCCCCAGGGCATTTGGGTGCATTGGCCATTTTACTGAAGATTTGGCAGGGAGAGAGGAATTGACGTCACAGATAGAACCCAGCTGAAATTGGATACTAGATGGAGTTGCTCTTCAAAGACTTGGGCATTGCCGCTACGGAGCCTGAATTTCCCACCTGTCAGTTGACACCCCTTTTTGTCGCTTTATTTCTTCTTGTCCTCCTTTTTCAGGGCTTTTCCCTTTTCTCTGATCCTTCCCTCTTAGGGTATAAAAATCAACCTTTTCCTACTTTAATTAATTTATTCTTTAATTTTATTTTAACACAGAGCGACTCATCTCTAATCAGCTTCAACAGCCAAGTGAAGTTTGGTGTCTCCATTTGCATGTTCAAGGAAGTAGTCTAATTAGAAATGATCTCTCGTGAGGTCTCTTCTGCCTAAATTCTGGGACAATGGCTATCCTCCTTCCTCATCTGTCTGGAGGTGAAGATGGGAGTAGGGGAGGCAACATGCATTCTAGGTACCAAAGGTAGAGGAAAGGCAAAACCATCCGCTTTGGGCCAGACAGGGTTGAATCCTGGCCTCTTCACTTCCTGGCTGGGTGACCTAGGACAAGTTAATTAAGTTTCCTGAGCCTGTTTCCCCATCTCTAAGGTGGGGGATAATACTACTTTCTTGCAAGTTATGGAAAGGATAGAATGGAATCACACACAAGTTGTAGAAAGGATAAAACAGAATGACGCTTCTAGTGCACCTGGCGAAAGGCAGGCACTTAACAACTGTTAGTTCCCTTTTCCTTTCAACTGATAAACACTTTCCTTGAGGGTTACATAGGTAAACATTAAATATTTATGAATTGCATAATTCAAGAAAAATGAAACTTGAAAAGGATTCTTCAGATTTTTTGATGAAACAAATCATCGTCCCCATTGTCTTTTGTGCAAATCTGTGTTTTTGTTTGCAGTGCTGGGTTTGCTTATGACATTTGTGTGCAATTCTCAGCACCGTGAGACTTGAGTGAGCCTAACCTCTCTTCACAGCTTGATAGGAGTTGTAAATATTAGGTACTGATGGTATGATTTGAGGCAACCTAAGTGACTGAAGCCTAGAGCCCTCCCTGCGGTATTATTTCCAAGTGGGCTCATCAGAGCTGAATTGATAATGAAGATATAAACACTGGTGAAGGCTTTGTGGCTTGGTCTGATGGTACTCATACGGCACAGTGAAAATGGAGATGCTACCGGTGGAAAGGACTCACCATCTGTCTGCCCTCTAGAGCAGAGCAGAACATACCTCTGATGATTATGTGACCACTGTCAATTAGGCTGATTTATGCAAAGACAGTCTGTACACATCCCATGCAGCCAGATTTTAAATTCTAGGGTGCCAGGTTTTGCTAGAAACAGTGGCCGGCTGCGGTCTTGCATAATATTCCATGTTCTCTTAGAGGCAGAAAAGAATAGACTCACGACTTGACAGAAGGTGCTTTTTTCCCCTGTATCATCCAGTCAATTGTCTATGAGTCTGCCAAATCTAGCTCGCAGCATCTTTTTGTACAACCCCTGAGCTGAAAATGGTTTTTGCATATTTAAAAGATTATTTAAAAAAAGAAAAATATACAACAGAGAACCATATGTGGCCCACCAGGGCTAAAATATTTACTATCTGACCCTTTATGGAAAAAGTTGTTGATCCCTGGTTCAGAGTGTTTGAAATAACTCAGATGAAAGAAGGCAAAATGTAATGATGATTGACTTTTCCAGTTGTAATCTGATTTGTGACAACCACTGTATGCCTGTTTTAACAAAGCTTAATGGGCATTACTTAGGATAAATGTAATTACGTTTCAATATTTGTGTCTTGCTCTCCCTACATAGGGTTATTCCAGGTTTGCCCAAGGAACAGAGAGTCTGTTTGTTGTTCTAGAAGTAGCTCCTGTGTCTGTCACCTCCTCTCCAAGGCTTCCACCTGTCGCTTTTTTATCCCAGTTCACCCGTGTGAACAGCATGTGTTTCGGCTGCCATGACAGCACGTCCTACCTTTTTCCCTGGCTTGAAAGAAGATGGCAGGGGCCAGCTCAGGAAGAACTGCTACGGAGTTTTTTCACCTTCTCCTGCTCGTGATGAGGCTAGGGAGGGATTTTTAGCGTATCTTTAATTGTTGCCGAAGTATGAACTCGGGGAAGGGGGCAACTGTGAAGCAGTGATGCATAGACTAAGTCTCCTGGAAGAAGCAGGGCTTGAATTAGACCCAGAAGGATGGGCACCGTTTGTGGGAGGGCACAGGTACATAAGTACAGGGAACATGTCATGGAGTGTCCTGCCCAGAGTGGGGAATTTATAGCAGTGTGAGATGAAAATGGGTCATCATTGTGGCCAGTTTGTTGGAAATTTTAAGGTGTATGGAATTCCAATTCAGTTATCATCAAGGAGTCATTGTAGCTTATTTTTAAAAAGAGCGATGTGTGTGTGTGTGGTGTGGGGGTGGGGGAGAGTGGAATGACAATCATGAAATTGGCTACTGTTTGGTAAACCCTAACTGGGAGCCAGACATTTGGCTAAGGGTGTTACTTGGACCATCTCATTTAATCCTCACAACAACCCTGTGGGGAAGGTATTATCTCTAGTTTGCAAATGAGGAAACTAGGCTCAGAGAGGTTCAAACAACTTGCCCAAGGTTCTGAAGTTAATAACGGCCACAGCCAGGATGGCTCTTAACTCCTGCCCTGTGGAAACAAGCTCAACGTAAAACATTCTTACAAGACAGAAAAGAGTGAAAAAGCAACCAAAATCCTGCCTTGCGGAAATGCCCACTTTGGGTGAACATTCTTCTAGACATTTTTTGTGTGTGTATATGCACAGAAACTTGTAACATTTTGCATAATCTGGGCCACCCCATGCCTGCAAGCTTTCTATAAATGTCACCATATTCTATACCCTAGCGTTTCCCCCCTATTTAACACTAATTTTCTGATTTTCACAACTGGGTGCATAGTATTTTGCTTTGGGATGCTACCATCATCCACTTAACCAGTTCTCTCTAGATCACTGCAGGTTCTTGAGTAGGGGAATAATGTATTGGAACCTTTTTTTTTTTTGAAGAAAAAAAAAATAAACAACTTTTAAACTGAGTCTTATGCTTTTTCCCTTTCTTTGCAGCATGCTCTTGATGCTGACAATGCGGGAGTCAGTCCAATAGGAAACTCTTCCAACAACAGCAGCCACTGGGACCTCGGCAGTGCCTTTTTCTTTGCTGGAACTGTCATTACGACCATAGGTACCCGTTTGTTTGCTAATATCTCTTCCTCTGCAGGTCATCTTGAGTAAGGGCGCTTAGTCAGTGTTTTGTCCTCATAGCATACACTATAGTTTGAGGTTCAGAGGAGGCTTACGAAACACTGTCGTTTAAATTAATGCAGTCATTGTGGTGGCTTTCAACAAAAGCCAAAGCATAATGAAGTATCTCTTTTTCCAGAATGAAAGGCTAGCAAACCTAATGAAAAGGTTAGAATGGAAAATATGAGTTGGTCGGTTGAACTCGGGTTACTCATTTGAGCTCAACTTCCATTTTAAAAATTGTACTTCTTATTAAAGTTATATAGTAAGGAACCAAAATATTCTACAAAATTTTTTATAAAAAACAGTAACATTCTGACCGTCTCACCTTTTCTTACCTTCCCAGAGACTGTTGCTTTCATCTGTTTTGATTGTTGATTTTAACACTCATCCCCATGTCTTTAAATATCATGCTTGTGCTACTTCTGGAATTTTCAGTTTTGGGGATTTTTTTTGACTTTCCATTGTGGAAGATGAGGAGTTAGTTCCTTCTTCCTGCCTGCCTCATCACAGAAGGGCTCTTTTCCTGTCCTCCTGTCTTCCCAATATTTAATTAGATAGAAGTGAAACATCTGCATGATTTTGACTAGATAAATGCTTTCTGCAGCTGATCATAGAGTGAACAGTGATGACCTCTTTCCTGTATCAGTCTTTGTCTTATTTTTTGTATGTGTGTCTTTTTTTTCTGACACTTGGTGAGTTTTGTATTTTTGTCTTAGGGGTTAACTTTATTTATTTATTTATTTTATTTTATTTTATTTTATTTTATTTTATTTTATTTTTTGAGATGGAGTTTCACTCTTATCACCCAGGCTGGAGTGCAGTGGTGCAATCTCGGCTCACTGCAACCTCCGCCTCACGGGTTCAAGTGATTCTCTTGCCTCATTCTCCTGAGTAGCTGGGATTACAGGCGCCCACCACCATGCCTAGCTAATTTTTGTATTTTTAGTAGAGATGGGGTTTCACCACATTGGCCAGGCTGGTCTCAAACTCCTGACCTCAGGTGATCTGCCCGCCTCAGCCTCCCAAAGTGTTGGGATTACCGGCGTGAGCCACCGCACCTGGCCTAGGGGTTAACTTTATAAGTATAATGGCATATAATAATTTTAGTGTTCTATTCGTTAACCAGCATGTATTCGATCCCTATAACGGGTGATGATATCTCTTTTCTCTCTTTTTCCAACACAAAGTTTTGGTGGACATCATCTTTTAAATGATTAAATTTGCTTATGTTTCTCTTATATGATTTGCCAGCTTTAAATGATAACTCTTGGCACTCAGCTATTACATATAAGGCAGTCAGTGAACTTAGCATCTCAATTTCCTTTCCCTCTTCCACTATCCACTCTTATTCATGGTGTCATTCTATATAAGTTGTATCTCACTTTATTGTGCTTTGCTTTATTGTGCTTTGAAGATGTTGAGTTTTTTTTTTTTAAACAAATTTAAGGTGTATGGCAATCCCGCATTGAACAAGTCTATTGGTGCCATTTTTCCAACGTCGTGTGCTCCACTCTGTGTCTCTGCCACATTTTGGTAATTTTCACAATAGTTTCAACCTTTTTCATTTTTGATTATATCTGTTAAGGAGATCTGTGGTCAGTGATCTTTGATGTCATGATTGTCATTGTTTTGGGGTGCCACCAACCATGCCCTTTGAAGATGGTGAACCTAATCAATAAATGCCGTGTGTTCTGACTGTTCCACCAGCTGGCCATTCAGGCATCCCAGATCCCTGAGGCACAATGGTATTGAAATTTGGCCAATTAATAACCCTGCAGTGGCTTCTCAGTGTTCAAGTGAAAGGAAGAGTCAGTTGCATGTCTCTCATTTTAAATGTAAATCTAGAAATAATTAAGATTGGTGAGGAAGGCATTTTGAACTCTGAAACAGGCCAACAGCTAAGTCTCTTCTGCCAAACAGTTAGCAAAGTTGTGAGTGCAAAGGAAATTTTGTGTTTTATTTTTTTTGAGACAGGATCTCTCTGTGTCACCCACGCAGGAGTGCAGTGGTGTGATCATGGTTCACTGCAGCCTTGATTCCTGGGCTCAAGGGATCCTCCCACCTCAGCCCCCTAAGTAGCTCAGACTACTAGTGTGCATCACCATTCCTGGCTAATTTTTTAAACATTTTTTTCTAGAGATGGGGTTTCACTATGTTACCCAGGCTGGTCTTGAACTTCTGGGCCCAAGTGATCCACCCACCTTGGCCTCCCAAAGTGCTGGAATTACAGGCATGAGCCACTGTTCCTGGCCAGGAAAAATTCCTGAAAGAAATTAAAAGTGATACTCCAGTGAGTGAGCACATGAATGATAAGAAAGTGAACCAGCCTTATTGCTGATATGGAGAAAATTGTAGTGGTCTGGATAGAAGATCAAACCAGCCACAACATTCCCTTAAGCCAAAATCTAATTCAGAGCAAGCGGGCTCTTTTCAGTTCTATAAAGGCTAAGAGAGGTAAGGAGGCTTCAGAAGAAAAGTTTGAAGCTAGCAGAGGTTGGTTTATGACATTTAAGGTAAGAAGACCTTTTGATAACATAAAAGTGCAGGTTAAAGTGGCAAGTGCTAGTGGAGAAGCTACAGCAAATTATCCAGAAGGTCTAGCTAAGAAAGTGGCTACACTAAACAACAGATTTTCATTATAGACAAAACAGCCTTATATTACAAGATGCCATCTAGGACTTTCATAGTTACAGAAGAGAAGTCAATGCCTGGCTTCAAAGCTTCAAATGATAGGCTGACTCTTTTGTTAGGGGCTATGCAGCTGGTGACTTTATGTTGAAGCCAGTGCTCATTTACCATCCAGAAAATCCTAAGGCCCTTAAGGATTCTGCTTGCCTTCTATAAATGGAACTTCAAAGCCTGGATGACAGCACATCTGTTTACAGCATGGTTTACTGAAGAGTTTAACCTCACTGTTGAGATCTACTACTCAGAAAAAAGATTCCTTTCAAAATAGTTCTGTTCACTGACAATGCACCTAGTCACCCGAGAGCTCTGATGGAAAGGTGCAAGGAGATAAATGTTGTTTTCATGCTTGCTAATACCACATCCATTCTTCAGCCCATGGATGGAGTAATTTTGACTTTGAACTCTTATTATTTAAGAAATACATTTCATAAGGCTGTAGCTGCCATACATAATGATTCCTCTGATGAGTCTGAGCAAAGTGATTTGAACATCTTCTGGAAAGGAGTCATCATTGTAGATGCCATTAAGAACATTTGTGATGAATTGGAAGAGGTCAAAATACCAACATTAACAAGAGTTTGGAAGAAGTTGATTCCAAGGCTCATGGATGACTTTGAGAGCTTCAAGACTTCACTAGAGGATGCCACTGCTGATGTGTTGGAATTAGAAGTAGAGTGTGAAGATGTGACTGAAATGCTGCATCTCATGATAAAACTTGAATGAATTAGGAGCTTCTTCTTATGGATGAACAAAGAAAGTGATTTCTTGAGATGGAATCTGCTCCTGCCTGGTAAAGATGCTGTGAACATTGTTGAAATGACAACAAAGAATTCAGAATATTATATCAACTTAGTTGATAAAGCAGTGGCAGGGTTTGAGAAGATTGATTCCAATTTGAAAAAAGTTCTACTGTAGGTAAAATGCTATCTAACAGCATTGCATGTTACAGAGAAATTGTGAAAGGAAGAGTCAATGGATGTGGCCAACTTCTTTGTTGTCTTATTTCAAGAAATTGTCACAGCCACCCCAGCCTTCAACAGTCACCGCCCTGATCAGTCAGTAGTCATCAACATCAAAGGAAGACCCTCCGCCAGCGAAAGCATTATGACTTGTTGAAAACTCAGATTATTATTAGAATTTTTGGTAATAAAGTATTTTCAAGTTAAGGAGTATATATACATTTTTTAGACCTAATGCTATTGTACACTCAATAGACTGTAGTAGAGTGTAAACATAACTTTTATATGCACTGGGAAACAAAAAAGAAAATGTGTGACTCATTTTATTGTGGTGGTCTGAAGTCTAACTCACAATGTCTCTGACGTATGCCTGTATAACCTCAGGGTATGTAATTTAGATTTTAATTTGTTACCCTGATATTTGCATTTGTTTTAGTCGTAGCTCTATAGTTAGATATCATTAATGTTCATCTCTAGTCCTTTTGCTGTGGTTTATCTCATGATCACTTACTTGGCTGAAAGTCATCTTCAAGTAGTTGCCTTAAGAATGGCTCAGGGGAGCAATATTCTGTGAGATCTTGCATTGTTCACAGTTGTAGCTTAACATTTGAAGGATAGTTGAAACAAAATGAAATCCATTTTATTGACTCACATTTTCTTTTTCTTTTTTTTTTTTTGAGACTGGGTCTTGCTCTGTTGTCCAGGCTGGAGTACAGTGGTATGAACATAGCTCACTGCAGTCTCCAACTCCTGGGCCCAAGTGATCTTTTGGCTTCAGCCTCCTGAGTAGCTGGGACTACAGGCGCATACCACCAGGGCTAGCTAATTTTTAAAATATTTTGTAGAAGCCAGGTCTTGCTGTGTTGCCCAGACTGGTCTCAGACTCCTGGCCTCAAAGGATCCTCCTACCTTGGCCTCCCAGAGTGCTAGGATTACATGTGTGAGCCACCACGCCTGGCTTTACATTTTCTTTTTAACTGGTCTCACAGGTGTTGCTCTTCTGTTTCCCAGTTTTTATGCAGCTGTTGGGGGAAACCTGATGCCAGCCTTTTTTTCCCCACTTTTATAGGTGACTTTATCTTTTTGTTCAGTGACTTAAAATATTATTTCTCTTTCATCTGATAACATTACTAGGTTTTGACTCTTTTATTGCATTAAAGTTTTCTTGATTGACATCTTTAAACATTTTCTTTGCTGTGTGGTTTTGGTTTTGTTCTTTGGGAGATTACAGCTATACATATATTGTAACTTCTTTGCTCATCTTCTATGTCTCTCATTTCTCTTCTACTTTTTAACTCTTAAAATCTAGTTTTCATTTTGTTAATTTTATTCTCCCTATTCCTTTAGTTTGTATGTTTTCCACAATGCCTGTGCTGCCATGAGCTCCTTCCAATTTTATTTTTTGTTTTTGTGATCAATAGGGAATTTTTTCCTTTTCCTGTTTCTTTCCTGAATTTCATAGCTCACATTTCATCTTCACTTGTTGTTCCATTTTTCCACTGATTTCTTGAATTTCTACTTTTTGGCTTCTCTGTGAAGATTCTTAGAGATGATTATTTCATACTTGGTCACAATTTTTGTCTGATTTTGGAAACATTTTTCTGGTGAGCCTCTTTCCATCCATTGGTAAGTTTTGCTACTCTTTTCACATTTTTTTTCTTATGGAAGTTTTATATTTATGCTGGGTCAACTTCTTTTTAAAATACCTGGCCCCAGGCAAACTGGATATTCCTGGACCAGCTTTCTGCCAAATGATTTCATGGAGTTGGGGAGAGGAGAGCAGGGTGAGTCAGGGTACCACCTTCCAGACAGCACATCCTAACTCTCTTCATTTCTGTGACAGAGTGTTTCTGCAAATAGGGTCCTTCTGTATTATTTCTGTCCTACCTCCCTGTTTTCTGAACCAGATCAAGTTCAGGGTGGCTTCTGCTGCTCTCCCTCTTTATCCTATGTTTCATGCTTGGTAAAAACAGGGACATCTCTTTTGAAGTTCAGAGTGAGACCCTCCCCTTTATACTTGGATATTTTCGGATACTTTCTGAAATTTACCACTTTAGGGCCCTGTCATCATTTTCTGAGCTTCTTCTTTTTATTTTTTGTTCATATGGCTTCTGTCCAATCTCCGCTTCTTTTGGTAGTTCTTACACATATGCTGGAATCTCTGGATTATATCCTTCTTCCAGCTCTGCTGAAAATGAGTTTGAGGATTTTCTGCCCACATACAATTGTGAAGTAGCACTGCAACAAAAATCTTCATTCAGAAGCAGGAGAGACACCCAGCAGTCACTGGTCCACAGCAATGAGGGACAGGCATTGAGAGGCTCCCCCGCCCTCCTGGTGGGGGAAATTCCTTCATTCAAACTTGTTTATACTCTCTAGGAGGAACTCCCTGCCTTATTGCTCTCTGAAGCCCAGCTATGCCTTTTGAGAGGTTCTTTCCTCTGAGGCACAGTTTTGACAATCAACTTCCTATAGGCGCAAATTTCAGAGGCTAACGATTGGTTTAGCGGCACAGGTTTTTGCTTTTGTTTTAAGATCTAGCCTTCAGGACCTATGTTGTTTCTAGGTGAAATCCAGAAAGTCATATGCAACAAGAACATTTTGGATGAAGGAAAATTGCCATTGTTATTTAGAAACACTCTTAATCTAATTATATGACATGCTAGGTTTACACTTGCAAATCTGCAAATATATTGGTGTTAGCTATTAAAAGTATTCAAGATGCCCATGACACCAGTGGGTCTGGGGCTTAGAAGCCTTTTCTGGCACTCTAGGCCAGGTTAGGTCAGCTTAATCCACAGACTCACAGCGTCCAACAAAGGAAGCTGGGTGGCCTGACACCATTTAGTATACGGGCAAAAAGTGTTAGCAACCTGAACAACACCAGAGGGCGTTGCTGTAGTGGATCCAAGAAGACCAATGTCAGGTTTCATTGTGTTCAGCAGATTGTTAACCTGGGAAAAAGTGTCACGCATTGTAGGAGGATCTATTGTACACCAATTAAAATTGAGAAAGTCTGGGCCACTTCAAGAAGTACATTTTGGAAAATGCTCTCTGATACCCGGTATTGGATTCATGAGACATTAGTGTGTATATTGAAGGAAACTCCTAATTTTCTTGTTTCATGACATGGCTAAATGAATGATCTGTCTGCTGCATTGAAAAACACTATGGCTACATTGGAAGGTGCATTAATGGTATTTATTGTGTTAGCTTGTTAGGAATCCAGGAACTTGGTTTATTGAACAACTATGTTTATTGATCCACATAATATTATGTGACTGAGGAATGGTGGCTCCATCTGCCTAATGAAGAACGTTTGATATGCGATGGTTTTTGCCCTTTTTTGTGTGTGTGCTTACACCGGAATCTTTGAGTTTGAGCAAATGGCTCTTAGCCCTTGGATTCTGTTGCCTGGATTCCATTCACTTACTCACCCATGTCCTCATTGTCATATCCCCAGTGGTTCCCTTCCCCATGCTTTGTCCCCAGGCCTCAGGTGAACAATCACCTTGTCTAGACTAAGAAATCCAGTGCTTGGCCACAATTATTAGTTCAAAGATGGACATATGATCTGGATTAGGGGCTTTTGCCGGAGCTTTGGAGGAAATGACCTCTCTTTCTTACTAAAGGTAAGTCTGGAAAGAGACAGGCCTAAGGCACTGCCAGTCATTTTTTTCCCCTTGGGTTGTTCTGCCTAGAATTCATCAAACACTAAAGAAGCAGAGTGAAGAAAAGGAGTGGTGAATGGGGTCTTGTTTACATCATTTGAGCTCTGGATGGTGCTACCCAGGAAGTGTTAAGAAATAAATGTTAAACCCCCTTCTATTTACTGGGGTCAATATATTTTCTTTCGTTGTTTAAGCGAGTGTGCGTTGAGCTTTCTATTACCTGCAAGTGAGAACATCCCAATACATGCTTTGGGTCAGAGCTCATGCAGGGCCAGTGAATATCCTCTGACCTCCACAGCTAGTGACTGAGCCTGCTGGCTGCTGCAGCTGCCATCTGTCATCATCTTTGAGCCACTGACTCTTGATTTAAAGTCTTAGGCAGAGCCATCCTATTTGTTCATGTGCACACATCCTGGCTGCCTAGGAGCTGTTTCCTCTGTGGTGGGAGGCAGGACACTGTGTCATACCAATTATGCACAGGAAGGGGGGCTTTCCCAAAAATCAGAAGGAAGGTGGATGCTGAACAGGAAACTACTGCAAAACAAATGTGCATCAAAACCAAAAGTAAAATGCAAAGTCCACTTCAGTATCATTGTACAGTGTTAACACTAGAGATAGGGTCCTTGTTCTATTTAATTTAGAAAACACAATTTTCTCTCTCACTCTTTCTTTCTTTTAATTGAAAAATAATGTATTGTAAGTTGAGCACCATTTAGCTGGCTAAATTTTAACTCCAGAGTGGAGGATCTTTATAGAGTCATACAGTTAGAGAATTCCAAAGAAGCCCTTAATACAATGTAAGTAAGAATAATGAGGTGCAGAAATAATTGTTTTTCCAGTTACTTAGTGGTAAATTCATTTGTTGCATGTGGTCGCAAGGTTTATAAGAAAACTCAGAGCCCAGCAATTCTTCCAGTTCTTCCTGAGCAATTTTCCACTAGTTAGGAGTCAGGAAAGAGGAACCGTGAGAGCTGAGGAGCTGTGTATTTCATTAATTGTGAAATACACAAATATTGGCCTGTTCCCTTGCGATCATAAAATTTGCAACGTAATATTGCAGACATTTTTGCATATTACTAAAGTTCTTTGAAAAGTGTATTCTTTGATGGTTTCTATTGGATCCACTATTCACACTATAATCACATATTCCTGGGAACTTAAGCTGTTTCTATTTTAGTAATAATGTAACACCATGGTGTTAACGTTGTGAAGTGTGGTCTTCATCTCTGGTTGTTGCCTTGGAAAGGTTACCAAGGGTTTGCTCTGTCAAAGGAAATGAAAGGCTTGCCAAATTTCTTTCCAGAAAGGCTCTCATGAGCAGCTTAAGGTTATGTACTTTTCAGACATAAAAAATGTGTTTATTAGGTAGAATGTGTATAGACACACTTTGTGAATAATAGAATCTTTTCTGAAAAGCAGCGCTACTCCTTAGTATCAGAGATCCCTTTTATCTGAGGATATCAAAGCACTTCTTTTTGAAGAAGGTTTTTCTTGTGCTGAGATATATGGAAAGATTTACAAGTGTATAGCAAACGGAATACCTTCAGGCACTTCTCCAGACCAGTAGCCACGCCAGAAGGAAGAGCAGACTCTGCTCTGTCAATGACAGGGCTGCACTGCACCCTAGTCCCTTTCTCAGTAACTAATTCAACGTGAGAAAGTCCCACCTGCCTTTGATTATTGGCTCAGCTGGTGGGTCCCCCGTAACTAGCTTTTCTAAGCTGGATGAATGATGCTCACTTCTATGTGCAGATGCTTTTTCACAAGCTGTCATTTGTAGAAGGACAGCGAGCGATCAGGTTCTTACCAATATCTGTGAAATGCGATTAGATTTTAGTCTGTGAGGCATTTTCAGATTGAGCCACCTGACTCTGCCCACATCAGAGAGAGAGCCTCTGGTCAGGACCAGGTGGTAGCCAGTCACTGCGTCACTAGCCTGGCAGCCTCATTTAAGGGTTGTCCCTATCAAACTATCGAGGCACCTGTTGGTACTTACCCAGCACTGGATTGGATGTTTATTTTTTATTTTTATTTTTATTTTTCAGAGAAGGGGTATTGCTTTGTTGCCTGGGCTGGAGTGCAGTGGTGTGATCATAGCTTACTGTAACCTCAAACTCCTAGCTCAAATGGTCCTCGCGCCTCAGCCAACCAAGTAGCTGGAACTATAGTTGTGCACCACCATGCCGGGCTAATTAAAAAAATTTTTTTTTTGTAGAGACAAGGGCTCACAATATTGTTCAGGCTGGTCTCAAATTCCTGGCCTCAAGTGATCCTCCCACCTTGGCCTCCCAAAGTGCTGAGATTATGAGTGTGAGCCCCACTTGATTTAGATGGGATGTTTAACCTGTGCCTTTGAAAAGAGCAATCACCATGGCTAACATTTACTGAGTTCTTACTAGTTAACGTGCATTGTGCTCCACATACATTATCTCATTTAATCCTGCATAACCACATGAGGTGGGTACTGTTATTAGCCTCATTTTATCTATGAGAAGACTGAGGCCCAGAGAAGTTAAATAACTTGCCCGGTATTTCATAGTTAGTAAGCAGTGGAGTCCAGCTAGATTCACCAGGACCAGCTACATAATTTGTGGCACCCAGTACAAATTGAAGTGGGGTCCCTTAGAGCATTAAACCAAGCACAGGACCCATCTAAGCGTGGGCCCTGTGGGACTGCACAGGGTGCACATCCATAAAGCAGCCCTGCCTGCGCAGACAGACTGGTGACCATAATAAGAAAGCACACTCTCAACTAAACAAGTAGGGCTGCACAACACACAGTTGGGCCAAGATTTGACTTTGGCACGTAAACAGCAAGTGGAAGCCTTTGTGTGCACTCCTCAGGCACAAGTCCTCTTTAAATGCCAGCTTTCTCTTCCTGAAAAACGGGGAACTCTTTTCTAGCCAGAGGTGAACAGATCTGAGCTCATCCTGGTGCTGTGCGTTCATTACAGCCTCCCCTTGGCTGTTTGCCCTTGTGGAGTTGGTTGTCTTCTGCTGAAAGTCACCACCTGATGCTGTGGGTGCTATGGGAGAACAGTGAAGTTTCTGGAGGGAAGATAGGAATCAACCGCCTGTTTTCTCCTGGGACTGAGTTTTCCTGGAGACATATTGCTCAGAAACAATTCCTTCCCACAGTAAAGCACAAGGCAAACGGGGTGCTTAGTTTGCATCATATTTCACAGGTATTTAATCTTCACATGTAACTCTTGCTTTGCATGTAACTCATTTAATCTTTAATAGCTATGGGTAGGCACTTTAATAGCCTTGTCTTTTGATGAAGAAAGTGAGGGAGAGAGATTAAGAATGTGCCTATGACCTGAGAGTTGGTAAATAGAAGAATCAGAACAGAAATCTGTGTAGTCTCTAGTTCTAGAGCCTACAGACAACTGTCACACCTTACTTCAAAGTTCTACCCAAGCATTCTAGAAGGATGAGCAGGGCAGTCAGAGAGGCGGGGTGTAACTAGATCCCCAAATCCAGAAATGTGGTCTTCCCATTGCCTCAGAGCAAAGCTCCAAAGTGTAAGTGCTGGAATTTTCCCAGAGTGACAGTGTTGAGGGTCAAACAGTCTCTCCTTATAGTTCACCAAAGGCATGGAGCACAAATACACTCACACACACGCCCATGCATGAGATACAGCATCACTCAAGAATGATGACTTTCTGTCCACTGGGCAGTGTGTCACCAAAGAAAGATGGCTGTGAATATATTTAAAGGCTTGTTTGAGTATTGCATCACTCATGCTCTTACCCAAGAACTTAGCTTTAATATTATTTTTGTGTTCTAGTCAACAAAACACTGAACAAATAAGGAACCAATTGTGATAATAATAATAATAATAATACTTTGCATTGGTACAGTACTTTACAGTCCATTGATTTTTTTCTCCCTGCATTTTCCTTGAGTACCTCTGACACTAGGATTTGCAGATGTTAAGTGGGTCTAAGGAGAACCAGGTAGTGTGAGGTGGAATTTGATCCAGATCTTTCATCTCCTCACTTCTCCCTGATGCTCCGTGGTAAGCCACAGTGCCTTACCCAGGAGGTGGGTGGGGGTGGTCATCTCTGAAAGCTGGAGGAAGGGGGTGTAGCACTTGTCAGGATTAATGAGATGCCTGTTCATCCAGTTCCAAGCCTCCACTTGTTTGCCTATGTCTGCAATATATTTCTTTCTGAGACACTTGGACAACCTATATTCCCCAAAGTTAGGCTATTGTGAGACAGTCAAGCTGGGGTCTTCAGTGTTTTCACAAGTTACTTGAATGTTTCCAAGAGTCACCATAAACCTGCATAAAGTGAAACTGTAGAGGCTCATTTATTTCTTTTTCAATAGGGCTAGCTTAATGTCAGCTTGACCATTCTAGAGGGGTATTCTTGGAAAAATGATTTTGTCCAAGTTCCTGAAAGTACCTGAAAAAAGTTCTGAGAGCTTTTTTGCATATTTAAATCAAAATCCTGGTGAGTAAAGGAAATACAAGATGAGGAAGCCTAGCCTGAACACTCATTTTAGAAATGGAAGCTGTAATTTAGATTATTATAAGAGGTTTGAATGATTCAGAACAGAAGATTGCAAAAGAAAGTATCCAGGTGACTCATTCCCGAAGGCAGAAGGCAACCGTGAGTTCTGCAGGCCTGTGGGTGGCTGAATGATGGACTAACCATCAACGTTTTTTTATCATGTTGCATTCCCAACCTGTCAATAACCATGGACCCAATAACTCACTCATTGAATGGATTCAGAAACAGGCCCCACATGATTTACCCAGATTTGGGAGAATGGTTAGATTACTGTCTAGATACTTTTTAACATAAGATTGTAATATCAATTGGCACAAAAATGAATATTAATTAATTTAGACTTTCATCTCCATATAAAGTGTGCTAATGCTATAGGACTTTTTCTTCCAGCAATACTTTCTTTAGCCTCATCCATATAGGGTAAGCCCAGTACTCATTGTACATAAGTTACTTATGTAATGGCAGTACTCTTAAGATTGCTGCGGGTATTTTCAAAGCACTATTTGAAATACATATTAGTAGACCTGACTATAAAAAGATTCTCTTGTATTCAAACATCCATCAATAAACTTTTAGCATCTTATTACCCTCAATGCAAGAGGTAGTTGGGCGGAGAGGTAGGACTCAGAGATGATGTGGAGTTCCCAGTAAAGAGAAAAAAACCAGATGGGGCGAAACTTCACTGGCGGTGGGGAGAGACAGCACAAAGCCTTCCCTTCCCTATTCTTTCCTGTTTTTAGACTTCCCAGGGTAAGGCTGTACAATTCATGAGTCCTTTCTAACCTTGTACTAGACCACATTTCCTCTTTAATATGGGGTACCCATTACCCTTCAAGACAGCCACAGTCGGTCCAGGTGGAGCCCATGGGTAAGACTGTGAAAAAGAAGCTCTTGTCAAATCTAATAAGTGCAGTGGTGATTCCTTCCCACGCATTCAGGTCTCGCTAAACTAGACATGCCCATGATGCTTGGTGTTTCAGAAAAAGGTGGTATCACTTTTTGTCAGAAATGAAAATGAAAGTTCTGAGTGACCATGAATTTCCTAAAATGTGTTAATATCCAAGAAACCTTAAAACCGTTTATAAGGGGAGAAGGAAGAGAAGCAATGGAACAATGTTGCGAATTGTAGAGGGCCTTTGAAATGAAGTTCTACTCCCTGAAGCTCATAAGGTGGGGGAATGTACAAACTTTTAAAAAAGTCTGTGAGTTCTTTGGTCAGTATGCTAATTTCTCTGCCACTCTCCCTCTTTTTCATATTTCTCACCAGGGTATGGGAATATTGCTCCGAGCACTGAAGGAGGCAAAATCTTTTGTATTTTATATGCCATCTTTGGAATTCCACTCTTTGGTTTCTTATTGGCTGGAATTGGAGACCAACTTGGAACCATCTTTGGGAAAAGCATTGCAAGAGTGGAGAAGGTCTTTCGAGTGAGTACTGTGTCATATTTAAATTCTAACCACTGTGATCCAGTTGGCTTTAGCCTGACAGGATCCAGGAGGCAGTATCAGGGGCATTGTCTGCTTTTAATGGAATAATTTTAATGTTATGATTGTATTTTCTGTTTTGGCCAATGGAAGTCAAACATCTTGCACCTAAACTCCCTTCTTTGAGTAGCTTCCTATTTTAGAGTGATATTTCTGCAATCACAACACAAGAGGGTTAAGTATGGATTTGCCAACACAGATTTTTTGAAGAGGTGAGACAAGTTCAGTTTCTCCTTCAAGATGGAAGATGGGGTTCCTCATTGTGTTTGTAATGATGTAGAAAACTGTAAATCCATCCATTTTGTTGTTGGAACTCCCTTACTCCGTTTTATTTTCAAGCACAGTGTCTTTAGGCTAATCCTGCTTCTTCCAGAAGCCTGACTTCTCCAGACACTGCTCTGTGCTTTGCACCTGTCTCCTAATGGTCTCTCTCTCTCCCATCTCTCACTGCTGAGTGCTCCCTCAGAAATGGCATCCTGATGTACTACTTCCTACTGAACTGTTGATGATTGCTATTGCCTTAGTGGGTTTTTTCCTTTCTGGAATATTTATCTTTAAACAAGAGACAACTATCTCAACTCAAGGAATTTATTTACTAAAATTAAAATTAATTAATAAATTATTCCTGGCATTAGTTGCAGGCATGAGTGGCTGAGTGATTAAACCGGGGTTCCCAATGCCCTTTAACTCGCACTCATTTGTATGCTTTCACAGAACACCTGTTTTGCTCAGATGTAAGGTCACTTCTGCCCTCTTACTCACCGCTGACCTAATTCTCAAGTCTTTCAAACCTTCCTCAGGGAATGCTTTCTTATGATGACTTAATATTTACAAATGACATTCTGAGGTCTTTTCCAGGATCTAGGAATGGTGGCCAAAGGCAGATCAGCTGGAAGCTCTAAAGCTGTGCTTTTTTCCCCCTCTAAGAACTCTTAAACTTTGAGTTCAAGGCTGTCTCTGCAATAATGGCTCATACTTCTCTTTAGAAGAATGCAAGGGAGCTTTCAGATGAGCAGTTTCAGAGGCTTTTTAAAAAGAGTAGAATGGGAGGAACGAGGCACCATAGCTGGGTGAGCCATTTTATAATCTCACTGATCCTGGGTCAGCTGCCTCAGTTTACTCATCCACAAAAGGGGATAGAATTTGAATCTACTTTGTCAGGTTTTGGTGATGATTAAATGAAATGATGTGTGGAAAAGAGCTTGTCATATAGGGCAGACATATAGAGCCCAGGGCTTCTGTGTTTCTCTCCAAGAGAAGCCCTCATGGGCAGGCTAGCCACTCATCCGGGTTTCATCTGAGGAGCTCTGTGGTGTGTGAGTTTTACTGGAATGTCCCACAGCCTTTGCTCCTTCATGCTGGCTGGCCGGTGGCCTCATTAGACCGTGCACCTGGGCTCCCCAGTAGTCTCCATGGAAACCATCAGTGCTCAGCTTCCCTGCTTTTCAGATGTTTAGTTCTTCCTAAACCAGACATAGCAGCCCTGTCTCCAAGAACTCTTTTGAACTTCTTGGAAGCACCCTTTTAGCTGCTGCCTCATGGCCCTCTGACTTAGAGAAAAAAGAATCTGGTAGTTTGAACACTCAGAACAGGATTCAATTGGGGAAATGACTGATCTGGCATTTTTATTTTTATGTAGCTTCTTTAGAGCTCAGTTTCCTTATTTGTAGAAGAAAGGATTGGACTAAAAGTTTTTGAAATCCTCCTTAGCAGAAAAAATTCTAGTTACTATATTTGAAGTGATGGAAGAGGTTGCAATCATCTGGACATCTGCTACTAAATTTAGGGACTTAGTCTCCCCTAATGAATTTCCGACTACAAATAGAGTATATGGTTCTCCTTCCCCTTGAAGCTGCGTCTCAAATGGACCATCAACAGATTCTGATACAGAGCCTTAGAAACCTCACATTTCATCTTTATGCTGATTGTCCACTCAGCTCCTTGCAGCACCATCAAAGATCAAGATTCTTTTAGGAAGGCGAGACAGTTGCATATTATTGAATTGGCAGTGCACAATGAATGCATTTGCTGAGTATTGGAGGGTGCTATTGGAAAGGGTGACCGAATTCCAGGGGGAATGTAAGCACACTTCCTAAATATACGAACAACTGATCCTGCAGCAGTTTGCTTGCTGCATGTAAAGTTTTGGTAGAAAATCTCAGTTTTCTGCCATTGATTTAAACTACATTTAAAAGTCCAATTACGTTTAGGTGGTTATTTGAGAAATGAAAATTGTATAAGCTAACAAAGCTTGGGGTTGTGAATTTTTAGTTCTCATGGGGGAAGGTTTATGTATTTCTTCTGCTCAATGAGTGTTAAGCCCTTCTCTTGATCTGTTATGTTTTCTCTCAGCTCTTGGGAAGAGAGGATTTACGGTGGAGTAAAAATAAAATCTAAAGTTGGCTTTCTGCCGGGCATGGTGGCTCACACCTGTAATCCTAGCAGTTTGGGAGGCTGAGGTGGGTGGATCACCTGAGGTCAGAAGTTCAAGACCATCCTGGCCAAGATGGTGAAACCCTGTCAGTACTAAAAATACAAAAATTTGCAGGGCACGGTGGTGCATGCCTGTAATCCCAGCTACTTGGGAGGCGGAGGCATTAGAATTGCTTGAACCCAGGAGGTGGAGGTTGCAGTGAGTTGAGATCGTGCCACTGCACTCCAACCTGGGTGACAGGGTGAGCCCCTGTATTAATCAATCAATCAATAAATAAAGTAAATATAAAGTTGGTCTTCAAGATGCCTGAATCCTGAGGTGACCCTGTTTTGGGTCCTTCCAACACATCCCAGGTCTGATCCTCATTTTAAAGAATTGCTGAGGGATATTGGATTACTTAGAAATGCTTTTGGTTGCAGAATAATAAAATGCCTGACTATTGGAGTTTTTATGACATGAATAAATAAGAATTCTTCTCCTCTGGAGTTCAGAACTAACTGTGAAATGGAGGAGTCAGATGGAGATCAAATTGCCAGCTTTATTGCTTATAAGCTGATCAGAGAATATAGCTTTAGCTTTGTTTCCGAAAGGGCTTACAGTCACTTTACCCTGAATTAGGACCTTGCTGCTGCATTAGTTTTTCTATTGCTGTGTAACATATGACTACAATCATAGAAGCTTAAAACAACACTTTTAAATGGCCTTCTTGCACCACCACTTAAAATGTTTAATTTTGCTCTCAGATGATGTTCAGAAACAAAGGAAAGGTAAAAGTAAAGGTGCCAAATTATTTGCAGATGTGCATAACCAAACCCAAATGAAACTAAAATAAGAATGCTCACAATTTTCTTTTTTTTTTTTTTTAAGTGGAGATGGGATTTCACTGTGTTGGCAAGGCTAGTCTGGAACTCCTGGCCTCAGGTGATCTGCCCTCCTTGGCCTCCCAGAGTGCTGGGATTACAGGCGTGAGCCACCACGCCCAGCCACACACATTTTTTTAAGCCGGGTGTACAGACCAAATAACATATTAAACTAGATGTAAAGAAAGAACCAAAAGTGAATTCACCAGAAAAGACATGCCACTAAGACAGAATGTAAATTCTGTAGAAACCAGAGTACTCAATGCAGAAGGATACTTTTCTACCAGAAAGTGCTTGCCAACAAACAAACAAACAAAAACGCCTTTTACAGACCCAAGAGGGATGCAAAGTTCTTTACTTAAGGCACCTTTTAGCCAAATCAAATCACATATAAAGTCAAAAAGAACTCGCCAAAGGGAGGGAGTCTGAGAATCTGAGAGGAGAGTCACCCAGACAGAAGAGGCAACAGACAGAAGCAGAGAGCAGAAAGGGCTCAGTCAGTACTGCACTCAGTTCCAGGGACCTCTCATTCCTCTGAGGTGCACTCACTTTGATCCCACTTCTGACACCATTTATGTCACCCTAAATAACATACAGACAGAGGCTCATTGAAAGAAAATGATATTTACTCAGGGATGGGCATTGCAGTGGTAACATACATGCCAGTTTAAACTATGTGTGCATTCAGGGAGGTAAAGCAAAAAAAAAAAAAAAAGGTTTTTAAAGGAAAAATGAACAGGATTACATAATTGTTTTGAGCTAATTATCCTTGAATACAAGGATCAATAACAAGGGTGATGCCAGTCCAAGGTTGGACAGTCAGTTGCTGGGTAGATGTCTTCGCAGAAATGCTTTTCTGCATAACGAGGTGATGGGTTTTGTGCAAGGTTGTAGTTTTTGCAGTCTTTTATGATAGCTCTTGTAATCAGGCATTTGTGCATGAGAATCCTTCCTTCCTGGCTTTCCCTGACTCTGTTTGTCAGAGTTTTAAGCACAAGTAACCCCATTTTGATTCTGACAATTTTCATACTCCCAACACTCATTAACAATGGGTTAAGAATTTGAACCCTTATCTCACATAGCAAGAAGCCTGGAGGTACGTTGACTCAGGCTTGTGCTATCAGCTCCACAATGTCAGGTGTATCCAGATTTGTTACCTCTTTCTGCTCTGTTTTCCTTGGCATGGTAGCTCTTCATCCTCAGACTTGTCACTCACATTGCAAGATGGCTGCTTCATGACCAAATAGCACGTTTTCACCCAACCTCATATCAGGAAATACAAAAGGAACTCCCTTAAAATTTATCTTTTTTTAGAGCAGTTGCATATTCACAGCAAAATGGAGGGGAAGATACAGAGATATCCCATATCCCCTTGCCCCTACACACATGTGCAGTCTCCCTCATTATCAACATCCCGCACCAGACTGGTACATTTGTTACAATTTATGAACCTACATTGATGCATCATTATCACCTAGAGTCCATAGTTTACATTAGGGTTCACTCTTGGTGTTGTAGAGTCTATGAATTTGGACAAATTTATAATGACATGCGTCTACCATTATAGTATCATACATAGTATTTCACTCTCCTAAAAATCCTCTGTACCCTGCTTGTTCATCAATCCCGTTCTCCTAACCTTTGACAATGACTCATGTTTTTATTAGTTTTGTCTTTTCCAGAATGTCATTAATATGGTTTGGCTGTGTCCCCACCCAAATCTCAACTTATATCTCCCAGAATTCCCATGTGTTGTGGGAGGGACCCAGGGGGAGGTAGTTGAATCATGGGGGCCAGTCTTTCCTGTGCTATTCTCATGATAGTGAATAAGCCTCACGAGATTTGATAGGCTTATCAGGGGTTTCTGCTTTTGCTTCTTCCTCATTTTTCTCTTGCTGCCACCATGTAAGAAATACCTTTCACCTCCCACCATGACTCTGAGGCCTCCCCAGCCATGTGGAACTGTAAGTCCAATTAAGCCTCTTTTTGTTCCCAGTTTCAGATATGTCTTTATCAGCAGCGTGAAAACGGACTTATACAGTTGTGTAGTTGCAATCATACTGTATGTAGCCTTTTCAGACTGGCTTATTTCACTTAAATATGGATAAAAGTTTCCTCTATGTCTTTTCATGGCTTGTAGTCCATTTCTGCTGGGTGGTGAATAATATTCCATTTTCTGGGTGTACCATAGTTTATGTATCCATTCACCTACTGAAGGACATCTTGTTTGCTTCTAAGTTTTGGTAATTACGAATAAAGCTGATATAAACCTCTGTGCACAGGTTTTTTGGTTGAACATTAGTTTTCAACTCCTTTAGTTAAATACAAAGATGTGTGATGACTGGATTGGATGGTAAGAATATGCTTAGGTGTATAAGAAATTGCCACACTGTCTTCCAAAGTGGCTATACAATTTTGTACTTCCACCAGCAATGAATGACAGTTCCTGTTGCTCCACATCCTCATCAGCATTTGCTGTTGTCGGTGTTCTGAATTTTCTCAATTCTAAGTGTGTAGTGGTATCTTGCTTTAATTTGCATTTCTCTGATGATGTATAATGTGGAGCATCTTTTCAGATGCTTACTTGCCATCTGTATATCTTCTTTGGTGAAGTGTCTGTTAAAGTCTTTGGCCTATTTTTTAATTGAGCTATTTGTTTCTTTATTGTTGAGATTTAATGTATAATGTGTAATGTATTATTATTATTATTATTATTATTATTGAGACAGAGTCTCACTCTGTCACCCAGGCTGGAGTGCAGTGGTATGATCTTGGCTCACTGCAACCTCTGCCTCCCAGGTTCAAGTGATTCTTCTGCCTCAGCCTCCCAAGTAGCTGGGATTACAGGCATGCACCACCATGCCTGGCTAATTTTTGTATTTTTAGTAGAGATGGGGTTTCACTTTGTTGGCCAAGCTGGTCTTGAACTCCTGACCTCAGGTGATCCACCTGCCTCGGTCTCCCAGAGTGCTGGGATTACAGGCATGAGCCACTGTGCCTGGCCATATTTTATATATTTTGAATTATATTCCTTTATCAAGTATATCCTTTGCATTTTTTATCTAGTATATCCTTTGCAAATATTTTCTCCCAATCTGTGGGTTATCTTTTCATTCTCTTGATAGTGTCTTTAACAGAGCAGAGGTTTTAATTTTAATGAAGTCCAGCTTATCAACTATTTCTTTCATGGAGCATGTGTTTGTTGTATCTAAAAAGTAATTGGCATACTCAAGGTCATGTAGATTTCTTCCTATGTTACCTTCTAGGAGTTTTATACTTTTGCATTTTACATGTAGGTATGTGATCACTTTTAAGTTGATTTTTGTGAAGGGTGTGAGCTTTGTGTCTGCAGCCATATTTTTTGCATGTGTATGTTCAGTTGTTCCTGTGCCATTTGTTGAAAAGACCTTTTTTTTTTTCTCCATGTTGTCGCCTTTGCTCCTTTGTCAAAGGTAAGTTGACTATATTTATGTGGTTCTATTTTGGGCTCTCTATTCTAGTTCATTGACCTATTTGTCTATTCTTTCTCCAATATCATACTGTCTTGATTACTTTCGCTCTATAGTAATTTTTTTTTTTTTTTTTTTTTTTTTTTTTTTTTTTTTTTGAGACGGAGTCTCGCTCTGTCGCCCAGGCTGGAGTGCAGTGGCACGATCTCGGCTCACTGCAAGCTCCGCCTCCCGGGTTCACGCCATTCTCCTGCCTCAGCCTCCCAAGTAGCTGGGACTACAGGCGCCCGCCACTACGCCCGGCTAATTTTTTGTATTTTTAGTAGAGACGGGGTTTCACCGTTTTAGCCGGGATGGTCTCGATCTTCTGACCTCGTGATCCGCCCGCCTCGGCCTCCCAAAGTGCTGGGATTACAGGCGTGAGCCACCGCGCCCGGCCACGCTCTATAGTAATTCTTAAAGCCAGTTAGTGTCAGTCCTCCAATTTTTTTCTTCTTTTTCAATATTGTGTTGACATCAGCTCCTTTTATGGAAGAAAAATCTTTCCCAGAAGTTACCCTGTAGATTTCCCCTTCTGTCTCATTGACCAGAATGAGATCACATTAGCATCTGCAAGGGAGGATAGGAAAGGAAGTATCGGACAAAGGACGATAGTATTGCCATAATGGACCAGTGATTCTCAAAGTTTGGTCCCTCAACCTTAGGCATCAGTATCCCTTGGACCATCGGCATCGGCATCCACTGGAAACTTGTTAGAAATGAAAATTATTTGTGGTCGTGGTGGGGGCGGTGGGGCTGGAGCTCAGCAATCTGTGTTTACCAAGCTGTCCAAGTGATTCCAATGCTTAAGGAGCAGAGGAATCATGTTTCATCTCTTGGGGCTGAACACATTGCTGTGATGAACAAAATTAGAATTCTGTTAGCGAAGAAGTTGGAGTAAGCAAATGATAACGTCTCACATAGATGTCAATTAACTGCTAGCCACTGAGATCACTCATAGAGAAGATGTCTTCACTCTTCCTTGTCATAAATTAGGTGGCTGTTGGGATCCTTGAATCAATCAAGATAAGCTAGCCTATCACAAACAGCCTACTCCCACTCCTGCCAGATCTGCTGCAACCCAGGCAGCTTCTCAGGCTCAGGGGCTAGATAGGGTGGGGGAAACAGCTGAGCGCTGCTTGCTGGCTCTTCAGAGCGTTGTCCCTCAGGTAGAGCCCATTGGCCCGAGCTAGTTACCAGGTCCCATTCGTAGCTGCAAAGGGGGTTTGGAATGCATTCTTTTATCTCCAAGAATAGTAGTGGATGGTAAAATTGTTGCGCACTGGTATAGTCATGTTCATATGCTCTAAGATGCACTCCTGGGTCCCACTCTAGGGTGACCAGCCTTTCAGGAATTTAGTTCCAGGTCGTTTGTGCATCACTCTTCGGGGGGAATACTACTATTGTGAGACTCATAGATTTCACACCTGAGAAAATGGAGCCTGTGAGGTGACTTGCCTGGATCCACACAGTGAATTGGTGGTAGGACCTGGATTAGAACCACTAATCCTGCCTTAACCTCTTCCAGATGGGCTGAAAATATTAATGTCAGATTAATCTACACCATGAAACCAATGTGGAGTTTAGAATATTTTAGTATACCATACTAATTAAAGTAAAAATAATTCTTCCTGAGTTCCCAGGGAAATATCTGGGCAGTTAGCATCCCAAATATCTGCTTATTTGGGATGAAGGAGGGCTGACATTGGATTCTGAAGCAGGTTTTGGAAGCAGGCGGCCTCTTTCTCCCCTGCTGTGGGGTAGCTGTCTTGCTGGGCCAGGCTGATTATCACTTGATAGGATGCTGTAGGAAAACCAGTCAAATTCTGGACTGATTCTCATTTTCTTGGCTCCAAGCTGGACTTTGGCCTCTGGTAGGAAGTACCTGCTTCTTTTTTTCCGGCTCGGATCAGCAGGCTTTCTGGTATTTCCTGTAAAACCAAGGGACACCTTTTTTTTTTTTTCTTTTTCTTTTTTTGGCTTTCCCCCCGCCCCAAGGATATGGCAGAAATGTTTATTTGCTTATGGATCCAAATGATTCTGGGTGTCACTGACAAATAATAAAACATTACCCTAGACTTACGAGTGCCAAAATTACTTGGAAAATTTAGAACAGGCCACATGTTTAAGATGGAAGTGATGACAATCTCAAAGTGCTAATACGGTTAAATTAGTGGACTGATCAACCACTTTAGATTCCAGGAAGGGGCATGTGGCGGAAGCCAAAGACTCCTGCAGGCCTCTGCCATGTGCCTGGCATGGATCAAGGAGAGGCTTTTAAGAACACAATTGGCAGGAAGCTTCTGTTTCTCCCAAGGCATCTTTGAGCTAGCATTCAGCAGCAAAAGGGTTAACTTAAAATAATTACTATTTCAAGAGGCAGGCGCAGTGGTCCACGTCTGTAATCACAGCTCTTTGGGAGGCCAAGACAGAAGGATTACTTGAGCCCGGGAGTTCAAGACCAGCCTGGGCAACATAGTGAGACCCCATCTCTGAAAAAAAAAAGAAAATCGAGCCGGGCGTGGTGGCTCATGCCTGTAATCCCAGCACTTTGGGAGGCAGAGGCAGGCAGATCACTTGAGGTCAGCAGTTTGAGACCAGCCTGGCCAACATGATGAAACCCTGTTCCTACTAAAAATACAAAAATTAGCCTGGCATGGTGGTGTGTGCTTATAGTTCTAGCTACTCGGGAGGCTGAGGCAGGAGAATCACTTGAACCGGGGAGGCAGAGGTTGCAGTGAGCTGAGATTGTGTCACTGCACTCCAGCCTGGGTGACAGAGTGAAACTCTGTCTCAAAAAAAAAAAGATTCAAATTACTTGGGTGAGGTGGTAAGTGCCTATAGTCCTAGACACTCAGGAGGCTGAGGAATGAGGATTGCTTGAGTCTAGGAGGTTGACACTGCAGTAAGCTAGGATCACATCACTGTACTCTAGTTTGGGCAACAGAATGAGGCCCTGTCTCTAAAAATATTTTTAAGTAAAATAAAAAAATAAAAATTATTATTTCAAACAGATCAAAATCCCTGTTTTGGAAACTGGGTATTATTTTCAGCATTGTAGGTTCAGCTACAGTTTCCAATACCTATTGGTAATGAAAATGTTCAAGGGTCTTGGCTGTGCACATCAGCATTGCACCCAAAGAGGCAGGGGAGGAGGGCAGAGTGGTAGGCTGTGGCTTTAGTTTAAGAAATGGCTGCCTTTCAGTAGTGTAGAAAAGACACAATATCAGTGAACTTCAGTTTACCAGTGCCCATATGTCTCTGGAGTATCTGCTTCTATGTCATGCCTGCCCTAGTACATACCATATTATAAGTTCCTAACAACTAACTCAGTAGGATTAATGTTACATAATAATGTGAGTTTATTTATTTATTTATTGAGACGGAGTCTCACTCTGTTGCCCAGGCTGGAGGGCAGTAGCATGATCTCGCCTCACTGCAACCTCCGCCTCTTGGGTTCAAGCGACTCTCCTGCCTCAGCCTCCTGAGTAGCTGCGGCTACAGGCGCGTGCCACCATGCCTGGCTAATTTTTGTATATTTTTAGTAGAGACGAGGTTTCACCATATTGGCCAGGCTGGTCTCGAACTCCTTACCTCGTGATCTGCCCACCTTGGCCTCCCAAACTGCCGGGATTACAGGCATGAGCCACCACGCCCTGCCGTGAGTTTATTTTTATCAGAGAGAAGGCCCTGGTTTTAATGTAAACAATTGCTTTCTTCCTTTTCCTAGGCGGCAAGAAGGTAGGAAGTAATTATTTGAAAATGCAAATAATTTTAAAGCTTTATCAATCAAGTCTGTTCCAAATTAGTTTAAGGATTTTCTGTAGCTTTAATGATAGGGCCAGAATGTACATTTGGGGTGACCTACATATATGACATCCACAAAACAGACTACACAACATTTCTTAATGACAGTCCATGACAGTTTTTCCATGGACGGCTCCTTCTTTCCTCCCTTCATTTAACATAGGATTGCTCAGCCTCGATACTATTGACATTTTGGTCTGGATAATTCTTTGTCATAGGAGTTGTCCTGTGAATTGTGAGATGTGTAGCAGCATCCCTGGGCCTCTACTCGCTTGATGCCAGCATCATCACTGCCCGCAGTTATGACAGCCAAAATGTCTCCAGACATTACTAAATGTGTCCTCAGGGGCAAAATCGCCCTAGTTAATTTGACCATAGCTATACTGGGATATAAGGGGACAATTGCCCCAAAGACTACCAGGTGCATGCCCTGGTCCCCTGTCCAAATCTTCCACACGAGCTCTGGTGCCTCCACCAATGATCCTAATCAGTTTTTCAGTGCTAGCGCCATTCCGACTCAGAACTCTCCTCCTTCAGATGGGTCCTTAAAGAGGGCTTTGCAGATTTTATACTCCGGGAATGAGATCATTTCTCACCAAGAAAGCAAAAATGCCTGGAGACTTGACTCTGATGAGTACACATAATGACAAATTGTTCTGCTATTATTCTTCACTAGGCAAACCATCTCAGCACTAACTTTAACTGACCCATAGGGACTTATCTAATGTATGGTTCTTCTTTCTTGGCTTACCTTTCATAACTGGCCAGTATCCCTTTGGTGTTTCCTGTTGTCTTCTGAGGTCATTATAGAACGTTTTAATGGCCTTTAAAGTGCATCTTCACTCTTTTCTATGCACAGTAAAGATATCAAACATTGCCTAAAATAGAACTACTTAAAATACTGCCTGGATAGCGTTTATCATTTAAACATTTTCCAGGTAGCTTTAACAGAGTCTCTCTCTGTCTCTCTGTCTCTCTCTCTCTCTTTTCCCCCCGGCAAGCTTTGATCACAGGTAACTTCTGGGAATCTGATTGTTACTTTGGGGTGGGAAGTTATTCATGAACATCTGCATGCCAGAACCTTTGTAGGGAGCCTTGGATCGGTCATTTGTCTGAGAGGATTTTGTTGAGATAATACTGAGTATTATGGCACTGTGATACCAAAGCCTAGATATAAGTCACTGATATGGTTTGGCTGTGTCCCCACACAAATCTCATCTGAACTGTAGTTCCCATAATCCTCATGTGTTGTGGGAGGGACCCAGTGGGAGGTAATTGAATCATGGGGGAGATTATTCCCATGCTGCTCTTGTGATAGTGAGTTCTCATGAGACCTGATGGTTTTATAAGGGGCTTTAACCCCTTTGCTTGACACTCGTTCTCTCTCCTGCCATCCTGTGAATAGGTGCCTTCCACCATGATTGTAAGTTTCCTGAGGCTTCCTCGGCCATGCGGAACTGTGAGTCAATTAAACCCCTTTTCTTTATAAATTACCCAGTCTCGAGTATTTCTTCATAGCAGTGTGAGAATGGACTAATAGAGTCGCTAATCTGTTTTGAGGGTTTATTATGCCAGATACTGGGCTATCTGGGCTTTACCTAGAGTAAGCTGTACAGTAAGTTACCCTGCCAAAGAGATCATTATTGTTTCTTAATTATATGAGTTTGGAATGCTTAGACTGGTTCTGTGACTTGTCCAAGGTCACACAGCCCATAAATGACAGAACTAGACTTCCAAACTTGGTCTCCCTGCCCCAGAGTGCATGAATAGACTTAGTCATTCCACTATATGCCCTTTCTTCTTTCTCTTGCAATGTAGGCATAGCATCTGATGGCTCAGAGGAGCCTTCACAAAAGGTTTAGTAAGACCTGGGGACAGATAAAAATGGCTAGTTGAGAGAAAGATATTGGGCCTGTCTTCATCTGCTTTAAAAGGATTTTAGTTTTCTGACTTCATGCTCTCTCTCAGTGTGTTGAATTGCATCATAGCCTCTGGTTCTTTATGTATCTGCTTTAGTTCCCTAATACCAGCTCATTATTAGTTAATATCTCTTTCTTTGTGTTCTCTTTTCTTGGAGGTTAATCTAAGATTTAGGTGTCCCCTTGCTCATGTCTGCTGCTATGTGACTAATACAAAGATGGGTTTATATTCTGGTATCACTATAGGACATTAAAAGTAATGTCAAAAACCACAATTACTTTTGTACCAACCTAATAAAAGAGGGGCCTATACTGTACCAATAGCTGACTTGTTTTGACCCACCTCTGCGAGAGCAGTTGCCAGGCAAAGATAGTCCCCACTCTGTTCTTCCATCCACTGCTCTACTTTGTACAACCTGCTTAATGTTAAAAACAGGAGGAAATGCACAGCTCAAAGCCAAGCCTCTTGGTGCCCTGAGATAGCTGGCCTTGTCCTCCAAAGCATTCTTCTTTTTCTGGGCTCATCAGAATGCCTCAATGCTCTGCTTCGATGGTTTTAAGAGCATAGAGTGGCTTGGTGTGGTGACTCAAGCCTGTAATCCCAGCACTTTGGGAGGCTGAGGTGGGCGGATCACCTGAGGTCAGGAGTTCAAGACCAGCCTGATCAACATGGAGAAACCCCATCTCTACTAAAAATACAAAATTAGCCAGGTGTGGTGGTGCATGCCTGTAATCCCAGCTACTTGGGAGGCTGAGGCAGGAGAATCACTTGAACCTGGGAGGCGGAGGTTGCAGTGAGCCAAGATCACACCACTGCACTCCAGCCTGGGCAACACGAGTGAAACTCTGTCTCAATAATAATAATAATAATAATAATAATAATAATAAAGTAAAATAAAAAGAGCATAGAGTTTGAGACCATCACCACCAAGATTTTAATTCCCACTGGGGATTTAACTCAGTCCTAAACTCAAGGTCTGCTATGTCAAGTAGTATTAAATATCTCTTCCTTTTAAGAGCCATTTTAGCTCTTTCCTCATATCTTTCAGATTTGGCTGGTTTTCCCTAAGGCTTCTGAAACTCTTAAAACATCTCTGATAGAGGAAACTATCTAGAAAATTTTATGGGTATTCATTATCAGTGAGGTCTTTCTCATTGAAGAGATAATCACTTCTTAGAATCCCAGGGGTTTCATTAAGTATTAATAAAAGGTTTTATATTTTTGCATTTTGGGGCTAGTGAAAGTCTAGTGATGCTTTAGGTCTACAACATGGTAAACTGTATTTAAAGATTCCAGGTGCTTTTGAGTTATGAATTTAATGCAAGAATTCTATTAGCAATCACATTTTTACTAGTATTATAAAATCAGCATAATAGGTGAATGATTTCCTATGTTCATGCTTTATCACCAATTTTCACAGGTTAGTTTGGTTCCTCTGGAATGCACTGATTTAATAAAATATTAATTCTTTGCTCTCTTCTTATAGAGAACTTTTTAAAAAATTATCGTAATTTTTTTTTTCTTTTTACATTTAGCCTCATGTTACTTCTGTGAGCCAAGCAAGCAATGACCTACTTTGGTGTAGCTTCTAACAAATTAGGTTCCTGAAAATTGAGAGGTGCCCTTATTGAATTGAGTGTGCTCATCACGGAGCTGGGTGTGTGATCTATGTGTTCACTGTAGGATAAGTTTTAGATGACTGGCATGTCAGTAGTCATTGATACTTTCTAGATAGCTTTATGACTTTTTGCCTTAGGGAAGGGAAAATGTTTAGAATACACATCATTATTGAAAGGTGTGCCAGTGTTCTGAACCATCACACCCCAAAGAGCCAGCTCCCCTGGGAGGTGACAGTGTGACAAGCATGTGCAGCCCCATGCTGAGCAGGCTCTGATGGCTTTGCATAGTGAAGGGCTGCCAACAAACTGCACTCTCCTGAACTGAATCCAGCCCAGGAAATGTGCATTCCTGTTAGAAGTGCACTTTGTATTTCTGGGGGAGAATGCATTGCTTTGTATTTTCTGAGAGGAGCTGCATTTGTGCATCATAAGTTTTGACCTAATGGTTTTGCACTATGTCTTGGAAGTTTACTGCTGAGTTTTAGGCTCCTGCTCATAGATAGCTGTAGTTCTCATCCTATAGGTGGTGGACCCCTAGGAGCCTGAGGTGTCGTTTTAAAGGATCAGTGAATCCTTTTGTGTTTCAAGCATTGCCAGTGGACAGAATAAACAATATGTCTCCTTAACATGTGTGCTGCCCTTTTCCAAATGTGTGTAGAGGGGTTGTCATCAATGATTCATTTCAGTTCATTTTAAAGGGTGACTCCCGAATTCATAGTATCTATAGTATCTTTTTTTTTTCTTTTTTTGAGATGGAGTTTTGCTCTTGTTGCCCAGGCTGGAGTGCAATGGTGCGATCTTGGCTCACCGCAACCTCTGCCTCCCGGGTTCAAGTGATTCTTCTGCCTCAGCCTCCTGTATCGCTGGGACTACAGGCATGTGTCACCATGCCCAGCTAATTCTGTATTTTTAGTAGTGATGGGGTTTCTCCATGTTGGTCAGGCTGGTCTTGAACTCCTGACCTCAAGTGATCTGCCCGCCTTGGCCTCCCAAAGTGTGGGGATTATAGGCATAAGCCACCATGCCCGGCCTCTCTCTTTCTCTCTCTCTCTCTCTCGATATATATATATATATATATATTCTCACTATCAGTTAGTACCAAAAGTTCTATTGTTGTGTGGGGATCAAGGATATTTTTAACCTTCAGAAGGGAGTGCCATACTCAAAAGTTGAGATCACTGGTCTTTCAAGTTAGCATCAATTTCCATGACATTCTGGGCTTTCTTTTTTCTGTGGATTTAACATTTTCATCCTGGCCATAGTCATTGTTACAAAGATTTTTTTTTTTTTTTTTTGAGATGAAGTCTAGCTCTGTTGCCAGGCTTGACTGCAATGGCACGATCTCGGCTCACTGCAACCTCTGCCTCTCAGGTTCAAGCAATTCTCCTGCCTCAGCCTCCCAAGTAGCTGGGATTACAGGCACCTGCCACTGCGCCTGGCTAATTTTTGTATTTTTAGTAGAGACGGGGTTTCACCATTTTGTCCAGGCTGGTCTCAAACTTCTGACCTCATGATCCACCTGCCTCGGCCTCCCAAAGCACTGGGATTACAGCCGTGAGCCACCGCGCCTGGCCAGAAGTTTTCTTTTCCTCTAAGTTACTCCCAGGAGTTGGTAGGATACTTTAGAGCCTGCTTCAAGATTTTCTTTATGCCTTTTTTTAATTGTGTTAAAGTGTGCACAACATAAAATTTACCATCCTGTTTTTAAGTGTACAGTTCAGTGGCATTAAGTACATTCACATTGTTGTGCAACCATCACTACCATCATCTCCAGAACTTTTCCATCTTCCCAAATGACAACTCTGAGTCTGTTCAATAATAACTGCTCATTTCCTCTCCCCCAGCTCCTGGTGACCACCATTCTACTTTCTGTGTCTATGAATTTCACCACTCCGGGAACCTCATGTCAATGGAGTCATATAGTGTTTGTCCTTTTGTGTCTGGCCTATTTCACTTAGCACAGTGTCTTTAAGGCTTCATGAATATTGCACATGTGTCAGAATTTCCTTCCTTTCAAGGCTGAGTAATATCCCCCTGTCTGTATATACCACATTTTGCCTATTTGTTTATCTGTTGATGGACTTTTGGGCTGTTTCCACTTTTTGGTTGTTATGAATAATGCTGCTATGAACATGGGTGTATAAACATCTATTCAAGTCCCTGTTTTTAATTATTTTGGACATATACCCAGCAGTGGAATTGCTGAGTCACATATAATTACAGATTTAATTTTTCTGAGGAACCGTGACACTGTTTTCTACAGTGGCTGCACCATTTCACATTCCCACCAACAATGCCCAGGGATTCTGTCTTTCCACTTCCTCACCAACACTTGCTTTTTTCTGTTTTTTTTTTTTTTTCCTTTAACTTTTATAGGCCCAAATGACAGCGTTTGGTAAATTGCTGTCTGACTGCCTCTAAGTCCTGGCTGCTCCCATAGCTGCTGTTCTATCACTCTGGGGACTAAGTGGAGAGGCTGTGCCGTTAGCCTTGCTTCCCTCTTGCACCTTCCCTGTCTCCCTCCCTGCCCTAACCTACAGCTGTGTCCCTGTGAGTCTTTCCTTCCTACTCGTCAGCTTGGGCCCTGTGCGCAGAGCTGGTGGGAGGACGGGTGGCTCAGTGCCAGGCCGACTAGGGCCTCTGCATACGGATGACATCCAGTTTCCACCAGACCTTTTTTCTACTCTGAAATCCTTTTATTCACCCAATCATGATTCACTTTTCTGTTCTTCACTGTGGCTGTTCCTTCATGCTCCTCGCTAGGTCAACTTGATAAACAATTATCGAATAACACTTTTTTGTGTGTGTTCTCAACACTATAGGGATATGTGGCAATAAACAAGGGATAGTCCTTTCTCTTAAGGAGAAAACAGCCATGCATCAAGACCAGTGTCCATAATATTGTGCAGAATGATACCAGGGCTAGGGCAGGCAGGCTCTGAAGTCACACCACCTTGGGTGAATGATCCATGCTATGTCTACTTCTTATCAGCTATGTGACCTCAGGCTGTGCCTCAGTTTTCTTATTTGAAAAAATGAGGATAATAATGGTTCCTGTCTGTTTTGGCACTTAGTTGACACTTGAGAGCAGTGTCTGCCACATAGCCTCAATCAATGCTATTCACTATTATTGTAGAACACTGTTAGCTATGGGAGCCCAGAGAGGGACTTGTTAAGTCTAGCTTGTATATTTCACATCACACAAGCACCTGCCTTGTCTTGCCAATGGATTGTTCTGCTCAAGTAAAGCATAGGGGCTTAAAGCTAAATGTTACTGTGCCTTTATTGGCCTGTATCCCTGTAGGACCTGCTCAGTGCTAAGTGCTTTGGAGGTGTTCAGTAAATATTTATTGATTGTGAATTGATTAGAGAGGAGAGAGACACGAACCAGGTCTTTTTCCAAGCACCCAGGATGTGTAAGCTTCACAAATGAAGAGATGCTTGCTGATGCTGCCCTCTGTCCTACCCTTCCTGGAAATGGGCATGGAGGTGGGTGGGGCTGGAGAAGTGGAGGGGGCCCCAGAAAGGGTAGCGACAGAGAGAAAGAAACCCATGGGCAACAGGGTCTGTATCTGGGACGGGACCTCAGCCATCAAGCATGGCCTTGGGAGGAGAAGATGCACTGGCCGCGATGCAGCGAGCCCTTTCGAAAGGCAAACAGCACAAGCAAGAGTGCAGACGGCAGGTTCGTCGGCTCCTCTGGGGCTCCCCCAGGGGATGCCGTTGCCATTCGGTCTGCGTGAAGGAGGCAGGTTGTCTTCTTCGTCGTCGGCCACACTTCACTGGCTGCAAGTGTTCACGCAGATGTGCTCATGTGATCTTACCACATACGCAGATTCTAGTAAAAAAAGAAGAAAAAATCCAAGAATGAGTGAGAATTTATTTTAGCTACATGCTGACTGCCTCTCAGCTTGCCCGTGCTCTTACCAGATCTTGAAAACAAGGGCCAGTTTGTATTTTTATAAAAATGCATCAAAGTGTTACTAAAAGATCCTAAAGGAAGACTAAAGTTTCCTCCGAAAAGAAGCCTGGCCCTTCAAATACCAACAAGGGATCCTCGGAAGATGGGTTTTACTGAGCTCAAACACTGTCTCTTCTGTTTAGATACTGTATTATTACATCATTTCCCCTCTCAGATTGAGTGATGTTTCCTCCATTATTTGTTCCGTTCCTTGGCAGAAGTGAATTTCACCATGAACAACATCTGCAGTCTTTCTATACGAGCCTGGGGAATGCTTGAAAGAACTGATACTA
The DNA here is from genome assembly GCF_000001405.40 of Homo sapiens. Lineage (NCBI taxonomy): Eukaryota > Metazoa > Chordata > Mammalia > Primates > Hominidae > Homo > Homo sapiens. The sequence continues at coordinate 88,208,935 of NC_000014.9, read as the reverse complement.
AATTATTATTATTAATATTTGTTTGTCTACCTATCCACTCCCCACCCCCAGGTCCCCTCTCACTCCCGAGTAGTCACAAATGGGTGTATCGGGCATCTCGTCTCAGTTGTCAGGACTGTCCCTTCTCATTCTAAACTATTTTGCAGATTAGCTTGAGCAATTAGAATCAGGAATAGATATCATGTGGTTAAAATAAAAGGGAATTTATCTACAATTTGAAAATAGATTACAGAGAACTTCCATGTGATTTTTTTTAAAAAATAAATTTTGCTGTGTACTATAACAGAGTTGGCACCAGAGCTAACAAAAAAAAAGCAAGTATCAACATTTAAAATGCAGTACATGACATGTAAATGCCATATGGTATTCTTGCAATGTTATTACCACTTTCTTTCTGGCATCCTTTTCCTGACATTGCTGTATGCTTCTTGACTCTGCTGCTCTTCAGAAAGCCTCAATTGTCCTGAGCCCTTTAATTCTGTATTTATATTAGGTGTCTCTCTCTTTTATCTACCCTTTGGAGGCTTATCAACCTTTTCCCCAAGGAAGAGGAAGAAGAGGACCTGTACAGATGGCTGTATAAATATGTGACACCTGCTTCCGTGAGCCACTATTGGAAGAGTTTAAGAGTTGATGGTATTGTCCCCTGTCTAGAAGATGAGCACACATTTGCTTCTCTTCTCCTTTCTATTTTTAAAAAATGATCATGTGCCTTTAATGATGTTTCTAGAAATGTCTTGAATTCAAATTATTTTCTATTTTTAGGGAAATAAAAAAGGAACCCACCAACCAAATTTTCTGAAAAGATTATATGGGTCAAAATGTTAAAAGTTTGTCATAGTTAATATTTCCTAAAGTAAGAGCCTTGGTGATCGTGTTTGGGGAGAAATCTCTGCTTCACCACGGGAATGTCAGTGGATCTCTGCGTTTGCACTGAATGTGCCACATTCTTTCATCTCCAGACTTTTGCGTGTGATATTTATGGTGTTTCAAACAATGTCTGTACCCTCCTCCTGGTCTCAGCTCAAATGTCAGTTCCTTGGGGAGCTTTTCCTGACTTCTAAATGAGGTCAACACCCCCCCCAAATAACATCTTGTAGACCCCAAGAATAACATTCATCTCACTGTATTGATGGTGGGCATCCCCATCAGCCTATGAGTTGTGTGAGGTCGGGTCCCATCTGCCTGTTCACCACTGCATCTTCAGGTGCTAGCACATGGCCTGGAACCCAGAGAGCACTTAATCCATACTTGATGAATCAATGAATGAACATTGCTAGACATAACCTTATACATCTTGATATAGAAAATGACCTTGAAGCTGGACTAGGTCCCAGTTACTTGAGAGGCTGAGGCTGGAGGATCAGGCCAGCTTGGGCAGCATAGTGAGACATCCCCTATCCCTCCTACTCTCCTAATCCTGCACAATCCCCCTCTAAAAAAAGATAAACAGAGTGACCTTGGGCTGGCGCTGTGGCTCGCGCCTGTAATCCCAGCACTTTGGGAGGCTGAGGCGGGCGGATCATGAGGTCAGGAGATCGAGACCATCCTGGCTAACATGGTGAAACCCCGTCTCCTCTAAAAAATACAAGAAAATTAGCCGGGCGCGATGGCGGGCCCCTGTAGTCCCAGCTGCTCGGGAGGCTGAGGCAGGAGAATGGCGTGAACCTGGGAGGCGGAGCTTGCAGTGAGCCGAAATTGCACCACTGCACTCCGGCCTGGGCGACAAAGTGAGAATCTGTCTCAAAAAAAAAAAAAAAAAAAAAAGAGAGTGACCTTGAAATCGAAACTAGTATTGTATGCAAATAAATGGCAATGGGGAAAAAAAGTTCTTAGGCTTTGAAGTACAATTATTTTGAATAAAAGATGGGTCTGTAGGGAGCTGCTCCCTGCTAATGCTTATTGCCAATGGTATTCATATGCAGACACTTTTACCTCATCAGGCTATACTTAGAAGTGTAATTCTACAGACTTATCAAGTCAATCTTCTTAAATACAGTATACAATTTACCTTCACCCAGTGGTTCTGAACCCTGTAATATCCAATATTCTTTTATAGCATATATTTATGAATACTCCTTTACTACATTGAAATGAATTTCAGAGACAGTGCACTTTGCCAATACAGATAATTCTGAAAAATTCAATGCAAATTTTCTAGCTATAATATAAAGGAGAAATAAATGGAAAGTAATGTTTCAATAATAGGTGCTCTGTTATGAAACCCTAGGAGACCTGCTGAAGCAGTGAGTCTTGGCATCTATACGTAGAATGCAATATCTCCAAATGCAGATTGGTTCAGGTATGTTGTGTTGATGACTAAGATGTCACAAAGGACTTTTTCTCCAGTGGTGTGGTTTTCCAAAATAGAGAACAACTCTCAGCAAGGTTCCAGCTAATCTATTTACATTAGAGTCAGATTCTTAAAAAATTTGGTCAACTTTGAAAAGATGCAAACAATTTGTGTGTGTGTCTTCACATGTAAAAGGGAGTTAGGTTCTTGGCTCAGATAATTGTAGACATGAGTTTTTCTCAGTGGGACATTCAAAGCTCATGCTAAATGTGGGATGGTTCTGTGATTTGTGGCACTGATTGTTGTATTGCAGGACATCTGAACGTCTTTGACCTCCTCCCAGTACATGCCAAACGTGCCCCTCCAGTTGTGACAACCGCAAACACCCTAACAAGTTTAGAGACCACCTCCTAGGGTGTTGTAATCTAAACAGGGTTATAAACAGAGCTTCCAGGGGGCTCCCATGTAACTTTCAAGAATTTACATATTTAATTTCTATTCTCGTGAAAATGGCCATGTTCCAATAGTTAAGCCTCTTCCCTTGATGTATTTCCCATGCCATTAATATTCAGTTCTATTCCACAAATATTTATTATATGCATATGTGTGTGTACATCCATCTGACTATACCTTTCTATGTTATGTACCTTTACTAGAATTCCAAATTATAAAATCCTGTCAGTTTATCTCTTGCTAGATGAATGGTTTTATTGTTTTTATAGAATATTTGCTTTAAACAGTACTCTCATATTTTCTTGAGGTGCTAAAATAGAGGAGGCAGCTGTAGAAAAATGCACTACGGGCCAGGCATGGTGGCTTATGCCTATAATCCCAGTACTTTGTGAGGCCAATGTGGGCGGATCATGAGGTCAAGAGATTGAGACCATCCTGGCCAACATAGTGAAACTCCATCTTACTAAAAATACAAAAATTAGCTGGGCATGGTGGTGCATGCCTGTAGTCCCAGCTACTCGGGAGGCTGAGGCAGGAGAATCACTTGAACCCGGGAGGCAGAGGTTGCAGTGAGCCGAGGTCACGCCATTGCACTCCAGCCTGGGTGACAGAGTAAGACTCCATCTCAAAAAAAAAAAAAAAAAAAAGAAAAGAAAAGAAAAGAAAAATGCACTGTGCCAGGCACTTAGAACATTGAGATGAAGGAGCACACTGTGTAGTAGGGAGACACATGGATGGATGGACAGACAGTGATGCAGGTTGAGCAGTTCTATGGACAGGGGACCATGCAAGGGTGAAGGAACATGGACAGCAGAGAGCAAGAACTGGAGAGGGCTTCCTGCAAGAGGTAATGTCAGAATTGTGTGTGAGGAATGAACAGGAGTCTGACAAGCATTAAAAAGGGCGAAGAACCTTATCCTAGCAGATGGAACAGCCCTTAAAAGGGCACAGAAGCTAAAAAGAAATGAGCTATGAAGCCATGAGAAGATGTAGAGGAATGCTAAATGCATATTGCTGCGTGGAAGAAGCCAATCTGAAAAGGCTACATGCAGTATGATTCCAACTACATGACATTCTAGAAAAGTCTAAACTATGGAGACAGTTACAAAGATCCATGATTGCCAAGAGCCTGGGGGAAGAGAGGGATGAATCGGTGGAGCAGAGAGGATTTTTAGGCTAGGGAAACTATTGTGTATGATACTATAATGGTGGATACATGTCATCAGACGTTTGTCCAAACCCATAGGATGTACAGCACCAACAGTGAACCCTAATGTATACTATGGATTCTGGATGATATTGTCAGTATAGGCTCATCACTTGTAACCAGTGCACTACTCTGGCATGGGATGTTGATAGTGGGGAAGGCTGTGCATGTTTGGGGCGGGGGCTATATGGGAGATCTCTGTACCTTTCTCTTAATTTTGCTGTGAAGCAAAAATGGTTCTAAAAAAATCAAATCTTGAAAAAGGCACTGAAGTATAAAATGGAGCAGTATTGGGGCACCAATAAACCATCCAGTCTCTCCAGAACTGCAAACTAACTGCTACTACAGCAAGAGAGAGGGGTCAGCAACTACCTGCCTGCAGCGGGGGTAGGGGGGAGTTGGGGGAAATGGCGGGGGGTGGGGTCCCTGACAGTTTCCTCAGAAGTGGGTTGACGTATTCTGGAGGAGGAGGAGGAGGAGGCAGCATGAGGCAGCAGGCAGGATGCATTTCTTGAACTGGATCATGGCCAGGTCCTTACAGCTCTCCCACTGCCACCTTTGGCAAACATTCCTGGGATCCTGAAGGCTCAGACAAGGCCCATCCCTCTTATGTTACCATGGGGATTATCTCTTCCTCCTTTTCTCTTTTAGTTTTCCCTCCAAGGAAGGGTTGTCACTCCTTTTCCAAAAGGAAGAAGGACCAAGTGAATGATTTTCAAGGGCACAGTGCTGTTATTTCTCGAGGGAACCTCTGCCATGTTCTTGAGCATGTTGCTCGTTTTCTCCTTCCCTTCTCTTCTTAGCCCTCTCCCTCTCGCTCTCTCCTACCTCTCCCCCTTTTCCTTTTTCTTTCATCACAAAGACTACAAAGAGTATACATGGTCACTGTAGAGGCCTTGGAAAATGCAGGGGAGTGCAAAGAAGAAAGTAAAATCCTGTAAATATCCTTTGTCCAAAGAAATCCACCACTAACACGTTGATAATCGTACTTCTGAATCTTTTCTCTGCATCTACATTTGGCCCCAATGCCTGGTGCTCCACTGGCCCCACAGTACCCCTCCCACCTGCTACCTACCCTGTCCAAGTTTCCCTGCCCTCGGGTACTGGCAGGGGTTGTCACCGTGTCCTGGCCACAGCCTGTGCCTTCCCTGTGTTACTCCATCAGCTCCTTCTGGATTGCTGACCTCTGCTCTAACCACTGATCGTTCATGACAATTTTGCTACCCACCTTCTGCAGGTGACAGATCCTTCTGCCTCAGAAGGGGGAGTGCTACTGTCCTGCTGTCCTAGAGCTGAGGGAGACGGACACCACTCTCCCCGGTAACACTAGATTCTCAGGAATAGATACAACACCTTCCAAACTGCAGCTGACACCAGCTGTACATTGTAACAAGACTTTTAAGATTTAGGAATGTCAGAGAGATATTACCCACAGCAGTTACATCACATCTGCTTACAGTCTGGCTGTTCTTGGAGCCCAGAATTCCAGGCCTGTTCCAGGGTGTCCAATTGAGCTGTGTCCTTGACCTGCCTCGAGGCAGCTGAAGCCAGCTTGCCCTGACCTCCAGGAGTAGCTGTTGCAGGCAGGCAGCTTAGCTCAAAATGAGAGAAACTATGGCTAATTTAAACAAAAATGAAAATAATTTTAAAAAGGATATTGGATAGCTACCAAATCCTTGGGATGGTTGGAAACCCAAACTGGGAAGGTACCTTGTTAAAAACAATGACCAAATCACACCATGGAACTGGTCCCGGAGGAAGCCACTGCTGTGTCTGCCCGGGCATATACAGGGCGGTGGCCCCTGGATGCTGCTGCAAGAACCATCCTTGTGACTGCTCCTGGAGTGGGGCATACCAACATTGGTACCACCATCCCTGGAATGGCTTCCACAGGGTCCCTGTTTCTTTATATAACATCCAAGATATGTCTGCTCCTGCCTGCCACCCCACCTCCCATGGAAGCTCCCCGCTGATGCTTTCACTTCCATCTTGATCAAGGGCAAGGTTTACCTTCCATGCCCACCCCACTCAGGGTTCCAGTCCCTCACCCTCTGTCGGAGGACCTAGGAGGATCCAGGACTCTTGAGAGCTGGGCTGTGCACAGGTGGTGAATCACCAGCAGAAAGCTCTGCATCTAGTCTCTTCCTCTTGGCCTCCAGACTGGACGTTTTGCTTCCCACCACCCACCCCCCGCAACCGGAAGACTCTAGGAAGATCTCGTCCCTCCCACTGTACTTTTGCTCCAGGCTGAGTGGCCATTCCGCCTTCTCTCTGTCTGTGTTCCTAACCCGGTCTTGCCTACTGTCTGGAAGAGGAGAAAGTGGTTCTGTAAGTCTGCCTCTGAGAATCTCCACACCTCTTTTCAGAATGGTCTGGGGAGTGGCGGGTGCCAGTGAGACGAAAGAGGAGGACGGAGGACAGAGGACTCTTAGATGACTACTTCAAGGTTTAACCCTGTTACATCTGCATGGGTGTGGTTCAAAGTCTGAATTATGTCTTTATGGCTGGGAAAGCCTGGGTCACATGCTTGTCTCCTCATAGCAGGAGAGGCTGGGAAAGTCAGTAGGTGGTACATTGCAGCTTCTGTACTGGGAGGAGGTCTCTGTCTTTCACCAAACTAAAGAAGGATGTTCAAATTATTGGTGGGCAAAAAGAATGACAAGGATCCTCTGACGTGGACATGCCCTGTGATCACATTAGCTCTGTTTGGTCACAGCATGATAGTGGAGTGGCTTGGGCGACCTATGGCAGTATCATTGATAATCATTTACCATACACCACAGGCTGAGCGTCACCAGGGTTGATCCAATTCCATTTTCTAATCTTTCTCCTAACATGGGGTGAACATCAGGAGGCCTGGAGATCTTCTTTTGTTGCTTTTAGATTCTCAGTTTCTGGTCCTCTGAGAAGAACTGTTCAAACTGTTCATGCATATCTCTACTAAACACTTTGCAGGAGCAATGGAATCTAGAACTGCATTTTAAAGAGAATACTCTTGTAAAGGAAATAGTATCTACAGAGATGCAACCCTACCAAAGGGTAGGGCACTGTTGACTACTTTATCTTATGGAGCATGTGTCCCTGGAGTCACAGCCTTGGGATGCCTACATCTGCTTTCATTTGCATAGCTAAACAGCCCAGTCTCTTCATGAAAGGTAATAGTCTACTTTATTCATTACATTTAGCTCCATGAAAGAGTTTGCATATAACTTAATTGTTTTAAGAGGAAAAAATGTACCAATTAAAAGCCAGGACATTTATTATGCATGTTCAGCAATCAAAATAGGCTTCAGTGTAGCCTTCTATTTTTTTTTTTCTTTTTTGAGACGTAGTCTCACTCTGTTGCCCAGGATGGAGTGCAGTTACATGATCTCGGCTCACTGCAAGCTCTGCCTCCCGGGTTCAAGCGATTCCCCTGCCTCAGCCTCCCAAGTAGCTGGGATTACAGGTACCTGCCACCACACCTGGCTGATTTTTGTGTTTTTAGTAGAGACAGGGTTTCACCATATTGGCCAGGCTGGTCTCGAACTCCTGACCTCAAGTGATCCACCTACCTCTCGGCCTCCCAAAGTGCTGGGATTACAGGCGTGAGCCACTGTGCCTGGCCCAGTGTAGTCCTTCTAAGCAAATCCATTCTAATCAAATGAAGGAACAGTGCTCCTCTTTAATAATCATAAATAAGTGATAGATGAATAAGGAAATGAATCATGTATGCATTTATTTGTCCACAACACACAATTGGAGCTGGCATTTCCTGGAGGCATTTGTATAAAACTTAGATGAGATCACGTCCCCTAGGATGTCAAGGTACTTGCCCTGATTCTGCCATGAGGCCTCCAATGGAAACTTTGTCAGGAGTAGAAAACAGCCAATGTATGTGAAGTCCAAGTTCATTGGCACCTCCCTAGCCTCCTTGCAGGGTTGTTTCTCTCCATCACTAATCCCCTGTTTTGGATCATTTGCAACAACTCCCTTTACTACGAAGAGGGAATCTTGAGGTATGAGCAGTAAATATGGAGACTGTGGTAGGCAAACAGTTCCACAGTGTCATGAGGTCCCTTTTACACTCTCTCACTCTGTGGATTCTTTCCCCTTCACAACACGTCTGATTTATCACAAGCTGTGATTAATTATTTCCTTGCATGACTGTTTAATGCTTGTCTCAACTCCTACTAGCTCTGTGAGACTGGGGGCCATTTTGTTTTACTCACCGGTGAAGTTAGCTCAATATCTGACAGAGAGTAGGTACATGATAAATACTCATTGAAAAAAGGAATAGAAAAGTTATAGAGTTCAGCTATATTCATAGCTTGAAAAATATGCTAAAGGAATTTTCTCATTTGTAGGTGTTCCTGTCCAGTTCCCTTAGTGCAGGCCTTCCCAGTGTAGGGTTTATTTCTGCATGACTTTCTATAAAGCTGTATTTCCTTCTTATCTAACTTCTCGTTCCTAGTCTAACTAGAAAGTTCATGCATATCCCTTTCTCCCTTCTCTCCATTTTCTTTTTATCTCTGAAACAATTAGGTACACACGTAGCTGGGAAGCCTTCTTGTATGCCTCCAGAAAAATTCTAGATCCCTCAAACTATTGTTCTATCTCTTCTTTCTGTACCCCAATTTTTTTCTCAATTATGCTCTTAAATTATCCTTCTGAAAGATTTTCTAATTTTGTTTGCTTCTTGTTGCCTTTTTCTCTTCTAGTTCACACACCTTTCTCTGTAAGATTTCTTAATGCTTATTTTATTATTATTTATAGTTTTATGTGGACAAGCATCCCTAGATGCTTACATTAAAAGTATTTGTCTAAAAAAAGAAGGAAGGAAGGAAGGAAAGAAGAAAGGAAGGAAAGAAAGAAAGAGAGATAAATATGGAAAGAAAGAGAAAAAAAGGAAGAAAGGAAGAAAGAAAGGAAGAAGAAAGAAAGAAAAGAAGAAGAAAGAAAGAGAGAAAGAAAGAAGGAAAGAAGAGAAAGAAGGAAAGAAGAGAAAGAAAGAAAAAGAAAGAAAGAAAGAGAAAGAAAGAAAGAAACTGTCTATTGGGAAGGGCGTTGTTTACTGCTTATCCAGCAATACCCAGGTATTTGTATAGGTGTTGACCTAAATCTATCTGACCTTGAAGGCTGTCTTCAAATCTTCTAACAGGCAAGATAAATAAGGTCACAGAAAATGCATACCTGTTTGTCATTTACCTTTATTCCTGGGCCTATAGATAGTTCTTCTGTCTAGTAGCCTCTGGGCTACTCATGGGAGTGGGGATAGGGATCATATGACAACTTTCTTCTCTTTTACGTGTTCTGGGTACTCTTGGATACTGGTTCCAGGGAACAGCTGCATAGCTAAGAGATGGGTGGGAAGGACAAGAAAGAGTAAAGTGTTCCTAGAGGAGCCAGCGAGGCAAGGGGTGTTTTACTGACCTAGTCTGTTTTATGGCTACATGAGAACCCTAACACTGCTCTCCCCTTGCCCTGGCTGCTTTTCCAGGTTCTTGTCCTTCCCAGACAGCTCTAGCCAGGGCTCAGGGTTCCTTAATGGCTGTCCCAATCCACTCTTCTTTTAGCAGAGCACCCTTAGCAAGAAACCCACTGTAATCTCACCCTACTTTTCTGCTTTTACAACATGTCTTCCTTCCGGGTGAACATTCACAAGCTAAAGAAGGGAACTCACCTTCCCTTGAGGAGAGCTTGCTGAACACCAGAGGATTTCACCTCTTTCCCCCTTCATAATGGAATAATCACTGAGCTTTCTGCTAGAATAAAAAAATCATGGGCCGGGCACGGTGGCTCACGCCTGTAATCCCAGCACTTTGGCAGACCGAGGCGGGTGGATCACTTGAGGTCAGGAGTTCAAGACCAGCATGGCCAACATGGCGAAACCCCATCTCTACTAAAAATACAATCATTAGCTGGGCGTGGCGGTGCGCTCCTGTAATCTCAGCTACTCGGGAGGCTGAGGCAGGAGAATCGCTTGAACCTGGGAGGCGGAAGTTGCAGTGAGCTGAGTTTGCGCCACTGCACTCCAGCCTGGGCGACAAAGTGAGACTCTGCCTCAAAAAAATAAAATAAAATAAAATAAAATAAAATAAAATAAAATAAGACAAAGGAGATGATAAATTAAAGCCTAACATTACTATATTCCCTTTATACTGAAGAATATGGTTTATATCTGTGGAAAGATGAGTTTCCTAATACAACCTCAGAATTAGATAGGAGATCACAAGGGGTAACTCCCAAAAGGAAGGGGAGAGGAAGGGGCTGGGTTAACAGTTCCTGGGTCAGAATAAGAGTTGAGTGGCCATGTGTATTGCAGCAGGTGGAGCTCCCTATACAAGGAAAGCACTGGGGCGGAAAATGAGCATTTATCCTATTAGAATGGTCTTGTGCCTTCACTCCTGTGCACTGCTTAGCCAGGGAACTGTGCCCTTACACCTTGTTAGCCAGTGGAAGAAGAGTGAGTCTACCTTTTAGCTGTCTGTAGCATTGTTACTGTAGTATTATTGTATGCTTCTGTTTATGATGGTGGAGAGGCCATTTGAGATGGAGGCATTGTTCATCATGCTGCTGAAATTTGAGTAGGATAAATTTAGAATTTGGATAGGTGAGCAGCTGGGAGGGGCATCTTTTGGGATTGTCAGGAGTTACTCAGTTGATGTGGCTCATCAGCAGGTGTCCCATTCTCCTTACCTTTCCATGGGCTTTCTTTCATGCTTCAACCAAAGAGAAGGACCCTTCTTCAGTTAAGGATTTGTCTGGATGTTTTCTACATGTGGTGTGATCGCTTATGAGTTTTCCTGCCTCTGAGACCTACCTTCTGAATGCCTGACTGACAAAGATTTAAAGGTCGTCCATTACAGTTGGCATGCTTTTATATTCCACATGCCAGAGCTACAAGAATGTTATTATTTCCTTTCTTCTCTCCCAGGTGATATATTTGGTCACCTAGGTGTCATTAGGTACTAAGCTTTGCCTTCAATATCTACCAGGGTGGGGCACCATGGACAGTGCCACAAAGACCTTTTCAGACAAAGGCTCAGATCTTCCTGCTGGACTTTGTGTGCAAGAGGAAGGAACTTTTTCTTTTCTTTTTTCCCCTTCTCTCTCTCTCTCTCTCTCTCTCTCTCTCTCTCTCCCTTCCCTCCTTCCTTCCTTCTGTTTCTTCCTTCCTTCCCTCCCTCCTTCCCTCGAACTGCCATGTCCCTTGCAACTAGAATGGTCCCTGACATTTAAGGTTTTAAATAATTATGTGCAGAATGAATTAAATGCCAAATCTTGTGTTCCAATAGCGTATTATCTTCAAATGTTAACAGCAACCAGTTTTTTAGAATAGAAAACTTTTGAAAATTTTAATTAAAGTCTTCCTGCAGTGGAACAGTTGATTTTTTTTTTTTTTTTTTTTTTTTTTTTTTTTTTTTTTTTAGTCGGAGTCTCTCTCTGTTGCCCAGGCTGGAGTGCAGTGGTGCAATCTTGGCTCGCTGCAACCTCTGCCTCCCGGGTTCAAGTGATTCTCCCTGCCTCAGTCTCCTAAGTAGCTGGGATTACAGACATCTGCCACCATGCCCAGCTAATTTTTGTATTTTTTAGTAGAGTTGGGGTTTCCCCATGTTGGCCAGGCAGGTCTTGAACTCCTGACCTCAGCCTCCTGAAGAGCTGGGATTACAGGTGTGAGCCAGCATGCCTGGCCTGAGTTTTTATTATTTGTGAATTTTATTTTTTTCCATCCCAGATGCACCTATATTGGTAGTCTAGTGATAAAAACAATTTACCCATATATACCAACATCTTTTTCAAGAACTTTGCATAGTGAAACCAGCAAAGTACTGAACTGGCCAGTCTGTCATAGGTGTCTTGCAACATGACTCAGAGTCAGAAGCTGGATATAAACTTTTTTCTGTGTGTGTATATATGATCCATTTGTGTATTCGGCTTTTGAGTGGGACTTTTTCAGTAGGCTTCTTGAAGGTTCCACTTCACTATTCTCACTGATGTGTGCTTACAGCATCTCTGCCATGGAGATTTTAGGCAGAGAGTGTTTAAAAGCTCTACTCATAGTTTATAGAATTGCTAGTGCCACAAGGCCATTCATTGTGATGATGAAATTATTAGTTATAAGTGAACCTTCTAAAATAAATCTTGGAAGAAAACATGTTATAAGAAAATGAAGTCAGTCCTCTTACTAGGCAGTTCCCATCATCTTTCCATTTTGAGAAATTATCCTCAGTTCAGATGTATTACTATGGTGATGTGTTTGCATTTCAACAAACCAAACCAAGCCGTAAACTGAGCTCTGCATGTTTAGCTTCTGTCTTAGGATTTTTACCGCAGTGTCTTTATTCTTGAGTAAAATCCCCGACATCCTGGCTAGAAATCACAATGAATAAATAATTTCCCAGCCAGACAAAACAATCTGAATTGCTAATCTCAGAATTCTAAGAAATTACATAAAGATGCAAACAATGGGGATTAAAGAGGGGGTAAAAATTAAATGAAAAAATAGCCCACAAATGAATGGAAATATACATGCTCTCCAAAATAACATTGTGGAAGTAAACAAAAACAGACAGAGAATTATGCTTAATGAGAATTGGACATGTGGCTTAGCCCTCTGAGGCCTGAAACAAGTAAACACTTCCCGAATTGTCAGTCCATACATCCCTCTCTCAAAAGAGAGCTCTTAGAACTGGCTCCCTCTCCTCCTGTTTACGAAGCTTACTTGGTCTTTGGAACAATTGCACATATAATTTTAACAACTAAATGAACTCTACAGGAGATGGGTTTTGAGTACTTAAAAAATTCCTATAGTTTGTATCAATCAGATACGGGAGATAGTTTTGCAAAATACTGTTTGTGTAAAGAGAAGGGAAGAACATGCGCTCTAGTCTAACCAATCAACAAAGTGTGAAAACACGATTTAGACAGAAGTACAACGACCATCCTATCAGTTCTACCCAAATATCATATCAGACCATCTCTTCCCTGATAACAGTTTTGTTAGCCTAAGGACACATTAGCTCAGTTAGATCTGGGCTCTCACAGAGCTTTCTGCTAGCGGCTCTGCTTACTGGTAAGTAAGCCATGCAATTTTGCCTAGCAACCCCACCGTGGAAACACAGCTCCATTCTGTAAGTGGCAGGGGGATGTGGCAGGGAGGCAGGGAGAGTGAGGTTTGTGCCTCTCAGAATCCCTCTGCAGCTGGTTCCTGACATCGCAAACGTTATCTGCAATTCTTGGCAGTTTCGGAAGGATGATGAAAAATGGGACGGGGAGGTGGCTGAGCCTGGGGTTTTGGAAGTAGGATGGAATTAATTGGAAGGCAAATAAAAAAGCTTCCAAGATTGTGAGCTGCGACTGTCTGAGAGCTCAAACCAGAGTTGGCAAGAGGAACCAAAGGAGAATGAGGACATTTTTTGTCATTGACAATGAGGTATACAATATATCCAGGAAAGGACAACCAGCAGCGACCTCCTGAAGCTAAACAGAGATTATCTTAAGCCACATATGAGGGAACATTCCTCAATGGCAAAGAGAAGCATTAAATCTGGGACTGTCTACGTCTAAGGAAAAATTTGAGCATTTACATTAAAATGGCCTGTTAACAAGCATTGAATATTAACCAGGCACTGTGCTAAGTGTTTGCACACTTGTTTAATCTTCCAAACAATCCGATGAGGTGGGATTTCTTATCTCCATTTTATAGAGGAAAAAAACTAATGCACAGAGAGGTTGAGAAACTTGCCTAAGGTCACTCAGCTATTTAGCAGTGGGGTTGGGATGTGTCTCAGGCAGTCTTTCCCTAGACTCTGTGCTCTTAAACACTACTATGGTTTTTCAGCAGCAGTGAACAGTTACAGGGCTAATGGGGATAAGAAAACTGAAGATCACCACACGGCACATGAGATGGTTTGTGATTCCATTGTGAAAGCTGCAGTTTAAAATGTTCAATTAAGGCAACTTTTTTTTTTTTTAAATACCTAGAGGGCAGCAAAAACATGGGTATCTAGAATAACAGATATTGCTAAAACCTTACGCCCACAGCACTTCTTTTTATAGCAAAGTATGGGTATACACATATTTTCATACACCTACACACACATACACATGCAAGACGCGCATTTCTTAAGTCCCTAAAATACCCTGATAATTAAATGCTCCAAACATTCTCTGAGTGTGACCCTTGGATGTCTAGGAGAAGCAGCCCAGGAACACACTTGTTAGCCGGGGCAATGAGTAGTGGTGAAATGTTTACCTTGCTGATAAAGTCTCCAGTAGATGATGCAATTAAGATGCCACGATCTAGCCTTTGTTATACACCTCCTTGTCTGCCGTCAAACAAATCCACCGCTGTCCTTCCCCATCTTCCCTCCTGCCCATCTCCTGAAGTCCAGGAACGTCTCCAGCTTCCTACGTACTTGCAGTCCTCTTTTGCCAACCTCAACCTCATTTAGATTGCAATTACATTCACATCTTAATTTATGACTTAACAAGCATCTCACAAACATTTAATTCACTTTAACTTCACTATGCATTTGAGGAGGAATATTTGAGGAGGAATGGTACTCCCATTGCCAGCAATTAGATTGACTTAATGATCTATGGCGAAATCTCCTTTTGGGCTTTGAACTTTTCATACATTTCTGCAAACAAAACTAGGCTAATTAAAGTAAGTTCCTGGATTCTCAGAGGGGCTTACCTGCCTTCACAAAATCCTCCTGTAATATCCAACATGGAAATTTATGAAATAGACAAAACTTTCCCTGCAGTTTTCAGGTAATTTATCTTGTTACGACACTTTCATGTGTGGAAAAGTCGATATTTTCATATATAGTTTCAACAATATCAATAAATTGTAATTTTTTTTTCAGATGGCTTCTCTGAGGAGATTAGGAGGGTTTCTATATCAAAGCATAGATCAAATTATTTTTCCCTGTTCCCATTTTATATACCAGATGCCTTCTTAGGAGTTAGAAAAGTACCTCCTTTTTACAAGGAAGGATGGCATTTCTTTAGCTTTTCCTGGACAGATCACCCGGTGACCATTTTTTATTCTCAGTCTTCCTTCACAGAAGGGACAGAGGACTGCCCATTTTCAGCAGGAGTTAGTCTGATTTCTTCTGTTAGATGCAGACGACTTTGTTTGACAACTTTCTTTGGGTTGGTGAATTGTTGAATTACTTGAAAAGCTGTTTCCGTTGTTAAGCACTGGACTGAGAATTAATTACATCAGAATTCTAATCTCGGCTCATTAGTGGCATCATTTTATGCAAGTCCCTTAACCCCTCTTGGCTTCAGTTTTGCATGTGTAAAATGAAGTATATAAAGCAAAGGTCTCTCTGTGCTTGGTGCGATGAAGAGGATGCAGGTCTCATGGTACGGATTTCCTATATTGATTGCCCCAAATGTGGTGTACGTTTGCAGAAAATTCATCTAGGCAATGTAGAAAGGCCATACATTCTGGTGTTAAACACATCGTTCATATATTTATGCTAGTATATGATACCAGGGCCTCCTGATGACAGTCTCCAGCACCAATTCTGAGAATTGCGAGGATTTTTCAGCTTAGAGTTTTTCAGCTTAGAGTCAATTCCAGTGTCGCCTTCAGCACATCCAAAGAGAATATGACCGATGCTACCAGTCCTGCTCCTGGACTCCACTGGTATGATTCCTTTGCCCCAGTATCAGTCTAATTCCCATTCTAGATGCTTTTTTCTTAATGACCCAACAACTGACTCCTTCAGGAGCTGGCATGAGATGAGATTTGTTTGCAGAGATGTATAAAAATTTCAAAGCCCCAAAGGAGATTTCACCACAGATCATTAAGTCCATCTAATTGTCGTCCTACTACCCATTTAGACGGGGACCCTGTTATGCTAACTCCTATCCTGTCTCTTGTGAGTGATACAGTCAACACACATGATGATCACAGCACCAGCTCAGACAGGTGTGTTTTAAAACAAAAGTGTGTTATAAATGTACAGCCTCAGCAGGGAAAATGTGGGGGCGAAGAAACACACAAATACTTGGCTAGAGTCGGTCACAGGTGAAGATGGGGATGACTGTGTTTTCCGTTTCATCCAAACATTTTGGCCTGACTCAGATAATTTTTTTTCCAGCATATTCTGTTTGACACAAGGGAAACGGTGCAAATCCATCACCACCATTGTGGAAAGAGCTCCAAACTCATTCTCACGAATGGTGGATCAGTAATACTACATGACAAATGGTAGCATTTTTGGGAAACCATTATATTTGCACCAGTGAGAAGTCAGAATCAGCATTTGGGCTGCAGTCATGGAACCATGCAAGAAACATTCAAAGCATTGGCTAAGCAGGATTTTTTTGTTTGTTTGACCTGGTGTCCACGAACAGGCTTCAGGGAGCCTGAGAACCTCCTAGACCACTTGAAAAATTCTGAATGCACTTTTCTAGGAAAGAGTTCACAGCGTTCATCAAATTTCCTCCAAGCAGCCAATGACCAGAGAAAGGTTAAAAGTCACTGACACAGTACCGTTTTCTGTGCATCTATATCCTGAATCCAGGGTGATGCCGCTGACTTGCCTATCTTTCTCCTTTGCTCTTCCTAGAAAAAGCAAGTGAGTCAGACCAAGATCCGGGTCATCTCAACCATCCTGTTCATCTTGGCCGGCTGCATTGTGTTTGTGACGATCCCTGCTGTCATCTTTAAGTACATCGAGGGCTGGACGGCCTTGGAGTCCATTTACTTTGTGGTGGTCACTCTGACCACGGTGGGCTTTGGTGATTTTGTGGCAGGTAAGCACCCTGGGCAGGCCAGGCACTGGGGCTCTGGCGGGAAAAATAATCTGTTGGCTGTGCTTTTCGCAATCGATAAAAGATGTTGCGGGAGAAGCAAATGAAGATGACTCAGTGTCACTACTGCTGTGAAGAGGCTCATTTCAAATCCCTAGTCCTATGTAATATAAATACCATAGGTTTTTTTCTGCTATGAAAAGAAAGCCAACCCTTTCCTTCTCAGGATGCTTATTTCCCTTATCGTCACACAAATTATGCAAGACTAAAGTGAATTTCTCATTAAATCTTGAACTTCTGAATTGAATTAAACCTCTCTAATCCAATGATAAAGGCTGTGTTAGGAAGTGGCACATAGGAAACTCAGATGAGATTAGCATAGAATTTGGTCTGCAGTGACCTGCAGGTTCAGCTTCCTGACTCCCAGGTGAGAGCCATTGTCTCTGCAAACGTTGTCCTGCACATGCCCAGATACAAAGCTGAGGACTTTGGTGACTATGGGGAGCTGAGAACTGCCCAGAGGGAATATAAGCTCATGGATTATGCAGGAGTGTATATACAAGCAATAGCCTTCCTTGTAAAAATAAATGTGGATGAGCTATGTTTAAGGAAGTGAAAAAAAAATCATCAATTTCATCTAGGGCCAGGGAAATTGCAAATGAAATGAGATTTAGTTTCATATGTGCACCAGTTTCCCAAAAGTGTGGTAGAAAGGTACGGATAGAAGGAAGAGGCCATCCTTCTCTTTTTCTAATAGGATAGTTCTAGATGTTCAGACAAGTGATCAGTTTCTACTACAAGAAGTGAACACTTTGATCAAACAACTCTATCATCTGTCACAAGTTTGAAATGTCTGGATGGAGTGTGTGTGTGTGTGTGTGTGTGTTTCCTTTACCAGTTCCTGGTGAAGTGGCAGCCTGACCTGAGCCCTAAGCAGACTGTTTTTTTTTGTTTTTGTTTTTGTTTTTGTTTTTTTTGAACAGGGTCTCCCTCTGTTGCCCAGGCTGGAGTGCAGTGGTGTGATCATGGCTCACTGCAGCCTCGGACCTCTGGGGCTCAAGTGATCATCCCACCTCAGCCTCCTGAGTAGCTGGGACTACAGACGTGTGCCACCATGCCTGGCTATTTTTTATTTTCATTTTTTGTATTTTTCGTAGAGATGGGATTTAGCCATGTTGCCCAAGCTGGTCTTGATCTGTTGGGCTCATGTGATCGGCCTGCCAAAGTGCTGGGATTACAGGTGTGAGCCACTGCACCTGGCCAGACTGTTCTTGTTTGGCGTGTGATCCCAGCAGTGTCTTGATTTCTCCATGGAATACTGTGCACATCAGGAGGATGGGTTCTGGTCTCTGGGAGTCTGGCAAACAGGAAATTCTGGAAGAGATTGCTGAAGGCTCATCAATAGGGGCATGCGTGCCTCCCTGTTAATTTTATAATACAAATAACTGGCAGAGTGGTTTTGTAGCTCTTCCAATTGGGCAGACAAAGACTGAATTCCACTTTGTAGAAATAATAGGGTTTTTTTTCCCCTTCCTTTTTATTGGTTAAGGACTAAGAATTGCAAAGTGACTAAATTTAGTTTTTTTTAGCTTTTAACTAAAAATTGATTTTTAGTCAGTGTGACTAAAAATCATTTACAGAAAGCCTGTAGCCTGGGACTCTACCCATTTTCCCCTTACGCACAGTGCTCAACCATGGATGTCTAGTTAGTGGCCTCAAGCTCCGAAGAGAGACTGTACAGAGAAACTGAGAAAAGTAAGAGGAACAGTTATAGATGTATTCCAGTTAATCCCTTGGCATCATCCGTAGCCGGTCCGTGGGAAAACTCAGTGGTGTTTCCAATCTAAGGCAAACACATGTAGTGGCAGCTGGAATTTTGAACTATTTCACAAACATCTTTAAGTATCCAAAGCATAACCTGCAGTGGGTGGTGATTTAGAGCTCTCTGGGATAGCACTGGGCTGTCCTGAGGACTGTCTATTATAAGATACCTGTGACAGACACAGATCTCTAACCAATGGCTCAGTTCAGTCTGTTAATCTGAGGCACAAATAGCAGAGGCCTGGGAGTGAGATTTTTTAAGTGATGCTTTTATTATTTGTTATCTACCATGGACTGAGCACTTAGTACAAACTAGTACTTTACCTTATCTTTACTTACCTAGTAAGGGCACAACCTACACAGTCCCAGGCATCCACAGTTTTACTGCCCTTGTCAGTGATTACAGAGCCATATTTCCTTTGTCCTGAGGTTTCTGTAGACCACGGTCTCTTAAAAGTCACAGTGCTGACTGCAGTTAGGCCAGACCCCTTCCAAGCTCCAGTTTTCCGAGCTTACACAGACCAATCTGGAGAATGCATGCCTGAAAAGACTGGAAGTTTATCTCTATCTTTTGGTAACAGTCTGCGAGTGATAGGGAAGGTTGCCCAATCATTGGAAAACGATACATTAACAAGAGTTGATGGTTGCTGTGATTCGACATAGTATGAACTCTACTAGAAATGTAATCAGATCATTGATCCTGCAGGATTGATTGCTGATTTATTTTGCAGCTGACTCACTTTAGGACAGCCTTACAATATTTCGCAACTCTGTCTGGGAGCACACACAGAACTCCGAATCCAGATAAGCAGCTCATAAAGGGATACTTAGAAGGGTGTTGACTGCCTGCTTCATTGTTCCTTGTTCACTAGCGCACCCTAGTGACCATCTTTGCTGGGTAATAGTGACTTGCAAAGGTAAATATTTACTCCCAGATAGCCCACAGGAGAAAGCTACAGATTTCTCTGGCGTAGCACAGAAACGAAATGAACCTCAAAAACCACTTACTGGTGCGGGAACTCAGATCGTATCCTACAGCTCTAATGATGCAGGAGAGAGTTGTCTGAAAGGAAAAACCAAAAGCAGCTGCACCAAACCGAAGGGGGCTTGGCACAGAGAAGTTGGAATTCTAACGTTAAGAAGTGGCAGCAGCTGTCGAGCCTCATGGTCTGCTGCGCTGTGTTGCTGATTGGGTTTGAGCTTGTCGAGAGGAGCCACAGGTCACATTTCTTGCCCAGCTGCCTTTGCCGTAAGACTCAGTGGCGCTAGATGTGGTTACAACCTTGGTCTGGTGGGAAAGTCTGTAATCACTCATCACCTAATACGATAGTTACCAATCCATTGCTAGTATCTGTCATCTTAGAAATGGCCACTGCCTGCTTCCTTAGGCAATAGCGTTTCCCAGAGAGAGATTGAGGCTGATGTCCGTTATTTCCAGGAGCTTCCTCACTTCTTTAGGACGGTGGGTTGGGCTTGCAACCTGTTTTGCATGGCTGCCTCCAGCAGTGTCTGTAGGAAGGTTAGAATAAATAGGCTAATTATTCAGAATAAATGACTGGTCCTTTCAATGGAACAGCCAGTCAATGCAATCAGGCAACTGGCCAATTTGGTTTGATGGATTTTTACTGTAATCCTTATTTATAAAATAAAGGGATTGGCCTCAAAGGTCCCTTTTAGTTCTAGTTTATGGTGACTCTAATTACTCAGCCTAACTGACCCTTTGGAGTAGCACTATGTAAACACCATTCCTCAGTTAGCATTAAATCACTATTGCTTGCATCAAAATCCCAGTAATGCCATTAAAGCTAATTTTACTTTCACACATCCACTTGTCTCTTAGTAAATGTATGGGTGCTTAAGATGGAAATGGTTCCAAGAATTCCAAACCATAGGGGGTGATATGATTATATTTGATTTTTATTAAAATAAATTTAGAGAAGTTTAAGAAAAAACAATGACAACCAGGCCTGATCTGTTGTCCTGTAGTTCAGAGTTATTCATCCTTAACGCTCAGGTCAAGCATTAGTAGGTCAAGTTGGCCACTGGCGTTTTTTATTTCTGGTATTAAGGTTAGTGGTCAAGAATCGAGGGAAGTAAAGCCTTAAGTTAGGCTTTTTTGGGTAAGGGATGGGTACCCCCCTTGCCCTCTAACCCCGGTCCACCTTGTACACAGCAAACCTAACAGCTGAGTGTTAAACAATGATGGATGACGTCTTCACTACATGGAATGGAATATGTGTTCTCTGCAAAGACCATATGCTAGATCATGGTTAAAGTAACATTTGGTTGTTTTCAGGGGGAAACGCTGGCATCAATTATCGGGAGTGGTATAAGCCCCTAGTGTGGTTTTGGATCCTTGTTGGCCTTGCCTACTTTGCAGCTGTCCTCAGTATGATCGGAGATTGGCTACGGGTTCTGTCCAAAAAGACAAAAGAAGAGGTAGGACCCCTTCCTAACCCTATGAATGTTCCTGAGAACAGATGAGCTTGTGTCCAGAATTGCCTGTCTCTGTCCTGTGGGCTGGAGTGTTTCTGGCTCGGTTTTGCAGGGGGAGCGGGGGGCGGGTCATAGGCTTCCTCATGTTGAATCAGTCCTTCAAAGCTAAGGAGAATAGAATACAGTTATTTCTGGATTCTTTTTTTGGCAGGTGAGAAAATATGGTGATTCGTTTACCAGCCCATAAATCCTGGAAAAACTAGTAAACAACAGCTGATTTTAAAAAAATGAAAATGAAAATAAATAGGAGAGGTAGACTATGGCTGAGTGTGTGTGTGGGGGGGTGCAGCCTGTCCTTCCGGTCTCAGGGTCTGTGCAGAAAGGCAGTTGAACGCCAAGAATCTTTCCTGATTCAGTAAGAAACTGAAATCATCGAACATTGACCAGCTACGGGGAAGTGAGCCCAATGGGCCTCTTTCACTTATCCCCTCTTGGTTGTCACATCCATAGAGACAAATATACATCCCTGAGGAAGGGCCGTGCATGTAACTTTACATGAAGGGAAGTAAAGGAAGACATATGAAGGAAAGATAGATTTTGTGATTAAAAAATAAATATTCATGTAGCTCTCTTAGGAAGAGAGGAAAAGAAAGGAGGAAGGCCAAGGAAGGAGAAAAAAAAGAGCTAAAAGAAAGGAAGGGAGATAAGAAAAACCAAAGAAATAGAGGGCCAGCCTCTGTTTGCTTCATTCTGTATAAAAGGCCCCAGGAGAAAGTTGCTGAATGGAGAGATTTCCCACATCAGTTTCCTGGGCCCATATGCTAATTTTCCTGGTTTATATAAGTAAGCCAGGAAAGTAAGCAATGCAATTTCCAGACCGGTTCCCCAGACAGCTAACTGACCTGCTGAAAATCAGCTATAACAAAAGAGAAGGGAACAACATGAATATTGACTTTCCTGGATGCACAAATTTGAGTTCCTCATTTGCAGAGGGAAGCATGGGACTTATACTGTCTGCCCTGTTCATTAAGAGCCAAGAAATTTGGTGCTGATCCTCAGGCAAAACTCCACTCTAAGGAGGCCTGTTCTGTGGGCTTTGGCAGAATAGGCCGTCTTCCTGCACCCTGACTGGGGGAAGTGGGTTACCAGGTGCCCTGGAGCATCTTCTTAAACCAGGGAAAGCCCCACAGCACATGACCATAGCATGGCCCAGATAGGGTGGCCACCCATCCCAGTTTTCCCAGGACTGAGGGAGTTCCTAGGACACAGGACTCTGTTTTAAAACTGGGACAGCCTCAGGCAAACTGGAACAAGTTGGTCACCCTGCCAGGATAGAAAACCAGAAAGGCAGGGAGGGCAGAAGGCCTGCTGAACATCTGCTGTGCCCAGGACTGAGTGAGGTGCATTTCCTTGTCTCAGGTGAGCTATATATGGTCACTCAAGTGTATGTTGGGGGAATGAGGCCATGCAATTGATAAGAGAGAGCTGGAAGCCAGGCCTGTCCAACTCCACATTTTAACCTCTCCTGCAGGATGCCGTCCCCCTCTCTTTAAGTCACCATCTCCAAATCTGAGGCTTCTTGGGGTTGCCCACCACGTGTGTCTCCCTGAGCCACCTTATTTACTAGCCAATTAGGGATGGGTGTCCAGGTGGCAGAAGTACTAGGGCAGAAGGTAGCATTTGCACCTCCCCCTGGGCATGTGCTCCGTCACCTCCTGGCCTCCCCGTGGGGACACCCGAGGGCTGTGGGTGCTGGGAGGCCAAGGCAGGGAGGCATTTGTCAGCATATTGTTGCTCTTCTGTCTCTTGGCCAGGTGGGTGAAATCAAGGCCCATGCGGCAGAGTGGAAGGCCAATGTCACGGCTGAGTTCCGGGAGACACGGCGAAGGCTCAGCGTGGAGATCCACGATAAGCTGCAGCGGGCGGCCACCATCCGCAGCATGGAGCGCCGGCGGCTGGGCCTGGACCAGCGGGCCCACTCACTGGACATGCTGTCCCCCGAGAAGCGCTCTGTCTTTGCTGCCCTGGACACCGGCCGCTTCAAGGCCTCATCCCAGGAGAGCATCAACAACCGGCCCAACAACCTGCGCCTGAAGGGGCCGGAGCAGCTGAACAAGCATGGGCAGGGTGCGTCCGAGGACAACATCATCAACAAGTTCGGGTCCACCTCCAGACTCACCAAGAGGAAAAACAAGGACCTCAAAAAGACCTTGCCCGAGGACGTTCAGAAAATCTACAAGACCTTCCGGAATTACTCCCTGGACGAGGAGAAGAAAGAGGAGGAGACGGAAAAGATGTGTAACTCAGACAACTCCAGCACAGCCATGCTGACGGACTGTATCCAGCAGCACGCTGAGTTGGAGAACGGAATGATACCCACGGACACCAAAGACCGGGAGCCGGAGAACAACTCATTACTTGAAGACAGAAACTAAATGTGAAGGACATTGGTCTTGGACTGAGCGTTGTGTGTGTGTGTGTGTGTGTTTTTAATATTCACACTGAGACATGTGCCTTAAACAGACTTTTTAGTCCAAAATTACATAGCATTGAAGAATATATTTCACTGTGCCATAAACAACTGAAAGCTTGCTCTGCCAAAAGGAATCAGAGAACAAGAACTTCATTTCAGATAGCAAACGCAGGACACACCAAGAGTGTCCGTGCACGTAGCCGGTTCTGGCCGTACATGTTAAGGGCATTTCAGTGGCAGTGCTGTACCCCTGGGCAGTGCTACCTGGGCACACACGTAGACAAGGGCAGCTATTCCTTAGACCAGCCTCCTGAAAGAAACAGGTGTGTCTTTTTAGTGGAGTCGTAGTAATATGTGCACACACAGAAGGGGACCTGATTGGGTGGGAGCTGGTTATGTGTAACTAGCGTTGGAGTTGACATTTTGGCATGTGCTCTGAGCTTGAATTTTGATACCAACCATTCAGTGCATCATACCTAGTCTTTCTATGCTCCAAATGAATGTCTGTGGGGACCTGAGAGCACCTGGAATTTGTTGGAAGCAGATCAGAGCACACGTACGAAAAGGTGCAATTGCTTTTCTCATGACAAAAGAAAAAAAATAATCACAAACACATCACACTGTGGATATCACCTTAACCAATGACAGAAGCCTGCTGAGTTTGGTCTTTCTCACAGGGGTAGGTAGTCCACATGAACTGGCGAGCAGTGGTGAAAACATGACATCAACTGCTGCGTGGTTAAAGGCCAATCATGCATTTTCCTCAGTGGGTGCAATGGTGACAATAAACTGATTTGGAAATGTCCATGTACTTTGGTTATAACTTGTTTTGATAAGAGGGGTAGAAATACCAAAACAATTGCCTTGCATGATGCCAGTGGCTTGCTGTTCTGTCTAGCTGATCCTACATTTTTACAAAAGTAGACATCCTGCATTTCTGAGACACACTGAGGAGGACCATGGCATCTTTCCATCTCAGGGCTTTTTGTCCCTTGGGTGTCTTAGGGTAGACATAGTGATAAGATCCAATCTCGCTATCTCCAAACAAAAAGAAAATGTACCCCTTGTACAGTAAGCTTGAAATGTTTTTATTGCTTGCAGCGTAAGTGCCATTAATTCCATTTAACAATGATACTTAGAAATATTTAAAATATTTCATTTTACTTTTATGTTTGGGCATTCCTTTATTCTGAAAAAGTCACCACTGCTCCTTGCTTGTTTCTACATCTCACATCGGTTACTCACTAAAACTGGAACACCCTAGACTGATTGTTCCCAGGCAAACGATAAGCTAACACATCATAATTATGATTGGTCTGTGAGGCTAGAACATCCCGCAGAGGAAAGTCGGGGAATGGCTAGTCATAGGTTGCATGATGATTTTAAATGGGTTTGTATCAGAAAGGGGAAAATACATACTCCTGTGTATGCCTCAGTCTTTATCATAATTGGCTGGTTCACAGCTAGCTCTTTGGGCCACACGTGAAAGCATTTGGACCTGGCAACACCAGGCAGTTGCTGGTTATGGGTGTTCTAGGCTCACTGCTACCTTTTACAGAGTTCACGGGATTTTACGTAACTAACCCGCAGTGTGGATTTACCAAAAGATCACAGCACTAGCGGAGACTTCCAGAAACTGTCTCATGCTTTCTGACCTCCAGGGAAAGTTGTACCCACGACATCCTCAACCACTGGTACCATGGAAGACCTGTCCCTGCCCATTTCTCAAAAATGCACAGCTCTTCCCTGCCTGGAGCACATGAAGTCCCATCTCCCTGTCCCCAGACCTTTAGGCTCTGTTGAAGTTCTGGCATTGCTTATGAGACCCTTCCTGTCCAAGGAAGGTCTAAGTCAACTCCTCCATTGGACTGGAGATGAGGCTCACTGGTGACATCCTGTGTCGACTCAGTAATAAATAGTCACTTGGGAGGCGATGTTTATGCAGGTGTGGATGTTGAGTTTTACTATGGGAATCATTCCAGCCTGACAAAATGTGTTTTAAGGAATAGGTAGATAACTGGGACTTCCTCTGTTATTCTAACAAGTCGAAGCTTCCTAATTAAACTGTCCATGGATCTCACTTATTTGGTTTCCACTCTGTGTTATCTGGTACGTTCTTTGTAGCAGTGTGTTAAAATTCCAGGCCCTACGGCCAAATCTGGCAGAGGCTTCCCTCTCATTTATCCAGTGCCTTCTGTGGGCCAGGCACAGGATTAGGCACTTTATGAACGTCAGCTCATTGAAACTTCACGACACTATGTGGGAAGTATTTGCAAACCCATTATATACACAAGGACACAGAGGCTCAGGGAAGCTATGTTATTTATCCAATGGCACACAGCAAGAAAGTGGTAGAGCTGGTATTCAAAGTCTGACCAAAGTCTGCTTTCAACTTCACTACAGTGTCTGTGTCATGCATCCTTGTGATTGTGTGTGTTTGTGTGTATGTGTGTCTTTCTAGCTTCATGGACACAGCTTACAGATGTGGGGAGCAGATATGGTGGAATCTCCACCACCAAGAGGGCACAAGGTCTTTGTGTAAACATGGCTCAAAGGGTTGCCCCTGCAGACACCTACTGTACATTTATTTGGTTTTGGAAATTTTGTATGTGGCACCCTTTAAAAAATGCCCTTTGAAAGCACTCTTTTGCACTTTACTTGCTAACTTTGTAGAAACTCTGCATACAGCAGGAATAAAATAGTTCAAAGCACTAAGCTGCATACTCTACCAAATGGAACAGGTGCATGTGTTGGTATGTGCATAGATGCTTCCCCAAATGAGTCAAATCAGTCACACAGAGGGATCAAACATAACCTTGGGCTGGGGGTGGGAAAATTTTCTACATAACCCATTCCCTGAGACATTTGGCCAAGAATGTGATGAACAAAATCAAAGAAGATCCTCTATGGTGATTGATCGATTAAATATGTGTGCAAAGTGTTTAGAAACCTATGAAATACTCTCGCAAAGATGCTGAGAGAGAATAAGAGGTTGGATTCCTCTTCATATAAACTAATTTTGGAGGAGGCCAGTTGGTTTGAAGTTACTTGAATGTTACCTTTTTTAGATGGGGCCAAATGGCATGTAGAATACACGTGATAGGTCAAAGCTGCTACACATTCTATACATGCATCAGCACAGCCCCCCCTTTCCAATCTGCACTCCCATTCCAGCATAAACCTAGGAGAAATGTTTCGATTTCACACAAAGAAAGAGCACACGTCCACCATCTTCAGTGGGGGCTGTCTTTTGCTTCACTGGCAAGCAGGCACTGAATTTTTCTTGCATGACAAATCTGGAGGTTTACTGGTGAGAGAGCCAATGGGCATTTTTTCCTGGAAAGAGTACAGCTCCATACCCAGTCCTAACCCAACAGTGATATTTATCACTTTGGGGCAGGGCTGTATAGAGTGTGTGTGTGTGTGTGTGTGTGTGTGTGTGTGTGTGTGTGTGTGTGTGCGGGTTGGGGTGGTGTTGGGCCATCTCTGGCCTGTTACTAAGGTAACTAGGACTATTTGTGTTCCAGCAGTCATAGCCTGTGATTGTGGGTGCATCAGTTCTCTGCCTAGATCTCTTGTTACCTTGTCTGCACATCAAGGGAGGGAGTTGAGCACAGATACTTGTCAAGGGCCATTGTAGTTGTGCAGTTCTCTAATGAAACACTCCCTAGTCCATGAGTTCACAAAATTTATTAAGATTAAATTATAAGTTGGATTTGTGAATAATGACTAATTAATTGTCTTGCCCATTTTAGGTTAAGGTGAGAGCTTAGTCTCTTGCCCTTTGGGATTTGTCTTTTGGGGGATTAATGGAGACCAGATGTACTTGGGAGACTGGTGTCCAAATTCGGATCATGCCCTGTGTAGGCTCTCTCTATCCTCCCTTATAGCTCTTTAGTGTACTGTCACCGGGAGGGCTCATGCTGTGAGGGCATTTTTTGCATGGTGTTAAGACTAGTTAAAGAAATTTTAAGCTGTTGTTATTTGCAGTCAATTGTAGTACTTCATGTATCATGAATTCAAGTACTATGATCAGACAGACATCTCTCTCTCTCTCACACACACACACACACACACACACGCACACATACACACACACACACACACCTGAGGAAATGGCTGCTTTGGGTTCTATAAGGACCATTCCATGTTTAAAGTCCTAGTTGAGCTGAATGCTAAGAACCTGCCCCCTTGCCTCCCTCTGAGATGATATCATTTCCTGGCTTCGTCAATGCTGCCTGTCTATTTGCATGCTGGGTTCTGAGGACTAGTGAGAAGGTGACCAGAGTTTGGGTGGGGCTGGTTTTTACCCACTGGATTTGGTGAGAATATGAAGCATCCAGTGTGTACCAGGGTTTCTGAACCACGGGAAAGGCGTAGGAAAACAAACATTCAGAGCCCCTGTAAAACGAGAAAGGAAAAACCAGCCAGTGTTGCATTCCACATCTCTGCTTGTTGCATTTTGCTAATATGGGGTTATTCTTTCTCACTGTTAGGATGCAATTGTGTGCAAAGACAGTGGCTGAGTGAACAGTAAGAGCTGGCTAGTAATGGCCTTAAAAAGAAAAAGGGTAACTCTCTGAAACAAAGATCACTTTAGTGTGGCATTGTGGATGCTGTTAATTCTGCATAGGGAAACTTTGGAACAGCATGCTAATTACATGGCTGTAAGCAAAGCCCTGTCCTCTGTCTCTGCACCATACCTTCATTGGACTTCACCAACCCATCCATACTCCATGTAAACCTCAGTTCTCTCATGCCTGCCCTAAGTCAGTTGACATCAGTGCAGTGGCATTGAGGAGAAATGAGAGGTGTCTCTGATTTTACTGAAAGTTATTATCATTTTCACAGGTGCCTGAGATTTGGTATCTACTTTGTGTTCTTGATTCTTAGGTGAAAAATCTGAAATAGTTCCCTGTGCATTAAAATAAATTATTTTGAGAGGACTCCTGCTCCGTCGATTCAGCAGACCTATGCTGCAGAAGGTAACTGCGGAAGCTCTCTTTTGCTGTCAGGGCTCTGAGCTTGAAGGGAGAAGGTGCAGTGGTGCCTAGAAGTGATATGCAAACCACCTCACATGCCAGCCTCTGGCCTCCTTCCCATCCCAGAGTCACAGACAGGGGACCCAGTGACAATGATGATAAATCCATGTGTGGAGGTGTTTTACTTATTTTTCTTTCCGTAGGATTTCATGGTGCTTTAAAAAAAAAGGCATTTTACAGAAAATAATGTGGGGGGAGGGAGATTTCATAATGTTCTTAGGGAAAGTACAAAACAAATTTGCTTGTGACATTTCAATAAGCTGTGCTGCTATTGTCTTTATTTGATGATGTAATTTTTTTTTCAATGATGGAGAAAAATTGCAACAAAGACCTTCTGGAAGATCCAATCCAATGTCTCTTCTGTTTTCCTTTCTTTTCTGGGGCCTAGCGTGGTTCATAGTAGCTGGGTTGGGAGCTCTGCTCTGGACCACAGATATTTTGTCCTGAGCACAGGATAGGTGCTTCTTCAAGCTTGCACTCACTTATGACATTCATGGGCCTGTGGAGACTCACTGTCTTGCAGGAGGAGGAGCGCAAAGCAATCCATGAAGAGAAACCTTAAAAAAAAAAACAGAATTGTTGCTGCACATTTACTTTCATTTCCCTGTTTCAACCTGATCTTGATTGTACATTGCCGGGACTACACCAGCATGATAAATCACATTTTCTTGGTGAAACACTAAGTTTAGACATCGCGCCAGGTCTTCCAGTATAAAATGAACAACCCCTTGGATGCCGACATTTCATGCTGTGTTTGGTTTTGCTCTTGCTATGCATCTGCCAGCCACGGGCTTATTAATATTGAGCAGAAACAAAATGCTGACCATTTTTGAGCACCTGTTATCTACCAGTTTACAAACATCCCATTTACCCTTGCAAATGCAACCATAAATTGAATATCTTCATTTTACAGATGAAAACTTTGAGGCTCAAAGAGAATAGGAAACCTCCAACCCAAGTTAATCAGCTCCAAGCCTGAGTATCTCACTAGGCCATGTGGCTGCAGGGGACATATGCTTTCATGACTTTTCCAGAGAATGTGATGTGGTTCTTTCTGACTTGTCTTCACCGTCTCTCCTCTTCTTTTTGTGAGGGAGACATGCCATGGTTTCAAAGGTGTATTCCCAACTGTGTGTCAGAGCAAGTGTAAGTGGTCTACAGTTCTTCTATCTTCATGTCTTTGCACCTGCTATCCCTCTGGAAGTCGTCCTCACTGATGCGCCACTTCCCCCATTCCACTACTACCTGACTCATTCAAGTCCTCAGAACTCAGCTGATGAGGTAGCTCCAGGAAGTCTTTCCTTACTTCTCTCCATCCCCTTGGAGTTAGCTGCTTTCAACACAGCTTGAGCTCCCCTCAGTGATAGTGCTGCTTATGCTGGGTTTTAAGTGCTAGTTTCCTCGTCTGTTCCGTGCATATTATAAATGCCTCAGGGCAGAGATTGTGCCTTTCATTTCCATCCTTAGCACTCAACAGGGTACCTGATACATTATAGAAACTCAAATTATTGGTGGGATAATCTTTTTTTTTTTTTTTTTTTTTGAGACGGAGTTTCACTCTTGTTGCCTAGGCTGCAGTGCAATGGCACAATCTTAGCTCACTGCAACCTCCACCTCCCGGGTTCAAGTGATTCTCCCGCCTCAGCCTCCCAAGTAGCTGGGACTACAGGCATGTGCCCACCATGCCCAGCTAACTTTTTTTTTGTATTTTTAGTAGAGACGGGGTTTCACCATGTTGGTCAAGCTGGTCTTGAATTCCTGACCTCAAGTGATCCATGCAACTCAGTCTCCCAAAGTGCTGGGATTACAGGTGTGAGCCACCGTGCCCAGCCTTGGTGGGATAATCTTATTACCTTATTAATCACACATTTTCATCCTTCAAGGCAGATTTAATTTGTTCAGGAAGCGGAAGTCATTTGGAGCCAAGACTGGCAGCGTAAGTAACTTATCCAACTCCTAAGTATCATTTTGGTCAAAACCAAATTTGCCTATAAAGTAATGAGTTTGATTTGTATTTCGGATTTACAGTGAACTCCAATAGTTTAATCACAGTGATAGTTGTTGAAATAACTAGATTCTAAACATGACTACTATGAAGGACAGCTTTCATTTGTATGTATAGATAATGGAATGCTTATTTAAAAACCAATCGTATTACTGTAGATAGAGTTTGAGTGTCTGTATACTTAGGAAATATGAGATTATGCTTTGCTCCTGTGCCCAAGGCAGGCATCATTCATCAATCAAATAATTCCTTCCCTACTAATCCAGGCACATTCTTAAAATCTATTTTAAGGTTACATTCCCTGTTAGCAGTTCTCAAAATATGGCCTAGTGATCCAAGTAGGACTCT
The DNA here is from genome assembly GCF_000001405.40 of Homo sapiens. NCBI lineage: Eukaryota > Metazoa > Chordata > Mammalia > Primates > Hominidae > Homo > Homo sapiens. The sequence goes on along the minus strand of NC_000014.9, from coordinate 88,178,101 downwards.
GAGATTCTTTCAGGGAGTCCATGAAGTCAGAATTATTTTCAGAGTAGTAGTAAGGTATTATTTGCCTTTTCCTCTCATTTTTTCATGAGGGTACAGTATTTAGAATAAAGTAGCATTAGTCACTTAGAGTAACAGCAGCAAGGTAATCTGACACTTTATTGACCATCAAAAGAATTTTCCAAAATGATAGTAAATGGGCCTGTATTTCTTAGAGAACTCAAAAGTACCTGGATATAAAATAATTGTATTAGAAAGGGCTTCTTGCTTATCCTCATAGGAGTGGATCATAACAATGACCATAAAACAATATTTATCTGGCCCTGCCCTAGCTTCTCTGTGGGCCTCCAGTCCCTACAGTCTCTCCCCAATTAGTTCCGAGAGTCCCTAGAGAGGTCTCACATATGCTATTTCTTGGCCATCATTCCACAAGAGCACCAGCTTTCTAGAAGCCTTTCAGCAACTCCATGACTGGATTAGATGGCCTTCCAATGATCCCCTGGTAAGAACAGTCCCCCGGTTTTTGACATTTGTCATCTTCCCCACATCGAGAGTTCCTAGAGGGAGCTCTCTTTCTCTCATTAATTTCATGGGCTTGGCACAGTGAATAGACGTGGCAGGAACTTGGAAGATAGTCATTGAATACAGAGCAAATCCAAAACTGTGGTGTTGAGCAAAGGGGCTCTGCAGAGAGTCGGAGCAGAAGGGAGCCCAAATTTGGGGTGAGCTAGAGGGGAAGTCAGGAGGATGCAGTGTGTGACAGGAGTCCAGGACAAAGGATAGCAGTCCAGACAAATGGAAAATATGTTGGGAGATTTCTGAAGACAGAATACCAACCACAATGGCAGCTTTTTATCTGGTCACCTCCATGAACTTGCATCAACCAAAGAAGCCAGAGTGGCGCAGATACTCTTCCAACCAAACTATCCCAGTTTTAAAATGCAGTGCACACCTGGCTCTACGGATCTGAACTGGCATACAGGTCAGCCTCCATACATGTTCTTCATGTGAAATATCTCAAATTTTGGATGACCTGTTCTTAGAAATATATTTAAAAAGATGTAAGAATCTAAAACTAAAAAAACATTGTCACACAAGTTATTATTAAGACAACTGTTTATTAAATGAATTTTAAAGGTCATTATTCATTATTTGGAATCATGCAGGATAAGTAAAGATTTTTCCTCACTTGGAATGTGATAATATTAAAATATTTTCCAACATAATAATTGATGCTGTTGTCTGTAAAGTGCCTATATTGATGGCTCTTTTGAATTGTTTTGCAAATGCTTGAAGCAAAAAACAATCACAGGACCTCAATGAGATACGAATTTATTTTGAAATGAAGAACGTTTTTTAACATTCTAGCATCAACAGCCTTAGTTGGAAACATAAGAAATAGAAATACACATAATGCCAGCATAATTTATGGCTGTGCGTTTCAGTATTTTATATAGAACATTAATCAATACCTTAAATAACATTTTGTTCTTCAGTTATTTGATTTCATAGAAAAGTAACGGGCCTTTTCATTATTTCCGTGAGCGAATATGAACCCCAAACATTTTTTCCCAGTGAATTATTGCTGAGGAAAATAGGAGAAATAGCTAATGGCAATAGCAACTGGTTAAGATTGTATAATCCATTCATTCATTGAATAAATATTTATGGAACCCTGTGATGTATGAGGCCCTGGGAAAATGATGGAACAACTAGGTCATGTTCACGGCCCTCAAAGTTTTGCACAGTAGAGTTAGGTAGCTTTGAGCAATGTGCTCTGGGGAGGTAAAGAGCTGGCAGTAAGACTGTATATAATTGGGTTCAAGAGTACAAGAAATTACCACAAAATTGATAGGAATTAAGAGAGTGTGAGGATCAGTTTGCATTTTGTCAGTCAAGGCAGGCTTCCTGTAAGACAGGGCATCTTAAAGATGGTATAGGACTTGTTAGGTAGCAGAGAAACCTGAATGGCTCCAAAGCATAATTCTGCTTAATTAAATATTCTGATCAATATCTAAGATTGATCTGTTTGTCCAGAGAATACTTCAAATATATACTCATTTGAGATTACTTTGTTATAAGACATTTTCTGTGAAGGGGGGAATGCTTTAAAATGACTAAAACAAATTACAAACTCTAAGCCAAGCTTAAAAGATAAACAGAAAATCGGTGCTACTGGTCACCAGCTACAACAGGAATTGTAACTCCTTCTGAAAGCAAGTGTGATTGAATAATACACAGTATATTAACTTTTCTCCCCTCTCCTTTTACTTCCCCCTTTCCTCTTATCTTGCATCAAGCAGATCCCAGATTTTGGCTTCATTCTAGGGAGAAACACAATGGTAGGAGTATTCCTCATTGTTTGTTTCAAAAGTCAGTCTCACAAGATTTCATTTGACAGGGAGTAGAGTGATTTGGAATGCAGTGATGGGAAAGAGAGGTTTCCCTTTCAGGTTGGGGACAGGGCAGAGAGGAGTCTGGAGTCCCACACAGGGGGCCTGTGTCTAGCCCCTGAAAAGAAAGGACAGCACAGTGGGCTTCAGCATAGAAGACCCAGGGCAGCCCTGCCAGAGGGCGAGGGGCAGTGTGGGTAGGTGCAGAGTCCCAAGATCCCAGTCCAAACCTTCTAAGAAAAAATTTCACATGCTCCCAGTTGGGTGGGTCTTGAAACTGATGTCATGATGATCTACAGAAAATAAAGTTCTTCACCACTTCGTGCATATCTAAACCGTTTTTTTCTCCTTCTGACCAAAATGGTTCTCTTCTTGGTTTGAACCTGAATGATTTTGTTTCTTGGGTAGAAACAGAAGATCATTTTTCTCCCTGATTTGTGGAAGATTCACACCATAGAAACACTTTGTATTCGTGCGTTGTGCCATGAAATGCACAGTCTCTTTTTGAGAAAGGGTTGGGGAGGCAGTTTCCTGTAGCTAGAGGCCAGAAGCACCTGCAATTGAGCTCCTGTTTTCCAACCTCTTTCTGCCTTGGTGGGCGGGTGTGGGTGCCAGAGACAAGAGACTCCCAAATGCTGAGCCGAATCTGCCTCCCCTCTTAGGCAAAGAGGAAAGGGAATAGGGGCAGAATAGTGGGCCTGCTGTGGAGAGAGAGATCCAGTTGGTCCCATAGCCAAACCAGCTTCCAGGTCCTGGCTCCAGACCCCTCAGGGCCTGGTTGCCCTCTGGGAAGCTAGACTTATATTGAATGCCCACTGTTGGGCAGCTTCAATAGCTCAGCCCTGTGGGAGCTGGGATGCAGGACCAATTTTCTGCCCACACGTGGAAGGGCTGGGACAGAGAAGGGGACCTTATGAGACCAGCCCCTCCAAGGGGCCAACTGAGTGCTCTAGACAAAATAACTCATCCATGGCATCTGAGGCATGTGTGAAGCCAGCTTGACCAGAGGACCTTTGAAGAAGATTCAAGGCAGACGCTGAAAATGCTTGGCTTCAATTCAATACATCTCAAACTAGTGTGAAGGCAGAGGGGGTCAGTTAGCACTAAATCATATGCCAAGCCCAAGCAATATGTCAGATTTTGTACCTCTGCCCAAGAAGCTCCCATCTGTTGAAGGTGAGACAGACAATGTTTTTTGTAGTTATGGAATAGGGAGACAAACATATAGAAATGTCAGTGACTTTATTAAAGCTACAAAGCAGGCCCTCTGCTCATGTATCTCCCTAGTTTATTTGTTGTTTTATTTAGGCTCAGGGGGTACATATGCAGGTTTGTTACATGGATATGTAGTGAACACTACATCCAAGTAATGAACACTGTACCCACTAGGTAACTTTTTACCTGGAACCCCTCCAGCCTTCCCCAGTTTTGGAGTCCCCAGTGTCTATTATTTCCATCTCTGTGTTCATGTGTACCCACTGTTCAGCTGCCACTTATCAGTGAGAACATGTGGTATTTGATTTTCTGTTTCTGAGTTAGTTCACTTAACATAATGGCCTCCATCTCCAACCATGTTGCTGCAAAGGACATGATTTCATTCTTTTTTATGGCTGCGTAGTATTTCTCGGTGAATATATACCTCATTTTCTTTATCTAATCATCTGTTGATAGACAGACACGTAGGTTGATTCCATATCTTTGCTATTGTAAATAGTGCTGTGACAAACATATGAGTGCAGGTATCTTTTTGATATAATGATTTCTTTTCTTTGGGTAGACACCCAGTGGTGAGATTCCTGCATCAAATGGTTATTTTTCGTTCTTTGAGATATCTCCATACTGTTTTCCATGGGAGTTGAACTAATTTGCATTCACACCAACAGTGTATAAGTGTTCCCTTTCTCCACTTCCTTGCCAACATCTTTTATGACTTTTTGATAGTAGCCATTCTGAGTGTTGTGAAATGATATCTCATTGTGGTTTTAATTTGCATTTCTCTGATGCTTGAACACTTTTTCATATATTTGTTGGCCACTTGTATGTCTTCTCTTGGGAAGTGTCTACTATGTCACTTTTTAATGAGGTTGTTTTTTTTTTCTTGTTCATTTGAGTTCATTATAAATTCTAGATATTAGTCTTTTGTTGGATGCATAGTTTGCAAATATGGTCTCCCTTTTTAAAGTAAGATTGTCTGCTTACTTTGTTGATTGTTTCTTTTGCTGTGCAGAAATTCTTTAGTTAATTAAGTTACATTTGTCTATATTTGTTTCTGTTGTATTTGCTTTTGAGGTCTTAGCCATAAATTCTTTCCCCAGGACAATGTCTGGAAGAGTTTTTCCTAGGTTTTCTTCTAGGATTTTTATAGTTTCAGGTCTTACATTTAAATCTTTGGTCCATATTGTGTCATTTTTTGTATATAATGAGAGATATGGGGCCCAGTTTCATTCTTCATAGCTATTTAGTTTTCCCAGTACCATTTATGTCCTTTCTCTATTACCTGTTTTTGTTGACTTTGCCAAAGATAAAGTTGGTTGCAGGTATGTGGCTTTATTTCTGGGTACTCTATTCTGTTCCATTTGATCTACATGACTTTTTTTTTTATTCCAGCACCATGCTGTTTTGTTTGTTACAGCTATAGCTTTGTAGTATAGTTTGAAGTGAGATAATGTGATAGCTTCAGCTCTGTTTCTTTTGCTTAGGATTGCTTTGGCTATTTGGGCTCTTTTTTGTTCATATGAACTTTAGGATTGTTTTTTCTAATTCTGTGAAAAATGACATTGTTAATTTGATAGAAATTATGCTGAATCTGTAGATTGCTTTGGGCAGTCACTTTACCACTATTGATTCTTCCTATCCATGCACATAGGATGTTTTTCCATTTATCTGTGTCATCTATAATTTCTTTCATCAGTTTTGTATTTCTCCTTGTAGAGACCTTCCACATCCTTGGTTAAATGTATTTCTAGGTATTTTATATGTTTTCGTGGCCATGATAAATGGGATTGAGTTCTTGATTTGGTTTTCAGCTTGAGTGTTTTTGGGGTCCAGAAACGCAACTGATTTTTGGATGTTAATTTTGTATCCTAAAACTTTACTGAAATTGTTTATCAAATCTAAGAGTCTTGAAGGAATCTTTAGGGTTTTCTAGGTATAAAATCATGTCATCAGCAAATAGATAATTTGACTCCCTCTTTTCCAAGTTGGATGCCTTTTATTTCTTTCTCTTGCCTGATTTCTCTGGCTAGGACTTCCAGTACTATTTTGAATAGGCAGGGTGGGAGTGGACATCCTTGTGTTGTTCCAGTTCTTAGGGAGAATAATTTCAACTTTTTCTTATTCTTGATGTTGGCTGGGGGTTTGTCATATATGGGCTGTTACTATTTTGAGGTATGTTTCTTTGATGTCTATTTTGTTGAGGATGTTTTTTCATGAAAGGATACTAGATTTTATCAAATGCCTTTTCTGTATCTATTGAGATGATCATATGGGTTTTGTTTTTACTTCTGTTTATGTGGTGAATCACATTTATTGATTTGTGTATATTGAACCATCCTTGTATCCCTAGAATTTTCTTTTGATGTGCTATTGGATTCAGTTCACTGGTATTTTGTTGAGGAACTTTATGTCTATATTTACCAAAGATATTGGCCTGTATCTTTCTTTCTCTGTTGTGTCCTTGCCAGATTTTGGTAACAGGATGATGCTGATTTCATAGGATGAGTTAGGAAGGAATCTCCCCTCCTTGATTTTTGGGAATGGTTTCAATAATATTGGTACCAGCATTTCTTTTTACATTTGATAAAATTTGGCTGTGAATCTGTCTTGTCTTGGGCTTTTTTTTCCTGTTGAAATATTTTAAATCACAGATACAATTTTGTTACTCTTATTGGTCTGTTCAGGACTGCTGTTTTTTCCTGATTCAGTCTTGGAAGGTTGTATGTCTCTAGGAATTTATTAACTTCCTCTAGATTTTCTAGTTTGTGTGCACAGAAAAGTTCATAGTAGTCTGTGATGATCCTTTTTACTTTCTGTGCATTTGTAATGTCATCTTTATTATTTCTGGTTCTGTTTATTTACATTTTCTCTCTTTTTAATGTGGTTATTCTAGCTAGTGGTCTATCAATTTTGTTTATCTTTTCAGTGAACCAACTTCATTTCACTGATCCTTTGTATAGTTTTTTTTGGTCTCAATGTCATTGAGTTCTGTTCCAATCTTTGTTATTTCTTTTCTTCTGCTAGCTTTGGGTTTATTCTTATTTTTATAGTTTCTTGATGTGTGATGTTAGGTTGCTAATTTGAGATCTTTCTTTTTGATGAAGGCATGAAATGCTATAAACTTCCCTCTTAATACTGTTTTTTCTCTGTTCCAGAGGTTTTTGTATGTTGTGTCTCTATTTTCATTTGTTTCAAAAATATTTTTGATTTCTGTCTTAATTTCATTGTGTACTGAAAAGTCTTTCAGGAGCAAGTTGTTTAGTTCCCATGTACTTGTGTGGTTTTGAGAATTCCTTTTGGTAATGATATTTGATTTTAATCCATTGTGATATGAGAAGATACTTGATAGGATTTCATTATTTTGAATTTATTGAGACTTGCTTTACGGTTAAGGATATGGTCAATTTTACAGAATGTTTTATATGCAGATGAGAAAAATATTCTTCAGTTGCTGGGTGGTATGTTCTGTAGATGTTTATTAGGTCCATTTGGTCAAGAGTCCAGTATAATTCCAGAGTTTCTTTGTTAGTTTTCTGCCTTGATGATCTATCTAGTACTGTCAGTGGAATGTTGAAATCCTTCACTATTTTTGTATGGCTGTCTATATCTTTTCTTAGGTCTAGCAGAATTTGTTTTATAAGTCTGGGTGCTCCAGTGTTGGGTGTGTATATATTTAGGATAGTTAAGTCTTCTTTTCTAATTAAAGTATGTTTTATCTAAGAATAGCAATTCCCTACTGTTTTTTGTTTTTCATTTGAGTGATAAAACATTTTTCATCCCTTTACTTTGATATTATGGGTGTCTTTATACATTAAGTGGGTGTCTTGTAGGCAGCAGATGGTTGGGTCTAATTTTTTAAATCCAATTTGCCAATGTGTATACTTTAAGTGGAATATTTAGGCTGTTGACATCCAAGACTAATATTGACATGTGAGGTTTGTTTCTTTGTTAATATTGACACATGAGGTTTGTTTCTTAGTGTTGCTAGCTAGTTGCTTTGTAGTCTTAATTGTATAACTGCTTTATAGGATCTGTGAACTTTGCCCTTATGTGTGCTTTTATGTTAGTGAGTATTGTTTTGTCTTTTTGTTTCTGTTTAGAACTACTTTGAGCATTTATTGTAGGCTAGGTCTAGTGGTGATGAATTCCCTTTGCATCTACTTGTTTGTGAAAGACTTTATTTCTCTTTTGTTTATGAAGCTTAGTTTATTAGGATATAAAATTCTTGATTGGCATTTTTTTTTCTTTAAGAAGGCTGAAGATAAGCCCTCAATGTCTTCTGATGTGTAAAGCTTCTCCTGAGAAGTCTGCTGTTAGTCTGATGGGATTTTCTTTATAGGTGATTTGACCTTTTTATCTAGCTGACTTTAAGATTTTTTCTTTAGCATTGATCTTGATGGTCTGATGTCTGTATGCCTTGGTGATATTCATCTTATATAGTACCTTGCAGGTGTTTTCTGAAATTTTTGTAACTGAATGTCTACCTCTCTAGCAAGATCAGATAAATTTTCCTGAATTATTGCCTCAAATATCTTTTCCAAATTGCTTACTTTTTCTTCTTCTCCTGTCTCAGAAATGCCTATAAGTCATAGGTTTGGTCATTTTTACATAATTCCATATTCCTTGAAGGCTTTGTTCATTTTTTTAAAAAAATATGTTTATTTATTTTTATCTGACTGAGTTAATTCAAAGGACTGGTCTTCAACCTCTGAAATTCTTCTGCTTGATCTAGTCTATTGTTAAAGCTTTCAACTGTATTTTGAAATTGCTGTAGCAAATTTTTTATTTCCAGAAGTTTTGCTTGTTTTTAAATATAGCCACCTCAGTCGGGTGTGGTGGCTAATGCCTATAATGCCCGCACTTTGGGAGTCCAAGCAGGCAGATCACTTGAGTTTAGGAGTTTGAGATCAGACTGGCCAACATGGTAAAACTGTCTCTACTAAAAATACAAAAGCTAGCCAGGCGTGGTGGCCAGCACCGGTAGTCCTAGCTACTGGGGAGGCTGAGGCAGGAGAGTTCCTTGAATCCAGGAGGTGGAGGTTGCAGTGAGCTGAGATCGTGCCACTGCACTCCATCCTAGGTGACAGAGCAAGACCCTGTCTCAAATATGTATATATATATAACATATACGAGACATACATATGTTGAATTGTTTTTCCGATTTCTTTATGTTTGTTTTCAACTTTCTCTTGGATCTCATTGATCCTTGAACTTTCTCTTAGATCTCATTGATTGCATTGAGGTCTTCCTTACAGTCCATATGTTGAGTTCTCTGTCATTTCAGAATTTTCATGTTGGTAAGGATCCATCGCTAGAATGCTAGTTTGATCCTTTGTGTCAGAACTGTTTTTTTGTACTGCTAGATTTCTTGAGGTGATTCCTTCTCAACTAAAGAAACTGTCGCTTCTAACTTTTGAATTTGCTATTGTTTGGCTAAGACTTTTTAAAAATTTATTTTCCCTAGAAGGTATGACTGTGTTGTATATTGTGTATGACCATTTGGTTTCATTTCTGGGTGCTTTCAGGGGACCAAGTCTCTGTATGGGTTCCTTGGTTATGGAAAGCTTTTATGCAGTGGTTTTTTCAAATACTGCTTGTTGGAGTGATGTATTGGGTCTATAACACACAAGACTGATGCATATTGACACACTATCTTCTGCAGGGCTGGGAGTGTGGAGATCTTAGGAAGCTTGTCTCCCACGCTAGCACTGTGCCCTTCTGGCAGGCTTATTTGGTGGTGCTGTTTGGTCTCCATGCCAGTAGGTGGCACTAAAGAGTAAAAGCTGGCTAGCCCTTGAGTAGCCTGGTGATGAGTGTAGGCATCTGCCCTCATGTGGAGTGGAGTTGGAGTGAGGGGGTGGTGGGGGAGTTGTGCTGGGATATGTTGAGGTCTCAGGGCTGGGGGCAGGGGTAGGGGGCCGCACCAGCTCCTTGCCCTGGACAGGCAAGAACACAATCTGTTTCCCTATCATGCCCCTGTCACAGGGCTCAAGACTTTCCGTTTGTATAGACGTTGTCCTTTAGCTTCTGGCTGCAGTGTGAGTGAGGTCTGCAGGAATCCTCCTCTGGTGGCTACCACTGAAATGGGCTTGGGACAGAGCCTCTTCCCCCAGTCTAGGACAGACAGCGCTGCAGCTTGTCTGCCATCCATTTCTGGGATGCTGCCACTCTGTATAGGAAGAGAGAGATAGGTCCCGCCCTTCATGCAAGCCTGGGGTATAATGGGCTCACTTTTAACAGGGGTACCGTTGCTGCAAAGAGCCCTGGAAAGGCTGTCTCTAAGTGCACTCACGCCAGCCCCCATCAGGGAAAGCCTCTGCTGTGACTGCAATGGTGGACAGGGGGAGCGGAAGATGACGCCCTCTCCACGTTTGTCCCTGGTCCCTGGTGCTGCCCCCTTTAGCAACTGGCATCACCCCAGTGTGTTCTTTTTTTTTTTTTTTTTCACCAAAGGGGACTTGTACTTTCCCTTCCCCTCTCCTCCCTGGTTTATTGTGTTATAAGATGTAGAGAATTGGCTATCCGTGCAGCAAGACAGCACAATGTGACTCCCATTAAATAAAAACAATGCTCGTTGCTTACAGTGGTAGGGGATTCTCCCCACTTCTATACTATAAGCCCAGGCTTCTGGGTCTTTTCTGACAAAGAGACCCATAGATGTCCCAAAGGCGATTAGAACAAAGTAAGAGGAGGCCTCTTAAAAAGATTTTAAAAAAATCAAGAGGTTAGAATTTTCCGGGTTAGAATCCCCCAAAGATACTGTACATGAAGCCCTTGCCTCTGTGTTAGGTACACACATACACACACACAAAATTAATGACTCTATTCTTAAATATTTAACTACTTATTATTTACTATTAAAGAGTAAACATTTAATTATTTCTACTATTACTAGTTTTATCCTCTGCTGTTATCTATACAAAAAAGTATAAATGATCCAGTGGAAAAACCTCACAACTCATTGTTTGGCCACTGAAGGCAAATCTGCTTCCTCAAAGAATACATGTCCCTTTTCAACTTGCTTTCTTTTCTTTTTGAACTTGTTTATTTTTATTCCAAAGAGAAACTGAAGAGCCTTTCAACAGTTGCTGGCCCATCGAGGAGTTTAAACCTGCCAGTCTCTCATGTGCATCAGAACCAAAATGCAATTACTCTTTGCTCTGTGTGTGTATGTGTGTGTGGGTGGGTGGGTGGGTGTGTGTGGCATCCTAGGTACCAGACAACTTCAGTGACTTGCTCAAGGTCACACCCACCAGCGGTGGGTGATGGGGCCGGGATATAAAATCAAGACATGTTTAACTCCAGATCTCACCTTCTTCTTATTGGCACTTCACTGCCATGAAGCCTCTAATCCACTATGAAAACCACATATAATAGAAGGAATGGGGACTCCAGGAGGTACCACCCACTTCTCTGCACCACCTGGGGCCAGGGAATCTTATCTCTTCCCCAAGTCACTTGGATGAGTTTTCGTGGCCAGACTACTGACTCCAGAGGTTAGGAGTTCTTTTTCCCATGGGTAGAAAAATGAGCAGCAAACAACATGGGTGCTCTCTGCCAATGGAGACTTACTCCCAAGCTCTCCTTTTGCTGAATCTTGGCTAAAGCATGCAATTAAGAGTCAGGTTCAAGGAAGTGGGATGCATGGTAATGACTCATACCTGAACACAAACAGCATTCCACCCTCCCTCCCGTCTGTTCCATTTTAGGTGAGGAAGCGCATCAGCTCTCAGGTTATGATCTGGCTGTAATACTACAGTGATGCCAGGGAAAGTCAGAAAATTCCCAGCTAGCATGTCAGGCAGCCCAGGATAGGGAGTGTGACTTGCCCAAGGTCTTAAAGGGAAAAGGCGAGGTCATGTCTTTGCTTTCCTCTTATCCTGTCTCCCTCTTTTATTCCCTATGACCCATCCTTTTAGAAGCAGTAAAGGGCAAAGTTCTGGTAGAGGGAAGTGGGTGGACTTACCGTTTATGTTGACATTTAGAATACCACCCACACTGGACCTCCTAACCACACCAGACCTCCCAACCCTGATGCTTTTTCTTCACTATATGTGGCTCCCAGAGAGAGAAAATGGAGGTTACAGGTTCCTTTTCCACCTCTCCCTCCTTTCTGTTTCTCTTTGCTTTCATATTCTTGAGCTCTGTGATTAATCTCCAGCCTGCGAAATAACTGACCTTTAGCCAGAGGCTCCTCTTGCAGGTTGAGATGGTTTGACTGCAGGTGGTACTGTTGTATCCATCATCTTCATCTGTTTCATGAGGACCCTTTTAAGTTTTGCATGATTCTATTCAAAAACACCTCTTGGCATTTAGAGATCATTTCGCATTGAGAGAGGCCACTTCTCTCTGGTCTTGGGAGGCCAGGAAGACTGGCCTGGGGGAGATTTGGGAGCTGGGGGTATTAATGGTATTTGTGTGCACTTTGGGATTCAGTCTCTCTATGCCTTGTGAATGTTTACAGTTTTTCTTTCCTTTTTTTACTCCCTAAAAGGTCCATCCCATGAGTCTTGCAGGGTGTAGGAGGGGTGGGTAGTAATGGTGCAGAAATGGGCATCACGTGCGATGGGCCTTGAGCATTGTGCCTTTCTTTAGCACGGATGTGACAGGCAGTGGCATCAGGTCCCATTTTCCTGCCTTGTGCAGAACCTGTGCCACTGCCCTGCCACGCCAGGCAAAGGACTCGAAGGCCCTATTTCCTGGGTTCACATGAGTCAAGAAAACCTTCCTTTGTCAGCCACTGGATAATTACAATAAAAGGGGTATTGCCCCCTTCACTGCTGTCAAACAACAGATTCCTCCCTGCCCTCACAGTCTGCCAGGACACTCCACTGAGAGCCCTGCATTGCCAGTGGCAGGTCTCTGCTATCCTGCTCTCCCAACCCCCACTTTCGGGATGTCTTTATGAGTCCCAAATCACCATTCCTCTTTACTTCCAAACTCCTCCTCAGGAACCAGCCATCTTAGTCCAGATTGTCTGAATGCAACAAAACAATAAAGGGAAACCATCCATTTTGCTGTGGCTTAGAATTGTGGTAACAGCCACAGAATAATATTTCTCTGGCACTGCCCCCTGCTGCTCTGTAGGGCTCCAGCACTCCCCTCCCCCCAGCCCAGGTTTCTCTCAAATAGTCCCAAGAGTCCCTTGATGGTGACTCTTTCATGAATTACTCATTATTTTCCTCTTTTGCTGCTCGTCTGGGTGAGGGCTCCAAGCTGCTGTCAATCTTCAAACTGACAGGTAGGCCATGGAAGATGCCAGAAGGTCCTGTGGCTGAAGATTAGCTACAGACGCCTAGCTAAGTTCCAGGGAGGTGCTTGTGCCAAAGGCATGTAAAGCATCACTATCAAGCCCACTGCTGCTGCTGTTCACACTGCCTTGAGTCACCAGGGAGATGTCACATATTTTCTGTATGTGTGTCAGTAAGACTCAAGAGTGGCTATTTCTAGTCATTTACATTTTGGTGACGGTATTTATAACTCAAATTTTCACTTTTGTTTTCATAGGTTGGACCTTGGAAGAACCAAGGAGAGGAGAAGCCTCAAGCCCTCTGTAGTGAAGAGCCAGGAGAAGGGATGTGCAGGGGCTCAGAGTCTTTCCAGTCTCCACTGGGGAGGGAAGAAATGGGAAATGAGATAATTGGGTCCAAATCACAGTCCCAGCAAAAACTCACTGCAGGTTATCAAATTTGAACTCAAAGACCGAGACCTGCCAATATAGGGACAGAGAATGTTGAGGTCACTTAGCCTAACCTTCCACACAAAGCCCTGATCGTGTCTGCAGTAATCCAGATGGATATTTCTCTAGCTGCTGTTTGCACATTTCCAACCTGAGTGAGAAGAGTCTGGGATGGAATTCCATATTCCTGCTGTGGCACCCCCACACTTGCATGCCAAGTTCTCCTTGGTTTACATAAAATAGAAAGCATTGTCTCCCACCACACACTTTGGGGCCCCAGGAACATATTTTGGGAAAGTCCATGACCATCTCTGGGAGTCGAAACTTTCTGGTAGTTACCATTGCCAGGCTTCCAGCCTTATCAGCTGCTCAGTGCATGGAGGTTGGCACGCCATTGAAGTGACAGAGGGGAATAAAAAGAGAAATGAGGTTACGAGGATAAAAGGCACAAAATATACACCTGCCAAGAGGTTGGATGGAGGCAGCAACAGTCAGGGTGGTTTCAAACTTAGTGTTCAATCTTCTAAAGGACATTTGAGTTTCAACTGAAGGGAGAACATGGACATTTCCTTCATTTACCCCTTCACCCAACACATATTTACTGAATGCCTACTGTGTGCTGGGCGTGGTTCTCCATGGTGGAGATTCAGAGAGAGAGGTAAGACAGTGTTTCTCCCCAAAGGACCTCACTGTCTAGTGAGAGTAAAACCATGAAGCTGATCAATGTTACAGGATGTGGCCAGTGCAATGAGAGAGGGATGCCAAGTGTTGGGGCAGAGGTCACACACAGAGGAAGGAGGCAGGAACCTTGTAGCAGCTCGCCTAGGGGTATGGGTAGGTGAGGGTTCTAGGCAGAGTGGAACCATGAGCAAAAGCACAGAGATGCAGCAGTGAACTATGAGCCATGGGGAGCTGTTATAATGGAAAGACCAAGATAAGGGTGCGGGGGTAGCCAGGCCCATGGCCACTCAAATACTATGTTGAGGAACTTGGACTTTATCCTGCAGGCCATGAGGCAGCACTGAAGTTTCGTGAGGAAGTGTGAGGCCAAAGAGGGGAGTACCATGAAAACTTGGTCTAGGACCACAGACCAGAGCCATATCGTGACTGTAAAAAGAGCTTCCAGTCCCGTCAGGGAGGAAAGCAAGAGTTCATACATACGATTGGGTGAAAGAGACTTCTTCGCCCAGCTAGAAAACAGCTTTTCAGAGATGCAAACCTAGTTATTTTGAACTTTGACTCAGTGGCTTCTGTTTCTCAGAAACAAATTCTACAAAATTTTCTGGGTTTTTTTAGCTGTGGATTTGAGACAGGAGCTGCTAGCACATTTCAGTCCTCATTTCATCAGCAACTATATACATGCTCATCAGTTACTGTCTACAAGCCCTTCTTTCCTCCCTTTCTCTCTTCTCCTTACCCCTCCTTCCCTCCCTTCCTTTCATATTGATTGACTGCCCATTCATCAATGTGAACAAAAACTCATCAGTAATTCTTTCCACCCAGGGAACCCCTGACCTTTTAGAGATTTCTCTATGCCATTCTTACTTAGGCAAGGCCAAACAGACTGGGCTCCATCGTAAGAAGAGAAGAGAATGGGATGAAGAGTGAAAATATGCCTGAGGGTGGGAGCTAGTCCTCCTCTTTATAGAGTTTGGTTATGAGGGGCTGTGGTGTGGGAAAAATGTGGGACATTTCTGTGGTGTAGACCATCAATCAAGTAGGTAACCAGGAGGTAGATGTCGAATCTTGACTCTTCTCCCAACACAGTGTCCACTGCCATCAACTGACAGAGTGGTCTTCCAAAGAAAACATCAATTTGGTTAACAATAGCAGGGAGGACCCCAGGCTGGAACAGTAAGTTTGCTTCTCAACATCAGCCTTTCTTTTTGCCTCACTTTGGCCTCCAAATTGCAGCTTTATTCTTTTCCGTTTTGTCAGATGTATGCATGGGGTGGAGGTGTGTCAGAGGTATTTGCCTGCCATGGGAGATCCTAGAAGGCAGAGTCCCGTAATGTCATAATGTCAGCTGAAAAGAGCCTTAGAGGTGAGCTTTGCAGTCACTCCACATTTTTTTTTTTAAGAAAATACTTGTTTGCTAAGCTGTGTGTTAACTTCTGGCCCTGGCTCTCAGGCGAACAAAGGATAGGGCACAGTGTTCTGTGTGTCCAGCCCCAGGTTTGCCCAGTTTGGGACTATTGAGGACACTGACAGAGAATATAGCTTTGAATATAAAAAACAACAGTTATTCTTCTGAGAAAGAAAACTCATATTTATTGAGTGTCTATAGGTGCCAGCAAGTATGAAGCACTTGGCATATATTAGCTTGGTTTATACTCATAACCATCCTGTGAGGTAAGGATGATAATTCTTATTTTATGGAAGAGAAAATACATGCCAAACAAGAGAATTTTCCCAAGTCACAAAGCCAGTAAGTGCCAAAATCATGATTCAAACTCAAAACAGCTCTCTCCAAAGTCAACGTCCTTGAGGCACGAGAGAAATACGTCAGGATCCTAGAGAGAAGAAAAATGCCAAGGTGGAGAGAAGGGCAATTGAGAAGTCTCACAAACTTCCGAATATGAATATGAGTAGAAGGAAAAAAGGAAGGACCGTCACAAAATAGAATAAGCACAAAAAATCTTATTTTCCTATAGCCAACCTCCTCCCTTTTTTTTATTAGGACTCATAAAATTCAATAGTTATCTGGCTCAGTAGTATTTCTCTTCTAAATGATGTGTTTAAAAATATGCATGTTAAATTTCATTTCTGGTCTTTACAAGACCAGAAACACATGAGACCTCTTCACTATTGGGCTGAGCCCATTGCATTTTTCAGAGATTCCTCAAAATTTTCTGAGCATTTCAGCTGTCTACAGTGATGAGGGAATTTTGTGCACTCCACATTGCTTTCCAGTACTAGTGCCATAGACATTCAGCACTCACTACAGCAACTCTCTGGGAGCTCGGAGATACTTTTCTGAAGCTTAATCTTGATCACAGCCTTTCACTCACATCACTGACTTTTGAAATTAAAAATCCCAGCCATTTCTATAATTTTTTGGATTCTTACGGTAGGTTTGGGATGGGAGATGGAATAAGAACTCCAGAAAACTATTTACTTGGCTTTTTCTCAAAACTTACTATGATTTTCTATCAGCCAGGAGAGCAATCTCTTCTTCTTTTGCTTAGCTTTGGAAATAAGACCAGCAAAAAATACATTGGATGGTTCAGGGATAGTTGGTGGGTATATGGTGGAGTGGTGTGTGTGTGTGTGTGTGTGTGTGTGTGTGTGTGTGTGTGCGCGCGCGCGCGCGCGCATGTGTATATACTGAGGTTGGGCTGAAGGCATTTTTCCTCAGGGAATGACCACTGAAAACCACCTCTCCTGCAAGGTTAACTTCTTATAGGAGAATTAAAAACTAAGAAATCAGGTACTTGCTTTAACTATTATAATGAGAAATGGGAAATGATTCTGACCAATAATATCAAAAATCACAATATTAGTCCAATTTCTTAAAGTTTACTTCTCAACTTAGATTCTGTTAGCTATTCAACAAACACTTCTGCAGTGCAAAAACAGTTCAAAAAATATTTAACTGAGGCACGCTATATTGATGTTCTACTGTTTTTCGCCTTGCCTAATGGTTGCTTCCAACTAGACCTGAAAATTTGGGGTGATATACAGGGCAAGAACTATAATTCCTGTATCCCCTCAGGCTCTGCTTACCCACCCACAAGTTGCCTAGAAAACTCCACATTTTTTGCCAACTCTTCAAGTCACTTTTCTCTCAAGCTTGTATTAGAGAATAGGTTACCTGTTCCCCTGAAATCCTATTCATCTCCCACCTGATTATTGGCAACTTAATTTATTTTAGTGCCCCAGTGGAGCCTGGCCAGTAGTAGGCAGTCAATGAATATGGACAGAAGAAAGGAAGGGTGGATGGGAAGGAAAGGAGGAATGGCAGGAGGGAGGGAAGGGAAAACCTGTGGCCCCAAGTCATTGTGAAATTCACACTGAAGAATGAAATTCACACTAAAGGATGCAGCAAAACCCATAAGAATCACTTGTGAAGGAAACGAAAATGATGAGAGAGTTGGAAAAATTAGATCTTAACCCCGAGATTCAACAGAGAGAAGCTAGTGCTGTGTCTCTGAGTGGGATTCAAGTGCAGTGTTAAGAGGAATGGCCCAAAGGGCAGTTTAACTGAATGGAACTTTGGCAAAGGCAAGGTGCCACAGCAACCCCCAAATCTTGGGAGAGGGTCTTTGGGGGCTTTGGACTTTGATCACACTGAAACTCCAAGTGAACGTGACTTTTCTACAGTCACTACTCATTTTTCCTGTTCATCTCCCACTTGATTATGGGCAACTTAATTTATCTTAGTGCCGCAGTGGACACTGGCAAGTAGTAGACAGTCAATGAATACGGACAGAAGAAAGGAAGGGAGGATGGGAAGGAAAGGAGAGAGGGAAGGGATAGAGGGAGAGAGGAGCTTAGCGTGTTGAAAGCATGTGTACAGAAACAAATGAAACAAAAATCAAATGAACAGCAGGACCCGGCTCAAGAGACAGCCGAAATGCCAGAAAATTGTGTGGAATCTCTGAAGAATGCAATGGGCTCAGCTCAATGGTGAAGAGGTCTCCTATGTCCCTTGTGGCCAAGACAAACCAGGCAAACCTGAGGCTGGACACACAGAACAGATATTTTTCTCCTCTTTTTCTTGCATCTCCAAAATTTCTAACTTCCTCTTGTATGAAGGCACCTAGACTTAGTGAGTTTCCCTTTGTGACTTGGAAGTTGTGGGAAGGGAGAATCAGTCAGGAAATGAGGTGTCAGTAGGCTCTTTAGCAAACTCAGCCAGTAGATGGCTAAAAAAGGACTTGGTTACTTTGGGTCCATTTTGTCTATCCATGGGATACGACCATGAGCGCGGGGAAGAGCTCTCTACCTGAGCATGTGGACTGAAAAGAGTAGAACCTTGGGGGATCCTGAAGGAAGAGGGGAAACCAGGAAAACAGAGGAAGTTAACTTAGGAGGGGTAAGGGAAGAAGAATGCAAGATTGACGTTGCAGAAGCCAGAGGCCAGGGCTAAGAACAGGGTAAGGGACTTTTGAGAAAGGAGTAGCAGAGCATTCACATTAGATAAGTTCTGAAAGGTGTCCACTGAGCCTGGGTTTGTTATCTAGAAGGTGACCTACTGTAAACTTTGCCAGAGCATTTTCAGTGGTGAAGAAGTGAGACCTTTGGCTCCCAGTGAAGGGAGCAAGCCCAGTTAGGTTTCTTTAACAAGCTTGGCCAGGAAGATGGAGCAGTTGCTAGAGACGATGGAAGGTCAAGGGAGACCTTTGCTTCCTCCACAACTGTGGCAGGCTCTGGGGCACCTTCATAAGCTGCACAAAGAGAGCCTGATGAGAGAGGGTGAGAACGCAGAAGGGAAAGGAAACACTGGGCAGAAAACAGGGTCTTGGGCCAAGAAAAGGGGAGAGGGGGACATTTGCAGAGCATCGGTAGTGGGATTGCCTTGAACTTGAGTTTGAGTGTAAACAAAGTTCACCAAAGGGGATGGGGAGGAGACAGACACAGAATTAGACCCATTCATAGGCTTAGGGGACCTTGCATGGCCCTTTTGAGGGCTTCGTTTTCCTCAGTGAGGTGGAAGGCAAAGCCAACTTCCTGAGGCATGAAGTGGGGATGGGATGGGGATTTGGTAAGACTGGTAACTGTTTGGAATAGCTGTGGTGGGATATGGGTGAGGGTTATTACGGGATGCTGTGATCCCGGGAGAGGCTGGAGGCCCTGTGTATGACTTTCTCAAGCAGTGTTCAGCAGCGCAGGTGTAGGAGCATTGGAGAGGGAGAAGGTTTGGACCTGTCCAAGATCGGTAATAGCGCTGGTGGGCCTGAAATAGAAGGGGCCAGGTAATTGAGGATCTCACCAAGAATGGAAAAGGGTCTCACTCTGGGTCCTTCTGAAATAAAAAGGGAAGCCACAAAAAGGGAGATTGGCTGGGAAGTATGGAGGGAAGTATAGGATCAATGAGCCTGAAGACCTGTTGTAAGGTGAGGAAAGAAATAAGAGTTGGACGGTTAATGAGAGGTAGCCAGGTCTTGGAATCTGACATTTCCAAGACAGTGCTATGATAGGGAGTGGCAAGGTCTACACAGAGAGTATGGCTGTTGGAGGAATAGAGTTGTGAATTTTTCGGCAGACCTTTATTGGGCTTGCTTATTGTTCAATTCAGTACTGTAACTACAGTTCTCTAAATCTTGATGGAGTAATCTACATCCCCAAGAAATTATGATAATGAAGGTTAGGGCACTCAAAACTATTTTTCTTCCCTAGCATTTAGGGATTCTGAGTATGAGTCTCTGTCTTTCTCTCTTCCTTTCCTTTTATGATACTGAATAATTACAAGAAGACAGTTACAGAAAGTTATAGACCTTGAACATATGCAAGTACTTCCCTCTACCTTCATTATTAGATTCTTGCCCAGCTAGGCAGGTCCAAGATTTTGTTTCTGGCTATGCTAATTTTGGACAATAAAAAGAATATCCTATAAGCAAAAGCACCATCTTTCACACAGGTGCTGGAAGTGGCCTCTTTATCTGCCATGGAGACATATAGTTTGGTCCTCAATTTGGCCACCCGTCTTGCCTCTGGAAGATCATACATATCTGGATTCTCAGACTCTGCACCTCTTTTGGAGAATCTGCTATTTTCTATAAGCAGTCATTGCAGAGGGAGTAAACATTTTGGATCAACTTCTCTTTTCGGCCTTTTGCTCCTTACCGGTAGCTCACAATTTGGAAAGACAATGGAATTAAAAATGAGTTATGAATTTGAGTCAAGATGAATCCATACATCCAGATGGTCTGGAGCCTCTGTGATTCTTCCATGAATGACTCCCTCTTCCTAGTATGGCAGAATATTCTCCCAACTGGGAGTTGGATTTAGACAAGTCACTATGGGCCTCAGAGTCTTCTGTGGACCTGAGAGTCTGGGAGTATAATCCTTCTAACCTTGCAAGGCTAGATGTCTGAGCACACCTGTACACTCTTATTCATTTTATATAAATGGAAACCATGGCAGTATGGGCTTCTTTGATAGACTCAGGAAACAGGTGGATGCAATACTTCATTTAGAAAAGATGTAAATATATCTTCCCAGGTGTACTTAATTTGTGTATGTCCTGGAATCATAAAACCTTGGAAACTAGAAAGGAAAGAGTCTCACTACTGTAGCCTACTTAATTAATCTGCCCTGTAGTTCATTTGTTTGTACAATTGCATTTCTAGTGTTAAGTGCATGGAGAGCCTGGCTACTGGTTTCCTGATGCCTTCAGCAGGCATAAATCACCTACAGAGGCAGTGGCAACATGGTCCTCGTTTTTCCTCCGAAAAAGCTTTCCTCATTTTCTCAACATTTTGGATTCCAAGACAAAGTGGTTAATAAAACCAGTAGTTCTGTTTCAGTTTTGTTCTGGTTCTGTCTCTGGGGTTGTCTTGGTGCCTGGTTTTCTTTGGTTCCAATGAATAATGTGTCATTTTTTAAAACTCTTTTAGCTTCTTACACTTTTGGGCTTCTTTTATAATATTCCCTGATCAGGGGTGAGCCCTTCATCACCAGATTAAATTTTGCTTACCTTGGATCACTATCAGGCAAAATTGGTTTTAATGGATTATCTCAACCAATGGTATCCAGAAGATGCCAGGACTGGAAAGCACCAGCCATCGCTTGAGCATCATCTGGGAGCTCATTAGAAATCCCTATTCCTGGGCTCCCCAGACTGGGGCTAAGAATCTGCATTTTACCAAGATCCCCAGGTGACTCATAAGCACATTAAAGTTTGAAAAGCATCAGTTAGATGGCGAGTATGTAACAGCTCCATCTTAGCAGGTTTCCAAAGAAACCCATTGGCTCAGGTACACAGTTTTATCCTTCACCCTATTTGATTTATGATAGCCAGGGTTGAACTACCACAGAGATTGTTTGGTTGGGTTCTTTTCATTCTTTCAGAGAGGGACAGAAAAGGAGATTACTGAGTCTGCAGATAAAGGGAAACCCTGTTGGAGGTCATGGGACTATAGGAATATGTCTCATCTGCTCGGTGTGGAGTCTGTCATCCTGCTGCCCACCTCTTGTGAATGCATGTGGCCCAGTTTTCTGAGAAAAGAAAAATGTGTAAATAGAAAACATGTGAGGGAGCTCTAGTTTTCATCCTAAGACTTACAGATGCGAAATGCAACCCCATAATGGTAATTACCAATGGAGTTTCAAGTACTAAGGAAGAAACAAAAACCTGTTTTGATAACTCCTATGATATATTAGCAAGTTCATTTTGGACAGGAATGGGAGGAAGCCATTAAGAGAAATAACACTAGTGTGTTTTATGGCATTCTAGCAGCAGGCAGCGCCTCATCTGTCTGTGGTCTCCTACTGAGAGCCCACACAGGTGATGGCCCAGGATGGAAATAGGACAGGCTTTCACCAAGAAGCCCTTCTCTTCTGCATTGCATTATAGTGTGGTGAAATGCATTAATTGCAACTGCTTCTGTTTGGAGAATGGGGGAAATAAGTGATCTATCATTTAAATGAAATGCACATCACTTTGGTGGCCATTAACTTAGTCCTTGGAAGTGACTAGGTGTTTGGGGGCATGTGAGAGCACACAAAAAGCTTGAATTAAATGTTTTGAATAATGTATCATTTGTCTTCTTGTAAAAATATCTATTTTTATCCCACTGGTATCCATCACACTCCCTCTCACCCTAGCTAGATACATTTAATCACTTGTTAAAATGCCTGGATTCTTGATCTCCCAGAGAGAAACTGTAAAAATGCTTGTCTTGGCAGTAGTGGAGTACTGATAACAGGTTTAAATCAACCAGGGATTTCTTTTGACTCTTTCTATTGTCAAATTGCTTAGAAGGAGAAAGGCAAAAGACTCAGAAATCTCCTGTAATCCGAACTATAACCTTTGGAGCTTGTCTCACCCCAATTTCCTATGCTGTTTTGAGAAATAGCACAGTCCTTGATTAGTTTTAAAATACATGTTCAACATAAAATGTGACTAGTATTAAAGGGGAGAAAAACAACAAAAAATCACCTGCAGTCACCTCCATCCAAAAATAACAATATATTGGGTTATATATAGCATCTCCCTCTCAAAAATCACATAAACACATACAGTATTTGTAGATATTGTTTCCATACTATTAGCACACTATGTAATAATTACAATACTGTGTAATGTTACTGCACTATGTGTAGACTGTTCTCTTGCTTGCTTTTGCATTTAGTGATGCATTACATGTTGTCACATTAATAAATGCCCTGTTCTATATGATGTTTTTTAAAAGATGGGGTCTCAGTGTATCTCCCAGGGTGGAGTGCAGTGTTGTAATCTTGAACTCCTGGGCTTAAGGGATCCCGCCTCAATCGCCGCGAGTAGCTGGGAATATAGGCGCATGCCACCACACCTGGCTAATTAAATTTTTCTTTTTTGGTAGAGACAGGGTCATGCTATGTTGCTCAGGCAGATCTCTAGATGATTTTTAACTAGATTTTAAACTACCTTATGTCGTTTGGATCTGCTAAAAAAAATGAGAATAACTGTAGGCATCGGTCTAATTAAAATAGGGAACAAGAACCAAAAAATCCCCTAGTTCCAGGAACACTGAAGTTCACTAAATACATTTCATTTCCACTGGGATATCACATGACTGAATGGCAATTGCGTTTCTTGTTTAGTATCTTGTGAATGCACATGTAAACCCTACTCTTAGTGTGGTCGTTGTGTGGTCTCTTATTATCACCTCCTGCTACTTCCATCCGTCTCATTTGAAAATGCTGTTGGGCTATGAACGTTTTCTTGTTCTAAGACTCTCAGGGGTCTTTACCTCCTGCTCTCTGTCTGCCTCTAGAAGTACCTAAAGAATACAGGTACAAAGACTAAACTATGTAAATTAGTATGGAATAGGGAGAGGAACCAGCAAAGAGAAGGAGAATTAGTTCCTATCTCAGTTGGTAAAGATGATTTACTATCTCTTATTCTCTGCATTCACTTTGGGTGGTTCTGAAAGCCTGGGACTGTATGACTGTAAGGTATGCCAGAGAGCCTTGCAGAAGCACAGCTGCTGTCATGAATCTCTGCTGCTGAACATTTGAACTTGGCCACTAACTTCTCACTGGAGAAACATCAAAGCACATGGCCCCGCCCCATGTGTCTACCCTGATTTTATGGTGCTTGCCTACATTGATCTTGCATCAAAATGGGCCCATTCATATCCCTGAAACTAGCTCCTCTGTCTACAGAAATCCTTGGCAGACCTTCTCCAGTAGTAGCCCCCATTTTCCCTTCCCCGTTGTAAATCGCAACCATCCTTATACAAGACTCAGTTCCTCCCTGTAGCCACACAGCCTTACAGGCTCTCTACTCAGGAAGCATACTGCCGCAGATGGGCCTCTCCCAGTTGGTATTCCTCATGTACTTTTGTCACTTGATTACATGTTTATGTGTGTACACTTGGTTATATGCCTTTGTGTACAGACACATCCCCACTTGAAGCAATAACTCTTTTCGTATACAAGTCAGATTTCCCATATATTGATGAAAGGGCTTAAGGATATATTTCTTTGCTTTCATTTCACAGAAGCCCAAAAGCCTTACAAATCACTTCGACAACAGAAAGATGAGCATGGGTTTTAAATCTCTTGTGTCAGCCATGGCTAGCCACCCATTGACTTAGGATCTCTGCATTTTCTTTCTTATCTTCTTAAAGAGATTTGTACCCTTTGCCCGAACTGTAGCTTCCAATCACAATGAAAATGTAACAACGGTGCATGCATGTGGATAGACGGAGAGGGATAACACACAAACACAGAAATAATGTGAGCTGATGAAGGAAAAGTTTAGATGACTCAGAAACGTGGGGCTGGATGCAAAATTCTCCTCCTTCCTGCTCCTGCCTCCTCTCTTTGGTTTTCATCTATGCTCAAGAGTGCTTTATGTCTACTTGAGTAATGTATACTGTTACCCATCTCTTAAACTGTATCCAGTGCCTCTGAGAACAATTTGTTAAGGGGAAGTTTGCTCATGGGAATTTCATAATCCAGGGAACATCTGTAGAGCTAAACTGTGAGACCCCAACAATGGGGCCATGCTACTGATTTTGTGTGTTCCCAGTAGCTGTCTAATGAAATGGATTGAGGCACCTGGACAATAGGGTAGTAGGGACTCTTGTTTGTAGCAAGCTGCTAGTGGCATAGGCATAGTTATTGCTAATGTCCTACCAGATGCAAACTTACATATGACCACACATTCCCATGAAGAGATTCTGCCCTCTCTGGGGATAGCGGGCTTGGGGGCAACTCACTGGGAGATTCTTGCCAATAGAGGCTTCATATAGGAGCAGAGATGTAGAGCCAAGACCCCTTAGCAACCTTGTTAAGTTGAGTCTTATGGTAGTGCTCACAGTGGCCGGGGTGGGAATAGCCCTTGGCAAGATGGGCAGATTGTTAAATATGGATGGATTGCTGGGAGCCTCCTTTCCCTGAAATGGGGCTAAAAGAATAAATGTTGAGAGTACAGAAAATTCACTATGGATAGTGGAGAAAGAGAGAAAGCCAGAGGCCCAGACAAGCCCTTTGGGTTTAGAGGGAAGAAAACTCTTTTCTGCCTTCCAAGTATTAATGACCTCAAACCTTCCTCCTTTTCTGTCAGCATCAGTATTCCACTTTTAAGAGAAATCAGTGGATATAAAGGACTTGGCATCTGCATTTAAGATTCTCCCTATCGCCCTTACCCAGGCCTCCTCTTGGCAGCCTTCTCAGGCAGGGCACCTGGATTCCCCTCTCTTTGCAAGTTTCCTCCCACCCCATTTCTTAGCAGGCAGCACTTTTTAATGAGAACCACTTCTGTGAATTTGAAATCACTCTCTGGCCTCTCAGCACACATACAGATAGATAATAAACTTGGAAATGGAGAGAGCTTCCTGTTTCTCTGGTTCACTTTTCTGACCTTAGAGATGTTCAGTGACTCCCTCATTTTTACACTTTATACTAGTATACTTGGGAGGCCAGGCAAAGCCTCTCTCCCTCCTGCCCAAGAACACTGAGACAAGAACTGCCTCATTGGATTTTTTGAACTCATGTTGGACTGAAGTGTACAAGTAGATGGGTAACATGCTGGTCTTGCCAATATGGGCATCATCTGAATTATTCAGATGTCAGTTTAACCACATCATCTGGAAGGCTCCCAATCAAAGCTTTAGTTTGAGGACAAATTGTATACCTACCCTCTAGCAACTCTTCCAGATTAAGAGGAGTCAGCAAAGTAGACTTTTCTTATTTTCTGAAGATCATAGTATCAGTGTCACAGAGCAAGGCCACTCCTGGCATTGGTTCTCCAGCTTTCCTGCTCTGAAGCATGAACTCGCAGGGGGCACACTGACTCTCACTTTTCTCTAGTTCATTCTTCACACTTCACACTTCTGCTAAGATGAGGAGAAGCAGTTCTAACTGCTCCCCACCATCTATGGCACCAAGTCTTTTCTCGTGGGCACAGTTGCTAGTTTGCCTAGTTGCTAGTTTGCCTTGTGGCCTTGCCTCTGCCTGGTGCCCCTGCCTCCTCCATTCCTGCTGCACTCCTTGGCTCCTGGTCTTCAGCTATATAAACGTCCTTATGTTCTCCAAATATGTACAGCTGTGTCACCTGCTGAAATTTTGTACTTGGCTTTCCCTTTGCCTGAAATGACCTGCCCAACTTTCTGGGCCTAGAAAACCCTCTTTTTTTTTTTTCCTTCATGAGTGAACTCAGAAGTTTCTCCCTCTGGGAAGCCTTTCCTAATTCTATCTTCTGCTACTTAATGAATGCATTTAGTACTGTCATTCTCATTCTTTGTTTACATTATGGTCTCCCCTAAAGGCCACTGCATGAGGACAGGAATCTTACCTGATTTATTTTTTATATTCTCAAGGCTGAAGGAAAAAGTAGGCAATATTTGTTGAAGGCTATGGCAACCAGAACAACATGGTACTGGTATAAAAATAGACAAATAAACCAGTGGATTGAACAGAGGACCCAGAAATAAAGCCCAATATGAATAACCAACTGATCTTTCACGAAGGCAACAAAAATGTACATTGGTGTAAGGACACTCTTTTCAATAAATGGCACCGGGAAAATTCAATTGGCATATGCAGAAGAATGAAACTGCACCCCATTGCTTACCATATGCAAAAATCAACTCAAGAGGGGTTCAAGACTTAAATGTAAGTCCTGAAACTATATATACATACATACATACATACATACACACACACACACACACACACACACACACCTTTTAGGTGTTTCCTCACCTAGGAAAAACTCTTCTGTACATTGGTCTAGGGAAAGAATTCATGATCTCAAAAGCATAGGAAACAGAAATAGACAAATGTGACTATATTACCTGAGAAAGGTTCTGCACAGCAAAGTAAATATCAACAGAGTGGACAGAAAACCTACAGAATGGGAGAAAATACGTGCAAATTATATATCCAACAGGTGACTAATATTCAGAATTTACAAGGAACTAAAAAAGTTCAACAACTACAAAGAACCCAAATAATCTCATTACAAAGTGGGCTAAGGACTTGAATAGACATTTTTCAAAAGAAGACAAACAAATGGCCAACAAGCATATAAAAATGCTCATCATCACTAATCATCAGAGAAATGCAAATTAAAACCACAATGAGATACCAACTTACATCAGACTGTCTATTATTAAAAAGACAAAAATGTAGGAGAGGATGTTGGAGAGAATGCAGAGAAAAGGAAACACTTATATGCCACTGGTGGGAATGTAAATTAGTACAACCTCTATGGGAAACAGTATCTAAAAGAACTAAAAATGGAACTACTCTTTGATTCAGCAATCCCACTACTGGGTGTCTACCCCCCAAAAAAGAAATCATTATAACAAAAAGATAACCTGCACTCATATGTTTATTGCAGCACTATTCACATTAGCAAAGGCATAAAATCAACCTAAGTGTCCATCAATGGATGATTGGATAAAGAAAATGTAAGATATATATATAATATATTAATACTATTCAACCATAAAAAGAATGAAATCATGTTTTTTGTAGCATAGATGGAACTAGATGCCATTGTCTTAAGTTAAACAACTCAGAAACAGGGACAAATACTGCATGTTCTCACTTATAAGTGAGAGCTTAAATAATGTGTACATATGTACATAGAGTGTTGAATGACAGACAATGGAGACTAGGAAGGGTTGGAGGTTGGAGAGGGTGGATGATGAGAAACTACTTAATGGGTACAATGTAGTCATTCCAGTGATGGATATACTAATAGCCCTATTTCACCCCTATGCAATACATCCATGTAACAAAATTTCCCTTGTATCCCATAAATGTATACAAATTTAAAAAATACTTACTGAATTGACCCATTAAGTTTCCTACCAAGAGTATTTCCTTTCTGTTTGGTTTTATGTTAATTTGTGCCATATTTGCCTAGGAATAACTGGGTCCAGGGTTTCTCATTATGTGACTGGTTGACTACACTAACAACTTTACTCTTCTACTTTTCACAAATTCTCAAATTTTCCAGAGCTTCACAGGGGTCTACAATTGTTGTGCTTCTCTGCACACCCAAAGGCCTACTGTCAAATGCTTGAATAAAGGAATTGGCGTTTCTGTTAACTTATTCTTCCCGGAGGAAGAGGCCGGCAAATCATCATGGTTGTATGAAGCCAGAGAGCGCTACTGCCATTAAAGCTAATTGGAAATTCATGTGCTATGGACAGCATTGTTAGTGAAGGATTGACTCTTGCACCTGCCATTTGCTAGAAGATAAGGTCATTTACTGATTGTGAGGGATTTGGAGCACTAAAGTCATCTCCTTACATCGGTATCCAAGGATAGAGTTGATTGCGGTATTTGGGGAATGAAAAGAAGAGACTAATGCTGATTTCTAATCTCTCTCTTTCTCTTCCAAAGTAGGAAATGACCCTTATGTCAAAGGATAAAAGGAAACAGTCTATTTAGCAGGAAAGAAGGAGGGGAGGTAGAGGGCGGGACTGTCACCTTTGTTAAGGAGCCACTCATTGCTTGACACTCAGCTAGGCACCTGACACATATAATTCAATTTTTATACAAACTTTGGCAAGAAGACTAATTATTTCAGTGTTACAGATGCAGAAACCGATGCTCAGAGAGGATAAGTAGACCCACCCAAGGTAAACACAGCTCAAGAAGTGGCAGCATCCTTGTCTGCCTGACACCAGAACAGTTTTTGGGGACACTCTCATATTGCTTCTGTGCCTTGACTACAGAAGTAAAACTGTCATGCTGGGTTTCAGGTTGGGCAAGCAAATGGGCATTTTGGAGAATTAGATTTTATTCAGAGCAATATTGGGTTTTCAGTCTTTCCTGACACTTATGATTATATCATTTTCAGCCCTGAATTCTGTGGAATCTACCTTGCCTAGATGAATCAGAATATTTAGAAATGACAGGCTTATGGAAGTACTTCAGAGAAGAGCTGGGGTAGGCTGGTAAAAAACATGTATCAAGACTTCAGACATAAAAGTTGCCCTGAATTGGTGACTTTTAGCCCCATCCAGTCTGTATAGTCATTAGACAGCCTGAATGTCAGATATTCAGGGGACAAAGCCTTAGAATGAAAAAGATAAATGGTTGTTTCAGTAATGTTCCCCTACATACTCTAAAAGAAAGTCAGCATTAGATACCAGATCAATCTTTTTTGTTTTCACCATTTAATAGGTCTGTGGGAAGACAGAAGTTTCAAGTCAATGAAAGTCTTTGTAATCAAATTGCATTGAACAGGAAAGTCATACAAAAGGTTACATTGAGGTCCTATGCTCTGAATATAGTTAGTAATAGGATAGTAGAATGAAAGAAGAAAGGGAAGAAAAGGGAGAAGAGAGAAATCTGAGAATATGTGGATTAGAAATGGTGCAAGGACAAGCACCTCAGAAGGCAAGGAAGGCATTAATATCCAAGGATGGAGTAGAATGTGATATTTTGGGGATGAAAAGAGTAATGCTGATTTCCAATCACTGTCTTTCCCAAATTAGGGAATGATCCTCATGTTGATTTAATGTTAGAAGAATGCACTAAAGAAAGAGGGCCCCTGACTAAGGTTGAGGATAAGGGATTAGATTGAAACAGCAGAAGCAACATGAGAATTGGATGAAAGGAGCAGGGAGAACCTTCACTGCACTTAGCAACTTTCATGTTTTAGTAACTCAGGCCCTGGATCTTCCTGTCTTCCAGATCAACAGTTCTCTCCTATAGTAACAAAATTGCCTGGCTGGAGCCCCCATTCTTGGACCCTGCAGAGATTGCATCTTCCCAAATGCATCCAAGGACTTCTTATGAGCCTTGAATTTCTCCAGTTCTTTCATTTATCCATTTTCCTGATCCTACTGAATTCCCTTTTTCAGTTTCCTGGCACCTTGTAGCTCTTTGTTTTTTGCTCTTGTCATCCCAGAGTGAAAAAGCTACTTCTGTTTCTGTAGCTGAAGGTTTTGGGTTAACAGAAGGGCTTTTGTCACTGCATAGAATAGAAAACAAAATTCATAAATTATTTCAGGCTATGGGGACTTAACTGGCACTCTCCCTAGGTGTCCTTCATTCCTGTTTTCCTTACTACTTGTCCACCTCATCCATTTCTTCTAAGATCCCTACTCCACCCACTACTCCCCAAACTGGTGGCATCTACAGACAGCTCCAAGATTCTGGTTGCTCCATTAAGCAAAGCAGTTTAGCTCTCTTTGGCTTCCACAAGAAACCACACTGTTATGGGATCTTTGGGGCATCAATTTTCTGGCCAGAAACCTCTGTCGCCAGTGGTGCGTTTGCCTGAGTTCTTGTCCTACATCCAGAAAGAATGAGGTATATAGATAAATGAAGAGTGACAAGTGAAGGGTGAACAAAATGAAGATGAGCTTTATAAAGTGTTAGAACAGCTCAGAGGAGGCCTAGAGTGGATAAGTCCTCTCTATAGGCTGGTTGTCCTGTGGAGTGTTCAGCTCTCAGCAGAGCAGAGGCCCTGGAGAGGGTAGCTCCTCTCTGCTCACTGGTCATCCTGATGTCTCTCCTGATCTCAGCAGAGAGGGTACCTCCTCTCTGCAGCTGGTCCTCCTCTGCAGTTGTCTCTCTGACTCAGGCCATCCTGTGCCCTACTCTGGCTGAGCCCTGGGCTTTTATGGACCTCAGAGGGGAAAAAGTGTCTGCTGATTGATCCATGGGCAGCCACGGGTGGGTCCAGAAGAGGTATTATGAGACCCCACTCTGGTCAGTGGGACTGGCAGCCCAGCCCCCAACCTCCTGGCCTGAAAGTGGGGCCTTACTGGAGACCAACCCTTTCCCACCGAGGAATCAATCTGCCTTCTGCTGGTATTAATGGCCCCAGGGCTCAGCCACAACCTCACTCCAGGATGGAAGCAGGTGCCAGGAGAGGAACGAGGCCAGACAATGGGAGCAGACAGCCCAGAGCCAACAGGGCCATCAGTGGGGAGGGCCTTCCCACCCCCAAGGAGGCAGACTACAGAGATGCTCAGGTCTCGTGCCTGGGAGGGCAGCTGCAGCTACACCCAGGGAGCTCCCACCCCACCAACTTGGAAGGGGCAGAGCTCCCGATTGTCCCTGGCTCCTGCCTGCTCCATGGAGTGGGAGGCCCAGGTCTGCAGCTGCTGGTTGGGCAGCTGAAGCTGCACCCCAGAGGGCAGATCCTGCCTGCTTCCGGTTCCCCACAAGAGCACAGGGAGGCTCGGACCCACAGCTGTAGTTTGGGCGGCTGCCCATAGACCAGGAGGCCTGGATCTGCAGCTGCAGCTTGGCCCATAGACCAGGAGGCCTGGGACTGCTGCAGTGGTGCCCAGGGAACTCCATGGAGTGTACAGGCTGAGTCGCAACTCCCTGCTGCAGCCAGCATGGTAGTAGTGAAATGGGAAAAGTTCCCTTGTCCCCCCTCGCAAGGCATGTGATGCAGGTGTGACTTGATTCTTCAATGCCCCGCTGCTCAGACCTCTAGGGGAGCATACAGACAGGCGGGCTGTGGGGCTCTGATCCCACAGCAGTGTCTAGGGGTGAATGTTTAAAGCTAAAGCCCCAGTGGGTGTGTGTTACAGGATACTCTTTTAGTTTTGCCATCCATAGGCAGCTGTGTTAGCCAGCACAATTAGATCCCTGCCTTATCCCAAGGACAGAGGGCTTTCTCTGTCCTGGGGTTCTTGCCTTGGTGTACTGGAAGAATCAGATCACATGTGGGCTTGGAGAAGGAGTGCAAGGTTTTATTAAGTGGAAGTAGCTCTCAGCAGATGGGGGAGCCAGAAGGGAGATGATTTTTCCCTGGAGTTGGGCCAGTTGGTGGCCCTAGCTCTCCTCCAACTGCCCCAGCCAAACTCCGCATTGTTCCGCTGGTTGGTGGCCTGCCAGCACGCTGGTGCCTGTCGGTGTGCGCCTCTCAATGTCCCGATACCCGTGTGCATGTCTTTCTTCACTGGTGGTGCTCTTCCTTATGTCCAGCACCTGTGTGTCTATCTGCTAGGGTCTTGGAGAATGAGTGCCAGGTTTTATTGAGTGGAAGTAGCTAGGGTCTCAGGGGTTTTTATAGACACAGGATAGGGGCATGGTAGGCCAGGTTGGTCTTGGGTAATGCAACCATAGGGCAGGAAAACAAAAATTCCTGTCCACACTTAGATCCATAGGCACAGGTCCGGGGATGGAACTCTAGCCACAGACCATGCCCTTTTCTACCCAGCACTTCTCTTCCCCCACTTCGATATCATTTAAAGGGACCATGCTCTTCCATTTCCAGCAGTTCCCTTCTGGATCATTTCTACCCTCTGAAGAGGTACACCTAATTGCCATTAGAATACGGATGATGATTAGTCCTAAGTGCTTCCCACAGACAGGGGGCATTTGTTTTTGGGGAGAACGGCAGTCAGATTCCTCCCAGAGGTCTATCTAAGGGTTCCAAGCAAAGGGAGCCAATGGATTCTAGGAGTGAGAGGAAGAAAAAGTTTCATAAGGTTAAGTATGCGTGGGTTCAACATGTGTATTATACAAGGAAAGAATTTAGTGCCAAAGATTACAGAGATAACAACAACATTGTGCCCCAGGCTGTTTCACCCTGGTGAAGGAAATTAAACCTTGTGTTGGAGCAGATAAACTTTAGAAGAGAGATATCTGTTCTTGCCATATCTTTAGCAGTCAACAGGTGCCCCCTGGAATTCTGGGGTTTGTGGGCTTGCATGGTGGCCATTAAAGCCTCTGTATATCTATCAGAGTCACCTGAAAACTTGCCAAGATCCCCCTTAATTTGCTTTAAGTCCTGTAGGGAGAAGGGGACCTGGACATCACTGGGCCTAAATTCACTGGGCATCTGTTGTAGGGGCAAGAGTGAGACTGGGGCTTGTTTAGGGTGAGGATTTCTTGGAGGGGGCAAGTGAGAGGCTGAAGCTGGATAGGGAGGTCGGGGTGGACCCAGAGGAGCAGGACTTGAGGGAGCTGGCTCCTTTGCTGGGAGTGCCTCTGGGACTTGTATCTTTAATTGCCTGGGCTTGCCCCTTGCAGCCTTTCCTGAGATGGCAAGCAGGAGGTCTGGATCAATCCTATATTGTTGGCCAAAGGCCTGGATTGCCTTGCAAGGTATAGACAGCCTGCTCACATGGGCCTCAGAACCGTCTATCCTCACATCTATAGAAATGTTTCAATTGCTGGATGGTATTGTAATGAATGGTTCCTTCCTGAGGCCAAGCCAGTCCTTCCTGTAAATCATAATTTGGGATTTCTATGAGGGGGCAAGTGAGAGGCTGAGGCTGGATAGGGAGGTTGGGGTGGACCCGGAGGAGCAGGGCTTGAGGGAGCTGGCTCCTCTGCTGGGAGTGCCTCTGGGACTAGTATCTTTAATTAATTCCCTGGGCTTGCCCCTTTCAGCCTTTCCTGAGATGGCAAACAGGAGGGCTAGATCAATCCTACATTGTTGGCAAAGGTCTGTATTGCCTTGCAAGGTATAGAAACCTGTACATATCGGCCTCAGAACTGTCTATCCTCACATCTACAGAAGAGTTCTAATTGTTGAATGCCATTGTAGTGAATGGTTCCTTCCTGAGCCCAAGCCAGTCCTTCCTGTAAATCATAATTTGGCCAAACCTTTGTGCAGAGGGCTATGAGGCCATTTTCCTCCAGATTCTGAGGATCAAAGCAGTCCCAATTGTTCAGGATACACTTTAGAGGAGTATAAGCTGGGGATGGTGAAGAGAACTGGTTGCACATTCTGAAAGACAGAGAATAGAAGTGTCCCTCATTTCCCTTCCTCCTTCCAGTGAAAACTCAGGGCGTGATGGAGAGAGAACGCGAGCATCCTCCTTTCACTTTCCACCTCTTGTCCCTGAGCCCCGGCGACCTTGGCAGGTGCTGGCTGGCCCCAGGTAACAATGTAGTATGTACCCATGAAGCAGGGAAAACCTGGATAATAGGAATTAACCACCCTCACCTGTACCTTCCTTTCTCCCTGCTGTTGGCAAACTTCGAGTTCCCTGGGCTTGTTTATGCCATGAAGCATGGCCTTCTTCCTTGAGGTGGGGTTCAGTCAGCAGAAATTGGTCCTGCTCATTTACATTGTGCCTGTTTGCCTGAATTTGGATTCCTCAGACCTGTTCTTTCTTTCTAGGGCCTCAGCCTAAGCTTGGAATTGAGTTTGGGACTAAAAAGTCATCTCGGAGGATGTTTGTATCCACTTAGTGTCTCAAATAAGCCCTGCAGAATTTGCTCTTCTAGCCAGCAGGGGTTGCTCCTCTGTTAATTTCCCTATTAGAAACAGAGTGTTGTGGGCGGGGGGAGGCCCTCTCACTTAGAAAAGGAAAAAAAGGGAAAAACATTTAAAGGGGCAAAAAAGGGGAGAATGCTTGGGGAAGAACCCCTTGCTTAGTGCAAGTGGGCCCCTCTAATCCTTATAACTTTCCCATCCTTTTCCCAGTTCAGACCAGGTTGAATTTCTTGGCCAGGGGAGGAAAGGTTCCCATTGACTCAGTGGGCAAGAAGCACCCTGTAGGGTCCTGGCTATCACCTCGGCTTCCTCCCGCCCCCCTCATGGTTGTTGGACTCTGCCTTTGCCTGTTGTGGGCACACCCAGGTGCCCAAGCTGGGAGGGGAAAGAGTAAGAAGAGGTGCCTTGAACCGTGTGTGCCTGCAGCTGCCAAGGTGGAGGCATACATGGCACCTCTAGAAAAAATTGGTCTGATTTGCACCTTTGTGGCTGAGCCAAACACTTATTTTACTTAGTAACATTGCTGCAGCCTGTAGCAAAACTCTTAACATTGTAAAGAAAGAGATAAGAGCCATTTCAAATTGTGTGTGAGAGAGGAAAGAGACGAAAGAAAAACAGAGCCTCTTACCTGCAGGAAAGAGAGAGAGGTGGCAGGGTTTTGAAAGAAAGGCAGACCTGACAGTTTCATGTTTGCTCACACTTACCTTCTGCGATCCCAGACGATCCCCAGTTGTAATGGGAAGTTTCCTTGTCCTCCTCGCAGGGCATATGATGGGATATGACTCGCTTCTTCAGTGCCTTGCTGCTCCAGCCTCTAGGGGAGCATACAGACGGGCAGGCTGTGGGGCTCTGACTCCACGACAACGTCTAGGGCTTGAGTGTTCACAACTGAAACCCCAGTGGGCATGTGTTACAGTAGACTCTGTTAGGGTCCATAGGTGGCTGTGTTAGTCAGCTCAGTTAGACCCCTGCCTTATCACATGGACAGAGGGCTTTCTGTATCCTGGGGTTCTTGCCTTTGTGTACCGGAAGAATTGGATCACACATGGGCTTGGAGAATCACTTGGGTTTCACTGAGAAGTGTCACTGGAGGAAGAGCTCTGAGCAGATGGAGGAGCCATAAGGGAGATGGATTGTCCCCTGGAGTCTCTCCGGGGATGGTTTTCCCCAGAGCTCTCCTCCAACTTCCCCAGGCAAACTCTGCCGTCATTCTGCCAGTTGGTGGCCTGCTGGGATGCTGGTGCCTGTCAGTGTGTTCCTTTCAACATCCAGCTGCCCGTGTGTTCCTCCGCTGATGTGCTCCTCTTGACTTCAGCTGCCTGTGTGTCTCCCCGCTAGGCTCTCGGGGGTTTTTATAGGCACAGGATGGGGTCATGGTAGGCCAGGGTGGTCTTGGGAAATGCAACATTTGGGCAGGAAAACAAAAATTCCTGTCCTCAACTAGGTCCATGGGCACAGGCCCAGAGGTGGAGCCCTAGCCAGGGACCATGCCCTCCTCTAGCCAGCACTTCCTTTCCCCTCTTCTGTATCATTTAAAGGGACCACACTCTTCCCTTCCCAGCACTTCCCTTCCGTATCAGCAGCAGTCACTGCCATCAACACCCATTTAGACTAACTCAGTGGCTTTAACTTCTCACATCCTAAAAGCTCCATCAAGATCCACCAAATTGGTAGCTGTACAGAAAAACCACCTATGGGGAGATGGATCATGCCATGTCCCCTTGAAGACAAGCAGCTGTAATCCCCCATTATTTTAAATAACATTTCTTTTCCTTCTTCAAATGTTGAGACTGGGCATGAAAGAATGAAAAGAATACAAAGGTTAGAGGAGTGTGCACCCAGCTCCCAGCTCTGCTAGGACCCAGGAGACTATGAATTGCTCTTGTTAGGTTTTCTCCTGGATTTACCACCTTTGCTGTGTGTTGGTGGTGAGTGTGCTACTCAAATAGATAACTTGGGAAATTTCATGGAATTGATCATTCAAGACTTCTGTTCAACGTGACCTTCGGTGAGTTCTTAGCAAAAAGGGAAATGGTGTTTCAAATACAGTAGCCTTCGCTTTATAAGTGTGACCCTTTCCCTAAGAGATTCTGCTCATACATGGGGCCTCATATGTCACAAGCCCACCCCTGCCTCCTCTCTGCCTCCTTTCTCACATGTTACCGTCAAAATGTCTTCTCTATGGAGCCTGTTCACTGTGTGAGCAGGGACCCAGTGCTGGGCATGCCAGTGACAGTAACTTTTCCTAAGTGAGTAAAGTAAGGAATAAAAGGCTGCTTGAGAGTTGTGGTTTTCCTTTTCTTTTTTGCAGCCTCCATCAACTCTGCATCTGTTGTAAGGCTTACTTTCCAGTAACCTTTCTTTCCTGCTATTTCATAAATTGCCAATGGAAATTAGACCCTCCCACACCCACCCTGAGGATGCACAGGCTGCTTAATTTGCCACCCAGATGGAATTCTGCCATGGTTTCATTCAGCAAAATGTTAACTTCTTAGAAACCATGACAGCCTCTGCTGGAGCAATGATAACCCCATGCGCTGACCAGGAAGAGCCAAAATCAAGAGCAGCCCCAGTTATCCTTTTGTGAGGTGGAAGTGAGGAAAGGTGCCTCTGAGAGGGAACAGAATTTGTGGTATACTCAATTCCATTTGCAGAACAAATGGCTAAAAATCAAAACTCAGGGCTAAGTCAGAGATTTCTTTTCCACCTCTGTCTCCGTAGCGTATATCAGAATATGCTATTTATTCAGGATCAGTTCATTGAATTATATACATGTTTAATTTCCAAAGAAACAGTATGTAGATTGAATTGCTGGCTGCTCTTACCTTAAACTGGCTGGAATCACCTCATTTTGGATGATTCCCAGGAAGGGCTGCGAAGTGCCTCAGGAGAATGTGCAGACCAGGACCCGGGACAGCACTCCAGAGGCCCACAGGGGATTTCTGCTCTGTGAGAGGGAGCAGGCATTCATGTGGGGGCAAAGCTGCATGGCTAGGAATTATCTCTCAATAGGTGTCCCACCAGTCATCCTGAGCCACTAAAGCCATATGGGAAAGAAGCAACTTCAGGATGAGGTCTGGCCTGCTAGGTGGTCTGGAGAACGCAGGGCACAGGGAGGCCTTCCCTGGACATTGCATTACTCAAAATCAAAAGGAAGCATTTGAACATCCACCCCACGAGAGCCCGAGCCCCAACTTGCATCAGGGAAAAAGAAAAAAAAATCACTTCAGCGTGATACTCAGTTTCTTTGCTTTTAAAAATTTGAAATGGCAAAATGAGGGCAAATCTACTGCCTGGACTGATGCTTGAAATGCCCTCCTTTCCTCTTAAATGGTCTAAGTATCTGAAAAACACATAAATATGAAAACTCTTTCAAAAACCTTCCTAGGTAGATCTGAGGGGAAAGAGGGTGGGAAGTGAGGGAGTCTAGAAGGATTGGGCTGTGGAATTTCCTATATGGTAAAATGTTTGAGAGAGTGTGCTTTGCCAGGGCCTAAACCTAGGAAACATGCAAGGCAAGAGCAGAATGGGTTGTTGAGCCAGATAAGGTGATTGAAATGGGTCCCTGCCTGAGATCAAGAGCCACAGAAAGAAGGGGAAAATGATTAGTCAGTTAGGTCTTGGCAGGACTAAGCAGGAGGCTATCACCGGGTGAATCCACTAATGGGGTATTGTTCTTGCATGCAGTGGTCTTCTATATGCCTTCTTAAGAGGAATGCACAGGTGCACTTTGCTGTATTTAAATGTTCAGGGACAGGGCTGACCCCTCTCTTACCTTTAAGTAACATACTTAACGATCACAACAGGCTGCTCCTGTATCCCCTGATGGAAGGGTGTGCTAGAGATGGGAAAGAGACCACCCAGAAATTCGTGGTCTATGCCATTCCTGGTGGAAGTAGGTACCAAAGTTGGCCATGGTGCCCATGGAGACAGATGCTTCCCTAGTGATGAAATCTAGGACCCCAAGCTGGGTCACCGGAAGATGTGGGCAGAGAGCCAGGAACTAATTGAATCAGGCACAGCAGCACCCATGGACAGCTGGTCACAGGACCGTGCCTGTGAAGAAAGTTTGACAGAACTGGAAGGCTATTGGGTTATGACCTAGGTTACTTCAAAAGGCTTCTGGCAGTGGTTTCCCAGTTTAGGCACGGGAAAATGGTGTATCTCCTATTTTCCATAAAAAGAAAAAGGATAATTTCTACTTGACTGGAATATATCATAAGCAGTAGAACTTAACATCACTTGGGTCATGGATTCCTATAAGAGCTGATGAAAGCTATAGAACATTTTTGCAGAAAAAAATGAGAAACATTGCATACCATTTCAGTGTGTTTAGCAACCCATTGATGCCCACCTATGGGTCCTGATTTGAGGACCACTGACTTTCACCTTTTTTTTTTGGCACAGCAGAGGTGTTTAGGAATCTCCTAAGGTATTGGCCAGTTGTCGAAGTGTTAATGGGAATATTAGGAAGTGATGGAGCTGATGTCAGAAGGGATGTTCTGGGTGGAGAAATCCAGCGAGTTGTGCAAAAAGTCTATTCGTGGGCAGACCTGGTTTGTTGTTTGCAAGATACTCTTCCCTCCCCAGAACATGTACCATCTGTCTTCTGCACCATGTGTGGAGGACAGTGGATAGATAGATGCCTTTAATAGCTCCTCAAAATCTGTGATACCTATTGGATGCTAAGGTTGGAGATATGCTAGCTGTATGGTGAATGCATATTGGAGAGTTCCTTGTCAAACTAGGTAGCAGTGGCTGGTGCCACATTACCAGCAGAGTGAACTCCAACAGAAATAGACGGAAAGTGGAGCACCTCTCACCTGGCCCTGTGGCTGCTGGATGAGTTAGAGAAGACTACAAAGCTGAGAGGAGCACCTCCAAAAGGTTACACCCAGACCCAGAATGAGAAAAGTAGCAAATTCGTGACTTGGGAAGATAGACTGCAATAATACAGATAATGCCAAGGTCAAGGATCTTGCTGAGTGGTCAGTAAAGGAAGAGCCAGGGAGTCTCACCCTTCTACATGGTTCTCTTAGTATCCTGTGTGTCTGGGAGAGCCAACTTGGAAACTCTGTGGATATGTCCTATTGGACAGTTTAGTACTTCACACTTGAAATAATTTGATTCCAATTTGTCAAAAGGAGGCTTTTAGTGGCCCTAGAAGGCAGTCTCATTTGAGTTGTCAATGATTGCAGCTTACCAGTGTTCAAAGTCTCTTCCAGTTTCCTGCCCCCTTGGACAAGCCTCGTGCCAGGGCACACATCCTCTGCCCACCTTCTGCTGGTGTGAGTGCTCGCTAGAGCCTTCTGCTTTAATGCTCTCCCAACTCCTGTCAGAGGGCTGGTGTTTTCTACTGGCTCTCTGAGGGTTCTC
The DNA here is from genome assembly GCF_000001405.40 of Homo sapiens. Taxonomy (NCBI): domain Eukaryota; kingdom Metazoa; phylum Chordata; class Mammalia; order Primates; family Hominidae; genus Homo; species Homo sapiens. Next base: position 88,138,626 of record NC_000014.9, on the reverse strand, counting down.
AGAAAAGCTTGAGAAGCTCTCTTCTTATCTGTGCAGTGAAGAGTCTTATGCAGAGAGGGCTGCTTTAGCTAGAAAAGCCCAAAGTTGGAGAAACATCTCTACTGAAATGTATCCATGGACACTATTTTTTTTCCAACTCTCTAAATCAGGATACATGGACTCCTATGTGTGTGAGATGGTCAGGAGATGCAGTTTGGATGAGAAAGTGTTGAAGTATCAATTGGTTATACAACAGGACTGAATATTTGAAATCAGGACTGTTCTGGAAAGCTTAGCATGGGAGGAGGGGTCCCATACGTTGACGCCGGTGCCCTTCCAGATTTCTCCCAAATAAAATGTGCTCTTCTAAAGTAAGTTCCCTGATTATTCAACTGTGTGCTCTCATGAGGCACTGAGACAAATACACCAAAATACACCCAAACCTGTCTACAGTCATGGTTAAATGCAAATTCTATGCATATGTTTCTGTTCAGTGATTAAGAATGTAAAAAGCTTTTTGGCACTTGTTAGTTGAATGATTTATACAATACTCCTCTTTGCTCTTCCTCCCTTCTCTTCCAGAGCCTGTGAACTTGTTGTTTCTGAAAAAGGAGTCAGTTGCTATTGGAATATTATTTAAGGAGACACATGTCAATGCCATTCTACAAAAATGGTACTAGTTTACGCCATGACTTAAAAGGGTGATGGGTTACACATTAGAATTTGGTAGCACGATCAGGTGATTTATACTTTGTAAGACATGGTCACAGTAGGGAGTGTCTGAAGGGGTAGATCCTTCACCAATATCACCTGTGTGGTAGGGTAGACTATGGACCATTGAGTCCAGCCACAGATCCTTGCAGCTGAGGTTTATGTAGGTGGGCACAGTTTTCCTGGAAGGCTCAGCAAACTCTTATCATGAGGTTGTATCTAGGTCAGGGAAATTCAAGGAAATTCAGGGAATAGCAGCCAGCATGGATCCAGGCACAATGTTGTGGCCTGGGCACCACTCCTCCATCTGTCTCCAGGCAGGCAGCTTAACACTATGCCCTACCAGATGGGGGATGGGGTCAGAAGGGACAGGAGGGTGAACAGAAGCAACTCAACCACTTCCTTCTTTCAGGCCTGGCTTAGTTTGGAACTAGACTAGGGTTTGGAGAGCCTGAGTGTGGAAGGGGAAATGGAGAGCTGGCGTAGGAATGTGGATGCACTGAGAGGTTATTCACACCAGTGTTCTGGAAAGCAGGAAACTTCTCTGGTGAAAGTCAAACTGTATGAAAACAGTGATGTAGAGAGAGATGCTTGATGTATTTGTAGAGGTTGATAATAAAGTTGAGCAGTAGCAAAAGGAAGAAGACTTTTCAGAGTTTACCCAATCAAACTTGGACAAGTGGCAAACCGTCTGTCCAATCTGATCCCAGGGTTTGCTGCCTTGCTGTTTGCCTCTCCCTACTTAGAACGCCTCCTAGGAGATGGTGGAAGCTGGTGCACTATCTTCAATCCACAATTGTTTGCCTCTTTACCTTGGGTCCCCCCAACCCACCCCATCCAGGCAGCCCATTTCTACTTGTACCCTGTGCATCTTGCAATCTGGCCTGATACTTGGCTCCAGAGCTTTGCCCGATGAGAATTAGGCCTTTGAATCCTTGGTTCCCTCCCATCCTGACCACTGTTTAATCTATCTCTCTATTCCTGCCTCTCCTAGACACTTGACCCTGGAACTCAGCTTGGCCAAACCTGCCTCCGATCCAAATTGTGTTCTCGGTTATAACTTCATCAATGGCGTTTCTCCAAGGCCAAAGTCAAACCTCTGCCAGAGGAAGATGTAAATATTCAGAGCAAAATATTGCATACCTGGCCCACATGAGTCACTTATGAGGAAGAGGGAGTTAGTTCTAAGAATAATAATTATCTTTTGGGTGAGATTTAAATTCAGGTCCAGAGCATCTCTTAGAAAACCATGGATACAAGCAGCTTGTTAACAGCAGTATCAGGTTCTTGGAGTCTGTATAAAATCTGGCCCATCGATTCAAACAAAACTGGTATGAAATAGCATTTCTCTTCATGTCTGAGGTTCCAGTGGTGGTTGGCTTCCTTCTTATTTCTTGCCGTGTGTGGCTGTTTTCTTGCCAGCCTCAGATTATGCACTTACGTGTTTTCCAAAAAATCAAAACCATTTCCAATACTCTTGTTATGTGTTATTTTATTCTTATCCTTTAATTGATCCAACAGCTTTCCTTTCAGACTAAATTGGCTTAATTGTACCCCAGAGATGCCCACAAAATGCTGAATTGAATGAGCAAGGCCCTCGGTCTCTGATAGAGGCATCGTACTCTATAGCCCTAGTGAGACGTTGCTGTCCACTGGCAGTCTTTTGTCTTTTGGGTTATTCAAATACTCTGACTAAATATATGTGTGTATATGTGTATTTCAGACCAAAGCTTCAAAGGTGGCAAAACACTATGGCAAAAACAGGTAAGTTTATAATTTCAGTTTTACAATTAACATTAGTAGCCTGATTTATACATGTTTTGCTATACCTATTCTCCAGTAAATATTATTCAAGAAATTCATGGATTTTTTTTTTGGAGGGAAAGGAAATTTGTGTGTTTTAAATATGCAGAGTCTGGAGAAGTTGGGCAGATGACCTAATAGAGTCAGGCCCTGCCTCCATGGATGTCCTATAATGCCAAGCTCTGCTGGGCTGATGCCTGTCTCAGGCTGGTAGCTCAGGGAGTGTGAGGAACAGTTAGCATGGCTATGCTGAAGTTACATTTAGGGTGTGTTTAGCCCTTAACAGAGACACTTGAAGAAGAGCTTCCTCTAGAGATTAATTTCCGGCTGGTGTCAATAATGCTTTGGGCTCCCAAACACCTCTGCATGCACTTTTATTTCCAGGAAATGCTGTTGCTTTAATCGTGATTGCTCAAATAAGCAGCCTTTGCCCACTAAAATAGAATTTATATTTGAGAAACTGTATTTGATGGGGGCTTCTTCCTCAGATAGCAATCAGACTTTCTTATTTGGAGAGGAATAAGACAGCTAGCATAGTTCCCTCGGAGTGGTAAAGAGGACAACTTATGATGGCTAGTGGAGTTCTTCCTGACCTCCTGAATGTAGACAAAACCCCAATTCAGAGGATGGATTTTCTTGAGAGATCCTAGTAGCTTCATGATATGATGGCAATGTGGACAGGGTTTGTCTTTTGTTATTAAAATTGACATTTCTACATGTGAAGATGCATATTTAGGAGTTATATTACCTAAACATAAAAAAAAACCCAAAACAAAGCCCCAAACCTAAAAATATAGATATAATGCTTTTTCTTCCCACAAACACAGAGTTTCATCTCTGAATGATGTGCTTGGTCAAGCTAGCTGTAATTTTACACAGTTGTGGGACACTTGAGAAACAGCAGAAGAAAAGCCATGGGCACAAACACAAGCCTAAGTTTCTTTGTCCTTTCTTTGGGGTCTATATATTTAGTAGATGTGTGCCTCCCCTTCCCTGATGATTGTTTATGGTTAGAATCTGTTCTGATTGGTCGGTGCCTGTACCATATACCAGTTGTTGAATATTTTGAACATCAGCTCCACCTAGCTTAGAATAATTGGGAAACGAATAGCATCTTAAAGGATGTGAATGAGACAGAGAAAACACTCCCAGATGGGGTCAGTCCCAGTCAATAAAAAGGGGGATAGGATGGTGAGGGGCAATTGACTAGACCTCTCCAAGTAGGCACTAGTGAATTTGAGCCTTTTAAAGCCTTTCCTAAAAGGTCCAAGTGCGAAGAACACATTGACATGTGAAACCTGGGAATGGGAGTGGGCTGAAAAGTGAGACCAGGCCAGGGTTCAGGGACAGATGGGAACTGTGAGTTCTGAGGCCAGGCAGGTGCCCAAGTGAGGACAATGAGCAGAGCCATAGTGCAAATGGCTTGAGGCAACCTGTTGCCACTCATATGGCTGGTGGAGCTAGTTGATCTCTCTGAAGGCACTGAGTGACGCTAGGTAGAGCTTGTGTATCCTGCCCTCTCAACTGTTTCTTCTCCTCCTTTCCTGGTATTGAGCACTAATACCAGAGGGCTGGCCCAGACTGAAAAGTGTCCTGTGGTGTACCTTGGCTGAGGCTCAGCTCCTCTACTTGCCCTCCTACTCACCATATCCTTGTCATGGTCCCCATTTCTTGCGAGAGTGTGTAGAATGAATCCCAGTTGATAATTCATGTGTATGCCTATTTTGTCAGTGCTGGGAACCGTGAAAAAGAAATGGTCAAACTTAAACTTGCCTTATGCTGTGGTTATGACATATAACCATCCCTTCAACTTTCAATAGGTTTGATGTGTATAAGAATTCAAGCATATGACTGCTTTGGTTTTTCCTATCAAATTCACTATGTTACAGACAATTTAATGTCACAGGATTCCTCCAGAGCTTTGCTCCCATCTCTGTGCTGGGCTGCACTGTGAATAAATCTTTTCTCTACTAAAAATTCCTGGAAATGACAAGTATTTGGCTTTAGGGTGCTTTATGTGGCTTTTTCCTTGAGCAGATCAACGATCTACTTCCTTCTGAGGCATGATATTGAGTTAGATTTTATTCCTTAATGTCACACCAACACAAGGGGCAGGTGAGCCAGGCACAAACTGAACTGGGAGAAGATGAACATTTTCCTCTCAATAAATCACATGGGGGTAACTGAGAGTGGATGTCATTTATAAAGTTCAACACTGTCTCCCATCTTTTGGTATGCTTTAGGTTGAATGCTTCAGATGATGTTTTTTGGAGTTAAAAGAAACATTTTATGTTTAATGAACGAATGTATGTTGCTGGTTATGGATTTTCAATTTCTAGTATTTATGTAGCCAGTTTTCATAATGTAATGTTTTAGTGTCTTATGGAAGTAAAGTCTTGAAGACCCATCCAAGTGGTGTAAAAGCCCCTTGAAAATTGGTTGGTGCTTCTTTGGGGAATGGACACCCAATGTCCTGCAGAGGGATCAAGGTACACAGGGTTGGGATTAGACACATCACTCTGGGTGGAGGGCCAGAGCTAAGGACCCCTTGGCATTAGCCAAAGAGAAATCCAGTAGAGATGGGGAGATCACCACTGAAGCAGACATCTCCGTCACTTCATCTTCTGATGTTTCTGTCCTAGTTGGGGTAAATCCTCATTCATAAAGAGGAAGAATCTGTGTAACAGCCTATGGAAAGATATTTTTCTGTCTTCACTGCAACTTCAGCTAAAGCCTTAAAGCTGATGGTGAAACCAAGGTCTAATCTTTTTAGTTACTTGCTTCTTGTTGATTTTTTAACCTACATTGCTGAAAAGCAGGCTGCTATATGCTGTAACTTAGCCTTCACAAGCTTCCTTATAGATAATACCTCTGATGTATTGATTAATGTATTAATACCTCTGATGTATTGATGCATTGATTGCTTAAGTTGTTTCTCAGGAACTTAGGGTCAGCTCTTGTCCGGCTTGAACCAGTTGAGACCACTTGGCCTGTGCAAATGCCCAAGTGGTGGCCTTTTGATGTCATAGAGCCAAAAACTCCTCCCTCAGATCATGCTAACACCACCATTTTCTGAATATGTGTCTTATGAAGAGCCATGAACCCTGACTGTTTGGCAGATCACAGACCACCTCATTTTTCCCACTGTTGTTCACCTTTCCCTATGTCTTAGGCCAATCCACTTCTTTACCCCATATATATCCTTCAACCCTATCTTTGGAGAGGTGGATTTGAGAGCTATTCTCTCATCTCCATACTGGATTGCCCTGTGAATCAATATATTCTATACTGCAAAACTTGTTGTCTCAGTGATTGGCTTTCTAGATGATGAGCAGAATGAACCTGCCTCACTATCAAGGGCAATGGGTGAAAAATAACTCGGCATTCAGGACTTTCCAGGAGGAACCAGACTTATCCTTGTAATATCTGCACCCATCATCCAAGTCCACTTGGAGGAGACAAGAGAAGAGGAAAGGTTGTTATTTCTTTTTGCTCTCCTTCATTAGCCAAATGAAGAGGATGCAATAAAACCATGATAACTTCTCATAGACTTTGGGGTTATACCACGATAACTTCTCATGGGCTTTGGGTTGTCTGCTTGAAGGGGAAAACATGTCACATGACATTCCCTAGCTGAATGTCTTTTGGGGTTCAGAAACTCATTAGCTTGCCTTGGGCTGCTGTAAGAGCCAAGTTCACTAGAAAGCTTCACAGGTGTCCCCTGAAGAAGTCTAAATGTGGGAGGTTGGCTGGGGCAGTGCACAGTAGTAGGGCAAGAAGAACTGGGGTAGTGGCTGGGTAAGCTTCCCTTGCATTGTTTTGAGGGGCAAGAATGTATGCCCCGCAAGGCATCAGACAAATATGTAAAAGGTTCCAGGATCAAGTTGTCTTGAAAGACTGTTGGTTGGCGTAGGGGGGTCCCCAGAGTTACACTGATGGGGCAGGAACTGAAGGGGCTGGGGTCACCATACTTCACCAGAGGAAGCATTGTTTGGGTTAAGAGATGGTACCACAGGAGGTCTTCTTAGTGGTCTTCAATGTACCCATTACTGTCTCTCACAAAATAAGCCAGTATTTACACAATAGAGGCTCTTCAGGAGTCAAGAGAACACTGCAAACAGCACCAATGAAGTAAACATTCTTTTATCTTTTATCTGTCATCACTCTTGTACCTAGAGAACCCAGAAGTAGGCACTGAGTAGAGTGAGGTGATAGGAAAAGACAATGACTCCTCCCCAGATGCTAATTTCCAAGCAAGACTGAGCTGGGTGGGGAAAGAAGTTTTAATTGGATGCAGGGTTAAAGTTTTGATTAAGACTGATCTGGATTAGATTTTTAAGAAGACATTTATGCAGCCAACAGACACATGAAAAAATGCTCATTATCACTGGCCATCAGAGAAATGCAAATCAAAACCACAATGAGATACCATCTCACACCAGTTAGAATGGCAATCATTAAAAAGTCAGGAAACAGCAGGTGCTGGAGAGGATGTGGAGAAATAGGAACACTTTTACACTGTTGGTGGGACTGTAAACTAGTTCAACCATTGTGGAAAACAGTGTGGCGATTCCTCAAGGATCTAGAATTAGAAATACCATTTGACCCAGGCATCCCATTACTGGGTATATACCCAAAGGATTATAAATCATGCTGCTATAAAGACACATGCACACGTATGTTTATTGCAGCACTATTCACAATAGCAAAGACTTGGAACCAACCCAAATGTCCATCAATGATAGACTGGATTAAGAAAATGTGGCACATATACACCATGGAATACTATGCAGCCATAAAAAAGGATGAGTTCATGTCCTTTGTAGGGACATGGATGAAGCTGGAAACCATCATTCTGAGCAAACTATCTCAAGGACAGAAAACCAAACACCGCATGTTCTCACTCATAGGTAGGAATTGAACAATGAGAACACTTGGACACAGGAAGGGGAACATCGCACACCGGGGCCTGTCATGGGGTAGGGGGAGTGGGGAGGGATAGCATTAGGAGATATACCTAATGTAAACGTCGAGTTAACGGGTGCAGAACACCAACATGGCACATGTATACATATGTAAAAAACCTGCACGTTGTGCACACGCACACGTACCCTAGAACTTAAAGTATATATATATAAAGAATGATCTGGATTAGATTTTTTTTAACTCCTGAAGATGGGACAACTTATTAGCGGCTAAAATGGAACTGAAAGTGATGCAATCTGTCCTAGGCATTGGTGGGAAAAAATAAAAATATTTCCTGATTATATCATACCCAGTTAAACTCTGTACCAATCTGATAAAAATCCACATTCCATATATACCAATGCAGCTTTCTTACTCCCTTAGCTACATTGGTTTTATTCTGAAGACCTACCAAGACAGCAGTAATTTCAGGCACAAAATGTCTATCTCCACTCTGGATATTTAAAAGTAGGCAAGAATTCACCCAAGGGGGAGAGAAACATAATGCTTTCCAAGGCAAAAGTATCATGAGGAAGTTCCATTACAGACGGTCTTGCCCTCTGCAAAGCCAGGAGAAGACTCTTTGGGCTCTGGCTGAATTTTTTCCAAGATAGTTTTCATCCCTTCTCCATGGACTTACGTAGCCCCCTTTGTCTCCACTGGGGTGACCAATCCAGTGCTTGCTGAGCCCGCTTTCTTCACAGGAAGAATCACTTTAAAGGATCAAGTTGAGCTCCTTATTGGAACATGGACAGCCACAAGCCTATTATGCCTTTGGAAACATTTCTGACATCTTCTATTGAAAACTCCTGAAAATAATCTAGAAACTCTCTTTCATTATCTATATTCATACCAAGAATCAAAAACAGACAGGGTTTCACTCCACGAGCATTTAGTAGACTGATACTTAAACCCAGACAAATGAGAAATAAGGAAGCCTCCACAGCTTCCTTCCTGAATGACAGAATAATTTGTGCTAATGGTTGGGTCTCTTCCTCTCCCACAAATTGCTTCACTTGGCCATATCTCAACCTGAAGACCATTTTCTTTGGTTGTGTGCTGGTGGCTCCACGTTAAATGTCTTAAGAGGATATTTTTTTAAAGAATAGGAAGGCACTGTTCAAGTCCCCAGGGACTTATCGGAGCTGTTCTTTGTCAGTCCTCTCTTCTGTTGATGACAGAGTGTTGCCTGAGTCATGCTTCCTCCTTGCAGAGGCAGAGACAGGAGAAACAGATGAGCAGGGTTTCAGAAGTGAGAAATCTGAAGTTCTCTTTCCAAATCTGCCATGGACTTCCAACAAAACCTAAGGCTCAAAGCCAAGTATAGCCATGAGTAATTTAAAGCTAGAGGGAGCTGCTGCATAGAGGGCATTCAGAGCCTTCCTGGAAGCTATGCTTATGCTCCCTCTTGTTTTGAAAGAAGTCAGTTCCTAACGCCCAAATTCTAGTCTATAAAGTTTTTTTCTTAATTTAAAATGCTTAAAATCTGGCTTTTGTTCATTTCATTTTTTTTTCCTCTCTGGAACTAGTCAGATTTCTCATTACTAATGCAATATTTTAAATTCTTAAAGGTTGAGTCAAACTATTTTTTAAAATAATATGGAAAAAGCATGGGAAGCATGTTCTTGGCTCCCAAAAGCAGAAAAATTTAGCATCTGGAGGAACCACTGCAATGTGTGGCCAGAAAAGACAATGGATGAAGTCATCTTGGTTGGCAGTTCCTGGTTTTGCAGGAACCATAGGATAAAACTTGTAAAAACTTTTTTTTTTTTTAACTGCAATTTCTTGCTTGAGGGCTCAAGGTCTGTTTTTCCTCATCCTGCAAATTCTTTTTTTTTTTTTTTAAACTGGACTTTCTTGCTTGGGGACTCAAGGTCTGTTTTTCCCCATCCCATCAAAAAATCAACCTTAATTTAAGAGGCCTGGTTGGCCAACTCATACCTAGATTTGGCTTTGGTTGATACTGAAAATTCCTGCAGCAAATGTCTCCTGTTTGGCTCAAATTAGTACATCTCCTTTACTTTTAAAGGCAGGGAGTTGGGATTGCTACTTTTGTTTTAAGCAACTGAGAATGAAGGGGAAGTTGAAACATAGGTACTCCATGAGGGAGTGAGTCTTGAATAGAGACTTCTCAAGTAGCCAAGAAATTGGGGCAAGGGTCACTGAAGGCGGAAGTCAGCCTGCATTCATGACAAGCACCTCCAGTCTCCTTGCTGGCATCAGAATCTTGCATTGAGCCTGCAGCTTTCTTGGCTAGCTGACACTTTTCTTAGATATTTTTATTTTGGGAGAGCAGACCCATCCAGATATCCCCAAGTGATCACTGGAGTAGCCCATTGCAAACAATAGATGACCTAGATTCACTCCACTGCTGGCTTTCTGAATTCCAATTGTCATGCTCTCTGAAAACTTCTAACTATGATTGACCTAACATGTCTGACAGCTGTAAGTATTAATGCTAGTTGAAACATTTCCTGGATTCATCATGTCCTCTGGGGGCTGTGTCTTAGCTTCTGGCTGCTGTTTTGAGTCTCTTGTTAAGGGTGTCTTGACCTCTACAACCAAGTCAGTTCCCCTAGTTTTCACAGTGCTAGCCTCTCTGTTCCCAGTAGGCTACAGCTAAAGGTGTACAGTATGCCTTAATGTTACTTCCATCAGAGTAGTGACACATAGGGGATGCATCCAGAAAGAAATTTTTTGAGAACAGTAATTTTTGAGAACTTCAGAAATTTTTCCATTAGGTGGCCTCTACTCTTGGGAATCTGTGCAGAGGCAGAATTTCAGCTCTTTAGATTATGTACTTAAAAAAATCTACAAGGAAGGTTCCAAGATGGGTGAATAGGAACATATCCAATCTACGGCTCCCAGTGTGAGCAACGCAGAAGATGGGTGATTTCTGCATTTCCAACTGAGGTACTGGGTTCATCTCACTGGGGCTTGTCAGACAGTGGGTGCAGCCCATGGAGCAGGGCAGGGCATCGCCTCACCAGGGAAGCACAAGGGGTCAGGGAATTCCCTTTCCTAGCCAAGGGAAGCCATGACAGATGGTACCTGGGAAATCGGGACACTCCCACCCTAATACTGCTCTTTTCTAATGCTCTTAGCAAACGGCAAACCAGGAGATTATATCCCACACATGTCTCAGAGGGTCCCACACCCACAGAGCCTCGCTCACTGCTAGCACAGTAGTCTGAGATCGAACTGCAAGGTGGCAGCGAGGCTGGGGGAGGGGCACCCGCCATTGCCAAGGCTTGAGTAGGTAAACAAAGTGGCCAGGAAGCTCGAACTGGGTGGAGCCCACCACAGCTCAAGGAGGCCTGACTGCTTCTGTAGACTCCACCTCTGGGGGCAGGGCATAGTGGAACAAAAGGCAGCAGAAACTTCTGCAGACTTAAATGTCCCTGTCTGACAGCTTTGAAGAGAGTAGTGGTTCTCCCAGCACTGAGTTTGAGATCTGAGAACGGACAGACTGCCTCCTCAAGTGGGTCCCTGACCCCCAAGTAGCCTAACTGGGAGACACCTCCCAGTAAGGGGCCGACTGACACCTCATACAGCCAGGTACCCCTCTGAGAGGAAGCTTCCAGAGGAAGGATCAGGCAGCAACATTTGCCGTTCTGGAATATTTGCTTTTCTGCAGCCTCCACTGGTGATACCCAGGAAAACAGGGTCTGGAGTGGACCTCCAGCAAACTCCAACAGACCTGTAGCTGAGGGTCCTGACTGTTAGAAGGAAAACTAACAAACAGTAAGGACATCCACACCAAAACCCAATCTGTCCATCACCATCATCAAAGACCAAAGGTAGATAAAACCACAAAGATGGGGAGAAACCAGAGCAGAAAAGCTGAAAAATCTAAAAATCAGAGCACCTCTTCTCCTCCAAAGGAACACAGCTCCTCACCAGCAATGGAACAAAGCTGGATGGAGAATGACTTTGACGAGTTGAGAGAAGAAGGCTTCACACGATTGGTAATAACAAACATCTCCCAGCTAAAAACAAACTTCTCCGAGCTAAAGGAGGATGCTCGAACCCATTGCAAAGAAGCTAAAAACCTTGAGAAAAGATTAGACGAATGGCTAACTGGAATAAACAGCATAGAGAAGACCTTAAATGACCTGATGGAGCTGAAAACCGTGGCACGAGAACTACATGACTTATGCACAAGCTTCAGTAGCCGACTCAATGAACTGGAAGAAAGGGTATCAGTGAAGGAAGATCAAACGAATGAAATGAAGCAAGAAGAGAATTATAGAGAAAAAAGAGTAAAAAGAAATGAACAAAGCCTCCAAGAAATATGGGACTATGTGAAAAGACCAAATCTATGTCTGATTGGTGTACCTGAAAGTGACGGGGAGAATGGAACCAAGTTGGAAAACACTCTGCAGGATATTATCCAGGAGAACTTCCGCAACCTAGCAAGGCAGGCCAACATTCAAATTCAGGAAATACAGAGAACGCCACAAAGATACTCCTTGAGAAGAGCAACTCCAAGACACATAATTGTCAGATTCACCAAAGTTGAAACGAAGGAAAAAATGTTAAGGGCAGCCAGTGACAAAGGTTGGGTTACCCACGAAGGGAAGCCCATCAGACTAACAGTAGATCTCTCAGCAGAAACTCTACAAGCCAGAAGAGAGTGGGGGACAATATTCAACATTCTTAAAGAATTTTCAACCCAGAATTTCATATCCAGCCAAACTAAGCTTCATAAGTGAAGGAGAAATAAAATCCTTTGCAGACAAGCAAATGCTGAGAGATTTTGTCACCACCAGGCCTGCCTCACAAGAGCTCCTGAAGGAAGCACTAAACATGGAAAGGAACAACCAGTACCAGCCACTGCAAAAACATGCCAAGTTGTAAAGACCATCGATGCCAGGAAGAAACTGCATCAACTAAAGAGCAAAATAACCAGCTAACATCATAATGACAGGATCAAATTCACTCATAACAATATTAACCTTAAATGTAAATGGGCTAAATGCTCCAATTAAAAGGCTCAGACTGGCAAATTGGATAAAGAGTCAAGACCCATGACTGTGCTATATTCAGGAGACCCATCTAACGTGCAGAGACACACATAGGCTCAAAATAAAGGGATGGAGGAAGATCTACCAAGCAAATGGAATACAAAAAAAAAATAGGGGTTGCAATCCTAGTCTCTGACAAAACAGAATTTAAACGAACAAAGATCAAAAGAGACAAAGAAGGCCATTACATAATAGTAAAGGGATCAATTCAACAAGAAGAGCTAACTATCCTAAATATATATGCACCTAATACAGGAGCACCCAGATTCATAAAGCAAGTCCTTAGAGACCTACAAAGAGACTTAGACTCCCACACAATAATAATGGGAGACTTTAACACCCCACTGTCAACATTAGACAGATCAATGAGACAGAAAGTTAACACGGATATCCAGGAATTGAACTCAACTCTGCACCAAGTGGACCTAATAGACATCTACAGAACTCTCCATCCAAAATCAACAGAATATACATTCTTCTCAGCACCACATCACACTTATTCCAAAATTGACCACATAGTTGGAAGTAAAGCACTCCTCAGCAAATGTAAAAGAACAGAAATTATAACAAACTGTCTTTCAGACCACAGTGCAATCAAACTAGAACTCAGGATTAAGAAACTCATGCAAAACCGCTCAACTACATGGAAACTGAACAACCTGCTCCTGAATCACTACTGGGTACATAACAAAATTAAGGCAGAAATAAAGATGTTCTTTGAAACCAGTGAGAACAAAGACACAACATACCAGAATCTCTGGGACACATTTAAAGCAGTGTGTAGAGGGAAATTTATAGCACTAAATACCCACAAGAGAAAGCAGGAAAGATCTAAAATTGATGCCCTAACATCACAATTAAAAGAACTAGAAAAGCAAGAGCAAACATATTCAAAAGCTAGCAGAAGGCAAGAAATAACTAAGATCAGAGCAGAACTGCAGGAGATAGAGACACAAAAAACCCTTCAAAAAATCAATGAATCCAGGAGCCGGTTTTTTGAAAAGATCAACAAAATTGATAGACTGCTAGCAAGATTAATAAAGAAGAGAGAAGAATCAAATAGATGCAATAAAAAATGATAAAGGGGATATCACCACTGATCCCACAGAAATACAAACTACCATCATCAGAGAATACTATAAACACCTCTATGCAAATAAACTAGAAAATCTAGAAGAAATGGATAAATTCCTGGACACATACACCCTCCCAAGACTAAACCAGGAACAAGTTGAATCCCTGAATAGACCATAACAGGTTCTGAAATTGAGGCAATAATTAATAGCCTACCAACCAAAAAAAGTCCAGAACCAGATGGATTCACAGCCAAATTCTACCAGAAGTACAAAGAGGAGCTGGTACCATTCCTTCTGAAACTATTCCAATCAATAGAAAAAGAGGGAATCCTCCCTAACTCATTTTATGAGGCCAGCATCATCCTGATACCAAAGCCTGGCAGAGACACAACAAAAAAAGAGAATTTTAGACCAATATCTCTGATGAACATTGATGCAAAAATCCTCGATAAAATACTGGCAAACCGAATCCAGCAACACATCAAAAAGTTTATCCACCACGATCAAGTTGGCTTCATCCCTGGGATGCAAGGCTGGTTCAACATATGCAAATCAATAAATGTAATCCATTATATAAACAGAACCAAAGACAAAAAACATATGATTATCTCAATAGATGCAGAAAAGGCCTTTGACAAAATTCAACAACCTTTCATACTAAAAACTCTCAATAAATTAGGTATTGATGGGACGTATTTCAAAATAATAAGAGCTATCTATGACAAACCCACAGCCAATATCATACTGAATGGGCAAAAACTGGAAGCATTCCCTTTGAAAACTGGCACAAGACAGGGATGCCCTCTCTCACCACTCCTATTCAACATAGTGTTGGAAGTTCTGGCCAGGGCAATCAGACAGGAGAAAGAAATAAAGGGTATTCAATTAGGAAAAGAGGAAGCCAAATTGTCCCTGTTTGCAGATGACATGATTGTATGTCTAGAAAACCCCATCGTCTCAGCCCAAAATCTTAAGCTGATAAGCAAATTCAGCAAAGTCTCAGGATACAAAATCAATGTGCAAAAATCACAAGCATTCCTATACACCAATAACAGATAAACAGGGAGCCAAATCATGAGTGAACTCCCATTCACAATTTCTTCAAAGAGAATAAAATACCTAGGAATCCAACTTACAAGGGATGTGAAGGACCTCTTCAAGGAGAACTACAAACCACTGCTCAACAAAATAAAAGAGGACACAAACAAATGGAAGAACATTCCATGCTCATGGTTAGGAAGAATCAATATTGTGAAAATGGCCATACTGCCCAAAGTAATTTATAGATTCAATGGCATCCCCATCTAGCTACCAATGGCTTTCTTCACAGAATTGGAAAAAACTACTTTAAAGTTCATATGGAATCAAAAAAGAGCCCGCATTGCCAAGACAATCCTAAGCCAAAAGAACAAAGCTGGAGGCATCACACTAACTGACTTTAAACTATACTACAAGGCTACAGTAACCAACACAGCATAGTACTGGTACCAAAACAGAGATGTAGACCAATGGAACAGAACAGAGCCCTCAGAAATAATGCCACACATGTACCACCATCTGATCTTTGACAAACCTGACAAAAACAAGAAATGGGGAAAGATTCCCTTTTTAATAAATGGTGCTGGGAAAACTGGCTAGCCATATGTATAAAGCTGTAAACTGGATCCCTTCCTTACACTTTATGCAAAAATTAATTCAAGATGGATTAAAGACTTACATGTTAGACCTAAAACCATAAAAACCCTAGAAGAAAACCTAGGCAATACCATTCAGGACATAAGCATGGGCAAGGACTTCATGACTAAAACACCAAAAGCAATGGCAACAAAAGCCAAAACTGACAAATGGGATCTAATTAACCTAAAGAGCTTCTGCACAGTGAAAGAAACTACCATCAGAGTGAACAGGCAACCTACAGAATGGGAGAAAAAGTTTACAATCTATCCATCTGACAAAGGGCTAATATTCAGAATCTACAACGAACTCAAACAAATTTACAAGAAAAAATCAAACAACTCCATCAAAAAGTGGGCAAAGGATATGAACGGACACTTGTCAAAAGAAGACATTTATGCAGCCAACAGACACATGAAAAAATGCTCATCATCACTGGCCATCAGAGAAATGCAAATCAAAACCACAATGAGATACCATATCACATCAGTTAGAATGGCGATCATTAAAAAGTCAGGGAACAACAGATGCTGGAGAGGATATGGAGAAATAGGAGCACTTTTACACTGTTGGTGGGACTATAAACTAGTTCAACCATTGTGGAAGACAGTGTGGTGATTCCTCAAGGATCTAGAATTAGAAATACCGTTTGACCCAGCCATCCCCTTACTAGGTATATACCCAAAGGATTATAAATCATGCTGCTATAAAGACACATGCACACGTATGTTTATTGCAGCACTATTCACAATAGCAAAGACTTGGAACCAACCCAAATGTCCATCAATGATAGACTGGATTAAGAAAATGTGGCACATACACACCATGGAATACTACGCAGCCATAAAAAAGGATGAGTTTATGTCCTTTATGGGAACATGGATGAAGCTGGAAACCATCATTCTGAGCAAACTATCTCAAGGACAGAAAACCAAACACTGCATGTTCTCACTCATAGGTGGGAATTGAACAATGAGAACACTTGGTCACAGGGTGGGGAACATCACACACCGGGGCCTCTCATGGGATGGGGGAGTGGGGAGGGATAGCATTAGGAGATATACCTAATGTAAATGTTGAGTTAATGGGTGCAGCACACCAACATGGCACATATATGCATATGTAACAAACTTGCACATTGTGCCCATGTACCCTAGAACTTAAAGTATAAAGAAAAATATATATACAATAAAATAAATAAAAAAGTAAAAAAGTCTACTATGGTGAGCCTTTAAAGTAATTTTTTTTTAGGTAAGTGAAAGGACTAATGCTGTAAAGTTTGGCATTCTGTGCATTGAGGCTGCCCCTGGGGCTGGGCTCTGCACTCATTCTGAATTGATGTGGTCATGGTGCTTCTGGTCACATTCATTGTGGTCTTCTTGGGTCTGTAATGTGTAAACATATTTTGGTCTTTCAATTGTCTTTGAGCTTAGACAAGATTCATTGTAAATGCTCCAGAAGGCAAAGGGACTTATCCATTGATATATATAGCGCATTGTCCCAGTAGTTTTCACAATGATGCTATAAATCAGTTTTCCATTTAAGATTGTCAGCACAAAGAATTCACCAGTGAGGTAGATTTTGTGCAATTTTTCATTTGTAGGATACGTCAATACTTGTGTCATAGTATCACAGTCACCAATCACTCCATTCCTTGTTTGGATGAGAATAAATGCAGGCAGGAAAAGCTGAAGCCACAGCAACAGCTGGTGGTGGATTAGAGGCATCAGGGAAAAAAGTGGGATATAGCTTCACAATAGGTGGCCTGCTTTGGGTGGATCTAGAGTGCATAAAAGAGATATCCATTTGCAATTCCTCAAGTTTGGCATCGATCACTTTGAATCTGTTTCCAACTGCTTGTGTTAAGTTTTCAGTAGCGTCATGCAAGGCATAAATTTTTCCAGCCAACGGATGTCTCACTGCCTGAATATTATTTAGCACGTTATTGCTTTCATTGCTGGAATCGTCTTTTTTGTTTCATTCGCAAACATCTTGAGTGTCCACTCTTCTGTCGAATCTGATTCCATCCCAGTTTCATCCTAAGACGTAGCCAGTGACAAAGTGGGAACAAGTACTTCCTGAGGGAGATTTTCCAACAGCATTGGTGGCGTCTTGTAATCTTAATCTTTGTGTGGAGTTGCTTCTTTTGCATCCATTGGCTGTGACAACTCGAGTGTTCATCTGAACGGGTCTTCCGGTGTTTTGGTGTCTTTGTCTTGGTCTATCAAGTTCAGTTTTTTATTCTCGCTAGTACTTAGGGAGTATCTCCTGTCATCGATGTGGGAGACTTGCTTCTTCTTTTTCTCTTGGATTCCACTGTTGCTTAAACCATTTCATGCGTTATCCTGCAGGACTTGAGAATCTCCCACTGTTCATCAGTAAATGCGGATTGACCAGAGAGCTTCAACCTTTTTTCTGTATGCATCTCTTAGCTGAGTTTCAGGAATACTTCCTAGTGTTGGCATTCCTTGTCTATAATTTCCCATGGCTGAACTAGTTTCAGCTGCATGATACAGGGCTACTGTGGCGAGGAGCGGAAATGCTGTTGTTACGATCTTGGAAGCATCAAGATGACAAGTTGCCTTTGTATACAGGAACCACTCAGGCCCAGTTGCATTCTTTTTTTTTTTTTTTTTTTTCAGATGGAATTTCGCTCTGTCGCCCAGGCTGGAGTGCAGTGGCGTGATCTCTGCTCACACTGCAAACTCCACCTGCCGGGTTCACGCCATTCTCCTGCCTCAGCCTCCCGAGTAGCTGGGACTACAGGTGCCTGCCACCACGCCTGGCTAATTTTTTGTATTTTTAGTAGAGACGGGATTTCACTGTATTAGCCAGGATGGTCTCGATCTCCTGACCTCGTGATCTGCCCGCCTCGGCCTCCCAAAGTGCTGGGATTACAGGTGTGAGCCACTCCACCCTTTTTTTTTTTTTTTTTTGAGACGGAGTTTCGCTCTGTCATCCAGGCTGGAGTGCAGTGGCGCGATCTCAGCTCACCCCAGTTGCATTCTTGAGGCATGCATCTCTGAACTGGGGTGTCTCATCAATTACCCCAGGAATGAGGATCAACGCAGAGTTGAAGTTTCACAGAAAGTTGCTGATAAAATGCTGATCATTGTAGTCATCTGTAATTCTCGTGTGACAAGATGAATCTGAACCATGAATGGTTGCTCAAACCCTCCAACATTTGTAGAAAGAATTCCTATGAGGGCTTGATGACACCAGTTGTATCCTGCCAACTTAGACACCTACGTTGAGACATCAAGTTGTGAGAAATTGACATGCATATGCTAACTCCTGCAGCAGTATATACTTTTTGAAATGGCTCTCAGTAGCTCTTATACGTGAATTATCTTGTAAATCACAGAAGACACTATCATGATGTTCATTGCAGCATGATAAAGACCAAGGTGGTGGGTTGCATCGCCAGTGACCAGTACAATTTGACATGATTCCGTTCCATAGCTTATAGGAAGCCAAGTGACTGGAGTTCTGTTGGGTTTGTTCAGGTGAGTCAGTACAGGGAAATTCTTTCTCTTTCTTCTTTTTTGTTTTTTGAGACAGGGTCTTGCTGTATCACCCAGGCTGCAAGGCTAGAGTGCAGTGGCGCTATCATGGCTCACTGTAGCCTTGACCTCCCTGTGCTCAGGTGATCCTCCTACCTCAGCTTCCCATGTAGCTGGGACTATTGGCATGCGCCACCACGCCTGGCTAATTTTTCTATTTTTCTTTTGGTTAGGGATGGGTTTTGCCATGTTGCCCAGGCTGGTCTTGAATTCCTGGGCTCAAGTAATCCTCCCACCTTTACCTCCCAAAGTGCTGGGATTACAGGCGTGAGCTACTGTGCCTGGCCTGGAAATGCTTTCTTAATGAGGGTATAACACAGCATACTATAATTATATAAATAGTTAATGGAGAATGGCAATGTCTAACATCATCATTGTAAAAAATGAGTAGTGCAGGTACATGTGCTTCTGTGGCAAGGGTAGGAGCATGGACAACATGTGCCACAATGATTGGGAGACTGTCCTCGAGCACCACTGAACTTGATAGATTATCCACACCTTTGCACAAATATGTTAAAGGATTAGTAGCAACTTCCCAAGTGATCCTGCCACCTCAGCCTAAGCATCTGGGACTACAGGCATGTGCCACCAGGCCCAGCTAGTTTTTTTTAAAAAAAATTTTTGTAACGGTAAAGTCTCACTTTGTTATACAGTCTGGCCTCAAACTTCAGGGCTCAAGCAATCCTCCTGCTTCACCTCCCAAAGTGATGGGATTACAGGTGTGAGCCACCATGCCTGGCCACAAACTGTTTTAGTATATCCTCCTACTTTGACAAATATACCCTCATAATGACAACATTGAAATATATGTTGACATGGTTTGGCTCTGTGTCCCCACCCAAATCTCATCTTGTAACTCCCATAATTCCCACGTGTTGTGGGAGGGACTGGTGGGAGATGATTGAATCATGTGTGCAGGTCTTTCCTATGCTGATCTCGTGATAGTGAATGGGTCTCACAAGATCCGCTGGTTTTAAAAAACGGGAGTGTCTCTGCACAAGCTCTTTTTGCACATAAGATGTGACTTGCTCCTCCTCGCCGCCTTCCACCATGATTATGAGGCCTCCCCAGCCATGTGAAACTGTAAGTCCAATTAAACCTCTTTCTTTTGTAAATTGCCCAGTCTCGAGTATGTCTTTATCAGCAGTGTGAAAACTGACTAATATGTATGTACATATGCATACCAGTTGATACCAAATAAATGCGGACAGTGCAAGTTGAAAATTTATTTTACTGTTGTCAAAGCTGTGACTTGCTTTGGGAAGAGGTGGTGGTGCACACACATGAGCATCCCAACCCCAGCACGCTGCAGCTCATTCCCACTCCTTGCAGAGAGTCATTTCTTGGCCATCCCTCAGGCTTAGAGTGTACACATGGGCAATGCAGTCTGCTTGACTGCCCCAGGAAGAAATCCTTGCAGGCTCCTAGATGTCCTGAAGACTGCTTGGAAAGGGAATTTGGGAATCTTTTATAAACAGAATGTGATCCCAAAAGGGATGGTCCAGACTCTAGGTGGGCATACCCATTGCTTCAAGAGATCTTTGCCTCTATATGATGGGAGCAGCTCAGAGCTAGGCCCCCTCTTGCCCAGATCTGAGTTGATACTGATGGGAAGAACTACAGTCCAAAGGAACACAATTTCTGAAACTGGAAAATGAATGGATAGGAAGTAACTGACTTGGCAGACACAAAAAGGCTCAATTATCAAACAACAGTGGGGAAAGGGAAGAACCAACCTGGTTTACATGAGAAAATCCTTAAGACTCTGGAATTGGGAGGAGGGTATTCGGTTCAGGAATTTCCAGAAGTGAGGCTTTCCAATAAGAAGGAAGGGTTGAGAGTTGGTTAAGAAGTGTTAAGATTCCTAGTTCCTCTTTCCTACTCCATACTTGTAGGAAAACCTCTCCTTTCCTACTGAGGAAGGCAACTAAGCTTATTATCTGGACAGGGAAAAAGGCTTGTGGACCAGGAGGAGCCTGGCAGGCATGATCGAAGGCAGGGTGCCACACTGAAAAGATGAGAGTTAAACCAAGCTATGTCTGTGGAAAGTGGAGACCCCACTTGTACCTCCAGTCCTCTCCCCCCATTCTGTTTCAGAAGCTTTGTAGTGAGGCAAAACATTACATCTTCTCTGGAAAACATGACCAGATCTTTGCAGTCAACAGGCTCCCCTCATCTGGTTAAAAATTCCAGTCAGATTTTTAGTGTTCTACAACCAACGATTAGCAGATGTCTGAAGAAATCTTCTAAAAAGAAAAGAAGAATAAAGCTTTCTGTAGGAAACCAATTGCACATGAAACAAACTTCAAAGAAATAATATCCTTAAATAAATCTTTTAAAAAAGATAGCACCTGTGGATAAAGAACAGTCTTCCATAAAAGGAAATGTTTTGAGAATATAAAAGAGCTCTTGGAAATTAAAAATTTAAAACTCGACGGTAAAAATTCCAAGAAAGGGTTAAAAAATAACATTGAGGAAACCTCTTCAGAAAGTAGAATAAGATGGTAAACAGCCGGGAGCGGTGGCTCACGCCTGTAATCCCAGCACTTTGGGAGGCCGAGGTGGGCGGATCACGAGGTCAGGAGATCGAGACCATCCTGGCTGACACGGTGAAACCCTGTCTCTACTAAAAATACAAAAAATTAGCCCGGCGAGGTGGCGGGCGCCTGTAGTCCCAACTACTTGGGAGGCTGAGGCAGGAGAATGGCGTGAACCCCGGGGGGCGGAGCCTGCAGTGAGCCGAGATCGCTCCACTGCACTCCAGCCTGGGCGACAGCGAGAGTCCATCTCAAAAAAAAAAAAAAAAAAAAAAAAAAAAAAAAAAGGTAAACATATAACATATAGGTGAGAAAAAAATCATAAAAGTAGTCCCAAAGAATAAAAGGCATTCAGAAAGGACAAAACCACACAAAAAATGAGAGAATGTGATACACTGAATAATTTCAAGAAAAATCTCCAAAATGAAAAGGCATGAGTTCTCAGATTGAAAAGTTCACCACTATCCAGAAAAATGACTGAAAATAGATCCATATAGAGACAACCTATGTGGAATATCAAATTACTAGAGCACCATGGAGAAATTTCTACAAACTTCCAGGGAGAAGGGAGAGAAGAAGAACAGCAACAAAAGAATCCAGATGATGAGACACTTCTCAACAGCAAAACTGGAAGCTAGATATATTAGGGCAATTGCTACAACATTCCGAAGGAAATCAAAATTTCTAGCCAAGAATCTTATACCCAGACATGCTATTAGTTAATGTGAAGCTAGAATAAAGACATTTTAAGACACATGAGTCCCCACATTTTGCCTCTATCTAACCCTCTCAAGAAGCTACTGAAAGATGCATAGCATCAAGAAAAAAGTGTGAGAAATAGGAAGGTATGTTGTGTCAGAGACAATTCTATGTGTTTACCACACGATTTCCTCTTCTCAGCACACAGGAAGACTACATATCCTAGCATTCTTTGTAGTTGTATTGGAGATAATATAGTCAGCCTTCTCTTCTGACATTCTTTCATGTCAGAGGAGAAAAAAATTTTAGATAAAACTGCTTTCAGGTCAGGCATGGTGGCTCAAGCCTGTAATCCCAGCACTTTGGGAGGCCAAGGCAGGTGGATCAAGAGGTCAGGAGTTCAAGACCAGCCTGACCAACATGATGAAACCCTGTCTCTACTAAAAATACAAAAATTAGCCTGGGGTGGCGGCACACACCTGTAGTCACAGCTACTTGGGAGGCTGAGGCAGAAAAATCGCTTGAACCCAGGAGGCGGAGGTTGCAGTGAGCTGAGACCGTGCCACTGTACTCCAGCCTGGGAGACAGAGTGAGACTCCATCTCAAAAAAAACAAAAAACAAAACAAAACGAACTGCTTTCAATGGTTAATTTTGTGACAGTGGCTTTGATGGTAGCCATTCTTCAGCCATTCCATTGAGAGAAATAAACCTGGTTGTGTTGGAGGTATAAAAAAGTCCTGACAGTCAAATGTCTCATTACCTTGTTTATCTACATTGTTCCATTTTCCTGTACACCTTCTGACTTAAACAGATGGCTCAAAAAATGATGTTCCTGTCCATGGTTTCTTCTTGAATAAACCAAAAAGCACACTTGCTGTTCTTCCCTGTCTTTTCAGACAATTTTGTAGAACTAGTCACGGTATTTCAGCACATACAGATCATTGCTGCTGTAGAACACTTTACCCTGTTTTTCCCCCCCTTTTTCTCTCAAATCAGGGGTCAGCAAACTATGGCCATGGGCCAAATCTGGCCCATCTCCTTTTTGTGTGTGATCTGCAAGCTCTACGAATGGCTTTACTTTTGCCCCTTCTCAATTAATATATAAAGCATAAAAGTGGTAGTGAGATCAGAATCAAGGAGACTTTATTCCAGGTATTGAGTCTATAAATAATAACAGGTATTAATCAGTTAACTTCTCAAAGAAACAGTTTTGTTTATTATCTCCAGTGTTTAGTACACTGCTTGTCACAGAGTCTGTGATGGTAAATTCTCCTTGGATTAATTGTCATCTCAGTACCCGATTTATTGTAGGTCCTTGACAAAGGCATGAATAATTGGGTAAACAACAAAGAGGTATTATGGAGCCTCTGTTACATGTGGAGCACAGTGGGGTAATGAGTGAATATAAGAAGTGGACCTTGAATTTAAGATTCTTAAAATCTCATAAAATTAAAATACTTTATGATGATGATGTCAATAGACAATTATCAGTTGAATTGTGAAGAATAGACCATTGCTTTCAAACTGGGGTGCTTAGACCCCTGGGGTCTTCTTTCCTGGCATTACAGAGTTCTCTTTTCCCATTTCCTTTTTCTATAGCCTACCTCTTCATCTAAGAAAGGTAAACATTTCACCTTTCCAATTCTTACTGTGGCTCATTGCTCTGGGCTGTAAGGTCTCCCAGGGCACAGATAATTTGAAATACTGACTTGAAAGAAGGGTCTTTTAATTGATGAAATCAAAGATTCTCAAAATCTTTCTTTTACTGTCTTGAACGTATTTCTGTTAAAGATGAAGTATGGCATTAGAAATGGGGATATTTTGGCCTTTGTTGTGTGTTCTGAAGTCAGAAATACTAACTGTAGTCATGGGCCTAACTTTCATTTAATGACCTACTCTTTCATCCCCCACCATTATCAAGAAATCCACAGCTCTTGAGAGTTTGACAAAGATAAAGCAAAAAGCATTGTTAAGAAATAAAGTTAAAAATGGCTTCCCCCTTTCTACCTCCCTGCAGACATATTTCATGAAATTGATTTTTTCTACATCCCAATGCTTATCCCTAGAATAAGTCACTAACTAAAAAGAAAAGCCCCTGTTAACAGCGCAGGTAGAATAAGTTAGTGATGATTAATTTAAAATATGTAACTGGAGTATTTTTAGGGACTATCAAATTTTCAAGTTACCTTGGAGAAAGCCTATTAATAAATTTTTTTATATGTGATTTCTTCTACTTTAAATATACTTTATAACACTAAACATATATTTAAATTACAATGTTCACCTAATTTCACCTTATAAAATGTTTAATATTTTCTACTTTTTGATATAAAATAAAAACATGATGAAAGCATGAGGAAAAATTAATGAAGTACAGTTTTTTATGGTATATAACTTTCTCTTTGTTTACATAAAACAGGTTTGATTACATTTAATGAAGTAAATGGTGAAATTTCTTAATCTCATACATTATTCTTATTTAATTTTTCTAATAAGCTAGTAACTTATGAGATGCAGGCAACATTCACAGGACATGTTAAGAATAGATAATGGCCAAAAAATATCTTGTGAGACAGGCAAAATCCATAAGTATGTTAAATATAATAGTAGTAACCTGTAAAATATGGATTGTTTGAGGCCAGGAGTTCAAGACTAGCCTGGGCAAAATAGCAAGACCCCATCTCTAGTTAAACAGAAGAAATGGAATGCATGATGGAAAAAACAAGAGATTTACTAACAGATACAAAGATACGGAAAGACCAAGTCATAAAATATGATGCTGCCACTTCTGGCCTGACAACTATGTCATACTTAAATTGTCCATCCACCGGCGACTCCCAGTATGGCCCTATTTTGGCCCCACATGTGCTCTGCCTAAGAAATTCAGTCAAAGCCTAAAGCTGTTGAGCTGGCTAATTCCCAAGTGTTAGCTATGGCCAGGCACACTTGGCCCTGAGTCTCTCAGATTCTGCTCTCAAGTGATCCTCCTGCCTTAGCCTCCCAAAGTGCTAGGATTACAGATATGAGCCACTGCACCTGGCCTAAACCCCGTGTTCAAACCTCAGCTCTGGTCTTCATAACCTCACCACCCATGGGGGAGATTGAAGCAGGAAAAGACACTATGTGAACACTGTGTGACCCCCAAACTTTGGATAGTGTGGTCTTCCAATCCTTGTCTGTATGGGGATGTCTTGTCTGGGTTCTAGGCATTTTAGCCTTTCTGGGGCTCTTCCTCCATGAAGAAATATTAAAAATATTTACTACTGAATTAGTATGAAGACTAGTATAATCCAGGGTAGATTACATTCATTCTTTTTTTCTGACTTAAAAAAATTAAAACAGTTTTGTGGGCTCCTAAAAATGGATGGTCCCTGGACAGTGTGTCTGCGGTGCCTCGGGGAGAAGCTGACCCTGGTTCAATCTTCTTATACCCTATCCTAAGTGTATTAACCCATCTCTTTCCCTTGCCTCTTGCTATATTTTAAATTGATTAAATAGCTCATGTGATTCAAGTATTTAAATTTGGTTGGTGAGCCTTTCTGTTCCATGGCCTTTGAGATAGCTTGCTTGAGAGCATACTTGGAGGGTACCATTGCATCAAGGTAATTCTCCCCACAACATTCCCCAAAGCCAAACATCCACATTTAGTACACACATGGACACCAGCCTAACAATGAGTACCTTCCCTTTTATTCTAGGCCCCCTTTAGTAAAGAATTTATCATTTTAACCACTATTAAATGTTACACCATTGCAAGTTAATGAAAAACAGCATATAGATATATTCTTAATTTTATAACTTATAAAAATTATAATATAATGAATGATTTTTATAATTATAATGTGTAACTAATTACATTAGATCAATATCATTTTAATCCTAACAACTTCTAGTAATTTGTATTATGGTATTATAAAGTTATATGATTCATGCCTTTTCCAGTGGATTTTAGAATTCATTTTTTTGGATAAAAAATTAACTCAGTGTCTTTTTTTCTGAGAGTCAGACTGATTTAGCTGATTGATTATCTTGAGAAGGAGTACTGGCTTTGCTAACGAGGCTAAGTGGTAGATTTTTTTTTTATAAACTGAATGAGCTAAATATGTAGCTCCAAGGTTTTCACTATATATATATATTCTACATGTATATCAGTATATCATATATTTACATATGTAATTAGAAAAAGCATATTGAAACAATTTATTTTCATAGCGTTTTCCAAGTACACTGAATTAAATAAGATAACTAAAAAAAAAAATCACATGCAAAAATGCCATCAGTTGGTCTAAGCTATCTCCTCTCTGCACTTGGCCATAAACTGGCTTCAGTGTCTTTTGCAGCAGGAAGAATGACCCCCAAATATGTCCATGCCCCAATCCCTGGAAATTGAATATGTTACATTACATGGTAAAGGGGACTTTGTTGATGTAATTAAGGTTATGAACCTTAAAATAGGGGGATTATCTTTGATTATTCAGGTGGGCCCAAACTTATCCCGTGAGCCTTTAAAAGAAATGAACTTTCCCTAGCTTGGTTGACAGAGGATGTATCAGAAGATAGAGGGGGTTGAAGCATAAGAAGCATTTTACTCACTGTTGTTGGCTTTAAATATGAAGACAGCATCCAGAATTAAGGCTCTTGGAGCAGATAACAACCTGTGACTGACAGCCAGCAAGGAAATGGCAACCTCAGTGCCACTGCTGAAAGGAGCTGAACTCTGCCAACAACTTGCGTGGGCCAGGCTGCGTGTTCTCTCCCAGAGCCTCCACAGAAGAGCCAAGGCCAGGCAGCACCTTGATTTTGGCCTTGAGATTGGGAGGAAAGAAGCCAGTCGAGCCCATCCTACAGAACAGAGAGTTTTCTGAATGACATACTCATGAGATAATAAATTTGTGTGGTGTTAAGCCACTGAATTGGTGGTAATTAATTGCAGCAGCAATAGAAAAATGAATATGTGCCTCCTAGCTTTCAAGAAAGAGTAACTCCTGCAACTGGCTTGTTGGTGTGTTAACTTTCTATTTTATTCCACCTAGGAAAGTGGTCTTTACAGAGAAAAACACAACTGTCCATGTTTCAGTCACACTGTGGGCCTCTTGTGTCATCATTGTAATGACTCTAGTAGCATTCAATTGAAATGAAGCAAAATGCAAGGAGATTAATTTTAGAAGTCCTCTTATTTATTATTTAATGGCCTAAAAATTCAGGGATGGCTACTTTTCTGGAAGGTTAGTGGCCACAGCTCTGGGAAATGAGTCCACTAAACCTGGACTCAACATTATTTAACTGAGCATTAGGTCCTTCGCAATGGAAGGGAGAAATGGAATACTACATTATTAAACAGCCTCAACTACTTGGAGGTCAATCATAACACAAGAGTTCAGAAAAATATTCAAAACAGCGCTTTACTCTAGGTTCAAGTCTCTTACTTGAGTCTATTCCTGGTCTATGCTGAGAGGGAGGATTTTCAGGTGGTTCCTGTTCTATCCAATTCATCCCAGGCTCCTCCATGGTCCTGAGTCCTATGTACTCAGTCCAATAGGCAGTCCCTGATGTCCATTCCCTTTAAAGTGAATTGGGAAAACCACCCTCATCTTTATACCCCTGCTGCTCCCTTACTAGTCTCCTCAGTTGCAGGAAACTACCCCATCTTCTTCTCAGTCACAGGCTAGTCATTCAGTTCTACTTGATTCTCCTCTGGATGAGAATGAAATGGTGATGGTGATTGGTTGTGAAGCAGGAGGAGAGCTCTTCAGGTCCTTTGGGTAGAACTATAAGATAAACAGCACTTTGACATTGCCAACATGAACCTCCTCTTTTAATAATTCCAACGAATTATGGTCAAAGAGTCTTTGATTCCCCCCCCACCTTGAGTGGAATTGCCAAAAGCTACTATATTATTCTAGCTTTGTTACATGGCATGACCCAAGACAAGAGTTGGGAAATGGATAATAGAACTATGACAGGTTAGTGGAACTTGAAGAGAGAGAGGTTTTGTGGACAGAAAGGAACTGCGTCCTTCAGCCAACAAATGCAGTCAGCCTATGGCAATCCCATAGGAAGGGAGCTGGGGAATAGATACTCTGACTTGACTTCTCTTTATTTATCTGGCCTTCTGCAGGCATCCCCCCTTAGCTGTAATAAACTAGAAGCTAGAAGGAAAGGCAATCCTTTTCTTCAGTCCATCCAGATCAGTCTCACAGGGCATGGGCAGCTTGGGGATCAGATCTGGAGATGAAATGAGGGTTATCCAGTAGCTCTGAATAGCATGGGATCAAAGACAGTCATGGCCCCAGTAAGGCTCATGGGATAAGGTCCTAGAGCTTTATAGGAGTAGGGGGCACAGAGATTGAGGAAGCAGGAGTGTGCAGCAGTGGCTATGCTCTCAGGGATCTGAGGAAATTGACACATGGCATCATGGGAATGGCACTGGGGCATTGTGGAACATCCTGATAACTACCTCAGCTCCAGAGGATGTGTTTGTATTTGCACGCACTTCAGTGAGAACTCTGGCTTCCTCATTTATGGCAATGGCACTCAGGTCTCCTGAAATCAGTGTGTCTATGTGTGTTTGTGTGTGTGTGTGTGTATGAACATGCATTTAATGCTAGGAAAATAAGGGTTAGAATGTACAAGACACACTTTGGAATTAGTGTCTCATTCATAAATAATCCTTTTACTCTGGGAACAACTCTTACTTTATAGGAGATGGTTTATCAGTGACACATGTATACTGAATAACACTGCTCCTTTGGCTGCAGCTGAGTGATTCAGGAATGGAGATATGACCTTTGTCAGGCCAATTTGAAGGCTTCTCCAGGATTTTTCCAGCTGGAAGTATACAAAAATAACTTTGTTTTTCTAGTCTGGGTGAAGGAGACATTACTAGGTGGGGTATTCAACGTTGTTGGATGCCCTATTTCCTGGCACATGGAGGAAGCCATCTGCTTTGACAGGAAACCAAGCCCACCCATGAGAAGCAGAGACAAGATACAGAGAAGAGCCCAGGAAATACTCAGTTTAAATTGTTTTTGAAGCCCAGCTTCACCCCTGATCTTGCCATTTGAATATTGAATCCTTTAGTAATATAAATTACCCTGGTATTCCTTCAATAAATAGCATTCTTCTTTGTCAAAGCTTGCTTGAGTTGTATTTTCAACAGAGTCCTGACTAATACAGTTGATACAGTTAATAGTCCAAGCTAATTTTTCCATGCATAGCACAGATAATGGTAGGGATCAAATGACAGGAAGTCAGAGCTAGAGAGATCCTTATAGATAGGCAAGGTAAGATGAGAAGCTTGAATAAAGCTTTGATCTAGAAGGATGGGGAGGATTCTTTGGCTGCAGAGTACTCTATTCCAAGCAAGGAGATGATCAGAAGGAAGGTGGCCCCAATTCCAAAGATGTATTTATGGTCAAGGACTAGTTGGAATCAAAATGCGTGAAGTGGGAGACGAGATTGGAAAGGAGCTTCACTGTTGAGGACTTTGAATGCCCAGCTAAGACATTTGTGGTTTATTGTAGTATAGGGAGATGTTAAAGTATTTGAACATGGAAGTGATATTATGAAAGTTGGGTTTTAGGAATATTGACCAGATCGCATACAGGGTGAGATGAAGAGAGTAAGAAGTGGTGTTATTAGGTCGGTGCAAAAGCTATTGCAGTTTTTGACCTTAAAAGTATGGCAAAAACCGCAAACTGCAATTACTTGTGCACCAACCTCACACACCCAAATCGGAAGGCAATTGCAATCTTCCTGGTATGAGTGCCCAGGGCGTGGACTAGGGAATTAGAAGTGGAAATTGAAAGGAGAGAGGGCATGTCTTCTCTCTCCAATCAAAAAGTTTATTAGCTCAATGAAGATATAGAACAAAGATCATCAATAATGATGCAGGAAGATAGATGTCTTTATATTCCATGGATTTCATATCTTAAGTACTATACTTTCAATACTTGATTATTTTATCTTCCTTTCATTAATAGAATACCATGCCACTCTCCCATCCTTGAATTTTGGAAGAACAATGCATGCACAGATGGAGGCTGTATTTCTCAGCTTCACTTGAAATTAGACGTGACCATGTGAATAAGATCTCCCCAATACAATGTGAACAAAAGGAATATATACAATTTCTGTGTCACCTCCATTAAAGGAAATTACTTGTTCTCTATGTCCCCATTTTCTCCTTCTCGTCAGTTGGAAGGCAGACATGGTAGCAAACAATTTTGGATCATAGAAAATCTTTGATCATATCCTTAGAAGATGACTGAGCAACAAGATGGAGGATACCTGCGTCCCCTTGGGATCTTGTGGAATAGAGAGGCTCACCTGCCTTAGACTGTTTGGTGGATCTGGCTTGAAATTAAGTTTCAAAAATTATCACGGTAAAGGTGATTGGAACCACATCCTGAAGGACTCTGAATGCCAGGGTAGAGAATAGCGAATCAACATCATAGACATTGGGGAGCTTGAAGGTTTCATTTTTTGTTTTGTTTGTTTGTTTTTAAAGCAGGTGGCTTAACAATCAAGGAATAGAATAAATTCAGAAGGCAGTAGTGCAGTATGGAAGATGGATTAGAGAGCTGAAACCTAATATCAATTGAGATCTCACTGAAATAATTTTGGAACAAGATGAAGACTCTATCTAGATTAGTGTTGGTAGAAATGGAGAGGGAAGATTGAATTTAAGATATATTAGGGAAATGTTCTAGTGTGGGGTAGCTTTGAAAATGTGCATGGGTAGAGGGTGAGAAACCAGGGAAGGAGGAACCAGCAATGCAAAACAGTCCAGGGACGGAGGGAGAATCACTGATGGAGTCAGGTCTTGTATGAGGAGGGAAAAGGCAGGATTGAAGCCTTATGTGACCTTTTGAACTTTTTTTTCTCGTGTTTTAGCTCTTAGTTACATCAGTAGTTAAAACCTCAGTTTGTGGAATCAGACAGATCCAGTAATGTGCTAGTGCTGTTCTGTATCAGCTACTAGAGCTGATTGTTAAATTTTCAGGAACTTTGAGAGTTAGTTGTTAAACACAGCATTAGAAAAATTAAACTATATAAACTTATAATTAAATAAATTACATTAAAAACAAAAGTCAGAAATACTATAAACGTATTGCTTCCTAGTTATTTTATCTCAATTTTCTATTATTTTTTTTGTTGAAGTTATTTATATCCTCATATAACTATGATGGGAATGCCATATAATGGTTTGCTACTGTGCCTCTCTTGATAATTCTGCTTTCAGTGATGTCATGTTGATAGTTTGAAATCCTTGTAGCATTGGTGGGAGTATTTACACCCCAGAAACTGGTAAACATTAAAAGTTAGGTCTTGGTTTGTTTTGTTGATTGTCTAGACCAGGGATTGGCAAACTGTAGCCTGCAGACCTGCCACCTGTTCTTGTAAATTAAGTCTTACTTACTGGAACACAGCCACTTCCTTTTATTTATTTATTGTTTATGTTATGTTATGTTATTTATTTATTATGTTGTATTATTTATTTATTGTTTATGTTATGTTAAATAACTATACGTTGTTTATTGTTTTTGGTTACTGCCATGTTACAGTGGGAAAGTTGAGTGGTTACAACAGAGACCACAGATAATACACAAATGAATGATTATGGTTGTGTTCCAGTAAAACCTTATTCAGTAAACTGGCCCACAAGCCCAAAATATCTCCTATTTGTCCCTTTAGGGAAAAGTTTACTGATCCCTGGTCTAGACTTAAACAGTGATAAAGAAAGAGGGGCTTCAAGATGGCTGATTAGATGCATCTGATACTCGCCTCTTCCATGGACACGAACCAAAATAGCAAGTAGATAATCACACTTTGAATAGATAATCTAAGGGAGAACACTGGAATTAAACAGATAATTGATGGGAAGTGATGAAAGCAAGGAAGGAGAGAAAAGCGAGGCAGTCTGTTCAGCCAGGATCTGCTGGGAGTCTGAAAAGGCTCCCTCATGTGGGGAAAGGGTAAATAAGAGACTCCCACAGGCCCACATCCCCAGTGTAGACTTCTACAATCCTAGCCACGGGATAGCCTCTTGGCCCTTGCAGGCCCTGAGGCTAACATAGTGAGCTACTTACAGTCCATGTGAAGGCATTGCTTCGAAGAGAGAGAGAGCTCACACTGGGTCCTAAGCAGCTGCAGCACCATGCCATTTCGAGAGCCTGGCCCCCAGTAGACTGTGTCTTGCTTTAGGGCTCAACAACTTCTGCATCTCCACATTCCTAGAGCCCCGCTGACATTCCCCACCTGCAGTTACCACTGCCAAGGGGTGGGGAGCACTGGCAGGAACCTCACTCCACCCCCAAGCAGAGGAATGGCTGCATATTTTCATATGCCCCAAATTCCACTGCCTGCAACCACTGCGACTGGGGGCTGCCGCATGGCCAGGATGCAAAATAAGCATGGACCCTTCTGCCACCTGCCTGCAGCTGCTCCCACTGAAAGCAAACCACCCTCCCCAGTAGCAGGGCTATGGCAAGCTGCTGATACCCCAACCTGAGCATTCCACCAGGGGCCTGGGCATCACCCCACCCTTGCTTATGACAACCAGCACCTGCAAGCTGCATAGGGGTCTGAGGGCAGGTCAACCCAGCCCAGTTCCCCCACCCTCTCATACTCAAATATGCCATACAAGGGCCTCGGGATTACCCATCTCAGTCCAATACTGCTGACACCTGAGCACTCCTCCTGGGTGGGGTGGGGGGCTCTGAAGTTGTGCCCACTCAAACTGCCACTACCACCACAGCTGACACCCACGCACATACACTACCTGTGTGTTTGGGGACTGGCCTGCCCAGTCTGTTGCAGCCATCACAACAATGGCACAGACTGGTTTGGTCCCAGAGGGTTGTACCACCACTGCTACTGCCATTTCCCATGCTATATCCACTGCCCAGGGGCTTGATAAACCACCCAACACTTGGCCCACCACTGCCATTGCTGGCACCTGAACAAGACACCTGGAGATCCAAGAATGGGCCTGCTTGGAACCACTAACATCATTGCTAGTGTATGCCACCCTGGGTCCCAAAGATAGCCATGCTTAGTCCACTGTTGCCACTAATGAAGCTCAAAGACTATCTGACCTGGCATCCCAGTCCCCAACAAAATTTCACTACAGCCTCTACTAACAAGTGTACCCTAAGTTACCAAGGAAATATCAGCCACTGCTAATAAATATAAATAGCTGAAGAAATCAAACAAATCTGCACTACTGTACACACTCAGAATCAAAGCCAAAGGGTCCTACCCAACCAGTACCATAGATACATCTCCAGGAAAATGTTCTTCTCTATGAAAGCAA
This sequence comes from Homo sapiens, assembly GCF_000001405.40. Classification (NCBI taxonomy): domain Eukaryota; kingdom Metazoa; phylum Chordata; class Mammalia; order Primates; family Hominidae; genus Homo; species Homo sapiens. Next base: position 88,105,274 of record NC_000014.9, on the reverse strand, counting down.
ATTCAAAAATTAGAAGGGACTGTTACACAACATGTGTAGATATCAATGTAAGGACACAGGAAACATGAAAAAGCGAGGAAATATGACACCTCCAAAGGAGCACAATTATTCTCCAGTAAAAGATCCCAATAAAAAATAAATGTATAAAATCCCAGAAAAATAAATAATTCAAAATAGATACTAAAGAATCTCAGTGAGATACAACAAAATACTAAAGAATAATACCAAGAAATCAGAAAAATAATTCAGGATATGAATGAGAAGTTTGTCAATGAGATAGACATCAAAAAAGAACCAAACAAATGCTGGAACTAAAGAATGTATTGAATAAAATAAAAGTACTCTCAAAGGCTTCAACAATGGACTAGATCAGACAGAAGAATGGACCTCAGAACTTGAAGACAGATCTTTTGTAATAACCCAGTCAGACAAAAACAATAAAAAAGATTAAAAAATAACAAGCAAACCCTATGTGACATATGGGACACCATAAAGCAAACAAAGATTCAAATTTTTGGTGACCCGGAGGCTGAAGTGGAAACTAAAAGGTTAGGAATACTACATAACGAAATAACAGATGAAAACTTCTCAAGTCTAGCAGGAGATTTAGACATTCAGATACAGTAGGCCAAAGAAAAAGAAAGACTCCCATACAATAACTGTTGGCAATTTCAACAACCCGTCTTCAGCATTAGACAAATCATGTAGACAGAATATTAACAAAGAAATGGTTGATTTAGGGTGCACATTAGACCAAATGGACCTAATAGATATTTACAGAACATTTCATCTAACAGCTATAGAATACACATTCTTCTCATCAGCACATGGAACATTCTCCAGAATAGACCATATGTTAGGATACAAAACAAGTCTCAACAAATTTTAAAACTTGAAATTATATCAAATATCTTTTCAGACCCCAGTGGGATAAAACTAGAAAACAAAAACAAGAGGAACTTTGGAAACTGTACAAATATATAGAAAGTAAACAACATGCTCCTGAATATCCTTCGGGTCAAGGAAGAAACTAAGGAAGAAATAAACAAATTTCTTGAAACAAATGAAACAAAAGAAACAAATGATTTCTTGAAATCAAAACACAACTTGCAAAAACCTATGGGATACAGCAAAAGAAGTGCTGTATAAAGCTGTTAAAAAGAATATTATGCTTTTATTTATTATTTATAAATTGTGGTATACATATCTTTTATAATTTATAATAAAGATACAATGTATAATATACATAATTTTTTTAGAGAACAGTTACCAGCACACTGCTGGACAGATCTAGGTTTAAGTTACAAGAATTTTAAGTAAGTAATTTATTCTTTCTAAGCCACAGTGTCTGTCCACATTTGTACTCTATTATAGCAAGAAGTTACTAATATTATTTATTAGATAAGGGGTAGTGATATGGTTTGGCTATGTCCCCTGCCAAATCTCATCTTGAATTCCCATGTGTTGTGGGAAAGACCCGGTGGGAGGTAATTGAATCATTCAGGGAGGGCTTTCCTGTGCTGTTCTTGTGATAGTGAATAAGTCTCACGAGATCTGATGGTTATATTAAAAATGGGACTTTCCCTGCACAAGCTCTCTTCTCTTATCTGCTGCCATGTGAGATATGTCTTTCACCTTGCACCATGATTGTGTGGCTTCCCCAGCCACGTGGAACTGCAAGTGCAATAAACCTCTTTCTTTTGTAAATTGCCCAGTCTCAAGGATGTCTTTACGAGCAGCATGAAAACAGACTAATACAGGTAGCAAACTTTTTCTTTAAACAGCCAGAAAGTAAATATATTTGATTTTGTGAGCCATATTGTTCCTGTCACAACTATTCAATTCTGTCACTGTAGCATGAAAGCAGCCATAGACAATACATAAATGAATGGCTGTGGCTGTGTTCCCATAAAACCTTACTGTATAAACAGGTAGCAGGCTGCATTTGGCCCATGAGCTATAGATTGCTGAATCCTGCACTAGATTATACATTTCTTGAGAGTGAGAATTACGCCTATCTTGGTAAAACTTGTATCCTTAGAACTTGACACAGTTCTTAGCACACATAGCAAAAGATGAATTAATATTTGTTGAACTGTGAATAAAGAACAGCAGTAAAAATGAATGGACTAATGCTGCCTGAAACAACATGGTCAGCACTCACAAACGTCATGTTTAGCAAGAAAAGCCAGAGGCAAAAGAAAACATACTGCAAAGATCCATTTCTGTAAAGTTCAAAAACAGGCAAAACTGGACTCCTGCTTCCAGTCATGATGGGATAAGAGATTTAATTTACCCTACCACTTCAAGCAACTAAAAATGAAGACAAACTCTGTAATACAATAATTTATGACAATGGGAAAGAGGCAGCACTGGACTCGAACTTCCAAGAAAAAAAAAACAAATAAAGTGAGCCCTATAATCATTTCAGTTTAATTTCTAGATACAGTTTCTAGATTGCAGCACAGGATGGAGGAACTCAAACCCAAATCCTGGTTGTCTTGCTGAGTGAAGGACACAGGGCCAAGAATTTGGGAATCCAATGAGGCTAGAATTTGGAGACGAGGAAGATCAATAGAGAGCTCCAGAGATCTGTAGAGAAGTCCCCTTGTATCTTTGGTCGAGTAATTTTTTTTTTTTTTTGAGATGGAGTCTCGCTCTGTCGCCCAGGCTGGAGTGCAGTGGCACAATCTCAGCTCACTGCAAGCTCTTCCTCCCAGGTTCATGCCATTCTCCTGCCTCAGCCTCCCAAGTAGCTGGGACTACAGGTGCCCGCCACCACGCCTGGCTATTTTTTTGTATTTTTGGTAGAGATGGGGTTTCACCGTGTCAGCCAGGATGGTCTCGATCTCCTGACCTCGTGATCCACCTGCCTCGGCCTCCCAAAGTGCTGGGATTACAGGCGTGAGCCACCGCACCTGGCCTTTGGTTATTAATCTGCACGTAAGTGCAGAGGAAATTACCCTAGGTCAAGGAAAACAACACCAGAAAACACTAATGTAACCAATTTCTAGAATTCATACATGGCGAAGAAAAGCTTACGTTGCTATCACTGAGAATGGGAAGATATCATAATACATGGGACATTGGATAGAATCCTCAGAAGGGTGTAATATTAATAGTGGGCTGAATTAGCTCTAAAATAGTGGCTACTCTGGATCAACCTTAACATAGTATGATAGCAAGTCTGAAAAAGATCAAATTGATTTAAAATAAGTGCAAACCAGAATAAGGTCCAATATAATATTAAGCAATAAAACAAAATATCACACCTCAAAACCTAATATTTATGTAGATCAACTAATCAAAAATTACCAAGTATTTTCGGAAAATCAGGTCCATAGCAAGCGAAAAAACCTAGTCTGTAAAACAGACCCAGAAATGATATAAAACATGAAATTAATAAAAAATTAAACCAGCTTATAAACATGCCCCATTCATTGATTTAAGAAAAATGAGTAAAGCATAACCACAATGAGGAGAGAAATGGAAGTTATAAGAAGATTCAAATAGAGTTTCTAGTGATGAAAAATGTAATAGAAATAAAAAAGACTCTGGATGAGATTAACAGCAGATTAGATACCATAAAAAATAAGTGAACCCAAAGGTATAGCAATAGGAATTATCCAAAAAGAAGCATAATGAGAAAAAAATACTTAAAACAGAATAAACAGAGCATCGTTTTTCTGTATAAAAGCACTAAATGGTCTAAAATATATGTCATTGGAGTCCCAGGGTGGAAAAAACAAAACAAAAAAAGAGATGAAATAGTAAATGAACATTTTCCGTAAGAGATGAAATTTATAAAGCAATCCAAAAAGATAAATGAATCCCAAACAGAATAAGTATAAAAGAACCACCATGTTGTAATCAAATTGATGAAAATCAGTGATAAAGGGAATTTTATAAGCCGCCAGAGAAAAATAAACATTACAAACCAGATAAGACTGATGCCAGACTTTAAATCAGAAACTATGTAAATCAAAAGAAAATTGAGAAACATTTTTACTTCATGAGAAAGGGGTGGAGGGAACAAAACAAAAACAAACAAAATACTGTTAAATGATAATTCAATAACATGTAATAATATAAAAATGATTTTAAAAAGGAATTTTTTAATATAAAAGTGGAGCTTGAAGAATTCATTACCAGCAGGCTTCCAATGTAAGAAGGCTATGAAAAGGTCTTTGGCAGGAGGAAAATAATGGAAGAAATTTGGCTCTATGCAAAGAATTGAAGAATGTTGGAACAGGTAAATATACTGGTTAAATATAACAGACTTTTGTCCTAATTTTAAATTTTTTTTAAAAAATTCACTGCTTGAAACAACAATAATAACAATGTGTTGTGGAATTTATAACACCTATAGAAGTATACATATTAGGATAAAGGACAGGAGAAAGAAAATGGAATTATACCCTTGTAAAGTTGTTACAATATACGTGAAGCGGTTAAAGTAATATTTGGAGATAGACTATGTTAAGTCAAATATATGTATTTTAAGACCTAGAACAACCACTTAAAATAATAGAAAGCATAGTCATTAATAAGCTAATATCAAATATAAAATAATCATCCAAATGAAGGCAGAAAAAGAGGCAAATGGAAGAAAAAATAGAGATTAAACAAAAACTAGGTGGAAATATGGGGGTTTAAAACACAAGAATAATAGAAAGGATAAATAACTAGATGAAAATATGTGGTTTAAAACAAAAGAATGTTAAAAATTACATTAACTATAATTTTTTTTTTTGAGAGAGAGTCTGGCTTTGTTGACCAAGCTGGAGTGCAGTGGTGCAATTTTGGCTCACTGCCACCTCCGCCTCCCAGGTTCAAGTGATTCTCCTGCCTCAGCCTCCCGCGTAGCTGCCTGCCACCACACCCAGCTAAGTTTTGTATTTTTAGTAGAGACGGGGTTTCACTGTCTTGGCCAGGCTGGTCTCGAACTCCTGACCTCGTGATCCACCCACCTCGGCCTCCCAAAGTACTGGAATTACAAGCGTGAGCCACCTCATCTGGCCTTAAGTATAAATTTTATAAAAAACTTCAATTAAACTACAGAGATTGCCAGATTGAATTAAAAAACTAGTTGTAACTATATGCTCTCTGATTCTCCTATTAGCAATGATGAGAAAGAAAGTTTTATGGCCAGTATCTAGAAATCATGTATAGTGACTCTCTGCCTCTGCCTCACATGAGTTCACATAAAACATATACAAAAAAGTTCATCAGAAAAATACAAACTCATTTTTATTTACTTGGGTTTTGTCTTAAGCCTTTATGAGGAACCATCTACCCATGTGCCTGACATAGGTCTTATTTTTCTCCTTAGTACAAAGGCAATTAAAACAATCTGAGTGACTTCTTTGTTCTTGTTCTCCTATACCAGGAGTAGAAAAAGTATAGACTGCAGGCAAATGCTTTCCATCACCTGTTTTTTTACTACTATTCTATTGAATTATAATTCATATACCACATAATACAATCATTTTAAGTATATAATTTAATGGTCTTTAGTATATTCATAACGCTGTGTAACCATAATCACCATAATTAATTTTAGAACATTTTCATCACCCCCCAAAGAAACCCTGCACCCCTGAGTTATCACCCTCCAATCCCCACTTTTTTCTGCACCCCACGCTAGGCAATCACGAATTTGCTTTCTGTCTCTATAGATTTGCCTTTTCTGAACATTTCATATAAATGGAATCACACAATATGTGGACTTTTGTGTCTGGCTTCTTTCACTTAGCATAATGTTTTTAAATTCATCCATACTGTAGCATGATTCAGTATTTTGTTTCTTTGAATGGTAGAGTGATAGTCCATCATATAGATATACCACATTTTCTTTATCCATTCGTCAGTCGAAGAATATTTAGCTTGTTTCCACTTTTTGGCTATTATAAATAATGCTGCTATTAACATTTTTATACAAGTTTCTGTGTAAACCTTTGTTTACATTTCTCTTTGGTATATACCTAGGAGTGGAATTGTTGAGTCAAACAGTAATTTTAAACATAAAATTACAGTTATGTTTTAAACATAAAATTACAGGTATATACCCATTTTGAGGAGCTGCCAAAATGTTTTCTAAAGTGGTTCCTCTAATTTACATCTTATTAGCAAATTGAAGGATTCAAATTTCTCCAAATTCTCATCAATATTTGTTATTGTCTTTTTTTTATTGTAGCCATCCTAGTAGGTGTGAAGTGGTATCTCACTGTGGCTTGAAACAACTGGATATCTACAGGCAAAAGAATAAAGCCGAACCTCTATCTCACACCATATATAAAAATTAAGTCAAAATGGATCAAAGATCTAAATGCAACATCTAAAGCTGTAAAACTTGGATGGGCGTGGTGGCTCATGCCTGTAATCCCAGCACTTTGGGAGGCTGAGGCAAGAGGATCATTTGAGCCCAGGAGTTTGAGAACAGCCTGGCCAACAGTGAGATCCTTTCTCTAGCAAAAAAGAAAAAAAAAAAAAAAAAGAAAGCTGTAAATCTCTTAGAAGAAAACAGAGGTGTAAATCTTTGTGAACTTGATTTAAGCAATGGCTTCTTAGCTATAAAACCGAAAGTACAAGCAGAAAAAGAAGAAACAATAGATCAACTGGGGTTCAAGAAAATAAAAAAACTTTTTTGCTTCAAAGAACACTATCAAGAAAGTAAAAAGACAACCTATACAGTGACAGAAAATATTTGCAAATTGTATTTCGGATAAACAACTACTCCAGAATACATGTAGAATTCTTGCAGCGCAACAATAAAAAGATAATTAGTCCAGTTAAAACTTGGGCAAAGTGTTTGAACAGAACATTTCTCTAAAGAACATAAACAAATGGCCAATAAGCACATATAAAAGATGTACAACATTAGCCATTAGGGAAATGCAAATCAAAATCACAATGCAATATTATGACATACCCACTAGGGTGCCTAAAATACAAAAGCAGACATTAACAAGTGTTGACAAGGACGTCAGGAAATTGGAACCCTCATACATTGTTGACAGAATTGTAAAATAATGCAGCCATTTCAAAAAACAGTTTGGCTGTTCCTCAAATTGTTAAACATAGAGCCACTATTTGACCCAGCAATTTCACTCTAGGTTTATATCCATGAGAAATGAAAACCTGTGCCTACAGAAAAACTTGTACACAAATATTAAAAGCCATATTATTTATAATACTTAAAAAATGGAAAAACCTAAGCATCTATTAAATGATGAATGGACAAACAAAATGTGATATATTTGTGTGGTATATTATTCAGCTATACAAGGAATGAAATACTGAGAAATGCTACAACATGGATGGATTTTGAAAACATTATGCTAAGTGCAAGCAGCCAAATACAAAAGGCCACATATTGCATGATTTGGTTTATATAAAATATCCAGAATAGGCATATCCATGGAAACAGACAGTAATTTAGTGGTTTTCACGGGCTGGGAGCAGGGAGAAGGAAGAAAGACTGCTAATTGGTTTGGATTTTCTTTATGGGATTAAAAAAAAAAGAAAAGAAAAAGAAATCCTGAAATCAGATAGTGGTGATGGTTGCATTTTGTGGATATACTGAAAACCACTGAATTGTACACTTTAAAATAATGAATTTTACAGTAAGTGAAGTATGTATCGATGAAGCTATTAAAACATCTATTTATTAGCTCAAATTTCTACAGGTCAGAATTCTGGCATGGAGTGGCTGCATTCTTTGTTTAAGCTGAAATCAAGGTGTTGTTTGGCCGTGTTCTCACCTGAAGCTCAGAGTTCACTTCCAAGCTCATTTTTGTCCTTAGCAGAATTGAGTGTCTTGCAATTGTAGAACTGAGGTCTTGGCTTGCTGTCTGTCAGCAGGGGACTGCTCCCTGCTTCTAGAGGCCACCGGTTTCCCTCGTTATGTGGCCCCTTCCATTTTCAGGCCAGCAATAATGTGTTGAATACTTCCTATGCTTCAAATCTCTGGCTTCTGCTACCAGCTGGAGAAAAACTCTCTGCTTGTAGAGGGCTCATGTGATTTACTTAGTCTTTGTCTTAAGGTCAATTTATTTGGTACTTGGGATTTTAATTGTATCTGTATGTTTCCATCAAGGCAATAACTGTATTAGTGTTTGAATAAATAACCAGGTAATCTGGTAATTTACCATACTGGTAATCTGACAGGGAGATGGGAATTCATCTTTATAATTCTGCTTACCACAAACCATGTCTGTGCTTATTTTCTTTGGGGAAGAGTTGTCTGTGACTGTCACTTAGTTTGAGGTTCCATGTTGCTGAGATTCTGTCCAGTATTTTGACCTCTCCCCGAACTGGTCTTCAGAACCATCTCTTAGGAGCAGTGCACAGGAACATCTGGTGTTTTTTGCTCCAACTTTGGCCTCAAAGGGTCATCCATCCCCTTACATCCCTTACCTGAGTTGACATGCTTCCTTAAGAAGGTCCCATGGAGGGCTACTAGTAGTAGAACTTCAGGCCAGATGGGCCTGCGGTGATTGCAGTTATCCTGGGTTTCCTACTGGTGAAGGGAGAGTTAGGGATGAGGAATGTTCAGCCCTGTTGCTGCTGCCTTGATTTCGTATCTTGCAAGAGCCATTCTAGGTGGCTCTGAACTCTCCTCTTTCTGTTTTCCTGATTGGAATCACTGCCATTCATGCTGGTGAAAACCCTGGCTGAATTTTTGTTACTGAATGTTCACTGTGGCATGGTGATTGTTTGGAGGTCTCTCGAGGGTGGGAACATGGGGTGAGTAATAATTTATGATATGCATCATCTGAAAATAGAAAAAAGAGGTTACATTTTTCAGTACAAAACTTAATGAGAATGAACCAAATACCTATGTACTCTGTTTTTTGCCCTTAAAAAATTATTCACTAAGAGGGCACATACTGGCAATATGCAGTCATTATCAGTGTAATGAAGAACCCAAGTGAAGGCTATTTCGGATGCTCTAATGTGCCTGTTTTATGAAAGTATAAAAGGCCTGTTTACTTTTCAATTGTTTTATTGCAGTACAAAAAACCCATCTCTTCCAATTTATGACTAATCGTGGATTTTATTATTCATGGTCTAATTCTGCAGCGGAAGGTTACAGAAGCAGGTACACATTAATTCTCCTCAATTTGGAGCCTGAGAAAGATGACTGATGGCAGCTCAGCTGCCCTCTGGCTCTCACTCCTGGAGCTTAACCTTTACATATGGATACTAAACAGGCCTGGTGCAATCCTGGTGAGCCTCTCAATGAATATTTTCTTACTCAGAATAATCAAATTTTAAGAATGTGCTACAGGAAAAAGCTGTCACATTGCATTAGGTTAGCACTGTGACTTCATGGAAATGGTCAGGTAACTCAATTGCCCCAGCCCAATAATACACAGGCATAATTTAGTTCGCTTAGAGTTAAGAGGACAAATCATTTAAAAAATGTCCTATTTGAGTTTGTTGAAGGCAAGCAAGGAACTGTGGGGCAATGGACGATTCAGAGGGGTTATAGGAGCTAAGCTAAGAATAAAATGGGCATCAAAATACTCTGTAATCTTTATAGAAATACTTATAATTAAATTATATAATGCTCTATAGTTTAGAAAGCACTCTCACTTATAGTCTTTTTTGACTCTATGGGAGATTCTATAAAGAGATACTATTGTCTTAATTTATAAATGACGATACTGAGTATACTGAGTATCGGAGGCAGTGCTTCATTCAAGGTCACTTGGCTGGTTTGTGGGACTAGAAGCTGAACTTAAGTTGTTGTTATGGGTTGACTTGTGGCCCCTGCCACCATAAAGATATGTTTAAGTCCAGCCTCCCAGTACTATAGAATGTGATCTTATTTGGAAATAGGGTTATTGCAGATATAATTAGTTAAAATGAAGCCATACTGGAGTAGGGTGGACCTTTAATCCATACAAATGGTGTCCTTATAAGAAAAGGAGAGAAACAGAGGGAAGATGGCTATGTGAAGACACAGAGGCACAAGGAGAACACCATATGAAGAAGAAGACAGAAACTGGAGTGATGCTTCTACAAGCAGGGAACACCAAGAATTGCCAGCCATCACCAGAAGCTAGGAGAGGCATGGAACAGATGCTCCCTGGGAGCCCTCGGAAAGAACCAACGCTGCTGACATCTTGATTTTGCATGGCTAGCCTCCAGAACTGTGAGAAATAAATTTCTTTTAAGCCACCCAGTTTGTGGAACTTTGTTATGGCAGCCCTAGAAAACTAATAATAGCTCCTAAGAGTAATAAGATTTTCCATTTATAGTGCCCTGACTGTGGGCCAGGTACTCTACATGCATTATCATGAAATCTTTTAAGAGCGCTTCAAGGTCTATTATCATCAATGGCATTTTCATGACTTATCTTAGGTCAAATAACTACTAAGTAGCGGAGCTGGGATTCCAGCCCCAGCCCTGAGTTTAAACCTGTGCCGTGTCTACTTTGTCCATAAGCCGTGGTGGTGTTTAAAAATGTTTGTGGCAGTGTGAGCGAGGGCAACCTCCAACTCTTGTGAGTTGCTTCTTTATTTTAGGTCTCCTAGGCAACTACTAACTCAGTTTCAACTCTGCTATGCTAACTTACATGCACTAGTTACTAATAATTACAAAATAGTGCCTGAAACTCAGAAAAAAATCAGTATTTTTAAAACATGTAGTAGTTTAAGAACCTGTTACAGTGCTTCAAAATTTATAAAGTATATTCACACAAATTCTTATTAGGTCTTTTAAAAACAATCGGTGGCTACTTTAAGCAAGTCTTTTTTCTTTCCAATTTTTGTTTTTAAGATTTGTCATATCCCCAACTGGATAGTAAGCTTCTAGAGGTAATGAATACATCAATTTTCTTCTCTTTCTTCTTCCGTGATATTGGTTCTTCCCCGAGTTCTACTGGATGTACACCTACGGTCTTGCAGTGATGATCCATGTCATTCTGAAAATGGTTATCAAGAATAAACTGGATAATCTATATATAAAAAGCAAGAATAGAATTTTTTATTTTTATCTTCTAAATCACAGAAATCATTGCTAATGTTTCCCAAACCTCACTGTAAACCATTTTAAGTCTTTCCCTCCTTTAATACACTGTGAGGTGAACCCTAATAGCATCATCCTCTTTGCTCTATGAGACCCAGAGCTAGAGAGGGATCAACCTGCCTGTTCAGCCCTCCATAGTTCTTGGGGTCAAGGAGGATGAGAAAGTCCTTCCCAGAATATTCACATGAACTAGGACAGCCTTTCTAGGACCCAGGATGTGCCATAGCCTTGTTGTCACCTGTCATAGTGTTTGGCCTTCTTGGGTGATCACTAAATTCCTTGCTGGTTTTAACAAGTTATGTTTCATTTTTATTTTTTCCAATGTTAGTTTTCAAGATGTTCCTCTGTTACATAGATTTCCTAGGCAGCTTATTCAAAGTTGAGATAAGCAAACCTAAACTGACATACTTTGATTTTCAGTGATATGGGAAATGTCCATGATAAAACAACTGAGTTAAAAATGGCAGATAAAAATATGTGCAGTATGCTCCCAGTTCTCTATGTATCTTTCTGCTACTTGTAGATGTGTGATTTTGGGCAAGTTACTTATCTGATGAGCCTCAGTTTCCTTAAATGCGCATAATAATATATACCTTGCAGGGTTAATGTGAAGATCAACAGTGACGTATTTGACACTCCTTTACAAATGTTGGAGAGTTATGCCTTGTCTTAGTTTGCTAGGCTGCCATGACAAAGTAGCACAGACTGGATGGTTTAAACATTAGAAATATATTTTCTCAATGTTCTGGAAGTTAGAAGTCTGAGATCAAGGTGTCAGTTGTTTCTTCTGAGACCTCACTCCCACCCTTCTTTCTTTCTAAGTTTAGCTCTTACGTAGGAATCTTTAGGAAGTGTTTTTTCCTTTCATCACAATCACAAGAAATTAACCTTTCCCTTCAGGGTCCTAGGGCTCTTCGATGAACCTGCGTCAGAGCCATGTTAAATCTTACTTACCTTTGCATCCACTTAGGCACAGGACAGGATTTGACACATAGTAGGTGTTTAAGAAATAACCCATTGAATTGCATTGAATGCCTGTTAATTAAATGAATGCTTTCCTGTTGTCTGACTTAGCTGGGGAATACTTTCATTTGATCAGCAGCAGACCACCCTGCAGGAAGCAGAGATCAAAGGAGTTAACATGATCCCAGACCATTTGTTAAAAAACTGAGAGTGAAGTAGTTTGATTTCCTTCATATATATTTTATGTTTAAGAAATCTATGGTAGGATATGTTTGAAGCGGCCTAACATTTGTGACTGTTAACATGAATGTTAAATGACTTTCCTGATATATAGACATACTTTGAATTTTTAGTCAATATGAGACAAACTATTCTACTCAGGAAGTTCAGAATATCATGTAGGGTGATTATTTAAACTGCTTATGTAGGAGGATAAATGGGCAAAAAGAAAGTCTGCTATGAAAATGTGCAGAGATGATTTAAACAGGACTGTGTTTTGAAGTGTATGGAATGTACATACACATACTCTTTGCCCTGAATGTACATGTACATATGTTTATTTGGAATGACTCTCCTAAGGATATTTGGGATTACAGTACAACTACATGAGTGGCTATGTGAAATTCTTCTCACTGTAGGGGCCTTCTCTTTCTTATATGAACCTCAGCTCCAAACAGGTGGACTTTTATAAAATCTTAAAGCTAAAAGTGTGCCTCACACACTTCCCTTGTCCAGGCTGGCTGCTTGTGCAAACCTGAGACAACACTAAGTGAGATGTTAGATGATCTGTAAACAGCTCAAGCAATGAAGGGCCTGACAAATCTGTGCATAATCTACAGAGTTCTGTATTTTTACTACTTTTACAGCTGAGGTTCCCATCTTTATTGTTTTTGTAATAAAAACCTACGCTATTGCTAATGAACATTTTTTTTTTTGTAAAAAAATCCTTTGTTCCTTACACATAGTAAGAGGTCAGTAAAATTCTTTTGAATTGATGAACAAATGAACTGAAAACAGGTTTTTCCCAGCAAACTTCCAACTCCTCTAAAATGTTTGGAAGTAATCTTACTTCTCCCACATCCTCCTTTTTTCATTGATGACTTCACCATCCATTTACCCAGTCTTGGAGTGAAAGCATATGGGGCGGGAGGGTGCAATTAACACCTTCTTCTCTCTTGTTTCCTACATCCTGTCAATAAGTCCAACAACTATTCTCAGATCTATTATCTCCATTAATTCATTCACCCTGTTCCTGCCTCAGACCATCGCCTTTCACCTAGGCAGCCTTAGGGACTTGTTCCAATATAGGTTTTACTGCCATGACAGAGATTAAACATAACAGTATTTTAAAACACAAGATAGAAGTGATTCTCTCTGTCACATAATGATCCAGGACTGTTTGGGGTCTCTTTCTTTGCAGGGGTTCAGATTCCTCTTGTGAAACCCAGAGGTTTCACATGTAATTTAAACTCACATCCCATTTGTCAGGATTAGTAACATGGCTCATCTCAGTGCAAGGGGATAGCTGGGAAATGTAATTGTGTTAGTCTGTTTTCATGCTGCTGATAAAGACATACCTGAGACTGGGAAATTTACAAAAGAAAGAGGTTTAATGGACTCACAGTTCCACGTGGCTGGGGAGGCCTCATAATCATGGTAGAAGGCAAGGAGGACCAAGTCACGTCTTACATGGATGGCAAAAGGCAGAGAGAGAGCTTGTGCAGGGAAATTCCCCCTTATAAAACCATCAGGTTTCATGAGACTTATTCACTCTCATGAGAACAGCATGAGAAAGACCTGCCCCCATGGTTCAATTATCTCCCACCAGGTCCCTCTCACAACACGTGGGAATTCAAGATGAAGTTTGGGTGGGGACACAGCCAAACCATATCATTAATCTTCATTCTGAATAGCCTTGCATCCAGGTAAATTTTTATCCCTATGGAAGAAGAGAGAATGGATATTGGTGGGCAGCCTGAACCCTCAACCTTATCTCCTAACTGGCTTCCCTGCTCCTGGCCTCAACTAATTTGCCCTTTTCCTCAACTCATAACAAAGGCAATCTGGTCATACCTTTGTCTGCTCAAAAACATTCAACAAGCTCCTCTCTATTGACGGATAAACTTTTAGCTCCCAGGGTGGACTGAATGGTCTATATGTTCTGGTTCCTGCCCAAGCTGCCTCCTATTTCTGTCCCTTCGGTAACTTACTTTCTAACTGCACTCTGGTATTTTTTAGTGAATAAAATGGGGTTTCTTGCTTCAGCACCTTAGTACATGCTACTGCTTCTTTAGGGATGGTATTCCACCTGATGAATTTCTAGTTGACTTAAAAAGCTAAGCTCAGAAGTCATTTCCATCAAGAAGTCTTTGTTAACCTTCCATCTCCCACCACTAACCAAGATAATTAATTGGTCACTCATTGCCACCTCATAGGTGCATTTGCCTATTTTTGCCTTTAATATATTATGTAGTCATTTATCTGTTCACGTACTTATCATCTCTTTCACATCATGAACATGATCGGATTCAACTCAGATATCCTCAGAGCTCAGTATGGTGCTTGCTACTGAGCAGTGGACAGTGAAAGAGAGGAAAGTAGAGTTTTGCATGGTGTTATATGCTAGAAAGAATATTGGACTAGCAGTTACTGGGCTTTCATGCCATCCTATAATTTATTAGCCTGAGTGACCAAGGACATATCACATTCCCTCTCTGGGCTTCAGCTTTCTCATCCTTAATAGGAGGGTTGGCTCAATAATCTGTAAGTTTCTTCCAGATCTAAAAGTTAGTAATTTTCTTATTTTTATAATATAGCAAGTTGAAATGTAACCCTCCTCCACACCAATATGTTACATTCACACAGCTGTGATTTTGCTAAAAATGGACACTTTCTAAATGTTAAAACAGTACATGTTGGAGAATAGTCAATTTAGATCCCAAAATCCTCACTCCACTAAAGGATAAACACTAAAGCTTTGGATCCCACTCAGTGTAAAACCATTCCAGAATGGAGATGTGAAATGGCATTGTTTAAAAGGCTGCATCCAGATATATTTGCCTACCAAATAAATCTTGGATCTGAAAGTGTTGTCATTTAAATGCAGCTAACAAATGCACCGTGGATTCTCTCTATGACATGGGTCCATAATGTGGCGAATTCTATACAACCCCTTTGTGTTGCCTTTTCTTTATTGAATTACACTGGGAATCTTGAAGGGTCTCAGTAACACCATTCTTTTCCATCTGAGCTCTGAAACAATTGAAAAGAAGACAAAGTTGTTTAGCAGATGGAGCTAAGCCTATCAGCTTTATTGGTGTGAAAGATAATATGGAAAAGTATGGCTTACATTTGTGGCCAAGGCAGCTTCCTAGTACTGAGCCCTAGAATTAGACAGACATCCCCTAGCCAGGCTAGATTAGGATAAGCTTGTTCCCTAGCAAGTGCATGAATTAAGCATGCTCAGTTTCTCCTTACAAACTCACCATGGCAGGGACTGCTACCTCTTCCCTCAAATCTCTCCTCCTCCTCCTTCTTCTTCTTCTTCTTCTTCTTCTTCTTCTTCTTCTTCTTCTTCTTGAGGAATACAACTTCCACTTTTTAGTGGGGCATGGCAGCTCCCCAGAATAAAGACTACATTTCCCAGTCTCCTTTGCAGTTAGGTGTGGCCATATGGCTTGGTTTAAGTGGACAGAAGTAAGGGAAATGTTGTGCTCAATTTTTAGGCAGAGTAAAGACATGCTTTTCTCCCTAGTTTTTATTCTTTCTTCTGACAAGAATGTGGATCTGGGGTGTCCATTCTGGATCATGAAATGGAAACTGGAATTTGTGAATGACAAGCAAATTGGAAAGAACCTGCGGCCCTGGAGACATCATGCTATCCCTAGATGGCTTACCTCAACGTTTATTTATGGGAGAGAGATGACCTTTTTTAGTTTAGTTCTTTTTTTTTTTTTTTTTTTTGAGATGGAGTTTCACTGTTGTCACCCAGGCTGGAGTGTAGTGGCATGATCTCAGCTCACTGCAACCTCCACCTCCCAGATTAAAGTGATTCTCCTGCCTCAGCCTCCCAAGTACCTGGGATTACAGATGTTCGCCACCACACCTGGCTAATTTTTGTATTTTTAGTAGAGATGGGGTTTCATAGTGTTGGCCAGGTTGTTCTTGAACTCCTCATCTCAAGTGATCCACCTTGGCCTCCCAAAGTGCTGGGATTACAAGTGTGAGCCACTGTGCCTGGCTAGAGAAGACCTTTATCTTGTTTAAGTCACTATTATTTGGAGTTTCCTGTCCCTTAAGGCTGGGTCCTATTCTAACCTATATACTCTCCAATCAAATGAATGATTCCATCTCCTCCAGACAGAACGTTACACTAATTGATATCCCTCCACACAGAAGGGAGAGTTGGGAGTGGGGGAGGAGAGTTCCCCCTCTGACAAGTTTATTCATTCAACAAATTATTATATGCCACTTGTTATGTGCAAAATACTGCTCTAAGCACTTTACAATAATTAAATTAATCCTCATAGTGCTCCTATAAGCTAGGCACTAATAATATTATCATCTCACAGATGAGGAAGCAGAGGCACAGGCAGGTTAGGGAACTTGCGCCAGGTGACATTGCTTGGAAGTAATGGAGTTTGGGTAAAAGCTTGGGCTGTCTACCTCCAGAGCTCCTGCTTTTCATTGCTACCTTATGCAGTGTCTTGTGAGAGACAGGAACAGACACTCTCGTGTTACCTCCAGTAAGGGAAGACTGTATTTAGAATCAATGGAGAGGTCAGAAAAATGAGAAAAATGTCTTAGTGATCACCTGAGATGCCCTGGTGTCTGGTCATCTCCTCAGCTGCATGAGCTGGTAGCTACTTTTGTGGCACCAATATGGTGACTCAGTCACTTCCTACTGCTGCCAATCACCACTTCTCAGGCTTCTCGTCTTTATTTCGCTCAATTATTGGCTGTTTCTACTCAGTTACCATATGACATCTTATACATGTCTTCTGCTACCCATGGCTTCCTAATTTTGTCTTCTTAATGTGTACACATTTCTGCTTATCTTATTTTCCATTAACAATAAATAGTCTTCTCTAAACAGAGAACTGATGAAATCAGCCAGTTGTCTTCCAGTACTGAATGTCCAGTTGGGTAAGGCTTTTGAGCCAGTCACCGTTTTTGGATAGTCTGCCCAGCCTCTCAAGATCACCAAGAGTGCTGCAGAATATGTCTCACCTTCAAAGACTCTTTGCCATATAGTTTCTCACTCAGTTTCTCTAAGCAGGAGCCATGGTCAGCAGGGAGTTTGGATATGCTGTCCCTATTATTTTCTCCTCATTATTTGTTCTCTTTATATCCTATGAGTGTGAGGGGAAGTCTGAATTGTTTTCATAATAACCAAAGACATGGGATATTCAGTGTTTGAATGGGCTATTCAATGTATGCCTTTTCTTTTCCTATATATCATCAAAAGAAAATGGAATAAGCTTTGGACATGTACCCAAAGATATCTTTCAACTCTTACATCTAGTCTAAACATTGCACAGTCTTCTTCATAGGTGGTTGGCCAGCCTATCACTAAATGCCTTTGGATCAGTGGCTACTCTGGTTCAATCTGCTGTGACCAGAGTATTGGTTATGAACAAGTATGGAGACTGTAGTCTTCTTCATAGATTCTTCTCTAAGAATAGTAGCAGAAGACAGGGCATAGGAAGGTTTGGCGTGGGGAAAGATGGGTTGATTCACTCAAGGTTTCATGGGTTGAATATAATTTTTGCATAACCATTGATTTCTGAACACTTTTTAGTGACTCTAGGTGTTTAGAATTTGAATTAGGAGGTAACCAATTATAGTAGAAAAGAGCACTGGACTGGAAGTTCTAATCTGAGCTCCCTGACAAAGGAAGAGAGCGGGTCCCTGGTCTCTTTTCTTTCATTTTCTTTTCCTCCTTTATTTTCATTACAGGCGTACAGAAATTGATTAATTACAATCTTTAGTTCATGACTTACTCTTATTATTGATTTGTAAATGGCTTGCTTTTATTTGTTTAGTTACTTATTAGTAACTTACTACTGGTGAACTATATTTTAAAACAAAAGCTAAGCTTTTTACAATAATTGATATCTCCTTGCATTAGTTTTTTTTATTGCTGCATAACAAATTACTACAAATTTAGCAGTTTAAAATAATATCCATATATTTTCTCACAGGTTCTGTGGGTCAAGAGTTTGGAGAGAACTTAACTGGGTCTTCCATACCAGGTGTCACAAGGCCTAAATCATGGTGTTGGGCAGACTGTGATCTCATCTTGAGGCAGGACAAGGAAAGCTCCCTCAGTTGGTTGGCTGAATTTGTTTCCTTGAGGCTGTAGATGTGGAAGCTTGCATCTTCAAAGTCAGCATCATGTCCTTTGCAGGAACATTGACGAAGCTGGAGACCATTATCCTTAGAAAACTAACACAGGAACAGAGAACCAATATTGCATGTTCTCACTTGCAAGTGGGAGCCAAATGATGAGAACACATGGACACATAGAGGGGAACAACAGACACTGAGGCCTTCTGGAGGATGGAGAATGGGAGGAGGGAGAGGGTCAGGAAAAATAACTAAAAGATACTAGGCTTAATACCTAGGTGATGAAATAATCTGTACAACAAACCTCTGTGACACGATTTTACCTATATCACACCCCTGCATATATACCCCTGAACTTAAATTAAAAGTAAAAAAAAAAATCAGCAATGAAGAGAAAGAGTTTCTGCTGCTTTAAGTACCTGACTTCTAAACTCATTTTAAGGGCTCTCCTGATTAGGTAAGCCCCACCCAGGGTAATTTATCTTTTGATTATTTAAATCCAATTGTTAGGGGCTTTAATTACATCTTCAAAATTCCTTCATCTTTACCATACAACAGGACTTAATTACAGAAGGGATACCCCATCACCTTTGTCACATTGTATTGGTTAGGAGAAAGTTACAGATCCCACCTACACTTAAGGGGAAGTGATTATACAAGAGTGTGGGTCACCTGCGGACATTTAAGAATTCTGCCTGCCACACTACCCCTATGGAATTCCTCCAAATTCCCACACTCCTGACTCTCTCCCTCCAAATCTCGTCATTCCTTAGCTTTCCTTTCTCTATCAACTTATTTACCTTGAGATTTGCTTTTTAGTCAGTTGGTATTATACTGCTAAGATTCACCCATATTGACATATGTTTTTATAATCCATTCATTTAAACTCTACTTAATATTCCATTAAGTGAATTTTTATGCGATGAATTAATTCACTCTCATGTTGATGGACATTTGAATTGTTTCTAGATTTTTTGCTACTGTGAAAATGCTGATGCAAACATTTTTGCACATGTCTCTTGTTGATGTATAAGAATGTATTTTGAGGATATATGTAGGAGTGAAATTTCTGGGTCACAGGATATATTAATTTCAACTTTAGTAGAGAATGTCAAATTTTTCTAAATTCACATTTCTATCAGCAACATACAGATCCTGAGGCTCTATTTTATCTCTTGGTATAGATTGATTTTTACATTTTTGCCTGAAAAAGCCATGGGAATTGGTACCCCATTCTGGCCTTAATTGCATTTCCCGGCTCCCTGATAATGTTCAACACCTCTTTGAATGTTTGCAAGCCATGTGTTTCATCTGCAGAACATCTGCCCATGGATTTCCCTATTTCTTATTGAATTGTTTGTCTTATTTTAATATTTATGTGTAGGCATTATTTAGACATTCAGCTTTACTTTTCTTGCCAGAAGTATAAAGGAATTGGGGAAGATGCTTGTTAAGTTCCTTCATCTGTAAATCGGGATAATCGTTCTTGCCATGCTTACTTTTCAAAGCTGATGCAAAGATCAAATGAAAAAATATATGTGAAAGCACTCTGTACACTAAAAAGGAAGGAATGACTTGTTTTAGCGTAAATAAGCCTGATAACTTGTAAATATGGAAACATTCAACTTTGAATTGGGAGGCAATTTAGTGTGGTGTTTAAACACACAGATGGTTGCAACCAGACTGCCTGGGTCCAAACCTTCACTCCAGCAGATACTAATGATGTGAACTTAGGTGATTTATGTAACCTCCATGTCCCAATTTCCTTATCTAACAAATGAGAGGTAGTCAAGTCTCTACCTCAAAGAGATTTTTTATAGGATTGAATGAATTAATGTATAGATAAGACTGAGAACAGTATCTAGCAAATAATTAGCACTATGTTAATACCTGTTGAGAATATTACTTGACTTGGATTTCCACAGTTCCTGCTGAATGTTCTGCTAATCAAATTGAGGACAGTTACTTCCACACACTCCCATACATGTACATTCTTTTCATATTGACCCATTTCTAACAGGTCAAAAAAGTTCATTTTTTTCTTTCATGAATAACTCTTGAGTATGGAATTAGTGGCTGGTGGAAAAATATTAACTCAGGCCACTGAAGTATACATGTAATAATAGAATACAAATAATACATTATATAATAATAATATATCATAGAATGTGTAATTCTGCCTCTAAGCTCTTATCCTGGTTTAATAGCTGGTGATCCTGTAAGGGGTATTGAATTACTTATTCCAGGCTGCGTGAAGCATGACAACAAGGCATGATAGACCTTAAATTGCACTGCTTTGTTGAGCCTGAAATCACATTTGAGGCCATAGTTATTGTCCAAGTAAAATTGACTGCCAATTATTTGAATAAAGAGAAGTGGTATTGTCTTATATTAGTTATCTTTTTTTCTCATTAATGAAGTTCATTTGGGCCCATTTGTCTACCTTTTCTTTGTTCTTCTGCGACTTTCTTTAGACTACTGAATCCATAGTTGGCTTTTATCCACTCCAGACAGATAGAAGGAGTCCGATTCTTCTAGTGAATGTATTTTTAGCAACAATTAAAGCTTATGTATCCTGCTTTTTGAATGCATCCTGCAGCCTTCAGAACCACCTGCATTCAGCCTTCAGGGACCTGGACTGCTTTGCTGATGGTTTAGCTATCATCGGAAGGCATAAACACTGCAGGTTGTGTGTAAGCTTGAGAGGGTAGCTAATTATGCTAAACAAGAAATATTAATAATGCAGGATGTGCAAACAAAAACGCTTTTACCAATTTCAAGACATTATTCTTCCTTTCTTCTTCCTGCTCTCTCCCTCCCCACTCTCTTCTACTCATCTGAAGAACATAATAGTAGCAGAAGGTGGGGCTCCTCCGGCAGATACTGGATCCTAAAAAAGCGAGAGATGACAATGACAATAAAATTACCCATCCTGAGAAAGAGAAACACCATTTTTATCTGTCTTGGAGCTGGAATTTTATGAAAGGTTTGGAAACCATGGCAGTGCAGAAACTGGAAGAAATTAAACAAAACTGGTAAAGGCTCTCACGGAGAGTCCAGTCAAGTGTTAGGGTAGGATCTTGTCAGAGACATCCTGGGTCACTTCCTTCCAGACCTGAACAAGGGGAGGCTTGGCATGTGGAGAGGTAAGGGTTGGGTCCACTGGGAGGACAAACTCTTTTTTCCTGCCATTGGAGTAAGAACGTCTGAATAAACATTATTCAGGAGGCCCTGTCAGCTGATCTAAACTTAGTTCTCTTAGGCTAAGCCCCCCAAAAGAGTCTTTCAAGATCATGGACAGGTATTCTGCTTATCTTTTGCTGTGTAACCAAATATCCCAAAACGTGTTGGCTTGAAATAATGACTTATGATTCTCTGTTGATGGTTGATGGGCTTGGCTTGGCAGTTCTTGTTGGGCTGTCTCACATGGTTGCACTTAGATAGCTGCAGGAGCTGGCGTCATCAGAAGGCCTAAATGAAATAGATATCAGCCTGGCCTCGGTACTCACATGTCCGGTCCCTAATGCCCTTCCATGTGACAAATATGGCACAACATCGCCTCTGCCATGTTCTATTGTTCTAAACAGCGAAAGGCCAACCCAAATTCACCCAGAGATTGGAGTCACCTGTAGGTACTAAGAGGAACCCATTAGGAATAGGATGGGGGCTGTCTTTGGAGACAAACTACTACACAGGTACCCACCCCTTGGGAAGTTTCCCAGGAAACATACCCACAGAGAAGCACTGGAGACCTTTAGTGCAGGGCCTAGCAGGAATTCCTTACTGGTGAACTACTTTTCAACCTTTGGCTTTCAGCTAAAACATTACTTTCCCTAGGATGGCTGTCCAAGGCTCTGTCATTAAATTAGGTTTTCCAGCATTTTGGTTTTATAGCATTTATCACAGTTTGTAATGGCATATTTCTATGATTATTGATTTAACATATGTCTTCAACAGTGGACTGAACTCTCTGAGGACAGGTCCTCTGCTTTGCTTTTTTTTTTTAATACTTTAAGTTTTAGGGTACATGTGCACAATGTGCAGGTTAGTTACATATGTATACATGTGACGTGCTGGTGTGCTGCATCCACTAACTCGTCATCTAGCATTAGGTTTATCTCCCGATGCTATCCCTCCCCCCTCCCCCTACCCCATAACAGTCCCCAGAGTGTGATGTTCCCCTTCCTGTGTCCATGTGTTCTCATTGTTCAATTCCCACCTATGAGTGAGAATATGCGGTGTTTGGTTTTTTGTTCTTGTGATAGTTTACTGAGAATGATGATTTCTAATTTCATCCATATCCCTACAAAGGACATGAACTCATCATTTTTTATGGCTGCATAGTATTCCATGGTGTATATGTGCCACATTTTCTTAATCCAGTCTATCATTGTTGGACATTTCGGTTGGTTCCAAGTCTTTGCTATTGTGAATAGTGCCGCAATAAACATACGTGTGCATGTGTCTTTATAGCAGCATGATTTATAGTCCTTTGGGTATATACCCAGTAATGGGATGGCTGGGTCAAATGGTATTTCTAGTTCTAGATCCCTGAGGAATTGCCACACTGACTTCCACAATGGTTGAACTAGTTTACAGTCCCACCAACAGTGTAAAAGTGTTCCTATTTCTCCACATCCTCTCCAGGTGCTCTGCTTTGAGTGCTCCCCACTGATTCCCTGCACTTAGCTTGGTGCTGGCTCTCAGTAAGACAACAGGCAACAGTTATAGTGGAATGAAGACATAGGTGAGTGGTTAACATCAACATATCTGATCTTGCCAACCAGCTTCTATGGTTCGCGCAGAGATTTCTACAAAGAGGAGTCTCCCTTTCATTCACTGATTACGTTTTAAAATCAAAATTTACTGAGAGAGAGAATTTCAGAGCCTCATGGATTCCAGATCAAGAACACCTAGTTTAGGTGTTACAGCATAAAACATACTGCACTTATATTTTTATTTATATTATTTTGGATTTATTTAGAATGGCTACGGAATGTCCTTCTTTGATGAGAAGATAAAAAACCTTCTACATCCTAGATGTTTATAATAACATAAAAGCTAGAGTTTGTGTCAGAAGAGCTAGCTTCTATAAGAGGTTGAAAAGTTCATAAAATATTCCAAGCGTCAGGGTCAGAGGTTAGAGTATTTTACTTTAGGACCCGTTTGCATTTCAGATCATGCTTGCATTTCATGACAAATTAAATGTACCCTTGAATCTGCTCTGAACATATTTCACATGAGTATTTATCTGAATGTCAATAAAATACAGAGCAGTTGCAAAATCATCCAGCAAGGATGAAGTTTTATTGTTTCAGGTCAGTTAACCGTCACTCTGAGAGTAAAACAGTGAGTGCCTAATGCACTGAAGTGAGGAGTATGGATTTTGTTCTAAATGAAGCTATTGGAAGTTTTTCAGCTGGAGAAAGACAGGATCATACATTTTAAAGAAATATCCCAGGTGCTGAGTGGAGTTTAGACTATAGTTTATGAATGAAAGAAGAAGACTAGCCAAGAAGCTACTGCAATTGTCCAGGTGGGACATATAGGTAGCAGTCAAGACCAGAGGTGAATGACTAGAATAATGAAGGAATTTAAAATCATATCATATTTATACTTAAAAAGCCAGGAGATGCTTAGATGTTTCAACTGGGAATAGAGAGATGCCTTCAAATATATGACAGCTGTCATGTAAAAGATGGATTAAAATTATTCTGAATTTCGAAAGGCAGAACCATGAGCAGAAACCACAGGGCATGAGATCCAGGCTCAGAATAATTTTATCTCTGAGCCATGCAAAGATGAAAGGGGCTGCCTGGGGAGGCCGTGAGTTCCCATTCCCGACTGTGTTCCAGTAGGGACTAGAGGACCTCTCAGAGCAAATGTGGTGGGTCTAGGGAGGGATCGTGGGACCAGATGACACTTAGATGTCTTTTGGAGATTTGGGGAAATGTGGCAGTAATGAGAACGGTGGATATTCTCATTTTGGTGTTACACCACTAAGGTAGAGAAAATTAACAGTTATGTC
Organism: Homo sapiens; assembly: GCF_000001405.40. Classification (NCBI taxonomy): domain Eukaryota; kingdom Metazoa; phylum Chordata; class Mammalia; order Primates; family Hominidae; genus Homo; species Homo sapiens. The sequence goes on along the minus strand of NC_000014.9, from coordinate 88,080,898 downwards.
ACTCTTCTTGAAGCTTTTCAGACAAGGACTCCAGAGTATTTGGCACATAGCATATCCAAGGTGGTGTGTTGCTACTGTTGACCTATTTAGTAGAGATGCATAAGCTTTTCTTTTCACTTCTTGGCTACATTTCTCAGAATATTTTTCTTTAATCTTCTTTAGAGAGATGCAGTAGGGGAAGACTCTAAGATCTGGATTAGAGAAACCTAGCTTGAAATTCTCTGTCCACAATGCTAATTGCATGAGTGTCAGCAAATTATTTAATGGCTCTGGGCCTCATTTAATCACCTATTAAATGGGGATAACACTACCTATTTCTACAGTTGTTGTAAGAACTAATCCATACAAAGTTCCTAGCATCCTGGAAGATTTTAATACATAGTAATTGTATGTAGATAAAAAACCCCAAAACAAAAACCATTTACTTATGCAAGCCAATGAAACTTAGTCATTATGTATACAAATTGGGAGGTACAAATCACAGTAAGTGAAGAGTTAACTGGCAAAAGGAAATGCTCACTGATTGAGTTGATGAAGTTCTAAACTTCAGGATATTATTTATTTTTTTTCTCTAATTTGATGCATCTTTAAAGATAACCATTTATACAAATTCTTAAACACTCTAAGAAATTAGCCACAGTTCAGAGGCAATAATGTATGATTCTCGGAGCTTTCTCCAGGCTAGTGCTGGGAAGCGGGAGGGAGTAATTGAGCCTCTGGGATGAGTGCACTTCTTCCTGTGGATACTGGGTGGGAGTGAAATTGGTCTTCAAATAAACATGATTCATGGCTTAGTGGAGAAACTGCAAAGTTCCCCATGAAAATGGAATAGCAAGTCAGTTCATTATACTGTAGTTATTGATATTGCAATCTGCTCCCAATGGAGGCAATTACAAATCCATTTAGGAAAGAGTGTGATTGGGACTTTTGTTTGTATTCACCTAACCATTAGTTGCCTGGACAATGTTTTTCAAGTGAGACTCCTCCACCACCTTTGGGTTCTATTCATTTCTATATCTCTAGCACCTGTCACAGTTGCCTGGCACATTGATGGGTTTTGTTAATATTTGCTGATTCATTAGAAATTCCCTCATTATGCAGTCTCTGATGTGCTTTTGTCCACCCAGCACAGGATGCTCAGAAACTGCTTATAACATTACCTTTTTGTATATATGCATTATATGTGCCCCCTCACCCCAGAGGCTTTGGTTCTCACCTAGTACCAATCTTGAACGCACGTCCTCCACAGCTCTTATATTTACAGTGAATGACCCATTCACACCAATGCAATAGTGTGCATAACCTGCTTATGCATGAGACTTTCCCTATTTTCTCAGAGTTTCTTGTAAAGCCCCAAAGCTGAAGAGAGCAGGCAAGTTCCCCCATATTTTTACAACAGTGTCAGGAAGCTGGCAGAGGTGCCCTCTATGGCTTTCTGGGTAATCTATTGATACTCTGACTATCACTACCGCCCACCACATCCTAACTATCCTATATAAAGTGAAGACATGACATTTGAAGGAAACTCACCTAATAGTTCATCGGTGTGGGGGAATTTAGGCTTAGAGGGGAGTGCTGTGACATTGTCATCTCCAGATCCACATAACAGAGTTCCAAGAAAACTGTCACAGAGTTTAGAAGTGGGTGCTTCAAGAAGAGGAGGCTGTATCTCACTCTCTCTCTGGATGCTGGCTGAGCTCAGAAGCATGGCAGCCACTCTAGCTCTGCCACAGGGAGTGGAGGCAGAGAATTCCTGAAGGACTTGACTCCTTGACACTGGAGCTTAGAGTGATCCCTGCATATAGAGAATGGGGCATAATTACAACCTGGACGATTGTGGAGGTATGAGGATGGATGGTGCAGCCTGCAATGGCTGGGTTGAGAAAAAGGATAAGAGGGCCAGCATTTGGCAAGCATTTTCCTTGCCACAGGAGCTGGCCAGGCTTAAGTGATCTAGAAAGCATCTTCCTAAGAGGGCAGCACATGTGAGTGGGGACTCAACTGTGGAAAGTACCATGGTGGGGGGCAGGAGCTAAGAGATGGTCCAAAGAGAGCAACTGGAGAGCACGCCATCCCCTCCAGGACCTGAATAGTAAGGTAGTTCCCACTGTGACTCTGAGAACTCAGACACATCTCACAAGAAGCCAGCATTTGAAAGTGGGCAACACAGAAGGGCCACCTAGTGTCAGCCAAGGGAGAAAGATAACAGTGACTATCTAAGGGGGAAAAGAGACTTTTGCCTCTTCCTTTAATCCCTCTTCATGCACTGACCCCAAAAAGGGCAGAAGAGAGGGAAGAAGGTGGAAGAACAGGTCATGCTCAACCTCTACTGCAAGTCCCAAGCCAAGTTCAAGCCTGACTGGAGGAGTGGGCAGTGGAGGAAGGTAGTGAGGAGAAAAGAAAGGGAAAGGGCCTGAAATTAGATGTGAGGTTCAAGTTTTATTTTAGATTAGACAGAATGTTAGAGTATGTAAAAATCTCCTTTAGAAAGGAGATTGTAAAAAAACAAAAGGGATTAGATAATCACTGCATCTACCTGGGATGTCATTAAAAGGTAGAGAAAGGCGATCCATCAGAATATGCAGAAAGCAGTGGAAAGAGAAAAATAAAACTATTACTGTTTGTATTCTTACTAAGTTCAGACTATTCATTAAAATGCTTCCATGCACGATGTAGATGTCACTGAAGAATTCGTAGGTGATATGGAAGTGGGACTTATATCTCCCAGGGCCCACTTACATCACACCTCAGCAGCCTCATTAGATGTGCTTTTCCTTTCTGAATCTCACCAGCTCTGTGGAGCTGGTGGGTTACTCTCCCTCATGGTGCTCATTGTCTCCTCTCTGGATGCAAACTTGCATACCCCTCCTCAGAACACACTTTAGTGAGACCCCATGTGAAGAGCATGGCATTGAGGTCACTGTGCATGGGAAGGCCGCTTACATTCATGTACACTCACCCTTCTTCCAAGAATGTCAGTAGCCAGGTTTAGAGATTGAGCGTGGTCTAATAGAAGACACTTTCATTTAGGCTAATTAAAGCAGGTATTGTGCTCAGAAAAGAAATCAAAGACAACTTCTTAGAGTAATCCTGGGTTCTCACTGAAAAATGCAGTATGATCTCTTGGGTGTTAGATATGGAAGGCTCACAAGATGTTTGGTATGTGCTGTTTAATACCCTGTTTCCAACATTCAGGCGAATTTCCTATTTGGGGACATTGTCTCCACCTAATTGAAAATTGCTGAGCTCTTACATTATTACCCAGATGGTTTTATAAAATGGTTTTGAGTTCTCATTTGCTTTTAGTAGATGAGTTCATTTGGAAAAGAAAATTTAAACACAATATTAGCAAATGAAAATGACAGTGATAGGTCTTTTTTGTGTGGGAATCACAAGAGGATAGGAAATGATGCAATTAAAAGCATCCTTTGAGATGGCTTTTCCATGGTAAGATTGTGGTAGAAGCTAAGGAGTTACGGCACTTAATATTTACACATTGTAATGGCCTTTTGACTGTCTATACTTCAGCAGTCTGTCCAAGTGTGCAAATTTTGAAGACAGGGACATTTAATCTACCTGCAATCCTGTTGATTACGTCTCCAAAATATATTTTCAATCAATTCTCTTCTCTTTCTCTTTTTTTTTTTTTTTTTTTTGTAGTTGGAGTTTGGCTCTTGTTGCCCAGGCTGGAGTGCAGTGGCAAGATCTCGGCTCACTGCAACATCTGCCTCCCGGGTTCAAGCAATTCTCCTGCCTCAGCCTCCCAAGTAGCTGGGATTACAGGCATATGCCACCACGCCTGGCTAATTTTTGTACTGACATCAAGTGATCCACCTGCCTCAGCCTCCCAAAGTGCTGGATTTACAGGCGTGAGCCAGTGTGTCCAGCCCGATTCTTTTATCTTTACCTCCATTGCCACTACTTTAGTCTGGGCTCCTAATTGTCTCTTTGCTTCAGCCCATTCCCCTAATAGTAGCTGATGTGATATTAGAAAGCTAATGGAGGACTTACGACTTAAAATAGTGAATTGAAATGAACTCACAGGATCTCTATTCTCCAATACTTAATAAATAGGGGGCAGGGGAGAGTACAAACCAGCCAAAAATATATCAACAATTTGATTGAATAAACTTAGACAAAATCCTCTCGCTCTGTCTGCATCTCTCCATATTTGGGAGAATTGGTGTAAAGGCCCAGGCTTTTGCTGTCTCACCAGAATGGCTTCTAGGGGATAGCTACTGGGTTAGAAGCAGGGTTAGGCTAAGTCCTCCCCTCCTTTCCACACTAGAACCTCTCTTCTCATTTTTTGGTGGATAAAAAAGTTCCTCTCTGTGGTGGCCATGAGAATGTGCCTCTCAGATCTCCAACTGTAGGGACCAAGGGCTCCAGCTGCTTGGCTGTGAAATCCATCACTGAGTTTGTGTCAAATCCGTGTTTCCCAGCTATTGGCTGTGCCCGGCAGCGACACTGAAGCAGACCCATTTCTGAGAGATGCAAGACTCCACTGATGGGCAATTTTGGCTCGAGAGCTCTGCAATGGCCTTGTCCAACTTTCCTTAGACTGCATAGCAATCTAGCAAGCTTCTACCTAGCCTTCCTTCCTTCTCTCTCTTCTTTACTCAAAGTCAGACCTACATCACAGTCTAATGGTTCTCTCAGCCTTTCCTGGAAGTCTCCAATTTCTTTCACAGACATTCCCCTAATAACTTTCTTGCACATTTAGTCTTGTCTTGATGCCTGCTTCTCGGAGGACCCAAACTGATACACTGGCACAGAGAATATGTTTAATAAAAGTATTCAAGAAATGAATGACCTTATTGAAGGAATTTAAAAGTCTTTTCATTAAATGTTTTTCAAGTTAATAAACTTTTTTTTCAAAGAGTAGTTTTAGGTTCAGAGAAAATTTGTGTAGAAAGTACAGAGAGTTCCCACATACCCCATTACCTCCACACAGTCACAAGCTCCCCCACTGTGGACATCCTACACCACAGTGGTACCTTTTTTACAATTGACGAAACTATATTGACATATCATTGTCACCCAAAGTCCATAGATTACATTAGCATTTACTTTCGGTTTTGTACATTTTATGGGTTTGGACAAATGTATAATGATATGTATTCCTCATTGCGGTATCATGCAGAATAGTTTCACTACCCTAAAATTTTCTGTGCTTTATGTATTCATCCCTCCCTCCCTGTAGCCCCTGGCAACCACTAATATTTTTACTGCCTCCATAGTTTTGCCTTTTCCAGAATGTCATATAGTTGGAATCACAGAGTTTACAGCCTTTTTAGATTGTGTCCTTTCCCTTAGTAATATGCATTTAAATTTCTTCCATGCCTTTTTATGGTTTGATAGCTAATTTATTTTTAGCTGTGAATAGTATTCCATTGTCTAGATGTATCGTAGCTTATTTGTTCATTCACCTAGTGAAGGACATCTTGGTTGCTCCCAAGGTTTGGCAATCATTAACAAAGCTGTTATAAATATCCAAGTGCAGGTTTTTGTGTGAACATAAGCCTTCAATCATTTGGGTAAAAAATATGATTGATTGATGGATTGTATAGTAAGAGTATGTTTAGTTTTGTAAGAAACTGCCAAATTGTCTTCCAAAGTGGTTGTATTACTTTGCATTTTCACCAGCAATGAGTGGGAGTTCCTGTTCTTTCACATCCTCCCCAGCATTTGACGTTGTCAGTGTTTTGGATTTTGGCCATTCTAATAGGTGTGCAGTGGTATCTCATTGTTTTAATTTGCAATTCCCTAATGGCATTTGATGTTGAACATTTTTTCATATGTTTACTTTAACATCTTCTTTGGTGAGGTGTCTGTTCAGGTATTTTTCTTATTTTAAAATCAACTAGTTTTTTTTCTTATTGCTGAATTTAGCTCTTTGTATATTTTGGATACTAGTCCTTTATAAGATGTGTGTCTCACAAATATTTTCTCCTAGTCTCTGGCTAGTCTTCTCATTCTCTTGATATTGTCTTTTGCAGAGCAGAAGTTCTCAATTTCAAAGAAGTCCAGCTTATCGAATATTTATTTTATGGGTCATGCCTTTCGTGTTGTATTTAAAAAGTCATTGTCACATCCAAGTTCGCCTAGATTTTCTCCTATGTTATCTTCTAGGAATTCTACAGTTTTGAATTTAAGTCTTTTATATATTTTGAATTAATTTTTGAGAAGAGTGTAAGGTCTGTGTCTCTGTTTTTTTATGTGGATGTCTAGTTGTTCTAATACCATTCATTGAAACACAATATTTTTTCCCATTGAATAGCCATTGCTCCTTTGTTAAAGCTAGTTGGCTATACTCATGCAGTTCAATTTTGGGGCTCTCTACTCATCCCATTAATTGTTGTTGTTGTTGTTGTTTTGCTCTAATTTTTCATCAATACCACATGGTCTTTATTACTGTAGCTTTAATTACTGTGTTTTAATTACTGTAGTAAATATAGAAGTCAGGTACTGTCAGTCTTCTGACTTTGTTTTGCTTCTACAATATTGAGTTGGCTCTTCTGAGTCTTTTGACTCTCCATATACATTTTAGATTCAATTTGTTGATATTTATAAAATATCTTGCTGAGATTTTAATTGAGATTGCATTAAATCTCTAATTCAACTTGGGTAAAATTGACATATTGACAATATTAAGTCTTCTGTCCATGAACATAGAATATGTCTTTATTTACTTTGTTCTGCTTTGGTATCTTTCATTAGAGTTTTTTAGTTTTCCACAGACAGATACTGTATATATTTTGCTGTATTTATATCTAAGAATTTTTGTGAGGATGCTGATGTAAATGGTAATATGTTTTTAATTTCAAATTTCATTCATTCATTGCTGGTATAAAGGAAAGTGATTGGCTTTTATATATTAGCTTCTATCCTGCAAACTTTGTATAATTGTTTATTAGTTTTGTCAATTATTTGGAATTTTCTATATAGACAATCATTTCACCTGTAAACAGAAGCAGATTTATTTCTTCCTTCCTCATTGATATAACTTTATTTATTTTCTTGTCTTATTACATTAGCTAGAACTTCTGGTATCATGTTGAAAAGCAGTAGTCAGCAGGGACATCCTTGTCGTGATTCTGATCTTATCAGGAAAGCTTTGAGTTTCTCACCATTAAACATGATGTTAGCTGTAGGCTTTTTTTTTTTTTTTTTTAGTAGATTTTATTTATCAAATTGAGGAAGTCCCCCTCTATTTCTAGCATGCTGAGATTTTTAAAAAATCATAAATGGATATTGGATTTTGTTAAATGCTTTTTCTACATCTATTGATATGTTAATGTGATTTTTCTTCTTTAGCCTCTTGATGTGATGGATTATATTAATTCATTTTCAAATGTTGAACTAGCCTAACATACCTGAGATAAATTCCACTTGGTAGTGGTATACAATTATTTTAACACATTTTTGGATTTGACTTACTAAGTCTTTGTTGAAGATTTTTGCATCTCATCTTTCATGTTCATAAAATACATTTATCTATAGTTTATTTTCTTAAAATGTCTCTGTCTGGTTTTGATATTAGGGTAATGCTGGCCTTGTAGAATGAATTAGGATGGATACCGTCTGCTTTTTTTGGGAAGAGATTGTAGAGAATTGGCATAGTGTCTTCTTTAAATGTTTGGTAGATTTTACCAGTGATTGCTCTGGGACTGGTGCTGTCTGTTTTGGGAAGTTATTGATCATTGATTTAATTTCTTTAACAGATGTAGGGCTATTTAGATTGTCTTTTTTTTCTTGTTTGAGTTTTGGTATATTCTATTTTTCAAGGAATTGGTCAATTTTATCTAGGTATCACAGTAGTGGCCATAGGGTTGTTTATACTATTCCTTATTATCTTTTTAATGTCTATGAGTTCTGTAGTGATGTTCCCGCTTTCATTCCTGATACTAGCAATTTGTGTCTTCTCTTCTACTCTTGGTGCCTGGCTAGAGGCTTATCAATTTTATTTATCTTTCCAAAGAACTAGTTTTAGTTTTATTGATTTTCTATATTGAGTTCCTGTTTTCAATTTTATTGATTTCTGCTCAATTTGAAATTAAGCTGCTTTTCTTATTTTGGTATCCTAAGGTGGAAGCATAAACTATCGATTTTAGATACTTTTTATTTTCTAATATATGCATTCAATGCCATAAATTTCTCTCTAAGCACTGCTTTTGCTGCATCCCGCAAATTTTGATAAGTTGTATTTTCATTTAGTTCCAAATTAAAAAATTGAGATTTCTTTTTTGAGGCATGTGTTATTTAGAAGTGCAGTTTAATCTTCAATTATCTTGGGATTTTGCAGCTGTCTTTCTGTTACTGATTTCAAGTTTAATTTCACTGTAGTCTGGAAGTAGATGTTTTATGATATTTATCTTTAAAAATTTGTTAAGGCATGTTTTATGACCCCAAATGTGGTCTATCCTGGTTAATGTTCCATGTGAGCTTGAGAAGAATACGTAATCTGCTGTTGTTGGATGAAGTAGTCTATAAATTTCAATTATATCCAGTTGATTGATGGTGCTGTTGAGTTCAACAATGTGCTTACTGATTTTCTGCCTGAATCAGTCCATTTCTAATAAGACATGTTAAAATGTCTAACCCTAACAGTGGATTCACCCATTTCTCCTTACAGTTTTATCAGTTTTTACCTCACATATTTTGATACTGTGTTGTTAAGTGCATACATATTGAGGATTATTATGTTTCCATGAAGTATTTACCTCCTTTATCATTATGTAATAACTCTATCCATTCTTGATAACATTCCTTGCTCTAAAGTCTGCTCTGTCTGAAATTAGTATAGTTACTTCCTCTTTTTTTAAATTAGTGTTAGCATATTATATTTTCCCTCATCACTTTTAATCTCCATGTGTCTTTATATTTAAAGTGGGTTTCTTCTAGACGGCATATAGTTTGGTCTTGTTTTTGATCCACTCTAAAAATCTCTGTCTTTTAATTGGTATATTTCTATCATTAACATTTAAAATGATTATTGATATAGTTTGATTAATATATATCATATTCATTAACATTTTTATTTGTGTTTTTGTTCTTTCTTCCTAGTTTGCCTTCCACACTTTTTCTGCCTTTTGTGGTTTTAATTGAGCATTGTATGAGATTCAATTTTATCTCCTTTCTTAGCATATCACTTATAGTCAATTATGGTTTTTGTTTGTTTGTTTGACCTTGCGCTCCCCCAGGCTGGAGTGCAGTGGTGTGATTATAGCTCACTGCAGCCTTGAACTCCTGGGCTCAAGTGATCCTCTCACCATGGCCTCCCAAAACACTAGGATTACAGGTGTGAGCCATCCTACCTGGCCCCTATGCTTTTTTAAAAAAACTATTTTTAGTGCTTGCCCTGGAGTTTGCAATGTACATATATAATCCAACCCCACTTTCAAGTAACACTACACCCCTTCACAGGTAGTGCAAGTACCTTATAATAATGACAACGAAATATTCCTAATTCCTCTCTCCTGTCCTTTGTAACTTGTAATTCATTTCACTTACACATAAACATACACACATGAGCATATGTAATCAAACATATTTTTGTTATTATTTTGAACAAACTGCTATCTATTAGATCATTAAGATTAAGAAACATAAATGTTTTCATTTTATCTAAACTTATTTCTTCTCTGATGCTTTTTTTTTTGTAGGTCTGAGTTTCTGACTTACATTATTTTTCTTCTCTCTGAAAAACTTCTAACATTTCTTGCAAGCAGATCTACTGGAAACAAATTCCCTCAAATTTTGTTTGCCTGAGAAAGTCTTTATTTCTCATTCACTTTTGAAGAATAATTTCATGGGATACAGAATCCTAAGTTGGTGGATTTTTTTTTTTTTTGGTTCTAAATGCTTTAAATATTTCCTTCCACTCTCTTGCTTGCATGGTTTCTAAAAAGAAGTCAAATATAATTATTATTTTTGCTTCTTTATAGGTAAGATTTTTTTCCTCTGACTTCTTCCATGATTTTTTCTTTATCTTTGATTTTCTGAAGTTTGAATATGATGTACTGAGGTGTACTTTATTTTGGCATTTACCTGGCTTGATCGTCTCTGAGCTTTCTGTATCTGTTGATTAGGTGTCTGACATTAATTTGGGAATTTCTCAGTCATTATTGCTTCAAATACTTTTTTCTGTACCTTTCTCTTTTTATTCTCCTTCTGGTGTTACCAGTATGTGTAGTTTATACCATTTGTAGTTTTCTCATAGTTCTTGGCTATTTGGTCCTATTTTTTCTCAATCTTTTTTTCTCTTTGCTTTTTAGTTTTAAAAGTTTCTGTTGTCATATCCTCAAACTCGGAGATCCTTTTTTCATTTTTTTTTTACCTTTTATTTTGGAATTGGGGGTACTTGAGCAGGTTTGTTACAAAGATATATTGTATGATGCTGAGGACTAGAGTATGAATGTACTCCAGGTAGTGAGCATAGTATGCAATAGGTAGTTTTTCAGCCCTTGCCTCCCTCCCTGTCTCCCCTCTCTGGTAGTTCCCAGTATCTATTTTTCCTGTCTTTATGTCCATGTACACCCAATGTTTAAGAGCAGAGATTCTTTCCTCAGTCATGTTCAGGTTTCTAATGAACCCATCAAAGACATTTTTTACTTCTGTTACATTGTATTTCATCTCCAGCATTTTGTTTCTTTCCTTCTCGGAATTTTTATCTTTTTACTTACATCATCCGTTTTTTCATGTTGTCTACTTTTGCATTAAAGCCCTTAGCATATTAATCATAGTTATTTTAATTTCCTAGTCTGATAATGCCAGTATTTCTGTACATCTGACTCTAGTTCTGATGCTTGTTTAGACTCTTCAAACTATGTTTTCTTTAGCCTTGTAATTTTTCAATGAAAGGTGGTGTCTTTGTTCATTTTTCATTGTTGTAACAGAACACCTGAGACAGGGTAGTTTATTTTGAAAAGAGGTTTATTTGGCTCATGATTCTGGTGGCTGGGAAGTTCAAAATTGGGCAACTACATCTGGTGAGGGCCTTAGGCCACTTCAACTAACAGTGAAAAATGGAAGTGAAAAATGGAGCTAGTGTATGCTAAGACATTGCATGGTAAAAGAGGAAGTTGGAGTGAAGGAGTGGTAAAAGGTGCCAGCGTCTTTAATAACCAGCTGTTTTGGGAACTATTAGAAGGAGAACACACTCAGTCCCAAGGGAGGTCATTCATCTATTCATGAAGGATCCTTCCTTATGACTCAAACACCTCCCACCAGGCTCCGCCTCCCAACACTGCTACATTGGGGATCAAATTTTAACATGAGGTTTGGAGAGGACAAACATGAAAACCATAGCAGGTGAACATGATGTGTACTGGGTAAGAGGAATTGTGGTAAACAGGCCTTTAGTAATGCATTGGCAAGGTGTTGGGGAGTGGGAAGCATTCCATAGTCCTATGGCTAGGTCTCAGTCTTTTGGTAAGCCTGTGCCCTGAACTGGAGAGCACATAGTCTCTCTAGCAGGATAGTCTGATTTCTTACATGCATCCTCAGAGCTCTAAGAATAAGTAATTACAGAAATAGAACACTGAAGTTACTAGTCTCTTAAGACCTAGGCCAGCAAACTGGTACAACATCATTTCCTTTATATTCCATTAGATAATCAGAGAACCAACCTGGATTTAAGAGAAGGAGACATAAAATCCATCTTTCAGTGGGAGGAGTGTCAAAAGAATTTGTGGTCACCTTAATCTGCCATGACTCGTAGTATAGATCGGATACTATGCAATAGATAGTATAGATTGTTAGGAGCTTAAGCTCTGAAGATGGAGAGTATTTTGGCTTCAGAACTTACTACCTGGATAGACACATTACTTAAACTAATTCTACATCTCAATTTCTTTGTCTGAAAAATGAAATAAAAATGACTATACCTTATGATGTTAAAACAATATTTCTCTGCTTCTCATTTTTGAATTACATTACAAAAACCATAAAAGGCATCAGACTCCAGAAAAGGGAGAACAGGGAAAGCAACCCAACTTGCCATATAAATATATGTATTGAAATTCCATTTTGTTCTTTATACCAGGCTAATTATTTTATTTGTGTTTATGTTTTATGTGTGCTAATTATTTTGTGTGTTTATTTATATTTTCTCATTAATCCTTACAATAACTCTGAAATGTACCAATTGTTCACATTTTTAAAATGAGAAAAATCTAAGTCTCTGAGACATTAAAATGAGTCTAATATCACACAGATAGCATAATTGTTCCAACTGGAGATGTTTTACTAGCTTCAGCTTTCTTTTGTGAAATACCTACCTCTCCCTAAGACCTACTTTTCCCTGTTGCACACAATGAAGTGTTTCAATATCATCCCTATAAGCCAAGTGAAAATTGTGTGAACTGGTAAGGCAAGACATTGTAATAAAACAAATAGCAATTTTCTGTGATATTTCAGTACATTAGAACTGTTTCAAGCCTACAAGTTTATTTGTTGATTACTTTTATCTTAGGCCAGTGATTCCTAGTCTTTTAAGAATTTCAATGTTCTATTTATTTCATAGGCAAGGCACCCTGGGAGGAGACAGATTTTCACAAGGTTTGGAAAATAAACTTCTTCTAGTACATAGACAAAAATTGATTATTTAGCCAGTCTTTTATGGTAAGTAAACTGGTTTTTTATTTACACTGGTGTTACAAATGTTGTTTTTAAATAAACGAGGGAAAATCTGAGTTGACTTGAAGGAAACAAATAATAGGAAGATGGTGAGTACATATGGTACAGATTGAGAATTACGAAGTACTGAAATCTGGAAAATACTGGTGCAATGAATATAGATATCTACTAGATAGTGGGTATCAGGGTAGATACAAAGCCCTGGATATAGGTAGACATAGATATGGAGACATATTGTGTATAGAGAGAGTCATGTTTAGTCCTGACAGCTATAGTGTGACTTTGAGCAACTCACATAATGTCCATTATAAACATGTCTTCTCATTTGCAAAATTAAATATTGAATTTAACTTTTCCTGAGAATTCTTTTGCTCCAAGATTTTGTGACATTGCACTTCTTTTCCCAACAAACCAACCTCTTATCAGGAATGAAAACTAAATTTGGAATACATTTTATGTGTTTGAAGGAAGTACAGAAGGCAAGACTTTAAACTCATCATGCTTTCCAAAAATAACATTTTTAATAACTTCTAGAGAGTTATTAGAGGGAATAATTTCTGTCAGCATTATTAATTCCTCATCATAATTATATTTTCAGCCAATGTCATCAAACATGAACCTTATTATTATGTATCATCATCATTTATTGGAATACATCATCAAAGACTGTCCAAATCCTCTATCATTACACTTCCAGTAATACTGTTGTGTAGTACATTCAGGAAAACACACAAAGTTCATGAGAAAGAATCTGAAGGAAACATCCTGAATACAGAGACATTTTCCTGTGGAAGCCAGGCAGTCACTGATGTACTCAATCAATTCTAAAGTAGCATCTCTCACGGTCAAGGACTTTGGAGTCGATGTTCTCCAAAGTGGACAGATCCTGAATTACTGGGAGCTTTTACTCAATTCATGCCACAACCGTTGAACATTCTGTTAAAAGAGGCTAAGGGTAGGAGACGAAACAAAAGCCTGCAGGAAAGGAACTCCACCTTGCTCAGACTTGGGGTGACCTTTTGGCCATGGCACCAGCCTTGGAGACTGGACCGGCTTTCCCATCTTGAAACTTAGAGGCAGTACAATGGTGGGTTTTTGAGATGAAAAGGACTGACTATCAGATGGAGGCACTATGGACCACAGAAGTTAAGTGACTTGCTCAAGATTACTAGGACCTAAGTTACTGGACTCTTGTTAGCCTAACTTTGCAATCCTTACTCTGAGTTTTCAGTAGGAATTAGATCCTAGAAAGTTATATCTTTGCTGTCTTCCCTCAGCCTTCCTGGGACACACCAATATGGCATGGGTAGCAGCCAGTTACAAAGTTTTGCTGACACTTGAGGTCTACCCAGTTGGTCATTGATGTTACTACCTCTTTATTTGCTCAAGAGTTCTTAGAGGAGCAATTGTATCCCATGCTCAGAATTACTAAGGGATATAAATAGAGGGCAGTCTGAGCACTGGCCCTAATGTCTGCAGAAAGTACAGAGCTGTCCCACATGACACAGCTGGCTGACATCCACTTGACTCAGCAGCCCCAATATCTCTCCTTGGGTGACACACTGGCCTCACCATTCTAGCAACTGCAACAGGATGGGGTTCCTTGGGGAGGGTGGGAAAGGCTCTGATAATACTTGCAGTCAGAGCTGTGTCTTCTTCTGGTACCTTTGGTATTTTACCCTAATGGTGCATCCCCTTGTGTTTAAGAGACCACCAATTGGGATCACTACTTTTGATTTTGGCAAACCTGCGTGTGGCACATAAAGAAGAAATAAGTCAACTGCTGAGATGAAGACCCAAGCCCTTGGTATCTGGTTAGGGGTCATAGAGGAGCCCATGTACGGGCTTCAGGATGCGCAGACTTACTTGCTTACTGGATGTGGTAGGCTGAATAATGGCCCCTAAATATGTTCATTTTAGAATCCCCAGAACCTCTGAATATGTTACTTTGCCCGGTAAGGGGATTCTGCAGATGTGACTAAGTGAAGGATCTTGAGATGCGGATGTTATCCAGGATTATCCTGGTGGGCCCCGTGTAACCACAAGAATCCAAATAGGAGGGACACAGAGGAGTCAGAGTCAGAGGAAAAGGCAATGGGCAATGTGATGACAGCAGCAGATATTGGAGTGAGGAGTTTTGAAGATGAAGGAAGGGGTCATAAGTCGAGGAACACAGGCAGCCACTATGACCTGTAAAAGACAAGGAAATGAATTCTCCCCCTCAGAGCCTCCAGATAAAATGGAACCCTGATGATTTCTTCACTTTAGCCCTGTGAAAGTGATTTCAGACTTCCCATCTCCAGAAATGTAAGAGAATAAATCTGTGCTGTTTTAGGCCACTAAGTTTATAGTAATTGTTGTAGCAGCAACAACAAAAACCAAACACACTGGACTTAGCACCATGTGTGGTACACAGTGAACCTCCAGAAGGACTTGTTGAAAGCCACTTTGAGACTTGATCTCCTTGTGCTAGTTGCATGAGTGTGAGCAAGGTGCCGAAGTGGCTCTATCAGAAGAATTGGGAATGTCCTTCCAATTGCACAGGCTATCAAATGAAGGACTGCAAAGTAAAACGCATTGTGAAAGTTAGAAAATTCTGTACAAATGTGAGGCTATCTGATTGTGGCAGCTAAGCACTACTCCCCTGCCCGCTCCATGCCCCATAGGAGACAAGGGCTTTGGTGGTTCCTTTTAGAGAGAAAAACTATAAATGGTCAGCTCCTGAACCTAATCACTTGTGGGCTACAATCTCTGCAATACTGGTTATTGGGTGATGAGCCCTCCTAAATATCTTCCTACCCTAGATTTTCTAAGAGTTTCTACATCTGTTGTTTATTTCACAAATAATAGCTGAGTATTCACCCAATTATTGACCCATTGCCCATTCATGCCTTTATTCCTGCAATCAAGAAATGTTTATTGAGCACCTAATAGCATGATGATAAGCTCTAGATATACACCAATGAGTCAGACATGGTCGCTGCCCTCCAGGAACTCAGTCTACTGGGGGAGGCAGTCACAGAACAATATCCATGCAATGAAGTGTCACAGGGTGATATGATAGAGAAAAATACAGAACATTCTAGAGCAGGGAGGACTGATTTTATTCAAAAAACCTTACCATGTGGTCGAAGATGAACGAGGTCAATGGTCTCACCCGCTTATGACTCATATATTACATGACTGCTAATAAATATTGCTTCTAAAGGTTTTTCTCATAGGGTAGCTGAGTGTGAGAGAGATAATCTGACAGGAAAGTCTGCACACAGCAAAAACCATGATAATCTTGTTGTCTAGAGACTCAGTGGTTTAAACTCTTCGCAATGACCTTTCTCACCAAGGCAACTACCTACTGAAACAATAGCTTTCTCATTACTGCTGCCCAAAGTATCTTTTAAAAGCTATTTTAGTTCTATATGGATGGCATATTCACTTGGACCAAGTGCTGGCTTTGTTCTTCTCTGTTTCTTTTTGTTGTTGTTGTTGTTGTTGAGACGGAGTCTCACTCTGTTACCCAGGCTGGAGTGCAATGGCCTGATCTTGGCTCACCGCAACCTCCGCCTCCCGGGTTCAAGTGATTCTCCTGCTTCAGCCTCCCAAGTAGCTGGGATTGCAGGCATGTGCCACCACGCCCAGCTAATTTTTGTATTTTTAGTAGAGACGGGGTTTCACCATGTTGGTCAGGCTGGTCTCAAATTCCTAACCTCAAGTGATCCGCCCGCCTTGGCCTCCCAAAGTGCTGGGATTCCAGGCGTGAGCCACTGTCCCCAGCCTGTCCTCCTCTATTTCAAGGCACCCTTGAAGCTTTCTCTTTTTCCAGCCTTTCCTTATTCCTTCACTTTTAAACTAGTTTAATCAAATAATGACTTTATTGGCCCATGAAATTAAGAAGGGCATGGGTGGAGCTGGCCTCTGACATGTGGAAACAGGGTCTGGAATGCTGTGGACGCCGTTCTCCACCCACCTCTCCCCACCCCATTTCTCAGCTCCGTTTTTCTCTGCTGGTAACTTCATTTTTTTCTCCTGCAGATGTGCTTTCTTTCTGCAGGGGTAAACACTATCACGAATAGCTTGGGTCTTACTGTATTTCTGCCTAGTGATTCAACAGTAAAAGGAAACTTTACTTAAAATTCCAAGGGTAAAATACTGATTGGCCTAACCTGAGTCATATGCTCATTTCTGGACCAATCACTGTAATCAAGGAAGTGTGGTATTCTGATTGGCTAGGTCTGGATCACATGTCCATTTATGTGGCTGGGACAATGTCAGCCCTCATCAGAACCACATGGTTGACGTAGGAAAGGAAGAATTCCCCAAAGATCTGTCAGATGAGTGTGGGTGGAGGGATGAATATTGTTATCAGAAGGGGAAAAGTTGGTTATGAGTAGGCAAGAAGAAAGGATATGCTTTAATCTTTTTTCACAAACATTCCCCACTCTACCAGATGTGAGGGACAAAAAACTGAAATAATAGAAATAAAGTTTAAAATACATACTTTCAAATAGCAATACCAGCGACAATTTAAAATTTGTTACAAAGTTAGGAAAAGATGGATTTTTCTTTAGCCGTGGTAAGAAGTAGCTACCAGGGCCAGTTTTAAACCTGTTCCACAGACAAGACAACTCATCTCACTGAACATGCATATAGCCAACCAATCAGTGTCAGTCTTTTGCCTCTAAAAGTTCGCCAATCAGTGATGGACTCATTCCTGTAAACACGCCAGGGACAGCACACCAATCAACAAGGGTCTCACCCCAGTAATCGTGCTTCTACAAATGATATTAACCCCTCACACCTCTTAAAGTCTGCCGAGCCTTGAACTCCATGTTTCCCAAAAACCCAATATGAAATCAATGCTTTGTTTTGCTCAGAGAAACTGTGTCTAACCGGTTTACCTCTCCCTTACCATAGTGAGCAATAAATTCAGTTTTTTTTTCTTTCTGGCTCTATATAGGTTTGTTGAACATTTTTAGAATCCCATTTCTATTTCTAGTGTTTTTCAGTATGTATCTCTGAGCAGCTTTTTAAGTAGTTGCTTTAGGTATTACATACATAACTTATCAAAGTCTACTGGCATCGATATTTTACCAGTTCAAGTAAAGTTTAGAAACCTTGCCTTCATTTATATCCCTTTACCCTCTCTCATTAATAATATAAATATTTTATCTACATGCATTGAGAACTACATTGGACAGTGTTAAAATTTTTGCTTCAGTCATCAAACATAATTTGGAAACCTCAAGAGGAGAAGGAAATTTTATTTACCATATTTTTACTATTATAATATTCTTCCTTACTTCCAGACGTCCCCATGACTCTTTCTTTTATAATTTGTGTTTAGAGAACTTCCTTTGGCCATTCTTTAATGTATGTGTGCTGGGGACAAGGCAAATTCACTTAGTTTCCTTTTAACTGAGCGTATCTTGATTCCTCCTTCATTTTTGAAGGATATTGTTGCTAGATGTGAAATTCTGTGTTGACAATTCTTTTCTTCCAGCATTTGAAAAATGTGCCACTTTCTTCTGGCCTCCATGCTTTTTAGTGAGAAATCCACTGTCCTTCCAGTTGTTTTTTTCCCTTGTTGATAATGTATTGTTATTCTCTGGCTATTTTCAAGATTTTTTCTTTGTTTTTAGTTTTCAGAAGTTTGACTCTGATGTGTCTTGCTGTGGATTTCTCTGAATTTTTCCTGTATGGGATTCACTTTGCTTCTTGAACCTGTAGTTGGTTTGTTTTTTTGCCAAATTTGAGACTTTTTCAGCCATTATTTCTTGAAATATTTTTTCAGTCCCCACCTTCTTTTGCTCTCCTGAAACTTGTTATAGTCCCACGTCTCCGAGGCTCTGCTCATTTCTTCAATCTATTTTCTCTCTGTTGTTCAAATTAGGTATCTTTAAGTTTACTGATTCTTTCCTCTGTTCCAGTCATTCTTCTGTTGTGGTCATACATTTAGTTTTTTAATTTTGATTTTTGTATTTTATTGTAGTTCTAAAATATGTATTTTGTTCTTCTTGATATCTTCTTAAGTCTTTGCTGAGACTTTCTATATTTTTCTCATTTTCATAATTGCATGTTGAAACATTTTTGTGATGGATGATTTATAATCCTTATTGTATAATTCTAACATCTGTGTCATCTGGGTGTTGTCCTCTGTCAGTTGTCTTTTCTCATTTGATTTGAGATCTTCCTAATAGTTCTTGGTATATGAGATTTTTGATTGAAACTTGGACATTTGGGATATTTTGCTTTAAGACTGCATGTTATTTAAATCTTGTGTTTTAGCTGGCTTTTACCTATCTGATGGTGCTACTTCATTAACACCAGCTAATGTCTCTAGACATTTCCAAATGTCCTCCAGGGAAAAAGTGGTTTTTCATATTTGAGAACTATTGGCTAGCTGATCCCAGTGAACCTCCAGATTCATGAATGAAATGAGTGATAGGCTATTGTTTTTAAACCACTGTTTGGGTGTGATTTGATATACAGTAATAGATAATCAAGGGGCCTGGGAGAGGCTAGGATTCAGAACATCTTCGCCTCCTTCACAAGTTTACCTGACACTAGCTTAAGAGCTGGATTAGCTCAAGAGACCTGGATGAATAGTCGTTGCTTCTATCACCTCTGGAGTTTTTACGGTGAACTATCTTCTACATATGGTATCTAGATATGTATTTATTTATCATTTGTAGAAGGATTTGTAAAGACTTATAAAAAATATATGTATGCCATAGAAACATGTACCTTATATGTAAAATACATAAAAGACAGTTAAATAGAAATAAAAGGAAAATTGGAAATCATTCAGGAGAACAGGCAAATAACAATAATAATAATAATATATATATTTTTGAGACGGAGTCTCACTCTGTCGCCAGGCTGGAGTGCAGTGGCGTGATCCAGCTCACTGCAAGCTCCGCCCCCTGGGTTTACGCCATTCTCCTGCCTCAGCCTCCAAAGTAGGTGGGACTACAGGCGCCCGCCACCACGCCCAGCTAATTTTTTGTATTTTTAGTAGAGACGGGGTTTCACTGTGTTAGCCGGGATGTCTTGATCTCCTGACCTCTTGATCCGCCCTCCCAAAATGCTGGGATTACAGGCGTGAGCCACCGCGTCTGGCCGCAAATAATTATTTTAAGCAGAAGAAAATGCTTACTGATTTTTGTTTCTCATCTTTCTGAAAACCAAGAGAAACACTTTGGTTTCATTGTAAACTCATTTGTATTAAATGATTTTTTCTCCCTAAATCGTAAGAGAAATTTAAAACATGCATTCTTAAATGAAGGACATTGAAAGGGTTGTCAACAACAGTTTTACTTTTTTACAACTTGCAGAAAAATTCTCCTTATGGCCAAGGACCTCAAAATAAATCGAAAGCTAAGGGAAGTATTTCGGCCAGAATAAAGCTTATGTAGCCCAGGTGTTTTTGATGATTTAGCAAGACAACAGGACATCTCTTAGAGAAGGCACTCAACCAAGGAATAGAACTCAGATGGTGGCCAGCTGGTCAGCAGCCTATTTCTGGTAAGTACTATCTCATGAGATCATCTGTTAACGTCCTTCTGGTTTAAGACTCATACATCTTAAGAACCACATCATACATATTTGAAAGGATGCTTATTTTCCCTTTTTTTTTGTTTCTTAGAAGGTGGCAAATCTATGAATGGGATCAAGTTATTAATCAACAATTTAAGAAGGAAAAAGGGGAGGGGACAAAACACTCTCTGGATTTCCACAAACAACTTCTTTTTTTAAAAAATTGAAAATAGTTATGGGTACATAGTAGGTATGTATATTTATGGGGTACATGAGATATTGTGATGCAGGCATACAAGATGTAATAATCACATCAGGGTAAATGGGGTATCCAGCACCTCAAGTATTTATAATTTCTTTGTGTTACAAACATTCCAGTTATACTCTTTTAGTTATTTTAAAATGTACAATAAATTTTTGTTGACTGTAATCACCCTGTTGTGCTAGCAAATACTAGATCTTATTAATTCTATCTAACTATGTTTTCATACCCATTAACCATCGCCACTCCCCTCCCCTCACTACCCTTCCCAGCCTCTGGTAACCATCCTCCTACTCTGTCTCCATGAGCTCAATTGTTTTAATTTTTAGCTTCCACAAATAAGTGAGAACATGTTAAGTTTGTCTTTCTGTGCTTGACTTATTACACACGATATGTCCTCCAGTTCCATCCATGTAGTTGCAAATGACAGGATCTCATTTTTTTTAATGGCTGAATAGTACTCCATTTTGTATTTGTACCACATTTTGTTTATCCATTCATCTGTTGATGGATGCTTAGGTTGCCTCCAAATCTTGGCTATGGTGAATAGTGCTTTAATAAACATGGGATTGTGGATACTTGTTTGATATACTGATTTCCTTTCTTTGGGGTATGTACCTAGCAGTGGGATTGCTGGATTATATGGTAGCTCTATTTGTCATTTTCTGAGGAACCTCCATACTGTTATCCATAGTGGTTGTACTAATTTACATTCCCATGAACAGTGTACAAGGGTTCCCTTTTCTCCACATCCTCGACAGCACTCGTTATTGCCTGTCTTTAGGATATAAGCCATTTTAACTGAAGTGAGATGATATCTCATTGTAGTTTTGATTTGCATTTCTCTGATGATCAATGATGTTGAGCATCTTTTCATATACCTGTTTGCAATTTCTATGTCTTCTTTTGAGAAGTATCTATTCAGATCTTTTGCTAATTTTCAAATTGGATTATTAGATATTTTTCCTATAGATTTGAATTCCTTATATATTCTGGTTATTAATCCTTTGTCAAATGGATAGTTTCCAAATATTTTCTCCCATTCTGTGGGTCATCTCTTCACTTTGTTGATTGTTTCCTTTGCTGTGGAGAAGCTTTTTAACTAGATGTGATCCTGTTTATCCATTTTTGCTTCGGTTGCCTGTGCTTGTGCAGTATTACCTAAGAAATCTTTGCTCAGACCAATGTCCCCGGAAAGGTTCCCCAGTGTTTGTTTTTAGTCATTTCATAGTCTCAGGTTTTAGATTTATGTTTTTAATCTATTTTGATTTTTTTTAATATGGTGAGAGATAGGGTCTGGTTTCATTCTTCTGCATATGGGTATCCAGTTTTCCCAGCACCGTTTATTGAAGAGGCTACCCTTTCCCTAATGCATGTTCTTGGCAACTTTGTCAAAAATGAGTTCATGGTAGATGTATGGATTTATTTTTGGGCTCTTTATTCCATTCCACTGGTCTATGTGCCTGCTTTTATGCCAGTACCATGCTGTTTTGGTTACTATAGTCTGTAGTATGATTTGAAGTCAGGTAATGATATTCCTTCAGTTTTGTTATTTTTGCTCGGGATGTCTTTGGCAATTCTGGGTCTTGCATCGTTCCATATACGTTTTAGGATTTTCTGTTTCTACAAAGAATGTCATTGGTATTTTGATTGGGATTCCACTGAACCTGTAATTTCTTTGAGTACTACGGACATTTGAACAATATTAATTTTTCGAGTACATGAACATAGAATATATTTCCGTTTTTTTGTGTCCTCTTCAATTTCTTGCATCAGTATTTTAAAGTTTTCATTGCAAAGATCTTTTACTTCTTTTAAGTTAATTTCTAGATATTTTATTGTATTTGTAGCTATTTTAAATGAGCTTTTTTCTTGATTTCTTTATCAGTTTGTTTGTTATTGGCATACAGAAATGCTACTAATTTTTTTTTTTTTAACAGAATCTTACTCTGTCACCCAGGCTGGAGTGCAGTGGCACGAACTTGGCTCACCGCAACCTCTGCCTCCCAGATTGAAGAGATTCTCCTGCCTCAGCCTCTCGAGTAGCTGGGATTATAGGCATGAGCTGCCACGTCCGGCTAATTTTTGTGTGTTTAGTAGAGACGGGGTTTTACCATGTTGGCCAGGCTGGTCTCAAACCCCTGACCGCAGGTGATCAGCCTGCCTCGGCCTCCCAAAGTGTTAGGACTACAGGTGTGAGCCACCGCACCTGGCCAAATGCAACTAATTTTTGTATGTTGATTTTATATCCTGCAACTTTACTGAATTTGTCAGTTCTAATAGTTTTTTGGTAGAGTTTTAAAGTTTCTTCAAATATAAGATCATATTATTTGCAAACAAGGATAATTTGACTACTTCCTTTACAATCTGGATACCCTTTATTTCTTTCTGTTGCCTGATTGGTCTACCTAGGACCTCTGGTACTATGTTGAATAACAGTGGTGAGAGATAGGTTTAAGATGGTGGATAGGAGGCAGGACTAGCTTGCAGATCCTGCTTGGACAGAAAGAGCAGCCAGCATGTGGAGACTCACATTGTGATCTTTTGCTTCAAGAACTACTAAAGGAACCTACAAGGAAAGCTGAGAGAATCTACAGACCCTTTGAAGAAACTGGATCGCCATAGCAGGCTCCCTGAGATGCCGAAAAACTGTGAGTCTGCTTGCTTTCTCAGTGGGGAGGCTGGTGGTCTGGGGCAAGTTCTTTTCCCTGGTCACTGGATGCCTGGAAATAGACTTGGTGCTCCCTCGTTTCGGGGCATGGTAGAAATGAGTGACTTTGTCAAAAATGAGTTTATTGTAGATGTATAGATTGATTTCCATACAGCCTATAGGACTGCAGGTTCCATGGGAGTGGGGTGAGGTCTGTGACTACCAGGTTTCTCCCGCTTCCCTGGGGATCTGTATGACTCAGCAGAGCAGCCATAATCCCCCAGGGAACATAACTCCATTGGCCTGGGAACAACACCCCCACCCCCCACCACAGCCACAGCAAGCCCCACACCAGCAGAGTCTGAGCTCAGACATGCCTATCCCTGCCCCAATCTTGTGGTCTTTCTCTACCAGTTTTGGTTGCCAAAGATGAAGGACATAATTTCTTGGGAGCTCTATGGCCCTGCCCGCCACCTGAGAAACCTGGATACCTAACCAGGTGACCCTAGGGCAAGTTTGCATCCTCCCTATAGTACTGAAGGTGATGTGCTCTTGAAAGCACCACTTCCTGGCTAGAGGCCAATCAACACAAAACCAGTGCACTAAACAAAAATACAACCAAGGACCTCATGGAGTCCACTTCACTCCCCTGCTACCTCCACCAGAGCACGTGGTGGTATCCATGGCTGCGAGACCTGAAGATGGTTCACATCACAGGACTGTTTGCAGACACTCCCCAGTACCAGCCCGGAGGCTGGTAGCTCCACTGGGTGGCTAGACCCAGAAGAGTAAAAACAATCACTGCAGTTCACCTCTCATGAAGCCCCATCCCTAGAGGAAGGTGGAGAGCACTACATCAAGGGAGCATCCTGTTGTGCAAAATAATCTGAACAGCAGCCATTGAGTCCCAGATCTTCCCTCTGACATAGTCTACCCAAATGAAAAGAAACAAGAAAAAGGATCCTGGTACTATGACAAAAGAAGTTTCTTTAATGCCCCCAAAAGATCACACCAGCTCAACAAAAATGGGTCCAAACCAAGACAAAATCTGTGAATTGTCAGAAAAAGAATTCAGAAGATTAATTACTAAGCTAATCAAGGAGGCACCAGAGAAAGGTGAAGTACAACTTAAGGAAATAAAAAACATGATACAGGATATGAAAGGAAAAATCTTTGGTGAAATAGATGGCATAAATAAAAAACAATCACACTTCTGGAAATCAAGGACACACTTAGATAAATGCAAAATGCACTGGAAAGTCTCAGCAATGGTATCGAACAAGGAGAAGTAAGAACTTCAGAGCTTGAAGACAAGGTTTTTGAATTAACCCAATCCATCAAAGACGAAGATAAAATAATTTTAAAAATGAACAAAGCCTCTAAGAAGTTTGCAACTAGGTTAAGTGTCCAAATCTAAGAATAATTGATGTTCCTAAGAAAGAAGAGAAATCTAAAAGTTTGGAAAACATATTTGAGGGAATAATTGAGGAAAACTTCCCTGGCCATGCTAGAGATATAGACACGCAAATACAAGAAGCTCAAAGAACACCTGGGAAATTCATCACAAAAAGATCATTGCTTAGTCACATAGTCATCAGGTTATCTAAAGTCAAGATGAAGGTTATCTAAAGTTAAGAGCTGTCAGGCAAAAGCATCAGGAAACCTGTAAAGGAAAACCTGTCAGAGTAACAGCAGATTTCTCAGCAGAAACCCTACAAGCTAGAAGGAATTAGGGTAATATTTTTAGCCTCCTTAAACAAAACAATTATCTGCCACGAATTTTGTATCTAGCAAAACTAAGCTTCATAAATGAAGGAAAGATACAGTGTTTTCCAGACAAACAAATGCTGAGAGATTTGCCCCTATCAAGCCAGCACTACAAGAACTGCTAAAAGGAATTGTAAATCTTGAAACAAATCCTAAAAATACACCAAAATAGAACCTTCTTAAAGGATAAATCTCACAGGACCTATATAACAATAACACAATGAAGAAACAACAACAAGGTATTCAGGCAACAAATAACATGATGAATAGAATAGTACTTCACATCTCAATACTAATGTTGAATGTAAATGGCCTAAATGCTCCCCTTAAAAAATACAGAATGGCAGAATGGATAAGAATTTGCCAACAAAGTTTCTTCTGTCTTCAGGAGACTTACCTAACACATAAGGACTCACATAAACTTAAGGTAAGGGGGTAAAAAAGATATTCCATGCAAATGGACACCAAAAGCAAGCAGGAGTAGCTATTCTTGTATCAGACAAAACAAACTTTAAAGCAACAGCAGTTAACAAAGACAAAGGGGAACATTATATAATGATAAAAGGTCTAGTCTAACAGGAAAATATTACAATCCTAAATATATATGCGCCTAACACTGGAGCTCCCAAATTTCCAAAACAATTATTACTAGGCCTAAGAAAGGAGACAGACAGCAACACAATAATAGTGGGGGACTTCAATACTCCACTAACAGCACTAGATTGGTCATCAAGACATAAAGTCAACAAAGATACAATTGATTTAAACTATACCCTAGGACAAATGTACTTAACAGATAATTACATAACATCCTACCCAACAACTGCAGAATATACATTCTATTCATCAGCACATGGAACATTCTCCAAGATAGACCATATGATAGGCCACAAAACATATCTCAGCAAATATAAGCAAATCAAAATTATATCAAGTGCTCTCTCTGATCACAGTGAAATAATATTGGAAATCAACTTTAAAAGGTACCCTCAAAACCATGCAAATACATGGAAATTAAATAACCTGCTCCTGAATGATCATTGGGTAAACAATAAGATTAAGATGGAAATTAAAGATTATTTGAACTGAACAAGAATAGTTATACAACCTATCAAACCTCGGGGATACAGAAAAAGCAGTGCCAAGAGGAAAGTTCACAGCATTAAATGCCTACATCAAAAAGTCTGAAAGATCACAAACAGACAATCTATGGTCACACCTCATGGAAGTGGAGAAGTAAGAACAATCCAAATCCAAACCCAGCAGAAGAAAAGAAATAACAAAGATCAGAGGAGAACTAAATGAAATTGAAACAAACAAACAAACAAAACACAAAAGATAAATGAAACAAAAAGCTGGTTGTTTGAAAAGATAAATAAAATTGGTAGACCATTAACAAGATTAACCAAAAAAAGAACAGAGGAGTTAAATAAATTAGAAATGAAAAGGGAGATATTACTACTGATACCAGAGCAATACAAAAGATTATTGAAGGCTACTATGAACACCTTTACACACATAAACTAGAAAACTTAGAGGAAATAGATAAATTACTGGAAATATACAACCCTCCTAGATTGAAACAAGAAGATACAGAAACTCTGAACAGACAAATAAGGAGCAGCAAGGTTGAGATGGTAATTAAAAAATTTGCCAACCAAAAAAAAGTTCAGGACCAGACAAAAATCACTGCTGAATTCTATCAGTCATTCAAAGAAGAATTGCTATCAATCCTATAGACACTATTCCACAGGATATAGAAAGAGGGAATCCTCCCTAAATCATTTTACGAAGTCAGCATCACCCTAATACCAAAACCAGGGAAGAACATAACGAAAGAAGAAAACTACAATCCACTATCCCTGATGAACACAGATGCAAAAATCTTCAATAAATTACTAGCTGACTGAATCCAACAGCATATCAAAAAGATAATCCACCATGATGAAGTGTGTTTCACACCAGGGATGCAAGGATGGCTTAACATATGCAAGCCAATAAATGTGGTACACTACATAAACATAATTAAAAACAAAAATCCCATGATCATCTCAATGGATGCAGAAAAACATTTAACAAAGTGCAGCATCCCTTTATGATTAAAACCCTCAGTGAAATTGGCATAGAAGGGAAATACTTTGAGGTAATAAAATCCATCTATGACAAACCCACAGCCAACATCATACTGCATGGAGAAAAGTTGAAAACATTCCCCCTGAGAACTGGAACATGACAAGGATGCCCACTTACACCACTTCTATTAAACATGGTACTTGAAATCCTAGCCGGAGCAATCAGACAAGAGAAAGAAAGAAAGGACATCCATACTGGTAAAGAGGAATTCAAACTGTCACGGTTTGCTGATTATATAATTGCATGTCAAGAAAACCCTAACGACTCATCCAAGAAGCTCCTAGAACTGGTAAAGGAATTCAACAAAGTTTCAGGATACAAAATTAATGCACACAAATCAGTAGCTCTGCTATACACCAATGCGACCAAGCTGAGAATCAAATCAAGAGCTCAACCCCTTTTACAATAGCTGCAAAAAGTGTAAAATCTTAGGAATATACCTAACCAAGGAAGTGAAAGACCTCTACAAGGAAAACTACAAAACACTGCTGAAAGAAATCGTAGACAACACAAACAAAAGGAAACACATCCCATGACCATGAATGGGTAGAATCAATATTGTGAAAATGACCACACTGCCAAAAGCAATCTACAAATTCAATTCAATGCCCATCAAAATATCACCATCGCACTTTGGGAGGCTGAGGCAGGCGGATCAAGATCATCCTGGCTAACACGGTGAAACCCCGTTTCCACTAAAAATACAAAAAAATTAGCCAGGTGTGGTGGCAGGCACCTGTAGTCCCAGCTACTCAGGAGGCTGAGGCAGGAGAATGGCATGAGCCTGGGAGGCAGAGCTTGCAGTGAGCCGAGATCGCGCCACTGCACTCCAGTCTGGCAACAGAGCAAGACTAAGTCTCAAAAAAAAAAAAAAAAAAAAAAAAAAAAAAAAACCCACCATCATTCTTCACAGAACTAGAAAAAACAATCCTAAAATTCATATGGAACCAAAAGACAGCCCTCATAGCCAAGCAAGACTAAGCAAAAAGAACAAATCTGGAGGCATTACATTACCCAACTTCAAACTATACTACAAGGCCATAGTCACCAAAACAGTATGGTACTGGCATAAAAATAGTCACATAGACCAATGGAACAGAATAAGAACTGAGAAATAAAGTCAAATACTTACAGCTGACTGATGTTTGATAAAGGAAACAAAAACATAAAATGGGAAAAGGACACCCTATTCAACAAATGGTGCTGGGATGACTGGCAAGCAACATGTAGAAGAATGAAACTGTATCCTTGTCTCTCACCTTATTCAAAAATCCAAAAATCAACTCAAGATGGATCAAAGACTTAAATCTAAGACCTGAAACCGTAAAAACGCTAGAAGATAACATTGGAAAAATCCTTTTAGACATTGGCTTAGGCAGAGACTTCATAACCAAGAACTCAAAAGCAAATGCAACAAAAACAAAAATAAATGGGACTTAATTAAACTAAAAAGCTTCTGCACAGCAATATAAATAATCAGCAGACTTAACAGAAAACCCACAGAGGGAGAAAATCTTGACAATCTATACATCCAACAAAGGACTAATATGCAGAATCTACAAAGAATTCAAACAAATCAGCAAGAAAAAAACAAACAATCCCATCAAAAAGTGGGCTAAGGACATGAATAGACAGTTCTCAAAATAAGATATATAAATGGGCAACAAGCATATGGAAAAATGCTCAACATCACTAATTATCAGGGAAATGCAAATTAAACTCACAATGTGATACCACCTTACCCCTGAAAGAATGGCCATAATCAAAAAATTAAAAAATAATAGATGGTGGCGTGAATATGGTAAAAAGGGAACACTTCTACACTGTTGGTGGGAATGTAAACTGACACAACCACTATGGAAAACAGTGTGGAGATTCCTTAAAGATCTAAAAGTAGATCTACCATTTGATCCAGCAATTCCACTACTAGGTATCTACCCAGAGGAAAAGAAGTCATTATATGAAAAAGATACTCACACATGCATGTTTCACGCATGTTTCTAGCAACAGAATTGGCAATTGCAAAAATATGAAACCAGCCCAAATGTCCATCAATCAATGAGCAGATACAGAAAATGTGATATATATACACACACACATATATATATGTATGTGTGTGTATATATACACACATACCATGGAATACTTCTCAGCCATAAAAAGCAATTAAATAATGGCATTTGCAGCAACCTGGATGGAATTGCAGACTATTATTTTAGGTGAAGTAACTCAGGAATGGAAAACCAAACATTGTATGTTCTCACTCATAAGTGGGAGCTAAACTATGAGGGACAAAAGACTACACTTTGGGTACAGTGTACACTGCTTGAGTGATGGGTGCACCAAAATCTCAGAAATCACTGCTAAAGAACGTATTTATGTAATCAGGCACCACCTGCTCCTTAAAAAACTATTGAATAAAAAATAAAATTTAAAAAGATAGATAATAACAAATGTTGATGAGGATGTGAAAATAAGAACCCTTAATATGTTGCTGGCAGAAATGTGAAACAATTTGGTGGCTCCTCAAACAGGTAAAGATAGAATTACCTTATGACCCAGTAATTCCGCTCCTAGGTATATACTGATGAGAATTGAAAACACATATTACACAAAACCTTGTACACAAAAAGTTTATTACAGCATTATTCCTAATAGCCAAAAGGTGGAAACAACTGAAATGTTCATCACCTATGAGTGGACAAACAAAATCTGGCATATCCATACAATAGAATGTTATTCAGCTATAAAAATAAATGAAATAGTGATACCTGCTGCAACACATAGGTGAACTTTGAAAACACTGTGCTAAGTAAAAGAAGCCTGCCACAAAATACTACATATATGATTCCATTTATATAAAATATCCAGAATAGGCAAATCTATATAGATGGAATGCAGACTGCCTAGGGCTTGCCTAGGGCTGAAGGCATGTGGAGAATGGGAGGTGACTGCTAAAGGGTATGGGGTTTCTTTTTGGAGTGGTGAAAATTTCAACAATTGATTGTGGTAATGGATGTGCAGCTCTGAGAATATGCTAACAACCATTGAATTGTACTCTTTAAATGGGTGAATTTATGGTATGTGAATTATATCTCAATATAATGATCTATGATCATTGTCATAGATCAGGCTGAATTGAAGATCTTTATGATGAAGACACATTCATTATATGTCCCTTGCCTCTACTTCTTCAAATTTTCATTTTGGTTTTCAACAATCAACCTGGAAACTATTAGTATTTGCATGTAACAGATGGACTAAGGAAATTATAGTATTTAATAGAGTTTACTTCTTGGTTCCTACTAAATTCAGAATCACCTTTGATCACCAAGTTGGCTCAGGGTCACTGGGTGGTGCAGGATGTTTATAATTTTTTACCGTGAGTGTGAATTCTGACTCTGTTTTTGGAGAAGTATACATTTTTGAGCCTGTGTTTTTGACTCATTGTGATGGCTGCCACAGCCTGACAATGAGGCTACTTATCTGTAAATCACAGTGCCAAAAAGTGAGCTCTTTGCATGTCCCCAAGAAAAGCCAATTCTTGGAGCAGTTTATTAAGATGTCACTTTTAGAAGGGCCTTGAATCTTTATTTTCAGAACTCAGTAATACAGTGTCTTTTGTCATTGTACTTTTGTCTACCCTGATTCCAGCCATTGTGGAACTTAGATGTTTGGGTCTACGTAGAAAGAACAATGAGGGAATAATCCTTTCAGTCAATAACATTGGTTAATCATATTTTGAGTCTTGATTCCTCCACATACTAGTTGAGTGATGTTGTGCAAGATTTTAACCTCTCTAATCCGTAGTTCCCTTTTGTGTAAAATGAAAATAATGATAGTATATTCCTCTTAGGGTTATTATAGGAATTAAATGAAATAATGTAAAGGTCTTAACTCAGTTCTCAGCAAATGACAAGCCTCTGAAAAATAGTAGCCATTGTGATGATTGAAAATAATACAGGGCAGGGAGAATCTATCAAATGTACTTTTTATAGCTCGAAGAGCTGGTAAAATGACTCCATTTTCCTTCTGTAATTGTAGTTAGTAAGAATGTTTTTGTATTACGTGTAATCTTAACTTGGAAGATTTCAGTGGATTATTTCATAAGGTTGAATTTTAATTTTCTAAGAATAATTCCACATTAGCATAAATTATTGATTAAGTAAAACTTTTCTAAGGGTAGAAAATGATAAGAATTTATTTAATAGACACATCCCTGTCTTTTATGTACTTGTTTAAAAATAGTTATTTGTGTCTTGGATATCCATTTCTTCTGTAGACATCCCAACTTACAGTAGACGTTCTCCCTCCCATATCCACTATGGTTGAAACAAAGTCCCTGCCTCTGTTTAAATCACAGAGGAATATTTTGGCATAAGCAGAATCCTATGCTTTATTCTTGCTATTTTGGATTGTGACTCATGCCTTCTTGTTCCTTAAAATTATTGTCACAGGGTCAGATTTCCTGTGAACTTTGCTTGTCTATGTTGAGTTGTAGTTTTCTTTTTAGCTCCTGTGAAGGACAATGTTTCATTACCCTGAAAAGTTTAAATCACACAAATATACAGTCACATCTAGAGAAATACAAGAAGTGATTATAAGACTGTGGTCTTCTAAAAAGAGCAAGCTCTCTGGAATCAGTTAGGTCTGGGTTCCGATCCAGATTCCTCCTTGTCCAGGTTGTGTGGCCAAGGGCAAACCATTTCTCCTCTCTGAGCCTATTCCTACACATGTAAAATAGAGAGATACTACAGTACTACACACACGTGAAACACTCAGAAGATTCTTCCAGTTTATAGAAAAATCTCAACACATGTTGTCTATTATTATGAGGATTACAATTATACTCCTGATTATTGTAATCTGGTAAGGCCATTGAGACAACATTGTACTGCAATAATTCATACAAAGCAATTAGCCCAGTACCTAGCAGAGTAGACAAAAGACAGCTACTAATATAATCAATAATTTACTTATTGGAGGGAAGATGTGGAAAGAGTAAGCCGGTGTGTTAATGTTGCCTCTCTTAGAACTTTGAATAAGCCCAGCCTCAGCTCTCTTTGCGAGAGGATAATGATAATGATGTCACCAACAATGATAACTGTCATTTACCAAGCACTTACTCAAAGCCAGACGTGGTGCTTGGTACATTCTCCATTTGTTCCTCCTAACAAATCTGTGAGATGAATATTAGCATTAACCCCACACCTCAGCATGGATCTCCCCAAAACACATTCTGAGACATACATTCAGGTGCAAGTAGCTTATTTTGGAGGGAATGTCAGGAGAGTACAGCGAGGTACTAGGAAGTGACACAGAGGAGGGAGGAAGCCAAGAAGGAATAAGATAATGACTAAGTACTGCCCTGGGCAACCAAGGCCAAGAGCACAAATTTCCCCAGATGTTATGGTAAGGCAAGGGCATTCCTGCTTCTCTTTGTTGGTATGCAAACCTGTGTGTTCTAGCTACTGAGGACATGGTGCCATTTAATGGTCACTGATTTAGGGAGAATACCACATCTTGGAGGATGGCACCCACTTGGCAGGGTATTATCTCCAATCCAGTGCTTCAGCTGTACATTTAAAGAGCTGTCCCATTGCTCTAAGTGGTGTGGTGTATGATAGGATTAGTGGATTCTGGCTCACGTGCTTACTGCTATATATCATTTGTTGTAAGTAGGTTGGTTGGTGTGAAGTGAAAGCATTTCCCAAACAAAAGCCATCTCATTTTTGAGTCCAGTTAGGGACTCAAATCACCTTATGTGTCCTTATTACCTAATGTCAGACTCCAAAGAAGAATGTCTTCATCAGACTTAAGCAGCACGCAGGGTAGTAGGAAACAATTGCACAGGTGCCTTTGTTGGGAAACAAATATGAATGCAAATGAGAGTACTAAATATTGTGGAAGAGGTGGACAGAGGGTGCCTGGCCAAGCTGGGGGAAGCTGCTTGATGCGGTTGGTAGAGGCTCCCAGAAGACGGGGATGGGGAGGAGTATTAATTGTAAAAGAATGAGTCCTGGCTCTCAAGAATCCAATTAAAATCATTCAAGATTGTTATTGAGTCTAAAGCCAAAAAGTGAAAATTCACACTCCATCCTAGAATTTTGTTGTGGAAAAGGATCATCTGGTCCAACAATACCACTTTACTTAATAAATGAGAAAGATGAGTTTGGTAGGATGGGAGCCACAGTCAAAGTAGAATGTATTTCAGCTGCTTGGGAAAAAGCTGGGGTAGGAGGACTTTGTGTACACGTGGTATCATCAGCTTGAGAGGATTTCTGAGTTGGAGGATGAAGTTGACAGAACAGAGAACTGGGATTGAACAAAGCCCAGCATGGAAGGAGTCTGGATCTAGGCAGAAGAAAGAATGCTGGACACCAAGCATGGCAAAATGCAAATCATTGTCAAAGCTGGTTGCTGTGCACAGGGGCTCATCACACCATTCTCTCTGCTTTGTGCATGTGTGCAACTTTTAATAATAAATAGAAAAGTATGCAGGGCAGGTTAACTGTGGAAGTTTCATATGCTGGTGAGGTTGAGAGCCTTGTGAACATGGATTACTCAGTGAGTCTGAATATGTTGAACTTCTGTTCAAAAACACTACTTGGTGACAATTCAAAAATTAACATAGGGCCAGAAGCAGAGGGAGCTTCAAGTTTAGATGGCCCAGATGGTATATGATTGAAGTGACTCAGGGAAGAACCCCAGAAAATATGTGCCTGGCCCTAGAGCCACCAATCATGGCTGATACAATAAAGAATTCAGCATCCATCTCAACTCCTCTGTAGTTGCCTCCCTGGAAAGCTAGGAACCATGTTTTCCAAGCTTCTTTACCACTTGGTTCAACATGGGACCCAGGTTTGGTCAAGCACTTCCACCTGCACAAATATAGGAGGCAGAAGTGAGCAACAGGACCTGCTGTTGGGTGAGGGGAAGTAGCCTCTTGTGACAATGGCAAATGTGGAGGAATTAGGCTCTTCTGGGATAGCTGCGGGAAAGCTCTTGGTGTCCAGTTCCTAGTATTATGGGAGCCAAAGAACAAGAAGAATAATTCTGCTCAGTGGCGTGGTGTTCAGCCGGATTGCTCTTGGCTACGGTGGTCCTGGATGTGAGCTTTCCTAACTGGGTGTTGTTTTTTTCTGCCCTTCCCAAAGATTGAGTTGCCTCTTAATATCCTCAAACTCCTTTCTGACTAATCAGCAAAGGGATTCTTTTTTTTTTTTTTTTTGCCACTAACAGCCCAGATACAGATGCTGTCCTTGATTCCTATTTCCCCTGCACCCCCAAATCCAATTTATTACTAAGACAGATCTTTTCAATCTGTTCACTTCTCTCCTTCTCCTCTGCTGCTTCCCTGGTTCAGAACCCTACCATGTCCTGTCCACATTCCAGCCACCACATCCCTTCGGCAGCTCTCTGGTGGCTCTCACTGACCCCAGTGTCACCTCCAACCCAATTCATTCTCTACACTGACACTAGAGCCATCTTCATATAGTGTCAATATGCTCATGACACTACCCAGCACAAACTCCCCTCTCATGCATATATATCTAGGCCTTAGCCATGTGGAATTACTTTCTATTACCAGAGTGTGCAGCTATTCCTTTTATCACTAGGGCTCTGTGTATGTTGCTTTTTCCACCTAGGACACTCTTCCTCCCCTTACCAGGCTAGCTTCTATTCATATTTCAGGTCTTAGGTTAAGTGTAATCTCCAGGAGGCATTTCTTGATTTCTCAAGTTCCAATTAGGTGATTCTATAGTATCCCCAAATGTATTGTACTTGCTGTTTATTTATCTGTATCTCCTACTAGCCAAAAAGCCTTATGAGGGCCAGAATCTTGTCTGATTACTTGATAATTATGCCTCCCAAATTGGCACACAGGCTGAAGCATTGTGGGTACTCAGCAAAAAGTAGTTAAATGAAGAATAGTGTCAAATGCAACAGGAAGGTCTAAAGTTAGAGATTGCCCATCATCCATGAGTTTGGCAATCTAGTGGACTCTGATGACCTTACAGGGGCAGTTTCAGTGGAGAAGTGGCAGCAAAAGCTAGCGCCAAGTGGGCAATGAGGAAGTAGAAATGGGAAGTGCATTGGGAATCACACCCCTCCTAACTCTGTTGCTGGCCAAAATATTTCAGTCAGGTCAGCGGGCAGGAGAGGCAGTGGAAACACAAATGTATTAGATACCTGAGACATTCGTTTGTAAAAAGTGGTGTCCCAAAGAAGGGCAAAGTGACAGTTGACACACACAGGAAAAATAAGAGGAGGCAAAGATGCTAAGGCACCAACTTTAAGGCACACTTTTCCATAAGCCACAGAAGGTACAGTGCCTGGGGTCCACAAAAATGTTTAATTTTCATTTCTTTTAAAGTTAGAATAAAAATTACTCTAATCATAACATATCTGTAATAATAAATTCAGTCATGATTATGTTTGTCTTTATAATAAAATACAATTTTTAATGTTAATTGTTGGAGGAAGGAGGTCACAAAGGCAAAAGTGCCCAGAGCTCAGGGAGGACATAATGCAGCTGTGAGCGACTTTGCTGATTTTACAATCTAGTCTTGCTTGTGAGATTCATTTGGCATGAACTAGGTCACCCCCTTTCTTCTCTCAGCCTCTGGCTCCCACCTTAGCTCTCTCATACTTCCGGGGTCAACCTGGGGTGGGTGACTACATGCTCTGATATTGAGGGCACTTTGGTCTGAAAAGGTCTTGTTAGAGGTTCTTGACAAGGCTAAAGGTGATATTGCTTTTAATAATTTCTACAAAGATATTGAGTTCAGCCTTTGGGCATGTCTGTCTTAGTTTCTCCTCAGGGCAAACACAGTCTAGATGATACAGATACCATCTTTCTGGAAATGTTGAGAGAGAGAAGACCCAGATAACTCTGCCAGTGTGGCACAGTATGCGTAAACAAGAAGTGCTGACTTTGTTCTATGAGGCAATTCGAAACTATCATAAATGACTCAATAGATAAACTAACTTGGGGAAATTAAAAGGGGCCCATGGGCAATGATTACTTCCCCTTTAAGGAAGCTAAGGACCAAAGAAACTTACCAGAAAACACTTTAACTTGCAGACTCATTTCCCAACAAGGTAGTCTTTGTTCCAAATAGAAGTCTCATTTGCTTTAGATAATGTAGACCATCAAATTGTGTGATTTCTTAATTTTACAGGAATCTCAATGTTTCTTGTAAAAGAGATGAAGTTTTTCTGGCTCCTGGTGTACAAGGAGGGCAGAGGTCAAAACGAGGACTTCTATCTCCCAAAGCTTTTCCTTTTGGAAACCACCTGCCACCAACACAGAACAAAGCCACAGTTGTGGGAGATGAAGCTAAAACCATGCATGCTCCATCCCAGCCCATTCAATGGCTTTGGAGCAAATGTTCTGTCTGATCAGAGATTCTGCAGGTACAGTTTATATTGAGTCATTAATCCATTCATCCCTTAAGACCCTTTCCAAGCCCCAGATGCTGGTGATGCAAATGTGAATAAAACTCCATCCCTGTTTGCTTTGCTAACACTTTTCCTCATAGTCCATACATATTACACAATTGTTAATCACCTCTCCCCTCAATCAGACCATATCTCCAAAAGAGCACAGACTTTGCCCTTTGTTTACCCCTGTGAACAGGGAGCACAGAACAGTGACTAGCATTTAGTCACTGTGCAAATATTTGTTGCATGATTTTGCTGAAAGAATTAATTATTGAGATTATTTCACAAAAATTGCTTAATCCTGGACAAACTGCTAAAAAGAAAAGTCCATAAACTCCATTCAAAGTAGTTTTTATTACCATTTCCAAGCATCTGGTTTTGAGAGAATTTATAAAGACATGATAAAATTAACATGGAAGCATGCTAATTTTACCAACACTTTTCTTTAATAAAAATGCAACATAAATATGTAACAGGGAACTACCAAGCTCTGTATAAACCTCTTAGAAGCTATTCACTTTGCAGATTTGAACTTCACTTGACCTGGCAATGATTCGAATTTATATCTTTAGTAACTTTTAAATATAGTATTTGCAAGCTAAACAATGCAATTCTTCTTTTAGTCATTTAAAATAGTAGTTCCTTCGTACAAGGCTAGATCCTTTCTTAGGAAAAATTAATCTGTTTTCAATAATCTTTGCACGTGTTCAAAACCTGGTTGGCCTGTATTGACATTTCAAAAGAAAACAGACTTGGATTCTGAACCAAATCAAACAACTCTCCAGGAGTGAGCCATTTGGCTTTGTAAAATAATCTGGTAGAAGGAGTTCAGTCTTAAGAGTAGAAAGTATAGAAAATCAGTGTGGCGATTCCTAAGGGATCTAGAACTAGAAATACCATTTGACCCAGCCATCCCATTACTTGATATATACCCAAAGGATTATAAATCATGCTGCTATAAAAACACATGCACACGTATGTTTATTGCAGCACTATTCACAATAGCAAAGACTTGGAACCAACCCAAATGTCTAACAATGATAGACTGGATTAAGAAAATGTGGCACATATACACCATGGAATACTATGCAGCCGTAAAAAATCATGAGTTCATGTCCTTTGTAGGGACATGGATGAAGCTGGAAACCATCATTCTCAGCAAACTATCGCAAGGTCAAAAAACCAAACACTGCATGTTCTAACTCATAGGTGGGAATTGAACAATGAGAACACTTGGACACAGGAAGGGGAACATCACACACCGGGACCTGTTGTGGGGTGGGGGGAGGAGGGAGGGACAGCATTAGGAGATATACCTAATGTAAATGATGAGTTAATGGGTGCAGCACACCAACATGGCACATGTAGACATATGTAACAAACCTGCATGTTGTGCACATGTACCCTAAAACTTAAAGTATAATAATAATAATAAAAAAAGAAAGTTACTATGTGGAATGATTGTCTCTTGATATCTAGAATTCCATATTGATGAGTCATTCCTTGGGGTCTCGAAGTGCCTTTTAATCTTCTGATTTTTCTCCTATGAACCTGGGAGGACTGAAATATCCTAATGTGTTATCTGCTAATCATATGCCTTTAGAAACCAGACAAAGATGAATTAGTGAAGCAGAGAGGTACATGGAAACAGGGAGTTTGGGGTACTGTAAACTCTCAAGTACCTGTGCCATCCAATTTCTAGCCAATAGCAACTTTATGCTTTTCATTTAGAAGGATGGCCGTCTAGCTGGGCAGGAATGGGAATGGGTTGGCAGAAGAGGAATGGAGAGAATGGGATGGGGTACTGGTGTTCGAAGCTAACTTTGCATAGAAGTTTACATTAAAAAAATATAACACAACAGCCATTCTCCATACCAAGGAATGAGGACAGAGTCCTGATGGAAATTATATGGAAAGAATAACTAGAGCTGCCTTAAGCCCCACCTTGGTGTTCCCTGGATCAAGTCCATTGTTGCCCTTTGAGAATTTGGGCCCAGTTTTATCATAGTGGTTGCTTTCTCTAAAGAAGCTGAGCCTTCTGATTTTTACAGAATATGTTCTGGTGGTGGCGGTGATAGTTTAGACTGAGTGGGTGGAAAAGGCCTGTTTGATAAGATAATATTTGGGTACAGTCTTGAGGAAAGTGAGTGAGTGGGTCATAACATAACAGGGCCAAGAGGCTTTCAGGAAAAAGAAAGGATTGCATAGCCCTGCAGCAGGAATGTGCTTGCAAGGCAGTGCATAGATTATTGCCCTGGAATGGAAGGAATGGGATGAAGAGTGGACACGGATGAGAGGAGAGGAGGAGCAGGCAACACAGCATGGAAGAACAGAGATGTCCAGTAATGGCTTTGGTGAGAGCAGAATGGGAGAAAGAAGAGGAGCTACCAGAGGGCTTTGAGGACAAGAGTAGCATGAGCCAGTCTGAGTCTTAAAGGGTCTACTCTTGCTAATGCTGTGGGGAGAATCATTTATAAAGTAGCAGGAAGAGAACCAGTTAGAAAGCGTATTGATTTGGATGAAGTTCAGTGGTGAGAGGAAAACCCAAATGACAGTGGCTTTAGGTAGAAGTTAGTTTCTCTCTTATTTATAGATTCAGACATCAAAATCCAAAAGTAGATGACAGATCTGTTTCACCAAGTCCTCAGGGACCCCAAGACCTTCCAACTCACTGCCATGAGTACAGTGGAAAAGAATAAACATAAGGATGTATCCCTGTGGTCTAAGTGGTCATCTCTGTACTGAAAAACAGGATGGAAGAACAGATTTAAAAAAAGGAAGAAAGGATACCTTGGAGCTATCTCTTAAAGGCTCTATAGATATTTCAGATTACATCCTCTTGGTCACACTAAGCTACAGGAAATGTTAGGAAATATAATCTACATTCTGGAAGACCAAGTACCCAGATGAAAATTGTATTTGCACAGGATATAGGGAGGGAACAAGTAGTTTTGTCCACAGGCTACTATTGCAGTAATCTAGGTGGGAGGTGATGGTAAGGGGGTCATGAGAAATGGTCAGATTCTGGATATGGTTTGAGGTGGAGGCAACAGGATATGATGATGCACTGGCTGTAGGATGTAAGGAAAAGAGTACAGCTAGAGATCATGAAGGTTCGGGCTTAAATAAATGAGAAATGGAGCTACTTTTATGGAGCAACCTTGAGGGTAAAGATAATCAGGAGTTTGATTTTGAAGAATGTTAATTTCAAGATACTAATGAGACACCCAAGTAGAGATGTCAAGAAGGCAGTTGGATATGCAAGCCCAGAGTTCAACTGAGACGTCTGGCTTAGAGCTAGAAATTTGGGATCCATCTGCATAGATTTGGTATGAAAACCTATAAAATTTGACAAAATCTTCTGGAGAATGAGTGCAGATGGGAAAGAATCAACATAAGGAACTGAGCTTGGGGCACTCCAACATTTAAGGGTTGGGGAGATGAGGAGGAGAGACCAGTAAGGAAAGCAAAGAACCAAGAAAGAATAGTCCATGGAGAAAAAAGTATTTCAAGAAGTGAAGGATACACTGTATCAAATACTACTGACAGGATGACTAAACTGAAGATTAGTAATTGGCCACCGGATTTGGTAAGATGAGGATCACTGGTGATCTTGATGTAAGTTGGTTTAAAAAAATTTTTTTTTGAGACAGAATCTCGCTCTGTTGCCCAGGCTGGAGTGCAGTGGCACGAACACAGCTCATTGAAGCTTTGACCTCTTGGGCTTAGGCGATCCTTCTGCCTCAGCCTTCCCGGTAGCTGGGGTCATAGGTGGAACACAGTGAAATGGTGAGTATGAAAACCTGCCTGGAGTAGGCTCAAAAGAGAAAGAAATTAGAGAAAGGAAGACAGTGAATATAGGCAGTTATTTTCAGGAATATATGTATAAAAGCTAGCAACAAAATAGGACGGTAGTTGCAAGATAATGCAAAGTCAATTTTTGGGGGGTTTTTTGTTGTTGTTTTGAAAGATGGGATATATATTAAGATGTTCTGTGAGTTAAGGAAAGATCCAGCATAGAGGGAAATTTTGATGATGCAGGAGAGGAGAGAATTGTTGGAGTAGGATTCTTAAGTAGATAAGAGGAAATGTGCCCAGTGCACATATGGAGGTTTTGGCTTTAGAAAGGAGCACAGACAATTCACCCAGGAGGGATGGCAAATTACATAGGAACAGATGCAGGTAGGCAGTGGAGGAAGTGTTGGGAACCAACGGAAATTTCTCCCTGATTGCTTCTTTTTTCTTATTTAAGTAGAATTCTAGCTCATCAGCTGAGAAAGAAGAGGAGTGAGGAGGAACTGGACAGTTGTGGAGAGAAGAGAAAGTATGAAATAGCTGTGCATGAGATTAAATGAATGAATGAATGAATTATGGAAATGTAGTGAGATTATTGGGCAGCACTATGGATTTATTTTGCATCAGCAGTCATGAGTTTAAAGTGAAACTAGCCACAGGAAACTTGTGAGTGTGGGCATAGGTAGAGTTGGATGAAACCAGAGCTGGGGTTTTGCCAGGAGAGTGCAACAGGGGAGTCGGGGAAGAGAGATAAAGATAGGAGAAGAGAGGATGGGAGAGAAGAGATTGAGTGTATTTATTTAAAATAGTCATAAGAAGGGACCATGTAATCTAATCTGACCAAGAGTGATGATCAGATTAGACAGTGTAAAGCTCTTAGATTCAATAGATCAACTGTGGACTTCCTTGGAAAAGTTGGCATATTCTGCATAAATAGACATTGTTACTTTTACAGTGATGTGTTAGAGTATTCTGAACTGCAGTTGAAATAAAACCCAAATTCCAGTGGCTTAAAAACAAAAAGTTTTTATAATAGGATTTGGATTGATGTCAGCTCTCCTCCACAGTCACTTAGTGGTCCCTATAGAGCCATTTGGGGATAGCTCTGCCATCCTCAATATGTGGCATCTAGAAGTTATACAAAGCTTTGCCACACCAATCAACCAGTAGAAAGAAAGAACATATTGGGATAAGTGTGAGGTTTGTATGGGCCAAACGTAGAGGTGACATGTGTCACTGCAATCATGTTTCACTGAAGAAAACTTGGCCACTTCACTGCGAGGGAGGCTGAGTAATGCAGTTTAGCTCTGTGCCAGTAAGAAGGGGAGAATGGATTTTTAGTAGGTAGCTAGCAACCTCTATCACAGTTAGCCCCTTTTGCTGCTATCATCCTTTACATAAAACATACGTGCATATTACTCTGGGGAGAAAACCCAAAATTTTGTCCACTTATTGAATTGTCTACTTGTTGATATCAAAGTCGAGGATCTCCAAATGATGCTCTGGCCTCTTCTGAAAGTCCAGATACAGTTCCTTGAAGTTCAGCATCCTTTGAACTAAAAGACCAGTTATCTTTGCTCCATCTGCCTATTCAATACACAAAAGTGGACTGGCTAACCACACTAAAAATGCCTAAAGAATTCCCTGGTCCAGAGCAATAATGGAATCCTGTAGGGTAGGTATTGCAAAGATCCCCAAACCCTAGAAGAAAATGTTTTGATAGACCCTGGGTCTGTCCTCTGCAAGGAACTTTCTTCCTCATTTTCCTCTGTCTCTTGGCTCTGACCTCCTGGAGAATATTTTTGTCCGTTAGCCTCCATGGACCCTTATACGGTGAATATTGAGGAGTATGTTACTAGGAGTTGCACATCTCCCAGAGCCCACTTTCTGCTGTTACATGAGGGTAATTTTACAGATTCAAGCTTGTGGTTTCCTGGGCATTACGGTTTTCTCAAAAACTCGATAGGTATCTGACCTATTTGTTTCCAGTCAGTTTCATGTGCTCGTAAATAACCCCCAAATTCTTTTCTAGACCTGATCTAAGGTTTGTCTTCCTGGAGCATACCATCTATTCCGCCATCATGGAATCCACATTGAAGTCTAAAATAGCCTGGGTGGCAAAGCAACTTTATTGATATTATCTTTGCCACTTGGCTGGATCTCTCTCTCTCTCTCTCTCTCTCTTTTTTTTTGATCTGCAAATCTTATCTTTTCGTATTTGAGGTATAGAACCCAAGAGTTTTTTCAGCCCCAAGAAGCTTTGTATTTTTTTTTCCAGTTCCACTTTGGCTGGCAAACTAACCAATTCTTGCTTGAGTTTATCTGTTTCTTGTAGCACTTGATTAAAAACAACAAATAGCAGTTGACATACACTAATATTCCTACTCTTTTCACCTGCTTTCCCTAAAGCCACAGACTCAATACGTTCTTGGTCTACCTTCCAAATAATCACAGATGATAATTTTTAAAGTTATCCATGGATAACATGAGGCTTTCACTTTCTAGCCACTCATAACCATTTTATTCCTGCCTTCAGTCTGAATGCTAAGCTAATACCTTCCATTTTAGATGTTTGTTATAGTGCTTACTTTTCGGTACTAGTTCTCATATGAAATAAGGAAGATGGCAAACACAGGGACCCAAAACATCCAGTAGCTTACAAAAAATGTTTTCCTTTCTCAAGGGGGAGGTTTAATCAGCAGCAACAGCGATACTGTTTTTCAGGGATTCAGATGTTCTAGTGAGTCTGCCATTTTCTACTCCTGGCTGCCAACATTGCCTCATGGTCATCATCCCAGTCAGCCAGGAAAGATGAGGAGGAGGAGGAGCATGAGTGGGTGGTTTCAGGACCATCTAAACCTCATTTTACAGATAAGAAAACTAAGAATTTGGCTAAGGTCACATAGCAAGAGTTTAGTGTGGTATCTTTGGGACTAAAATTCAGGTCACCTGCCTCCCACCTCATTACAGCATCCATCACACACACTTATATCCAGTCAAGCTACCCTGACCCAGTAGCACACTCCATGTCTAACCTCCTGCTGTGAAATGCCAACTGCTTTTCAGTCTGCATTAAACCATGGAGCCACATCGTGAATGTGCCATTGGAGAAATACAACAGGATGAATTCTTAACTTTCAGGCTCCCTATTGTCCTCATATATATTACTCCAACTCTCCACAGGGAATCTGAGTTCCAAGGGGTGAGTGAAACAAATTCTGCATAGCCATTACCTCATGTTAACAATGGCTTGGTGATAAACATCCATGGATTGCAGGATGCCTCTAGCAGGGACAGCAGCTTGTTTTTCACAGGGCTTGTTCTAGAAATGGACATGGAAAGGGAAAACAACTTACGCTTGTTTGTTTTTGATCGAAAAAGTGGGCAAATTTAAAATGCATCGGTATGTATTCTTATACATTTGTGTGTCCTGGTTATTTCTTGCAAAACATTCT
Organism: Homo sapiens; assembly: GCF_000001405.40. NCBI lineage: Eukaryota > Metazoa > Chordata > Mammalia > Primates > Hominidae > Homo > Homo sapiens. The sequence goes on along the minus strand of NC_000014.9, from coordinate 88,037,217 downwards.
ATGTGGCTCCAGTCATTCACACATAGACCGGCAGTAGTGTTTCCCAAAGGGACCCTTAAGGAATTCTGTTTCTTTGAGATATTTCATGAGAGCATGCAGAGAGAGCTGCAGTCTGTCTCTTGCCTCTAGAAACATCACCTTTCTCATTAGCAGATAAAAGGCCTTGGAAGTCCTTTCATTTAGCCCATTTCCCAAACTTCTTTGATCATGGAACCCATGTTGATTTTTTTCATGTACCGTCCTTAGAACTCAGGTTCCATGGGACACTCTTGGGAAGTCCTGGCTTATGAGTATCCTCCAGGAGTTTAACACCCTGGAGGGGGACTTTTGGTCACAATGACTCTCTGTAGAACCTCATAAATGCAGTTCTAGCTGTGAGCCTGTCACCAAGGTGACCACCGACATCACCAAATTCTCTTTTGTCACAATGTGACAGTATCTTTCCACTTTCCCCCTACTCCTGAATGTCTAAAGAACTCTCAATGCATATTAGCCATCACCATGGTTGAGACCCAGACCTCTGCAGAGACAATCTTGATCCTCTGGCTCCTGCTTCACATTGCCCATTCACCCTCAGCACTGAAATCCTTACCTCAAGCGCTGGGAATTCAGGCCATGGAAGATTAGGAGGCTCACAGCAGGTTGCTTTGCCCTTTTTTTCCCTATTCCTTTTTGCATTTTCTTCTGGGTCTCTCAAAGGCCATCTAATTCTTCTCTGTCATATGCATAGATTTTGGGAACTACTTTGTTTCCTAAGCATGCCCCTGAGAGGACTCACCCCTTACCCCCAGCAGCTTATCAAAGTATTTTTGTATTTCTGTCAAACTAGTGGAATGCTGCTCCAAGAAGAATTCTGATTACATTTTTCCATGTCGTTGTTATGGAAGCTGTATCTATATAAAGTGGGAAGATGCCAATAAGGGTCCTTGCTCCTTGAGTGTAAGCTCCCCTATCTTTAATCTCTCTGTTGGTCTAGAAGTGTGGTAAGCAACCCTGGTTGCACACGACAACCTTTTGAGCAGCCTTCAAAATACAGATATCTGGGCCCCAATTTCCGAGATTCTGATTTAAACGGTGGAGTCCATGCATCTACTTTTTAAGCACCAAGGCAATCCCATTGTGTGCATATCAGAGTACAATATAACTGATTGAGAACATGGAGTCATTGGAAGTAGAAAATGCCATTCACTATCAAATCATCATAAAGATGAAATAACTATTCCACTGATAATACACCTGATCACCCAAGTACCCACTCAGCTATTCTGTTCACCCACAGCTCTTCAGATACAGCTTTTCTTCCAGATGCTCAGAAAAGTGTGATAACATAGTAATTTATTCCTGCTCCTGCCCATTGATCTCCAAGCTTGTGAAAATGGGAAAATAAGGAATGTCTAGGCACTTTACTGATACATGTCCTTGGTATAATGTTACACTTAAAATTTACAGTTGGGGATGGATTTTCAGCCAGCTTCCATGTGCCCAGTCGAGGGCACTAGTGACTGGCTTGCTACTTGTATGCAGTTGGTACAATTTGCTCATCTCAGAGGTGTGGGGAGGCAGAGTCTATCAGAGATTGTTCATGAAGGTAGCTGCAGTAGTACCAAAGTGAGGTGCTGAACAGGAGTGATGGGGTAAAGGCAGCTCAGTAAGACAGGGGCAAGCAGTCCCACATCTTGTCCCTAACTCACTGTTCTGAACTGCCATCCTATCTTCCCACTTTTGCCTCAGGAGCAAGTTATCCTTCAAGATTCAGGACAAATGTCACTTCCTCAGTGAAGCCTTCTCTCCCTCCTTGGTGTCTCCATAATACTCTGCTTAGACTTCACATATATCATGTGTTTTCCTACTAGATTCTGAACTCCCCGAGAGCGGCAACCCATATCTTAACTCTCTTTGCATCAACAGAGCCCAATACAATGCCTGGCACAGAGTAAGCCTCAAATATGTCTATGATATAAATTTTCTAATAAAATGTCTATGGTATCTATTGTCTATCTCAGAGTGAATTTAAGAAATTCAACATCTCTTACAAATCTAGATCATTCACTTAACAGAATGGCATTACCATATTATCAGTATGCACAGACAATCAACCTCAAGCTCTGCTTCGGGGATATATAACAACTCTAACTCTTATCTCACTTGAGAATGGGGGAAAATGATGACTAAATTGAAGGCCACTAAAAAATGGTAGGGAAGAGAACAAGGTACAACATCGTTTTGTTTAATCAGAACCAAGATGAAACCTCATCTGCATAAAGATACTTCAGTGCCTTCTCATCCCCTGAAAATGTTAAGCATTTTCTTAAAAAGAGATTGCTGCGGTTTCTAACATGTGCCCAGGGTTCTGGGAATCAACTAACCCTGTTGCTTCCCTGCTCACCTGTGCTGGAAATCTCAAAGGAGCTCAGGGAATCTGGGCCTTTGCTCACTTGTTTTCAGGAGGCATGGGGCATTCCTATCTGGAGGCTGCTGAGAGTAACTCCTCTTGAAAATTTGCAGCTAGCTAAATCCACTATGCTTTCTTACCAGATGTGATCCTGACACCCAGAGATGCTAAGCCCAAATGCCCTCAGAAGTCAGGCAGGGAAGGAGAATATGTGGAGTAACATCGTCGTGATTGGTAGGAACTGTGGCAAATAGGAAAAACGCATGCTCTGCCTAAAGATATTTAAGTTCAGAAGTTTTTCTGGAAGTTGAGCCTGCCAAACAAAATACATCTCTAGGCCAATTTATTCAGAAGGCCTAAGTTTTCAATTTGCATATGGCCATTTTCCTTTCCTGCATTCCTACCCCATACCTCCATGTAATTTTTTGCCCTTGACCCGAGAGTAACTGGGAGTGAGGTGCAGGCAGAAGATGTGGCACTGGGATATGTTGTAATTGAATGTTATGAGGGCAATGATAATTACACAAAATTTTGAGTGGGATGTTTCTTAACTGCAATGAAAGACTTGGCACAAGAAAACGAGAAGCTCATGACAGCCAACTGCCAAGTAAAGACACCCTTAAAAAGTCAAAGTGTTCTATGGCAACTTTGAAGGAGACTCTTATTTCCTGCAGACTGCTGAAAAGCAGGCCCAGCATCTAGTTTTCAGTGTAGCAGAGCTGCACAGGTGACTCAAGGCATAGCCCCAACAGATCTCATCTGTCAAAGTTATTGCCCTGATGGGAAAAGAGTGGGACCCCTAACTTGTATTAGGAATATTTGGGTATATTATCCTGAGAGTTCTGAACTCCGAGATGACCCTGAACTCCCCAGGATGGCAGAAGCAACTGATTCCAACTTGCCTGAGGGGAACAGTCTCCCCTTTTCTGGAGGCAATGAAATGACACCACTTAAGGCAGGTGCTTTGCAATATGGCACTAGTTCTCTTCCAGATCCAATTCTCATTAGTTTCAGGCCAATGACCAGAGTCAGGTCTCAGCACAGTCTGATCAGGGAAGTACAACCTCTGCCCCAGGAGGAATAGTCTATACTGAAAAGGATTTTCAGGACCTGGAACACATGTGGAAGTAGATCTAGAGAGCATTGGCCTGGAGTGGGAAGACAGATATAAGGCTGCGTAGGGAGCATTTTCAGCAAGGGAGAGCTCATTCATCACTTGGATTTCAATGCTTTGGAAATATCTCAAGATGATTCTGAAAATCTGTTTGGATGGATTCTTTAAGCTTATACAGGATGATGGCCTTCAGTAAATGAGGTAGAGATGCTAGGACTTTCTTGATGTATAGTATTGAAGAAAGGATCAGAAGGATCCTAAAGATGGGGCTGTTAGAATTAATTTATTATGTAACACATGCACACGTATGTTTATTGCGGCATTATTCACGATAGCAAAGACTTGGAACCAACCCAAATGTCCAACAATGATAGACTGGATTAAGAAAATGTGGCACATATACACCATGGAATACTATGCAGCCATAAAAAATGATGAGTTCATGTCCTTTGTAGGGACATGGATGAAATTGGAAATCATCATTCTCAGTAAACTATTGCAAGAACAAAAAACCAAACACCGCATATTCTTACTCATAGGTGGGAATTGAACAATGAGATCACATGGACACAGGAAGGGGAATATCACACTCTGGGGACTGTTGTGGGGTGGGGGAGGGGGGAGGGATAGCATTGGGAGATATACCTAATGCTAGATGACGAGTTAGTGGGTGCAGCGCACCAGCATGTCACATCTATACATATGTAACTAACCTGCACAATGTGCACATGTACCCTAAAACTTAAAAGTATAATAATAATTAAAAAAAAGAATTAATTTATTATGTAACATCTAAAAACATATCACCCGGCTGTGTTCATTGAGGGAACACAGAATATCTTCCATTAACCAAAGAAATAAGGAATGCGGTGGTCAGAGGGTACAGACAATTGTTTAGAAGTTTAATGGAAATTGTCTTTGTAAAAGGACTGAGGGTTGGAGATGCTGCCATTAAATTGGGCTGTATATTATCAGCAGGGATGACAGGATTCCAGAGTGGCAGAGCTTGGGATTCTGATAGTTGAACTATAAGAAACATGGTGGACATAATGTCTATAATGAGCACTAAGGTCAGGCTGTCAATCAAAATGCCCTAATGGGGATCTTTGGTGTTGGCTAATAGACCATGGTGTTCTTAGGTGTGAGATAGCTAGACTGCTGACAAGGATTGCTGACTTGCACTATTTTATTTTAAAAAATGGAGAACTACAGAATAGAAGTGTTAACATCAGTCACCGCAATGAAATCTGTAGTCTTTCTTCCAGTTTCAAAATTTAAGTTATTTTGTAGACCTAGAACCCACTAATTGAAAAGGAGACTGAGTTCCCTTAAGGAATAACATTGCAATGCTATTGAAAAAATATATATAAATATGAAATATTCCTTGTAATCCTTCCCAAAAGGGACCTGTGGCCATTGATAGACTATTGTACACTGGGGAAGGCAGTACGTATATTTGTTTTTGAGCACTGTTAAATATGGGATCCGAGTTTTCCGATGCTAGTGGACTCAAGTCTTCATCATGGAATTCCAGTTAGAGTGGGTATATGGAAGCTAGGTGATAAATGAAATGTTAGCTCAAGTTTATCTCAGTTATTTTTCTTTTTTTTTATTATTATACTTTAAGTTTTAGGGTACATGTGCACAACGTGCAGGTTTGTTACATATGTATACATGTGCCATGTTGGTGTGCTGCACCCATTAACTCATCATTTATCATTAGGTATATCTCCTAATGCTATCCCTCCCCCCTCCCCCCACCCCACAACTGTCCCCGGTGTGTGATGTTCCACTTCCTGTGCCCATGTGTTCTCATTGTTCAATCGCAAGGACAAAAATTCTCAGTTATTTTTCTAGTCTCCAAATACACAGTTATTTTAAGCATCTGGCAGAACCCTCCCATTGTTTCTCCGACTTGTAGATTAAGGGCCATCATGGTAGCAAGGGCTCTGTGGAAACCCCTGAAATTTCTGCAATTCCTTCTCCTCCTACATATACACAAATGCGTGCACACACACACACACCCCTATGTACACATCCATGCCCTATATGGTAAATAAGAAGCAATCTGCATCCTAAAAGGAATTACACAATGTGTAATTCTTTTAATGTGTAAATCTTTATTACACATTAAAGATTTAAAGGATGAAGGTGTGGTGGTCTCATCATATCCCTATTCAGTTGGTTTATGTGTATCCTGAAAAAAACATATGGGTCATTGGAGACAAAATGTGGTACCTTTCATGAAAAAGATCAACATGGTCTTTGGCGTTTTATATGCAGCTACTAATCTGGAAAACACTTTGTTTTTAAGTCAGGGGTAGGCAAACTACAGCTCATGGGCCAAATATGACCACAGACTACAAAAGCAGAGTTGAATAATTATAACAGAACCACGTGGCTAAAAATATTTATTGTATGACCCTTTACAGAAAATGTTTGTTGACTAGATTTCCATCAGCAAAAATGATCAAAAGGAATTTGACTTTACATTTAGAGGGGCAACTCTACATACTCACTCTTGTGTTAACTATCCTGTTCCCTGTCACAACATAATAGCTAGGTATTTCCATCATCTTAGCCTTCTGCAGAACGTCATGGTATAACACTTGTCTACTGTATTGATGATGTCATGGTTATTGGAAATGTTAATACCCTAGGTGACCCAGTAAGATACATGCATATCAGAGGGTAGGTGATAAACCCAATGAAGTTCAGGTTCCCATGATATTGGTCAACTTAGTAGATATCCAGCAATCCAGAATATGCTAGGACATTCTTACAAAGAAATAAACACATTGTTCTACTTGCAACTCCTACCACTAAGAAAGAGGTACACTGCTTGGTGAGCCTTTTTGAATTTTGGTGGAAGAATAGACTGCATTTAAAAATACTGCTTTGGTCTATATTCTGGGAGATATGGAAGTTTTTCCTGGGCCATAGTTAACAGAAGGCTCTGCAGGAGCCTTCTGCAGAGCCAGACTATTGAACTATAAAACTCAATAGATGTAATCGTGATAGAGCTCTCCATGATGAAGGAATTGTAGGAAATGAGAATCTCCTTCAAAGTTGACAAAGAGTTATCTGGCTTTTGCAGACTGCAATTTCTTTTGCAGCTCCTGGCCTGCTACCGGATATTTGTAGAGATTGAATGCCTAATTATAACATCACAAGACACCAAGTGTGAGCTGTTTCTGAGTCCATTTAGTATTGCTATAAAGGAATAGCTGAGGCTGAGTAATTTATAAAGGAAAGAAATTTATTTGTCTCACTGTTCTGCAAACTGTACAAGAAACATGGTGCTAGCTTCTGTTTCTGCAGAGGGGCCCAGGCTACTTCCACTCATGGTGGAAGGCTAAGGGGAGCCAGTATGTGCAGAGATCACATGGCAAGAGAGGAAGTAAGAGAGAGAGAGAGAGAAGGAGAGAGAGAGAGAAGTAGAGGTGCCAGACTCTTTAAAAAGCAGCTGTCATTGAAACTAAAAGAGCAAGAACTCACTCACTAATGAGAGTGGTACCAAGCTATTCATGTGGGATCCACTCCTCGTGGGCCAAACACCTCCCACTAGGGCCCACCTCCAACATTGGAAATCAAATTTCAAGATGAGATTTGAAAGGAGCAAATATCTGAACTACAGCCAACTGTGTATGATTAAATCCACTAAATCATAGATTGGGTTAGCCACAGCAGCAATCTACATTATGGAATGTCGTGCCTGGAAATGGGACTGAGGCAGGTCCAAAAGGCAAGAGTAAATTGCACAAAGAGGTGGCACAAATTTGCATGTCATCTGTTTCTATCACTCTGATACCTTTTATCTCATCTTGCACTTATGGCTTATAGGGGATTCCCTATGACCAACTGATAGAAGATTGAAAAAAAACTTCATGCCTGGCTCACAAGTGTGTCAACAGATGCTAGTCAAAAATACACTGCTGACATATTATAGATCCACTCAGTGGTATCTCTAAAGAGCAGCGGTTAAAGTAAATTAGCCAGCGGGAAAGTGGTGAGCAGTAAATTTGTCATCCACTTGACATGAATAACTGGTGAGGAGTCTGGAAGGAATCAAATAGAAAACTGGGGAATGATGATGTCACAGGATGAGGCATATAGATTGACCTATAAAAATGGACACAAATTTTGCAGCTATTACTACCTACCAGAGAACATCTACCACCAACAGTTCTCTCAGCAACCAGTGGGGAAGGCTACCTCATCATGTATGTCACTTCATCTCTCTCTCATTGACTGCTTCTATGCTGGACAGTGAGCCCAAGAAAAGGGTGGTCTCATGGCAGAGATAAAGGTTTGCATGAATTCCTTCTAGTCTAGCTAATGGTAGTCTTGAATGCTCAATTTGTCAACAGCAGAGATTGAGGAGATCAGCCAGTCTCTTGGTATCAGGTAGATTACAATTAGACATCTTCTACCCTGGGGGTTGGGGAGGACAGAAATTTGTCCTTGTAGGAATTGATCCTTAATGTGAATAGACCCTGGGTTTGCCCTCCTTGTCTGTAGTACCTCCACTGGCTTACCATCCAAAAGTTTTTAGAATGCTTGACTTATCAACACATATTTCACACAGCATTGCCACACACCAAGGGAACTGTTTTATAAGAATCAAGGTAATGAGTGCATGAAACAGAATCTAATAATTGTTCCTTGTTCCCCATCACCCAGAAGCAGCCATCCTAAGAGAATGGTAGAAATCATATTAAAGGTTCATTAAGATCCCAGCTTGGGGACAACATCTAGCAGGGTTGAATGTGATCTTCCAGGATATGGCATATACATTAAGCCAATGACCAATATATGGTTTTGAATCCCCAGTAGCTCAATTATATAAAACTGGGAACCAAGTGATTACGGAATTTGTGTTTACTATCTTCCATCTTGCAACTTTAGCCTCTATTGGATTAGAAATCTTAATTGTGACTGTGGATGGGAAAGAGAATAATTCTGCCAGATAAAATGTAAGGGTCCCCTGAATTTGAAGCTGAAAATATCAGTTGAACTCCTCATGCTTATGGGCCAGCAGGGAATAAATAGTTAGCACATCATTAAAAGTAATAGCCCCTGACTCTGCTGAATAGCTAGAGTTGCTGTTACCAGTGAGGACAAGAAGAAACACATCTGGAACCCAAGGGTTTCACAAGGGTATCTCTTGGTGCTCCTGTGTCCAGCGATAACAGATTTGTACATAGTTTGTATTGTACTTACATAATTGTATTGTCAAAAGCTGATGCGTAATTGTATTGCAACAACTATGGCCCAAAAAGGATAAGGCAAATAAAGGTTCAAGCCTCTCAACGATGAATGTTTGTGTCATCCCACCGGGAGACCAACACAGATAGCTAATGTGCTGGCCCATAGTGAGGGAAATATAGAATTGCTGGAAGAGGTTGGAGATAAATATAACTTATGACTTCAGATCCAGGTTCAGCTATGGAACAGAAGTTTGTCTTACTTATCCTCAATCAGACTCTGGTGGACCATTCCCTTGAAGGGGACCTTGTGACAGATTGGACGAGTGCTTCCTCTCTTGTAGAATAGATAAGGACAACTTATTCTCACAAAAATGGGGGCCTATATTGTAGTATGCAATTTGGATATAATGATGGGGGAAAGTGGCCCTGAATAGTGCAGAAGGTGGACTGTATTATGCACCTTTTATGTGCTAATTTATATGCTTTGGCTCACCGATTTCATTCAAGCTGCCACTGAGATAACTTGCTCTTAGGGTATATTCTGATCACTTGCATGCAAGCGCAACCTGACATTATTGCAACTTCTCACCTCCTTCCCTGGGGCCACCCTGATGATACTTATATAAGAACCCTGTTGCACTCAAATATGTGTTATATGGAGGTGCAGGGAGGTTCATGCTCTGTGAGACAAACCTTTGACCAATTGGAGGCTGCAGCCAGTGGCTAAATTCTTCACTTTTCTCTGTGATTAAATTATTACAACTTCTTAGAAGATGGTCCTATGGGATTGAGCAATCAGTCATACCTGGAAGCAGTTAGACCTATAATGCATCCTCATATTACTCCCCCTTTTTCTCTATTCTACTCCCTTTCCTTCCTCATTCCTGCTCCCTGGGATTGTACAATCTAATTCAGGCTGGAATATTATCCCACTTCCCAATCTGATCCACTTGTGGCCCTCTGGTGATTCCACTGCCACAGTGAATGTTCCCTCCCATTGTACCATAACTGAAATGTGGCATCTTCTGAGGACACAACTTTCCCTGCAGCCCACTCAAATGAAGACTCCTGGCTCACCAATACTATTCCCAGACCATTCTTCTTCCTTGTTCCTTTGAAATGTACGTCATCCAACTAAAATACCTTCTTGTCCTTCTAAATATCTTTTGTACCTGTCCATTTCTTGCAACCCAAGATGCCACCTGCCTAGTTCAGGTCTCCACTGAATCTTGCCTGTTTGTTTGAACAGCTCTCTCTTTCCACCATCAAATAACTCTCTGCTTCTCATTTTGCCTCCCTCCACCTATATTGGACACTGAGACAAAAGTAATCTTCCTAAAGCACAAATTGGATCATGTCATTCATCTACTTACAACTTTTTTGTGGCTTCTTATTGACTTGTTTCTTTCCAGCCTTTATCTTCTGCCACTTCCTCCCTCACCATCAGCTTCAATAACACTGAACTACTTTCATTTTCCTAAAATGGAGCCTGTCCTTTGCATGTGCTGACCCTGAAACAACCTCCCACTCTTGATCAATGCCCACTCAGTCGTTTAGGTCTCAGAGGCAAGTGTCCTGGACGCTTTCAAGATTGAGCTAGTAGTGGACATCTTATCCAACCTTCTTACTTAACTCTTACCATAGCACTCACTACTTTGTAATTTTTGTCTCTGGATCCTGTGTCAGACTTAAGGCTTCCCAATTCTCCTAGCATCTAGTAAAAATTAAGCATTTGGCAAAAATTCATTGCAAGAATGTCTAGATGAATTGTTTTTCTTTTCTTCCGATTAACTTGTTCACCATCTTTTATAGTATCATTAAAAAGATGAATGTACATTTTTTCTTATGTATTTTCCCAATGTACTTAAAAAGTAAAAATAAATGGCACATGAACAGCATGAAATTGACTGGGACCTTTCTCAGGCACAGTTTATATCACTGGGCTAAACCGCTTACAGTCAGCATTTAGGAAAAATAGATTAAATTCCATACATAGACTTATAATCATTTATCATATTTGTATTCCTTTTACATTTTCATATTTTTAAAATCCTGTGCCATATTTTTATCACAATAGTGTATCACAAAGCTGAACACACCTCCTCTTGAACATTTATCACTAGTGGCCTTGAATCTTATGTGATATCATAATCAGAATTTCTACTTCATAGTGACTGATAGAGAGCAGCAGTCTCAGCTGTAAAAATAGAGTCCCCAGGGAATACTGATAGCCTTTTTCCAATAAAGCGAAATCTATTTGCAATAATAGGTATATGCAAAGACCTCCTGAAATTACAGGAGCAAACTCCTTCCGCATCTCGACCTAATTAAGATCCGTTACTCAACAGTGATCAGTCAGATTTTACTGTAAGAAGGAAGAAAACAAGGATCCTGCTAGAACAACATGGAAACAGGTAGGCTATATGTATGGTGGTTACAGTCACAGGCATTTGGGTTCAAATTCTTGTTCTGCTTTTAGCCTCTCTAGCTTTCCATCTCTTATTGTACAATGGGGAAAATAACATCTACTTCATAATATTGTGGGGAAATTAAGTAAAATATCAGATGTGGAGTTCTCAGCATATAGTATCCTCTCAACATACCCATGGCAGCTATCACTGATGAATTCCCAGAAACCTGGGACAATAAGGAAGTCTATTAAAAGAGCCTTAGCGACCAGCATCTTCAGGGAGGGATGGGGGTCAAGGAGCCAGAGGGAGGTGAGAGAGGATGAAGGGAGAGTGACCATTTTCTCTAAAGTAGTTTTTATTAAATTTTAACAGCTTCCAACCCGGGGTTCAGAACTCTAGGCAATGACCTAGTAGTCAGTAAGGCAGGAATAAATTGTGATAAGCCTGGTTCTATTATGGAAAACATTCTCAGCAAACTGCAGGGGAGAGATAGCAGGAAGATCCATGGCTAATGCACTGCTTTTAAAGAACTTTCATAACTCACTGGACACATAGGGATGTTATGTGCTTTTGCCTAGTCATGAACAGAAAATAAACACAGTTACTTACTTGTCAGGCAGAAAACTTGATTAATTTTTTTAAGCAGTAAGCAGAATCATAGGAAATCATTTCCTTCATGCAAGCCTGCAATAAACGGGAGGTGCATTTGCCACGAATTCATTTTGGTGTTCACATGGTAAAAAAATACTGCCACATGTGGAATGAGCCAAGTGGGCTTTAGAACTGAAGGGGACCAGCCCCTCCACACCTGTGGGTGTTTTTCGTCAGGTGGGACAAGAGACTGAGAAAAGAAATAAGACACAGAGATAAAGTATGGAGAAAGAACAGTGGGCCCAGGGGACCGGCACTCAGCATACGGAGGACGGGCGCCAGCCCTGGTCTCTTGAGTTTCCTCAGTATTAATTGATCACTATCTCTACCATCTCGGAGAGGGGGATGTGGCAGGACAATAGGGTAACAGTGGGGAGAGGGTCAGCAGGAAAACATGTGAGCAAAGGTCTCTGTGTCATAAATAAGTTTAAGGAAAGGTGCTGTGCCTTGATGTGCATGTACACAAACATCTCGGTGCATTAAAGAGCAGTATTGCCGCCAGCATATCTCACCTCCAGCCATAAGGCGGTTTCCTCCTATCTCAGTAAATAGAACGTATAATCGGGTTTGACATTGAGACATTTCATTCCCAGGGATAAGCAGGAGACAGATGCCTTCCTCTTATCTCAACTGCAAAGAGGCCTTCCTCTTTCACTAATCCTCCTCAGCACAGACCCTTTACGGGTGTCTGGCTGGGGGACGGTCAGGTCTTTCCCTTCCCACAAGGCCATATCTCAGGCTATCACATGGGGAGAAACCTTGGACAATACCTGGCTTTCCTGGGCAGAGGTCCCTGCAGCCTTCCGCAGTGTATCGTGTCCCTGGGTACTCAAGATTAGAGAATGGCGATGACTTTTACCAAGCATACTGCCTTCAAGCACTTGTTTAACAAAGCACATTCTGCACAGCCCTAAATCCATTAAACCTTGAGTCAACACAGCACATGTCTCTGCAAACACAGGGTTGGGGCTAGGGTTACAGATTAACAGCATCTCAAGGCAGAAGAATTTCTCTTAGTACAGAACAAAATGGAGTCTCTTATGTCTACTTCTTTCTACATAGACACAGTAACAGTCTGATCTCTCTTTCTTTTCCCCACGTAGAACTCTGAAATAAACATTGCAAAAAATCATACCCATAAAAATATTAATCTGTATTTCTTATGCTCATATTTTAAGGTTGAAAAGATCAATATAACATTAGTACTTTATCACTCTCAAATACTTTTATATCCAATATTTCATTTGCACTGAATAACAGATACCATTAGGTGGGCAGGGGAAATATCCTCCTATTAAAGACAAGGACACAGTCTCTGAGAGGTTATCTCATTTGTTAAAGGTCACGTAGCCTGTAAATGAAAGAACAAAAGTTCAAACAAACCTCATGCCTCCAAATCAAGAGGAAGCCTCAAGGGACCACACTGATACTGCTGTTAGATATGTTCACCGTCTCATGTATTTTGATGTTTACACAGGCCATTTTTAACATACATGTTTAGCAGTCAATGCCACTGGAAATCAGACCAGGGCATGTGTTTAGACATCTTATGGGTATTTCCCTGAATGAGCCCATGAATAGAGTGTAAAAATAGATAAGAAACTGACTTCCTGTTTGTTTCTCTGCTCCCACTTTTTGTCCTTCTTCCGTTGTGCCCTGGGAGGCTGATCTTAGGACCTACAACAAAGAGATTTCTCACTGGCTTCCTGGTGGTTCATTCAATAGGGAATTCCTGCAGCAAGTTGGAGGGAGGGAGGAGAAGCAGGTATGGATTTTTGTTTCTTTCCCTAGTTCTCATTTTAATGCCTGGCCATAGGCTGGCTATGCCTGGGGGTCTGCAGACAGACTTCTGTGCCTCCAGCTTTGGTAACCACCCCCTCTGCTTGCCCTCTCAGAGCCAGGGGCCTCAGGGTGCCCAGATGTTCTTATCCCCAGTTCACGCATCATCCTTGTGGCTTCCTTGTACCCTGCCCATCCTTTGTAAATATCTCTTTACTAAACTTTCCTCAGAATACCTGAATTTGAGTGATCTCTCCATTGCCTGCCAGGATCCTTCCTGACATTACCTTCCAGAATGAATATTTCTGAAGGAGTCTATTCTCTATGCAAAGAAACTCAATTTCTCACCATGTATAAAAGGAAATAAACATCGTTTTCAATGGAAAATAATGTAGGGGACATGTCTGGTGTCACAGGTGTGTTTGGACCACACAGCCCAGAAAGATGTAGTCATAGAAACAGACTCTTTTCTCTCCTTTGTTTGGTAACAGCATCCTGATTTTCCCTTGAGAAACGATCCTCTCTTCTCCTTACAGTCTCTGTTATTATGGTGGGACCGACCCTACTCTCCAGGGCAGGCATGGGGCCCTGCCCTGGCTTATGAGAAAACTATACACCCCTAACCACAGTGATCAGTTTAAAGATGGGAAGGAACAAGGGCAGGGGAACCTTTACATTTTCCAGAGATACCAAGAAAGAGGCTCTCTTCCCGCTGGATTTTCTAATCTGTGGAACCTGGGCCTGGAGATGCTGTTAACCATCTTTGACATCATATAAAAGCCAAAATAAAATAGCAAAAGGTGGAACTGAGAGATGGTGAAAATGTCCTCCTGGCCACAGAGGTTGAGCATTTGAATTCAGCCATACCTGAAAGTGTCCCTGCACTTTTCTCCCCTGGACCAATAATCTTTGTGTGTGTGTGTGTGTGTGTGTGTGTGTGTGATCTGTTGTCACCTTTATCCAGAAAAATCTACAGTAAAGAAAAAATTTATGAACTGGGAGACTTGGAATTGGGCTTAGATCCCTCACCTATAAAATGAGGGTTTTGTACTGGATGTTCTTCAAATGCCTTTCTAGAGCTAAACATGGACAAGGATCAACAGTAGCCAATCTTCCAGGTCAGCTAGAACTGAAAGAACAGTTATGCCTCAAAGTGAGCTCATTCTCTGTTCCTAGCACGTTCACTGCAGCACTGCTGTCCACCCAATAAAGGACAGACATCATTACAAATAAGGGCCCTACCCAGCCCTGGTCAGCCCTATTGATAACTCCCAGGAGAGCTCATACCATCTTCCCACTTCAGTCCAATTAACCCAATACACTATATAATTTTCATAATACCTCTCTTAAAATCTAATCAGCACACCAAATGTCCAAAGAAATATTCAATGTTTACCAGAAGTGAAATGTGGTGATAGTTATTGCGATTGTTAGCATTGCATCTTTATGTCTATCCTCCTTGAAAGGGACTCAAAAAACCCTTCCAAGCCCTCCAAGTTTCCACCAAGTAATATCTTCCTTCATGCACTGTGGCTTTTTGATACTTTCCTCTGGCATCCATTTGATGAAAATTATTTTCATCAAAGGATGCCAGAAAAACAAATGAGTTTTAAAGTAAAGATGAAGGAAAATTTTGAAAAGTACTTAATTTCCTCATTATTCATCCATTCATTGTTCCACTATCCAATGACCAAGGCACTGTTTCTGGGCTGTTCACAGTAGCTCTATTTTCTGCTATTGTTTTTTATTTGATGAAAATTTAGCTTAAACAAACTAGGCTTATGTAAAATCAATGTAATAGCACAATCCTGCATAATTTGCCAAGCATTTGATGAGTTGAAAGGTGACATATTTGCACACTACATTTAGATGTGGGAAAGAAACTATCATCATTGCGCCCTGAAAACCTCATTCCCACCATTGGTGGGGAAATAAAAACCCTAAATTTGTGCATAGAAGATATTTCCATGTCTGCTGGCTTAAATAGTCTTTTAAAGACTTGTTTATGTCTTCTGGATAAAGACTCAATCAAGTTTAAGTTCCATGCCCCTCTTAGTACTGTTTCTCGTCTTGGAGAGCCACTCACTAGAAGGCACTTTCCACAAGAGGTGCCTCTCACAAGATGTAGTCTTCCATAAGATGGCAACTGGATGGAGAGGAAAGCTTACCTGTCCTCTTTGCTGTGAGGATGTCAACCTGCTGCTCCTCATACTGTCTTCTGGTCCCCTCTGGCCTTTGAGATGATGTCCTGTCTGTCCATTAGGCATCCCCCTGGCAGAAGCTTCTGAGACCACAGTCAGTATAATTGGTGATCTGGTGGTCTGCTGGGGGTCTACTGTGTCCCCTCCAGTTATACTCCCTTGTCTTGGTTCTTGCTAGAGCAGCAGCTCCCCATGGTCTCAGCTGCCTCCTCCATCCACCCTGGGCCTTGGTTCTCCACCCAGCAGCCTCTGCCATGGGGTCAAGTTTCCCTCCCACTGGGATCCATGGGAGGCCCACTGGCCCTCATCTCTCTTCCATACTCTTCTTCCTCTGGGAGCAAGTGACAATGTTTGGATTCCTTCCCTATCCCACAGCAGAGGACCTATTCCCAGTTATCTTTTCTTCTTAAGTATCACCACCATGGTATACCACCATGTCGATTTTTCTGTTCTGTTGCAATTTTACTAATGCAGGGGTGCCCTAAAAGGTGATCTCCTCCCTGAACCCCAAACAAGGCATGAGTCCCCTCTGCCGCTCTGCTTCTGGGTTTCCTTGCTGATCTCTCTTAATATGAATCCGGAAATATGTCCTATCTCTTGCTCTCGCTTTCTGTACCTCATGGATTCTTCGTAGAATCAGAAGGTATATCTACTTCATCTTTTTGTTGTTAAAAGAAAAACTTTAGCCAAATTAAATTTAACAGAGTTTAATTGAGCAAAGAACAATTTGCAAATTGAGCAGCCTCCTGAGCCACAGTAGGCTCAGGGACTCCAGTGCAGACACATGGTGGAAGATTTATAGATAGAAGAAAGAAAGTGACATACAGAAACTAGTGTGAGGTACAGAAACAACCAGATGGGTTGCTACTTGATGTTTGCATCATTTGAACACAGTTTGAACAGTTGGTCACCTTTGATTGTCCAAGACTCAGTGATGACACAAGAGTAGACTACAGTCTGAGTGCAACTCCATTTAGGTTATAGTTCATGATGTACACAGAAACCTTTAGGCTGAACTTAAAATACACAAGGAGGCAGCTTTAAGCTAAACTTGATTTAACACTGTCCAGTAGGGCATCACCAAGTAATATCTTCCTTCATGCATTGTGGCATTTTGATACTTTCCTCCTTTTTCCTGGGCAATAAACTGGGCTTTAATGATGGAAAGCCTTTGGGAGAACAATCACTTATATGGGAATGGAAAATGTAACAATTTAATGTCTTCTAAATAGGATTCCTGTTACATCTAGAATATGTAAAACTCTGCTAGTTTCTAGGAAGGGAGCTGAGGATAGGCTCAGAGGGAATTAAGACGTGAATTAAACATGATTTCTGTTCTTAAATAGCTTTCAACTTGGAGGAAGAGATGGATATGAACACCATTGGCCAAGGCATGGCATAAGAACCAAATGTGGCCTGCACCACTGGGTGATGAGATCAGACAGGGGTGAAAGATCACATAGATCCCTTAAAAAGCTGGCTGCTTTCAGTTTGCTTCTTCTCAATTCTGCAGGTTAGAGACCACAGCCAGAAACCTGATTAGCTGCAGTCTTTGAGCCTAGACCTTAGCTTGAGAATTTCTGTCTCAGCAAACATCAGGTTGGGCCTGAACTTGGGGGTGGGAGGGATCCATCTCTTCACTGGGTGGGACTGTACCTTTTTTTCTGGTAGATGGCAATTAATAGGAGGTACTTAGGAAAGGGCTGCACTCTATTTGAGAGCAGTAGTTCTCAAAGTGTGTCCCACTCACATCAGTGTTATCAGGGAACTTGTCAAAAACACAAATTCTCAGGCCCCACCCTAGGCCTGCTGAATCAGAATCTCTGGGGATGAGGGATTGAGCAAAGAACAATTTGCAAATTGAGCAGACTCCTGAGCCAGAGTAGGCTCAGGGACTCCAGCACAGCCAAATGGTGGAAGATTTATAGATAGAAGAAAGAAAGTGACATACAGAAAATGGTGTGAGGTACAGAAACAACCAGATGGGTTGCTACTTGATGTTTGCATCATTTGAACACAGTTTGAAGAGTTGGTCACCTTTGATTGGCCAAGACTCAGTGATGACACAAGAGTAGACTACAGTCTGAGCGCTCTGTCTTAACAAGCTCTCCAGGTGATTCTCATCCATACTAAAGTTTGAGAACCTCTTCTCTAGACTCTAAAATTATGTAACTCCACACCCACACCCAGGGCCCAGCAGCACTGGCATTACCTGAGAATTTCTTAGAAATGTAGAATCTCAGGCCCCACTTCAGATGTATTGAATAAGAATCTTTTAAACTAAGATTCCTAGTTAATTCTTATAAACATTAAAGTTTGAGAACCATTGCACTAGGTGATTGGACCTATATTCAACCTGGATTCTAGATCATAGGTGGATAGTATCATTTTTTAAATTATTATTATATTTTAAGTTCTGGGGTACATGTGCAGAACGTGCAGGTTTGTTACAGAGGTATACATGTGCCATGGTGGTTTGCTGCACCATCAAACCGTCATCTACATTAGGTATTTCTCCTAATGCTATCCCTCCACTAGCCCTCCAACCCCCGACAGGCCCCGGTATGTAATGTTCCCCTCCCTGTGTCCATGTGTTCTCATTGTTCAACTCCCACTTATGGGTGAGAACATGTGGTGTTTGGTTTTCTGTTCTTGTGTTAGTTTGCTGAGAATGATGGTTTCCAGCTTCATCTATGTCCCTGCAAAGGACATGAACTCATCCTTTCTTAAAAGTTATGTTTTCTTCTCTTTTCCAGGGAGGCCACCTCCTGTCAAAGCTGGGACATCTGAGAGACAGTGGTCACACAACAACTCAACTGCATGTGCACCTAAAACAGTAGCTTATTTTCTCTGACTGTTTCTTCTTCTTCTTCTTCTACTCCTTATTCTTATTCTTCTTTCTGATTTACCAACCTACTGGGTATCAGTGCAAAAAATTATTTTACTTGCGAATTAATGATATCACCACGTTTTCTTGCTTAAACTGTCTTTTTAGGTTAGCTCAGCTACTCTGGGCTAAACATTCAGTCTTTCAGATATACTCCACTTACCTTAGCTCCTCCCATGGTGGTTCCGGGGTTGGAGAGGCTTACGTGACCTTATGGTAGCAGGGCAGAGGCAGGGCTATGCTGCTCATGGGGCATTCTGTAAAAGTAAGATGTGTCTTCCTTATGATACCTTCCTTCCAGTTGTTGGAAAGTTGTCGTGCTGCTTTTATTAGAGCAAGCATCTTGTTGCCATATGCTTTAAAATGGACATAATAAATGTGCAAATCTTCAATGTCTGTTAAATGAATGGTGCCCTCTTAGACATGGATTTCTTGTGCAACACTCAACCTGCACAACTGTATGCCAGTCTCTATTTTTGTACCACAGTAAAGTGCATGCATAAGGCTGAATATGGGGTTTTCCCCAGAGGCTTGCAGCTATCTTCAGGAAAAGCAGACTATTGGCATTGACCATCCTGGCAACTCTGGAAATTCTATTGATCTCAGGCCATGAGGATCAACATTTGTCTCCGACATCCTCATTTTAACTCTTCTTTGCCTCCTCCCCTTAGACCACTGCGGTCAGGAGCCCAGGCTTTTTCATTTCCCTGAATAATAGAAGCTTCGTTTACATCATGATTGGTTCTCACTACCCCCTGGCATAGAGAAAACTCCAATTTTAAGTCAGCCAGGCCTACTTCTTGATATGAGATGGGAGCCTAAGAGGTTTAAAAAGTTCTTTTATTTCCCCATAGTGTCTGGCTTTTGAGACTCCACTCACTAGTGACTCACAAACAATGCTGACTTGCTTTTTCTAGCTAAAGTTTACCCTTTTCCTGAAGCATAAAACACACTGTTTCTGTGTGTAGGCCCCACAGGGCAGCAGTGTTTTCTGGATTTGAAAAATTTAACAGAAAAGCTCTCAAAAAATTGTATTATTTTATCTGTCTTTTGTGGCAGTTTATTGAAAGCTATAAGAGGAAGCCAAAAACCACCAACATTTTGAATTTTTCCTTCCAAAGTCTTGATTCCAGACCCTTGGTGGACATTATCTGAGTCTCGGGATATAGCAGGAAATAGTTTAACCAGAGATTTTGCTACCACTTAACATGGGTTACTAACATCACAAGCTAGCTCTATCTTGGCATTGCCTTCTCCACTGCAGCTCTTCAGCTCTGCCTATTCAACAGTCTGGAGTCTGTAACATCACCCTCACTTCCATGTTCCAAATTCCATTAGGATCCTTCAGGATTCAAGGAACAAAAATACCAGATTCACATTAAAATAATAAGGAAGTGTATTTGGTTCATGTACCTGCAATATTCAAGACTCTCTGTATCTTTAGGACACAGCTCCAGTGTTGTGTGATTCCCTGAGCTCTCCTTTTTCCCATGCATTGGCTATTTCATGTTAACAAAATGGCCACAAGGATTCCAGGCATCTCATTCACATACCACCACATCCAGATTAAAAGAAAGAGTCTTTGTCCCAGAATCTAAGCAAGTTCGGTCACATGCCCACCACTGAACCAATCACTGTGGCTTTGATTGACTTATTTAGGTACTACGTGCTCCATTGCTAAAGCCAAGAACCATGTAGGTCTGGATGTCAGGCATTCCTAAAAAGAGGCAGCTCTGAAGTGTCAGCTGAAACATTATGAGATGTTACATTTAGAATGGAGAGTTGATTTCTCATAAAGGGTTACAGCCTGCAGAGTGGTCATTTTGACAGGCTGGGAAACGTAGCCTCTGGTAGAAGCCAGAAGGCAGGTACATTGAGGGAGGGGAGGATGGAACAGGGATTTATGCTGAACAGGTTAGCCAAGTATAAATATTTAGCAGGTTATAAGAGTAGCTATAAATATTCATGAAGGGTGTCCTAACGCGTGTGCACTGAATAAACATGCATGTTGCATGTTCACTTTTGTGTGGAGACTTAACATATAAATGCATTACAATTAGGCCTTGTATGTCAAAAGGTGAAGCAGAGACACAGAGGCATTCAAGTGCGCAGCCTCTGTAAACCAGCCAGAACCAGTCCATGGTTGGTGGTCTTTCATCAAGAGAAAGTTACCAAAATCAACCTCTTGTCACATCAGAGCTGTAGTGATGGCTTGTGGAACAGAGGGGTGAAATCAGGCTGCATCTGGCAATTGGTGAGCTGTAATTGTTTCAATATTTCTTATCTCGAGGCCAGTGCTTGTTTAGCTGCTAGAGAAAAAGAAAAATCTTGTGGCAGGTGGAACATAGTTTATTCTTTAAGTACGGGGGTATGTGACTTAACTCTTGCTTGGCGTGACCTTAGGTCTTGTTTACAATTTAGTATCTTATAGCCATAAAGAGTCCATTTTGTCAGTCTTATGATCTCCATTTTAACATTAACACTGGTCAGTTGTTGTGTCTAAGTTGTAAAACAGAGTGGGTGCAATGAGGTGTGTACAAGCTCCCATTCTGTCATGGCTAGGAACTCAGTTTTTAAGGTTTCTCTGGGGTCCCCCAGCCAAGAGGGGTCTTTTCAGTCAGTTGGGGGGCTTAGAATTTTAGGATTTTATTTTTAGTTCGCATGAGGATATACGACATTTTGAAGGAAACTCTACCTGATGCACAAGAATCTGGGCCATTAACTGGCTCCTATCAGGTCCTGCCCTGTGCCCCAAGAGATTCAGGGAGGCCGTAAAGGAATCAAGCAACCACTAAAAGGTTAGGCAATATTACCATCACTGGTGACTATAAATCAAAGACCCCTTTCATTTTCTTAGCATCATGTAAACCTCCCGATTCTGGTGTAAACCAAAAAGGGGAAGACAATCCCATAATGCCTGAGATGGAATTTCCTATAGCTTGGTGGTATGTGGGCTGGGATTTACAATTAAGCTGATAAAGAAAATGTAACAATGTTTTCTCGCAGCACTGATTCCATGAACAGAGATTCATGCCACTGTGTAGTCTGCAACAAAAGTAAGTCAACTGATGAACAGCTTACTAAAAATTTAAGGAAGGGATATCCTAAAAACATTTCTCATGAGCAAGGAATGATAGCTGGAAATTAACATGACAATTCTTGTTACTACTAATTTAAGATGAATAAAATGTCATTTGCTAATGTTTGTTCCTACTATTTTAGTTCAGCAAATGTAAAAATTATTAATAACAGCTTTCCTAAAGGGAGACTCTTTCTCTTTAACCTTACTTTCCCATATAATCTTAAAATTTTCCACCAGGAATACAAATAGCCCTAAAGGTTTTAGGAACTGAATCCTGAGGTTAGGACAAACTGTAAAACTGCAGCATTTTTAGTTTGTTTGATTAATTAACTTATTATTTATTTATCCAACAAACAATTGTGATTACCAGTGAGAATACCCTTAAAATTGTCCTTTCTGGAGATCAGAACAAGAATTGTTTCTAAATTTTCAATCGAGGTTTCCAAGTTAAATTTTTTGTTAGTGTCAACAGTCTTGGAGGCAATACCAGAAATTTTAGAGTAATTCTGAAAATAATTCTTTTAGAAGGATGCTTACAAGCTCAAGCAAATATCTAACAGCTTTCAATGAAATGCTGAGAACTAAAGTTAATATTTTTAACAGTATTGGCAAATCAAGTCATTGCAGGGTAAGCTTTCTTGCTTGTGTTAGATTTGAAGTTCAATGAACACACATTTCCTAGATAAAGAAATTTATAATTTTATTCTAGAATAAAATATAGAATTTTTATTCTCACATTGAATGATAATATGGAGACCTCTCTAGCTCATCCCTTTATGGCTATGTACCTGGATTGCTTTTTGAACATCGAATTGTAACATTATTTGAGGAGTCACAATCTATTTTTTAAATAAAAATGCACCGGTGCATCATAAAGAGCTTCAGAAAATTATAGGCAAAAGAAAAGTAAATTACAGGCCATTATATTTCTAAAATATGCAAATGCTAGTAAATTAGAACATGATTGTATTACTGTTCTTTGCAGGGAACAGATTTAACAATTCAAATACAAGATGTAATTTTTTAAGTGCTGAGATCTAACAATAAATTAGAAATTAAAATTATACATATGTTGAGTTACAGCTTGAATTTCATAGATAATAATTTCATAATAGTAGACAAAAATGCAAACTGCATATAGCTTAAATGTTCTCTTTCTATTTATATGAAAGTTGGCCACTCTTTTCTTACATGGGTAAGATAAGTATACAAAGACATATTTTTAATGCTATATCCACATTCCTGCAAGAATTAGACAACTTAACCTATGTTCTTTTACATATGGGTGGAACAATTTTCACCAGCTTTTAAAAGTTTGGAAAGACACATGGAATTTAAGCCAAATGAAATGACCTGATGATTGCCGAGCTTTCCAGAGAGAAGAGAAATGAATAGTGCAAATGAGATTTCAGCATTTTCCCCATTCATTTCCAGTTCCTGGGAGGGACTTCTTGTTTCTTGGTTGACAAAATATTATCCTGGGTTCCTCCGCTCTTCTGGAGTGGCGGCTAGTGGTGAACTATTAATAAGAGGTCCCGTACAGAACACGATCGTCACCTAGTGGCCACAAACAAAACTCCTGCATGGCTTTTCCTGGCCAGCCACAAGTGATGCAGTAAGAACAGCATCTTTGGAAGAGAAAAGAGGTACCATAACCCCCACATCACTTCCCCCTCACCCCAGATTCGATCCATTTTCCCATTGCAGGCTTATGACTCAGCCTCCCAAGTAGCTGGGATTACAGGCACATGCCACCAGGCCAGGTCTGGCACATTTTTGAATTTTTAGTAGAGACAGAGTTTCATCATATTGGTCAGCCTGGTCTCCAACTCCTGACCTAAGGCGATCTGCCCACCTCAGCCTCCCAAAGTGCTGGGATTACAGGCATGAGCCACCGCGCCCGGCTCAATATTTTGTTTTTTAATGTGAGGGCACCTCATGTTATCAAGACATTTGCTATCTGATCATTTTGGGGGGAGTGGAAAGAACAGGCAAGAAAAGGAAAGCAAAGAGAAAAGGAGAAGGGTAGAAAAATCCTTAAAAATATTTTGGTGAGGAAAATGTTTACTGAGTGTCTATTTACAACGAGGCAATTTACACAATGAGGATTCAAAAGAATATGTTGTATCAAGACTCTCTTTGCCAGGCATGGTGGCTCACGCCTGTCATCTCAGCACTTTGGGAGACCTAGGTGGGATGATCACTTGAGGTCAGGAGTTCGATTGAGACCAGCCTGTGCAACATGGTGAAACCCCGTCTCTACTAAAAATACAAAAATTAGCTGGGCATGGTGGTGGGTGCCTGTAATCCCAGCTACTTGGGAGGCTGAGGCAGGAGAATCGCTTGAACCTGGGAGGTGGAGGCTGCAGTGAGTGGAGATCGCACCACTACACTCTAGCCTGGATTACAGAGCAAGACTCTGACTCAAAAAAAAAAAAAAAAAGAACTCTCAAAATATTCTAACATTCTAAGTCCAAAAAGAAAGATATAATAGAACTATTTATTTGTCTATGCATTAAACTTCTGGTAATTTCAGCTATGTTATACCCAGTTATAAATTAAAAAGAGATCAAAATAAAACTCAGAGCCTATTTCCTTTTCCTTTATATAGAAATCTTTCAAGCTCGGTGACTAGGCTTTTGAACTAATGTAAACTTCGTGAGGCTTCATGAGACCATTTCTTTCATAGCCCCAGTACTTAACTCAAAACCTAGTTTATGGAATGGATTCAATAAATATTTGTTAATGAAGCCAAGTGATTAGATAAACAAAATGGAGTATAACCATGCAACAGAATACTATCAGGCCATAAAAAGAAATGAAGTGCTGATACATTCTACACATGGATAAAACTTGAAACCATTATACTAAGTGAAATACGTCACAGTAGGCCACATATTGTATAATTCTATTTATATGAAATGTTCAGAGTAATGAAAATCCTTAGAGACAGAAAGTAAATTAATAACTGGCATGGACGGGAGAGCAGGGAGCGACTGCTAAGAGTATAAGATTTCTTTGGTGGGTGATGAAAATTTTTTGAGTGTGGTGATGGTTGCACAGCTCTGTGAATATACAAAAAATCACTGAATTGTACACAATACAAAGTTGAATTTTAAGTTATGTAAATTTTGTGTCAATAAAGCAGTTATTTTATACAAGATAAAAAAATAAAGATTTGTTAATGAATGAGGAGATTAGAAGCAGTATTCAGTAGCTGGGGTTGTTGGAGACCGGTACACAAAATTAGGAGACCTGATGGCTGACACCCTGGAGTCCAAAGAAAGAGTGAGAAAAATCATAAACCCAGACACAAAGGAAGAAACAGTCCCCTACATACTTTACTGACTCTAAGGGATTATAGCACAGATACAAAAACAATTGGCATTAACAATAAAGACCCTGAGTCATTAAGAAAATATTGATCTTTGTTTAATATACATCATTTAATAAAACGCAGGGAGGGAGCTGTACAATGCAGTTTTAAGATATTTTTATTGGACTGGATTAAAACATCACTCTGAGAACACTTAGTCCCCTCACATGCTAGATTTCCTTTTCAAAATGTAATCTTGATGATATAATAATGCATAACTTAAACTTCCCTTCCCTTCAAAACATCCTTGGTTCTACTCAAGGACCTCTAATTCCATAGTATCTTTTGTAGACACAGAAAGTATGCGTTTTCTTTGTCTTTGTGATGTATTACACCTCCCAGTGCAGAATTTTAATATATTCCACATATCATATCTTCCTGTTTCGGTTACAAAACAGTACAGAATTGGATCAGCAACACAATTTAAACTTGTTAATGCAACCGTGATTCTATACATTGTGTAAGTTCGCTTCCCAGAATTGCTGTGGTCTTCGAAGTTCACAGCATGCTCTAAAATGCAGCGAATCAGCAACATCACATGAAAGGGAGTAAAGCATAAGACAAAAGTAACTGTGATGCTGACAAGTAGTTTTATGATTCTCTTCTTTTCCTTGTTTTCCGTGGCTTTATTGTGCCGCACAGCTTGGTAGACTTTCCGGTTGCAGATCAGGATGGTGACCAAAGGTATTGCATAGCCTGTACACGTCCTGAACAAGTTGAGGTTGATTTGCCATTTCTCTAAAGGGTATTTGTCATAGCATAAAGTAAAATTAGACTTTTCGGCATCGCAATATTCAACAACTGTTTCATCTTCCCACAACATGACAGCATTGAAGATGGTTTCCAATATCCAGATGGACAGGCTGACCATGAGTGCAAATCTTCTTGTCCTTAGGAAAAAAAACTTCAAAGGGTAGACAACAGCCAAATACCGATCAACGGCAATGCAGGTGAGGAATGCTGTGCTGCTGTAAAAATTCATGTACATGAGAAAAGCACTCCCTTTGCACAAGGCAGGAGAGAAAGTCCAGTTGTCTTTATTCCAGGTATAATCAATCCATAAAGGGAGAGTTAATGCATAGAGTAAATCTGATAGTGACAAACTGAAGAGGTAAATTCCTAGTTCACTTTCCTTCTTTGCTTGCAGGAAAGACACACACAGAGATCCAATATTGGCTGGAATGCTGACTATAATCACAAAGATGTAAACAATGGGAAACAAATAGTGATCCAGGTCATGCTGTTCTTCAATACATGTGCTGTTCATTTTTTCCTTTTTAAGGTAGCAATTATATTAGTTCTTAGAAAGTAAACAGAGAAGTCTTGTCTCTTTGTAGTTTGTTTTGAACATCGAATTCGCTTTTACTGAGAATTCTTTTTCAATTTTTCTTTGTTGTCTAAAGTTCTAATTAATTCATCAATGCTTTTAAAGGGTGGATGTAGATCAATTTTTACACAGATATCAGCAGTTGGAAGTAAAAATCCAGGCTCCTGGCAATTGGCTAAAGGGGTCAACTGAATTTAATAAACAGAAGTCCATGTGTTCATTATCACAGAACGCTGACAAACAGCCCACAAGCATCAACTGAGGCATTTGTAAGTGTACATAGAGAGTTGTCCGCAATTTGTTTTTCTTCATAAATCTCACAGTAGATTGGTGCAAACATGAATATACAAGGCTTTGTTTGCACAGAGATTGGTATTTCCTTTTAAAATTCCTTTCCTTCTGTAATGAAAGATGAATTAAAATTGTTTAGATGTTTAAGATGCATGACTTCATTACAATCAGGATTTTGAAATAATCCCTTTTTGTTTCATGTATTGAAGATATTGAAAATGCATTAAGTTACAGTGAAGGTGTTTAAAATGGGAAAATTATCTTATTGACTTCAGTAAATAAAATCAAGTCAAGACATTTTACTTATATCAAATAAGAACTACCTGAGGCATGTTAGATTAGAGCGAATTATATTTCTCAATGGATATAACCCAAGAACACAAAACTCAATTTAAAAAGTCATTTCAGCAGCTAAAGATAAAAAATTCTGTTATTTGTCTGTGATTGGTAAATACTTTTGCATGTGTGATCAACTGTATGGTTATGTGATTTCAAATTTCTAATTTCATATTCAATCTAGGTGTACGGCACTTTCAAAAATCACCTTATTATCCAAAGAAATACTATAATAGAAATACAATAAAGTTTTAGAATTTTAAAATGTAGCAGTTTGTTAAGCCTTAGCATATAATTAGACAATCCTACTTCTGTTTATCTTTTTATTTCCTTTGTCGACTAACTCACTTTATTTTTCTTATACTTTTATAAATGAGAGGACAGAATGTTCTTATTCTGGGTAAAATCTTGGAATCATTAATTTCCACCTTTATATCTGATGGTTTAAGAGGTTAGTGTCTTTTTAAAGCTATGATGTCATAGATTCACATAAGAGTAAAGGTTCCATCCTTCTCTCCATACTGGAGTAGAGAAATACTTTGTCTATATCCCTTTGCTGCTGAGGCCTACTGGTGGCTGAGATCATTTACATGGTGAATACCTTCACAGAAAGCTTTCTAGAAACACTATTCAGGGCACCAGAATCACTCCCTCCCAACTGTTGATGAATCCTGAGCACAAAAAGACCTGCCATCACAAGTCACAAGAATTCTACTAGCAGAGTAAATCATATGGGAAAATATATCATATTTCACTCTTAAACAGGTAACTAAAACTCCTGAAAACTTTTAGCTTTATCAACCTAAAAAACAGGAATAAAATGTGAAAAACAGCCTTTTAAATAAATAGGGAAGCTTCCAAAGGGGGGGAAAATTTGTGATGGAAGAAAGGAGGTGGGAGCTGTTATCAGGGAGGTGAGTGAGCGCCGGAGCTCTGGATGGCCTGAAGACATATGTAGATCTGGAGGAACTCACTAGGGATCAGAGAAACTAGAGACAAAACTTGGGCCTATGCAGGTAAGAAGGGGTCCTTGACCATCCCAAACACATGGGATCCAGAACCTCTGCTGTCAGGGAAAGGGTGAACTAGAAAATAAACAAAATAAAATAAATTCCACAGACATTTGCAGACAGTAGAGAAAAGATGGCAATTTCCCTGCCTCTGCTTGGTTTCTGTGAGGAGTTACAATAAAAAATTCTACCCTAAGTAGTTGTGGCCTGTGGGGTCCTCACTTGGAAACTAGGTCTGGGTCTACATTATTAGTTTGATCCTGCAAACTTCAGGCCAACCTACATGCTCAACTTCATTAGTCATCAGAGGAATTCAAGCTAAAATTAAAATGATATACCACTACACACCCAACACAACAAATGAAATGAAAATAAGACAAAATATCAAGTGTTAGGAAGGAAATAGAACATCTTGACTCATATGCTGTTGAGTAAAAAAACACTAGGCACTTATGCATGCCATATGATCCAGCAATTCCACCTCTAGGTATTTGTTCAACATAAACGCATACATATGTTAACCAAAAGACAGGTACTAGAATTAGAATATTCACAGTAACACTACTTGTAATATCCCTTAACTAGAATGCCCACTAGCAGTATAATAGATGAGTAAATTGGGATATAGTAACACCACTGAAATCTACACCTCAATGAAGATGAATAAATTATTGCTACATGCAATCGCATGGTTGAAGATCACAAATGTAATTCTGAGTGATAAAAAAAAAGACACAAAAGAGTATGTATTATCTGATACAAACCAGGCAAAGTTAATCTATGATGTTAGGAGTCTGGGTAGTGGCTACCTCTGGGGAAAGGCTGAGTACTGTTGGAAGAGGGCATGAGGAGGACTTCTGAGATTTGGCAATGTTCTATCTCTTGGTAGGGGTGGCTGGTTCCATGAGCATGCTCAGTTTGTAGAAATGCATCAAGCTGTACACTTAGGATATGTGCATTTTGCTGCATGTGTATTGTATTGCAATGGAAACATTAAAAAGTGGAATCAAAAGGCTGTGTGAGATGGCATGTAGAGCATCTTGACAAACAAACATCTGTTTTACCCACAGATGGAACATATATGCCTTTTTAAGAAATCTGATCTTATTTCTATCCTCATACATAAAATGTAATTGAGAGAAAACAATAAATAAATAATTTACCTAATTATGAAAATAACTTCACCAAAAATAAAGGTTAACTATATATGAAAAAATAAATTCTAGGCTCCTGGAAGAAGTTGACACAGATCCCCCCTTGAACAAGTCCTCTTTAACTCAGGCCTCAAAGAATCCTACAGATAGAGTTCTAACAAATATGACCTTATTCACACACACACACACACACACACACACACATACACACAGAGAGAATAATAAGCAACTACGTGTCAGATTGAGCAGAAACAACAAAGTAAACCAGATCCACAAAACTTTAGAGATAAAATTTATATATATATATATAAAAAACACAAAATATGTTTAATATGTTTAAAGAAACAAAAGAAGGGATTTAAACACATGAGTAAGGAGGAAGAGATTAAAAAATGACAAGCCATATTTTTAGAAAGATTGAAAAAGACTTTCTAAAAATAAAAATAATAATAATTTAAATTTAAAAATAAACACAGGGAGTAACCAACTGATTAGATCCAGCTGAAGAGAAAATTTGTATATTGCAAGATAGAGATAAAGAAATAACACAAAATTATCAGCATGTTAAGGACATGGGAAAATATAAGAGATATGGAGAAAAGGTGAAAAGGGTGGCATATACATAATTGGAATTCCATAAAGATCGAAAAGAGAGAATGTTGAAAAGGCAATATTCACAAAGATGATGAGCTTTCTAGAACTGATGAAGGAATCTTGAGGATGGATGAAGAATCCTCATGCATCTTCAATCCTCATGAAATCTGCAGATTTATGAAGCTTAGAAAATCCCAAATAGGATTAAAAACACAAAAATGGAAACCTATACTTAGACACATTGCAATAAAATTGCAGTTCACCAAAGACTAAGGAAAAAAGAGCCAGAGAGGAAAGATGGACTACCTATGAAGGATGGAATTTAGACGGACAAAAGACTTCTCAACAGCGATAACAGACAGCAGAAGATTAAAAGTTCCAAATTGCTAAGAAAATATATGTCATCCTATAATTATATACTCAACAGAACTAAATTTCAAGGACCAGAGCAAGAATTAGGACATTTTCAGGTAAACTACCACTCAGAACATTTACATCCAAAATCCCCACTAAAGAAACTTCTAAAGGATATAACTGAAGTAGGAAAAGGACACTAGGGTAATGTCTGCGATGCAGGAAGATTGAATCAGCCCCCGCGGATGGGACTCTGATGCACACACAACACGTCCAACACCAGGCTCATGTGTCTTGGGAAGAACACCTGAACCATGAAAACATCCTCCCCTTAAGACCAGGACCGAGAAAGTCGGGTAATGGGCAGCATGTGCCTCTTCCTCCTTTGTCCGTGTTACTCAATAGATAGTCATCATTTTCTTTAAAAATGGTATGACAGATTAAATGAAAAAATGATTTTTAGAAAGGTTTATAAAGTTTTCAATGGAATACATTTCTCTAGCTGTAAAAGCATTTCCTGCCTTGACTTAACCACAAGACAGGATGGGTTGATGAAGCAGAGGCCCTCTTCTTTGTAGTGACGCAGAGGCAGTACAGGCTTGTGGTTAAGAGCGTGGGCTCTGGAGACAATTCGAATGCCTCTCAACAGCACTCTGGGCCCATTGGTGTTTCTTCACCTCTCTAAGTTCCAGTTTTCACATGTGTAAGTTAGTACCCAGTTTCTAAGATTGTTGTGAGGGTTAAATGAAACGACATATGAAGCAAAGTTCCTAGCACATGGGAGGCATTCACTGTACGTTAGCTGGTAATATTGTTTTAATGACATTGGTAGTCTGCACCAATCTTTGTGCTGTCCCCTACATTTTCTGAAAAGAAATCATCTTTAGTCATCTAGCCACAGCATAGCAGAAAAGCTGGAGGTGCTCAGAGTGTAATTTATATGGTAACACTTCACGTATAATACTAGGCTCTGCAGATAATAGTTGTTCATTTAATTTGGGTGGATCTGAGATTTTAGTGGAATACTGTATATAATTCCTATTACAGTATTCACATATCTTTTCAGATATTATTTTGCCTCCTTTAATCAAATTTTGAGAAAATTGTTTTTAGAACAAGCACTGAGAAATTTTGGTGAGTTTTTAATTTTTTAATTTTTACCAGATGTCAAAAAAGACAATCTACAGTATATTAAAGTATATCTATTCTTGAACAGATCTAAAAATAGTACAAATCATTGATGACGATGACCAAAAGTACAATATTTTCCTACAGTGTTATAGAAAATGCTTGCTTTCATCTATCAGTTTAATAGTTACTTATTAAGACTCTACTATATATTTCAGGCACTGTGGTAGTCACTTATTAACTAATAATTATTACTTGACATTTATTAATACTGGAAATATTCTTTCCTAATATCACATTTTTTTCTGATGGATATAAAAAGTATTTACTGGACCATTGTACAGATGAGGGATTGGTGCCAGATAGCTCTAAAGCCAGGGGCTGGTAGGCTTCTTCCTAATACTGAATGAAGTTTGCCAAAGCACTGTTTCCTGAAAAGAAAATAAAGTATGAACAACCCCCTTTTTCTATATCTATGGTTTTGCCTAATTAGTTCTAAATTTAAAGTTTGGCCCTTTACCACTGCTCAAAGTAGAGGAAACCATGTGTCTTCCTCATTTCTTTCTCTCTTATCATGCTTTGCATTACCACATTTATACAGCCTAAACCAGGAAGAATGTTGCGAACATCACTGACAATTATGCCAAAGCATGTTATCTACTTTAAAATATTATTTTATTTTTTAATCTTATACTTACCCATATTTCTTCCGGTGATGTGTTTGTTGACTGAGGAGCTTGATAAATCTGTGCCTGCATCAAGTCAAGAAGAGAAACCAACACTGCTGAGGGGACAGGAAATTGCACTCATATTTCAGCACAAACCAATGAGGAAGCAGCATCTCAATGAGAAGGGTGTGCGTTATCCAAGTTTGAACAAAAAAAGTCTCTTAAATACTTTTAAAGATGTTTTTATTTATTGTTTACTGTACTGTAATTTTTATAACTCACTTGTCTCATTGCATCTTAATTACAAGTATGTACTGATATTATATTATATGCCCTTTACTTAATGGAATATATGTTAAATATTTTATTTATTTCTTTGTTCATTCATTCATTCATTCATTCATTCACTCATCATGCCAGCAGTGTGCGGGGAGATGTATACGAACTGGCTATCAACCAAAAGCAGCTTTTTTTACCTAGTAAAGGAGAAAGACATGTTTAATAATGATTGTAATGCAATGGCAAAATGAAGAAGTACTTCAAGAGGGGTACAGATAAAATAGAATGAACCATTTGGATGTGTGAGATAGGGGAGGATATTGTAGGTAGATTCAGGGTGATAAAGTTCCTGGGACAAAAACAGAAAAGGGAGAATTGAGGCTGAGGGGTTTAATGATGGATATTGTGCTGCTTAAGGCAGGGGTTAAGGTAGCCAACCTCATACCGTCTTTCTTTTCTTTTTTTTTTTGAGAGACTAATGGGATTAGATATATAGTATTTGATTGTAGAACTATTTTCTCCTTTGATTCTCTCCTCTTGGAAACAGAGATGGCTAAAAACCAGTTGAATTAACTAGCTGAGACAAATAATTTTATGAAACTTGAAAATTTTATTTAAGACTTACATTGTTATTATAAAAACTCTTGTACTTTAGCAAGTTAAAGTTAATGCCAAATCTATAAGTGGTTTAATATGAAGTGAAATTAGCTCCTATAACTTTCTTACTATTGATATATAAAAAAGTCAGAAATATCACTTTTGAATCTTGCCCTCATAAACTTTTATTAGAAATGAAGGGAAAATATTATTTGAAAGAACAGAATTTATTTGGGATGAAAACATTTGACTTAATTTTAAAGATGTAATCAGGACATTTTGAATCTGTGTTTGTTAAAGGACATTAAGGGTTGTTGCTGGTGTTTTTTTTTTGTTGTTTTTTTCTCCCTACCCAGAGATAGAAAAGATTAGCCTGTATATAAGCAAGGCTTTCCATATTGAAGTTGATCAGGGTATATCAGGAATGTAAAGATTTTCAATACTTCCGTTGTAGGTCTTTCTTTGAGAATAATAAAACTAATACCTTACATTTATAAAGCACAGGATAGTTTATAAAGTAATTTAGCATATAGTAAATTATAAATCAATATATTGTTACTGAAATAATAAAAATTAAGTATAAAGTAAAAAATTAACAATAAATGTCTTGAAGTTTTACAAAAATGAAAAGTAACGATTTCAGTTTACTTGTGACTGTAATTCAAAGTTCTCATTTTTGCTTGGTTTCGTACATCTGCTTATCTGTGGTTTCTATACATGATATATCTTTTTTTAAGTTCGGGGTACAAGTGCATTGTTACGTAGGTATTTCATTACTCTGATGATCTCTTACTTTATCTGAATAGACTATACTTCTGCTTTTAGGGAAAGGGTATTTTCATGTCCATATCTAATATTCATGTATTTTGCTTTTCAAAAGAAAAAGATTATCATTAAGAAACATAAGAAACACAAACTTTCACTTCTGATTAAAGAGGAGAAAAAGCTGGAGCTGACCTATGCTAAAACCTTGCCAACTCTACACAATAAGAAATTTACCAGCTTTTAAGAAATTTGCTTCTTAATATGGAAAATATGGCAATACTGTATTTTCAACTATAGGGCTATCTTTTATAATGAACGGTTAGAAATTTTAAATCATTGAGTCACTGTGACATTTTAACAACATAACAATGAGATAAAGACAATTAGTAGTTATTCAGAACACTGCCTTAACGGGGTTGGCATTTCTGACCAGTCAATTATTTGGTTTTCTGTGGTCACAATCTGGGGACCCAACACTGGCCAGTTGGGCTACTCATGGGGTAATGGGGAGGAGATTGTGGATCTACCTGGTTCCAACTTCTCCATTGGGCAGACAGTGCAAGAGTGTGTTCTACTGATGAAGGGGTCCTTTGTGAGGCCACACTATCTGCTAGGTGTAATTTCACTAGCTAAAGCGGCAACTAAATATGGCAGGGTAAGATTTTGAAATAATGCTATATTTTCCCAGCCACATTTCTTTTCACTCTAGCCCTACCCTTACACAATCAGTGAGCCATTTTGCATTTATTGCCTCAAGGAAATTTCTGGCACAAGCGGGGGGGAAAAAAAGAAGACAATGTGAGTTTTGACTTTCAAAAATTCAAGGCCTTGGAAAAGACTGAGGCACAGACACTATGCTTGGGAGAATATGTGCTGAAATAAAGTAAAGCTTCCCAGCCCCCAAAACTGAAAAAGATTGTCCTGCTTGGCGGGGGTTGGGTTTAACGTTGTGAGAGAGGAAGTATGTTCAAGAGTTAGATGTGGTCAGTGCTTGAGAAAGGGGCCCTGCATCCTGATTGCTGTACTCACTTCCAAGCAAGCCCTGAGGTAGGGGTGGGTGACAAACACCCTAGATGAGTTGTGTGATCTGGGGAGGAGAGTGAACCTGTGCCTCATTTCCAAGGAGAGACTCAGGAGTATGTACCTGAGAGACCTCACTGTCATAGTTGGGTATGGTTTGTTTGTCTTTATAAAGCTGGTGTTGATTTGATTCCCAGTGTGGCAGTAGTGGGAAGTGGGGCCCAGTGGGAGACGTTTGGGCAATGGGGGTAGATCCCTCCTTAATGGCTTGGTGCTGTTCTGAGGTAGTAAGCGAGTTCTCTTTCTGGATTAGTTCTCCCAGGAATGGATTAGTTCTCGAGAGAGTGGGCTATTATAAGAGCCTGGATACCTCTCCGGCCCTCTTTGCATGTGTCCACTTTCCTTTGGACTTTCTTTGCCATGCTGTGATGCAGCATGAAATCCCTTGCCAGAAGCTGGGACCACATCCTTGAATTTCTTGGCCTACAGAATCATGAGCTAAATAAACCTCTTTTCTTTATAAATTATCCAGTCTCACGTATTATTTTATAGCAACACAAAACAAACTAAGACACTCATCAAGTCCCTCTGTGCCCGTATAGCACAGGTGGAGTAGAATGAGGGGCACAAAGAAGTGATGGGAAGCCTCAGCCCATCTCACAGCACTTTCAGTGGCCCAGTGTGGCACTTTGTGTCACGGATGAGGGACAACTCAGGTTAATACTACCTGGGCTAACTACCAAAGACCAGAAGGGAAAGGGGGTGTCTCAGGGGATGCCAGCATTGATAGAGGGCAGTTCTGAGAACCAAGGGTCAAGCCACCTTCCAGTCCTGGCAACATGAAAAGTCCCTAAATCTTAGCTGGTGTTATGAACTGAACTGTGTCCTTTCCCAAAATTCATATGCTGAAGCCCTAATCCTCAATACTTCAGAATGTGGCTGCATTTGGATATAGAGCCTTTAAAGAGGTGATTAAATTAAAATAAAGCCCCAAGGATAGGCCCTAATCCAATCTGACTGCTGTCCTTATAGGAAGAGGAAATTTGATAGCCTAGAAGAAACGGAGAAGTTCCTAGGCACATACAACTTACCAAGACTGAAACATGAAAAAAAAAACAGAAAGTCTAAACAGAGTAATAAAAAGTAAGGAAATCTGATTAGTAATAAAAATTCTACCACCGAAGAAAAGCCCAGGAAGTCGTCACTGCTGAATTCTACCAAACATTTAAAGAAGCCATACCAATCCTTCTCAAACTCTTCCAAAATATTTGGAGAAGTGGGAATACTTCTCAATTTATTTTATGAGGCCAGCATTACCTAGATAGCAAAGCCAGACAAGAACACTACAAGATAAAAAGTTACACGCGAATGTCCTGATGAACATAAGATACAGAAATCCTCAACAAAATACTAGCAAACTGAATACAATAGCACATTAACAGGATCTTTCACCATACATCACTTTAACAGAATGAAGGACAGAAACCATTTGATCATCTCAATACATGCATAAAAAGCATTTGACAAAATTTAACATCCTTTCACAAGAACTCTCAACAAATTAGGTGTAGAAGGAATGTACCTCAACATAATAAAGGCCATACACGACAAACCCACAGCTCACATCATATTAAATGGTGAAAAATTGAAAGCTTTCCCTCTAAGATCAGAACAAGACAGAATGTCCACTCTTGCCACTTCTATTTAACATAGTACTGGAAGTCCTAGCCAGAGCAATTAGGCAAGAGAAAGAAATAAAAGATATCCAAATTAAAAAAGAAGTTAAATTGTTTGCAAATGACATAATTTTATATATAAGAAATCATAAAGGCTCTACCAAAAAATCATTAGAACTAATAAACAAATTCAGTAAAGTCACAGGATACAAAATCAACACACATATGAACAGCATTTCTATACACTAACAATGAACTATCCTAAAAGTAAATCAAGGAAACAATGCCATTTATAAGAGCTACAAAAATATGTAGAAATAAATTTAACCAAGGAGATGAAGGACCTGTATGCTGAAAACTATAAAACACTGATGAAAGAAATTGAAGAAGGCACAAATAAATGGAAATATGTCCCATGCTCATGGATTAGAAGAATTACTATTGTCAAAATGTCTAAAATGACAATGTCCATATTGTCAAAATGTCCTACAGATGCAATGCAATTCCTATCAAAATTCCAATGCTATTTTTCACAGAAACAGATAATGCAACCATAAAATTCATATGGAATAAAAAATAACTCTGAATTGCCAAAGCAATCTTGGGCAAAAAGAACAAAGCTGGAGGCATCACACTACTTGACTCCAAAATCTACTACAAAGTTACAGTAATCAAAAGAGTACTGGCATTAAAACAGAAACATAGATCAATGGAGCAGAATAAAAAGTTCAGAAATAAATATACACATTTACAGTTAATTGATTATTTTTGATAAAGGTGCCAAGAACACATGGGGAAAGGCAGTCTCTTCCATAAATGCTGTTGGGACAACTGGATATTCACATCCAGGGGAATGAAATAAGACCTTTATCTCACACCATATGCAAAAATTTACTCAAAATGGGTTAAGACTTAAATGTAAGACCTGAAACTGTAAAACTGGTAGAAGAAATCACAGAAGAAAACTCCATGACATTGGTCTGGGCAATGACGTTTTGGATATGGCCCCCAAAGCACAGGCAACAAAAGTGAAAACAGACAAATGGAATTACATTAAACTAAAAAGCTTCTGCATATCCAAAGAAACAGTCAATGGAGTGAAGAGAAAACCTACACAATGAGAGAAAATATTTGCAAGCCACACATCTCAGGGGTTAATATCTAAAATAAATAAGGAACTCAGCTCAATAGCAAGAAAATAAGTAACCTGATTAAAAATGGGCAAAGGAGCTGAATAGACATTTCTCAGAAGAATACATACAAAAGCCCAACAGGTATATTAAAAAATGCTCAAA
This sequence comes from Homo sapiens, assembly GCF_000001405.40. NCBI lineage: Eukaryota > Metazoa > Chordata > Mammalia > Primates > Hominidae > Homo > Homo sapiens. The sequence goes on along the minus strand of NC_000014.9, from coordinate 87,999,620 downwards.
ATCACTAATCATAAGGGAAATGCAAATTGAAAACATAATGAGATATCACCTCACACTTGTTAGAATGGCTGTGATCAAAAAGAGGAAGATGTTTTTGTCAAGGATGTAGAGGAAAGGGAACCCATGCACTCTGTTGGTGAGAATGTAAATTAGTTTAGCCATTGTGGATAACTGGCAGTTCCTCAAAAAACTAAATGGAACTACCATGTGATTCAGCAGTCTCACTACTGGGTATATTTCTGTTGAAGAGCATTGTGATAGATGTTTCAAAAATATTTTGAGTGGTGAGAACCTCTTGTACCGTCATTTTCTTCATGTCTGAGACCTGGCGCTAGGTGGACTCTAAAATTCTTTTCCTGGCGGGAGTGCAATAAAGTGAGTATTTGCAATACAAGGAAGAGTAGAAATATCACAGGTAAAGCATAGGAGGACAGTACAATTTCTTGGAATTCCTTTATTTGAGCAAATCTATGCTGTAACAATTACCAGCAAAAGGACTACAGGTGGTGAAGGCAGTTTTTACAGTGGAGAAATGCAGACATGGAGCCTGATAATTCTTTACAATTATCACATCAGCTTTGGATTATAACCGGGTGTGTCCATCAGGGTTCCTTGCTGCAGGTAACAGAAACCATCTGTGGGTTACCTGAGCAGAAAATGAATGACTTAGAAAGAAAGAAATGAGGATATGGAACAAATTGATGCAGAAACTTCAGAATAAGACTTGTAAAATGGGCTAGAGTCCAAGGACCAAAAAGATAGCCAGGTCACTCTGTCTGAGCATTCAGGTGAGAATGGCACTGCTTGATCCCACTACTTTAGGTATCTGAGGCCACCTCTGATGGAGCCTCTATGCAGCTGCCTCCTCTGGACTCTGATATGGCTCTTGTGGGATTTCTCAACTGTGCATACATCTAGTTACTCTTCCAAGGTCAAATTTGCAGGTTCAAGAAACTGATTGAGAAAGCCTGGTCATTGTCAGAGCCTGTACTGATAAGGACAGTAAGAGAGAGGATCTGGCTCCTTAACTTCTGAAGGAGGCAGAATTCTCTTTCACACCAAGACTCTCACTATGAGGAATCAGCCACACACAACATAGATTTGGATGACTGTGGACAACAACCCAGCAAAAAGAAAAACTGAGACCAATACAAAGACAGGAATAATCTGTTTTTGCAGAATTAATTGTGGGGAAAGCAGTAAACTCAAAAGTTGTACGATAGTTATATAGGTATGTCATTTATGTTATTATTTATATAATAAGCACTTATATAACACATAGGATGTGTGGGTCACTCTTCTAAGTGCTATAAAAATATTAGCTTGTCCAATGTTCACATTAATGTATTGCCATCATTATCTCTATTTTATGGATGGGTAAACTGAAGCCCAAAGAAGTTACATAACTTAACCAAAATTACACTGCTGCTAAGCAATAGGAGAAAGATTTGAAGCCAGGAGACCTGGGGCTCCAGAGCCAGTATTCTAACTACTATACTACACTGCTCTTTGCTATAGAAGTTTTTATTTGTAGTTATACTTAAGAAAATGTTCAGTAAGCAATTTATAATTTATTTCATTAGGTGGATTCTGTCCTTTGACTTATTTTCATTTTGTTTATATAAAATCTTGAATGAATAGAGCCTTATAACATATTTTAGAGAGAAGTCACTCAGTAGGGCAGTATAACTAACAGTTGCCATCAAGAAACACGTCCAGAGTTGAAAGACCAGACAAATGGCAGATGTTGGATATATACTGAAAGGAATATAAGTCATTCTCCCATAAAGACACATGCAAGTGGATGGTCATTTCAGCACTATTTGCAATAGCAAAGCCATGGAATCAACCTAAATCTCCATCAGTGGTCTATTAATGGATAAAGAAAATGTGTTACATATACAACCTGGAATACCATGCAGCTATAAAAAAGAATGACAGGCCAGGTGCTGTGGCTCAGGCCTGTAATCCCAGCACTTTGGAAAGCCGAGGCGGGCAGATCACGAGGTCAGGAGTTCGAGACCAGCCTGACCAACATGGTGAAACCCCGTCTCTATTAAAAATACAAAAATTAGCCAGGTGTGGTGGCACACCCTGTAATCCCAGCTACTCAGGAGGCTGAGTCAGGAGAATCGCTTGAACCTGGGAGGCAGAGATTGCAGTGAGCCGAGATCGCACCACTGCACTCTAGCCTGGATGACAGAGCAAGACTCTGTCTCAAAAAAAAAAAAAAAAAAAAAAAAAAGAATGAGATCATGTTCTTTGTAGCAACATGAATGGAGCTGGAGGCCATTACCCTAAGAAGACTAACACAGGAATAGAAAACCAAATACTGCATATTCTCACTTATAAGACGGAGCTGAACATCGAGTACATATGGACACAAACAACAACAAAACAACAGGCACTGGGGCCGACTTAAGGGTGGAGGATGGGGGATGGGGAAGGATCAAAAAACTACCTATTGAGTACTATGCTTATTACCTGGGTAATGAAATAATCTGTACATCAACCCTAGGACATGCAATTTACCTTTGTAACAAACCTGCACATGCACCCTGAACCTAAAATAAAAGGTAAAAAATATAGCAGATGTTACAGGACAGTTCAAGAAAACACTCCACACTCTTATGTCCCAGGGGATTCCTACTTTAAGAAACGTTTCCAACTCCTTTTGTAAATAATTCTTTATTCGTATCCCCTTATGTGACCATTCAGTGATTTGTCTTTTAGTTCAATTCAACTAATATTTATTGAGTACTTAGCACAGTTTGGGCACTGTGCTTAAGACATACAAAGAAGAAATAAACTTGGCCTCTGCCCTGGAATTTCTGACAGCCTAATAGCAAAAACATGGAATCAACCTAAATGCCCATCAATGGTAGACTGAAGGGGAGGTGGACTGATTTATAAAAGTAAAGCCTTTTCCTGAAGTGAGACAACAGACTGCTATCATACCGTTTTATGATAGTCTTGGGGAAATAAAAAAAAAAATCCAGACTGCTATTAGAGTTTATCAATAAATTTTCATTAAAAGGCAAGATCTCTGATCCTTCTCAAGAGACTATTTGATTTTGATCACATTATTTTATTTAGAAAAAGGAGAGATTTGGGGTGGCTGAAGTATAGTTGTGATACTTAGAAACACCTGTTATTTAAGAGAAAAATCATCGTGTTTCCTTTGGCAGCACATTTACAAACACTGGAATGTTACAGAGATCAGTGTGGCCTCTGAGCAAGGATGACATGCAAATTCTTGAAGTGTTTCAGATTAAAAAGACAGAGAGAGAAACACTGTCATTACTTTTTAAACTCATTTAAAATCTGAAAACTGGGACCTTCCTTTCTTACCGTCTTATCTCACTGACCCTGATCCACAGACGCAAGGGAAGCTAAGCATATGATCACTCGTGGGGTAACTGTCATTTTTCTTTATCTCACATCTTGAGCACATTTGAGTGCCGTGCCCAGCACTCCAAGGATTTCTGTCAGCATGTATTTATTGGCCTTTTATTAGAAACTTTCTTACCTCATGTCTGCTCTCATGAATATAGATCAGAAATTAGAAACAAAAAATATTTATCTGGTAAGCAATTTCTTTGGTAACTGAACTAATAGGAACTACTGGGACTTCCTGGAAGTGAGGCTACCTTTTCCATTAGAGTTTATGCTTCCTCTTTTGTAGACTTCACACATTGCTCAAATATTTGTGGCGTGCATTCCAACTACAAGGTGCAATTGAGGGACGAGAAAAGGGAAAACTTAGTTGGGCAGACAGCTAAAGTTGGTCTTTGGTAAAATTCTTTTAAACAGAAAGACAGCCTGAAAAATCAAGCTACAGGCACACATAGAGTGGCCTGGGGAAAACTCAGGCAACAGCTGCCCTGATAAGAAAGGAAGGCCCAACATAGAAGCCTTTTGTTCTTTGTGTGATTAGCAGGTTCCCAGGAAAAAGTTTCTTCCCCTTTTCAGGCACATACATGGTGGGCTCTGTGGGAACTTGCATGGGGGTGGAGAGGGTGATTACCTAGAACCCACAGTTACACAAACAAGAGAAGCTGAACTTTATCCTTACCCAAGACATACCCACAGCTGCACAGATAAGGGGAGCTGCACAGATAGCTTTACAAGTAAGTTACACAAACAGCTACAGAGATGAGAGGAGTTTCTTATAAAAGCTTTTGGATTCAACTGTAAAAGTGGCAAAATGGCAAAGAAAGAAAGCTTTCTTCTTTCATATAATAAACTTTCTCTTCAACCTCACTCTGGTGTCCACACTCCTTAATTCTCTTGGTTGTGAGACAACAAGCTTGGATAACACCTCAGACAACGAGACCACTGACCACTGACCCGTTTCACAATGACGTACTACAGGATGGTGTATGCTGGGTATTCATACATCGTCATGCAACTTCCTAGTTTTATGTGTAAGGTAGTTTCCTCTGTCATCACCTTGGTATTTCCCATCTAGTCACGGTATTAAGTGGGTCTTATGCGCTTGTTAAGAGCTGGTAAGAGAAGCTTAACATTCACTTGATGGAATGGTTACTGTGGCTTGTATCCACAGGAGCTCCAGCTCATGCTTAAAATACTGTGTTAGAACAAATGGATCAGAGTGAATTCTGTAACAGTAAATCCACAGAACTGAAAATTACTGACTTGCATCATAAACTGGTTGCAGTGGCAAGGCAGAGAGTTCAGATTCGTGTTGTACTGGGGAAAGAAGAAACCAAAGAAAATAAGTGGTTCATACACAGGGGACTATTTAACTGATCCAAGCCAGAAGACTACTGAGGGTGAAAGGAGCATTATCAGTAATTATGTTTAGACAAAAGTTGTGACTGTCCTTAGTAAACCAGGATAGACGTAGAGTCAATTCAAAAAGAAAGAAAGAACAAACATATCTAATGTACATTAAGAACCCAGGGATATCGGGTTCTTAATGTGCATATTTATTGGATTGCCCAGAGCTTTGACCTTCAAGTATAATTGAGTTCTTGAAACTTAGATTTAGGTTTGTGGTTAAGGGGCAAAATAATCAGATTCCAAATAGGGTTCTGCAGACAAATCCCACAGGTCCTAAAGTCTCTGGGTCTTTTCCTTGCCATTGTGGTATCTCAGGGGCTTGTGTAGGCAATGATAACCAGTTCCATACTTCTGCTAAGAGAAATTTGGGGATCAGAAAATCTTTCTCTGCAGCTCTTCAGAGTCTCTTTAATTTACTTCAATAACAAGGAAATCAGAAATCTCAGGACAGTGCTGGATGTGGCAGAAATTCAGGGCAATTCACAACTTTCCTACCAATTTAGAGTTACCTGTCTGGAATCACTTCAACTGACAGTGGAAGATAGTTTATAAAATTGTAGGGGAGGCAAAATTTCACCTTCGTCCCTGTAGGGTCCCAGCATGGCCCTAGTATTAAATTGATTTAAGATATTAATAGACTGACAGGAGACAACCACACAAATGTTTATTTTACATAGCACGGGGGCCCTCATTAAAAAAAAAAAAGACCTAAAGCAGCAGTTAAGAGCCAATTGCTTATAGAGTGAAATGGACAAAAAATAGTAGTTGTGAAACATGATAAGGCGAAGGGGCTTGGGGTAAAGAAGCGACTAGAAAGATAGGGATTAACAAATTTTGTTTGGACAGATTTCCCTCGACTTCAACTTTCTGTCCTTGAAGATAACAATGTTATTTTATAGGGAAGACATCTTTCACATGGGAATTTCATCTCCTCCTTTTAAGACACATAATATCCATGACAGTGATCTTGCACCTGCTGTTTTTAAGTGCCTTTAATTTAAAATAGTCAATATGCCACAGCAGCATATTTTGAGGTGGTATATTATTAACTCCTTCAAGGCTAAAAGCTTTGAATATGCCGGGGTAGTTACCAGACTGGAGAACCTTCTCAGCTATTTGCCACTTGTGGAATGCATTCAAATGTACTGAGTGCTTATTAACTTTTCTCTCAGTCCCTCACTCTGCTGCTCTTCTCGCCTCATCTCACATAAGGGAAAACTCAGGCTCCAAAAGCAAAGTGATTCCACCAAGATGACAATGGAATCGGGACCTGGTGTCCAAGCCTGGTCCTCGCACGAGGTAGATACTCCCTGAGATGCTGGGGAAGAGCCATGGTAGGGCCACTCATGGCCCTCTTCCTTTGGCGGACCTTGGAATCCACCTTCCCTGCGTTAAAGTGCTCCACCAGGTGACGCCGGAAGAGAAGCCAGCAGTAAGTACATGTGAAATCCAGTAGCTGACCACAGACACGCGAGCGATAAGAAAAAGCTCGCTGCTTCTTTTCTCAACACTCCGCCAGCTGCGTCAGAGGCCCTTGACCCGCACTCAAAATGGCGGCGGCGGCGTCAGCATCAGCGGCCTCCTGCCCGTATCTATCGTGGCGGCGACGGGACCCGCCTCCCTGGGCGCCGGAGTCATGTGACCCACACAATGGCTGAGTGGCTACTCTCGGCTTCCTGGCAACGCCGAGCGAAAGCTATGACTGCGGCCGCGGGTTCGGCGGGCCGCGCCGCGGTGCCCTTGCTGCTGTGTGCGCTGCTGGCGCCCGGCGGCGCGTACGTGCTCGACGACTCCGACGGGCTGGGCCGGGAGTTCGACGGCATCGGCGCGGTCAGCGGCGGCGGGGTGAGCGGCAAGCTGCGGGGATACGCGGGGGGCGGCAAGAGCCCGCCCCGTGGGGCCAGCCCCACAAGCCCCCGCGGCGTTGCCCTGCGTTTCCACCGGCTCCACTCTCCGCCGCATTCCCCTAGGGTGCCAGTCAGCAGGCGGTTGGGGCGGGCCCGCTGCGGGGCTGGGGCGGGTGCTTTCTCGTTTAACACGAACCAGACAGGCAGTTAGGTTTGAACAAATGAGGATCCGGAGGTCCAGAGAGTATAGGTGCAGAGAGTAAAGTGACAGGTCTAAGTAGTGAAGTAGCCGGGGCTGGAACCCTCGTCCCAGGCAGTGGGGCACAGGCTGTCTTCATCGCGGAGATGGCAGTCGGGGAGCGTCGCTCCAGAAAGGGCCAGGGAGTGCGGGAGCGTCCGTGTGCGAAAGAGAACGCCCCAGTGGGATGCTTTGGCTGTGTCTCTCCCTTTTGGAGGAGTTGGTGGGTGGTGGAGTCGTTAAGTCCCGTGCAGTTGTTAGTGCAGGGTAAGAATGGGCTCCTCCAGAGAGGGTAGCGCCGAATAGGATTTCGTTTGGAGGCAGGACTGGTGCCTCAAGGTCTCTTTAAAAGGAAGATAAGCGAGCGGCCTGAAACTACCGGGTACTCCCTCTGGGCCCATGGGCTTCATGGTGGCCGACCTTTGGGTGAGAAGGTTTTTGTTTTTTGGTTTTGTATCCGAAATTACATCTAGGGCTAATGTTTCTTGAAAATGTTAAGGTTGAACTCGGATTTTTGGGGTTGAGTTGGATGGAGCTTGCATCCTTACATTCAACTCAGAACAAGCTTGAATGCCTGCTGCAAGGATGACCTGGTCTGTAGTGTGACCACAAGATATAACCTTCTGCTAGGGGAAATTTTTTTCCCCCTGGAGTTAGCTGATCCTTTTTGATTTTTATGTTTTCATTCCCTAATTTGCAATCTCTCCAGCCGTGCTGATGTGTATTTCAGGGGAAACCTGTGGGCCGATGAGTTAATGCATTTATTCTTTGCTACTACTATTCTCCTTTTTATGTTTTTGGGCTAAACCTGAAACAGCCAATATTTCATGGAGTGAGGCCCCATCTTTTTTATAGCTTTACTTGTGATACTATATCTAGGGTAAGAGCTTACCGAAAAATGGAAGTCTTTGTTTCCATTAGGTTTATTAAGCCCAGTTTAAAATTACTAAGATGAGAAGAATCATTTCGTAATTCAAAGTAGGAAACTCCTACCTAATCTGATAGAATATACAATTATTAGTATCCCTATATAGTTCATTACTCCTCATAGGAACTCACTAAATAATGAAAATTCTTGCAACATTATATTTGCATACCACTTTAAACTTCTTTGTGGAGTCCTTGGTTCCTAGCCCAGGTTGTGCCAGTAAGTGTTTAGAGTGCTGTCATTTAATCTTCATGTCAGAGAGGGAAAGCGGTATGGTACAGTAAGTAGTTAAGAATGTAGGGCCGGGCACGGTGGCTCACGCCTGTAATCCCAGCACTTCGGGCTTCCGAGGCGGGCGGATCACGAGGTCAGGAGATCAAGACTATCCTGGCTAACACGGTGAAACCCCGTCTCTACTAAAAATACAAAAAATTAGCCAGTCTTGGTAGCACGCGCCTGTAGTCCCAGCTACTCGGGAGGCTGAGGCAGGAGAATCGCTTGAACCCGGGAGGCGGAGGTTGCAGTGAGCCGGGATCACACCACTGCACTCCAGCCTGGGCGACAGAGTGAGACTCCGTTCAAAACACAAACAAACAAAAAAACCCAAAAACCAAACCAAAGCGAAACAAAACAAAAAGAATGTAGACTAAAGAGAAGATTGCCAAGAGTGTCTTCTGGGTTCTGCCACTTCACTGTGTGGCCTTGGTGGGTTATCTATTATAACTCCTCTCTGCCTCACTTTCTTTTTTTGGGATACAGTTATACCTGCATGGTAGGAGCGCCGTGAGGATAGACCTAAAGTACTTAGGATGATGTCTTGCACATTACTAATTTTGGTTAATAACCATTTTCAGGGATTAGGGAGGAGGAAGTTATTTCAAGGCCACTGAATGATGAAATGTCCCCAAGGCTTTTTCCTGGGCCTGTAAACAGTTCCAGGCCTCATTCAGGCAGTGTGGTTAGTAATCCCGTGATTTGCTATTGCTAGATGGTGCATTTTAACATTTGGTTATATTGCCTTTGACTTATGCTGTTGTGTTAGGTGTGGCTATAGGTTTGCAATAACATGATTGGTGTGTTTGCCTAAAGCCGATACTTTCTCTGTTAAATGTGGGAGTGCATAGAGGGCAAAAGAAACCCTAGACAGCAAAACGCACAGTATTAATGGCGTAGCGTAGGACAGGAAGCATTGTTTACCTAGGGTCAAGGATATATTAGTGTGCCTATACAGTGTTCATTTAAAGAGTGCCTATTTTAATATTGGAGCCTCTGCTAGGTTGTAAGCTCTTTGAGAAATATGTATTTTAAAAAATTTGTGTATATAACACTTGCCTTTATTGAGAACTTACTATGTGCCAGGTAATGTGCCAAGTCCTTTACATACATCTAATTTTAGTCTTACAGCAGTTGAATGAGTAAGATAGCCCACTTTACAATAATTTGCCTATGATTACATAGCTTATTAATGATGAAATCAGGATACAAACTCCATTTGACTCAAAGACTCCTATTTATGTTGCCAGTACCAGTGCAACAAAAGACCCATAAAATATTTAATAAGTGTTTATTGAATAACAAAGAATGAGGATACAAACTTGAATAAGATACAGTCCATGTCCTTAAGGAACTAAGAGGTGAGTCAGAAAAATAAAGGAGTGCCGGGGTTCAAAGTGTTGTAATAAAGATATGGACCTGGTGCCAAAGGAGAGGCGCTTACATCAAATCAGTGAGCAGGGCCAGAAGGCATCCTTCCTTCAAATTCCAGAGGTGGAATTTGAGCTGAAAGGTGAATTGGAGTTGTCCAAGAGAGGATGTGGGGTGCATTCCAGGCATAAGAATAGAAAACGTTGTTTGATACATCTAGGTAGAAGGTGTGAGAGTGATAAGGGATAAAGTATCAGGGTTAGGAGCCAAATAATTAAGGGATTTGGGTGCAAAATTGAGCGATTTGAACTTTATCCTGAAAGCTTTTGGGAAAGGGACGGTCTTAGCATGTTTACATGGAAGAGTTTCGTGATTACATTTGTATTTTGGGAAGGTTACTCTCGTAAGTAGCATGGAAGATAGAATACAGGGAGAGGCAGAAGGGATGTCCTGAGACCACTTATACTGTTCTCATAAGTGAGGAGGGCCTGGGTAAGTCAGTGGGGTTGAAGAGTAGAGGAGGGATTTGAGAGCTATTGAGGATATCTTGGTGACTGAGGGTACATGGGAAGTTTGGACAAAAGGTGGCCCAAGTTTATGGTTTCGGCAAGTGTTGGTTACTGAGACAGCAAGTTCAGGAAAAGGAGCAGATACATGCAAAAGTGCTATGTTTGGTTTGGGATATATTGAGGTAGATGGAAAGAGTGGCTAGAGAGCAGCTCCATGGGTGTTTGCCTCACTGGTAGGGACTGGGGATGTTTTGGGTGTGACAGAGTAGATATGGGCACTTACCAGAATGTCAGTGGTAGCATATATGAGAATATAAAATAGAAAGTTGAACCCCATAAAAGTATTTTGTCCCAACCATCATACATACACCTGGCAAAGTGTCAGCAGTTTGAACCTAGGACTGTCTGGTTTACAAGCCTGAGGCTACTGTTTCATGCCAAAAACCGGCCTCTTTTTATTTATTTTTTGCTTATATTGCCTCCCAAAGGATAGATTATGGGTCAGTTACTGGTTTTGTGATTTCTTTTTTCAAATAGTTGTATGCCGTGGTCCAGGCATGATCCAGTATTGGTCCCTGCGCTGTCTACCCTTGTCTTTCCATGCATTCTGATGCCACTCTTGTGTTAAGTTTTCTTAGTACAGCCTGGTCTGGAGATTATTGCTAGTTATTCTTAATAGTAACAGGTAGAATTTATGAGGATGGGGAAAGTAGTGCTTCCTTTCAGCATTGCTGCTTGTGATGTTTTTCCGGAAGATGTTAAGGGGAAAAATTACCTGACATTCATCCCTCCCATTTTAGTCCTGAGATATTGTTGTCAAGTGGTCTCAAGATAGAAAACCTGAGTTTCAAGATAAGTTTGTGATCATGAGGTTAGCAAGCTTACCTCCCAGTTAGCCCTCATGCCAGAAGAAGAGAACTTTTTTAGCTGTCGGACAGACAGCAGCCCTACTTGCCCAATGATTGGCACAGAAAGGGCAGACAGACAACTTGTGAGGAACTTTTCCTCAGCCTGACCTTGCCTGAGGCTAAATATGTGTATACCAGGTGGTGTGCGTGAACACTGTAGACAGATATTCATGACTGGATTTCTTTTATTCATACTTTTGAAAACTTTTTTTTTTAGGCAACCTCCCGACTTCTAGTAAATTACCCAGAGCCCTATCGTTCTCAGATATTGGATTATCTCTTTAAGGTAATGAAAACATAATTATTTCATGGTACCTGTGATATTTTAGAAATTGGATGGTGAATTTCACCATAGAATTTATTAGCCTCACAATTCTAGTTTTTGAAAAAATGGCACATTACTTTTGGAATAAATTGCTATTTGAAGTTTTGCTTTTGTTTTTGCGTCTGTAAAACCTAAGGCAGTAATTAGTAATTGTCTTGAAGCTTCATACAATACAACACTATGTTAATACTGTTACTTCTTTTCACAGCCGAATTTTGGTGCCTCTTTGCATATTTTAAAAGTGGAAATAGGTGGTGATGGGCAGACAACAGGTAGGAGAATTTGGGAGATAGGATTTCTCCCATCAACATTTTAATCTATACCTCAGCATATGGACTGTGATTTCAGAATATGTGTAAACAATACCAACACTTTTGAGATTGATTGTTGCTTATTAGAGTTTTCCTCATTTTTTAACTGTAATTATTTAAAAATATTATATAGAATATGACTGGTCCATCAAAAACAATATTCAAACTTCAAATTGCTTATTTAGTTGAAGTAATCGGTAGTAAACAAATCCACAGTTTTCTAAAACCTATATATACAGGACAGAGCATAGGGACAGTTTTGAATTTTATTGAGCAGTTAGAAAGATTTTAATTTCGTATAGAACAAAAAAAGTGTTATTAACTTAAAATATGTGGTAAAAATGATACAGCTTTTTTTTCTTTTAAAAACAAAACTTATCTTTAATCACTAAATCTTCAGTCTTCATTGTCACTATTTTGATTGGCTTTATGTAGTCCATGTTATCAACTGGCAGTTTATAGGCCTTTTGTTTCCAGGAAGAAGAAAAGAAATTCTCTCTATGATTAGATATAGCTTATTATTTACAGAACAGATTCCATTATAATGAACTCTAGAGTATTACTTGTATTCCTGCTAGTGATTTGGAAGTAACTCTTTGTTGAACAGATATGTCTATGTGGTGGTATTAGTGTTTATGTTGAAGAAAAAGTGCAAAGCAAAAACAAAAGAAACCCCCATAACAGAAACTTTCTTCAAGCTATTGCGTTTTACTGTTAAAACCTTTTAGGCAGAATTGACAATGATGGACTAATTTCACTTGCTGAAGCTAAATTAGAGGTAGAGGTACATAAACAGGCAGTTCTTGTGAATTCTGATGTTTACCTTTAAGAAGAAATGGGCAAGGGCCTCTCGGAAGGCCCTACTTAGCAAGGGCAGATGTTGGTGAACTGTGGGAATATACGAGGACTTTGATAGCAATTACCTACCTCAGTGCTAAGACAATGTAACCTCTACTAACTGCAGATGTTAGTATAGAATTTTGTTATTTTTAGAGTGGATATGTATACTCATTCCTTTTTTTTTCCTCAAAACTCTTCCTATATCAAGACATATTATAGGCTAAAGGTGTGGGTTCTGAGAACAGGGCTCACGAGTCCAGGGATTCATATCCAGCGTTGAAAAGCTGAAAGTTGAGGTAATCAGAACTTAAAGTTGGACATGGGGATTTGAAAACTACAGAGAGATCAAAAGCCCAGAAGCATGAATACTGGGAATTTTTAGTTATATGAGGTGATAACATTTCTCTCAGTACTGCTTGTAATAGAAGGTTGTGGTTTTATTAAGACTTTTACAATGCTTAAGATAATAAAAAAAGGATGAAATGATATGCTTTTATCATCCATCCTTTAGTTGTGTAAGATTATGATTTCCCCAACTTCAGGATTAGAACTGGAATACTGCTTTTGTGAAGTGTGTGTCTGGGGTGGGGGTGGGGAGTGAGATGGTCCTAGGAAGTACCATTCATGGATCATTACTTCCGTTTTTGCTCTCCTCTATTCAGACGGCACTGAGCCCTCCCACATGCATTATGCACTAGATGAGAATTATTTCCGAGGATACGAGTGGTGGTTGATGAAAGAAGCTAAGAAGAGGAATCCCAATATTACACTCATTGGTAAGAAATGAAGTTTGCAATGTTTCTTCAGTCTCTTTTCCTTTAACTTTTAAATTCTGAATCGTGTTGGTGGAATCTCTATTAATACGGAAGTACTCATAATGTCATTAATGCTACCAGTATGCTACCAGCAGCAAAGCATGTGCCAGGGGTGATCCTTTCTTTGCCCTTGTATATTATGTTGAATCCTTATAATACCTGTGGAGTAAGGCATGACTCTTTCCATTTTCCAGGAAGAAGCAGTAGAAGCTTAGGAAGATTATGCCACTGACCTAAGGTCATAGACAGTTAGTAAATGGCAAAATCGGTGTTAGCACCTAATTCCATGTTTCCTATGATGCTAAACTACTTTCCTTCACAAGATCTGTCATCAGTATTTATAAAAGGGTAACACTGTTCACAAAAATGTATATTACATGCAGTAGTACACCTAACTAGTTACAAAATTGTATATTGCATGTAGTAGTGAACCCTATTTTTAGAAAAGGTACATACAAAAGTGTTTTTTGTTTATTAGTTAGTTTTTGAACTTCAATAATGTGCTGGTTACTGTTCTGGGACTCAGGAAGCCAATCCCGTCCCCAATTCCTGCACCTGTGGGGCTTAGGTTCTATTGGGAGGATCATTGGCTAGTTGCTTAAATGGGACTATGTACATTTCACAGTTCTGTGAGAATGTGTACAGAGCTTGTGAAGTATTTCAAACATCAAGAGTGATGGGATACTTTCATCATTTGAAATGAATTTGATTTTTTGAAACAGGCTTAAATTCAAACTAAGTTAAATGAAATTAATGATTCATTTTAAAGACCTGATTTCTAGTTATTTAAAAAATAATTTTCTCAACAATCAGGTTAATGAAAAGTAATATTTTCTAAGTTAAAAGAAATTAGGAGTAAGTATGTTCTTTATAAATGGGCTTTTGTAAGAGATTCCAGAAATGCTGTGAGCAGTAAAAGCATCACTGAATTCAGCACATATCCACTAGACTGCTTCCAAGGTCAGACCTCATTTAAATGTAGAAAATATGGCATGCTAAACCATGTCCTAACAAAGACTTGGTAGGCCTTCAGATTGCATTTAGCATTTCATTGTTTTCAAGAATTCTATTACTTTAATGTCACATTTCTTATGTAATACACTTGGGTGTTCCTCCTGAGTTTAGAAAATAAGCATTTTGTCATTTTGATTTTTATTTTTTTCAGTGGTGAACTAGTTTGGTAATATATTTATTGCTGAGGAACTTAACTATTGAGCCTATTTTAATATATTAGTAGCAAGTTAAATTTAGAATTATAATAAGTACTTTTCTACTCTTCTTATTTTTTTACTTAAACATAATCAGGATTATTGGAAGAATATGGACTTATTTGATGTGTATCACTTAACAAGGGTATATTTCTCTATGGAGTCATTGTCATTTATAGTGATATAAGAACAAACTAGTTTTGCTAAATTAGATTGCCTGACTGATTAATATTTTAAGGACCCTAAATTGTAAGAAGATGTACAATTGAATGATAAATTTGTGTTATACATAACTCAAGAGTAGTTTGGCATAAGCCTTTTAGAATTCTTTGATTTGACCTCAAAGAACAGAAGTTGAATATTGAACATTCCAACAGTGAGTGGACATGTTAAGTTAAAACATATGGTACATTTCTTTCTATTGGTAAGGGTCTTGGAGAGAGGTGTTTGTATTTGTTATTTTTCTTCTTCTTGGAAAGAACATTTGAAATTATGGGACCTGACTCTAGGGATCAATAAGGAATTATAGTGTCTATAGATTGGAAAGGATTTCAATAATTTTTATATGGTATATAAACTTTCCTTTAGTCAGATCTGTATTGGTTTTTTGCTAGTTGAATGCTTTTCTTAAAAAAAATTTGTTTTATTTTCAATAGCGCCAGCACCGTTATACCTCCTCTACCTTTGCCTCCTCCCTTCTCTCTGCAGGGTTGCCATGGTCATTCCCTGGATGGCTGGGAAAAGGTTTCGACTGGCCTTATGTCAATCTTCAGCTGACTGCCTATTATGTCGTGACCTGGATTGTGGGCGCCAAGCGTTACCATGATTTGGACATTGATTATATTGGAGTTAGTAATATATTTAAAATATGATTCAGTTTTGGACATTTGTTTGTAATTTAGAAAATAATTTGATTCTGTGGTACTTTTTGACTAACCATTTTATGCCATGAGGCTAATTTGTTCTAATGGTGTCTGATAATAACACAAACTAAGTACCTGTGACCTTTAATTGCTCCCCTTTGCCCATCCCAGTGTTCCCACTTTTGAAAACTGTGTTGAGTGTATACCTCCTTCCTCTGAGCTGGGTTTTTTTTTTTTTTTTTTGTATCAACCCAACTCAAATTCTCCTTCAAAGCTTTCCCTGCTTTCTCTGGTTCCTACAACAGTGTTGTGTTTCCTATACAGCTTATGGGGGGTTAGTCTCATTTTATCCTCTTGTTGTCTTAAGCCAAAGATTGGCAAACTTTTTATTAAAGGGCCAGAGCATAAATAGTTTTGGGTTTGTGGGCCAAAAGGCAATATTGAGGATCTTGAGGTAAATATATAGCCATTTAAAATGTAACTATTTAAAACTAAAAACACTTTTAGCTCTCAAGTTGTAAAATTACAGATGATGGGCCAGATTTGGCAGGCTGGCTGAAATCTGCGTTCACCTGTCACAAACTGTTAGTTAACACCTTTTAAGGATTTGAAAAGTATGAAAAATGATATCATGTCCAGCTTGTCTCTTGGCTGGGTGGAGGCATGCCCCAGGCTGCATCGTACCCCACAGGGCCTTAACACACACATAGTGGGTCTCCATAATCATTTGCTTATTAATATACCATCAGTTAAAACTAATACTTAAACATTTTCATGCAATCATGACTTAGATTATCAGCAAACAATTATTGAGTTCCTACTGTGTTGCAGGAACTGTGACTGTAATATTTGAGGGCTACTAAGATTAATAAGCTCTTGTGTTCAGTAAGAGAAGTAGATGCTGGAACATATAAACTGTAATACTACATGATGATACAGGGCATGAGGATGAGCCAAGGGCTGGAGGAAGTCAGAAGAAAGAATATACTAGTTTTTGCTATCCTTTTCCAAATTATGACTGAAAAATTAGTTTATATTTGAGAACTTTCCTTTTTTTTTTACACTGTCACCCGGATTGGAGTGCAGTGTTGTGATCTTGGCTCACTGCAACCTCTGCCTCCTGGGTTCAAGTGATTCTCCTGCCTCAAGTAGCTGGGATTACAGGCACCCGCCACCACACCCAGCTAGTTTTTTTTTCTTTTTATTAGAGACGGGGTTTCACTATGTTGGCCAGGCTGGTCTCAAACTCCTGACCTCGTGATCCGCCCGCCTCGGCCTCCCAAAGTGCTGGGATTACAGGAATGAGCCACCACGCCTGGCCGGAGAACTTTCTTAAATGTCAGGACATTTATAACCTGTAGTGAGACTAAATGTAGGTTTGGTCTAATAGCTTTCTCTTATGGTACAGTCACAAGTAATGGGTGATTCACATCTTGTTTAGACTCATGATAACAAATGCTATGATGAGGAGGTTCATTGATAAACTCTTTCCTGTATCATTGGAGTAAAAAGACCTGCACCTGGATTCTAGAATCGTCTCTTGTTATTAACAGTTTTCTCAACTGTGGAGTTATGGAAGTTCTTTCAATTCTAAAACCCCATGCTTCATGACTCTAAACCTAATAGATGTATATATGTTCCTTTTATCCATCCTCATTCAGAGTTGCTTTTGTGACTAGTGTATTACTGTGATTCTCTGTGTATGCTTAAAAATATGCCTTCTATACAGTATACATATTAATACTTGGCTTTCAGGGATCTTGTCATAATTGTTGTAACAGTTTCCCTGTCTATTAGTTCTCCAATGCCTAGTATAGTTTCTGGCACACATTGTACTGTCAGTATGTGTTGAATGAATTAATGAATATTCCATTGTTGAAAATCTTTGGAATAAATTACTTTTTGAAAAATACCCACTAAATATTTTAAGGTTTTTAAAAATAATATTTTAATTTTTAAAAAGTTGTGCTATCTTATAACTATCTATAAATTCTATGGCAGGATATCCCATAAAGTTAAAAAATGGCGTATCAGATAATATGAAAGATGATGAGAGAAATGGTATCGTAACGATAATCTGCTTTCTGACATTTTGTAACTTTCAATTCAGACTTTTTTGACTTTTTGTTTTGCAGATTTGGAATGAGAGGTCATATAATGCCAATTATATTAAGGTGTGTACAACTTTAGTATCTTTTTGTTTTTAACTTTTTAGTGAATAATTCCTTATGGTTCCTAACACAGAAAATAGTAGGAAATTTGTGTTGGAAATACCGTATTTTTTATACTACAGTTATTTATTTTGCTGGTTGTGACATAAAATTCAAGCAAAATCTTAACAATGTTTATATTCCTGATATTAAAGCATATGTAATTCTTTGTGAGCCCCGAATTACCTTTGTCTAAAGAGTTGTGTTGAATTTTTCTATTTTAAAATTCATTAGTTTTGGAATTCTGATAAATTTTATGAAACAATTATATCATTTTAGATTTTTAGAACTTCAAGAAATGTAGCTTTTTTTCTTTGTCTTTTGTCAAAACTTATGGCATATATTCTAATTCTTGTTTTCTATTGGAGTGTGTTATAGTACATGTTTCTCTTTGTGATTAGCAAAGAGGTAGCAGTAACATCTGCCAATTGTGTTATTTTTGTTCCACTTTTCCTATTTATCTCCATTTAATTCTCACAACCTTACCTATGAGGTAACTACTGTAATTGCTATTTTCCAGGAAAGGAAAAACAGAATAATAACTTCTGCCATTGGAAAAAAAATGGCAGTTTCACTTTTCAGGTGGAGCTAATCTTTAGTTTACTTTTCACTTCCTTTTGTCTTCTTGTATGTATCTTTTCTCTAAGAAATATAATTTTGGGACAGTATTTTATTTCAAGTTTTCAAAAATTTTTATATTAATTTTTTTTTATTTCCATAGGTTTTTGGAGAATAGGTGGTATTTGGTTACATGAGTAAGTTCCTTAGTGGTTATTTGTGAGATTTTGGTGCACCCATCACTGGAGCAGTATACACTGAACCAAATTTGTAGTCTTTTATCCCTCACCTCCTTCCCATCCTTTCCCCGAGTCCCTAAAGTCCATTGTATCATTCTTATGCCTTTGCATCCTCGTAACTTAGCTCCCACTTATGAGTGAGAACATACGATGTTTTGTTTTCCATTCCTGAGTTGCTTCACTTAGAATAATAGTCTCCAATCCCATCCAGCTTGCTGCAAATGCCATTAATGCATTCCTTTTTGTGGCTGAGTAGTACTCCATTGTATACATACACCACAGTTTCTTTATCCACTCGTACTGATTGATGGGTTTTTGGGCTATTTCCATATTTTCACAAATCCATCAATCCTGCTACTGGGTATCTACCCAGAGGAAAAGAAGTCATTATACAAAAAAGATACTTGCACATGCGTGTTTATAGAAAAAAATTTTCTTTGAATTGGATGTTTTATGTTCTTAAGTAGATAAGGTTCAATACATTTCTTTCATCTCTTCATTCGGTTAATCATAGAGCATTTATTTGCTCAACACTGGTTTGTCAGGCATTGTGTGTATGGTTATAATATAAGGATAGAGAATACTGTTTTCTGCCCAAAAGGATTTTTTGTATTGGGGAGGGTGGTTATAAAGTCAGATATAGACAATTAAAATGTGTCATAATTTGGAATGTGTCAAATAATGGAATAATACACCTACAGGGTTCTTAAAAGGCGCACAGAGGAGATGACACCTCTCCCTGGGTTGATTAGGGAAGTCTTTTAGAGGAGGTGATGTGTAATTTGAATCTTCAAGAACGGATGGATAGGAACTCTCCACTTTGCTAAGGCAGGGGCATATCATGTGCAAAGAACTGAAGATTGAGAGGTAAAGGGATATGGGGGAAAAACAAGTCATGAAAGATGGATTAGACAATGGAGGAAGAGTGGGGGCACTGACCCCCATCAGTAAGCTAATGTATTCACTGGAATAATGGCTTTTTTTTTTTTTTTGACAGAGTCTCTCTCTGTCACCCAGGCTGGAGTGCAATGGCGCCATCTTGGCTCACTGCAACCTCTGCCTCCCGGATTTAAGCAATTCTCTGCCTCAGCCTCCTGAGTAGCTGGGATTACAGGTGCCCACCACCACGCCCGGCTAATTTTTTTGTATTTTTAGTAGAGACGGGGATTCACCATCTTGGCCAGGCTGGTCTTGAATTCTTGACCTTGTGATCCGCCCGCCTCGGCCTCCCAAAGTGCTGGGATTACAGGCATGAGCCACTGCGCCCAGCCAATAATGGCATATTTTAATTAATCTGTAGTTGTAGGCGTGGAGAAGGCATAGATTGAGAAGATCTATTGCAGCCAGAGCTAGGTACTCAAGGGCAATTCCAGGTTGAAGTATGCTGATGGGAGTGTGGTGGTGGGAGCAGATTGGGTGGGGGAGGTGGGGCAGTGGAGCTATTAATAAGATTGGAGCACAGGGATTGTAAGTGGAAAGTCATGCCTGCTGTGAGCACAGGTCTGATAAGAGCAGTAAGGGGACAGAGCAGAAGCCAAGTTGGTGCATGTATACTGGATAACTCTGTAATGAGGTAGATGGTGTTGCTACAGCATCTTCATAGTGAAAGGTGATGAACTTTTTAAATACCCAAATTTGACATTTCAAAGCTTAAGTTTTATTTTCTTGTGATTGTACACATGTCTCTCTTGTGGTCATTTCATTTGAGGGAAACATTAAAAGTATTACGGTTTCCATTTTCTTTTAAACTAATGAAATAAGACAGGGCTATATTTTATGTTATTTGAACTTTTTTACTATTAAGAGTCTGTTGCTGACTCCAGTGCATTCTAATTCAACTAACCTGGTTTGAAAGACTAATTGTTGCTCTAAGACATATTTTCAGTGTTTCAGACAGTTCAGACTTCATTTCCTTTTTTTTGAACCTTGAGTTTTCTTGCAGTAAAATCTCTCAGGATACAAAAACTTTTTACTTTGTGTTTGCCATTTTTTTCCAGCAAGATTTTATTGGGATCTGTGTTCCGTTTGTTGAAATGCCTGTTGCAGGCCAGGCTCAGTGGCTCGTGCCTGTAATCCCAGCACTTTGGGAGGCTGAGGCAGGTGGATCACCTGAGGTCAGGAGTTTGAGACCAGCCAGACCAACATGGTGAAACCCCATCTCTACTAAAAATACAAAAAAATTAGCCGGGCATGGTGGCAGACGCCTGTAATCCCATCTACTTGGGAGGCTGAGGCAGAAAAATTGCTTGAACCTGGGAGGCAGAGGTTTCAGTGAGCACTCCAGCCTGGGCAAAAAGAGCGAGACTCTGTCTCAAAAGAAAAGAAAAGAAAAAAAAAGAAATGCCTATCACAAAGAGTTCAATAATGACGAATGTAGGTGCTCAGATTGGATAACCTTAATGAATGTATATTCTTTATGGGATAATAAGATGACCCCTGGAAAGAATAAGGATTTGTTTTTAATAGTAGAAATAAATATAATACAAAGGAGCAATTTATATAAAGATGACAAGGGTATTGTTTCTTTGAAGTTTTTTTTTTTTTTTGCTACTGATATGTAAGATTTATCGTGGTTTTCAGTGGTGTTCTTAAGTTTTCTAAATTGTGTCTGGAAAATCTCATCTAGGATCTGAGGATAGTGGATGGAAATGGAAGTGCCTGGGTCTTTGGACCTTCATTCACTTCAACCAGAACAAGTTCATTTCCATTTGTCTTATAAATAGAGCTTCTATTTAAGCTTTTTCTGGATGAGAAAGTTCCAAAACAAAAACATAATCTGAAAATATGTTAGATAAAACTGCTCAAAAGAATGCTGTTCGTAATGACTTATGGATGGAAACTTATTTAGAAATCATAGCATGTAGACTTGTAAATTTTGGAATGTTATTCAAATACAATGTATAAAAAAGTAAGCAGTCTTACTGGGATTTTCTAGGACTAGGACTAGAAAGACTAGATCCATCCGTAGTGAAAAATGCAAATTTGACTAAGTTGCTCTTCCTCTTCTCTGTAAGAATAAAGAGGCCGGGTGGAGTGGCTCACGCCTGTAATCCCAGCACTTTGGGAAGCCAAAGTGGCGGACCACCTGAGGTCAGGAGTTCGAGATCAGCCTGACCAACATGGAGAAACCCTGTCTCTACTAAAAATATAAAATTAGCCAGGCATGGTGCCACATGCCTGTAATCCCAGCTACTTGAGAGGCTGAGGCAGGAGAATTGCTGATCCTGGGAGGCAGAGGTTGCAGTGAGCCGATATCATGCCATTACACCCCAGCCTGGGCAACAAGAGCGAAACTCCGTCTCAAAGAAAAGGAAGAACTTCAGGGTGATGAAATTCAGGATTGATCCTCCTGCTAGAGGGATAGGGGTTCTCAATCCTACTGAATCTTGAGAGTTGGTCTCGGTTTGCTACAAAGGATCTGTTCATGCTGTAGACTTCTAGGGTGTCCTAGAACTCAACTGATCCAGTTTGAAAGATGAACTTAGACTGCCACCTCTAATTTTCACCCCGTTTTCTAAAATCCTATAATATATCTATTTTAAGAAACTGTCTGTTGAAAAGTATACCATGGATTTAATTGGAGCTTTTATTATTTGCGTCCTAAAAGAGCACATTAATTGGAAATTGCCCTAGTTCAGAGAAGTTGGAATGTGAAGAGAGAGCTTGTGAAATTCTTTGTTCTTTCTTAATTTCTTCAACCAGTAGTATTGAGCATCTGCTGCTATGTGCCAGAGATTTCCGAGTCCTTGGGGGCTATAGTAGTGGGCTTATTTGTATCCATTCATCAAGAACTGCTTGTGGTATGAAATCTGATCTTCCTGATCCTGAGTAAAATGATGTCTCCTTTTCTCTGCTCTTGATTTGCATATAGGCAATCCATACATTTTGGTATGTACTTGCCCTTTGATTTTCTAGTATGCCCTGTTAGTTTTGGTGTCCTGTTGAGTGTGTTTGCCACCTAAGGGTGAGGGCTCCCTCTGATACTTCTTTTAGAGTCCTCATGGGGCCCAAGCATAGTACTGAGTAGTAAAGTAGGTACTGTTTGTGCTTTGTTTATTTCCTGTTAAAATTTAGCTTGTTACTTTTAATTTTTGTGGGTGGACAGTCCTACAGGTAAATTTTATTTGCTCTCCTGTTTAATAATGGCAGAATATTTGAAGACCGTGGAAAATACTTAAAATGATAAGTTAAAGCATTTTGCCAAATGGTATGATTAGTATGTTACCCATTTGATTATTGTGTCTGCATAGGAGACTTCCTGGAAGAATGCATAGCAAAATAATGGTGGTTATTTCAGGGTAGTACCATTTGATTATTTTTGTTTCATCCCCCCCCCCCCATATTTCTATGGTTAAACGTAATTTTAAAGTCAAAGTGAAAATCCTCTAAAACATTTTACCCCTTGTGTTTTTTTTTTCTTTTTACATTCCTAGTGAAGTAGGTTATCTTAAAGGTAATGCTTTTATTTTCCATAGGAGGGATGTTTCTATTGAGAAAATATAGTATTGAAATTATCATCCATGAGGTCAGGAGTTCAAGACCAGCCTGGCCAATATGGCGAAACCCTGTCTCTGCTAAAAAATACAAAAATTAGCCAGGCGTGGTGGCGCGTGCCTGTAATCCCAGCTACTTGGGAGGCTGAGGCAGGAGAATCATTTGAGCCCTGGAGGCAGAGGTTGCAGTGAGCTGAGATCCTGCCACTGCACTCCAGCCTGGGCGACGAGAGAAGCCTCTGTCTGAGAAAAACAAACAAACAAACAAACAAAAGAAGCTATTATCCAGAACGCTGATTTGTAAAGATAACTTTATCTATCTTGGTCATAAATTCAACAGCTAAAAATTCATTTGTATCCTTTCATATGTTCTGTTTCTTACTCCAAAAGATATTAAGAAAAATGCTGAATTATCAAGGTCTCCAGCGAGTGAAAATCATAGCAAGTGATAATCTCTGGGAGTCCATCTCTGCATCCATGCTCCTTGATGCCGAACTCTTCAAGGTGGTTGATGTTATAGGGTAAGGCATGTTTTACTTGGAAAACTAGCAGTTTCTGATTGCTTGCTCTGTGTATTGACTATCTTTTTCTTGCCTTCTCCCCATTTGATTACATTCTCAGAAGGTAGCTCTCCTGTATTCACTTACCTGAAGCATGCATGGCTCATAGTTCATTATTTTCTCTTTTAAATATATTTTAGGATCTTTCTATGACAAACAAGTATTGATAGCTTTTAAAAAGCATGTTGATGTTTGGAATAATAAAACAGGGCTTTGTTTTAGATTAAGGGGCAGAGTAATACCTGTATTTAATTTTAGAAATTATAAAGGCAAAGTTGTGAAATTAGTTTCAAACTCTCAGATATTCTGTGGTTGGAAGTTCTTGCATGAACACTTTTGTAAATGGTTCATTGTGATCACTGACAATAACTTTTGTCATGCCTCCTTAGTAGTATAGTTTTGATGCCTACTCTTTATTCCATTTCTGCCTTTTAGCACTCTGGGCCCTGACCTCATTGGGTTCATTTTTTTTAAAAAGTGAATTTACATTTTTTCTACCATGACTCAGGATATAAACATTTGAAAAATAGGATATGTATGTTTGTGTGTGTGTGTGTGTGTATGTATGTGTGTAGAATTTGTTCTTTATCCAGTGTGAAGACTGATTGATCTCTCCATGTGCTTTATTTTTTTAATGAAGAATTTTGAATGTACACAAAAATAGGCAGAATAATACAATGAATATCTATGTTCTTATCACTCAACCTCTTGAACTGTGAATCCATGACCAATTCTTCATCCATGCGTCTATCTACTCCTCTTCCTTTCCTGCCTACATTACTTTGAAAGAAATCCCAGACATTATTTCTTCCATAAAAATATTACTGTGTATGTGTCTCCAAAGATAAGGATTATTTTTCTACTTACCATAAACAATACCATTATTATACCTAAAATGTAATAGTTTTTGATATTAAATATCCATTATTATCTTATAGTTTTATTTGATTGAATCTAGATCCATTTAAAATTCATGCATGGTGATTGGTTGATATTTAAATCTATTCTAATCTTTATGTTCTTGCTCTTTTTCTTTCTTTTAATTTGTTGAAGAACGGGGTTGTTTGTCTTACAAACTTTGTGTCAG
Source organism: Homo sapiens (assembly GCF_000001405.40). Classification (NCBI taxonomy): domain Eukaryota; kingdom Metazoa; phylum Chordata; class Mammalia; order Primates; family Hominidae; genus Homo; species Homo sapiens. The sequence goes on along the minus strand of NC_000014.9, from coordinate 87,975,231 downwards.
TCTGGATTTTACTGATTTCAACCCCTACAGTTTAATATAACTTGCTCATCTATCCTTTTTCAATGGTTTTTGAAATTGGTAGTTTAGGTTAGATTTAGGTTAGGTTAGATTTAGGCTTAATTTTTTTTTGCAAGATAAAATTTCTTAATTATATTTAAACATTTTATACATTGAAATTAAAATGAAAGTTTTGCTGTTGTTAAAGCTTTCATAAATAGTTGAAGTCTTGAAGGAAAACAAAGTTGTGTTAATCTTAAATATATTTTCTTATAAAAATATTGCATGAAAATATGGGTTTTACTGTATCTTCATGAAGGACTTGGATATGTACTTCATTTTTTATTGATATAGGTATTTTAATGTAATGAATTTTCCTCTGAGTACTGCTTTAGTTTTATCTCATAGGGCTGTTTTATCATTAATTTCTAATTTTATTGCACTGTGGCCATTTAATACCAAATGTATTATTTACATTTTTTTGGGAAATTTCTCAGGAGCTTATTAAAAAAAAATCTGAAAAAATACCTTCGCTTTTTTCTTGACTATCTCAAGAGCATATTTTGATTTATTAAGATGTATTCTTTATTAGGATACAGAATTGAGTTTATATATAACCTTTTGGTTATATTGTTCAGGTATTTTGTATCTTAACGATTTTGTCCACTTGAACTGTTCAGGGCTACCCAGGTGTGTTTGTTTCCTTATGTTAGTGGGGTCTATTTCTCCTTTCAATCTTAGGCAGTTTTTGCTGTGTGGAAGCTTCTGCTTTGTTATTTGGTACGTAAATACTGGAAGCTTCTGCTTTGTTATTTGGTATGTAAATACTGATGAATGTTTTATCTTCATTATGATTTATTTCTTATCATTAGAAAATGCCATTCTTTGTCTCGTTTAAAGCTTCTTGGCCTGAGTTCTGCTTTCTGTGTAACTAAGAGATCTATGCTTTCTTTTCATTAGGATTTGCCTAATATATTTTTGCCCTTTTATTCTTTACCTTTCAAGGCCGTTTTCTTTTATGTGCATTGCTTGCATATAGCATAGAGTTAGATTTTGCTTTTTTAAAGTTCCTCTGAAAATCTTTATATTTTAATGAATGAGTTAAACTCATTTTTAAATATAACTGATGTTTGTGTTTTCTATACTACTATATTGTCTTTTGTTATTGAATGATTTATACTATCCATGTACTAATACAAGCTATTCTGCTATGTGATTTGTTTACTTTGCACTTATTTAAGGAGGTGTTTCTTTTGTTATTTAGCAAGGTTTGGTTTTTGTTCTGTCAATTACATTTATACTGATTTATACCAGTATTTTCAACTGAGAATAATTTTGCCTCCCAGACGGACATTTGGCAATGCCTGGAAATATTTTTAATTGCCACAAATAGGTAGGGCGGTGCCACTGGAATCCGATGGATGGAGGCCACGAATGTTTCTAAACATCCTTTAGTACACAGGATAGTTTTCCCATAACAAAAAATGATCCAGCCCAAAATGTTAATAGTGCTGAGGTTGAGGAACTGCTTCATACTAATACTCTTGGTTTCTTCTTCGTTTAGTTATTGTCTGTTGGTTTACTATGAGCAATACTAAAATTATTTGATAACTTCTTCCTCCCTTTTTCTCCCCTACCGTGGAATTTTAATTACCAGAATTATCTTAGTTTTAATTTTTGTACTCTTACATGAACTTAAGCTTCTACTATATTGATTTGACAGCTACAAGTTTTAACTGTTTACTCCCAAATAATCTGCAAACTTAGTTTACATTTCACCTTCTTTCCTTCTTGTCCTACTTCATGTAGCTGTATTAGTTGTACTTTAGCCAAGTGTGTAATAGTTATATATATAATTTAATTACTATTTCTTTTAATCTCACTCTACCATTAAACATATTAAATGCTCACCTTCAAGTCCTTTGCCAAAGTTTCTCCCTCATTTTCTTGGATATCAGAAGTGTAATTATCTATTAAATGTCTCAGAAAGTGCTAATGGAAACAATATTTCTTGATGTGTTCAGATGTTTGTTGATGTTTATCTATGACCTTTATACTTGAAGGACAGTTTGACTGGATATAATCCTTTTTTAATTCTCAAATATGTGTAAATATATCATAAAATTTGCTCCATTAGTTATTTACATAAAATGTTGCTATTGAGAATTTTGACTCCAGAGATATTTCCTTTTCCTTATAAGTAACGACACAATTCCTTTATGCCCAAAGAATATTTTTATTCATCTTTAAAGTTTAGTTGTTGTATACACTTTACCATTTCCAGATATATAGTATATGCTCTCTTAATGTCTATATTTAAGTATTTTCTTATTTCAGTAAGGTTTACTTAAGTTATAAGTTAAATCATTATTCCACTCCATTACTTTGGTTTTCTTTTTAGAAGCACCAGTTATACTTTGGTCTTATTTGCATATGCCTTTATTTTGTATTTCTCTGAATTTTTCTCTATCTCTTTATTTATGTTTTCTATTATTTTATCCTTACTATTCTATATTCCTCACTGTGTTTTCCACAGTGTCTGTTCTGTCTTATGTTCCTTCTAGTTTAGCCTTCATTTCCAAAGTGTGTTTTTGAAAATAATTCTTCTATAATTCTCTCATTTTAATTTCCTATATTGCTAACAATTCATCTTTAAAATTTTTAATTGAAGTACAGCATACATACATACATATATAAAAGTACAAAAATCATCGGATAATAGCTTAATGAATTATCACAAAGTGAACGTACCTATGTAACAGCCACCCAGAAAATTATCAGTGCCCAAGAAGCTTGGTTACTGATATCTCCTCTTGGAAAGATTTTTCCTTGGAAATCTTTCCAATAATTAAGCTCTCTTTTTGCCTTAAAGGTAACTACTAATCTGACCTCTGACACCATGGACTAATTTTGCCGGTTTAAAAACTTTATTTAAATGGCATCCTATAGTAGCTGTTATTTCAGCCAATATTATATAAATTTGTGAGATTAATGCATGTTGTTATATATAGAGGTAGTTCATATTTATTGTTTAGCATCCAATTGTTGGATGCTAAATGTAGCATACCACAACTTATCTGTGTATTATTTTTTAATGGTCATTTAGACTGTTTCCAATTTTGGGCTATTGCAATTTTGTTCAGGAGATATTTCTTGGCTCACATCTTCATAGGAAGACTATTCCTCCCTGCCTCATTCATGTTGTGCTTGGCCTGTGCTATATCTGCAGATTTTTGTTTTACAGTTACAGTACTTTCTAGGGTCTGTTTCTGCTGGGCCCCATTCTTCTTAGTGACTGAAAGTTGTTCTCCCTCAAACAAAGCGTTCCTGCCTTATTCAACTTGGATTCTACTTCAAACAGCTTATTTTCATGTTGAAGCTCTACCATTCCTGATTATTTGCTACCTTCTCCTGAAATTGTTATTGCTTAAACCTGTATTGTTCAATACAGTAGCCACTAGACACATATGTTTAGGAAGCACTTGAAATGTGGCTAGTTTGAGTTTAGGTGTGTAATAAGTATAAAATATACACTGGGTTTTGAAAATTGAATATAAAAATATTATTTACAATTGTTTTACACTGATTACATGTTAAGTGATAATATTTTGGATATATTGGGTTAAATATATCATTAAAATTATGTTCTCCATGTTTTTCTGCTTTGTAAATTCAATTAAATTTTTTCCATTTATGTGTTTTATTGTGGTAAAGACCTTTGCTGGTTTTTAATGTGGCTGCTAGACAACTTAAAATTGTCTATGTGTGGTTCATATCATATTTCTACCAGACAGATCTGGTTTGAACTGTTACAGTATTGGGTTTGATCTCCTAATGAATTCACTGTTTTGAGCATTGACCCCTAACTTCAAGCCTGTGAAGATGTTCCCATCTTCCTGAGTTGGTCTTCTATGCTCCCCCTTAGGGTAGGGTCTACTCCTTTTGTGTGAGTACCGGCCAGTCCCCTTTCACTTCTAGTTTCCATATACCATCTGCTGATCCTGGGCCATTTCTGATGCTGCGAGGCTCCTGGGGAGAGTCCCTGTCACCTGGTTTGATGGCAGTGTTATCTGTGAGTTTTTCCTTTCCCTTATCTGGTTGGTCAGTTTGGTTTCAGGAGGAGTACTGAGGAGCTTCAGAAACTGGGCTGCTGTCATGTTCTGCCTTGGCCAGAAATTCTAATTTTTTAAAGTACAAATATGTTCCTCTGTTAGGATAAACTATAAAGTTGGTTTACTTTCATTGATCTTAATTTTGTCTGTTATTGAAGTTTGAAAAATAATGCTGTGAAGTGATAGAGAATGTTTGCCTACTTATATACATTAAAAATTTATATTCTTTTTTTTTTTTTTTTTTTTTGAGACAGAGTCTCACTCTGTCCTCTGTCGCCCAGGCTGGAGTGCAGTGGCGCAATCTCGGCTCACTGCAAGCTTTGCCTCCCAGGTTCATGCCATTCTCCTGCCTCAGCCTCCCAAGTAGCTGGGACTACAGGCACACACCTCCACGCCTGGCTAATTTTTTTTTTTTTTTGTATTTTTAGTAGAGACAGGGTTTCACCATGTTAGCCAGGATGGTCTCAATCTCCTGACCTCGTGATCCGCCCGCCTTGGCCTCCCAATAAAAATTTATATTCTTAAAGAGCCTTTACATTTTGTTGCACTAGTAATAAATCTATACATTAAGAAAGACCCAGATTTTAGTATTAGTTCTGCCTTTCTTTGCTCATATCATGTAATAAATCATTTGGGTTTTGAATGTGGTAACAGTTTCATCATTTTCTGAATGAAGGATATATCACCTATTCCTATAACTTCAATAAAGTTACTTTTTCATTTTATAAATATAATATGCTCATTATAGAAAATTTGGAAAATGTAGAAAAGTATAAAAATAGAATTTCCTCATAATCCTAACATCTACTGATTATTGGTAACATGCTAGCATATTACTTTACAGTGTTTTCTTTAATATAGAAATATATTTTAACCAAATACACCAAACATGCATTTGGCAACTAGACAACTGGATGACAACTAGATGAGTATTAAAAATTAACATTTGGCTGAGGTACCAAAGCTGAATTTCATGGAAATAGAATGGAGTTGTGGGATAGAAGAATAAATCTAAAGTGTAATTTTTTGAATTTATATTATTTAAAAGACTAGTAGCCAGATTTTTCAGGTTGGGCGTTATAGTTCCAGAACAATGATTGCTTAACCCTGTTAGATGCTAGATTTCTGTTGGTATCTTTGTAGTGTAGATTTGCAATATTGAATAGATGCCTGCTTTCACCTGAGTTTAGTGACTCAGTAAAATCTTAGTGGAACCTCATTTTTCTCTAATACTTCTTTTTATGTTCTCCAGTATATATTGTATATTATTTTCTTACTCATGAAATCCTGGGATGCCAAATTGATATTGTGCCCTAATTCATCTTCACTAGGTATAAAGAATTACCAAATAGGATTTTTTCCTAAAAGATTTGTGACCTAAAAGGGAATTAAATAACTAAAAAGTAAAACAAGTATTCACAATCATTCTTTTGATGTTATAAATACTACTACACCAAACTACAAAGATTAGAATTATGATATAACTTAATCTCCATTATTTTGCTTGCATTGTTTTTTGTAAATAATTTTTAAACTAAAAAGTAGATGCTCTTATTCCTACAGTTATTTAGCTAGTGTGCTCTCTTATTGGATTGTCAATCTATTTTCTATTTTACATTTAAAATTTATTGTTTTTATTCCTATAATCAGTGTCTTCCACAATCATCATTATGGGAGTATTTTACTCTTGCAGTAATGAATATGCATTTATACTTCCACCAACTGACTCCCCTCCCATCGAATGATAGAGTGAAGGAGGCATTCATTTTCTGGGGCAGTTTCTCACCTGCTGCACTATTGATATTTTCAATGGATAATTTTTTTGTTGTAGGGGTTGGTCCTGTGCATTGTAGGATGTTTAGCAGCATTTTTGGCCTCTCTTCTCTAGATGCTAGTAGCAAATATCCCTGACCCCAGGTGGGACGGTTGAAAAAAATGTCTACAGATAGTGCCAAATATTCCCTCCAGGGACAAAAATCATCTGGGTTGAGAACCGCCACTGCTCTGATACAGTAATTTAGTTTTCCCAAGGTAGCTTATTCTTTTTATTCAAGAAATAACCATGTGTGGGTTTTGTTTTTTGTTTTTGGCCTGGGAGTAAATGCCAAGCTATCTTTCTGTGTTCTAAGGACAGGAGTAGTGGGGAGAGTACTACTTTATATAAAGGTTTCACTAGTCTTATTTTTGGCCTCCTCCTCACTCGTTTACTATTGCCCCAAGCTCCTTAGCTTCCCCTGGGAAGTCTGAATCTTATCTTTACTTCATTCTCCTCTTGGAGTGTTCTAGGCTGTGGCCCTCTCTGCTACCTCCATCCTTCAACATGCTTCCATCCATCTTGTGAGCTCCAGAAATAGATTGAAATTTCTTATCTATTGATGATTTTCCTTCCTATCCTGTATGCTGTTGTAGGTTTATCCCCTTTTGTTTTCTTTGCTGTCATTTTAATGGCATGCTGAGACAAAAGGGCATAAAGCAGATGCTTAGATTCATTATCTACCTGGAAGCTACCCAACTGTTTTAAAATAGAAAACCTTGGAGAAGACTCGTATTTTTATATACTCAACAAATCTATACGTATATAAGTGCCACGTCGTGACCTTTTTTCATTGACTTCCACCCTTTTTTTTTCTAGGGCTCATTATCCTGGAACCCATTCAGCAAAAGATGCAAAGTTGACTGGGAAGAAGCTTTGGTCTTCTGAAGACTTTAGCACTTTAAATAGTGACATGGGTGCAGGCTGCTGGGGTCGCATTTTAAATCAGAATTATATCAATGGCTATATGACTTCGTAAGTTATTAAAAACCTTTTAGAGTTCTTATCAAAAAAAATTTAAAAACATAAGAGTTAGAAAAAAATGGAATTCCTTATTCTTCCAGCCTAGATTCAATGATTGTAAACATTTTGCCTTGTTAGCGTCATCTATTTGTATACCTATACCTAATCTATATCTAATTTTCTATATTTGAATATAGTCTATATTAAATAAAGTCAGGTTTATTGAGGTATAATTTATATGTAGCAAAATACATGCAGCTCTCTGATTTTTGACAAGCTACTTGTATTTTTAATAATTATAAAGTAAATAGTATATGTAAGGACACTTTATCTCTAAATATTTTAGCATGTGTCTCCAAAACATAAGGATATTCTTTTACATGATCACAGTATCATGTTTTCATACATGAGAGTGTTTTTAATTCTCAGTCTATATTCAGATTTTCCTAATTGTTTCCCAAAAATGTCATTTGTAGCTTTTTTAAAGAAAAGGAATAGTCAAGCACACACATATTGCATTTAAAAGTTACACCCCTCAAGTCTCCTTTAATCTAGAGTGGTTTCCTTATTCCTCATTTTTGATGACAGTGATCTGTTGAAAAGACCAGGCTGGTTGTGTTGTGGACTGTCTGCTTCCCAGCCTGTCTGATTGATTCCTCATGGCATCACTTGATATGTGTAATTGTTTGTTTAAAAAACAGATGTTCTTAAGGGAGAACACAACTATTTTTGTTCCTAAGGGAAGCATTTCTTAAATGCTTTGAAAAACACTTGAATTGTGAATAGATTCCAATTAGCTTTTTTTAAACAATGATAAATAGAACAAAAACAAACCAATATTTATGTATTTGTTGTGATGTTAATGTGGGTTGCTGTATATTGTATTTGTTCTTTTTCTTCTCTTTGTGAAAGAAAAGACACTTAGGAGAGTTTGGTTATAACTTAATTTGGTCTTAAAGGTAAGGCATCTTCATGGCAGAGAATTTAGAAAACTGAAGATAGGTACAAAGAAAGAAGCAAAATCACCTACAGTCTTATGATCCAGAGCTAACCATCCTAAACATTTTTAGTGAATGTCCTCCTGTTTTATATTGGCATGTATACATTTTAAATACAAAATTGAGACCATACTATAGAATCTGTTTAAAAAACTGCTTTTCACTTGAGACGACATTAGGAACTTTTTCTCACATTTACCTATATTTCTACTTCATCATTTTTAATGCATTTTAAAATATTTTGTTACATAAAGCACCATTTCCCAGACTTGCCTTAAGAAGCACCCGAGACACTCGTTGTTATACCTTCTCCTTGGCAGCTGCCCAGACATTGTGAATCAGAATCTACAGGGAAGGCTCCTGGTATTCTGTCCATCTAGTCAGTGCCCTCAAGTGATTCTGATGCCACACAAGTTGGGAAACACTGATGTGGAAAATATATTATTGTTTATTGAATATTCTCCTCTTTTAGAATTGGAAGTTGTCTCTGTTTTAATTAATAGCTTTGTACAAACTGAAATGTTCAATTGTATACAAATATCTTTGTATATGCCCATGACTATTTTCTTAGGCTGTATTCTTAGAAATGGAATGGTCAGAAATACATAGATTTTGAAGGGTTTTGTATGTATTTTACAAAATGCCCTCCAGAAAGCTTGTCTTGAGTTATACATCTATCACTAGCCAGAAAGGATACCACACATCTTGCAAACCATGGGCAAAATTATAAGAACTTAAAATATTCACTAGTAGTAAGGTGTTTTGAAAATTAGGACTATTATTTCTACTTTGTACTGATAGAATTAGAAGGCTTTGATTTGCTAAGAATGTCAGTCTCTTTTTTTTATACTGGATGAGGACTTGATAGGAAAAATAAAATTCTGTGGGTAAGCTTTGTTTTTTTTAATCTGTGAGGGACCCAACAATACCAAGTTCAATAACTTCCCTTTTGTCCTTGGATTTCCTGAGAAGCAGAGAGTCAAAGTTTTAGGGTTTAGCACCTGCTCTGGACTGTTAGGGCCTGATCATCTGAGAAAGAATGGGCCACAAAGCAGATCAGCAATTAGATCCAATTACTACTTATAGATGAAGTGGAATCATATTTAATAGCAATACTACGGCCCAGACCTTGTTCCATACTCTTCCTATGCATTAGTACATTTAATCCTTACAAACTCACGTGAGAGAGATATAATTATTATCCTCATTTTACAGAGAGGTTAAGTGGTGAAACCATGGTTTAAACCCAGGCAGTCTGACTCCAATAATTCTCAATTGTAAAACTTTGGAACAGTTCAGAGTCAAGTTCATAAAAATTATGTCATAAAACTGGGGCATTAAGAAGGCTGACTGTTGAAAGGAAAGTAGGTATGCACAAAGCCTTTATTTGTATTTGACTCAAATTTGTGATGTGTTGGGTATTGGTAAGGCATGATTCGTCTTCTGGCTATACCACAGTTCAGTAAAAATTTGCACATAATACATTTGTATTTTTTATCATGTGATTCACCATTAAAAATATTACAATGTACCCCACACTGGATTTTTCAAAATGTGAATAAATTTAGACAACTTATATTTTCTTATTTTGGGTGATCCTTTTATTGTCATTTATGTAGATGTGTATTACTATGATAAAGTCTTTTTACTCCAGGTTTTTAGACATTTACATTTTTATCACAAGTTGTCTTGGTGTTTCTTTTTTATCAAATCTTTTAGCACAATCGCATGGAATTTAGTGGCTAGTTACTATGAACAGTTGCCTTATGGGAGATGCGGGTTGATGACGGCCCAGGAGCCATGGAGTGGGCACTACGTGGTAGAATCTCCTGTCTGGGTATCAGGTATGGTTCAGTTCCATCTCTCACTCCCTAAATTCTTCTCTAAGAGACAAAGCAGAAAAAAACTTAGAGAAGATTATATAAACTGTGTGTCTATGCGTGTTTTAAGTATAGATTTAAGTTTTAAGCAAGATTTGCCAGTGTTTTATAAGAATATTTTGGGTAACTAGACTACTCTCTGATTATTCTAAGACCAGGCTTTTAGAAAAGTGTAGGAGAGGAGGGGGAGAGAGAGGAAAAGGAGGAGCTGTGTAGTGATAGAGACACAAATAAATAATCATCTAAGGATATAATTACAAATGATGATAATTGCTAATAAGATTATGTATTTATAAACAGAGTAGAAGTCTTAAGATTAGCTTTGAAGACATTTTGTTCTCTTATATTAATAGAGTTTCAATTACAATCGTATGCTAGCAAAATCAAAGGGAGATGATTAAAAATACTGTATTATTGAATCATCAAATGAATAAGTAAATATGAAAGTTATGTGAAATATGGCTTTATATTGTCCCCTAAATCTGTGAAATGTGGGTTGTGAAAAGGTAAATTTCAAAATAGGTAACAATGTAAAGCTCAAAAGATTTTAAAAGTGAGCACGTACTGAAGATTTTATGTTACTCATATGATATGAAGGATCCTGGCAGATAGATGGTAGATGTTAGAAACAGTTGAAATGAAAAGTCAACATAGCACAAATTTTCGTAGTGTAAGGGAATTGGAGATGAATTGTCAATGGAGGCAAATTGGGTTTCCCACAACAGGGAAGAAATTAATTAAATTTCTACCAGACAAGACATAATTTACATAGCTCAGAGACAATGAACAGGGCTATAGATAATACATCCGTTTTTATTGAAACACAAAAGTTTTACTACAGTATCATTCATTAGTCACAAGGGAAATTGAGATTATGCAGGGATGGATGGCATAGTGTCACTTTTTCATGAGGAGATAATAACCATACTAATAGTGATTATATTTTAAACAAAGTAACAAAATCTATTGCTGAATAATGTTGAAACTTTTCTGCAGTTTTTTTGTAAAAGATTATAAACATTTATTACCATTTTGTTTTAAAATTCTAACAATCTTTCTAAAAAGCTAATTTCTTTAAAGGTAAAATGCTTTCAGAAGAAAATTATGAATTTGGAGTGAATTTGTTTTTATTTTAAACTTAAATTTGGTGGTTTTCCCTTTTAGTTGTGCTCTCCTAAGACAGATTTGTAATCATATTAATCATGTAATCATGATATTATTCTAAACTCCTTAAATTGTCCTCCAAAAAATATAAGAAAATTAAGGTTAGACTTGTATATTGGACTTGTATATTCTAATATTGAGAATTATATGAGAAAACTAAGGTTAGACTTGTATATTGGACTTGTATATTCTAATATTGAGAATTATATGAGAAAATTAAGGTTAGACTTGTATATCAGCGCCTTGAATGTTGAAATTGTTGGCCCCACATTATCTAGATGAACTAATGTACTCTTAATTTTGTGATTTTTCCAAGGGTTGGGACATGGTATATTGCTTAGTGCATTTTCAGGACGAGCTTAGGAGGTGACCAATAAATGTACATGTGGTGGAAATAAATATGTTTGAAACCATAAAGTTAGTTTCTGAAATTCATTATTAACTTTTTAAACCTTTTTTTGGTAGCTATTTTAGGATGGATTAAATAGTGATGAACCAAGTTTGGGGGGGGAATAACTATTTTATTCTTAAAAAAAAGACTGATCATATTCTTGAACTGACAGGTTCATTTATTTTTACCCATCATTCCAGGAATCTTCTTGCAATTGTACCATTTATCTAGATTAATTATTTAAAAATTTAAACATGAGGTTGACGGATATATTCCTGCAAAATAGAAAATAGCTTGTTTGGATGAATCAGACTCAAATTGATATACAGCTTTTTTTTTTTCCCAAAAGAAATACTATTATTACCATTTTTGTCTTATTTGGAACTTTCTGTTTTTCTATAGCTCATACCACTCAGTTTACTCAACCTGGCTGGTATTACCTGAAGACAGTTGGCCATTTAGAGAAAGGAGGAAGCTACGTAGCTCTGACTGATGGCTTAGGGAACCTCACCATCATCATTGAAACCATGGTAAACTTTTGTTGTTGCTATTGGATTAACTCACTTCTTTACTATTGGAAAAATAAAATATAAAACTGAATACTTTTGTTTTACATGTAAATACATAAGCATACAGACAGATGCCAAGATCTTATGGCTTTCATTTAAAAAATTTTAGCCATGAGTCGTAAAACATAGCACACAACTCACTGATTTGTACAAAATAGTTGGCTCTCATCTTTTCTCCACTTTGTTCCTGGCAGTTGGGATAAAATTAAGGTTACCTGTGTACCAATATTTGTGGAGACGACCTTCACGACCTTCCCTTGCCCTGATATGTATATGGAGGCTGTGGCTTTTTCCTTTTTCATCCTCAGGTTGTTTTGGGGAGACCTTAAGTCTGTTGAGAGCAACGAGCTTAAAATTCAAGTGATTGAGGGGCTTGAGTAGGAAGGGAATAGGTCTGACAGGTGGACAGAGGCATGGGAGGAGGTAGGGGCTTGAAAGCAGACATATCAAGGATTCAAGGGAACTGAATGAAAGAATGAAGGTGAAAAAACATGGAAGCAGAAGCAGAAGCCAGTGGAGAGAAGAAGAAGTCTGAGAGGTGCCAGTGTGGGGAGATCTCAAGCTTCCCAAAGAGGTCAATGAAGTTCCAACAAGAAGGAGGTAGACAGAATAGGAAGTGCATATAGTCAGCAGGGCTTTGTGAAGAAGGATTTCTAGCAACTAAGTTCCCATGGGAGAAGCAAGATCCAAAACAGAGAACAGAGTAGCCTTAAAAAAATGGTGTGTGTGTGTGTGTGTGTGTGTGTGTGTGTGTGTGTGTGTGTGTATCATATCAGGTTCTGAATGTCAGCCTACAGTTTGGCCAACTCCTGACCATAGACTCTTAAAAAACAAATTCTTTCAAATATCCTACTATCAGGTTTGAGCCAGGACAAACAGTAAATATTCCTGGCAGTATTGACCTTTTCAAACCAAAGGTGTCTATTAAGTGACTCACAACACAAACCAATAAGCCTTTTATGTCTTATCGTGGATGAAGAGGATCCTCAAAAGAGGGTGTAAAAAGATGCAGCCCTCCCAGAATCTACACTTCATCGTAGTCAAAAGGTTGAGAAGTGATCCTCCAAAGACCTAGAACCACTCCCAAGGATAGTCAAAAGAAAGACCCAGATAACCTCCCTACTCCCCACTCCCTGTCAGAGCTGGCGATAGTTGGTAAACTGGCTGCAAATAGGGTGCGAATCACATTTTTGTCTGGTTATATTCTTGGGGCCCCCAACTTGAAGTTGGCTGCCTGCATACACAAAACTGACAGCTCACACATCCCTAACAGGTGGGAAGTCAAGCCAGGTTCTCAGTACACAAAATGAGACAAATAGGAAAGCAATAGCTGACCCTGGGAAGGAAGGGATCTACAGGTAATGAGCACCCAAAACTAAATTTATACAGGAATCACAAACCAAACGAATGTTTTTCTTCTGCGAATCTGCATTTGGAGAGGAAGGGATGAGGAGGTTTTTGTTTGTTTGTTTGTTTGTTTAATTGTCTTCTCTCGATCGGGTACTTCAGGCAGAGATCCAGAAGAGCAGGCCTTGGTGAGAATTCTTAACCTTTCTGCCACCTTTTTGTCAGTGTCTCAGGATCTCATCTGCAGGCTCTTAGAGTGAGTAGGCATCTCATCTTCTTCACCAGAAACTGTCTTCAGAGATAAGGAAAATAGGGAGAGCACCTGTTGAGTGAGGGTCTTATGACCTGCTTCAGAGGAGAAAGGAGAAGGTCAGAGAGTAAACTTCCTGCTTCTACATTTTTCTCAAATTATTTCACTTTAAAATATTTGCGGGGAGTGTGTCTTGAACCCCATCATGGCTGTTATGACTAATGGTGTGGATTAGCATATGTGTACAAGTTTTTCTGTGAACGTGTTTTCAGTTCTCTTGGGTATGTATGTAGGAGTGGAATTGCTGGGTCACATGGTAACTCTGTCTTTAGGATTTTGAGGAACTACCAAATTGTTTTCCAAAGTTACTGCACCATTTTACATTGCCACCAGCAGTTTTATGAAACTTACAATTCTCCACATCCTCCCTAACAGTTCTTACTGTCCATGCCTTTGATTATAGCCATCCTAGTGAATGTGAAGTGCTATGTTATTGTAGTTCAATATGCATTTTCCTAGGGACTAATGATGTGGGGATCTTTTCATGTGCTTATTGGCTAGTAGTATATCTTCTTTGGAGAAATGTCTATTTAAACTCTGCCCATTTTTAAATTGGGATATTTGTGTTTTTATTATTGAGTCATAAGTGTTCTTTGTTCTATATAAAAATTCCTTATCAGAAATATAATTTGCAGATATTTTCTCCCTTTGTATGGGTTGTCTTTCATTTTCTTAATGGTACCCTTTGAATTAAAAAAAGTTTTAAATTGTGATGAAGCCCACTTTGTTTTCTCTTTTGTTTCTTGTGCTTTTGGTGTCATATCTAAGAAGCTATTGCCTAATTCAAGGTTCTGAAGATTTATATTTATGTATTCCTTTAAGAGTTTTAGAGTTTTAAATCTTAAATTTAGGTTTTTGGTCCATTTTCTTTCTTAACTGGGGTTATATGTGTGTCCAACTTGATTCTCTTGCATTTTAATATCCAGTTGTCCCTGCACTATTTTTTGAAAAGACTATTCCTTTTTCATTGAATTGTCTTGGCATCCTTGTTGAAAATCAATTGGCAATAAATTTGAGGGTTTATTTCTAGAACCTCAATTTTTTTCTGTTGACTTATATATCTGTCCTGACGTGAGCACCACACTGTCTTAGGTACTGTAGCTGTCTGATAAATTTTGAAGTGAGGAAATGTGAGTATTTCAACTTTGTCATATTTTTATTTTTTATTGACACAGGGTACAATTTGATGTTTTGATACATACATGTGGTATAATGGTCAAATCAGGGTATGCCCATCACCTCATGAATTTATCATTCCTTTGTGATGAAAGCATTCAAAAGCCTCTCTTCTAGCTGTTTTGTAATACACAAAACCTTACTGTTAACCGTCTTCACCCTAGTGTGCAAGAAAACACCAGAACTTACACCTCCTGTCCAATAGTTACTTTGTACCTGTTGACCGACCTCTTCCTGTCCTTCCCTTCCCAGCCCCACCCTAGTGTCTGGTAACCACTGTTCTACTCTCTGCATCTGTGATATCAACTTACACCTCCTGTCCAATAGTTACTTTGTACCCGTTGACCGACCTCTTCCTGTCCTTCCCTTCCCAGCCCCACCCCAGTGTCTGGTAACCACTGTTCTACTTTCTGCATCTGTGATATCAACTCTTCTTTTTTTTTAATTCTACATGTAAGTGTGATCATGAGGTATTTGTCTTATTGTGTCTGGCTTATTTCACTTAACATCATATCCTCCATATTCCTCCATTTGTTGCAAATATCAGGATTTCATTCTATGACTAATAGTACTCCATTGTGTATATATATATCACATTTTCTTTATTCATGCATTCATTGTTGAACACTCAGGTTGATTCCATATCTTGGCTATTGTAAATAGTGTTTTAATAAACATGGGAGTGCAGATACCTCTTTAACATATATATTTTATTTTGGGGGGATATATACACAGTAGTGGGATTACTGGATCATATGGTAGTTCTACTTTTAATTTTTTTTTTTTTTTTTGAGGCAGAATCTTACTCTGCACTTCCAGGCTGGAGTACAGTGGTGCAATCTTGGCTCACTGCAACCTCTGCCTCCTGGGTTCAAGTGATTCTTCTGCCTCAGCCTCCCAAGTGGCTGGGATTACAGGCGTCTGCCACCACACCTGGCTCATTTTTGTATTTTTAGTAGAGACGGGGTTTCACCGTGTTGGCCAGGCTGGTCTCAAACTCCTGACCTCAAGTGATCTGCCCGCCTCAGCCTCCCAAAATGCTGGGATTATGGGCGTGAGCCACCACGTGCCCCGCCTATTTTTAATTTTTTAGGAATCTCCACACTGTTTTTTATAGTGGCTGTACCAATTTACAACCCTAACAACATGAAGTAAGTATTTCTTTTTTTCCACATCCTCACCAACACTTGTTTTCTTTTGTTTTTTTGGTAATAGCCATTCTAAGTAGAGGGAAGTGATATCCCATTGTGGTTTTGATTTGCATTTCCCTGATGATTAGTGATGTTGAGTATTTTTTCATGTACCCATTGGCCATTTGTATGTCTTCTTCTGAGAAATGTCTATTACAGTCTTTTGCCCAATTTTAAACTGGGCTATTTTGTTGTCGTTGTTTAAGTTCTTTACATAGTCTAGATATTAACCCCTTGTCTCATGTATAATTTGCAAATATTTCCTCCCATTTTGTAGGCTGTTTTACTTTGTTTCTTTTGCTGTGCAAAAGCTTTTCAGTCTGATGTCATCCCCTTTGTCTATTTTTGCGTTGTCTGTGCTTTTGAGGTCTTATTTAAAAAATTCTTGCCCAGCTCATTGTCATAAAGCACTTTCCCTTTGTTTTTTTTCTAGTTTTATAGTTTCAGGTTTTATATTTAAGTATGTAATCAATTTTGAGTTGACTGTGTATATTGTGAGAGACAGGAGTCCAGTTTCGTTCTTCTGCATGGGGCTATCCATTTTTCCCAGTGCTGTTTATGGAAGAGACTGTCCTTTTTCCTAGCGTGTTCTTGGCACCTTTGTTGAAAATTAGTTGGTCATAGGGCATGAATTTATTTCTGGACTTTCTATTCTGTTCCATTGGTCTGTGTGCCTGCTTTTAGACAAAACCATGCTGTTTTATTAATCGTTACTATAGCCTTTTAGTATATGTTGAAGTCAGGTAGTGTGATGCCTTCAGCTTTGTTCTTTTTGCTCAGGGTTGCATTGACTGTTTGTGGTCTTTTGTGTTCCTATATAAATTTTATGGTTGTGTTTTCTATTTATGTGAAGAATGTCCTTGGCATTTTGATACAGATTGCATTAAATCTGTAGATTGCTTTGGGTAATATGGCTGTGTTAACAATATTAATTATTCACTATATTTTTGTGAGTTTTTTTTAGTGATTATTCTGGGGCTTACCATATACATCTTAACTTATTGGACTCACTTCAGATTTAAACTAACCGAATTACAGTAGATTATGCTGAATTCCCTTGTTGCTCTGTTCCCTTTCTCCTTTTGTTCTATTATTAGCACACATGTCACAACACTGCGTGCTGCGAACTCAATAGGACATTGTTACTTTATACATAAATTTATATGTTTTTAAACCAGTAACATGCTGTTTTGGTTACTATAGCCTTGTAGTATAATTTGAAGTTAGATAATGTGATACCTCCAGATTGTTCTTTTTGTTTAGGATTGCTTTGGCTGTTTGGACTCTTTTTTGGTTCCATATGAATTTTAGGATTGTTTTTTCTAATTCTGTGAAAGATGATGTTGGTATTTTGATAGGAATTACACTGAATATGTAGATTGCTTTGGGCATTGTGGTCTCATTTTCACAATATTGATTCTTCCAATCCATGAGCATGGGATGTATTTCCATGTGTTTGCATCATCTATTATTTCTTTCAGCCATGTTTTGTATAATAGTTCTCCTTTTAGAACTATTGGTTCTTGGTTAAGTATATTCTTATATATTTTTGTAGCTATTCTAAAAGAGATTGAGTTATTGGTTTGATTCTCAGTTTTGTCATTATTGGTATATAGCAGTGCTGCTGATTTATATACATTATTTGTGTACATTGATTTTGTAACTTGAAACTTTACTGAATTCATTTATCAGATCTAGCAGTCATGTATCAACAGAGCAGAATACAGAACCCAAAAATAAAGCCAAATACTTAAAACCAACTGATCTTTGACAAAGCATTCAAAAATATAAATTTGGGGAAAGGACATCCTATTTAATAAATGGTTCTGGGAAAATTGGATAGCAACATATAGAATAATGAAACTGCATCCCTACCTCTCACCTCACCGTATACAGAAATTAACTCAAGATGGATTAAAGGCTTCAATCTAAGACCTGAAACCATAAAAATTCTAGAAGAAAATCTAGGAAAAATTCTTCTGTACATTGGCCTAGGCAAATAATTTATAACTAAGACCCCAAAAGCAAATGCAACAAAACCAAAATAAATAAATGGGACCTAATTAAACTAAAAAGCTTCTGCAAAGCAAAGAATCATTGGAGTAAACAGACAACCCACAGAATGGGAGAAGACATTTACAAATTATGCATCTGACAAAAGACTAGCATCCAGAATCTATAAGGAACTCAAACCAGCAAGAAAAACACAAATCCCATTAAAAAGTGGCAGGTGACATGAATAGACATTTCTTAAAAGAAGATATGTCTATAGCCAGAAAAACAGTTAAAAAAAATGCTCAACATCACTAATCATCAGAGAAATGCAAATTAGAACCACAACGAGATACCACCTTACTCCAGCCAGAATGGCCATTAAGAAACATCAAAAAACAATAGATGTTGGCATACATGTGGTGAAAAGAGAATGCTTATCCACTGCTGGTGAGAATGAAGTTAGTACAACCTATATGGAAAACAATGTGGAGATTTATCAAAGAACTAAATTGATTGATCTGCCATTCATTCCTGCAATCCTACTACTGGATATCTACCCAAAAGAAAAGAAGTCACTGTATCAGAAAGTCACCTGCACACATATGTTTATGTAGCACAATTCACAATTGAAACATATGGAATCAACCTAAGTGCCCATCAACTGATGAGTGGATAAAGGAAATATATATATACCATATATATATGGTGTGTGTGTGTGTGTGTGTGTGTGTGTATATATATGGTGTGTGTGTATATATATATATATGGTGCGTGTATATATATATGGTGTATGTATATACATATACACACACACATCATGAAATACTCTTCAGCATAGAAAGAATGAAATAATGCCTATTTCTTTGAATGTCTCATTTTTTGTGTGTGTTGTTGGAAACTGGACCTTATATATAATATATGGTAGCAACTCGTATATAATATATGCTATCAACTCTGGGCATTGATCCTCTCCCCCTTGAGGCTTGTTGTTGTTTATTTATTTACTTAGTGATTTGCTGGAGTATTTTAGTTAACTCTGTTCCCTCCTTCTTCCCCTCCACACACTGTAAAGCCTGAAATGTTGCTCCTTGGAGAATGTGGTTTTGGGCATATCCACAGTCACCCTGGGATTTGTTTTTCCAGGACTCTGTCTGGTTCCTTGATCACACCTCACTGTAAGTTACACTAATTGCTGGTGGATTTCTGTATTGTTTTAAACAATGCCCTGGGGACTTAAATTGTTCCAAAGACTGATCCAATTAAATTCCAGCTCATTTTCAGGGGTGGTTTGAAGTTAGTGTTTTAGTTTTCTTCTGACCACAGGAGATTTTTTTTTTTAAACTGTCACTTTTTTTTTTCATTTCATCATAAATTTATTTTCAGGCAGTATGATAATCTATTAATACTCGGCATACTCTGAACTTACAGAATAAGTACCACTCTATACTTCCTCATTAATGACTATCATTTTACATGAGCTTCTTCTACAATCACAGTGAGAGAACAGATTGCTACATGTTTGCTAAATACATTCAGTAAGGCACTCAAATCCTAGACACGAACTAACCACAGAACGCTCTTCCCCGCTTTAATAAATTGAAACATGATCTCATTTCCTTCGTTTTCAATGCTTTTTATAGAAAGACACGCTTGTCTTGAACTTGTCTAAACAGAGGTTTATATAAACTAATCCATTATCATGTATAGTTGTAATCAAGGAAATGATTTCACATTGACGGTTTTTAGGTAGGGATAAGTAAAAGCACTGCAGCAGTTTCTGAGGGAATGTCTTCCCTGTGGTTCCTCATACTTAGTACAATGCCTGGAACGTAGCAGGGACTAAATACAGTGAACAAATGGGCAAACCTTTAATTCCCAGGGATCTGCTACATATTGCCTTGACTGGTAGATCATTTCTCCAGAAGAAAGGAAGAAACCAAAAAACAAAAATAATCTTTTTAAACCTCACAGGATTTTCTTAGAAAAAAGTTTTAATTGAAATTCTCTTTGTAAAATGTATTTAATAAAAAATCCAAAGCAAAAACCCTATCGTTTATTTACTTCAAAAGACAAATCATTTCAGTACTTCTTCCTTGAAATGCCTGCCATTTCTTCCTCTGGCCTCAGAAAAGGGCATCGGCTCCATGCTTTACAGTGTCAGGATAAAAATCCAGGAGGGAGAAATCTTGTTGTAATGGATAGCTGCTTTCATCTAACACAAAAAGGCTCTGAATCTTTGATACACAAGGTTCTGCGCTGACTGCCGACAAGGAGTGTAACAGGTCTGCCATGACCATCCCATAGGTGATCTCTGAGGAAGTAACTATCACTCTGTTGAGGCAGTCTGCAAAAATGTTGAGAAGAATCTTCTCTATCAGCTTTGAGTCTACACGGATGTAAACATCATGTCTTCCATCAACTACAGTCATTAAAGCTGGCCTATAGTATATTTTCTTCATAGTAAATGGCAAGCAGCTAAAACATTGTTTGTAGATCCTGTTCTTATCTGTTTCTAGTTCCAATCCATATTTTGCGCAGCCAGTATATATGATGTTGGGAAGAGAAGAAAAGAAATACTCTTCAGAGAACTGTGAGCATTTAGAGCTATCTTCTGAGCTGCCGTAATAGGAAATGACAGCTCTGAAATCTGGGCTTTAATTAGAACCACTCCTGAACATTTATCCTCTAGGTGGGTTGCTAAGTCTGATATCTTCCAAAAGGAAGGTGCACTTTTTTGAAATTTTGCTTTAAATGTAATTGCCCTTACATCATCATCAAACAAGCACTCACAGGATGACCAAGGCATTGTATGCGATTTTAGGTTTTCTAGTGTGTAATTGCGCTGAACAAAAAGATATTTAAATTCCCAAATATAACCTTTTTTCCTTTGCAGTTGAGGGTACCAGGCTGCTCCAGGACTCCATAATACAAGCACATAATGTTGATCTTGGGCCTGTTCCACTGTTAACATAACTTTTTCTGCTTCTGTCCTCTATAACTGTATACTGCCTCTGTCAGTATAGTGAAATCAACAACTCTTAGTATTGTGTGGACTAATACATCAGGCTGAAGGTGCTCCAATTCTATAAAGTCTATACTGTTCACCCTCTGAGGCTGCCTCGGAGGAAGATCTCTGAGGTAGGAATGTTTTGAGGACACCTGTGCCAGTAGGTCTTGAAGTACAACATCACTAACTACACTGGAATATTCTTCAGGCTGAATAGATGAATAACTCCCAAGATTTAATAACTGACTGCTAAATGTTGATTGTAGTACTGTCTCGCCAACCCATTGGTCCTCATGAATAACAACATCTGCGAGTAAAATTATATCTCCAAGAAACACTGTATATGCCCAAAATGCTGCAGTCCTCTACAGAAAAACCTTCTTAGTTTCTGATTGATCAATTACTGTAACTGTTGCTAAAGGCACTTTAGAGCCAGAATTTGGTCCGAATTTTATGTTTATTTCCTTCACATGACATGGAGATAGCACCATGACTAAACAATCATACTTCTGGCTTTTAGAATCACAGTTTTTTATTAATGACTTTTTTTAATACCCTTAAATTCAGACACATTCCTCTGATCCATTTCTACAACAGAATCTCCTGCATTAGAAATCAACTTCATTTTCTTAGCTACTTGAAGGACTCTAGATAGAGCTTCAGACTGGCCCACTTTATCTTCAGAGGTGCAGCTTCTTTTAATAGCACTTTTGTGGAAGGTGTTTAGTTGGGAACACAGTATTCCTGAGCTACACAACTCAATACGTATCTCATTTGGTGGCAGTTCATCTTCAGAACTGAAAAGTTCTTGAGATCCTGTATTTTCTTCAGGACCTTTGTCAGAGTTTATGTGAATGTGGCTATTTTCTGTTTTAGGAAAAACAGGACTAAAATGTTCAAGAGAATATGCTTGGTTTTGTCCACTTTCATATGCTTCTGTAAAATCATCAAGTTGAATGGAATTCTCTTCAGATATTCTTATCTTCCCGTAACTTGCCTTTGGTTCAGTCTCCATGTTTACATTCCCTTTATTTATAGGACTCCGCCCTTTATCTTTCTTTTGAGCTAAAAAAGCAACCTGGCTGGAGGTAATTATACAGAGAAATTCCGTATCAGTTGACATTTTAAGGTCTGAGACCTTCCTAACTGCTGCTTCAGACTTCAGACCTTGGCTTATCTACTGTGTTCAAGGAAAATAATCCCAAACACTGGTTTTGTATTTCATGATATTCTGTTGGCACACACTCTCTTTGTACCACTTCAGGCCCTATATTAATTTGTTTAGTACTACAAACCAAATCCAACATAGCTGCACATTTGTGGTCTAACTGAAACAAATTTGAGTGAAAGTTCTGACCACAGATATCTGACTGATGTTTAGGCTGTTCATCTATAATTTTATTTTCACTGAGAAGCTTTTGATACTTTTCAGTTAAATGCAGAACTATGCTTTCAAATCCACATATTTGCATATTAGAGCTCGTTACCTCACTCAGTCTAGAGGAGTGAATCTTCTGGGATTCTATATTCTGTGTTTCAGAAACAGAATGTACAAAGTAATCTTTCACATGAACATGTCTATTCATACAGTTTGCTAAGTAAGAAATGACCACTAAGATCTGGAGACCAATAGATTCTGGGACTTCATAGTTTTCAAGATTTTTGTGCTGTTTTTCATCCTTCAGATATAAAGAATGTTGACTGTATAAAAGCTGAATTTTTTTCCGGGGGTCAGCAACGGACATTAAAGAAACTGTGTGTTGTGATACTGTCATTTTTAGTGGAGCAACAGGATACTAGGCTGGGTGGTTCTCAACAGGATATTAGGCAGGGTTGTGGTTTAGCTTATGCCTATAGTGAAGCCACTGGTTTCTTTTTTCTTTTCACCAAAACCTCCATTATTTTTTAGAACAACATTAGTCTTAAACCTCTCTATGCTCTGTGTCAAATATCAATTCCTTTAAGAAAAGGTTTGAAGCTATTTCATGCCTTGCCTCTCCCCCTAGGTAAATCTCTAATCTCTAGTAATGTCACCTTTCTTATTGTTGAAGTGTATGTTTTCTCTTAACCTGATTTTTTATTAGTCTGGCTAGAAGTTTTTCAACTGTATTGATCTTCTCGAAGAATCAGCTTTTGGTTTTATTATTTTCTTGTGGTTTTTAAATTTGTTTTTGTTTAATTCTTCTTTGCTCATTATTATTTTCTTTGCCTATTTTGGTTTTTTCTTTATTTTTATTTTTACTTTTTAAAAAAATTTTATTTCCACAGTTTTTTGGGGAACAAGTGGTATTTGGTTACATAAGTTCTTTAGTGGTGATTTGTGAGATTTTGGTTCACCCATCCCCGAGCAGTATACATTGAACCCAATTTGTAATCTTTTAAAATTTGCTCCTATTTTTCTAGTATCTCAAGACAGAAGCTGAACTCTCAAATCCTTTCTTGGTTTCTAATCTAGGTATTTAGTGCTGTAAATGTCCTCCTAAGTATTGCTTTAGTGGCATACCACAAATTGTGATATGTTGTGTTTTCATTTTCATAAAGCTGAAAATTCTAATTTCTCTTTTTATTTTTCCTTTGATCTATTGATTATTTAGAAATTTGATAGTTTGTAAATATTTTTGACTTTTCCAGAAGGTTTTCAGTTATTCATTTCTGATTTAATTCTATAGTGGTTAAAAAAGTACTTTGTGTGACTTGAATCTTCCTGTATTTATGAGGACTTGCTTTATGGATCAGAGTATGGTGTAGTTTGGTCAGTGTTCCATGTGCGCTTGAAAAGAATGTGCATCCTGCTGTTGCTAGATGGAGGCATTTATAGATGGCATGTTGTTTGGTAGTGTTGTTCAAATCTCTTATATCCTTGCTGATTGTCCATCTAGTTGTACTATCAATTACTAAGAGATGGATATTGAAATCTCTGATTATGAAAGTAATTTTTTAATGGTCTGCAAAGCCTGAAATAGAACTGTGTACTATAAGTATTCTGTGACTGTGGAATCTCTTAAAGTAGGGATTATGTCTCATACTTCTTTTGATCCCAGCCCATAGTTGTGACTATTTAGTAAACAGTGATGGCAATGTGAGAACTATGTTACATATATTTAGCTGACCTTAGTGTGTATTTGATATCTATATATACTATATATACACACACCCATACATATATATATATATTTTTTACTTCTTACATGAGAACGAAAGTTATATTTAGATGAGATGTCTTTTCAGTGAAAACATCCTTACTTTTGCTTTTTATTTGATGTATTTTAGTTGGAAAACAGTTATAACAAAAAATTAATCTGTATGCCATATATGTCTCTACAGTTTAGCTACGAATTCAAAATTTGATCCAGTTGAAACGCCATTGACCTTTGTATTTGACTAGGAACATACAATACACATTCAGTAAATATTATATTGTAAAAAAGTCTTTAAAAATGTGAAATAAACTCATATTTGTTATCTAGTATATGTAAATTTCTGTTAATCTTGGGCATTAACTGTTGAACTTTTTTTCCCCTAAGGTAGCTTATACATCATTTGGATAATGTATGTGATTTTTTTTTTTCAGAGTCATAAACATTCTAAGTGCATACGGCCATTTCTTCCTTATTTCAATGTGTCACAACAATTTGCCACCTTTGTTCTTAAGGGATCTTTTGTAAGTAAATATGTTTAACTTTATTTTAGTTTTGATTTAAGAATTTATATATTCTGTCACAGGCCAGTAGTTCTTAAGTGAAGCCTTATATTATGAACTTTTAACAGTTTGCATATGAATTGACAGAGGCCCTGGTGTCTTCTGTCTTCCGACTTGCTTTAATCTAGCAGGACAGAAGCCAGTAGGAGGTAAAATGCTCTGTGACTTTGAGGAACACTTACAAAAGTCACTTGCAAGAAAGTTGTTCTTGGTGGTAGAAGCATTTTATGGTCTAGGGAACTTTCAAGCATTGATATTTACAGTATACTATGCCAAAAATATTGTTTAAAAGTACCAGATACTTGCTATTTCTGTGAATTGTTAGGTTTGAATTGACAAACTGCAGTACCCTTTCTGATTACTAATGGCATAAGAATTGTTTTTTAATACCAGAAAGTTATTTTAATTTAGAAGTTATTACACAGGTACAGTAATGAATGTTTTTGAAGCAAAGACACTGTAATTTTTTTATCATTTGCCAAAATTCTTTAGTGTTTAGAGAATAAAGTATTTGCTTGAACAGTGTTTTCCTATTTTTAAAAATATTATTATTTAATATTTGAGGTGTTTCTCTTGATAAATAGAGATAATATTGTCATTGGTACATTCTTGCTGGTACTGATTTTGGAAATCCTCAAAGAGGATGTGATGAATTACTCAGCCATGCTTTTTTGTCTTTTCTTTACAGAGTGAAATACCAGAGCTACAGGTATGGTATACCAAACTTGGAAAAACATCCGAAAGATTTCTTTTTAAGCAGCTGGATTCTCTATGGGTAATTTTAAAGTAAATTCTTATATTTTGGGTATTCCAACAGTAAAACAGTAAAAGGGCACAGAAATGTCATTAATTAAGAATTTTTATTTTTATAAGTTTGTGTGTTTATAGATGTGTTTAGCTCTTAGACATTTAGTTTGTCTTGGTGGATGGTGACGCCATCACCTGGCTTCCCAGGTTGGAAATTTAAGTCCCATTTGAGACTCTCTGTCTTTCCCACTCACCCTCTGTATCCCGCCAGTGGTCAAGTATAGACAGTTGTATCCACACATTTCTCTTACTCACTCCTTATTCTCCATTACCACCGTTACTTCTTGTTTCAGTTCTTCATTATCGCTCTCCTGGATTTCAGAAACTGCCTCTTGTTTTTCCAGTCTGACTTTCCAGGTCACCCATCACACTGCTACAGAGTGAAATGTCAAAAATGCAGATCTGATTTTTGTGACCACTGTGCTCAGAGGACCTCAGTGATTATTTTCTTAGAAGTTAACATTCCTTAGTGTAGCACATGGCCCTCATTATCCTCCCAGAAGGTAGAAGACTGGTCTTCTTCCTAGAGATGTGTCCTACTAAACTGGCCTCTCTTCACATACTAAACTTACATTTTTCAAAGCATAGCATGCCTGTTTATTTACCTCTGTGACTTTGCACATACTGTGTTCTTCACCTAGAATGGCCTCTCCTCAACTTTGTCATCTTTTGAGACTCAATTCAAGTGTCTTTTCCTCTGACGCTTCCTCACCAGTCTTAGCTCATATTCACCTAGGGCCATGTGCTTACCTAGTTAAATGCTTTTCCTGCACCACTGGACACCTTGAAGACTGAGCCTTGCCTTATTTAGCTTTATATCCCAGGTGCTTCCCACAGTGCCTCATCCATGGTGCTTTCTGGGGAAAGGTTTCAAAGAACGAATTGGCCCAAACAAGCACATTATTTCACTTAATTGACACAAGTCTACCACTTTTTCTGGTTATTATTAATGTTCTGATAACCAACTAGTCACTAACAGTGATAAAACACCTTATTATGTATTAAGTTCTGAAAAAAAAGTTCATACTTTTTGTGTAACAAATTGCTAGGAATGGCATAATAAAATTGATTTTCCTCATAAGAAAAATAATGTCATTTGGGGTTATTCTTCAACCTGAATATAACGGTCAGGTATTTCATAGATCTGATCATCAATTTACCATTAAAACAAGGATAATAACTCCTTTTATTCAAAATAGAAAAAAACTGTTCAAATTTCATAAAAGGATTCCAGTGTCTTCAGAGATCTACATTTAGCATAGAACAACTTTGATACTGGGAGCGTTTTCCATTGGTCACACACTAAGCTTAGCACTTTAAAAGCATTATCTGGTTTAATCCTCACAGCAGTCTATAAGGTATGTATTTTTTCCTCATTTTGTAGATGAGGAGATTGTGACTTAAAGAGATTAAGTTGCCAAGATCGTAAGTGTGACATAAGCCTAACTTGCTAGTTGAAATATATATTGATCATAAAATGAGCAGGATTTTTCTCTCTTAATTGTAAAAGGATTTCTGTGATTAACAGCTGGGTCGACAGTGATATTTTATGAATTTTTTTACCTTAGTAAATTACTGAGAGAAAAAAGCAGGTCTCTTAGTTGCATGTATCGAATATATCCAAGCTTTAAGGAGCTTACTGTGTAGTGGAAAAGAATAGGCTAATAGAAATAGATTTTGAGATTATTTAGTCCTTCCTTCCATGAAGTAAGGTTGTTTAAAATTATAAAGCATAATTTTATAAAGTTTTCTAAAATACTTAGGAAAAAAAGATTCCAAGGGCCTTGATATTGGTGAGTTTTCCACAAATGTTTAGGAAGTTCTAACAGAAATGATTTGGACTTTTCTTTAAGCTAATTTTTTTAAAGCTATTCTGTCCACATGAGATGAGCTATAGTACCTGGTCCTGAATACAGTAGTGTCTTCTTTTTCAGCTCCTTGACAGCGATGGCAGTTTCACACTGAGCCTGCATGAAGATGAGCTGTTCACACTCACCACTCTCACCACTGGTCGCAAAGGCAGCTACCCGCTTCCTCCAAAATCCCAGCCCTTCCCAAGTACCTATAAGGATGATTTCAATGTTGGTGAGTATTTTTCACTAAAACTTAACTTGGTCTCTATATTTAACAGTAGTGTGTTGATTTCTACCTGTCAAACTGGGTGCATGATGGAGTGGCTGTCAAAAGCACATTCATTTACCTCCTACATCTCATATGCGGTAAAAGGAGGGCTAATTTTTTGCATTACTTTATGGTAAATCTAAATTTGAGGACCCTGTATTTTTCAGTTTCAGAAAAAAATATAGGGTTCATTGTTAGAATGAAAGTTATAGTTCTGATTTGTTTTTGGTGAAACTTAAACTTTGTAACTTTGCTACTGCCCCATTAGCCATTACTGACATCTTCCTTCTGTGTGGAGGTTAAGACACATTCATATCTGTCTTTCTGCAGTGCTAGTGAACTGAGTGCTTATGGGCAGTTATGTTGTCCTTGGCTGATCCAACTCATTATATACCATCCCGTGCTTTTTTTTTAATTGAGCTTTCTTGGTTTTCTAGGAAGATCTGTCCTAAAGTTGTTAGAAAAGTTTTTGGTTATAGGTGATTTAGGAAAACCACTTGGAAAAAAGTTAGAAGACATGGTCATTGTAGTTATATTCCTAGTGAGTAAGTAACAAAATTTGTTGACTGCTTGGTGGTGTTCTGTAGGTTTATGGGTCTCACAGACAGGGTCAGGTGGCTTTGTAATCTGCTCCTAAAATCTGTAGCAGCAGGAGAGTAATAGGGAGGGAGCTGGCATTGCTGGAGCATCACTTGAAGCTCCTGTTTGCTGCAGAGCTGCTTGTTCCACCAAAGATGGACACTCCTATCACCCTTTCCCAGTCACTGCTACAGGGTCTCGCCTCCCTTTCTCAGGAAATGATCTAGTTGGCTGGAGTATAAGGCCTTTTGGACTGTGTAATGGAGTCCTCTCAACTATAATACAGACAACAGTGATCCTCAGGGGGAGCTTGGTGGTTTGTTTTTCTGCAACTCTTTGAAATGGCCTCTTAGATAAACCCATTAATTTTGTGAAACACAGGGTCTTTAAAATCTGTTGCTCGCTTGGTTCTCTGTTAGCAAAAGTGACTTTTGCCTTCAGTAAGTGAGGAATCTGTGTGGGATATGGCCTAGATAATGAGATTGAAGAACTGCCAGCACCAAGACCAATATTTTGTGACCCTGAAGACTAAGAGGCAATTTCAAACCTTCAAATATAAAATGTAATACTTTATGAGCTACAATATAAATTTAAAACTAAGTTAAATATTATAAGCTAGGCTCTGGAGATACTTGTTAGGGTTCTAAATGTCTCAAATGAGGTAATGAATGCAAAAACACTTGGAAAAGCATGAGGTATAAGAGCTATAAGATATGTAAAATTTCTCCTCTACAGCATTCATTATTGTAAGACTATAATTTAATTTAGTAAAACTAAAAAGGGATTGATAACTTAGGCCCAAAACTGGTTTTTGCTGCAGTTTAGAAGTAGAAGAAAATTTGTAAATTTTATGCTTGATATAGTAAACCTTTCTTATGCTCTTTTGGCAGATGATTGTGACGCATGATTTGGAACCTTGCTTGACAGATATTAGAAATAATAAAGCTATCCCTTATTGAGCCCTTGCCAGGTGCTGGCTTATGTACCTGTTATCTTTTCTTTAATTCTCTTGTCCTCCTGCAAACCTGGAAATGAAGAAACTTTAGATGCAGGGCAGTTAAATAGCTTGTCCAGGGCGACAGACTGAACTCGAATTTGAATCTAGGTCTTACTTCAAAACTCATGACCTTTCCTCTACACCAGATGCCTGGATTAAATATTATGCAGCATCTATATGTCGAACTCATCATCTTGATATTTAGTAATGATGATACAAAAATTAATGTATCTTTATTAGACCTAGGCCCTAAACTTTGGTTTAGATTTTATTTATTTATTTAAAAGCTTTCAGAAGTGTTTCAGACATACTATAAAATATCAGCAAGGAGAGCTTCTGAAGGATTTGATACTAAACAGAGAATTTCTTACATTCTGAACAGATTACCCATTTTTTAGTGAAGCTCCAAACTTTGCTGATCAAACTGGTGTATTTGAATATTTTACAAATATTGAAGACCCTGGCGAGCATCACTTCACGCTACGCCAAGTTCTCAACCAGAGACCCATTACATGGGCTGCCGATGCATCCAACACAATCAGTATTATAGGAGACTACAACTGGTAAGATTGATGTTCTCAATGTGGATCTGGCTGAAATACCCTTGTAATATTGTCAGGTACATTTTGAAGTGAAGAGTTTTCAATGGTCCTCCTATTTCAAGAACCTAATAGATGTGTAATATGTAATATTAAGGGTTGTTGAATAGTATGGTGATGACCACAAAGCTGCAAATTGTTTTGCTGCCCCAGTGTCCTTCCCTCATTTTTGCCCTATTTAATAGTGATTATTACAGGAGCAATTTGATTCCAGTATAAAAACTAAGGACTTTTGGACCCAATTATAATTTAATATTTGTTTATAAATAGACGGATTTGTGAGGTATTTTTAAGTTTTTGTTTTGCTGGAGAGTTGATTTGTTGATCTGGTGTTGCCATCTAGTGGACCAATCTTAGAATTACACCGTCTTAGCCTTATTAAAAGATTTACCAGGTGACAGTAGATGGCAATAGTAAAAAGCTAATCAGCTTTAGTCGCCTAGTGAATTTAACTTTTTATTTAGTCATCTGGTAAAGAGACAAGTTATATTATTCACATAAAATATAATGCCAAACTAAAACTTTCCCTTCCTCTTTAGTTACAGAATTTCTATGTGCTGACTTATTCCACCTGTCATGTGTTTCTTTTTCATTTTTTCCTATAACTAGTATGATTCCACTGTGGGAAAAGAAACACATACACATTCCAGGTTTAGAGCTAGTACTAGTAATACCAAGCCACCAAAAAGCCATATCCGAAGCTTGGAAACTGGAGAGGGAAGAGAAAAGAATTCTGAAAAGAGCCTTGAATTGCCTGTCTATGGAGTGTGCAGAAAGTGTTTATCCCTCCTGAAGTGCCTTACTCCCAGTTAGAAATCCTGATTCTAGTCCCAAGCTCTGACATAAGTCTTAAGAAACTTTTAGTTATCCAGAGCCCCTGGAACCCTTATAACACTATGAAGAGTTATTGAGGTGCAGTGAAGAATTCCTTCCTAATTTAGGATGACATTTGTGGCTTGTGTTTTTACGCAGAATTTCTGCTTGTCCCATTGTCTCTGAGGTGGAAACTTTACCTAGATTTTCCAGTTATGGTAGTGGAGTTCTTGGCATCCTTATTTGTGACTGATGGTCTTATTTTAAGTCCAGTGGCTGGGTTTAAGTGTCCAAGGCCTGGGTCCCATTGTTTTGATCTCCAGTTTTGAAGTCGCCGTATAGGAAACTTTTTTTTCTGTGACATCCCCTATACCCCATGCACTTGAATACCATAGAGGGCTCTTTCTAAACTCAAACTCAATCTTATTTCTGGCTGGGACTCCAAAAAGATTGAGAAGCCCCTTAATTGTAGTATAGAAGTGAGATATAGCACCATCCAAAGATTTACTCCCCCAGATCTTCATATATTTGAATCTTC
Source organism: Homo sapiens (assembly GCF_000001405.40). NCBI lineage: Eukaryota > Metazoa > Chordata > Mammalia > Primates > Hominidae > Homo > Homo sapiens. The sequence continues at coordinate 87,944,165 of NC_000014.9, read as the reverse complement.
ATATACATCTTCACAATTTAAATAGCAATACTCAGTTTTTACTAGGATCTATTGCAGTGGGTAAGGAGGTGGGGACGAGGGATGGGGAAGGGTGTAGAAGGGAAGAGAGTGACATATTCTGAAAGGAAAGGAACCGGGAAGTTGCAATTTTGCGTGTCAAGAAAGGCCTGCCTTCATCTTTCTGAAGCCCTGTTTTCATCATGTTATTCCCCTGCTCAGGAAGATGCAGTGACTCTGTCCTGCTACCTGTGTTTTCCACTTCTAGGCTTGATTTCCAAGACCCTTTATAATTTGGTCTCATCTATTATGTGTTATTTTCCAGTATTCCACCCTCTATTTGAGGCAGCCAGATCTGCTCAGAGATCCACACAAATCCCTTGTTCATTTCTGTTGTCTGGCTGCTGTGCCCACTTATTGTGGGAAAAGGAGGGAATAAAAATTGGGTAATAGTAGGCACTTTGATGGATTTCCCACACAACCACTTTATGGTGGAGATATCATCGTCCCCACCTTGCAGACTGAGAAACTGCATCTTTGGAATAAGATTTACCCAATATTTCACTTGTAAGTGGCAGAACAAGGGCTAGAAGCCGGGTCTGTGTGACTGAGTAGCCCATTCTCTTTGGAGTACATCTCACAGCCTCATTTTAATCATCTTCTTCCTAAAGGTAGGAAATGAGAAATTTGTTTAGTTTATCTGTAGTGCTATTTTAGTAAATCTGCTCTCAATGAGTGCACACTACTCACAGTTTTTAGACTTGTGTTTTGAGTAGAACTTCCTCTCTTATACCTAGATTTAGTCATTTACCAGCACAGTAATTTGATTATATGGGATAGATTGTACTATAACTGGCTACTTCTATCTTGATAGTGAGCATTGGTTGGAATCCTTTAAAGACAATCACAAAATTACCTTTCCCTGCACACAGATGAACTCTCTTGGATCAAATTTGCCTTATGTATTGGCTAGTTTTTGTTCTTTCAGCATTACTGAGAGATTGTGGCTGTGGAAGAATAAACCACACTTTTATTCCATTTCATTCATTATCTGTGAAATTGCCTGGCAAGTTCTGATGCAAGAATCACTTATTCTGGAATGTGGTATATAGAAAAGGAAAGTTTGATCTTCTCTCATTCCAACTCTAAATAGAATAATTTTATGGTGCTGATGGTATTTGTAGCACTTTCAAACTTCTGATGAACCAGAAAGGAGGTAAGGGATGTAAGTACCAGTGTTGATTGCCAGTGGTTTCATGCTGGTGATAATCTATGGAGAGAAAACTCCCTCTGATGTCAGAGGACATACAAGAGAGACTGGGCTTGAGTTACTTAGCATTTATCTTCCTGTAAAGTAGTCCAGCTCTGCTTAGATAATTAAGTGTGGATTGTCCTCCCTGTGTAGCTGATGTAGGTACTTCTGTAATATTTTCCTTTATGTAGTAAAATTTCACTGTGCAAAATTCACTGATAAGACACAGAAATGTAAAAGCCACATAATTCTAGATCTCATTCCCCCCAGCCCATTTCCAGAATGGATTTCTTGGTGTTTCCAGTTTTATGTGAGATATATTGCTTGATTTATGACTTGGTTATGTGCAGGCTTTCTTTTTCTTCCCACTTGCAGTTAGATACTGAGTAGGAAGTGAAATATTTTCAGAGATCATGTTGGTTTGGGGTGGTTGTAGCATTCCAGAAGGAAAGTGTTGTACCTGGTAGCATTTGTAAGAGGAAACCTGGAGGAGAGCTCACTGTAAAAGCTCTGGTAGTCCCTGGACAGCTGAATCTTTTCCCATCTTTGATAGACTGCTGTGGATCAGTGAGCCTAGAACCAGGATTTTATTGCTTCCTTATAGACAGATACTTCATAGGGGAAAATGGTCCTCCAAGTGGCATTCCTGGACGAGCAGCATCAGCATCACCTGGGAACTTGTTAGACATGCACATTCAAGGGGCTGCCCCAGATGTACTGAATCACGCTGTGGGGTAGGGCCAGTGAACTGAGTTTAAGAAGCCCTCCAGGTGATTTCAGTGCTGTTCAGGTGTGAGAAGCCCTCCTAGAGAGTCAACTCTGTGGTCTTTGCAGAAAAATAATTTTAGATCTTTTCTCCTGGAGTTTTAAAGTTTTGTTAGATTTAAATGTAAAAGTTGGCCCCGGAATAGCTTGTGTTCTCTCAAAGGCTCCTAGCATTGCCTTCATTGCCTCTCTTTGTTGATGGAAGTTTGAATAAACATTTTCCCTCAGAATTGTGTGGAACTTTTTACTTTTTAATGTGTTCATAGACAATAGTAGCATTTTAAAATATTGTATTCTTAAGATGAGAAGTTGTTTTATTGTAGAAAAAAAATTTTCTCAGGAAACTTAAAAATCATAACTATTATTGTCCAGTAATCATTTAAAGAGGCAATGAAATGACTTAAGTCATGTAACATTTAAAACTGTTGTCAATAAAGATTCTTGAAGCCCATCTCTGCTACAGGCTTAGACTTAGCAAATCACATTCTCACCTCAATTAGAAGTTTGGAAGCATGTGCTGTGAAATGACATATCTGTACTATGTTACAAAGGGCATATTTTAAAGAGTACTAATCAACCGTTTTATTTTGCAGGACCAATCTGACTATAAAGTGTGATGTATACATAGAGACCCCTGACACAGGAGGTGTGTTCATTGCAGGAAGAGTAAATAAAGGTGGTATTTTGATTAGAAGTGCCAGAGGAATTTTCTTCTGGATTTTTGCAAATGGATCTTACAGGGTTACAGGTGATTTAGGTAACTGACTTTTTTTTTTTTTAATAGCATATGACTTATGGGCTATGTTACTTTGAGCACCTACTTGTTATTTGTGGGAGTGATAAAAAGAATTCAACCCAAGGTGTTTGGACATCTAATTGGGAAGGGATGTAAGCAAATACCAAATAGTTTACAATTATAGAAAGTTATTTAATTCCTAGAGATGGGGGCAGCTCTGTGGAAGGGAAAATAATTGTACAAAGCTTTTAAGGGTATTGTAGAGTTGAACTGGGCTGTGAGGATAGGATTTGCATAGATAGTATCAAAACCATCTGAGGTAGTGGTGGTAGGGAGAGAATGCTCAGGAGGCACCATAAATAAAAGCAAGAGTATACGACTGTTGCTGCTGTACCTATAGAAATATAAGGAGGGGAATTGATCGGCTTAAAATGGAAAAATCTCATTTTTGAATTTAGTTAATACTTGAAAATAGCTTGACTTTTCTCAGTCATCTTTACAGCCCTTGTGTTAGGTAGGATAATATTTTATCCAGAATAGGTGCTTCAAATATGTTCAGATTGAACTGTGTCCACTTCAGATTGGTTTTGATACACACCACTCCTTTGAAGCTAGACCTTACTGGTAGTGACTTTTCTTGATTCTCAGTCTCTTGACTTTCGTCTTACCTTAATTTAAAAATATCTCTTTTATAGTTTTCTGCTCTTTGCTTTGACTCCATAAATAAAATAAAAATTAAAGAGGAAGTAGGTAGTAAGGATATTAGAACAAGAGTTACATATTCATAGCATTACCAATCTGAACTTACCTCAGTGATACTGAAATCGAAAACATAGAACCAGTGAGGTTAATTGAGTGGCCTAATGACTCAAAGCTAGTTAGTGGCAGAACTGGAACTAGGAATTTAAATCTGTGTCTGCAGTCCCTATTGTCTGTTTTAAACCGCCTACTTGAAATTTTGTCCTGGGTTTCTCATAGGCATTCAAATAACACTAATTCCAAAAATTAACTTACTATTTTCTCCCTCTAAGTTAATACTATTACCATGTGACCAATTAGACTGGCTGGAAATTTTATATTCTGTCTCTCTTGTCTTCCATATTCAATCCAGTCATGTATAAATGTGTACTTGAACTACAGATGCTAACACCTCATACTATCACTGGTTTTTAAGTTTATTTCACTGGTTCTGTTGTGAGCTCACATATAGTATATGGCTCAGAGTAGGATCTCAGTATATGCTATTAAATGCATGGCTAAATGAAAAATGTTTTGGCTTAACTCAGTTGTAGATCTGGGAATGAAGGGACATAGCTCTCTGTTGAGGCTGACTTTACTACATACAGATGCCACTCAAGAACCCCACTGAATTATATGATTCTGTGATTGAGATCTCAAAATTATATCTATTGGGATAATATTTTTGTGTTACAGCTGGATGGATTATATATGCTTTAGGACGTGTTGAAGTTACAGCAAAAAAATGGTATACACTCACGTTAACTATTAAGGTAAGTATTGCTGATTGGAGTCTGGAGGTAAAATGCTCTTTTGTTGTGCATTTCTATAATTTTCTGTTATAAAATAGGAGGGGGAAAGTGTGACATATAATGAAGAGAGACAAAGAATCTGCCTTGGTGCCGGGAAGCCACTCATCCCTAGGATAGTTACATGTGTGAGGGTAACCTATGTGAGAACCATCAGCAGTTGACTTTATCAGGTCACTATTTTTTTAAAAAATTTTATTTTGTTTTTTAAACTGAGGCATAATTGATAGAGTCAATAATTGAACTATTTTTTTCAAGTTTGCTTGAACCAAGACTGTACATGGAGCTTATAGATGTAAGCAAAGCCATATGCATTTATTTTTGATGGTTAAGAATAATTTGGTTTTCAATTATAAGCATAATTTTTAGAAATTGGTTTCCATGAATATTTTAGTCAGAGAAAATACCAGATTAATTTTAGTATAATAGAAATATAAAAATGTTCCTGAGAATCACTGGGTGATCATGAGTTACTGCTCGACAGTGCTTCCAAGGGATGCTGTGCAGATAAATTTTTGTGTATAATGTGTTGGTCTCTCCCAAGATAGCTCTCTCACAATTTTGTTTAGAGTGCAGTAGAAATTAAAAATCAGATTCCAATAACTTTGGAATTTGTTCTCTCAACCACCAAAAATGACAGCACTAATTATTTTTTAGCATTAACAATATGTATATTGAAGATTTGGTTTGGATGTAGCATAGATTATTTAACTATACCACACTAGCCAAATTGTAGCCATTTTATAGCAATTATAATAATATTCACTATTATTGAATTTGAAGATTTTTTCCAAACTCATAGATATGATTTGTATTTCCTTGATAATTAGGGAGCTTGCACATCTAATGTTTACTGGCTATTTGTATTTTCTCTTCTCTGAAGTTGCCTGTTCACTTCTTTCTTCATTTTTCTATCATGTTGTCTTTTTCTGGCAAATTTGTGTGAATTTAATATGTATTCTGGATAGTAACCCATTGTCTGTTACATACGTCACAACTATGCTCTTCCTTCATGTGTATTCTAATTTTGCTTATGGTATTTTTGATGATTATAAGTTTTACATTTTGATACTGTCAAATATTTCACTTTTTATTCATTGCTTTTATGTTTCATGTTTTAAATAAGGCCTTCTTGTTTCTCAAGGTTAGGAACATTTTTCCCCCAAGCTAAACAAAGTTTAGGATTTATTTTTATGTGTAAGTCTTTAATACGTCAGAAATTTACTTGTGAATTGTAAGGGGAAGTACTGAATATAATTTTTTAAAAAATGGATAGCCATCATTTATTACAATGGACTATCCTTTTGCCCATAATTTAAAGGCTACCTTTTTGATGTAACAAATCAGCACATGTGCACATGCTTGTTTCTGAACTTTTTTCTGTTCTCCATATTGATGTTTGTCTATTATTATCCAAAATCACGCTTTTAATTGGTGTTCACATTCTAAAAGCTTTGATGATACAGCTACTCCCTTGCTTCCTTCAGAGTTTTCTTACCTGACCACCTGATAGAAAACAGCGCCCCATCTCACTCTCTAACTCCTTTCTGTTGCTTTATTTTTCTCCAAAAGTTTTATCCCAAGCTGACATCACACATATTCTGTTAATTGTTCATGTGTTTTCCTACTCCCTTCACTAGCACATAGCTCCTTTAGTGACAGGCTTTTCTCCATATTCCTCACTGCTGGCTCTGTAGCACCTAGAAAAGTGCCTGACAGCCAGGCAGAGCAAGAGTCCGAATAATACTTGGTAAATGAATGAATGGATATCTGGTGGGGCAACTTCCTCATTGTTTCTTTTTCAAAATTATCTTTGCTATTCCACTATATATATTATTCGATTTGACTTTTAAAAAACAAACTTTCAGTTACTTGAAAAATGGTGCTGGTATTACATTAAATTTACACATCAATTTAGGAAAAAATGACTTTTTTTTTTTTAACAATAATGTGTTTCCCCATGAGAGAACACAGGAACAAAAGCATGCTATATTTCACCATTTATTAAGATTTGCCACTATGTCCTTCAGTTTTATTTTTGCAAACTTTTGATTAGGTTTGTTTTAGTAATTTTATGAGTTTTTTTGAAATCATGAATGAGATTTTAAAAATTTTCTTAATTTTTTTCAGGTACTTTGCATACCTGGTTAAAATATCAATAGGATGTGAGGCATCTTGCCTCACATCCTGTTCCTTCTTCTTGACCCCATTCTGTGTCTTGTACTTCTGATACAGCCACTCTTCACTATTTTAGCTGTTTCTTCTGGTGTGTCTTTAATACAATGTGATTCATTACTTTTAAAAATTGGCTCTTGTCTTGCTACTAGGATGGATAGGACTTTGCTGGCTTGCACCCACCTCACTCCCCTACTCCTGTTATTTTGTGTTTCATCAACTATGGGCATTCTGTTTCCTCTTGAATCTCAGCTTTTGCCACATACTCTGAGGGTCTTCTGTAACTATCTGCACTAAAGTAGTCTGTCAGGCACCCATTGTCACCTTGACCTGGCTTAATTTTTACATGCTACTTATCTTTTAGCTCTCATTTTGTGTGTGTGTGCATATCTGTCCATCTCCTACTAGAATATAAGCTCCATAAGAGCAGGGACCTTGTCTTTCTTGTTCATCTTAAATTCCCAGTGCATTAAACAGTATTTGACATATAAATCTTCTTTGCGTAAATAAAAAAAACAAAACATCATCTTCTATGTTGCCCATATTCCAAATTACAGCTAATGTGAGGATTTTGTCACTGACTATCAGCCACCTGTTGAATTCTTCTCAGCACTTGTCAGGTGACTTGTCCCAGTTCTGTTGCATGGTGGGTAGCACAATGGACTTTGAAGTCTACTATATTCTACTTGCAAGTATTTTATATTGCACAGCTTCAATTTTCCCATCCATGATATCATGAAGAACACTTTTCTTATGAAGATTCAATGAGAAAATAAATAAATATATATATATATATAGTACCTGATATGTGGTAAGCACTTAATGAGTCAAGTTAATATTTTTAGGAGTAGGAGTGTTTGGAACCAGACAGACCAGCATTCGTATTTCCTCACTAACACATGCTGAGACTTCTAGCAAGTTATTCCACCTCTTTGAGTATCCATTTCCTTATCTGCAAAATGGAGATAACTTCTGTGAGGTTGTTTTGAGGGTTAAATGTGTTTCATTCTTATATTCAACACATTTTTATTAAGCCCCTACTGTATGCACTTTACTAAGTCCTAGGGATACAGCAGCGAACGAAACAGACAAGATTCCTGCTCTCTTAGAGCATATATTCTTCTAGGACAGGGGTTGGCAACTTTTTCTGTAAAGGGCCAGATAGTAAATATTTTAGACTTCGTGGGCCATGTGGTCTCTGCTGTGGCTACCCAGTTCGGCTATTGTAATGAGTAAAAAAGCCATAGACAATAGACAATAATGAGAAAAAAAGCCATAGACAATGGATGTGGCTGTGTTTCAGTAAGATTTTATTTATTAAAAAAAGGGCGGTTGGCATGTAGGTCATAGTTTGCTGAGCCCTATCCTGAGATAATAAACTTGTAAATAAGTTTATAAATGATTATGAAGAAAAAATAGAGTCATGAGATAAAGTAGCTCTGTTACCCTGATTCTCTAACCAGGGAGGTGAGGAAAGACCTCACTGAGTGGGTAGTACTTGAGTGCAGACCTGAATGCTGGGAAGAACAATTTGAGCAGACCAAGTGGCAGGTGCAAAAGGCAGGTGTAGCTGACATTGTGTGAAGAGCAGCCTGGAGGCTGGGGTGGCTGAAGTCTGGGGAGTCAGGAGAGATAAGGTCCTGTTAGACAGGTTTTGTGCTTAATGTGATCTGTGATTTGAGTCCCTTGGCTCGGTGTTAATATTGAGTGTTTGATGGCAGCAGAAGATGTTCAGTAAGCACTTCTAGAGCTGAAGATAGCTGTGCAAGTCTGTAGTAATAGGAATGTGGCTCTGAATTTGGAGCTAGGTAACTTGGAGTGAAAACCTGTGACTTTGAGCTTTAATCTATTAAGCCTCAGTGTTTCCACGCATAAAATAAAAGAACTAAATTAAGGCCCATTACGTTATACTTCCAAGACTTAAAAGCAGATTTATTCTGGTTCTTGGCCCAGTGCTTTGAGTTTTGAGCTCTTCACCTTCTGAGAGTAGCTAGTTTTATATGATTGACTGTAGTTAGTATGCTGTGAATATGTGCTCATAAATGTACTATCATAAAGATAATAAGAGCTGAGATTTATTGTTTACCATGTGCCAGGCACTGAGCTAAGTAGAATGGCAACATTCGGAGGAAGGTGTAATTTTTTCTTTCACTGTCAGTGACCAGTAAGTCACACCTTATAGATGCCTCCCTTCTTCCACCCGCTGCACCCTACTCCAGCATCACTTTAACTGATGGTTACTGTTTTTCCAACTTAAGGGTAGGAGCTTCATATGGCTTTGAAGTGATATTCTATTCATGGCAACAAAACACAAAAACTAAGGTTAATTATTTTTCTTCTGGCTGGGCAGAGGCTCCTTAATGAAAACCTTAAGGAAGCAATGAGGTAGAAGCAGATGTTTTGACTCCAGCAGTCATGTCTGAAGAGCTGGTGGCTGTTAGCCACACCACTTGTACATGTGACTACTTATAAATAACTTTTGTTAAATTTTAATGAGCTTTTTTCTAAAACTTTATAATAATGCCTGAAAAGTTTTGCATTTTGTTGGTTTTAAATTTTGGTGGAGCACAGGAAATATTGAGGTATTCCTTGTACTTTGGGAACGATTTAAGTAGGTAGATAAGAATTTCTTCCTAGAGTTTTTTCCTGTATTTTAAACTTTTGCTCAAACTTGTGGAATTGTGTTTTGCTGTGGTTAAGTCTTGAGTGAGTAGTACATTTGCTCCACTAAGTAGTGGGCCATACATGATCAAGAAACAGACTTCAGAGGACCATTTTCATATGGTTTCAAGGAATGTGTTTCTTTCTACTCTAGGGTCATTTCACCTCTGGCATGCTGAATGACAAGTCTCTGTGGACAGACATCCCTGTGAATTTTCCAAAGAATGGCTGGGCTGCAATTGGAACTCACTCCTTTGAATTTGCACAGTTTGACAACTTTCTTGTGGAAGCCACACGCTAATACTTAACAGGGCATCATAGAATACTCTGGATTTTCTTCCCTTCTTTTTGGTTTTGGTTCAGAGCCAATTCTTGTTTCATTGGAACAGTATATGAGGCTTTTGAGACTAAAAATAATGAAGAGTAAAAGGGGAGAGAAATTTATTTTTAATTTACCCTGTGGAAGATTTTATTAGAATTAATTCCAAGGGGAAAACTGGTGAATCTTTAACATTACCTGGTGTGTTCCCTAACATTCAAACTGTGCATTGGCCATACCCTTAGGAGTGGTTTGAGTAGTACAGACCTCGAAGCCTTGCTGCTAACACTGAGGTAGCTCTCTTCATCTTATTTGCAAGCGGTCCTGTAGATGGCAGTAACTTGATCATCACTGAGATGTATTTATGCATGCTGACCGTGTGTCCAAGTGAGCCAGTGTCTTCATCACAAGATGATGCTGCCATAATAGAAAGCTGAAGAACACTAGAAGTAGCTTTTTGAAAACCACTTCAACCTGTTATGCTTTATGCTCTAAAAAGTATTTTTTTATTTTCCTTTTTAAGATGATACTTTTGAAATGCAGGATATGATGAGTGGGATGATTTTAAAAATGCCTCTTTAATAAACTACCTCTAACACTATTTCTGCAGTAATAGATATTAGCAGATTAATTGGGTTATTTGCATTATTTAATTTTTTTGATTCCAAGTTTTGGTCTTGTAACCACTATAACTCTCTGTGAACGTTTTTCCAGGTGGCTGGAAGAAGGAAGAAAACCTGATATAGCCAATGCTGTTGTAGTCGTTTCCTCAGCCTCATCTCACTGTGCTGTGGTCTGTCCTCACATGTGCACTGGTAACAGACTCACACAGCTGATGAATGCTTTTCTCTCCTTATGTGTGGAAGGAGGGGAGCACTTAGACATTTGCTAACTCCCAGAATTGGATCATCTCCTAAGATGTACTTACTTTTTAAAGTCCAAATATGTTTATATTTAAATATACGTGAGCGTGTTCATCATGTTGTATGATTTATACTAAGCATTAATGTGGCTCTATGTAGCAAATCAGTTATTCATGTAGGTAAAGTAAATCTAGAATTATTTATAAGAATTACTCATTGAACTAATTCTACTATTTAGGAATTTGTAAGAGTCTAACATAGGCTTAGCTACAGTGAAGTTTTGCATTGCTTTTGAAGACAAGAAGATAAGTGCTAGAATAAATAAGATTACAGAGAAAATTTTTTGTTAAAACCAAGTGATTTCCAGCTGATGTATCTAATATTTTTTAAAACGAACATTATAGAGGTGTAATTTATTTACAATAAAATGTTCCTACTTTAAATATACAATTCAGTGAGTTTTGATAAATTGATATACCCATGTAACCAACACTCCAGTCAAGCTTCAGAATATTTCCATCACCCCAGAAGGTTCTCTTGTATACCTGCTCAGTCAGTTCCTTTCACTCCCAATTGTTGGCAGCCATTGATAGGAATTCTATCACTATAGGTTAGTTTTCTTTGTTCCAGAACATCATGAAAGCGGCGTCATGTACTGTGTATTCTTATGAATGGTTTCTTTCCATCAGCATAATGATTTGAGATTTGTCCATGTTGTGTGATTCAGTGGTTTGTTCCTTCTTATTTCTGAAGAGTTTTCCATTGTATGAATATACCACAATTTGTTTCCTCCCCACCAGTTTCTGATACTACAATTAAAACTGTCTACATTTACAATCTTTGTGTCAAATATATTTTTATTTCTTCTGGATGAATACTGAGGAGTGAAATTCCTGGGTCTTATGTTAATTGTATGTTTAACTTTATAAGAAACTACCAAACTGTTTTCCAAAATGATTGTATGGTTTTACACTTCTATCAACAATGTTTAAAAGTTCCAGTTACTCTGCATTCTTGTCAGTGCTTCATGTTGTCATTCTTTTTAATTTTAACCCTTAATTGTGGGTGTATAGTATGTACATTTCTCTGATGACTAAAGCTATTGAGCAGATGTCATGGACTTAATGGACATTTATGTACTTTGTTTTATGTAATATCTATTCAAATATTTTGCTCATCTAAAAAATTCTGTTTTTTCCATTGAGTTTTAAGAGCTCTTTACATCTTCCAGATACATGTTTTTTTAAAAAAAAAAAGTTTTGAAAATTATTTTCTCTATTTCTGCAAAGAGCCTGATGGAATTTTCATTGTGATTGCATTTAAATTATAGATAAATCTGGAGAGAACTGATATCTGACTAATATGGACCCTTCAAATCCATGAGCAGTTACACCTTTTTAAAAATTTTATTTTACTTTAAGTTCCAGGATACATGTGCAGAAGGTGCAGGTTTGTTACATAGGTATATGTGTGCCATGGTGGTTTGCTGCACCTATTGACCCATTCTTTTAAGTTCCCTCCCCTCGCCCCCCACCCCCCAACAGCCCCTGGTATGTGTTGTTCCCCTCCCTGTGTCCTTGTGTTCTCATTGTTCAGCTCCCACTTATGAGTGAGAACATGCAGTGTTTGATTTTCTCTTCCTGTGTTAGTTTGCTGAGCATGACGGCTTCCAGCTTCATCCATGTCCCTGCAAAGGAAATGATCTCATTCTTTATTATGGCTGCGTAGTATTCCATGGTGTATATGTATCATGTTTTCTTTATCCAGTCTATGGTTGATGGATATTTGGGTTGGTTCCATAACTTTGCTATTGTAAATGGTGCTGCAGTAAACTTATGTGTGCATGTGTCTTTATATCAGAATGATTTATATTCCTTTGGGTGTATACCCAGTAATGGGATTGCTGGGTCAAATGGTATTTCTGGTTCTAGATCCTTGAGGAATCACCACACTGTCTTCCACAATGGTTGAACTAATTTACATTCCCACCAACAGTGTAAAAGCACTTCTATTTCTCCACAGCCTCACCTGCATCTGTTCTTTCTTGACTTTTTAATAATTGCCATTCTGACTGGCATGAGATGGTATCTCATTGTGGTTTTGATTTGCATTTCTCTAATGATTAGTGATGTTGAGCTTTTTTTCATGTTTGTTGGGTAGGTAAATGTCTTCTATTTGAGTAGTGTCTGTTCATATTCTTTGCCCACTTTTCGATGGAGTTGTTTTTTTCTTGTACATTTAAGTACTTTGTAAATTCTGTATATTAGACCTTTGTCAGATGGATAGACTGCAAAAATGTTTTCTCATTCTGTAGGTTGCCTGTTCAATGTGATGATAGTTTCTTTTGCTGTGCAGAAGCTCTTTAGTTTAATTAGATCCCGTTTGTCAATTTTGGCTGTTTCGCAATTGCTTTTGGCATTTTCATCATGAAGTCTTTGCCTATGCCTATGTCCTTGGTGGTATTGCCTAGATTTTCTTCTAGGGTTTTTATGGTTTGGGTTTTACATTTAAGTCTTTTATTCATCTTGAGTTAATTTTTCTATAAGGTGTAGGGAAGGGGTCCAGTTTCAGTTTTCTGCATATGGCTAGCCAGTTTTCCCAGCACCATTTATTGAATAGGAGATCCTTTTCCCACTGCTTGTTTTTGTCAGGTTTGTCGAAGAGCAGATGGTTGTAGATGTGTGGTGTTATTTCTGAAGTCTCTGTTCTGTTCCATTGATCTATATGTCTGTTTTGGTACCAGTACCATGCTGGTTTGGTTACTGTAGTCTTATAGTATAGTTTGACATCAGCTAACATGATGCTTCCAGCTTTGTTCTTTTTGCTTAGGATTTTCTTGGCTATATGGGGTCTTCTTTGATTTCATATGAAATTTAAAGTAGTTTTTTCTAATTCTGTGAAAAATGTCAAGGGTAGTTTGATGGGAATAGCATTGAATCTATAAATTACTTTGGGCAGTGTGGCCATCTTCATGATATTGATTCTTCCTATCCATGAGGATGGAATGTTTTTCCATTTGTTTGTGTCCTCTGTTACTTCCTTGAGCAGTGGTTTGTAGTTGTCCTTGAAGAGGTCCTTCACATCCCTTGTTAGCTGTATTCGTAGGTATTTTATTCTCTGTGTAGCAATTGTGAATGAGAGTTCATTCATGATTTGGCTCTCTGCTTGTCTATTGTTGGTGTAAAGGAATGCTTGTGATTTTTCCACATTTATTTTGTATCCCGAAACTTTGCTGAAGTTGCTTATCAGCTTAAGGAGTTTTTGGACTGAGATGATGGGGTTTTCTAAATTTAGAATCATGTTATCTGCAAACAGAGACAATTAGACTTTCTCTCTTCCTATCTGAATACCCTTTATTTCTTTCTCTTGCCTGATTGCCCTGGCCAGAACTTCTGATACTATGTTGAATGGGATTGTTGAGAGAGGGTATCCTTGCCTTGGTGCTGGTTTTCAAAGGGAATGCTTCCAGTTTTTTCCCATTCAATATGATATTGGCTGTGGGTTTGTCATAAATAGCTCTTCTTATTTTGAGATATGTTCCATCAATACCTAGTTTATTGACAGTTTTTAACATAAAGAGATGTTGAATTTTATCAAAGTCCTTTTCTGCCTCTATTATCATGTGGTTTTTGTCTTTGGTTCTGTTTATGTGATGGATTGTGTTTATTGATTTGCATAGGTTGAACCAGCCTCGCATCCCAGGGATGAAGCCAACTTGATCGTGGTGGATGAATTTTTTGATGTGCTGCTGGATTCGGTTTGCCAGTATTTTATTGAGGATTTTCATGTTGATGTTCATCAGGGATATTGGCCTGAAGTTTTCTTTTTTTGTTATGTCTCTTCCCAGTTTTTGGTATCAGGATGATGTGTTGTACAGTGAGTTAGGGAGGAGTCTCTCCTTTTCAATTGTTTGGAATAGTTTCAGAAGGAATGATACCAGTTCCTCTTTATACCTCTGGTAGAATTTGGCTGTGAATCCATCTTGTCCTGGGCTTTTTTGTTGGTAGGCTATTAATTGCTGCCTCAAGTTCAGAACTTGTTATTGGTCTATTCAGGGATTCGACTTCCTCCTAGTTTAGTCTTGGGAAGGTATATGTGTCCAGAAATTTATCCGTTTCTGCTAGATTTTCTAGTTTATGTGCATAGAAATGTTTATAGTATTCTGTGATGGTAGTTTGTATTTCTGTGGGGTCAGCGGTGATACCCCTTTATCATTTTTTATTGTGTCTATTTGATTCTTCCCTCTTCTTTATTAGTCTAGCTAGTGGTCTATCCATTTTATTATTTTTTTCAAAAAACTAGCTCCTTGATTCATTGATTTTTTTGTAGGGCTTTTCGTGTCTCTATCTCCTTCAATTCTTCTCTGATGTTATTTCTTGTCTTCTGCTAGTTTTTGGATTAGTTTGCTCTTGCTTCTCTAGCTCTTTTAATTGTGATGTTAAAATGTCAATTTGAGATCTTTCTCACTTTCTGATGTGGGCATTTAGTGGTATAAATTTCCCTCTTAACACTGCTTTAGCTGTGTTCCCCAGATTCTCGTATGTTCTCTTTGTTCTCATTGGTTTCAAAGAACTTCTTGATTTCTGCCTTAATTACATTATTTACCTAGGAGTCATTCAGGAGCAGGTTGTTCAATTTCCATGTAATTGTGTAGTTTTGAGTGAGTTTCATAATCCTGAGTTCTAATTTGATTGCACTGTGGTCTGAGAGACTATGATTTCAGTTCTTTGGCATTTGCTGAGGAGCAGTGACACCTTTTCATACATTAAGTCTGTAATTTCTCTCAGCAGTTTCTGTAGTTTTCAGCATACAGATCTTGAAGATGTTTTTTATTAAATGTATCCTTAAATAGTTTATGTTTTTGATGCTATTGTAAATAGTGTTTATTATTTGTTACTCATACATAGAAATACAGTTGGTTTTTGTATATTGACCTGCAATCCTGCTGCCTTGCGAAATTCACTTTTTAGTTTAGCTTTTTTTGGGTAAATTCTTTAGAATTTTCTACATATATAATTATGTCATCTGTGAATATAGACAATTCTGCTTCTTCCTTTTCAATATTTCTGCTGTGTTTCTGATGCTTTTGTTGCCTTATTACACTGACCCGGACTTCAAGTACAATGTTGAGAAGTGGTAAGAACAGATGTATCAGCCTTGTTCCTCATCTTAGGAAGAGTCTCTTTCACCATTAAGTGTGAAGTTAGTTCTAGAGTTTTCTTTCTTTTTTTCTTTTTTAGATTCCCTTTAGGGAATTTTTTTCATACTTCCTGCTTGCTTATGAATGAGTACTGAATGTTAAATGCTTTTTTTCTACATCTAATGAGATAGTTATACTATCTTCTTTATTACGTTAATGTGATATATCACATGGTTTGATTTTCAGATATTAAAGCAACTTTGCATTTGTGAGATATGTCATGACGAAGTGGGGTTTGTTACCCTGTTTATGTACTGGTGAATTCAATCTGCCAATATTTGGCTAAAAGTGTTTGTGTCTGTGTTCCTGTGGAATATTGATCTAGTTTTATTTTCTCCTAATGTCTTTATCTGGTTTGGTGGCAGGGTGATACCTCATAAATTCAGTTTGGAAATGCTGCCTCCTTCTTTATTCTCTGAAAGTTTGTGAGGTTCTTAAATCTTAGAATTCATCAGTTGTATCAGTCAGGGTCCAGTCAGGAGACAGAAACCATGCCAGGACCAATCTAATCTTAAGAATTATTAACAGTAATGAGATTAGCAGCTAAGGGGTAGAGAGAACTCCAAAGAATACAGGAAGAGCAGATGTAGAGACCAGCCACTTCCTAGGCCGGGGCAGAGTACTCACAGCGGGAACAAACTCGGAAGAGATCCTCCTTACATGGCTGAGGCTCAGATCTCAACTGCAGATGATATAGTGTTGATATAGTGTGACCCTGGAATGGCCTAGAGTTTGCTGAGATGCTGTGTGCTGGGGCTGGCAAGTGGGAAACTGTCTTCTGGGGTATGTGTCAGACTCCTGGGGAAGCTCCTCCTAAGGCGCTGCTGAAACTCACTAGGAAACCACCCTTTGTGGTGCTGGTGAAACTTTCTGGGAAACCACCTGTAGGATTGTTGGTGAAAATCCCGGCAAAGTAAGTGCCACTGGTTGTTCCAACTCCTACTGGAAGAGGTGCTTCACTGGGTGTCCCAAATGCTGCTTGCTAGTAGCCACATGCCACAGAAGCAGGAAGGAAAAAGCACACTGGGACAGAGAAGAGAAGCTGCTTCCTCCTGCAGTGTCTTTATAACCTTCACTGATAAAGCTTAAGTATGCCATCTGACACAGGAGAAATGTTGGCAGGACCCAGCTCCAGTATCATAAAGCAGGTCAAACGAGTGGGTTTGAGGCTGAGAAGATTTAACAGATACAGGGCTATTCCAATTTTTCTTTCTTTTTTTTTTTTATTTTTTTTAAGAGTCTTGCTCTATCTCCAGGCTGGAGTGCAGTGGCGCAATCTCAGCTCACTACAACCTCTGCCTCCCGGGTTCAAGTGATTCTCCTGCCTCAGCCTCCCGAGTAGCTGGGATTACAGGTGCGCACCACCATGCCCAGCTAATTTTTGTATTTTTAGTAGAGACGGAGTTTCACCATGTTGGCCAGGATGGTCTCGATCTCCTGACCTCGTGATCCACCCACCTTGGCCTCCCAAGGTGCTGGGATTACAGGCGTGAGCCACTGCTCCTGGCCAATTTTTCTATTTCTTATGTCAGTTTTGACAATTTGTCTTTTAAGGAATTTGTCAACTTCATCTAAATTGTCTAATTTATTGGCATAACATTGTTTAAAATATTCCTTTATTTTAATATCAATAAGACATTCCTGATATGGCCAATTTGTGCTTTCTTTTTATCTTTATTGGTCTAATTAATATTTTGTCAATTTTATTTATTTTTCAAAGAACCAGTTCTAAATTTCTTAGATTTTTTTTTTCTGTTTCACTAATTGCTGCTTGTACCTTTATTATTTAGCCTACTTTCAGATTAAATTTACTCTTATTCTAGTTTCTTAAGATGCAAGCTTAGATCTTTGATTTTAGACTTTTTTTAAGTATGTAAACATTTAACACTAAAATTTAAACATTTATTTAGTTGCATCTCACATATTTTAATATCTATGTTTTAATTTTCATTCAGTTCAGAATGTTTTCTAAGTTGTCTTGTACTTTTTTGACCTTTGTGCTAATTATTGTAGAAGGTCAATGTTTAATTTCTAAGTATTTGAAGATTTTCCAGGTAACTTTTTGTCATTGATATTGAAACTTAATTCTGTTGTGATTAGAAAATATGTTGTGTTTCATTTCAACTATCTTAAATGTATTTAGACTTGTTTTATGACCCAATTTATCTTAGTGTACCCATAAAAATAATTTGCCTTCTGCAGTGACTGGCTGTAATGTATTACAAATATTAATTAGGTCGTGTTAGTTGATCGTGTTGATGTCTATGACTTACTGATTTTCTCTCTACATTTACTGTTAATTACTGAGTGAGAAGAGTTAAGCTCTCCAAATACAGAAAATATGTGTTTTCTATTTCCCTGTTCAGGTTCAGTCTGAGAGGTTGATTCTCCTGGGGCATTCTAGCTCTAGTCTAGCCCTGTTCTTAAGGCGTGGAATTCCCTGGGAGCTAAATGAGTTCTCTCCACTATATTTGTTCACATCTTAAATATCTTCTAGTCCTCTGATAATTTTGATAGTTGTTCAGCTAACACTTTCCTGATTATTCTTTGTCTGGCCCAAGGGCTTTCACACTGTGAATGTTTAGCTTAGTTTAGGGCTAAAGACACAAATAGACCCCCCTCTGAGATTTCTGAACCTCTTTTTCTGCATAGCACCCTTCTCTCAGATACTCTGCACTGCAAATTTCAGGTGCTGCAGCCTCTTTGAACTCTGATCTTTATCTCCACAGCTCCACAAGACCCATATACTCTGTATTTCCCCTCTCTGCCCTGGAATCTGGTAAGTGGCTCCAGACAGAAATGGGGGATCACAAAATGCACCTCACTGATTTCTCTGTTTTTCTCTGATCACAGTACTGGGCTTCCTGCTGTCTACTCTCTGAAACTGTTGTTTACAGTGGGAGGACTGGTCCAGTTTTAGTTTTTATTCCCTCAAGGCTGGACATGGAACTCTCCATTCATTTACTTGAATATCTGGCCATCATGAGCCTTTTTTAATTTTTTAGAGACAGAGTCTCATTCTGTCACCTAGGCTGGAGTGGAATGGCACCATCATAGCTCACTGCAGCCTCGAACCCCTAGGCTCAGGCAGTTATCCTGCCTCAGCCTCCTGAGTAGCTAGGAATTACATGCATGTGCTACCACACCTGGCTAATTTTTAATTTTTTTTTGTAGAGATGGTGTCCTTTTCTGAAATATTTTGACACTAAGACAGATAGTCCCCAACTTATGATGGTTCAACTTAATGATTTTTCAACTTTATGATGCTGCAAAAATGATACACATTCAGTAGAAACTATACTTCAAATTTTGACCTTTTCCTGGGCTAGTGATATATGGTACAATACTCTCTCCTGACACTGGGCAGTGGCAGCAAGCAGTATCTCCTATCAGCCATGTGATCCTGAGGGTAAACAACAGATATTCTATAGTGTACTGTGTTGCCTGTGTTTTTTGAAATGATTTTGCCAGCTACAGGCTAATGCAACTATCCTTAGCATATTTAAGGTAGGCTAGGCTAAGCTATGATGTTCATTCAGTAGGTTAGGTGTATTAAATGCATTTTCAACTTGATATTTCAGCTTATGATGGATTTTTCTGAATATAGCCCCATGGTATGTAGAGGATCATCTGTGATTTGCACCACATATTCATCATCGTGCTTTAGACCCTGTTTCAGCTGTTAGCTTAATCTCAAGTAGCTTTGAAGTATTTGGATATAAAGAATGTCGTATACTTCTACATTCCCTGTGTTGCTGCACACATATTAATAGGTGATCATCAAGGACTTGATGTTTGATTAGACAGGCTGTACTGGTAGATGGCTACCAGTAACCGTGAATTGTATTAATTAAGTAGACTCATCAGAGCCTCTAAGTGAAATCACTTTGTAAGTGGCCAAAGTTACTTTACACACCAACAGCAACACCTGGAAAAGCACTATGGTAAAAGCACTGAACTTGAGTCCTAAGATCTAGGTTGAATGCCAGACCTGCTGCCTATTTATCTGACTTTGGTCGAATCACTGAAGCTGCTCTTTCTGTAAAACAAAGAAATTAGGCTGGATAATCACTGAGACACCTTCCAGCTCTTACTCTCTAATGCTGATTTAAACATTTGTATTTTTCAAATTTAATTCAAATATTTAACTAGGCTAGAGTTGCTTACCAGAAGAGGTTTTTTTTTTCTTAATAAGATTTGCTGCCTATTGTTTCCCACAATGAAAGATGACCAGACAGTGCCTTGTATGTTTACACCTTGGTCAAATGGCTTCATCAAATGAAATTATTTTGCAAATGGATTTAACTTCATTATATATATATATATTATATATATATATATATATATATATATATTATATATATATATATATATATATATATATATATATATATATATATATTATATATATATGCTTTATGGCAGATTCCATTCCTCTATACATGTAACCTGCTTAAAAAGGACCATCTTTTATTATCCTCACAGGTCTACTGGTATTATTTTAAACTATGGGGGCCGGGGGGTCGAAGCATTGTGATGTGATTTACACCACTCCAAATCACGAAGGCATGATTTAGAAATCATGGTGTTCTACAGTCTTTGCTCATAGGTAGATTTCTTCCTTATACTTGATTTTTCTTCTGTTTTGTTAGTATTTTACATTCACTTGAAAGAAAGCCTGGCTTTCTTGGTCAGGAGTATTATAGTTTGATCATATTATACTGAAAACAGCTCTTCTGTTTAAGTCCATAGATAATTTGAAATTGTTCTGAAGTGTTTCCTCCCACTCTTCCTCCCACTCCTCCTCCTCTGTCACCTCCTCCATCTCCTTCCTTCTCCAATAAAACTGAACTTGATGCTCCATAAAATTGATAATTGCTATTCAACTAGGAAAAATGCAAACACTTTGAGGGATTGTGAGTGATTGTTGGACAAGATATTTGAAGTGATTTTGTTCCACCAGGTTATTTATAGTTTTCACATTCACTAGGGGAGAAAAATATAGAATTAAGTGACTTGAAAATTATATTGAAGAGACAGTTTATTACTTTCTGCATCTGTTTAACAGATTGCACTGAGTAATGTTTTTGCATTGTGTGGTATATATTTAACAGGATGTGGGTAGTATTTAAGACCATATTAAAGATTTTATATGTGAGGTGGTCCCTTGTCCTTTGGAAATCAGCATAGGCTTTGGCATTTCTGATTTCATTACAATGCATTTACTACTATATTTGATAAACAGGCTGTCTGCCACTCAGAGACCCTACTAGACACACGGAGAGGATACAAGTTCCTTTAATGTAGGTAAATAATAACTTACTGATGCACAGATGGGACTTCAGTGTGGGGATCCCAGTGGCATCCCCCTAGGTAGCATTGGACAATTTCTGGCCCTGAAGGCTCACAAGGGTTCTTAGCTACTTATGATACTCTCTGATAGTGGTGGGAATACGATCAGGAATTTTGCAAATGGAAGGTGTCAAGGTGTCTCTCCTCACCTGCCTGTTTCTAATGACTCTGGAGACTAGGTATATGCTTGACTACTCCTTAGGTGGAGCTAGTAACAATCCCAGAATAATTTGAAAATTTACTGCAAGACTGAGTGAGTTGAAGGTCACTTTCTCAGGTGAAGCCCCTGCTATAGTTTGGGTATGGTTTATTTGTCTTCACCAAAGCTCATGTTGAAATTTGACCACAAGTGTGGCGGTGTTAGGAGGTGAGGCCTAGTGGGAGGTATTTGGGTCATAAGTAGGGGATCCATCAGGAATGGCTTGGTGCTGTTCTTGCAGTAGTGAGTGAGTTCTTGCTCATGTGAGACTGATTGGTTCCCAAGAAATGGATTCATTTGGGTTTTTATAAAGTCAGGATGCCCCTCAGGTTTGGTCTCTGTTCACATGTTCCCACTTCCCCTTGGACCTTCTCCACCGTCTTTTCACACATCATAAAAGCCCTTACTAGAAGCAGAGCAGATGACTGTGCCATGATTCTTGTACAGCCTGCAGAACCATGGGCCAAATCTCTTTTCTTTCTAAATTATCCAGCCTCACATATTCCTTTATAGTAACACAAAAGTGACTGAGAGTCTTCTTTCCCTCTTGTAGGTCCAGGCCACAGACCTTCAGGAAGTGTCTTTCCTCTTACATAGCTTGTGATTATCTTTGCAAATAATTAAGGTTTGCAAATAAAACTAAGATGATGCGATGGTTAATCTTGTGTCAACTTGCCTAAGCCACAGTACTCAGATATTTGGACAAATATCATTTTAGATGTTTCTGTGAAGGGGTCTTTTTAAGATGAATATTTAAATCAGTAGACTTTGGGTAAAGCAGATTACTCTTCATATTGTGGGTGGACCTCCTCCAATCAGTTGGAGGCTTTAATAGAAAAAGACTGACCTCTCTATGGAGGAATTCTGCAAGCAGTTTTTGGACTTGGACTGAAATTCGGTGTCCAGCCTGCTGGCCTACCCTGTAGATTTTGGATTTGCTACATGCATTAGTCTGTTTTTATGCTGCTAATAAAGACATACCCGAGACCAGGTAATTTATAAAGGAAAGAGGTTTAATTGACTCACAGTTCCACGTGGCTGGAAAGGCCTCACAATCATGGCAGAAGGCAAAGGTGAAGCAAGGTCATGTCTTACATGGCGGCAGGGAAGAGTGTGTGCAGGGGAACTCCTATTTATGAAACCGTCAGATCTCATGAGACTTATTCACTATCATGAGAACAGCATGGGAAATACCCACCCCCATGATTCTACTACCTTCCACTGGATCCCTCCCACGATGTGGGAATTATGGGAGCTACAGTTCAAGATGAGATCTCGGTGGGGACACAGCCAAACCATATCACTACGCCTCTACAATTCTATGAGCCAATTTCTTAAAGTAAATCTCTCTCTCTCTACACACACACACACACACACACACACACACACACACACACACACACCCTGTTGGTTCTGTTTTCTCTGGCAAACCCTGACTACTACAGATGCCTTCATCCTAGAACTCTGACTACTACAGATTCATCTCGAAATTCTTAAATGAAAGGTAAAATCTATTTGGAGCACTGCATTACATTTTATGATAAAAATATAACTATCTTAAAGCACAGGAATTTTTGGCTGTTTTTGTAGAAGGTAGAAGAATGCTTGGGAAATCTTCAATGATCATAAGTATTTGTTGAATGAATGTTGAATAAAAAACTTACAATTAGTCTAACTGTGATGATATTTTTTCCCTAGCAGTGTAAAAGGTGTAAAGATCCATTAATTTAGTTGTCTAAAGAAGATGTTTATGGCTTGCCAGGTTATAGTGATATTTAACTAAATTTTTAAAACAAATACTGACTTTTGAACATTTCTCTTTTGCATGTTTCCGTAGCATTTTACCTTCAACATATTTCTTTTTGAAATTGCTGCTCATTAGGGGAAAAGGACTTGACCCTTCCCATTTAAGGAGACTTGCTGGGAAAGACCAATTTATATGTCATTGACCACAACTTAGTAGAATTCTAGCCAGAAAGTCACATTGGAGGCTGAGAAATATGACTTTTCAGCTGGGCACATTAACACTTCAAATAAAACTGGGGCCCAGTTACTAAGGAGGGAGAGGAAAATGGATGTTGGGGTAGGCAACTAGCAGCCTCTGCCATAGGGTGCTATTTTTGTTAATGTTATTTAAAATCTCAATCAGTGGACAAGCATTTTGCCTAGTTGTTGTCAATATTAATATACTAAAGCTGGCAGACCTGAATCATTATTGCTTTTAGGGAACAAACAAAAACCACAGAATTTAAATTATTGAGAAGTGTGAGAGCTGGCAGAGATCTTAGAACTAATTGGGCACAGCTACTTCATTTTGCAGAGGAGAAACTAAAGCCCAGAGAGGTAAAGTGGCTGAAGGGGAAATGGAATGCCCTGGGAAGACTTCCTGAGAGCAGAAAGATGGTCTTCTTAGGCTGCATCTACACACTCGTAGGCCCTGTTATTTCAAGTTTAATTAAAGTTATCCAGCCCTTCAGTGCTGCATGGTTTCTGCCTATGAAACTTCACTGTACAAATACCTGCCATTTGGGAATTAGCATGCTCAAGTAAAAGTTTGCGAATTCTTGCTGTACCACTTAAACTATGTAGTTTTAGCAGTGAATGGATTGTTCCCATTCTTAGCATCTTGAAATAATAACAGTGGGAATTTATTGAGAATTAGTTTATAAGCTCCATGAAAGCAGGGATCAAGTTTGATTTCACACGCCACTGTATCTGTAGTGCCTAACATACCCCTTGATGCACAAGACATAATCCAACAAATAAATAGCTGTTGGTTGAGTAGATGTAGTGTTTATGAGGTGGCAGACATGGTGTTAAGCACTCTTCATGAGTCATTTCATCCTTGTAACAACCCTATGAGGTAGATAATATTTGAAACTAAAATTGGAAAACGTGCCCATAGATAAAAATCTAGTGAGTGTTGGGACTTGGGCTAGTCTGTCTGACTCCATCCTAAATTACTAGGGAAGCTGGAGGTTTTGGGGTTGATTATCATATGAAATAAATAAAACTACTCTTAGATTAATTATGAAGAATGTAAAAAGCCCGACTAGTTGATGTGTTATCTAGCACCAAAGATATGTTAATTAGCTTAACAAAAAATGGAAGAAAAAGATAGGAAAAGGCTGACCTGCTAGGTTAGTGAAAGATTCTTAAGTATTTTGGGGAGATGGGATAGGGTTGAGTGGAGAAGCATTATTCAATAAAGTTTTCACCCTATCTTGTTTGAGAGACTTTCTTTTGAGCCATGCATTAAATTTGAAAATGCTGTCCTGAAGTGTTATCAAATCTAGATCATGGATGAGAGACATTGAACCTTACTCCCAGGATCCCAGGATTTATTTCCATGGTTCTAAGTGTTTTTTTTTTAAAGGAAATGGTGACTGTGTAGAACAGAGAGCAGAGAGCTGCAGGGATTTCCTTTCTGTGGCTTCTGGGCCCTGACCTTGCTTTTCTATGTCTACTGGGAGAGAGCTTGTCTATTTCTGTGCACATGTTTTTGTTATTTGCTGTTGTTGTTCCTAAGGTATTTCTAATGTCATAAGCCTGTCTTTGGAGGTGATGATGGTGTGATCTTGTATCTTAGACCCCTACAGAGAGATCCAATTCCTTGTGTCTGGAATAGAATCCCCAAAGCAGGCCTGTGGGTCAGGCATAGCTTAGGGCCCTTGTCTTTGAATGGTGGGTGTGGGTGGAGACTACGTGGCCATATTCCTCTGAAGGCTTTGTTTTTACCCGTCCTGTTGTATTTCCAGAACCTAGTTCTTCTCAACTCTGGATGTATGTTAGAATAATCTGAGGAGGCTTAAAATCTTGATTCCTGGGTTCTGCCAAAGAGTCTGAGTTGATTAGTTTGGTGAGGGGTCAAGGCATTCATAATTTATTTTAGAAGCACCCCAGGTGAATCTAATTTTGTAGTCAAAGTTGGGTGCCATTCTTGTAGCCTAACAAGCCCCCTGTCCCAAAACCATGATTTTTATTTGCCTTTTTCTCCTGTTCTGTATCTTGTATCATCAAGCATTAGGGCTTTTGCTTCTGCTCGATGGCATTTCTAATTACCATTAAAGGCTGTGCATTAGATTGAAGTCAGGAGGACAGGTAAAGTAAAGTTTCTATGATGAGCACAGAGTGAGATGTATACAATAATTATTTGTCTTTTTAATTAAAAATCAATGAATAAACAAGGAAAGAAATAATAAAAATGAAACAAGTATGAACTAGAAAAGTTTTATAGATTTTCTGTAACCAGTAGATCCAAACGCAGATAATCTGTCAAGAAATAGAAAAATTAGGATAAATGAACGCTTTTCTTTAAAAAGGCTTTAATAAAAAAAGGTCTCAAAAAGAACTGAAAAAATGAATCTGACCAATTATTGCAGAAGAAATTGAGCCAGTTATCATAAAAAATCAGGCACAAACAGTTTCCAGTTGGATAATTTTAAATTATTAAGGATCAGATGGCTCTTAGGCAGTTTAAAAGTATTTCAGAACAGAGAAAGTGAACCTTCTGAATTATCTTTATGAAGCAAGCATAACATTAGTATAAAAGATGAGTGAGAGTGGCACTTAAAAACAATTTAGCTATGCAATGTAATCTTTTATGAGAATATTGATATGAAAATCCCAAATAAAGTACAAGCAAAAACAACCTAGCAATGAATAAAAGGATAGCACCACAGCCAAGTGAGGTTCATTTTAACAAATCAAAGATGGATCAGTCGTGGAAATCTGCTTGTGGAATTCTCCATGTTGATGGCTAAAAGAGGGAAGAAAGTGTTGATTACAACACGTGTGGCAAAGGCATTTGATAAAAGTCAATACATATACTAGATAAGCAGTAAAATAGTAACACATCATATTTGGGTAATTTCCATGAGTTATTTCCATTGTGCCTAATGGTGAAGCACTAGAACCATTTTTTAAAGTTAGAAAGAGAAGAGGATACTCACAGCAATAACCACTATTATCTACCATATGTAACAAGAGACTTAGAGCACCAAGTGAACAGTGCTTTCCATGTGCCCTGCAAATCGTTTAATCCTCCCCAAACCCTGCAAGAGAGATACTATTATTCCCATTTACTGATGAGAAAATAGCACAGAGAAGTAACTTGCCCAAACTCACACTACTCAGAAGTGGCAGAGCTCGGATTTGAGTCTGCCTACACTGCCCCTCTAGGAAGAAAATTAATGATGATAGGATACTTCAATAAATGAAGATCCGATGATAATTTTGAAAGGATGGCATTTTCTCTAAATTTACTTATGGATTAAATTATACTGCAATTATAATTCCAACAAGATGTTCTTAAAAAATGATTTTAAAGTTCTTCTAGATGAATAGATACTAAAGAATAGCCAGAAAAATTCTATAAAGAAGTATAATGAGAAAGGACTTAAAAGTTGTGGTAATGCAGTGAGCATGGAAATGGCCCAGGAATAAACCAAAAATGGAGGGTATAGAACAGGTGTCAACAGACTAAGGCTAGCAGAGGAGAAACTAAAGCCCAAAGAGGTACAGCCACAGTCAACATTTATATATGATCTATGGCGATTTTCTTGTTGCAACAGCAGAGTTAAGTAGTTGTGACAGAGATCATATGGCTGGCAAAACCAAAAATATTTACACTCTGGTCCTTTACAGAAAAAGTTTGCCAATCCCTAGCATAGAATAAAGTCCCAACTTAAGTGAATATAGAAGGCACTTAAAAATCAATCAGGGGGCTCCTGAGGCAAGATGGCTGGCTAGATGGAGCCAGGTGGAACAGCTGCCACAAAGGGAACTGGAAGACTGGTGCGCTCCTAACATCTTCAGAGGGAAGGCACTGAGAGTGGATCCAGAGAAGACACAGAAACCGGCTGAAGCGGGAGGGAGCTGGGAACCCTGCTTGGGTCTACTGCACAAGGGGAGGGACTGGTTCCTGGCCCTCGATGACTCAGGGAGAATGGGTGAGTTGAACTGGTAAGGAGCAACTTACCCTTGCCACAGGCTTCTGGAATCCTAGCATGAAGAGACCTCTCGATTGCCACGGACACTTGAGTTGGCAAGGAGAGCTACTCAGAGAAGTGGTAGGGGCAGCACTCCAGCCAGTGAAGAGCCCAGAGGGTTTGGTATGGAAGCCTCTGTAGTAGAGCACAGCAAGCTGATGCCCATCGCCTAGGCTCCACTTGTTCCCATAGTTGACTTTAGCTCTAGGGGAACTGTGGGACCTGAACTCTGCAGGGCAGTGTTGCCCATCAGATGGGGCTGCTCCGACCTGAGCAACCCTTGGTCTGCTGGCTTCTCCCGGGGGCCCCAGCCTGGCTGCGTCTGCTTGCAGTGCAGCCTCAGGTGCCCTGGGGGTCTGAATCTCAGCACCTGCACTGGCAGACAGCGCCTGACGAGACCTCCAGCAGGGCGGCCCCTGGGACCAGCATCAGCCCGCCTGCTCCTTCCTCCACTGCAGCTCACCCAGCCCAGGACCACCCGCCACACCTCTTTGCTGGCGCTCGTGTGCCCCGGCGGATCTTACCTTCCCTCCCTACCCCACCAGTGTGCGTGTTTGAGTGCACCCTGCCCTGTCACTGCTGCCAGAGTGAGTGCCTCCGCTCCCCCATCCCCGCCTCCTTTCTCCCGCTGTACCTCCATTGCCCTCTGAGCCTTGGCAGGCACACAACCCTCCAGCCCCGCCTCTGCCAGCGCCTCATCCCTGCACCAACACTGCCCTCGGAGTGAAACTAGGGATGGATAACAGCAGACCCTCTCCTGCCCTGTGCGGCCGCCTTCACCTGCGTGAACATACAGGGCACCCACTGTCTTGCGCCCCGCCAGCGCCCCAGCCCCGTGCTACCACCACCACCAGTGCAACTGTGTGCACAGTCACCGGCAGGGACCCCATCCCCGGAGTCGTGCTGTCTCCATCGCTGCTGTGAATGCCTACATAGAGGCTGGCACCCTGGCACCTGCTAGCACCCTGTTGCAGTCCATGAGCGTGTGCTCTGCTGGGCTGCTGCTGCCTGCTACTGGCACATGCAAACGAGGATGGATGTGGCTGCTACCGTCCTAGGAAAAGCTTTGGCTGGCATCATCCATCAGAGGGCTGGGACCAGCAGTCAGGGAGCGCTTCAGCACCTCCCCCTACCCCCCAACACACACCAGTGCGGTAGGGTCCTAACCTCCAGGAGCCAGAGAACAAAGTTGAAGCCCATTATTGGTTTCCCAGAGTTAGAGAGTGCAGTACAGGAGTTATGAGCTGAGCCTTGGCTCCCTAAAATATTCCAGAAATGAAGCCAGTCAACTGAACCCACCTATACCACAATCAAACCCTCAAGGTCATCAAATAGGATAAAAGAAAAAATAAACCCATTGAAAGGACAGCAACTTCAAAAATGGAAGCAACATCAGCCCACAACAATGAGAAAGAACCAGTGCAAGGACTCTGACAATTCAAAAAGCCAGAGTATCTTCTTTCCTCCAAAAAACTGTGCTAGTTCTCCAGGAAGGGTTCTGAACTGAGCTGAGATGGTTGAAATGACAGAAATAGAATTCAGAATACGTATAAGAATGAAAAGCATCCAGATGCAGGAGTACACTGAAATCCAATCCACCAAAACTAAGAATCACAACAAAATGATACAGGGGCTGACAGACAAAATAGTCACTATAGTAAAGGATGTAACTGACCTGATGGAGCTGAAAAACACACTACAAGAATTTCATAATGCAATCACAAGTATTAATAGCAGAATAGACCAAGTTGAGGAAAGAATCTCAGAGCTTGAATACTGGCTTTCTGAAATAAGATAATCAGACAAGAATAGAGAAAAAAGAATGAAAAGGAATGAACAAAACCTCTGAGAAACGTGGAATTATGTATAGACACCAAATCTATGACTCACTGGAGTCACTGAAAGAGATGGGGAGAATGTAAGAAACTTGGAAAATGTATTTTAGCGTATCATCCGTGAGAATTTCCCCAACCTAGCTAGAGAGGCCAACATTCAAATTCAGGAAATTCAGAGAACCCCAGTAAGATACTTCACAACAAGATCATCCTCAAGTCACATAATCATCAGATCCTTCAAGGTCAAAATGAAAGAAAAACATTAAAGGCAGCTCGAGAGAAAAGTCAGCTCACCTATAAAGCAAAGCCCATCAGACTAACAGTGGACCTGTCAGGAGAAACCATACAAGCTGGAAGAGATTGGGGGCCAATATTCAGCATTCTTAAAGAAATGAAATTCCAACCAATAATTTAATATCCAGCCAAACTAAGACTCATATGCAAAGGATAAATAAGATCCTTTTCATACAAGCAAATACTGAGGGAATTCATTACCACCAGACCTGCCTTATAAGAGCTCTTGATGGAAGCACTAAATATAGAAATACTATTATCAGTCACTATAAAAACACACTTAAATACACAGACCAGTGACACTATAAAGCAACCACACAAGCCAGCATAATAGCCAGCTATCAATGCAATGACAGGATCAAGTCCCCACATATCAATTCTAACTTTGAATGTTAATGGGCTCAGTGCCCCACTTAAAAGGCACAGAGTGGCAAGCTGGATAAAAAAGCAAGACTCAGTGGTATGCTGTCTTCAAGAGACCCATCTCACATGTAATGATATGCATAGGTTCAAAATAAAGGGATGGACAAAGATCTACCAAGCAAATGGAAAACAGAAAAAAGCAGGGGTTGTAATCCTCATTTCAGACAAAACAGACTTCAAACCAACAAAAATAAAAAAAGACAAAGAAGGGCATTACATAATGGTAAAGGGTTCAATTCAGCAAGAAGACCTAACTATCTTAAATATATATGCACTCAACACCAGAGCACACAGATTCATAAAGCAAGTTCTTAGAGACCTTCAAAGAGACTTAGACTCCTACACAATAATAGTGGGAGGCTCCAACACTCCACTGACAGAATTAGACAGATCATCAAGGCAGAACATTAACAAAGACATTCAGGACCTGAACTCAACACTGGTTTATGGACCTGATGGACATTTATAGAACCCTCTATCCCCAAACAAGAAAATATACATTTTTCTCATTGCCACATGGCACATACTATAAAATTTACTGCACAGACATAAAATAATCCTCAGCAACTGCAAAAGAGCTGATATTATACCAACCACCCTCTCAGAGCAAAGCACAATAAAATTAGAAATCAAGACTAAGAAAATCCCTCAAAACCATATAATTACATAAAAATTAAATAACCTGCCCCTGAATGACTTTTGGGTAAATAATGAAATTAAGGCAGAAATCAAGAAATTCTTTGAAACTAATAAGAACAAAAATACAGCATACCAGAATCCCTGGGACACAGCTAAGGCAGTGTTAAGACGGACATTTATAGCACTAAATGCCTACATCAAAAAGTTGGCAAAATCTCTATTTAATAACCTAACATCACAACTAAAAGAACTAGAGAACCAAGAGTAAACCAGGCCCAAAGCTAGCAGAACACAAGAAATAACCAAAACCAGAGCTGAATTGAAGGAGACAGAGACATGAAAAATCATTTAAAAGATCAACAATTCAAGGTGTTGGTTTTTTTTTAAAAAATTAATAAAATACACCACTAACTAGACTAATAAGGAAGAAAAGGGAGAAGGTCCAAATAAACACAATTAGAAACAACACAGGGGATATTACCACTGACCCCAAAGAAATACAAATAACCATCAGAATATTATGAACACCTCTATACACATAAACCAGAAGATCTAGAAGAAATGGATAAATTTCTGCACACATACATCTTTACAAGACTGAACTGGGAAGAAATTGAATCCCTGAACAGACCAGGAACAAGCTCTGAAATTAAATCAGTAATAAACAGCCTGCCAACCAAAAACAGCCCAGGACCAGAGAGATTCAAAGTCAAATTCTACCAGATGTACAGAGAAGAGCTGGTACCATTCCTATTGAAACTATTCCAAAAAATTAAGGAGCAGGGACTCCTCCCTAATTTATTCTATGAGGCTAGCATCATCCTGATACAAAAACCTGGAAGAGATACAAAAGAAAGAAAACTTCAGGCCAATATACTTGATGAACATTGATGCAAAAATCTTCAACAAAATACTGGCAAACCAAATTCAGCAGCACATCAAAAAAAGCTTATCCACCACGATCAAGTAGGCTTTAGCCCTAGGATGCAAGGTTGGTTCAACATATGCAAATCAATAAATGTTATTCATTACACAAACAGAAGTAAAGACAAAAGCCACATGATTATCTCAGTAGATGCAGAAAAGGCTTTAGATAAAATTCAACACCCCTTCATGTTAAAAACTTTCAATAAACGAAGAATTGAAGAAACAGTCCTCAAAATAATAAGAGCCATCTATTAAAAACCCACAGCCAACATTACAATAAATAGGCAAAAGCTGGAAGCATCCCCTTTGAAAACTGGCACAGGACAAGGATGCCCTCTCTCACCACTCCTATTCAATATAGTATTGGAAATCCTGGCCAGAGAAATCCGGCAAGAGAAAGAAATAAAGGGCACCCAAATAAAAGGAGAGGAAGTCAAACTATCACTGTTTGCAGATGACATGATTCTATCTAGAAAGCCCCATAGTCTTGGCCCAAAAGCTCCTTAACCTGATAAACAACTTCAGCAAAGTCTCACAATACAAAATCAACATAAAAAATGCTAGCATCTGTATACATCAACAACAGTCAAGGTGAGAGCAAAATCAGGAATGCAATCTCATTCAGAATTGCCACAAAAAGAATAAAATACCTGGGAATACAGCTAACCAGGGAGGTGAAAGATGTCTACGATGAGAATTACAAAGCACTGCTCAAAGAAATCAGAGATGACACAAACAAATGGAAAAACATTCCAGGCTCATGGGTAGGAAGAATCAACATCATTAAAATGCCCAAAGCAATTTATTGATCAATGCTACTCCTATCAAACTACGATTGACATTCTTCACAGAACTAGAAAAAATATTTTAGAATTCATATGGAACCAAAAAACAGCCTGAATAGACAAGGCAATCCTAAGAAAATGAAGAAATCACACTGCCCAACTTCAAACTATACTACAGAGCTGCAGTAACCAAAATAACATGGTACTGGTACAAAAACAGACACATAGACCAATGGAACAGAATAGAAAGCCCAGAAATAAGGCTTCACACCTACAACCATCTGATCATCAAAAAACTTGACAAAAACAAGCGATGAGGAAAGGACTCCCTATTCAATAAATGGTGCTGGGATAACTGGCTAGCCCTATATAGAAGATTGAAACTGGACCACTTCCTTACACCATATACAAAAATCAGATCAAGATGGATTAAAGACTAAAATGTAAAACCCAAAACTATAAAAGCCCTGAAGGCAGACTCTGGAAGGCAATACCATTCTGAAACAGGAATAGGCAAATATTTTATGATGAAGATGGCACAAGCAATTGCAACAAAGGCAAAAATTGACAATTGGGATCTAATAAAACTAAAGAGCTTCTGCACAGCAAAAGACACTATCAACATGGTAAACAGACAACCTACAAGATGGAAGAAAATTTTTGCAAACTATGCATCTGACAAAGGTCTAATATCTAGCGTCTATAAGGAATTTAAGCAAATTTACAAGAAAAAACAACCCCATTAAAAAGTGGGTGAGGGACATGAACAGATACTTTTCAAAAGACACACATGCAGCCACCAAGCGTATGAAAAAATGCTCCAGATCACTGATCATTAGAGAAATGCAAATCAAAACCACAAAGAGATACCATCTCACACCAGTCAGAATGGCTATTATTAAAAAGTCAAAAAATAACAGATGCTGGAGAGGTTGTAGTGAAGCAGGAACACTTATACACTGATGGTGGGAGTATAAATTGGTTCAGCCACGGTGGAAAGCAGTGTGGCAATTCCTCAAAGAGCTAAAAACAGAACTACCATTTGACCTAGCCATCCCATTCCTGGGTACATACCCAAAGGAATATAAATCATTCTATCGTAAAGACGCATGCACATATATGTTTATTGCAGCACATGATTCCATGTCTTTGCTATTCACAAAGCAGTATTCACAATAGCAAAGACATGGAATTAACCTAAATGCCCATCAATGGTAGACTGGATTAAAAATTGTGGTACCTATACACCACAGAATACTATGCAGCCATGAAAAGGACAATATCATGTTCTTTGCAGGAACATGAATGAAGCTGGAGACCATTATTCTTAGCAATCTAATGCAGGGACAGAAAACCAAATACCACGTTTTCATTTATAAGGGGGAGGTAAATGATGAGAATACAGGGACACCTAGTGGGGAACAATAAACACTGGGGCCTACCTGAGGGTAGAGGAGGGAGGAGGAAGTGGATCAGGAAAAATAACTAACAGATACTAGGTTTAATACCTGGATGATGAAATAATCTGTACAACAAACCCCCGTGA
Source organism: Homo sapiens (assembly GCF_000001405.40). NCBI lineage: Eukaryota > Metazoa > Chordata > Mammalia > Primates > Hominidae > Homo > Homo sapiens. Next base: position 87,910,660 of record NC_000014.9, on the reverse strand, counting down.
CACACGTTTATCTATGTAACAAACCTGCACATGTAACACTGAACTTAAAAGTTTAAATAAATAAATAAATAATAAGTGGGACTGTTGATTATGGCAGTTGTCTTATTCTCTAGCACATGCAGATTGCAATTAGTAAGTAATAATAGTAATAAGAGAAAACAGTGCTTTTGTAAACTTGTGAATGACAACTTTTTTCAGGAATGCTATAACCAGGAACCATAAAGAGTTTCAAAATATTACCACAAACAATTACTTAAGTGGCAGAGAAGCAGTGAAAACAGTATTGATAGACAAATGACAAACCTGGAAAATATTCATAAGATATGTTTAGCATGGTTTAACATTTAGTGTTCAGGGTTTGGTTGTGGATTATGGAAACCACTCTGGTTCTTTATGCAGGAAAGAATTTAATGTACAGAATTACGTGATTATTAAATCATTGTAAGGGCCAAAGGAGAAAATTTTCAAACTGGCTTGCCAAGCCAACTGCTGCTCTGGTTCACCCAGGAGGCTGCTGAAGAGGCTGTGATCTCTTCTGCTGGTCATTGGGTCACAGGGCCATACCTGTAAGCCACAGATCAGGAAGCTGTGGCCAGAACTGTTGGATCATGGGCCACACCAAGCCCTCTGACTCCACAGCAGCAAAAGTGAATAACATATGTGCCTCATGGACTGACTCTCTCAAGGCTCCTGCCATCATGTCCAAGTGGTGGAATGACATCACATTTGAAATGTTAGCTGCAAGGGAGTCTGGAACATGTGGGTTTTACCTCTTCTGAAATAGGAGGTTAGGACAGGTGCTGAAGGAGCTAATTTACTACTTCCCATAACTGTGCACACTAGCATGTACATAGTGCAAGAACTGCAACTGAAATTGGCAACGACAAATCTGGTATTGTCCAAGATGCGGGAGATGAGGCACTTTCATACCACTGTAAAGTCAGACAACCTTTGTAAACCTTTGTAAAGGGCAGAGAAAACCATCTGATTGAATAATCCCACTACAAGGAGTGTCTGCTAAGGAAGGAGATAACCCCATGAGGTTGAGGGGAGGTATATGCAAGCATGTCTATGAGAATATTGATTGTAGTTGCAAAGTTTTGCAAACAATCTAATTGCTCATCCAAAAGGGACTGAGTAAATAAATTATAGCACATGTACACCACAAAATATTATACTGCCTTTGAAGAAGAGTAGCGTTGCTCAGAGACGGTATCATGGGTCAATTAAGTACATAAACTTTGGAAGCAGAGTGCAGTTGATTCCACCACTTGGTAGCTGTGTGATCTTGGTAATTAATCTCTTAATGCATCACTTTTGCTATTTGTAAACCAGAGATAGTAGCAGTAAAATAGGCATAATCATAACAGATAGTAACTTATTTGGCTGGAGTATTATGAGAATTAAATGAAGTAATACAATATTTTCTTTTTAACTTTCAATGAATATTAATTTTATTATGTTTATTGCTAAAGATTAATGACCATAGCAATGTTGAGTAATATGGTTTCAAAAGATCAAATACAGTATGATCCCATTTGATGTAGAAAGCAGTGCATGTATGAGCATGCACACATAAATAAGCGTGTTCAAAATCCTAACAGTGGTCCTCTTTGAATGGAATTTCAGGTGATTTTACATTATTTGCACTGTCCTGTATTTGTGTATGTATAAGTACTTGTGTTTACGATGTGTCATGTAGCATTTCTAAAAAGCTATTTTAAAAGTTATTTAAAAGACAAAAGGGCAGGGTTGGATTCTCTCCTTTTATTATTTGGACTAAAGTAAGACACAGCCTCCACTGGCAGACAGGGCTCCCAGGTCGCTGAAGAGAAGCCGAGAGTGTCAGCCAAGCCTGGAAACTCAACGTCACTGCAGCAGGGAGCCTGGGCTCTCCTAGCGGGAGTCAGGCACCAGCTCAGATCACCATGGAAACCACATGGGAAGTTAAGAAGTTTTGAAGAAAGAAAGTGCCTCTCTTTATCATTAATCACATAAAAATAAGCTTTTAATTTTAATTTTATATTTTTTGACAGCAACCCTCTTAACTCCACGCCCAGAGTCCCAGAGCAAAGAATTCCAATCCTTTGACCATTGGTCCAAACAACAAATGGATGGTTTGGCATATGAGATCCTTTTATAAACAGTCCTCTTTGCCAGGCTTTTCTTGTTCTGGTGACCTGTGGGCTCTATGGAGATTATTGTTTAATAAGCACGTTGGAAATGAGCAATCCAAATGAGTGGTCCCCTCTTCAAAACAGAATTAGGAAACCTTTGAGTAATTTGAAAGTTGACTTGGAGCCTGGATGAGGGGGAACCCCCGCTTCTGCCTCTCTCATGGATGATGGTTTAGCTGTCTGAATGCTCTCCTGATAGGTGTCTGTCCTCATCCAGAAGACGAATGAAGCATCCTTCAGACAGAAGCTAAAGAGAGAAAACAAATGCTTCCTAATGATTATAACTATATAGAAAGCAGGCTATATAGTTATAATCATTATGAAGCATTTGTTTTGAGCCCAAAATATGCTTTTATAAAACTTTCATCAACTAATTCTGATTCCAGATCAGAATCAACTCTGAGAAGGTCTAATTCTTATCCCACTCCAAAGTCCTTCAAATAGATAAAGGCCACTGCTCAGGAATATGTGGGGAGAAGTATGTATTCTCTCTGACAGGGGATTTTAGGGGCTCTTAGGTAATAGTGGTGTAAAAATAAATCAGACATCTCCATTTATAGTCTTGTTTGAAGAACTAATGTAGTCTCTCCTCACCCCTCCCCCAACATTGTCCTTTTGATCTAATTTGTCTTCAAAAGTCAGAACAAATGTCATGCCTCTGTGTTTCCAGTTCTCTGAAGAGAGCTGCTTGCTCTGTTGCTGCTCATTCCCCCTGAGGTGTGAGGATTTGTTCCCAGATCCATCTCCTTCCTTAAACCAACAGTCACTCAAGGCAGGATGGGTACAGCATCCACCTCTGATTCTCCGGTGCCTGGCCTGCTCTGGGATGTCAAATGTATGGTGCTGCTGGTACAATGGGCAGGGAGGCAAGGCCCTCATATCTGGCACATCTGCCAGTGCAGCCCAAGATGTCATTCATTTCCTGATCTGCTAGTGTCTTAGTCCGTTTGGGCTGCTATAACAAAATGCCATACACAAGGTGGCTTAAACAAGAGACGTTTATTTCTTACAGCACTGGAGACCGGGAAGTCCTCTATGGAGGCACTGGCAGCTCCTGTGTCTGGCGTGGGCTCTCTTGCTGGCTTGTTGGCAACTGCCTTCTCACTGCATCTTCACAAGCTGAACAGAGAGCAAGCTCTCTGGTGCCTCTTCTTATAAGGGCACTAATCCCACCATGAGGTCCTACCCACATGGCCTCAGCTAGTCCTAATTGCCTCTCAAAGGCCCTGCTTCCAAATACCACCACACTGGGGCATTAGGGTTTCAGTATAAGAATTGGGGGAGGGGGCCAGGTGCGGTGGCTCACGCCTGTAATCCCAGCCCTTTGGGAGTCCGAGGTGGGTGGATCATGAGGTCAAGAGATCGAGACCATCCTGGCCAATATGGTGAAACCCCGTTTCTACTAAAAATACAAAAATTAGCCAGGCATGGTGGTGGGTGCCACCAAGTATTTCCAGCTACTTGGGAGGCTGAGGCAGGAGAATCGCTTGAACCAGAGAGGCAGAGGTTGCAGTAAGCCGAGATTGCGCCACTGCACTCCAGCCTGGTGACAAAGCAAGACTCCATCTAAAAAAAAAAAAAGAATTGGAGGAGGGGACACTTTCATTCTGTCACAGTGAGAATGTGGTTCACCTGCTGACAGACCTGAGCTGTCCTCTTATTACCCAGTGAAATGTCATGGACCCTTGAGAGCTCCAACCAGAGACACACAGGGGCCTCCTGTTGGCTTTACCCAGATTTTCAGTGCAATGTTTTTGAATTTTAATACTCCCATCTGGTTTGGTCTTAAGCTGTTAAGAACAGTGTAACAAAGCCAGGCACGGTGGCTTACGCCTGTAATCCCAACACTTTGGGAGGCCAAGGAGGGCAGATCACCTGAGGTCAGGAGTTTGAGACTTGCCTGGCCAACATGGTGAAACCCCGTCTCTACTAAAAATACAAAAATTAGCCAGGCATGGTGGCATGTGACTGTAATCCCAGCTACTTGGGAGGCTGAGGCAGGAGAATTGCTTGAACCCGGGAGGCAGAGGTTGCAGTGAGCAGAGATCATACCATTGCACTCCAGCCTGGAAAACTCCTTCTAAAAAAAAAAAAAAGAATAGTCTAACAGGCTGGGGTAATGTGTGAAGTGGGGCTATTTGCCCCTACAATTGCCTGCAAAGCCCCACAGCTGAGACCCAAAGGTGCTAAGCACCCGATGTCCTGAGTTCAAAGAAGTGTCAGCAGTTGGACCTGTCCCATTTAGGCGTGTTTTTATGAGATACGCCAGTTAGAGAACTGGCCCTATCCCTGTTGCCGCAATTCTCTCCAGGTGAAAGACGGCTGATCCCCTTCATGGAGAGAAAAGTAGCCTCTGATGGGGAAGGTATTGTTGATGAAAAGTGACTATTCCTTTTCTCTCCTCCTCGAAATAAGGGTGGGAGGCTCCAAATCCACAGAAGGTGCCTGAAGCATTCTCAACTACACTAGTTTGGGAACTAGGTGTCACCTGTTGTCTCCTCACCCAAGCATCGAAGCTTCTGGAGTGTAGAGGCAGGGACTGGAGAGAGAAGATGGAGCCCAGACATGGCCCTGGAGAAGCTGTTTACATTGCACGCAGGCATGGTCGGGACCTGTGAGCATCCTGTGGTTCTAGTGGATGCCCAGGAGGTGCAGCTGTCTGTCTTATAGGTCTCCCCCAAAAAAAGTTGCCTAGGAGAAGTATCCCTGAGGTCTCTGGGGGTGCTGAGGAGGTAGGGAAGCACAAATCTGGCAGGGCTTATGTCAGGGGAACTGTGCAGCAAGGAGGCTCTGCAGACCCCTCTCCCTCTGAGAATCCACAAATGTGTTCCCGAGGGCCTGTTTGAATCCCTTACATATAAAGTGGACTGATGTCCAGACAGGGGTAAGCAAACAAGTAGAGGCAACCAACAAAATGGAGCTGGCAGCTTGACCAGAGACAGCTCGAGAGTTGGCATCCAGGCCAACGCTCTCCATCCTCCTGCCCCAGCACCACAGCAGTGGGAACCAGAAAGAGAAAGGGAGAGAGAGTTGGCCAAATCCCTCTGTCCCAAGTCTAATCTGCCTGTGGGGAGGGATTTGAATCAAACGTGAGTTTGCAAAGCTACAATGAAGACAGGTTTTTAAGAACTGGAATTACACTGTTTTAATCATTGAAAGTGATCAAGAAGTGACGGAACTGGGTTGAGATATTACTAAAATCCCCTTTTTTCCAGTATGGAGATGTTTGCAGAGCAGACTCTTTGCTGCAGGAAAGTAACTGGGGAAAGTAAAATCATTTTATTTTTATACCAATGAGTGAGACCACTAGAGAATCAGCTTCTTTGGGTATTGTATTAGGCCATTCTTGTGCTGCTATAAAGAAATAACTGAGGTTGGGTAATTTATACAGAAAAAAGGTTTAGTTGACTCACAGTTCTACAGGACTTATAAGAAGTATTGTGCTGGCATTTGCTCCTGTTGAGACCTCAGGAAGCTTCCAATCATAGTCAAAGGTGATGGGGGAGCCAGCATGTCACATGGCGAGAGATGGAGCAAGAGGAGGTGGGGAGAGGTGCCGGGGTCTTTTAAACAACATGTTTCACATGAACTCAGAGCAAGAACTCACTCATTACCATCAGGGTGGCACCAAGCCATGACCCTAACACCTCCCACTAGGCCCCACCTCCAACATTGGGGATCACATTTCAACATGAGATTTGGAGGGGGCAAACATCTAAACCATATCAGGTATGTCTATAAACAATCCAGGAGCCCACAGAACTGTGCCCTCATGGAAGGCTGCTGGGAGGCTGGTCACCTCCCCATTTTTAGAAAGTTCCCTGGGAGTCACCAGTCTGGTGAATGAGGTTGAGAAGTGACAACTCCCTCCTTACTGCAGGTATGAGACATAGCGATGGTGTGGAAGAGGCAGGATCTGACTAAGGGAAGGAGATTCATCAAGAGTGTACGATGGAATTACCCATCCAAGCAGCTAGGATGAGACATGTCCCTGAAACAATAACCATTTGGATGAACTTAGGATTATAGGAAAGTTGGAAAGCCTGTTCATTTATCCATCCATCCACCCATGTGCCTCCCACCCTGTGTTTCTCTTTTGCAGCATTTATCACACATGCATAAATATTTGTGTAACTGTGGTTTACTGTCTGCCTCCTGCACTAGACTGTATGCTCCCCAGAACACAGCCATGTCTCTTGGGCTCCTCACTAGATCTCCATCCCCAGCCCAGTGATGGGTGTGTGGCAGGCACTGAATCAATATTTATTAATTGAATGGATAAATGAACACTTAATCTAAAATAATGTTCTTCAAATTGCTAGCTTTATTGTAAACTAAATGTCCTAGTCTCAGTAGGCTATGATCCAAAATAAGATCACATTTCTAAGTATCCATATTGTAAGCTCCACACTGTCTTGACTGTAGAATTCCAGTCCCCAGAGTAATTCTAAGAGTTGTCTGAAGGGCTGTCTCTCAACTGTGCTAAAGACTGGTTCTGTCCATTGTTCTCCAGCCTGCCTGTGACATGCCCACACTGCTGCCCCACTTCCTGGTGGGCCTCAGGGGATGCCTCTCCAGGAGCAAGGCTGCCCTGTGCTCATGTCCCTCTCCAGTACCCCCATTCTGGCTTTGGGGGAGCATGAGCTGCTTTCTCCCCTTTGCCCTTTCATCTCTAGCCTGGACTAAGTTTGTCCTGTAATTCCTGGTAGCACTTTACAGACCCCAAAACCACAGAGAACAACTTAAAGCCTCCACTCGTCACTATACACAAACTCCTAAGCTTAGGACTATTTCATACAGTCTCTCTTAGGTCCACTTCCCTGCCTACCTCCAGACACCACAAGTGAAGGACAGCTCCTTGTCCAGCACTGGGAAGACCCCAGGCACCTTCCTTCCTTAGGCTCAGAACATACTTCCCTTAGCACCCAGAGAGAAGTGAGAGTTTGTGGGCAGTTTTGTTGTTCTTATTTTTTTCCTTTCTTTAACTTAGAGCCCGTAGCTCTGCTGAAAGAAACCCCCTATGTGCATTATTAAATGAAACAGTCTGGAAAGTCAGCATTCCGGTTCCTCCACACAGCTCTTCCCTGGGGGTAACACGTGGAAACTGCTTATGTGGAGTAGTTTTCCTAAACCAAAATATGGTCTTCCCTGCAAATAAATTCAAACCTCCTCCCTTAGAAGGCAGAAATCATTTGCAGCATCAAAAGTGTTTAATCCATTTTCAATGAGAACCATCCCATTACCTTACTATGATTATTATTACAATCCCTTTCTTTTGCAGGACATTCACTTGGATTTCAAATTCTAACACTTTTGTTAGAAATCCAGTCACTATTTTGTACTTTTATCTCATATTCATTTATTATTTGTTTAACAAATATTTATTGAACATTTTTGAAGTCCCTGTTTTCATGGAATTTACATTTGAGAACAGGGATCAATTGGCCAACTTTTTCTGTAAATAGCAGATAGTAAACATTTTAGACTTTACTGGCCATACAATCTGTGTTGCAGCTACTCAACTCTGCCATTATAGCCCTAATGCAGCCAGAGACAATCTGCAAATTAGTGGTGCAAGAGAAAAATCTTGCACTGCATGCTTGTTAAAAATGGCGAGACAGATTTTATTCAAGCTACTCTAGTAAGTGAGATGGACTTCAGTATAGAACTGCTCAGTTCCAAATATAGCACAGTGAGGGGGTTAGGGGATGGAAAATTACTAAGAGAAACTTGATTAGACATCAGTGGAAGAAGGATTCTTGCTAAACAAACCTAACAGAACAGAATTCTTAGGACTTAGATATCAAGGGTGAAGGGTGAGGAATTTGATCAGGTATCAAGGATGGGAGGATTTTTGTTAAACTGACTTAGCAGGATTCTTACTAAAACTGGGCTCTGGGGGCTGAGGGCAGGGAAGCAGGCTAAGGTTAAGCCTTGATCAAGAAGCGGGCTGAGAAGAAACTGAAGTTTGGCCACGGAGACAGTCTTTGTTAAGGGGCATGCATGTCTTCCAATAGAATTTTATTTATAACACAGGTGCTGAGCTTAGGGGCTGCAGTGTGCTGACTCCTGTTCTGGACCATACAACAAATACATAATATGGCAGATTTGACTAAGTGCTAAGAATTAAAAAAAAGACAATGATGAATAGCAAGGGCCAGATCATGTAGGAATTTATGCTGAGTAAGATAAGAGATCCTTGGAAAGTTTTGAACAGGGAAATGGTTTGATTTGACTCACAGAAGATGTGGCTGCTGTGTGGAGCACACTGCAGAAGGTATGGACACTTGGAGACCAGCTGGGAGGTGACTGCAACAATCCAGTTGCCAAGAGATGGTGGTTGGTACCAAAATGGTAGTGATGAATGAGGTGGTAAAAAGTGGTTGGATTCTAGATACAGTTTAGATGGTAGAACCAGCAGGCTTTGCTGATGGTCCAGATATAAGGTATATGAGAAAGAGCTAAGTTCAAGAATGACTCTAAGATTTTAGCCTGAGCAGTTGGAAGAATGGCTTTTCCATCTACTGAGATGAACAAGAGCAAGGAGGAGCATGCTTTGGGCAGAGACCAAGGGTTCTGTTTGGGACATGTGAAGTCTAGGATGCCTATCAGACATCCAAATAATATGCTGAGTAGGCAGTTGGATATCCTAATTTGAGATTAAGGTAAGGAGTCTGTTTGGTGTTAAAAATTTGAGTGCTATCAGCCTATGGATGGTTCTTGGAAGTATGGATGAAATTTGATGTAGAAGAGAGCCCCAAGGATTGAGCCCTGTGATGTTCTGGTGTTTAGAGGTCAGGGAGAGGAGACAGAGAGGTGGTCAGGATGGTAGGAGAGAGGCAAGGGCAAAGGAATTGAGGGGAAGAGCTTACTGGGGCATCTAATGCTGCCAGTGAGGTGACCAGATGAGGGCTGAGAATGTCTACTTCTCAGACCTTGCACTGGGCTTTCTGTGAGTGGACGCTAGAACTCAGCAGGAGAGCTCTGAAGGTTTCCTCCAGGAATGTGCATTTCATTTCCCTCTGCAGTTTCCAGCCACTGCTTTCAGAGATCTCCCAAGCCATCACTCTTTCCAGATGCCTTGTCACTAGACAAGTTGCATTTCCTTCATGACTTGGCAACTTGGCAGGGAAATGATACCTCCCAAATTGCTCATAATCCTTGGCTAAATTTCTCCCTTTGTACTGAAAAAGGAAGCCGGCGGAGTCACAGAATGATTTTTAGAATGAACAGGAACATTTACTGAGAAAAACGTGGGCACATCATAAACCTGCACATCCCTTTACCCTATTCCCTGGGAAGGAGGGATGAAATCTTGAAGTGTCTGCCAATATGGCATTTTTCCTCTCACAGGGTAAAAGCACAGGTACGCCTGAGAGGTGTAGGAAGCATCGTGGCTTTCATATGGAGGTAAAAGTTACAGGACTGGTCTTCCATGAGCGTGTGAGTATGTGTATTTATGGGCAAATGTGGGGTGAGAGGAGAGTGGGCAGAGGCGAGAGAGAATGGCCTGGCCAAGGAAAGATCAAAGCAGAAGACGGTGGTGATGGAGGCAGCAGGCTTTTTTTGCGCATCACCTTGAGTGTTTTTAACCCAGAATTGGCCCCATGTTTAAGATTATGGATCCAGGAAATCCATCCCCTTCTTCCTCTCTTCTCTTTTTGCCACAGCAAAGATGACATTTAGCTCTTTGGGCTTGCATCTGCTGATGACTTTGTTCTATTTTTTCCTGCCCTATTCGATTTGGGTGTTGGTGTGAGACATGAAAGTTTGAAAGTGACACTCCAGCTGTTCCCTCCATGCCACTTCTGCTGAATTATCTTGAAATCCCCACCATTTGGCTTGGCTTTCTCCAGTTCCCGCCAAGGACAGTTTTCGGCAGGCCCCTGTTTTGACGTGTACTTATGCTCTTGGCACCTCCTGTCAATGGTCTTCTTGGATTATTGAACATCTATCTGTGCTCTAGGCTTCAAATCTTGTGGTTGGTGGATGATCGGCTGTCCCTGAGTACAACTGAGAGCCACAGAATTGATGGGGCCTCTAGATGGTTTGGGTTCCAAGCCAGAGAATATACAGGTATGCCCTGTGTGTGTTCAACACAGCTCAGACCAGGAAAGTATTTAGATTAGGGAGATGCTCATAAAGATGGATTGTTTTTAAAATTATTTAATGATCATTTTTGTTACTGGGCTTTATCAAAACAGAGTACAGTATTTGTTTATTGTCCTAGCTACTAGACATCCAGTCGCAAAAAAAGTAGGTAGGGAAGAAAGAGTTTTGTAGGTGGTAGAATAATGTACTATTTTCACACCTGCTACCAGAATTATTCTCAAGATGGGAACTATTTTAGGAAAGTATCTTGACAAGTCATTTGGGGATGTGACGGGGAGAACTGAGGGCTTGCAGGAGTTAAGACAACCAAAGGAATTTCAAAATTGTTGTGCATTAGATCTTGAGTGTTAGGAACATGGAGAAAAGAGAGAGGAGCTAGTGTGGTGGCCAGAGGCTAGTGAAGTGCTCCTGTTAGTGGAAAGGAGGGCCAAGGAATGTGCCTGGAGATGATAAATGGTCAATTTGAAGGACCTGCATTTTAGTCATGTAACTGTTCCACCTCTTGCAGTTTTCTGAAATTCTCACCCAAATGCACAGCTTCTGTAAGTGATGTGCATGTGTATGTGTACACGTATGTGTGCATGGATGTGTGTGAATGTAAGCATGTGTGTATACATGTGGTGAATATGTGTATGTGTGTGTGAGAGAGAGGGAGACACACAGAAAGAGACAGAGACAGAAACAGAAAGACAGAGAATGGTTTGTGTAGATGGAGAGACCTGAGCTTCTCCTTAGGAGGGTCGCTGCAGTGCAGAACAGGGAATGGATGAGGAGATAATACAGAAATAGAGTGAATTTTGCAGAAGCAGGATTTTAAATCAGAGGCAGTAGAAAGGCATGAATACACAGAAATCTTCTGGGGGGGGAGCTGAGATGAAATGGGAGTTAGAGCCAATCTTATCTAGATCATAAAGGGCATGGTGATGCTGGTTACACATTCTGCAAGCTCCATTAACTCTTGGTAAAACACACATGCCTGAGGCTAATAGATTTTTATCCAACCATAGCTGTTCTCCACTCTCAACAAAGCAAATAATCCAGATTGTTCCTTTGCCTTTATTCCTCTCCAGTTGCCATTTTATGACAACTTTTCATCTCTTCCTTTATCAGAGACACTTTAATCTAATTTTAGCAGACAAAATGGTAAGAGGTAAGTGTGTGGTTTTATGCAATGGCTTGGGATATCTGGCCCTTTCAATAGGATTTTCACTTAGGACATTAAAAGTGTAATTTAATGAAGCAACTTGGTTTACATAAAAGTACTAGGACACTAGTTGTATAAGACATATTCTATCTTCATGTAAGTTTCTGAAATGCTAAACAACAAAACACTAGTACAGTGCTTTTCTGAGCCTTAAAAGGCTTTGCAGAAGTGAATTAATCTTATCACACCCCATGTTCTGTTTGGAGGGGATCGACACTACCCTTTCCCTAGTCCACTGTAGTATATATCATCATTAGTATGTATCAGTTGCTGAGACTGAGCCATCAAATACAAATCAGGTAAGAAATATATTAGGGAAGAATCATATAAATTGTATTTCCAGAGTAAAAATAAATGCAGTGCAAATTTAAAATTCACAGTGAAGCTATCACAGCTATTTAGAATGCACTAAAAGTACATTTTAATAAGTATCACATAGTTTACCTGTGGCCTATTAAATGCATTTTAGAGATAGGCAAAGAGAAAAGTGTAATCTGATTTTAAGCGCTTTCCACTAATATAAATTACCCAAATGAAGTATTTGGGCATGCTTGCACTGCGAAATGAGGAAGAAAACTTTACCAAACTTTTGTGTTACTGATACTCCCTATGGGCTTGGCTGTGTTAGGAATGAGTCATATAATATAAGGGAAAATTCCTCCATGGGCTTTGAAGGCTGAACAGGCCCTCAGCTCTGTTTCTTGTTAGCTCTCTGATCTTGGGCAAATTACCTCTCTGGGCTGCAGATTGCTTGTGTGTAAAAGTAGGTAGGTTAATTAATCCTATGAGTATTATTGTTTGGGTTAAATGAGATAATGCATGCAGAGTGCTGAGCTCAAGTCTGGTATCTAGTACGTTCTCAAAAAATGATAGCTATTTTGTAAGCTTGTAGTCTTCTGGTCTCACCTGGCCATCCATGACCTGTGGGACCAGGACTTTGCATGTACAGAGGAGCTGGAAGGGCCTAGATTCAAGTTCAGGTTTCCAGTTACCAGTGTTGGCTTAATCTCATGAAATCTCCACATGGTTGTAAAATGACCATCTTGTAAGACTATAGTGAAGAGTTAATGATATGATGTACGTAAAAGTGGTAGCAAGGAGTCCTGCTTATACAGAGCATATCATAGCCCATATCCAGCTATTGATCTTTCCTGGTTTATGTCTTTGCCTGTCAAATCAAGGACTTGGAATAGATGATCTCTAAATTCCCTTTTCTCTTTAAAATATCTATGGCACTTAAAAAGCCTTTAGCAAGGAGAATTTAATATTCCCTTTAGCTTCTATTTTTCCTCCTTTAGCAAAAAACGAGTTAGTGGAGCACATGCAGATAGATTAAGAAACCAAGTAACAGTGTTTGAAATTTACCCGTGGAAGCAAAAGGGTTAAAGGAAGCCAGAAGCGGGTCATATGAGGATGAGCGACTCGGTGCCGGTGCCTTGCTCTCCTGCTCTTCCCTGGAAAGATTCATTTCATTATCTAAGGCTTCTGTGTTTTATTTTCTGTAGACCAGTGGGCCTCAAGCTTTACTGCAAATTGCAATCACTTGGAGAACTTTAAGACTACTTCAAAGTCCCAGAAGCACCCCCTACCAATTAAATCTGGGTGGATCCCAAACGTCAGTATTTTAAAAGCTCTCCAGGTGATTCCAATGTGCCCTCCAAAATTAAGATCCATGCCCTCCAGTGAATGAAGGGCTCAGAATTATGAATCCTACGTGTCAACTGCCCACTGAATAGACAGAGGCAACCCTTCTCTCCGGGACTTTTCAGATAGCATTGAGGACCTGATAACCAACAGAGAAGGGTAAAATGAGGGAAATCTTGCAATTGTATTTTGTTTGCACGTGCTTTGCATAGTATGGGCTTTGTTTATAGGGTGTTTAACTCACATATGATATATCTTAATGTGCTTTTGGGCAAGGAGGTGCTTTAAAGATTGCCTAATGCCGCTATTCATTGAGCAGAGGGAGAAACCGAGGTCAGAGAAAAGAAGTGACTCATTCAGGCCTCACAGCCGAGAAAGAAGCCAGATTCTTTGCTTTGTCCTTCATTTCCTCTGTCGCACTTGCTGGTGAAGGACTAAAGTAAAATGTCGCTGTTCAAATAGGAGTGTGTTTGTCACACAGGGGTGTTCATAATTGTCTCAGGAAAACAACAGAAAGAAAAAAACAAAACGAAGTGACCTGTCAGTGTGTCTGTTTGAGGCCTCGTCCCTCAAAGATATACAGCATGGATCTAAAAAAAGGAGGCAGGCTATTGCTGGTCTGATGGCACTTCTTTCCAGGGGGACACATTTTCTCTTGTCACACTCTTCTCATTTTTAAACAAAAGCAGAAAACAGAAATTCTCTTTCAGCTCACTGAGTGTGACTGACACATTTGAAAATATCTTTCTACTAAGACAGGAGGAATAGTGTGAAAAATACTCTGATCCAAACTAAGAGAAATCTATAGAGGTATTCAAAAAATTAGTCTCCTACAGAAAAATAGATGTCAGACATGAACCTTAAAACTTCTAATTCTTTCCTGACAATTTCCAGAAGACAGAAGACCCTCAGGTCTAAGATATGTCCACTAGATGGCAGCATGACTACGATTAAAGTATCCCACATTCTCAGGCACAGAAAAGAGGATTTATTACACTGAATGGAGATTGGAAGTCAAAAGATTTTATGGATACAGATCTATTATTAAGGAATTCTAAACTACAGAATATATATCTCTCTCTATATAGGTGTATATAAAACTAATATAGAATTCTGAATACTATTGTATACAGTATCATACTGCCATTCTTACTATAATTCTTACTATCGTTACTTAAATCGTATGTGATTTAAGCAGGTTTAATGTACAGCTGAAAGCCCTTTGTTGTCTACCATCACCTCTTCTTGGCCTATCTCAGCTTTTGCCTGGCTAAACTAAAACTGCATTCTTCAAAGGGCAGGGAATGTTTACTTATTAAATGGCTGTAATCTAAATCATCAGCCGCACGGCTGTGATCCTACTAATTATTCTTCTATCATGATTTTCACTCAGTTATAGGCAGTCAGCAGTTTCTTCTTCTATAATTTAATATTAGTGACAACCCCCAATTTTTGATATTTCATGGATGCAATATGTTAAATAATTATGTTTTTACTGAGTGCAGGTCATGTGTGAGCTGTCGGGAACGCAGAACAAGACTTTGATGGAGGTTGCACTCTAGTGGAATATATTATGACTCATAAATGAAGTGCACACCTTAGTACAAAGTAAATTCTTCACAAGTCCTTTCAAGGTTGAGATATCTATCCTATGGATTATGGAAAGTTCTTTTGAAAATAGCTGGGTGGTCTACAAACAGCCAAAAAGTTTGGGCTGGAAAGCAACAGTGTTGACTTTCCAAGTTTAAGGATTATTCAGAGAAGACTGAAGCCAGCCATGTTCACGAGGGAACCAGGTCCCCACTGCAGCTGTCTGCTATTGTCACCATCTGTCATCTTTAGGACACATCCACATAGCCAAGATAGAGTAAATGAGAAATTGTAGACAGTCAATCTGGTTAATTTATTAGTTAGATAATTGAATATACACACAGACTGGACAACCAGCAGCACAAGTCACCCTCCTAGATTTGGCAAGGTAATTCTTTCCTTTTTAAAGTACTTGGTTAATAAAGCATGTTCAGATATATCATATATGAATTTCACAACCCTATGTTCAAAAAAGAGGCAGTCTGCCCCAGCTTACATAGCTAGCCAGTAAAAAGAGAATCCAGAGGTAGAGTGGTAAAGCATATATCAAGTGCACATCAGAGGTCCAGTAAATTGCCATTTTACTGTGGCTACTGTTGACTAGAAGCCTGGTTTGGTACCCAGACAGTACTCTTATATCATGCTCTTTCCAGTTCAGTCATTTATGACTCAAGGTTTTCAGATGCTTCTATAAGCTCCCGCTTGGACTGTTTGTGCCTGATCTTCAAATTCTGCTCCCAGGGCCTTTGTGCACTGTGTGTATCTGCTCGACTTGTGTTTTAGTGAGTTGAAGAAGGAGGGGGTACGCCTTGTTGATCTGTGGTTGGTAAGGTCTTAAACGAAACCACCATTGTTACCGGGCAGAGTGTAAATTAAGCAACAGGCATGTCCAAGGATAAAATGTGAGAAGGCCTTTCTTGCTGCCATGAGTGGGTTTGGAGTGTGATGCTTGTTTATAACCTGGGCAATGGGTGCTCTTACGGGTGCAGTGACTGTGAAAGAACACTGAAATGTTAAAGAGAAAAGCTGTTGCCCACAACCTTATAAAATGGGCTTTCTGTTTCCAACAACAACAAAAATAGACAAACGACAACAACAAACCGTAAAGAGTAAAAAACGGCACAATGATGGAAAATTGTGAGCCAACATGGAGGAAAGGTGCCGGGGTTTCTAGGGCCTGAATTTTCCACCAGGAAGCAAATATATTTAGAAAGAGGCAGCACCTTTTGACATTTGCTAAGTGACTTTGATGATTGACTTTTCAATTGAGTTTCTGTAGTCAGCAAAAGAGGGGAGTGAAGGAAAAGCAATTTTCCCAACGGGAGTATAAAATCCTCCAGACTAATGAAATGCTTTCTCTGGTTTAGAGATAACAACCCACTTTTGGGTTTTATGCCTAATATTGATGCTTTGTGTATTTTTTATAGAAGCCTTCACGAAATTCAGTTAATTGTATTTTATTAGACTGAGAGATTGTCTTTTTAAATATTCTCCAAACCTCCTCACTCATGGCTGTCCATCCCTTCTCCATTCTCCCTATCAATAGTTTAATGTTGAAGGATGGTTTGTGGTAGTTTTTTTAAAAAAACAAAACTTGCTCTACCTTTTCAATCTCCTCCTAGTTCGAATGATTGCAAAAATGCTGAAAAAGCCAAGTTCCTTTAAGGAATCAGACACTGAAATATGGTCATTAAATCCTGATGGGTTTTTTATTCTGCATCCCATAATTTTAAGGAGAACCACTTTCTGAGATGGTTGGATAAATGCAACAAATATAATGAGGCAGAAGTGAGGTCCCAAGGCAGCTTTGCAATCTACAGGGCACTCAGTTTATTTATTTACAATAACTGTAAGCTATTAGGGTCTGTCTCACTAAGCAAAGATAACCCAGGAACAAAACACGGTAGACTTGGGGGAGTCAGCAGTTTGGTGGCTGCTGGTGGGGGCTGCTGTGTCTTCTATCTTTAAATGTCCTTGGTGTTTTATTTAGGGAAGGTATTATCTTGACAGAACTGCTTTGCTGTTAGGCAGTAAGATGAGTTACTTCTTGGGATAAAGGTTCTCGTAAAAGAATTTGGACAAGAAGACTTTGTGGTTTATAGAAACTGTAATCTTTACTGAATGACTGGAGTGGGCATGGCACGAGGAATTACATTTATAATTGCTTAAAGGACAAAAAGATTCAGCTTGATTTAAACCCAGAGCACGAAAGAATCATGATTATGAAAGGAAAGGGAGAGACAAGATATTATAGTGAAGAGTGCGGTCCTGGGATTTAGAAGACTTGGGTTTTAGTCCTGGTTGTGCTTAGCAGTCATATGTCCTTGGGTAAATCACTTAACTTCTCTGAACTTCAGTTTTTCTATCTACAAAATAGGGTCTTCTGTGGGCATACAATGGGCTAGGCTAAGCACTTCATATGTGCTATCTAATTTCTTTCTTTCTTTTTTTTTTTGACAGAGTCTCGCTCTGTCACCCAGGCTGGAATGCATTGGCTCCATCTCAGCTCACTGCAACCTCCGCTTCCCGGGTTCAAGTGATTCTCCTGCCTCAGCCTCCTGAGTAGCTGGGATTACAGGTATGTACCACCATGCCTGGCTAAGTTTTGTATTTTTAGTAGAGATGGGGTTTCACCATGTTGGTCAGGCTGGGCTCGAACTTCTGACCTCATGTGATCCGCCCGCCTTGGCCTCCCAAAGTGCTGGGATTACAGGCATGAACCACCGCACCTAGCCAATGCTATCTAATGTAACCCTCTCAATTATGAGGTAGGTACTATTATTATTATTACTCTTATTACTCAGATGAAGAAACTGAAGCATGTAGAAAGTTGGTAACTTTCCTGAGTCACTGACAGGGGCAGAATTTGGACATAGACAGCCTAAGACTGGTGTGTGAAACCACTATATACATACCACAGGACTACCATACCATAGAACCACTCTAGAGAGATGATCCTTGGCTTGCTTACGTGAGTGTGGTATGAATAAGATAATATTTGTGAAAAGTGTTCTATAAAATAAAAACCCACAGGATGTAAGGGAATGTAGTTTTTAATTTATTACTAAAAGCCTCCTGCTGTGGTTTGAATGATGGCATTCTTTATAAACGCACATTGAAAATTAATCCCCATTGTGGTGGTATTAAGAGGTGGGGCTTTTGGGATGTGATTAAATCAAATCCCTCATGAATGGTTTGGTGCCTTATGAAAGGGCTGGAGGGAAGTAGCATAGGCCCTTTTTGCCCTTCCGTCTCTTTGCCATGTGAGGACACAGTGTTCAAGGTGCCATCTTGGAGGCAGAGACCAGGCCCTCAACAGACACTAAATCTGCAACTTCTTGATCTCGGACTTCCCAGCCTCGAGGACTGTGAGAAACACATTTCTATTACTTATAAATTACTCAGTCTCAGGTATTTTGTTACCGTAGCAAAAACGAACTAAGACATCTTAATGTTAGATGTGGAGAGTGTCTATCCAAGATTGTAGACTCAAGCAGCTATGAGGCTACTTCACCGAGTGGGTATATTGGTTTGCTAGGGCTTTTGCAACAAAGCACCACAAACTGGGTGACTTAGAACAGCTAAATTTCATTACCTCTGTTCTGGAGGCCAGAAATTTGAAATCAAGGAGTTGGCGGGGCCGTGCTCCCTCTGAAGGCTGAGGATATAATAAGACATCTTTCCTAACTTTCTGGGAGCCTCAGGCATTCCTTGGCTGTAGATGGCCACCTTCTCCCTGTGTCTCATCACAATGTCTTCTCGTTGTACCAGTCATATTTCCCCCTTTTATAATGACACCAATCACGCTGGATAAGGATGTACCTCATCTTATCTTGATAATCTGTGAAGACTCTATTTCCAAATAAGATCACATTTACAGATATTGGGGATTAAGGGGTCAATACTTAATGGAGGCACAATTCAACCCAAAACACTGGTAAACATGGGATGCAATTTGGAGTCAGACACACCAGTGTTCAAATCCAACCTCCACCATTTCCTAATGCAAGGTGACTATTAGTTTCCTATTGCGACTGTAACAAATTATACACATACAGTGGCTTAAAACATCAAGAAATTCAGTGTCTTACAGTTCTAGGTGTTCTACTGGGCTGAAATCAAGGTGTCAGAAGAGATGTATTCCTTATGGAGGTTCTAACGGAGAATCTTGTTTCCTTGCCTTTTCCAGCCTTTTGAGGCCACCTGCATTTCTTGGCTCCTGGTCCCTTTCTCTATCTTCAGAGCCAGCAGTGTAATACCTTCAAATCTCTCTCTGAATTTGACTCTGACCTTCTTCCCTCTTTTGTCTCTCTTCCTCCCTCTTCTATCTTTTAAGGATCCTTATGATTACATTGGGCCCACCTGTATAATATAGTATAATATTCCCATGTCAAGAGGCTAAATATAATCACATCTGCAAAGTCTTTTTGCCATGTAAGAAACATATTTATAGGTTCCAGGGATTAGGACTTGGACATTTTTGGGGGGAATTATTCTTCCTACCACAGTGACTGTCCTAAGCCCCCTCTGTAAATCAGAAAACTTAGTGTTGTTATTTCAAAGTGTTGTTGAAAAGCCAGGTGCAGTGGCTCATGCCTGTAATCCCAGCACTTTGGGAGGCCTAGGAAGGCAGATCACTTGAGGTCAGGAGTTCGAGATCAGCCTGGCCAACATGGTGAAACCTGTCTCTCCTGAAGATACAAAAATTAGCCAGGCATGGTGGCACGTGCCTGTAGTCCCAGCTACTGGGAAGGCTGAGGCAGGAGAATCGCTTGAACCTGGGAGGTGAAGGTTGCAGTGAGCACAGATGGCACCACTGTACTCCAATCTGGGCAACAGAGTGAGACTCTGTCTCAAAAAAAAAAAAAAAAAAGTGTTGTTAAAATAAGTTATTCTAGGCTGGGCGTGGTGGCTCATGCCTGTAATCCCAGCACTTTGGGAGGCCAAGGTGGGTGGATCACCTGAGGTCAGCAGTTCGAGATCAGCCTGACCAACAAGGTGAAACCCCGTCTCTATTAAAAATACAAAAATTAGCTGGGCATGATGGCAGGCAACTGTAGTCCCAGCTACTCAGGAGTCTGAGACAAGTGAATTGCTTGAACCTGGGAGGCAGAGGTTGCAGTGAGCTGAGATCCTGTGACTTCACTCCAGCCTGGGTAATGGAGTGAGACTCTGTCTCAAAAAAAAAATAAATTAATAAAATAAAATAAGGCATTCTTGTGGAGTACTCAACCCAGTGCCTGGCACAGAGTAACATTTCATTACATGTTACCTGTTAATCATATGACTGGTTTCATCCATGTTATGTTCTTATGGAAAAGTTTCTTTTTAAATCCTTGTAAGTGGTGGGGAAACATATGCAAACATTCCTGATATTTGTATGACTCTAAAGCAGAGCATGGATGTTCTGTTTTCTGAGCAATTGGTAAAGCTACTTGTACCTAATGAGGGTGGTGGGGGTAGCGGGAGGGCTTGAACATCACTGCGTTGTCTACAATTCTGTCTGTTTGGTTCCCTATTTAATCAAGTGGCAATTACCAGAGATCACACTTGGGAAAACAGCCAATTTAATTTGGCGATCTTAATTCAGTTAAATATTACATTTTTAGGTACCTTAATGTTTAAGACATTTTAATGGCCACTGTAACACTTACTCTGTCACCTCCCAATCCCCAGCCTCAATTTAAATCTTTTTAGCGTGTTTAATGTATCTTATATAAGCAGCCTAAAGCCATACTAATGGAATGGAATAATAAAAATCATTGTTTTTTATAACTACAATAACAATATAAATAATTGAAGAATACTTTATAGTTTTACAAAAGGCTTTTTCATAGCCTATCAAATAAATGACTGATTTGATGGTTGCACAAGCATTCTGGTGTGTGGACAGAGATTCTGACACTGGCCCTAGAATCAGACTGACCTACTTTGTAATCCTACTATTGCCCCTTGTGAAGTCTGTGACCCAAGCTTAATCAAGACCTTCCCTGAGCCTCAGTTTCCTCCTGTGTTAAATGCAAACATCAGAGTTTCCTCAGAGGATTGTAGTGAGGATTCAATAAGAAAATACCCATAAACCACTCAGTACAGTGCCCGATGCATCTCAATGACAGATAAACACTCGCTGCCACTATTACCATTGCTACTATTATGGTAAAGAGATATTAACACGAAGGTCTTCCAGTCCCCTAAAATATGTTTTAGGAGACTTTGTTTGAGGGGATGTCTTTCTGTTGTGCTATCTTTCCTAGGAAAGGGCATGCCATTAGTCATTTATTATTTTATAATTTCACAGTTTCAGCTGTGCACTCAAGTTAACAGAGCCTATAGTCCAAAGTGAGGTGCAAAACCACAACTGAGACTTGCAAAAGGAGCTGAGCCAAAACTGGATATTGCCCCACACCCAAGCACTGACCTCCAGCCTCTAGTAGGTTAGAAAGATGGACAAAAAGGTGGGAGTTGTATGGCGAATCTCTCCCGTAAGTTGAAGGGTGGGTTCTTTCACCTCAGGTCCATATTGAGGGGTGTGAGGAAACTACCCAGAGAACCTAGGATGTGTCTCTGGATGTTTGGTGGGCTCCACAGACCAGCACTTGACTCAGCTCCAGAAATCCAGAGTGAAAGAGGCTGTGTGGTTGCTAAGAGAATGGAGTGAAGAAGAGATGTTGCTGCCTTGGCATGGGCTACACTCCCAGTGTTTCTCCAGGCAAAGCAAGTGGGTCCCATGGAGAAGATGGAGGCCACGTCTGAGACAGTGCTGGACATCTTAGATCCTGAGCAAGATGGCAGCCTCCTTAGGGGAGGGGGGGGGTTCCAGGGTTACAGAGCTGAAGTAGGATCCTGAAGTGTCAGGCAGAAGAGAAGAATTTGCCCAAGTCAATGAAACTACAGGAAAAAAAAAAAAAGCCCAGCGATGGGGCGGGGGAGCACGTCTCAGAGGCTCAAGGAGCAGCCGGGGAGAGAACGTGAGGGCGCATGCCCCATCTTCCTGAGAGGAGACCCCTTTTCTTCTCTTATCTCCATACTTTCTGATCCAGAAGGGTAAGAAACCACGATTAACTAGTTTGAGGAGAAAGGATGAACGTGCACGGTGGAGAAAGAGAGGTCAAACACCACTTTCTCCTGGGCAGGCAGCCAGCCTGCTTGGGCCAGCAGTGAGCATGGAGAGGGTGTGAGTGAGAACGGACAAACGGAAAGTTTTATTTATTCCATTGGATAGAAGATAGGCATTTCCGAATCAAGCCTTCTTTGATTACTTGAAAGTATCCAGAAGAGTTATAAAACTTGTTCTAATCGAATCCAGGGACAAGAAAAAGCCAGTCCGGTGGAATGAACTGGAAGGGCCCGTGGGAGAGAGAGCGGAAGCAGCTCCTTGGTCCTGTTTCACGAGCTATGCTGTGCGTCCTAGTGGTTACCTCATTATTCTCACAACAGCCCCAGTAGGTAACTATTATCCTGAGGAATAATAATAACCCTTCCACAGATGAGGTCATCAAAACTCAGAAGGGTAAAGTGTTTGTGCCAAATCCCAGATTGAAAATAAGCGGAGGCTGACTCTGAACCCTGCTTTCCTGACTCTACTTGCTCCACCGGAGCACAGGGCGCCATCATGTGGTCGGAAGGGGTAAGGGCACCAAAATCCACCAGGAGCCCAAAGCATATTCTCAGAAGTCCTGAATTTCTCATCAGGAGCCTTGTGACTGGCTTGTAGAGTGTTACTCTTCATCCTGGGCCCAGATGTGTTTAAATAGGCTATTTTGTGGTAAAATACAGAGCCATAGAACGGCCTTTTCTCCCTTTTCTTTTAGCACAAATATGTTTTACGGGACTTTGAGGGGGTTGTCTTTCTGTTGTGCTATCTTTCCTAGGAAAGGGTGTGCTGTTAGTCATTTATTATTTTATAATAAATCTATTGACTTTATTGCTTTTGTGATCAGGCCATTCTAAGTGGAATTAACTAGAGGAGAACCAAGATGGTGAAGACAGAAATGGCTACAGTGGATCATAGGGTCAGATTCCTTTGGGAGGCCTGAAGGCCCCACTGAGGCTCAATAAAAACGAATGATCTTTCCTTTTTCATGGGAACAAATTGATTTAACTGAGTATGACCATTGTCTGTGTGCTTAGGGGACTCATGATGAGGTTTGTGTGCCTTTTCCCACAGGAAGATTATGGCAGTCCCGTGCTAAGTAGCACTTGTTTGCCCGGGTACTGTGCTTGCTGGCTTGTGTGGAGTTTGTGAAGATCTGCCCCTTAACCCTTTATGCCTGAAGTTGCTATTTTTTGAATTTTTGTAATCAGACCTCGGCCCCGACCTTGAGCAGTAGGATATAAATAAATCCCACATGCTTAGCATTCGGAACACTAGACATAAATGTTAATGACTTAAATGAGGTAGAAATGTTTCTGCCCCAGGGGAGGAAATAAAAGGTACTCCTCCTCACATAAATCTGTTTCCTGGTCATGCCCACCAAATTGGCTGTGGGGTGTGACACCCCTCTGTGTCATCCCCTATGTGTAAGTGATCAGTGTCAGTTTAGGAGGCCATGACTCCCCTTCATTCAACGAATCACTCCTTTGGCCAAGGGCTGGAAGCAGGGGCTGGAAAAGCTAAATATTACATTGCACTATCTTGAATAGTATAACTAAAGGAAAATAAAACCAAAAACAAGATCTCTGACCTGTCTCCTTCTCACTCTCTCTATGTCCTGAGGCTTTTGTCTTGCTGAGATGATACAACTAAAATCAGTTAGGGAGTCATCTCTGATTTTGGCATATCCTAAAACAAACCTTGTCACATCAAGGACGATTGAAGAACAGGAATACGTTTAGCTCAGAAACAAACATAAACTTGGGAAGTCATAAAAGGCCTGTTGGATGAAAGGAGAGTACACTTGTTCTCTGTGACCCCAGAAGACAGATCCAAGGAAGGGAGTTGAGGTCACATGTAAACACACTTGGGTTCAATACAACTGGGCAACGTTTTAGCCATTTAGATATCTCATATCTAGAAGATACTGTGTTCTTTGCGCAACACCACAAAATTTAACCAAATGCTTCTCTCCTTTTGCCTTTTTATGGAGAGACTTTCTCCATGCTCTCCATAAAATAGGTTGTTATGTTACTTCAAAAGGGGTCATAAAGGTTGTGTATGGATGGAATGGAATGTTCTGCATGATGCTTTGGTGGGGGTGGGGGGGTTAAAGTTTGGGCATTCTCCTCTCAGTGGGGTGCAGAAAAGCACAGTTTTTGAAATCAGACTGCTGTTAGTTCCAGCCCTGTCTCTGCTGCTCATAAACTGGGTGATCTTAGGCAAATTATTTAAATGTTCTTTTTTATTTGTAAAATGCAAAAATAAAAATTACCAATATCACAGGATAGTTGTGAAAATTAAATGCTTACCATAGCCTGGCATCTGCTAATAATAACAGACACGTATATAAGAGGCAACCTCAAAAGGCACTCTGTATTTAATTGTTTCAAGTTTACTACCCTTAGAAATATGGATATAACTAAATGGCATGTTCTACAAAACAATATAACATCACAATTACAAATCCAAATCCTGAGTGTTTTTAAAGAAGGGGTTTGATCGTAGGCATTGACAATTTTGAATTTTTCTGTTAATATTGTTTGTTGTTTTTCATTCATTTCTATGGCCACTAGCCTATGCTGGCAAACAAATGATAGTAGACCCTTCCAAATATAAGAAAAACCACTGGGAGAAGACTCAAATTTGATATATTTTTATATGTTCAATTCAATGTCATTATTTTTGGACTCAAATTGGGATTGAACCTCTGTTTGGCTACTTAGTTAGCTTCCTGACTTTGGACAAATTATTCAGCCTCTTTAAACCTGTCTGCTCACCTATCAGAAGAGAATTGTTGTGAGGATTACATTTAATGAGATGATACATGGAAAAGCATAATGGTAATATGTCCTCAAAAACTGATAGCTACTATATTTTTTCCTACAATAACTTTATTCATGATTCAAATTTAGCTATTGAATATCTAGGTTTCGAAGCATAAGCATATCTTAGGTGCACCGTTGGAGGACCACTGGGTCAACAGTAATCACAATGGAGTTTTGGTGTATATGAATTTCCTCTCACTGCAATAATGCATTACCACAAACTTAGTGATTTAGTGCAGATTTATTCTCCTGAAGTCCTGGAGGCTAGAAGTTTAAAATTGGTCTCACTGGACTAAATTCAAGACATTGACAGGGATCATTCCTTCTGGAGGCTCTAGTTTCCTTGCCCTTGCTAGCTTCTGGAGCCTGCACTCCTTGGCTTGTGACCCCATTCTCTCATCACACCAGCTTGTTGCTTCCATCATCAGTCTCTTATTTCTGTAGTTAAATCTCCCTCTCCCTCCCTGTTATGAGAACACTTGTTGATATGCTTTGGCTGTGTCCCCACCCAAATCTCATCTTGAATTGTAGTTCCCATAATCCCCACGTGTCATGGGAGGGACTAGGGGGAGATAATTGAATCATTGAGGTGGTTTCCCCATCCTGTTCTCATGATAGTGAGTTCTTATGAGATCTGTTGGTTTTATAAGGAGCTTCCCCCTTCACTGGGCACTCATTTCTCTCTCCTGCCACCACGTGAAGAAGGATATGTTTGCTTCCCTTTCCACCATGATTGTTTCCTGAGTCCTCCCCTGCCCTGTGGAACTGTGAGTCAATTAAACTTCTTTCCTTTATAAATTACCCAGTCTCGGGTATGTCCTTATATCAGTGTGAGACTAATACACTTGTAATTCATTTAGATTCACTTGTATAATCCAGGCTATTCTCTGTCTCTGAAATTCTTAACTTAATTGCATTTACAAAGTGCCTTTTGCCATTTGAGGCAACATTCACAGGTTCTGGAGATTCAGACATGGACTTTAGGAGGGCTCATTATTCAGCCTACCACATGGCCTGAGTTGTTCAAGCAAAGGCTGGGACCTTGTGTCAGCCATGGTAGAGCGTGATTCCTGTATTGGCTATATGCTTAATAGCAACAACCTAGGGACACTTAGAATCCATGATTGTAAATGGGAGACAATAGGAATATTGTACCACCTCAAATTGAAAATGCTGTACTCCCCTTTCTCTGTGCCCTGCACTGTGATGTTTCATTTCAACTAGGCAAATCTTTTTATCTATAAATGCATTTTTTTTGACAGAGTCTCATTGTGTCACCTACGCTGGAGTGCAATTGTACAATCTCAGCTCACTGCAACCTCCACCTCCCAGGTTCAAGCGATTCTCTTGCCTCAGCCTCCTGAGTAGCTGGGACTACACCATGCTTGGCTATAAATGCATTTTCTTAGTATTATGTTTCATACACTTTGTACTAGTCCAGAGGTTAATTGACCCCCTCTCTCAGTGCAATTATTTTGACACCCCCTCTTCTGGCATCCCCTTTTTTGCAATCTTTTGCCCCAACCTGGCAGAGCCATCACATTTATATAATATTTTTATGCCAGTAATGTTTTAAATAATATATGTGTATATATATATATACATATATATATATATACTCACTTAATATTCAAATATTCTAGTATGAATGTATCTTCGTTTTTCAGATGAGGAAGCTGAGGCACTGAGAGGAGAAGTAACAAGCTCAAGGTCTGAAGTGAGTGTTCAAAGTATGTCTGTCTCCAGAGCCCATATTTTTAACCAATACACTATACTGTATCTCTTCAAGAAGTCCTTAATAAGTGCTGTTTTTATTATTTTTATAAGGCTCAGAAATAAATGTTTTGGAGCCCACCTCCTACAGTTCTGTCCCTGTCTCCCCTTCATGTCTCTAGAAAAAAAAGAAAAGTATAATAAGAGGAAAGAAAGGACAAAGAAAGCAAGAGAAGTTCATGTTGACTTGGTACAGAAGTCACATCCTGGGGTGAGCAACACATGTGTGAATGATTCCACAAGTAAGCAATTAGCGGATTTTGTAGTCTAGCATTTAAGCCAGTACCAAGCAGATGTTGATAGAGATATTTCAGAGAAACATCATAAAATGATGATTAAGCTAAAAGGAATTTGAATGGTAAAAATTTAGAGTCTTAAATTTATAGATTTATGACTACTCTGTGCATTTATGTAAAAATTCAGTCTTAAATCTGTAGCTTTGCAGCAAATTTGTAAAGGCAGGGAGAGGGTAGAGTGGCAAGAGGTGAATATGCCTGGGTAGTTAGAGACAATGGGCTTCCCATTGGCAGAACCTCTGCTGTGCTCAGAGAGTGTTGGAAATACAAGATGGTAGGCTACATGGTAGTTATGAGTCCAGGTTCTGAGGCAAGACCATCTGTGTTCATATTCTGATGCCATAACTTACTGACTATATGACCTTGGCCTAGTTTACTTAACCTTTTTTATGCCTTAGTTTTCTCAGGAGAAAATGGGCATAATAATATCTTCTTAGTAGGGTTGTGTTAAATGGGGTTAATACCCATAAGATCATTTATGACTCTCATGTAAGTACTCAGTATATGTTAATAGTTATAATTATCATCTTATCATGTCTAATATGCTTAGGAGATTACTACACATTTGAGAAGGAGTTTTTCTTTAGATAGATATTATAGAGGATGAACTCATTGTTTGAGGGAGAAAAAGACACAGATGATAATCTGCTTACGTCAGCTCAGGCTGTTATAATAAAATACCAAATACTGGGTGGCTTAAAAACCAGACATTTGTTTCTCAAAATTCTGGAGCCTGGGAATTCCAACATCAAGGCACCAGCAGATTTAGCTCCTGGTGAGTTCTCTCTTTCAGGCTTGTAGATTGTAGACAGCTACTTGCTTGCTGTGGTCTCACATGGCATGTGGAGAGAGAGAAAGCTCTCACCTTTCTTCCTCTACTCTTTATAAGGACACTAATCCCATTATAAGGGCCCCACCATCATGACCTCATAGAACCCTAATTACCTCCCAAAGGCTCTACCTCAAAATACCATCATATTGGTGGTTAGGGCTTCAACATAGGAATTTGAGGGAGGCATGAACATTCAGTCCATAACATTAGCAAACGGAAAAATTGAGAAGATTTTTCGGATTGTGATACATACTATGAAGAGAATGTTTCATAAGAATGAGGTTGTTTACCTGGGATTGGGTTGGGGCATCAAAATCTGTTCCAACTGTGTGGTCAGGTTGGACCTCTCTGGGCTGGGATCTAAGTGAGAGCAAAGATCAGGGAGGAGTGTTTAAGTGAGTGGGAGCAGGGAGGGCAAAGACTTGGAGATGGGAAAGAGCTTGAGGTGTTGGAGAAATAACAGTATAAAAAGCCCAATGAGGTTAGAGGAAATACAGGAAAAAGTGAGTGGTAGGAGAAGTGGGCAGGGGCCAGGGTGAGAATGACGAGGAGGAGATTTTCATTCTAAGTGCAGTGGGAAGCCATTGGAGGGCTTTAAGCAAGGAGAAGACATGCCCTGATTAGTGTTTAAAACTTGACATTATTATGCTTTCTATGTACTGTCATTTAGTATTGGCATTATTACTCTGGATTTATTAATATATTTAAAAATAGTCTTTTTAAACTAAGCACTCATTGATTTACTAATATTATTTTAATAATTTTTATAACTCTGGGATTTATTAGAAGCTTACTGAATGCCAGACATGTGCTAATTACTCTGTACACATGTGATAGGAGGCAAACTGAAAATTTCAACAGCAGTAGCAGGATACTGTAGATATGAAATTCTAAAGGAGATCCCAGAACAAATGGCAGATTTTCAAAGGAACAGGGGTTACAAGGCATGAAAAGCCACCAAGAGGATATAAAATAATAGAAAGAATGGATTTGTGAAAAGGATTTCTTTGTGAAGAGCTGCTGCCAAATTCCTTCCCCTCCTCTCCTCCAGTGAGGGACTTCAGTGAGACTACTTGGAGGATGCTGTGTGCTGACATTTTGAGGGCACATTGAGATTGGGTCTGAAAAGGAAGAGTGTGAAGGAAGAGGGAAGGAGAGTAGTGAGGGAGGAGGAAGTGGGGAAGCAGGTCAGAGTATATGAATGTTGAGTTAGAAGTGTGTATTGTGGCTGGAATGTTGTGTCTGGGGTCATTTTGAAAGGGCTCTGCCCAAGAGGACCTTCTAGAAAAATCAGGTTCACTATGGAATGGATCCTGGCTTGGGGAAGGGAGAAGATTTGAAGTCAAGTCATATGTGATTATTTGCTGGAACTGGTCCTTTACATTTCTGAGTTGAGGCTGCATTTGAGGTGTGACTGGAGGACTTTTTATTATCTGAGGCCCTTGAGTTGTGAGCCATGCTTCATACAGGACTTCTACCAAGTGCAAAGCAAAAATTTCTCCCACTGAATCGATTTTAAAGTGAAGCATTGAATTTTGACTGTAAATCCTGAACCACTCTTGTTCCAACATTGCTACTTATATATATAGTATTTTATTTAATCCTCTATGAAGTGGGCACTATTCTTAATCTCATTGTAAGGATGAAGAAGCTAAGGCTTAGAGAGTTGCCACTAATCAGCATGAGGTCACAAGACTTGTAGGGAATAGAAGAGGGTTTGGACCCAGAACTTCTCCTAGGCACAGTGTTATGCTGCTGAGGAAGCAGTGAAGGACCCCACCATTGGTCAGGCTGATGGTGGAAATAGCTCGTGGATGGTAGATTTTGATTTTTGTAAAAAAGAAGGATGTCACTCAATGTATCAAGCCCAATTCCTAATTTCTCAATATAGAACAACTTGAAAATATCCCCAGAATGAAGTTGAACTTCAGCTTTGTGGTTCATAGCATTGTCTTTGGCATATTTCAGGAATGGGGAGCTGGGTCTTCAGGGAGACAGGGCACCCATAGGTGCTGATCTCTTCCTCCGTTCCTGTGACCCTCTTTCCCCCTCTGGCGGAGGTAGCTTCAGAGAGGACCCAGAGTCGTCAGTTCAGTTCAGTCCTGTGGGCTGTGATTTTTCTCCAGGACCTTCATCTTATGTCCAATTTGCTGAGCTTCCTAGGGCTGGGGCAGTTCTTAATGCTGTGGAGCTATGCTGGAGAGGTGAGGAATTATATTTTCAGAGGGTCTTTCAGGTACCCCTGAAACACAGCCTCTTAATCTCTCCTCCCTCCTGCTGTGTTACCTTTCTTGGGGAGCATCCTGAAACCAGCTTCATTTGTGTGTGCCACCATCTCAGTCTAAAGCCATTGTTAAACACCCATTGTTAGGATCACGACTATTAGATAAATAAAACACTGCTGTATATTCAAGCATGGCCTTTACAGCATTATATTAAAACAATAAATCAAGTATCACAGACTCACCGTTTGAGCCAGCTTTTATTGCATTATTCCATTCTCTCCATGATCCAGCTTTAATATCCCTCCTCCTGCATTTATGATTTTGAAACATTACATCAGTTATGTCCCCATAGCACTTTAATCTAATTCAACACTTTAAGGTGTAGGTAAGTGTTTAGGACCCTGGGCCAGGCTCTGATCATTTTATGAAACCGTTGTTTTATAGAAGAACATTACCTTTATTACCAGATTCTATGGTGTGTTTGGTGGAGGGACAATCTGGTTACAATTACAAATAGTGTTTTTTAAGAGCTGCAGTAGAAAGCTCAGCCATTTGAAGATGAGGTACGGCTTCCTCAATTGGTTGTAGCATATTGGTACAAGATGTCAAGAGGAAGCACATCTATGCCTCTGCCTGGTGCTTCCTCTTCAGAATTTTATGTTAACTATTGGTGCAGGTGGTTCCAATGGAAAAACCTGATGTGTGTTCTGAAGTGATGTTACTCATCCATTGCATAACCGTCACCTATATCAAAATAGAGCCTTTATGTACTGGATAATACAGTGTGTTAAATTCACCCCAAACGAATTGGATGCCATTAAACCTTTAGAGGAGTGGGGCCCTTCCTACAAGATGGAAGGTCAGACTTCTGGAAGAGCAGTTCCCTTCTGCAATGCTGCTTCTCTGTCTCACAAGGAAGAAATGGATATTTGTCTCCATCAATCCTCAAGCACTTGCCAAAATCCAGGTGTGTAGTTCCTCCATACCCATTTCTTTTATTTGACTTGCATTGGGGGGATAGAACATAGCTAAAACTATTTTTAAGCAATAACTCAAACTACGTCAATAGGATACTGTTTCAAATTCAGGTGGCCTGTCTTTCATATACTGTAAGCCTCTGGGAAGCCAATACATGTCAAAGAAATATAAAATTATTTATTGAGTCCATCGTGCATTTTTGAGGAAGCCTGTGGCATTTGCTCATCGCATTCTTTGAAGGCATCACACAAGTAGGTGCCATAAATATATCAAGCAAATTTCAGCATTCACCTCTGCATAATCAACTGTCCAGCATTTGAGAGTGTGCAGGAAACTTCCCTCTTGGGAGATCCTTTGCCAGATGATTCTTTTAGCTATGATGTCAGAAGTAGGTGGGCAGGCGTGTCTATCCTGGTGATCAGCAGAGGCTCAAGTAGGCATGGTCGTTAACGTTCTTAGCTCTCTTGCTGGAAGTCTTTTAGTGTGACATGGTACTGAGTTGCTAGGGCTCTTTAGCAATCCCTTGTGGAGTGAAGGAACATCAGTTAAAGTAGAGAGGTGTGTGGGTGCCCTGAAAGAAAACTGTGAAGAACTGAGCCGTGGCACCAGCATTAACAGGGATCTCCGAGACCCCTCTGTCCCCTGCCTGGGAGAACATGTGCATCTTTCTCCATGCTCCTTGTGCAGAAAGCCCCCCTAGGGGCCCTGGCCTTTCTGAGTCATCATGGCTGTGGCTAAGCTGAGCAGAGCTGAATTCATGGGCATGTAGTTTGAATAGCTGTTTTTCTCCTCTTTATTAAAACCAGAAGTGCATGTGTTAAACTTCCTATGAAAAAGCTATGTCTATATGGGAAATAAATTATTTATTTTCTTTTTGATATCTAGACCTATAGTCATTGTTTCAATTGTTTCAAACTATCTCAATTCTATAGCCAACCTGCTTTCTTTTTCTCATATTTAGAAGCCAGCGTTTACAGAGTGCCTGCTATGTGATGGCCACTGTGCTCAGTGACTTGTTCACGTTATTTCTAGTTATGTCTTTGAGGCATGTGGAATTAGTTATCCTATTTTACAAGTGAGGAAACTGAGGCTCCAATTTGCTTAAGAAACCTTGTCTGGGCTGGGCATGGTAGCTCATGTCTGTAATCCCAGCATTTTGGGAGGCCGAGGTGGGTGGATCACCTGAGGTCAGGAGTTCAAGACCAGCCTGGCCAACGTGGCGAAACCCTGTCTCTACTGAAAAAAAAAAAAAAAAAACCAGCCAGGCGTGGTGGCACACACCTATAATCCTAGCTATTTGGGAGGCTGAGGCAGAAGAAGCGCTTGAACCTGGGAGGCAGAGGTTTCAGTGAGCAGAGATCATGCCACTGCACTCCAACTTGGGCAACAGAGCAATACTTCATCTCAAAAAAAAAAAAAAAAAAAAAAAAAAAAAGAAAAGAAAAAAAAGAAAAAGAAACCTGTTCTGCTAAGTGCCAAAGCAGGTGCTGGAAACCAAGCTTTCCTGGCCTCCAAACCCACTTATTAAGGCTTATTGAGGTTTCTGCTCCTCACCTCAGAGGGACCCAGGAAATACTTGCTCCTGAATTTTGGGACCTTTCTGAACAAATATAAATGTCTGGTCCATATGTTCAAAGGTGTTCAGCTTTGATCCCTATCCAGAGGTGGAATCACGGCAGAGGGTTTCAAGCCACACCCTCAGTTTTTCTAGATCCTTCTCTTAGCAACCAGAATCCCAGGTTCTCGGCCAACACAAGTTACGGGGAGGATGCAAGGTGAATCATCAAATAATGTGGCTACAGGCAAAAAGGATGAAGAATGGGTACGCTGAAATTGCGATGAGCTTAATCACCTACAAAGATTATGTTACATGCTATTTATTTGGAGACTTATTTATTTCTTTATTTTTGAGACAGAGTCGCACTCTATCACCCAGGCTGGAGTGCAGTGGTGTGATGTTGACTCACTGCAGTCTTGACTTCCAGGGCTCAAGTGATCCTCCCACCTCAGCCTCCTGAGTAGCTGAGACTATAGGCATGTGCCACCATGCCCAGCTAATTCTTCCACAAACATGACTTTGTTCATGTGTAGTTTTGAGGTCTCCCTTTTTTATCATCAGAGAGATAGTCAAATACAAATTTTTTTGGAATCTTCTAGTGCATTTTACATAGGGGACCTGTCCAGTCTTACTGCTGCTTCTCTTTACGTGTCACCATGCTTACTGCTTCTATCTGATGGCCACTCATCTTCCATTTAAGATGGAAGCATTTTTTGTAGAGACAGGGTTTCACCATGTTGCCCACCATGTTGTTCACTCCTGAGCTGAAGTGATCCACTTGCCTTGGCCTCCCAAAGTGCTGGGATTACAGGTGTGAGCCACCGTGCCTGGCTAATTTGAAGCTTTTTAAAAAACAGAATCTTAAAGGGAAGATGAGTGGCCATCAGATAGAAGCAGTAAGCATGGTGACATGTCAAAGAGAAGCAGCAGTAAGACTGGACAGGTCCCCTATGTAAAATGCACTAGAGGATTTCAAAAAAATGTTTATTTGACTATCTCTCTGATGATAAAAAAGGGAGACCTCAAAACTACACATGAACAAAGTCATGTTTGTGGAGGAATTTTGGAATTTTAGTAACGAATTAGAAGGAGACTCCATCAATCTAATTTTATTGTTGGAATAACTCTTCACTCCCCAGTTGATAAACCTACCTAATGTGTCCTGTCTCTCTGGAGCCCATCAGGAAACAGTATTGCACTTGAATCGACCTGCAAATTGTTCCTCAGCTTGGCCTTGTATGAGACTCAGAGTCTGATCCAGCAGGCATTTATTCAGGGCCTGTGCTAGGCATTCGCTTATATGTTCTTCTGAAATATTCCTCCTTTCCGGGCTTCTATTGACCACACTAAAAGCAGCATCTCTCACTGTGGAAGACAAGGGACATTTTCCAACCTCTTCTCTGGAATTACATTAATGGAAAGTATTGTGTCTTAAAAAATAAAAAAATAAAAAAACCCAAAAAACTCAAAGCCTTGTGAAATTGTTAGACAAACACTGCCATTTTGAATAACTACTTAGAAGAGCCATAATAATTTGGACATCATTAATGTAGAATCTACTCCAAGCCCAACTTCGGCTTGATAAATTACATTCGTTAATAACAAATGCTAGACTGCATGAGCCAGGCTTGACCTCCCCCAAGAACACATTATTTAAAAATTCATTTGGCATCTATTTCCATATCAATAATCAATGTGCTATTTACTGAAATTTTAAATCTGATTGTTAAAGCAGATTCAGAAAGAAGGACATTGGCTTGCTAATTTGCAGTGATTCTGTTTTAGCTAAAACATGTAGCAGTACTTAATAATCTAGTATATCTTTGAATAATAATTCAGGATTCTAAAAAAATGACTGATCTTGGGCAGAATTAATTTAGCTAATGAGATTTTTCTGTATTTTACTGTTGACAGCTTTCTTTTCAAATGCTTGAATTTTACGTTCAGGAATTTTATTCCGAGAAAAGCAGATTAAACGGGCTTTTGAAAATATTAACAAATGGCAACTCTATGAGAGTTTAGTAAGGAGAGGTGAAGTTGCTTTGAGGCTCACTTATTAACCTTGGCTGGCATCACAGGTGTGGTGATTAATTTTTTGCGTCCAACTTGGGTGGGTCACCGTGCCCAGCTATCTGGTTTAACATTATTCCAGGTGTTCCTATGAAGGTGTTGTTTTGGGTGACATTAATGTTTAAATTGGTGGACTTTGAGTAAAGCAGACTACCCTCCATGATGTGAGTGGACCTCATCATCCCATCAATTGGAGGCCTTGATAAAATGGAGACTGGAGACTGGCCTTCCCCTGTGCAAGAAGGAATTCTGCCAGTAGGCTGCTTTTGGACTCAAACTGCAACTCTTCCTGGGTCTCCAGCCTGCTAGCCTACCCTGCAGATTTTGAACTTGTACCCCTACAATTGTGTGGGTCAATTCCTTAAAACAAATTTCTCTCTCATTCCACATATCCTGTTGGTTCTATTTGTCTGGAGAGCCCTGACTAATACAACAGGCTTCTCAGAATATTAACTGTTTGAGAAAGTACCTAGCACCACGCTTGGCACATTTTAGAAAACGATTGTTTAAAGCTTTGGAAGTGCAGTGAGTTGGCCAGCTTTTAGGTCTGATGCAGAATGATATTTAATGTAGTTTATTTGTCTTTATTATCAGTTTGATGTTTTTATAGAATTTAGCACCATGGTAATGGGGGGGTTAGTAAAAATATGAAAAAATTTTGTAGAATACCTGGACAAGAGAGGGCAAAATAGCCCAGTGGCATAAAATCAGACAAAAAATAAACTTTTATTTTTTGGCAGCCTTCCATTCACAGAAACGGTTTTAAGCAGTTTCTAAATGTTAGGCTTAAACTAGCACATATGAAAAGTGGAAGAGAACAGCCTATTGAATTTAAATAGGAGAAAATGTTAATTTCTTATGTGTTTAAGGGAACTTTGAAGTGTTTAAACAAGCACAATTGGCCTCTGCTGTAGGGTTCAGATAATAAGGGAAATGCTGGTTTCTGCAAAAAAACTGATAAAACGCGTGATATTCATTCTATGAAATAATATTTTTCCTGCAAAAAAGTGATGTATATATAGGAAAAGACAGACAATTTGAAAAGAGAAGTAGATCAGGAATCACTTTTAAAAGATGATTATTATCAACTTTTGAAGTATTTTCTTTCAGTGTTTCATTCTGTGCCTTTTCTTAGCATTTGGTTTTTACATAATTGTATTATGTTGGAATACACAAAGTAATTTGTAATAATTCTTTTTTCCTCTTTATGTAAAGTGACCATTTATTAAAAATATATGAAATGTGACCAAATTGTCAAAGGAGAGGAGCTAACTTTCTTGGAAATCAGAGAAACATACTGTAAAAACTTGAAAAGGAAATCTGTTATTATTGCTAGAACATTCTTTCCTTCCTGATTGGATGTTTGTGTCTCCGTGAATGTGTCTGGATTGTGAAATCATCATGTTGATTCACAGGTGAGCTGTCCAGGCTAATGGTCACATTCTGGAGCCAGACAGCCTGGTTCAAATCCCAGCTCTGCTTTCTGGTCACCCATGGAGTAACGTTGGGCAAGTTTCCTTATCTGTAAAGAGGGATTTATAAGCCTTCTTCTCTCTTAGGACTATTGTAAGGATAACCCAGAAAATGGAAAAAAAAAAAAAAGCAATCCATTTAGAACAGTGCTTAGCACATCATAAGCCCTCAATCAATGATAGCAATTTCTGGAGGACATGAGACTGCTTCTAAAATCACATCATTACTATAACTTGTAATGACAATAATAAACCCCTAGTTAGTAAGTGCCATGTATTAAATGCTTTTTATTAATACATCTTTCTTACAAGAGTTCTGTGCTACTGCCACCCCCATTTTGTAGATAAGAAAACTGGGGCTTGGGAAAGTTACATAGCTTCCCAGTGTCTCCCAGCGGGTAAGTGGGAAGATAAGTCCCTAGTCGTTCAGGACTTTCTTGTGTCCTTTAAAGCAAGTACAAACCACGTACCTCCTGTCTCAGCCATGTAGGCTGTGGGAGCAGCTGCAATTGGAAAAGGATGTGGATACGAGGAGGTAGAGGGGGATTTTAAAGAAGTTTGCTGTGGTCTACAGGGGGTCTGGAAATGCACATGGAGAACAGGAGTTATTTTGAAATATCTTTTAGTGGCTGCACTTATACTTTCAGCTGCCCTACACTGAGATGACACTGCAAGCTACAGATTTTTGATCATTGTGTTCAACATCTTTATCGTTAAAAATAAAAGAACAACAACAACAAAAAGTAGACTGTCTGTTCTCCATGAGGAAATGCAGTAAAGAATGACACATATTTTCCCTCTTCAATTTTCTCCAGGAAATAAGTCATTGTATCTGAGAATGATAGCCCAAGAATACAAGTCTATTTTTATGTATGATTATGTCATCTGCAAACAGCTTTTGAAAGAAACACCCAGGGTAATTTATCAAGGAAACAGCTTTTGACTCTATCCTTTTCCCTGGGGTTTATGAAACTTCAGCAGGTGGCATTTTGGTATTTAGCATGACAAGCTTGTGAAATTGCAACAGCTAGCAAATGGAGGAGCAAGTTGATTTTGCTTCTTCATTGATGAAAGAAGTTATTTCTTAGAGTTTTTGAATGTTCGAGGTCCTGGGCTAGGTGCTTTCACTTACATCTAATTTCATACACATGTAATTTAATTGTCATAGCCTTCATTTATTCATGTATTCATTCAGCTAATATTTATCACCTGCCTACTGATGAGCAGATACTAGGTAAACTGCTGGGTTTTCCAGGTGAGCACACAGAGCTGGTGAGGAAAATAGGCACATGGATATCTACTTAAATGTGCCATCCTGTAAATGTATAGTGTGTTATGACAATAAATAGTAGGAGCACCTCACCTTATAGGAATGACCCCTCCTTTAAGATATTACAGTTGAGAAAATTGGGGTTTAGTGTCATTAAAATGATTGTGCTCACTAGTAATGAGTAGTGAGGGCGGGATCCCCTGCCATTTGTGTGATTTCACATCATCTCTCAGAGGGTCCCCAAGGAATCATTGAAAATGCTGTGTTTTCTAACTCTCTCCCTTGTGCTCACAAACATGGTGCCTCGTCTCCCCCCATTTCTGAAGTGTGATCATGTCTCTTTTTATCTTGTGCATTTTCTTCTCTAGTTCTGTGATCCTACTTCTCTCTTCTCCTAATTTCATCTTTGGGTCTGAAGATACAGTAATAATAATCAAAGTAGCATAAATAACTCTAAACACAGAACAAAGAGAGAGGAACCCCTTTTTATTGATCTTCAGCTACTCTTACCTGCCTGTAAGCTTCAGCAGTGGGAAAACTTGGCTTCTAGACCTCCTTCCATTAGGTTTTATGGCAGAAGCCATAGTGGTTCACTGTTAACAATATTTCCTACTCATTTAGGTGGTGTGATAAGGGGATACAGAGCAGGGGGTCTTCAGACTTTTTCTGTAATGAGCCAGTAACAAATATACTAGGCTTTATGGATCTTATGGCCTCCATCATAACTATTCTATTCTGAGGTTGCATCCCAAAAGTCACCATAGACAATTCCTGAACAGAGGGGTGTGGCTATGTACCAATAAAACTTTATTTATGAATGTTAAAATTTGAATTTCATATGATTTTCACAAGTCATGTAATATTGCTTTTTTTTTTTTTTTGACTTTTTCAACCATTGTTAAAATAGAAAAGCCATTCTTGGCACGTGGGCCATACAAGACCAGTTGGTGGGCTGAATCTGGTCTGTGGACCATAGTTTCCCAACTGATACGGTTTGGCTGTGTCCCCACCAAATCTCATCTTGAACTGTAGCTCCCATAATTCCCATATGTCATGGAGGGACCTGGTGGGAGGTAATTGAATCATGTGGGCGGGTGTTTCCTGTGCTATTCTCGTGACAGTGAATAAGTCTCATGAGATCCAATGGTTTTATAAATGGGAGTTCCCCTGCACAAGCTCTTTTGCCTACCACCATGTAAGATGTGACTTTGCTTCTCCTTTGCCTTCTGCCATGACTGTGAGGCCTCCCCAGCCATGTGAAACTGTGAGTCCATTAAACCTCTTTCCTTTATAAATTACCCAATCTCTAGTATGTCTTTATTAACAGCATGAAGACAGACTAATATACAAACCATTGCTGAAGAGCTTTGTGTGTATTACCCCAGGGTCAGGACCTATCCCACGGATATCCCTGTGTTTGAATGCAGGACCTAGACCTACATTTGAATCCCAGTTTTACAAATTACTGGCTGAATAACCCTGGGTGACTTCTTCAGCTCCTCTGAGCCTGAGTTTTACGCTGGTCCTGGTTTGTGAGTGTGCCTGGCCCTTTCCTGCTGCAGGTCTTCACACATGTCCTTGTGATAGCTTCTGTTTGGAATGCAGTTTCCTTGGGACTTTGGGTTATAGTATCTTTTCATGAATCAAGTCTCTCTCTGCCTAAAGTGGCCATCCTCTACCTCGGTCACTCACTATCCTATTACCTTCTTTTATTCCCCTCTTAGCATTAATTAAATCTGAAACTGTCTTATTCATTTACTTGTTTATTCATTTATTGTCTGGCTTTCCTGCTAGAATAATCTTAATGGAAGTGAAAAGATTGTTTAAAAACCTTATTTACTGTTGTATCCCTAGGGCCTAGAACAGTACCCAGCACATAGTAAATGCTCAATAAATACTTGTGAACAAATGAGTTAAAGTGTAAGAATGAATGGTTTTTCTCTTATGGGATTTATTCATTACAGGATTTTGGTGAGTTTTAAATGAATTGATACATATGCTAGGTACAAAGATAAAAACTTAAGAAAGGTGATTTTTGTTATGAATACACATTAGGAAAGGGGGTTTCATAAATAATAAAATAATAAATGGGATATATTAAGTTATGCCATCATGAGAATAGCAGAGTCTTAGTGATCTTAGAATTGGAAAAATATATAGAGGTGAGTTATTAAGATAGATTCTTTTGCTTTGGTTCATATTCACCTTTTGCATATAAAAAAATCTAGGGGCTGTGCATGGTGGCTCACACTTGTAATCCCAACACTTCAGGAGGCCAAGGTGGGTGAATTGCTGGAGGCCAGGGGTTTGAGACCAGCCTGGCCAACATGGCAAAAACCCGTCTCTACTAAAAATACAAAAATTAGCCAGGCTTGATCGTGCATGCCTGTCATTCCAGCTACTTGGGAGGCTGAGGCAAGAGAATCACTTGAACCCATGAGGCAGAGATTGCAGTGAGCCAAGATTGTGCCATTGTACTCCAGCCTGGGC
This sequence comes from Homo sapiens, assembly GCF_000001405.40. Lineage (NCBI taxonomy): Eukaryota > Metazoa > Chordata > Mammalia > Primates > Hominidae > Homo > Homo sapiens. Next base: position 87,871,048 of record NC_000014.9, on the reverse strand, counting down.
AACAGAGCAAGACTCTGTTTGAAAGAAGAAGAAGAAGAAAGAAGAAAGAAAAAAGAAAGAAGAAAGAAGAAAGAAGAAGGAAGAAGGAAGAAAGAAGAAGGAAGAAGGAAGAAGAAGATGGAAGAAGAAGAAGAAGGAAGAAGAAGGAAGAAGGAAGAAGATGGAAGAAGAAGAGGAAGAAGAAGAAAAAGAGGAAGAAGGAGAAGAAACTAAGTTCTAAGACAGCTTGAGCTATTTATTTGAGGACACAAGCTTTTGAGAGCATTGTCCCATGCACAATCTATCTCTCTGTCTTATTTATTCAATCATCCTACATAACTAATTGATGTGTTTTGGGGAGGAAGGAAGAAGGGGTGTATTAATTTTCCATTCCTCTGTAACAAACTACCATAAACATAGTGCCCTAAAACAATACCAATTTATTATCCCATAGTTTCTTAGATTAGAAGTTCAGTGTGGCTTCACTGGCTTCTCTGCCCAGGGTCTCACATTCAAGGTGTCTCAAGGTGGTTGCAATCTCCCCTGAGGCTCTGGGGAAGAATCTGCATCTAAGCTCACTCAGGTCATTGATAGAATTCAGTTCTTTGTGGCGTAGGACTGAAGTCCCCATTTTCAGGCTGCCTACTGGAAGCTGTTCTCAGCTACTGGAGGCTGCTTGCAGTTCCTTGCCACGGACCTTGTCACAAGACTGCTCACATCATCACAGTGGATGAATCTCCTTCATACCTTTAATTACTCTCTTTTCTGCTGCAGACTGAGAAAATTCTCTGGCCCACCTGGACAATGATTAGGTTAGGCCCACTCAGATATCTCCCTTTAGATTAACCCGGAGTCTACTGGTAGCCTTAATTGCATCTGCAAGAATGCCTTTTGCCATATAATGCAACTTAGTCACAGGGAATGATATCATATTCACAGGTTCCACCTACACTCAGGGGGAGAAGATTACACAAGAATGAGTCATCTTAGAACTCTGCCTACCACAGGGGTAGATGTTTTTAGCAGTCCCTTTAATGAGAACCAGTATCTTCTTTGCCTGGTTTTAGTTTTGGTTATCCCCTGGTTTTCTGCTTGATCCTGGAACTTTCCTATATTTTCTATTAAATCTCTGTAGCAGATAGGTTTGGTGACCATCCACGAGGTACTATTCAGAGTTGATGCTGCAGAGAAACTCAATGACTAAAGCCTCTCTAAATCTACCACTGACTTCATACAGAGCCTCACTTTCCATGGACTGCTCCAGGCAATGACTGACCTCAGGCAATGACTAATGATGGACTACTTTGGCTTGAGACTCCCTCTTGGCCTGGTTGAAGTTTTTCAGAGCTGCATTGCAGTTTGATCTGAGACTTCCCTCTTAAATCCCCTTCTTTCCCTCTCTCCTTCACAGGGCAGATAAGACCTGTCCTTCAGTCTGACAGCTTTCCCTGCCTTCTCTTCCTGCCCCCCACCACCCCCATTTTCCTCATAGTCATTTTCCCAATAAATCTCTTGCACATTTAATCCTGTTTTGATATCTGCCTGTTGGTAAATCTGAACTGACACAAGTGGCACCAGGAGTGATCTCAAGAAACAGGCAGTAAGACGGGGTTCTGGGACTGTCTCCCTGCCTGACGAGCAATGGGATGTCATTCTGAGTGGATTGTCAGGCATCGCTAGTCCCTGGCACAAGGAGGTGGCCCAGTTGCTAGAAGTTTCACTAAAGTGATCTGACAAGACCACCTGTTGGAAAGGAATTCCCTTGCATGTGTGATGGCTCAGGTAGTTGAAAGACATGGGGGATAACGCCTACAAAGACAGAAGCGTTAGCTGCTAAGTTGCATTGATGCCCTGCAAGGGGATGAGAAATTGAAGGCCATTAACAGGGAGTTAAACATTAAGTGTGAGTGCTAGAATGCTTCCCTGATACTTTACAAAAGAGTTCTTTATCTCCTGTGTGGGAGGAGTGGACACAGCTGAGCATCAGACTGAAGCTCTGAAAGAGTCAGACATGCAAGCTCCAGAGGTGCTGAATGCTCAATCAAGGTAGGTCTTTTCTTGCTGAGGTCAGATCCTTGATGGGAAAACCTGAGACCCTGAAATGTGGGATGAGACCATCTCAATGGGTGCTCTTGAGAACGTTGGCTCTGCAGATATCCCTCCTGAACTCTCAGAACTCGCAGAGGTGATCCATTCTCTGTGCTGACAGTGCCTGCTAGGCCCTTCCTTCACAAGGCAACCAGCCTCCCCCTCCCAAAAGCTGCCTCCACACTTTGACTGTCAGGCTGATAACTAAGGCTAAGTCTAATCATAATCTGGTTGGGGACATGCTGAGCCTAATGAGAGAGCAAAAACATTATATCCCAAAAAAGTGGCAAGAATTAGCTAAAAGTTACTGTCAGGAGCCAGAGAAATATTCCTGGGGTTGAGCTTTAAAGATATTTAATCGAGGGGTCAGAATATAAGACTAGCTGAGCAGAGAAATTCATTGACTTTCTTAGGGGCACAGAAAAGACTGGTTAGAACCCCAGGAGCAAATTCATGGCCAGTATAGCTAGTATAGCTCATAGAATCCTACAGAAAATAATTATCAATGTTGAGCAAAGTCAAATGTCTGAGCTGTCCTGGTAGTAGGTTGGAGAAGGAATAAAGAGGCTGAAGGAGGCAGGTTTGCTGGAACGTGTATAGGTGTGAGTTATGTAAGGGCAGACAACCTACCAAATGACTTGTTCCTTGGGAGGATAAAAAGGTCACGCTTTTCACCAAAGTCATCAAGAAAGTGCCAGCAAGATGAGTGCCAACATCACTAAGAAGTTGGGTGGTGGTTCCTATGTAAGCCAAGAATGATGGCAAGAGAGATGGCCACAGAGATGGGATTACTAATCTCCATGGTCTTGATGGAACCCTGAAGTTCAGGGTACAGTGCTTAATCCCTGGAAGCCAGCAAGCCACAGTGACCATAGCAAGGTCTGAGGGGCAGCCACAGGGGGAGCTGGTAAATAACTTGGCATTTCTAGGGCAAAATACATCAGAAACCAGCAAGGATGCTACCTAAGACCATCATCATCAACAAGAACAACATGGCAGAAATGCAGAAGAAAGAGGCTAAATGTGCTCACCTGAGAAAAAGTCCCAGTCTTTTTCGAAGTTTCCAGATCTGAGTCAATTTTCAGATCTAGAACCATTTGACCATGGTAAGTATTCACCATGATGATTTCTCTAGCTCTTTCCTAAAGGATCCTGGGGCCATTTGCTTGAATGACTGTAGAGTGGGGAAAGTGGTAGATCTAGACATTTTGAGGACAATTAGACATATGGTCTGAGTTGACAATGTTACCCAGAGACCCTGGCCCCTTGTTAGAGAGAGGGCCTAAGGGGGGCAGTTAATAAATCATATCCTAGATAAACTCTGGCTCACAGTGGCCCACAGTCTCCATAGACTGCCTTAGTTGTCATTTCTCCATGCTTTCTCTGGGCTGTTCTCAACCAATAGTCAAGCACAGCTGGGACACAGATACAGTCCTATTACTGCAAGATGTAGAACTCCTCTGGTGGGCAACTTTGGCTCAAGGACTTCCTAACAGCCTGATGGAAACTTCCTTAGGCTGCATGGCAGTTGAGGACATTTCACCTAAATCCTCCTTCAAAAGTGTCAGACCTGCATTGTGTTATGACAGCTTTCTCAGCCTTCACCTGCTTCCTTTCCATTTTCCCTCATGGACATTTTCCCCAATAAATCTCTTTTATGTCCAGTCCCATTTTGGCATCTACTTCTAGAAGAACCCAAACTAACACAACAGGAGGTATATGCAGAGCCTTGTTTATGCCCATGACTGAACATGCTGTTTCGTTGGAGTCTTGCTTTAATAGCAATAGGTCAAATCATTTGTTCCTTCTGTTAATATAAAGCAGCAGAGTGAAATGTGTTCATTGGCTAGGAGGGTTGTGGTCATGCCAGGAGGTGATAAAATGCCACATTTGCTTTATATCCTCTCAAATAGTTGCTTGATGGCAGCTTGCTCAAGCATTCAAGCTTGCTCTTCAGCTGTGTGAGTTCTGCCTAAGAAGTCCTTTCAATACCCAGGGATAACAACTCTTCATGTGGGCATTTCTTTTTGTGAAGATGCAGCAAATCAAATACCATTCCCAGGGACTCAGCATTGATCTGTTTCCTTCTGAAGCAATTTGAAGTCCTTCTTTCTCCTCCTGACAATGTAACACCAAGTGCGGAGTTCATAAACTAGTTTATAAAGAGACCAGCTGCATCCCTTGCCCAGAATTATTTCTCCAGTGTCAGAACACAGAGCTGTTATTACTTGGGCCACTAGCTTGGCTCTTACCACCAACTACTCTGTCTTGTGGCAGCTATTGCACTGGTTTTTGGAGGTTTTCTTTTCAATGTTTAAAAGGATTCACAAGGAAAGAATTGGAAGAGGACTTTTAGTTAGAGTGGCATTCTGTTATTTTGAAAAGACACAGGTTCTGATACTTGTTCAGTATTGACTAACCGTGCTCCTTCTTGTGAGTTCTATCATGTCTACGGGCCTTAGCTTTCTTATCTGGAAAAGGGAATGATAACGTTGCACAATTGGGGAAAATAATTTTTGTAGGCACTCCATTTTTGAAGGAACACTGAAGTGTTAGAGGTTAGGAGCAGGGCTTAACCATTTGAAACCAGGAGACCACAATGATCATGATGGCTGGCAAGGCCCAACGGGGAGTCAAGGAAGCTTGACACACAGGGTGTCAGTAACAGTTGTTAAATATTAGCTTCTACTAAAAAAATTTAAAAAAACACTAGTAAGAGCTAATGTTTAAGCTCTGTATGAGTACTGTGAGTCACACATTTAGGATTATATTATAAACTTCTAAAGTGCAAGGCATTTCAGACCCACTATGCCAAGGCCAGGCCTTGCCTCTGTAAGCGCTCAATCAAACTGAAGCAGATAATTAATAGCAAGGAGGTGGAGATGAAATCTACCTAGTGACTCTGGAAGAGTTGGAGGCTACCAGTGCAAGAAGATAGCTCAGCCATTCTCCCTTTCCCTGAGAGGGAAAACGTGGCCTGAGAGGAAACCATGTTGATGCTCAATTACTCTTTCATCTGGCAAACGTTTATTGAGCATCATCTGAGCCCCAGCCTCTAGGCTTGGTGGACAGATGTGAAAGTGGACAAAGGCCCAATCCATGACTTCAAGGAGCTGCCAGTCTGGTAATGCAAAGACCTTATGAAGGTCACTGGCGAACCCTCCTCAGAGTCAGGGAGGGGCTGGCACAGAAGTGTCCTGAGAGGAAATGCCACTTGGATGTATTCTGTGAATTAGTGAGAAGACAGGTTTAAATAGGGATGATACTCCCCGTTTAAACTACCTGTCTTCTCACTAATTCACAGGCTAATTCTCTATCAAAGGTTGGTGGTTGCAGAAGAGTGTTGAGGAGATCAGGGAATTATAAGTTAGGCATTGGCAAAAGTAGAGAAAGTACAGAGAAGTACAGAAAGCAAGGTGTCCCCCAAACGAAGGAGAGAAATGCTGGCGGGAAACGCAGCTTGGGCATGAGTATCATTACATTTACCAACAAAGACTTAGGTAAGTGCTTACCTTGGGGATATGTCACATAGAGTAGGAGTTTGTACACCCATCTGCCCAAAGCAATAATGAGCCCTTGGCAGAGGGGAAGCAGTGTCTTTGAGGTGAATTTCAGGAATTCTCTAGAGAATTTCTTCCAGACTAGTAGAAATTAATGGAAGCACATGCAAAAGAAAAGCAAGCCCTCAGTGCTCCAAGCCATTGACAGGTAGCTGGGCTCCAGGGGGGCTATTTCTCCACCTGGTTGTGGGTTACATTCCCCAGTTCCATAGCAGGCAAATAGCCTTTTAGCTTCTCTGAGTGGTCAGCCTCATGCGTTTTTCTAACCCTCTGTAGATTCTTTCTTGTAAAGGCATTCATCTATTCCTGTGCTGGGCCATGCCAGGACTCTTAATTTCTGCATTTCCTGACAATGTGTGCATGAATGGGCTCTATTTTATTTCCTGCCTTGCCTGCCATTGTATTAAGAAAACCATGAGTGAGTTTTCACATTGTATTCAGAGCCAGCGTATCCTGTCTCGTTCCTTGTCAGCTGCCTGCCCTTTCTCCACCTCCTTCTGTGTACTCTCTTGGGTTGAAACATCTTTCTTTCTTCCTTAATACATCCTCATCTCCACTTCCCTGAGTCATTTTTATTTACCCTGTAATCATTTTCTCCACCAGTCAATAAACTGTTTATTTCTTTCCCTATGCAGCAGGTAATGTAGTTTCAATGTGCTTCCTGTCATCCGCCTAAAAGCTGTTATTAAGTTGTGTACTAACAGTGCCACTTTTCTGAGGGTGCTTCTTCATCCCGCTGAGAAGGCTCCAACCAGGTTGCAAAGGGCCTTGCCATTATCTGCTCAGGCCCTACTTGTTCACACAGAGAATAAGTGGAGCAATTCAAGCTCTCTTAAAGTCAGACAAATACAAGCTTCCCCTTGCTGCCTTCATGTATGACTGGACCTGCTGTGTGTCTCCTGTTCTCATCTCTATCTGATTCATCAGCAATAACTTGAGGACAGTCAAGACTGCTGAGTTCGCATGGCTGCAAACTTTATTTTCCAGGCCATCTTTGGTAAGCCTTGGATAAAATGGCCAAGCCAACTGAATGATAATCGAAATGCATTTGTTTTTTCTGCTGCACTTTTTGCTTGGGGTTGTGCTTGAAAGACAGTCATACATCAACTTGTGGCCCCCCAGGATCATATGGTGAGTCCATTGCTGTGGCTCTTAGACTTGTTTCATCTGCTATTTTCCCTGAAGAGTTTGATTTTTTTGACATTTTTTAATATCCAAAGCAATATATGTGAGTCATATGCAAATTAAAAAATGCAGAAAATTAGAAAATAAAATGCATCCCTAATCCCACCATCCAGACATAACTACTCTGGTGATTTATTATGTCTACAATTAGAGATAGATACACAAGGATATATAGTAGTGAGGTGTGTGAGGGGTGTGTGTCTGTGTTTTATACACTTTTTTATTACAAAATTAAAATCATCTCATACATAAAATTTTGTAATATGCTTAATATGTCATGAACATATTTTCTTTTCCTTTTTTTTTTTTTTTGAGACAGAGTCTCACTCAGTTGCCCAACCTGAAGCTCAATGGCATGATCTCTGCTCACTGCAACCTCAACCTCCTGGGTTCAAGTGATTCTCCTGCCTCAGTCTCCAGAGTAGCTGGGGTTACAGGTGTGAGCCACCACATGTGGCTAATTTTTGTATTTTTCTAGAGACAAAAATATCTCTATTTGCCAGGCTGGTCTCGAACTCCTGACCTCAGGTGATCTGCCTGCCTCGGCCTCCCAAAGTGCTGGGATTACAGGCGTGAGCCACTGCGCCTGGCTGTCATGAACATCTTTTCATGCCAATGAACATTTGCCTGTTTCCGTTTTAATAGCTAAATAGTACCTTATTATATCAATGTAGCAGAATTTTCTTTAACTGGTTTCCAGTTCTTGGTTGTTTTGGTTGCTTCCAAATTTTCATTTTATATTCAAAAATAAAGCTACATCATCATGCACAGCCTTATATTTTCCCTAACATAAATTCTTCCGAGTGGTATATGGAGTTGAAAAAGACATATTTTTGAGGTTTTAGAAACATCCTGCCCAATTACCAACTCTCCTGCTCTCACTGTCTCCTATAATTTTTCCCAGTTTACACATTCCCCATTTGCTGGAGTGTGCCCATTTCTACTCACCCTGAGGTTTTTGAGTCAGTAGGAATTTTGTGGTCCAGAGACAGATCTGGACAGGTTCTTGGGCAGGCAAATAGCATGTGTCTGGGATCCGGAAATCTAAGACTAACTCTGCGTGACAGTAGATAGATCACAAATCCACAGCACAGTGTTCAGTAGCCCTCAAATAGTGCCTGGAATCCCACCAGCAGAACACTACCCATTCTTCTGAGCCTGCCCAGACTTTGCCTGGCCCATGTATGATGCCTTCCCTGTTCCCCTCCTTCTTTCCTGACCATCTTTGTTTTTATGGCACATAGACCTTGTGTGATGTTCCAGCGTTGGATTCTTCACCCATCTCTTTCAATCTCTGTATTTATGTGTGCAGATGCTGCTTCTCCACCCTTAACTAACTTCTTTAGGAAGAAGAATGTTTCAGGTTCTTCTGTAAATTCAACCTTGCCTGGCATCTGACAATGCATACTGCAGGTGATAGATACTTGCTTATCCAACTAACTTTCAGACTAGACCACAGCCTTTTCCTTTAGGTATTGCTTAGTAGGCATTTCTAGGAAGTTACATAAGTTCGAGTAAAATGGCATGGATGGGAAGGGTGTTTTCTTCACAATTTCTAGAACATAGAGCTGAGTGCTGAGCCCTTTTCGAAGCCTTCAGAGAAATGCATTGCATTGTTTATTATCCCCACAAGGAGTCATACAGCTTGCTATTTTCAAGCTGTGTTACATGGAAAATTGAAGCTTAAATCAAGTTTGCTTCTTGTTTTTGCTCAGTTCCAGTCTCTTGATTTTATTTCCTGAGTTGGAATTAGTAGGCGGAAGGGAACATGCATAACCTCAGTGAAGAAAATAGGATAGACTGTTTACCAGGGTAACTGATGCCCAAGGAGGGCTTGACATCTTTTCAGACACCTCCTCCAGTCATTAACTTAGATTATTCTTCCCACAGCTCTTGGGCAAGCTACAGCAGAGACAGTTTCCCCTAACTTGAATGCTAATCCCCAGGTTGTTTGGAATTATGTTCAAATAGTTTCCTTAACCTTCTCTAATGATGCGTTCCTTTCAGTTTCCTTGAGATTGAAGTGGGAGCTCATCCCCCCCCATACTTCTCTACAGTGACAATTGTCTGAGAGGCCTAGGACTGTGCAGAAATGGGGGGAGAGACTGGAAAAATGGAGGAGTGCAGCTATCTCCCAGGTCAGGCTTTGGGATCAACTGATTGATCAAGGTTTGTGATTTATTAGTTGGAAACAGCCACACTCAAGCGCTTAGCATTGATGGATATTTTTTTCATTACATTTCAAACATAGAAAATGGTCCTTTCTGAATGAGGAATCTGGGGGCATTTTAGTCATTAGTCATGTGAAACTTTCTTTTTCTCCTGGTGTTACAGAGAGAAAAAAATGACAGGAACTACCATGCATTCCTTGCTCTGAATTGCTTGTATATGTAACAAAGTGAAATGCTCAAATTCAGTAAGTTTATTGGCCTTAGGGTTTGCTTCTTTTTCTATTTCCTATTTCTGTTTTAGTAGCCTTGTTGTATTCAAATCTTTAATTTTGTGGGAACTAAGGATAATTGAATGCATGATGTGCTTGGTACATATGTGTACACGTTAACTCTCCAGTGGGTCCCTGTGGCACCTATAATAAAACTTAATTCCCTATCATGGTTCAAAGAAGGTGCTCAATTAGTGTTTGATTATTGAACTGAGTGGGATAAGGCAATAAAAGCTCAACTCCACATGAATGGAGGCAGATATTCCAAAAACTGAGGAATTTCAAAGCGTCGATTTATCTTTACATGTGCTGGTGTAAGACAGACACACTTAAGATGCATTCTGCTATGTGACCTGGTTGCAGCCTTGGCCTAATCTGAGGCTACTCTCAGAAGCCATGTACCTACAGCTGGGTGATTTGAAGAGTCATTGTCCTCCTGCTCTGATAGGGTACATTGGATTATAGATCTGTCATGAATTTCCAGTTGACCTGTATAATTTCCAGTTGCACTGACTGTCAGAGAGTTGGCTGCTCCTGCAAATGAACTCGTTTAAAGTTCTCAGGGCTAATTTAGTTGAGCATTTCATAAGGTTTCTTATGGATTCTGTTATGACACTTATAGTATTGGAGGTAGTGGTAGTAGTCGTGGTAACTATGATAGTTTGTGAAAGTGGTAGGTGCAGCAACCGCAGCTACAGATTGCAGTTTACTCAAGCTTTCTCCTGCATTATCTCATTTATTCTTCTAAAAACCACAGGGGATAGGAGTTATTTTTCTCACTTCAGATAAAGCACTCGAGACACAGAGAGGTTAAGGAACATATCTAAGTTGACTTAGGACTGTATATTGTAAAGTTTGAACTTGATGTTAGAATTTTGACCTTGATATGGTTTAGATGATTGTCTCCTCCAAATTTCATGTTGAAATGTGATCCTTAGTGTTGGAGGTGGGGCCTAGTGGGAGTTGTTTGGGTCCTAAGGGTAGATCCCTCATGAAGGGCTTGGTGCCACCCCCACAGTACTGAGGAAGCTCTTGCTCTATTAGTTCACATGAGAGCAGGGTGTTTAAAAGGGCCTCGCACTTCTCTTGCTCCCTCTTTTGTCAGCCACGTGACACGCCTGCTCCCCGTCAGCCTTCCACCATGAGTAAAAGCTTCCTGAGGCCTCACCAGAAGCCAGGCAGATGCTGGTGTTATGCTTGTATAGCCTGCAGAACTGTGAGCCAAATAAGTCTCTTTTCTTTATAGATTAGCCGGTCTCAGGTACTCCTTTATAGCAATTCAAAATGGACTAACACAGGCCTTATATACTCTTTATTCTGGGACAACATAGGAAGTTGGCAAATGGCACCCTTCAGGGAGCAGGTCTGTTTACCAAGAGCTGGTGAGCAAATGCAGTGGTTTTTCAAGAGATGTAAGTCTGTGGGTTGAATTACAGCTTGTCTGAGGTACAAACTCCTCCCTGCAAAAGGGACTTGGAATCATTAATGTCTTAGAGAATACATATGAAAAATAAAATGCCTTCAAAATATAGATGCATATGTACACGTGCACACACACATACAAACAGACCTACCTCATCACCTTTTAGAGGCATGACAAACTTAAGCATCAAAAGCTTATTTTAAACATTTTAAAATTATACTTTAAGTTCTGGGGTACATGTGCACAACGTGCAGGTTTGTTACATAGGTATACATGTGCCATGGTGGGTTTGCTGCACCCATCAACTCATCATTTACATTAGGTATTTCTCCTAATGCTATCCCTCCCCCAACCCCCCACCCCCTGACAGGTCCCAGTGGGTGATGTTCCCCTCCCTGTGCCCATGTGTTCACATTGTTCAACTGCCACTTATGAGTGAGAACATGCAGTGTTTGGTTTGCTCATCTTGTGTTCCTTTGCTGGGAATGATGGTTTCCAGTTTCATCCATGTCCCTGCAAAGGACATGAACTCATCCTTTTTTTATGGCTGCATAGTGTTCCATGGTGTATATGTGCCACATTTTCATTATCCAGTCTAATATTGATGGGCATTTGGGTGGGTTCCATGACTTTGTTATTGTAAACAGTGCTGCAATAAACATACTTGTGCATGTGTCTTTATAGTAGAATGATTTTTACTCCTTTGGGTATATATCCAGTAATGGGATTGCTGGGTCAAACGGTATTTCTAGTTCTAGATCCTTGAGGAGTCGCCACACTGTCTCCCACAATGGTTGAACCAATTTACCCTCCCACCAACAGTGTAAAAGCGTTCTTATTTCTCCACATCCTCTCCAGCATATGTTGTTTCCTGACTTTTTAATGATCGCCATTCTAACTGGTGTGAGATGGTATCTCATTGTGGTTTTGATTTGCATTACTTTAATGACCAGTGATGATGAGCTTTTTTTCATGTTTGTTGGCTGCATAAATGTCTTCTTTTGAGAAGTGTCTGTTCATACCCTTCACCCACTTTTTGATGGGGTTGTTTTTTTCTTTTAAATTTAAGTTCTTTGTAGATTCCGGATATTAGCCCATTGTCAGATGGAGAGAGTGCAAAATTTTTCTCCCATTCTGTAGGTTGGTTGTTCACTCTGCTGATAGTTTCTTTTGCTGTGCAGAAGCTCTTTAGTTTAATTAGATCCCATTTGTCTATTATGGCTTTTGTTGCCATTGCTTTTGGTGTTTTACTCATGAAGTCCTTGCCCATGCCTATGTCCTGAATGGTATTGCCTAGGTTTTCTTCTAGGGTTTTTTATGGTTTTAGGTCTTACATTTAAGTCTTTAATCCATCTTGAGTTAAATTTTGTATAAGGTGTAAGGAAGGGATCCAGTTTCAGCTTTCTGCATATTGCTAGCCAGTTTTCCCAGCACCATTTATTAAATAGGGAATCCTTTCCCCATTGCTTGTTTTTGTCAGGTTTGTCGAAGATCAGATGGTTGTATATGTGTAGTATTATTTCTGAGGCCTCTGTTCTGTTCTATTGGTCTACATATCTGTTTTTGTACCAGTACCATGCTGTTTTGGTTACTGTAGCCGTGTAGTATAGTTTGAAGTCAGGTAGCGTGATGCCTCCAGTTTTGTTCTTTTGGCTTAGGATTGTCTTGGCTATGCAGGCTCTTCTGTGGTTCCATATAAAATTTAAAGTAGTTTTTTTCTAATTCTGTGAAGAAAGCCATTGGTAGCTTGATGGGGATGGCATTGAATCTATAAATTACTTTGGGCAGTATGGCCATTTTCATGATATTGATTCTTCCTATCCATGTGCATGGAATGTTCTTCCATTTGTTTGTGTCCTCTTTTTTTTTCGTTGAGCCGTGGTTTGTTGTTCTCCTTGAAGAGGTCCTTCACATCCCTTGTAAGTTGGATTCCTAGGTATTTTATTCTCTTTGTAGCAATTGGGAATGGGAGTTCACTCATGATTTGGCTCTCTGTTTGTCTGTTATTGGTGTATAGGAATGCTTGTGATTTTTGCACATTGATTTTGTATCCTGAGACTTTGCCGAAGTTGCTTATCAGCTTAAGGAGATGTTTAAGCTGAGGTGACGGGGTTTTATAAATATACAATCATGCCATCTGCAAACAATTTAACTCAAGATGGAATAAAGACTTACATGTAATAGCTAAAACCATAAAAACCCTAGAAGAAAACCTGTTTTCCTAATTGAATACCCTTTATTTCTTTCTCTTGCCTGATTGCCCTAGCCAGAACTTCCAATACTATGTTGAATAGTAGTAGCAATGTTTCAAAAATGAGTTGGAACTTATCCTGCTTTCTGAAACAGAATGTATTAAACTAGTCTTCAATTTTGTGAGGGCAGGAATAGTGTCTGTTTTATTCCTATTACATCTTTAGTACCTAGCTCTGTGTCTATTACACAGTACGTGTTCTATAAACATTTGTTGAATGAATCCATGAATAAACCAAAAATCACATCTAAATAGAACATAATGAAGTGTAAAGCAGTTATTGTGTTTTTGATGATCTCATATCAAGTCAGTGGAGAGCTTGAATTGTTTGTGGTCCATCTCCATCTTCACTTTGTCTTTTTTTAAAACTCATCACTCTTCCCTGGATCTTTGTGGAAGCACTTACTTAGCTGTAAATCCACAGTTTCTAAACTCAGCTAAATCCAAGTTAAGATCCATCTAAACCCCATCTGATTTGTGTGGCCTTCTGCACTTTGGATTATTTTTCTAAGTAAAAGGAAACCATTTGCTTGGTGACAATCCACTGATTTAAATATACCTTCAGGTATGGATTTCCCATAAACTCAGTAATCAGCCCAGCCTATTTGTTTGGCTTTTAATTTTGAAATTTATCAGCTCTTTTGAGCCATTCACAGATTTAAGCTTATTCTTAATTGTTTCATTTTTATGCTTACCCCAAACATAGTAAATCTTAATGGCTGTGCTTCCAACAATAAGAGGGAAGGTGGTAGTTGAAGGAAAAGCATTCAAAACACATTAAATTAGCAACAATATAATAACATTTCCAAGCTGTTCATAAGAGGTTTTATTGACTTTCAAAGAGTAATTGTACTGAGACATTTATTGAAGGGACCTTCCAGATGGATACATTCTCCCCACCTTAACTTATTGTCATAACATGTTTTCTTCGTCCATCTCTGAGTCATTCAGAACTGTGAAAATTCTGTTTTACCACTTTAATTACAGAACTGGTTGACAATGTATTCTTTTGTTTGGCAGTATTACCAACTCTCTCTATTTGTTTGTGGCTCTTTGAGAAAGACATTTTAATAAGGTCAGATTTGCAATTTAAATGAACTTTAATATTTCTTGCAAAGTCTAGGGCTGCTCATTTATGCGAGGGGTGAACATGGTGGAAATTTGTGGTTTAAAAATACATTCTCCTGTTTTCTTTTCCAAATGGTGCATCTCAGGTGATAAACGCTTTTCTTCAGGAAAGGGAAGAAAATCCTAATCAGGGAAATAAATCATGACTCTAAATGGTGTTTTTAATACTGTATTTTTCTGCTTCTCCCATTAAAATCTCTTCCCTGAGCCCCTATTGTATTCATAAATAAATATCACTCAGTCACTATCAAATGGGGTGAACTCTTTGTTCTGCTTCTCTCCTTATAACACACAAACAAACAAGCAAAACAAAAATGAAGACAATTCCCTGAGCTTTAATGAGTGACTATCTGTTGAATTTAGCTAATCATACTTGATAGAAAGAGCTTTAGGCAAAGAATCAAGCCCTGTACATTTACCCATCAAAAGAATCTGTAACTGAGAGTGTCAGGCAGGCCACTTTATGTTTGAATCCCTTCAACACAGTTTTCTCTGGGAGGGGTGGATGTTAGATAAATTATTTTGTTAATTTGCTGAGATGTTGTTTTTTGGTTGGAGTGCTATCCTTTCCCTGGCTTGAACTCTGCTGTCCGCTTAATAAGAGCTCTAAAGATGCTTATTGGAAACACAATGAGGAATAAAACAAGGGTTAGAAGATTGGAAGGAAACTAAGTAGTGAGGTTTTCAGCCACCCATGTTGTAATATTTGACAACCTTGGAATAGGATGACTTTCATGTATTTTTTAAAGCAAGGTAAGACTAAGATTAGAGATGAGTTATATAATTTTTCTATTGTCTTGAAAGATACAAATTTGTCTGCAGAGACATAAGTCTACCAGGAGCTAAATCTCAATGAAATGATAATCACTTATTCCTCTTTCTTCCTTCCCTCTTTCCCTCCCTCCTTCCCTCCTTTCTTTTTCTTTCTTTCCCTTTCTTTCTCTTTCTTTCTTTCTTTTTCTTTCTCTCACTTTCTTTCTTTCTCTCTCTCTTTTTCTTTCTTCCTCCCTTCCCTTCCCTGCCCTTCCCTTCCCTTCCCATCCCTTCCCTGCCCTGCCCTTTCTTTCTTTCTTCTTTCTCTCTTTCTTCTTTCTTTTCCTCCCTCCCTCCCTTTCTTTCTTTTTCTCTTTCTTTCTTTCTTTCTTTCTTTCTTTCTTTCTTTCTTTCTTTCTTTCTTTCTTCCTTTCCTTCTTTCTTTCTTTTCTTTTCTTTTTCTTTCTTTCTTTCCTCTCTGCTTCCCTACATCCTTTCCTTTCAACAAATTACTATATTCAGTTCTACCTATGTAAAAGACTCCTTGTTCTTTTGAGCTGGGTAACCCTCAGGCTACCATCTTGTCTCTCTCCTTCCTTGCACAGCCATGTCTCATAAAAGAATAGCCTCAATTTCCACTTACATTTCCCCACCTCACACTTACTCTTCAATCCAAACGAACTCCATGTCCACTTATGACATTTTGCTGAAAGTCTTCCTGCCAAGTTTGGCCAGACTCTCATAGTTGAAAATCCAATGGACACACTCTCTTCTTGGTTTGTGTGACTTCTCTTGACAATAGGCCTTGTTTTCCCCTTCCCCCTTCCTTATACTTGTTCTCCCCACCTATTATGTTTTGGTCTTACTTATGAATCTGGCTATTTCTTCATAGTTTCTTTCAAGAAGAAAGAAACATTAAATTTTGAGACCTCAAATGTTGGTGTTTCCCAAGGTGCTCCAGTATCCTCTGCCCCTCTCACCCATATGCTTTCCTTGGTGACCTCATTCGTGCTCAGGGCTTTTGCTTACATGCTGCAGGAGAAATAGTACCATGTAGAATCTGAGCTGTGGTGAGACAGGATTCCCACTTGTTCCCATGGTTGCCACCTTTATGAAAGACCCACAAATCCATTCACCCAAATCAGAAACCTGAGTTCTAATCCCTTTCCCTCACTTACCTCACATCCAATTAATAAGTCACCACTTTCTGGCTCCTTACAACCTTTCAAATACAACTCCCCTTCCCCATTCCTCCTGTCCTTGTCTTAGTCCTGATTATTTATTCTCACCTAGATTCCTCCTTACTTCCAATGAGGTCTCTAGTTGCAGAGCCATCCTCCACCTATATCTAGCTAGAACTTTTGAAAACATGAAATCTGGACACTCTCCTGCTCCAAACTTCCAAGGTTCCCCACCTCCAAAGAAAACACTTTTGATATAAAGTCCAAATTCCTTTAGCTCTCTCTTTTTTTGTTTTTTTGAGACGGAGTCTTGCTCTGTCATCCAGGATGGAGTGCGGTGGTGTGATCTCGGCTCACTGCAACCTCTGCCACCCGGGTTCAAGAGATTCTCCTTCCTTAGCCTCCTGAGTAGCTGGGATTACAGGTGCCCACCACCATGCCTGGCTAATTTTTGTATTTTAGTAGAGACGGGGTTTCACTATGTTGGCCAGGTTGGTCTTGAACTCCTGTCCTCAAGTGATCCGCCCACCTCAGCCTCCCAGAGTGCTGGGATTACAGGCATGAGCCACCATGCCCAGCCTAACTCTCTTTTTTATTGCTGTCTTTTTAAATGTAATTGTCAAAAAAATGCAAAGAACTTGGTCTGTATGATACTGAGTCTATGGAATTTGTTGAGATCCCATTTTGCAAAATTGTCCGGGACAATTTTTAAAATTAGATCAATGTATGCTTGAAAAGAATAGTTTCCTGTAATTGTTTTTATTGATAAAGATTAGAAGTCACTTTAATTTTTCAATCTGGGAACTTAAACTTCTTCAATCCTAGGAAATTCATTATTGCCTTTCCCCTGTCTTTATGTTCTCCTGTAAATTAGAGTTATTAGATATAAATTAGATGGTTTCATTCAATTCACTCCATTTTTGACCCTCTTGTTTATATTGCCCATCTCTTTAGATGCCTGTGCACATCCTGCGTGGTTACTGAGCAATGCCTTCTAGTTCATTAATCTGTTGTTTAATTTGCCCACCGCATCTTTCATTTCATTGCCTGTGTTTTGCATTTTTGCAGTCTTATTAGATTCTATTAGAAATCCATTTTTTTAAAAAAACCTAATGTTCTATTCTAACATTTGTTATTTATTTTTTTGTTTGTTCTCTTTAATGATTTTAAACATACCAATTATAGTTATTTAGGTATTGTAGGCACTTACTGTTCTTGGAGTGCCAGTTCTACTGTTTATTGCAACTGCTGATTCTGCTTAGGATGGTATATGTCTTGGGATTTTAAAGTTTTGATTATGAACTTATTTCCAGTGGCGGTTGTTTTTCTGTGGAAATGCTGTATATTTGATTGTGACAATCACCTTCTTTTTTTCCTAGAGGACCCAGAAGTTTCACTGTTCCATGACCAGTTTGATGTTAATTTCCCTGTTTGATATTTCTGAACCATGTATCTAAAGTGAATTTGAATCCCACACTTGTCATAGTACAAGCTGGGTGGTATGATTTTTCTCATAGAAGACATTATCCCCCTCCCAGAACTAGTGTGGCAGTGACAAAGAGGCAGAAATCCAAACTACTTAGCCTAGTGAACAAGACACTTCCTCACCTGGCTGCTGTCCCCTCTGTAGTCCCAGCCTTTGTTTCTCCTACACACAAGCCCATCTCTACTTCCACATCAAACTTCAAGGACCCTGCTTCATCATACCACTGGGCCAGCTTATACTGCTCCTAATATCTGGAATGCCATTTTCCCTTTTCTTTCTCTACTGGGTGGCTACACATTCCTTAAAGTGCAGATTGGATGTCATCCCTCTTCGAAATCTTCAGTTGACTCTCTAGAAAACTGATGTTGACACACTCAGATTGGGATGGAGAAAGAGTATGGACTCCACAGATGTTTGAATAGTAGTATCAGTAGCATATTGGATTAAAGGAGAACTAGGATTCAGAAAATTTTCCATATCTTTAGTGTGAACACTGTAGTGTGCAGTGATATTGTTAATTAAGATAGGGAATCACACAGAAAATGGAGTCAGGCAGGGGTAGATTTTGGAAGGGGATGAAAATGACCTTGGCTTTGAACATATTGCTTTTGAAGTGTGTACTGGTGGATGTAGTTAGGAGTCATTGGAAAATGTCAGTCGGAGGTCAGAGGAGAGGTTGATGCCAGACAGTAGTTATTGCCATGTAAGTGGTGGTTGAAGCTGTGGAAATAGAAGAGCTTCTTTAAAGGGACGATGAAGTATAAAAGGAGAAGGGGCAAGGGGCAAGTTCTGGAGTGGACTAAGGTATAAAGGCAAGCAGAGGGACAAAAAAGGAGGAAGGAGACAGAGAAGGGTATTCAAGGACACCAGAGGAGAGCCAGAGGAGGGCCAGGGGAGAGTGTCCTGCTAGAAGGCAAGGGAGAAGGGAATGTCAGTAAATGAAACAGGTTCAACTGGGTTAAATTCTACATGTATATGATTTGTCTTTGTATGGGTTCCCTTATGCCACCTTTCACTTAGTAAAGTGCTATAAAATTATGCATTCATGAATGAATTCATAAAGGGCATAAAGAGCAAAACTTCACACAGGATTTGGAAACATTGTTCAACAGGTCAATTCTAAAGACAGACTAAATTACACACCTCCTCAAAGCCATTTATGCCTCTTGAATGAAACTCAAGCTCAGCCTGACCTTCAAGGCCTTCCAGATCCCAGCCCCACTCATTTCCTGTAATGGCACTTGTTCAAGTTCAGGCCACTTCATCCGCCTGCTCACTGTTCTCTGAGTGGTTCCAGAGTCGACATGGACCAACACCCATCCAGCTGCAAAACTTTCCTCCCCATCTCAACTTCCAGATTGTTCCTTTAAAATTGACCTCCCTCATGAAGCCTAGAAGGATTTTCCAAGACCAGTTGTGGTCTCTTCATCCTCTGAATTCTCACAGTCTCGTGTCTGCAATACCAATTGCACCATATTTGGCAGTGTGTGTGTGTGTGTGTGTGTGTGTGTGTGTTTTATGTATATTTGTGTCATATGAGGTTTCCCATCTTAACTCTCACTCCTGGAGGGCAGACACAAAAACATGTTCATCTTTGGGAGCACCAAAATGTCTAGTACCATGACTTGCATGTTGATATTTGATACACAGCTGAAAAATAAATGAATGGGTGAATGTGAAGGTGAAGTACTTTGATCTCATTACAGGATCTGGGATCAAAGTATGTGTGGAGTGTGCCAAGGTGGCCCTAGAGAGTCCAGCAGATCAAGAAGTGGCCCCAGACCACAGACATCACCATGGGGACAACCATGTCCCCTGGCAAGACTTAGGCTTGAAGATTTGAGTTCAAGTGAAAACCATATACTTCACGTACCAGAATGAGAGAGGCTCATTTGAGATTTTCTATGGTTCAGCCCTGGCAAAAGTTCAGTCACCATGAACACAGTCACAGTGCATTATAGGTAGCTAGAGGTCAAGAATACATAAACACACTTACATACATGCATAAAGATGTATCCATAATTTTTAAAAAACATATTTGACTCATCTCAGAGTCTCCCAAGGATGGGTTGAGGCCCCACAGCTGTTCATCATGGAGTAGAGGAAAGCCAATGTGAAAGCTCATTTTATGTGTCAATTTGACTGGGTCATGGGGTACACAGATTAAACATTATTTCTGGGTGTGCCTATGAGGGCGTTTCCAGATGAGATCAGCATTTGAATCAGTTGGCTCAGTAAAGTTCATGGCTCTCCCCAGTGTGGGCGGGCATCATCTAATCCATTAAGGGCTTGAATGGAACAAAAAGCAGAGGGAGGGAGGATTTGTCCCCTTCCTACCTGCCTTGTTGAGCCAGGACAATGGTGTTCTCCTGCTCTGGGACTGGGACTTCCACTGTCAGCTTCTCTGGTTCTCAGGCCTTCAGACTCAACTGCAGCTACACCACTGACTCTCCTGGGTCTCCAGCTACCAGATGGCAGATTGTCAGACTTCTCAGCCTCCATCATTATATGATCCATTTTCTCATAACAAATCAGAGAGGAGAGAGAGAGAGAGAAAGAAAGAGAACCAGAGAAATAGAGCCAATTGGATTATATCAGTTTGTTCTCATGCTGCTAATAAAGACATAGCAGAGACTGGGTAATTTATAAAGGAAAGCAGTTTAATGGACTTACAGTTCCGCGTGGCTGGGGATGCCTCACAATGATGGTGGAAGGCAAAGGAGAAGCAAAGGCACTTCTTAGATGGCGGCAGGCAAGAGAGTGTGTGCAGGGGAACTCCCATTTATAAAACCATCAGATCTCATGAGACTTATTCACTACCACGAGAACAGTGTGAGGAAACCACCCCCATGATTCAATTATCTCCACCTGGCCCCACCCTTGACACTTGGGGATTATTACAACTCAAGGTGAGATTTTGGTGGGGACACAGCCAAACCATATCAAGGATATTGGAACCCTGAATAATATACGAAGCTTACTCAAAAAAGCATTTAGGGCAGCTCTTAACAAATGCCTGCTGCAGTTTGATCTCTGCAGATGTATATGGGAAAACCCGTATCTGTGTCCACCAGGCAGCCAAGTGCTTGTGTAAAGTACTTGGGAGATGTAACTTGGATCATTTCAGAGTGTTTTTTTGGAAATCATTGGAGCCCTACCAAGACCCACTTTGAGTTTTGGTGTAATTCATGATAAGCTGTTCCTTCTCACAAGAGTGTCCAACCAATGGCTGCTTCATTTTCTCTCTCTTCATTTGCTTTTCCCACTCTTATTTTCTCCTTTTTTGTTTTGAGGCAAAAGGGACATTTGGATATAAATTGTTGATGTTCATACTTAGATCTTATTCTCTGTCAAATGCCCTGTCAATGGCAGTGAAGGTGAGGAGTCACAGGCAGGGACAAATGAGCAGAAAGTGCAAAAAAAAACATTCTGACCAGGCACGGTGGCTCACACCTGTAATCCCAGCACTTTGGGGGGCTGAGGCAGGTGGATCATGAGGTCAGAAGTTCAAGACCACGAGGTCAGAAGTTCAAGCCTGGCCAACATGGTGAAACCTCGTCTCCACTAAAAATACAAAAAAATTAGCCAGGTGTGGTGGTGGGCACCTGTAATCCCAGCTACTTGGGAGGCTGTGGCAGGAGAATCGCTTGAACTTCAGAGGCGGATGTTGCAGTGAGCCGAGATTGTGCCATTGCACTGCAGCCCGGGCACCAGTGTGAGACTCTGTCTCAAAACCAAAAACAATAACAAAAAAAACCCCATGATGCTATATGGGCTCAGGTTCTGGATACATTATGATGTTTAAACAGCAGATTTCTAGACCTAGTCACCTGCATTTGGATTCATTTATGTCCCTAAAGCAGCATTTAGGGTCACTAGCTGGCAGTGAGGTACATTGGCTGGAGTATTTCACAGTGTATACTATCTGCACCCGGGGATGAATTAATGAGGAAATTCCAAGATAGAGGGGGTAGATAGGCCGGAAGGAGCACCCTAAAACATGACGTTTTATCCATAAGCAGCAAGGCTGGTGGAGGCACCTACCTACCTCATAAAAGCTGCCAGTCAAGGAGAAAAGGAATTGCTTTTTAAAATTACTTCATATATTTGTAGAGACCATAGAAGTCCATGCTAACAACAAATACATTCACTTATTTTTTCAAAAGAGGAATGATCCTGGGATTACCTCTAGTAAGTTTAAGTGTATGGAGGAAAATAGCCCGGAACATCTAAGAAGTAATGGAATCATCAGTGAATAAGCCGCTTGGTGTTGCCACGAATAAATCATCCAGGAGCAACCTGAAAGCTATTTAAAATTCATAGTGAAAGGGAACAAAGTCCCTGCAATACATCTTGATTTTGGTAATGCATTTGATACCACATCACAAAATTTTACTTATGAAATTAACTGACACTGGCTTGGATGTGAACAATGTCATAGGGATTGATAATTTTCAGGGGGTCTGTAAACAAGGCATGGTGATGAATAGCATGACATCCAGCAAGGGGTAGTTGATTAGTAGGGGTGCCAAAGAGATTGGTGTTAAGCCTGATCATATGCAACAATGTTATTAATGGTTTCCAGGACAAAGCAAAGAGAATGTTAATGAAATTTGCAAATTATACAAACTGGGGTGGTGCTGGAATAAATCCAATAAGAATGATGGATAGAATTTATTCCAAGAGATATAGACAGGCTCAATATATGGGTAATAAACAGCAAAATGAGATTCATTTTCAAAAAAAATGCAAACTGGGAGAGATCAGGTGACAAAATAAAAGAAAAAAATGATTCCTATAAGGGCACTAACAACTCACTTAATTTGCAAGATGCTCCAGGGTCCTTTTTAGTTGGTACCAGTGTAGCTCTTTATCTCTTTTTTTCCATCATCCTTTCCTCTTTGTTGCCATACACCTCACATCCTTTTCTGTAACCTCCTTTACTGGTCCATGCCCTTTCTCAACTCTATGCTTTTGCAAATACCGTTCCTTTTCCTTTCATTTCCATGTGTAAAACCTGGTGCATTCTCTAATACCCTGCACATTGTTCATCTTCCTTGATATATGGTTCTCTCCTCCCCTAGAAAGCCACTTTCTCCACTGTAAGGCTATCTTGCTTGGTAAATGCTTTTATTGGGGCTCTGTAATTGCGTTATGACCTTGGAGAGGAAGTAAGGGCAGTGGCTATGTACATGGTCTTCAGGGTCAAACAGAGTCAGGAACCAGGATAAGTCTCACATCAACCACTTACAGGTTGCTTGACCTTAGGTGACTTTTTAGATGCTGCCAAGACTCAGTCGTTCCGACTATAATATGGGTACTGTTTCAGGGATTCAATGACATACTGTAAAAAGCTTGGCCAGTTGATGAGCCAATTTTCACTGCCAATCATTGTTCTCAGTAGTAGCCTTTGCTTAAGACTTTTTGTTTTTGTAATCCATTAACTCTTCAAGGGCAGGGAATTTGGTGGTTTTAAAAAATATTCCTCCTAGTCCCAGGCACAGTGTCTGATGCATAGTAGGCTTTTCAGGGAGCTCGTGAGTAGTACATTAGCATGGTTTTTTTTCTGAAGCTATTAGAGCCATTTCTTTGGCTATATGGATTTTGGGCTCAGTGGAAACATGGAGAAGCTAGATAATTTACATGTATTTTCAATTTCTTTTACAGGTGTTTCCAAGGGAAAGCATGTGGCATTTCACCTGAGTTATGTATTGTTTCAAACATCCAGTGGAGGGTTTCTGGTATCTCTCTTGAACTCTGGTGAGCTCATGTCTGAAGCAGTTTGGTGAAGTGTGAGCCAGATGTAGCCAGATGGGTTGGGAGCTACAGAGGGGGCAGGCAAAAGTGATGTGAAGAATGCTCAAAGGGCCAGCCCGTCTGATTTATAAAGAGAAGCATTGAGGGTGTAAAGGCATGTATACAAATAACTGCAGTTATCCAACACATGGGGACCCTGAGGAGGAAGCAGGATCTTGGCAGTTTATAACACTTGGAATTAACAATTTGGACAACAACTAAAAAGAAAAACATGAATCCAATATTTCTGATGCCAGTAAAATCTCCTTGGCTCTGGAATAGTCATTTTCCGTGAAGTGCAGCCCTCTCACATGCACAAACTTGCTGAAAACAAAACGATGAAGCACCAGGAAGCTGACAGCCAGTCATTTTCTGACACAATGGTATGTGTTGTCTGATATGCTGGAAATCACTCCAGCCTGCCTGTATTTGTTCACCAGCCCCAGCCTCTGTCTCCCACACATCTGCCAGAAACTTAGTATTAGTCAGTTTTTGCTGAGAAACAAACATCTCAGCTGATGCTGTGTGACAAACATGGGCCAGCAGGTCAGCCGCAGTTTGGCTGATCTAGGCTGAATATGGCAGGGCCAAGCTGGACTCCAGTTGGGTTCAGGTTGACTCGTGCATCCTTGGGACATGCTGTCCTCATGGGAGATCATAGGACTGTAGGCCATCAAGCCAAATCACACAAACCCATTTGAAGCCTCTGCTTGTATCACATCTGCTAATAGTCCACTGGCCAAAGCAAATCACATGGCCAAGCTCAACAACAAAGAGGCAGGGAGGTATAGGCAGCCTACATTATATTTATTGGGAAATAATGTAAATGGCAATGCTTAAGATACCCCTCATTCTCTCCAATATGGTGACTTCAAGGAAAGGTGATTTTCAAGCTTTATCTTGAAAATATCAAGCATGGCAGTGCTTAAAATACTCCTCTCCAATATGTCAATACCTGGCAATGCTTAAGACACCTGGCAATGCTTAAGATAACCCTCCTTCTCTCCAATATACTGATTTCAAGGAACTGTGATAGTCAAGCTTTATCTTGGCATTAGCACTGGGTGTAGGCTGCAGAAGAATCAGTATCTCAGACAAATGGAATGGTATATGGAAACACACAGAAGTTTCAGGAGGTTTCCTAGGTTTTAACTTACATTAAATCCATGTGTTTAGCCTATACTAGTCGAGGGGAGGGGTCGAAAAACAGGGGCCAGCACTCAGTTGGTGGGAAGAAAAATGTCCCTGTTTGATTTAGGACCTGGGTAGATCAATGGCCCCTGAGAACACCTCGAAACTCATTTTGCTCTTCCACAGCCTCATCCACTGTGTTCCTGCCCTGCTGACCTCCTTTCTGTCTCTTGTCACACTGAACTCTTTCTTTCCTCAGGACCTTTGCACGTGCAGTCACCACTGTCTCAAATGCCCTTCCCTGACTTCTCTCGGTTGGCTCCTTCCCCAGTGTTTGTCCTTCACTTACAGATCTGCCTCCCAGAAAAACCTTTCTTGATTGCCTGTGTTGGATATTTTCTAAATGCACTTGAAATCCACTTTTCACCCTGTCCTGTGTTCAGAGAGGCATTGACAGTTCTTCATGACTCCAGTTTCTTCTTGGGGGCAGAAGGTCAGAGGCTGGAGAGAAGTCAGGGGGTTTATCCCCTGGACTCCCTCTCTGAAGAGTCATGTTGGTGGCCTCTGTACCTCTACTGAAAGCTTCTGTCAAGAGGATGCTCTCTGCCACCTCAGCTTCCTCCTCTCATCCTTTGAGGTTGGAAAAGACTCTCAGCAATTGCTAGCTTTTCTTTTGCTTCCCTCCAAGGACCCTCGCTATTTCTTGCTGGTTTCCCTCAATCCTCTACACACTTTTTCACTGAACAGTCTTTCTCTAAGTTACAACATTTGAGATTGCCATCTCTTCCTGCCAGGGCCCTAATTAACACACGACCCTATCTAAATATGTCTCTCCATTACTCTCCTTCACTGACCCTTATTTTTTTCTCCATGCACATAGAGTTATATAATTGCAAACTTTATTTATTTACTTGTTTCCTGCATGTATACCTTGGTGACTGTGAGTTCCATGAAGATAGGGACAAGGCTTGTTTTATTTACTGCTACGTGCTCTTCATATGGTACTTGTATGTGGCTCAAAAATATTTGTTATATGAGCATAAAAACAAATGAATGGATAACAAGATACCAATCAGGTTCCCAGATAAGAAATTTCTTTAGTTGAGCAATTGCTATTTTTCCAGGTATTATGTCCATGCATTACTTCATTTACAATACCCTAGAGGTAGATGTAATTAATGTCTCTGTCATATAAACAGACTTTGAGGAGACTGAAACTTTGAGAGCTTAAATAGCTTTCTAGAAGACATACAGCTAGCAGGTAGTTGCTCAAGGATTTAAACCAAGTTCTGTCTGACTCCAGTTGCCCTGCGTTTAATCACTGCACTGACCTAAATGGCTGGGCATTGGAAGGTAATATAGGGCCTGGTAGCCGTTTCCAATCTCTCATTTAGCTGCAATGGAGAATGTAACTAATAGTTGGATCAAGACTCCTGGTCCCTCCAGGACTACCAGGTGGATGGATCAATCAGATTCAGACTGTGCGGCTAATAGAATACCCCCATCATTTATTTTTCTGTTATTAATGAATGATGGAACTTAAGACTGAGGCAGGGTAGTTCTCACCTAGTGGATTCTGCCTCTTTGTTGTCTGTGTGTACTAAGGATATATTTAATAATTTGCTCTTATGTATGTATACGATGTAAAAAGAGGTTAATTCCATACCAAGCAGAACATCTGTCAAAAAATTAGGGCCTTAGTTTTACAAATCCCCAGCCTCCTTTGATTATTGCTGTAACTCATGCAGACAGAAGATAATCTTTAAATTATACAGAACTTCGTGATTAAAATATTTTGCCCCTTTTTATAGTTTGGGAAGAAAGAAGATGTGGCTTTAGAGGCTTGGTGTCAAATTAAGCGATAACAAAGTCATAGAGGAACATAATAAATATGCATAAAGGGGCTAAAAAAAGCATTTCTAATAGGTCCATACCATAGGAATTTGCTATGTGTGAAATTGAAAGACTTCCTAGGGAAAAACCTTGGCCCATTTGCTTTTAAATTCACTTTTTATGCTCTTTTACTTAAAAAAAAATATTTTAAGCTCCATTATCCCCTTGCAAAGGAATCTGATCAAAGGAATAATCTCAGAGCTCTGGAGCTCCCAAAATGCTTGCCTGGAGAATGCCTTTACTGAGGACAGGTGCCTTCTGAAACCCCTGCCAGCCCAGGGTTAGGGAGGGAAGCAGCCTTGTTCTGATATTTTTCTCCAAAGACCAAGGCTATAGCTGCCCCTAGACATAATCAATCAATGAAAAGAACTCAGAAATATTTATTAAGACTATCTAGGCTAGGCTTAGCAGGTGAGAGAATGAAAGCAACAGGTCTGAGAAAGCTTATGATTCGGCTGGAGAGACTGGGCACACCTGTGTTGTAATGGGCAGTACTGCAGATTTGTTCAAAGTGTAAAATCTGGGGAGTTCTGAACACAAAAGTAGATTGCACAATGGGGGTGACTTTTAGGGTACATGGGGATTACATCCAGTTGTAATCTGTGATCCAGAGTGGCAGAAAGGAAGTCAAAGGCTCTTCAAGTGGAAGAATGTCACTAGCAAAGGTTTGGAATTTGGTCTGCAGCGACTAAAACTTCTAGCTGGAGTGAAGGCAGTAGAGAGGCTAGAAAGTGTTCTCAGAGTAGATATAAATTCTGCTGCTGTCTTTGCTGCTTATAAGACTCATGTCCTTGGTTTTTCCTTCAACTCTCAATTTTCATCTTCCCAAAATACTAAGAGGAGGAAGGAATGCTTAGAAGAAACAATAGAGAATGAAAAACAAACCTTTTATTTTTCAGAACAGTCTGTCTAAATCTGTGCAAGAAAGCTTGCAAATTTGCGTATGGTTCAACCTGTTTGCCCAAGATTTATAAGAATAGTGGAACTACTCCCTTGGAGAAGCAAAGCTTCCAGAATTTTTCTGCATATTATATAGGTATTTTGGTAACTTTGTGTCATTTCGTTAGCTTTAAAAACTTAGGAGGTGTTGTGGATTTATTTAATGTTTCTTCCATCTTAATCCAAACATTAAAGTTTTGGGAAAGTGCTTTAGTTTATTCAGATAGCTCCAAAAAGTACATATAGACACTAAGAAGGGAACAAAAGACACTGGAGCCTACTTGAGGGGAGAAGGAGGGAGGAAGGGGAGGACAGGAAAACTACCCATCAGATACTATGCTTATTACCTGGGTAGTGAAATAATCTTACACCAAAACCCTATGAGACGCTATTTACCTATGAAACAAACCTTCACTTGTTCACCTGAACCTAAAATAAAAGTTAAGAAAATTTTCAAAAAGACATTTAAAGGGTCATCTGAGTTTTGCTGAAGTCTGAGAATCTGAGTGATGTAAAGGACAACTCAGTAAACAGACTTGACTCTCAAGATAAATACCTCTTCATTTTGTTTGAGATCTTTCATGAAACAGGTTGATTTTTGACTCTTGTGAATCAGATCACATTTATATAGCAACAAAGAAAACAAATGAGCTCATATAACCCCTATATTTTTCATCTCACAGACCATGAGCTGAATTTTTACCGCTAATATGTTGCTGAAGTTTGCCTATTTTATTTTTTTCTAGAGGCAAGGGAGTGAGAAAATAATGATTTATTGAGCTCCCTCTCCATGCTCTGTACTCGGGGCTTTGCAAGTGTTTTCTCATTTAGTTCTCAGTATGACAATCAAGGCAGACATCACTTTTATCATCTATAAAATGGGATAATAATAATGCCTCTGTCTCTGAGATGCTATTAGGATACAACAAGATAATGTGTATATAGTACTTAATGTCTTTCTCATAGCTATAACCATTATCATTATTATGACCATTTTAATTCTATTTACCTCACTAAGGTTATTCAATCAGTAGAAGCTAGGATTAAAGCATTCTTATAAAAAGGCCCCAAATGACCCATGTCTGTAAATAAGATGGGAAATTAGTTGGCCTATTTATTACCACTTATGTGTAAGAAGTAAGCATATATTCAAACACTCCTTAAAAATTTGGTTGGATTTGGATAAATTGGAATTTATTTGGAGAATACCTAGTGCCTAAATCTTGGTTTCTAGTACTATTCTCCAATAAAAGGAACCAAGGCTCTCTGGATAAATGGCTTATTCTAGGACTGGAGAGGAGACACAGAGAATGAGCATGGGTCACCTTGTAGCATTAGAAAGCCAGGGAGTGATTAGAAAACAAAGCAAAAGAAAAAAACCCACACCATTATGATGAGAATGTGTCAAAGGGACACAGCCAACTGAAAGAACTCCCAATGGCCAAAGCTGGAACAATATGAAAAAAAAATAACTAAAGTACTATTGGATCATAATGCAAAGCTTAAAATAAATATTTATGGGCCCATACTGACATATATAAATGATTGATTAAATAAATGGGGAAGAAGAGACAAATTGCCCACAGAGAAGAATTCAAAAAATTTATATAGATTCTCTGTCCTGAAGGAGGTAGGTGGAATATATAGCTTCTCATTCCCTAAGTGTGGGCCATGCACGGTGACTTCCTTCCAAAGACAACAGTATGGAAATGTGGGGAAAAGGAGGATTTTACAGTGGAGAAACTTGACAAACATTACTCCAGCCAGGTGATCAGGGCCAACATCAACAGTGATAAGTCATGCTAAGAGCAACGATGTGAGATAAATGGCACTTGACTTTTGTGGTCTTCCTTCAAAAACCTGTAACACCACCCTAACCATCAGCCAAACATCGAACAAATCCCAGTTGAGTGACATTCTATAAAATACCTGACCAGGACTACACAGAATCATTAAGGTCATAAAAAACAAGGGGAGTCTGAAAATTTATCACAGCCAAGAGGAACCTAAGGAGACATGGTCCAGTGTGGTGTCCCGGATGGGATCCCAGAACAGAAAAAGCACATAAGATAAGAACTAAGGGAATCTGAATAAAGTATGGGCCTTAGTTAGTCATAGTTTACCAATATTGTCCCTTAATTTTAACAAATGCACCATATAAGATGTTAGTTTTCGAGGAAACTGCATGTGGAGTATAGGGAAACTCCATATCATTTTCATAATTTTTCTGTAAATCTAAAACTGTTCTAAAAATATGAATTATTTACACATAAACTCTCTTCAGTCCATTGTGAGTTTTTCTGAATTCTGCTTTGAAGGTGAAGCAGCAAGAGAAAAATGTGGCATGGAAGCAATAGTAATTATTTTTCTTTTTAGGTCATGCTTTGTAAATAAAGAGTATCATATATAGTTAAAGCTAAGTAACTTGTAAAAGAAAAGTTTTTATTCCCCACATATTGTTGATGGGGGCTATGCTGAGAAGAACAAGAGCCTTTGTGAGGCCTGGGTTTGAGGCCCTGCTTGAATCCCTTATTCTCTCAGGGCTGTTATTTGAGTAAATGGAGTCATGGCTGTGAGAGTGATTTGCAGTCTGCCCCTCGCTTAACACAAGTCATAGCATTCCCGTATGCAAGAAAGGAGTTTAGGAATTCCAGAGAGGAGCTGGGCCAGATTGTTATAGCTATCAGCTCCCTGAGTAAGAACCCTGAACTTTGTTTCATGGACAGATGGAATTTGTGGTTGAGCTTTTTGAGCAGGTGGATGTCATGGTCAAGATATGCTTAAGTACAAGTTTGCTTGGGAATGTGAAGAGGGCAGAGGCAGTGGAGGAAGGGGAGCTCTGGGCCAGTGATATAGTTTGGGTATTTGTCCCCTCCAAATCTCATGTAAAAATGCAATCCCATGTTGGAGGTGGGATCTGATGGGAGGTATTTTGGTCATGGGGATGGATCATTCAGGAACAGCTTGGTGCCATCTCCACACTAATGAGTGAGTTCTCTATTAGTTACTGTGAGGTCTGATTGTTACAAACAGCCTGGCACCTCCTCTTCTCTCTCTTGCTCCCTCTGATACCATAAGACATGCCTGCTCCCATTTTGCCTTCTGCCATGAGTAGATGCTGGTGCCATGCTTCTTGTACAGCCTGTAGAACTGTGAGACAAATAAACCTCTTTTCTTTATGAATGACCCAGCTGCAGGTATTCCTTTATAGTAATGCGAAATGGACTAATACAGCCAGTGTGCTAACCTTGAAGAGAAAGAAAGGAAGGATACCTGTGCGGGAAACCTCACTAAAGAAAAGTCATAAGGGGTTATCTGGGGACCATAGATAAAAGAGGAGGAAAAATCATAGATAACCTTAAGGAGGATAAATGGAAACACATTAAAAAGAGAGGAGAGTGTATTGTGGGAGAGGGTGAGTTCAGTTGTAGGCAAGTTGAAAATTAAGGTGCTGTTGGGACATTCAAGTAGGAAAGTCCTGTGGACATTTGGCTGCAGGGCTGTAACTGCAGAGGGAGACTGGAAATGTTGCTAAGGGGTGGTGATACAGAGAGATGCACAGAAGTAATGACTCTGGTTGTATAAACAGGGAGTGCTCTCAGAAAGAGAGAGAGGACAGCAAAAGTCAAGGCAGTACCCACTGAGGGAGCCTCACACTGGGAAGACAGAGGAAGTGGAGCTTCATGAAACAGTTTGTTTCATGGCTCTATAGTTCTCTCCACGTCAGAAACCTAGCAGGGTCACCACATATTTCTTGCCACTGCCTTACTGAGACTGGTTAAATCTGGCCCATGAATAGCTGGAAAGTGTAGCCATCCAGGGGGTCTTGTCCAAAGTGAGCCCCCAATTCCCATCAGGATGGTCATTGTTTTGCTTCGGAGCCTAATTTCCATAAGGGTTCCATTAGAGGGTGACAAATCATAGGGCCACCATATATTTTATCCAAACCAGGACGCCTTGAGAGGGAAATGCAACTCTATCTTATCCAAATCAGGAAACCTTGAGAGTAAAATGCAGCTCTATTAAGAATTATAAAGGGAGCAAGCGAGTAAACCAGGGCTGTCCAGACAACCCAGTATGCAGACGCCATCTACATATCAAGACCTTCATAGCGCCAAGGAAAGTTTTGCCCAAACCATCTCATTTCTTTCAGGATCTTTTGGATGAGCTAATGGCCTGTTTAACCATACTTTCTCTTTTTGTATACTTTGATCCCTGCCTATATTTGCCTGACAATTATTTTTAATAATCTTTCATTTACCCAGGTATCTCAGAGTTGAATATACTTGTGTAGAATCTGAAAACAAAATGAGCATCTCTAACAATTGATTATTTTTCTGTTTCATAAAGAAGTTTCAAAGTGTAAATACTTGGAGGATGGAGAAAGTAGTTTAATGTGTGGGGATGGAAGACATACATCTAGAATATTTAACGGGAAGAAGGTAATGAGTGCAGGAAAGGATGTTGGTTTTCTCTTTTCCCATTTTGTCAAAGTCTCAGACACTTTCAACTTGTAAAGCACGGGTATAATTATTTTCTGATAATTCACAAAGTTCCCACCCAAAGCTTCCTTTATGCAGCCCCATATGTTACACTCAGCCATGTTTCATGGACTACAGTTGGTATAGCCATTACCATAACACATGCCAACCCTGAAGGGAGCTGACTGCCAAAAATACATGGAATAAGCAGAGCTGACAGTGTGCTGACAAACCACAGGGACATGTGGAATGGATAACAGCTTTGCGGATTGCCCTTTTCTGCAGTGAGGCATACCTCCAGTTGCTGAATGATGACTTTAATGTAGAATCTCCTTTCATTCCTCATAAATTGCACTATATTAGAGGAAAGAGAGTGAAGCAGGACCTTAAAAAGTGAAGTGCCTCCAAGCACTGCCCTTGCATGAGAGCTCGCCCCACAGGTTGGGTACCTTTGATGCGTCCCGATGGGGTCAGAATCAGAAATTTACAGTTACTGGCAGGCAGGACGGTTGCACTTGGAACTTTGTGTAATTTGGTAGCATAATCTATGGATCTTTCCGGGGTCAGAGGTGACTCTATTTCCTATGCCGCGTTTAATACACATGTAGACAGCCTGGATGGGACTTGGTTTCAATAATTTGGGCTATTAGGTGGTTAATAGCTCTCATTTTGTAAGATGGTATGATGGTCAATTTTATGCATCAACTTGACTGAGCCACAGGGTGTCCAGACATTTGGTCAAATGTTATTCCAGTGTGTCTGTGAAGGTGCATCTGAATGAGATAGCATTTGAATATATGGTAAAGCAGATTACCCTCCCTAATGTGGGTGGGCCTCACTCGATCAGATGAAGGCCTGCACAGAACCCATAGGGTAAGAGGAAGCCCCTCTTGCCTGTCTTTCCGCTGGGACATGGGGTTTGTTTCTGCCTTCAGACTCTAAGTGAAACATCAACTCTTCCTCTGGGTCTTAAACTTGCTGACTACAGCTCATCTTATTATTTCAGTTTTTCTGGAGAACCTTGACTAATGCAGATGGTTTTAGTTTGCTAGGCCTGCCAGAAAAAAGCTTAAATGACAGGAACTTATCTTTTTTTTGCAGTTCTGGCGGCTAGAAGTTCAAGATCAAGATGTTGGCAGGACTGGTTCTTCCAGGCTTCTCTCCTTTGCTTATAGATGACCACTGTCTTCTTGCATCCCCACATCATCTTCAATTCTGTATATGTCTATGCCCTAATTTTCTCTTCTTATAAGGATACCAGTCACACTGGATTAGGGCCCACCCCAGTGACCTATTTTAACTTAATTATACCTCTTTAAAGACCCTAGCTCCACATATAGTCACATTCTGAGGTACTGAGGGTTGACTTCAACATAGGAATTTAAAGGTAGGGGTAGGGACACAATTCAGCTCGTAGCTAAGACACTTTGCATGGAGTCCGGAGTCTTTCAAAATCAGGCCTTGATAGTTCAAAAGTAAATGCTGGAAATGACCTACATAGGAAAAAAAAAAGATTTTAATCAGGGTGATTATGAGGTCAAACACCCTTTTCTTTAAAAGTTATCTGCTATTTCCCCTGATGGAAACAGTTGAGAGGATGAGGGTGGTTGAATGACTCTAGGGATACATAGAATGTGAGGAGGGGATATAAAAAGATTGCCTTTAGATTCCTAAATTGTAAGAGGGAAATGGCAGCAGATTGCTCAAGGGCATCTCAACTGTAAAGTAAAGGCTTTTAACTATGTAGTTTTTCTGTGAACTTCCTGTCATAAGATTCTTCTTAAATGGGACACATACATTAACCTCTTGTAATAGGACTCCTTGATCAAAGGTGACAGAAAGCAAAATCTTTCCACTTAAGGACAAAGTGGGAATTTATAGGCAGGAATCTGGGTGTTTTGTGGCAGACATAAATGGTCAAGTGACAGGAAAGAGAGGGAGGCAGCTAGGCTCAGAAATGAGAAGCAGCAGGAATTCGAAGGTCACCAGGGCTTTCTCTTCATCTCCAGTCTTTGCTTCTTGCTGCCTTTGGCTTCATTCATTACTGTTTCCCTCTCCTTTTCTCTCCTTCCTCTCTCTGTCTTCCTCCATTAGGTCAGAACACAACCACCAACAATTCCAAAGCTTTATACCTTAGAGCTTTCACTTACCCAGAGAATCAAGGACTCTCTTTGAGACTCAATCAGTAAATTTTTGGGCAGGACTTTAGTTTGCTCTGATTGGCCCAGGCTGTGTCAAGCATCTGCCTCTAGACCAATCAGTTATGGCCATTGGACAGGCCTTCATTTAACAAAAGGGCTGCTTTCACAGTGGGAATAAGGGGCAGGAGATTGTTATAAAAGAGGGAAGAGGCAGACAAACCTATTGGTGTCCTCTAAACCTTGTGTTAGCAGTTTCTGTATCTTTTAGAAAAATGACTAAATTATCTATGGCTAGAGATACGACTAGATTGTCTATCTAGCTTCATTTGGGGCTGATAGACCTTTAGATAAAGAGTTCAAACAATAAACAATTTGATTTCCACAAATTAGGGAATGTTCTGGGATAGTTTTGATGGGCAATCAGGACACCTGGAAAGTTCCACATTGGAAAAAAGAAAACGAACTAAAAGAACCCAAATCAGCTGCAGTAGAGGTACGATGGGCATGTAACTTTATCACCTAGTACTCGCCATTGAGATGGACAGATGCAGATGGAGAATGAGTTGCCCTTCACACCATACAGACGGCAAAGGTCCTTTTAGTAACAAAGACTGAGGGGTTTTGTACTTTCTTCTCTAAGTCTAAGTGTCCAGAATCACAAGTATAATTCAACGTGTGTTCAGAAAGCAAAACTGCATTAAATGTTTTCAGAAATATACATCTGATGTCTGTTAGGGTGACCTACCACTAGGGTGACCATATGTTTTATTACCCAATCCAGGATAGGTTTTGAAGTGAAAGGGGATGGTATTAACTATTTATGGAGATCAGTTGACCATGTATAGTCACACTGCATTTCAAGACATTCACAGGGCCAAGAGAAAGTTTTTGCCCAAACCATTCCATTTCATTCAGCTTTCAGTCAGGAACGATTCTGCAATAGGACTTTAGGGGTTACCCCAGTATGAAGACCCCAGTTTGAGCATCCAAGGCAACTAGGAGGCCTGGCATAACATGGAGAAAACACACCGGTCTCATTTGGAGAATCACAGGACATTTTATTGTTGCTTGCCATATCATAGAAGCAACTATATGGATGTCTCTAGGCTTGATTGCAGGGCATATACATACAATAAGGCTCCCGATCCCCTTCATTGCAGTTTTCCAAGTTTAGTCCCTTGTTCCCCAATCACCCTAATAGCTTATGGTTCCTGATAAACTTG
Source organism: Homo sapiens (assembly GCF_000001405.40). Classification (NCBI taxonomy): domain Eukaryota; kingdom Metazoa; phylum Chordata; class Mammalia; order Primates; family Hominidae; genus Homo; species Homo sapiens. Next base: position 87,835,970 of record NC_000014.9, on the reverse strand, counting down.
ACACTGGCAAGAGGTGATGGAGGAATGACCTCCTTCTCCCAAATTTGGCCTCGTAAGTCCCATTGTATCATCTTTCTATGAGCCCTAATCAACTTGTGTTCTACCCATAAACACTGAAATGTGCAGGCTATATTTGCTATCATGAGACGGCTTTTGACTTTCCCACGTCCAACATCAAGTCAGACAAATATCAAAATTATGTGTTTTACATCTGGGGAAAGATGATGATGAATGAAAAAAAAGGCCACAGAGAAGTAGTCTATTACACCATTTAATAAACTGGTGCAGAATCATAAAGACTTGTATTAGTCTTGAATGCCAGAGAATAAAAGACTATGACTATCAGCCAGTCTGGCCTTGGTTTCATATCACTATCACTAAAGTACTTGCAGCCTTTCTGTTCTGTTCTTGCTCCTTCCATTGGATTGACCTCATCAGGTTCACTCCACATTGTCTGCAAGTCCCTCACTGCTTTTGGTGAACTGTCTTCCAGGACAGCCAGCTGGGTCAGACACTACCTGGAACTGACATACGGGAATCTACGTGTACATGGGGGGTGCATTTTTTTTAATGTAAAAAGTTGAAAGAAAAAATATCTTCATAAGAATTAATACTAATTATCTAGATTGGATTCCACCATCTAAACATTCTCTACTCATTAACACTTCAAAATACCTTAAACAATATTGAAATAATATTGTATAAGCCATAAAGAAATAATGATGGACTTGTGGAATCATGCTCCCTTTAAAAATGTCAAGTCTAGGCTTTGTAGGAAAATTAAGGGGACATAATAGGGCCAAAAGTCAATGGCCTTAATGGGGAGGGAGTTGGGCATAGGGTTGGCTGTGTATAAAGGTGTCATGGGCATCTAACTCCACCACCTGGTACCCAGCATTGATGTGAACACAAATTGATGGAGGGTGAGGAGTTGCACCTTACATCATATAAAAGGCAAAAGTGAAAAAAGACTAAGGACTTCTCCACTTTCTGCTGTGTCTAAGTGTCCAGAATCATGTGATTGTTTTCTTGGTGCCCACTTTGTAAACTATTGTTTTGTAAACTATTGCTGACATAAGTGGGAGACACAGTTTATAGAAAAGTGCTACCTGTTCAAATTAAGTGGGAAACAGTGTGTAAAGGGTTGGTGAGTCCTATGAAACCCCTGTGTCTGCATTATATGACGTCAGCCACTCACAGAAGCCCCATTGCTGAGTTATGTCAGTGTCACAGCCCCATGACTTTTGAAGAGGTAACTGGGTCTAGGAACTGAGAGCACAGTCTTTGAAGATTGACAGATGCAGTTTCAAATATTCCTTTAGCAATATACTAGACCTGTGGTCTTGGCAACTTAAGAGTTTCTGGCTGTCTCTTTCCTCAGCTACACAATGGAGATATGTGATTTTTATCCATGTAGGGTGTATGGCATGATGCCTGGCACATAGTAAATGCTCAAAAAATGGTAATCATCACTATTATTGTTGCTATTATTATCTTTCCTGTTGCTTATTTTCTTCCACCTTAAGTCTGATATGAGAAATTGCTTTTATTATTATTTTTTAATTTTTGAGACAGGGTCTCACTTTGTCACCCAGGATCATTACAACCTCCGCCTCCCGGGTTCAAGCATTTCTCCTGCCTCAGCCTCCCAAGTAGCTGGGATTACAGGTGCCTGCAACCAAGCCTGGCTAATTTTTGTATTTTTTAGTAGAGATGGGATTTCACCATGTTGGCCAGGCCTCCTGGCCTCCTGACCTCAAGTGATCCACCTGCTTCGACCTCTTAAAGTGCTGAGATTACAGGTGTGAGCCACCACATCAGAAATTGCTTTTAAAACTCAGTTTTACAAAATGCTTTGTCCCCCACTTAGAACTGGTCCACAGAATTATGTAACTGGCCTGGTCTCCTATTTTCCTTGGCATCTAAGAAATTAAGTTAAATTGGAAATTGCGGCCATTAGGCTGATCTACATGCCTCACTTGTTATGCTCTATTGTTCCATGACTTCTACTTTATATTTTCCTGAGTAAAAATTTACTACTTATAGATTATCATTTTTTTATTATATAAAGTTTGAAATCTCACCTTCTATGCTGTCTCCTGTTACCAATGATTTAGGTCTCTTAACACTAAAAGATACAACAAAGCAAGTTGAAGTTCAACAACAACAACATAGGAGGGAAGTGAGTAGCTACTCCTGTATAGTGTTTACTCATGTATCAGAAGGTTCTAGTCCCCCTTTTCTTCTAAAGACTTCCTTGGTAATCTAGTTGGCAAAAAGAGGGTTGCTGTATATTGACCTCTCACAGGTCCACCGCATGGCTTGTTCCTCAGTTCCTCCTAATTCTTAACTGGCTTGTTTTGCTTGGACTTTGATTCTGCTCATTCTGTTGCCATTCACTTCCCAGGACTCTAAGACCATCTGTGTCTCTACAGCCACACTGGTCTTGGAGAAAGGGACAATGTAAGAAACACCACACTCTCCTGTTTGACCTGGACCAAAGCATGGGCATTACCTTGTCATTTCCCAACAAAAAGTTGACACCAGGATGCAATGGTGAAAGTTAAAAGACTGTTTACACAAATAGATTTGCATAAGGCAGAGGAACATTTTGTGAGCCACCTATTTCAACAACCTACTTTTTCATTTATCAATTTAAAAGTGGATAAATAAGGACAACCTAAGATTTAAGAAAAAGAAAGATCCCCCCAAAAGAAGACAGAAATGAACAAACAAAATAGCTGACTCAGAGGAAACAAAGTAATTTAGGAAACAGAAACCAACTTTAAAAATGTTCTAAGATGTTGAATCCATAAAACATGAACAAGCTGTCTAAAAGAGGAACAATCAGAAAATAAAATGATTTGTTGAAAATTAAAATTGTGAGTGCAAAGTATAGAAGATCAGTCTGGAATTCCAACACTCAGTGAATCGAAAGGACTTATAAGAAGGAGCAAATGGAGAAAATGAAGAGGAAGAGATGATGATGATGACAATCATGATGAAAATGATGTTAATAATAGTAGCAGTAGTAATATTAGTAGTAGTAATTGCAGTAGCAGCAATAATAATGAATTAATATTTTCCTGAACTAAAGAAGAATACATGTTTTCAGATTGAATGTTCTCAGCACTGAACAGGGTACATGAACAAATGTCCACTAATACATACATACTGTTAAAATGTTAAAGCTTCAAGAATAATGAGAAAAATGTGAAGTCATCTATAAAGACTTAATACATTACCTACAAAGGAACACAATTTTGATTGACATAAGACTATCTACCTGCACCATTTGTGGCTAGAATAAAATGGAACAACAATTCAATGGGAAAATTATTTTGAATCTAGAATTCTTACAACACCAAACATTTCATTCCATTCTCTTCTTGCTTGCATGGTTTCTTATGAGAAGCCTGCTATTAATTTTTGTCCTTGTTTGTCTATAGTCAGCATGTTTTTTAAATCTGGTTTCTTTCAAGATTTTCCCTTTGTCTTTGGTTTTCTGCAGTTCGAATATGATACGTCTATCTGTAGATTTTGGGGGTTTTTATCTTGATTTATGTCTTCTGAGCTTCCCAGAAATGTGGTTTGATATCTGTTATTAATTTTAGAAAGTGACCAGCTATTATTTCTTCAAATATATCTTCTGCTCTTTTTTTCTCTTCTTCTGCTATTCAAGTTACATATATATTATACTTTTTGGAATTTTCATACAGTTCTTGGATGTTCTGTTCTTTTTTATTCTTTTTTTCTCTCTGTATTTTAATTTGGGAACTTTCTATTGACCTTTCATTAAGCTTACTGGTTCTTTTCTTGACTGTGTACAGTCTACTGATAAGTACGTAAAGGATATTATCCACTTATTTTACAATGTGTAGTGAGTTAAACAGTGTTCCTCCCACAATATATATCCAAGTTTTAACCCCCAGTACCTATTTGGAAATAACAGTTGGCCCTCCATATTATGGTTTCTGCATGCACTGGTGGATTCAACCAACTGTGGGTCAAAAATATTTGGAAAAAAACAATTTCACAAAGCTCCAGAAAGCAAAACTTGTACTGCGCACTGAGTACTCCATTGAATCCACATGAATGAAGTGATGTGTAGGCATTGTGTTAGGTAATAAGTAATCTAGAGATGATTTAAATTACACTGGAGGATGTGCACAGTTTATATGCGAATATTATGACATTTTATAGAAGAGACTTGAGCATCTGTGAATTTTAGTATCCGTGGGGGTCCTGGAACCAATTCCCCATGGATAACCAGGAACATCTATGGCAGATGTCTTTGCAGATGTAATTAAATCTTAAGATAAATGCAGTGACTTGTAGTTTTAGAAGAAGAGAAAATACAAAGAGCCACAGAGGAGAACACCATATTGAAGATGGAGGCAAAAACTGGAGAGACACATCTAAAGCCAAGGATTATTGGCAACTACCAGAAGGAGGTAGGTAAGAAAGAGATTCCCAGAACCTCCAGAAAAACACAAACCTGAAAAGACCTTGATGTCAGACTTCTGGCCTCTGGATTGTGAGGAATAAATTTCTGTTCTTTAATTCCACACAATTTTTGATAATTTGTTATGGTAGCCCTAGAAAATGAGCACACAATGTTTTTGATTTCTAGTATTTAAAAAATTCTTTCTTAGCATTTCCATCTCTTTGCTTACATTACTCGTTTCTTCTTGCGAGTTGTCTATTTTTTCCCATTAGAGCTCTTAATATATTAATTGCAATGATTTAAAAAATACGTGTTTGATAATTCCAACACCCATGTCATGTCTGAGTCTGGTTCTGATGTTTGCTTTATCTCTTCAAACTGTGTTTCTTCTTGCCTTTTGGACTTGTAATTTTTTGTTGAAAACTCTGCATGTTGGATATAGGAAATGAGGTAAATAGGCCTTTCATGGGAAATTTTATGCTAATTTGGCAAGGAGTTGGATTGTGTTTAATATTGGCTGTAGCTGCAGGTGCCAGACTTTGAATTCCTTTAGCGACCTTGTTTTATCTCCTCTGTTGGCTTTGGGCTTACCTAAGTACTCCTCCTCAGGAGGAGTCTGCACTTTGCTGCTCTTTCAGCTGTAATCCATTCTTTGTACAGGAGCCCTTTTGTTCTGTTGGCAAAATGTTGGGGAGGGGAAGCATTTCTAATCTTACGATTAAATCTCTTTCTTTTAATAGAACTGTGTCTCAGGGCTGTGACCTTCATAGGTGTTTCTTAGTTTTTCTAACCTCCTTGACTTAGGTGAGATAGGATAGCTAGAGGGGACTGGAGTGAGAAAAAATGCCCTTGCCCCAAGTGGAATAACACTCTGATAAAATCCTCTGGCCTTTGTTATGAAGAATGCTGACAATGGTTCCTTTTTCCTTTTCCCTGCCAGAGTAACTACAGGATCTTTCTTGCCTTTTCATTATGAAAACTTGGTCAAACCCCAGGAAATAAAACTTAGGAATGTGGCCCTTAGGAGGCTCTCATTCTCCTGCTAGTATACTCAGCACTGAACAATTTGCCAAAATTACCATTTAAGTGTTCCTACGTGTTTATGACTCCAGTGACTTGTCTTCCAAGCAAACAGATCTCTGTTGGGATTTGGATTTATTCATCTCTCCAGGTTTCAAGGTGATAATTTGCCCTGAGATCTCAGTTCTCTGGTGGATCCAAGACAAGTCACTGATTTCAGTTTTTTTTTCAGCCTTTTCTTATTGTAAAGATGGGAGTGATAATTTCCAAGTTCTTTACACGTTAAAGCTGAAACTAGAGGTGATTCCACCCCAAAGTCTTTTTATCCTCACTACAAACTATGTATCTAGTGAGGGCAAAGGTAGAGACCTTTTTTGGACATGCAAGGACTCAGATATTTTACCTCTAAGACCTACTGTCTGAAAATAATATATATACTCCAGAAAAATTAAAAAGAATTTCAGACTTCATTTCTCAGAAGATGGAGTGGCATACTTTTTCCTGTTTCCTCCACCAAGTACAACAAAAAAACCTTGGACATTATATATCAAACAAACATAAGAAGACTCTGGAAGCTGGAGAAAAGAAGGTAGACCAGCTAAGGACCTCAATAATTTTTTTGTCTCATATATCTCAGTCTTGGAATTGAAGAAGCTGGCAACCCAGTAACATAAATGGAACAGACAAAAAAGGCCCTGACCAAAGCCTGCTCTGTCTAGCCAAAGGACTGGAAAGTCAGCCAACTGAGACAGGAAACTTTTAGACAATAACTGCTCTACCTAAGCCAAATACCACAGGAAAAAACAAAAAAACAAAAAAAACTGAGGCTCCACCTCCACCCATGCCAGCAAAGAGCATCATGGGGAGCCCAGATTTTCACCTTTGTCAAGCTGTAATGAGGTAACCCAATACTCTACCAGGATGGGGTCAGAGAAGGGTAAGTAGAGAGCAGGACTTTCACACCATTCTATGGTAATGAGACTACATTTTTCCCCCCACCCTACCCACGTGTTAAGGAAGCCATGTGGTGAACAGCAATAAGGCACTCCTATTCTTCCTGAACAGGACAATATCTGTGGAAACCTAGTGGGGTGAAGGGGTTCCCACTCAGCCCAGCAATAATGAGGAACACCCTTTCTTGGGTGTCACTGGAGGCCACGTAGGAAATTTGGACTTTACCCCGACTTGGCAGTAATAACATTTGGTGCTCCTCCATCCCATGCCAGAGTGATGTTGGAAGAAGCCAATTAAAATGGAATGTCTAAATAAGAACCAGAGTCTTATAATATTATAACCAAAATATCCAAATTTTAAGTGAAAATCATCTATACCAAGAGCCAAGACATTCTCAAACTGAATGAAAAAAGACTACCAATAGATGCCAGCAAAATGACAGATATCAGACTTACCTAAATTTGAAAGGGGCCACTATAAAAGTACTTCAATGAGCATTAACAAACATGCTTAAAACAAATGAAAAGATAAAAAGTCTCAGCAAGGAAATAGAACATGTAAAGAAGAGGCAAATGGATATTTTACAAGTAAAATATATAATAATCAAAATAAAAAGCTCAGTTGGCAGACTCAGTGGCAGAATAGAAGGGACAGGGAAAAATGAATGAAAATATTTCTATCTCCTCTATGAAGTCGGCAATTTCTATTGTTAAGATAGGATGATAGGCTGGGCGTGGTGGCTCACGCCTGTAATCCTAGCACTTTGGGAGGCCAAGGCAGGTGGATCACGAGGCCAGGAGATCGAGACCATCCTGGCTAACATGGTGAAACCCCGTCTCTACTAAAAATACAAAAATTAGCTGGGCATGGTGGTGTGTGCCTGTAACCCCAGCTACTCAGAAAGCTGAGGCAGGAGAATTGCTTGAACCCAGGAGTTGGGGGTTGCAGCGAGCCGAGATCATGCCACTGCACTCCAGCCTGGAGAAAGAGTGAGACTCTGTCTCAAAAAAAAAAAAAAAAAAAAAAAAAAAAAAGGATAGAAATGACCTTGTCTGGAAAACAGACTAAAAATAAAAATGAATAAAACTTTAGGGACCTGTGAGACTCTAACAAAAGATCTAATTTTTGTGTCATTGGATATCTAAAAGGAGAAAAAAAGAGAGCAGGGCAGGGCTGAAAAAGTATTCAAAGAAATAATGGTTGAAATTTTTCCACATTTGGCAGAAGACATAAATCTACAGCTTCAAATAGCTAAGCAAACTCAAATAGAATAAACATAATTAAATCCACATAAAGAAGAATTAACATCACTAATACACAATCTCTTCCAGGAAATACAAGAAGAGTTCACACTTCTCAATTCGTTTTATGAAGTTATTTTTCAATGATACTAAAATCAGACAAAGACAATACAAAAAAAGAAAATTAAAGACCAATATTTGTAATAAATATATATGCAGAAATTCTTAACAAATTATTAGCAAATAAATTCAGCAATACATATAAAAATGACCACATAGGCTAAATTCCAGGGATGCAAGGATAATTCAATATTTAAAAGTCAATCAGTATCATCCATCATTATTAGCAAGCTAATGAAGAAAAAAATCACAGTCTTATCAATTGATACAGAAAAAAGCACTTGATAAAATTCAGCACGTCTTCATGATAAAACTTTCAGAAAAGGCTGGGTGCGGTGGCTCATGCCTGTAATCCCAGCACTTTGGGAGGCTGAGGCGGGTGGATCCTGAGGTCAGGAGATCAAGATCATCCTGGCCAATTTGGTGAAACCCCATCCATCTCTACTAAAAATACAAAAATTAGCTGGGCATGGTGGTGTGCGCCTGTACTCCCAGCTACTCGGGAGGCTGAGGCAGGAGAATCACTTGAACCCGGGAGTCGGAGGTTGCAGTGAGCCGAGATAGTGCCACTGCACTCCAACCTGGCAACAGAGCAAGACTCCCTCTCAAAAAAGAAAAAAGAAAAAAACAAACTCTCAGAAAATATGGATAGAAGGGAACTTAACCTGATAAAGAGCATCTACACAGAACCTACAGCTAATGTTATAAATAATGACACAAGACTGGTACATAGATACCATGAAACACTATTCACCAACAAAAATGATCAAACTGTGGATATATACAATTAATTGGGTAAACCTTAGAGAAGTATGCTGACTGTAAAAAAATCAAACTCCCAAAGGTTACATACTGTATAACTCCATGTGTATAACATGCTTAAAATGACAACATTATAGAAATGGAGAACACATTACTGGTTGCCACTGGTTAAGGTGGGAGAGAAGAGTGTGGCCATAAAAGGGAGACATGAAGGATCTTTGTGATGCTGGGAAATGTTGTGAATCTTAACTGTGTTAATGTCAATATTCTGGTTTTGATACTGCATTCTAGTTTTGTAACATGTTACCGTTGGGTTAAACTTGGTAAAAGGTACCTGGGAATCTCTCTGTATTATTTCTTATAACTACATATACATCTATAATTATCTTGAAACACACCAACATGGCACATGTATACATATGTAACAAGCCTGCCCGTTGTGCACATGTACCCTAGAACTTCAAGTATAATAAAAAAATTAAAATCAAACATTCAATTAAAAAAAGAAATCCAAGAAAATTACAGACATGGATATAAGAAAATGTGGACACAACCTAGGAATATGATAAAAAGAAATACCAGGATGAAAAAAATGCAGCAGGTATGGAAATAAGTTAGTCCACACTAAAACATGGAGTAGAAAGATCCCTGGAAAATATGTCCAAGAAAAAAATGATATCCTTCAACCAACAGAGGGTTGAAGACACTGAGTGATCTTAGTAATACAGTGAAAGTATACGGTTTAATTATTATGTATATATATATATTTAAAATATGCTGCTCTATTTCTACTCCTCCAAAGTTTTGATAATTACTTTCTCCTTTGAGCAGAACATGTTTAGTGATTTAGTATTACAGTGTTTTCTCTGCTGGTCCAATTATATACTTCATGGCTTGCAGTGAGTAGTATATACATAATCGTGTTGTTAAAGCTAGCTTTTGGCTTTCAGTTTAGAATCAACTTATAAGCAAAGCATGAAGCCTTAGTATGCTTTTGTCATTAATATAAATGTTACAAACCTTGACATTGACCATATAAAGTTAATGACATGTTGGAATGAGGGGCAGATGGGAGGCAGGAGTTAGAAGGCTATGAGGAGATATTAAGTCAAATGTATCCTAACTTCCTCATCCTAACATATTGTCTAAAGTTAATGGGTCAAAACCTTGTGTAAAGTCAATGGTTTCGGGACTAAAAATTCATAATTTAGACATGTGAATATAACTCATAGAATTTAAAAAAAAGTGGCTGGCAGAAATATCAAAGAGTATGAGAGGTGGTGTAAATGAATTAATTCCTCATTTTTCAAAGCATGCAGTTAGTACCTAATGCTTCAAGTTATCAAATAAGAAGAATAAAGTATGCAAACATTTTAATATTAAGGAGTAAGTCAGTAAGAGCTACACAAAAGAAGCATTTATGTGTGGTTACTTCTAAATAGTGGGACTCTTGGTTGCAGAGAGGGAAAGAAGACTTATTTTTCATTTTGGGCCATTTAGTACTACTTGAATTTGTGCTACTATATGAATAATTTCTTTTTTACACTTATAATTATTGTTATTAAAATAGAAGTGAAAACATTTCCATAAAGATTTCCAAGATCTTGAAAAAAATTTATGTATAAGGGCCCAAAGTCAAAGTATTTGACATGTAGATTTTTGGAAGAAAGTTTATCATAAATTCATAGTTATTTTAGCCCTCAAACAATGGCAGTAGGATGGATATTCTGACTTCAGAGTTAACCTGAGGATTTGAAAATTCTTCCCTTCCTCACCATGATATACATCAGTATATGGAGAAGCTAATCAGATATTCATGTAGACCTTCAAATAAGTCAATCCTTTGAAGATTCATACCTTAAAGCCGAAAAATCCAAATGAATTTGATGCTAAAAATTGAGACAGGTAGGAGGAAGATCTCTGGCAGGGCTCATTCCTAATTCCAGAGAAAGGAAAGGCCTGTCTTCTCTAGTGTGGTCAGATTTAGAAGGCTAAGGTATTGCATAAGCATCACTGCATGAAGGGGAGAATCTATATACAGTCAAGGTTCCAGCAGGCGCCAGGGAATGAGAGAGATGGAGAGAGACTGCTGAAGACTCTGCCAAGTGGGCGTAAGTGATTGGTCCTAACCTGCCCAAGCAGATAAGTGACTCCTTCTCTATGGGGCAGGCTGGGTGAAAGGATAGTAAAAAGGACAATCACTTTTCTCCCAAGTTCTTTCAAGAGGAAAGACATTTCTGTTTTAAAACCCTAGGCAGGAACCTAGGGAAAGAGATCGGTTCTCTCTCTGTATGCTGTGTCTTAAAGCTCACCTGGGCCATTGTCCATAGTCACTGTACATAAATCAGCTAAATTAATTGGCAGAAAACATTCATTTCTTCCCCCAGAAAAAAAATCTTAATAAAGAAGAGCTGAATATTTTTTAAAAAATGAGAATAGCTAAACTAGAATTGGAATTTAATATGCCATTTTTTTTTATCTCAGGCTTGAATCAACCAAACTTGAGTCAGTTAAAGATACTCCCCCAACCTTTTTATTTTTGAGGTGGCATTGACACCACCACCAAGGAAGAAATCTAGATGTTTATTTTTATATTTTAATCTAGTAAAGGAAATGTAATTAGATAATAGTTATTTACTTAACACCACTAGATTTGGAAGGTCAACTCCCAAAATGCATAATTCAAGACCATTACCTAAATGGAGAGGTGATGAAAAAAAGATTTCTATTGGGTTGTGGATAATATTAAAGCCTTTTATATACTTTTAAATATTAATTACTTGGGTTGATGTGATAAATATAAAATATGTTAACATTTAGGACAGGAAAACATTAATTTTCAAATAGGAATGGTAAATAAGTGTGTCTTACATGTCAACTTCAATCAAGTGTTAGCAGTTTACTGGAACAGTATGTTGAGAAGGATTCTGAAGCCACATCTGGGATTAATTACTTATGCCTACCAAGACTGGGAATGGATAGCATAAATGTCATGTTATTTATCATCTATGCTTTGGGAGAACCACATGACATGATTGCATAAACTGTTTTCTGACATTAGATTCCAGATCAATTTCCTCATTTGTAAGATGAGAGTTAGACTAGATAAGGGGTTTTCAAACTGTGGTATGAGGGGCTTCAGTGTGATGAGGGGGATTGGGGAAGCCCAGGGAGCAGGTTCTTGGCTTCCTATTCCTTCTTCAGCCACAGAAGTTTCACTTTGTATGTTTTACCGACTGGCTTTCATATCAGCTTTTGGTTGAACAAGAGTTTTTTTAGCTAAAAAGAGTTTGTAAAAAGTTGTTCTTTAAGATTCCGTTAATTATTCTGTGGTCTCCTTTATTCACCCCACCCTCCCACAAGGTACTGGCTAAGCAGAAAACATTCTCAGAGGTGTAGCATTTAAGTTGGGCCTTGAAGGATGAGTAGGAGTTCTCTCTGTGTGTGTGTGTGGGGTGTGTGTGTGTGTGTGTGTGTGTGTGTGTGTGTGTGGTTAGCGCTGTGTATCAGTATTTCTAAATGAATTATAAACAAGAGATCAATCAAGATAAATTCAGAGAGACCTGTTACTGGCTGCCCATCCACTGAGGGTGGCCCTCAATGCATCACCACAGTTTGGTGGATTTGCAAACGCCTAGAGTTATTCTTAGAGAAAGGCTGTTCTAACATCAGATGTATAAACCAAAATCCAAGTCTATTCACTTGCAAAGAATATTATACCTACCAATTTCTGGATTATTTAAAACTCTTCCCCAAATCCATGAAGCTAAATTGGTAATCAAAAGACTATTTGGTGAGCATAGAATGGATGCTTTTGATAAAGCATTGGAAGGTCATTGGCAGGTATGTGAATCTTCCTGGACCAGGAGAGCATACACCTCTCTCATCTGCTAGGTACTGTCTCTGCCCTGGCCAGGCCAATTTAAACCTTCACAGCTTATCAGCTTGGACTCTCTTCCTAGATGCACAAAGGCTGTCTACTTTAGTATCATCCTGTTTTTGGCAGTTGCCTAGATTTCAGCTTTCCTTAGGTGCATCTGAGGCCTGAGGAACCTCCCTGTCTCTCTGATTACTTTTGAGTGTTTCCAGAGCCCCTGCAGCTGGATCGTAGGCTTGGGTGGGGCTGCTGCTATCCATCCTGTGCTGACTTCACCCAGTCCCCTCTGAGAAGGTGGCTTTATCTCTGTGTTCAAGAGGCACCTTATTGTTTCTTTATATTTGGCTCTCAATCTTTCATGTTGCCCTCTTCTCCTTTTCCTGTAAAAAATCAAAAGTCCGCTGTGATCAGCCGACACGTTCGCTTTCCTCTTTCAGAAGCCCACACACACTTGGGCCCCACCTTTGGTTCCAGCTGAGCTGAGATTGAATATGACGGTGGCTGGAGGGCACTGCTGCCCTGATTGTTCTTGGAATTCCTGAACACTCTCCTCTCTCCCAGGAATAGAAAACCTACTCTAATTCGAGCAGTTAAGCCCATTTAAAATCAGAGATGCAAACTCTGCCTTATAAATTTTGATGGGGATGCCTTCTCGTGGAGCTTTGTGTGCCATATGTTATAAGGTATAATTATACAATTCTGGAGTTCAGGGTGAAAACATTGACTACAATTTAAAAGGGAATTAGAGACGGCCTGTGTTTGGCAAAAGTTTCCCCTGACTGGGAGACAGCAGATCTGGTTGTCCGCTTTGAATGAGGGCTGCTTCCATTTGGAATCATACTCGGCCTCCAGTTCCTGTGGGATGTTGACACGTGCATCCATTGAACATTAATTTATTAAATATTCATGGTATTTCAGGCACTGGGCTGGTGCTATGGATATACAGATGAACAAGATGGGATTTCTGCCCTCCTGTTGTTCAAAGTCTAATGAAGAAGGTAATTAGAGTAGAATAATAATAACAATTATAATCAGCACATTGAACTAACATACACTGTGGGATGTAATCAGAAAACAACTCTCTTCCTTCCCTCCAACACCCATTTATACCTACTCTGTAGGGCTAGATGAATCCAGGAAACAAATTTTGAATGAAATCCAGGAAAAAAATCTTATGTCTTTTGTGATCATGAAAAGACCTTCTAAGACCTTCCTTGTATCAGTGTGACATGAACATATACCTTGATTAGTGATTCCCTACCTGATTCTCCCTTGATGTGTGTGAATGCGTTTTGGTTCTAACTGGCCACTTACAGCTCCTTCCTCAGCTCTTAGGCATTTCCAACTTATTTTCCTGAAGTCATCATTGACAGTGACATTCGTGGGTCCTCTTGCTGGCTCCTTCTTGCATTTGGCCTAGATGTGGCCAACAGAAAACACTCAGGCCTTTTTTTTAATGCCAGTAAACCCTCAGAACCCAGGCCAATGAGGAGCTGCATCCCCTCTCCACTAGCAGAGGGGAAGAGTCTGTGGTTTTAGTATTTCTCAGGGCTGAATCAGACACCAGGCCCATCCAAGTAGTCCTTATGAAGCCCCTTTCCCCAGCTTGAGGTGAGGTGCACCCTTACCCTTGGGAGGGTAGACCAAAAGCACACCCACAGCCTCTTAAAACGAACTTTTTCCCCCAGGAATGGTGTACTTATGATCCTTTTCTTCCCTCAGGATGAGTGAGGGCTAGGAGTTGCAAAGTGTCCATTTACACCTTCTTGGCCAGTCCTGCTTGGTGGCCTCCATGTTCACTTTGGAATGTGGAGATAGTTGTCCTTTTAATGTTCTAGCACACAATAATAACAAAACAAAAAAATACTGGTTATACTTACAGGATGCTTTATATGACCCAAGCACTGTGGTAAGAACATCATAAGAATTACATTAGTACAGCCTTACAGACAGGTACCAATATGATCTTGCTGCAGTTAGGGAAAAGAAGGTTGACAGAGGTTAAGTAATTTGCCAAAGGCCACGCAGCTAGTAAGTGATGAAGCCTGACCAGTGTGCAGAGAAATCACATTCAAGCTGCTCCCCTCGTGGGCCGGAAATGCTTGTTCTTCCCCCTCACTTCCCCAGCCTTCTCTGTCCTTCAAAGTCTCATCCAAGTACACGCTTTTTAGAAACTTCCCTGGTGACTCTGACCACTGCTGCGTTTTCTCTTCTGAACTTCTGTCTCTGCTTGTCATGGACAGTTTGCTAATTGCTTTATGCGGATTAGTCTGCTTCCTGACTTAGAATCAAAGTGTGAGTAAGAATAGAGTAGTCCCCCCTTAGCCAGGGTTTCATTTTCTGTTGTTTTAGTTACCTGCCATCAACTGCAGTCTGAAAATATTAAATGGAAAATTCCAGAAATAAACAATTCTGGAGTTTTAAATGGCGCATCATTCTGAGTAGGCCAATGAGATATCAAGCTTTCCCAAGGGGAAGTGAATCTTTCCTTTGTCCAGTGTCTCCATGCTGTTTACACTCCCTGCCTGTTAGACACTTAGCCATCTCAGTGATCAGATCAACTGCAGCAGTATAGCAGTGTTTGTGTTCAAATCACCCTGTTTTACTTAATAATAGTTCCAAAATGCAAGAGTAGGAATGGTACCAGCTTGAATGTGCCAATAAGTGCTTCCTTTAAGTGAAGAGGTGAAAGTTCTCGACTTAAGGAAAGAAAAAGTCATATGCTGAAGTTGCTAAGATCTATGCTAAGAATGAATCTTCTATCTGTGAAATTGTAAAGGAGAAAATAGAAATTCATGCATAGTATATATAGGGTTTGGTAGTATCCAGGGTTTCCACCATCCACTGGGGGTCTTGGAATATATCCCCTGTGGATAGGGGGGACCATTGTACAGACATCTCCTGAAGAACAAGTGACAGCTCAGCCCCCATGACATCTGAATCCAACCAGACCAAACCGATGTTTCTCCGCAGCCAAAGCCGCAGACCCAGTGAGGCATTGTTCTGGCTCAAATGCACACAACAGTTTACATCACCAGGCAGAAGAGTTAGCTAGGCCTCTAAAATGTCTGTTCCAATTTGTGTGGCTTTATTGGTTTCTTTAAGTATTTTTATTATTTAAGTTTACAGATAACATTGTATGTTTCTATCACATATATAATATGATCCAGTGTGTGTGTGTGTGTGTGTGTGTGTGTGTTTGTGTATACACACACACATCTTGGAGAATATATAGTACATATATACATAGTATATATACACATTGTGTGCATATATGTACATTGTGATATATACACATTGTGGAATAGTTGAACATAGCTGATTAGCAAATACATTACCTCACATAGTTATTTTGTGGCAAGAGTACATAACATCCTCTCTCTTTACATTTTCCAAGAATAAATTATATATGTATTAACTATAGTCACGTTGCTGTACAATAAATCCCTTGAAATATATTCCTCGTATCTAACTGTAATTATGTATCCTTAGACCAACAAGTCCCCATTTCTCCCTCTACAATGACTTTACAATTTTCCTAAAAAAAGAAAACAAAAAAAAAAAAAAACTCATGGTTTTCTTGGAAGAGAGAAATGGTTTGCCTCAAAGAGGTATTCAAATCTTCAAATCTGCTAAGGCAGACAACTGCCTGGAGACTGGAAATGAACTCCTTTTGCCTGGACCTCTGTTCACACCAAGGGCCTCCTGTGATGCTGGTACAACTCCTTTCATACAAGCCAAGAGCACTTTGGGAAGGAATGAGGCCCAGGGATCTGTGCCACGACTGGGTAATTTATAAAGAAAAAGAGGTTTAATAGACTTACAGTTCCATGTGGCTGAGGAGGCCTCACAATCATGGCAGAAGGCAGAAGGCAAAAGGCAAAAGGCACATCCTTACATGGTGGCAGACAAGAGAGAATGAGAGCCAAGTGAAAGCAGAAAACCCCTTATAAAACTATCAGATCTTGTGAGACTTATTCACTGCTACGAGAACAGTATGGCGGAAACCACCCCCATGATTCAATTATCTTCCACCAGGTCCCTCCCACAACACATGGGAATTATGGGCGCTACAATTCAGGAAGACATTTGAGTGAGGACACAGCCAAACCATATCACCTGGTGTCTGCAGAACTAACTTCTTGCTGAAATCTTTCAGATCCCTTCTTTCACTCTCTGCAAACCGCTGCCCCCTTTTCCTGCTGCCCCCTCACTCTCAGCAGGAAACAAAGCCAGCAGAAGACACCTTCTTCCCATGCAACTCACTGCCTCCATCTCTCCCACCTCTGTTCCTGTTACAACAGAGGAATGTCTCTTCTCTTGCCTTGGGCCGATTCCACCACTTGCAAACTGAATTCCATCCCCTCCTCCCTTCTCTCAGACCTGCTGCCAATGATGATCCCCTTCCCTCTCATCTAATCAAATTGCTCCCTCAAATACATTCTCCCATTGGCTTATGAAAACAACTGTTTTGTTTGTTTGTTTTGGCATTAGAAATAAAAAAACAGTCAAAGCAACAACATAACCAGAAACAAACACACCCAACAATCTCTCCTCAACCCGACATCCTTGCAGCACCGCACTCTATCTTCCCTCCTCACGGAGCCCACTCCAGTCTGGCTCCTGCCCTCATTAACCACTTCCCCTGAGGAGCTTGGCTGCAGCACCTTCAGGCCACTAAACCCAATGATGTCCAGACCCCACCTTCCTTGCCTTCTCAGCTCCGTTCACTGACCACATGCTTCCTGTCAACACACTTCTCCTTTGGACTGTTCTAACCCCACATTCTCATGGTTGTCCTCTCGCTGCTGCTCCTTCTCTCCCTCCTTTGTACTTAGATCCTTCTTTTCCCAGCCAGATGATGCTTCTCTAGGCTTGGTTTGGGGCCCATCTCTTTTCTTCCACTGTCTTCTTTCCCTACATGGTTTCATCCACACCCGAGACTTCAGTTACCATTTATTCAGTCCCAGATTGATGTCTTCATTTCAGAATCCTCTCGTCCATCCTCTCTCTTGACATCTTCATTTGGATGCTTCAAGGTCATTGTGAATTCAGTAAGTCCCAGAAGAGACTGAAACTCATTAACCTTCCCCTGCCAATCCAAACAAATGGGTTTTCTTCCAGAGTTCTCCATCCCAGTTAACATATCACTATTCATTGGTGCAACCCAAATGATCCAGTAGTTTTCTGTGTTAGTCCATTTGGGCTGCTATAACAGAATACCACAGGCTAGGTAGCTTTTAAACAACAGAAATTTGTTTCTCATAGTTCTTGAGGCTGGGAAGTCCAAGATCAGGGTGCTGGCAGGTCTGGTGTTTTGTGAGGCCTGCTTACTGGTTCATAGACAGGTTTCTTCTTGCTGTATTCTCACATGATGGATGGGGCAAGGCAGTTCACTAGGGCCTCTTTTATAAGGGCACCAATCTTATT
This sequence comes from Homo sapiens, assembly GCF_000001405.40. NCBI lineage: Eukaryota > Metazoa > Chordata > Mammalia > Primates > Hominidae > Homo > Homo sapiens. The sequence continues at coordinate 87,818,119 of NC_000014.9, read as the reverse complement.
CCAGAGGGATGCATCCTCATGACCTAATGACCCTCCAAAGATCCCACCCCACATTTTTTTTCTTTTCTTTTCTTTTTTGAGACAGGGTCTCACTCTATTGCCCAGGCTGGAGTACAGTGGCACAATCACGGCTCATGGCAACTTCCATCTTTCGGGCTCAAGTGATCCTTCCACCTTAGCCTCTTGAGTAGCTGGGGCTACAGGCATGCATTATCCCGGCAGGCTAATTTATATATATATATATATTTTGGTAGAGACAGGGTTTTGTCGTGTTGCCCAGGCTGGCCTCAAACTCCCGGGCTCAAAAGATCCACCTGCTTTGGCCTCCCAAAGTGCTGGAATTAACAGGCATGTGCCACCACACTGTGTTGGCCCCACCTCTTAATACCATCATCCTAGGGGTTAGGATTTTAATATATGAATTTGGGGAGACATAATTATTCAGTCCCTAACATTATCCTTGACAACTCTTTCACCATTACTCCCCATGACCAATCCTGCAACAAGTATGAGGATTTTACTCTTGATGTCTCTCCATCTCTGCAATGCTTTTCATTTCTTTCCTACTGCTCCCACCACCCACCACACCACAGTCACCTCTTTCCTGGTCTTCCCCGATAGCCTGCTACTTGCATCTTCTTACACACCCCTGCCTTGCCCCTGCTGATTTCCGTAGTGCGGCCAGAGCATGTCATAAGTAGACATCCTATCATGTCATTACTCTTATCTGTGCTCCCCACCCTGCCCCAACACCCAGACTAACTTGCTGCTGTTCTTATAATAAAGGCTGAACATCTTCACAGGGCTCTTGGGGCCCTGCATGGTTGGTTTGCCTTCCCAGGCTCATTTTATACCAAGATCCTCCTCACTGTCTGTGCAGCAGCTAATTTACCTTCTCTCAGTTCCTTGGACATACGATGTTCTTTCTCTCTCTATCACTTCTATCCTCTCAGCCTGGAACATTCTCTTCTTACTTCTCTCCCCTCTAATTAATTCTCATTCTCTTTAGATCACGACTCCACTATTGCTTCCTCAGAAACCTCTCTGCCTACGTCAGATCTCCCGCATGTCCCATCTTAAACCTATGTAGCTTCATAGTATTTAAATGAGTCATGACATCACATTTAGTGATTATTTTATTAATATATCTGTTCTCCACTGTACTTTGGACTTCTTGAAGGCAAAGACTGTGCCTATATCTAGTGTTGGTGCAGGATAGGTGTTATATTGGTTTGACTAATATATATTGAGCCCCTATTATGTACCCTGTAAATTATTACTGCCATTGGATATACTATGAAAGATGGGGTGGATCCAAGATTTTCAGGCCTGAAACATCTAGAATTTTGGGAGCCTCTTTAAGAAAAATAATAACAGATTATGGATATGAATGCCTGCAGCCCCCTTGAGAGAGTCCCTGCTATTCAGGGCCGTGAAGCTTAAGCTCATTAGCTTTATGACGCATATGCTTCTGCACAGAAATAAACCACTTTTGCAAAAGTAACTCTTGGCTGGGTTGGGCTGGGTTCAGCTGCTGAGAAAAGAGGGTTTGGCTTTAGAGCCAGAAAACGTCTGGAGAAAGCAGAATTGGGACAAAATGCAGATTGGTTATTTCAAAGTTACTTTCCTTTGAAGGAGAAAACAGAGAGGACTTTTAAATTAAACTGACTCAGGTTGACTGGGATCTCCTGGGTTTTTTTTTTTTTTTTTTTTTTTTTTTTTTGGAAAGCTGACCCATTTCAAAGTTCAGTTTAATTATGTGGCACTTAGCACAAGTGACTCCATTCTCCTTGGGTCTGATGCCGGGGGGGCCTCAGGCAGGTGGTTAATCCAAACTAATGACCTCCCATAAAATTTGTTGAACACAGGTGTTTTTACAAGAGGCACACAAAAGAGAGACACAGAGAGAAGATGAGAAGACTGAGGCAGACATTGGAATGACGCAACCAGGAGCCAAGGAATGCCTGGATCCATGGGAAGCAGAAGAGGTAGGGTCCAGATGCCCCCCTAGGGCCTTCAGAAGGAGCTTGGCCCTGCCACACTTTGATTTTGAATATCTCACCTCCAGAATTGCAAGAAAATCAATTTCTGTTGTTTTAAGCTACCAAATTGTGATAATTTGTTACAGCACCCCTAAGAAACAAATACAGAAAGTATTGAAATTGGAGAGTTCCCTGATCTCCCTTGCAGGACATGAGACAGGGGTGTGGCTAACCTGGTTGGTTGCTGCTGCTGCTCAAACCTCTGAGAAGAGGGAGAGCACAAAGATGGGAAGGTACAGGAGCCGGGGTGAGGGCTTTGGGCTCCGGCCCCACAGTAGTGTCTAAGGGTGGATGTCTGCTGCCCCAGTGTTATAATGCTGTTGTAGCTTTGCCATCTGCAGATTGCTCAAGTGTTAACCACCTTAAGGGACCTTCTTCCTTTTTGCAAGTGCAGTGGGTCAGTGTAACAGCTTTCTGTATCCTGAGCTCTTTCCTAGCATCCTGGAAGACACCCAGGGGCCTGAAGGATGAATGTGGAGGTTTTTATTGAGTGGTGGAGGTGACTCTCAGTGGGAGGGATGAAGAGCCGGAAGGGAGGAAAGAGTGGGAAGATGATCTTCCCCTGGAGCCTGGCCGTCCAGTGGCTGAACCCCTCTCCAGCTGCCCCCAGCTGAACTCCTCTTGGTGTTCAGATGTTTCTCTTCCTCTCTTTCTCTGCCGCTTTGTTCCGTTCTGTTCGTCTGTTTTTCTCCTTGTCTTCTCACCTGCTCATCTGCTTCTGCAGCCTGGGGTTTGGAGTTTATATGGGTACAGGATAGGGGGGCGTGGTGGGCCAAAAGGCAACTTTTTGGGTGTGAAAACAGAAATGCCTATTTCCACGTAGGCCCGCGGGTCTCCAGGCTTGAGTGTAGGGCCTTTGCTAGGGAACCGCCCTCTTCTACCCAGTATTTCCCTCTCCTGTCTTTATCAGTGTCTCAAACTCCAACTTATGCATAATATTTTCAACTCCCTTTTTCAGTCGTTATTTTTGCCAGCTTACAGAGTGAATGTGTGTGTCTGAACTCATACAAAGAATATCAACAATATATACTTCATAATTTTCATTTGCCTCCATCTCTACTCACAGAGTTATTTTCTCAGCATTCCTGAATCTGAGGGAGAGACATTACAGTATGCTGAGTAGAAAGCAGACATTCCCAGGAACTGGGAGTTCTGTTTGCTGAATCTCTGTAATAAATATGCTGCTATTCAGGAAACACACTAATACATATTAGTTATTACTATTTGGTAACTATTTGATAAATTTATTTTCATGTAGCGTACCTGGCAATTACTTACATAAACAGTAGTTTAATCATTATCTTGTTGTACCTGAGCGAGTTAGAGAAAACGCCACACTTTGAGACAAATTAAGAGTCCGTTTATTTAGCCGGCGGCCCAGAGACGGCTAACGCTCAAAATTCTCTCGGCCCGGAAGAAGGGGCTAGATTTTCTTTTATAATTTGGTTTAGAAAGGGGAGGGGGCTCTAGTTAAAACAATTTTACAGATATAAAGTAGGCAAAAAGTTAAAAGGATAAATGGTTACAGGAAGGTAAACAGTTCCAGGTGCAGGGGCTTTAAGACTATTACAAGGTCATAGACTGGAGGCTTTGGGTGTTATCAATCAGACGAATTCCTGGGAATTGCGGATATAGCTTGCCACAGTATCTTATCAGTTAATTGCATTCTTGGATGTGCTGGGAGTCAGCTTGCACAAGTTAAGTCCTTGAGGAAGGGGCTGCCAGTGAAAGAGCCAAGATGGATTCTGTCTAGCTCTCTTAGCTAAGGGAGAGTCAATTCAGGTGGCAACAAGTCTACGTGATTAAAGGAAAAGGGAGAGTTAAAAACAGGGTTAGTAAAAACAAGGTTGGGCATTACAATCTGATGCATCTTGGGGAGATTTTGGTTTAGCTGGACCAGGGATTATAGCTCTTACGATGTGAGATTGGAAGATACAAGCTGCTTTTTCTGGGGAATGGGTATCGAAGTCAGGGTGTAAGATGGCAAACCCCTTCCTTTGCCTGTCACCATCCGCATGGAAAGAGTAGTGATAAATCATTGTAATAACAGTGGCAGTGGACTGTCAGCTTGGTGAGGGAATCCAGATGAATTTCCCTTTTCAAGCCATCAGTTTTAAGCAAATCAGAGGCCTAAAGCAAAGAGTAAAAATAACCAAGAGAATGACTCTAGATACAGGAGATATTAACTGACAGAATCTCCTTTTTTCTGCTTGCTCTTCAAGGATGACTGGACACTGTAAAACCTCATTAAATCAAAGGTTTTACATCTGCAATTTCTTTTCAGTTCCAACAAGGGCTACGCTTGAAGCTTCTGATTTACCTCTGCATCCCCAGTGCCTGGCACGTGGTAATAATAACGATAATGACAACCTTCATAAATATTTGTTGCACATTTACCTTTTAGTCTGGCCGTATTCTAAGTGCATTGCATATAATTTATCCTTAGAACAACCTAAGAGGCAGGTGATGTTCTTTCCATTTGCACATTGAAGAAACAGGTGCAGAGAGGTAAAGTCGGTTGCCCAAGCCACACTGTTAACATGAGTGAAGGTGGCATTTGAACCCAGGTGGTCAAGCTCCAGAGCCCTTGACATTTCCAGCTTAAGAAAGATCAGAAATACTCAGTGAATAATAACAATGAACTCACTCTTACTGAGCACTTACAACATGTCTGGCCCTGTTCTGTCTTTTGCATGTGTCTACATATTTAATATCTATAAGTACTTATTTATAGGTACTCTTTTATATCTGATTTACATATAAGAAAACTGAAGCACAGGGCAGTTTAGAAAATTGTCCAGATTTTATATTAATAGCTATTATGTGGCAGTAGCAGGTTTCCAGGCCAGAATATCTCACCTAGTCTCTACGCTCCTAATTACTAAGCACTACCACCTCTCCTGTGAACACATTATGAACTGAATCTTCATCATAGCTGTGGGGGAAAGAGCCCTCCTGAAAATAATAATTGCAGTATTGCAAAGGCACTTTAGAGGCAACTAGAACGTTTTTTAGAAATGCGGAATCTCGGGCCCATTCAAGACTCATTGAGCCAGAATCTGCATTTTAACAAGTTCTCCAGCTGATTTAGTTCAAGCTGAAATCTGAAAAGTGCTTCTCTAGACCAGAGTTCTCCAGTTTTGGTGCATCTCAGAATCATGTGAGGAGTAGAGATGTTAATTTATTTGGCCTGGGGGTGTCACCTGAAAACTGGGATTTTAAAAACCCTCCCAGGTGATGTGAATGCACAGCCAAGGTTGAGAACAACGGGTATAGAAACCACAGCTTTGGAGTCCTTTGTCCCTGTAATTATTCAACAAATAACACCCTTCAATATAGCACTCTTCAATAATACAGGCAGTGCTGTGAGTACTACGACTAGGTAACAGCAACCAGACACAGTCCCTGAACTTGGGGAGGGAGCTGGGCAAGTTACTTATCCTCTCTGAGCCTCAGTTTCCTTATCTGTGAAATGCAACATATAGCTTTCTGCTGCATGATGATGTTTCTGTCACTGATGGGCCACATATGTGAGAGTGGCCCATAAGATCATAGCAGAGCTGAAACATTCCCATCCTCTAGTGATGCAGCCATCATAAAGTCCTAGTGCAACCCATTACTCAAGTGTTTGTAGTGATGCTGGTGTAAACAAACCTACTACACTGCCAGTTGTGTAAAAGCGTAGCACATACAATTATGTACAGTTCATAATACTTGATAATGATAATAAACTGTGTTACTGGTTTATGTATTTACTCAATTTTTAATAGTTATTTTAGAGTATATGCCTTCCACTTATTAAACAAAATGTTAACTGTAAAACAGTCTCAGGCAGGTCCTTCAGGAGGTATTCAGAGGAAGGCATTGTTATCATAGATGACATCTCCATGTGTGTTACTGCCCCTGAAGACCTTCCAGTGGGACCAGATGTGGTGATGGAAGACAGTGATATTGATCCTGACCCCTTGTCAGCCTAGGCTAATGTGTGTGTTTGTGTCTTAGGTTTTCATAAAAATTTTAAAAAGTAAAAAACAAAGCAATAAACAAAAATTCTTAAAAAGAGAAAAAACTTAATAAGGATATAAAGTAAGAAAATATTTTTGTACAGCTCTGCAATGTGTTTGTGTGGCTTTTTTTTTTTTTTTTTTTTGAGATGGAGTTTTGCTCTTGCCACCCAGGCTGGAGTGCAGTGGTGCAATCTTAGCTCACTGCAACCTCTGCCTCCCAGCTTCAAGCGATTCTCCTGCCTCAGCCTTCCCAGTAGCTGGGATTACAGGCATGCACCAACAAGCCCAGCTAATTTTGTATTTTTAGTAGAGATGGGGTTTTGCCATGTTGGCCAGGGTGGTTTTGAACTCTTGACCTCGAGTGATCTGCCCACTTCGGCCTCCCAAAGTGCTGGGATTTCAGGAGTGCGCCACCATGTCCAGCTGTGTTTGTGTTTTAAGTTGTGTTGTGATAAGAGTTGAAAAGCTGTAAAACATTTAAAAGTTTACAAAGTAAAAAAGTTACTGTAAGCTAAGAATTTATTATTGAAGAAAGCACAATGTTTTTAAAATTTTAGTGTAGCCTAAGTGTATGGTGTTTAGTCTACAATAGTGTACAGTAATGTCCCCGGTCTTCACATTCAGTCACTGCTAGTCACTCACTGACTCACCCAGAGCAACTTCCAGTCCTGCAAGCTCTATTCATGGTAACTGCCTTATACAGGTGTACTATTTTTAAATTTTTTATACTGTATTTTACTGTACCTTTTCTATGTTTCAATATATTTGCACAAAAATACCACTGTGTTATAATTGCCTGCAGTATTCACTACAGTAACATGCCATACAGCTTTGTGACTCAGGAGCAATAAGCTATAACATATAGCCTAGGTGTGTTGCAGACGATGCCATCTAGGCTTGTGTAAGTACACTCCATGATGTTTGAAAGATGACAAAATCACCTAATGACACATTGCACAGAATGTATCCCTGTCATTAAATGACCCATAACTGTACTAACCATAGATCGGAGGACTGTCTGTCCACGTCACTTTCGGGATGAATTTCTGCCCACACATCTTGCTAAGCAGGTAGCTGACTTCAGAATGCCACCTTCAGCAAGGCCACAGCTGATTGGATGAGGGGTAGACACCCGACTAAGGCCACAGCTGATTGGATGAAGGGTGGACACGTGACTAAGAAGTAGTCAATCCATGGACTGCATTGCTATCACTTGTGTCATTAGCAAACTAATGATTTGTTGGCTGTGTTCTGCTGATAGGAGCATAGCCCTGGGTGGTGACAGAAGGACGGAAAAATCCAAACAACAGCTAAAATAAGAACTAGGCAAATAAACTACAGGATAACAGAAAACTCAAAATAAGAGAGAAAAACAGCCAAAATACTGGTCAGAGTGACATGTTCATGACTCTTCTAGGCAAACCGAAATAATAAGAGAGATAAGAGAGAAATAAATAAGAGAGAACGTTTGGGTTAGTAACCACGGGTCCCTGAAATGCCCTCCTTTTCCAGAATATCTAATGATTATTTCACCCCCTAATTTAAGAAAACGCCCATAAAATAGGAATGCTGGATGCTTACAGGAGAAGCAGGAAAATATCAAGCAACAATATCACCAGCAGCAAGAAAGGAGGTGTTAAAATTAGCTACAAGGACAAAGATAAGCCTGGGCTGATAAGACCCTTGCTAACAGGATGGGGGCTAAGCTGACTAAAACCAGCTAAGTCCGACGTGACATTGGATTTGACCCACGTCCTACCCCAGACATAATTATACACTCATTACTCTCCTAAGTCACTCACCCACTAGTGCCATGACAGATCCGATCATGCCCATATTTAGTAGAAAAATGGGTGGCACTCCAATTCTAAGAGATCTCCACCTTTTTCCTAGAAGCCCTCATCATTCCATCTTTTAATTAGAAGAGCTCATTAAATTAGAAACCCATACTCCACTGTGTGCAACTCACTCTCCCAAGTTCACTCACACTCCTACTCGAGTACTTTGGAATAAAAGCTTCTTGCCCTTCCCTTTACTCTGACTCATCTCTGAATTCTTTCTTGTGATTATGGCAAGAACCTGGAACACTGGCTGGGGCTGGGGTCTCACTGGCATCTCACCTAAGCCCTCCAGCGATATTGTAACTGGTAAATACTGTTTCCTAGAACTGGGTTTATGACTGAGAGGATACCCATAGTTCATGAGAGCTTGTTTGCTCCCGAGTGAGCTGACCTTTCTGAAGCTGACTTTCCCAGGATGTCTTGCAGGAAGATGTGTGCCTGCAATGTATAGCAACTGGCTGGGCAGGTACCTGGAGGACAGCATTTTGGCTTTAATGGGCAGACAATGCAATATGGCTTACTTGTCTCATTCTTAAGGTTTTCACAGACCAATTCAGCAGCATTTATATCAGAAAGATTATTGACGTTCACTCAAATAATATGGAGGTAAATACGTATTGTCTACTCAGGGTCCCATATGGTATCAGGCGTATTTAAATCCCTGTAACGTTGCAAGGGAAATGGCATTCCCCACAATTCCCTCCAATTCCCCTTGGAATCTGGTACCAAGGAGGCATCTGCCCAAGTTCACAGCATAAATCTATGCCCATCTGATTCCAGAATCTGTGCTCTTTTCACAACCATATGATATCTTCGTATGACTCACACTGTGAATTCAGGTCTGTCTGATTCTGGAATCCATGCTCTTTTCACAACCATATGACACCTTCCATACTTTTCAGTTTGACTTCTTTAATTTATGCTTTTAACAGCTGATTACCATTTTGCTCTGGAGAATTTCCTAAGGATTTTTTTTTTCCTGCTAAGATAAGTTTTCAGAAAAGTGAGAATGTACATCATTGTTATGACCCAGAAAGGTTGTCCTCTTTTTTTCTCAGGGATGTATTTACCTATTACTCTAAAAATTCTCCTAGAAATGGAAATTACCTCAACTTTATGCCAAATTAGGATCAGTTCTGTGCTCTGTAATTTTTTTTCCTCAGGCTTTTTATTTTTACCTTCACAATGATATCATCTGAAGGCATAGGAGGCCGTCTGTGTGATTTGAAGAACGCTAGAGGCATTTGATGGATTGCCATAATCCTGAACATTTTTATCAAGGCATTCTATACCCCTGTTAATACCAATGTATTGCATTGAAGGTGAATCTATTTCATTGTTGGATTAATTCATTGGACAGAGTAACTAGCTAATCATTCAAAAAATGGAAGACTAGATAGAGAAGTAACAATTAAGTAGAGAGGTTCTGTCCAAAATGGTAGTCATGGTTACGTATGGCAACTGAAGACTTGGCATGTGTCATAGTTTGAATTGAGATGTGCTGTACGTGGTTGTAAAACACACGTTGGATTTCTATAACAACAACCCAAAACGTGAAATATTTTATTAAATGTTTTACATTGATTAGATGTTGAAGTGATAAAATTTTGGACATAGTTATATAAACAGTATTTGCATTAGTCTGTTTCCACACTGCTGATAAAGACATACCCTAGACTGGGCAAATTACAAAAGAAAGAGGTTTAATGGACTTACAGTTCCATATGGCTGGGGAGGCCTCACAATCATGGTGGAAGGTGAAAGGCATGTCTCACATGGTGGCAGACAAGAGAAGAGGGCTTGTGCAGGGGAAGTCTCATTTTTAAAACCATCAGACCTCATGAGATCCATTCACTTTCATGAGAACAGCACGGGGAAGACCTGCCCCCTGATTCAATCATCTCCCACTGGGTCCCTCCCACAACATGTGGAAATTATGGGAGCTACAAGATGAGATTTGGGTGGGGACACAGAGCCAAACCATATCAGTGTTCAAATGAATTATATCTGTTGTTTTTAGTTTAATTTGGCTACTAGAAGATCTAAAATTCCATATGCAGCTTGCATTATTTTTCTACTGGACTAGGCTAAACTACAGCATGTAGGCAAAGCCTTCGCTGTCTCTCTCTCTCTCTCGCCACCATGGGAGCAAGCCCTTGTAGAGCTAATGCTATGACAGAGTTGGTGCTAGAGCCCAGAAAGGATGAAGGGAAGCAAAGAAATGGCAAAAAAAAAAAGTGTTAGAAATGTGTCCTATTTCACATTTTTGCTATTGTATAACTTAGTTTGTCCAAAGGGCAAAAGCTCCTGTCATAAATAAAACATAGTATTGAGAAATATACTGGTGTTTTTTTCCATTATTTCTGCTGCAACAGAACTCAGCTATCCCCAGAATTTAACCAACACTCCAGCTGATGGTTTACTGGAGACCCCATGGTTCTCTGTTGGCTGCTATGGTGGGCTGGTGCTGAAATTAAAGACTATTGAGAATGCATTCTCTCCTGAGGCCCTAGGAAGGGCTTCTCAAGTAGGATGGGGTGGCTGTTCTGATGTGATCAATGTGCTCTGACCTGAGTCAAGCCCACTGGACACTGACACTTCCAGGTCAGAGCTGGAGGTCAGGCTCAGCTCTGGGGATGGCCCAATCCTAACAGGCCTGCTTGGAATGGGTCTAAATATTGGCTCCAATTTCTTGCATGTTCTCTAGAAGTCTTCAGAACTTCCTCCTCGGGCTGGTCTGGACTGAATCAGAGAACCCCACAGCAACCCTGGAGATAACCTAGGCTTGACAGTTTGGGATGTGTGGGTGATTTCACACAGGTTGCTAGGAGGCTTTTTGGCTTGGCTTTATATACATCTTCAGAGGTATAAAGTTAGGTTATTAATATAAGGATATACTCTTCCCCAGACATATAATATACTGACATTTGCTCTTATGGTATAAAGAGGAGGGGATGATTATTTGCATTAACCTGTGATGAATCTTTTCATAATTTTAAATGATGATTGCAGTGTCCAACACTTTAGTTTTGAATTAAGCAAGGCCTATCTTACCAGCTGTGATGGTTAATTTTATGTGTCAACTTGACTGGATCACAAGGTGCTGAGATAAAAATTATTTCTGGGCTTTTGAGAATGTTTCTAGAAGAGATTAGCATCTGACTTGGTGGATCCAGTAAAGCAGATTACCTTCCCCAAGGAGGGCTGGTGTCATCCAATCTGTTGAGGCCCTGAATAGAACAAAAGGCAGAGGAAGGAGGAATCTGCCTCCCTCCCTTTTTTTCCCGTTTCACTTCTTGAGCTGGTGCATCTCATCTTATATCCTGCCCTTAGACTTGGGTTTATACAATTGGCTCCCTGGTTCTCAGGCCTGTGGGCACAGATGAATTACACCAACTTTCCTAAGTCTTCAGCTTAGGGAGGGCAGATTGTGGGACTTCTGAGCCTTCATAATCGGTGAGCCAATTCTTTACAATAAATCCTTTCACTATATGTTTGTGTGTGTGTTTGTGTGTGTCCTATTGGTTTTGTTTCTCTGAAGATTCTTGAGTAATACACCAGCATGATGGAAATGATTTGGCTTTATGTCCCCACCCAAATCTCATCTCGAATTATAATCCCCAGGTGTCAAGGGAGGGACCTGGTGGGAGGTGGTTGGATCATGGGGGCGGTTTTCCCCATGCTGTTCTCATGATAGTGAGTTCTCATGAGATCTAATAGTTTTTTACGTGTTTGGCAGTTCCTCCTTCATGCTCTCTCTTGCCACTGTGGGGAGACATGCCTTGCTTACCCATTGCCTTCTGCCATGATTGTAAGTTTCCTGAGGCCTCCCCAGCCATCTGGAACTGTGAGTCAATTAAACCTCTTTCATTCATAAATTACCCAGTCTCAGGTATTCCTTATAGCAGTGTAAAAACAGGCTAATACAATGATATAAACTTACTTGCTACTTGTTTCAGCTATCTATCGCTGTAGAATAATTTACCCCAGAGTATAGCGGCCATAAACAATAGCCATTTTATTTCTCAGGATTCTGTGGACCAGGAATTTCATTAAGCCATATCAAGGAGAGCTTGTTTCTCTCTGCTCTGTGATAGCTAAAGTGTCAGCTGAGATAGCTCAAAAGGGGGTTGCTGGGATGGCTTGACAACAGCCATTTGATTGGCAACTTAGTTTTTGTTTTCAGCTGGGATTCATGGTTTTCTTTGGCATGATTTATCCATATAGCTAGTGTGAGCTTCTTCCTAGCATGGTGGTCTCAAAATAGTTGGACTTTTTACACTGTGGCTGGCTTATCCCAAGTGAAATTGGAGGTTGTCAGTCCTGTTAAAGTTTATGCTCTTACAAAAGAGAAACAATCTTGACATGGAATGCTGGCTGGGTACTATCAGCTAAACGGTGGTGTTACTTGGAGCTGTCCTTGTACTCACTACTAGATCATGTTTTTGTTTGTTTGTTTTTTCTAGTAAACACAAACATTTCTACTGAAGAATGACATCAGACAAAGTTATTCTGTGACCAAGCTGGAACAAAGATCACTCCATAATCATGTCCAAATACAGATAAAAACAAGAACATTATGACTCATATGAATGACTACTGCCTCTTTACCAATTATAATGTGTCTCATTCCATTCTTTCTGCCTTCTAGATAAAAATTAAGATACTCAATCACAGAATTGCTCCCACTGCCTGACAGCATCCATTCCAGAAAAAAGGACACACTTCCTTGAACTCTCCAAATCGCCTACCACAAGCCCAAGCTCTCCACGTAACACCCTCTCACCGAGACACTGCACAGCGCCCCCTGGTGCACATTCCCCCTCACTACAGCTAGTCAATAACCCAATGTTGTCTGACTACAGGTGATGCTCCTGGTAGTCTTTGTCTAGGGGTAGTAGGTACCCAAATTGCCACAGTGTCGCTTCCACTGCATTCTATTGGTCAAGGCAAGTCACAAAGCCACTCAGGTTTAAGGGGAGAGGAAAAAGACTCTACCTTCTGATCCATGACACAGCATGAGCTTACAGGGAGGGAAAGGATTGATGGTGGCTGTCTTTGTAAACAGTGTACCACAGTACTATAGAACAGCCACTTAAATTTTCAGAAAGCAGTTGAATTTTAAGTTAAAAATGTATGTGAAACGCTGGTGCTGGCCACCTAGTTAGGCCATAGTCTGTGGCTATGCTTTATTCAGACAATAAGAGGATTTAGCTTCTCTTTACATCTTCACAATATGACTTCCCTTCTGTGTTTTTCTTTTCAAAAAACGAGAATGTTTTCTCACATCTTTGCCTTCATCCAACATGCTGCACACAGCACCTCTGCTCTTTCCTGACCACTGATCGCTGCTTTCTGCTCTGCCGTGGAGTCTCTTTGCTGGTGAGCTTTTGGAGCTCTGGGAAAAACACCTTTGCTAGTTGTGCTACTGTTACTACCATTGTTCCTTGGAGGAGAATTGGTGGAACCAAAGCTTTTCTCCTTTCATGGCTCTCATCATTCCTCCAAGGCACCACTTACTGTGTAGCAGGACGAGCCGCAGACAAGAACTCCTTAGACACCGAACTGTAGAAGGAAAGGGCTTTATTCAGCTGGGAGCATTGACAGACTCACGTCTCCAAAAACTGAGCTCCCCGAGTGAGCAATTCCTGTCCCTTTTAAGGGCTTACAACTCTAAGGGGGTCCGTGTGAGAGGGTCATGATTGATTGAGCAAGCAGGGGGTACATGACTGGGGGCTGCATGCACCTGCACCGGTAATTAGAATGGAACAGAACAGGACAGGGATTTTTCCATACAATGTCTGTAATCTATAGATAGCATAACCGATTAGGTCAGGGGTTGATCTTTAACTACTAGCCCCAGGGTGTGGCGCCGGGCTGTCTGCCTGTGGGTTTCATTTCTGCCTTTTAGTTTTTACTTCTTTTTTTCTTCGGAGGCAGAAATTGGGCATAAGACAATATCGGGGTGGTCTCCTCCCTTAACTGCAAGGCTGTTATATACAGTAGACTGTAACCATTGTGAGTTGTCACACAGAGACTGCAGTGCAGACAGGAAATCTGCAAAAGCAGAGCCTGATAGCTCAAGTCCTCTACATCCATCCAACCTAGGGAAAGGTACTTGTTCATCTCTTTCTTGACCTTCTCCCCAAATGGGAAAATGGCCACACTTGGATAGTACTCGTTAATGCCCCTTTTATCTTGATATATACAGTACTCCTAAAGACACACATATGCACACATGATTGCTGCCTCACTTCTTGAGCTGGTACATCTCATGTCATCTCCAGCTCTTAGACTTGGATTTACACCACTGGCTCCCCAGTTCTCAGGCGTTTGGGCACAGATGAATTATACCACCAACTTTCCTAGGTCTCCAGCTTGGAGAGGGCAAATCGTGGGACTTCTCAGTCTTCATAATCCTGTGAGCCAGTTCTTTATAATAAATCCCCCTGCTATAGCTATATGTGTGTGTGCATGCATATGTGTGTGTATCCTATTGGTTCAGTTCCTCAGTAGATTCTTGACTAAAACACCAACATAATAGAAACTTGCTTGCTACTTGTTCCAGCTGTCTATTGCTACAGAACAACTTACCCCAAAGCAGAGTGGCCATAAATTTATATATATATGATGTACATAAATCACCCCTAAGGTTAATCATGGATTCCCAACTTGTGTGTAAAATTATTGGTGTTTTTACCTTCTTTTGTCTTATCTGCATTTAGTTTTCTACAGTGAACATGTATTGTTTCTGTAACGTGACAAAAAAAGGTCTAATTTTTATTATGAACAAAAGATGGGGCTTTAAACAGAGTACCCTAATGATTCAGGTCTTTTGAAAGCCTTTTCCCCTGAGTTTTAGATTTCTCATTAGTTTCTCTTTAACCTTGACAGCAAATGTTTAGAATGTAGTATGGAACAAGACAGTGTGGTTTCCAATGTCAACCCCTTATGACTTTTTCAATACTTTTAAGACATGCGATGGAGAGCAGGTCCTAATAAAGACACAGGGTGGTGCCCAAATTAGTAGAATCATCAATTTAGTTATTGAGCAACTTGAGGGAGGAAAGAGCTGAATTTCTTGGCAGGCAGAAAATGCATAGATTATACTCTGGAGCCTCAGAAAACAGCATTGTAGGAGTTGTCTGTGGAAGCAAGATAAAGATGATGTCATCTTATAATAAGATCCTCAAGAGCTCTATAAAGGCCCAACACACACAGAATTCTACTTGAAGCAAGAGATGCCCTGATTCCAATGTCAAATGCATTTTCCTAACACTAAGTTTTTAAACTTTGAGATGACAATAAAATGGGCATCCTGGCTGCATCCTCTCAAACACCTTGTTTTTTAAATTCACTTCATTACTCATTAGCTTTTTCACCTGTATGTTAAAAGGCTGCATGAAGCATGTGAAGGCAAAGGGCAAAGATTTCATAGTTTAGGAAAATACGTAGGCACTATCTACCTCATACTGTACTATGCACCTTCTCACATGTTAGAAAAGACTTATGGTAATGATAATGACATAACCACTGATTGAGTACCCACTGTGTCCCAGATATAGTGTTATATCCATGTGTCAGTCAATCCTTAAAATAATAGGCCAATCCTATTGCCTCTTATTTTACAGATGAAGTAACTGACACTCAGAAATTTTAAGTAATTTGCCTAAGGCCACGTAGCGAATACAAAGCCATTGTAGGATACTGAACACAGTATGAAAGTCTTTTTACCTTCAGTCCTGAGATATTGCCATTGACTTTATTGTGAAACCTCCTTGATGTTTATTATTAAATGTGTCTTTTGCTCTGAGCAAGTGATGTTTGCTGTTTTTCATTTTGATTTTATACTTGAGAACCAATCTTGGTGCAAATGTGGTAAAAAGATTACAGTGGAATCTACCTATAATATTCTTGAGTTTTTCTTCATCTGACATTTATCTATTAAACATCTGGCTTAATGCAAACATACGTAGTGATTTCCACTTATAGTGTTTTACTACTTATTGAATTTTCTCTTCTTGACCTTTGGGGCAAAATTGTAAAAGATCATTCACGACAATCCATTAATAAGAGCAAGGCCACTTGAAGATGTGAAGGATCAAGTGAGCCTTCAGTGTTGACCTGACATTTTTTTCCCTAGAATTGTCTTCCGTGAGTGATGCAATTTGAAATAAATTCCCCCATGGTAAGATACTCAGGGAAGCACAGTGGAAAGCAACAAAATGATGAAATGTTTCAAAAACAAGACCCTTGAGGAAGAGGGAAGTGAATTTCACATGTTCAGTCTTGGGTTAAGAGGACTTAGGGGATAAATAACTCTATAAATATGTGTGTGGATGTAGGGGACAAGGTAAAAGGCAGTTATTCTCATTATAAAGGAAGTGATGAAATAAAATAGGGGTTATAGTAAGGAAAATTTAAAATATGATATTAATACATACAGAGGTACCTTACTAAAAATTCGATTTCTACTCATTATCCCTAAGGCGGCTGCCTGAGCAAAGTATTTACCCAATTTGAATCTCAATTTTCTTATTTTTAAAATGAGTAATAAAACTACCTTATTAACCGATTATAGTTTTAAAAAATGAGATGATTACACAGGAATAGAAAACCAAACACTGCATGTTGTCACTCATAAGTGGGAGTTGAACAATGAGAACAGGTGGACAGCGAGGGGAACATCACACACCGAGGCCTGTCGGGGTGGGGGACTAGGGGAGGGAGAGCAAGAAAAAAATGGATAAAATAAAAAGATACCAAAAAAATGAGATGATAAGTGGATTCCTTCCCAGGAGCCAGACAATGGGAACGCTCTGGCTACATTCTTGTTACCTTTACAAGAATGTTATGAAGCTGGTTGTCTTATCACCTCGTTACAGAGGTGAAAACTGAAGCTCAAAATACTGAAGGGCTTGTCATAGTTGTAATCGATGTGTGTAGTCTTCAATAATTCAGTGTTGGTTCTTATTAATACATAGTCTCCTTCCTACCCCCACCCACTGCTTTGGGGGATCTTCTCCTCCTGCACTCCTTTCCCTTTGTGAGTGATGTCAAATCAGAAAAGCTCTCTGAGCCTCCTATTTTTGTATCTTTAGGTTCAGGACAATGAAGATAATGGCTAAAGCACTTGTTCCAGGGGAGGCAAAAATATAAGTTGTTTGACTCCAACCCTAAGAATAATTTGAGAGGGGTTTGGCTGTTTGTTTGGGATAGTTGGTTATGGGTGTTAGTATTCCTAGAGATGAGTAGGTTATATTGAGAGTAGCTTGATTGTAAGATACCCATTCCTGCCTAGACACCGGTGAACAGAATGGGTGGCCATTCAGACCGAGCATGTAGATTTGTCTGGAGGCCCTACAGATTTCTAAATTAAGGGGAACTAAGAGAAAAGCAAAAGCTAAATAACTTTCTAGGTAATATGAACAATATGAAGTGGTAACATGTGTAGGACAAAAAACATCTTAAAAGGGAGAAAATGGGTTTATTCTTCTCAATGGACTGACTCTAGCAGGTCTCTTTGCAACACACACACACACACACACACACACGATTTCAGAATTTTTACCTATTTGAAAATTGATTGTGTTTCTGGACTAATAACAACAATAGTAATAATAGTTAACATTTATTGAATATTTCTTAGTGCCAGGCATTATGGTAATAAGTGCCTTACATGCATTTGTTCATTTAAGTCTCACAATAAAGAATAATTATTATATTATATTATAATAATTATGAATAATAATTTTAATTAATATTGATTGATAACATTATAAGTTAATTAAAATAATTATAAAACACTATAAATTAATTATAATTATAATTAATTATAAATAATTACAAGTAATAATTATTTATTTTATTTTTAATAAATGATATCCTCCTTAGATCCTATAAGTAGGAATTATTTATTATTATTCATTCTCTCACAGTGAGCTGGGCATCAGTTTCCTCATATGAGAAGTCTGTCTGGATAGCCACAGTGAATCTGGGAATATTACAAATATTTAGCAAATAGAGGCCAGGGATGCTCTATGCCCTGCAATGCATGAGGCAGTTTCCTAAAAGGTAAAGCTGGC
Source organism: Homo sapiens (assembly GCF_000001405.40). Taxonomy (NCBI): domain Eukaryota; kingdom Metazoa; phylum Chordata; class Mammalia; order Primates; family Hominidae; genus Homo; species Homo sapiens. The sequence continues at coordinate 87,800,144 of NC_000014.9, read as the reverse complement.
CAGCTGGAAATGCCAACAGAATCCCTCCTGATAAATGTTTTAGCTCCAAATAAACTCTTAAGTTTCTGAGAGGCACCTCAGCCACCTCCCATGTGACATATTGTTTCCTATAAGATAGACCATTTGGATCCTTCTGACATGTGTTAGTTGCTATAAATACAAGTGTGTAACAGGATCCTTAACGATGGCAGTAACTAGAATGTAAATTTAATGGAAGGTGATTATTGAAGCTGAGGTGGCCTGGGTTTTATCTATAGAGTCCAGTGGTTCTCAGACCTGACCGATCTTAAGAATCTCCTGGAAAGCTTTGAAAAAACAGATGCACTGGCCCTGGAAATTCTGATTCAATAGGCCTGAGGCAGATATAGATGGCCCAGGAAACTTTGTTGTTATTCTATAAGTAATTCTGATGGTTAGCCAGGGTAGAAACCAATACTCACCACAATCTATTCATTTACAAATGGAGGGCATGAGTGCCAAGATGGTACCATTCTCTTCTTCTGCTTCTTCATTTCCCAACACGACACTCCGGTGCTCATTGCGAAAAGAAAGAGGAAGAGACAGAGAAAGGAAATGAAGAATATCCTGAATTTCTAAGATGAGTTAATGATCTCATGCCATTTTCCCCAGGGACCTTTGCTGGGCATTTGCTGTGCATTTAGAATACAGGCTGTTAGGTTTTATGATGCTAATGCAGGCCCAGGATTGATCATGGCACAGGTGGAGTTTGCAACCACCCAGATAATTAGGAAAGCTCAGTAAATAAAAGCTATAGCTTTAGTACTTGATTTCTAGTTGGGCTTGTGACTGTCCAGGAGTAAAAAGAGTTTATTCTTCTTTAAGAGGATGAGTTGATGTTGGAAAGAAGGAAGAGAGTCAAAGGAACCACTTTTGGCTGGGGAGCCAAACCCGTCTCACTGGGGGAGCCTAGAGGAAGTTGTTTTAATTTTACCCAGCATTTGCGGAGCTCCTGAGTCGCTGAAGAGAAAGCCCTGGTTGAATAGGTGACTGATTCATGTGTATTGTGTGTGTGTGTGCGCATGTGCATGTGTGCGAGTGGAGGCGTGTGACAACTTTAAAAACTTGGAGCTGGGAGAAAGTTTACCACATTTGATAAATAAGAAAACAGATGCACAGCAAGAGGTTAAGTAATTTGTTAGGGTTAAGAGCAGACCAGGGATTTAACCCATAGTTGTCTGACCTCAGAAGGACAGCTCCTTCTGTCCACACAAGGAAGCCTGGGTCAAGCCAGGGTGGCACAAAGAGAGAGCTCATTCAGGGTCAGCAGCCACATGTGAATCTGAAGGTCATCTTTCCAGCCTCAGGCTCAGAACTCCAATATCCTGTTCCCATTTTTCTGGCTTACACGCTGGCCCCAGGGTCTGCGCTATTGGAGTCGGTCTCTGTCTCACCATCTTCCCCATCCCCCTGCCCCCAGCTTAGCATGGGATCTGGAGGCTGCCCCCAGCCTGCAGCGTGGGAAGCATAACCTTATCTGTAGCTTCCAGCCTGGCTTCAGCCTTATTGTCAGAATTGCTAAATAGTCCCCATCCTATATTAACCTCCAGCTTTCCAGTCGTTCTTCAGCTCCACAATTTCTGAAATGCCCCATCTTGTGGGGAAAACAAAATTAGGCCTAAGCCAGAGGAGACTCAGTGGGAGGTTTTTTGGGACCGACTTGTGCCCCCACCAGGGCCGGTTGGAGCTGCTAGGGAGAGTTTCTACACGGATCTCCGTGCAGACTTGCCCTGCATTTTCCCGTACTCTCGCAGGTGCAGGCCACTCCCCTGCAGAGCATCACTCATGGCTCTGAAGAGAGTGGCATGACAGAAGACATAACGAAGTAGCCAAATTTTTGGCTTCTGAGTCTCAAAGACTGTGGGCCTGAGGGAACTCAGCAGCAAAACAGAGATTACCAGCTTCATGGTACCAGAGTGCTGGGCTGAGTGGAAAAGTGGAAGAGAAGGAAAAGACTCACACTGGGGCCTGAGCCTTGCAGTGGTGGAGCAGGTGGGGAGCTTTACATAAACCCCAATTAGGTTTGGAGGATCTGAGAATGGAGAAAAAGCCTGTAGTGTAATGTTTCAATCTTAGGTAAAGACTTGGAAGATTTTAGACCCCTGTAACAGAGATGGTCTCACCAATGTCCAGTAAGTGATCCTGAGACAGCCTCACTCACCCAGCCCACCAAGCCCCTGCAGGACTCAGCACCAATAGTCATTCTTTTGCACCAGAGACTGGGTGTCAGAGTCAGTGGGTCCTAGCCTCATGGTTTCCCCCGCCCCCAGCATGATGTGAGAGCAGTGAGATGTCCCACTACTGGAGAGGAAGGCAGGGAAGATGAGAGACAGCAGGACCTAAAGAGGAGTCTTGCTCTGTTGCCTGGGTTGGGGTGGAGCAGTGGCGTGATCTCGGCTCACTGCAGCCTCTGCCTCCCAGGTTCAAGCGATTCTCCTGCCTCAGCCTCCCGAGTAGCTGGGGCTACAGGCGCATGCCACCACGCTAATTTTTGTATTTTTAGTAGAGTGGGCTTTTGCCATGTTGGCCAGGCTGTTCTCAAACTCTTGACCTCAAGTTATCTGCCTGCCTTGTCCTCCCAAAGTGTTGGGATCACAGGGGTGAGCCACTGAGCCCAGCGAAGCTGATTTTTTTTTTGAAAGTTACTTTATTTTCGCTTTTTGCAAACACAAAATTCCAAATAGAGAAGCCTTGTTCTCTTGCTGTTGCAGGACTTTCTTCACCACAGGTCTTATCCTCATGGACCTTCCTCTGACTTCTGGGCCAGGGAAACAAGACAGGTTCTCCTAGAGCCTGGATCTGCATCCAGCATCCTCCTTTCCTCCCACTTCTCCTCTGAGTGCTTCGGTAGTAGGTGGCTGCCTCTGACATCGCAACATCTTCCTTTTGTGAGCTGCTATGACTTAATCTCTGCAAGATTAGCCTTATTGTTATGGCTCTAGTTTATCTGGTGTGATCACAGCATGCGGCAGTTTGCTGAAAGGTACGGTCTATTAGGAGATGCTTGTTATAACAGTGGGAGGAGAGCAATAACAAGTACAGCTGAGCAGCTTAGCATTTGACTGATAGGTACGTAAACAAGAAAACACCACGGCTGGATTCTCATGCTTCCGAGGAGTCCAGTAACAAAAAATGCTATGCTGTCAGTGTCACAAACTCAGTTAAATTAACTGATATCCATTTAATTAATTAATTTATTGTTCGGGACTTGTGGAGGACTCACGATGTGCCGGATTCTGGATCAGATGCAAGGGATACGGAAATGAACTCGAACATCCGTGCATGCTAGGTGCTCATGTTCTGATGGGAATACAGGCCAATAGGGCCAGAAAAATTTAATTAAAAATGGATTAAAAATTACTGAGAAGTTACTCTGTGCCAGGCTCTGTGATAAGCACACAAGGAGAAAACATATATTTTCTGGACTTAAGAATCTCTCACTTTTTCATTCAAGGTGATAGGTGCTTTACCAGAAGAATTGACAAGGTCCACCTAATTCAGTTTGTTAAAGCAAACTAAATATGGCCTGAGAAGGACTCTGTACTTCTATATTTGAGTCCTTGTGGATGAACTGCAACCTAACTTATTAGGTAGACAAGATTGAAAACCTAACTTAAGAGTATGCACCTGTAACAATAGCTGAGTCTTGGCCAATCCCAGAAGATGTACTTCAACCACTCATACATTGCCAAGTGTTCAAGCAGTGTTCCAATAAGGCAAATGCCAACCTGTAACCAATCCATCCATTCCTGTGTCTCACTTCTGATTTCTGTACATCACTTTACTTTTTTGTCCATAAATTTGTTCTGACCATGAGGCACCCCTGGAGCCTCTCTGACTCTGCTGTGATTCTGGCTGTTCTATTTGCAAATCATTCATTGCTCAATTAAATTCCTTTAAATTTAATTCAGCTGAAGTTTTTATTTTAGCAAATTCAACAATTATTCTAGGACACTATGTCTTGTCTTCTTCTTCTTTTTTTTTTTTTTTTTTGAGACAGAGTCTCATTCTGTCACCCAGGCTGGAGTGCCCCGGTGCAATTATAGCTCATTGCAGCCTCAAACTCCTGGGCTCAATTGATCCTCCCACCTCAGCCACCTGAGAAGCTGGGACTACAGGCATTCACCACCAAGCTTGGCTAATTTTCTGTATTTTTTGTAGAGATGGCGTCTCGCCATGTTGCCCAGGCTGGCCTCGAAATGCAGGGCTGAAGCTATCCACCTGCCTCGGCCTCTCGAAGTACTGGGATTGCAGGCGTGAGCCACTGAGCCTGGTCCTTATCTTGTCTTAATGTGTGTGTGTGTGTGTATTTTATATATATTGCTATTTCTTGGGGTGGGGGGAAAGGAAGGGGAGGGAGGGAGAGAGAGAGAAGAATCCATCAGAAGTTTTCTGAAACGGCTCTCCAGTTTACCTCCATATTATTATTTTTGGATTCTGAGTGTTACCTATTTCTCTGCAATTTAACCATATACATCTGTAATAGAAGATCTAATAATGTTCTTCCCCTGGCAGCTTTCAATTTCTTCTTTAAAGGTATTAATTATTGTTATTGTTTATTAACACTTAATATGTGCCAGACTCTAAATGTGACACTTTCCTTACATTGCTTTATATAAACCTCATGAAAAAATGGATAAAGTAGAAATTATTAATTTAAGAATACAAGAAAATGATTCTTGGAGAGGTTCATTTGCCCGAGTTAACATAGCTGGGAAGTGACAGAGTCAGGATATGAAACGTGAACTACTTTGCTCCATGTATTCAGCTATTTTTAAATTTATTGATTTCTTACTGTGTGTCAGGCCCTATTCCAAGGCATCCCACATTTAGTCCTCATCACAACACTTTGAGTAGTTAACTATTTTGCAGATGTAGAAACTGAGGCTCAGAGACAGTGAGTAACTTGTCCAAGGAGGGCAAAGCAAGTAGCAGAATTTAAACCTTGGTCTTTCTGGTTTCAGAAGTCCTCATGCCATACTTTCTACTGTACATTTAGCTAATTGTACCCAAGTGGGAAGAAAGAAACTAACATTTATTGAATTTCTTCTTAGTATCAGGACCTAATTTTTTTCCCCCAGAAACAGCACTGTAAGTTAGGCATTATTTCTCTTTACTATGAGACCAGGCTCTCTGGGAAGATTACCTTTTTTTTCCCACTGTCATAGAGAAAGTTGAGTGTGAACTTGATATTTTAACTGGTGTATTTCTTCCCATGACTTCCCAAAGAAATACAAATTCATGTACAAAAATTATTTTATGGATTAAATAGTTTTTAATTCCTGGAGCACTAGCAAGGAAAAACACTCATGACCAGTGTGCATTTAACCACTGATTCATTCTTCCCCTTGTGTTTCTAAGCCTGTTTTAATTCACACGCATGAATGAGTTTTCATACTTCTGATCCTCGTTGGGTTTACTTAAAATAAAAAAGTGGTTTTTATGGTGTGAGGGAGGCATGGAGTGATCTCCTGTGTCCAAGACATAGCCAAATGCCCATGACTTGAAAATGTCATATATGAGTTGATCATGTGCCTACACAGAGGGTGAGAGTGACTTTACAACAGGAACATTGTTTTAACCTATCAAGAAAGAAAAAGAAGGGACTGCACCATGTGAGTAAAAAAAAATGTCATAGATAAAAGTGAAAGAGAATTCAGACAATGTGACGAGAAAGGATTAAAAGTGCTGAAAATGTGCGGTGGGACTGATAGCTATAGGAAATAACACAAGTGTTGGCAGCCCCAGAACCCACATGCATGAGTAGGGCCAGCAACTTTCCATGATCCTTCCACAGGAGTCATTCCTCCAACTAAAAAATACTATGCAAATTCCACTAATATAGTATTCAGAGTTACAATGCCTACTTAGAATGTAGGGACCATGAATAAACCCCCGAGATTTTAAGAGACCAGAGAAAGTTAGGAAACTTAACAACTGTTTTCTGAACCTTCCAAGACCTATTAAAAACAATGCCTGTGATTCAGAGAAATCAAAGCCTAATCAAAGTAGGCTGTTTTATTCATTTTCCTTTTTTTGTTGTTTTGAAGGAAAAGCCTGTATTTAGTGACTTTAGTTAAACGTATTCTATTTGTTGCTTCCTTTTATTGGATTCTGGAGCAAACTGATACAACCTGTGTGTGTGTGCGTTGGTGAGGAGACTATGATATTGCTATGATAAATATTACAGTGCAAAACCCTGCCAGACCATTTCCCCTAGTCATAGCTGTTTGAGAGTGTACTGAGGCTTGGTTACTGTGAATTCATGCCTTGTGTATGTTATTGTAAAATGAACATTGTGGTAATCCATTGTCTTAACGGGTCTGGAATTGGCAGTAAGTGAGAGAAGCAGGCTAAGTGAGGGGGGCAGGCACAGTAGTCGTTGAGGGACTAAGAGCTACAGCCAATTTGTCAGGAGGCTGTTTTGAGTCTTCATACTGCTCTTTGCCTGAGCCAAAGGCATCCCTGTCCTGGGTCTCCATGCTTTACAGTGTCCTTTTCTGCAACTTTTCCAGCTGTGTCAGAACCCAGAGGGCAAGGGGAGGTGTTCAGGCACAGTCCATTCCCATTTTTTCTCCAGAACCCTCTAGCAACCTGGTAACCAGACTTCCTTGCCAAAGTAGCCTGATCCCACTTCCAGGGTCTCTTGTTGGAGTCCATTCTTCTGAGGGGAAGTTACTCTGCAGGTGGGAATCCTCAGGCCCCTGAGGCAGCCAAGGGGAGGCTGTTAGTAGAGGTGTGGACAAAGCGTAGATGCCGGATGGAGTGGGCACACGTGAGCCTCCTTATGGTGCAACAGGCACCTGGGGATAGAAATAGAAGTGGGGTGGGCTCTAGGCTGAGGACCCAGCCAACTTCCTCCACACTGCCACCACGTTCCTGCATGAAACGCTGAAGAGTCTGAGACTGGTAAATTTGAACTGGCCTTCCAGATTAGTATGAAGGCATACTTGTCAAGGTAGAAAGATACAACATGTTTTATACAGAATTTGCGAGCTCAGTTGATAACATCAGTATATGGGTCTTCATTTGTATTCATGCCACAGGTCCTGTGAATATTAGATCTAAGACTGACAGGGACTGGCTGCCGTTGGGGAGGGGGGATGTATGAGACTTCCAGAGAGAATTTGGTCTACTCTTAGTTTTGAGACGTTGGATGCCACCAAAGATGACTTACCTGTTCTCTGAGAAGGACAGAATAATAGTTGTCCATGTGGGCAGAAGTGAAACAGAGTCCAGTTCATTTCTGTTTCCCTAAGTATGTGGGCTCTCTGTATTTCTTGGAGATATATTCTGTTTGGGCAGGAACTAGATGTAGTGGAAATGGTATTTGGAGTCAGACCGATAAAGAAACTTTCAGTGGTACCAATTATTAACCTCAATTTCCCTATTTAAAATGGGGATAATAATAGTGGCTCTTGGGATTGTTTTGAGGATAAGATGAATTAATGTAAATGACTTACTTATTCTTAAAGTTCAATAAATTTTCAACCAGGAGCCCCTCTCTCCCCTTTCTGTTTTGATGAAAAAAATACACCTCTGTGTTTTATTTCCTTGGATACTTGCAAAAAGTCTTGTTGACTATTTAATATAATTCTTGCTAATAATATGAACAGTCTCAGAAATCATTTTGAAAAGAAATGACTGGAAACAGTGTGCCTTAAGGCAATGGAACTACTTCGGGGTAGGAGGGTCCCTTCATTGCTATCCACTGAGGGACCAACACCCATACCCAAAGGCTTAACTATCTTGAGATGCCGGTCTCATTGCTCTAGTGTTGCCTTTGACAGGTCAACATTGGCTTCATCTCAGTTATTGGATTTTGATTTAATTCCAGAATTACCTGGACTGAGTTCAATGGCAGAGCAATACTTGGAATGATGGACTATCATATGGAATTCATTTTCTTGAAATGTCACGTGTTCTAATGTCCCAATTTTTCTGAGCAGACAATAGCATGATGTTTAGTTGCATAGGTCAACTTGGTTAGGTTATAGTACTCACTTATTCAATTAAACACTCATATAAGTGTTGCTGTGAATATATTTTGCAAATGTGATTAACACCTACAATCAGGTGACATTCAATAAAGGATAATATCCTTAATAATCTGGGTGGGCCTTATCCACTCAGTTGGAAGGATTTAAGAGCAAAACGGTTTTCTCTGAACCAAAAAAAAGAAGAAATTATGCCTTTGGAGAGAAGCATCAGCTCCTGGCTGATAATTTCTAGCCTGCTGGCCTGCTCTATGGATTTCAGACTTGCCACCCCCTACAACAACAATCATATAACTGGTTTTACTTCTCTAGTAGAACTCTGAGTGACAGAGAATTTGATACCAAGAGTGGTTCTAGAGACACTGAAGAGTATAAATTGGTTCTCCAATCTGATTAGATTTAAAGGCACTAATGACTCTATTTCCAGTGAAAAAGTAGACACTGGTAGTCCATGGCATGGTGTAGCAATAGAAATACATATAATACTGTCATCAGATACTCCTGATCAAATGCAGATAAAAGGCAAAATCCTGGTTGATTGTGTATTTGATATCTTAGAACGTTTTAGTCGAAGTAAGGAGCATGATGAGATTGACTGGTTTGCTGCTAACTGCTGGGGAAAGAGGAAAAACAGGATGAACTAGGAGCTTGAAATTCCTAGTTCCAGCTTGAAATAAATGAGCTAAAAACGTTTATATCTTCCCTAAAAGAAACTGTCTTAATTCATATAGGCTGCTATTACAAAATGCCATAAACTGGTATTTTATAAGCAATAGAAATTTATTTCTCACAGTTATGGAGGCTGAGAAGCCAAGATCAAGGCAACGGTATATTTAGTGTCCAGGGAAGGCTCACTTCCTGGTTCATAGATGGTGATCTTCTCCTGTATCCTTACATGGTGGAAAACGTGAGAGTGGTCTCTGGGGCTTCTTTTATAAGAGCACTAATCTCATTCAGGAGGGCTCTGACCATGACCTGTCACCTCCCAAAGATCCTACCTCCTAATACCTGATACCATCACCTTGAGGGTTCGCATTTAAACATATGCCTTTTGGTGGGGGTTACATAAACATTCATCTACAGCAGAAACTCTTACCTCCTACAGTCCCAGGGCTGAAATTTCTGAAAGCCAAACCCTGAATCTTATCCTGGGAACAGCTTTAATACAAGAACAATTGTATTATCAACCTCACAAAGTTTCTTCTGTTAAAGTGAGAGCATTGACTGGGGAGAAATGGGATTCAGAAAACTATAATGGAGATGTATAGAAAGATCCCAATAAACTTGAGAATACTGAACGCTTGAATTCACTAGGACTTCTTTGCCAGTAAGAAAGTCCTGGTGAATGGAAGCAGCCCTTCCATCCCTGTTGAAGGACGTTAACTCTGCTTTGTCTGAAGAATCTGTAAAGACCTCTCCTAGTGTAGTTGCCTGGCAAGACAACCACTGATTCTCCTTAGGACACACCCTCCACCCACTTTGCTTTTAAAAGTATAACTAGACTCAAGTCTAATGGGTAAAGTACAAAGTATGACCCAGAAGGAAGGGTACTACACAGCAAACAACTACATAATTTTAAAATTTATACAGACAGTAATCTGTGAGGGAATGGATATCAAAAGTGTGGGATAATATTTATTGACATGGGCCCACTAAGCAGAGATTCTAGATTCAATTTTTCAGCTTGAGAATTTAGAAAGGGCTCTTACAGTATGTTGTTAGCTGAAACATGGACTGAAAGGTCTTGCCTAAATTAAATGCAGTCGACATGTCAGAACTGCTGGTTATACTGCAGAGGAAGGTATCTCAAGGCATAGGGAGATTGGAATGTTAGTGTAGACTTATCATGTAAGATCTACCCATCCTCCCTGGGAGAGTCTAGAGGACTCTCCTTCCACCTCCTACCACAACAATGAAAAATAAGTTTGTGAAGACAGTCCCATGCCCTTGAAGAGCTCTGTGGTTACTCTTCTTTGGAGGTCAGTAATTACAGTGGGAACTGCAGCTACCAAAGCAATAATCAGAATACTCTGATTTGTAGTGATCTCTGGTGTTGGCTAGTTGATCATGCTGTCTCTAGAAAAGAAATAGAAGGGCTTTCTACCAAATTCTTACTTGATCTGTAAAAGTGGAGGAGCTCTAGGTCAAGGGAACTGAAATCGACTTTGAATTACCAAAATAGAGTGTTATGGAGCAAATTGTGTTCCCCCCAAAAACTTATATGTTGAAGCCTTATATGACTAGGCTTTGTGTCCCCACCCAAATCTCATCTTAAATTGTAAACCCTAGGTGTTGAGGGAGAGACCTGGTGGGAGGTGACTGGATCATGGGGGAAGATCCCCCCATGCTGTTCTCATGATAGTGAGTCTTCAGGAGCTCTGATAGTTTTATAAGTGTTTAGTAGTTCCTCTCTTACTCACTTTGTCTCTCTCCTGCCACCTTGTGAAGAAGGTGACTGCTTCCCCTCCTGCCATGATTATAAGTTTCCTGAGGCCTCCCAGCCATGTGGCACTGTGAGTCAATTAAATCTCCTTTTTAAATAAACTACCCAGTCTCGGGTAGCATCTTTATAGTAGTGTGAAAATAAATTAATACAAAACCCTAACCACCACCCCCTGCCCCCGCAACGTGACTGTATTTGGAGACAGGCCCCTTAATGAGGTAATTAAAATTAAATGAGCTCTTACACATTGAGGCCTAATCCAATATGACTGGTGTCCTTATAAGAAGAGGAAGCAACACCAGGGATGGGTGAGCACATAAAAAAGGCTGTGCGGAGACACAGGGAAATGGCTATCTACAAACCATGGAAAGACGCCTCAGGAGAAACCAGATGTCTCAACACTTTGATCTTGAACTTCCAGCATTTAGAACTGTGAGAAAATAAATTTATGTTGTTTAAGTAATCAGTCTGTGGTATTTTATTATGGCAGCTCTAGTGAACTAAGACAGAGTCATGGGTCCTCAGTTAATTCCCAGACTTAAACAAGTTTACAAGCCCAGAATCCCTTGAATGAAGGGGCGGGGGGTGGGGGGTCAGGTGCCCTTGAGAAAGGATCATGCTTTACTGCCAAAGATTTATATTGTTAATCTTGATTCCAGCCTTCCTCAAAGGGACCTATGACCTTTTACCAGGGTGACTGTGCACTGAGGAACAAGAAGTAACTTTTTGAGGATTACCGTACACTGGTTTTGGACTTACACTAATTCTAAAAGACCCAAAACATTACTGTGGTCTACAAGTCAGAGCAGGGTGTTATGGAGGTCAGGTGATCAATGGGGTTTCAGCTCAGATTCTTATCACCATGAATACCACTGAACCCATCCTGTAGTTATTTCCTCAGTTCTGGTAGAATAGGCAAACTCAGTAAACGGCAGAATCCATACATTTGTTCCTTGACCTGTGGAGTGAGGGTATTACGGTAGGAAAATTTAAGTAGGAACTGCTAGAACTGCCTGTACCTAGGAAAATAGTGAACCCAAAACAACAATGCATTCTTAGAGGGATTTCAGAGATTAGTGCCACCCTCCAGGACTCGAAAGAGGCAGGGGTGGTGATTCCCTTCATATCCTCATTTACCTCGCTTATTTGGCCATGCAAAAGACAGATGAATCTTGGAGAATGACAATGGACTATTGTAAACTTAACCATGTGGTGACTCCAATTACAGCTGCTGTTCCAGATGTGCTTTCATTGCTTGAGTAAATCAACATATCTCCTGGTACCTGATATGCATCTATTGAACTGGTGAATACTTTTAAAAAATGCTTGTTAGTAAAGACTCTCAGAAGCCTTTTAATTTCAGCTGGTAGGGTCAGCAATACACTTTCACTCTCAAGAGTATATCAAATCTCTGTTCCTAAGTCATAATTTAGTCCACAGAGACCTTGATTGTCTTTCGCTTCCATAAGACTTCACATTGGTCCATTACCTTGATAATATTATGCTGATTAGACAGTACAGATCCCTAGGACTTTGAAGCAAAAAAGCTGCCATCCTTTGTAGATAACCACTCTCCTTTTGATAAACAGCTTTTGGCTTGCTATTGGGCCTTAGTAGAGAAAACTTAACCAAAGGCCACCAATTTCCATGTGACCTGAGCTATGCATCATGAACTTGCTGTTGACTGACCCACCTAGCCAAGCTGATGTGTACACTGTCATTCCATTATGAAATGGAAGTGGTATATGTAATGTTGAACTTGAACAGGCCCTGAACATAAAATAAATTACTTGAGAAAGTGACCAAAATACACATGGTCCCTTCTCTTGCTGTATTATTTTCTCTCTCCAAACCTATACCTCTGGCTTCATGGGGGAGTTTCCTATGACCAGCTGGGCTAAAGAAGAGAAAACTCAGTATTGGTTTACAGATGGCTCTACATGATAAAGTGGACAGTTGCACTGCTACAGTCATTTTCTGGGACACCCCAAAGGACAGTGGTAAAGGAAAATCCTCTCAGTGGTTGCTCCTTTTGCTTGGAAAGAGGAATCGCCAGAGGTGTGAGTCTATACTGATTCATGGGCTGTGGCCAATGGCTTGACTGGATGGTGAGAGGCTTGGAAATAACATCATTGGAAAACTGGTAACAAGGAAGTCTGGGGAAGAGGTATGTGGATGAACTCCAAATGGGCAAAATCATGAAGGTGTTTGTGTCCTATGTGAATGGTCACTAAGAGTAATCACAGCAGAGGGGGATATTAATAATTAAGTGAACAGAACTGTTCTGTGGATACCAGTACATTTCTCCCCCCAGGCACCCCTGTCATTACCCAGTGGGCTCATGAACACAGCGGCCATAGTGGCAGGGATGGAGGTTATGTGTGGGCTCAGCAACATTGACTTTTACTCACCAAGGCTATGGCTACTGCTCAGTACCCAACATGCTAAGAGCTAACACTAAGTTCCGATACAGCACTATTCCAAGTTGATAAGCCACCTACTTGGTGGCAGATTGATTATGCTGGACCACTTTCGTCATGGAAGGGGCAGTGCTTTGTTCTTAGTGGAACAGACATTTATTTCAGTTATGAATTTTCCTTCCCTGCATGCAATGTTTCTGCCAAAACTATCATCTATGGACTTACAGGATGCCTATCTCCCATAAAAATATTCCACATAGCATTTTTTCTGATCAAGGGGCTCACTTCATAATAGATAAGCATGGCAATGGGCCCATGCTCATGGAATTCATAAGCCTTACCATGTTCCCCATCCTCCTGAAGCAGCTGGCTTGATGAAACATGCAATAGCCCTTTGAAGACTCGCTTACAATGCCAGCCAGGGAGTAATAACTTGTAGTGCTGGAGTGAAGTCATTCAGCAGACTGTATGTGCTTTAAATAAGCATTTAATATATGGTTCTGTTTCTTCCATAGCCAGAATTCATAAGCCCAGCAAACAAGGAGTGGAAATGGATGTAATTGTAGGGTAGCAAGTCTGAAACTCTTACAGGCTAGCAGGCTGGAAACTCTCATAACCGGATGTTTCTATATGGAGGTGGAGTTTCTTCTTCTTCCTCAGGGAAAACTCTGTTTTGTTCTTAAATTTTGTTCTTAAATATTCTTTTGTTCTTAAGGCCTTTCAACTGATTGGCTAAACCCACCCAGATTATTAAGGATAATGTCATTTATTTAGAGTCAACTAATTGTAGATGTTGGCCACAATGAAAAATACCCTCTTATATATACAAATACTATGGATGTCTCATATATTATATATATATGTATATCAAATATGCATGTGTGTGTGTATGTGTTTGTGTATTTGCTAGAATGACTCACAGAACTCAGGAAAATGCTATACTTTACTATTGTTAGGTTTAGCCTAAAGCTGCTCCCTTACGTATTTTAAATTTGGCCTAAAGGTTTCTCCATACATAGTGAACTGTAATATAACTGGATGTGTAAACAGACTGTAACCTACTCTTGTGCCAAGCACCAAGTTTCAGCCAGTCAAGAATGGCCAACTGTTCAGTTTTCAAATTAAACACCAAACTGTAACCAATCTGGCTGTTTCTATACCTCACTTTCATTTTCTGTACATCACTTTCCTTTTTCTGTCCATAAATCTTCTTCGACCACACACTAGTGCTGAAGTCTCTCTGAACCTTTTCTAGTTCAAAGCTGCTCAATTCTGCATGAATCGTTCTTTGTTCAGTGAAACTCTGTGAAGTTTCATTTGTGTCAAGTTTCCTTTTTAACACTATTTAGTTTATTATAAAGGATACAAATGGATGGCCAGATGAAGAGGTACATAGGGTGGGGTCTGAAAAGGTTGTAAGCCCAAGAGCCTCTTTCCTTTGGAGTCCGGGTGCGCCATCCTTCTGGCGTGTTTATGTGTTCACCAACTTGAAAGCCCTCCAAGCCTCCCATTCAAGAGTTTTTATAATCCAACCTCCAGCACTCCTCCCTTCCCTAGGGCTGGGGGGTGGGGTGGGACTGAGGGTGCCTGCCTCTAATCTTGTGTTTGGTCTTTCCAAGGACCAGTCCCAATTCTGAAGTCGTCTAGGAACCCCACCAGGAGTCACCTCATCAGCATTAGCATAGACTCAGGTGTGTTCCAAAGTGGTTCATTATGAACAACAGAGACACTCCTATTACTCAGGAAATCCCAAGGGTTTTAGGAACCCTGTGCCAGGAACCTGAGATCAAGACCAAATATATATTTTTATTCTAGCACTGAGAGCTGTTGCTGTGTTTTGTGCTGCTAGCCTTAGGTCCCTTTGTAGCTCCCTGGTTTCCTACTCACTCCCAAGCCTGATTCTTTGCCTCCTCCCTGATTGTTAACAGCAGCACCTTCCCTTCAACATCTTTCCAAAAAAATCCTCCTTTGATTAAATCAGTTGGAGATGGATTTTATTGCTTGCCATTAAGACCCTGGCTGACATGCGTGTCAAGAGCTGATGCGAAAGAATCAGTAGAATGGGGTGCATAGTCTTGTTTGCATATTTCATTAGGTTTGGTGAGTTTGCAATAGTTGATGTGGGTGTAAAATTCCAATTTACTTCTCTAATGAACTCTTCAACAATGAAACTGCTCCATTTAGCTGTACATGATTATAGCTAAATGTTGGTTGTTACAAAAAGACCTTGTTTTGACTCCATATGAAAACAACATTCAAAATCAACCAGAGGAAAGCAGAACATGTGGCCTAAAGTCAGGAAGAAAAATCAGCATGTAGGTTTTGGAGCTGGCTGTGTCCTTGCTATCATTTCTTTTCCACTGCCCTAACATTTCTCATATATTTGGCCACTGTTTAACATGATCAGAAAAATATTATTTTAAAAGGACACATTTTGAGTTAAAAATGACTCTCCTTCTTGGGTGTGTTTTGTGGTTTCTGCAGCTGGAGGTTACAATAGGCTATTTGATTAATGAGCTGTTTTATTGGGATGCAAATAATGCATAATATCATAAGATCCATATGTTGTACATTACAGAGGCATAAAACTTACCTTGGCACAAAATGAAAAATTTAAAGCATCTCTCTTGAAAACATATATCATGCTGAACAAAAAGCATGTGGGTGTTTTGGTATTTATGAAGCTGATGAATGCTGTGCCAGATTTGTTTAGTTTTAATGCTACCTCTGATTGTGTGTGTGTTTGTGTGTGTGCGTGTTCTATGTTCATCAGAAATACCTCTATGCTTCTATTCCTATTCAGTGTGTTCAGAACAGTTGAAAAGAGCCAAACAGCTGGTTCTGATAACACACAGTAGCTATAACCTGGATGATTTAAAACTAAAATGCTGGATACTGGAAAGAAAATGTGCTTATATAAAAACAGTACTGGGAGATTAAAGAGTGGTTGTTCATGTATCACTGGAAAGGAGGGGCATGAGCATGCTATGTAAATACTGTTAATTGGACAAAAATCTCACAGCAACATAGCCCTTTGGGGTATAGAAGACAAACAATGCAGTGGGTGTGAGTTGTGATGGAGCACCAAAGCTTTGGTCAGTGCGGGAGATTTTATATCCAATGAAAACAGTAGTGAGACCAAGCCAGGCTGACCAACCATCTTCCCACAACCTACACACGAGTAACTGCTCAAATACCAGCTCCTGCTCCTATCATTTCTCAAAGAACTCTTCTCTTGTCCCCAATCTCTACCCGCAATGAGGTAATGTGAAAGAGAATAGTCACTATCGTTAACATTACCTCATTGTATTTTCTTCATGGAATTTTTCACCACCTGAAATGATCTTGTTTACCTATTGGTTTGCTTATTTATTTTGTATTTCACATGACAAAACAGGCTTCATATCAGACTTGTTTACAGCTGTACACTCAGATCCGCACCTGGAACACATTAAGAACTTAATAAATATATACTGAATGTTGAATTTGAAAAGTGGGGTTGATAGTAGTCCCTGTATCCTTCAAGGGAGTCTGTAAGGCTTAACTGAGCATCAGACTTGTAAGCTTGACATGAAAGTGGCTGGCACAGAGTTAAGTATTTGGGAGCTCTTAGCTGGTGTTATTTTTTGTTATTCATATTACTTATATTAGTCATGATGATGATGATATTACATTTGCCACAAAGGAAGTGTAATTGACGGCCATAGAAAGTGATTTGAATTGGCTATGTTAATGCATAACTTCATTTAAAAAGTTTTGAAAATATAGTTTCTTGGAGCTAGCTCAAGCATTAATTGCACAGATTGTTAAAATAGTCTGTATGCTATGGAAGTAGTAATATGCACACTGTATGAAAATTATGACTTCATCAAGAACGGGGATGTCATAACCCAGACTTAGCAATAAAATTCTATGGGAAACAACATAGCCTTAGTTGAGCCAGAAAGCTCCTGGGATTATGGGGTGTCTCTTGGTCATCATCAGGCACATTATCTCTGACTTTATGTAAGAGCTTTCTTAGGCATTTCTGGCTCAACAGAATTGTGCATATCCTTGCTCATTTGACAGCATTTTACTCTGCATCTCTAATAAAGCTGGTCTTTAGGAAAAAGATATAACACATTTCTCTTATTTACAAAGCACGTATGTAGGCTTTATTCTTAAGCTTCCTGCAGACAGTGATGAGATATACAGTCCTTCCTGATTTAAGTCCCACTCTCTACACAAAGTTGTGAATTTATAGCTACTTATTTTCTCCTTGATAGGATTGGGATGCAAATAATGCATACTTCTCTGAAAACAATGAACACTTTCCAACCAGGTCTGTCTCATCTACTAAAAGGTTGGAGCATGGGGCAGTCCCAGCTGGTAAGGGGTTATTACTGTTGTGAAACATTCCCTTACTGGTTGACTGCATGCCAGAACTCCCATTCACAGATATTGATTTTTGCACAGTAAAATTCTGATGGCTTCCTTAAAAGGGCCACTTTTTTTCAGATTAACAGCTATTCTGTTCATGTCAAAAGACCTGTGTAGTTTAAAAAGGTCTTCATTTATAGACATCAAAAAGCATGTCTTGGCTGGGCACAGTGGCTCATGTCTGTAATCCCAGCACCTTGGGAGGTCGAGGTGGGTAGATCATGATGTCAGGAGTTTGAGACCAGCCTGGTCAATATGGTGAAACCCCATCTCTACTAAAAATACAAAAATTAGCTGGGCATGGTGCCGCATGCCTGTAGTCCCAGCTATTTGGGAGGCTGAGGCAGGAGAATCGCTTGAACCCAGAAGGCAGAGGTTACAGTGAGCCGAGATCGTGCCATTGCACTCCAGCCTGGATGACAGAGTGAGACTCCATCTCAAAAAAAAAAAAAAAAAAAAAGTCTGAAACAGGCCCCTCAAATTCAAAATAAAATGAGCGTAACAAAAGAAAAATTATATTTTAAATTAACTATCCAGTTTCACTATAACACACTTTAGGTAATAAAACCCCAGGGATATGAAAACAGGTGATGTTCTTGTTATTGATGTAGTATGTTTGTTTTGTGCCATTTTTACATGAGCAGTAAAAATCCAATGTTTAGTGTTCTTATAAGTTTTATTTATTTAATTTTGTTAGTGAACCAAGCTATGATTTTTTTTCCGTTGCGGTAGCAAAGAGACAGGTACTGATCATCATTTGCACATCATTAGGCTGTGTCCAGCAAGAGTCACGATGGAGAATGAATCTGAACAGAGCCAGATATCAGAGCTGGACAGAGACTACCTATTTATCAAAGAACTATTTACTTCTCCTCAAGCAAACAGTGGAGGGGGCTTTTGGGCCTGTGGGCTTCATTAAGCTTATCAATTTCAAGTGAAGACAAGAGGTAAAAACTACCCCAAGCAAGAAGACAAAGGACCCACCTGGATTAGGGAAGAGCTGGACAACATGGGCCACCAACCTGGGCTACCTGTGGTTCTGGGCTGATGGGCTTGTGTGTAATGTGTGATGCAGTGTCGGTCCCCACAAAACTGATTAGACTCCAGCAGTTTCAAGATCCCAAGTGTAATATTTCAGTTCCCAGGTAGCTAGCTACCTGTCGCCTCCCTCTCCAATGGCCTCCCTGTAGCCCATTCTTAATTTCTAAAATTTAATTTTTATCAAAGTAATACAATAGTTTAAGAGTTGAATATTGGACAACCGGTTGGTTCCAAGATGGCCGAATAGACTGGGGGCTCCAGTCTACAGCTCCCAGTGTGAGCGACACAAAAGACAGGTGATTTCTGCATTTCCAACTGAGGTACCGGGTTCATCTCACTGGGGCTTGTCGGACAGTGGGTGCAGCGCAGCAAGCGTGAGCCAAAGCAGGGTGAAGCATCGCCTCACCTGGGAAGCACAAGGGGTCAGGGAATTCCTTCATAGCCAAGCAAAGCTGTGACAGATGGCACCTGGAAAATTGGGTCACTCCCACCGTAATACTGCGCTTTTCCAATGGTCTTAGCAAATGGCACGCCAGGAGATTATATCCCGTGCCTGGCTCAGAGGGTCCCACTCCCATGGAGCCTCACTCATTGCTAGCACAGCAGTCTGAGATCAAACTGCAAGGCGGCAGCGAGGCTGGGGGAGGGGCGCCCGCCAATGCTGAGGCTTGAGTAGGTAAACAAAGCAGCCAGGAAGCACGAACTGGGTGGAGCCCACGGCAGCTCAAGGAGGCCTGCCTGCCTCTGTAGACTCCACCTCTGGGGGCAGGTCATAGCCAAACAAAAGGCAGCAGAAACCTCTGCAGACTTAAATGTCCCTCTCTGACAGCTTTGAAGAGAGTAGTGGTTCTCCCAGCATGGAGTTTCAGATCTGAGAATGGGCAGACTGCCTCCTCAAGTGGGTCCCTGACCCCTGGGTGGCCTATCTGGGAGGCACCCCCCAGTAGGGGCAGACTGACACCTCACAGGGCCGAGTACCCCTCTGAGAAGGAACCTCCAGAGGAACGATCAGGCAGCAACATTTGCTGTTCAGCAATATTCACTGTTCTGCAGCCTCTGCTGCTGATACCCAGGCAAACAGGGTCTGGAGTGGACCTCTGGCAAACTCCAACAGACCTGCAGCTGAGGGTCCTGACTGCTAAAAGGAAAACTAACAAACACAAAGGACATCCACACCAAAACCCCATCTGTATGTCACCATCATCAAAGACCAAAGGTAGATAAAACCACAAAGATGGGGAAAAAACAGAACAGAAAAACTGAAAATTCTAAAAATCAGAGCGCCTCTCCTCCTCCAAAGGAACACAGCTACTCACCAGCAACGGAACAAAGCTGGACGGAGAATGACTTTGACAAGCTGAGAGAAGAAGGCTTCAGACAATCAAACTTCTCCGAGCTAAAGGAAGAAGTTCAAACCCTTCACAAAGAAGTTAAAAACCTTGAAAAAAAATTAGACGAATGGCTAACTAGAATAACGAATGCAGAGAAGTCTTTAAAGGACTGATAGAGTTGAAAACCATGGCACGAGAACTACGTAACGAATGCACAAGCTTCAGTAGCCGATTCAATCAACTGGAAGAAAGGGTATCAGTGATTGAAGATCAAATGAATGAAATGGTGCAAGAAGAGAAGTTCAGAGAAAAAAGAATAAAAAGAAATGAACAAAGCCTCCAAGAAATACGGGACTATGTGAAAAGACCAAATCTATGTCTGATTGGTGTACCTGAAAGTGATGGGGAGAATGGAACCAAGTTGGAAAACACTCTGCAGGATATTATCCAGGAGAACTTCCCCAATCTAGCAAGGCAGGCCAACATTCAAATTCAGGAAATACAGAGAATGCCACAAAGATACTCCTCGAGACGAGCAAATCCAAGACACATAATTGTCAGATTCACCAAAGTTGAAATGAAGGAAAAAATGTTAAGGGCAGCCAGAGAGAAAGGTTGGGTTACCCATAAAGGGAAGCCCATCAGACTAACAGTGGATCTCTTGGCAGAAACTCTACAAGCCAGAAGAGAGTTGGGGCCAATATTCAACATTTTTAAAGAAAAGAATTTTCAACCCAGAATTTCATATCCAGCCAAACTATGCTTCATAAGTGAAGGAGAAATAAAATACTTTACAGACAAGCAAATGCTGAGAGATTTTGTCACACCAGGCCTGCCCTACAAGAGCTCCTGAAGGAAGCACTAAACATGGAAAGGAACAACCGGTACCAGCCACTGCAAAAACATGCCAAATTGTAAAGACTATCAATGCTAGGAAGAAATTGCATCAACTAATGAGCAAAATAACCAGCTAACATCATAATGACAGGATCAAATTCACACATAACAATATTAACCTTAAATGTTAATGGGCTATATACTCCAATTAAAAGACACAGACTGGCACATTGGATAAAGAGTCAATACCCATCAGTATGCTGTATTCAGGAAACCCACATCACATGCAGAGACACACATAGGCTCAAAATAAAGGGATGGAGGAAGATCTACCAAGCAAATGGAAAACAAAAAGAGGCAGGGGTTGCAATTCTAGTCTCTGATAAAACAGACTTTAAACCAACAAAGATCCAAAGAGACAAAGAAGGCCATTACATAATGGTAAAGGGATCAATTCAAAAGAAGAGGTAACTATCCTAAATATATATGCACCCAATACAGGAGCACCCAAATTCATAAAGCAAGTCCTTAGAGATCTACAAAGAGACATAGACTCCCACACAATAATAGTGGGAGACTTTAACACCCCACTGTCAACATTAGACAGACCAATGAGACAGAAAGTTAACAAGGATATCCAGGAATTGAATTCAGCTCTGCACCAAGCAGACCTAATAGACATCTACAGAACTCACCACCCCAAATCAACAGAATATACATTCTTCTCAGCACCACACCACACCTATTCCAAAATTGACCACATAATTGGAAGTAAAGCACTCCTCAGCAAACGTAAAAGAACAGAAATTATAACAAACTGTCTCTCAAACCACAGTGCAATCAAAGTAGAACTCAGGATTAAGAAACTCACTCAAAACCACTCAAATACATGGAAACTGAACAACCTGCTCCTGAATGACTACTGGGTACATAACGAAGGCAGAAATAAAGATGTTCTTTGAAACCAGTGAGAACAAAGACACAACATACCAGAATCTCTGGGACACATTTAAAGCAGTGTGTAGAGGGAAACTTATAGCCCTAAATGCCCACAAGAGAAAGCAGGAAAGATCAAAAATTGACACCCTAACATCACAATTAAAAGAACTAGAGAAGCAAGAGCAAACACATTCAAAAGCTAGCAGAAGGCAAGAAATAACTAAGATCAGGGCAGAACTGCAAGAGATAGAGACACAAAAAACCCTTCCCAAAATCAATGAATCCAGGAGCTGGTTTTTTGAAAAGATCAACAAAATTGATAGACCGCTAGCAAGACTAATAAAGAAGAAAAGAGAGAAGAATCAAATAGATGCAATAAAAAATGATAAAGGGGATATCACCACTGATCCCACAGAAATACAAACTACCATCAGAGAATAGTATAAACACCTCTACGCAAATAAACTAGAAAATCTGGAAGAAATGGATAAATTCCTCGACACATACACCCTCCCAAGACTAAACCAGGAAGAAGTTGAATCTCTGAATAAACCAATAACAGGCTCTGAAATTGAGGCAATAATTAATAGCTTACCAACCAAAAAAAGTCCAGGACCAGGCGGATTCACAGCCGAATTCTACCAGAGGTACAAGGAGGAGCTGGTATCATTCCTTCTGAAACTATTCCAATCAATAGAAAAAGAGGGAGTCCTCCCTAACTCATTTTATGAGGCCAGCATCATTCTGATACCAAAGCCTGGCAGAGACACAACAAAAAAAGAGAATTTTAGACCAATATCCCTGATGAACATCGATGAAAAATCCTCAGTAAAATACTGGCAAACCAAATCCAGCAGCACATCAAAAAGCTTATCCACCATGATCAAGTGGGCTTCATCCCTGGGATGCAAGGCTGTTTCAACACACACAAATCAATAAATGTAATTCAGCATATACACAGAACCAAAGACAAAAACCACATGATTATCTCAATAGATGCAGAAAAGGCCTTTGACAAAATTCAACAGCCTTCATGCTAAAAACTCTCAGTAAATTAGGTATTGATGGGACGTATCTCAAAATAATAAGAGCTATCTATGACAAACCCACAGCCAATATCATACTGAATGGGCAAAAACTGGAAGCATTCCCTTTGAAAACTGGCACAAGACAGGGATGCCCTCTCTCAACACTCCTATTCAACATAGTTTTGGAAACTCTGGCCAGGGCAATCAGGCAGGAGAAAGAAATAAAGGGTATTCAACTAGGAAAAGAGGAAGTCAAATTGTACCTGTTTGCAGATGACATGATTGTTTATCTAGAAAACCCCATCGTCTCAGCCCAAAATCTCCTTCAGCTGATAAGCAACTTCAGCAAAGTCTCAGGATACAAAATCAATGTGCAAAAATCACAAGCATTCTTATACACCAATAACAGACAAACAGAGAGCCAAATCATGACTGAACTCCCATTCACAATTGCTTCCAAGAGAATAAAATACCTAGGAATCCAACTTACAAGGGATGTGAAGGACCTCTTCAAGGAGAACTACAAACCACTGCTCAATGAAATAAAAGAGGATACAAAGAAATGGAAGAACATTCCATGCTCATGGGTAGGAAGAATCAATATTGTGAAAATGGCCATACTGCCCAGGGTAATTTATAGATTCAATACCATCCCCATCAAGTTGCCAATGACTTTCTTCACGGAATTGGAAAAAACTACTTTAAAGTTCATATGGAACCAAAAAAGAGCCTGCATTGCCAAGTCAATCCTAAGTCAAAAGAACAAAGCTGGAGGCATCATGCTATCTGACTTCAAACTATACTACAAGGCTACAGTAAACAAAACAGCATGGTACTGGTACCAAAACAGAGATATAGACCAACGGAACAGAACAGAGCCCTCAGAAATAATACCACACATCTACAGCTATCTGATTTTTGACAAACCTGACAAAAACAAGCAATGCGGAAAGGATTTCCTATTTAACAAATGGTGCTGGGAAAACTGGCTAGCCATACGTAGAAAGCTGAAACTGGATCCCTTCCTTACACCTAATACAAAAATTAATTCAAGATGGATTAAAGACTTAAATGTTAGACCTAAAACCATAAAAACCCTAGAAGAAAACCTAGACAATACCATTCAGGACATAGGCATGGGCAAGGACTTCATGTCTAAAACACCAAAAGCAATGGCAGCAAAAGTCAAAATTGACAAATGGGATCTAATTAAACTAAAGAGCTTCTGTACAGCAAAAGAAACTACCATCAGAGTGAACAGGCAACATACAGAATGGGAGAAAAATTTTGCAATCTACTCATCTGACAAAGGGCTAATATCCAGAATCTACAAAGAACTCAAACAAATTTACAAGAAAAAAACAACCCCATCAAAAAGTGGGCAAAGGATATGAACAGACACTTCTCAAAAGAAGACATTTATGCAGCCAAAAGACACATGAAAAAATGCTCATCATCACTGGCCATCAGAGAAATGCAAATCAAAACCACAATGAGGTATCATCTCATACCAGTTAGAATGGCGATCATTAAAAAGTCAGGAAACAACAGGTGCTGGAGAGGATGTGGAGAAATAGGAACACTTTTACACTGTTGGTGGGATGGTAAACTAGTTCCACCATCGTGGAAGACAGTGTGGCGATTCCTCAGGGATCTAGAACTAGAAATACCATTTGACCCAGCCATCCCATTACTGGGTATATACCCAAAAGAATATGAATCATGCTGCTATAAAGACAGGTGCACACGTATGTTTATTGCAGCACTACTCACAATAGCAAAGACTTGGAACCAAG
Source organism: Homo sapiens (assembly GCF_000001405.40). Lineage (NCBI taxonomy): Eukaryota > Metazoa > Chordata > Mammalia > Primates > Hominidae > Homo > Homo sapiens. The sequence continues at coordinate 87,775,875 of NC_000014.9, read as the reverse complement.
CCAAATGTCCAACAATGATAGACTGGATTAAGAAAATGTGGCACATATACACCATGGAATACTATGCAGCCATCAAAAAGGATGAGTTCCTGTCCTTTGTAGGGACATGGATGAAGCTGGAAACCATCATTCTCAGCATACTATCGCAAGAACAAAAAAACCAAACACCGCATGTTCTCACTCACAGGTGGAAATTGAACAATGAGAACACTTGGACACAGGAAGGGGAACATCACACACCGGGGCCTGTTGTGGGGTGGGGGGACGGGGGAGGGATAGCATTAGGACATATACCTAATGTAAATGATGAGTTAATGGGTGCAGCACACCAACATGGCACATGTATACATATGTAACAAACCTGCACGTTGTGCACATGTACCCTAGAACTTAAAGTATAATAAAAAGATATATATATATAAATAAAAAATAAAAAGAAATAAAAAATTTAGAAGAAAATTTAAAAAAAGTTGAATATTAAAGGCTTGTAATGAAAAGCAGCTGCGGACACAAATGCAGCTTGAAAACATGGAGGGACTAGGGAAGAAATCCCGATCTCTCTCTTCTCTTACCTTGTGATCTTATACCATTGCCTCCCATTGGCTGATCCCTACCAGAAACAGGGGCCTTTGGATTCCACAGGGCAGCAAATGAATGCTTAGGATAAAGAAAGCTGGGAAATGGAGAAACACCATTTCAGGAGCTAATACCTATTTATAAGGGCTATTGTGAGAATTAAATGAGATAAATGTAAAAAGAACTCAGGCAAAATAATTGGCTTATAAGGGGTCTTCAGAATATGTTTTCTCCCCCTTCTCACCTCTTTCCCCTTCCTCATTTATCAAAATCTGCTCTCCAAAAGTTGTGATTCCTTTATTGCATTAGCTGTAAATATCTAAAACAGAATTTTAGCAAAAGATAAGACTCTTTCAAAGCCTTTTGGATATTTTAGATGTCAGTAACTCAGTGAACGGTGTTTTGGTGGTGGGTGGTTTAAAAACCTTTCACCAATTTATGCTCAGTGGAGCATATCTGAGCAATTAAAAACAAAACAAAGCGAAGAAAACCAAAGCAAAAATAAAACAAAAACAATTCACAAATCAGGTAGCTGTCAGAACCAAAACAGGTTTTGAGAACTCCAGTTAACAGCACGATCTGACAATATTTATAGAAAACCAAAGTGAGGTATAGAGACAACTTAGTTATAGCTTAATTGGTTCATTGGTTACAAAGCCTCCTGAAATCCACTAAATCTCAGCTACTGTGAGTAAGCTCTATACTGGTTTGGTCTGTTGGGCCCAGTGCAAGAGCCCATTCCAAGACATTGGCCTTCTATAAATTGTATTCAACAGTAGGTAGGAAAGGGCCCTTCTCCATTTCTTAGAGTTCATGCCAAGGGGCAGTTGCCAATTTTGATTGCTTTGCTTTTGGGGTAAGGTCCTTCCTGCACTGCTCTGGGGCTCCATTCACTTTGCAGGAGGACTTAGTGTGGCTGTTCCCACAGGAAGGTACTGAGATCAGCAAACACAGTGCATAAATTTCTCTGGAAGCTGGGAAGTCTGTTCGCCCCAAACTGCTGTCCCGCTGGAATGCAAATGGTCCCACTGCAAAGTACAAGCCTTTGCCCTCACCGGTGTGTTTGCAGCAGCCTCATGCCACTCTGTCAGTGCCAAAGACATGACTCCGTTTCAAATGTTCTTGTTTCCCACCACTACTTCCCCTGATGCTGTGGGTTCTGATGGGCCTCCAGGCTCTCTTCCCTTGCTTGTTAACCCTTCAGTGTATAAAAGCAAAGTCCCAGGGATTCTTTGGAGCAATTGCCTGAACCAAGGAGTCATGATGTTTCTCTAGCAGAGGGAGAAGCTTTCCTCTAGTGCAGCACCTGCCTTCATGTCTGGAGGCTGAGGTCAGGGATTTCCACCCCTCTGAGACTTTCCTGGCCTCTCTGAGTGGCTGGCCAGCAGATAGTGCACCTGAGATCCGGGGCTGGGCTTACTATTGGGATCTGGGCCAGAGGGAGAGAAGGTGGGGAGGTGTTTGCAGCCCTCAGACAGCCCCTTGCCACATGAGTTCCACGGAATATAGTTTTCTCTCAGGGGCTCCCCTCCACCCATTCATAATTCACTCCTCTCAGGTTCCTCGTTAAAGTAAAAATCATCAGCATTCTTTTAATGTGGCTTTTTGTGTTTCATTTCCTTTGTTGGTTAAAAAAAAGGTTCCACTGAAACATTTTATAAGATTTCTATACAGTGCATACATTTTAAACATTTTGTTCCTATTAACATAAAATATTATTCTCATTTCCTCTTATGATGGGAAGAAAGCAGGAAAAAAAGCATTATAAAAATTAAAAAATAATTCTTTATTATAAAGGAGGTATGAATGATTTACGAGCATAATAAAAGCAAGTCTCTTTGGTCAACATTATGAATTTAAAAATAAAATTTCCTTTCAGATTTTTGAAATGACTTGGATGACAGTAGGCACTAAAATAACAAAGAAGGCCAGGTTATAATGGGACATTTTTCCCCCTTTATTTTTCTTCCCAAGGAGAGATGGTTTTCACACTTACCCTTGGGAAACAAAGTAGAGTCATCCCAGGTCAGGATCCGGGGAGCTCACAACAAATAGCTTGTTTCAAAATATGTCTGTGGGCCATCCGCACCCCTGACAAAGATGCATTTTAAAATTCCCTTTGTCATTTTGATGCGTCTTTAAAGATCGTATCTCGTTGAATCTTACCAGGGAGAGGAAACAGGAGTTCTCATCCCCACCCCACTCACCCCTACTAGGATCTTCCTCCCAGTGATACAGGAGCCCGGGCTCCTCCTGCACGCCCACTGCTCAGCAGGACTGTGATCCTGCTCTTGGGCTGTGTGTTCTCCTGGTAAATCCCCTCCAACTCCACCAGGTCCTGCCTATTAAATCCTACACTCTGATTTGTTTTTCAGTTCTGGGTCTCGTGGTTCCTATCCCAGGGCTCTAGTTCTACCCACACTAGGTCATATAGTCATCCCTTATCCTCAAGGGATATGTTTCAAGACCCCAGTGGATACCTGAAACCTCGGATAGTACCGAACGCAATTGCCGTCAATAGGAACACATTTCTTTTCATGTCTTGCCCTGACAAACTTTGTGCCTTTTCCATCTGAGCTAAGCAATTATTGTGCATTGTGGCTGTAACTTTTGCAGTTTGAGGTGAAACTGCAAAACTAGTACAGATTTCTTTTTCCTTCTTTACAATTTCACCAATAGAAGATTCGTTCTTTCTGTAGATCTTAGCAACCTCAACACTGATTTTTTTTCTTACTAAGTTGAGAATGTTCACTTTTTACTTAAAGGAAGCATTTCATGGTCTGTCTTTGGTGTATTCGAATGGCCAACATCACTACTTTTGTGTTTTGGGGACATTATAAAGTAAAATAAGGGTGACTTGAACACCAGCACTGCCATACCTCAACAGTTGATCTGATAGCAGAGATGGCTACTGAATGACTAAGGGGCAAGGAAGCATAGACAGTGTAGACACACTGAACAAAGGAAGGACTCACATCCTGGACAGGACAGTGCCAGGTTTCATCATGCTACTCAGAAAGGCATGCAATTCAAAACTGATGAATTGTTTGTTTCTAGAAATTTCCATCTAATATTTTAGGACTACAGTTAACCACAGGTAACTGAAACTGAGGAAGGTGAAACTGCAGATAAGGGGGGCTACTGTGTTATGATTGAGGTTTGCATGAAGGGCATATTAAACTGGGGGTATCACCAGAGGAGGCTGGCAGGCTGCAAGGGGCCTCTGGAATGACATTTCCTAGGTAAATTCACCCTGGTTTGAGGTCAGACATCCACAGCAGTGTAGGTTCAGAAACCTGATTCTGTTAGCATGCTGAGAACAGGCTAGTCAATGTCAATGTCAACCAGCTCCTGAGCCTGAGGCAGACTCTATTGGTCTGATTTTTTTCAATTCACAAGAGAAACACCACCCTCAAAACACTTAGGATGATCGGGTGCGGTGGCTCATGCCTGTAATACCAGCACCTTGGGTGGCTGAGGCAGGAGGATCACTTGAGGCCAGGAGTTCGAGACTGGTCTGGGCAACAAAGTGACACCACTGTTTCTACAAAAAAATAAAATATTAGCCAGGCATGATGCCACATGCCTGTGGTCCTAGCTGCAAGGGAGTCTGAGATGGGATGATTACTTGAGCCCAGGAGTTCGAGGCTGCGGTGAGCTATGATTGTGCCACTGCACTCTATCCTTGGAAAAAAAAGGAGAGCTGTGGGGCAAAAAAGAAACTTGGGTTGTGAGGTAGCTCATTGCTTGCTTGGCTGGTGTATGACACTCACTAGAAGGCTAGCTGACAGAAGTTCAAGTTTGCAACAATTTATAGGCTGTGTCCCCCCAGGGGCCCTGGTCGATTAGTTGTGGGGATCTCCTGGGAGGGCGCGGTGACCCACTGTGCTGTGGGGGCCTCCATCCTTCCCCCCACCCCACCCCTGGGGATCCCAATTCATTCCGGGCTGACACTCTCATTGGCAGACGTCGGGCATCACCTAGCGGCCACTGTTACTCTGAAAACGGAGGCCTCACAGAGGAAGGAAGCACCAGGCCACCTGTGCACAGCCTGGGGCAACTGTGTCTTCTCCACTTGAGCACCTACTTCAGGGCAGGCTCTGTTCTAGGCAATGGGGACACAGCAGTGAACAAAGCAGACAAAAATCCCGGCCCTCAAGAAGCTTATGCTCCATTAACTTTTTGAGCCCAGAGGTTGGGTCTTTCACCCCTGGGTAGAGCCAATGTTTGGCTTTCCATTTTCTCTGCTCAGAGCTCCGGAAAGTTACCCCAGAAGTGAAAGCATACTGCTGTAATTCTTGGAGGAGTAATATAAAGAAAGAGCAACATGGCGATTCAACCCAGATTTTAAGCTCAAAAATCTCATGCATTGGAATAAAGACAGGACTTAGGATCTTATTATGGTTTCTGCTCTTCCTTAATTCTGCTAACTTAGTGAATATAACTGCAGCACTTAGTGGATATAAGATTGAAGGAATACGTGGAGAGGGACAGGCTTCAGAAGTGGAAAAAAAGGGAGGGCACTGGAGAGCAAGAGCCAGGTGGGTGGTGCAGAGAGTGGAAGGTTTGACTTTTGAGATCCATTGTGAGAAGCAAGAGAAGTGAAGACAAGAGGAAGGGTTTGAAAAATGGTTGTGATGGCTTATGAACTGAGTTTCCTTTCATGCTTTTTGAATGGAGTTATTTTTGAATTACTTCTGATTATTAGTCTGCAAAGATTAAGCCATAAAGGACTCTAGGATATATTAAAGTTCATGTCTTTTGGCTTAGGCTTCCACCTCAATATTTTTGAGCTTTCAGTCTTCTCTCCTCATTTTTCTCCGTGTAATTTACAGTTAAATAACATGAGCCCCATTTCCACAGAGCTTCAGGAAGTTCACTACTTGCTCCAATATTTATAAGATTCCAAAGGTGCTTCGGTTCCCAGGTAGCTGCCTATCACCTCTCACTTCAATCTCCTTCTAGCCCAATTCTATGCTTTTTAAATTCAATTTTTAATAAAGTAATGTATGCAGTAGTTTAAAACTCAAATATTAAATAACTTATAATAAAAAACAAATGTCCACTAAGCATCCCCTGTTCTACAGTCCAACTCCCCATAGGCAATGACTTTCAGCTCTTTTAGCCCTTGCTTTCTTGTACCTTCCTCTATATTTCTAAATAAATGGCCACATTGCTATTTGTTAATGTATCAATTTTAGACATTATGTATTGACATTCTGTTATGACAGATGAGGATTTAGCTCTTTCATTCTTCTCCCACCTTCATGCCACTTACCTTCTCTTTCTAAACTCTTGTTAAAATTACACAAAAATGGTTGGTTCAATCAACAGTTAGGATTGACATTACTATGGCTATGAAGTAGAATTTCTAGCCAAGAACTATATCATTATTGTTTTGTCTCTTGTATATCATTTTGCTTTTTTTTCTAGAGTTAATATTTTCCTCATTTTTTTCATTTGCTTACTTTTCTTATGTGCTTATATATATTTTTTCTGTACTAAATTCATCAATACTATTTTCCAAATGGTCAAATACATAATCTATACATTGATTATTTTTTCATGGGTTCTTTTCTCCCTTCTTATGCTTCCTTCTGCACAGTTGTTCTCATCTGTCATCTTATCTGTAAATTTTCTTTTTATGTTCTTGTGTTGGATCCACTGGAAACCTGGTGATGTGGTTTGGCTCTGTGTCCCCACCCAGATCTCACTTTGAATTGTAATAATCCCCACGTGTGAAGGGCAGGACTAAGTGGAGGTAACTGGATTATTAGGGCTGTTTCACCCATGCTGTTCTTGTGATAATGAGTGGAGTCTCACAAGACCTGAATTTTTTTTTTTTTTTTTTTTTTTTACGGAGTCTTGCTCTGTCGCCCAGGCTGGAGTGCAGTGGCGCAATCTCGGCTCACTGCAAGCTCCACCTCCCGGGTTCACGCCATTCTCCTGCCTCAGCCTCCCGAGTAGCTGGGACTACAGGCGCCCGCCACCATGCCCGGCTAATTTTTTGTATTTTTGGTAGAGACAGGGTTTCACCGTGTTAGCCAGGATGGTCTCAATCTCCTGACCTCGTGATCTGCCCACCTCGGCCTCCCAAAGTGCTGGAATTACAGGCTTGAGCCACCGCGCTGGGCCAATCTGATGGTTTTATAAGCAGCTTCCCCCTTCTCTGGGCACTCTTTCTCTCTCCTGCCACCTTGTGAAGAGATGCCTTCCACCATGACTGTAAGTTTCCTGAGGCCTCCCCAGCATGCTGAACTGTGGGTCAATTGAAACTATTTTCTTTATAAATTACCCAGTATTGGGTATTTTTTCATAGCAGTGTGAGAATGGAATAATATACCTGGGAAATTCTTTCTTTAGTCCCTCACTTTGCTGGAGCACATGTTCTTAGAGTCCTAAAAAGTTGTTCATGGTGATAATTGTTTGTTTGAAATCTTACTTTTTGAAAAGTGGCTTTAATCTATCTTTATACTTGTTGGATAATATGGCTCAGTATATAATGCTGGGCTGCAAATCACTTTGCCTCTGAATATTGAAGTTATTTTGCCATTGCTTTCTAACATTCAGGGTTGTTGAGAAGTCTGATTTTATTTCATTTCATATCCTTTGTGAGGGATGTTTCCTCCCACCCCTAAGAAAATGAGAGGATTTTTTAATTTTACTTCCTACTGCTCCAAAGTTTTATAATGAAGACCCCTCACATTTGCCTTTTATCATTCTGGACACAGTGGACTATTCTTTTACTTTGAGGATTCTAATATCCTTTTGGTTGTAGAAATATTCTATTATAAATTTTAAAATTACTTCTTTTCCATTTTTTTTTCTATTCCATTAATCTATTTTGAGGCTTTCTAGTTCAACACCCTAAGTTTTTAACATATATTTTCCTCAAAATTTTATCTTTTTGTTTTATTTCTTCTACTTTCTGAGACGTCTTTTTCATTTTTGTCATCCAACCTGTTTTACAATTTAAATTTTTGACTAATAGGTCGTGCACTGTGGCTCATGCCTATAATCTCAGCACTTTGGGAGGCTGAGGTGGGCAGATCACCTGAGGTCAGGAGTTTGAGACCTGCCTGGCCAACATGGTGAAACCCTATCTCTACTAAAAATATAAAAATTAGCTGGGTGTGGTGGCGGGCACCTGTAATCCCAGCTATGCAGGAGGCTGAGGCAGGAGAATTGCTTGAACCTGGGAGGTGGAGGTTGCAGTGAGCTGAGATTGTGCCACTGCACTCCAGCCTGGGCAACAGAGCAAGACTCCATCTCAAAAATAAATAAATAAAAATAAATAAATAAATAAATGTTGACTAATAATATCCCAGTTTTCTTCTAATTGTTTCTTCTCCAATCTTAGCTATGAAGCATCCTGTCTTTTAAAAATATATATCCACAATGGTTTTTTAAATCTCTCCAGTTTTATTATTCTCTCTTATTCACAAAAGCTTATGGCTTTCTTTTCTTCTTTTTATTTTTTTCAGTTGCTTTATTGTGGTATCTTCCCAAATGTTGAGAGCTTTTGCTGTGTTTTGGGTTCTTCTCATGGTGGAGTGTGATGAGACTCAATGGAAAGCCCCATTTCTCATATCTGGCTGTCCATTAACAGACAGCAGCAAGGGTTACAAAGCTGATGAGAAGCACTGAAGGCGTGGATGGAACACAAGGATAGGTAATATTCAAGCTACTGGGATTCGCAGCTATCTCCATATCTAATATCAGTGTCTGGAGGCCTTTAATTTGGGCTTCTTAGGTTTCTCAAAAGAGGACTTATCTAATCTCCTGGCTGGAAGGGCTATTTCTAGAGATAGAAATTTCACATAAACTCCTGTTTTCAACTTCTGACCTCTCTGTTGATAAATGTCTTGAGCCTTCTTCATATGACTTCTTCTGAGAATACACCACTGGGTCTTGTGTGTGTGTGTGTGTGTGTGTGTGTGTGTGTGTGTGTGTGTGTTTGCATGTAGGCAGGTGGGTGGGGAGGGTTTTTCCTTAGGTTGCTCTCCTTTGGGTGCTCTGTCTCTGCCCTAGAGGAAGTCATTGTTTCCTATTTGCTATTATTGCTATTATTCCTATCTGCTATCCTGTATTCTTTAGAGCAAGGGTCAACAATATTTTTCTATAAAGTGTCACAGAGTAGCTATTTTAGGCTTTGCAGGTCATTCTGCCTCTGTCACAATCATTCAACTGCATACTGCAGTGTAAAAGCAGCCATGGGCAACATACAAACGAATGGGCAAGGCCAGATTCGGCCTGCATGCTGACCCCTGCTTTAACCTGCTCTTTACCTCTTAGTTGGCAATTCCCTGTTGCTAGTTAATAGTTATTTATATTCAGTTTTTCCTGTCCAAATTACCAGTGTGATTTCTGTCTCCTGATTGGACTCTCACTGATAAATGATACACCATACTGACATTCTAGGCAAGGGCTTGGCTTGGATGCCTTGTGCCATTGGAGAGGATCTGGATCTGACAATTCTGGCCAGCAATTATGAGAGAGAGAGGAAGAGGGAAAGAGAGAGAGAGAGGGAGAGAGAGAGAGAGGGAGAGAGGAGAGAGAGAGAGAGGGAGAGAGAAAGAGAAAGAGAAAGAGAGAAAGAGAGAGAGACAATGAGAATGAACAAATTAATGACAGCCCTAAATAATCAAACTAACATTTTAAGCAAGACTTTCTTTTCTGTAGAAAGAAATTGTGACAGCAGTAAAAAAAATTCTTTTTCTTGTCAATTATAAACCAAAAGTTTCACAGAATTTTTCTCTAGTTATCCGCTCTATAATATATTCACATTTATTTTAATTTCCCCAAGACCTTCAGGTAAAATCAAGAAAGATGTGGGGTATTTTTCCTGGGGCTCTCTCTTCTCCTCAGCTCAGAATGGTAATAGCCCTGGGGATCCTGTGTTGAATGCTCCCTGGAATGGCCGTCTCACCCCCTCCCTAAGCTTTCCTTAGGCAGAGTACAATGCAATTGATTAGTTTTCCACTTCCTAAATTGCTGTCAAGTTCCAGACTCATCTCCCTGAGATTATTCCCATCATCTTTATTGGAGGTTTGGGTGTCTGCAAATTCTTCGGTGACACACATACAGGCTGTCTTTTGCTTTATGATCACAGATGGCTAATCACAATCATACTGTATATTTTACTAGTTTAATTCTCAGAGGGTAACCTCTTTTCCAGGATTTTTGTCTCTCCATATATTGCAAATACCAAGAACATGCTCTCTGATTAAAAAAAAAAAAAGTGACAGAGAATGCTTAGCCCAAGGCTATCCCAAAGACATGGCTCTGAGATCTGAAATTCAGAACCTTGCTTGAGATGTTTAGGCAGGCTCCCTATGGCTTTTAATTCATGTGATGAGTTAGGGAGAGACGCGAAAGAAAGAAACATGCTCACAGGCAAGCCTGATGTAAAAGCAATAGCAGTTGGCAAAGCCTTTGCCCTAACTGCCCATCAATTTTTCTCTTCATTATGATACAAGCAGGGAAGGTTGTAAGATCAAGTGTTTTTAAGTGATGAATTAAGACAGAGTGATAAGCAGAAGGTGCCTTATTGCTGGTGTCAGATTTAAACCTCTGAAGAGAAAAAGGGTTTAGGGGGAACATTATTTTTCCCTTGCTTAGTTAAGTTGTGGAGTTGAGAGTTGGAAGCGACCTGGGTCACCAGCTGAGTGCTTTCTACTGCTCCCCCTTCCAGTCTAGACCAACAAATCCTCTTTTGTAGATAGAATGGAGGGACCAAAAAATGCCCCACAAGAATTTGAAATAGGTAAGATTGTTCTCTGAGAGTGACGCTATAAAACTGACTTAGATCAGTGTGAAAAAGTACAAAGTCATCTTAGAAATAAAATGTTTTCTAGTCTAAGACACAAAGATGAATTGACTGTAGATTTTGAAACAGGCAAAGAAAGAAAATACTTACCAGAAAGAAGTTGAAGGGGTGTAATGCCTGGCTAGGTTCCTTTATTCTGTGGGAGGGACCTCCACCTGTGAAGCCCTCCCTCTGTCCCTCTCCCCACCAAAATGGGGCTGCGAGCATCAATCTTTAGCATCTTTGCGTTCATCTTGTACTTTTATTCCATGCTTACCAAGTAAATGTCTTCTCATAACTTTGTTTCCTGTGTGGATTTGCCTACAGAGAGTGGCTTGATTCTCAAACATCCCTATCATATCTGCTTGATGGCTATTTAATCACTGGAAATAAACAAATTAGCAAAGTGGTATTTGTGAACTTGGTTGATTTGTATCTGAAACTGGAGGTGCTAACAAGTCAGTTGTCTGCCTTGTTAGATTAAGGAATCCCCGTGGGGACCAGCTGGGCTCTTATGACACTTTTACATAATCCTTACACATTTCTGAATCTTTTTCAGATTATGGCATACGTTCATTACTTTTATTGCCTAGAAACTTAATTTTAGGGGAAGAAGTTGATTAAACTAGAACCATTAGGAGAAGAAGAATACTATAATAATTAAGAGCTTAAACTTTGTGTTTAGACAACATGGATTGAAGCCCTTGTTCTCTCACCTTTCTTCATAATGCCCAGAGATACCTTCCCTTCCTCTTGCTCCTGCTCTGGCCATGTGATGTGCTTTCTCCTTCACTTTAACCTTCAGCAATGATTGTAAGCTTCCTGAGGACTCCACAGAAGCCACAGGTCTCTTTGTATTCAAGTTGTTTCATCTATAAAGTGAGGATAATGCAAGTATTTATGTAATAGGGTTGTTGTGAGGATTAAATGAGATGTGCTCATACAATACTTATCACAATGGCTGGCACCTGGTAAGGGCTCAAAAAATTTTAGCTGTCTTCATAATACTTACCATTATCAACCAGTTTTTCTCCTTTTTAAACATCATAGGCATGTGTTACTGTCATCAGAGTTTAGATCAGTCCAAGAGAATCAGTGTTAATAACTGAGTTGAAAACACCTCTGACCAAAAACAATAAAATTCTACAAATTTGTATTGAGTACCTACTATATGCCATGCATTGTTCTAGTATGAATTAAAAGTAAACAAAACAGTAAAAAGGAAATAATCTAATTAAAATATAAAATTTAATTTTGAATAGTAAAAAGTGAAATGAAAAGAGGATAATAATTGTGAGATAAAGACTATGGTGGTCAATGTTAAGTAATAGAGTCCCTCTATCAGTTTAGATAGAGCAGTATCAGATAGACGAGAGTGAAATACTTTTAAAGAAAGTGACTTCTGGGCTGAAACCCAAAAGGTAAAGAGTCAGCCATTAAATATCTGGATGAAGGATTCCCATAAGTATAGCCTAGAGGAGATGGTTTAAATGTTTCCCCCAAAGGTCATGTGTTAGAAACCTAATCCCTAATGCCACAGTGTTGAGAGGTAAGATGATTCGTGTCCTTATGAATGAATGCTGATATTAAGGGATGAATTAGTTATCTTGGGAGTGGGTTCCTAACACAAGGATTAGTTTGGTTCCCTTCTTCAATCTCTCTCTCTCTCTTTCTCTCTCAGGCTTTCTCACCATGTGATGCATTCTGCTATGTTATGATACAGCAAGAAGGGCCTCACAAGATGTGACCTCTTGTTCTTGGACTTCTCAGCCTCCAGAATCATGAGGTAATTAAACTGCTATTGTTCATAAATTATCCAGTCTGTGGTATTCTGTTATAGCAACACAAAATGGACTAAGACAGGAGAGAAGGAGCTTGACTTTTTTCTTGGACTAGAAAGAAGGACAGTGAGAATGGAAAACTATAAATAAGTTGGAAGATGATATATATTAGATATGATATACATTGGAAAACCACCCAAGTCTCATGTTGAGTTGCAATCCCCAGTGTTGAAGGTGGGGCCTGGTAAAAGGTGACTGGATCATGTGGGCGGTTTTCTCATGAATGGTTTAGCACCATCCCCTTGGTGCTGTTCTTGTGATAGTGAGTTCTTATGGGATCTGGTTGTTTAAAAGAGTGTGGCACCTCCCCCACCTCTTTCTCCTGCTCTGGTCATGTGATTTGCTTGCTCCTCCTTCAACTTCTGGCATGATTGTAAGCTTCCTGAGGCCTCCACAGAAGCCAAGCAGATGCCAGTATTATGCTTTCTGTGCAGCCTGCAGGACTGTAAGCCAATTAAATTTCTTTTCAAATTATCCAGTCTCAGATTTTTTTTATAGCAGTGCAAGAATGGCCTAGTACAGAAAATTGGTACTGAGGAGTGGGATATTGGTATAAAGATGCCTGAAAATGTGGGAGCAACTTTGGAATTGGGTAATGGCAAAGGTTAGAAGAGTGTGGAGGGCTCAGAAGAAAGCAGGAAGATGAAGGAACATTTGGAATGTTTTAGAGACTGGTTGAATGGTTGTGACCAAAATTGCTGATAGTGATATGGACAATGAAGTCCAGGATGCTGAGGTCTCAGATGGAAATGATGAACTTATTAGGAACTGGAGTAAAGATAACTTTTGTTACACCTTAGCAAAACACTTGGCTACATTATGTCCATGAGCTAGGGGTCTGTGAAAGTTTGAACTTGAAAATGATGACTTAGGTTATCTAGTGGAAGAAGTTTCTAAGCAGCAAAGTGTTCAAGGTGTGGCCTAACTGCTTCTAATAGCCCATGTTCAGATGTGAGAATGAAGGAATGACTTAAAATTGAAACTTAAAAGGGAAGCAGAGCAAAGAGTTTGGAAAATTTGCTGTCTGGCCGTGTGACAGAGAAAGAAAAAGCTTTTTTGGGAGAGGAATCTAAGCAGGAGGCTGCAGAACAACTACTTACTAGAAAGATTTGCATAACTAAAAAGAAGACAACTGCTGATAGCCAAGACAATGGGAAAAAGGACTTGAAGGCATTTCAGAGACCTTTGCAGCAGCCCTTCACATCACAGGTTGGAGGTCTAGGAGAGAATAATGTTTTGTGGGTTTATTAATCCATGCTCACACTGCTATAAAGAACTGCCCAAAACTGGGTAATTTATAAAGAAAAGGTATTTAATTGACTTACAGTTCCACATGGCTGGGGAGGCCTCAGGAAACCTACAATGCCAGAAGGGAAAGCAGGAATGTCTTACATGGCAGCAGGCAAGAGGGAGAGTATGTGACTGTGAAGGAGGAATGGTCAAACACTTATAAAACTATCAGATCTTGTGAGAACTCACTCACTACCACAAGGACAGCATGGGGGAAACTACCCCCATGATCCAATCACCTCCCTCCCTTGACACATGGGGATTACAGGTCCCTCCCTTGACATGTGGACACATGGGGATTACAATTTGAAATGAGATTTGGGTGGGGACCCAGAGCCAAACCGTATCACTCTGCCCCTGGCTTCTCCCAAATCTGTCTTTTCTCAAATCTCTTCACATTTCAAAACTGATACAATTTTACATTTCAAAACCATGCCTTCCCAACGGTCCCCCAAAACCTTAACTCGTTTCAGCATTGACTCAAAAGTCCACAGTTCAAAGTCTTATCTGAGACAAGGCAAGACCCTTCTGCCTATGAGCCTGTAAAATCAAAAGCAAGTTAGTTACTTCCTAGATACAGTGGAGGCATAGGCATGGGTAAATATTTCCACTCCAAATGGGAGAAATTGGCTGAAACAAAGGAGCTACAGGACCCGTGAAAGTCTGTAACCCAGTGGAGCACTCATTAAATCTTAAAGCTTGGAAATTATCTCCTTTGACTCCATGTCTCACATCTGGGTCATGCTGATGCAAAGGGTGGGCTCTGATGGCCTTCAGCAGCTTCTTCATGAGCTGTCCTTGAGTGCCTGTGGATTTTCCAGGTGCATGATGCAAGCTGTTGGTGGATCTGCCATTCTGGGGTCTAGAGGACAGTGACCTTCTTCTCACAGGTCCACTAGCCAGTGCCCCAGTGGGGACACTGTTTGGGGGCTCCAACTCCACATTTCCCTTCTGCATTGCCCTAGCACAGGTTCTCCATGAGGGCTCACCTTGCAGCAGACTTCTGCCTAGACATCCAGGCATTAACAAACATCCTCTGAAATCTAGGTGAAGGTTCTCAAACTTCACTTCTTGATTTCTGTGCACCCACAGGCCCAACACCACATGGAAGTCACCAAGGCTTGTGGCTTGCACCCTTTGAAGTAATGGCCCAAGCTATACTTTGATCCCTTTTAGCCATGGCTGGACCTAGAGTGTCTGGGATGCAGGGCACCAAGTCCCAAGGCTGCACAAGGACTGCATCCTGCAAAGCCACAGGGTGGAGCTGCCTAAGGCTTTGGTAACTTACTCCTTGCACCAGTGTGGTCTGGATGTGGGGCATGGAGTAAAAGGAGATTATATTGGAGCTTTAAGACTTAGTAATGGCCCTGCTGGGTTTTGGACTTGCATCGGGCATGTAGCCCCTTTCATTTGGCAATTTTCTCTCTTTTGGAATAGGATTATTTACTAAATGCTTGTATCTCCATTGTAACATGGAAGTAACTAAATTGTTTTGGATTTTATAGGCTCATAGGTGAAGGGATTTGCCTTGTCTCAAATGAGACATTGGACTTTGGGTTTTTGAGTTAATGCTGGAATGAGTTAAGAATTTGGGGGATTATTGGGAAGACATGATTATATTTTGAAATGTGAGAAGAACATGAGATTTGGGAGGTATCAGGGTTAGAATGATGTAATTTTGATGTGTGTTTCGTCCAAATCTCATATTGGAATATAATTCCCAATGTTGGAGGTGGGGCCTGGTGGGAGGTGATTGAATCATGGGGGCAGATTTCTCACAAATGGTCTAGCACCATCTCCCTTGGTACTGTTCTCATGACAGTGAGTGAGCTCTCATGAGATCTGGTCATTTAAAAGCATGTGGCACCTCTCCCCTCTCTCTTGCTCCTGCCCTGGCCATGATCATAAGTTTCTCGAGGCCTCCACAGAAGCTGAGCAGATGCCAGCATCATGCTTCTTGTGCAGCCTGCAGCACTGTGAGCCAATTAAACTGCTTTTCTTTATAAATTATCCAGTCTCAGGTATTTCCTTATAGCAATTAGAGAATGAGATAATACACAAGGAAATGAAAGGAGGTGGAGTTGGGACAGAATTGTGGGCAGTAAACAAGATTTTAGAAAACAAGACTTTATGCTAAGGGCAAAGGAAACTATTGCAAGGTTTGAGATAATGGAGTCACAGGTTGAGGAGTATGGAGAATGGATTGCCATGGGTTAAACCATTGCTGTGGAAATAGGGAGACTGTGTGGAGGTTAATGAATTAGGCCAGGTGAGAGAGCATAGTGGTTTAGATGGGGTTAGAAACAATGGGAATGGAGAAAAATAGTTGAATCTGGGATGTATTTGGAAGTAAAGCCAATAGGACTTCCTGATGGATTGGAAGTGAAGTATAAGGGTCAGACAGAAACCCAAGATGTGTGCTAAATTTTTGGCTTGAAAAACTACTTGAGTGATCGATCATTCCATTGAATAAGGGTGGGTGGACCGGGATAAAGTAGATTTGGGGGGAAAATTAGGAATTTTATTTGAAATATGCTTAGAATATTTTATGTCAATTGAAAATATTATGGTTTAGGTATTTGGGTAGATTTGCAGGCAAATTGTGTTTTCTATAGAGTTTTAAAAACCAAAAGAATATTTTGAGGAGTTCTACCATTCTGGAATTCTTATGCTGGAAACTGCAACTTTTGTTCAATCCTTTCTTATTTACAAATATGAGCTCCTCAACGAGTTGGTGATGGAACTGGCCCTAGAGCTTGAGCCTATTTACTTGTATCTGAAGAGTTATAATCCTCATTCGACCTTCTGTCCATTCCCAAGATTTTCTCCATAATTAAAAAACTTAGGAAACCTGAAGCCTAAGAATGCCTTTTGGATAACAGGAAGATCATGTTTTCATGCAAATGAAATAAAGAATGCAAAAATGAATGAGGGGTGAAAATGGATAAAGTGCCAAGCTGTGGAAGAATAGATTTTCCTAAATTCCAACAGCTTAAGGGATTGTTTGCCCATCTGTGTTTATTGGGATTGCCAGAGAAAAACAGATCATGTGATCATGTCCAAAGAGCAGACCTTGTCAGATATGAAATAATTATTTAAGCATGTATTATTGAGACCCTGTCTGAATTCATAT
Source organism: Homo sapiens (assembly GCF_000001405.40). Lineage (NCBI taxonomy): Eukaryota > Metazoa > Chordata > Mammalia > Primates > Hominidae > Homo > Homo sapiens. The sequence continues at coordinate 87,759,227 of NC_000014.9, read as the reverse complement.
TTTGCAGCCTGAGGGGTGAGGAGTGACCAGGGAAGCCGTTAGTGATTGCTCAGAAACCAATACTACAAATCCTGAACAAAACTGTTCCATAAAAATCTCATTACTTACCCATGTTTTCTCTGAATCAGCATTCTGGGCACTGCCGTAGATATCCTGTAAATTACACACTTGTAAATTACCCATTTATAACATCTGTCAGTGGCAACTACAGAAGCAGATAATTTTTTTTCCCTTTTGCCTCAGCTCTGTAGCAGCTAGCTTTTAGATTTTGTTTTGATTTTTTCTGAGCACCCTTGAAGACCTAAGACATATTATTGACTGGCTTGAAAGTATCTGGGACTCTGTTGCAATTAATCCAGACTGCCTGTTTGAACCAATTGTGGGAGACATTGGAAAACAACCGTGTGCCAAGAATTGTGCTAGGCTTTGGGAATGGAGAAGTGAAAGAGACAGTCCTTGACAAGGGTGCCAGCAGAGAGCTAGGAACATCAGTGAAGACAGTACGGCAATATAAGAACTAAGGCTATGCAAAGGGTGTTGGTGAGAATGGAGGAAGTACTGAACTCAGCTTGGGTAATATGTAAGGAAGGAGAGGTCAGGAAATGATTTAGGCTGGGCACGGTGGCTCATGTCTGTAATCCCAGCACTTTTGGGAGGCCAAAGCGGGCGGATCACTTGAGGTCAGGAGTTTGAGACCAGCCTGGCCAACATGGCAAGACCCTGTCTCTATTAAAAATATAAAAATCAGCCGGACGTGGTGGCAGGCACCTGTAATCCCAGCTACTTTGGAGGCTGAGGCACAAGAATCTCTTGAACCTGGGACGTGGAGGTTGCAGTGAGCCGAGATTGTGCCACGCATTCCAGCCTGGGAGACAGAGTGAAACCCTGTCTCAAAAAAAAAAAAAAAAAAAAAAAAAAGCTTCAAAGGTGACACCTGAGCACCCTTCTATGCCTCTGGTTGGAACAAAATGATGCAGCCACTTTGGAAAATACTCTGTCAGTTCCCTAAATGATTAAACATAGAGTTACCATATGACCCAGCAATTCCACTCCTTGGTGTATACTGAGAGACATGAAAACATAGGTCCACACAAAAACTTGTATACAAATATTTATAAGAACATGATTCATAGTTGCCCCAAAGTAGAAACAACTCCAATGTCCATCAAGTGATGCATGAATAAATAAAATGTGGTATCCATATAATGAAATATTATTTGAACCTAAAAAGAAATGAAGTACTGATCCATGCTACAATGTAGATTAATTTTGAAAACATTATGCTAAGTGAGAAAAGCCAGACACAATAGGTCACCTATTATATGATTCCATTATTATAAAATGTCTAGAATAGGCAAATCTATAAAGACAGAAAGTAAATTATTGTTTGCCTCGTGCTGAGGAAGTGGGAGGACTGAGGAAATGCAGCTAAGTGTGCAGGGCTTCTTTTTTAGATTGTGTTCTAAAATGGATTGTGCTGATGGATGCACAACTCTGAATATACTAAAAGCTCTTGAATTATACAGTTAACTGGGTGAATTGCACAGTATGTGAATTAAATCTCAATGAAATTTTTTTTTTTTTTAAAACAATTACTTCTTAGAATGAGTAGGAGAGAGGACATTACTACAAGTGACAATAATGAGTGAATTTACCCCATCAGCAAGTCCTTTTGGTTTTATTTCCAAAATGTATCTTGGGGCCAAGTATGGCGGCTTGTGCCCATGGTCCCACCTACTTGGGAGGCTGAGGCAGGAGGATGGTTTGAGCTCATGAGTTCAAGGCTGCAGTGAGCTATGATTGCATGATTGCACCCCAGCTTGGGCGACAGAGCGATACCCTATCTCTAAACAAACAAAAAAACCAAAATGCATCTCACCTCTCTCTAACCCTCACTATTTCCACTGCCACTCTCCTCTTCCAAGCCACCGTTTCTCATCTTGACCACTGTGGTAGCCTCCTAGTTATTGCCACTCCTGTCCCCTGTGCTGGACAGTCTAGTGGCAACACAGGACTGCTTCTCCGTCTCTGAAGGGGCTGAGAGTGTGGGAACCTGATTGTTCAGAATTCATGCTGGGGCGCTCTGGTTGGCTTTGTGGGAGGCTGCAGAGAGGTGGTGTCGAACCTGCTCCTGTGTCCCTGGCAGATGACATCAGGGAGGTTCTACCAGGGGCTGCCCATTGTCCTTCTGTGAATCAAACTTCTAGGTGGCATCCCAGGCCACTGGGACCCCTGGGGATGGTCTTCAGGGTTTCCTGCACTTACTGGTTTCCTGAAAACTGATGACCCTTCTCTGACTTCAAACCCCTAGACCTTCTAACAGTCCTTTCATTTCTCATTTCACTTCCATTTCTGCTTGAGGTACACAGTGTGGTTCCAGTCTTGCTGATTCATGCTGCTACTCTCTATTCTCCGTACAGTAACCAGTGTCATATTTTGAAAATGTCAGTCAAGACATTTTACTCCCTTGCTCAAAACTCTCTAACAGTTCCCGTGACTTAGACTCAAATCCACATTCCATGCAAGACTCTTTGTGATCTGAACTCTGCCTCCTCTTCCTCCTCATCTACTAGCTCATACCTGACCGTATCGGCCCTTATCCTTTACCTCCCGTGTGTCCAGCCCGTCCCCATTTGAGAGGCTTTTCACATGGTGTCCCTTCTGCCTGGATCCCTCTGCTCAGTTTTTTGCAGGGCAGTTCCTTCTGTTACCAGGTCTCAGCTCAGGTGTCTGTCCTCAGAGAACCTTTTCCAGACCACCATGCTCAGTACCACTGCTCTTCTCCATCCCATCCTCTCATGACTCTGAGTTATTTTGTTTATGAATTTCCTTTCTTGTTTATTTCCTGTTCCTTTCCTAGAGTGTAAGCTCTATACAAGGGAGGCCTTTGATTCATCACGGCATGCCAGGTCCAAGCACAGTCCCTAGCACCCAGAAACCGCACACTCTCATGCAGAGACAAGGAAGCATGACAGAAAGGAGAGCATTGAGAGCACATCATATTTCGTGGTTGGAATTCCACAGGGTGGATGTGGTGGTGGTGGCAGAAGGTGAACGGTGAGGTTACAGAAGAAGACAGGTCACATGGGGCCTTGTTATTTCTTAGCTGTGTAATCTTAGAAAAGCCATTTAATCTCTCCAAACCTCCAGTTCTCCATTTTTAAAGTGGAATTTCTAAAACCTAACTTACGGGGTTTATATGGGTGGATTAAATGTACTCATAGACATGAAAACCTTATGAAAACTACAAAGTGACTTATTCATATATTTAGTATTTAATATTACCATGAATCTAGAGTCTAGGTCCAGGAAAGTCAGAGATTAAAAAAGATGTGGTCTCTGCCCTTGAGGAGCCTCCTGTCTGGTAAGAAAGAGAGACCCACAGAAAGTCACAAAACATGTCTTATATGATGATGACCTGAAGTCCTCTCAGCCCTGGGGTGTGACTGCTAGGTGTTTCTTATTACACAGTGGCAGTTTGCTTTGTGTCTTTATCAGTGCTGGAACCTCCTCCAGGAGAGCGAGCGGTCTTCATGTCTTTTCCGCAGGGTCCATGGGGTCTCCTCTGGATCCACATCCCCAGGAGGCCCCTCAGGCTCAACTTCAAAACTGTGGGATTCAAAAACCCTGGGCCTCCAGACCTTGTGACTTGAATTTCTTTCTATAATGGATGGGTTCCTTATTCTCACATCATCTCCCCTGATGCTTACTCAATCAATGGCCATTTGGATATGACTCAGCCTTTTTTTCTGTATTTTTAAAATTGCTATATTATAATTGTAAATATTTGGGGGGTACATGTGATATTCTGATATGTGTATAGAATGTTTGTAAAAACAATACGGGCAGAGCAAAATTTGACAAGTAGAAGAGAGTTTGGAAGAGGAGACATAAATGCATTGGTGAAAGAACATAGAATTAAACCTGTATATAAAAAGTTAACCAATTACCCCGATTTGATGAGTACAAACTACTGTGACCCTCCACGACTGGGGACTCTGTTTTAGACCCCTTTAGGTTTCCAGAGCCTACTCATGTCCACAGATGTCTCCTCTAGAGCCCCTCCAGAATTTTATCCCTACCCTGTAATTGTTTTGGGCCCAGTGTATGGCAGCGTGCCTGTTTCTAAGCTTGTTTTGCCACTGGACCCAGAACTCTTTTAGGGCTTGGACTTTGTCTTGGTCACCTTTTACCCTTTGTCACTGTGCATGTGCCTGGCGCAGAGTGAGAAATCATCGTTTACGGGATGGCTGCTGTGTGGATGGACTGTGGGGATGAGAGTAACATCAGACCCATCCTCTGCACTGCATTGGATTGAAGTAAAAAGGTCAAGCAACCAGGCTCTTTCTCTGTCTCTCTAAAACCAGCCAGGATAATACAGCTGCCTGCAGGACCTATGGGTAAAGAGGAGGAGATGCTATGCTTCACTGTCTGGTTTATAGTTTCACGATTGCTCAATGGCTTTGGTTCTCTCTTTTAATTGGGGGGTTGAGGGTCTAAGCAGGGTTGATTATTTTCCCTGCTTCTGACTCAGCCCAGGATTGGAACAGCAGCTGTGTCTGAATGAGAGAAGCGATGACGCGGGTGGGGATGAAAGGAGAACAAGGGGATGGGTTTTGATTAGAAATAAAGAAAAAAAAATACCAGGGAAGTGTTTTCTTCAAAGATTTATAACATGTTCACTCAATAAGCCTTTATTTACTGCCCAAAGCTGATTTCTTTTGAAAAATTACTTTGGCATATAGTCTATAAGTAAAAGCAACTTAACAGATTGGAAAATTGTAAATAAAGAAGAACTTAGAGAGTAGTTGTCTCTTATCCAGCCTGTGTGATTTTTTTTTTTTTTTTTTTTTTTTTTTTTTTAGTGAGGGTTGGGGTGATGCCTGGGAGAATCAATCCTTTTGAAAGCCAGTAGGAATGTGTTTGTGCTGACTTGGATCTGAGGCTGCTGTTGTAAAATCTTCATCTTTTACCTAATGATGCCTCCTTCTGATTGGCTCTTCTTTGGAAATAATTTTTTACCCCCTTCTAAGTACACATCTGACTGTGCATTTGTCAAAGTGTTGATCAAGGGCTCTTTTTTCTTTTAATAAATGTGTCATATCCATTCCAAAACATTCCTCCTATAATTAATAACAATAAAACCTGGTTACCTGTGGAGAGCTGACACATTAAAAAAGACCCAGGGAAAATACAAGATGGTACCAGCAGGCTAACCACAGGGCTCTCTGCCTTCTCCTCCCCCCGCCCAGACTACACTTGCTACCCAGAGACCCTGTTTGCCTTTGGGGACTGCTTTTCCCCTCAGGGCTCCTCTTGATGATGTATTTAAATAGGAAAAAAAGTTGGATTGCAGTAAGATGATGTGTCTCGTTTAGGAGGGGAAGAAGTCATTTTGTTCGGGTTTTCTATTTTGAACGAAAAATGATTCCCTGTTTGGTGTAGTCAGATTGTTGTTGTTTTCACTATTTGTCCAATATGTTAACAGAGGCCACTCTCCTATGGGTGCTGTGTCCAGAGGCTGGTTCAAAGGGACTCTTCTTTCTAGATGTGAGCTGGAAAGTGCACAGCTCATGGCTGGTACATAATAGGTGTTTAATAAACAGCGAACAAACAGATGAATCCATTCATCTTTGTCTGGACGAGAATTCCTTGTGTGTTCATTGTGATGGGTGTGGAGGAAGTTTTTTTGGCAAATAGTGTCGGTAGAATCATCATTTGAATGTGGCAAGTTAGTCTAGCTTCCTTGATATCTCAAGTCTCCTCCTCTTCCTCCTCCTCCTCCTCCTTCTTCTTCTGTCACTCTGTTCCCCAAGGCTGGAGTGCAATGGCACTATCTTGACTCACTGCAACCTCTGCCTCCCAGATTCAAGGGATTCTCCTTCCTCAGCCTTCCAAGTTGCTGGGATTACACGCACCCACCACCACGCCTGGCTAATTTTTTGTATTTTTTTTTTTTTTTTTTTTTTTTGAGACGGAGTCTCGCTCTGTCGCCCAGGCTGGAGTGCAGTGGCGCGATCTCGGCTCACTGCAAGCTCCGCCTCCCGGGTTCACGCCATTCTCCTGCCTCAGCCTCCCGAGTAGCTGGGACTACAGGCGCCCGCCACCACGCCCGGCTAATTTTTTGTATTTTTAGTGGAGACGGGGTTTCACCGTGTTAGCCAGGATGGTCTCGATCTCCTGACCTCGTGATCCGCCCGCCTCGGCCTCCCAAAGTGCTGGGATTACAGGCGTGAGCCACCGCGCCCGGCCAATTTTTTGTATTTTTTAGTAGAGATGGGGTTCGCCATGTTGGCTAGGCTGCTCATGAACTCCTGACTTCAGGTGATCTGCCCGCCTCGGCCCTCCCAAAGTTCTGGGATTACAGGCATAAGCCACTGCACCCAGCCTCAGGTTTTCTTAAATGTCATATGTGTCATTCATTATGGATTGATGTTTAGAAAGACTCTGATAATTGGTTTATGTTTATGCAGACAAAATGTGTCTGGAAGAATACCTGAGGCATTGGTAACAAATGGTAGTTGTTGCTGGGGAAATAAATTGGGAAATTGTACAGATGGGAAGCAGACCACGTTTCACTGTATAATCATCTTGCATTATTGGGATATTTTTCCATGTGACTATGATGCCTACACTGGAAAAACAAAATACTTAACATAGAGATGTATAAAAGAAAGACTCTAATGGAAATCTCTATACACAGACATTCATATTCATTCTTTCTTTCCCCTCTTCTTTGGACTTTCCTATATTCTTCCCCACATGAAGTAGAAAGTGGTACTCAATGGGTTTACCTGAAAACTTGAGACATGAGGAAGGCTCAGAGAAGGTAGCCCAGGATATGGACTTGCTTTTGGACTGCCCCACAAAATGAGGAAGAAACCTGGAAGTCACAGTCTGCCTGGCTCCAGACAGCCTGAGAGGATAGAGGGTCCAGTATAAAGGCTTATGAAGATTATCAGTAGAACTACACCATCAGCTCTCCCTGTTCTCAGGCTGTCAGACTCCTACTGGAACTACATCATGCACCATTGGTTCTCCTGGTTGTCTAGCCTACTGATTGCAGGTCTTGGGACTTGTCAGTCTTTATAAACATGTGAGCCAATTCTTTAGAATGAATCTGTTTTATATGACCCTCTGTGAGACCAGAACTTGAAGAACAAAGGCTTATTGGTATTGTCTCCAAGAAAATGGGAAACAAATTTGTTCGTTTGTTTGTTGCGTCGTTTGCTTTTTGTCTCAAATAAGAAAAGAAATTGCCTTTTTCTAGAAAGAACCTAGTTTTCAAGAAGCAAGACCCTTAGGCCAAGAAGGGAAAATGGTTTCTTTCACTATCCTTAGAAAAATCCATGAGAGTAGGAAAAATAATCCTACTTGTTCAATGCTTACCCAGACACTCACATGGTTTATCTTTAATTTTCACAATAGCTCTGGAGAAGGGATTAATGTTGCAATCATTTTCTTTTTCAGATGAGGAAACTGAGGCCATAGGGAAGTTAGGTAACTTCCCCAAACTAGGTCCTAGAGTTAGCACCCAGTAAGATTAGGATTTAAACCCAGGCAGGTTGACTCCAAACCCATGGGCTGGACTTCTGGGGATGTTGTTTTGTGTTTTGTGCAAGGTTGGACCACCCAGGAGCTTCTGTGACAGTTTTGGGTGACACATCTGTCTTTGCCACTTTCTAATTGCATCGCTTTTAATGAGTTGTGTAACCTCACCTGGCCCCCTTCCCACTGCCTCCTAAGCGTGCTGGCTTGCTTTCTGCATCTTCTTCTGCTTTCATCTCAGGCCCTTTGCACTTTCTCTTCCTTCTGCGTGAAAAGTCCTTCTTCACCTTCCTTTCATGGCTGGCCTCTCATTATTGAGCACTCTCCTTAAATGTCACCACCTCTGTCCCACAGCATCCTGGCTGAAGTGGTAATAAATCACACTACTTCATCCCCTTCATAGTGCTTATCAGTACTTAAAATCACCTTCTTTATTTGTTTAAATGCTTATTTTTGATTTCTCCTACTAGAATGTCAATTTCTTGTGGTGATGGACTATGTCATTCATATTCACCACTGTTTACTTGGCATATAGAACCATGCCTGGTCCATAACTGTTGCTCAGTAAACATCTATAAACTGCCTGACTTCCTGGCCCTCAATTTATTTACAGTTATAACATTGAGATGATATTACTAACTTCTAACATCATTGTTAGGAATTGTGGGAATCCAGGCATCTAGCTCAAAGCTCTGTACTCGATAAACAGTAGCTGCTCTGCTGGTCACTGGCTGCTTTTGTTCCCACTACCCAAGATCTTGAAAAACTTTTTCACCAAATGCAATCTTAGCAGCAAATGGGGTCCCCAAAGCATTACCTTACCTGTCCTCAGTCTTGGGGAAAATAAATCACATTTTCTGTTTAAGGGTGATGTAACATCACCAGAAAAGAAACTTTATGTGTGTAGACCTATCCATCACTTCTCTCTTCACCCCTTCTTGCATCTCCCTCCCTGGGAAGGTGCTCAGGTTTACCATGTGTGTTATAATCTCCGCTGTATTTCTGTCTGCCATGATGATTGATCTTTGGCTAACAAATCAGCTTGGATGGCAGCACTGCTGCTGTCCTACTCTGCCTTTGATCCAAGGTGTGGCTTCTCTGTAAATCAACACAGGGAGATGATGCAGGCTCAGCGCTGCTTGGGCACAGCTTCAGGAGACTTCTGTTTCCACAAAGCGGTGCTCTGTGGAAGAGGTTGCAGCTGCCCCTCTACCGCTGTCTTCTCCAGGGGAGGTGGCAGCATTTTCCTTTGCCCTAGTATTAGGGCCAGAGTGGATTTGTGCTTTAATGTCTGGTTCCTCTGCCTCCTTGAACTCTTATAAATCAGAACCCAGCACAGCACATAGGTCAGGAAGGGAGGGCTTCCTGGGGTTTCAGTTTGGCCTTACTATGACTAATTATAATAATAAAAGGCTTGAAAAGGGTCTTTGAACTTATTTTTGGTGGTTAAAATAGTGACACTTTGTTATGGACTTCCTCCTTCCTCCCCGCCCACCGTTCATGCCATAATAACGAATCTGTGGGGTCAGGGTCATTTGTATGATCTCTGGTAGCACCATAGATAGAACCAGCCACCTCTCATAATAATGATGATGGTGATGAGCCCTAACAGTTATGAAACCCTACAGGTGCCCTGCACCATTAATCACTTTACATATTGATGTATTTAATCTTCTAGGAATTGTGAGGAAAGGAAATAGGTCAAAGACCCATTTGGTGGGCAAATATGAGACTGTAAAACAGAATTCTGATTTTAAAATTCAGACAGGGCAGGGACCAGCATTTATCTAGTACCTACACAAGATTCAGCATTTTTTTCTAGAAGATATTCTGCCCACCAACCCTGCAACTTAGGACACCTCTTATCTAAATGTTCACAGGTAAAAATGGAATCTCAAGAAGATTTAGTAGCATGTCCAAGGTTTTACACTGTTGCTAAGTGGTAGAGCTGGGATTTAAATCAGGTTTGTCTGACTCTGAACTTCAGTTATGGATAGAAATGGTCTGAACAGGGTCAACCTTGCATTTAGACGATAGGGTAAGAAGTCCACCTACCAGACAATTTTCTCCTCTGAGCCTTAAAGTTTTCTTCTCTTATTAACAAAAAGGCAAACCAATCTCCACACACCCAAGTCTAACAGTAAAATTAGACAAGCTTTGGCAAAGCCCCATGAGGCTGAAAAGATTGAACTATTCAAAGCTTTCACTTTGTCATTATTTCAGCTTCTAAACTTGTCATCTTTATAGTCTATTGAATTAATAAAAGAAGTGAATACTCGTTGACACTGACAGAGCAGTATACTGCATATTATATAAACTGCTATGTGCAACTCCATCTGCTTGCTATAGAGACACAAATTCATACTTTTTTGCCATTCTAACCCATAATCGTAACCTAACATCCATTCAAATTAAAGCACTGTAACTCTTTTTAGGAGTAGGGGGAAAAAAACCCTGCTGCTTTTTACTGGCTGATTTATTGTTACATGACAATATTGGGTATATTAAACGTTAATATTGGTGCTGTCTTTTACACCATAAGTCTTGTGCTGAGGAGCTGAGAAATTATTTCATTTTAAAATGGACATTTATTGCACTCTATAGGCAGGTATGTAATTCCTTCCTCTAAGAGATCTGTGGAATATTTTCCTTCTGAGGTGTGAGAACTTTTGATTTGCACTTGTTGTGTCATTTGGGTGCAAAAGAAGGGTGATTTACTGTTTCCATTGGCATAAATAATATTCTGTTTGTTTCTGCATCATTTTCTAACACCCAGTATTGACAGTGCCTCACAGTTTACTAGGCAGAGAATTCAACCTTTTACTGTAAATGTCAGGGAGAAGGAATGGAAAAAGAACTTTGAATTTCAGCCTAATGTTCAAATGGGTCCCCAGTCACACTGGAAAGAGATAATCCAGCTATGGTCAGATAGTGCTACAATGCAGCTGTTCTTTCTAGCTCATTTCTTGGAACCACTAAAACTCTTTGGAGAAACCTGGCAACCTTCTGATCCTTACAATGGGGTAATTCCCAGGATGATGTATGCTTTCATCAAACACCAGGCATCTTCTGCCATTGCTACTTCCCACCCACCTATTCTTTCCTTTCTTCTCTACTCTGATCTTTGATCATCAATTTTAAAAAGTGTAGTCAGTGTTTGAAAATATAATGTGGAGGTTTAGACACATACTTTCTGGAGAACTCTATGACACAGACATGAAAGAGACTATTGGTTGCTGATCTAATGCTAATTTTATTTTTCTTCTTCCTTAGTTACAAAAGTTGATTTTACTTGGATTGGCAATATGCTTGCCTGAGATATATATTTCCCAGACTCCATTACAACTTGATTTGGCCATTCTGGCTAATGAGATGGTGTAAGGGAAATGGCTGTGCTTTAGTCAGGAGTAGGCCAGGCTGGCCTTCTGGCACAGCTTGATTCAGTGGGTTTGGAGGGCAGGCGCAAAAAACTGCACATTATTTAATCATGTCATGTGAGGTGCATTAGGTGATCACCCACATCAGCTCATGCTTGGCTCAGAGCTACTATTGTCTGTAAAAGGTAGAATTACTCTGCTTACCCTGTACATACAGTTTGCTCATGCCCAGAGAGAGAGTAAAGCATGTTGAAACCATCAACGATTCCTCGAGTGTTTTTCCAGCCGCCTGCCACTCGCCCACCGACTCCCCTCGGACCTCAGTTAGAGCCTGACAGGTGGAAATAGAAATTATTAGATAGAGCCTCTGGAAAACAAAACTGTGAGGCAGACCATTGGTGAGGGCCATATTTGCCTTTCCCTTCTCACTTCTACTTTCTGCCGGATTGTGGACAGATGGCTGGGTCTCTAATAGCCATGTTGAACAAGGAGGCAACCTTTAGATATTTTAATAAGGGTAGTAGAACAGAATTACAGAAGAAATCTGAGTGCCTGATGAGTTAGTGAAGCTACTATTCCAGTCATGAACCACCTACCTTAGGACTTTTATTAAATAAAAGTACACTCTTCTAATTTATCTAAGCAAGTATAGTCATGTGCTATTACTGGCATCTGGGGGAAGCTGGTCACCATGTTCTGAAGACATTCATGTAGCCCTGAATGAGGTCTACATGGTGAGGAAATGCGATTCCTTACTAACAGCTAGCATTGACTCGCCATTTTGGAAGTAAAGTCTATCATCTCAGTTATGACTTCGGTGACTGAAACCCTGTCTGGTAGCTTGTCTACAGCCTCATGAGAGACCCAAGCCAGCTAAGCTGCTCCTGAATTTCTGACCCTTAGAAACTGTGTGAGAGAAGAGGTTTTTATTCTTATTTTAAGCTGCTATAGCAATATATAAACAATATAGACTTGAATATTAGGTTTGCATTCTTATGTATGTATTTAAAAACTGATAAATCACATAATGCAAAAACCTTGACATTCAGAAACCTTATACATGAAAATATTCACCATGGCATTTAAAGTCTCCCCTTTAAAAGGCATCATAGGTGAATATGATTATGGTCTTAACAGCTTTTTAGCTATTCTTACAAATATAGCTGATATTAATCCTCAGGTATTTCACATTCTACTAAATAGGCATTTTTCTTAACTACCATATGGCATTTCAGAATCAGATTATGAAACCCATATTCTCTTCTCTCCATTACTATTATGCACAATTCCCAGCTCTGGAAGGCTGGTGGCTCATTGGACACCAGCTCATAGGGGACTAAAGAGCGTTTCCCTCTCCATAATGACACTTGGTGCTTTGCAGGGAAAACCAGCCTTTGGAAAGGAGCAGGCCTTCCTAATATCAAATTCAATTTAATTTGAGGGAATGAACCTGCCTTCCCAATTTAAAGTGAAGCCTGCGTGGTTAGCCGCCTGAGTTCCTGCAAGGTGCAAACAATCATTACTTCTCCAGACCCCCTAGCCCTTTTCCTGTTTTTTATAAACACTTATTTAAGTTTCCAGACACCTGACTTAGCTTCACGATGGCCAGCAACTTCCTCATAGATCATGAAACTCAACTTCAGCTCACTGCCTTCTGAAGCTTCTGTAATCTTCCATTCATTACATTCCATGTTGACCCCTGTGCATTGTAAAAGTTGCCAGCCCAGCTGGAGAACATGACATGTAGATCTCTAGGTTCCTTGAGTTGCAGCATCTTTTAGTTTGGGTGTTAAGTTTTGAGATCTGGGTTTTATTCGTCATTTGATTGATTAACTGCCTATTGTTTGCCCTACCCACAGTCCGTCTGTCTGATGCATAAAGTGAAGCTGCAGGAAAAGAGCTATTCAGTTTTCACTGAGTTAGGAAAGCCATGCTAGTGGCAGGTGAAGGGGACAGCAGAACATTTCTGGGACAGTCCCACCTTTGTCGTAAGACCTGACACAGGCCAAGACTGTTATATCCACAGGGAGGTTCATTAACACGCATTTAAAACCTGTCTATTTACTCCGAGAATCCAATTCTGACTACATTCAGTTGGTAAATATCAGAGCTTTCAGCAGAGTAATGGCAAATCATCCAGCTGAATTTACTCAAATTCCCCTGATTAATCCATCTGACTGCCCAACCAAAGCTATCATTATCACTTACACAGTGCCTTTTAATTTGGATTTTGTCATCCTCCTCCTTCTCTTTCCATTTGTAAGCACATGCTTGCAGGTTGAAAAGTTGAGGATTCTGACCCAATTCTCGTTTGATTGGATTTGCCTTTTTCTTTCTTCTTCTTTTTTTTTTTTTTTTAATTAAAAAGGGGATGTTTAATTATGCAATATGCAAACTTCTGAAGACAGAGAGGGAATCATCATTAGTTTAACTCTGGGCTAGAAACATTCAGAGGCTGTGTAGATATTCCTGTTCTTACCTCTTTCAAAGCTACCTAGTCATGTGCCTTCATAATAGTACTTAATAGCTATGTTATGGGGCAGACACAGTTGGATGAGAAATTAGGAGTTGGGGTTGAGCAATCAGAGCTCCATCTGCTGGATGGAGGGAGCAGGGCACTTGTGGCCAGGTTTATCGGCTGTCATCCTCAAAGTTAAGCAATCTGGCGGCAAGTCTGATTGGAAAGGCTTTTTTCTTCCCCCTCCCCCCTCTTTTGGGAGTAGGATAGGTGTAGCAGACTAAGGAAAGCCTTGCTTTGTTAAGATGCTGTTCTGCTCTTAGTAAACAGATAACATAAAGAGAATCATGTACAAGCTATTCTGTTCATTGACATTAAAGGACAACTGGTCATTTTTCTTGTATAAACGGGAATCTTATTTTCTGTTCTCATCCTATATCCAAGGTAGCAATCTCAAAGCAAAATGAAGTAAATGAGTGAGCAATTCAGATGCAATTTATTCCCAAACTCAGTTTTTGTACCTGTATCAACTTCACCAAAGCCACTATCAAAATAATATATAAATACACGTATACACACGCTGACACCCACAAATCAACATATAAATGCATTTGTTTTTTTATTCTTCTATCTCATCTCCCCTGCACCTTTCTTTCACTGTTAAGGGAAATGAACTCTAACGCACTGATGGTTTTTGATTGAGATGATGTTGAGTTAAAAAACTGATGGTTTTTGACTGAGATGATGTTGAGTTAGGACTAGTACCTAACTCACAACTCGTGAAAGGTTTAAATCCAATCATTTATCAATTAAATGAAAAAAGAAAGTTACTGATTGGATGCCAAGCTCTTGGCACTGGGAACAGAGAGGTTGATGAAGAAGTTCTGCCACCAATTATGGAGATGACTGACTAGAGTTGGATGGAGATGACATATGAAGGAATCAGACAATAAGTTAATTATAAGAGTATAAGAAGTGCTATGCAGAAAATGAAACTCATGGATATATAGAGAATAATGGGGAGGAAGTGGAGAGGGGGAATGCTATGGAAGGATTCTCCAAGGAGGTGATATTTGAGCTAAAAAATATAAAGTGTGTAGCCCAGTGCCTGGTAGTTGTAAGAGATCCAGTAATCCAGTTATACTTAGAATTATAAATATAATCATCATTTCTTCTACAGTCAGTAGAGTTCACAACCTGAAGGTGATCGTAATTACCCCCCTGGCCACTTTTCTGTGGCCTCCAAGCAAACAGTAAAGCAAAGTGCCCAGAGAAATTGCCTTTGTCATCCTTCACCTACAAATAAGACATTGGTGTTGCTAGAAAGCAGAGAACAGGACAGTCCATGAATTCAGTGTAAACACTAAATTATCCTTGACAGGAGGCTTCAGATGAAGATAATTCCTCCCAAGATCCTGTGATATGCTGAAATTCCCTGGATATTAATAGAGTTGAAATTGACTCATTTTTGGGTAATAGCAAAATGGGTCCTTCATTGTAGCTACAAATGCACTTAAGGTATCATCCCCAGTTGTGAGCAGGGATCATTCTGGAGAGCTCAGAAAAAGAAATGTCCAGGGAGTCATGTAGATTGACTCTGCCTGTGGCCTTGTTTTGGTGAAGGACCCCAACATTTAGATAACAACAGAGCCTGGGACATCTCATTGAGGCCCTCGCTCTACCTCACACCCACAGCTGGGGCAGTCACCAACTCCTACAATTGTTCTTCCTTATCATCTCTCCCATTCTGTTGGCTTTCTCTCCACCCCCTCTGCCATGGCTTCCACTAGTCTTCCATCAGCTCGCTCTCTTTAGTCTTCCCTGACTGCAGTCATTTTAGAAATAAGGTCTGTAAAGGCACAAACCAAAACAAAAGGGAGTATTCGTTTTTGTATACTCTATAGTAATGATTCCTAAATTACAGACTGAGGACTCCTGGAGCAATGGCTAAGGAAATATTGCAAGAGAACCCTGGATCTGTGGTCTGTGGAATAGATAAATAATTTTATTAAGGCATATATATATATTCAAATATATGTAAATGTTGTTTGGATTATAAGATGCAAATTTAAAGTGTTGTTAAACTCATAATTGATTCTTTCAATGTATATTTATTAAATCAATAAATGCTAAAAATAGATCGTGTTTTAATCCCACAGGGATCCATAATATTTCCATGTATAAGTGGGTCTTCAAACTTAAAAAAGGAGCTTGGAACACCATCATGAGGCACAAGAGCCATGATTCCATTAGCACCTGGCACAGACACCACAGGGCTCAATAAATGCACAAGCCAATTGAGACCAGGGCCTTGTTTCCAGATTTTTAGTGGGACCAGCGATTCTGCCCTTACTAAACAGTACTATGATCCTCGAACTAGGTCAAGCAATGTAAAAGCAAGCTACCCGGGCTTCCACTAGCCTCAGGTGCTGAGGGAAAATCTAATCTGTGCCCCATTTAGGTACCGTTTTAGTCTTGGATGTTTGGTGGAGCAAAGTATGCTCAGTTAATGGAACAAACACAAGGGGATTTTAAATGGCAGTTTTACAAATTTGTATTCCTGTGAAAGTTTGTGTCAGAGCTGTTACCATCTCTGCTTGTTCTGTTTATTCAGCATGAATGTCTGGAACATGCAGTTGTTCTGCTGGTTTTTATCAGATACGCCATCCCAAGGTACCACGGGGAATATCTTCATTATTAACATAATAAGAGGGAAGCCGGCTGCTTGCAGAAACTGCATATTTCTAGAACTTATGTTATGTTACATCCTGGCTGCTAATTAGGACCCAGCTTACAGTGGCAGGATATCAAAGAAAGAAATGATCCACATGGACACCGTAGAATGTTCTGACAGCATCCAGGGTGCCTGCTCAGTTCAGAGTTTGCCTGCAGAAGAAAAAAGTTCAGAGGAATGGGACTTAACAAGGGGCCTCCTACCTGTGGATTACAGCAGTTTTTTTTGTAGCCCAATAGCTGAGCAAACATGTGCTCACCTCTGGTGAGAGACCACTCACCTGTGCTTGTCCTTCCTCTTCCATTTCGTCCCAGCATGATACGATCATTTCTTTGCTCACTAATGCACTTAGCTTCTTAGAGGGGCCAGAAAAGGACTGTTGTAAGAGGAAGGGAAGGGATTTTTGCCCCTTCTGGTTTGTCCTTAACATTTTCATTACTGTGATTAAAAAACAATTATATGCAATGTAAAATACAATATTATAAACATTCAAAATAATTCCCAAGTACATAAATACAAAGTGAAAGTTCCCCTTCATGCCCCTGCTTGATCCCACATTCCCCTCCAGAGATAACCACACATCATAGCAGTTTGTGGTACGCCTTGAATCCATTTAGCCACAAATTCTAATGTATAATATTCTTTTTTCAATGTACACAAGTGGAGTGACACTGTTTATATTGCTTTTGTTATTTACAGTATCTTAAAAATTTTTCTCTGCCATGAAATGTATTGTCAATATGCAATACAAACCGTTTGTTATAACTGTCTTAATATTTCAGTTATAGATATATATTATAATTTGTTTGATAATTCCTTTATTTACAACTTAAAAAAAGCCTTAGATGAAGAGCCCTACAAAATTTTTTTGTATTTTCTCAGCCTTTTAATTTTCTAGTTCCTGCTTTTTCTTAATATGCTAGCCTTAAAAATGGGCTCCCAAATATGTCCATGGCCCTAGAACCTGTGAATGTTACCTTACATGGCAGAAAGTACTGTGTAGATGTGATTTAGTTAAGATTCTTGAAATGGGGAGATTATCCTAGGTTATTTGGGTGAGCTCTATGTAATCACAACAGTCATTGTAAAAGGCAGGCAGGAGGAGTCAGAGTGAGAGGTGAAAACACTGTGATGATGAAAGCAGAGACTGGAGTGATGAGGCCCCAAGCCAAGGAATATTGGCTCTCCTGGAGCTTCCAGAAGGCCTCAGCTGTGCAGACACCTTGATTCCAGCCCCATGAGACTCATGTTGGTCTTCTGCTGTGTTAAGCCACTAAGTTTGTGGTGATTTGTTATGGCTGCATAGAACACTAGCACACTTGGCTTAAATGGTTCTATCTTTGAATACATGGTCATACCTTCTTACCAATGCTAAAAGATACTTTTGGAAAAATAATCTTGACTGTCATACAGATGTAGAAATGAACACATACTAGAGATTTGATTCATGAAGGATCAGGCAGAGATAATTACCAGTTCAAATAAAGAAGGCCAAGCAGCACAAATTTACATGGAGTAAGAAATGTTGAAACAAAACTGTTTTTTTTTTTTTTTCTTCACAGAGGGAGTGAGAGAAGTCAAACCTCTACCAGACTAGACAGAATTTGCATGTCTATCTCTTACCTGTAAGTTACAGAGTTATCAAATATCTCAAAAATAATAAAAGTTGAGAATCAGATAATTGCATGGGTTATCTAGACAATAAATGATTTTCCATTGAAACACAATTTTTTCCGTACCATTATCATTTTAAACCAGGGATTGGTAAACTACAGCCTATCGACCTGTGGGCCAAGTCTGGCCTGCTGCTTGTTTTGCACAGCAAATAAGCTAAAAATAGTCCTTATTGATGAACATTTGCAATTGATCTGATCATAAGGAACACAAACTTTGAGTCCCAAGTCAAGTGAAAGGTTATCCCCAAAACAAAGAATCCCGTTTTTCTCATTAGTAGACCTGTATTACAAAAATTTATACTTATCAGTTGTTATTATACTTTGAATTTTGTTAATAAAAATCTAATTAAAATGTGTTCTTTCTTGTTATGTATGTATGTATTTTGGATTTTGCTTCATCACCTGAAGAGCCCAAGCTATTTATTATCTGGTAATTTATAAAAAAAGCTTGCCGACCTCTGTTCTACTTTTTTTTTTTTTTTTTTTTTTTGAGACTGAGTCTTGCTCTGTTGCCAGGCTGGAGTGCAGTGGCGCGATCTCGACTCACTGCAACCTCTGCCTCCCAGGTTCAAGTGTTTCCTCTGCCTCAGCCGCCCAAGTAGCTGGGACTACAGGCACGTGCCATCACACCTGGCTATTTTTTTGTATTTTTTTAGTAGAGACGGGGTTTCACCATGTTGGTCAGGATGGTCTCGATCTCCTGACTTTGTGATCTGCCCACCTCAGCCTCCCAAAGTGCTGGGATTACAGTAGGCGGGAGCCACCGCACCGGGCCTACATCTTTATTTTGTTAGTTTTTCCTATTTATTTTATATTCACATCTCAGTATATTGGTTTGCTGCTTAATTACGAAGCATACTTATTTACCCAAACTGTTGGATAATTTCTATCTATTGTCTCTTGTTGTCCCATGAGTCTCCAACAGGCTGTCTGATGACAGGTGCCATCATCTGGGGTGTGGGGGACGAGGGGACGGTTACAGTGAACCCACAGAACAAAAGGGTCAGATTTTTAGCTTTTCAAATATGAGGAAAACTGAAGGATTTGGAAAAGTACATCATGAAGAATGATTGGTTCTCATCCCCTGGGTTAAAGTTTTGGGCTTGGAGAGGGAGAAGGGTAAAGAGATGATACAGAGAATATGATAAAGATGGGGGGCTGGTGGCTCCTGCGATGAGGGAATGAATCCCATGTGCAGGGACTGTGTGGACAGGAGTAAAGCCCCTGGCCAGGAACCCCCTAGTCTCCCTTCCCAGCCTGTTTCTAGTGCTGGGGAACCCAGGGGAGAAAAGTCACCGCTTGTGGATCACCTGATTTTCACTGTATTTCATTTCTTGCCCCACCAAGTTGAGAACTGCCTCAGTTGATCTTCTAGCCCACCTCCTCATCCTGTCATCAGCACTCACTCATGAGCCATTAACCATTAAATCTGACTATTCTGTGTGGCTATCCCAGCCCCTTTTGTTGTTTTTCCTCACAAAGTCATTCCCCAAAACTAGGACAGGACTCTCCATATTTTCAGGAGGTTGTGGGAAAGAAAATGTCCATCATACCCATGAGCTTATCTGAATCAACTCGAGCTCCTTCCTGACTTCTCAACAGATACAAATCCCATGGGGCTGGCCCTCCACCAAGCCTTTCCTATTTTTACTCTCTCTATTAGTCAGGGCTCTCCAGAGAGACAGTGTCAATGGGATATGGATCGATATAGATAGGTAGATAGATAGATAGATAGATAGATAGATAGATAGATAGATAGATGGATAATAGATAGATAAGAGGCTTACTAGGGGAATTGGCTCATGCAATTATGGAGGCTGAGAAGCCCTACTGTATTCATCTGCTTTTACACTGCTGATAAAGACATACCCGAGACTTGAAAATTTACAAAAGAAAGAGGCTTAATTGGACTCCGAGTTCCATGTGGCTGGAAAGGCCTCACAATCATGGTGGAAGGCAAGGAGGGGCAAGTCCCATCTTATGTGTATGGCAGCAGGCAAAGAGAGAGCTTGTGCAGAGAAACTTCTATTTTTAAAATCATCAGATCTTGTGAGATTCACTCACTATTATGAGAACAGCTCAGGAACCACCCGCCCCCATAATTCAATCACCTCCCACCAGGTTCTTCCCATGACAGGTGAGAATTGTGGGAGTTACAGTTCAAGATGAGATTTGGGTGGGGACACAGCCAAATCATATCACCTATGATAAGCCATTTGCAAGCTGGAGAGTCCGGCATGCCTGCAGCATGGCTCAGTCTAAGTCTGAAAGCCTCAGAACCAGGGAAGCTGATGATGTAACCCTCAGTCTGAGGCTGAAGGCCTGAGAACATGGGGAGGCCCTTGGTGCAAGTTCTACAGGCAAAAGGCCAGAGAGCCTGGAGTTCTGATGTCCAAGGGCAAGAGAAGAAGGATGTTCTAGCTCCAGGAGAGAGAAAGAAGGAACTCACCATTCCTCTGCCTGTTTGTTCTAACTGGGCCCCCAGATGATTGGATGCCTGTCCACACTGAGAGCAGATCTTTCCCACTCAGTCTACCAGCTCACATGCCAATCTCCTCTAGAAACATCCTCACAGGCACACTCAGAAATAATGCTTTGCCAGCTCTCTAGGTTTTGCATAATCCAGTCAAGTTGACACCTAAAATCACACTACCTCTATTCATAAGTCTGAGAGGGATCCATTTTACCTGTGGCCCATTGATTTAAACAGAAGGTGAGGGGCAGCTTAATGGATGCTTGAGTTGTAAAGGCCAAGACTTGCCTTTTAACTCTTGTCTCCAAACTGCCAAACAATTTTCTAGTCATAATTTTCCCAAAGACTCATCTTCGTACTACATGAAGTGAATGCTTGGTGTTTTGGAATTTCTTCTTCTGTTTACTTATATTGAGCATATCTGTCAGGGTATAGTGAGAAGGCAGAAACCACACCAGTAATTTGAACAGGGAAAAGTTAATGTAAAAATTATTAACTACTAACACGTGGTTAACTACTAACACGTGGTTAACTACTAGAAGAGGTAAAGAAAAGGCACTGTGGAATTAGGAATACCAAATTCAGCAAGAGAAGCCACTATTTCTAGAGCTGAGGGAGAGAACACACACAAAAAACTTAGGAGATCCAGTCTCCACCCCCACATATATTCATGAAGTTAAGCTTCAGAACTTGATGAAGAGGTATTTGTTACCACGAGACCATGCAACCTGGTGGCAGTGAAGAAATCTTCCAGAGGGCTCAGGCTAGGGCTAGTTTGTAGGAACAGCTCACTAAAGGGTGGGGTTGTCTGGAGCTAGTCCACAGGGCCAGTATAATGGTAACCAAGAACTTCACAGTAGAGTGCCAGTGGGTCAGAGCTTGTTTCCATGAAGCAGCCTATGGAGTGAGTGGCAGAAAAACTCAGAGAGTGAGCGCTTTTGGCCTCTGGCATACTGGTCCTCTGGAAGCTGTTCTGCTAGGAACAAAAGCACAACAGAATTGGAAATAGAAGCTCCTTCCCTTGCCATGGCCAGGCAGCAGGCATAGGAGAAATGTTTACAGGGTCCAGTTCCAGTATCACAAAGCAGGGCAAAGACAGCTGGATTGGTAGCTAAAAGACAATACGTGATAACTGTTGCATTCACCCAAAACAAATAATGAAAAATGAGGTATCATGATTAATGAGATAAGAAGAATGTGCAGTGGGCTGAAGGCACAGGCAAATGTTTAAGATTTGGAATGCAATTTATTGTTCTACAACTTGCTTTTCTCATTTAAAAATATACCGTGGACATCCTTCATTGTCAGTGCATATAGATCTCTTGCTTTCTTTTAGTAGCTGCAAGGTATTCCACTGTATGGATGTCCTAGAATTTAATTTACTATTTTCTTACTGATGGACATTGAGGTGTTTTTGAAGTTTTCATTAAAATAAAGAAATGCAGCAAACACATTCTTGCTGTTTTACTTAAAACTAATATATATGCATAAAAACATTCTCAAGGGATATACACGTAAACATTTACAGTGGTTGTCTTCGGAGATGGGAGAGCTTAAAGACTGTATCTTTCTACTTTATTCATAGCTGTACTGATTAAATTTTTTATAAGAATATATCACTTTTTGTAATTAGTACATTTAAAAAAGATGTTTCAGTGTTGAAAGGAAGTGCAATTTAATTAAAAGTTGTAAACTGCCACTGACATTCTGTTTAAAGGCTCAGATATTCATATGACAAACATTATTTTGGCTCTTTTGGAAGGAGCAACAGTTGTTAGCTGTTGTTTCAGGGTCTGATCAAAGCAGTACAGATGTGTTTTCAGTGGCTCATTATCAGATATTGTGTCTAGATAGCAGGGAAAATCTTTCCTCTTTTTGAGACATCTTTCCAGGTGTTCAGGATGATGGAATCTGAGGAGAAAGGCTGACTTTCTTCACATTTTCTCAATTGCAATTTCCCTGTTTCTTTTAGAAAAAAAGGCTCAGCACTGTGAAGACTGATTGCCACCTCCCCCTTCCCCAGCAATCTCGTGGAGATCTGGTCAGAGAAGCTGTTCCATCTCCCACAAACCTCGTGGCTCAGAAGCAGAGGTGGAGGCTGCAGACCTCATGTCAGGACTGGGTCGACTAAAATAAAAACAGTCCCCCTAGTCTGGATGCCCTGTGTACCTTGCAACTGAGAAAATGTGAATGAAACCATGAAATACTATGCAGCCATAAAAAGGAATGAAATTATGTCTTTTGTAGGAACATGAATGGAGCTAGAAGCCATTATTCTCAGCAAACTAACACAGGAACAGAAAACCAAACACCACATGTTCTCACTTATAAGTGGGAGCTGAAGAATGAGAACCCATGGACACAGGGAGGGGAAAAACACACAGGGGCCTATCAGGGGGTGTGGTGGGGGGAAGGAGAGCATTGGAAAAATAGCTAATGCATGCTTGGCTTAAGTTCTACGTGATAGGTTGATAGGTGCAGCAAACCACCATGGCACACGTTTACCTATGTAACAAACTTGCACATCCTGCACATGTACCCCAGAACTTAAAAATAAAAATGAAAATAAAAAATATTAGATTTGAAAGGGTTTCATCATCTAACAAGAGCTCTTTGAATCTTACAGATAAACTCCTTTTCCTGACATCTGCCAGTGAAAATTCTGCATCAGGGTATAGTCTGTGTGACTAGCTTTGTCTTGATGAAGGGTTTACTCCCTGCCCCAAAGGGCGATTGGAAGCAAGGCTGGACCTGTGTGTGTGTGTGCATGTGTGTATGTGTGAAGTCCTAAAGGAACCTGGATAAGTGCAAATGGAGACTGCACAGGAGTTGAGGCCTCGTGCTGGGACACTCACCTTTGTTGGGTGTGCACTGAAGCTGCAACACCTTTGGGATTTGGGGATTGCAGATGAGGTCACACTTTATTTCCTCCTTTAACAGACTTCTAGTGACATTCAGGGAAGGGGCAGATGTCCCTCCTCCAGCTGGCAGGGCAACAGACATTAGGAAGGAGGACCACAGTGGGAAGACAATAAATACCACGATGACAGGGTTTTCTTGGGATAAAAAAAATATCAGCTGTAGCTAACACAGGCAAATAATAACCATCATTTTGAGATAGCAAGATTTGGCCTTCAGGCCCTTTGCTTTCTCCTTGGCACTGAAAATAGTCCTTTCTGTGGGGCTTGTCAGATGTTTTCGAGCATCCTGCAGCTACAAATAGCGGGGCAGTCTGCCTGGTGGGATGGACCTTTAGCCTGACCATCACCTTGTTTTGTAAGCATTAAAAAAATAAAGAAAAAGGATGTGAAGCACTTGAAGAGACAACCACTTTCCTTTCTGGCATTTATTTTGCCCAAAGTTTCTTTTCAGTGGAATCATACTAAAAACTTCTTAATGTCAGAAGCATGAGGAAAGCACAACAATGAATACAAATTAAATGTTTATTTGGGAGCAAAACCTTGGGGAGTCAGATGATTTCAGAGATTTTTCTGTCTTTTTTACTCCTCTACCATTCTCAAAAGGGACGCCGTCAATCCTCTTTACAGAAACACTGGGGAATACAGTGTAATTAATGTTTGTGCACTAGCTAGACCTGGCATTTGCAGCAGAACGTAAGGACAGCATTATTCAAGAAGTAGAACTGAGAGGTGACAGCCTGCTGGCAGCCCTCGCTCACTCTCGGTGCCTCCTTGGCCTGGGCGCCCATTCTGGCCACGCTTAAGGAGCCCTTCAGCCCCCCCGCTGCACCGTGGGAGCCCTTCTCTGGGCTGGCCGAGGCCGGAGCCAGCTCCCTCGGCTTGCGGGGAGGTGTGGAGGGAGAGGCACGGGCGGGAACCAGGGCTGCGCGCAGCGCTTGTGGGCCAGCTAGAATTCCGGGTGGGCATGGGCTTGGCAGGCCCCGCACTCGGGGCGGCGGGGCGGCCGGCCGGCCCTGCCGGCCCCGGGTGGTGAGAGTCTTAGCACCCAGGCCAGCAGCTGCGGAGGGTGCGCCGGGTCCCCCAGCAGTGCTGGCCCACTGGCGCTGCGCTCGATTTCTCGCCAGGCCTTACTTAGCTGCCTCCCCGAGGGGCAGGGCTGGGGACCTGCAGCCCGCCATGCCTGAGTCTCCCCCCGTCCCCCCCATCCCCCTGCCATGGGCTCCTGCATGGCGGCCTGAGCCTCCCCTACGAGTGCCGCCCCCTGCTCCACGGCGCCCGGTCCCACTGACCGCCCAAGGGCTGAGAAGTGCGGGGTGCACGGCGCAGGACTGGCAGGCAGCTCCACCTGCGGCCCTGGTGCGAGATCCACTGGGTGAGGCCAGTTGGGCTCCTGAGTCTAGTGGGGACTTGGAGAACCTTTGTGTCTAGCTAAGGGATTGCGAGTGCACCAATTAGCACTCTGTGTCTAGCTCAAGGTTTGTGAACACACCAATCAGCACCCTGTGTCTAGCTCAGGGTTTGTGGATACACCAATCGACACTGTATCTAGCTAATCTAGTGGGGACGTGGAGAACTTTTGTGTCTAGCTCAGGTATTGTAAACGCACCAATCAGCACCCTGTCAAAACGGACCAATCAGCTCTCTGTAAAACAGACCAATCAGCTCTCCGTAAAATGGACCAATCAACAGGATGTGGGTGGGGCCAGATAAGAGAATAAAAGCAGGCTTCCTGAGCCAGCTGTGTGCAACCTGCTCGGGTTCCCTTCCACGCTGTGGAAGGTTTGTTCTTTTTGTTCTTTGCCTTAAATGCTGCTGCTGCTGCTCAGTCTTTGGGTCCACACTGCTTTTATGAGCTGTAACACCACGAAGGTCTGCAGCTTCACTCCTGAAGCCAGTGAGACCACAAACCCACTGGGAGGAACAAACAACTCCAGACGCGCCCGCTTAAGAGCTGTAACATTCACCAGGAAGGTCTGCAGCTTAGAGCGAGACCACAAACCCCCCAGAAGGAAGAAACTCCGAATACATCCGAACATCAGAAGGAACAAACTCCGGACACGCCACCTTTAAGAACTGTAACTCATTGCGAGGGTCCGCGGCTTCATTCTTGAAGTCAGTGAGACCGAGAACCAACCAATTCCGGACACAGAACGAATCAACCAAGGATGGAAAGGTGTGTGAGGCTAATGAAATAGCCATGGATGTTTATTTGGGAGCGAGTGCAGATCAACACTCTCCAACTGTGCCTCTGGCCGCAGGGTCCCCTCCTTGCCAAGCAGGCTGGGTGCTGATATTTAGGCATTTGAAGGAGGCCACAGAGAACTCACCTGTTGGAGCTTGAGAAAACAGGGCTGCTGGGTCAGGGGAAGTACTCAGAATCTCTGCTCTGTTGAATTCCTGTCAGCAGCCTCAGGTTATGGGTGAGCTTCCCACCACGAACAGGTAGACTCCGTAGCCACCTCTCTGGTTCCAAATTCTGGAACCAGAAGTTGAAAAATGACTTCTGCTGTTTTGGCATTTCCCCTGCTTTTTCTGGCTTAATTGGCTTTACTTTTCTGTTCTACCTTGTTGGGTTATGGGCTACACAGCTGCCCAAAGAAATGCTCTAATTGTGTTGAATCACAGCCCCAAATAACAACCACACAGCTTTTGTTTTAAAGTTTAAAGCTCTTTGGTATTTTTTTTTTTTTTTGGGACGGAGTCTTGCTCTGTAGCCCAGGCGGGGGCGCAGTGGCGTGATCTCGGCTCACTGCAACTTCTGTCTCCCAGGTTCAAGTGATTCTCCTGGCTCAGCCTCCCAAGTAGCTGAGATTAGTCTTGAGCCATCATACCTGGCTAATTTTTTGTATTTTTAGTAGAGACAGGGTTTTACCGTGTTAGCCAGGATGGTCTTGATCTCCTGACCTCATGGTCCACCCGCTTCAGCCTCCCAAAGTGCTGGGATTACAGGCGTGAGCCACCGTGCCCGGCTGATACTCGTCTTTTTTTCACAGCCAGTGAGTGTCAAACCAGGAAAGCAAACCTGAGTCTGTCTGATTTCAAGACCACTGTCTTTCTGTGTCATCCAAACAATAATACCACCCTAAATTTCATTTGTACCGAGTTCTTTACAGACCCCTTCATCTTACAGACCTTAGAACAGTGGTCAGTAAGAAAAGGCATTCAGAAAAAAACTGTGATGGTCAAGGTACAGAGCTGGCTGGCACCAGAATCCGAACTCCAACCCACCTCTTCTGGCTAAGCCCAATGCTCCTTCCTTTGTACTCAGCTTCCCATTAAGGAAAGCGAAAGTATCTGCACGTCTGTGTGTGCAATAATTACATTTCCTCGAGTCAAATGTGTGAGTGTCCTAACCCTGAATCCTCCCGTTTGAGTCCGATGTCGTTAGACAAGTGAGGTGTCCTGATTGCAGAAGGGTCAGGATTTTTTGCTGAAGATGATATTCGATGTGATAGTCAGGGTATGCCTCCCCATGCAATTTATGAGTGCCTGAAAGAAGGAAGTGGGTGTTCTGCAAAAAATGCATAAAAGCTGGGAAGAGGGGCCCTTCTGTACGACTTGATAATAATGATAACTAACATTTATGGAGTTATTATGTGACAGGTAGTGGGATATGTGTGTGTGTGTGTGTGTGTGTGTAATTCCTCATTCTATCTTCAGCATGAACCTGTGCAATGGGTACTATAATTATTTCCATTTTATAGGTGAGGACCTGATGATACTGAGGCTCAGGGAAGTTAAGTAACTGCTCAAATACACACAATACTAGAGACAATATTTGACTGCAGGTTTGTCTACCTGTGTGTTTTACTTATTAATACAAAGGCCATTTTTATGTCTTTCTCTAGGCCCGAGGTGAAACTATTCTATGCTTGATGTGATGTATTTGTGGCTGATCATTCTTGACAATGTTCCCTGGTTATCTGACTACAGCCTGTGTTACCCTTATCAGAACTTTCTAACAGCTCCTCTTCTCCGCTCAGGAGATGAGGGGTAGAAAGGACTTAGGCTAAGTGGCAGGTGCACAACTTACACAATCACAGATAATCCTTCAACAACCATGTTGGGTCCAAGATTTGAAACTGTGTCATCCCAATCCTCAAGAAGGTCATTAGCATGACCCAGACTCCTGAATCCAACCATTAGATCAGTGCCTGAAACACACAGTAGGCACTCAATTGATATTTGTCACATGAATACAACAAACTCATTGTAATTTTTGACTTCTAATGAAGGGTTTGGGAGAGTAGGCATGGATGAGGGTCCCAGATATTTCCCACGTCTCTGATCACATCTTCATATGTTCCACCCTCTAGAGACACAGCTAGCCCCACCCCCACCTCCACCCCTTGTCTCTGTGGACAAGTTCTGCCCAGATCCCTGATCGGTGAGGTCTTCCAAGAACAATCTCTCTTCACACACAGACCTATTCCTTCTGTAAGGAAATCTGCAGCAGCTGCAAAGAGGGAGCATGTTTCTTCATATTGTCACCTATCTGTTGGTGTTATCTGCAGTATAGGGGCAGAGTTTCCTGAAATTGAGGAGAGAAGAGGACACCGAACTCAACTTTTCCCGCAGGTTTGCCAGGGAATATTTTCAGAGCAAACAGGAAGGAAGAGTAATGATAAATATTTCAAAGCTGGGATACAAGTTTTACAGTACCACGGCCTTAAAATGTACTAACACTGTTGCAAATCTGCTGCAGGAATGCATTAAGGTGATTCATAAGAATAGAAAGTTCATCCTTGTCAGTCAGGCTTGAGCAGGACAAATGACCAGTGGACACACTATTACACCTGTTCTTAGTACTTTCAAAATTACAGCTGGCATTTATTTCTTAAAAAGTCATGGTGAAATAGATTAGATAGTTTACCTGTGCTATAAGATAGAAAAGTCCTTTGATTTTTTTAAATTACATAATTTTCTGTGGGTTTATAATATAGATAAAGCATCCAGGAAAGGGAATGTTCTATTAAAGGGCATAAGAAGGCATTTGTTCTGGAGAATCAGCGCGATTTACTAACAGGCCATTGCTAGGGAGGCTTTTTCTATTAGGCTGCTTGTAGCTAGTACCCAAGGGATGAAAACAGATAATGCTATTTGCAACTCTCAATGCCAGGACCAATTAATTTCATAGTTTCTAAAATAAGTGAGAGAAGGCTGCTGGTCATGTAACTACCTAATGTTCATGAATGTTTTATGTGTGTGTGTGCATGTGTGTGTATGTGTGTGTGTTTCCTCTTTCCTTCTTGACCTTCCTTCACAGATTTTTTTTTTTTTGAGGGTTTCGCTCTTGTTGCCCAGGCTGGAGTGCAGTGGTGCGATAGCGGCTCACCGCAACCTCCACCTCCTGGGTTCAAGTGATTCTCCTGCTTCAGCCTCCCAAGTAGCTGAGATTACAGGCATGTGCCACCATGCCCTGCTAATTTTGTATTTTTAGTAGAGACAGTGTTTCTCCATGTTGATCAGGCTGGTCTCAAACTCCTGAACTCAGGTGATCCACCTGCTTCGGCCTCCCAAAGTGCTGGGATTACAGGTGTGAGCCACTGCGCCCAGCCGCACAGATTCTTTTTACAATCTGTTCCTTTTTTCTTTTTTTTTGAGACAGAGTCTTGCATTGTCACCCAAGCTGGAGTGCAGTGGCATCATCTCAGCTCACTGCAACCTCTGCCTCCCAGGTTCAAGCGATTCTCATGCCTCAGCCTCTGGAGTAGCTGGGATTACAGGCATGAGCCACCATATCTGGCTAATTTTTGTATTTTTAGTAGAGATGGGGTTTCACCATGTTGGCCAGGCTAGTCTCGAACTCCTGACCTCAAGTGATCCACCTGCCTCGGCCTCCCAAAGTGCTGGGATTACAGGCATGAGCCACCGTGCCCGGCCTCCTTTCTTGAATCTTGTTGGAACTTGGCTCAGAATCATACCTGCCTAGCTGGGTTAATGTATACTGTCCTACACCCTATACTGGCTTGCTAGGAAGGTCAAATGAAAGGAAGGTACAAACCCAAAGATTGATAGTACACAGGGGCAGTGAAGGTGAGGGAAAGAGATCCACTCCTGCCCTGCCAGGGGGATGTCTTTATAGAATGTAGCTGTTTACCTAGTTTATTCTCCAGGTTTACTTGTACATATGGGTAAAGACTGAGGTATAATATTGCTTTTCCTAAAAACTGAGAATAAACTGAATAGCCAACAAGACTTGACTGGTTAAATAATTTATAGTTTATTCATACAATAGAAAGCTGTACAATGTGGCTGGGCATGGTGGCTCATGCCTGTAATTCCCAGCACTTTGGGAGGCCAAGGCAGGTGGATCACTTCAGATCAGGAGTTCGAGACCAGCCTGGCCAACATGGCAAAACCCCATCTCTACTAAAAAAAAAAAATACAAAAATTAGACAGGCATGGTGGTGCACATATGTAATCCCAGCTACTTGGGAGGCTGAGGCAGGAGAATTGCTTGAACCCAGAAGGTGGAGGATGCAGTGAGCCGAGATGACGCCACTGCACTCCAGCCTGGGCAACAGAGCAAGACTCTGTCTGAAAAAAAAACAAAAAAAACAAAAAACTGTACAATGGTCAAACAGAATGACATACATCTGTATATGCTGATTTGAAACAATTTTCAAGATATACTGTAAAGTAAAAATAGCAAGCTGTAGAACACTGTATATTGTTGGTTAACTTTTTGTGTTAGAAAAAAGTAAACATGAATCTCTTTCTCTACCTCTTTCTGTCTCCATCTATCCACCATCTCTGTATATTGAACACAGGTAGAAGAGTTCTTGAAGGAAAGCTGTATTAATTTGCTAGGGGTGCCATTAAGAAAATACCACTGACTGGGTAGTTTAGAAAACAGAAATGTCTTACAGTTCTGGAGACTGGAAGTCCAAGGTCAAGACATCAGCCAGGTTGATTTCATTCTGAGGCCCCTCTCTGTGGCTTGCAGATGTGGCTACTTTCTCTCTGCGTCCCCACGTGTTTTCTCCTGTGGGAGCATGCATCAGATGTCTCTTTATATGTCTTAATCCCCTCTTTTATAAGGATGCCATTCATGTTAGATTAGGGCTCATCTCAATGTCTCCATTTTTACTTAATCATCCCTTTAAAGGCCCTGTCTTCAAATACAGTCATATTCTGAGGAACTGGGGGCTAGGGTATTAGCATATAAATTTTGAGGGGAGCACAATTTAGCTCGCAACAGAGGCTTAAATACCATTTGCAGCAGTTATCTTTGAGGAGGGTGATTGTGAGCCCTAGATAGGAGGGAAATACATTTTTCATTGAGCATCTTTCTTTTTTTTTTTTTTTTTCCTTTTTCTTTTTGGAGATGGAGTCTCGCTCTGTCTCCCAGGCTGGAGTGCAGCAGTGTGATCTTGGCTCACTTCAACCTCCACTTCCCAAGTTCAAGCATTTCTCCTGCCTCAGCCTCCCGAGTAACTGGGATTACAGGCACCCGCTACCACACCTGGCTAATTTTGTATTTTTATTAGAGATGGGGTTTCACCATGTTGGCCTGGCTGGTCTCGAACTCCTGACCTCAAGTGATCGGCTGCCTTGGCTTCCCAAACTGCTGGGGTTACAGGTGTGAGTCACCATGCCTGGCCTCATTGTGCATCTTTTTAAAGGGTCTGACTAGGTCTCATTACTAATTTCACATTAATAATGAGTGATTTCAACACAATATATTTCCAAATAGTTCTCAGATTTCTTTGAACTTACCAATCCTGAGTGAACCCTCTTCATTACCGGGACTGTTGCACTATAATTAGTGGTATCTTCCCATTTTACAGAGGCATATGGCAAGTGATATACTCAGTGCTTAAATTTCTGGCAAATCATATTTGTCCTATTAAGAAAGTGAGTGCCCAAATCATATATGGGCCATTTTTCCCTTCTTAAATTCTTTCTTTTCTTATTACATTTATTTCTATTTATAAAATAGCTATTTCAATACATGCATCTTTGTATATACTTAATAATATTAGTTTAAATTCACTAGCTCCAGGTAGCATTCTCATTGTTACCTGGTGGCAATATACTTGTTTTCAAGTAAAATTGGGATGCTGTCAGAATATAGATGATGTAAGTGCATGAAAAATTACTCCTTTTGTTTTCCTAAAAAATAACATAGAAATGCAAAAATTGTACTACAATCTTCTTGACTCCCACCTGCTGCCTTATAGTTGACAATTTGCTCATTTTATTAGTTTATTATTATTTCAGACACCTTGATCTTTTTTAATTTGGTGTATGGGTTACTGAGTAATACACATTTCATCATCATGACCATTTGCCATAATGTGTATTTATGTGTGTGTGCATGCGTATAATGTGTATTACATGTGCTTCCATAGTTGTCTGGTAGAATTTTATAATGTCAAATAAATAAGGTCAACCGGGGGCAAAAATATCTATATGTGCCAAAAATCTACATGGGTGACCGGTCCACTTTTAGTGGTAGTGTTCATGCCCCTCTTATTCCTTAGCACTCATGCCATGTGCTGAAGCTGGCTGGCTACCAGCCCCTGCCAACCTTCAGCTGTGGGCTTTGATCTGGGCACTGGGGTACACCCAGCCAGCAGGCAGAGGAAGCTGAAAGAATGGCGTCTTCATGCTCTAGAGGCAGTTCTTGAGCAAAGATAGGCAGGAAGTATTCATACCTCGGCTTCTTAGCTCTTCAACTGCAAAAATTCTGAAGTGCACCATGTACACCAGCCCCCAGGGTTTTCTGGTAGGATGAGCTTCAGCTGCTTATGGTGGTAACTTGCTCAGTGACACCCACTTTATTGATTTCCTTTCCTTCCCTGTCTGACTTCGTTACCCCTTCCCTTAACAGTATCCTGGGATCACCTTTCAAATAAACTACAGTTAACCTTTGCTCAATACAGATTTGAACTGCATGGGTCCACTTTTTTATATGCAGATGTTTTTCAATAACAGTTACAATGAATGTGCCTGTCTCTCCTGCCTCTCCTACCTCCTTCTCCTCTTCTGCCTCTGCCACTCTGAGACAGCAAGACCAACCCCTCCTCTTCCTCTTCTTCCTCAGTCTACTCAACATAAGGACCGTGAGGATAAAGATCTTTATGATGATCCACTTCCGCTTAATGACTAGTAAACGTATTTTCTCTTCCTTACGATTTTCTAATAACCTTTTCTCTAGCTTACTTTACTATAAGAATATAGTATATAATACACATAACATAGAAAGTATGTATTCATCAATTGTTTAGCTTATCAGTAAGGCTTCTGGTCAATAGTAAGCTATCAGTAGTTAAGTTTTTGGAGAGTCAGAAGTTATTTGCAGATTTTCCAGTGTGTGGGTGGTTGGTACCCCCACAAGCATCATTCAAAAGTCAACTATATTTCCATTCACATCCTTGTTATAGAATCTTTTTCTGGGGTACAAAAACCAAACCCCTACTATCTGCACTTTAAAATGCACTCCCTACCACCAGCAAACAAATAACAGTGATAACAAATACAGTCCATTCCACTCTCTTGGCTTCTGCTTCATGCAAATCTTCATTTTTTTTTTCCTGAAACAAAAATCTGTCATATCCAAAAAGAAAAATTTTTAAAGAAGTATCCTCAGTGATTTATGCTAGAAACCAAAGCAGGGGCATTTTTCATTCGTAAACCTTAATACCATAGTAGGTCCATGGGCCACCTTGGAAGATACTGAGCCATCTGCTAGGAGTCCCAGCTTGAGTGGTGTCACATGCTGTTGTATTAAGAACTAACCTGGACCTTTGCAGAGAAGATCCTACCCAAAGCCAGGTTCTTATTCCAGCTCTTAGTGGCTTAATCCTTAACTGTAAATTTTTTCTTCTCTTCGAATCTGGCCTCCGAGTTAATGCTTTCTAAATGCAGCTTTTGTGATGTGAACTTTCTTCTATACCTCTGAAGGGATATTCAAGTAAAAGAGAAAAAAGGCCAAATCGGGTTTCCAAGTATATCTTTTCACAGTGATTTATTTCCCTGGGAAAGGCTTAAGCTCAAATGTCATTTCTGGTTCTCATTGCAGCCCCTCTTTGAGCCGAAGGACTAGAGGAACAAAAGACTCAGCCCCAAGGTTATCCGGTGAGTCCAGGTCTTGTGCCAGATTCAACTTCTGTTGCATGCCACATTCTGCAAATGCTAGAGGCTGGTATTTTGTGCAAAAATTAAGCCATGGGACAGGCTAACAAAGGACACTTCCTCAGGGATTGTTGACTTGGGGGAGAGTGGGCAGGGGACAGCACCTGGGTTCCCACAGGATGCTGCCTAGGTGACCTGAGAAAGCTCCTGGCTACCTGACTACCAGCTGTGAGGAAGCAGCTAAAGGCTCCTGTGAGTTTTTAAAATCTCCTTTCAATTATTGGATATTCTCCTTTACTAGTGGATTCAGTGGCCACACATTTGTCTGCCAAGCTTCTTATGTGATTATTAGAGGCACGTTTCTCCAGAGAGCCTCACTCAATGGAGAGGTTTTGTTGGGAAAGACGACATTTAACGTGGAACCGGGGGGGTGGGGTCAGGAGGGGCTCTTTAGATAACATCCTGCCAGGAGCTGGCTAATGTGACTCAGAAGCTTCCTAACCTTGGGACTACACCTGGGGAAGAGTCCTCTTTTCTCTTTGCCTTTATCTTCAGATATTAGAATCTTTATGCCCCAAGGGTTCTTTTTGGCTGAAAATGAACTGGACCTAAAATGCTTGCTGCATTGTAATGGCTGAAACACACACAAATGTAGCTATTGCCTCATGAGGTGGGGGTGTGAGGGTGTGGTGGGTTTTGAGAAAGAATCAGAAATGCTTTGCTGTTTGAGGATTCTAAATCCAGAGGCCTCACCTGCTCCTTCTACCCTGACTCTTGAGAATGTCTAAGTGTGAGTGAGTCTTACTGTGAAAGAAGGAAGGATGGGAGGGGAACTCTCATGCTGGCAAGGATGAATGGCCTCCTTCACCCCTTACGTCCTCTTGGTCTCTCTCCTGTTGTTTAGAAGCGTGGGAAGGAGAGCACGGTGTTCTTCCTCAGGAGTCCTGGGCCTGTTTGTTAATTTGCATCTAAGAGATGAGAGACACGGTCTCACAGGAGACACCTGGGTGGTTTTCCAGGACCCTACAGATTTGTGTCTTCATGGTGGTGGCCTGTACTCTCCCACTTCTGTGTTTTTACACTCTCTGCTGTTCTCTGTTTCTTGCTTTTCTATTTCTTTAATATGTATGTTTTGCTATAAAAATGAACCAGCAGAAGCTGGATGCTATGGTTTGAATGTGTCTCCTAAAGTTCATGCATTCGAAACTTAACCCCCAATGTAACAGTGTTGGAGCCTATTGAGAGGTGATCGATTGGGTTATGAGGCCTCTGCTTTCATGAATGGAATAATGTCATTATTGCAGGAGTGTGTTCGTTATCTTGAAAGTGGGCTTGTTATAAAAGCAAGCTCAGCCTTCTCTTGCTGTCTTGCACAATATCTTGCCCTTCCACCTTCCACCATGGAATGATGTATAAGAAGGCCCTTGACAGATGTGGCCCCTCTACCTTGGATTTATCTGTATAAAGAACTGTAAGAAATAGGTCTCAGTTCTTTATAAATGACCCAGTCTCAGGTATTCTATTGTAGCAACACAAAATGGACTAAGACAGCACATTAGCTCCAGTTTTGCCTGTGCAGATGGGTGGAGACCATACTGGGCTTCCTGTTCCATGAAAATACAGATGCCACAAAGGACAGCATGAACCGTCAGTTAAAAGGACCTGAGTTAGAGAATTAACCTGCAGATAGCACAGGTTTTCTGTTTTGACATTTTACCACGATGACCTTGGCATATTTCATGTTATCCAGGAAAAACAGGAGAGTCTAGTGTCAAGGGCATGGGCCTTGTCAGATTCCTGATGGCTTTGGGCAAATAGTTAACTTCAGTTTTCTTATCAATAAGATAGGGCCAAAAATAATATTTCTCACTGGATTGTTGGGAGGAGTAAATGAGATGGCACAGATAAAGTACTTAGAGCAGTACTTGATACAGCTAACAGTCAATAAGTGTTAGCTAACGTTAGTATCTCTTGATTCAATTAATTCCTTTTTTATTTTTATTTTTTGAAATGGAGTCTTGCTCTGTCGCCCAGGGTGGAGTGCAGCAGCGTGATTTTGGCTCACTGCAACCTCCTTCTCCTGAGTTCAAGCAATTCTCCCTGCCTCACCCTCCTGAGTAGCTAGGACTTACAGGCACCTGACACCATGCCCGGCTAGTTTTTGTATTTTTTAGCAGAGATGGGGTTTCGCCTTGTTGGCCAGGCTGGTCTTGAACTCCTGACCTCAAGTGATCTGCCCGCCTCAGCCTCCCAAAGTACTGGCGTAACAGGCGTGAGCCACCGCACCCAGCCTGACTTAATTAATTCTTATAACAACTACACAAAGGGGATGTTTTGTCTCCTCCACTTCTCCACTGGGATGTCTAATGGGGCACCTCAGATTACCTTTTCCTTATCCTCTCTCTATTCTTCCCTATCTCAGAAAAAATGACTCCATTTTCCCCCATTTTTTCCTTCACTTTTCTCCTTGTGTCCTATTTGGTCTTTGTCTCTCATACTCTCACCCCCAATCCATCAGCAAAATCTTGTTGGCTTTACCTTCAAAATACATCCAGAACCAACCACCTCCACCTCCACTCTCTAGTCCTAGACTGTCAGAATGGCTTCCTGACTGTTCTCCCCACCTCTACCTTGTCACACCCTCTCCCAAGTTTATTCTCAATAAAGTCAGTTAAAACCCTTCCATCCCATTTCAGAGTTAAATGCATAGTTCTTATCATGAGCTAAGAGTCCTGTACATATGCTCCCCACTTCATAAAACATACCCGTGATTTGCCTTTCTGATGTCATGTCCTGCTACTCTGCCTTGCCCACTCTTCTCCAGCCACTGCACTGGCTTCTAGCTCCTCCTCAAACACACCAAGGACTCAGTTGCAATTGTCCCCTTGCCTCCATGACTTACCATGTGATACTCTCTCATCTCTAAGAAGACTTTGCTCTAATGCCTTCTTTCCAGTGAGACCCCCTTTGACCACCTTATTTACAATTTACCCCTTTCTGCTCTTCAGCTCCTTTAGTTCACTTCTCTACATAGCATTTAGCACCATCTGACATACTTTGTCTGTTTATTTCTGTCTCCCCAGCTGGGACAAAAGCTCAAGGAGGTGCTGTGGGGTGGAAAGGGAGCATAGAGAGGGAAGAATTTCTGTGTGTTTTGTTCACTGCTATATCCCCAGCACCTGGAATAGTGCCTGCAAAATAGTAGGTGCTCAGTAAAGAGATATTGAATAAATGACTTAATTGATTTCCCTTTTTATAAGTGAGAAAACTGGATCTCAGTGAACTAATGCAACCTGTACTGCTGAGCATCACTGGACATCACTAGGCAGTATAAGGAATTAAGGCATGGCTGGGCAAGTGAGGGGCATATCTGAAGGCTCCTTTGTTTAACTTTAAATTCTGGTCTTTTCACAGGATTTTATGCCATTTGTCACTGTGAGATGTGTGTGTGTGTGTGTGTGTGTGTGTGTATTTATATATCTTATATGCATATATCTATGTGTGTGTATACTATGTATATATCTTATATACATATGTTTATAATAATGATATATATATATATCAGTATTTTTTCCACTGTATTATGTACATATATATGATCTATATGTGTATATAATACTGATATATATATCTCAGTATTCTTATTTTTTCCACTGCCTCTATAGTGAAAGAAAGGAGTATGAGGGACAGAATTGTATCCCTGCCAAATTCATATGTTGAAGCGATAACCCTCAATGTGATTGTATTTGGAGACAGAGCCTTTAAGGAGGTGATTAAGGTTAAATGAGGTCATAAGTTGGGGCCCCAATCCAATAGGGCTGGTGTCCTTAAGAGGGAGATATACCAGGAAGGTGCTTGCACAGGGGGAAGGTCATGTGGGAACACAAGGAAGAGGCTGCCATCTTCAAGACAAAGAAAGAAGCCCCAGGAGAAACAAATTCTGCAAGTACCTTGATTTTGGACTTCCAGCCTCCAGAACTGTGAGAAAATAATTTTTTGTTGTTTAAGCCACCCAGTCTGTGGTACTTTGTTATGGCAGTCTGGGCTAAGACAGAGAAGCAGTGAATTTGAGTGTCCAGTATGTGCTTAAAAGAAAAGGGTGAACCTGGAAAAAACAGCATTGGAATTCAATGATCAAGGAGAACCACGTGCTAGTAGCTCTAGTCAATAGGAAGAGTGTTGGGCTAATGCATCAAAAATGCATATTTGTGGAATCTATATACAAGTGAGATAGAAAGGGTGGGAAGGTAACCTGCAAGCTGTCACTCCCTAGTTGTCACATATATCTTCTTTAAAGCATGATTTGGGAAATGGGCAACATCTGACGAAAATCCAGTTGGCTTTCTATCATGTCCATGTGTCCTGTATCTGTGATTCATGACCCCTGTCCTTTCAAATGCAAGGTGGCAGACTGTGGGCTCTTTTCCAGGGCACCTATAATGCAGTCAATGTGGTCTTTTCTGAAAGAGAATATTTATTGTTTTAACAGCTGTACTTCTACTTTCTTGGAAAAAAAAAAAAAAAAACAAACCTGCATCCATGAATGACTTGCAGAGATTGGAAAATGTAGCTTTGAAATTCCCAATTTAAAAAAATCCTATAGGTTTTACAA
Source organism: Homo sapiens (assembly GCF_000001405.40). Lineage (NCBI taxonomy): Eukaryota > Metazoa > Chordata > Mammalia > Primates > Hominidae > Homo > Homo sapiens. The sequence goes on along the minus strand of NC_000014.9, from coordinate 87,721,345 downwards.
AACTGCCCTCAAACCACAGGATTTTTCCATTATTCTAACTTCCTCTTTTTTTTTCCTGGAAGGATTGAGAAACCAATAGTAGTTTTCAGCAGCCAGAGTGTGGCTGGGATTTTAGTCCAAATTGTGCTTGTTTATGGCAATTCCAGCAAGAACCGGCCTTCTTTGGATACCTGCTTATCTAGAGAGAGCCAGTACCTGTGGGATTCAGGACTCTTTGCAAATTCTCATTTAATTTTCTCTAAGGTATTTGTCTTCAAAGAAAGATTTGCTTTCGACGGGCTGCTGATATTGCGGTGCTAAGCTCCATGGGTTATTTGTTTTTGAGACTGTGCATAAAGTACTAACATTATTATGACACAATTACCAGTAAGTAATCATCCCATTGCCATAAACATGTCCCTTTGAAAATATTAGAAATTAATATTCATGCTTTCCTTGAATCCACCATTCTGAGCTAATGTGTGCCTACATAGTTTATCAAAATGCACATTTTTGTCCAATGAAAGGAAGAACTATTGTTCACATCTCCATCGTGAAGTATGGAAAGTCTCTTTTGACTGTAGCATTCGTTGATTTGAAAGAGAATTTCTCTGTTACGATGTAGCCACCAGCAATGAACTGTGTGATACCAGGTAAAGCATCTCTGTTTTCTTTGAGTAGTTTTGTTCAGAAAGCCATTTAATCATTCCATCTTGGCAGTAGTTGAGAAATCATGCCAACCACTTGATCACATGTAATAGTAATATATAATGGTAATTGTATATATACTTCTATGAGCTGATGGTTTAGTCAATGTTAAGGGGAGATCTTGAAATCTCACTGTGAAAAAGTAACTGCAGACTCCTCTCCCCAAACTTCGTGAATCTACTAAAAGAAAAGTAGCTCCCAACATGCTATGATTCAGAAACTTGAAATTTACAAAAGTGATTGTATAGAGAAATATGGACTAAAAATAATTATGGGATAAATCAATAGATTTTAAAATTGAATGTAAGTGGGTTTAATTGTATTGTGTATAAAGCATCTGATGATGACAACACTGTTTTCTGTTCACCCAACAGGTTATATCAAAGGTGATAAAAATATTTTATATTAAGCCAAACCTCAATTCACTCACATTAAGGAAGTGATTTTGAAGTCCTCAACTGACTTTTATGTAACAAATGCATATCTAAAAATATTTAAACATCACTGGTATTCTGGTAAATGTTTAACAACCCGCTTTTCCAAGACGAACTCATAGAAGCCCTAATTTATAGCTTATTTAAATTTCTGTGGTGTAGATATTCACACCATGGCTGATTTCAAGCTACCAGCTCCCAGCCCTGAATGCAGAGTTGGGAATGAAGTGTACTCAATTGGCTCTTGTGAGCAAGTACTAGGTGCAGAGCACTGGTTATACAACAAAATTTTGGGGAGGGAAATATTTTCAATGGATCGCATGCCTTTAAAATTAATAGAACTAAACTAAAACATAACACAGGTTATTATGATGTTATATTAAGGGCCAGCTAAAAAAGGGAGTTGAAATGAAGTTCTAGTTCAAACACTGTTACTTATTATGTAACCTTGAGGTGCCAACTGATTGTCTTTGGAGGCAGTAAGACTTTGTGAGAACTTTGTGAGAAGTGCATGGTATTTGGCATCACGCAGGTCTGGGTTTGAATCTGAGCTCTGCCACTTAATAGCATGAGTCTGTGGATAAGACATTTAATCCCTCTCAGCTCCAGTTTTTTCATTTGTGAATGGGGATGCTGAAAGTCACTGTCCTGAGGATTAGTTATATGCTTTGTAACTAATCCTCAGTAAAGCATATAGTCTTGGCACATGGTGGTTGTTCAATGTTATAATTATTTGAACCTACTTTTTCATAATTTATTTGGAATGGTTGGATTACATTTTGTCTTATGTTCCTTTTCAATATCTAAATCTCTGAAAGATGTTCATTTCAATTATTTAGATTCAATTAGACAAAATATGCTAAAATCATCTTTTAAGAAGACATTTAAGAAGTGCTTAATCAATGTTTGTCAAGTGAATGGATTCCTGAGATTTATATTATCACTTGTTTTCTTCAAGCTAGAAATCTGTGAAAGATACCTTTTACTCTTTTTATAAAATCATCTTCCGTATCCAATATATTACCAAGTATTGACGATTATCATCTCCTAAGTATATATTTTAAAATCTCTCCCTCCCTCTTTATCTGTCTGTACTCTGTTGGTTTACTCTATCATCAGATCCTAATCAGTTCTCTGCTTCCTGTCTTGAACAGCTCAAAACCATCATCAGCAAAATTGTTAGTCACCACTCCAACATTCTAAGTTTCTTAAGGACAAAGATTTTCTTTTGCTTATTTTCATACTCTTAAAGTTCCATATAACTCCTGGCACAAAATAGATGCTCCATAAATGTTTGTTTTGAATGTATAAATGAATGAACCAACTTTTTGGAAAGTAATTGACATAGTTTTCTGTGTTGGAAATCACTTTCCAAAGTGATATCACCCATATTTCCTTATGTGTTTCCTCACATGCCATCATCCTTGGTGACTTCAAAATCCATGCTGCAGACTGTCCTATGCTGAAGGCCTCCCATTTCAGGGCTACATACCGGTCTAGACATTTCGTGGCACTACTCTTCCTATGTGAGGCAGAGCATGGTATGGCCCAGCCTGTTCTCGCCCTATCTGTTTCTTTCCTGCATTAACTTACCTGAGATGCCCTTTCTCTCCCTTGGGCCTTCTTCCACCAAGGTTAGACTCTTTCCAATCTGAGGTTACCAATAGAGTAATTAGAATTGAGTTCCCTGAGTTACTGGATGTTTGGCTAAGCTTCACAGAATCAAGGTTGAACACACTGAGACTTTATGTGACCCCAACTGTCAGGAGTGGATTTGCATGGGCCTGAATGAAAGCCATCATGCAAAGATAGCATTGAAATAGGTGCTTCCATTGCTTATCCTTAGATGGTACCTTCCAGCATGTTGAAATCATGCTGTAAGAAGGTGAACATCCCAGTAGAATCGGAGTAAGAAATAAGCCTAAGTGAGAAATTGACAGCACATTTAACAATTGTTCATTTCTTCCAAATTCTGACCATCCAGAATTGTTACAATTGAGGTTTTTTTTTTTTTTGGTTGATTTTCTTCACACACAGTCACATACATTAACATTCTTCCTTCAATTTTTAAAATTTCATCTAGTACAAGAATTTGGACATTTTTAATATCAAACTTATCAGGGTGTTGTATCAGACTTACGAACTTGAACTTCAGGGTCAGACACCCATGGTTTGAGTTTGGGCTCTGCCACTTAGTTGAGTCATCTGGAGTAAATCAGGTAACTTCTCTCAGCCTCAGTTACCTTACTTAATGTCTACCTTGTGGATTCTTGAAGGTCTTTCTTGGTGACATAACATGTATATCTTCCATCACAGCCTCTGTATCCAATTGATGCTCAATAAATATTAGCTTGTTCGATCTTCTCAGTGAAATGTGGGCACTCCATTTTTATTGCCTGAGACTTGTCTTCATTTTTCCCCACTTTCAGCCCTCAGTAAAATTTTCCTTCCTGTCATTCTGTAGCCCTTATGTGATTCATAACCTTAAGACTATTATAGGCACCACGGGATATATTTCTTTGTTTTGGACTGTGCATGTGTGTCTGTGTCAGTGTGTTTGTGCTTATATACCTTCTCTTCTCAATCAGACTTTGGAAATCCTGTTTTATTTATTTCAGTATTGCCCTTACAATGATTCATCAAAAAACCCAGTGATTTTCTTATACAAAGTACATGCTAAAGTGATTTTTGATTGACTTTAAACTTCAGAGTGAACTGGGAGGTGAGGGATTAACATTTTAACTCTAGCATATCTTTAAATATAACTATCTACACTAGATCACGCTCACCTGATAGGAAAAAAGGACTAGATCAACTACTCGTAAGAGTCTTTTCCAACTCTTATTCTGTTTCTAGAAATTATACTGTATCAAACTGAGAATATTCTATTTTAATTCTTCATTTCACATCCCTGTGCCAAGCATCATCCAATTATAGTACAAGTTCTATGTGGCAAAAAAATATAAGCACAATGACCAAGGCAAATGGCACACCCCTCATATCTTTTGCCACCCCTTTATACCCTATATATGCCTTTTGTATTTGGAAACAAATTACTGCTACCAGGAAAATAACTAAAAAGACCCACAATAACATGATGCTGTAATCAGCTGATGTACCTATATTTCAGAATAAATATTTGCTAATACAGGACACCATAATCTTCAGGAGCTGTGGAGAAAGATACAGTCACCTTCCTTTCCTTCAATTTGACATTTTCTTGATCAGATCTGACATTGCAGGATCTCAGATCCAACATATTATAGGAAGGGTTTGGCACCCTCAACTAGAATAGGCAGAAGAAGGGAGCTGGCATCTGAAATATCTTTCTATGATTATACAAGGTATGGCAGGATCTGAGCTTCTGTATGCAAGCCAAATGAAATTATTAAGGCTAACCTTCTCACTCAGCACTTAATAGGTAATCAATTTTCACTAACAACAGTGGAGGGTAGAAATCAAGAAGGGAATGATAATGCTCTTCCTTACATTTGCAAAGGGCTTTAGAGTGTGTAAAATGATTTTACATGAAATAATTCGTTTAGTTTTCATAGCAACATAAAATTGGCCAGAACACACATGCATGCATATTATATATCAACCTGTGTGATAAGCACCGGGGGCAGAGTGGTGGAAAAGGCAGAAAAGGTTTTGCTGACTTATTTTTAGCAGTGAGGAAACAGATGCATTAGGAGGTCCTGGGTGATACACAAGGTCACAAGAGAAAATATGAGTTTGGAACCTAGTACAGTGGGCTGAATCATGGTTCATAAGCGTGGATGCCTGGTAAATGGAGATTACTTTCTACTACTACTCAACTTTGAGATGAAGCTTCCATCTCAGTGGGCTGGGAGGAGATACTTAATATCAGGCAGTTTGCTCTGTTTCTCTTTCTGATTCATGCAAAAGTTTTGGAGATCTTAGGTAGTTCCACGGTATTGTGGATGGACCTCTACCTCTGTTCATTTGTCATCTTTTCACAGAGGTTTCTGTGTGGTAATACCACCAGTGCTGTTGTCTGCATAGAGACATCAGGAAGGCAATGTTATTCTGGGACCTCTAGCCTTTATCCTTTGATGTCAGCAACCAGCATGCAAAGTTTTTCATCCCCACTCAACATCCTGCTTTCAGGGAAAGCATTATCTCATGTTTCTTCAACATGCCTTTTCTATGTTTTCACTCATATTTTCACTCTCAGCCTTGAGGATTTGTACACAAAAGTCAGGGTGTCCATGGTGTGCCTTGCTTCATTCTTCTGCTGGGACCAAGAACATAGAGCCAAGCACCTCTCTGAATGAGAGGAAGGGAAAGGAACAAATGATTGGAGAAATAGCCATACGTTATTATATCAAAGTAATTTAATGACACAAGATAGAAAGAGTGGAAATAGATGAGGTGGAAATAGTACCTGGTGGAAATAGATCAACCTGCGATTACCCTATCTGCCTACAATTACGACTACAAATGCAAAGAAGCCTGAAAATGGCCCTGAAAGGCCATTGACCCTCTTCATGCAGTGGCAAAGAGAGAACACCTAAAACTCCAAACTCAGCTCCCCTACAAGACAACTCAATATTAGGAAAAGGTTAGCATTAGAGAAAGAATGCAAAGTGATTAATGGGATGGAAGCCCTGCCTTATGGTTTGAAATTGAAATAATAAAAATGTGCATAGGTTCTCCAACCAATTATTAACTGGGAAAGATGAGAAGTATCAGCAATTCAGAGCAAAGGGTGAAATGAAATAAGTAAAGGGAAAATTTATATGGGAACACAACTGGAAACCTTTCTCACAAGTGAAAACTTCTAGCTTTTGGAATTATTTTCTTTTAGAGGGAAGGAAGGTCAGTTGGGCAAAAGTTTTATTAACAGCGATAATTAACATTATGTGCACATCCCCAGATTTCACCAGCCTGCAGGGACACTTGGGGACATATTAATAGTAATGTACTCATCGTATCATCGTAGTGTCTCTTAACCCCCAGCTCTTCGACTGGAAGGGCTCAGCCTCTTTCTATGACTTTCTCTTAATTGGTTATGAGAATTTATAGGGAGAGAATTTTTATGTAAATTCCTGAAAGGTTGACTATGCACTTGGCTTCAGTTCCTTTTGTTCCATTTTCTCCTTAATCTACTTCACTCAAGAGTTGTCCTGACAACTTGTGGATGGTCACCAACTACATTCACGTGGCTCCATTAAGGGGTTAATTCTCAGAGCTCAAGATTCCTTGGCATGTCAGCAGCACTTGTTACAGTATATCTTCCCTCCCATTGAAAGCTCTTCGTGGGGCCTCCAGGATATGGCACCTCTTGGTTTTCCTCCTATCCCACTGGTTGCTCCTTCTCAGTCTTTGCTGGTTTCTCTTCATCTTGAGCTCCTCACAGGGCAGTGTTTTATCCTTCTGCCCAAAGACCAATTCTCTATTTATTCTCACTCCCATGTCCATTGCATTAAAATCTCATGGCTTTGAATACCATCTGTAAGCTGGTGATTCTCCAGATTTAGAGCTTCGGCTGAGACTTGTCTCTGAACACTCCGGACATGCATATCTGTCTCTTTCAAATCACAACCTGGGTATCTAATAGGCACCAGAAGCTTTACATGTTAAAAAATGAATTTCTGAGCTCTGCACACCATGCCTCCTGCTTGCCTGCGAGACACACACATGCACACACACACAGCCCCATGCTCCTCCTGGGACATTTCCTAACGCCTTAAACAGCTACTCCACCTTTTTAGTTGTTCAGATGAAATTCCATGGAGTCATCCAGTCATCCTTTATTCTTTTTTTTTTTTAATACTCCATATCCAATATGACCAGCAAATCTTCTTGGCTGTACCCTCAAAATACATCTGAAACTTGACCATTACTTGTTCTTTGGGAGTGTCTCAACCACCTTCCTCTCCTGACTGGGATATTGCTACAGCCTCCTCACTGTGTCCTTACTTCAACATTTCTCTGTATATTGTCTACTCTCAACCCAACAACTAAAATGTCTCTTTAAAACGTAAGTCAGAACATCCTTTTGCTTCAGATTTACTAATACTTTCCCATCTCACTCAGCGTCGAAGCCAATGTTCTATAGGACTCAGTGGGATCTGACCCCAACTTCCTCTTCTGATTCTTTCCCCTCACTCTCTCTGTTACCATCATGATGCCTGCTTTATTTTTCCAAGAATCAACAGGCATGCTCCACTTTCCAGGCCTCTGTATCTGCTATTCTCTCTACTTGGATGGCTCTCCCTGAGACATTGGCATGGCTTCCTCCTTCATATCTTTCAGAGTTCTGATCCAACCTCACTATCTCAGTGAATCCTTCCAATAATTACCTGTTTAAATTCCATTCAGCTTCCGCCACTACCCATTTTCCTCCCTTCCTTTATTTTTCTTCACATACATATCATGATATGGCATATGATCTATTTGTGTAGTTGTTTGATGCTTCTGTTAGACTAGAAGCTCTATGAGGGCAAGTGGGATGTGTGTGTGTGTGTGTCTGTGTGTGTGTACATGTGTCCTTTGCTCACTGCTTGGCTCATAGTAGGGTTTCAATGAATATTTGCTAAAGAATGAAATGGTGAATATGTCTTGGAACATGTCTCGTTGTATTCCTCTGCTCCTGACTCCTCATTGACACTGTGCACCCCCAGCTTCCCCATCAAGTTCAGTCGGATAGAGCAGTCTTTCTGACTGTTCACATTGGGATGCTGAGAGAACAACTCTGCTGGCAGCTCTGTGGTAGAATGGGCTAGATTGTGGGGTTGGTGGGGAGAAGTTCTCTGAGACAAACTATTCCACCCATAGCCCTTCTTATCCTCTGTTCTTCAAATGCTTTTGTGAAGAGTTCCTCCAATGGCAGGCTTCAACTTCTTCCTCTTTTCAATGGATTCAAAACCAGCCCAGAGCCAAGTTTATCCCTTTCACCGTTTGGAGCACCTGAGCCCAAAATGCCTTTTTCTCTACCAATAAGAAGAAAGTGAAGCTTTCATGCCTACCGAGTCAAGTTACAAACCTCCTGGAGAGGTTGACATGCCTCAATGGCACAGGGTCTAAATCTGAATTCTGTTGGGTCACTTGTAAGAGTTGTGTCTGGACCAGCCAGATGGAATGGAAAGTGATGGGATGGGATGGCACAGGTGAGGTGGGGGCTGAGCTAGAAATTCATCTCTATTACTTCCAAGGAGGCAGTGCCTCCAGTGCAAGCTTTTCCCTCAGGGCATCTGAGTTTATTGGAGAAAAAGGGGCTTGTGCATCTGCTTTCCTTTCACTCCCTCTGTCTGTTTCTTGCTCCTATCATCAGAAGATGGCAGCAGAGATTGCTCTTACCACCGCTGCTCCTGTCTCCCTATCTGCCCAGCAGGACACAAATGCTCACCAGTGAATGCAGGGCAAAGTCCTTTCCAAAAACATATTGATTTCATTCCAGGAAGATAAATTCATAAACGGTACAACTGTATTCATCAGTTCATTTTGGGGGAATGTGATATAGGAGTTGCGCAAAAATAAAATTGCCAGTAGCGGGCATCATCCATATCTCTTCCATATGCATGGGCTGTGATGCTCACAAGATGGGGAATTGCTACTGAATCTGACAGCTGCCTTCCAAGTATCCTTGCTTAACCCATAACCACTGTATGGAACCAGTCCAGGGCTCTTACTGAGCCTTTTTTTATGTAAACCACGTAGTCTAAGCCTCTGACTGGCCTGAAAAGCCCACATCTCTCAGTTCATTTTTTTTCATTCTGGACCTCAGCCTTGTCATGTATCTTGGTCATGAAGCTGAAGGAACCCATTCTTGCTAGATTCTACCTCGAGACATAAAGGTGAATGTGCATGTCTGTGTGTGTGTATACTTGCGTGTGTGTGTGTGTGTGTGTGTGTGTATTTGGGAATATGAAGTGGTGACCTCCTATTCTTTTTAATCCCTGGAAAAAAAGAAATACTCTGAATTTTTGTCTGTTTCATTTTCCCTCTATCATTCCCATACTTATTATCCAAAAGGCATTCAAATTTTGCAAAGCTGCTACTCATACGTTTACAAAACATCCTCATGACAAGGTAATAGGAGATGTAAAATACTGTTTTTAAACTGGTATAAATTCAAGTGCAACCTGGCTAAATTTACTTAAAATTTGGATGTTATTATGCCATATATAAAGAAGGAAGGCAGTTGTAGGTTTGGTAATGCAGCAGCTTCCTGATATCTGGGCTCTGGCTAGCTTTCTCCTATATACTTTTGTCTTTCCCCTCCTGGCTATAAGATGGCTGCCATAATTCCAAGTATTGCCACTTTACACTCTAATGTCCAAAAAGAAATATAAAGTCTCACAATGTTATTGTGTTTTTCTATTTATCAGGAAATGAGGATCTTTTCTAAACGTCCTAGATTTCCTTCCAGGTCCCATGGCCAGAACTGGGTCATCAGACCATCCCTAAATCAATCACTAGAATATAGGAATAACTTACATGGGTAGAATTATATCAATTATGGTCCTTACACTTGTATTGGATCCCTTGAACATTCTGGTGTTCATATCTAAACAATATTAGGTTTCTTTTTAGCAAGAAAAGAGTATAAAATAGCTGTTGGATAAGCAAATAGCATGATATATGAAACTAGCACTAACTCAAAAGGACATGGCTGCAGCATGGGGGCCCTATTCAACAGAGTCTCTAAAGAATAGTACAAAAAGAAATCCCCTCCATGGGCAGGACTTTGAGCCATGCATGTCTTTTATTCACTTTGCCTCTAAGCAGAGATGACCGATGGTATTATACAATGATAGAGATTCCTGAGCAGTGGGTGATGGTTTGGCTAGAGGTCAAGAACTTGGAAGGAACAAGGTTGGAACTTCAGTAACAAGGAGGTCTGGGGAAGAGATATCTGAATGGACCTCTCAGAATAGGCACAGAGTGTGATTGTTTCTTTACCCAAGTGAATACTAAAGCAAAGGATAATTGTTGAATAGGAGGCTTTCCACAATCACAACATGAGTGCTGAAGCTGCCAGCCGGAGAGACTAACACTGAGCTCCTGATGTGTCTCTGTTTCTTGGAAGACTATCATTGAAGAGGCAGCAATTTATCTGCCTTACAATGCTTCTGCCAGCATGACCATGTGTGGATTCTTGAAATGCCTCATTTAACATAATGATATTCCATATAACATCTCTTCTGACTAGGAACTCACATTAGAATGAAAGAAGTATGGCAATGGGTTCATAGTCATGGAATTCATTAGTTATATACATACTTCATCACTCGAAAGAATTTGACCTAATATAGCGATAGAATGGGCAGTTGAACACTTGCTTATAACGTTGTTGGATAAAAGCACATTTCAGGACTGGGGTAACACCCTCCAAGATGCAGAATATGCTCTGAGCCAATATGTAATACATGATAGCCTTTTTTTTTTTTTTTTTTTTTTTACAGGCAGACTAATGAGTCTGGGAGCCAAAAGGAATATGTGATAGTGACTTTTATCACTGTTCCCCCGCCAACCAGGATCCAATAACAAAGCTTTGCCTTCATTCGTGCAACTTGGGGTCTGCTACTTTGGAGGTCTTAGTTCCCAAAAGAAGATCCCCTTCTCCAGAGATAGAATAATAATTTCATTAAGTTGGAACCGGAGACTGCCTCTTGGCCCTTTGGGCTACTCATACCAGTGAACAAGAGGCAAAGAGGAGATTACTACCCTGCACTTGCTGAAATGACGATCCTGATTATGAGGTGGAATCAGGATTGCCACAATATGATTACTCAGGAATTAGGATTGCCACTGTATGATAGAAACAGGAAGGAGTGTGCCTGAGGATGCTCTGGAGTACATCTTAATGCTCTCATTCCCAGTGTTAAAAGTTAATGGAAAACTGTGGCAACCTAGTGCAGGTATAGATCCTGAGGGAATAGGAGCTCAAGTCACCTTGACAGGTAGAGCAGCATGACTTACTGAGGTGCCGAGTAAGGGCAAAGGGAATATGGAATGGGCGGTGAAAGAAGTGACTTACAAAACCTATCTAAGGCCATGTGACCAACTGCATAAATAAACACTGTGGTAATTGTACTTATTTTCTTAGTAGCTTGATACCTGCTTTGATATATTTGAATTTATTAAATACTTCCTTTTTCCATTGTCATATTGTCAAATATAAAGTGACTTATTTGTAATTAACCCATGATTTGGTATTTAAGTTATAAAACATCAGAAAGGTATTGTGGCTGAAGTAGAAAAGGAATAAATATTATTCAGAGATGGATTAATTGGCTTAAGAATGTAGTGTCTCCTCTTTGGGGAACAGGATGTAAGCATCTTCAGTTTTACCATGAGTAGTTGTAAAGCAGAAGTTATCACTTTTATCCAGATATTAAATATGGATAAAAGTGGTTTGTATGGATGCTGAGAAAACAAAGGGGAGAACTGTGCTTGACTATCTGTTGTCAGCTCAGCCACAACCCGCATCCCAGCTATTCTGTCTCTTCTGTGCCAGAGAAAGGAAGCTTGAAACTAGGTTTCTCTTCAGTGTAGTTCTAGGTCAGAGTTTTCCAATGAGAAAGTCATACAAGCTTTGCTAGGCAGAATGTGAGGAGAGGCCATTACACTTCTGTGACAGTTGCTGTCCATATACATAGCAATTTATAGGAACTTTGCAGCAAGCTCTTGGAAACAACTCTGTTTGTTGCTGTAGACTGAAAAGTTGGTGGGAGCTTCCAGATGATCTTGAGAACCCTAGAGGTTTCTCAGTGAGCACCTTAGAACTTTGGTGCTTCAGGCTGAGTTTGCCTGTGGTGGCTTCCACGACCTTAAGTCCCTAATTCCCTCTATTAAAAGTTTTAGTTTCTGGAATATACAACACAATTGTTTGTTTTCCTGATCTAATTTTAGCTCACTTAAAGGTTTAGAAATCTGTAACTCCTATATCTATGAATATGGCTACCTTGTATTGTGTGTGCATGCAAACATGTGCAAATTGGAGAGAGGGATGCCATACTAAATTATAAAATGAATATATCGTCACTGAAAAATGAACAAGATAGAAATAGAGAAAACAAACTCCCCAGTGACCTCCATCTTTCCCCAAATCTCTTCCCAATTTTAGCTACTGTTAACATTTTATAGTGTTTGTTTTGTAGCCTTCTAGCATTTTTTTCCAGAGACACACTTCCCTCTACACTTTCTTTAAAAACAAAAATGCGATTATACTTTATATTTTGTTCTAAAGTTTGTTTTTCTGGATGCAACAATATTTTATAGCTGTCTTTTTAACTATGAGTGTCCAGATGGAGCTACCTCATTCTTTTTTAGTTTAGTGTTCATTGAATAGTTGGGCCATCATTTACTTAACCTTATTTACCACTAAGAGGTGTTCAAGTTATCTCCAATTTTCCCTTGTTACAAATAATGTCACCATGAATATTCAAATGGGTATATACTTGCATACCTACATGAGTATTTCAGAAGAAAGATACTTAGAGGTAGACTTGTTGGATCCAAGGCTTGCACATATCACATTGTGCGTATATTGCCAAACTGTCTGAAAGAAATCTTAATGTGATTTGCAAAAGTGATTGGACTTTCTACAAATAGCTCTGAAATCATACATCAGTACATATTTCTACTAAAACAGGGAAGATGCTTTTGAATGTGATACCTATTGCTAATTTGCAATAGCAAATTCCCTCTTCAACTGTGAGTATATTTGGAAGGACACTAATTTTAGAGGGGATGGGGGTACATTTCAGAGGGGTGTTCCTAGTTCCCTGAAGGCTGAAGGACCTCCAGGAGGAATAAGAATGAGCTTGGCTGTCACCTAAACTTACCAACATTGGCTCAGTGGTTTCTGCCTTGGGCAACATTGTCAATCATTTTCCAGAAGGTATCATAGATGGTTACCCTGTTAGAATATATTTGCTTCCAGCATCTGTTTTCAGACTTACATTTAACCATTTTTGAGACCTCTGCTCCTCTAAAGGCCATTGGACCTATCAGCTGGTTAATGTGAAAGTGATCTGAATATATAAGCATAGAAACTTAGTAACAAGTGGGCAGAGTTTAGTTCAGATGCTCCTGTAAACCCCATCTGAACTAGCCAGATCTCTTGGGAATGAAAAATATGAGCCAGGAATCTCATTAACCAATTTTTTTTTCTCATTAGGTACTTGTTGGCTCTTAGTAGAGTCTGGCTTGTCCTAAAGAATTAAAGTATAAGATCCAGGTTGGAAATTAAGCAGAGTTTCCATATGAATGAGTGGGAAATGGCAATTACTTAACACTTAGGCTGGGCCAGAGAGTTTATATAGACTGTCTAAATTAATCCTTCCAACAATCCTGTGAGGTAGTTGGCCATATTCCCATTTTTTTTCCAGAGGAGAAACTATAGCAGAGGGTGAATAAGTAAATTTGACAAATGCCATTCAACTAGTCATTGGCCAACTGGGATTCAATGTCAGAGCTGTCTATCGCCAAGACCTGTATGTCCCCCTCACTCACTCTACATCCTTCTGCCCTTTTGTGACTATGATGTGACTCGAAGGGAAGATTATAACTAGATAGAGGAATGACGAAATATGGAACCAACATTTCCAGTTCAGGTTGGCCGCCATCTGTATTGTTTCAGTAAAGCATTATCTTCACAGGGCAGATGATCTTAACCTTTAAAAAGATCTTCTGTATTCAGTTTGGTAGATGCCTGCAACCCATGCACTGATATCTTATTTATTGAAAGCAGGGCTTCTTAAACTCAGCACTGTTGACACTTTGGACTGGATAACCCTTTGCTGTGGTGGGTGGGGGGCATCCTGTGTACTATAAGATGTTTAGTGGCATGCCTGCCCTCTAGTCACTAGGACTAGATGCCATAGCATTTCCCCCACATGTGACAATGAAAAATATCTCCAGACATTGCTCCCATTTGAGTACTACTGATTTAGAGTAGAGATCCGTCAGGAGAGAGAAAAAAAAGAGAGAACCCCCTGTCTCACAAAACAGAAGTAAAATCTATAAAGAATTGTCGTCAGGTTCCTAGTATCCAGTGCATATGTCTAAACAGATTGGGGAGTAAGGGAGCATTTTCAGCATGAAATGCAGAAAAAATAGGCTTACATTGATTTGTTGAGCATAAATAGAAAAGATGTATGTGCAGTTAGTGAAAATGTAAAAGTGTTATCCTTATGGGACCTCTGGGTAGGTGTAATAACTTCAGCTTTTTCAAGCCTGAATCACAATCTCTCAGAGAAGTAAAATTAGGTAAGCAATTTTAATTTCTAATTATTGGGCTATTTCAAATACTCTGACAACGTGGTGGCCCAAACTTAAAGTTTGATGTGTGTTTCTCTCTCCTTGCAATTATGCTACGTGATCCCTTGGCTCAATCACAGGAGTTTTAAATTATTTCATGCCAGGCCTACGGGGGTGGGGAGGCACAGATAAATATGGTCCTTTGTGATTGGTGGCTTTCAGGGAGGTAGCATAGTGGAGTGGAAAGAGCATTGGATTGGAAGTCCAGAGATCTGACTTCTGGCCTGCAGCTGTTCCTACCAAATTCTATGCCCTGGGGCAAGTCACTTAAACTATTTGGGGTCAAATTATGTAGGAAATTAAAAAATAAAAGCAAAAACTGACCATGACCTCTTCTGCCTAAGCTAAGGCATGGTAGATTGATTGAGTTAATGGGCCCAATCTCCTTGCTCCCACCGACACATTTTTCTATGTTATTTTGTAGTCCCCTCTCTCTGATTCTTTGCTCAGAGCTCTGGCTTGCTTTGACTGGTGGAATGTTACCAGTCTTGTTGCAAACAGAGACTTGAGAAAGTGCTTATGTGCTTCTGCTTATACTTGCTCCCTGCCATCACTGTGAAAAGGATATATCTGCTCATCCACATGAGAGATGTGGGGAGCCAAGTGGCCTTGCAGGAGAGGCCACTCTAGAAACTCCCCAGATATGAGAGCAGGTTCAGCTGAGATGGGCAGAGGTGCCTAGCTCGACACCCCAGATGTGTGAGCAATGGACATTTGTTATTTGCCACTAGATTTTGAGCTTGGTTGCTCCGCAGCATCAGAGTGACTGAGGATAACTTTGATGAGGCTTGCAAGATGGTCATCTCAGGAGAAATGGGTCTTTATTTAGAAAAATACCTTGGTGGGCTCTCCTGAGTGTGGAAATTGAGTCTACCTCCATCCCAAGGCAGGGTCTAAAAGGAGCAAGGGAGAGGTTTGAATCCCTTTGCATTAAAGTAAAAATTAAAAATAAAAAACTCTGAGGTTCAGAGGCAAGCCTGAGAGAAAGGAGATGGAAGATAAAGAAGAGGGAGGGGAGGATTTGAGAGAAGGAAAGAAGACAAACAGATTGGAGGCTGACCTGGGGAATGCTTAGCTGGAAATGGGAGTGGTGTGTTCCTCAGGGAGATCAAGGAACTTTTCAACTTTGTGGCATAAGAATCCACTTTCAATAGTTTGTTGTTCCTTGGAGTGATGTCATCATCCTATGAGAAGCCAAACCTCATGTAAAAGTCAGTGACACACACGGTTTTCACTGCACCCCACCCACTCCAATTCATGATCTTCTAAGTCACCAGATGGATCTTAAAAATAAGATCAGCTCAAGTCCTGCCCAGCTTGCAGTCCTTCCTGACCACATCCTCCACCCTCTTTCTCATCATGCTTCAGTCACTTGGGCCATTCTCCAATTCTCACACTCTTCCCATCCCAGTATCCTCCTCCCACATCCCCCAGACACCCTCCCACTCTTCTCCCCCTCCACACACTTTGCTGGGGTGGTTCCTGCTTAGTCTTCACATCTCAACCTAAATGTCAGATCTCCAGGGAGGCTCTCCTTTAGCTACACGGCTTAAGAGAAGTCTCTGGTGTTACACTGTCTTGCCTTTTCTTCCTTAGCTCCCACCATCATTTGTAATGACATGATTGTCTTATTGTGCATGCTTGCTTCATGGCTACCTCCTGCCATTCCACTGTGCTCTTTGTGAGAGTATAGACTATGGCTATGCCGCTTGACCTTGTATCCTCATGCCTAGCACAGAGTCAGGAACCTGCTAGGTAACCTGATTTGTATTCAGCGCACGAATGAATACATGAGCAGTTTTGCGTTAGTGGTTCTTTGGCAATTGGGACAGAAGCCACGATCCACAATGAGCTTGATATAAGGAAGACAAGACATCTTTAGGAGGAGAACCCAAATAAGACTGATTTCTCTGAGGACCGAAACTCAGAGTGAGCATTTCCAGGGAACCAGCAGAATTAATAAGAGGACATAGAGCAGATTGCCTGGTGACATCGGAGCTTGTCATTTTTAACTAAACGTTCCAGGATCAGGTAACCCTAGAAGGCTGGAAGAAGCAGAGTTGGCCTGGAGGCAGACACAAGGATCCCATCAGGGTTTGCATTGGAAAAGCAGAGGCCTTGGGACTTACCAGGGGATTGCCAACATCTCTTCTAAGAAGCCCCAGGTTCTTTGGGGCCACCTAAACAGCAGGTGGGGGAAGGCAGAGGGGTAATCATAGAGGAGAGAGATTTGCATCGATTGAGGGAAAGCACGCAGGGGGAAGAGTGGTGAAATCATTCCTCCATTTCTCGTGATGGCAAACGCTCCCTGGGGCATATGTTTGGTGGCCCCACAAGGATCTGTCCTTCCACAGGGCTCTTCCTCATGGAAGAGGATAAACTGGCTCCTTTATTTGTCTGATGTTTGGTGATTTCTTTTGTAAATTAAAGGAAATTCAATGCATGCTAAATGGTGGGAATGCATTTGTAACTTAAATGATATTTAACTATGATGAATTGCCCAGGCTAATGAAAGGTTGACAAACCTTAGCCGTGCGTCACACGCTCCGAAATGAAATAGGAGTCAATGAAGCAGCTAAATGCCCCCTTAAATGCCAATCCACCCCTTTCAGTCTAAACCCCCTTCTAATTCTTTCATGAAAATAAATGGAAGGATTCTTCATTATATATTCATTTTCTGAATCCATTTTTCTCATTAGGCTGAAATAAGGGGTAGGTAAGGGTTTATTAGGGAGTAAGCATATCTGATAAGCATTAAATTACTTCTGATGGCTTTATGTATTTAATAGTGTTAGCAAATTAGCTTGGTCTTTTATCTAATGGAGCTGATGTTGATGAGGAGTGTGGATTTAACCCTGCATTAAACAGAACACTGACCCAGGTATCAAGGCGGGTGACTGAAGAGTTGATCCCCGCTCTTCACTCCTGTCCTTGGAAACATTTCCCTGGTGCATGTCTTCAACTAACTGCCTCCATCTGGGTGACTCCCAAGTCATTACCTCTAGTCCTGTCCCACTGAATGTCAGTCTGTAGGTTCTGGATTCCTCCTGCACAGTTATACCTCCCCGACGTTATTCACAATCGACTGAACACACATCCCCTTGCTTATTATCTGCTGCCTTCCAGACATCCTAATTTCTATTACCTGTTCCACCATTCTTCTCATGGCTCAGATTCCAAATCTTATTGTTGTTCAATTCAGCAAACATTCTTAAAAATGGCTTTTTCAGGCCGGGCGCGGGGGCTCATGCCTGTAATCCCAGCACTTTGGGAGGCCGAGGCGGGCTGATCACAAGGTCAGAAGATTGAGACCATCCTGGCTAACACGGTGAAACCCCATCTCTACTAAAAATACAAAAACAAAATTAGCCAGGCATGGTGGTGGGTGCCTGTAGTCCCAGCTACTCGGGAGGCTGAGGTGGGAGAATGGCGTGAACCTAGGGGGTTGAGCTTGCAGCGAGCTGAGATTGTGCCACTGTGCTCCAACCTGGGCACAGAGTGAGACTCCGTCTCAAAAAAAAAAAAAAAAAAAAAAAAAAAAAAACTCTTTTAGGGTGGCGGTGGTTTTTTTAGTTAACTTTTCCAACTCACTGTGATACTGCTTCTTCATGTTCCCAGAGAGGAGTGTGTTAGAGTGTGGGTTAGCACTGTGGACAGAGGACTGAAGGGTAGGGTTCCTGCCTGTCAGAATCACATAGAGGCAGGAACTAAATATGTCAATAGATAATTATAATGTAATATGCATAAATTATTTTAAGGCACAGAAAAGGCCACCTAAGGGTGGGAATGGATAGTGAGCAAGGCTTCAGAGATGAGGTGATGTTGGACTTGGCCTGGAAGAATGAGTAAAGCATGCCAGGTGTTAGTGTTGCAGGGAGCAGGATGGCCATAGGCTCGTATTGATTCACTGTGCATACAGGAGTCTTACTTCCATTTCCAGTGATCTCTAAAGTTTCCAGCATTCCTTGAGCATGTTGAATGAATCTCAAGTTTTGTTATCTTCTGGCCTAATGGGGAGGATGGATTCACAAGTCAGTTGCAAGATGTATCAGAGTCAATGTTCTGGCAGAAAATGGACAGTTCTGAAGAGACTTGCTAATAAAGATAATGTTTATAGTGGGGAGGGCAGGGTTTAGGAATCTTCAAGGGATATTGAGGCATCCAGTGCCCAGAAATAGCGGGAAGCTCTCATCACCCCAGGTCTAAAGGGGCATCAGAAGACATGAGGTCTAAGGAAGCTGGCTGCTCACAGAAGCTGATGTCATAGATATAGCTACCACTAGAACCTCACTTGAGTAGGGAAGGTGCGGACAAGCAGTATCTATGTATGACTTCTCTTGTCTGTTGGTCTCCAATCTTCTGCTTATGTATCCCCTTGGTCAAACCCAGTCAGAATCCATTGAACAAAGGCTAGATTATGCAATGCGTGAAAGTCGCTTTTCATGGCATAGAGCAGACAGACAGGTCAAAGAATGAATCTCAGAAGGGAAGTGTGGGGAATGGGGAATGAAGACTCAAAGAAGACTTTTCTCGAAAGTAAATGAGCTCTACCTTCAACTCCAGCTTGTTCACATCCTCTGGGCGGGAGTTTTCACTTGTAATTTGTAAGAGAGAAAAAGAGTATGAAAAGTCAGAAATAGAGTTGTGTGTAACAATGCTAAGTAGAAAGAGGAGTTTCATATTACTCAATTGACTTTAGCTTCTGAGAATAAGTAGAACGAGAACAAAGAAGAAGATAAGAAGTAATCTTCCTTTGAAACTTAGGTGGCAGAGATGGCTGGTTGCCTCTCCCCAGACTATGCTCTATCTTCTGTTAGAATATTCTTTTAATTTTATTTGACAATGTAGTGTGCACATCTCAAGGATAGCATTTCCCAGTATCATTCACTTAAAGGGAGACTATGAATTGTAAGTAGAAGTCATTGTGTGAACTTCAAGTCATTGTGTGGACCTTCAGCTCAATTAGCTAAGAGTGAATCTCTTGTCACTCCTTGCTTTTCCTTTTGTTTCTGCCTGGAATCATGGCTTGCGTTCATCTTGTGTTCTTGATGAGGAAATCCATGCCCAATAGGCAGTGGCACTCAATTTACTCAATTGGTTCTCTTCCTATTAGCCAAAAACAAATTCTAATGGATATGTCATGTTTATGTAAGTTCAATACTCTTATAACCTCTTGGCAGGATATGGGACTTGGCAGCAAACTAACCAAGTAGGATCTTTGGTAGCCATTGCACATAGCAGAGGCTCTTTTTGGGATAGAGTGCATGTTCCAGCAACAATTTCTTCTGTGTCATATCACTTACTGATGGTGTGAAAAATTCACTTTCTGAACTATAAAACGGGATTCTTTTTCTGACAGTCATGAACACAAAGAAAAAAAAGGAAATAATATTGAAAGTTAGGACTGTACCAGAAAAAAATAAAGGAACATCCTAATGCCATTCATAAGCTAATTCCCCAAATTAAAGATTGTATGATATTTGTGCCTTTACAGAACTCTAGTGAATCTCTTGTTCAGCCGTCTACAGACTACTGGCCTAGGGGCCAAATCTGATCTGATATCTATTTTTTATAGATAAGTTTTATGAGGATATGGTTATGCCCAATCATTTTATGGTTTTGTATGCTACTTTCGTGCTACAATGGCAGAGTTGAGTGCTTGCTACTGAGACGGCATGGCCTGAGAGGCCTAAAATATATGCCCTCTGGCTTTTACTCAAAAAATTTGCTGACTCCTGCTCTTGTCTATAATGACTCCTGCTCTTGTCTATTATGATTACATCTTTTGTCTGCAAATTTGTGTTCATTTGAGGTTTGGATATGATTCAGTAATTTAGATTTTAGAAAACAACAGTATGACTATTTGTGGAATTTATTTAGTACTTGGTTTCCTCAACTTCTCCCCCATAAGAGGTGTATTAGAACATTTCAAGTCAATCAATTACAGTGGAAGTCTTAGGGAATTATAGTAGTCATAACTGATAATCATTGATGACTGTATTGAGGGGTTTTTGAGATGTGGATTATTTGTATAAGATTAGAGTTTGTAGGTGCCTTGAGGCAATATATTTAAAGATTATCATTTTGTACAGGGGTGCAGTTTTAGGAAAGATGTACTTGAACTACCGAGGAAGGGTGAATACAGGGGACTCACCAAGGCTAGGAGATTCTTTGCAGTAACTAGCACATAGAAGGCCTCAAAATGCCTAATTACCCTTAATCATTCTAATTTACTACCAGTAGAAATAACTAAGCATAAAATTCTGAAAAAAAAATCCGGATTCTAGTTGGTGGGTTGTAAAGCATTCAAGATCTCTTGATTAATGGGTTAGATCTGAAGCCTGGGCTCATCGCTTAATAGATGTATTACCTTGGGCAAGTTTCTTACCCTCTCTGAGGCTCTTTTTTTTTTTTTTTAATTTGTATATGGGAAAAACAATGGCATCTCACTATTAAGATTATTGGGAGAATCAACTGAGTTGTAAAACATGTGTGTGTATACAGATATATACACACACATACACGTACATACATATATACACACACATATATACATACACACACATATATGTATGAACACACATATATGTATGTGTGTGTGTGTATATATATGTATGAACAGAAATGGGCAGCTTTTAAGTGCTGGTTAACCTATTAACACTTAATAATCCTACTGGTATAGCTTGGCTGTGTTCCCACTCAAATCTCATCTTGAATTGTAGTTTCCTTAATTCCCGCATGTTGTGGGAGGGACCAGGTGGAGATAATCGAATCATGGGGGTGGTTTCTCCCATCCTGTTCTCCTGATAATGAGTTAGTTCTCATGAGGTTGGATGGTTTTATAAGGAGCTATCCCCTTTGCTGGGCACTGATTCTTCTCTCCCCTGCTGCCATGTGAAGAAGGACTTTGCTTCCCCTTCTGCCATGATTGTAAGTTTCATGAGGCCTCCCCAGCCATGCTGAACTGTGAGTGAATTAAACCCCTTCCCTTTATAAATTACCCAGTCTCAGGTATGTCTTTATTAGCTGCGTGAGAACAGACTAATACACCTATTAACACTTAATAAATGTTAACTATTATCATTTGATTCAATTTCTTTTTAATCTCCTCAGATTCCAGTTTTCATGCTAGCTGATAAAGCCAGCCTACTAACAGACAATATAAGATATTTCATTAGGCAATGTGAAATATGTTATTTATTTCATTATTAGAAACTCAAGAAAGAGCATCCTACAAAGCAAAGTTCTGTTTTGGGTAACCCTCCCCATTTTTTTTGTATTATGGCTGTGTGTTTATAAAGTTGCATGTATATCTATTCATTAAATGAATGTGCAGTTTCAGTTAACTTGGGGAATAGAATATTGATTTAAACCATACTTTAGGAGGCTTATCTATCACTCTGAACAAATAAAAACTTCTGTGAGATTGGATTTCATTGCATGAGACAGGAAAAAACATACTCCGCTGAATACAGCTTGTGGTTGTAAGGCCAACTTCTAGAGGTGTCATCAATATATCGGGTTCCTGCTTTCACTTTTTAATGATCTCTGTCAACTCTAATAAAGATACGCTCACTTTCATTGAAGCAGAATTTACCCTGTCTCTCAGGGATTTTTTTTTTAAACATACTGACTATACCTTCAGCCTGTCATTATCCCAGAATTGACATTTCTACCTTCAAGATTTGTTAGCGTTAGAGAATCAATGTGTTGATAAGAAATTTTGTCCTACCTTGACTGTGGATTTTGAGCTTTCTCTTTGTGGAGTTTGACTTATTTCCAAACTGCTTCCATAGAGGAAAAAGACCGTAAATTACAAATACTGAATTTACCAACTCCATCTTGTTCTGCCCTCTTTTCTCAGCTCTCATGCTTATAGCTGGAGAGTTGAATGAAAAGCTTTTTAAAACTTTCTCCAGTCCAGTTTTGGAGTCAATTAATCCTCTGAAGACCACAGATTGTCCCTAGTATTCCTTTTCCCATTTGTTTTTTTGTAATAGAATTCCAGAGTCTATGCTTATCTAGCTGAAGACTCCTTATTTTCTAGAATTCCTCAAACCTGTGGGTGGCTATATGGCTTACTTCTGGCTTAATGGGGTGTGATAGAAGTGAGGCATGCCAACTGCATGTTATACACCCAAATTAAGGTCATGTGCCCTGCATGACCTTCCCCCTTTCTGGTGATTAGAATGCATCAGCAAATAAAGCAGGAACATTACACCACAGTGTGGGAGTGACTCATTGAGGAGGCGCAGCAGCTGGGCAGAAGGAGCCTGGGTGCCTGATTGGCAGAGGGCTGCTATAACAGCCCTAGTCTACGTAAGCCCAGAACGTCCCAGAAAGAGAATTAATGATTTTGTTTAACCCACTATTATTTTAGCTTTTTCTAGAGCAGCTAATAGAGAATTTGGGATTTAGACAGGGGGTGCTACCACACTAAGACATAAAATTGAGCATATTTACCTCACAGTTGACAACGTGGTAGGTGGGCATGGCAGGGCAAAACGTTTAGTAAAACCGTCACCTGCAGCATCTCAGAAGACCACATTATGCCACCAGAGTATGTGACTGTAGCAGAACTGGTTGGAAAAACAGGGTGGTAGTTGGTGTTGGATGATTGTTCCTGTTATTTGCAGGACTACCAAAGAGATGAACTCAAGTGATAAGGAAGTAGCAACAGCAGCAGCTGTTTCAGTGGCCCCAAGCCTTTCTCAGGTACCTTCTTCAGTGCTTCTGGCTAGATAATGGGAGCCATTCCTACTGCAAAATCAGATTATAAACATTGTGCTCCCATCCAGGGCTTTTGTTTCAGATGTCCTCAAAATCACCATAAAGAGGATGGTAGAGGGAGTTGGGTAGAGCATGAAGGCCAATAAATAAAGTACATAAACACAAGAAATTTCATTTACTATGATAGGTCTAAAGGAGAATTTTGGTTGTGGTTGCTTAAACTGGGAAGTGTTTGGAAGCAAATACATCTTTATGTTTTTGAGAAAATAGTTTTTCCAAAGAAATTGCAAGCCCAGCCAGCAAAAGTCTGATTTTTCAACCCCTAAAGTAACCCCAGACGTTCCTATATGCACCACTAGGAAACAGACAGCAAACCTGTGCAACCCTGAAAAAGAAACACTGTTCAGTTTTCATTGTATGTGAGTCCATGAAAGATAACAGACAAGGGCGTTTCTCCTAGAAAATCCAGAGAGCTGCCAGACAGGTTACCCAAAGAATTTGTTTCACTGCCCAGCATGATGTGCAAATGGCCATGGGCAAGGAACTGCCATCCTTTCCATTCACCTGTTTCCTGAACGGGGGTTTTCACTGCAGTTGCCCTGACTCTACTCAACCATGTTGCTCTAGAGCAATGGCTTGTAGATAGCTCAGACTCTGGGCATCCATATCAGACCTAATGGAGAGAACCGTGCAACTCCCAGAGTTACTAAATTTGAGCTGCCTGCAGAAATTGGGCAGAACTTTAAGTTATCTCTCTTGGGGATGATGGGAGGGTATTCCATGCCTAAGAGGAAGGGTATGTATCAATATTTTGTCAGTAAAAATGGGAAGCACATGCTCTAATATCCATTTTTCCTTCTTTTGGTCATATGATTTACCCAACTGTTTGGCTTCCCAGCTAGAGACTACATTTTCTAGCCTCCCATGACACTTGTTTGCTTGACTAAATTCTGCCCAATGGTGTGTGAGTGGGAGGTCTGAGTGCTAATTGTTTGCTGAAGTCTTAAAAGGAAGAAACATGTCCTCCTCTTCAACTTCCCTTCCTCTCCGTTTCTGCTGGCTGGAATATAAACATGATGGAAGGCACTGGAGCAGCCACTATGGACCACAAGTTAGAATCTGCATGCTGGAGGTATCAAAGTACCAGATGGAGATGCCTAGTTTCTTGACACTGTGGGGCAGTCTGCAGTCCTGACTGCTCTGTATGAACTCTTACCTTGGAGAAAAATAAGCTCTCTTATTCAAGTCATTCTTCCCTTAGCTTCTGTTTCAGCAGCTGAAATGGTCCCCTAACTAGTACAACAGAATACTATTTCTTCTGAAATGGAGATCTGAATTGCTGACAGCTCCTTCTTCAGATGGGAACTGTGGGGGCATTAATCATGGTCAGAGATTCTCTTGTCTGCCTCTGAGTGCTATGCAGTGAGGACTGCAGTGACTGTACAGGGACTTGTTCTCGGCCCTGCTGAGGTGACAGGATGCCTAGGGGTGGTTATTCTCTGGCCTTACCATGGAGAAGTTGATAGGAGTGCCTGGTGTGTGTGGCTTCCCTAAGCCTCATGTCTGCAAACAGTCACAGTCTGTCTAAAGTGCAGTGGTACACAGAGCTGGCAGGCCTGGGATAACCTAACTGAAGAGGGCTGTGACATCTGACTCCTCCTCAGGAATCACTGCAGCTGCCACTGTGTACCTGCCCACTGAAGAGATTGTCTGCTCACATGCTCTGCCTGGGAACCATCCCAGTCCTAAGGTTTTCAATACAGCTTGAAAACAAGCCCTCAGCTGTTTTATAGGCACTTTCTATGTCCACTCACTTTGTGAAGAGACAAAATGCCTTTGGTTTCAGAGCCAGGGAAATCGTACTAAATTCTGCAGTCTCAACCCATGGATTTAGAGCATAACATATTTTTCAAGGGGAGGTCTTGGAAAGAACAAAGGATTTGGTATAAAAGATTTACATTCTCATTGTGATTGTGTCAAGCTCTGTAGTTTAATTGTCAAAATTGAGTCTAAAATCAATTCGCTTTAGGTATAATTCCTTACTCTTTTCTGTGTGACCCCAGACAAGTTATTTATGCGCTCTCATTGTAAGCCTGAATTATATCATCTGTAAAATGGGGATTTTTTGTGGTGAGCATTACCTATTTAGCTATTTACACAATGCCTGGTTTAACATAAGCTGTCAGTAAGTTTTGGATATTATGGATATTTTTATAATTATAACCATGCGTTTCACAGGATATGTGACTAATCATGAAAGTCTTTCTGTTATGAAAACTCTGAAAACCCCAGAAACTCTTGATGGGGATCATAATAATGATGGTGTATGATTGACGGTGGGATGGGCGCAATGCAGAGCAGGGAAACAAAAGCATTTGACATAATTACCTTAAGAGAAAAGTGGCAGAAAAGAAGTCTGCATTCAGACAGTGTATACTTATTAAATACCAACTCTGGGCTACGCTTTGCTCTGGACAGGAAAAAACAACAAAGTGCCTATTTAATAGGCATTTTTATTCTGGTGGGGAGAGCCATTCAATAAATAAACAGTTGCTTTTGGGTGACCAACCTCCCCAAACCCACATGGCTCACCCATAGGTGGCACAAATCCCAGATTTGATTGCTAGATGTCTGAGCCCTGAGGATTTATGCTTCACTCTGACCTTTGACTCCTGTCCCTAGGAAACATATTTGAATGGAAAGATAATGGGAATCTCTTTGTTACAGCTCAGACTTGTACTGAGTCTCTTCTTTGCTCCAAGTTCTTTTCTTAAAAACATTTTGTGGTTTCTATATTTAATAGGTTTATATAGTTATGGGGTAGACAGGTATACAATGTGTAATAGTCACACCAGTGTAAATGAAGTGTGCATCACCTCAAAGATGTATCCTTGTGTTGTAAACAATCCAATTATACTCTTAGAATTATTTTTAAATGTTTATTTAAAAATAACATGTTATTTAAAATAATAAATTATTATTCACTATAGGCACCCTGTTTTGCTACCAAGTACTAAGTAGGTCTTATTCATTCTTTCTACCTATTTTTTTTTTTGTACTCATTAACTATCCCTAGCTCCCTCCTACCTCACCACTACCCTTCCCAGACTCTGGTAACCATCATTCTACTATCTCCATGAGTTCAATTATTTTAATTTTTAGCTCCCACAAATAAGTAAGAGCATGCCAAGTTTGTCTTTCTGTGACTGGCTTATTTCACTAAACATAACGACTTCCAGTTTTATCCATGTTGTTGCAAATGAGAGGATCTCATTCATCTTTATGGCTAAATCATACTCCATTGTGTATAAGTACCACATTTTCTTTATCTAGTCATCTGCTGATGAATACCTAGGTTGTTTCCAAATCTTGGCCATTGTGAGAGTGTTGCAATCACTCCAAGTGATTGACAGACATTGTTTCCCTGCTCACTGAACACAGCACAGTCAGAAGACCTTGGCTATCAAGTCATACAGATCCTAGTTTAGTCCCCAGTTCAGACTCTATGAGCTGCTGTGTGACATTGGACAAGCTAATGCAGCCTCTCAAATACCCGTTTTCTCATCAATGCAAAATGGTGGTAATGGTACTGACTTAAAAGGTGTTGGGTGCGTTTTTCTGCTGGCTCCATACGGTAAACAATAGCACAAATGCACTTTAAAAAGTGGGGAAGAATTTGATTCGAAATAGAGGCACTTAGCTAGTGGAGAAGTTCTGCCAGAAAATGTTTGCTGGGCTTTGGAGCAGGGGAAGGGCACGAGTTGTAATGTTTGTGGAGCAAGCAGCATCTGGAGATAGCTAAGAGGCTGAAAGGAGCGAATTCAGAGGAAAGCAGGATAGCATGCAAGTAAAAAGGCTCTTGAAGGGGCTAGGGATTAAAAAGCTATTAAATAGATGGAAGGTTAATAAAAATAGTCTTTTGAAACAAATGGAAGATTATTCAGACAGTGAAGGAGATAATTAGAATAGGATGTGATATAATAGCATGTAGAGTTGGGGAAGAGCAAACTAATGGAAGTACATTCAGATTCCGAGTCTCCACCTGCCCTCAATCTCACCCATGGATAAGCAGGGCTGGGAAAGGAGACCTGATGATTAGAACCAGAGCCTGAGAGTTAGGCCTACACTTTTTTTTTTTTTTTTTGAGACAGAGTCTCGCTGTGTCATTAGGCTGGAGTGCAGTGGTGCAATCTCGGCTCACTGCAGCCTCCACCTTCCAGGTTCAAGCAATTCTCCTGCCCCAGCCTCCCAAGTAGCTGTGACCACAGGCGTGCGCCACCATGCCTAGATAATTTTTGTATTTTCAGTAGAGACGGGGTTTCACCATGTTGGCCAGGATGGTCTTGATCTCCTGACCTCGTGATCTGCCTGCCTTGGCCTCCCAAAGTGCTGGGAATACAGGTGTGAGCCACTGCGCCTGGCCAGGCCTACACATTCTTATCCAGATTTGCAAGTATGTGGTTTGAATCTGCAGCTTAATTTCTCTGGGTTCAGATGTAAGCATCCAAGTGCATTTGGTCATGCTAGCCTGTGAGCTTGAGTGAAGGTTTGCTAAGATCTCTCTTCATCTAACATTGTAGTGTTTTGTTTTGCATTAGGTATGGGCCTGCATGCTATTAAAATTCTACTCCAGTTCTGTAAAATGCCTTGAATGATTGTTCCTTAAGGTACAGAAAGGTAGCAGAAACAGAGAGAGAGGGAATGGATTCAGGGTATGATAGACCTGGATTTAAAGCTTGGCTATGTCACTGAGCAGCTATGTTGCTTTGAGAAAGTCATGCAACCTCTCTGAGTTTCTCTAGCTCATAGGAAACATACTACCTACTTTGTAGGGTTATGTGAGGATTTGAGATTATAAGTAAATGCCTAGCACAGTCCCAGCTTATAATAGGCACTCAATAAATAGCAAGTATCCTTAATTTTAATTGATTATATAATACAAGGCAAAATGAGTAGTATTCTTTTTAGGATCTTTCTATTTTATTCTTTTCAGCTTTAAATACCTCTAATTTAATACATTAAAAATGAAAATATCAGTAGTCATTCTGTGAGTCCAGCTGAGGGCATAATTTGTTCAGTTTCTCCATTACCCCTCCGCTTTTATTTTTAAATGTCAACCTAAATAACTAACAGAGAGGCTCTCTAGAAGAACAAGGTATTTATTTGGGAGTAGAGCATTGCAATGGGAATACATGTGCTGTAGTAAATTATGTTCATATTCAGGGAGATAAAGGAAGACAGAGGTTTTTAAAGGAAAAAATGAGAATTACATAATTGTTTTGCACTAATTATCTGTGGCTGCAAAGATCAATAACAAAGGTGATACCAGTCTGAGTCTGGACAGGCAGTTGCTGGGCAGGTGTCCTTGCGGAAGTATTGTATGTGTAAGGTTGTGATGGCCTTTGTGCAAAGTTGTGATTTTTGCAGACTCTATTGTGATAGTTTTGCTATCTAGCATATAAGTATGAGACCTTTCTCTTGATGGCTTTCTCCATCACTATTTGTCATTTTTTAAATAGTGACCCCGTTTTGATTTTGCCAACATTCACATAAGCAAATATTGATTTCTTAGAAATAAAAAAAATCATAGCCATAAGAAAAAGTGTACAATTAGGCTCAAAAATATTTTTCCATGCAATCTCAGATAAAAAGTTATCTCAACATTTGTGGCAACCTCGAAGCTTTGGTCATCCATAGTATGACCAACTTAAGTCTGCAATAATTTACTCAGCCTTCACTTCCCCATTTGTCCCTTTCACTCTTATCCAAAGATATCATAAAAGCAAGTTTCAGCATCTAAAATATGAGGTTCTCAGAGACAGGAACAAATTGGCACCAAGTGACCCCAATGTTTTAAATGTTTGGTGGTTGGAAATAGTTTCCATAAGCAACTCTAAGGATTGTCATATTCCATCTCTTTCCTCCTCTAATACTTATTACGCCATGTTCTAAGCGCTGGGGTAAGTGCTGACATGTAAAATTCATTTAATCCAAACAGCAATGCTGAATGATCTCAGAGGCTGAAGAGACTCTGAGATTTCCCCAAGGTCACAGAGCTAGTAAGTGGAAGAGCAGGTTTGCCCCTGGACATCCTGGCTTGTAGCCCTGTTGAATAAGGCATTGGGGAGGACACACAAAAATTCAAAGATTCCCCTGTCCACGAGATGACTAAGAACCATGGATTGTCCAGGTGACTGTCCTCCATATTTTAATAGGTTTCGAAAGTATCTTTTCTGGCAATACCCTTGTTCTCCATAGAGCAAGAAGCCATGAGCATCACAATCAAAATGAGGTAATATGGGGAGGAGAGAATAACACAAACTCCCATTCCTATTCTGAACTGTGGAAAAGAGGATGCCTCTTCTTCCCACGGTGCTGATTGCCATGCACACTATCTGTGCAGGATAATGGACCCATCCTGGCTATCCATTTCTGTGACAGCCAGCCAATCATTTCAGGCTAATCACGCCCCGCCGCCCGTCTGTCCACATATCTCGGCCTCCCTTCCCTTCCGCTGTGGGAGAGAGGAGACCAGGAGAGAAAGCCTCTGGCCTTTAAGTGTTTGCACAGGACGCCTGAGTGGAGTGAGGCGGTGAGATAAGGGGTATTTCAGGCTATTTCTTCTGCTTGTGTGAATAGCACATGATTGATTTCAGAAAAAGAAATTTATTTCCCTACAGACATATTTTTATCATTTGCTTGAATTCCTTGATGCCTTGCTCACTATGTGTATAGAGGAGCCCGGTCTCCTTGAGAGGGGGAGGGAAGGGAAAATGGATAACACTTTAAACCTGAAAAAAAAATATATGTGTATATATATAAAAGTCACTGCCAGATAAAATGTTCTGTGACCTATAAGCTTTGGAATGGGTCAGAAGGATTATACTAAGGCTGACATTTAGAAATGAGATCCGTTGGCTGCTGCGTTTGCATGTAGCACGCCAAAATACCTTCCAGAACTCCCCTTCCGGGGGAAGCCTCCACTGAAGCCCAGATTGAATAGCAGGCACTTTAACCCTAGGGGTGAGAGCCGGGCTTAGAGGGTCCCAGCTAGACTTAGAGGGTCACTTTGTGCTGACTTTTACAGGGTGAGATGACTTTATTGAAAGGGACATATTCAATTTAGTTAAGCTTCCAAATTTATGTACTCCTAAAAAAGAAGGCTTAGGGGAGGCTAATATAAATGGAAATTATTTCAGAGGGAAAGATGGGGAGGAGGGAGGTTGGTGATGGTGGTCAGGGTAGGAGGAGTGGGTAGGAAGTAGGAATTTTGAATGCAACGAATTTCTGGGACACAAGCTTTTTGGTTTTCGGGTTTTTTTTTTTTTTTTTTTTTTTTTGTAGCCCAGTGTTTAACATTTAGGTGGGTGTAAAAATACCCAGGCAGGATGGGTTAGTTTTGAGCTTTGAAAATTTGGGCAATTTTCAGGACTGCTTTGTTCCCTGGTGTAATGTTAGCGCTTTGGTAAAACATCCACTGGGATGTAAGCACCTTGGCCTCAGCCCTTTGAACAGAGGAATGAGATAAGGCAGCTTTCAGACGACAGCCGTCTCATAATGATTTGCACACGTGGAGGCTGAGCAGCGGGGCAAAAAATCCAAACATCAAGGCTAGTTTGGGAAGGTGTTTTTGCACTTATGTCTGAATACCAGGGAGTCTGACATTTTGGGAATGCCAGTTACTCAAAGCAAATACTCTAGAGGGGCAGATGTGTCTCTGGAATGGCGGGAGGCTACATCATTTTCCCAGCTGGCTCCTTCCTCTGCACTTGCCTGCTTCTCGGGTCCTGCTGGGAATTAACCATTTAGGACTGATCCCTGGCTCCTCCCCTTTCAGACTGTATCAGGAAGGCAACTAGGAAGTTGTTACAAGAGCTTATCTGCCCATGAGGTAAATAGAGAGAGCTAGGGTAGAAACTGCAACCTAAGCAGATTAATTGAATAATTGAGAAGTCAATGCTCAATAAAGGTGAATGCAATATTATACATCTAAGATTGTGCTTGCAGAGCAAGTTGTGATTTAAAAATCTTTGAAAGTAAAATGTACACAGTCCAGTTCAGCTGTCTGAAGTGCTATTTAACCTGTCCTCTGACTTTTTAAAAATTCCAAAGTAATTAATTTTTGGTCTTTGACTTCATTCAAAATTCATGTCCATATGATTCAGTTCTTTCTTTATTACTTCTACTCCCTCTTTATCTTTTCAATCATTTTAAGCATATTTGCTTTGTTTTGTCTTCAGATTGCTCTGTTTTCTCAAGTTTTAGAGAATCGACTCTTCATTCTCTTCATCTGATGACCTCTCCTCCATTTCTATTTACCTTTTCCCTTTGTGATTTTAGTCTATATTCCTCCACTGTAGTAAACTGTAACTGTAAGTATAACAGCTATACAGAGTTTTGTTTTTATAGCCAGGCATCGACATGATGGTGGTCTTGGGCACCCCTGTTACGTGAGGGTACTCAGTTCTAACTTGACGGTGTACACAGGTCTCCCAGTGGGTGTTACAACCTCAGCATTTAATTGAAGGAGTCAATTATCCCCAGTTCATTTGTTGGCCAGTCTGTTTCTTCCTCATTGACTTGTGATGCTTGTATCTTTGATTCCTATGTATATTGTGATCTCTTTCAAGGACCACTTACTTCTCCAGGGCATTTACAGTGTCATGCTTATGTTGGTTTCGAGGAAGCAAGCAATGAGCCCAGGAATTACTTGGCTTTAGTGCAAATATATTTTATATATATATTTATAATATTTTAAAATATATTCAGCCTGAGGCAGAAACATGCTGTTGCCAGATGCATATGTACCCCTATTGACCTGTTTGTGGGCCCTCTGATTTCTTGCTTTGCAGCTCCTGTGTCTACTTCAGGTTAATCTAAATTTCTTAGAAATTATCCTTTTTGGTCAATGTTTACAATTTTTTTTTGACAACTCTGAGCCTGGCACATAGGAAGCTTCCAGTAGATTCTTGTTTTTTCATTATGTAAAAGTTATTCATCTCTTCAGTCTTTCTTTAAAATTATCTTTTTGTCTTTCTTCATCATGAATATAATTTTCTGATTAATTTTATGGCTCCAAGCTTCAAGGCCCTAGGCTTTGGAAGCCCAAGGGCAGGAACAATGTTCATCTCTGTGTGTACCAGTACCTAGCACAGGATCTGGCATGGAGCTTAGATGGTCACTCAACTCAGATGATGACTGAACGATCTGAAGACATGCTTTAGACCACCCTGCTCCCTGTAGGTTTATCTATAAAAATAGAAGAATATTTAGCTCTTAAAATCTTGCTCCCTCTAAACATTTATAATGAAGAAAGCAGTATTTCGGCATCTTTGAAGTCATATGAAAATAACCTATATCTTTCAGTTCTCTGTTTTACAAATCGAAGGATGTCATAGCCTTACAGCCTGACTGTCCATCTGCATGTTCCTATTCACTATCCCTTTCTGAGCCCTCTCCATTGTTCCCTATTTTATAATAGATGCAACGCTGACATTCAGACACTTCAACAAAGGGCTCACTAGAGTTGAATGTAGCAAGAGTATTATTTTCAGGGTCAGCTCTCTTTTGGAAGCACATGACAAAATCAGCTTTAGACTAACTTAGACAAAACAGATCATTAGAAGATTTGTTAGAAAGATATTAAAGAAATTCATAGAATCAAAGGAAGACTGTGGCAAATTGCTGCTAAGTTTTGCCCACATGAAAAATACTTTTGTTAATGACTCCGGGTCTCCTTGTTTCTAGCTCTAATGAGTTGAGGAGCCTTTCTCATTAGATTTAGTTTAAATAACTTGCAGGAAGAACTCTCATTGGCTGAGCTTGAGTCAAGTGTTCACACTTGAACCAATCACTTTAGCTAAGGATATGGCCAGGGTTGTATCACAGGGTCTTCCATTTGGAAAGTGTCTCTTATCAGAAAAGGAGGGAGAAGAATGTGATAGGTAGTAAGGATAGCTTGTTATTGCATTTGTAACACAGTAGTGGATAATTATATTCCTAATTATTTAGAAGAAGATCATAGTAGATGTTTTTCTTCTTCACAGTGCTATGTTGCTGACTTAGTGATCTGTGTTTCACAATAAATCTCATCTCCTTTTAGGTTATAATTTGTTCTAGCCAGTTCTTCTCTATATTATATTGACCAAGCTTGCTTTGAGTCACTATTGAATTGTGTCCCATTTTATAAATGGGTTTCTTTTAGCCCACTAAGTACTCTTCCAAGAATGAAAAAGAAAAAAAAAATCTAAAATTCCTCCAGGATGAGAATTTGATGGTCATTTAGCATTCTCAAATTCTATGTGTTGGTGGTAAATCCATTCTTACTGCACTCACCCTATTGTCTAAATTGGAGAAACCTGCCTGCCATTTTTCATAAGGACATTTGTGGGCTGGAGACTAGGTTAACACTCCGTTTGCTTATCACATCATTTGATTTATCTAGGGGTAAAGGGAGTGAGGTAGGAGGTTTGACAGGCGGTGATAGCTCAGCCAGGCAGGCTCAAATACCACTGCATGAGGATAAAACCGTTAGCCAAACAGACCTTCTAAATACCACTGAAAAGCAGGAATAAACCATGCAGACAGGAACAAGGCTCCCGTCCAAGCATTACAGAACCTCTGTCACACTTCAGCAAACTCAAAACATGCACACGTATATGCATGTATCCTTTCCCGTTATTACTGGTAACCAGAGAGCTAACGGTGTAAGTTTAGCATCACACAAACTCAAGTGCTGACAAGTTATTTTTATAGGGCAGTCTTGACAAATCTAACAAGGTAAACCAAAGGCAAGGAAAAAAAATCATAAAGGAGGTGACAACACATAATTTAATCCTTGCTATTGACATTCATTGTCTTAAAAGTCAAGTTTTTTTCCCCCCAACAATAAGCTTTTTTGATAAAATGAGAAGTCAAAACAGAGTTGGATATGAGGACTAAAAGGGATACTGCAATCTGTGTATGGAGGGGTGGGGATGGAAGGAAAGATTTCCATTAAAGTATGAGGCTATGATCTCTCGGAGTAGTGGGGAAAGCAGTCCTTCCCTTAAGGTCACCTCTTTTTGATCTGGTCACCTTTTTCCAATGAGGGAAGTAATCAGACTGCATTGCTAGTGTCCTAGAGCATGAACTTCCTGGCTTTCGGTCAAGACCAATTCAGTAAACTGGCTTAGGGTTTTCTTTGCCTACTACAAAAAAAATCCACATTGGGCTCTCATGACAGCTCAGCATTGTGGAAAGTGCACTGAACTTGGAGTCAAAGATCTGAATCAAGTGCTTGTTTTGTTTCTTGTTTGCCACATGATTTAAAATTGGGGGTAGACTTACTCTCTTCCACAGTAAAAGAGGGGAGATAATAGCCTCTTTCATAAGATTACAGTTGACTCTTGAACAATGGTGGGGTTAGAGATGCCAAGCCCAGCTCAGTCAAAAATCTGCTTATAACTTTTAAGTCCCCCAAAACTTAACCACTAATAGCCTACTGTTGACAGGAAACCTTACTGATAACATCAATTAACACATATTTTGTATGTTATGTGTACTACTTACATACATTACCTTATTTTTACGATAAAGTAAGCTAGAGAAAAAATATTATTAAGAACATCATAGGGAAGAGAAAATATATTTACTATTCATTAAGTGAGAGTGGACCATGATAAAGTTCTTCATTCTTGTCATCTTCATGTTGAGTAGGCAAGGGAGGAGGTGTAAGAGGAGGGGTTGGTCTTTCAGTCTTGGGGTGGAAGAGGTGAAAGAAAATCCACGTATCAGTGACGCAGTTCAGACCCGTGTTTTCAAGAGTCAATGATACTAAGATGATTCAAGGCAGCAGTGTAGAAGAAACCACTTTTAAAGATGTCTAATGCTTTGCAAACACAGGTAGGTATTATTATTTATGGCATTTTTGTTATCTCACAGTTTGACCTCTGATGAAAAGTCACTATTAGCAGTAACTTCAACTGAAACTCTGCCAGAATCTCCTACTTTTTCTTTCTCTGTGTTAAATGTTTTTTCTACGTTACATCCAAAATATTCTAGCAACACATGACAGAGCATTTCAGAATGTGAGAATGCACAAACCACCTAAGGGAGGGTGAGGTGGGGAGTGGGTTACTTCCCACACATTGGACAAAAATGTGCTGGTTTATTCCAGTGGTTCTTACCCCAGGATGGTTTTGACCTCTCCAAATCCTAAACATTTGCAATGTGTAGAGGTATTTTTGATGGTCATTACTGAATGGATGCTACTGGCATGTAATGGGTAAAGGCTGGGGATGCTGCCACACATTCTACAATGCATGAGACAGGAACCCACAACAAAGGATTTTCCAGTCCAAAATGTCAGCAGTGCTGAGGCTGAGAAACCTTTGCTTTATTTGGAGGAGATATCTTCCTTCCTAGGGTTCCCAAATGGATTTTGTCCATTGGCAAGCTCTGGAAAGGAGAGGCTAAAAAATTGTCACACTTAAAAATATTTTGGATGACTAGAAAGAAATGACCATTTTAATACACTAACATCTCTTGCATTGTCTTTTAGAATATTTTTTCTAACACACGTCTTTAAATAAAGAAACCTTAAAAGGAAATATGTTGTTTGCCTTTCTTTTTATTTTATGTTATTATAATAATGTATTTGCTTGAGATATTCTAAACCTTTTATATAATTCAGATGGAAATGTGATGCCTGTAGTAAGAATCATGAAGTCTTTCATTGAGTAACCTTATCTCAGAAAAAATATCTCAGAAAAGCCACCATCTTAAATTTAGTACTAACTTCAAAGTTTCAAAAATTTGAAATAGGCTGGGCATGGTGGCTCATGCCTGTAATTCCTGTGCTTTGGGAGGCTAGGGTGGGCAGATCACTGGGGCCCAGGAGTTCCAGATGAGCCTGGGCAACATGTCGAAACCCTGTCTCTACAAAAAATGCAAAAATTAGCCTGGTGTGGTGATGCATGCCTGTGGTCCCAGCTACCTGGGAGGCTGAGGTGGGAGGATCACTTGAGCCTGGAAGTTTGAGGCTGCAGTGAGCCGTGATTGCACCACTGCATTTCAGCCTGAGCAACAGAGTGAGACCCTGTCTCAAATGAGTGAATGAATGAATGAATGAATGAATGATTTGAAATAGTTAAAACTTTATAAAAGGTTTGCAATATTAATCTTATAAAAATGTATTCAGATTGCCTGATTATCATTAACCTTTCATAACACTTGCTTTGTCAATCTCTCTCTCATTTTCTCTAAACACACAACTTCTTTTTTTCTGAACCAGTGGAGAATAAGTTACATGCATGATTCCTCATTAATCCTAAACACTTCCATGCATATTTCCTAAAAATTAAGACACCAATTCCCAGCCATAGTACAGACAACAAATTCCAAAAATTAATACATATACATTACAATCCTCTTATTCAAATTTTACTTATTGTTCTGTTACTATCCTTTATAACAAATTTTACTTTGGATACTTTGGTCTCCTTTAGGCTGGAGTTTCTTAGTCTTATTGTCTTCCTGACCTCTTTTTTTCAGAGTATACACTTGATACTTTGTAGAAAGACCCTCAACTTGGGATTATCTGATATTTCCTCATGCTTAAATTCATGTTGACATTTTTGGCAAAAATACTGTAGAAGTGATACTGTGTTTTTCTCAGAGCACGTAATCAGGTAACACCCAATATTGTTTTGTTCCTTTACTGGTGATGTTAACTATGATTAACGTGGTGAAGGTGGCTTCTGCAAGGTCTCCCCACTGTAATATTCCTGTTTTTCCCTTTATGTTTAATAAGGATTTTGTGGGGCTATTCTTTGAGACAGTGTAGCTATCCTGTGATGGTTAATTTTATGTGTCACCTTGGCTGGGCTAAGGATGCTCTGACAGCTGGTAAAACATTGTTTCTGGGAGGGTCTGTCAAAAAGATATTAGCATTTGAATCAGTAGACTGAGTAAAGAAGATCCACCTTCCCCAATGTGGGCAGGTGTCTTGCAATCCACAGGAGGCTAGAATAGGACAAAAAGGCAAAGGAAGGGTGATTCTTTCTCTTCTTGAGCTGAGACATCCATTCCCTACTGCCCTTGCTCTTGCTTCTTAGGCCTTTGGCACTCTGGGACAGCTTGTAGATGTGTATTGTGGGATTTCTTGGTTTCCATGATCTCGATATATATATCTATATGTATATGTATATCTGCATCCTCTTGGTTCTGCTTCTCTTGATAACCCTGGCTAATACATATTCTTTTTCTTATTAGTTTATTTGCTAGTTTTAACATCTATTGAATGATTCTTGCCTGAATCAATGATTGTTATAATGGCTGTCAAAAGGTGTTTTGTGTCTTTTGTTTATATTTATTAGTTGGCTGTAAGAAAGGGCTTTGTCTTCTACTTATTTATTTACTCATGTGTTTATATCCTTGGGGACTCATGGTGTCCTATTTAATTCAATGAGTGGTATACAGTTACTTCAATGTTTAATTTTTAATCTAAAATGTCTCAGATTAGCAATGGGAGACTTTTCAAGATAACTTCTGTGTTCCTTTGACATTATTTGAGCCCCTCCTTACTTTCTGGTACAGATAGCTACTCCAGGCTCTTCTTGTACTTTCCCAGGTCCAGCCCTGGAATCAGTTATTTCTCTGGGAAGTCCTTAGTCCTTTTAGTGGAGAATGGTATTTAGAGACCATAATCTGGGAACATGGTGTGTTCACTGCCATGAAGAGGTAATTGTTTCTAGATCTAGCAGCAGTCACAGTGGAAAATACATACATACATACATACATACATACATACATACATACATACACACACACACACCAAAATTTTGACATTTATCTATTATATCTGTCTATCTATCTAGAGCCATGAGAGGTTCACATCAATACCTTCAATTTGAAACTAATTCCCAAGATCCTAAATAATTCATTCTGTTTTTCTTCCTTTCCATATTTGTACACCTTTCTCTGACAGTAAAAACCTAGTTCCATTGTTCTCAGTATTTACTAGTCTGTTTAATCCCCCTGAATGTCCTCAGTCTCCCAGCTATCCTAGCTGTTATCTCAGTAGGCTGCCTCATCACTTGGCCACCTCCTCACTCAGTGGAAGAAACAATTAAGAAGCAGAGAGCCCCTGAATTTAAGGGAAGCTATAGATTTTCCCTCACTTTAGAAAAGGAAAGATAGGAGCATGTTGAGAGTGTGAGGTCTTTGGCTACAGCCAGAGATTAGCTGACATCATGTTAGTTAGCCCTAGGGTCTAAGACATGTACCCACTTTAAAGCATTCCCTTTCCAAAGGAGACTAAAAACACATCACAATTAAATGTAATGTTTGAGCTTGCATTGGATTCTGGATTTTAAAAATCTATAAAAGATATTATTAGTACAGCTGGTAAAATTTGAATAAAAACTATGTATTAGATAATGGCATTGTATCAATGTTAAATATTATACTGTAGTTGTGTAAGAGAATGTCTCTGTTCTTGGGAAATAAACACTAAAGTATTTAGGAGAAAACAAGGATGATATATGCATCTTATCTGAAAGGGTTTAATAGCAATAATAATATGCAAGTACAAATGTGAGTTTGAATCTCTATCACTTAGCAGCTCGATGAACACAGACAGATTAATCAACTTTTCTGTTTTCAATTTCTTCATTTGTAAAGTAGAGATGTTAATAATACTTTACTCTGCGTTTATCTTCGGAGTTAATGAAAATGTGTATAAAGGTCAGGCACGGTGGCTCACACGTGTAATCCCAGCACTTTGGGAGGCTGAGGCATGTGGATCACCTGAGGTCAGGAGTTCAAGACCAGCCTGACCAACATGGTGAATCCCTGTCTGTACTAAATACAAAAAAAAATCTGGGTGTGGTGGCATATGCCTGTAATCCCAGCTACTTGGGAGGCTGAGGCGGGAGAATTGCTTGAACCCAGGAGGCAGAGATTGCAGTAAGCCGAGATTGTGCCACTGCGCTCTAGCTTGGGCAACAAGATCAGAACTCCATCTAAAAAAAAAAGAAAATGTGTATAAAATACATGACAGTGCTACAGTGCCAGGCAATGAGTTGGTGCTCAAGGAATATTTGCTAAGTGCATAAATGTGTGAATGCTATTGTTTTATATTCCATGAGCCGTTCTAATAATAATGTCCATTTTTTGTAGCCCTTGATAATAGTGCTGAGAAATGTCCTGACAGCTACAAAACGTGCACTTTTTCTTCTGGTTTGAAAGTCCTGGGGCCAGGCTTGGGTTATATTTTCATCTCTGGTCTAAAGATAATGGCCACTAAGCCTGGTAAAGAGACACAAGAGTGAGAACTTCCACTTTTACATGGAAGGAAATTTGTACATGGAAGGGAGGAGTCATTCTCCAAAAGAAACAAGGAACTGAGCACACAAAACAATAAATGGCAACCGTAATTCTCAGAGCAATCTTTAAGGAAGGTATAATTACTCCCATTGACATGCAAGGAGAGAACATCCTAGAGGGGATAGATAACATGTCCACAGTCAGTCACACACTTACTAAGTAGGCATGCAGAGTGAGGTTCAAATCTTGCTCAGAATTATTTCGCATCTGATGCTCCAATGGCTGTGCTATTCTTAAACTGATTAATATAGTTTTAGCCTTTATTACCTTTTATGGGTAGGAAATACTGTCAGTTTACTACATGCTCAACTAATTGCCTCTCTTGTGCTTCTAGAAGAATCCCTCATCCTAGAGTCCTTATCCTGTGGTTGAGGTATATCCATTTGTTTTCAGTTCAACACAATTGTATTAATTACTTTCTACATGCGGAATTAAATGTTACTGGGCATCACGTAAAATATAAGGACAGAGTGTATCCACTTTTAATGGTATCCACTAGCTTGTGATTTTGTAGATTAAAATGATATCTGGGCTGCAGACAAACTGCACGGGATTATGCAGCCAAAGTTAAGCATGCATGCTCCCTCCCTCTTACCCACTTTTGCCTACCCCCTTCTCTAGTATTTAAATGGATCTCCTGGACAACTTTCTTGATGTTTAATTAAAATAAAATATTTATTAGGTATCAGTTTGTGTTTAGGTGCCAAAGATTAATGCCATACGGTATCTACTCTGATGAAAACACAGTCTAATTAGACTATCGTCACCCTGTGTCATCACAGTTAGACTTGGCTTTTGGTTCCCTGAGCATGTCTCTTTCTCCCACTGCGTTTTACTTCTTTCTTGGAAAGAAGTAGTAATGACACTAGTTTTTCTTATCATCTAGCAAGGAGTGTCTGATGATGTCCTAACTTCACTTTCAGTTGATTTAGGTATATATGTCTCCCAGCCTTCTAAATTATTTGCTTATTCATTTATTCTTCAGTACATTTACTTTCTATTTATTGAGAATTTACAAAATGTCTTGCATTACCATTTACATTGAAAGCTAGAAGAGGGACTGAGTAATATATATTTCACTCTATAGTAATATAGATTAGTGGCTCTCAACTGGGTACAATTTTGTCCCTAGGGGACATCTGGATATGTCTGGAGACATTTGATGGTCATGACCAAGGAGGGGCACCAGGCCAGTGAGTATAGGACAGGGTTGATGCTGAAAATCTTACAATGCACAGGAAATCCCCTTCCTCCAACAAAGAATTATCCAGCCTAAAATGTCAATAGTGGTGAGATAGAGAAACCCTAATATGGATTCTTATAACTCATAGATTTGCACCAAGTTCCACACTTTAATCTCAAAAATCATCTCAACTCCCTAGAAACTGATAATATAGAATCAGGGATTCTCCACACCTGGAATCTGTGAAGCTTTGATTATTTTAGTTTCTCCTCACAATACCTCTGAGAGACAGAGGACATTCCTGTTTTACTGATGAGGCAACTCTGTCTTGAAGAGGTTAAGTAACTGTCAGAAAAAGTGTTCACTTTTCCTCTTTCATAAAGTATAGAAAAGAGGTTATTGAGTTTTTACTGAAAGGCTTACTCTGGGCAGCTGGATGTCAGCGCTAGCGTTTTTGGAGGAAATTCAAGTCTTCTCTCTATAGAGCTGTCAAGTCATGACTCGTCCTTAAAGGTGGGCCAGAAGTTCCCCTATAGTTTTTCAATTATGTGAGAACAACAGTTAAGGAGTTATTGATCTCCAGGGTGACTGCTGGCACAAGGATGTAAGCATTAGCCAAGAAACAAGACAACTGTGGTCATTGGTAATTTTTCCCACTTCCATGAGGCTTTGTACAAATCTGGCTGCTTCTAAATCTCTCCTGCATGTGGCTTTTTCAGACTGTCTTTTATAGGCTCCAAGCTCTCCTCCCTTCCTGGTCTTCTGGGCACTTTGATAACTTGTTCATCCCTTGTGATTTAAGCTTATTTCTATATTGCTTTATAAGAGTTTTTGCAGTTCTATTTGTGCATATTTCATATTTACAAACTGATTGTAAGCTTCTTTCTGAGTCGAAGACTGCTAAATGCTATCGACCAACAAATATTCTATCACAAAAGAGACATCCTCCACTCCATTATTTTACTTATCCTAATCCAAAGTTATTTATAAAGTAGCATATACCAGATAAAAAAGAAAATATAAATAAGACTATTAAACACTAAAAAGCAAAAGATACCAAAATAATTTGTGTGGATTAAAACAAATAATGCAAATAAATCACATGGCACAGTTGTTGGCACCCAGAAGCATGTGCTCAGTAAATACTAGAGGTTATCATTACAATTCCTCCCAACACATAGAAGTGTGCTACGAAAGTAGAAGTTGTTTTATACAAGTTTGTTGTGTGATTGAAGGAGTCTATCCTGAGATGCTGAATGTGCAGTAAGATGCCGACAAGTGTATTTGTGGCCCTCAGCAAAGGGTTTGGGTGGGCAAACATTTATCCGGATGCATCATCTACCAGCTGAGTTGTTTCTGGGTTTATCTGACAGGGAATGACGTTTTTACAAGTGAAGTAAACCACTAGGTTGACTTGTTGAGGAGGAGTCAGCCTCAAACATACTTCTCAGCTCACAGTATAAATGGCATTTGATTTTGTTGGGAGTCTGTCAGTTGCTCTTTAGCAGGCTGAGATTCCATTGCAGGAATCTGGAGAGCAAGATGTACATTGTATTTTATCAGAGAATGCCCTTGTAATAGTAATAGCTCTAGACATATAGAGAAGGGCCAGGGAAGCCCAGTAAACAAGTCTAAAATGTCAAAACCTGTAGTACAAGCAATAAATGGTTAAATTTGGAAGAAAAAGTGGTTTTACGTGTACATCCATTTGAAATATGTTTACTTCTGGCCTTATCAACGTGGAGGGTAAAAGGAGGATAAAACATGACATTCTAGCTCTCCCTGATGGGAGGATCCCTGTAGGAACATCACCCCGTGCTGAACAATGTGGATCCTGCCTTTGCAAGAAGCAGGTCAATTGCCAAGATGGCACATTGCCATGAAAGGTTTGCATGCCCTGAAAAATGGAGATAACAAGTTACAGCCTAATCCAAATTACTGAATGTATGTTGAAGTCAAACGATATACTCTGTGAAAATTATTTGACTCTTGAATTCACATTGTTTTATTTAAGCTATTTTCCCAGTTTTAGACTCATATTCCCAGTCTTGACTCAACCCGATATGTCAAATGTGTTTCAAAACAAGATCTTCCATTCCAAGCTTTGCTTCCCTTTACTTTTACATTCTCAGTTAAAGGCTTGTGTGAGTCTCACTTGCCGGAAGCCTGGATTCTTTTCTCCATCACCCAGCACATTCAACATTGGTTTCTATTCTGTTCCTTGGTCAACCTAGAGTAGCTAGCACTTAAAAGGTTCTCATCTATGATTGTTGGGTAAAAGAACAGATGTGTCCAATTTGTTAGCAGCTACTGCCAATTCTACCTTGACAAGGTCTGCTGACTTCATTGCTTCTTTCAAATCCACAGGCTTGTTTCATCCATTGAAAACATTATCACATTCCACTTTGGTTGTTGCAATAATCTCCTAACCGGTCTTCCTGTCACTACTAGTGTCTCATCTCTACCCGTCGTTCCCCTTCTTATTAATTATCCATCTAATGCCCATGTATTTATGTCCCTCCTTTGCTCAAAGACTCCAGGGGCCATTCATTGCC
The DNA here is from genome assembly GCF_000001405.40 of Homo sapiens. NCBI lineage: Eukaryota > Metazoa > Chordata > Mammalia > Primates > Hominidae > Homo > Homo sapiens. The sequence continues at coordinate 87,678,092 of NC_000014.9, read as the reverse complement.
TGCAGGATGATGACAGGACTCTTACTGTGTGAGACTCTCATCTAGTTTGTGTATGTAAAATAAGACTGACTGGGGCTCAAACCCTTGTTCGCTATAGTTCTTCCTCCCTACACCAATCTCTGTAACTCAGCCTTGTCGGCCTTCTTTCTTCCCATGTGCATCTCCATTTCAGGCTAATTTGCAACTCTCAGCCTCTGTAAATGTTCCTGTCTCTATTTAAAATGTTCTTTCTCTTCATTTCCATTTAGCAAACCCTACTCATTCCTATTCCAAGACCTGGCTGGAATGTTATGTCTCTCCTAAATCAGCTAATATATTAGTAACCCTTTACTTTGGTTTAACTACAAAATTTCGTTGCATCTCTATGAAAGAACTTACTATTCATTCAATTTTTTTGCACTACATTAAATCTTTAATATATATGGTTCTATAATTTACCAAACTGTTTGACCTTTGACAAATTACCTGCCAAACTCTTTGTCCCTCAGTTTCCTCATCTGTAGAATGAGGCTAATAGTAATAAATATATCTTAGGATATCATGAGATTTATATGCATTAAAGGTATGTATCATGCATAGAAAAGTGCCTAGTAAACACTCAATAAATGTTAGTTATTTTTGTTATTTTATTAAATCCTCATGACAATTCTATAAAGTAAGTATTGTAGTATTGTTATCCTTATTTCACAGTGCAGATGCTGAGGTCCAAAAAGTTTAAAAGACTTGATCAAAGATCCAGAACGGGTAAGTGGAAGAGCAGAGGTTTGAAGCTGAGTCACGAGGCTCTGGAAACCTAAGCTCCCACCAGCATATGGTGTTGCTACTGCAGTTTGATTTGTTTGCATATCTGCCTTCCCTGGACACTTAGGGAGCACTTGCTTGTGTAACATCAGTATCTAGCAGAGCATCCAGCACACAGGAGGTAGATAATGAGTGAATATGTGAATAAACATGATTAGTATGTATTTTAGCATTGGGATTGGCCATCAAAAGTTGGTTCTGAAAGCACATTCCCAGCAGGAGTGCAGTTAAGTTTTTCAGCTCTGCCATGCACATCCTAAGAGGTGGGTCACAGGGGAGCAATACAGGAGGGTGGAGCTATGAATGAGTCTTGACTCCTCTTCCCCTTCTGTTTCCCTGGAAGCTGCCTCCAGTGTGAGTGATGAGTAATTACATAAGTCACCTATGTGATTTTTAGTCTATATCTCTAGAGTCCAAGAAATGTCACATTGTCTTATTTCTCTAAATCAGTTTTATTCTGCTTTTGGTCCTTTATTACCTGGCTGGTGAGAAATTCAATCTCATTCATTATTGGGATTTTCTTTCCTTCTCTGTGCGGTCTAAAATAATCTCTGGAATACCAGATGTTGAGAATGGGGAAGCTCAGATCCTTTGTCTAGGTTGTTCATCTTTGCTATTGCTCCTTATATTTCTGGCTATTATTGTTGAGAGTTAAGCCTATTCAGAGACACCCTGCTTTAGTGGCCAACTCTTGTCTACACACTTGCATGAGGAGACATCTAATTTTACCCATCTGGAACAGCCTCTGCAAGCGTTTCAATACGTCTTCCATGAGAAAAGGTAATGTCATGGAAATCCTCATTCCCATCCCTACTGTTAAATCCTTAAACCTTCTCTCTGGTCTGGAAACTTCTTCCCTTTTTTCCTTGCCTTCTATCAGAGCACCTCCTTTATCCATCCCCTCCTATCTGGTCCAAGATCACTCAGCACAACCCCCCGCTGATGGATTTTAAAAACTCACTAGTAGACTCTCTTTTCTTTGGAATATGGTGGCAGAAAGAGATGTTAATTCTTGTTAGTATTTACTTTATACCACACCTACTTATATAGATGCATGTGTTGCAATGGGCAGAGCAGGTAGTATACAATAGTAGAAATAGGGGTGGAAATGTGGGGAAGGAAACAATCCTAAAATATCTCTTTGTATCTTCCTGTCTCTCTATGTCTTCACTGCCTTCTCAGTTTATCCATTCTTACATGATTATTTTTCTCATTTTGCAGACCTAAAGTGGGAGTTTTCATAGATTGTGTAACAAAGCAGGACTGAATCCTATTTTCTCATCTCCAAGAGGCTTATTGAAAAGAATAAATCATTTTTGGTCTACATGTTACCTTTGAGTTTTCTTTTGAAACCCCATGTGTAAATTTGCAGACTTCACCTGAGCAAAGGAAGCCTCTGGCATTTCTTATTTGGCAGCCTTCTTGCAGTTACTTCTGTGTTGAAGTACAGCAAATAATTTAATTTTATCTCTTCCTGTATGTTGCATTTAAGTTTTCTGCTAAAGGCACATGCCGCTTTAGGTGAATTAAAATTCAACAGCCCTGTTCATTTTTCATTTTATTTACCTTAGAGACTAGGTGGTATATACACACTCGTTAATATTTGGTACTTAACTAATGAGGCTGTGGTTGCACCTATGAAGCCTCAGTCTTCTAATTTTATCCCTTATAAAGGTGATGGATGATATTAATGAGGAGGTTTGCTCTAGATCAGTGGAAACACCTTCACTATTCAACAAAATTTTCACGGTGGGAGGAAGGTTTCTGTCTCATAGTATTTCTGGATGTTGAGCATCTAATACAAAACATTTTCTTCAAAAAGCCTCAAGGAAAATGTCCTTTAAAAATAAAAGTCTTGAAGAAGATGAAGAAGCCACCTAACTGAGTCTAGCCTACTTCTCAGACATTCTATTGCCAAATGCTTGTGGGCTCCGGGATGAGCTTGCGGTCAAACATAAAATCCTTATTAAGGACCAAGGCTTCAAGGTTACGAAGGTTAGTTGCTCTGGTACTTGGAGGATGCTGACTACACTAGTAATGACATCTAACCTAATGAAACTGTCAATGAGAGGGCAGAACCTCTGAGTACAGGTTTAATAATCAGAAAGAGTGAGGGACCTGGATTTCTATATTCTCTGTCATTTACAGTTTGCCATTGGGAATGAGCCACCAGTGAGCATACCCCTATGTACTAGGTCAGAAATTACCTGGATGAAATTCTGGGTCACCCCTGATGAAAAATTACATTTTTTGAACATGTGTAAACTGTCAGACACTGTGTTCGGCACTTTATAGACACTGAATCTTTCATATGAGTGAATATTGTTAAGTACTTAGAATAGTGCCTGGCACATCATAAGTACACATGGAATGGAGTTATTATTATTGCTGATTATTGTTTTTGTTATTCTTCATGACAATATTATAAGATTAGCTTTACTGTTTCTCTTCTGCTGATGAGAAACCTGAGATCCAGAGAGGTTAAAACCTTGCAGCACTCAAAACAAAAGGTGGGAGCATGTCAAAGGGAGGCAGGGACCAACCTGAAAGAACTCCCAGTGGCCAAAGCTGGGACGATTTGAGTAATAAAACACGTGATACAGTATTGAATTTAATCCAAAGTGCAAAATAAATATCCATGAGTCCATGCCGATATAAATAAATGACCAAATAAGTAAATAAATGGGGGAAAGGAAACAAATCTTCTGTACCAAAGAATTCCAAATAATTTATGAGCTGCTGTTCCCTGTATGGAGTGCAGCTCAATCTTTCCTCTACCACCTGAAGCAGACTGTGTTTAATGACTAGCTCCCAAAGATAAGTCACGTTGATAGCATGCACTGTTGATATGATATGATATGAATAAAATTTAACTTCTGTGGTCTTATACCTAAAGACCTATAACTCTAGTATAACCATGATAAAAACATCAAACAAACTCGAATGAAGAGGCATTCTGCAAAATACTTCACTGGTACTCCTCAAAACTGCTCAAGTTGTCAAAAACAAGGAAAGTTAGGAAGTGATTAATACACAAAAGATTTTTAGGGTAGGAAAAGACTCTCTGTGATACGATAATGGTGGATACATGTCATTATACATTTGTCTAAACCCATAGAAGTTACAACATTAAGAGTAGACCCTGATGTAAACTACGGGCTTTGGGTGATGATGATGTGTCAGTGTAGGTTCATCAATTACAACAAAAGTAGGACTCTTGTGGGGGATGTTGACACAGTGGGTGGTTGTGAGTGTGGGACCAGGGGGCACATGGGAACTCTTTGCATCTTCCTCTGAATTTTGCTGTGAACATAAAACTGCTTTTTAAAAAAAGTCTTAAAAAAAAAAAACCAGCCAACAATCCAACCAACCAACCAACCAACAAACAACAAAACCAAGGAAATTATGAGAAAGTGTCATAGACCAGTTGAGCCTAAGGAGACATAAGAATAAATCGAATATAGTGTCCTGAATGGGATCCTGGTACAGAAAAAGGCCAACACACACACACACACACACACACACACACACACACACACACACACACACACCCAAAAAGCAAAAACAAAAAACTAGTGACATTTAAATAAAGTGTGGAGTTCTGTTTATGGTAATGTACCAGTGTTGGTTCTCAAGTTGTAACAAATGCTCTGTGGTTATATAAGGAACTAACTACAGGAGGAAATTGAGTGTGGAATATATGAGAAATCTCTGGACTATCTTTGCCACTTTTCTATAAATCTAAAACTCTTCTAAAATAAAAAGGATTAAAAAAATAAAAGTTCTGCAGATTACCAGGATTCAAGTCTAAGTCTTCATATTTATAGCCCAGATTCTTTCTATAGTTTACAGACTTATATTTAATGAAATTCAACTTTTTAAATGTATTAGGTTTGAAATACAATTTTCAAAAAGACAAAAGCATGTCTCTCATACAAATACAAAATGAACATGTGCCAAAAATTTTATTCTTCATTTTGTTAATGAGAGAAACAAGTAACATTTGTGAAGCTAGGCATATATAAGTATCTTTTTTAAAAAAGATAAGATTACTGGGTTAGAGAGAAAACTAATTAATATCTCACACAGCAATAAACAGAACCATTGAAGTTTTTGTTTCACTGACCAGAAATTATTTGCATCTTTTTCTGAAAAAATCTACAAATTAATCTCTGCCCCTAAAAAGATGTAAAATAACCCAGTCAATAGGAAGTTAAGCCCAGGATTGCACAGAAATAAAACTCAGTAATCCCTTTTGTTTATTTTTACAGTTTAGGGTATTTTTTGTCATAAGTCTCTTTCCCATTGCCAGTGATTATGATCTTCAAATATTTTTCTTGTTTTCTTTTTAATGTAGACTTTAAAAAATTATTAATTTTTTTTTTTTTTGAGACGGAGTCTCGCTCTGTCACCCAGGCTGGAATGCAGTGGCACGATCTTGGCTCACTGCAAGCTCTGCCTCCTGGGTTCTTGCCATTCTTCTGCCTCAGCCTCCCGAGCAGCCGGGACTACAGGTGCCTGCCACTATGCCTGGCTAATTTTTTGTATTTTTAGTAGAGACAGGGTTTCACCATGTTAGCAGGATGGTCTCGATCTCCTGACCTCGTGGTCCGCCTGCCTTGGCCTCTCAAAGTGCTGGGACTACAGGCATAAGCCACCGTGCCTGGCCAAAATTATTAATTTTTAATTTTTGTGGAGACATAGTAGGTGTATATATTTATGGGGTACATGAGTCATTTTGATATGGGCATGCAATGCATAATAATCACATCGTGGAAGGTAGGGTATCCATTCCTTCAAGCATTTATCCTTTGTGTTACAAACAATCCAGTTACGCTCTTATAGTTAATTTAAAATGTAGAATTGAATTATTGACTACAGTCACCCTATTGTGCTACCAAATACTACATCTTATTCATTCATTCTATTTTTTGTACCCATTAACCACCCCCACCTCCCCCTCACCCACCCCCTCCACTACCAGTACCCTTCCTAGTGCCTGGTGACTATCCTTCTACTCTATCTCCATAGGTTCAATTGTCTTGATTTTTAGCTGCCACAAATACGTGAGAACATACGAAGTTTGTCTCTCTGTGCCTCACTTATTTCACTTAACATAATGACCTTCAGTTTCATCCATGTTGTTGCAAATGACTGGAACTTGTTCTTTTTTATTGCTGACTAGTACTCCATTGTGTGTACATACCAAATTTTCTTTATCCATTCATCTGTTGATGGACACTTAAGTTGCTTCTAAATCTTGGCTATTGTGAACAGAGCTGGAACTACCATGTGAGTGAAGTTATGTCTTTGATATACTGATTTCCTTTCTTTTGTGTATATTCCCAGTAGTGGAATTGCTGGATCCTATGGTAGCTCTCCTTTTAGAATTTTGAGGAACTTCCAAACTGTTTTCCATAGTGGTTGTACTAATTTTCATTCCTACCAACAGTGTTTGAGAGTCCTATTTTCTCCACATCCTTGTAAGCATTTCTTACTATCTAACTTTTGGATAACAGCTATTTTAACTGGGTGAGAAGACATAGTTTTGATTTGCATTTCTCTGATGATCAATGATGTTGAGCAACTTTTCATATGTCAAAGATTTTTCCTGGTCACACACAGAGTCTTGTTTCCTTATGTTTGGCCTGATTATTTGCAAAGGCACAGCAAGAGTGTTAATTAACCATACAGTCCTCCTTCAATTGGCTTTGCAGATCCAGAGTTATCCAGAGCATTGACATCTACTAATGCCTGAGAATTAGCTCTGAATGAAAATTTTCATAAGGAATCTTACATTGGACTTTCAAAGATCCATGCTATTTAGTCTTGTTTCTAAAGGCTAGAAAATCAAGGCTAAGATACTCCATCATATTTGATCCATGGTTACTGTAAAGTTGGATACATTTTTCTCTTTGAGGCCTTTCAAGTTTGCTAAGGTTCCTGGTTTGCCTGGGAATGACCTTCCTCTCCGCCTTTGGGGTTGGGCCTCTCTAAGCAGGTTCTGAGCCAGTGTTTTTGGAGGGACTGTATAGGCATTGGCTCCACATGTGAAGTCAATCCTTATTTTTAATAGAAATTTATTATATGTGATTTTTTTCCTCTTTTTGTTTAATGTTTATTTCAGGTTCAGGTGGTACATGCGCAGATAATTGAGGCACAGAAATGAATAAATTGAATGTTGCTGGGGTTTGGTATACAGATGATTTCATCATCCAGGTAGGGGGTGTAGTATCCAGTAGGTAGTTTTTTGACTCTCACCTTCCTCCCATCCTTTTCCCTCAAATAGGCTCTGGTTTCCGTCATTCCCTTCTTTATGTCCATGTGTATTAAACATTCAGCTCCCTCTTATAAGTGAGAATATGCAGTATTTGGTTTTCTGTCCCTGCATTAATTCGCCTAAGATAATGACCTCCAGCCACATTCATGTTTTTGCAAAGGACATAATTTTATCTTTTTAATGGCTGCATAGTATTCCATGTAGTATATGTAACACAGTTTCTTTATCCAGTCCGCCGTTGATGGACATTAAGGTTGATTCCATGTCTTTGCTATTGTGAATAGAACTGCAATGAACCTGAAGATGCATGTGTCTTTTTGGTAGAACAATTTCTATTCCTTTGAGTATAGAATGAAGTGAAGATATATACCCAGTAATGGAATTGTTGGGTTAAATGGTAGTTCTGTTTTAAGTTCTTTGAGAAATCTCCAAATTACTTTCCACAGTGGTTGATCTAATTTACATTCCCACCAGCAGGGTATAAGTGTTCTTTTTTCTCTTCAACCTACCAACATCTGTTATTTTTTGACTTTTTAATAATAGCCATTCAGACTGGTGTGAGATGGAATCTCATTGTGGTTTTCGTTGGCAATTCTCTAATGATTACTGATGTTGAACATTTTTTATATGCTTGTTGGCCATGTGTATGACTGCTTTTGAGAAATGTCTGTTCATGTTCTTTGCCCCTCCTTTTTTTATGAGGTCATTTGTTTTTTGCTTATTTAAGTTCCTTATATAATCTGGATATTAGACCTTTATCAGATGTATAGTTTGTGAATATTTTCTCCTATTCTCTAGGTTGTCTGTTTTTAATTTTTAAATATGACACTCTAGGTAAGGCCTAGTTACACAACTGCCTTGTCCAATTATATTCTGGTAAGAATGAGATGGATTCTTATTCAACTTGTTTAAATAATTATATTTCTACAAAAAGCCTGGAGACTTGGCAAAGGTCTTGCTTTTTGAATTTTGAGGGGCCAATATGAATAAACCACTGCTTTAAAATTTTTCCTTTTAGTTCACAAAAGTAGAGTCTGTTAAATTGAAGGTCAGAGATAGTTTCAGAAAAAAGAGAAAGAGCTTACTCAATATGTCTACAGAAATCCAAACTAGGCAAAATAAGGCTAACCAGCACTGCTATATTGTCACTTGGGTTTTCCAAAAGCCCTTTGATGTCCAGTGGTAGCTCCCTGCCACACCACTCTAGGGACATCATTCACACAGATGCCACCTGGAGCTGTGCTCTGTGACAGCCAATGCTAAACAGATTCACAAATTAACAAGAGTTCTTTGGGACCTTTGCAGAAAAATTAGAGAAATGGGGAGAGGGAGAGATAAAGCACATTTCTCAAAACTATTAAGTATGTTGCAGGATATAGAGCATGGGGCATTATATACTTCATATTTGTGCCTGTGTCATAAAGAGATAGACAATAAGAAATTTGTGCCTGTGTGATAAAGAGACAATAAGAAGCGTTCCTCTTTTTTTTTTGGTTTTTCTCTAATAACTTCATGTCCTGCTGTTGGCAAGGCTGTTATAGAATCTTATGGAAAATTAGCCCAGAAAAATCCACTCCGCTTACTCCAAATGACTCAGTGTCAACGTTGAATCCCCTGTTAACTCTGAGGTTCGAGTCTGTATGAAATTGTTAGAGACCAAGTCATGTTTTTGTATTTGTCTGCATTGAAAGGATTTCTCCTCCCTCAGAGTACATGGGAAAACAATGATGGCAGATGGAAGGCTGAGTGCTGGAGGACAACAGTGTACTGCTAAGAGGTCAGCGGTAACCTTCAGGGACAGCAACCCAATGTGCTCCAGAACTGTGCAAAAATAATGTTACTAATAATACAGAACACTGAAAGAGACAATGATCACATACCTAACGGAAGAAGGATATTTGTGTCCTTTCATTTCATTTCCATGGAATTTCCAGGAATCAAAATTCACACCAGATTTATTTCCAAAGTTATTTAAATACTCTTCTCATTCTAAAACACATTTAGATTTTATCTAAATTCAAAAGGGCATTCGGAGAAAACAAATAAGGACACGCTAGGGGAAAATCAGGTGACAAGTGGAATTTACTACACCGGAGGACAGTATTGATGGCATATTCTCAGGTGGCAAAGTGTGGTCACCTCAATGTCACATCCACAACTGGCATTTTGTGAGTACTGTGGCTGCCTGTGCAGGAATTCACTCAAATTTACTGGGTTTTGCGATTTCCTTTGTAACTGTGTGTGTGTGTGTGTGTGTGTGTGTGTGTGTGTGTGTGTGCGCGCGCGCGTGATCTATTTACGTTTGCTGCATTTACTATATGGAATTAGTTCAACCTACTTTCTATCGTAGGCTGCTTTTTAGTTCATGGTATTCACTGAAATACAGGGCTGACATTAGGTTTTACAGAACCACTATACAGTCTAGGGCTTCATTTATTAATACATTTGTTGTTTTTGTGGCCTATTCCATATCGGCGATCACAAATACCAATGTATTTCTTTTTAGCTATGTAATTTTATACCTTTTATTTTAAAGTAGGTAAGAAATCCTTTTGGATTCTAACGCTTGGTATTCTTCATTTAAATAAACAAAACTCTGTGTGCCCATAAAAAACCACATTGCCATCACTTTCAATACAACTGCAATGAAAAGTTCAGTGCTTCTATTCCCCCCGCCCCCGAAAAGAGTCTTATAAACTTGGAATAAATCTGATATACCTGTGTCTTATACAATGTTGATATATAAAATATTTAAAGATTAGGTTTCCTACTTGTTTGCCACCACAAAAGAAAGCAAAAGAAACACTAATTACTCTTACCCTGTCTTAAGTGCCTCTTGGCATGGTGAATAGCAAGAACAGACTTCTCTGAACCATAGTCTACTCCTGGTGAAAATATGTCTCCATCCCCAAAGCTGTACCATTAGCCTTTCCTTGGAAACCTCTCTGTACACGGTTTTCACCTCTTGCATCTGAGAAGGACAGATGATAAAGCCTTCCACCCCACTGCCAAGCTGGCGAGGCATTCAATTTCTCTCCTGGTTCCACTCTAATTAAATGTGGATTTTATGTAAACCGCAACCCAGACTTTTTATGAATTCAGAATATGCAGGCTTCATTATTCTTGTCAGGCAGCAAAACTAGACCATGACAGATGAGTTTCTGAGCATTTGCTGATCATTCATCTACAAAACATAATAGTTTGATTCTTTCACTTAGGGCTATTTACAGAAACAGAAGTTGATTAATTGAAGCGCCGGCACTGGGTAAATTCTCATTCTCTTTCTTTTGAATCCACTCTTGATGTATCTCAAGGAAATCATCATTAATAATACATTACCAAAGGAGGAATACCATGACTCATTTCCTCTAGAGAAATTATATGATTTCATTAGCCTGAAATAAATATGTATTTCTTTAACTCTATTTTATCTTTGTTAAACATATACTTTCATATTATTAGAGTTCCAAATATATGGATATGTCCATACTTAAAAGTATCATAAAACATGGTAGCAATATTAATAATAATGCTCAACATTTATTTAAGACTGAGTATAGAATAGGTCCTTTATATTTGTGATTTCAAATCCTAAACAATAACTTTGATAAATGAGCCATTTACTACCCATTTCACAGAAGAGAAAATAGAGACACAGAGATTAAGTAATTTGTCCATGGCAAAAGCAGTAGTAAGGACCAGAATCAGGATTTAAAACTAAGTATAATTGACCCTGAAGCTTGTGCCTTTTAATCACGATGCTATATTATACTGTGGATGAATAAAATTAAATGTCAAATGTATGGCCTGATTAACTGATGGTGCATAGGTAGACCTATTACGTTAAATGTGTTCAGATTCCTTACTATTTTCAAAGATATTTTTCGGAGTCAACCTAATTCCCCATGACAACATTTATAGGAAATGAAAAATGTCGCCATTCTTGAGCCACATTCACTTCACCCCGGTGAGCTCCAGGTTCCAGAATATGAAAGTGCCAACTTGGGAGTCATAAGCATGGGAACTTCAGCCACTGTCCCAGATTGCTGCTCTGTAAAATGAGAGAGGGGACTTTCCTCATTCTCGCTTATTCTTCTACCTGTGATCATTGGCTCTTATTAACCAATGTAAACTCCTAATTCAGCACAGGTTGTTTAGGGGGGCCTACCAGTGGCCCCTGTGGCTCACAAAACACCACATTTACGTAGAGCCAGGCCTTCAGTAAAATCCTCTGAAAAGTTCTACTTATGGCAATACAGTCCTCCAGACTTTTAAAAGGTTACTCACAGGACTGGGGACCATAAGGTGGCTGCAGATTTTCTTTTCCGTTCTTAATTCATTAACAATACATGGCAAGGGGTAGTGGCCCCTTCAGAGCAAGGCAGAAATAAAACAAGAGAGTTCTTTAGGAATTTATTGTTCAAGGTTCAATATTTCTTTCTATGGGGCTGCTAGGGTCTACTGCAGACCTTGTCCTGACATCTCTTCCGGGGGGACAACATGATAGGAAAGAAAACACCAGAGTAAGGCAGAAAATCAGATGCTGCCTCTTACTAGCCTTGTGACCTTGGGTTCATCACCTTAGCCTCTGAGCTTCACTTTCCTCATTTACCAAGTGGGGTTTCTACCTCATCACCCAGCTGTGGCCCACTTACGTCATGTGTGATATGTGTTCTGCTGTGTGATAATGGTGGTGTTCTGCTGTGTGATGATGGTAGTATTCTGCTAGTGGCCAGCCCATAGCCAGAGGTCTTTTACTTAGGAAACTGTAAAGTTACCTGGCATGTTTTTCAGAACTTTTGACATTTCAAACTCTGAGCTTTCTCATATTTATGTATAAGTTCTATGAACCCTCCATTGCAGCATCTGCCTGTTCTGCCTATCTTCTGGTGAAGAGATCGGGCCAAATTTTTATCCTCTGCAGCTCACTGTTGTATTTAACAATGAGAGAAGTGTGGCTTTATCAAGCTTTCAGGAACAAAGCAATGCAAACCATTTAATTTAGCATTTAATTACAATATCCTGGCTCACTGACAAGTTGCTGGGCTCTGGCTAAGTAACCTGAGTGGAAATGTCTGTTCCTATTTTGCTTTGAGTTTCAAAGTTTATGTCCTTCTGAGTTGTTCCATTTGGCTTCGGTGTCACCACTTGAGTTTGGAGGGGGATGCAGTATGAGAAATAGCGGCGTGGTGAGATAATACAGGTCTTGATATGCACAAAAGTCAACTCCTGGGCCTCATGCTTCCCTGGCTAAAATCTATGCCACTGACTCTTCTGCTGAGCCAACCCCTTAGGTTTCCACCTGTATTAGTTTCCTATTACTGCTGTAACAAACTTATAAACTTAGTAGCTTAAAACATCACAAATGTATTCTCTCATGGTTCTGGAGGTTAGACATTTAAAATGAATCTTCTGAGGCGAAAATCAAGGTATCAGCCAGGTTCCACTCCCTCTGGTGACTTCAGAGGAGAATTTTCTTGTGTCTTTCAGCTTCATGAAGCCACCTGTATTCCTAGACTCATGCCCCCTTTCTCCATCTTCAAGGAGCGTCGCTGCAATTTCTGCTTCTTACGTCACGTCTCCTCTGCCTCTGTCCCACCTGGCTCCCTCTTATAAAAACCCTTGTGATTACATTGTGTCCACTCAGATAATCCAGGATAATCTCTCTGCATCTAGTTTCTTAGTTTAATCACATCTACAATGTCCCTTTTGCTATTAAGGTAACATATTTACAGGTTCTGAAAATTAGGTTGTGGATATCTTGCCAGGGTTAGGGGGAACGTGATTCTGTCTACCACATCATCTTCCCAGGGGCACTAAGATGCATTTAGGACTCACTGCTGTGTCTCTCTAGTTAACCACTCTCATTTGGGATTGCCTGACCTCTGCCTTCCAGCAGACCCTTATCTCTCTGCAACTCTGTCCCCCACCTTAACAACGTGCCTATTTTCTTCTTTGACTTGTTTATCTTGGAAATTCAGTTTATCTTGGCAGAGGAAAGAGTAGTTGCCACGTCATTTGCCATGACAACCCATATGATCCAGCAATCCCACTCCTGGGTATATACCCAAAAGAAAGAAAATCAGGGCCGGGCGCGCGGTGGTTTATGCCTGTAATCCCAGCACTTTGGGAGGCCGAGGGCCGACGGATCACGAGGTCAGGAGATGGAGACCATCCTGGCTAATTCGGTGAAACCCCGCCTCTACTAAAAAATACAAAAAATTAGCCAGGCGTGGTGGTGGGCGCCTGTAGTCCCAGCTACTCGGGAGACTGAGGCAGGAGAATGGCGTGAACCTGGGAGGCGGAGCTTGCAGTGAGCCGAGATCACGCCACCGCACTCCAGCCTGGGCGACAGAGCGAGACTCTGTCTCAAAAAAAAAAAAAAAAAGAAAAAGAAAATCAATACATTGAAAGGATATGTGCACTTCCATGTTTGTTGCAACACAATTCTAAATAGCCAAGATTTGGAAGCAACCTAATGAGGTTATATGATAAAAGCTACACACAAAGACATATACGTGTATATGATGAAAGTTATATACAAAGATGCTTACTCAGAACCTGACAGCTGGTAGGTGGTAGAACTAGCATTTGAAGACGAGTGTGTTTAAGTGCTGAGCGTACTGCTTCTCAATCAAGTAGACTTACTTTCTTCCATCTCAAAAAATTTTGTAGCCACTGTTCAGAATAAGAGCTATCCCAACTCTTTCCAACATTAACCCTGATAGCTGGATTTCATCTCTTTCTACCTCCTCTGGAAGATTGGACCATTAATTGTTTCTTCTTCCTTCTTGATCTCTCCATCATCTTACTTTTTAAATTTTTTTAATTGTTGTGGGTACCTAGTATGTATATATATTTATGGGGTACATGAGATATTTTGATACAGGCATGCAATGTCTAATTGCTCCAGCTAGGACTTCCAGTAGTGTGTTGAATGACAGTGGTGAAAGTGGGTATCCTTATTGTGTTCCAGATCTTAGAGGAAAGGCTTTCAGTTTTTCCCCATCCAGTATGATACTAGTTGTGGGCCTGTCATATACGGCTTTTACTATGTTGAGGTATGTTCTTATACCTGGTTTCTTTGAGGGTTTTTATCTTGAAGGGATGTTGAATTTTATCAAACGTTTTTTCAGCATCAATCGAAATGATCATATGGCTTTTGTTCTTCATTCTGTTGATATGATGTATCAGATTGATTGATTTATGAATGCTGAAACATCCTGCATCCCTGGATTAAATCCCACTTGGTCATGATAAATGATCTTTCTAATGTATTGTTGGATTTGGTTTGCTGGTATTTTATTGAGGGTTTTTGCATCAATATTCTTCAGATATATTGACCTGTAGTTTTCTTTTTTTTGATGTGTCTTTGGCTGGTTTTGGTATCAGGATAATACTGGCCTTGTAGAATAAGTTTGGAAGTAGTCCCCTGTCCTCTATTTTTCAGAATAGTTTTAGTAGGATTGGTATTAGTTCTTCTTTGTATTTGTGGTAGAATTTGGCAGTGAAGATGTTGGGTTCTATGCTTTTCTTTACTGGAAGACTTTTGATTATGGCTTTAATCCCATTACATTTTATTGGTCTGTTCAGATTTTGAGTTTCTTTATGATATAATCTTTTTATGTTGTATGTGTCTAGGAATTTATCCATCTTCTCCCAATTTTCCAGCTTTGGGCATATAGTTGCTCATAGTAGCCACAATGATCCTTTGAATTTCTGTGGTATCAGAGGTAATGTCTCCTTTTTCATCTCTGATTTTATTTGGGTCTTCTCTTTTTTTTCTTAGTCTGGCTAAAGTTTGTCAATTTTATTTACCTTTTCAAGAAACCAAATTTTCATTTCATTGGTCTTTTGTATTGTTTTCCTCATTTCAATTTCCTTTATTTCTACTCTGATTTTTATTACTTATTTTCTTTTACTAATTTTGGGTTTGGTTTGCACTTGCTTTTCTAGTTCTTTAAGATATATCACTAGGTTATTTACTTGAAATTTTTCTTTTCTTTTTTTGATATAGGCACTTATACCTCTATATTTTCTTCTTAGTACTAGTTTCACTGTATCTCATAAGTTTTGATATATTGTGCTTCCATTATCGTTTGTTTCAAGAAATCTTTCAATTTCCTTCTTAATTTCTTCATTTAACCACTGATCTTTCAGGCATATATCATTTAGTTTCCATGTGTTTGTAAAGTTTCCAAAATTCCTCATCATTAATTTCTAGTTTTATTCCCTTGCAGTCAGAGGGATGCTTGATATTATTTTTTGAATGTTTTAAGACTTGTTTTATGACCTTGCATGGTTTATCTTTGAGAATTAACCAGGTCCTGAGGAGGAAAAAAATGTGTATTCTGCAGCTGTTGGATGAAATGTTCTGTAAATATCTGTTAGGTCCATTTGGTCTGTAGTGCAGAATAAGTCCTATTTTTTTTTTGTTGATTTTCAGTGTTGAAGATCTGTCCAGTGCCAAAAGTGGGTTGTTGAAGTCTGAAGCTATTATTTTATTAGGATATATCTCTCTATAGCTCTAATAACATTTGCTTTGTATATCTGGGTGCTTTCATATTGGGTACAAATGTATTTATAATTGTTATGTCCTCTTGGTGACTTGACCCCTTTATTATTATATAATGACCTTCTTTGTCTCTTTTCATAGTTTTTGTCTTGAAATCTGTTTTGTCTGATACAAGTATAGCTACTCCTGCTTTTATTTGTTTCCACTGGCATAAAATGTCTTTTTCCATACCTTAATTTTCAGTCTATATGCATCTTCACAGGTGAAGTGTGTTTCTTGTGGGCAACAGATCATTGGGTCTTTTTAAAAAAATCCATTCAGGCACTCTGTCTTTCAACTGGAGAATTTAGTTCATTTACATTCAATGTTGTTATTAATAGGTAAGGACTTAACTCCTGCCATTTTTAAATTTGTTTCCTGGTTATTTTGTAGTCTTCCCTTCTTTTTTTCTTTCTTGTCTTCATTTAGTGAAGGTCATTTTCTCTGGTGATACAATTTAATTTCTTGCTTTTTATTTTTTCTGTATGCATTGTATTTTTTTTATTTGAAGTTACCATGAGGCTTGCAAATGCTATCTTACAACCAAATCTTTTAAACTAATGACAACTTAACACTGATTTCAAAAACACAAAACCAAGGAAAAAGAATACTAATAAAAACTCTACCCTTTAACTTAATCCCCCTGCTTTTTAACTTTTTGTTATTTCTTTTTATGTCTTATTATATTGCCTTGGTCTTGAAAAGTTATTGTAGTTACTGGGAATGTACAAGACTTACTGATAAGTACAAAACTCAGATAAGTTCTTCTTGCTTATTGACATCCTTTTCTTTCAGATTGAGAAACTCCCTTTAGAATTTTTATTTTTTTTTTTTAGGACAGTTCTGGTGTTGATGAAATCCCTCAGCTTTTGTTTGTCTGGGGAAGTTTTTATTTCTACTTCATGCTTGAAGGATATGTTCACTGGATATTTTGTTCTAAGGTAAAAGATTTTTTTCCTTTAGCACTTTAAATATGTCATGCTATTCTCTCCTGGGCTGTAAGGTTTCCACTGAAAAATCTGCTGCCAGACATATTGGAGCTCCAGTGTACATTATTTTCTTTTCTATTTGTTTTAGGATTCTTTCCTTATCCTTGACCTTTGGGAATTTGATTATTAAATGTCTTCAGGTAGTCTTCTTTGGGTAAAATCTGCTTGATATTCTATAACCTTCTTGTACTTGAATGTTGATATCTTTCTATAGGTTTGGGAAATTCTCTGATATTATCCCTTTGAATAAACTTTCTACCACAGTCTCTTTCTCTGTCTCTCTTTAAGACAAATAACTCTTAGATTCGCCCATTTTAGGCTATTTTCTAGATTTTGTAGGTGTGCTTCATTTTTAAAAAATTCTTTTTCCTTTTGTCTCCTCTCACTGTGTATTTGCAAATAGCTTATCGTCAAGTCACTAATTCTTTGTTTTGCTTGATCAATTCTGCTATTAAGAGACTCTGATGCATTCTTCAGTATGTCAGTTGCATTCTTCAACTCCAGAATTTCTGCTTGACTCTTTTTAATTTTTTAAATCTCTTTGCTAACTTACCTGGTAGAATTCTGAATTCCTTATCTGTGTTATATTGAATTTCTATGAGTTTCTTTAAAACAGCTATTTTGAATTCTCTGTTTGAAAAGTCACATATCTTTGTTTCTCCAGGATTGGTCCCTGTTGCATTACTTATTTCATTTGGTGAGGTAATGTTTTCCTGCATGGTCTTGATGCTTATGGTTGTTCATTGATGTCTGGGCATTGAAGAGTTAGGTATTTGTTGTAATCTTCTCAGTCTGGGCTTTTTTTTGTACCCATCTTTCTTGGGAAGGCTTTCTAGGTATTTGAAGGGACTTGATCCATAAGCCCATTAATGCTGTGGTTCTTGCAAACTCGTAGAGGTACCACCTTGGCAGTCTTGGATAAGATTTGGAAGAATTCTCCAGATTATCAGGCAGAGACTCTTTTTCTCTTCCCTTACTTTCTCATAAACAAACAGTCTCTCTCTCTCTCTGTGCTGAGCCACCTGGAGCAACAAGTAGGATGATGTCAGCACTTCTGTGGCCACCACCACTGGGACTGCATTGGGTCAGAACTGAAGCCAGCAGAGCACTGGGTCTCATCAAGGGACCTCTGTAACCACTACCTGGCTATTGCCTATGTTCACTCTAGGGCTTTTGACTGTACAATCAACAAGTGGGAAAGCCAGCCAGGTCTGTGTCCTTCCCTTAAAGGCAGTGAGTTCCCCTCGGGCCTGGGTGGGTCCAGAGATGCTGTCTGGGAGTCAGGGACTGGCCGTTCTGTTCTTCTGTGGCTAAGCTGGTCCTCAAACCCCAGGACAAAGTCCTTCCTGCTCTGCTTTCCCCTTTCCACAGGCAGAGAGCAGTTGTCCCTTGTGACCACCACCACCACAGGCCCATGGGGAGTACTGCCAGGCCACCACTGATGTTCACTTAAAGCCCAGGGGCTCTTCAGTCAGCTTATGGTGAATGCTGCCAGGCCTGGGACTCACCCTTCAAGGCAGTGGGCTCCCTCTGGCCCAGGGCAGGTCCAGAAATGCTGTCCAAGATCCTAGGCCTGGACTCAGGGACCCCAGTAGTCTGCTTGGTACTGTATCCCCACTGGCCTAGCTGGTAGCTAGGGTGCAAAACTTTTCCTTCTGCTTTTCTCAATCAGGAGTCTCTCACTGTAGCCCCCACAGCTGGGAATCTCACTTGAAGCCAGCACGTCTCAGAGTCTCACCCAAGGCTTATGGTGTACTACCTAGATATCACTGTGGGTTATCCGGGGCCCAAGGGCTCTTTCGTCAGTAGGCAGTGAATCCTGCCAGGACTGGGTCCTTCCCTTCAAGGCAGTGGGTTCCCTTCTAGCCCAGGGTCAGTCTAGAAATGTCCAGGAGCTGGTGCCTGGAAAGATGGCCTCACCACTCTGCCCAGTTCCCTGTCTTATTATGGCAGAACTGGTATCCTAGATGCATGACAAAGTCCTCCTTACTGTTCACTGTCCTTGCTTCAAGCAGAAGGAAGGAGACACTCTTGTTGCTGTGAGCTGTACTAACTGGGGCTGGGGAAGGGGTAATGCAAGCACATCCTTATTCGCCTTGTCTGGTACCTCATGACATCATATGCTGCACTAGTCCACTGGTTTTAAGCCCAGCCCAGCACTAGGAGTTGCCTAGGGGTGACCCTTGTGTCCTAGACTGCCTTTCAAGTTTACCTTGGAATCCAGAGCTTTTTAGCCTATGGTGGTGAGGCTTGCCAAGAAACTCAATTCTGACAACTGGGATTGGTGATTCTTCTTTGGCTAAGGCTGGTCTAAATGCTCCCTCCATGGGCAGCCATTGGCTGAACCCAACAGTGTTTTGCTCTTTGTGGTGACAAGGTAGCATTGAGTTTAATGCCAAGTCCCTCCAGTGACCGTGCTCTCCCTCCCTCAAGCACACACTTTCCCTCTCCACATCATATGGCTACTGCCAGGAGATGAAGGAGAGGTGGTGATGGCAATTCAAGACTATCTTTCCTACCCTCTTCAGTGTTTCTTTCAGCAATATGAAGTTAAAGCCAGGTACTGTGGTTGCTCACCTGATTTTTAGTTCTTATGATGGTGCTTTTAATGTGTAGTTAGTTGTTAAAATTTGGTGTTCCTGCAAGGGGGACAATTGATGGAGACTTCCATTCAGCCATCTTGCCTCTTCGTCATCTTTATCTCATCCTCTTCAATTTACCAATGTGTGTGTCTAAAAGTTATCCAAAATTGTCCCTACTTTTTCATTGTTTCACCTAATATCTATCCTTCACTTTACCACATTCTTTGAAAGAATAGTGCACTACCACCATTTCTCTATTTTGTTTCTCGGGTCCCTATAGTCTTACTTAGTGTAAAAAAAAAGTTTCTACCTTAACCAACCTGTTTGCAAAATGTCACCGTGTCAGCCACACATTTCATCTTCAAAGCTCTTCCTCCTTGTCTTTCCAAAACACTTCAATCTTTTGATTCTTTTTCTTCTGGTTAGTTGATTTTGTGGTTGTCTTCCTCTCCTCTAATGGATCTTTTCTATCTTCCTTCATAATTGCACCATCCCCCATGAGTACACCTCAATATTCAACTACTCAAACTAAATTTCTAGTCCCATATTTGAGTTCTGCATACCACCTGCTGATTGCACATTTTCCCCTGAATTTCTGCCAACTCTTCAAATGTAGTGGGCAAATGTGAGCTCATTTATTCAGTAGGATTGCTTATATGTTTACCATGCACCAAGTTCTTTGCTGTGAATGAGATGCAGCCTTCAGGGATTCTAATAGGAGAGAGAGATGTTGCTATATCATTGTAATGCAGTTCAGAGGATCTATGGTAGAGAGATGTGCTTAGGGGTACAATGAAAGCATAGAGGAAGGTCCTCACGCAACCTGAACAGAGCATTAGAACAGAGGTATTATTAACAGGACAACAAAGGAGAATGGGTGATGGAGGAGCAGGAAAGAATGGCCCATTCAGAGGGGATTGTATAGAGCAGAGCATACAACTGAGTGAAGGAAAGATCTGGTTTCTATCCAGTGATAAGGTCTTCATAATTTCCCACTTTGGGTCAGTGAGACCTCCTTCTTCTTCAAGCAGTGGCTTAATGCATGTGAAAACATTTGGAGTAGTTCCTGGCTTAACTGAACTGTCTAATGAGTATTTGTTGAAGAGCAGGAGGGGTAAAATTTAGATGTTACCATTTCACAGATCATGTTTGCCACTCAGGTCATAGACTGAGGGTTTCTTGTCTGTGTTAGCTGAGGTCTCTACATGGTTCTCTGGCAGGGGTACCTCTCCTGAAGCCCCTTCCTCCTGGCTTTAGATGGTTGTGACCTCATCTACGTGCCTTGTGCTTATGTCTGGCTTCATTTCGTACCTAGAACCCTCTTTGCTAACGTCTTTACTATTCAAACAGTCTCCAAGAAAGGATCTGAGCATATTTGTTGGCACTGTGTATCCTCACCTACTGGCTTTGACCCCTAAAAGTCTCCTGGCAATATTCAATGGAAACATTATGACTTACTAGAAGGATTTCAGACTTTTGAAGGTGAAGAAAGTGGTATTTTTTTTTAAAGAGGCAGTGGCCCTTCACCCCTTCATGAAGTCAGACCTGCCTATCTTAGGGCTTACTCAGACTGCCCAGATGCCATCTGCCTTTTCTCAAATTCCTGGATTTAGAGAAAGACTGCAGGGGATGCTGAGTGTTTTGGTAAACTGGAACTTGCACACATTGTCTAAAGTGTGCTCTTTCTAAGGCTCTGGCTGGTGAAAGCATGTGAGAATGCTTTAATGCAAACCCAGTATCGCCAAATCCACTAGTGATTCCAGAAATCAGATATCTACATGAAATATTCCCAATTTAAAAACATTGGAATCTAAGTTACATTTTTTTTTAGATGGAATCTCACTGTGTCACCCAGGCTGGAGTGCAGTGGCATGATCTCGGCTCATTGCAACCTCTGCCTCCTGGGTTCAAGCGATTCTCCTGCCTCAGCCTCCTGAGTAGCTGGGACTACGGGCGTGCGCCACCACGCCCCTCTAATTTTTGTATTTTTAGTAGAGATGGGGTTTCACCATATTGGTCAGGCTGGTTTTGAACTCCTGACATTGTGATCCAACCGCCTCAGCCTCCCCAAGTGCCGGGATCACAGGTGTGAACCACTGCGTCCGGCCTCTAAGTTAATTTTTAAGAAAACATTGCATAGAACAAGTGAAGCACCTCTCTAGACTACCTCCTACCTGCAGGCCTCCAGCTAATAATCCCTGACATTTAGCAAATGAGAGTGAGTGCAAAGGCTAGTAGCCCCACTAGAAGAGAAATGTGCTAAAAATCTCTTACATTAAAAGCACCAAGAAATGACTCAGTAGAGCTAAATATGGGACAACAACATGAACACAGCTCTTGAGAAATCTCTTTACTCAGATATGAAAATCAGCCAATGTGCCTTTGCTATCATCCAAGTCCTGTAAGACTCACCCGTGTGTGCTTCTAGAATCCAGATGATCATTTTTTGCTGGGTTTTCCACCCACTGAACTGGAGATCCAGAGAAAGATGTTGGTCAGCACCAGATTGTGGAGCAGAGAAAGAAAGAAATAACCTAGAACTTTGGACTTTGTCTGAAAGCAGCATTATTTTCAGAGAGGTCTGAGGAGTGCTAAAATAGGGCAGAGAGCCCAGTCAATGTGCTCCTCTACACAGAGTGGGGCTATAGATGGCAAATTGAGCATGAGATAAAATAAAACAAAACATCACTGGGGTTCACCAGGGCTGCTGACATAATACGGTGGCTGAGTCTCCCCTCGTTCTGGAAAACTTTCTTCTTGTTAAGCCACTGCCCCTTTATACTCCAGGTTACCATTACCATTCTGGGAGAATTTACATTAAAATATTATATATATAGATATAATATATATATCGATATATAGAATATATATCTATATATATTCTATATATCGATATATATAGATATATATATCTATATATATCTGATTTGAGGCTTTTTTTTTTGGTTAGACCATGAAAGTCCCTCTGGTAAAGAATGTCGCTAAGCATAAAT
Source organism: Homo sapiens (assembly GCF_000001405.40). Taxonomy (NCBI): domain Eukaryota; kingdom Metazoa; phylum Chordata; class Mammalia; order Primates; family Hominidae; genus Homo; species Homo sapiens. The sequence goes on along the minus strand of NC_000014.9, from coordinate 87,655,893 downwards.
TATGCAAAAACCTTGATTTGGATAAAATGATTTGCCTTTCAGACATTCTGTCCTATTTGTGCATGTCAAAGCAACTTACACCTTTTAGCATAATCAATGCAATTGATTTGTTCAGTGAGATGCATGAGTGATTGAGGTACTGTAGAACTCATCGTCTTAAGGTAAAGAATCGTCCATGACCTATAGAACTGACTTTGTTCAAATGGCAGTTCTGAATCAAAGTAAGTGGGTCATAATATGTTTATTTAAAGAATCTTCCTAGCTAGATGCCATTCTCTCCATCCTCTCTCCCTTTTTCTTTCTCCCTACTTACCTCCCACTTCTCCTGTATTAGCTTTGGGATTTTTAAAAATTCCTAACAAAGAACTTAATCCTGGCTAACTTAAGCAGAAGGGTGTTTATTGGAAGGTTTTCGAGCGCTCGAAATTAAGAAAATAGAGAAGGTGAGTTAGGAATGAGACAGGAATCAGTCCTGATTTAAAGTCTCTGTTGGGGCAGCTCCATCAAGAACACTCAAAGTGGTAAGATTCCGGCTAGGAAGTCATAGAACTATCACTCATTTTCATGCCTGCATTATTTGGTCAACAGAAACCGGTAGCAAATGCAGCAATAGGTTTAGTGAGGATGGATGACTGCCAACTTCTTTCCATTTTCTTACTGGACATTCAATCAGATTATGCCCCAGTCTCCCATGCAAATAGATGCAACCATGTAACAGAGTTGTGGCCAACGGAATGGGCAGAAGTAACATGGGCCCTGCCAGGTGGGTAATAGAAAACCTTCTCATGGGCAGCTTACCGTTCTCTTTCTCCAATCTGCCAGTGACATCATGAGGATTCTGAGGATATAGAATGTAGCTTTTTCTAGCTGTCAATCTTTTATTTGTGTTTTCTTAAATTTCCAATCCACTAGGAAGCCACATGTGCTGGGTGAGTTTGACCACAACCAAAATGGTCTATACTCTGTTGAGTGAGAAAAATCCACTCACCATGAACTTTGAATATTGTAGCAATGGCCAGTTTCTAAAGTTTCCATATGCTCTCCCTCAATTTCCGTATTTCCCTCATTGAGACCATTCATAAGCGGCTCCTGGGCTAATCCAAGCCATGGACTGGCACTGGCCTGTGAATGAAAGTTTGCATGGCACTAATCTGGAGAAGAAGTGGTGCCATGTTGGAAGGAACCTTGTCCTTGAGCCACCCCTTGGAGTGGAGCTGCTCAGGAAAACCAACAAACCAGAGACACCTGAGTTGTCACTTTCATAAACAACAACAACAAAAAATCTATATTTTATTTAACTTCTGGAATTAGGGGGTCAGTTGACAGAACCTAATAATGCAGATTACAGGTACAGTGCTTACCCTCTTCTTGCCAGAAAGCAGTCAGTCTCCTGCGTGGGCATTAACGGGAAGCAGGAACACACTGGATAAAAATAAGAGGAAAACCCCAAATCAGAGCTTGAAAATAGAGGTAAAAATGACATACTATTTTTTCATAGCACATTTTTTTCCTAATTACCAAAATGATGTACATAGTCACCCTCACTTTTGGCAATGTCTCTAATGCCTCCAGAATGGATGGCTTAAGATGTAAAGTGGCCTTTGACTCTAGTGATGCCTCTGTGTCGTACATTATAGTCAATTGCACATCTCTCTCTCTCTCTCACACACACACACACACATACACACACACACACACACAGGTAGAAAACTATTTGAGGGTAGGAATAAAAAGGTGCTTTTGTCTTCTCTCCAGTGCGAAGGGCACGAGCATACAGCTGAAGCTCCAGATGGTTTTACTGAATCACTTGATAAATATGAACATCCTTATTTTGGTAGCCATGCGGCTACATTATCTCAATTTTGCCATCCCTTTAGCCCCCACCTGCACAGCTGCAGGACCTCAAGGACCCCCTCCTCAGCTTCCCTCTTCCACCCACCCACCAGCTGCCAAAATTCCCAGGAGTTCCTTGTCACGCAGTTCTCTGGATGGCCTTGGACTGGTCCTGTTCCCTCTTCAATCTTGCTTGTAGTTCTCAGGAATAACTATAGATTGTGCTGAGAATGCAACAGCCTGAGATAGGCAGGAACTAACCAGAACAGCTCAGGGTCTGCTCCATTTCTCCCTAGAAATAGGATGCTCTTTGGTGCTTTAGCCCAGCCTGTCATGTTGTCCCTGGGATGTATAACCCAGTGCAGGCTACATTCTGAGGTCCTTCAGCTGCAGTGTAAGTGAAGTACATGCAGATGAGGAGATTCCCTTCACCCCAGGCCAATTTCCTGAGCCTTGGGGGGCCAACTTGCAATGAGTTCTAGGCTTCTGTTGTCCTTTGTCTATTGTTCCCATATGTAAATCATATATCCATTTCATGTAACTTGTGCTTAAGTGGGGCCTGTCTCAGCAGACTGACACAAGCTGGTAACCAGTGCACAGTGAACCTGCTTCACACTTCTCATCTATGCTCAGGAAATATTCACTTAATCTTTTCATCCCTAATCTGATTTTGAGGTTTACATGGGCATTTGAGCCAGCCATGTCTCTCATATAATCCTACTCCCTGGGATGCCAGCATATCGCCACTGTCCAGAAGGTATTGCATTTACCCTCTGGTCACCAGCCTGGGCATCAGGGAGGCTCCACTGGAAGATAATGGCCTTCTCTCCACCACTTTGTGACAAACCCATAGGCATTGGAGTCAAGCACAATTAGGTCCAAAACTCAAATCTGCCACTTTGTGATTTTGGATAAGTCACCATATCTCTAAACCTATATTTAACCAGCTATTAAAAAAATGGGTGAATGGGAGCCCTGAAGTGATAGTATATGTTTCAGAATTCAATGAGAAAATATACATAAAGCCTCCAGAAGGATAATTAGTCCATTTAGTAAGCATTCAATAAATATTAGCCACCAGAATTATTATCAGAACAACTATTGATGTCAGTGGAGTTATTGTAAACAATTATTGATGTCATCCCAGATGACTATTTCCTCTTCTGTTCTATACTACTGAGTTCTCAGTCCTAGACCCAGGTTTCTCTTAATCCTGTGATAGCAAGATTTTAAATAAGCACTTCAGTCCCTTTCTATAGTCACTGACTCTTTATGGTGGCATTTGTACCACTTGCACATGGGACTCTGTGTTGACTGAGGTATGGGCGTAGAAGAGGAAACTTGTTACTCCTTTTTTTTGTATATTTATTTGTCTGACTACCTAAACACTGGCATTTATTTTGTTTTTTTTATGTAAAGGTACAAACCATGCTCCTGCTACTACTTAAGACATGTGCATGAAGAAAATATTTATTTTTTCTGAACATCTAAGCCAGCCAAACACGCTTTCTGGTGATAAATTGTGCCCCAGTGGCTTTTTCTGATGAAAAGGCTCATGGCTTATAGTGAAAGGCTGTAGCTGCCCATATTGCAGTTATTACCATATAAATGCTTATCTCTGTCATGGATGTGCATAATCATGAAATATGCTACCTTCCAAGTAGAAATGTGCAACAGATTGTTTTGCAGAACGTTATAGCATCTTATAGTATTGCAATATTTATGGTTGAATTTTCTTTTTCAGTATAAGCAGGTATAATAATTTCCTCCTAATATGTCAGTATGAACTTTCTTAGACTTGACTAAAGACCAGAAATAGATGATTTTGCTGGCACATGTGGACAACCTTAGCAATCCCCCCAGTATTGATATAATTTATGTATTACACTTTAAATATCCTATCTATTCTGAGACATAAAATAGTTTGAATATTTTTGACTGAATTAACTAATCAACTGATTAACAATTTGAGGACTTACTTTTGAAATCCAGATTTTTGAAATCTAAAGAGGTACTAACATGCATCTTGCTTTCAAATTCAATAACCTAAATGGCATCAGCCTGGAAATTGTGGGTGGCGTGGTGTCTCATCTCTGATATAGGCAACATTATCGTGGGTCTTTATTGTTTACCATTGTATCTTCAGGGCCTGCGACTTATCGATTAATCATTTATTGAAAGGATTCACAGCTTAGTAAACATTTGTGAATTGCACTCTATTTATATTTGGAGACTCTCCTTTCCCCTTTGTGATCACCAACATGAGCCTGTGAGCTTGAATGTCCTTGCCAAGGACCACTGTGCCTTTTCCCCCATCTTTTACTCATCTATTCCCACCTACTTGTTTGTAGCAAGCACACTCACAGTAGTACCTGTGCCATGGATATTTGCAATTAACAAGGAGCAGAAACCTTAAAATGAAAGGATAGCAATCTGACTGGTAAACTTTCAGGCAGAATGATGATTTTGGACATCTGCTTCTTCCCTTAGAGCCCCGGTACCACACTCATTTGTGGTCACCAAGTCTCATCTGCCTAATATTGCTCTGTTGTACTTAAAAAAGAGCTGGACTCAATTGTGCAAATGCACTACTGTTTTTAAATAACTATTTCCAGTTACAAACAAAATAGGGTGTTTTAATATTTTGAATACAAGGGCCAACTTGTGTACCTTCATGTACAACTTCTTTTACATATTTGACTCTTGATTGCTTCTTAATGTGGTATCTCATTTCCACCAGCAGTATTAGTCAGTGTTAATATTTGGACCAGCATGCTGCATAATCTAGTTCTCTGAAAGATGCTGCTAATAGTTGAACCCAAACAAACAAACCACATCATTTTATTTAATACTTACATTAATTTATTTCAAATATAGGTATATATTTTTAAGTAAAATATACCGGATTTAGATTCTGCCAAGAGTAACACAGATTCCAAGAACAATGGCTTAAACAGAAATTTGTTTCTCTATTACATAAAAGAAGCCTATAGGTGGAATTCCAGTGCTGCTATAGTAACTCTATGAAATCACCTATGATCCAGCTTACTTTTCCACCTAGCATGGAGATTCAATACTCATGGTCCCAGATGGCCGCTGAATATCCAGCCATCAAAATCTTATTTCATACTGCAGAATGAAGGGAAGAAGAAGGGTATTGTATTAGTCCATTTTCACACTGCTGTAAAGAACTACCGGAGAATGGGTAATTTATAAAGAAAAGAGATTTAATTGACTCACAGTTATGCATGGCTGGAGAGGCCTCAGGAAATTTACAATCACAGCAGAAGGCAAAGGGGAAGCAAGGCACGTCTTACATGGTGGCAGGAGAGAGAGAGGGGGGAGAAGTGCCACACTTTTAAATCATCACATCTCGTGAGAACTCACTCACTATCGTGAGAACAGCAAGAGGGAAGTCTGCCCCCATGGTCTAATCACCTCCCATCAGGTCCCTCCCCTGACAGATGAGGATTACAATCCCACATGAGATTTGGGTGGAGACACGGATCCAAACCATATCATTTCACCCCCGGTCTCTCCCAAAACTCATGGTCTTCCCACTTTTCAAAACTTGATCATACCTTCCCAACAGTCCCCCAAAGTCTTAACTCATTCCAGCATTAACCCCAAAGTCCAAGTGCAAAGTCGCATCTGAGACAAGGCAGATCCCTACCACCCATGAGCCTGTAAAATCAAAAGCAAGTAAATTACTTTCAAGATACAATGGGGCTACAGGCATTGGGTAAATGCTTCCATTCCAAATGGGAGAAATTGGACGAAACGAAGGGGATATAGGCCCCATGCAAGTCAGAAAGCCAGCAGGGCAGTTATTAAATCTTAAGACTCCAAAATAATCTCCTTTGACTTCATGTCTCAAATCCAGGACACGCTGAAGCAAGAGTTAGGCTCCCAAGGCCTTGGAAATCTCCACTCCTGTGGCTCTGCAGGGTTCAGGCCCTGTGGCTGCTTTCACAGTCTGGAGTTGAACGACTGTGGCTTTTGCAGGCACACAATGCAATCTGTCAGCAGATCTATCATTCTGGGGTCTGGAGGACAATGGCTGTCTTCTCACAGCTCCAATAGGCAGTGCCCCAGTGTGAACTCTGTGCGGCAGCTCCAACCCCACATTTCCCCTCTACACTGACTTCGTAGAGGTTCTCCATGAGGGCTCCGCTCATGCAACAGACTTCTGCCTGGACATCCAGGTGTTCCCGTACATCCTCTGAAATCTAGGCAAAGGCTCCAAACTCTTGCCTTCTGTGCACCTGCAGGCCTAACACCACGTAGAAGCCACAAAGGCTTGGGGCTTGTACCCTTTGAAGCAGTGGCCTGAACTGTACCTTGGCCCCTTTTAGCCAGAGCAGGAACTGGAGCTTCTGGGACACAGGGCACCACTTCAGGAGGCTGTACAGAGCAGAGGGCCCTGGGCCTGGCCCAGGAAACCAATTTTTCCCTCCTAGGCCTCTGGGCCTGTTACAAGAGGGGCTGGTGCCAAGTTCTCTGACGTGCCCTAGAGACATTTTTCCATTGTTACATCTGTTAACATTTGGCTCCTCTTTACTTGTGCAAATTTATGCAGCCTTGAATTTCTCCCCAGAAAATGGATTTTTCTTTTCTACCACATGTTCAGGCTGTAAATTTTCCAAACTTTTATGCTCTGCTACCCTTTTAAACATAAGTTCTAATTTTGGACCATCTCTTTGTGAACTTACATGACTGTACACTTTTGGAAACAGCCAGGTCACATCTTCAATGCTTTGCTGCTTAGAAATTTCTTCTGCTAGATACCCTAAATCATCTCTTTCATGTTCAAAGCTCCACAGATCTCTAGGGCAGGGGCAAAATGGCACTAGTCTCTTTGCTAAAGCATAGCAAGAGTGACTTGCTATTGGAACTATTCCCATTAAGTTCCTCATCTCTATCTGAGACCACCTCAGCCTGGACTTCATTGTCCACATGACTATCAGCATTCTGGTTACAACCATTCAACAGGTCTCTAAGAAGTTCTAAACATTCCCTCATCTTCCTCTCTTATTCTGAGGCCTCTAAACTGTTCCAACCTCTGCCCATTACCCAGTTCCAAATTTGCTTCCACATTTTCAGGTATAGCAGTTCCCCACTCTCCTGGTACCAATTTTATGTATTAGTTCATTTTCACATCGCTATAAATAACTACATGAGACTGGGTAATTTATAAAAAAGAGGTTTAATGGATTTACAGTTCTTCAGGGCTGGGAAAGCCTTAGGAAACTTACAATCATGGCAGAAGGCAATGGGGAAACAAGGCATGTCTTACAGGGTAGCAGGAGAGAGAGAAGGGGGAAGTGCCACATTTTAAACCATTGAATCTCGTGAGAACTCACTCACTGTCATGAGAACAGGACGGGGGAAATCTCCCTGTGATCCAGTCACCTCCCACCAGGTTGCTCCCCTGACACATGGGGATTAAAATTCCACATGAGATTTAGATGGGGAGACAGAGCCAAACCATATCAAGTATATACTCTCACTAAAAAGTGCTTCTAGAATATCTCAACATTATTTACACTTAAGTTTCACTGGTCAGAACTTAGTCACATAGCCACATTTCACTTCAGATAAGTCTGGTAAAAGCAGTTTTTAGCTGTGCAGCAATGTTCTCAACTACAAATACAGATTGCACCACAAAAAGGGAATCACTATCCGATAATGTGTTCATTTTCTCTTGCTCTACAACATATCATCACCAACTTAGTGGCCTAAACCAATTATCCATTTATTATCTCATGGCTTCTATGAGTCAGAAGTCTGGGAATACTTGAGTTCGGTTTTCTGCCCAGTTTCTCACAAGGCTGAAATGAAGGTGTCAACTGGGTTTCAAACTCATCTGAAGTCTCAACTAGGAAAGGACCTACTTCCAAGATCTTTCAGGTTGCTGGCAAAATGTATTTGCCTGGGGTTATAGAGTTCATAACCTCTTGCTTCTTCAAGCTAGCGACAGAGAAAGTGTCTGTCTCTGCTACTTTGAATCTTTAACTTCAGGGAAGGTGTGGACCCGCTTTTAAAGGGATCACCTAATTATGTCAGGCCCATTCAGAATAATCTCCTTTTTTATTAACTCAAAATTGACTGATTGTGCACCTAATGGCTTCTTCAAAGTCCCTTCACTCTTGTCAGATTGGTTAGAAGCAAGTCACAGGTTCCATCAACACTCAAGGGCATGGGATTATACATAGAGTGACTCATTGGGGACCACCCTGGGGTGTTTACTTTAGGGATATGATTGGCAATATTTACCCCACACAATATATGATAGTTCTTTTTAAGCTACAATCATCCATTAAAGAATGATGTGTCAGATCCAAAAAAAGAGTTGCCTGAGAAATTATCTGATGGATTTATGCAAGATATTTAAGCTACTCAATGCTGCCTAAGCAAAATTTAGCTGCTACTGGTTAAGCTGATGGATGCCATCTATTCAAGGTAGTTGTTTGTCTTATAATTTCAACATATGCTTGTGATATGGCTTGGCTATGTCCCCACCCAAATCTCATCTTGAATTGTAGCTCCCATAATTCCCACGTCATGGGAGGGACCCGGTGCGAGGTAATTGAATCATGGGGGCAGATTTTTCCTGTGCTGTTCTCATGATAATGAGTAAGTCTCATGAACTTTGATGGATTTATAAAGGCGAGTTCCCCTACACATACTCTTCTGCCTGCTGCCACATAAGACATGACTTTGCTTCTCCTTTGCTTTCTTCCATGATTGTGAGGCCTCCTCAGCCATGTGGAACTGTGAGTCAATTAAACCTCTTTCCTAATCCCAGCACTTTGGGAGGCCGAGGCAGACAGATGATGAGGTCAGCAGTTTGAGACCAGCCTGGCCAACATGGTGAAACCCTGTCTCTACTAAAATACAAAAATTAGCCGGGCAAGGTGGTGCATGCCTATGATCCCAGTTACTCAGGAGGCTGAGGCAGGAGAATCACTTGAACCTAGGAGGCAGAGGTTGCAGTGAGCCGAGATTGCACCACTGCACTCCAACCTGGGCAATAGAGTGAGACTCCATCTCAAAACAAAACAAAACAAAACAAAACAAAACATCTTTCCTTTATAAATTACCCAGTTTTGGGTATGTCTTTATTAGCAGTGTGAGAACAGAATAATACAGTTTGTATTATCTTATAAAGTAATTTAATTTCTATTTTTAAATTTCACACTATCAGAAATTAAAAATAATTTCTGCTATTCACTGTAAGTGCACATTGTACTTGATAAGCACCAGTTCATCATTGTGTCAAAAATTGTAACTAAAAATTCTCAATGTCAAAAGAATTTGAGAAATGCTAACCTTGAAAAATACCAATGGGTTTTTTGAATAGCGGTGAGAGTGGCTAGGAGTTTAACTCTTTGCATCAAATGCAGTATCTCAATAGCGCTTTCACTTGAAGATGATTATTTAATAAGATTGCCAAGTCTGCAGCAATAAGACTGTCATCAAAAGGAAGCAGTGATATACTGCAGAAAATACTTAACACTTAGGTATCCACAGGTCTCCTGGCTCGTGTCTATATCCAATAAGAAGAGTAATAAGAAGAAAAAAGTACCTGGTCTGTGAACAGATATTAAAAAGTTCGGATATTAACGTTCATGCATTTACTTGATTTAGGGACTGTCTTGGAAGCCTTCCCATTTGCTTTGTAATTCTATTAGTCTTAGTTATCTGGCTCCTTAGTCTTTATATGAGAAGAGAAATAAATGAACAAGCAGAGATTGAGACCCCAGGAGTGCCAAGAAGTGGCCTTCTTAGGGAAAGACAGAACAAACACAAAACAGAACTAGTTCAAAATTTTGTGTGTGGAATGGTGAGACCATTTATTTCAGGGGCATGACACCATGTGTCACTACATCATCTTTATAAACTGAACCATTCACAGGTAATCATAATCATAAGCTCAGGTTATAAAGTGTATTGAATGCCTTTTACAAAGTTTCCAAAGATGAATGATTCTTATTTAAAAAAATTTTTTTTCTCACAACATTACAATGAACTGATGGCTCTAAATGTATGAAAAAGGAGCTGAAATGTAGTAAGTCCTCAGTGATGTTAGTTGTTATTATCTATAACTGTTTATCACCTATAATTAGTTATTATTTGTAACTATAACACATGTTGTGATTGTCATTTGTCTTAGTCTGTTTTGTGCGGTTATCACAGAATACCATAGCCTGGGTCATTTATAAAAGAACAGAAATTTATTTCTCACAGCTCTGGAGGCTGGAAAGTCCAAGATCAAGGCACTGTCATCTGGAGTCCTCACTTCTGGGTATATGTGCACAAAAAATAACATAAACATTTTGAAGAGATATCTGCACCCTCATCTTCCTTGCAGTATTATTCACAGTAGTGAAGATACAGAAACAAACTGTTCATTGACAGATGAGTGGACTAAAAAATGTGGTATATGTATGTGTGTGTGTAAAGATATATATATGAATATTATTCTTATAAGAAGAAGGAGATCTTACCATTTGTGACAACATGGATGAGCCTGCAGGACATTATACAAGTGAAATAAGCTAGACACAGAGAGAAAAATACAGTATGATATCACTTATATGTGGAATCTAAAAACGTCAAACTTTAGAAGCAGAGAGGAGAGTGGTGTCTGCCAGGGACTGGGATGTGGGGAAAAATAGGGAGATACTGGAAGATAAATAAGTTCTGGGTATCTAAAGTACATCATGATGACTCTAGTTGATAATACTGCATTGTTTACTTGAAATTCTATAGCAGATTTTAAGTGTCCTCACTATACACACATACACACATACAGAGTATACCTATGGATGGTGGTGGATATTAATTAATTTGACTGTGATAATCAGGATACAATGCATATGTAATCAAATCATCACATTGTTCACCTGGGATATGTTCGATTTTATTTGTTAATTAAACTTTTTTAAAAAAAGAAATACATTAAAAATGTCTTATAGATGTCTGTACATGGTATAAAACCACTCTAACTTTAAGAGCCTTATGCGATCTGATCACTAAAGTTGCTTGGTGACTGAACACTTACTTTTCTAGTTATGGCACAGTTCCATGCGCCAACAAACAATTCAACAAATAAATGTGCAAGGACAATAGGTTGCCATGGAACCAGTATTACAATGCCCAAAGTCATCTAGCTCTATGACAGTGATGCATTAATGAGATGTTTCAGCAGTTAGTGTGCTCTGGAAAAGTGTGTGCCTGCAAGGCTATGTATGTTCCCCTCTTAACACTTAACATAAGAATCTCATTTTGAGGTAGTTAGTTTGTACATCATCATGCGAGATAAAATATAGATGGATATTTTCATAAAGCATCTTTTTTTTAAAAAAAAAGCAGATACTGCAAATGCATCACTTTATTGTTCTTGTTATATATCCTGTGGGTGTAAGAATAATGGTTCCATTAGAATTTTATGTATCTCCTGAACCAGGGAATGGTCAATTATTGGCAACAATCACATTCCCCACACCTCCCTAATGGCTAGTGGCCCACACTGTAAATTAAGTACAAGACATAGAGCAAGCAGAAAACATGGACCCCTGCTTTGGCTAATTTAAAAGGTGTTTCATAACATTAACCCTGCATGAAGAAATTTCTGTCAGTTGCCACGGTACCATAGGAATATGTGTAGAGTATGGATGTCAGATTTGGGTGCTGCATTTTGAGACTGTCATTAACTATCTGGATGGTTACCAGGATAATGAAGGATGTGGAAACCACACTTGAATGGTTGAGTGATTGGTTGGAGGATATGGGATGATTTCGCTCAGGTAAAGGAAAATTTGGGGAAGACATCACAGCTGCCTTCATATATTTGAAAGCCTGTGAAGGAAAGCTGACAAATTCTGCTTTAAGTGGTCATAATTTGAACCACAGTTAGAAATTACAGGTTAGAAATCAGGCTCCATATAAGAAGGAGCTTTAAAATAATTAGAGCTATCCACCAAAGCAATGGTCTACTCTGTGAAGAAGTAAATGTGTACTCTTTAACGTTATCATTTCTTTGGAAATGTTCAAACAAACCCTGATGAATGTGATTGTGGATAGGTTTATTATATAGCAGGGGGAGTTAGACTAGATGATATTTTGGGTTCCTTTTATCTTACGATTTACCTGACTTTCCCTCTTTCCCTCATGCCTCTGCTGTTTTGCTTTTGCACGTTATCCTCAAATAGAAAGAATCTTCAGCAAAGAAGCAGAGAGACTGACAATAATATTTCATTCGTTCCACAGCCATACCTGTGTACCTTACATGTGCAAGCCACCCCTATGTGGGAGAAATTCATGGAGACTGTGGGTGCTTGTTTTTATAGGTTGGTTCTTCACCATTATCCTGTAATATCAATGAAAGAATAAATTAAGATCATACTAAATGGTCTCTTGGAGTTGATCAGACCAAGGAGGCTTTTGCTTCCTGTCATGTACTTCAGACCGACTGCTAGATGTGGCCTCATGCCACCTGTTCTGTCTTTTGACCCTCACTTAGCTTCAGCTCAGTGCACCTGGTCGATAGCATAGTCTACACAATCTTAAAAAAAATTGCTGTTGCAAAGCATTTCAGAATGCATCCTTTTAGTTCGGTAGCCTAGTTTCAAACTTTTTGGAGTTTTAAGTTAAGATATATTTCCCCTAGAAAAGTTGATTGCAGAGTGCTGGTGAGCTCCCATAATTGAAAGTGTCAGGGGTCACTTGTGAAAGGAGGTAGAGCCGGCAGCTCTGCTCTGACAACTGAGTAGATTTGCTGTTTAGTAACTGCATCTTCACATTTGGTGAAATCTCCATCTCTGGCCTTGGGCCAAGTACTCTGTGAGTACTCACTGAATGTGAGTTGGCAGAAATGATTTGTTCAGAGGCTATCTCCACGTAGCCCGTTCAGATTCACTCACACTTAATTGGCTTGGCAATTTTTCTATTTAGGCTTAATAGAGGCTTTCTCCAGGACGGCATGGCAATGAGGGGTTGGGATTGTACTATGTCAAACTGTGTGTTCCAGCTTTTGACTAGCTATTGGAAATTGCAAGAATTTCTGGGAACATCATAAATGTGTTCTACAAAGTTTCTTAAATTCATTTCAACTTTGAAAAGACAATGTAAGTTACGTAGAACATTTTTGGAGTTTCAGGAACTACAAAATATTAGGAGAATTAGACAATATCTGCTTAGGTTTGGGGAAAAATGGATATTTGAGAAGTTATGAAGACTAACATATTAGACAAAATAATGCTTTGATAAAAACAGTAGTAGTGCCATACTTTCACTACTCCTTTTGAATTGAAGGAAAAAAATAGAAGAAACAGGCTGATGTATCCTGTGTTTGGTGATTCTGCTGGCAGAAGTAGTGAGGAAAAAGACTGAATTTGCTTTTAACCAACTACATATCCCAGGAATGTGTAGTTATGGCATAGAGATAACATGCTGAAAGTGTTCTTAATATTTGTCAAAAAGAAGGGAGTGTGGAAGAGGAAAAGCTCTCCAGCCCTGGGTTATTGGGACTTAGGTTGCATTTCTGACCCCAGTAGGGTGTTCTTTGTCCCTTAGACCTGCCAGACTCTGTCTTTGTGGGTTGACTACAGGCAGCACTTTGCTCTTGTTCTCCAAACCAAAGTCAGCTATGTCAATCTCATTTCATTTTCAGCTTTGTGTGAAGCCATTCTCTTCAATATTTTTGACACACAGTCTTAGATCAGATCCATATGCTTATTAATTCCAAGAGAAATCCAGTGGAAATCCGACCTGGGCAATTTATGACTCCTCAAACCCTGGAAAGATTATGAAAATCTTTTAATAATAAAATACAATATGCAGTTATTCCAGAAATTTTTGCTCACTTATCTTCATAACCATAAATTATTTCATACCTAATTACAAACAGGCAGACTGAATAATTGTCTTCATTGAGGGATGTTTGACACTGAGAAAATATAGCCTTATTTTGTAAACCTTTTAATGTTCAGACTATAAATATGTCACAGCTAAGGAGTACTGCATCTTTAAGTGTATTAAAGCCACTCTTGTGTAACCAAATATAATGGGATTTTTAAATGAATTATAACTAAAGTGCTTAACAAACAACTTTTTAAACTTTCAACATGTGTAAAGCTATTTGAAACTGTCCATTTTGTATTAAATGTCCAAAGTATATTCTTAGCCATTTGGCAAAAAGTTTGTATTGGTGGAGGCTTTGTCAAGATATAGATTTAATAGAAATTAAATTATTTGATGGAAAATTTAATAGTTGTTCTCCCCTCATATGCATAAGCTATCACATCAGTGAGGTGTCAGAGCTCTGTTTGTGTTTGTGTTTGGGAGAGTTTTGGAACAAAAGCCATGCATATGCATTTAATGTAATAAGAGGATTGTCCATCTGTATTCTGGTGCCTTGGAATGAAGTAATGAAGTTGTTAAAAACACAAGCCCTTTCCTTTTCAATTCACACCACAGAATGGCTGTCTGGACCTTGGAAAGTAAGAGTCTGAATCTTTATCTAGTCAGTCAGTCATTCATTGCCCTGTGTATGTTATTTCAGAATTCTTATGACAGATTGTAATAGCCAGTTTATATAAATCTTCAGTTGACATCAAGATTGGTTCTTAAACTCTAGAAGAGCAAGGACTCTGTTTTGATCACCACTGTATTCTGGAAAATAGTAATTAAATGAACATGTTTTGAATGAATGAATGAATGAATGAATGCATACACATTTATTGAAGTGTTGCTTGTTGGAATTTGGAAATATAAGGACAAGCAAAAAGCCCCTGCCGTCAAGGACCCTACTCTTCAAAATAGAGAATGATTCCATCAGCTTGTGAATCTGGAGAGCTTCAAAGAGAAATGTAGTGAATCCAAGCACCATCTGCTGTTTTGCTTTGGTGTTTAACCGGCAGCGACTTTGTGCAAGATGTACTGCCAGAGCATCTGGATACAGCATTCTAGGCCTGACGGTTATAAAGGTGTGTTGACCTGCCTTGGGCCCAATTTAATCATGGGCAGAAGGACCCTACACTCCTAAATTTATGAGAAACTGCTGCATTGTAAAGTCCTTTTGATAGCAGAAAAAGGGGTGCCACCTTCATCTGAAAGAGATGTGTTGGCCATGTCCATCAAAACCCATTGAGGTGACACAGTCTGTGCAGTGGCATGAGGAATAATGTGAATGACCCTACTAGGGAATCACTTTGCAGTATTTGAGCCCTGCTCTCAGAATAGAATGTTTTCTATTGAATTCATTGCAACACCAGTAGCCCAAAGTCCAAGGTGTGTATATTCAAGGCCTAGACTGGGGCCTTTGTTACAATCTCCATGGATTCTGGGTCAGGGAGGAACAAGTTATTGAGCTTGGGCAGTGCACAAATCTCAGCTGTGATTCCAGTGAGCTAAGAAAAAGTCAAGCCTAAAATAAATTATTGAATCTTATATCCTTAAGCACAATTCTATTCCAACAATAAGAAATAACCTACTACATGAAGCAAAACCTTCTTTACCACTAGGAACTGATTACAACAATTTGAAAAGACAAAAAAATCTTCCTTTCTTTCTGCACCTTCTCTGATGATATATTCTAAATTCAGAGTATAAGCGTGGGGACCTAGTTAATATTTTTATTTGATAAATAACAAACATCTCAGGCAATGGGGGAAATTCTAGCCAAAGGAAGAGCAAAGGATTTAAGTGGTCTTCCCTTGTTCCCCCACTGCTTGTTGTTAAAAAAAAAAAAAAAAGAAAAAAAGATCTTTCTCCTTGTCCAATGGTGTTTTCTTCTTATCAGAACATCAGGAAATATAAAACTGAGGTTGACTGGGGTTCATGCTTTTCACTTCATCTTTCTGGTATCACTTCTATGAATGTAGTTATTCTGGGAATAAAATTCATCCTTTGGCCTAGATGATGGTGAGAGAGAATGCCCCCCTCCAGCTATTTGAGATTGTGGGTTGTTATCATGGATTAAAGAAAGATTACAAAACAGAACAGAGCAAAACAAGCAGGGCAGGTGGTACTGGATGGGATGGTCATCTGCTGGGTTATTTCAAAGGAGGGCTCCATAGGGATATTTCATAATACAGGGGAGTTTTGCTTAAAAATATGTACTCTCCTTTTTCTCCCATCATCTTTGCCCTCTTGTCTCATCAACTCATTTCCAATAAAGTTGATCGTCTGATACTGCTATGCTTCAAAAAAGAGACCTCTGTGGACTTCTCTTTTTGCTTTATTTATGATAGCAAGAGCCAAAGCACACAGGGCCTGTTGAGTGTATCAATGAGAGAAGTCAAAGAGAGTTTGTTTTATGCCAGGAAGAATCTGAAAGTCTTTATTGATTTTACTTTTTAAATTTAAGAACTAAATATTTTCCTCTTTCTAAAACTCAATGGATAAAGAGTGATGTGACTAAAGTCCCATGGGTCATCAAAGGAGGTCACACCTAAAGAATGTTTCACATCAGCTGTTATCATTTCTGTATGCGTGTACACACATACCACTCAGAGGATGGGGCACACATATCATAATAGCAAAAGTCCCATAATAATTCTGAAGCCTTGGGGAGGCCACAGAAAGTTCCTATTGGGTTGCATATTGGACTTGATCTCTCATAATTTAATGTCTGGCCTGGCAAGGTTAGGTGGAGATGACCTTGTGGAGCTGAACTCCTCAGATGGCCTCCATTGCTCTCTCAGAGCCCTGGGACGAAAGTCCCTTTTCTATGTGTGTGGTGTGGACGGCAAGTTACATGATCTTCTCTTTAAAATCCTCATCCCTATGAAATGGGAATCTCCTGCTTCTGTCTCTGGACCATAGAGCTGAACACTGAGTCAGCCAAGCAAACTTCCTTGATGTTACACAGGATAGTATAGGGTTTAGAGCATGGAGTCTAGATCCAGAGTGCTAGCTGCAAATACTGGCTTTGCCATTGACCAGCATCCAGCTGGGAGTAAGTTCTACTAACCTAGGAGCAGGGAAGGTTCTTCACCTGTAAGATGGGGGGATAATGGCAGGCTGTGCCTGAAACAAAGTAGTGCTGCAGGACTTATTGTTATTATTGACACTATTATTATTCACTCATTCATCCATTTCTGAATCCAGTACATATTCACTCAGTGCCAACTCTATACAAGACACTGTGTGCTAGGATCTAGGCTGTAGTGGTAAAAATCAATAAGCTTTTCCTTTCTTAGAGATTCTAATTTGGCATGCAGAGACAACGTGTAAAAAACATAGATATGTTATTAAGATAATTTTAGATTTAATAAGTGCTAGCGATAAGTGTGATAAGGAGATAAAGCAGGGTAACTAGAGAATACATGGTGGGGACTTCTTTGGATCAAGGTACTCAAAGATGCCCCCTCCCAGGATCAGAAGCAATTTTACCACAAAGAGAATGAACCATGGGCTTCAGGGACCTTCTTGTGCCCGCGCCCCTTCCAAGGCTGCAGATGTGTTTTTATGTGTAGCTGTGTGCTCTTTTTCATAAAAGATTCCCAAAGGTGCATAAGTTTCAGACCCCATAAAACCTGGACATGCCTCTGCTGATGCAGTAATAAGTGAGGAACCACTTAATGGTAAGTGGGGGCAGCACGTCCCAGAGGAAGTGCCTTCCAGGTAGCGGCAGCCAAGAGCTTCAAGCTGGAGGAATGTCAAGAGGCCAGTGTGGTGAGGGCCAAGTGAGCTTAGAGAGACAGACAGGTAGGGCCTTGCTAACTGAGTAAGCGAGCTCTTCAGGTTTGCTCTAGGTTGATGTTGTGGGTTGCATGTGTCTCCCCTCAAAAAGATGTGTTGAAGTCCTGAGGCTCAGAATCAGAATGTAATCTTATTTGGAAATAGCATCTTTATTGATATAATAGAGTTAAAATGACATCATTAGGGCGGGCCTAATAAAAAGGCGTGGTGTCCTTATGAAAAGGGGAGATTTGGCCACAGAGACAGACAACCATAGATAGAAGATGAACGAAGACACAGACACAATGCCATTTGAAGCTAGAGAAGTAGAAAGATTCCTCTATGAGCCGAGGAATGCCAAAAATTGCTAGCACACCACAGAAGCTAGAGGAGGCAGAGAGGGATTGCCCTGTGGGTTTCAGAGGGGCTGTGGCCCTGCCAACACCTTGATTCCAGACTTCTAGCCTCCAGAATTGTAAGACAATAAATTTTTGTCCTTTAAAACCACCCAGTTTGTGGAACTTTATGATAGTCCCTAGAAAACAAATACAGATGAAAAAGACATTGGAGGATTTTAAGTCTATGAGTGACAGGATTTACATTTACATAAGATGACATCTGCTTTGTAAAGAGTACATTGAAAGGAAGTGGAAGAAAATAAACCAGTCTAGGACTTGCAGGGATCCAGGTCTTAGGTGGTGATGGCAGGGACTCTGTGGTCATGGCTGTGGAAACAGAAAAAAGTAGATGGGCCTTATAAAGGTAGGGGTGAGAAAAAAAAGAAAAAGAAAAATGTCGATGATTCCCAGATGAATTTTTGACAATTGACTTGATGAGATTTGCCAGTGGGTTGGACATGGGAATAAGGATGACTGAATCCTTGAGATTTTCCATCCATCTTACCTAGTATGTGGTCTGTCTTCTAGCTGAGAAACATTCAAAGTGCCTCTGAAATCCTTACTCACCAATTTCATGGCACCATTTCACTTAATAATCTCTCTTGTTTATTAACTTTAATGGCATTGTATCATTTAGTTCCCATGCTACGAGGAAATCTGTTATGCCAGATGGTTCCACAAATAATGATCGTCATACTTACATGAGTTGTACATGAGTGCACTATTTATTTTTGCTGATTACTGGTGCAGTTTTGAACCCATTAAAGCCCTAAAGCTCTGCCAATAGACACCTAAATAAGGCCCTATAATCTTGAAGAAGAATTTAGTATGTGGTTGTTGAGCTACTAAACTCTCCCCAGCTACACTGCTGTTTCAGTCATTGAGAGTTTAACAGAGGAGAAAATCAGAATGTATTGATTTTCTCTTCTGCCCCTTGGAAGAGGCAATCCAAGTTGTTTTTATGATGTTTTGAAGCACACGTGACAGTGCCTTTTAAGGATTAGAGAAAATCCGAATCTGCTACATGAACGTAGAGCCAGCTTTCACTTGGGGTTTGGCTTGGAGCTAATGTAAAGCCATGTGTCAGGAACATGAGGCAGAGGGAAATTGGGACAGACTTTCTCTCTTTAGAAGCACGTGTGTGTGTGTGTGTGTGTGTGTGTGTGTGTGTGTTTTCATGTGCCAAGCATTCTGACCACAGGTCAGATTCAAGCACTGAATTTTCCATGCTGATTTCAAGGATTGTACTTCAGCTCTGTGAAACTTTTGGACATTTGCTCACAGCTCCTTTTTACAATTTTGTATGTAAAAAATATCACTAGAAATAACCCCTTATAGTTTTAAATTCCCCTAAAGCTACTGCCAGACATCTCTTCCTTTGTCCCTTTCCTTTTTTCCACTACCTTTTTTTTCTCTCTCTTCCTATTAATTTAGATCAGGAGGTCATATATTTTTGGGGTCATGGATATGAAAGATTACAGAAACTTGCCCAAGCAAAAATGTTTTAATGACGAACATATGTCAAGGGGCCATAAGGCACATTTAGTAAGAGTTTGTGGGCACAGACACGTTGTTGAAATAGAGCACTGGGGTGGGAGTGGCTGAATCTGGGATTTATTTCTGACTTTTACTACCTCTCTGACCCTCAGATTTTTTTATCTATGAAAGATGTGGATAATGATCATTGTAGTGAAGGTCTGATGAAACAATATATGTGAAAGGGCTTAACTGTTAAGTGCTAGATGCAAGTGAGGTATTGCTACTAGGGATGTCTAAAATAAAATACTATGCTGACTTGGGACAAATCTCAGGATTTATTGTGAAGTAAAACTAAGCAAAACAAAAAGCAATGTGTATGGTGTGATTTGCATTTATGTGAATTTTTATTTAAAAGAAAACCAGAAGTAACATGTGCATTTGTGTCCAGTGTATAGAAAAATGATGGGAAGAGCCAGGCACTGTGGCTCACACCTGTAATCCCAGTACTTTGAGAGGCTGAGGTGGGTGGATCACCTGAGGTCAGGAGTTCCACACTAGCCTGGCCAACATGGCGAAACCTTGTCTACTAAAAATACAAAAACTAGCTGGGTGTGGTGGCATGTGCCTGTAATTCCAGCTACTCGGGGGGCTGAGGCAGGAGAATCACTTGAACCAAGGAGGAGGAGGTTGCAATGAGCTGAGATTGAGCCACTGCACTCCAGCCTGGGTGACAGTGTGACTCTATCTCAAAAAGAAGAAAAAGGGATGGATGTGCTGCACAGATCTGTGGTGAGATCTCAGACAGGAGACACTGGTTATCTCTGTGGAAGGAACAAGCTGGAGCCAGCTAAGGGGATACTTTGCATATTGAACTCCCATATTGCATGACAGGGACGTTTTATGTCTTGTTGACCCTTGAACAGCATGGATTTGAACTGCATGGTTTCACTTATGTGTGGATTTTCTTCAGCTGCTGCTGCCCCCGAGACAGTAAGACCGACTCCTCCTCTTTCTCCTCCTCTTCATCCTACTCTATGTGAAGACAAGAATGAAGATCTTTGTGACGATCCACTTCCAGTGAATGATTAGTAAATATATTTTCTCTTTCTGATGATATTCTTAATAATATTTTCTTTTCTCTAGCTTACTTCATTGTAAGAATCAGTTTATCATACATATAATACACAAATATGTGTTAATTGACTGTTTATGTTATCACTGAGGCGCCTGGTCAACAGTAGGCTTTTAGTAAAGTTTTTGGGGATTGAAAAGTTATAATTGGATTTTCAACTGTGCAGGGGTTTGGCATCCTTAACTCCCGTGTTGTTCAAGCGTCAGCTGTATTACTGAATAAAATACAGATAAAATAAAACCAAATTAAGCCTTTTAAATTAAGAATGTAATCACTAAGAGACTGTGGTCAACAATGGAGGTCATGACAATAAAATTCTGCTTTTGTTATTTATCCAAGTTACATTTTTTCATTCATCTCCTCAGTCAGCAACAAATACTTCTTCAGTACTTTGTGTCAGTTCTGCAGTCTACTAGGCACTGATCCTCTCCCAAAAATACAATGGAATGGTTTCTTTGTAGCTGGCATCCTTTACAATGTTTAAATTCTTGGGACATCCTGGACTGTAAGGGAAACAAATATTTCCAATAGGATGAAGATAAAACTATATTTAAAGATAAAGAATTGTGGCATGTTTGGTTACCTACTCAATATTCATTTCACCTTCTTTCCTATAAAGAGGATCTTGATTGTGTTCAGACAGTAACACACCCAGAACCTCAGGTCATGATCATGAGATCCTGTTGTCTCTTTTGTTATTTCCCTTGTAGCTAAGAGTATCCACGTGACCTGGACCTGGGTGAGTGGGTCCTAGAAAAATTTTTGCTTTCTTGCTACTCTTCCTTCTTCTCACTGGAATGTAAATGTAAAGGGTGGAGCTGCAGCAGCCATCTTGCTATCACAAAAGAAAGACTGAGAGAACAGCAGAAGAGTTGACCTTAATGTTGTTGAACCACTGAATCAACGCTGTAAACAATCTATCTCCAAAATTCTTGGTATGTGAGAAACTAAACTACTGTTTATTTAAGTTGGGTTGTCTGTTAAGTGCAGCTGAATGTCTTCCTAATTGATACAGAAATGCATTTAAAAAATAGCATGCACACTTTTTAGTATGAGCTAAGAAAATGAGTAAGAACACAGCACATTGAACCCAATTTTGCATTTGCAATCCCCAAAGAACCCTGGTACACTTTTGTAGAATATTAATGTGAAACCTAAGTTTGGGGAATGTCTCTGATGAGAAGTTGGGAAACAGAAATAGATGAGACCTATCTATGGTGCAAAGATAAATTTTGGTTAGAAAGAAAAGAGCAAGAACATGCACAAAAATGTGTGGCAGAACCAGGCTGTGGGCAGGAACCAGAGGAGCTGTCTACTATGGTTGTATTTAATATGACTGCTGAGGACAAAGCTCTGATTTTTTTATCTGGCCCAAATTCCTATCTAAGGTGTCTGGAGAGTCATGCCTTACAAACCATACATTCTCATCAGATGGGTTTTATTTAACCCCATATATTGTGACTTTCCAATCTGACTCTGGCATAATATTATGTGACAAAAAAGAAAGTCAAAATATTTTACTCCAAAACATCTTTCTTTGTCTTATTTTGAAATGGCCCTGCAAATGTGTCCTTTGTGGGGGGAAATTTATACCTGTAAAGAATCTCTATTAACATAGCTATATCTTTTTCTTCCTGGCCCTCCCAATCCTAAAGAGATTGAGTAAGAGTCTAGCACCTTTTAAAGGTCTGAATAGGAAACATTTGTCATCTATTCCCCCGAAGAACAGCCACTGTAAGACTTCAAAAGAACTGTGGTCTGCACAATCTTTTATCTTAACCTGAACATTTCTTTTCTATGGAACCCAGGTCTTTAGACAAACTCAACCAATTGTCAACCAGAAAATGTTTAAATGTTTCTATAGCCTGGAAGCCGCCTCCTCCCCACCACCATCCCATTCCACTTTGAGTTGTCTGGTTTTTCTAGACCAAACCAATGTATTTCTTAAATGTATTTGTTTGATGTCTCATGCCTCCCTAAAATGTACAAAACCAAGCTGTGTCCAACCACCTTGGGCACATGTCCTCAGGACCTTCTGAGGGCTGTGTCACCAGATGTGGTCATTCATATTTGGCTCAGAATAAATCTCTTCAAATATTTTACAGAGTTTGACTCTTTTTTTTTGACACATAACTGCCCAAGGGGTTCGTTCACCTTGCCTGCTGCCCAGACAGAGCCGATGCATCAAGATGGGGGAATTGTAATAGAGAAAGAGTAGTTCATGCAAAGCCGGCTGTGCAGGAGACTGGAGTTTTTTTTATTACTCAAATCAGTCTCCCTGAGCATTCAGGGAGCAGAGTTTTAAGGATAACTTGGTGGGTGGGAGAAGCCAGTGAGCGAGGAATGCTGACTGGTCAGGGATGAAATCAGAGGGTGTCGAAACAGTCTTCTTGTCCTGAGTCAGTTCCTGAGTGGGGACCACAAGATCAGATGGGGCAGTTAATTGATCTGGGTGGTGCCAACTGATCCATCAAGTGCAGGGTCTACAAAATATCTCAAGCACTGATCTTAGGAGCAGTTTATGGAGGGTCAGAATCTTGTAACCTCCAGCTGCATGACTCCTAAACCATAATTTCTAATATTGTAGCTAATGTTAGTCTAATCCCCAGGCAAGAAGGAAGTCTGCTTTGGGAAAGGGCTGTTACTGTCTTTGTTTAAACTGTAAACTACAAACTAAGTTTCTCCTTAAGTTAGTTCAGCTTACACCCAGGAATGAACAAGGACAGCTTGGAGGATGGAAGCAAGATGGAGTCCGTGAAATGAGATGTCTTCCACTGTCTCCGTCATATTTTGCAGAAGCAATTTCAGACACGGCCAAATATTTCCCATTTTCCTTCTTAACAGATAGGGTTGCCAGATTTAAAAATACAGATGCCCAGTTAAATCTGAATTTTAGATAAACAATGAATGACTTTTGAGTATAAAGCATGTCCCATGTAATATCTAGGATTATTGAACTCAAAAGTTATTTGTCATTTTATCTGAAATTCAAATTTAACTGGACATCCTGTATTTAATCTGGCAACCCAATTTTTAGGCCTGTGCTAGAACTCTATTTCTTGATCTCCTTCTAGTTCAGATATTAACTAACTAATGGCTTCCTCAGTGTCCAGTCTTACAGAAGAGTTCTTGTTAACCTTGTACCCTGGACTGGAGGAGCTCAGGTTCCATCTGCTACTCTCTTTCATCCAACGATGAGACTGGAAGTTGCACTGTTTTATGCCTTAGGTTTTCTCACCTGGGTTTAGGCTAGTTACTTCTTGACATCATAATTAGATCCTAAAATTGAATTGTTCAATAATAGATAAATGCAAAATCTGGAGTCCAGCAGTGAAACAAAATGTAAAACAATTGACAGGGCCTGACATTTGGCTTTGAAGCAAATGTTAGGAAATGGTCTCCCCCTGAGTGTTCAAGAAATGGGAGTGGATTCACCTTTCAGAAGATACCAGTTCAGTAATCGGAAGTGTTCTAGAAACAGCAGGGTATTGTTATGACAGAGGCACATAAATTGGTGAAATTAAGTGAGCAAATGCGCTTAACACAGAACAAAGGTTCCAAAAGTAGGTTATCACTGCTTGTCAATGAGTTTTGTGAAAAGAGTTCCTTCCCTTTTCTCAGTGTGTGTGCTGTTGATTTCTTTTTATTGTCTGTGCTTTCTCCATATATATTTAGAGATTTAAAAAAAGTGAGTCATGGCATGTTAGGTTGACTTAGACCCACTGCGGATTCTCTGGTGTGGTTTCTTTCATCCTTTCTGTGAATTTGGGTGGAGGCTGGAATCAGAGGAAAGGTACAGTGGGAGGGGCAGGCAGAGATGAGGCTGGCTTGGGCCATGGTACTTCAAATCAGACCCCTGGCCGAGTGTCACAATCTGCTGCAGGGCACCACGTCGGGCAGCACGCATTCAAAGTTGAATGCCACTGGCATTATCAGATGAGCTGCCCATCAGCACTATGCCCATGCCTGATGCAGTTTGGCTCTGCAGACCTTCTCACGTACATTTTCATCTAAATTAGAAGGAGAAGAGATATTCAGCTTCAGATTTCTGCCAGGCTTTAATTAATCCTCTAGACACAGGCAGGATATGTCTCACTTGTTCCTTTTCTTTGCCAGCAAAATGACACTTAAGGAAGAAGTTACCTCTGAACACGCTGCTACATCCCTGACAAACTTTCATAAATATGCCCAGCTGTTTCCCCAATCTCCACTCTGTGTCGCCTGCAAATCACTGATTAATTTGCACACAGCTGCTACAGATTCTAGAAAGACAAGCTCCTGAGAAACATTCAGTGTTGCTGGTATTAAGCCTCTAATTTCCCTAAGTGAAAAGTTTCTAAAGCTGTTTAAATTGTCTGAGGAAGCTGCAAAGGCTGGGCGTCTGGGCTTCCTCTCTGCTTGTCTGACAGATTCACTGTCTTACTGAAAAATCCACTCAACCATCCTGTGTCTGTTCTCTGAAATCTAGGAGCTATCAAGCCACCGTTTGGCACTTTTTCTTGAAGCCTGTTTTGAAAACCTATTTGTGAAAGGCACAAAAAAGGAGACAGTGTATTGTCATGGATAGGACCTTGAATTGTAGTCAAAGAGACTGAAGTTACAATCCCTTCTTTTCTGCCTAGCTTGGCCTCAGGCCCTGTACTTACTGTAATAATTGAGTCTACCTCAAAAGGCTCTTGGGTTGTTTAATGAGTTAGTATATTCAACAGGAAAATCTTAAAGTGTTTTCATTGCCTTTTCCTCATTCACTGCCTAAGGGAAATTTGGGATCCTCTTGCCTGCTCCCGTTGTGCAAATCAGGATAAGGGGATGAGAAGGCAGTTTGGAAAAATCGGAAGACCATCTGGAATTCCCTTGGGAAGGGCAGAGCTCTACTTCTGGAAGAGAATTGTAACTGCAGAGAGATGAGAGGATGAGGGAGGATAGGAGAATGGACTGAATATTTGAGAAAGCACTTGGGAACCTGTGAAAAGAGGAAGGGGGTGAGGGATCACATCTCCTGTGCTCTGCCACTTGGGACAGAGCAAAAAGAGGCAAGATAAAGGAAGGAATACATGTGGCTGTGAGTTATTAATAAACTTACTGGAGTTTTTCAATTCTTTTTGGATGTTGGAGCCACTGAAGCATTTTGGACATGGAAATGATGTGGCCATAGTTTGTTTTATGGTGATTACAAGGCAGGATGCAATATTCCCTGGGGAAGGAGAGCCTAGGAGAAGATAGACCATCATAAAAATAGACTAGAGAGGAGATAAAGACTTAGTGACTGGGTATTCGGTGGCACAGTCGGCAATCACTGAGATGAGCAGATGGCGTTAGAATTGGGTCCTTCTTCTAATGATTCTACTAATTACAGATACTTTTCCCATTCCTCCCTGCTGACTACATTCTTCTCATTCCTGAAAGTCCAATTCAGATTCTTCCCCTCCTTGAAGTCTCTCCACCATTCTGAACAGCATCATTTCTGAAATTCAGATTTCTGAATCAAAGCCTGTTCCTCTATCTTCATATCCATCCACCATTATTGAATTATTTCCTGGCCCAGATCCATTTTTCAGTTAGATTGCAAACTCCTCGAAGACGGTTAATCTATAGCTCTGTCTCTCTTTTATCCTTGGTGCCAAGCACACTGCTAAAAACAAACAAATAACTATTAGATTGAACTGAGTTGAGTTTCAGGGTGCACCTTGCAGGATGACTGGTAAAAAAACTACTAGGGAAGGATAAGAAGGAAAGAAGTATTAGAAACATGGGCGATTGATATAGATGATCCTTGAATATTCCATGACAATGAAACTTGCCTTGTAGTATCTTTGAAGAATCTAGAAAAATCAGCTTAATATAACATAAATATATACAGTGAATCACAGTCTCTGCTAAACTAAGAACTGACCATTCCTGGAAGCATATAAAGAAATGAACGAGTCACTGTTTTGATACACCCATGTGTGAGTTGCTCCTTCTTTAATGGAAGCCTGTCCAAAGAGACTTTAATTTATTAATACAGATGGTTTAGGTGGTTATACATTTATTGAATTTCTCTAATCTCGTTTCTTCGAAAATCCTGAAATGATTCCTTGAGAAGCCATTATCTTAGTTTAAATAAGATATTTTGTTGTTGCTTAATTTCATGAATTGAATCAAGGAAACAGAGTCCCTAAATACAGAAATCAAAACCTCTCCACCTTCTGAGAGCACAAAAGGTGAAGTCTATGCTTGACAGTGATCAGGGAGAAATGTAGGGGAGGGGAAATGTGTACGAGAAAATAAAGAGCAAGTTTGGCAACTTTCAGGGTATTTGGTTTGTGTGTATTTTTACAGAGAACTTTAAGAAGCAGAGAAGTTGAAAGGTGAGGTCGGTGGCTGGAAAATCTTAATTTTCCGTTTCACATGAATAAACTGAGATCCAGGAAGATGACATCATTTGAAAATAACCAGTTAAATAATGCTGGTTTGGTCATTGGGGGAATCTGGCTTTAAAATATTTATCATATAAAATCTTATAAGATCTATGCATGAAGGAGTGTCTACTCCTATAAAAAAGGAATTATTTACTTAACAGAAGTTAAGTTTCTTTCCCAAAGTTTCTTTATAAACCATGCCAGCCAGTGCACTGAAATTCAGATTTGATTTTTAAATATTTGATTTACCCATTATTTTTTTCAAGAATTCTTCAATCGTATAAAAACATATTGAAACTCAGGCAAAGGTAGGCCAGTTCAGTTTCAACTTGAATTAGAAATGACCAAAGTGTCTAAAAAGGCACTATTTCCTCCAGATCAGCTTGTATTTAACTTCGTTTCTTTACAGAGTGGAACTTTTTTTTTTTTTTCACTTTGTGTGACTTTCCAGTAAAGATAGATATTTTTAGGTGTGATTCAGCTTTAGCTTCTATTTTCTTATCTGCCTAAGATGCAGTTGTTCAAAACCAATTTACTTGGCTAATTCTTTCCTCTGTCATCATTGTAATTATTTCCCACAGGCTTTGGCCAAACAATTCTTTCTCCATCATGTGGTTTCAGCTCAGCTGAAAGTTTGTGTCCACAAAGTCAGTTGCCATGGTAACAGCTGGGCTGTTACCAGCTCTATATTAAGTCTTTGCTGCAAGGAAAGGAAAAGGGAAATGAGTGGGGATGGAGGGAAATAAGTGGCCATTTCTACATATCTGTTTTTAAGTAAGTTATCTCATCCCTGTTGTAGTTAATTCTTTTGCATGATTCTCTTTTAGGGACCTTGAGTTCCACTATATTCATCATCTTATGCACATTTATAATTTAATTGATATTTATTGAGAAGGAACCATAAGGTGTGGTCTAGCAGAAGCTCACTAATTCTTTCATTTGTATGTGCACTTTATAAATACAGATTGAGCACCTGCCCTGTGCTAGGCCAGGTTTTAGGATCTGGACTCAGCAGTGAGAAAGTCAGATGAGTTGGTGGCTCTCCCAGAGCATACATTCTAATGGAAGAGTCAGGCAGTGAAAAGTGAATGCATCAATAAGATGGATTCAGATAATGACATGTTGTATAAAGAAGATAAAGTAGGGCGCTATGTTAGAGCAAAGGGAAGTGTTTGAAAGAGCACTTGGGGAAAGCTTGAAGAGTGGACATTGGATCTGCTTCCTCACGATGAGAAGCAGAGGAGCATGTGAACACCACAGGGACAGGTTTTCCAGGTGGAGGGAACAGCACGTGTGAAGGAGCTGAGGCATGAAATTGCTTGAAAATATTTAACAACTAAAAATGGCCGAGTCTGGAGAGTAGGAAGCAGGGGAACGAAGAGCCAGAGAGGAGGTCTCAGATGCAAGCAGGAGTCCAATGATTGGTGGCAACAACCAGAGCCAACTTCATATGTGTATGACCTGTGAAGTCACACAGGGCCTCCAAATCAGAAGGGTACTGCCTCTGGTTTAATACTCTGCTGTGGCTGTCTTGAAATTCTTAATAATTTTATTTTTGAACTTGTGTTTTGCCAAATGATATCTGATGGGACAACGGAGCATGCATGTGGGCAGAGGAGATACGTACAGTGTGTCTGTCTGTTGTTGTCACCCCATTCGTATATAGAGCTCTTGATGCCTCATCAATGCAGATTTCTGGTGGCCCAGAAATCTGGAGTTTAGCAAGACTTAAAGAAGTACGAAGTAATTGTGCTATATTAATGACTCTATAATCAGAGGCACTGTTGCCCTAGATTCTCCATGCACTTCTTTGGAACCAGAACTTGTCTTGAATAGAGAAAAAAGGCAGTGGCATTCTAGAAAACACTAACGACAAAGGCACTCTATCATATTCTTTCTCACTCATGTTTCTTCCCTCTATTAGTCAACCACTTGTTATGAAAGTGATGACATCAAATGAAAGGAATAACTTCTAGTTCATTTTCCTTTCAGTCCTTCCTTATTTGTCAGTAAGCCAAAGGTAGAGAGTGTGGCATCTACAAGTGAAATAAAAATAGTTAAGTTGTGCACTTATTCTGTTTAAATGAAATGTATATACATGTATGAATTCTCAAATACAGAGATCTTGTGATTTCACATAGAAATTAAATGTACTTATATTTGCATTTAAAGCTGGCATTGTATAATATAAAGATACATGGTAAAATTCATGTTAATAATTTAAATTTTTAATTTTTCTTTAATGAGAATAACATTAAGTAGCAAGTAAAAATGACCATAAAATATAGAGGGAGAGAGGGTGGAAGAAAAGAAAAGGCATTATATTTTAGTGTACTTAAGAATACTGTTTCCTGTTTTGTTTGAACAAAGTGCTCTGAATTTTAATTTTTCAGTGGATTTCACAAATTTTGTGGCCATCCCTGGTAATAAGTCACAGGACAACAGATATTTCATAAAAGAACAGGGTAAGTTACTTGGCATTTCTGAGCCTTGATTTCCTCAGGGAGAGAAGAATACTTGATGAGTAAGGTTGTAATGAAGATCATTTCACAAGATATGGTACATTCCTCACTGAACAGAGTCCTTTATGTTTAAAGGCAGATATTCAATAAATAGTAGATGTGGTACTTGCAAATGCACCCTACAAAACAGGAGGTTCTGTGTGGACATAATTTATCTTGAGGTTATAGAGATGGGAAAGGCTCTTCAGGTGTAACAATCTTTATATCTGTATAGAGAAACTCTTGCTTTAAACAACTTGAAAAATAGCATGCAACAATAAATCTGTAATGGCTAATTTTATATGTCAACTTGTTTTATGTGTCAACTTGATTGGGCTAAAGGACGCCAAGATAGCTGGTAAAACATTATTTCTGGGTGAGTTTGTGAGAGTGTTTCCAGAAGAGATTAGCATTTGAATTGGTAGATTGAGTAAAAAGATCACCCTCTCCAATGTGGATGGGTATCATCCAAACTACTGAGGAACCCAATAGAGCAAAGCAAACAAACAAGCAAAACAAATGAGGAAGGGAAAATTTGCTCTTTGTTCTTGAGCTGGGACATCCATCTTCTCCTGCCCTCAGACACTGGGGCTCCTGGTTCTTGGGTGGTTGGACTCTGAGACTTATACTGGTAAGCACTCCTCTCACTGTGTCACCTCCACCCTGATTTTCAGGTCTTTGGACTCCATAATACATCTCTCTTCCCCTCTCTCTCTCGCTATATATTACACACACACACACACACACACACATATGTATATAGATGATACATATATCTATATGCGTATAGATGATAGCTAGATAGATATAAACAGAACCAATGGTGTGTGTGTGTGTGTGTGTGTGTGTGTGTGTGTGTGTGTTTATGTATATATAGTGGAAGGGCCTTTCCCATCTCTGTAACCTTAAGATAAGTTATGTTGGGCCAGGTATGGTGGCTCACGCCTGTAATCCCAGCACTTTGGGAGGCCTAGGTAGGCAGATCACGAGGTCAGGAGATGGAGACCATCCTGGCTAACACGGTGAAACCCCGTCTCTACTAAAAATACAAAAAATTAGCCAGGCGTGGTGGCAGGCACCTGTAGTCCCAGCTACTTGGGAGGCTGAGGCAGGAGAATGGCATGAACCAAGGAGGCAGGGCTTGCAGTGAGCCGAGATTGCGCCACTGCACCCCAGCCTGGGTGACAGAGTGATACTCTGTCTCAAAATAAATAAATAAATAAAAAGAAGATAAATTATATATACACATAACCTCCTGTTTTGTAGGGTACATTTACAAGTGCCACATCCACTATACACACACACACACCATTGGTTCTGTTTCTCTGGTGAACCCTGATTAATATAGTATCCTATCATACCTTAACTTCAGGAAGTGTTTGATAAATTATCTCATGCTCGTTTGTGGAAAAGGGAGAAAGCAGGCTAATTCTGCTTTCAGTAATTCTGAAAGATTTGTGTTAGTTTACTGACTTTACTAGGAGAGTTTGATGTATGGATTATGGTAGCTTGGAGAGTGAGTTCTAGTGACACAACAAAGAACTCTGTGGTTGACTCTGGCTTATATAATATTTTAATTCAGCAGCTTCCTTCAACATATGTCAGGCATTATTACCAAATATGTGACTGAAGCAATGTTAGATGGAAGAGCTAAAAGTTTAGGAATGGATGATTAAAGTTATTTTGATAGGCTAGAATAATGAAACAAATCTGTTGAGCTGAAATTTAATGTGGTTAAAAGTTAGTTAAAAGTAAAATCATAGGATGGCATCATAAGATTATAAGAGGTTCTTATGTCAAAGAACTAAGGGTCAGAATTGGCTATAAGCCATTCATTCAGCATGGTTTCCTTAACATATAAGTGCCAGTCACCAAGGCTGGTTGCTATCTGGAATATGGAAGTGCTAGAAACTGGAAATAAAGTGTGTACATGGCAGAGACAACATGGCCCAGCCATGTGAAGTGTTGATGTCAGCCCAGCGTGTGAACTTTGTTCATGGAATATTTTGTTTGAATCCAGAGATTACAGACTTACACATAGTCCTATTGAATAGTGTGATTTATGTCTAGTTCTAGGAAATACTATCACAACATCCATCCAGAGGAGAGTGATATGGATAAAACATTAAAAATTCTGCCACGTGAGGAATGAATGGACTAATTGAGCATTTCTCATTGTTATTGCTATTATAATTGATAAAAGATTATTATATAAAAACCAAGCAAAAAAGAATCTCTGAGTCAGCCAATTTTCTCTGTTTAGCCTGGAAAAAGCACTTGGGAAATACTCAGTTGCTATCTTTAAATATTTAAGAGACTTTTATGTGAAATACAAAATTAGGCTTTCTTTTTGTTGAATCTTATTTAGAATTAAATGAGCAGATGTTAGAGAAAAAAGGGTTTTAGGTCAATGTACAAAAAGTCTTTCTGCTAAGAGTTGATCTTCCCATCAGTGGAATTGTCCTTTTTGGGCCTGGATGACCACTTTCCAGGTGTGATACCAAATTAAAATTGAACCATACAGCTTCTACGGTTCTTTCTTACACTAAGAATGTTATGGAATTTAATTCAACAATCATGATGGCCCCTTGGCCAATATGTGTGACAGCCACATTGCAATGCAAGTCAGAATTTATGCAAGCACTCAGAAAATATTTTGCTTTCAATGAACATATGTTTTACATTACTGACCAAAAATATTTAACCAAGAAAAGTTATCCCAAAGACATTCAGTTTGAGTTAAATGTTGAATGAGGCAAGGACTTTAGTTCCAGAAATATATGAAGAAAATGATAGAACAGAAAAATGTTGTATATGAGATTCTTACAAAAATCAGCAGAAATTTAACTTTACTAGTATCTTGGAGGTATATCCTTAGTTGTCTGCTGCAAAGTGAGCTTTAGGTAAAGTTAAAATAGAAGCCCATTTTAAGCAGTTGTTTCCATATACCGTGTTGGGTATATTGAGACACAGAAAGGTCAGGAGTTGTGGAAATGGCTTTGTGGAACTTGTCCTCCAGAGCAACCATGTGTTTACCTCATGCCCACCCCTTTCTGAGTGGTTCTTTATATATGGGTCACACTTCTTGGCACCATATGAACCTGGCATCTGTGCCATAGCTAATCAGAATGAGGACAAGTACACTGGGTGACCAGAGTAGGCAAGGGTCACATTTTTGCAAGTGTGAATATGAAACATGGAAAGGAATCAGCCAACAGTAGGACATGGTAGAAGCCAAGACACACAGAGGGATGGCAGACAACAGAATACATGAGGTAGCAGAGTAATGGCATGCAAATAGTGAGAGTAAAGAGAAAACCAACAGAGCAAAGCAGGCACAGCTGAGGCAGAGAAGGACAGTAAGTAGGTCATGACCACAATATCAAAGTTTCAGACACTGAAGCAATTGGATGCTAGGGAGACAAGATAACAACATAGGCATTGAAGGTCCACCCAAGTGTCAACTTTTCTGCTAAACAGTGAAACTCTTGTAAAAAATAAGAGCGGGACAAGATCACATGGGCTTGGCAGGGAGAGAGGGCTCCCTGGAAAAGGTAATATGGTTTGGCTCTGTGTCCCTACCCAAATCTGATGTTGAATTGTAATCCCCAAAGTTGGGGGAGGGATCTGGCAGGAGGTAATTAGATTATGGGGGCAGATATCCCCCTTGCTGTTCTCATGATAGTGAGTGAGTTCTCATGAGATCTGGTTACTTAAAAGTGTGTATCATTTCTCCCTTCACTCTCTCCCTGTCTCCAGCTGCCATGTGAAGCTGTGCTTGCTTTCCCTTTGCCCTTTTGCCATGATTTTAAGTTTCCTGAGGCTTCCTCAGCCTGCCTCCTGTACAGCCTGTGGAACCATGTCAATTACATTTCTTTTATTTATGCATTACCCAGTCTCAGCCAGTCCTTTATAGTAGTGTGAAAACAGACTAATACAGACAATTGGTACCATCAGAGTAGGGCACTGCTATGAAGATAACCTGAAAATGTGGACGTGACTTTGGAACTGGATAACAGGTACAAGTTGGAAAAGTTTGGAGAACTTAGAAGAAGACAGGAAGATATGGGAAAGTTTGGAACTTCCTAGAGACTTGTTGAATGATTTTGACCAAAATGCTGATAGTGATATGGACAATAAAGTCCAGGCTGTGGTCATCTTAGATGGAGATGAGAAACTTATTGGGAACTGAAGTAAAAGTCACTCTTGTTATGCCTTAGCAAAGAGACTGGTGAGATTTTGCCCCTGGCCTGGGGATCTGTGGAACTTTGAACTTGAGAGAAATGATTTGGGATATCTGGTGGAAGAAATTTATAAGCAGCAAAACATTCAAGAAATGACATGACTGATTTTGAAGATGTTCAGTCATACGCATTCACAAAGAGATTATATGAAACTGGGACTTTTATTTAAAAGGGGAGCAGAACATAAAAGTTTGGAAAATTTACAGCTTGACCATGTGATATAAAAGAAAACCGTATTTTCTAGGGAGGAATTCAGGCTGGCTGCAGACATTTGCATAAGTAATGAGGACCTGAATATTAGCAGCCAAGACAATGGGGAACATGTCTCAGGGTATGTCAGAGATCTTCATGGTAGCCCCTCTCATCAGAGTCCTGGAGGCCTGGGAGAAAAAAATTGTTTCCTGGGCCAGGCTCGGGGTCCTGGTACTCTGTGCAGCCCCAGGACATGGTGCCCTGCATCCCAGCCACTCTAGCTCCTGCCGTGGCTGAAAGGGGCCAAGATACAGCTCAGGCCATTGCTTCAGAGGGTGAAAGTCCCAAGCCTTAGAGGCTTCCATGTGATGTTGGCCCTGTGGGTGCACAGAATAGAAGAGTTGAGCTTTGGGAGCCTCCACATATATTTCAGAGGATGTACAGAAATGCCCAGATGTCCAGGCAGAAGTCTGCGGCAGGGTGGGGCCCTCATAGAGAATCTCTGCTAGGCCAGTGCAAAAGGAAAATGTGGGATTGGAGCCCCCACACAGGGTCTCCACCAGGGCACTGCCTAGTGGAGCTGTGAGAAGAGGGCCATTGCCCTCCAGATGCCAGAATGTTATATCCACTGACAGCTTGAATCATGTGCTTGGAAAAGCTACAGCTCATGAAAGCAGCTGTGGGAGCTGTACCCTGCAGAGTCACAGTGATGGAGCTGTGTGGGAGCCCATTCCTTGCATCACTGTACCCTGCATTTGAGATATGGAGTCAAAGGAGATTTTGGAGCTTTAAGATTTAATAACTGCCTGGCTAGGTTTTGGACTTGCATGCAGCCTGTATCCCCTTCGTTTTGGCCAATTTCTCCCATTCAGAATGGGAAAATTTACCCAATGCCTGTATCTCTATTGTATCTAGGAAGTAACTAACTTGCTTTTGATTTTACACGCTCATAGGCAGGAGGGACTTGCCTTGTCTCAGGTGAGACTTTGGACTTGGACTTTTGAGTTAATGCTGGAATGAGTTAAGACTTCAGGGGACTGTTGGGGAGACATAATTCTGTTTTGAAATGTGAGAAGGACCAGAGATTTCAAGGTGCCAGGAGCAGAATAATATAGTTTGGTTCTGTGTCTTCACTGAAATCTAATGTTGAATTGTAATCTCCAATGTTGGGTGAGCGACCTGCTGGGAGGTTATTGGATCACAGGGGTGGATTTCCCTCTTGTTCTCATGGTAGTGAGTTCTCACAAGATCTGGTTGTTTAAAAGTTTGTAGCACTTCCCCCTTTGCTCTCTCTCTCTTTCTGTCATGTGAAGATGTTCTTGCTTCCCTTTCACCATTTTAACGTAATTGTAAGTTTCCTGAGGCTCCCCCAGCCATGTCTCCTGTATTGCCTGTGTAACTGTATGCCAATTAAGTATCTTTTCTTTATAAATTACACAGTCTCAGGAAGTTCTTTATAGCAGTATGAAAATGGGCTAATACAAGAGGCAAAGTTTAAGGCGATATGGATAGAATTTGAATTGCCAAGGATGCTGTCAGTGGAAAATGAGAATGGGAAGGCTTATTTGTGGGGACACAAAGACCAACGTTTTTAAGAGATTATACTTGGGAAGAATGGAAGTGTTTCCTGCCAAGCGAGGGCAGAGAAGACTCATTTCGCAGAACCCATTGCTTGCTTTAAAAATGTCAAAATGTCCTTCTTGGGACACTTTCTTGTATAACAGCTTATTCTACAGAAGATAAAGTTCCTGCTGGAGAGGGAGCATCAATGTTGAACCCCTCTTGCTTGCTCTCTCATCCTCAAGATCTTTTCCACAGACACACTGAACTCCAAGCTTTTACATTCACCTTTACTGTGACAGGGTATTGGGCTTGTTCTGATGGTTTAATAATCTCTGCCGACGAAATGTAAATTGTGGGAGTGATTTGGGGACTGTGG
This sequence comes from Homo sapiens, assembly GCF_000001405.40. Classification (NCBI taxonomy): domain Eukaryota; kingdom Metazoa; phylum Chordata; class Mammalia; order Primates; family Hominidae; genus Homo; species Homo sapiens. Next base: position 87,620,084 of record NC_000014.9, on the reverse strand, counting down.
ACAACTGACCATAGGAGCAGGGTAGAGGGCTTCTAATACTTTTCTTTTCTTTTTTTTTTTTATTTTGAGATGGAGTCTTGCTCTGTCAACCAGGCTAGAGGGCAGTGGCACAATCTTGGTTCACTGCAACCTCCGTCTCCCAGGTTCAGGCAATTCTCCTGCCTCAGCCTTCCGAGTAGCTGGGTGCACACCACCATGCCCAGCTAATTTTTGTATTTTTAGTAGAGATGGGCTTTCACCATGTTGGCCAGGCTGGTCTTGAACTCCTGACCTTGTGATCCGCCCACCTCAGCCTCCCAAAGTGCTGGGATTACAGACATGAGCCACCGTGCCCGGCCTCTAATCATTTCCTATAAATAATTGAACTTTTTTTTTCAGCTGGTAGTGATTTTCTGTCTTGCTTCGCAAAGCCTGAACTTGAACCAAGAAGCAAATTGTTCTTTGTCCACAGGTTGTCTGACTAAAAACAATGGGGTAAATAATGGACACAGGTGGTTAAAGGAAGAAAGCATGGTTTTTCTTTTGCCACTGATGAGTTTTAAATAAATCTGTTTTCTAGGGCTTAAATTAAGAATCCATCACCGTACAGTGAGAGGCATAAACAGAGCTCCTTCTCTACTTCCTGCTGAGGGTCAGAGAAAGCTGTTTCTGTGTTTGTTCTGAATAGAAAAATTTAGCTGAGGGTCAAAATGATAGGGCAAAACTTCAGCAAATGCACGTAACACAAAGCAAGGCCTAGTCTATTAAGATCCTATTAACTGGCTCGCAAATTTTCACAAAAATACTGCCAAATTTGCCTGTTGGTTTATTACTTATACACCAAGAGAAGTCTCTTGGAGGAGATCAGGAAGACAATTTTGACCAGCCAATCTGACTGAGGGTTTCTGATGAAATGACAAACACAATAGAATTCAGAAGGGTTAAGAAATGAGGTAGAATATGAAAGCTAAGTTGTATTACTGTGATTTGCCTTGTGTGAAGCAGCTGGAGAGATAAGTGGGTTAAAATTTTTTTTTTTTTTTTGAGACGGAGTCTCACTCTGTTGCCCAGGCTGGAGTACAGTGACATGATCTCTGCTCACTGCAACCTCCGCCTTCTAGGTTCAAGCAATTCTACTGCCTCAGCCTCCCGAGTGGCTGGGACTACAGGTGCCTGCCACCACACCCGGCTAATTTTTTGTATTTTTAGTAGAGATGGAGTTTCACCATGTTAGCGAGGATGGTCTTGAAATCTTCTGACCTCGTGATCCGCCTACCTCAGCCTCCCAAAATGTTGGGATTACAGGCGTGAGCCACTACACCTGGCCTAAAGAATTTGAAAATCTGCATACATCCACTAATAATAGAACCTGGGATCCCTGTCCCTCTGCTTCATGAGCAGAGGACAAGCCTGGTTGCACAAGCTAGGAGAGTAACCTATGAGAGCTACCACCACTTTGCTATATCTATAGGATATTGGCACCGTGCCCTAGGAGAAGAGCCTAGTCTCCAGAGTTGCCTGTTTTTGCAGTGAATCTTCTGTAACACTTAAGACTTACCGCTACATAATGGGTGAATCTGCATTCGTACTAAAATTACTCTGAGTTCTAGGACATTGGGCCCAGGGAAGAATTATGTTGGAGGAGTGGTCACAGAAGATAAAGCGGCTGTCAGTGACTGCAAACGACAAGTTCCTTGAAAATACTTTCTCTGTGTTACGAGATCAATGGGCATTCATTGGGATTTATTGATAGGCCAGGGTGATCTACTAAGAAGGTCTGGGTTTTAATGTACTGTTTAGAGAACTGGAAGAGGATTTGATGACCTGCCCTGGAAGCCTATGTGACTTTGGTTAGAAAATCCACCTTTGTGCCTTGATACTTCAGCTGATAGAATGGCAACAATGACAATTGCAGGCCATTAATCGAGGACTGGTACCAGGGCTCCTATTACCTTCTGCTGCAAGGAGGAGGATACTAAACTGATGGTTGAGCCTAGTAGATGCTCCCTTTAGGAGAAGACACTTATCACCTCATCTACTGAGAGTGTTAACTATTGACAGGTCATCGCTGTGTTCCTTTCAGGACAGGGCTACATTGCTCAAGGTCATGCCCTTCCCCTGGTATAACCTTTATCCAGTGACTTTTCATGACAGGATACAAAGGCCCAGCCTTCATGCCTCAACTCAAGACAACTTGAAGTGCCATCTCAGATCCAGAGCTTCATGTATGATTGACTGAGGCCTTTGTCACACCTGCGTCACAGTTCATCTTCTCTTTCTGCCCAGCCTTGCTCTTCTGCTCCCCGCTTCCCTACCAAACCCAAAGGTTGATCCTGAGATGTCCTTCAATAACCTTTCTGCATGTGAATCTTTGCTTTACAGTCTGGTTTCTAGGAAGACCAGTCTCCAAGAAAGAGAGTCTAAGATACTGATTATGACTTAGATATTCTAGAACCAGGATTTTAGCTAAGTTCTTTAGTTTGAGTTTTTAAATACCATTGAAGAAGGGCTTAAGAGATGTTTATCATAAAGGGTCACAAGTTACAAAAGGCTTAGCCATGCTATCATATACTTTCAGGGACCTGCAAGTAGCCAGGAGATGGATTTTGTGTGGACCTGGGAACATTCTAGAACATTAAATATAAAACCTGTCATCTAGGTGTCAGGTTTCTTGGATGGGTACATCTGCTTGCTTAGTGTTATATTGTGTTTACAATGCAGTTTTTATTCAGCCAGCTTGGCTGTTAAAGGGCAACAATCCTCTCGTTCACACCCTGAACGTTGGCGGATTCTAATCCTCCCTCTCTGTTCTGCTGCACTTCCTCTCACTGCAGATAATTTGGGGAAGTTCATTTCCTTTGTTGTCTTTCTCTTGTTCTACACTGAGGCAACATTGTTGTTTCCAGGGAGACAGTGAAAAGAAAAAGTTAATTCAAAGAGCTCTAAAGAGAAATATTAATAAAGTACACGAGAGGCCAGTAATTCAGAGGAAAGCAGAAACATCTTTGAGGAGTCTGCAGATAAACAGAGAGCTTTTCACAAGGACATATGAATATTCAAAGGTCTTCATAAAAGCTGAAATATATTTAGTGATTATAGCAATGGATTAATATTTACCATTAGGGAGCCTATTACTCAATAGTTGGAAAAGCCACAAAACATCTAGGTGCAAAAAGTAAATTATAGATGATACATTTTCTTAACATCTGTCGTTGAATAAGGTTGAGAGCAACCTATCTTTTTCAGTACCCATCCATCAACATAATACCTCTTGTCATTTTCTGTAGTTCACTGTTCTATTCTCCCTAGTACCTTTTATTTCCTTTCATGTTATAGAATTTTGGGACTTTTTGGAAGCGGTCAAAGATAGTCATTATTATCAACCACTGCTGTGCTTCTTTTTATTTAAATCAGAATAGGGAGGTTATGTGGTACTACTGGACAAAGTCTATTACCACTATTAAAAAAGCAACTTGAGAAATCTTAGGTGTGCAAATTAGTGTGGGAGTGGTCAAAGAGAGACAGAGAGTGAAGTGATAGGCCAAGGTGAAATTTGAAGTCTACACCAACGGGCAGTGAAGACGGCAGAGCAAGAGGTATTTAGTCATCTGGATGTGTCATCTTAAGTCGAATGGGGAAGAGGCAAATTCAGCTTTTCAAATAACTGCTTTTTCTAAAACAACAAAACTATCAAAAAATGACTTAATAGTGAGAAGGTAGGCAGAATAAATGATCTGTGGCCTTTTATGTATTGGTCTGTGCTTACCTAAGTAATAGCTGTTTTGATGTAGTCAATGGCCCCTGGCCATGCACTGGGGGCTTTCTTCAATCCAAGAAAAAGTGTGGCCACTGGCCACTAGAGAGCAGCAGAGAGCTAAGAACAGATCTGAGGCTCCTGATGGAGGGACTTCGACACGCCAAGGTTACCACCTCCATCAACCCGCTACCTGAGATAGATGTTCTCCCCACCCCAACCCACTTTGTTGTTGTTGTAGTTTTTGTTTGTTTGGGGAAGATATTCCAATCAAGACGCTGCTTCTGAGGTTGAATGATGCCGGGTTATCATTCAGGAAGTTGTAGCTGTAAAACCTCTCTGTGCCTCAAGGTTGTCATCAGTAAAATGGGGCTACTAATAGCACATAACACACGGAGCTTCTGTGAGCACTAAGCACAAAGACACGGGCATTCAGTGGCTACTCAGTGAACAGTGCCATCGTAAACATCATAATCATTCTGTGGGACTGGGCTTGTTCAGAGCGTTTGGGGTTAAGGTTTCTTTAGACTACTTGGTGCAGGACAGATTTCCTAATTAATTATAGTAGTGTTTCCTTCTGAGCTCAGAAGTGGTTTACAGTCTGCGTCCCCACATGCTGCAGCTGCAATCACTCTCAAATAGCCTCTCACAGATGAGGAGACCTGGCTCACTAAAGATGATAGAACTGACGGGAGATGGAATTAAAGTCTTAAAGAATCCCCTGCCTAGATACCACTCAGGACATAGGCAGTGGCAAAGATTTTATGATGAACATGGGAAAAGTAATTGAAACAAAAACAAAAATTGACAAACGGGGTCCAGTTAAACTACAGAGATTCTGTACAGCAAACAAACAAAAAACCACCCCCCTCCAAAAAAAAAAGCTGTCAACAGAGTAAACAGACAGAATGGCAGACAATTTTTGCAAACTATGCGTTCAGCAAAGGTCTAATATCCATCATCTATGAGAAACTTAAAAAAAATTTACAAGAAAAAAACCACAACCCCATAAGGAAGTGAGCAAAAAAATAGACACTTTACAAAAGAAGATATGCATGCAGCCAACAATCATATGAAAAAAGCCGAACATCACTGATCATTAGAGAAATGCAAATTAAAACCACAATGAGATAGCATCTAACACTAGTCAGATGGCTATTATTACAAAGTCAAAAAATAACAGATGCTGGTGAGGTTGTGGTGAGAAAAGGATGCTTATTAGTTCAGCCATTGTGGAAGACAGTGTGGCGATTCCTAAAAAACCTAAAGAAGACAGAAATACCATTAACCCAGCAATCCCATTACTGGATATATACCCAGAGGAATATAAATCATTCTGTTATAAAGACACATGCATGCGTATGTTCATTGCCAAACTATTCACAATAGCAAAGACATGGAATCTATCTAAATGCCTGCCAATGACAGACCAGATAAAGAAAATGTGGACCATGGAATATTATGCAGCCGTAAGAAATGAATGAGATCGTGTCCTTTGTGGGTACATGGGTGGAGCTGGTAGCCATTATCCTTAGGAAATTAACACAGAACAGAAAACCAAATACCGCATGTTCTCATAAGTGGGAGCTAACTGATGAGAACACATAGACACAAAGACGGGAACAACAGACATTGGGGCCTTTCAGAGGGTGAAGGGTGAGAGGAGGGACAAGATCAGGAAAAGTAACTACTGGGTACTAGGCTTGATACCTGGGTGATGAAATAATCTTTACAACAAACCCCCATGACACAAGCTTACCTATGTAACAAACCTGCATTTGTACCCCTGAACTTAAAATAAAAGTTGAAAGGAAGAACCCCCCTGCCTAAAAGTGATGTTCCTTCTGAAAGTAGGAGAGGCTGGTTTGGAACAATGAAATTAGAAAATATGGTTTCATTACCTTTCAGCCAAAGGTCACTTTAATTGGGCAACTTTATTTTAATTAGAAGTTTTTAGGGTCTTGCTGTTCCCAAAATGTTGGTCTTCAAGAAGGTTAATATTTCTGTAATATAGGTAAATTCCAAACTGGCCCTTGGTTGGATATTCCAGTAAAATAAGAGCTTACTGAGCCCCTGCTCTGGACACAGTATTGTGCTGGATTCTATGGGAGATCCAGGCAGTGTGGAAGAAATGGTCTACAATTCAGGATCATAACAGCCGACACAGTAGGGGGCTGGATGAATCCAAGATGCTTTCCTGTATTTATTACTTCCTGAGGGATTTTTCTGCACAGAAAGGTAACTGGAAGATGTAACTCACTAGTTTTCCAAATAATGACTCATAGGGTTAAGACTGGAGTCACAATGCCAGAACCATATTTCTTTTGTTCACACTCTGAGGGGTGTCGTAAATATCACAAACTATTGACTTTTCACTACCTGTTTTCTCTTTTTTCTGGTTAATGATGCATCCAAGTTGGCTTAATGGACAAAGTTACTCACTAATCACCAGGATAGACAAGTAAACAAAAAAGATCTACAGTAAAAGTATAGTGTGGGGAAAATAAATTGGGGCTTTGGTTGAAGTACGCTAAATATAAGTCAATGGTGGGATGTGGCAGGCAAAAGAGATAACGCAATCTGGAATTACTAATGCCCACTGTCTGAAGGAGGGAAGTGTTAGACCAGTGGCTCTCAATATCTTTAGTCACTGATGTATTTGAAAATATGTAAGCTACGAAACTCTCCTAAGAAATAGTCATATACATATACAAATTTGAACAGACTCTTACAGATTAAATGTTCTTACCTCACCACAATGTCCTGTCAATATTGAATTAATTTCATATTAATCATGTCCTATATATAGATGTACAGGCACTGTCCATGCCTATGAAAAAATAACCAGTCTCCTGTTCTCTCCACCCACCTTAGAGTATGTAGGTGAGTGGGTTCTTGCATCATAGTGATTCTAAATGACTAGAAGTGAAGGGTCTGTCTGGCACAGCAGTTGGGGACCAGTACTGAGATTTCAGGACTTCCGATATGACCGTCTTTGTGGATCAGGCTGCCTTTACATTCAAGGTCGGAAGCAGAGGTGAGGATAAAATTCAATAGCTGCTAACTGCATTGCAGTCAATAGACCCATAAAGTAGGGGGGTTATGTTGGAATTTACTAGATAATGAGATGCATCCTAGAATGTTTAGGGGAAAGTATATGGATGTATAGAGTTAACTTTGAAATGCATCAGAAATAAGATGGATGGATGTATAGACAGTAGAGTAAATGGTTAGATAATTGATAAGCTAAAAATGTTAATGGTGAAATCTAAGTCATGTACACTGTAAAATTCTTTCATTTTTCTGTTCCATATTAAAAGTATAGAGAAATATAATTTGGAATTCACTCAGCCAAGTCAATCCCAATGGCAGTAACTAATTCAATGGAAATATTCCATCACTGTGATTATTTCCAGGAAATGAAACTTAACTCACAATAATTAATGCTGATTGTGCTTGTCATTAATCTTTTTGGAATCTGTCTCACTCCATTTTCTCAGTTTCGTATGACAGCCATTCATAGAGAATTGGGTTTTATAGAGCAACACTTTCTCCTCATGCTTGAAGAAGGTGGCTGTAGTGGTGGGAAATGTTCTGTGTGGAGGGCATTTGCTGTTCTAATTTTCTCAAGGGGCAAAATGTAATGGAAACATAATAGAGTAAATGCTCATGGATGTAAAGCGTTTTTAAAAAGTTGCAGTTTTATGTGTTTCTATCTTTCTTGTATTTTTTTTAAGATGGAGTCTTGCTCTGTTGTCTAGGCTGGAATGCAGTGGCCCATTCTCGGCTCACTGCAACCTCCGCCTCCCATGTTCAAGGGATTCTCCTGCTTCAGTCTCCCAAGTAGCTGGGATTACAGGAGCGTGCCACCACACCTGGATAATTTTTGCATTTTTAGTAGCGACGGGGTTTCACCATGTTGGCCAGGCTGGTCTCGAACTCCTAACCTCAGGTGATCCACCTATCTCAGCCTTCCAACGTGCTGGGATTACAGGCGTGAGCCACTGTGCCTGGCCAGCATTTTTTGGTGTTTATTTATAGCATAATTCATTTGCTTTAGATCAAGATAAATAATACCAGCCATTTCTATATGTAAGTCATTCTGTCTCTTCTGGACCCAAAGTATATTAGTTATACCGTCCCTGTGCTTAGGCTTACTCAGTGCTTAGGTCAACAACCTGTTGGCTGTTTTATTGCTTTGTGTTTCTTAGCAGAAGTGTGTGTGTGTGTGTGTGTGTGTGTGTGTGTGAGAGAGAGAGAGAGAGAGATTCTGTCCTCCTTGCCCTGGAGCCCATCACCTGTACATTTAATTTTCATTGCATGTAATGATAAAAGACAGTCCTTTGTTATTTAATTGAAAATAAACCTACTTTTGCTTTATTCCATGACACAATTTTTAGAATTCCGTATGACCTTTTTTTTTTGGAGTGGGGGATAAATTTATACTTAGAGGAAAGTCACAAAAATAGTACAGAGTTCCCAAACATGCTTCACCTGCCTTCTCTAATGCTGACAAATGACATAACCATTGTATAATCACTAGCATCAGGATATTGATGTGGTTACAATAGTGTTAATGAATCCATGGACTTTATTTGTATTTCACTGATCTCCCCACAAATATGGTTCCCTTTTTCTGGTCTGCGATTTAGCCTAGTATCTCACGTTACATTTCGCTGTTGGGTCTTTTCTATACAGTAGTGTCTCTCGTTTCACTTTGCGCTATTTCAGCTACCTGCGGTCAACCATGGTCCAGAAATATTAAATGGAAAATTCCAGAAACACACAATTCATAAGTTTTAAACTCAGTGCCCTTCCGAGAAGCATGATGAAGTCTTGCATCGTCCGACTCCATCCTGCCCAGGATGTGAATCCCCCCTTTGTCTGCCATCTCCACATGGCTTATTCCACCACCTGTGAGTCACACAGTAGCTGTCTCAGTGATCAGATCAACTGTCGCTGTACTGTAGTGCTTCTGTTCAAATCACTTTTTTTTTTTTTTTTGAGATGGAGTCTCACTCTGTCGCCCAGGCTGGAGCGCAGTGGTGTGCTCTCAGCTCACTGCAACATCCGCTTCCCGGGTTCAAGTGATTCCCCTGCCTCAGCCTCCCCAGTGTGTGCCACCACACCCAGCTAATTTTTTGTATTTTAGTAGAGACGGGGTTTCACCATGTTGGCCAGGATGATCTCGATCTCCTGACCTCGTGATCTACCTGCCTCGGCCTCCCAAAGTGCTGGGATTACAGGCATGAGCCACTGCGTCCGGCCTCAAGTCACCTTTATATTTAATAAGGGGCCTCAAAGTGCAAGACGAGTGATGTCGGTAATTCAGAATTGCCAAAGAGAAGCCAGGAAGTGCTTCCATCAAGAGAAAGGATGAAAGTTTGCAACTTTATAAGAAAATTTTAAAAATCATATGCTGAGGTTGCTAAAATCTTCACTAAGAACAAGTGTTTCTTTTGTGAAATTATGAAGGGTATTCTGTTACAATTATTCTATTTTGTTATTAGTTATTGCTGTTAATCTCTTACAGTGCCTAATTTATAAATTAAACTTTATCATACATATGTGTTTTCAGGTAAAAACATAATATCGATAGGGTTTGTACTATCCATGGTTTCAGGCATCCAAAGGCAGTGTTGGAATATATTCCCTGTGTATAATGGGGTCTACTGTAAATTCCTAGAAGTGAAATTGCTGAGTTAAAATGTAATTCTATGTAGTTTTATTAGACAATGCCAGAAGTCTCCCGGAGGTTTATACCAGTTTGCATTCCCACCAGCAATGTATGAGTGTGCCTATTTCCTAAAAACATAACCAACAGAATGTGTTCTCATACATTTTGTTCTGTCAGTCTAATAGGTGAGAAATGGTATCTCACTGTTTATTAAAATTGTCATTTCTCTAATTATGAGTGAGCTTTAACATTATTTATTATTTGAGGGCTATTTTTATTTAATTTTTGTGAATGGTCTGTTGATACCTTTTCTCCACTTTTCTATTGGGATTTTGGTTCTTTACTTTTCAATTTTTAAGAGTTTTTTTTTTTTTTTTTTAAGTTTCTCTTTGGTATTTTTTCCATATACTTTCTTCCAGGGAGTCAATTATCTTTTTACTTTGATTTGACATTTTTTCCTCTATAAAAAGATTTTTAAAAGTTTATGCAATCACATTTATCAATCTTTTATTGCTATACTAAGTTAGAAAGCTTACTGTATACTGAGGTTAAAAGGGAATTCTCTTGTGTTTTTCTCTGAGACCTGTATGCTTCCTTCTCTTCTTCCTTCTTTGCATTTAGATTCCTGATCCATCTGGAGTTCATTCTAGTGTATGGTGTGAGGTATTGATCTTTTCCTAAGTGACTTTATAGTTGTCCCAGAACTCTTTATTTGAAAAGTTTATCATTGTTCCAATGATTTAAGATAACATTTTTATCTTATATTAAGCTTTCACTGGTATTTGGCTTGACTTCTAGACTTTGTATTTTGTTCTACTGATCTGTTTGTATATTCGTGTACCAGTATCACCTTGTCTGAAATACAGAGGCAGTGTAATATGTCCTAACTTCTAGAAGGCCTGGTTGCCCTTGTTTTCTTGCTCACAGGACTGACAAAGGCTTCAACATTTTTTCCCTCTTGTTCATTTTAAAAATCATATTTTTCTTTGTCTCGTTTAGTGTTCCTTATATTTAATTCAATTTTGTTAGATGTGACCACTACAATACTTTCTTTTACAAGTTTGAATTTATCTGCATATTTTCATTTTTCCCCTTTAAGGAAGAAAAAATCCAAGTAATATATTCACAAAAACAAATTGTGCTAAAAAGCTTATTTTAAAAAAGGAAAAAACAACAATAAAAATCGGTTTCCTGGTCTCTCTGCACCCTACCTGCATTGTTACTTATCACATGCAACCAACTCCTTATACTCCTTTTCATGTTTTTAGTATTTACTTCTATATCATTAATATTATGCTTATATTATTATTGCTTTATTTGTTACTTAAAACATAGTTTTCTGACTTTCAAGGTAGTGGAGATGTTGCTTTCCACTCTCCCCTCCTTGAACCCCAATCATCTTTAACCAGGAAAATCCCAAGACAACACCACACATTTTCTTCCTTAATGATTGTATTATTTTTAACATTGAACTTGATTTTATTTTTTAGTAGTTTATTTCCCTCCAGTAATTTGGAATACATAGTCAAATTTTTTGTTCTTCTTGTAATTGATTTGAGTATTTAGCTAAAATGCATAATATTTATCAGTTTTTGAAATTAAAACTGATTTGGTGAGTATTGATTACTCCCATGAGAGATGAGGAAACTAGTTCACTTTCTGTGACTCACAGAATACCTACAACCCCTTTCTACTTTCTGTCTTGTATTGGTAGACTCAAGAGATTTCATTACACTTCATTATAATTAAAATAATAAATAGTTACATGAAGTATAATGAAACTATTATAAACTATAATACTATAATAAAATGAAATACTATAATAAACTATAACATAATACTGTAAGACTGTAATAAAATTTTTTTTGTTCAAGAATTAAAATATTCACATTCAGTTTTATAAACATAGCCAAAATAGCCACCTAGACTAAATTATCTACTGAGATAGTTCTAAGGTCTTCCTAATTCCTTCATAGAAAGATTCGCCTTTTGTGATTTATTTTGATTTTTACCTTGATTAGCAGGGTTATGTCCTTGTGATATTTTAAAGAATAGTAGATATTAATATGCTTCCTGAATCCCTGCATATTTGAGAATTTCTCTGTGTTTTTGTCATAAAGAGTGAAAACTAAGTTGGGGAAAATTCTTGGATTATACATGCCAGCACAATAATCATGCTTCCTGTACAGCCTGTGGAAGCATAAGCCAATAAAACCTCTTTTCTCTATTAAAAAAAAGAATTTAGTAGACTTTCTCCATTGTTTTTTGGCATCTACATTTGTTTGAAGAACTCTGGGGCTGGTTTTCAAATTCAATAACTTATTCAAGAATAAACATACAATCCTCAATGTTTATAGATGTTAAGTGGTGAATGTTGATTCTTTTAAATCTGCATCCCAAATGTATTTCAATTCAGGAACTTAGTTAAATTTGTGCTGCTGTAACAGAATACCTAAGACTAGGTATTTATAATGAACAGAATGTATCTCTCACAGTTCTGAGGCTGGCAAGTCCAAGATCAAGGTGCCAGCAAATTCAGTTGTCTTGTGAGGGCTGCACTCTGCTTCCAAGATGGTGCCTGGTTGCTGCATCCCCTGGAGTGGAGGAACGTTGTGTCCTCCCATGGAATGACAGGGCCAAAAGCTGCATGAAGCCTTTTTAATAAGGGCCTAATCCCATTCTTAAAGGAGGACCCTTCATGGTCTACTCATTTCATAAAGGCCTTGCCTGTCAATCCTATCACATTGGCCACTAAGTTTCAACACCTGACATTTTTCCAATTTTTTATTATAGATAATGTTTTACAAATCCAGTATCATTTTTTTTCTGCAGTGCTTATTCAGCATTTTGCTGCTGCAATTGTTTTAATTCCATTTCCCTTTATAATGAAAACTGTTTTGTTATTTCCTCTTTAATATGAAATATGGGATATACATGTTATCTGCAATTTCCTTGAGAATATGAAACATTGTTGAAATATTACTTTTCTTTCCTGAGATAATTTTTAACACAATTGTCTTCTTTATTTATAGGCTGTTTTTCTTTCTTTCTATTTGGTGTTGTCATTGCAGACTACTTTTGCATATGTCTCCTCTCTCCCATTTAAAAACTATTATCAATCTCTTGAGTGTTGACAATTCTATCCAAGTCTTCGTTTTGATCCTTCAGTCTGCACAAAGATTCATCTGGTTCCCTTCTTTGTTTTCATGGTGATAGGGTTTGGCTGTGGCCCCACTCAAATCTCATCTTGAATTCCCATGTGTTGTGGGAGGGACCTGGTGGGAGATAACTGAATCATGGGAACAGGTCTTTCCCGTGCTGTTCTCATGATAGTGAATAAGTCTCATGAGACCTGATGGCTTTATAAGGCAGAGTTTCGCTGCACAACCTTTCTCTTTGCCTGCTGCCATCCATGTAAGACGTGACTTGCTCCTCCTTGCCTTCCACCATGATTGTGAGGCTTCCCCAGCTATATGGAACTGTAAGTCTATTAAACTTCTTTCTTTTGTAAATTGCCTAGTCTCAAGTATCTTTATCAGCAGTGAGAAAAGGGACTAATACAGTAAATTGGTACCAGTAGAGTGGGACACTGATGAAAAGATACCTGAAAATGTGGAAGCAACTTTGGAACTGGGCAACAGGTAGAGGTTGGAACAGTTTGGATTGCTCAAAAGAAGACAGGAAAGTGTGGGAAAATTTGGAACTCCCTAGAGACTTGTTGAATGGCTTTGACCAAAATGCTGATAGTGATATGGACAATAAGGTCCAGGCTGAGGTGGTCTCATGGAGATGAGGAACTTTTTGGGAACTGGAGCAAAAGTGACTCTTGTTATGTTTTAGCAAAGAAACTGGCAACATTTTGCCCCTGCTGTAGAGATTTGTGGAACTTTGAACTTGAGAGAGATGATTTAGAGTATCTGGCGGAAGAAATTTCTAAGCAGCAAAGCATTGAAGAGGTGACTTGGGTGCTGTTAAAGGCATTCAGTTTTAAATGGGAAACAGCATAAAAGTTTGGAAAATTTGCAGCCTGACAATGTGATAGAAAATAAAATTCCATTTTCTGAGGAGAAATTCAGGCCGGCTGCAGAAATTTGCGTAAGTCATGAGGAGCTGAATGTTAATCACCCAGACAATAGGGAAAATGTCTCCAGGGTATGTCAGAGACATTTGCGGCAGCCCCTTCTAACACAAACATGGAGATTTAGGAGGAAAAAATGGTTTTGTGGGCTGAGCCCAGAGTCCCTTTGTTGTGTGCAGTCTAGGAATTTGGTGCCCTGCATGTCACCTGCTCCAGCCGTGACTAAAAGGGTCCAGGGTACAGCTCAGTCTGTTGCTTTAGAGGGTACAAGCCTCAAGCCTTGGCAGGTTCCATGTGGTGTTGAGCCTGCCAGTAAGCAGAAGTCAAGAATTGGGGTTTGGGCACCTCCACCTAGATTTCACAGGATGTATGGAAAAGCCTAGATGTCCAGGCAGAAGTTTGCTGCAGGGGTGGGGCCCTCATAGAGAACCTCTGCTAGGGCAGTACCTAAGAGAAATGTGGGGTCAGAGCCCCCACACAGAGTCCCTACTGGGGCACTGCCTAGTGGAGCTGTGAGAAGACAGCCACCAACTTCCAGACCCCAGAATGATAGATACACTGACAGCCTGCACTGTGCACCTGGAAAAGCCACAGACACTCAACACCAGCCCATAAAATCAGCTGGGAGGAAGCAGTACCCTGCAGAGTCATAAGGATGGAGCTACTCAAGACCATGGAATCCACTTCTTGCATCAGTGTGACCTGTATGTGAGACATGGAGTTAAAGGAGATAATTTTGGAGCTTTAAGATTTGCCGTCCCCACTGGATTTTGGAGTTGCATGGGGCCAGCCTGTAGCACCTTTCTTTTGGCCAATGTCTCTAATTTGGAATGGCTGTATTTACCCAATGTCTGTACCCCCATTGTATCTAGGAAGTAACTAACTTGCTTTTGATTTTACAGGCTCATAGGCAGAAGGGACATGCCTTGTCACAAGTGAGGCTTTGGACTGTGGACTTTTGAGTTAATGCTAAAATGAGTTAAGACTTTGGAAGGCTGTTGGGAAGGCGTGATTGGTTTTGAAATGTGAAGACATGAGATTTGGAAGGGGCCAGAAGTGTAATGATATGGTTTTGCTGTGTCCCTACTCAAATCTCATCTTGAATTCCCATGTATTGTGGAAGGGACCTGGCTGGAAGTGACTGAATCATGGGGGCAGGTCTTTCCGATGCTGTTCTTGTGATAGTGAATAAGTCTCACAAGATCTGATGGCTTTATAATGTGGAGTTTCACTGAACAACCTCTTTCTTTGCCTGCTGCCATCCATATAAGATGTGACTTGCTCCTCCTTGCCTTCTGCCATGATTGTAAGGCTTCTCCAGCCACGTGGAACTGTAAGTCCATTAAACTTCTTTCTCTTATAAATTGCCCAGTCTTGGATATGTCTTTATCAGAAGCATGAAGATGGACTAATACACATGGGTAGCATTCTAAGATTTCCTTGGGGAACAAGCACAGAGGTGGGGAGCAATATTTGATAAGTTTCTCCCCAGTTCTCTTATTTGACTCCCTGTTGCTGACATGAGGAAAAGCTGGGAGTAGAGACTGGCCATACATGGCCAGAAAAATCTTACTATTTTCTTACCCTTTTTAATGAATTATTTATTCTGCTTTTTGGAGGAAAATTTACAAACCTCCACTTATGAGACTGTCTTTTTTATCCAGGGTTTTTTTCTGTCTGCCTCTCTGTCAGTTTGAAATGTTATTTACCTTCTGTTTTTCAACATACATGCATATGTGTGTGTGTGTGTGTATACATGCATGTGCATATGTAGTATTTGTGTGTGTTTAGAGACAGAGAGAGAGAGAAAAAGAGATAGAGAAGAGAAAGGAGCGAGAAAAATCAAAGAGAAGAGAAGATAGTAAGAGATAATCCAGCTAGATAATGATATACTATAGGTTGAAAGCTCTCTTAACCCTTTTCATATAATCCATGTGCCCAACTCAGTGCCTTTCTTAAAATAAATTTGCATCCCAAATTTATTTCAGTCCAGGGACTTTGTTTTGTGCTGCTGTAACAGAATACCTGAGACTCAGTATTTATAAAGAAGAAAATTTGTTTTTCACAGTTCTGAGACTGGGAAGTCCAAGATTAATGTGCCAGCAAGTTAAATTATCTGGTGAGGGCTTCTCTCTGCTTCCAAATGGTGCCTGGTTTCAAGTGGCAGTAACAGTATTTGTGTGTGGACCACTGACTCAGCCAGGCATGCTACTAAGCACTTTCACATAAAATATTTTATTTCACATACTCAACAGTATTAATGTGATATTTACCTTATTGTTCCATTTTATATAATAAATTTATCAGAGGCTACATTGTCAGTAAATGGAGAAGCCATGACTCCAACCCTGGACTGTCTGACTCCAAGGCAAATCCTCTTGACCAGCACATGTCCCTCTTAAACAACTTCTAATATTCTCCTTTAGCTGTGGGCCTGACTGCCTCAGATCTCAGGGGGCCGGGACCATGAACACCTGAGCAGTATCTACTGTTGTTTTGTGTTTGTTTGTTTTTATACAGAGTGACCAGATTTCAATCCCCCTCATGAAAAAGTTGAAGATACCTCATAATTTCTTAGAATTTAACATGACATTATAAATCCAAACTTTAGTGGCTGAGAGCCAGCCATGGGAGCTGCCTTAGGAGGAGTTGGTACTTTCCGTTGATGGCACATACTCATGAACTATAGGCTGCAGCATTATCCTAGGACAATTGGAGGGAGCTCTTTCAGTCCTTCCTGGTAGTTTGGCATATTAAACTTTGTCTGGTCTGTGTCATCCTAAATAACAAACAGAGAGAGGTTCTGTAAAAGAAAACATGCTTATTTGACAATAGAGTGCTGTAATGGTTACATAGTTATATGTAAACTATGTAATGACATAGCTTACATGTCAGTAAACTATGTGTTTTCCGGGAGGTAAAAGATAAGTGTTTGGATGGAAAAATAAGGAGGATTATATAACTGTTTTGAAATAATGATCTTGGCTACAGAGAGCAATAATAAAGGTCACTCTAGTCTGAGACTGCACAGGCAGTTGCTGGGCAGATGTTCTCATAGGAGTATTGTTGTGTACGGCTGCAATGACCTTTGCATAAGGTTATACTTTTCATAGGGTAGGGTCTTCTGTTGTTATAATGTATAACAACAAAACCCTTTCTTCATGAGGGCCCTCTCTTCAGGGTCTTCCCTGGCTGTGTTTGTCAGGGCTTTTTTGTGCTTTTTACATTAGCGACTCTATTTTCACTTTGACAACTTTCATGCCTGATTGGATCCTGCCTTCCTCAGCCTTTTGTGGATCTCAGGCAATTGATCTTAGGAACTTGGAATATGCCTGTACTCTTGATTTGGTGGCATCTCACTGACCACATAAGCCACGTTCTCAAACCTTGGCTTTCTTGCTTTGACCTTCATTGCATTGGATTTCAACATGACCTGTAAGGACAGTGGTGCCCTGGTTCCTTCTAAGCATTAGATCTTGCCCAGGATGTTGACACTGAAAGGGTAGACAGGACAGTTCCTATGTGTGGATGACATTTTAAATGAATTGAAGCATTGAAGAAATGGGAAGTCATTTCACCTAAATCTATTAAGAAGAAGAGAAATAAAAGAAGAAAAGGGAAGAAGGGAGAGAGAGAGAGAGACTAAGACTTTATTTGTCTCAAACTTTCTTTAGGCACTTCACAAGCTTAGGGATGAAAGCTCTGTTTGGGGCAGCACAGAACAGCTATATTGATAATTGAGGGCAGATAATAACAAATAATTGCTAACACTTTTACAGCACTTACTAGTGGCCACATTTAATATTTAATCCTCACAGCAAGCCTATATGGTAGGTATTATCATTATATTTCTGCTTTAGAGATGAAGAAATTCCAGCTCATAAAGAGGGAGAGTGGCACTTCCCATGTTCTGAGTGGGTGAGCATGACCCAGCCCTTCCTTGTTGTAGACTGAAATGGAGAGAAGATTTTCACTGGAACTAACTGAATAGTCTTCAAGCCTTGAGCTTTTATATTTTCAGGACTGAGTGCCCTGCTGTCTGCTGCCAATATGGCCTGAGATTCCAGCCACAGTGGGCTTGATGGCACCGTGTCACTCAGAAATGGGGGACAAAATGCCTGTCACATGCCAGGAAACTCTGAATGTTGCCCTGAAGTAACAATTGCACTTAACAATCAATAATCAATTTTTACCAATTCACAGATATTTCTTTTCCCCTTTCTGCCCTTTCAGATTCTTTGCTCCATTCCTTGTTTTCTTTTTCCAAAAATAATTCACATATTCTTATCCAAGAAACCTTAATTCTCTTGAATTTTTTTTTCAGAATTCAATGTCTGAAGATCATGCTTTGATTTCAAAATGGCCACTTACTCCATTACTAGATAGATTCTGAAGTGGGCTGAACTGGACACTGGAGGTGGTGGATAATTAAGGTTTCTTGGATAAAGGATATGTTATTTCTGCCCTTGTGGACACTTCCTTGAGTGTGTAGAGAGAGGTGGAGGGAGGTAGGACTGTGGTTAGTTTCAGTCTCCTTTTATTGGAGGTCCTAATATTGCAAGATATTGAATACTTGGAAACCAATTCAAGTGAGGTGTCCTCTATAAAGTGATTATAGCATCATTACCTCATAAGCCCTCAAGGAATCAAGATACTCATGGAAAGGATATGTGATTAATTGCCTTTTCTAGTTTACAGAAATTTATGCGGGAAACTGTTTCTTTCAATTAATGTTGAGACCCTTTTTAAAAACAAGGGCATTATAGGAAGCACAAATGAATCCTTTCTTTTTGTCCTGGAAAATTTATAGTACCTGAGGACTGTCATTCTGAACTTCATTTTCATTATGTAGTAATATAGTTGTAGAAGGTATACGTAAACAGCAGAATGTGTACAAATCCCAGGTTATCCCTGAGAACACAGATTACAAATAATTCTTGACACAAACCTGTTTTGTTGCCATTTTTTTTTCTTTAGGGTAATAAGGTGTAATGGAATGAGAATGGAACAAGCACAGGATCTGGAGACACAAGCCAGGTCTCCAGTCACTGCTTAGCCGGAGATGAATGGCTGGAGACCTTGGACACAATGCTGCCTTGGGTCTCAGGAGGAGTTGCACCAGAAGATTTGTAAGGAATATTCCAGCAGTAATATTTGATGATTTATGAGTTTGGGGAGGGAAAGAAAAAAAAATAAAAGAAGGAAGGAAGGGAGAGGGAAGGAGACAAGGAGGGAGGGAAGACATTGAAAGAAATCAGGACTGGTTCAAATTAGTTGGGTTTCTCATCTGCTTGTAACAAGGACAACACTAGTGATGCATAAATATTCAAACCTCCCATCCCTCTGCTTTTTAACAGAGATGGGGTGGGGTTGTGGGGGAAATGAGTTACTTGGTGTCCAGCCAATTGTCTGGCCATGGTTCTTTTTGGATGATCAGAGTAGATGTCTAAAGCTGCAGAATTGGGAGTAGCTGAGAAAGACTAGATTTATCCACATTTAAAAAGGCAGACAAACCAAATCTGGAAAAGTAAGTTTCTGGGGTAGAGATTGTTGAGCAGCTGCTGGGAAGATTTGGGGGAAATAGATGAGCAGAGAGGATATTTAGGAAATTTTGCTATGTGTGTCATGAAAATGTAAACTATGCTTTCCACTCTTCAAGACTTCAGTCAATGCTTAAATTGTTTCTTAATGCTCTTTATTTGTTTGACTTGTGTCTTCCTTGAGTATCACACCATGCCAAGAATGGCCCCATTTTATCAGTGTTAGAAGGGATTTTGTTCGATTGAGAATGGGGAAATGTAGGCAGATTCAAACTCTCATGGAGCATCCAGACAATACTTGTGTTAGGCTTTTTTCGAAGTGGACTTCAAAGACTATAGAGCTGAAGGAAAATGGAGAATCACAAAGGCAGGATGAAACTTTGACAATAATATGCAGGTCTTTGGTTGGTAGTAGAACAATAAAGTTTGTTGTTGCTTTGTTCTTAAATGAGAAATGTTCTTTGGATTGCCCATCTGCCTTTTTTGATTCTGAAAAGTCTTTCTCCAGCAGTCACATGCCCTCTTGGGAGTGGTCAGCAGGGAACTGATGACAGAATGGGGCAGAGTCTCAGTGAAGGCAGAGCTGATGCAAGAGCCTTGTGGTTGAAACGGTCCCTGAACAGTGCTCAGTGAAGCTCCTGAGTGTGGCTGCTATGGGCACTGCAGGAGGAGCCCCCTCTGACAGCAGCTTCTGCTCCAGGCAGCTGCTTCTCCCCACAATATGTTGGAGATCAGCAGGGGAGGAATGCATGGCAGGGATTTTTCTAACTTGCCCTTTATTTTGGGTTCTCTGGTGATTTGAGGGTCCTCTCCAGCTTGTGAGGATGTCTAACCTGGCTAAAAGCTAACAGATTGCTGTGAATGCATGATAATTAGAATTAGATAAAATCATTTATAAACATTATTCTAAATATGAAGGCTCCAGCTGCTGATGGCTTTTTTGAAGGCATTCTGTTTGCAGTTTAGAGTGTAGGGATTTATTGCTCTGCATCAAGTATTCTCTTGGCTATCTCATTTTTTTTGGGGGGGGATTTCCTTTGGGCATTTTCACTTCTAAAAATCTGCTCCTGGAAGGATTATTTGAGTTGGGAGATGGTCTGAGGAATGGAAATCAGTTGGCTAAAATTCATTCTAATATAGAAATTATTGGGGAGAAAGCAAAAATCTTCCTCACACATGTTCTTGGACCAGGGAAGGCCATCGATATGTCTATTTGGTGATGGGGTCTCTCTGCCAAAATATGTCTTTGAGGTTAAAAACAAGAACAATACTTTCTGAGTTTGTATGTGTTGAAGAAAGTGGTTTCTTTTAATGCTGCTAAATATTTCATTTTTTTCTTTAGGTTGTAATTTAAAACACAAATACAAAGGCAAGACCATGTCTTTAAAATAGAAATAAAACTAGACCATCAGTACTCATGTGAAAATGCAAAATAAAAATGTATGTTAGTAACCATATACTCCATTAAAACAAATTTTAGAAAGCTTGAAATAGCATTTTTAACTCACCTTAGTGGCACAGGAGATACAAATAAGTTTCTCAAGTTTTTTTAAAAAATAATTTATTCTTTTTACTGTCTATTGACTGCAAGGTAACTCTACACTGTGGGAAAATCTCCTAGGATAGATGATATATGAAATTTCCTGTTTTCTTCCCTGGCATTGGGACTTTTGCTCTTCAGTTAGTTCTGCTACATATTATAACCTCTGCTTTGTAACTAAATTGAATGTGCTCTCTACAGAGAGTTTACCAGATAGAATTTTGCAATTTAATATAGTAGGTAAAAGAGAATCCCCGTTGTTCATCTTTAGGTAAATGCTGAGAAGATGTGTGGGAAAGCAAACTCACTTTGTACATATAAATGTGCTCTCCAGTGCTTTACCAAACCCTGAGACAGGGCCTCTTCACTATTTGGGCTGCTGGAACCTGAGAGAGAGAAGGCCTTTTTGGGGTTGGAGTGCCCGTAGGGGGCTGCTTGCTCCACAGCAGGTTCTGGAGACTGGGCACACCAGCAGGCACGTTGACCTAGGCCAATAAAGACAGCAAGGCCAGAAAAGTCAGAATAAAGACCTGGAGAAGTTCTATACTAGCACCTCAGGGGTGAAATGCAGCAATAAATGCAGAATGAAATATAAGGGAGAGAAGCACGTAGGGGTAGAGAGGCATTAAATGGGCTTACAGAAGGTGTCCAAGGTGAGCAAAGTGGGTGATATGGGTTGATTTGTGTCCCCATCCAAATCTCATGTCAAATTGTAATCCCCAGTGTTGGAGGAGGGGCCTGGTGGGAGGTGATTGGATCATGGGGGCAGATTTCCTCCTTGCTGTTCTTGTGATAATGAGTGAGTTCTCATGAGATCTGGTTGTTTAAAAGTGTGTAGCACCTCTTCCTGCTCTCTTTTCCTCCTTCTCTGGCCATGTAAGATGTGCCTGCTTCCCCTTCACCTTCCTCCATGATTGTAAGTTTCCTGAGACCTCCACGGCCATGCCTCCTGTGCAGGCTGTGGAACTGTGAGTCAATTAAACCTCTTTTCTTTATAAATTACGCAGGCTCAGGTAGTTCTTTACAGCAGTGTGAGAAAGGACTAGTACAATGGAGATTTTGTGTTTCAAATTATATTTTTTTTTTATAAAAATGAAAACTGTTTACTGCAGAAAAATTGGAAATGGAAGAAAACTTTTTAAAAGAAAAAAAAAATTATGTGTGCTTTCTATATTTTCCTTCATTATAGCTAACCATTTACAATGTTTTACTGAGTGTCCTTACTTTAGTTCATTTTCCCAAGCCTAAATACCTAATTAAGATTACATTATCAATTTTGTATGTGACTAGAGTTCTACATTCCTTTTATGTCACTGTAAAGGAATACCTGAGGCTGGGTAATTTATGAAGAAGAGAGGTTTATTTTGGCTCATGGTTCTGTAGGCTGTACAGGAAGCATGGCACTGGTATCTGCTCCTGGTGAGGCCTCAGGAAGCTCTTACTCATGGCAGGAGGTGAAGGGGAGCCAACATATCACATGGAGAGAGAGAGGAAGCCAGAGAGAAAGGAGGAGGAGATAGTCTTTTTTAAACAACCACTTCTCCTGTGAACTCATTGCTACAGGAAGGGCATCAAGCCATTCATGAGGGATCTATTGCCCTGGCCCAAACACTTCCCACCAGGCCCCACCTCCAACATTGGAAATAACATTTCAACATGAGATTTGCATGGGATACACATCCAAGCCATGCCAATAATTATATGTCATTCTTTTTTTCTCTTAATGCTAGTCATTTATTCAACATTGAAGAAGCATTTGCTTTATGCTTGCTTTTGGTCTTGGGGTTTAATAATGAGCAATACAGAGGTTCGTCTCTCACACTGCTTCTGTTTTTGGGAGAATAAAGTATACCATCAGGCAGTGACAATGCGGCATTATTTACTTGATGCCTTTGTGAAGAGAATCCTCCAGAGGAATGCATGGTGAAGACTACTTTGGAAACATATGCAACTCCATGGTCAATAAGCATGCCCTTAGTACCAGACTGGGAGCCTTAGGAAAGCTTTTCTGCAGTGGAAGCTGTGCTCAGGGAAGGACCTATCCGGGGTGATGAAGAACATTCTAGGTAGAGGTCATAATGCACGTAAAGGTTGGAAAATTAGAGAACATACGACCCTAAAATGACTCCCCTGGGGATATGGAACAGGAGGCAGGTCTCAGGTCTTTAAGGAAGCATGTTGGAGTTTTCAGCTGTAAATAGGCTAACATTAGCCCTTATGAAGGCTGTGTTAGGTTCTGGTTGAAGATAAGTAGGGTAAAGGAGAAGTGTGCAAATTAGAACTACCTCCTCTTGTGAAGCTTATACATAGTTGGCTGGTCAAGTTGTAAACACTTGAAAATAAAGATGATGAGGCAAGACTACTGCTATGGCTTTAAGTGTCCCCAGAAATTTAAGTGTTAAAAACTTAATTGCTGTTACAACAGCATTAAGAGGTGGTACCTTTAAGAGGTGATTAGGCTATGAGGGATCTTCTCTCATGAAGGGATTAGTGCCCTTATTGTTACAGTGAGTTAGCTACCCTGAAAATGGGCTCCTGATTAACAAAAAAGTTTGGCCCCATTGCTCTCTCTGTTTCACATGCTTACTTGCCCTCCTGCTATGGAACTGTGCAGCAACAAGGCCCTCACCAGAGGTCAATGCCATGCTCTTAGAATTCCCAGCCTCTGGAACTGTAAGACAAATGCACTTCTGTTCCTTATAAATATCTCATTCTTTGGCATTGTGTTACAGCAGCAGAAAACGGACTAAGACAACTGTTGTCATATTCCCACCACCCAATTTATCAACCTTACCTCCACAGATACTTAAATGCATTCTCCTGTTACAGGGAGTTTGACACTGCTTCTAAGACCAATCTGTTATCTGTGTTCAGGATCCTGTCTTCTATCATCTCCTCAACGGCTTTGCTTTTTCTCTTTTCCTATTGTCTACTCCTATTTCCTGTGCATCACCATATACACACACTCTCAAGTCCTCCATATTAAGAAAATATATATTGACTTCATATTCTTCTCCAGGGATGAACTTATTTCTCTACCTCTTTCACAGAGTAATGTCTTCAAGGTGATTCAACTGTTGTCTCCCCTTTCTTCTCATTTCCCCTTTTCTTCCCCAAACTCCAGTAAGACTTCTGTCATGTCTACTCTTCTGCCATCAATTACATCCAGGTTGCCAAATCTGTGGTGATTTATCTGTGCTCTTCTTATTAGTACTCACTGGAACTTTTAACATAGTTGAACACTCCTGTTATGAAGCACTTTATATCCAAAACATCCATGGCAGGACACTCACCTGCTATTCACCCTAACCTTTGGCTCTGTCTCTTCTGTTCAATCTATTAAGGTTGTAGTGCCATGGGGCTCAGTCCTGGACCATCCTGTTTTTTGTTTTGTTTTTCTCTAGCCTACTTCTAATTTCCTCTTCCTCATTTGGTAACTAACGTCTCCATTACCCCAGTGTCTTCACCAAAATAGCCTATTCCTCTCACTGGTGATATCTAATTTATGAGCAAGTTGCTTTTAGCTCTAAAATATGACCACCTTTCTCCAATTTTAATTCTATCTTGAAGTCAAATAGCAGCCTCTCATCTGGACTGCTGTAAAGGCTTCCTAACTGGTTTCTCAGCTTCCACTTACCTCAATTCCGCTATGCCTTCCTAAAACATAAAGGGTTGTTGAGCTAAAAACAATTAAGAAGAAACAGATGCAGAAAAGCTCTCTTCTTTCTCCCTATTTTCCTAAATGTAGTGCATAAATTTGAAAGGTATTCCTCTCCCCTCTCTACCAGGAAGGACAGAAGTCAATTACTGGAGACAATTCTTATCAGTTCACATATGACACCAGAGGAATCTGCAAACAAGCCTGACTCCATTAATTTTCTCCCATATATTTACCTTTCCACAGTTTCCTGCCTCTGGAAGCCTAGAACTCCTTTCCTTTGTCTTACTACTTCTCTAAAATTTATTGTTTGTTATTAGAGATCATATATAAGCCAGAGTTCTAAGCCACTGCTTTGAGTTACCTTTCATTGAGATGCACACTGCACACATTAATAAACTAACTTGTTTTATTCTTGTTAATCTATCTTTCATGACAGGAGTCTGTCCCAGCTGCTAACTTATGATGTCTGGTAATTCCCTCGCTTAAAGCACTTTAGTAAGAAGCTCTTGCCCTTAGAATAAAATCCAAACCCTACCCTATGGTTTGCAGTGTGTTTTCTTCTTCCCCTCTGACACCATGTTTAACATTCTGCTAATTTACTACCCATTGGTACTTTGTTTATTTCCTGTTCCAGATCAGTTAAGTCAATATGGCTTCTTCCTCGGGGAATTCACACTTCTGTCATCCTTCACATGGAGTGTCTGCGTGATTTCACATTGACTTTCTTTTTCATTTAAGTGGTTTTATTTTTTTGATATTATGTTTGGGTCTTGTCATCATGGTTTTTCCACGCAAGTGTAATTTATGTGATCTGCTAGGCACTAATCTAACTCCTTTATCTAAATAGGCTCATGTAATCCTTATTACAATCTCATGAGGTAGGTTATAATATTGATACAGATGAGGACACTGAGAATGAGAGAAACTAAGCAATTTCCTCAAGTCAAACATCTATTAAATTAAGTTGAGATATTTCAGTCTGGCAGGTTGAACTTAGAGTCTACATTCTCATGTTTCAGAATGATGTGGTTAGTATGGTGCCATTTATGTTAAGAAAAAAACCCTTAAAACAACACCAATATGATGTCTGAGTAGGTGTATGTGACGTAGCTATTCAAGTGCTGAAAAAGGGGTCTACAATCATGGACACTGAGCTTAAGAGTGGTGCCTGTAGAAGGGTTGGGAGGAAGGTCAAGATGGAGGATGGGTTTCAAAAGATTTAGCCTTATCTCTAAGGTTTAAACATTTGTTTTTCAAGATGACTATATCTATCTTTATTATATGATAAAAAGTTAAAGATATTTTTATTTTCCACTTTATTGTGAATGCAGGAGAGATCATTCTTTCACCATTCATGGGTGACCACCTGTCTTAGTCCATTTTCAGTGCTATAAAGAAATGCCAGAGGCTAGGAAATTTATAAATAAAAGAGGTTTGTTTGGCTCATGATTCTGCTCGCTGTACAAAGAAGCATGGAACCAGCATCTGCTTCTGGTGAGGGCTTCCAGTTGCTTCCACTTATGGTAAAAGGGGATGGGGAACTGGTATTGACAGAGATCACATAGCAAGAAAGACGGTAAGTGAGAGGGGAGGATGGTTCCAGGCTCCTCTTAGTTCCAGGCTCCTCTTAGTTCCAGGCTCCTCTGTTAGTTCTTGAAGGTACTAACAGAGTGAGAATTCATTCATTATCATGAGGACAGCACCAAGACAGTCATTAGAGATCTGCCCCCATGACCCAAACACCTTCCACTGGGTCCCACCTCCAACGTTGAGGCTCAAATTTCAACATGAGCTTTGGAGGGTCAAATATCCAAACTATAGCAGCACCTGATGGCTGGCTGTTTCTGGCCTTCATTCAGCTTTTATATTCTCTAGAATACTTCTGTTTTCTCTCATTCACTCTATAAATCTTGTAAGTCGTAAGGAACATACAAGATTCATTAGCAATTGTAAAGAAATGTTTCTTCACATTTCTGTGCATGTATTTTTATTTATGATATTTAATATCTGATGGGCAAGATTTCAGTTAATGAAACAAGTAGCACAATCTTTTTCTCTCCCCAGAGCTGAATGAAGCAGTATGATAACATTTTGTGAACTGTTGGAGCACTGGTGATGCACTCGTAATGGTGTTAGCATGGAATAGAAGCTCTCGCCTCCCTGTCTTGAGGAGCATTACACCAGAATATTTTACAAACTGGATAGCAACTCGAATGAGTGGTTACCAGGAGTAACCATTTAATATGCATTTGCATTTAATATGCATTTTCATTTTGTGCACTTTCACAGCATGATATCCTCTGAGGCTCAAGACTCTATAAAGGAAGAAGGGCATGACGTATATTGAATCCATTCTCCAGATGATAAAACTGAGATTAAGAAAAGTGATGTGACCTCCCCATTGTTGCAGCCACTAAGAAGCTGAGATTCAAAGCCAGATTGTCTAAATTCAAATGCTCCAGCATTTTCACTGCACTGTGTTGCCTCCTAAATTCTTTCAGGGTTGACCAGATGCTTTTTTACATTTACAGACACTGTAAATTACATTTTAGACATTTTATAATTTTCAGTAAGACTGAAGAGTAACTGGGACACCTAATTTAAAAGGAGAAAAAGCTAGTCTCCAGTGAATCAACTGTGTGGCACGTTAGTGTTTTCTGGCACTTTCAGTTAAAGAAATCTTTATTACCATTTGACTTCTGGTGTTTACATTAGATGTGAAACTTAAAGACAAATACCACTTTGGGTAAACATTAAAATGGCACAAGTGAGTTTCACTTTATTTAACTAACTGGCACCATTCTTGAAATCTTATAAAAGTATTCTGTTTGCCTTTTAGAAATGCTTGAATGTTTTCTCTTTCTTCATGGTATATGACAGGTGGGGCTCCACAAAGCATCTTAGGCTTGTCTCACGCATTAAAAAAACTCTAATCTTTCCATATCAATATTGGAAGAAACCACCAGAGATGAACTTTCTTCAACTTCCTTTTTTATTTTTAAAATTATTGTTCTTATTATTCATAGAGTCAGGGTCTTGCTTTGTTGCCCAGGCTGATCCCAAACGCTTGGGTTCAAGCAGCCCTCCTGCCTTGGACTTCCAAAGTTCTGGGATTACAGACATGAACCAACATGGCTGATTACTTTCTTCAATTTCTTGAAGGAAGAAATTGAAGAGGACGTTACGTCCTCCTTTAACCCCCTCAACTAGATATCAACTGTCCTTGAATGTGTAACATAGTCCTTCAAAAAATAGCTCCCTTATTTGGGGGAAAAGCTAACTATTAGTTCATACATATATATATATGTATATACATATATATATGTGTATATATATATGTATATACATATATATATGTGTATATATATATGTATATACATATATATATGTGTATATATATATGTATATATATATGTATATACATATATATATGTGTATATATATATGTATATACATATATATATGTGTATATATATGTATATACATATATATATGTATATATATATGTATATACATATATATATGTATATACATATATATATGTAGGAACTAATATATAGCTTTTATATAGCATATATATATATATATAGCTCTCTCATTCAGCTTTTGTATTCTCTAGAATACTTCTCTTTTCTCTCATTCACTCTACAAATCTTGCAAGTTGTAAGGAGCATAAAAAATTGCATTCACTAGCAAAAGGGGATTCATTAGCAAAAGATCCATCAATCTATCTATCTGTAATCTGCAACCTTATAACTTTCACCTTCTCATCCTAATTCTGTCCTTCTGAGTCACATAGTGGAGAGAATATTCTGTGAACTACAAAGCACCACTCATGTGAGCTCTTAGAGTAACACATGGTCATTCTATTTCTCCTTCCACTTAGGAAAGCAGTAAAATAATTGGGAGACATTAAGGTGTAGCTTGGAGAAGGGCTGTAGTTTTCTCATGATTACCATCAAAACACTCCATATCTCAAATAAACGTGCATTCTTGGTTTAAATGTAAGTGTTTATGCTGTGCGAAAGTGGTTTCGAGGTATCCCATATGATCACAGTCTCTGTGAGAACAGTGAGTTTGCACACTCTAGTTCTAGAGAAATTTCCTTCATTAGACCACAGGCCCTTAACCCCACATCTGTAAAAATTCTAAAGCATCCATTGCTGCAAATATTTGTAGCTATTCATTCTACTTCCAATAGCCTTTGATTTCTTCCATAACAATTTACCACAGACAGTGGTTTAAACCACACACATTTATTACCTTATGGTTCTATGGATCAGAAATCCAATCTGAGACTTCCTGGGATAAAATCCCTTCTGCAAGCAGCAGGGCTACATTCTTTTTTGAAGGTTCTAGGGAAGAATCTATGTCTTTGTCTCTCATAGCTTCTAGAGGCCACTCATATTTCTTGGCTCATGGTGCCATTTCATCATCTTTAAAGCCAGCAATGAAGCAAGTGTCTGATCCTGTTTCTATTATTATTTCTTTCTCTGCCTCTGTCCTTCTGCCTCTCTCCTACATTCAAGGGCCTTTGTGATAACACTGAGCCAACTCTGATAATCTAGTATAATCTCCTTACCTTAAACTCAGCTGATTAGTCAACTTAATTCTATCTGCAACCTTAATTCCTCTTTGCCATGTAACCTAACATATTTACAGATTGTGAAGATTAGGACACAGACATTTATTTGTGTCAGCGTGTGTGTGTGTGTGGTGGGGCTTATTCTGCCTACCATGCTGATCTTTTTAAGTCTTTCTGTTTCCTGTTTACCCATCCTCATTTTCCTTCCTCATATGGTATCCTGTTGAATACATCACTTTCTAGTTTCTTTTCCCTGGGATTTTGTTTACTCGTAATACATTGCGAACTACTACGAAGTCGATGCTGTGTTAGATGCTGGGGAGCTCACATCTAGTAACAGATGATTGTTCCAAAAAATTACAAGGATGTGATAGAGATGTGTAAGAGGTACTGTTCCAGGCTCAGTTTGCCAGAAGACTAATTCTGAGATAGGAATTAGAGTGCAAGAGGTTTAGGGAGGGATTTGGGGATCAATGCCTGTGCAAGGGAAGGGATGGGAGTAGGAGTAGGCAGAGAGGGAAGACAAGTTGTGATAGACTCTCACTGAAAACCTCAAGTAAGCCGATGGCATGGTCCAATGACAAGATAACCCTGCAGAGCTGTTTTAAGTTGGGGCAAGTGTGCAGGGCCTTTGTACACCCACAGTCACCAGTCATTTGATGACAGTCTCCTCAGGAAATGGCCATGACTTTGGGTGAGGCTGTCTTAGCTGAGGCAATCCTTGAATGGGGCCAACAGCTGAGGGCTGGCAGCACCCGAAGCACCTGTGGTTATGCCTTTGATCCCACTTATATCTGAAGGGGGATATAAGTGTAGATCACAGTTTACATTTCAGGTGCTATGAAAGCTTCTAGCAAAGGCATCTTTCCCAGTCTGGCATCAAATGCCAAGGAAATAGCCTGGCACTGTCAGTGGGGTCCTGGTGTTGATAACAGCTGACTTGGCAGCTTGGTCCTGATTTCATTCAATAGAAAAAAATCAGTATATTTTGTTGGTCTGAGGAACATCAACATCAGACATGCCCCTATAACTGTGATAGACAGATTTTTAAAAGGCCACTCTGTAATCATGAATGTCTACGGCTAGAGAAAAATAAGAATATTATCCAAACTATAAAATGACCAAATACCACTGTAACTTGGATAGTGTGAGTGACTGCTTTTTTTGCGGGGGGTGGACAGGGTCTCACTCTGTTGCCCAGACTGGAGTGCAGTGGCATGATCTTGGCTCACTGCAACCTCTGCCTCCCGGATTCAAGCGATTCTCCTGCCTCAGCCTCCCAAGTAGCTGGGACTACAGGTACATGCCACCATGCCCAGCTAATTTTCATATTTTTAGTAGATATGGGGTTTCACCATGTTGGCCAGGCTGGTCGTGAACTTCTGGCCTCAAATGATCCATCCGCCTTGGCCAAGTGACTGCCTTTTTTTTTTTTTATTGATACCAAGTACCAGCTCCAGCTGTGATTTGTTCCTCCTGTTTTATAGATAAGAATGATTAAAATATCAAATATAAGATTATCCCCACTTTCTGACAACATACAACCCAGAGCAAAACCCCACTTCCTTGAACTCTCCCCCTAAAACACAAGCCCAAATCCAATGACAAGTTTCCCCCAGCTCTACTTAACTGAACACCGTGGTTTCCCATAAATATGCTTTTTCTTGTTGTAACAAGTAGGTAAACCCAATTTTTGATTATCTTCCTGGTGGTCTTTGGCTGAGGGCATTGGCAGATTTAAGTTCTTTTGGTGCAGAGACTGTGCCTGGCACATAGTACTACAACACATATTTGCTAATAGAAGATCTTATTTGGCTTTGAATCCCCAGCACTTTGAATATTCAGTAATGAGTAATTTATCGGGTATTAAGATGTTTAATATATGTTTGTAGAATATATTTATTGATTGATGAATGAGAAAATAGGTCTATTCTCAAAAAGTTAAAGACATTTTTAAAAAGGGGTATAGTAGGAGACATGAGGGAATAGAGCCAGTTTAGGAAAATCAAAGTATTTCAGTATTGCCACAGTACAGGACACCAGAGAATGGGAAGAAGAGTCGTATGTGCCATGGTAAGTAATTTTTGTCTAAGAATGTTGATTTTTCTAAAAACAGAGGAGCCATTTAAAAGTATTTTAGGTGGTGGGTAGCAAAAAAATCTTCCAGGTAAGGTGTAATTGGGTAATAGAATGGTTTAATAACTACTAACTTCTGTGTTATGCTGTGCTTTGGATTACAGGATTATTTTAGTAACCAAACAGTGATTAGAATTGAGCATAGTTCACCTTTGGGTGTAATCTAGGGAATTTAGGTAACCTGCGTTGTCCCTGGCTTGACTCATTGGGATGTCAAAACTTCGGAGAGCACAGAGCTCTCTATTACTGTGGCTGAACCTAGTGAATAGTCACTGACTTTTCTCTTTGGTAGTTCCCCCCCGGGGAGAGTTTTTCTTTGAAAGACTAAAATGAGAAGAAGCATGCCAGGTGCTCCTGGTGGCCACAGCTAATAGCAGGAACATCTGGGAAATCACAAGGGAACACACCTTAGTCTATTTTCTGTTGCTTATAACAGAAAACCTAAAATTGGGTAATTTATAAAGAAAAGGAATTTGTTTCTTACAGTTGTGGAGACTGAGAAATCCAAGTTGAGGGGCCACATCTGGCAAGGGCCTTCTTGCTGGTGAGGACTCTCTCCAGCGGTCTGAGGTAGCTCAGGGCATCACCTGGAGAGTTGAAGAGAGAGATGAGCACACTAGCTCAGGTCTTTTCCTCTTGTTACAAAATCACCAGTCCCACTTCCATAATAACCCATTCATAAGGACAAAGCCTTCATAACCCAATCATCTCTTAAAGACCTCACCTCTCAATGCTGTCACATTGGGGATTAAGCTTCAACATGAGTTTCAGAGGGGAAAAACATCTGTACCATAGCAGAACATGAGAGTGCTTTTGGGTCACAGTCATGAGGACATTTATGAGCTATGTGGATACAGAGATACAGCAATAGAGAACCTCCACCTTATCTGCCTGTGTTGCCACCTTGGAAATGAGGTGCCATCATTCTCAGGGATTCCTGAAGCTGATTGTACAGTTTTAAGGTTATGCTGTCCATGGTGACCTTGTGAGAAATGACAGGTTTACCAAGTCCATGTCTCCCTACTTCCTCCTCATCATTCCTACCTTTAGGATATAGATCCCATGAGGGAAGACCTAGATGAAATTGAGCTGTGGGTCCCATAGCCTCAGATATTCCCTCTTCTGTTGCTTTGTGCCTCCTCTCTTCTGCATCCATGTTCCAGAATTTCAGTGTTCACATAACTTTTGCTTGACCAATGCCAGCTCTGAAAAATGATCCATTAAACTCACTGATATGGTGGAAATTACTCTTTGGGACAAATTTCCAAAGGAGGCTCATAATTCCTGAGAAAGTCAGGAGTAAAGATGTGCAGAGTTTAGGCATTCCAAGTAGGATATGGAAATGTGCAGAGATTTTTAAAGTCTCAGTCTTTTCTTTGCCTTCAAAATGATAACGTACTTTGAGGGGCAAAAGCCCCTTTTTGAACAGATAATTTCAGGGAAAAAAGCCATACTTAATCTGTGCTTATGTAGATGAGAATGACAAGAACATTCTTTCTCATTTTCATGAATCAGAACTCATAAGAACTCAAGACTGAAAAGTCTAGAATCTACTCTGTACAAATTGACTCTGCTATTTTAACCCACTTCCTGGGGTCATTTTAATTATATCTGAAAAATGAGTTATGAGAAGAAAATGAATTAAATTTCTCTTTATACGTAATTACAATGCAAATTTAAAACTGCTGTACCCAGTTCCTAGAAATGACTTGGGTGGAGATTTTCTTGCTCTCTCTTTTCATTTTTACCTTTTTCTCCTACTCATTTAGGAAAAGATGTAATGATTAAGTAGAAATGGAAAAGCAATAATAAAAAGTTAAGTGTAAAAGGCAACTTAATTTCCTTGTTACTCTGAATGTTAATAGTCGTGTGTGGGTCTCACCCAGTCTTTCGTCAAAGTAGCTTTATAATATAAAACACTCCAAAGCCTACTTAAACTTTATTTCCTTTAAGATGAACTAATTTCACAAGTTTTGCTTTCCTTTAGGTATCTATATTTAGATACGTATTATTTTGTTACAGTGCTGCAGAATTGAAGCTCCTTAAATGTTCTGTTAGTATAAACAAAAAGAAAAGTGGCAATTATTTCTGATCATGAGTGTTATCATTTAATATTTAATTTAATTTAATTATTTTAGAGACAGGGTCTCACTCTGTCACCCAGGGTAAAGCGCAGTGGTGCAATCATAGCTCCTAAGTAGCTAGGACTATAGGTGTGTGCCACAACTCCCAGCTAATTTTTATTTTTATTTTTATTTTTTAGAGATGGGGTCTTGCTATGTTGCCCAGGCTGGTCTTGAACTCCTGGCCTCAAGTGATTCTCCTGCCTCTACCTCCCACAGTGCTGGTATTACAGATGTGAGCCTCTGTGGACCAGAAGCATCTACATCCCCTGCCCCTGGAAGCTTGGTAGTACAGAACCTCTGTCTTACCCCAAACCCGCTAAATCGGAACCTGCATTTTACAAAACTCTATGCATATTCACATGCAAGACTATGATTACTCATAGTTTTGAGACTATGAGAAAACAAGTATTGAGCATTCTAGGCTTCTGTTATTGCTCTGTTTTTATTTTTGCCCTACTTCACAAAATATATTATTCAAGGTAGGCATCTTCACAAAAAACAACCCTATGTCTCAGGGGCTTCATGAAATAAGCTATTTCTCATGTCAGTCTATGGTGGACTGAGCTGGCTGGGCTGGGAGGGGGCAATCTTTCCCATTCAGTCATTTTGCAGTCAGAGGTATTCCATCTAGTGGCTTTCTCATCCCCAGGGGCCACATAATTCTTCACCAGACCCCTGATTCTGAGCTTCCAATGAAGAAAAAGCCAAGACATGGAGTAATGGGTAGCATCTTTTATGACCAGGCATGGATCGGGGCACATCACTTCTACCTGCGTAATATTTATCTCAGCTCAGTCACACGACAACATCTAGCTGCAAGAAAGGCTGAGAAATGCCATCTTTTTGCATAGGAAGAGGAGAAAATAGTTAGAGCAAATGTTCAGTCGGTCTCTGCCTCACTTATCCACCCTCCAGAATCCAGCTAAATCCCTACCTTCTTCAGGCTGGGAGATGTCTTCTTCTAAGTTCCCATAGTGCATATTATTCAGTTTTTTAAAATCTACATGTTCCATTAATAATATTTTAATTTTAAACTATTATCTATTGAGATGTGTGTGACTTACTTTCCACTAGAATTTTTAAAATTTCTTCTTCTTTTTTTTCCACTAGAATTTATAAGCACTTGTAAAGTAGTGGTCATGCCATATTTTTTTTTGTAAACTGCAGAGACAAGATTAATTTTATGTGTGTAATAAGCATCTTACTAACATTTATTGATCAAGTTAATGAATACATACGGCAGTATAATGCTTCTTTTTAAATCAGCACTTAGTAGAGTATCTTGTGGATCCTTTCAATATCTGGATTCCATGATTAACCCTGCTAGGGTCAGAATGTTTGTGTCCCACCAAAATTCACATTGAAATTTTAACTTCCAAGATGATAGGTCAGGAGGTGGCTCCTTTGGGAGGTGCTTAGGTCATGAGGCAGAGCCTTCATAAATGGGATTTGTGCCCTTATAAAAAAAAGGCCCCAGAGAGATCTCTCACCACTAGCTTGCTGTAAGAATATCACAAGAAGTTGTGACCTGTGAACCAGAGCAATGAGAAGATGTCTGTCTGTGAACCAGCAAGCAGGTCCTCAACAGGCACTGAATCTGCTGGAACCCTAATCTTAGACTTCCCACCCTCCAGAGCTGTGAGAAATAAATGTCTGTTGTGTGTAAGCCACCTAGTCTATGATACTGTGTTACAGCAGCCTAAACAGACTGAGAATACCCTCCAAGTTTAATTAGAAAATAGCCTTCTAATCCCTTGTCACTTTCTTGGATCTGTTAGCAGTTTTGTTCTCTTAATGCATCCTAATAGAAGTGCATTGCTAGTGGCATCACATGGACCACTGGACACAATCATAATGCCCACATCATAGTGGAGGAAATCAAAGTCCCCAGACAAAAAGTAATTTGCTAGAAGTCACGTAACTGGTAGGCAGAGAAGGCACGTTTGGACTTGTTGGTAGTCTTTTGACTCCAAATCCAGGATTTTGTAAAGTGCCCCATACCATTTCTTCTATAGACAGCTGCATTATTTTTGTTGTTGTTGCTGTTGTTGTGTTTGTTTGTTTGTTTTAGAGTCTTGCTCTGTCGCCCAGACTGGAGTGCAATGGTGCGATCTCAGCTAACTGCAACCTCTGCCTCCGGGCTTCAAGCGATTCTCCTGCCTCAACCTCCCAAGTACTGAAATTACAGGCATGTGCCACCACACCTGGCTAATTTTTGTGTTTTTGGTAGAGGTGAAGTTTTCCCATGTTGGCCAGGCTGGTCTCAAACTCCTGAACTCCGGTGATCTGCCCTCCTTGGCCTCCCAAAATGCTGGGATTACAAGTGTGAGCCATTGCGCCCAGCCCACCTGCATTGTCTTTGGAGACTTCA
The DNA here is from genome assembly GCF_000001405.40 of Homo sapiens. NCBI lineage: Eukaryota > Metazoa > Chordata > Mammalia > Primates > Hominidae > Homo > Homo sapiens. Next base: position 87,584,637 of record NC_000014.9, on the reverse strand, counting down.
AAACTACCTATTGGGTGCTATGCTTATTATCTGGGTGACAAAATCATTTGTACACCAAACCCCTGTAGCACACAGTTTACCTACGTAACAAACCTGCACAAGTACCCCTGAACCTAAAAGTTGATAAATAAATGAAATACAAAATAAAACCCCACGTAATTGACTAATGACAAAATTTTGAAGAGGGATAAATATAATTTCTAGATGGCTCTTTTCATTTTTCAGCCCCTGCTTTGCCAGTGTCATCACAGGGAATGTAAGCTTGCTTTAGAACTTTTCATTTTTCAAAGAGCTTGGAATTTTTGCACAAAATAAATTTGCTGACTGAATCTCATCTATGAAAGCTATCTAGTAAACTCAAATATAAGGCCATTTAGTGTTACTGCAGTTTTGGTGTCAAAACAAGTTTCATTTTGTGTGTGTGTGTGAGTAATTGTTTTCTTTCAGTTTTTTTTCTTCTTCTTTGTATCTGTCTTCTTGACTGCTTATAAAATATTTTCTTTTTCTTAGAAACTAGGAAATTAACACATATACCTACTTGTGCATGTTTTATTTTGTTTTGCTTAGTTGTCAGTGGACCCTGTGAGTCTGAAATTTTCTTCCTCCTAAGCAATGTTCTTATATGATCTATTGCTTATTCTCTCTCTGCTTTGTTCCCTTCTTTCCAGAAGATTACCTGTTTTAGATCTCATGAATCAATCCTTCATCATACTCTTAGCTTCTTTTCAGTAGTACTTTTTTGTATGTCTTTATGTTCTGGGAAGATTTCTTGAGTTAATATTTTAAGTAATACATTTTGTTTTCTGCCTCATAGAGTCTACTGTTCATTGCACCAAAAACATTTTAAATTCTGCTATTCATGTCTTTCAAGATTTAAATTTTGTTATGCTTCATATATGTAAACCTCTCTTGAAATCGATTTATGGAATTGATCAGAAATTTTTCTCTGATAATTTTTTTTTCTTGGAAGAAATATTTCTCAAAAGGAAACATTTGCCTTGAAAACTCAGAATAGTTACCTTCTGTGGTCTGTTTATTCTTTCACTATTACTTGTGATTTTCTCCCCTTTTCTGTAAAGCCAAGGGGGCCACAACTTTATTCCAAGGAAAAGGGTGAATTTTACATTTAATAATTTTCTTGTTAGCTTAGGCATGAACAGAAATAGAAGTACTGGAAAATGGCTTCATGTCAGGAACATTCTCTGATTAACTCAGTGGTGTTTGCCCTTCAGTGTTTCTTCATTGTGCAGCTTTTCACCTCTTAATTAGCTGTGTGCTTTCCTGCCACATTGTTGAAGCCACTGAAAATATGAAGAGTCTTGACTATTGGTGTTGCATCCTCCAGAATCAGTAAAACCCAGGGCCGTTCTTTGATGATTCAAGCGAGGTGTCTGGCTGTCAATCTGTTTCTTCTGACCAGCAAGGCGGGACAGTCTCATCGAAGCCGACATTGCCCTGTGCTCAGTATTTTCCTGCCTCTGTATGTGTGCCTAAGTGCAGGGAGAAGGGAACTTTCATGGGTCTCTGAAGAAGACTGGAGCTGTTATCTTAATCTGGACTTTAAAAAATATTAATAGACTATCTTATCAGAGAAGTTTTAGATTAACAGAAAAATGAGCAGAAAGTACAGAGAGTTCCTATACACTTCCTGCTCCTTTTCTTCCCTCTCCCATTATTAACATTTTGGATTACTGCGGTTGTATTTCTTACTATGGGTCAGCCAATTGTAATACATTATTACAAACTAAAATCCATAGTTGACATTAGGGTTTACTCATTGTGTTGTATATGCTCTGGATTTTGACAACTGCATAATGTCATGTAGCCACCATTACAGTATTATACAGAACATTGTTTTCAAATAATTAAGTTCAGCATATTGTGTAAAACCAGTCACCAGTTAGCTTGGAAATAGCACCAGCTACATTTCTGAGTGGCCGGGATCTTTGTGGCACTGAATTGTGTGCACTTCAAAAACCGTGACATTGATTTTGTTGGGAAAAAATCCTAGGCAGCATGGTAGCAGTAGTTTGTGTTGGCTCTACCTAGATTCAACACAACTGGAAGGAAATTTTACCTTTATCAACGCTTGAATAAGAGTTTCAACATCATTTATGGAGTAGCTATTTCTTTTCTATTAAAAAGTTCATGGTAAAAAAGTTAAATCCAAACACTCTGTCGATGAAGAAAGTCAAACTGTGTAAAATATTTGAAGAGATTTATTCTGAGCCAAATATGAGTGACCAGGGCCCATGACACAGCCCTCAGGAGGTCCTGAGAACATGTGCCCAAGGTGGTCGGGGTACAGCTTGATTTTATACATTTTAGAGAGGCGTGAGACATCAATCAAATATACATTTAGGAAATACATTGATTTGGTTCAGAAAGGTGGGACAACTCAGGACGTGGGGAGTGGGTGCTTCCTGGGTATAGGTAAATTAAAATATTTTCTTTCTTTCCTTTTTTTTTGAGATGGACTCTTGCTCTGTTGCCCTGGCTGGAGTGCAGTGTTGCAATCTCGGCTCACTGCAAGCTCTACCTCCTAGGTTCATGCCATTCTCCTGCCTCAGCCTCCCGAGTAGCTGGGACTACAGGTGCCCGCCACCATGCCTGGCTAATTTTTTTTTTTTTGTATTTTTAGTAAAGACGGGGTTTCACTGTGTTAGCCAGGATGGTCTCGATCTCCTGACCTCGTGATCTGCCCACCTCGGCCTCCCAAAGTGCTGAGATTACAGGTGTGAGCCACTGTGCCTGGCCTTAAAACATTTTCTGATTGACAATTGGTTGAGTTTGTCTAAAGACCTTGGATTGATTAGAAAGGAAATGTTCAGGTTAAGATAAAATATTGTGGAGACCAAGGTTCTTTTGAAGTCTTATAGTGGCTGCCCTTAGAGATAATAGATGACAAATGTTTCCTATTCAGACCTTTAAAAGGTGCTAAACTCTTACTTAATCTTTTCAGGATTGGGAGGGCCTGGAAGAAAAAGATCTGGCTACGTTAATAGAGATTCTTTACAAATGCACCTGTCCCTCCACCAAGGACAGCTTTGCAGGACCATTTCAAAATATGGCAAAGAAACATGTTTTGGGGTAAAATAATTTCAACTTTCTTCTTTGTCACGTGATGTTATGCTAGAGTCAGACTGGAAAGTAAGTCACAATATAAAGGGTTAAATAAAGCCCATCTGATGAGAATTTATGGTTTGTAAGGCATGACTCCCTAGACCCCTTAGATAGGAATTTGGGCAAGTTAAAAAATCAGAGCTCAGTTCTCAACTGAGGTTTCCTTTTCAACCTGGCCTTATTCTTTTGAGTGTGGGAACACCTTTCTTACAACAGAGACTCTATTGAGTATTGGAAATAGGAAGGAAGCCACACGTGGATGTGCAAGTGGATTATTCTTGCCTATTGATTGCGGTAGAAAGAAATGAGCAGGGACACTGCTCCTTGGCTAACACGCATGCCCTTCCTTATTGCTACTCCCAGCTTGCCACAGCAACATCCCCTATGGCTCAAAAAACTTTCTTTTTCCTTAGATGATTTTTTTGGGAAACTTCTCCATTTACTTCTTAACCTTGTTTCTTCTTTGTCTGCATTGATTGGCCATGCCTTAGTTTTCTGTTTCTCTGTAAAGCATTGCCACAAGCATAGCAGCATAAAACTACACCTGTTTATTATCTTACTGTTCTGTAAATCAGAAATCTGGATGGGCTTGCCTGGGTTCTCTGCTAATGGTCACACACCTGAAGTCTTGCCTGAGCTGAACTTCTATCTGGTGGCTCCAGGGAGGGATCTTCTTACAGGCTCATTCAGGCTGTTAGTAGAATCCAGTTCCCTCTGGCTGTGGATCTGAAGCCCTTGTTTCCATGCTGGCTGTCATCTGGGGCTGTCTTCAACTCCTCAAGACCACTAGCTTTCCTTCTCATGCATCCTTTCCATCTTCAAAGGAGCAATGGCACATCGGGTCCTTCTCACACTTTAAATGCCTCTAACTTCCTTCCCAGTCTGAGTATGTTCTCAGCTTTTAAGGGCTTATGTGATTAGATAAGCTACACCTGAATAATGAGCAGAAGCTGGTGAAGGTCAACTGTTCATATAAGGTAACAGTCATGGAAGCAACATCTCATTATATTCACATGTTCTGAGGATTGAGGCGTGAGGCATTGGGTGGAGGCATCGGTGCATGTTTAGAATGATACCTACCTCCCATCCTCCCGATGTCCATCCTTTGTGCTACTGTTGCCATATACTTTCCTTTTACATAAACAGCCAGAATATTGTTACCATTTTTGCCTTAAACTATTTTCTTTTTAAAACAAAACCTTGGTGCCTGTTTTTTTCCCTGCAGTTCAAGTCTCTCCTTAGATATCACCTTGTCTATATTTACTACCATCTAAACGTTTCTGATGGGCTTAAGAGGAGTTGGTAATTTGCAGCTTTTCTAGTGTTTAAGTTTGGATGCTCTTTCTAGCTCCGCATGTGTCCAAGCTGAAACTGGTATGTTGTGTTTTTGTTTGTTTGTTTTGTGAGACAGAGTCTCACTTTATCACCCAGGCTGGAGTGCAGTGGTGTGATCTTGGCTCACCACAACCTCTGCCTCCCAAGTTCAAGCAATTATCCTGCCTCAGCCTCCTGAGAAGCTGGGATTACAGGTGCCTGCCACCACGCCCAGCTAATTTTTGTATATTTTAGTACAGACAGGGTTTCACCCTGTTGGCCAGGCTGGTCTCGAACTCCTGACCTCAGGTGATCTGGCCCCCCCTCCCCCCTTGGCCTCCCAAAGTGCTGGGATGACAGGCATGAGCCACCACGCCTGGCTTACTGTTTTTTTTTTTTAATTAACTCATTATTAGGGAAATATTTAGCAGCATCTAAAAAGCATATCCGATGTGGCAGCAGCACAGCCTACACACAACAATCAGACTATGCCGCCCTTCATTGAATGTAGATCTCTAATTGTTTGGCATCATGTAGTCAAAAATCCCCTCTGTTTTATTTGAAGGTGGTCATTTTAATTTGGCTTACAAATTTTGCAAAGAAGGAGAAGTAAGCTATAGACATTGGTGTTTCCTATAGTGTCTTTTTGGACCTTGTATTATTTCTGCAGCACAGTGTTTGTCTGTTTATAACCCCTCCAAACAGAGTCTTTAAGGGCAGGCATAATGTCTCATCTACTTTTGTTTGTCTAATGCTGAGCATATGACAGCATAATATGTGGTACAGAAAACCACATTTAATGTTGTTAAACGCTTGTTTAATGTTGCTGAATGTTTCTGGGTCATTCAGTGAGATGTTGCATTTTCCTGAAAATTCCTTGAACTCCCAGAGAGATACACATCAAGAGGTGACCAAAGTCTTCTTCCAAGAAGATTTTTATTGGTTTGTATTATACAACAAAAAGTGGACAATTCAGACGTGCTCTGAGAAAGGCTGGGGCATGTGCCAAAGTGATGTGTGTGTTCTCTGTGGAGCTTGATTTCTTTAGCTGGGGAACCAGAAGCCACTCAATGATCTCCAGATTAAACTACTATTTCTCATAGTATGAGAGTATTTTTAATGCTTAATAACAAATAGCATTTTAGTTTGAACTCTATAAGGCAAGAGGCTTACATGAAATGAACAAGTACAAGCAGACATGAAGGAGAAGAGTGACTACCTGCATTATGTGTGTGCAGTTCAGCAGAAATGATGCTCTGAGTGAATCTTAAATAGTCTAACAAAGTGAAATCCCCTCGGCTCATCAGTGAAGCCTGTGAATATGATAATCTATGTGTGACAGAAGCCTTCACAGCTACTCCTTTGCAGTGCAATCTGACTTGGGGATTTTTTGTTGTTGTTGCTATAGGGCTCACCGGACTCTCCATAAGGCATGAAAGAGAAAAGTTTGAAACTGATTTGCCACAAATAACTCTTTAGATGCTGGTTTCTGTTGCATTTAGGTCTTGATGTAGGTATAAGGAGTGGGCAGTGGGTTTTCATTTGGAGAACAAACTTGATTTTAAGCTCATCCTATGGGCCATTCCTGTCTCATGCACAATACTGTACACTCACACCAAACTGAAGATTCTGATGTGAACATCTTTGCAAAAGATTTCAGGCCACTGATTTGACAGGTCCGATCACATGTGGCTTGTGGTTGGCCCTGACTGCAGTTGTGCAAGACAGGTGGAATGGTATTGTGGAAGGAGCAGAAAGACCATGGGCTTTGGAAGTCACCAGAGTGGGCTCAAATCCTGGCTCTGCCACTTTCTAGGACTTTGACCTAGGTCAGGTGATATAATCTTTCTGACCCCTGGTAGAATTCTTGTGAAGATAAAATGATCCTCATACGATGAGGATTAAAATCGTGCATAAAAAGAGTCTGGCTCGAAAACAGAGGAGAGTCAATAGATGGCAGCTTCTATTACTATTATTCAATTTTGACTTCATGAATTGTTTTCACCTGTTTTCTGTGGCCCTAACACTGTAGATGCAATCACATGTCTGGCCCCTTCACACACTGGAATCATTGACATGACAAGATGCTCAGCACCTTAGCTTTTATGTGTCTGGGGTCTTTCCTCTAGGCTGGATCACGTAATAGGCTTTTGTTCTTCACTCATGTTAGAACCCCCCTCTGTCGAAGGATTATACAGCCCTACCTTGTTTAATGCGTGTATGGCCATGTGACTTACTTTGGCCTGTGCAACAGAAGCAAAAGTGGTGTGTCATAGCTAGGCAGAGCCTCTAACATGTTGGGTACCATTTTCTCTCTGCTTCTGCAACCACAGAGCTATGGCAGGATGGATCTTCCCAAGACCTGAGTCCCTGAGTGACTGTGATGAACAGAGATTTATTGTCTACTACAATAGACATAGTGTGAGTGAGAGGTAAACCTTACCATTGTAAGCCAAGAGATTTTTGAGTTATTTGTCATGACAGTATAACCGAGCTCTTCCTGATTGCTACAGGGCTTCTCTCTCAATTCCAGCTCTGAGTTAGAGTTCTCTTCGTCTGCCAACAACTCCATCAACCCGTGTGGACCTTCACTTCCTGTGAAGTGGCTCTGTCTATCCAGTGGGTCATCAGATGCATACAGGATGACCACAAGCTGGTGCTTATGTCAGATCCAAGCTTACTCCGTCTGTTCTCTCCTGCCACTTAATGCTCTTGGACTCTAAGCTGCTCAAACTTGTACCTGGAATTATAATACATAGACATAAAATAAAGCCCACGCTGGGAAAGGTGGTTCTGAGATACTTCAGTTCTCTACTTACCCTTCCTTTCCTCCCTCTCGTTCTGTTTCACTTGCTGCTCAAACTCATCATGCACACATAGCTCCACAGGGAGGGAATTGGGCTGAAGCAAACAAGGACTTGGGCTATGTCCATCCCTGTCTGCCTCTAGAGCTGTCTGTCTGTCTTCCTGATGCTCTCAGGATCACTTCCTCTCCACATGTAGCTTCAGCGCTGCTCCCCAGTGGCAGGACTTAGGTCTGGGAGATCTGAGCAGCTGCTGCCTTATGTTTTGGATTTGGCATTGTCTGCCTGCCTCTCCTAGAGCCGCTGTGGGCTTCTGTTCTGTTCCTCAGCTCCCTTCTGGCTTGGAACCAGTATCCTGGACCCTTCTGGGATGGAGCCTGCTTTACTCTCGCAGCCCCAAAGATTATAACCAATATCCAGAGCTGAGCTTACTTACCTGAACTCTGTCACTTCCTCACGTTGCTTAATTAGTAAAAAAAAAAAAACAGAAGCCATCTTGAGCCAAAAAGGACTTACTGGTGTCTTAGCCCATGTGAGCTGTTACAAAAATGTACCACAGACTGGATGACTTATAAACAACAGAAATCTATTTCTCATGGTTCTGGAGGCTGGGAAGTCTGAGCTCAGGCTGCCAGCATGGTTGGGTTCTGGTGAGGGCCCTCTTCCAGGTTGCAGATGGTCAAATTCTTGTTGTTCCCTCACATGATGGAAAGAGAAAAATAAATCTTATCTCTCAGCTTTTTTTTTTTTTTTTAGATGGAGTCTTGCTCAGTCACCCGGGCTGGAGTGTAGTAGCGTGATCTCAGTTCACTGCAATCTCTGCTTCCCAGGTTCAAGTGATTCTCCTGCCTCTGCCTCCCAAGTAGCTGGGATTTATAGGCGTCTGCCACCATGCCTAGCAAATTTTCATATTTCAGTATTTCATATTTCAAATTTCATATTTCAGTAGAGACAGGGTTTCACCATGTTGGCCATGTCTGGTCTCGAACTCCTGACTTCAAGTAATCCTCCTGTCTCAGCCTCCCAAAGTACTGGGATTACAGATGTGAACCAAGTGCGCCTGGCCTCCTCCTGTTTTTATAATTTAAGGGCACTAAATCCACCATGAGGGCTCCATCTTGAGAACTTAATCTAGCTCTAATTACCATCTAAAGGCCCAACCTCCAAATATCATCGTACTGATGATTGGGGTTTTAACATACAAATTTTTGGGGCATACACACATTTTGTCCTCACAGTGTGAGACTAAAATCCTGGAAATAGAAAAGGAAGGTCTTTAGAATATGAGCAAGAGAGGCAGCTTCTAGGACCAGTGGCTCTCTCTGTATCAGCCTCAGGCCCCTTACAGTTTCTCTCATAGGATCTCTGTGTTTCAGCTACCTGTTGTTCTATAACTAACTACCCCAAAAAATATTGGTTTCAAGAAACACAAATGTTTGATTTCTCATGATTCTTAACCAGGCACTTCCTCCATCTCATGTAGTGTCAGTTGATGCCCTAGGATGGCTGGGAAATTCAAAATGTCCTCCACTGGATGAATGGCTGCCAGCCTGGTGCTCCGATGGGTCTGTTGGCAGTGGCTTTGGTTCTTGTCTGTGTGCCATTCCTTTTCCTCTTTACTGGTTATCCATAGACTGTTTCATGGGGATGCCTTTACAGTTGGCACTCGAGTTAGGGAGGCTTCTAGGGTTCTAGTTGCATCCGCCACTATACAAGCGCTCTGAGAGGGGAAAGGAGCCATGATTCCTGTTTTCGATAGCGCCTGTTTTGTCATGATTGCATGATTGCCTTCACTGTGAGCAGACAGGTGCCGTTTCCCATTTTGCCTCTGCTGGGTCAATTACAGTGATTTCAAAGGACACTAATGGATCTGACAAGTCTCATTGGAAAGAAAATTCCTCCAGATTAACAATAAATTGATCTGATTACCTAATTCTAGTATCATTCAGAAGAAAAATGCAAGGCTGAGGTGAAGTGGCAATCTTTATTCATATCAATCTGGGATAAAATGGAGAGTGTGGGGGAAGCTGGAGGCAAGGAATGAAAAACCTCCGCACTCTGAAAGCCAAAAAAAACCCCCCAAAACTGTATTTCAAGATGTTTCCATTTAGAGATGGGCAGGACAGGTATTTAAGGAATATTAAGCATATTCCAGGCTTATTGATTTACCTTTTTGTAACATGCAAAGGTCATAAGACCTTACTGTTTGGAACACAGGTAGGCTGTGACTTTGCTTTCCTGTTGTTAAAATTATTTTAGAGCAAGAGATACGTTCAAATTTTGTAAGCCTAGTGAAGATCAACAGAAGAATAGTAAATTCTTGCTGTGACTTTGCAGTACACTTGACATGTGTGTTAATAATGCCACCTGGCAATAATAGTGGAAGGATAATAGATTCATTTAGCAACAGATACCACTCTGGATAACTGTTGGTTTTGGTGCATTACCTCCACCATAAAGACTTCCCTGACCCAGACAGACAGTTACTGCTTTCTTCCCTTTTTCTCTTATAGTGCCCTGGATATACTTCTATTTAGAGAATTCTGAAATCTGTTTAATCTAATATTTACTTAATCTTTATTGGATGTTGCATTATGTGCTGAAGTGCACTGGCAGTGAATTAATTCATTGTCACCATCCTACTGCTTTACTTTAAGATCTTACCACTCTTTCTTGAACTATTGTACTCACAACCATAATCTTTATTCCCAAGAAATTTATAGTCTGGTAAGAGATTGTCACAGAAACTGTTGGTTAAATTCCATGCAGGCGTTACTTTACTTCTCTGCTGGAAGATGCCAATTTTGTTCTGATGGCTCCTCCTTTATCGCATGACTTAGACGAGCCTAAACTCGTACTGGTAAATGAGTGATTGGTTTGCTGAGGTTTTGTGATTCAGTGCCAGCCAAGGAAATATTGGTCAAGTTGGCTGCAGAGGCTTCTGGGAAATGTTTTCTCATTGAGCTAAAGAAACCCACAGAAATGCAAGATATTTTTATTTTTGAATTGTGTGCCTGGAAATGCAATATTCACTTGCTCTCCAGAGGAGAGCTTGCCTTCAGATAAGCCAACAGGGTAGCAAAAATGTGGAAATAATCTGGGTTCTTGATGCTACCTTTAAGTTGTTCAAATGATCCAGACTGGAGGTACCCTACCATGGAATATCTGTTATGGTGCATGATAAATATCCTGATATTCAAGCCAGCTATTGATTGATTGCTTTCTTACTAATGCAGAGGCATACAGATAAAAAGTACATTTACCGCAACAGTAAGGCAGAGTATGGGAAGCAAAAAAAAGGGAGGTATAAAGTACTATGAGAATTCAGGAGAGGGAGGGAATACGGTCTACTGGGGTGAGGAGAGGTAATCAGAAAATCAGACTGACAGCATAAGCCACACACAGACAACACATTTAGACCATAGGAACTTTTTGGTATGTGTATGGATTACAGAATGTTTAAAATTTAAGCCAGGTATCAAAAACTCATGATCCTTCCTGTAAAAGTTAATATTTATTTTTTCATGCTTTATTTCAGTGCTCACCTAGCAACACTGGCTGTGGCTGAGGAGTGGTGTTCCTCTACACAGAGCCTGGGCTTTCCTCCAGACTTGCTGCCCTCTTGCAAGCCCCCTGCCTGATGTCACCTGCCTGATGCTGGTGCTTTTCGACTGCTGTATCTATGAAGGGAGAAGCATTTGCTGCTGAAACACTTGAGAGTAAAGTTTAGCAGAGTAAGAGAGACATAAATCTAGAGGTTTGGGATAGTTTTTTTTTTAAAGGATGTATCATTCGTTTATTTTAAAAAGTCTAAGAAGAAAAGAGGAGAGCAGTGGGTACATTCGAGAGCATTTGAGGGTTAGAAAAGATTTACATCTTAGGAATGAGGATCCTTGAGCTTGTTTCCAAGTTCATGGTGTTTTGAGTGTGGCAAGACTTTTTAATAATATGAATGATGCCCATGGAATCTTCTGTAACATTCAATCGACGGGAATCCCGAAGTACTATATATCCCAGATCTTTATTTTCCCAAACACATTGGAGTATGAAGGACATGTTGTGAATGACAGAATTCTGTCATTATATTTAATTTACTATCAAATTTACCTACTAAAGTGGAGGACTGATTAAGATAAATACAGACAATGATCTCATCCTGGAAGGAATTACTATGGAAAAATAATTTGACAAGAAGATCCACTTTTTATCTGAACAATAAAACATATCAATTTCTCAAAACCTCTTATGTTTGGCCAGTTCATCTGGTGAGAGAATGGAAAAAGGGAGACATTCATCAATTTTACAACCTGCAGTCCATCCTCAGACCAAATCAGGAAGAAGAGTGCATGGAGAAAACATTTGGGAAGAAAAGGTATTTTCAAAACATCTGGAGCAAGAGACAAATCCCATCAGCTCAGTTCCAACAATATATGCAGGTAAGATTTTGTTCTTGAAAAATCTTCAATTGCCCCCATTACCTCTAAACCTTTTACCTCTGGCCAGCAGTAGCAAATTAGAATTAATAATGTGGCTTTTGAAAAAGCAACAGTGATGTAATTATTGTATCAGCATAAGGTTAATGATTTTTAAAATGGAAAGGCTAGTGATGTGCTTAGAATTTTTTAAAAATCGAAGAAATTATCTCAATTGAATTTGCCTCCTTCTGCTTGTTCTTCAGGTAATAAGGTTGAGTGAAGAGTTAACATTGCTGCAAGTAGGATTATCTGCAAAAACATTAAGCCAGTCTTGACTTGCTTAACAGATAAAATTCAGCCAGAAAATGAAAATAGGGGGTGAATGTTTGTGTGGGAAACACAGGAGCCTAGTTTAGCACTCTACCCAAATGCGTTGAAGATGCTGCTGAATGTTTCATTTGGGATACCAATCTAGCTACAAGTATCTGGAAGAATCAAAAAATGTTTTCCAAAGTTAATACATAGGCGTGAAAACCAAAGAGCAGACCCAATGCACAACTCAGTCCCGCTAAAGGCCTGTGAGACCTCTCATGGTTGAATACTCAGAAATTTTTAAGTAACTGGTATTCTCCATAAACAAAAATAAAGATGGTAATATAATACACCATTTTTCTAACAAGATTCTACTGGTTAGAAAAATGGTGTAAATGTATAGGCTAGTCTAGGCATTGATGGACTGCAGCAGGTATTCAGAACACTGGTGATGTTTGAGAGGCATATTGGGGAACATGGCAGCAGATTTCTGGACATGTCTCCCATTTTTATCTCTTATTAAATGTATGACCATGAGTACTTTACTTAACGTTTTGGTGGCTCAGTGTTCTCATTGGTAAAATATGGCTATAAATAGTACTTTGTGGGTTATTTGGAGGGACAAAGGTGATAACATATTTAAAATGCTTAGTCCTGTGCATCACCCGTTCATATATTCAGCAGACAATATGCTGAAAGTGCTCATTAAATATTAGATATTGGCTGGGCGCGATGGCTCACACCTGTAATCCCAGTGCTTTGGGAGGCCAAGGCGAGTAGATCACGTGAAGTCAGGAGTTCGAAACCAGCCTGGCAAACATGGTGAAACCCCTGTCTCTACTAAAAAAAAAAAAAGAAATGCAAAAATTAGCCGGGCATGGTGGCATGTGCCTGTACTCCCAGCTACTCAGGAGGCTGAGGCACGAGAATCACTTGAAACCAGGAGGTGGAGGTTGCAGTGAGCTGAGATCGCACCACTGCACTCCAGCCTGGGTGACAGAGCGAGACTCTGTCTCAAAAAAAAAAAAAAAAAAAAAAGAAAAAAATAGATATTACTGTAAAGATATTTTGTATTTGCATGTTTTACTGACATGTACTTTGAGACTATCAAAAAATCTACAAAATTAGGGGGAAGAGGAAATTCAAAATTTACAAAAATATCTATTTCTTAAAGAAAATTTTGCATAGGAGAGGATTAATAATTTTCTGTTAAAGAAATATATAAATATATTAATTAGTGAATCTCAGTTATCTGGCTCTGTGTATAGGTAAGGAAAAATAGATAAATTGATCTGACAGTTATTTGAATATAATAATGCCATGTTAATGTAAAAATAAAACAGCGTTTAAATGCTATTTTACAACCAGGAGTATCATTAAATATCTTTATATTTTATGCATCACAATGCAATCTATGCACATTTGAGAAATATTAGTATCTTTATGCACAAGGCATTTTTTTACTCAGTGAGGGATATTTATTAAGAGTGTGTGCTCAAGTGTCAGGTGGCTGGTTGGTGACACAAGACAAGTTTCTACCTCTGAGAATTTCCTCATCTGTAAAATAGGTAATAAGACCCACCACCTAGGTTTGTGCTTAGGGTTAAACGAAATAATCAAGGCACACCATTAATACACTTCTAGATACATAGCAAGAGTGTGATACCTATGATTAATATTGCCATTGTCAATATTATTATAGACAATGCATGGTGTACATGTGTATTACAGAGCTGTGCACATGAATTCTGCCACCTTTTAAGAGCTCTCAGTCCCCCAGGTTGGGACTGAAATGTTTTGGGTTTGAATTCTGGGTCTTTTTACACTTGTCAGCAACAAGACCTCACTTGCCAGGGGGGTTGACCAGTAAGCAGTTTTTGAATAACAAACTATCCCAACATTTAGTGTCTTAATGGGACAAACATTTATCATTCCTTATGCTTCTATGGGTTGCTTATTGGTTCTTCTGGTTTGGACAAGCTTGGCTGGGGCTCAGTAGTCTAGGATCACCTCACTTGTATGTCTGCACCCTCAGATGGAACAACTGGACACCTGGAATGGCCATTAATTCTCTTGACATGGTTTTCCAGCTACCTCTAGGAGGACAGCCCATGCTTGTTCACCTCGTTGTGGAAGGGGTCCCACAGCAAGAAAGAAACAGGCCCAATGTTCAAGAGCTTTTAAAGCTAATTGCTTTACGTTTGCTAATGTCCCAGGGCTAAGGCAAATCACACGGCCATACCCAGATTTTAGAGGTGGAAAAAAAGGCTCAATTTTTCTGATTGGAGGAGCTGCAAAGTCATATTGCAAAGGAGCATGCAAATAAGGGTGGGATAATTTTGTGGCCACTTTGCAATTTACTACAGAAAGTAATTTAATATTTTGAGTCAGAATTTTCCAAGCTTATTCTCTTCCATTCAAACAAAACTTCAGATATTTCGTATGATTATTATTTGTTGGTTTTAAGAATATTTGGGATCTCTTATGAAAACAAGTATTAAATTCAATTTCAATTTAAGACCACTAAATTCCTTGTTATATTCCCCATTTTTTTAATATGAACATGGTGAAATGTTTTTCCATATATGTGCAAGACAGAGCAGATACATTTTAGATATAAGCAAAAGAACAGGCAATATGATAATACTTTTTTAGTTTATACTTCCTAGTACATCAGTACTTTCACCCTCTATTATACAAGTCACATTTGTTGTCTCATATTTATTAGTTATCTCTGCAACTGGACCAGCATCCCTGGTAGAATGCATTATGACTCCAGATCCTCACCTCTCTCTGCATCCATGTTCTTGACATGTTCTTATGGGTGTCATTATGAGCAGAGTATATTTCTCTGCCCTTTGATTTTGGACTTGGCCATGTGACAATATTTGGCCAAAGGCATGTGGTTGGAAGTGACAGTACTTCAGTCTAAGATTTGACTTTAAGAGGTATATAGGCTTGTTCTCTTGAGTCTCTGTCATTATGATAAGAACACGTCTGGCAGCTAGCTGGTCCTAGATTAAGGATATGTGTGGAGCAAAGCCACCTCAGCTAACTCACAGACCTGTAAGGAGAAGTAGAGCCTCACCAGCCCCCAAAACTACCTTCCCTTGAGCAGTCTAATCCCAGCTCACTAAGACATTTGACCCAAAATAAATGAGTGATATTTTCAGCCACTGTGTTTTGGGGTGTTTTTTATGGAACAAGTGGAAATGGACACTAGCCTTTTGAGGTAGATTACTGCCCATAATAATAGATGGATACAGAGTAGGGTCTCAAGATGTATTTATTTGGTCCTTAAGTTTTGACATTCCATTAGCTTTCTGTTACTAACATGACAAAAAAATCTCAAATTTAGTGGCTTAAAACAACATAAATTGATTTTCTAATAGTTCTGTAGGTTAGAAATTTGACATGGTTTTCACTGGGTTAAAACTAAGGCATCATCAGAGCTGCTTTCCCTTCTGGAGGCTCTAGGGAAAAATCCATTTCCTTGCCTTCTCCAGCTTCTTCGGGCCACCTACATTCCTTGGCTCATGACACTCTTCTTTCATCTATGTTATGTGCTGAACATGTTCCCCAAAATTCATGTTGAAGTCACTAATCTCAGGACCTAAAAATGAAACCATATTTGGAGATAAAGTCTTTAAGAAGGTAGTTAATGAGGCTGTTAATGGTGGGGTCTTAAACCAGTGTGACTGGTGTCCTTATAAGAAGAGAAAGAGACGCTAGGGATGCATGTGCTCAGAGGAAAGGCCATGTGAAGACACAGCAAGAAGGTGGCCATCTGCAGGCCAAGGAGAGAGGCCTCAGGAGAAATCAAACCCACCAACATCTTGATCTTGGACATCTATCCTCTAGAACTGTGAAAAAATAAATCTCTGTTGTTTAAGACAGATATATTGTCATGGCAGCCCTAGCGAACTAAAACAATCCTCAAAGACTGCAATGGCATTTCTCTGGTTATTCTTATCTTAGCACCTCTCTTCAGCTGGGAAAGATTCACTGCTTTTAAAGTCTCCTATGATTATACTGGGCCCACCCAAATAATCCAGGATATCTTTGCATCTCAAAATATTTACCTCTAATGACATCCTCAAAGTCCCTTTGCCATGTAAAGCAACGTATTCATAGGTTCTTGTGATTAGGAGATAGGACACGGACATCTTTGGAGATGAGGGACATTATTCTACTGACCAGAGACATAGAAGGTAACATTGAGATTATATAATTCATAGTTCAATCGATAAAATTTTTAAAGAAATGAAGTAGTAATTTAGTTATTTTGAGAAAAAGAATATTGCAGTGAGAACAATTATTCAGTAAAGACAGTTTTTTTCCTTTCATTTTCTTATTTCCTAATTCTGAAGCCCAGGTTTAGTTAAAACTTGCCTTGCTCCTTATACACATTTTTTTTTGCCATTAAAGAGCTTTCCATACCAGCCCACTTTTTAGCATCTTGCCTGCTTTTGCAAGATTCCCTCTAGCTGTTTCTATCTGGTGACCCTGCCTCTCTACTGAGGAAAGTTATTAACAAAAGCTGTCAGCTGCACGAGGCTTTCATCCAATCTGTAAGTGAACACCACAGAAAAACCTCTGTGAATCTTTTTTTTTTTTTTTTTTTTTTTTGGAAAGCCTCACACTGCCAATGGAAAGTTAGAGAATGAATGGCATGGCATGCTTACTTTTTCATGATCTGGGTCTCAGAAGCTCTATTAAAAGTCTATTAAGTATTTTATCAGCTTCTGTTGGAGCCACAAATGATAACTTTGTGTGGGAATTCATTTTCTATACATGCCAATTATAATATCAGAAGTGTGCTGAGCTGAAGTCATATTTGCATTTGATGGCTAGGGCCAGCTGGAAAGCATTTTCCACTGTGAGTTAAGTGCCATGCGCATCTTTAAATTTAGATATTAAAACACACACCAAACACCCAGTGCTGGAAAGATGCAAACAAATAGCAAGCAAGAGACCCATTTTTGGCCAACTCACAATTGAACATCCAGTCACCAATTAAACAACTCTATTCGTGGTGAGGCACGAGGGCTGTCTTAGTTGGTCACAGCTTCTTTGTGCTCTGGTCAGAAAATCACTTGCCTATTCATATGACAACCTCTCACAGTTCAACACCTTAACATTCAGTTTTCGTATTCTGGAACAATTCCCCAAACACAAAGTGACAGTTGTTGTCCAGGTTATAAACACAGCCCCGAATCCATTATGACCTATTTTGCTGTTTCTTCTATGACTTCAGCTGATGTGCTGCCGAAAAGCCAGTGAAAGTTCTTCCACTTCTCAAGAATGTAATACTTCATGGCTCATTTGAAATTGAGTCAGCACAAAGTGAAGTTTTATGGCAGGATCCTAATGCAGTATCCTGGGTGGCATCTGGCAGTTTTCAAACTAAGCCAAATAAGTCAGGAACCGATGTTCCCCAGGGGCTTTTCCTAGTAGAGCTCAGTTTAAGCAGAAGGAGAGAAATGAGGACTTAAAAGTGTCATGAGTTTCATGCTAGAAGAATTTGGATTTACATTCTGTTATTTCAGCTGTCAAGTTCCTAACATAGATAAAGATCTTTTCAGTCACTCCATGAGACTTCTCTACGTGGGATAGGAATTTTTGCAAATTTAGAGAAAGCAACATTGACAGAATTTCCAGCAAATATTTCTAACACCCCAAATGGATGTAAACAATGAGTAAGAGGTGGGGGAGGTGTCTCTGAATACAAGTTTTGTCTGTTTCCAAATGCCCTGTTGTGTGATGTTCTGCAGAATTCATGGGTAAGCAAGAAAGGGAACAAATTCCTTTCTCTCCCAATGTTGTGCATTAAGAGAATACGTATTTTTACCCATAAACACATGAGGACTTATCAGCTGTGTTGGATCAGGAAATATGTCTTGAGAACTGGATATTGAAACAGAAATTTAAACGTGTTGTTCACCCCAGATTATCATTATACTTCTTTTGGCTACTGCTAAGGACTTCCACATCTAAGGGGAGTACTGGGATATGTGGCAGATTGCAGCTGTGCCTCCTTTATCTGTCTCTGTATCCACTCCTCTTGCTATGTGATTTTGAAGTTCCCCTCCTGAGAGAGGTGGAATCTAATTCCCTACCCCATATGTATTAAGCGGTTCTTGCATTGCTATAAAGAAATACCTGAGGCTGGGTAATTTATAAAGAAAAGAGGTTTAACTGGCTCATGACCCTGTGGGCTGTACAGGAAGCTGGCTCATGACTCTGTGGGCTGTACAGGAAGCAGAGCAGCATCTATTTCTGAGGAGGCGTCAGGAAGCTCCCAATCATAGCAGAAGGCAAAAAAGGAGCAGGCATATCATGTGATGAGAATGGGAGCAAAAGAGAGTGCAGGGAGGTGCCACACACTTTTGAAAGAACAGATATCATTTGAACTCAGAGCAGGGGCTCACTTACCACCAAGTGCTTGGCCCAAGCCCTTCACGAGGGATCCGCCCCACGATCAAAATACCTCTTACTAGTCCCCACCTCCAACACTGAGGATTTCAATTCAACATGAGATTTGGGTGGGGACAAATATCCCAATTATATCACCATGTGACTTGCTTCTGCCAATAAAATAAGGCATAGTCATGGCATGCTAGTTCTGAGCACAGGCCTCAGAAAGTCTTTGCATAATGTTGCTTTCCATTTTGTACTTTCGCTGTAGTCATGAGCCTTTGATTTACCTATACATGTGGGAGTGAGCTAACCAGCTCACAAACAGGATCAAGACAACTGAGGGCTGCTGAGCCCAGCCTAGATGAGTAGATCCCTCAGTGACCTCCAGACACATGAGCTATAATAGTAAAATATTATGTTTTAAACCACTCTGTTTTGTGCATTTTATTGAGCAGCACTTTTGTGGCAATAGCTCAATGATACTAAAATTTAACACTTATCATTCAATAGACATTCACTAAATGAATGGATGAATAAACATATATCCTGAATATTTTTGTATGTGTATGTACACAAATTTGTATAGACATAAACAAGTAAAATACATAGAACACACACACACAGATAAATACAAATGCATCTTTCCACTTGCATACAGAGGTAGACATTTTCCTGTTTAAATTTTAACATTTCCCTTTGAAAATTGGTTTGGGATTAATTGATTAGTTACAAAGTTCTCAGAGAATGAGAGACAAATCTACCTTGATCCAGGGCCCTACAGTTTGGTTGTGCAGCTGAATATGACTTCAGAAACCATGTAATTAATTTTCAAGTATTTTGTTGTTGACTGGCTCTCCACGTTATTAGTAGAATAAATAAAGTTTGCAAACAAGAAGACAGCAATATTAACCCGCCCCATGCAAAAAAGGAACACACAAAGTCTTCTAATTTCCTAGGTACTACTGTGACTTTAAAAAATAGAATGTCTATTGTAGGCAATTTGAAAACTGTGCTGTGAAAATGTTCAGAAAAAAATTTCTTCCGCATTAGTGCTATAATTGCACTTGAGGAGAATATAGAAGGATTAATTACTTTTGCTGTTCAATAGGAGTTTGATTCTGGTTTTCTAAGCTAACATTGGAAGTGAAACCTTGACTTGATAATGGTATTTAAGTTTTCTAATCAATTCCTGTCCCTAAACATATTCAGCATGGTGGTTCCTCAGATTGAAGAGAAGACACATCTTCCAGAAATTAAAAGAAATGATGATAAATAACTGATCAGATATCTTATTCATTAAGTATTTTTGAGTTTTAAAAATTTTCTTCTAGACTGCTGAATATTTAAAAAATATATATAGGTATACGAACATAGGATCTTTTTGTGTACCATATTTTGATCATCAGACACAATATAACTCTAACGTGGTACAAGGTACAATTTCTAGTGGGTGTTTAGAAAGCCACAGGGCTATGATTTTGAGATTAGCTGTGAAGGGACCTAGCAAACTAGCCAAAGCCTTGACCCCCCATCCTTAAGACGATAGATGTATTCATTTGTTTTCACACTGCTGATAAAGACATACCCGAGACTGGGAAGAAAAAGAGGTTTAATTGGACTTACAGTTTCACATGGCTGGGGAGGCCTCAGAAATATGGCAGGAGGTGAAAGGCACTTCTTACATGGTGGCGGCAAGAGAAAATGAGAGAGAAGCAAAAGCAGAAACCCCTGAGAAACCCATCAGATTTCCTGAGACTTATTCACTATCATGAGAGTAGCACAGGAAAGACCAGTCCCCATGATTCAATTACCTCTCCAAGGGTCCCTCCCACATCACGTGGGGATTCTGGAAGATACAATTCAAGTTGAGATTTGGGTGGGGACACAGCCAAACCATATCATTCTGCCTCTGGCCCCTCCAAATCTCATGTCCTCACATTTCAAAACCAATCATGCCTTCCCAGCAGTCCCCTAAAGTCTTAATTCATTTCAGCACTAACCCAAAAGTCCACAGTCCAAAGTCTCATCTGAGACAAGGCAAGTTCCTTTTGCCTATAAGCCTGTAAAATCAAAAGCAAGCTATTACTTCCTAGAGATAATGGGGATACAGGTATTGGGTAAATACAGCAGTTCCAAATGTGAGAAATTGGCCAAAATGAAGGGGATACAAGGCTCATGCAAGTTTTAAATCCAGTGGTTCAGTCACATTTTAAAGTTCCAAAATGATCTCCTTTGACTCTAGGTCTCATGTCCAGGTCATGCCAATACAAGAGGTGGGTTCCCATGGTCTTGGAGCAGCTCCATCTCTGTGCCTTTGCAGGGTACAACCTCCCTCCTGGTTGCTTTCATGGGCTGGTGTTGAGTTCCTGTGGCTTTTTCAGGTGCATGGTGCAAGCTTTCTGTGGATCTACCATTCTGGGGTCTGGAGGATAGTGGCCCTTTTCTCACAGCTCCACTAGACTGTGCCCCATTAGAGACTCTGTTGTGGGGGCTCTGACCCCACATTTCCCTTTCATGCTGCCCTAGCAGAGGTTCTCCATGAGGGCCCCACACCTGCTGCAAACTTTTGCCTGGGCATCCAGACATTTGCATACATCTTCTGAAATCTAGGTGGAGGTTCCCAAAGCTCAATTCTTGACTTCTGTGCACCTGCAGGCTCAATACCACGTGGAAGCTGCCAAGTCTTGGGGATTCCACCCTCTGAAGCCACAGCCCGAGCTGTATGTTGCCCCTTTTCAGCCATGGCTGGAGTGGCTGGGACACAGGGCATCAAGTCCCTAGGCTGTACAAAGCACTGGGACTCTGGGCCCGGCCCATGAAACCACTTTTTCATCCTTGGCTTCTGGGCCTATGATGGGAGGGGCTACCGTGAAAGTCTCTGACATGGCCTGGAGACATTTTCCCCATGGTCTTGGGGATTAACATTGGGCTCCTTGCTACTTATGTAAATTTGTGCAGCCAGATTAAATTTTTCCCCAGAAAATGGGTTTTTCTTTTCTATTTCATAGTCAGGCTGCAAATTTTCCAGGCTGTTATGCTCTGCTTCCCTTATAAAACTGAATGCCTTTAACATTACCCAAGTCATCTTGTGAATGCCTTGCTGCTTAGAAATTTCTTTCACCAGATACCCTAAATCATCTTTCTCAAGTTTAAAGTTGCACAAATCTCTAGGGCAGGGGCAAAATGTCACCAGTCTCTCTTTGCTAAAACATAACAAGACTCACCTTTACTCCAGTTCCCAACAAGTTCCTAATCTCCATCCGAGACCACCTCAGCTTGGACCTTATTGTCCATATCGCTATCAGCATTTTGGGCAAGGCCATTCAGCAAGTCTCTAGGAAGTTCCAAACTTTCCCACATTTTCCTGTCTTCTGAGCCCTCCAGACTTTTCCAGCCTCTGCCTGTTACCCAGTTCCAAAGTTGCTTCCATATTTGGGTAATTTTTCTGCAGTGCCCCACTCTACTGGTACTAATTTATAGTATTAGTTTGTTTTCATACTGCCAATAAAGACATACCCAAGACCAGGAAGGAAAAGAGGTTTAATTGGACTTACAGTTCCACATGGCTGGGGAGGTCTCAGAATCATGGTGGGGGTGAGAGGCACTTCTTACATGGTGGTGGCAAGAAAAAATGAGAGAGAAGCAAAAGCAGAAACCTCTGATAAACCCATCAGATCTCCTGAGACTTATTCACTATCATGAGAATAGCATGGGAAAGACCAGTCCCCATGATTCAATTACCTTCCCCTGGATCCCTCACACTACACATGGGAATTCTGGGAGATACAATTTAAGTTGAGATTTGGGTGGGGACACAGCCAAACTATATCAGTATACCATTAGTACTTTTCTTCATATGCATATTTTTAATAGAAGGAGAAGGTGTCACGTGAGCTAGAATTTGAGGAGACTATGCCATTGAATAATTGGCTATTGTGAGCTTCTAGGATTTGTCAAAAAAAAGTTGGATTATTGTTCATTTCAATAAGGTATCAAACTTCCCCCCCTGAGTTCTTATAAGATTCTAGGTTCCTCATTTTATGAGATTAAAAATAATTTGAATTTTCTATTAATGGCATATTTATTTTTTATTTTACCTATTTTATATATAAAATAATATCAGAAAAGTATGGGGCTATATGTTAGAGGAACATCAGGAATAGGAAAACATTCTCTATATTTTGATCTTATATCTGTACTACAATTGCTTTGTTCAACTGGATGATTGGAGGGTGAGAAATATTTAGGTCAATTATTGATGGGATGACCCAATAGATTGTATAACTGATTTGACTAATAACAGCATGATTTGAACAACAAAAAAGTCTGTTAATCATTTTATTTTTAGGGAAGTTTTGAATGCTAGGAATTATTCTGAAGACTGACTATGAGTGTAGGTTGCTTACTTGGTGAATTCAGAACTATTTCACCAAATCACAAATTTGATAGTGGTAGTGCACATTTTGGAGGATTTAAAAATGAATTTCCTTATATGATTATTTATGTTATCTTTCCCTTTATAGGATTTTTTTGTGTACATATGTATGTGTGCATGTACATGTGCTGAGAGATACATGTAGGAGTTTAATACACAGAATTTTCAGAAAGCATTGAAGAGACAGTCATCTAAAGTTTTAGATTCCAAACATAAACACATTTTATAGACAATGTATTGCTTTCAAGAAGTAGAATGGATATTCTTCTCTTGGGATTGCTTATTGATTTTCTTTAGTCTATAACAATATACAGTACCTTATTGCTTACTTTTAAGCAAATGCCAAATCAATAGTAGGTTATAGAAGTATACATTGAATGTGTGTATAAAGGTATAATCCAGAATACATGACATGGTCATAATGGGAACTTGTAGAAATGCTCAATTTAGATGATGTTTTTAATGGGTAAGAGCAAAGACATGAACAGAATGATCTTACGTTTCATCCTCAATGCCCAATACTTAAGTCATTTCTGTAATTTAACTTTCAAATAGAGAAGACTGGAGGCAATTGTGTTTTTTCAAGTTTTGTTATGGATAGTGGCCATGGTCAAATTTTGAGAGAGGAAGTTATTAATATTAATCACTAGTCCTGACCTTGATATCGACTTGTTTCTTTATGAAGGTTATTTAATCTTTCTAACTTTTAAGATGTAAAATAGAAAGGTATATATTTCTACCCACTTAATGACATATAATCTAAATCAAATAAGACAAATGCTTGGAAAATGTAAGATGTATAGGAACAAAAATATTTATTATCTTTTTCAGTGTTTTAACTTATTTGGAGAGGAAAACAACAGTTCCTAATGAAGAGAAATATTTAACCTTATTTATTGGCTTTGTGTGTGTGTATGTGTGTGTGTGTGTGTGTGTGTTTATGTGCATTTCATTTCTTTGAAAATCCCAAGTGGTTCTGATCCTCATTTTCCTGTATGACTTTTACACACTGTAAAGTATATTCTTTGTGAAGTGTGAAATTAATGGCTTATTTGTATAATGAGTGGCAATAAATGACTGTTATATAGACTTAATGTTGGTTTATTTTTTAAATGATGAAATATTGATTATAGCTACATAGTGGTACCTCTCTTTGTACATTTCACATTTATTATCTTATGTAATACAGCAACCACAAAAGTTGCATACAATAAGTATAATATTTTTTCAATAAAAGAAGAAACAAGCTCAGTGATGGCAAGCTGAAGTTGTATGATTACTAGGTATCTCGTAAGGATTAAAGATGAAACTAGGATTCCTAATTCTGTCTTCTACTGTCACACATTTATTTGGCATATGATGAGTCTGTGTCAGGACTGATCAATCATACAAAAGTGAATAAGCGGAGGCAGTGATACACTGATGGAGGAAGCAGGCATGAGAAAGATTTTAAAGAGTACAAACATTGCAATAGCTTTCTGAAGCCCATGTTAATAAAGTCCAGAAGATCTTTACTGAGAGAGTGATGCCTGAGGGGGTTCTTGAAGAATTCCAGGAATAAGAGGACAAACTTTGATTCTTCCTCCCTCACCCACACATCCAGTCCTGTCAACAAGTCCAATCAAGTCTGCTCCCCAAATATGTATGAGATCTAGGCACTTCTTGCCACCTCTACCCCATTGTTCTAGTCCAGGCCACTGTACATTCTGCCCTGGAGACTTTCCAACTGCTCTTTCAGACGCACTTTTATCATCCTCCATAGATGAGTCTTAACAACTATAGTGACGACAAAATGCATCAGGTCTTCACCCTCCATGTGATCCTTCAGTGGCTTTCTATCTGTCACTCGTAGAGTGTGGCTCTCATCTCTGTTATGCCTACAAAGCCCTGCACAATCTTATCCCTGCTGTCTGTACATCCTCAGGCAGATCTGTGTTCCTTCTTGCTCATTTCCCAACCAAGTTGTTTTCTTTCTATCCTTCCAAAATGCAAGACTAAATGTGATGGTTAATTTTTCTGTCAACTTGGATGGGCCACAGTGCTCAGATGTTTGATGAAGCATTATGCTGGCTGTTTCTGTCAAGGTGTTTTTTTGTATGAGATTAACATTTAAATTAGTAGAATTAGAGTAAAGCAGATTGCTCTCCATAATGTGGGAGAGCATCATCCAATCAGTGGAAGGCCTGAGTAGAGTGAAGGCTGACCTCTCCTGAGCAAGAAGCAATAGTGCCTGTAGACTGACTTTGGACTCGACGTGCAACTCTTCCCTGGGTCTCCAGCCTGTTGACCGACTCTGCAGATTGTAGACTTACTAAGTCTGCAATCATATGAACCAATTCCTTAAATAAATCTCTCTCTATGCACATCCTATTGGTTCTGTTTCTCTTGACAACCTTGACTTGACCCACAAGGCCTTTCACACCTGCTGTTCCCACTCTAGGAATCTCTTCTAGCTAACTCCTTCTCACCTCTAAGATTTCAGCTGGAACATCAGTTTTCAGAAACACTTTTTCTGACCTTCCAAATACAATGAGATTTCTTTCGTTTAAATTCCTTTTTATATCACTCTCTATTTTGCTTCACAGTACATGTGACAGTTTAAAGTCAAAGTCAAATATTTATGTCTGCAATTATTTAAATGTATGTCTCATGTTACAGCAGTTCCTTCTCCTCTGAACACTCAGAGCCTAACTTGATTCTGCAACACAGTGTCTCAACAAATACGCATTGATTGAATTAAATCGATGCAGGCTGAGGTGGGAGAATTACTTGAACCCAGGAGGGGGAGATTGCAGTGAGCCAAGATAACACCACTGCACTCCAAACCTGGTTGACAGAGCGAGACTCCTCTCCACAAAAAAAAAAAAAAAAAAAAAAAAAAAATTCAGTGCAAAAGTAGGCATGGCTGCCTAGGAAACAGCATTCTGGAGACAGCGTGATGAAATGCAGATTCTGGATTTATTACTTATTTTCATTGTGATCTCAGAGAAACCTCTTAAGCCTCATTTCCTCATATTTAAAGTGGTAATAATAGCAGTTCCTAAATCACAGTGTGTTATTATGACTAAAGAGGATATTATATGTAAAGGGCTTAGTAGAATGCCTAACATAGTGAGTGCTAAATAATATGCAAAGAAAAAGATCTGCCTTTTGCTAGGTGGTATGTGTGGGTTGGGCGTCAGGTAGCGGATATCACTCAAAAGTGAGTAACAGGAAGGACATTACAATCCACACCATTTCCACAATATTTCCCTTGATCTGGAGTTGTCAAGCATATAGTTCCTCAATTGATAGCACTGAATAAATACCTGGATTTCCCAAAATGAGATGATTAGGACCCATAGCTCTTCTAAATATTCCTAATTATCTTGGGAAGCCATCAATGCGCTGGGGGAATAAAAGAGCAGACCAGTAAGATGTGGGAGGAATGCTGATCACTAAATGGTCCCTGGCAACTCGTTCAATGTAACTCTCATTCTTCTGTAAAATAGTGATGATCATAGTATCTTCCTTCCTGATTTATTTCAAGGTTTCAATAAGAAGAAAATTAAAGTCTCTTTGCAAAAGTAAAATATGTTTGCTTTTGTGTTACCAAGATTACCCAATATCTGTTTGCTTAATATGTGCCTGCATTGTTCTAAATTGATGTCGGACATTCAGTTTAATGAATCCTCACCACAACCCAGTAAAGTAGGTTTATTATTGTACTTTGCATTCAAGAAAACTGAGACTGAGCCATATTTAGTGACTTGATCAAAATCACACAGCCAGCAAAGAACAGAACAAAGATTTTTTTTCTGGGGATAGGGGTGTGAGAGTCTGATGTCAGGGCTCACTTTGAAAACCACTGCTCTTGGCTGTGACTCTAGCTAACAGTTATTGGAATCTCACCATGATTTGGGCATTTTGCTAACTGCTTTACATTCATTTTTAAATTTAACCCACACAGCAATTTTATGATGTATTCTCACTAATTTCTAATTAAAAATTTATACCCCCGCATAGTGATATTTAGGAATATGATGATTAATTTTATGTGTCCATTTGACTGAACCACAGGTTGCCCAGATATTTGGAAAAATATTACTCTGGTGTGTCTGTGAGGATGTATGTGGATTAGAGGAACATTTGGATTGGTAGACTGAGTAAAAAAGATTGCCCTCCCTAATGCGGGCATACAGTCAGCTGAAGGTCTGAATAGAACAAGACTGACTCTTCCATATGTAAGACGGAATCCTTCCTGCCTGACTGCCTTCAAGCTGGACACCAACTTTTTTCTGCCTTTGTATTTGAACTAAACCATCAGGTCTCCTGTATCTCCAGCTTGCCTACTCACTCACCCTGCAGGTCGTGGGACTTAGCCTCCATAACCATCCAAGCTAATATTTTATAATAATTCTATTTCTACATATGTGGACATCCTAGTGGTTCTGTCTCCCTGGAGAACCCTGACTAATACCAGGAGTTTAAAAATCAAATAAGATGAGAAAGAGGACAATAATCTTGACTCTTTGAAAGATATATATAAATATATTTTACTTTAGAAAATACTCCAAATAATTTGGGCCATGTTTCTAGTATAATGTATATATTGATATAGATATATAAATATACATACATATGTACATATATAGCGACATACTTATATAAACATTATATATAAATATGTGTCTATATAGAACCATATAAGTAGAAACATATTCATTTATTTATATATAAATTGTGTCTAATAAAACTTCAGTGTTCTTCAAAATTTCTATGCCCCGTTCATATACATTAAAGTGAAAAATTTATACTTGGAAATCAAAGATGGCAAGTCCAGTTATGTGGTATTTATGTTTTATTTCATGTCATTTTCTATAAGGAGAAAGTCTAGTTGTTAATGCCAGTTTTCTTTTACTTTTATTTTTATACTTTTAAAAATTCTTTTTTTTTTTTTTGAAACAGTCTTGCTCTGTTGCCCAGAATAAAGTGCAGTGGCATGATGTCGGATCACTGCAACCTCCGCCTCCCAGGTTTAAGTGATTCTCATGCCTCAGCCACCTGGGTAGCTGGGATTACAGATGTGCACCACCACATCTGGCTAATTGTTGTATCTTTAGTATAGACGGTGTTTCCCCATGTGGGCCAGGCTGGTCTCGAACTCCTAGCTTCAAATGATTTGCCTGCCTTAGCCTCCCAAAGTGCTGGGATTACAGGTGTGAGCCTCTATGCCTGGCCAATGCCAATTTTTAATGTATAGTGTCAGTCATTATTATTTATTTAAATAATTGTAGAAGTCTTTAATTATTTTATTTTTAAATGTGTAAATATATTTATGGGGTAGAATGTGATGTGTGAATACCTGTATGCATTGTGGAAAGATCAAATTAGGGTACTTAGCATAGCCATCACCTCAAATACTTGCCATTTCTTTGTGGCAACGATGTTTAAAACCCTCTTTTCAGCAATTTGAAATATATGATATATTATTATTAACTATAATCATCTTACTGTGCAATAGAACACAGAAATTATTTCTCCGAAGTATAAATTTGTGCCACATCTCCCTTTTCCCTCTCCACTCCCTCAACCCCCTACCTCTGGTAACCATCATTCTATTCTCTACTTCCATGAGTTCCACATTTTTAGATCCCACATATAAGTGAGATTATACCGTATTTGTCTCTCTGTGCCTGCCTTATTTCACCTAATATACAATGCCCTCTAGGTTTACCCATGTTGCTGAAAATTACAGAATTTTCTGTTTGTTTTTTTTAAGGCTGAATAATATTCCACTGCAAGTATATGCCACATTTTTAAAATCCATTCATTCATTGATGTACATAGATTGTTTTTATACATTGGCTGTCATAAATAATGCTGCAATGAAAATGAGAATGCAGGCATTTCTTCATCATACTGATTTCAATTCCTTTTGGTATATTACCAGGAGTGGGATTGCTGATCAGATGGTAATTCTGTTTTTGTCTTTTTGTGCGGAACCTCCATACTGTTTTGCAAAATGGCTATAGTAATTTACAATACTGCCAAAAGTGTATAAGGCTTTCTTTTTCTTCACCTCCTTGCCAATACCTGTTATCTTTCATCTTTTTGATAATAGCAAATCTAACAAGTATGAGGTGATATCTTATTATGGTTTTAATTGCATTTCTCTGATAACTAGAAACATTGAGCATTTTAAAAATAAGTCTGTTCGCTATTTATATTTCTTTTGAGAAATGGCTTTTCAAATTCTTTGCTTTTTTTAATAGGTTTTTTTTCTTGTTACCGAGTAGTTTGTGTTCTTGTATATTTTGGATGGTATTCCCCTATCTGATATATGATTTGTAAATATTTTCTCCCACTCCATGAGTTGTCACTTCACTCTGTTAATTGTTTCCTTTGCTGTGCAGAAGCTTTTTAGTTTGCCGCAATCCAATTTGTCTTTGTTTCTATTGCCTGTGCTTTGAGGGTCATACCCAAGAAACCTCTGCCCAGGCTAATGTTGTGGAGATTTTCCCCTACGTTTTCTTCCAGTAGTTTTACAATTTTAGGTTTTATGTTTATGTTGTTATGCATTTTGAGTTGATTCTTGTGTAGAGGGGGTGAGAAAACGGTCAATTTTTTTTTCTTTCTTTCTTTTTTTTTTTTTTGAGACGGAGTCTGACTCTCGCCCAGGCTGGAGTGCAGTGGCGCTCTCTCGGTTTACTGCAAGCTCCGCCTCCCGGGTTTACGCCATTCTCCTGCCTCAGCCTCCGGAGTAGCTGGGACTACAGGCTCCCGCCACCATGCCCGGCTAATTTTTTGTATTTTAGTAGAGATGGGGTTACACCATGTTAGCCAGGATGGTCTCTATCTCCTGACCTCGTGATCCGCCCGCCTCGGCCTCCCAAAGTGCTGGGATTACAGGTGTGAGCCACCACGCCTGGCCAGAAAAGGGTCAATTTTTATTGTTTTTTTATCTGGATATCCAGTTTTTGCAACGCCAAAAGACTATCTTCCCATTGTGTGTTGTTGGCACCTGTATTAGTCAGGGTTCTCTAGAGAGACAGAACTAATAGGATATATGTATATATGAAAAGCAGTTTACTAAGTAGAATCGGCTCACATGATCACAAGGTGAATTCCCTCTATAGGCCATCTGCAAGCTGAGGAAGAAGGCAGTGGTGGCTTATACTGAGTCCAAAAGCCTCAAATGAAGGGAAGTTGACAGTGTAGCCTTTAGTTGTGGCTGAATGCTCGAGAGCCCCTGTCAAATCATTGGTGTAAGTCCAAGAGTCCAAAAATTGAAGAACCTGGAGTCTGATGTCCAAGAGCAAGAGGAACGGATGGAAGCATCCAGCATGGGAGAAAGATGAAAGCCGAAGACTCAAAACAAGCCAGCTTATCCTACCTTCTTCCACCTGCTTTGTAATAGCCACGCTGGCAGCAGATTGGATGTGTCCACCCACGTTGAGGGTGGGTCTTCCTCTCTCAGTCCACTGAGTCAAATGTTAATCTCCTCTGGAAACACCCTCACAGATACACCCAGAAACAATACTTTACCAACCATCTAGGCATCCTTCAATCCAGTCAAGTTGATACCTAATATTAACCATCACAGAACTTTTGTCAAAAATTAATTGATTGATTTTCTTTCTTTTGGATATGTGCCCAGCAGTGAAATTCTGAATCAGATGGTAGTTCTACTTTTAGTTTTCTGAGGAACCTCCATATTGTTTTCCATAGTGGCTGTACTAATTTACATTCCCACCAACAGCGTAGGAGAGTTCCCCGTTCTCCACGTCCTTGCAAGTATCTGTTATTACCTATCATTTTCATAAAAGCCACTTCAACTGGGGCAAAATGATATCTCATGGTAGTTTTGATTTGTATTTCTCTGATAATTAGTGATGCTGAACATTTTTGCAAATACCTGATATATGTACTCCCATATTTATTGCAGCACCATTCACAAAGCTAAGACATGGAATCAACCTAAGTGTCCATCAACAGATAAATAAACACATGTGGTGTATATACACAATGGAATATTATACAGCCATATAAAGAATAAAATTTTGTGATTTTCAACAGAATGAATGGAACTGGAGGACATTGTGTTAAGTGAAATAAGCTAGGCACAGAAAGACAAATATTGCGTGTTCTCACTCCTATGTAGAAGCTACATGAGATTATGCCTGTAATCCCAGCACTTTGGGAGGCTGAGGTGGGTGGATCACCTGAGGTCAGGAGTTTGAGACCAGCCTGGCCAATATGATAAAACCCTGTCTCTACTAAAAATACAAAAATTTGCTGGACGTGGTGGCACATGCCTGTAATCCCAGCTACTTGGGATGCTGAGGCAGGAGAATCGCTTGAACCTGGGAGACAGAGTTTGCAGTGAGCTGAGATCGTGCCATTGCACTCCAGCCTGAGCAACAAGAGTGAAACTCCATCTCAAAAAAAAAAAAAAAGGTTCTATAGAAAAAATAAGATCAGTAGCACAATAAGGTGATTATGGTTGCAATAATGTATTGTTCATTTCAAAATATCTAAGAGTAGAATTGAAATGTTCCTAATACAAATAAATGATAAATGCTTGAGGTGGCAGCATTCCCAATTACCCTCATCTGATCATTACACATTGTATTCTTATATCAAAAAAATGTACCCCAGAAATATGTATAACTAATATTTGTTGCCATAATAACAACAACAAAACAAAACAAAAAATCAATTGACTGTAGATGCATGGGTTCATTTCTGGGTTTTCTAATCTGTTCCATTGGTCTGTGTGTCTATTTTATGCCATCATGCTGCTTTGTTAACTATAGCTTTGTAATATATTTTGAAATCTGGTGGTGTGACGCTGGCAGCTTTGTTCTTTTTATTCAATATTGCTTTGGCTATTTGGGGTATTTTGTAGTTCCACACAGATTTTGGGATTTTTTTTTTCTATTTCTGTGAAAAAATAAATAGGAATTTTGGTCAGGATTGTGTTGAATCTGTAGATCACTTTGGGTAATATGGACATCTTAACAATATTAATTCTTCCAATCCATGAACAAATGGTATATTTCCATTTATTTATGCCAATCTCAATTTCTCTCATCAATGTTTTATTGTTTTTAGTATATATAGATCTTCCACGTCCTTGGTTACATTTACTATTATGTGTTTTATTTTAATTTTTTTGATGCTTGAGATATTTTCAGACAGTTCATTTGTATTACATGGAAATGTTACTCATTTTTTAGGCTGAATTTGTATCCTGCAAATTTACTAAATGTTTACATCAGTTCTAACAGTTTTTTGATGGAGTCTTCAAAATTTTCTGTATGTAAGATTATGCCACCAGTAATCAGAGACAATTTCAGTTCATCCTTTCCTAGTCAAATATCTTTTGTTTCTTTTTCTTGTCTAATTGCTCTGGCTAGAACTGTCAGTATGGCTAGAACTGTCAGTACTGTTGTAAAAAGAAATGGTGAGAGTGGCTTTCTTGTCTTATTTCTGACCTTAGAGGAAAAGCCTTCAAGTTTTCATTGTTGAATATGATGTTAGCTGTGGGCTTGCTACATATGGCCTTTATTATGTTGAGGAACATTCTTTTTATAGTCTATTTATTGAGAGTTTTTAATATGAAAGGATGTTTAATTTTGACAAATATTTTTCTGTATCTATTGTGATGATCATATAGTTTTTCTTTTTTATTCTGTTAATATAGTGAATCACATGTACTAATTTATGTATGTTAAACCAACCTTGCATCCCAGAGATAACTCCCACATGATCATGGTGAATAATCTTTTTAATATACTGTTGAATATTATTTGCTAATTTTTGTTGAGGATTTTATATCTCTATTCACCTGTGGTATTTGCCTATACTTCCGTTATGGTGTCTTTGTCTGGCTTTGGTTTCAGGATGATGCTGGCCTTATAAAATGAGTTTGGAAGGATTCCCTCCACTTCAGTTTTTTTGGAAGAATTTGAGAAGCACTGGTATTAGTTTTTTTAAGTGTATGATAGAATTTAGCTGTGAAGCCATTTCGTCCTGGGTTTTTTGAAATGGAATATTTTAAATTACTTATTCAATATCTTTACCTTATATTGGTCTGTCCTTTTATTGGTCTGTTCATATTTTTCATTTCTTTGTGATTTAGGCTTGGTAGCTTGTACATTTCTAAAAATTTATACCTTTCTTCTAGAAAATTGTCCAATTTGCGATAAACTTCCTTCTTAGCACTGCTTTTGCTTCATCCCATAGGTTTTGATATGTTGTGTCTCCATTTTCATTTGTCTAGGAATATTTTTAATTTTCCCTTTAATTTCTTCTTTGACTCAATAGTTGCTCAGGAGCTTTAATTTTCATATATTTGTAATCCTCTTTGATTTCTTCTGTTATTAATTTATAGTTGTATACTATTGTAGATGGAAAATACATTGATATAATTTTGAGCTTAAATTTGCCAAGACTTGTTTTGTGATATATTATCTATCCTGGAGAATGTTCTGTGTGCTTGAGAAGAATGTGTGTTCCATTGCTGCTGGGTAGAATTTTCTGTATATGTTGTTAGGTCCATTTGGTCTAAAAGTGTAGTTCAAATTCACTATTTTCTTATTGATTTTCGGTCTGGATAATCTGCCTAATATTAAGAGTGGGGTATTGACGTACCATGCTATTATTGTGTTGGAGTCTGTCTCCTTTCAGATCTCTTAAGGTTGGCCTTATATATTTATGTTATTTGATGTTGGGTGCATATATATTTACAATTCTTATATCTTCTTGATGTATTGACCCCTTTATCACTATATGACTTTTTTTTTTTTTTTTACAGTTTTTGACCCAGTCTGTTTTCTCTAAAATAATTATAAGTACCCTTGGTCTTTTATAATTTTCATTTGTATGGAATTTTATTAACCCTTCACTTTTGATCTATGAATATCCTTTAATGTGAAATGAATCTCTTGTAGACAGCATATAGTTGGGTCTTATTTTTTTATATCCATTCAGCTACCCTGCCTTTTGGTTGGAGAATTTAATACATTTATATTTAAAGTAATTATTGATAGGTAATAACTTTTCAGTGACATTTTGTTCATTGTTTTATAGTTGTTTCATAGATTCTTTGTTCCTTTATTCACTTGCTTTCTTCCTTTGCAGTTTAATTGCATTCTGTAGTAGTATGCTTTAGATTTTTTGTTTGTATCTTTTGTGTATCTATTATAGGCTTTTTGCTTTATGGTTACCCTGTGACTTTCATAAAACATCTTGCAATTATAACAGGCTATTTTAAATTGATAACAACTTAGTTTTCATTGCATATACAAACTGTATAGTTTTACTCCTCTTCCTCCCACATTTTGTTTTTGATCTCAGGTTAATCACATATTTC
This sequence comes from Homo sapiens, assembly GCF_000001405.40. Classification (NCBI taxonomy): domain Eukaryota; kingdom Metazoa; phylum Chordata; class Mammalia; order Primates; family Hominidae; genus Homo; species Homo sapiens. The sequence goes on along the minus strand of NC_000014.9, from coordinate 87,550,455 downwards.
CCCTTCCCTTTGGTCAGTTTCTGGAGATTGATCTTTTTTTTGTTTTTCTTTATGGGATATAATCCCTGTTTCTTCATTTTTCTTGACTCTCTTTGTTGGTTTCTGTGCATTAGATAATACAACTACCTCTCTTAGTCTTGTCATACCTGCCTCATATCTCACGAATCTATTAGGCCAGAGATTTTTAGGTGCTTCTCAACTTTTTGTGTCTGTCAAGATTGTTGCCTCTGTTTTTGGTAGCCAGCTGGACCTTAGGATGTGCCACATCTGGTCAGTACCCCAAGACTGGTAAGGTAGGAACGAGACTCTCTAGATGTAGCTTGAAAGGTTGGGGTTTGAATGTGCATTCTAATTTCTTCTATCTTCTTAATAAAGTTAATAGGGGCAGCAAACCACCATGGCACTTGTATACCTATGTAACAAAACTGCACGTTCTGCACATGTATCCCAGAACTTAAAGTAAAATTTAAAAACAAAGAAATAAATAAAGCTGGCCGGGCATGGTGGCTCACGCCTGTAATCCCAGCATTTTAGGAGGTCGTGGCGGGCAGATCATGAGGTCAGGAGATCGAGACCATCCTGGCTAATGCGGTGAAACCCCGTCTCTACTAAAAGTACAAAAAATTAGCCGGGCATGGTGGCGGGCGCCTGTGGTCCCAGCTGCTCGGGAGACTGAGGCAGGAGAATGGCATGAACCTAGGAGGCGGAGCTTGCAGTGAGCCGAGATAGCGCCACTGCACTCCAACGTGGGCGACAGAGTGAGACACCGTCTCAAAAAAATGAATAAATAAATAAATAAAACAAATAAAGTTGTGTGTGTACATTCTTCTCCCACTCTCTTTGCACTGAGCTGGGGAGATGGTCCGTAGCAAATGCTTGCACTCATGTTCAGGCTATATCCTCTGATCCTTGGGAAATTATTGCTGCGAGTGGGCCCACTGTATGCATACTCTTTGTTTTCTGGAATCTAGACTACTCAGGAATGTAAAGTCCCATCGACTCCCAGAGCTATGTTGCTAAGGAGACAATCCTTTTGGTGGGAGCTATAGAAGATATGGTGGCACTTGATGCATGGCCAGATTGCTTCCAGGAAGCATGAATAGGTCACTGGGGTGAGCTGAAGGGAAGGCTTGTAAAGTACCAAGCTCTAATCTGGCTGCCAGAGGGCTATGGCTTGTTTTCCTCATTAGCTGTCTGTTGCAGGTTCGTTAGAAGCCAGGCCATCAAGTAGCCACTGGAAGTGTACGCCATAAGCCCCTTTCAGAGCAAAAAGTGTAGCTGTACATTTCTACCTTTTTTCTGCACTGCTCCAGGGTGTATACCTGTTTGCTTGCCTGTTTAAGGATGCCTTTGTGTTCTGTGGTCTAGGGAGACTCATGTATACTTAGTTCCTTATGTTTCCAGATCTTAGTTTTTGGATGGAGTCCTTGGAGGTAGCTGTAAAAGTTGGGACACTCAGTGCATGGCATATATCCCTTCACTGAATATGGGCATTTTTAAAGCCCCTTCTTTGTATTGCTCCTGGGAGATGAAGCCCCTGGAAGTGCTTATGTGCCCATATAAAACTGCCATTTTTTTCTGTAGTCTAAAGAGACTCACGTATACTTAGTCCCCTCTGCTCTGAGAGCTAGGAGGGTTAGGATGCAGTCCCTCAGGTTGAAGCTGTAAAAGTTTGGGTGCTTTTGATGTATGAACAAACTCCTCTGGTAGGGATTAAGAGACCTGGAGTTATTGCTGGGGGGAACTGTGGAGAAAGCTTCAGAAGTACAGATCTTCTTCTTAGACTGCCAGAGGACTAACACTTATCTGCCACTTTAACTTCGTTTTATTTATTTATTCTTTTTATTTATTTATTTATTTTTGAGACAGAGTCTTCCTCTCTCGCCAGGCTGGAGTGCAATGGTGCGATCTCAGCTCATTACAACTTCTGCCTCCTGGGTTCAAGTGATTCTCCTGCCTCAGCCTCCCGAGTAGTTGGCATTACAGGCACCTGCCACCATGCCCGGCTAATTTTTGTGTTTTTAGTAGAGACGAGCTTTCACCATGTTGGTCAGGCTGGTCTCGAACTCCTGACCTCGTGATTTGCCTGCCTCAGCCTCCCAAAGTGCTGGGATTACAGGCGTGAGCCACCGCACCTGGCCGCCTTTAACTTCTTGACGCAAGTTCGTTAGAAGCCAGTCCGCCAAGTAGCACTGGAATACTGTGCATTAAACTTCTTTCAGGAAGACACAAGGGCCTGCATTTTTAAAGCCCCTTCTCTGCATCACTCCTGGGGAATGAAGCCCCTGGCAGTGCCTGCATGCCCATATAAAAGAGCCCACTTTTTCCTGTGGTCTAGAGAGACTCGCATGTGTCTAATTCTCCTCACTCCAAAAGTTAGTGAATTAAGAGTCAAACCATGGGGAACCTTAGAGGCGCTATATTCTCTCCCTAAGGGGAAACTGCCCAGATTCTCTCCCTAAGGCGAAGCTGAGTACTGGGGATTTTTTTCCTAATGTTAGGGTGTAGCGCCTAGGCTGGGGTCTAAGCCTGAATGGGCGTCAGCTTTCCCAACCTGTTCAATGTGGTTGTTTTCTCAGTGGCCTAGTGGGTAGAAATCTCCCTACTGGTCTCTGACACTCTCTCAGAGGGAACTGATCCATAAATAGATGTTTATTTGGTGCATTCGTGGGTGGCGGAAGAGTCAGGAGCTTTCTAGTTAGCCATGTTGCTGACGTCACTCCACTTGTCAGTCACTTTTAAAGAATGTTCTTGGGGTGAGCTCATCCTTTCAAAAAAGTGGGGAAAAAAACCCCACAATGAAACAAGCTTGATATTAATAACAGAGAGATAGTGCTCTTTCCATGCATTACTTTATATGCAGAAGCTCTAGAAATAGATGTGATCTGCCAAAAAAGCAAAACAGCAAAGGGAAAAAACGGTTTGCCCTCAAACTGACAAGCTCAAATCAGTGATGCCATATTATGGAATAACTAGCCCTTAAATGTATTGTCAGAAAGATGCTTTAAATTGTTAATACTGCCAACTTCCCTTACAAAGGTCACCTTTCTTAACATTTAAATAAAGTAGAAGGTCATTTACTTACTTCCATAGTTTCTCCAACTATTTTTAACTAACAAAATTTTATGTTCCCACATAATAATTCAAAGTAGAGTGGCTTTCAGGATTTCAATGGTGAACACTTGCAAAAGTAAACAATAATAATATAATAATACTTTCTCTTTTCCTTTTTTTCTTTGCCTCCTTTTCCTATCCTTCTCCTTCTCTTTCTTTTTTTCTTTTTCTTCTTCTTCCTCCTATTTTTCTGTGACATCTGTTTCTCCTGTCTTTTTCCTCCCCACGTTCCTCCTTTTCCTTATTTTTTTTGACTTGATGTTTTTCTAAGAATGCGATTTCTATTGGGGGTATGAGAGATTGAGATTGATATGACAGCGTCCCTTAAAATGAGTTGTTAATAGTCTAGTTTTTATTTATGTGACAAATTTGGTTTTACTCCATCTCATAATAGACTTGTAGTTTTCATGACTGTGCTCAATGTATTCAGGATTAAGTACCCTATTATAAATAATTTATATTTCCAACAATCATGGTAAAGATCTGAGAAAGTTTTCTTTGTAGTTTCTACTCAGAAATTGTTGTATGAACAAAGATGAAATGTTATTAAGAGATGGTTGTTTCCTTGCACACTAATGATGCCTCAGATCCCCCGAAAGTTGTTATGGTTGGGCTCTTAGATAGTAATGTTTTATGTAAAATCTAATAGGAAATGGAACGATGAATGGAGAGAAAAGAATCAATTCCCAAGGTGTAAAGTGGCACATTGGCATGAAGTTGGTGCAAGTAATGAATGCAGGCAAAGAAGCTGGGGTCTTCTTCAGCAGGCACAGCCAAATCACAGGTTTCCTCCCACCCCATGGGGCAAGATGTGGGGTTTCTCTACCTCTCTGGCTAACCTAGCACCTGCTCCTCTTTGAATGTAGTCCCCTTAATACAAAAGAACTTTTATAAAAACGATAAATACTGGTTTATGTTTTGTGTTATACATTTTTGCTCTACCTTACTGTTGTCTTTTAAAAAATATAGCACTGGCCTTCAATATCTCCACTAACCACCAATTTGTCAACTTCTGGAGTTGGGATAAGAGGTAACAGGTTCTTCCAAGACAACCAGGGAATTCCTGAGTCCTACCCTTACCATTTTCACTATCTCATTCTGAGAGAGACTCTCACGTTATTCTCTTCTTCCACCAGCACTGGAATTAAAGATTCAGGTTTGAATTGAAAATATCAGGTTCTTAAAATGAATGTGGTCACCTACAGACAATTGTACTGAGTTTAATATTATATACTAAGGTATGTATGTATTGTGTGTTTGTACACATACATACACACATTTATTATGTGTTCAGTTGAGGACTCTATGTAACAGTCACTGTACCATTAGCTTGGTACTTACTCAATAAATTTCAAAAGGGGATTAAATGGATTAATACCTGAAAAGCGCTTAGTATGGTGCCTAGCCATAGTTGTGCTTATTATTGTTATTATAGAAGAGGAAGCAGAAACCCAGAGAGGTTAAATAACTGGCCACAGCTAGTGGCTGCGTCATACAGACATTAACTGCTAGAGCTGATTTTTGAATCCAGACGTTCTGACTCAAGACATTTTCTACTCAGCCACTGTTTCATAGTAAAATATTTGTAATACTTAGAGAGGAAAAACCCTATGTACACTCTGGTAAGCAAAGGCCAATAGCGGGTACATGGGCTCTATTATGTATTCTTGGATATAATATTTTATGTATTATTATACTGATATATTTATACTAAACCTCCATTTGCACATTTTTAGTGCAATTATTGGATGCCTTGTATCTCAGGTTTAGAAGGAGTGGGATGATTCTCCCCAGTGGATCTCTCAATGGCAGGTGATGTGGTCATTGCAAAATGAGACATGAGATTTTAGTAATTTGAACAGAAGCTTGATGCCAAGATGAGGTAATACCCAGGGTGAAGAACAAACTGGAAAGAGAACAACATGCTGAGGTTAAGAGTATGTGTGGGCCATGTCGAATCAGTCTGTTTGAATTCAAACTCTACCTCTGGCATTTTCTAGCACTGCAATTTTTGTCATCTTACTTAACTGTTCTGTGCTTTGATTTCCTTACTGGTAACATGAAGGATAGTATTTATTTCATAGATTTATTGGGATGATTAAAGGAGTTAATAGACATAACACACTTAAGTTACCTGGTCCATAGTAAACACTCAATTTAATAATAATCATAAAATATTCTGTCATGTTTCCATTACATGTCTTTACATAGTTTTGGATTACATGTAGGAAACATAGATGGAAAAAGTTTGGCATCAAATCACCGTGTAAAGTGTGTATGATGGTAAAGTAGCTTGTGAGTTTAAGAGGATACCATAAATTGGACTGGACAATGAAAGTGAAGAGGCCAGCTGAATGTGAAACATCATTGACTACTATATATCCAGGAAGCGGGTGTCTAGGAGTGGTCATGAACTCCAGGAGCTGCTCAAGGTGAAAAACTGCAACTAAACAGGTCTTGTCCAAGGCACAAGAGCTGTGCATTACCACAGGGCTTGGCAAGGAAGGAAATCATACTTGCTAACATTCTGCCTCCTAAAATAGTCTTACCAGGAGCATTATTGCTTATGTGGGGAGGATCACATATCCAGAGGCTACTCTCAAGACTCCTGTTGATCTCTTGGTAGTTAGAGATGAAATCTTGCATTATAGTTCCCGTCTTTAACAATCTCCATGATAAATAAGGTAAATTTCATTAAAAATCTTTTAAACCAAGCTTTTATTAAATTGGATGGCTTTTCCTGTCATTATTTTTATTAATAAAGTAGAGCTCAACTGTGTTGCTTATGTGAGAATCACAATGATGTGTACATAACATCCCTTGTGAAACCTTTTAGAAATGCATTTTTTCTGGTCTGGCCAAAGCCTAATGAATTCAAATTTCCAGAAGGGGAGGTCTGGAATTGAGTATTCTGAAAAAGTTCTGTGGATGATTTGAAGCCACACCATTGCCATGGCTATAAATGCTTTACCTTGCCTTGACATTTCATTCCTTATAGAAAGAACCGGGTGAAGACAATCTGGTAAGTCTCAATTGAGTTTGAGCACTTTCTTCAATGTTTTAGTGCCAGAAGATAGAATCTTCTTGAGTTGGCTGGAAGCAGGACGATTTATGAGTGAGCCTGATCCTATTGTTTTGATTTATGGCACCTTTATGGAGACTTGGTCATTTCAGTTGATTGTCCAACCTCCAGTGACTGCTAAGGGCCTTGGAAAGTGGGTAAGCATTTCCAGGGATCTGTTGGAATGCTGAGTCAGAAGCCAACATTTGCCCTTCTCAGGCAGCTCCTCCATTCCAAGCAGGGTGACACTGGCAAGATGCTTATCTTCTTTAAGTTTCAGCTTTAACATTTCTATATTGGGACCATGCCTGCCTCAGAAGGGTTGTTGTGAGAATTAAATGAGAGAAAATATAGGATACACACAGCTTGACATATAGTAGGTGGTAAACAATATTAGTTTCCTTTCTTCTTCTTTATCTACTTTGTATCTCTCTTATGCTCTCTCTTTATTATTAAACATATTGTCTAGGAGTCACTAACTTCCCTAATTAACCAATTAACAGTAGTTCCCAAGTGCCAAAGTACCTGAATTCATTATCATTGTATATCTGGGATTTTCTTTGTCATGCAACCCACAGTTCACTTGGGTATTTTTTTATCCCTCAAAGGTCTAGAAACACTTGGTTAAAAACTACACAGATGTTGTAAGGACTTCCCATGAATTAGTTCAAATTTCTGAGTTCATTTCTTCATGGTTCTCTTGTATTCTGGAGGGTTGTTTGGGTTCTGTCAGCTCCACCCATCAGGCCCTTGCTGGCTTTCATGAGCAATCACCGAGACAGCAGTATCTTAATTTTACAGCTTTAAGAAGACTTGTGTGGTAAAGAGAGAAATGAGAGGTTGCACTGTGACTGCCCTCCATGTGACCATCCTCCTTCAGAGTGTTTCCCCCACAGCCTTCTCCTTTTAAATTTCTTCTTTTAAAATTCTTTTTAAAATTACTTTTAAAATTCTTCTTACTTCACTGAATTTAGGAGTAATCTGACTTGTTCATTACTGTATTCAAAGCACCTAAGCAGTAGTTGGAACATAACAGATGCAAAACGCTGGTTGAATGAATGAGTGAGTGGTGAATGAGCAGCAACTAGGTCAGGGGATTGCTAGCTCAGTGGGTTGATGGCAGGCTGTGACAGGAAGATGCTACATCCTACTGGGTGGCATGGAAGAGCTGCCATGGACCGTGTTGCCTAGTGGAGTGATGGTGGCCACTGTCAGGAAAGGTGGGCCAGATAAGTAGCAGGTGAGGCAATAATGCCATGATTGTATCCAATGGGGAAGTGATAGAACATTAAATCTACTGGTAGATGGGTTCATGAATACGTGTAAAATATCCACTAAGATACATAGGCATACCTGGGTGGGTAGAGAGAGAATGCTTTACATTGGTAGGGACAACAGTCCAGTGAAATTTGAATTATTGTTGCTTTTCAGGGGTCATCTGTGCCCACAGGCTGGTAGTAAGTGAACATTTGGGATATAACCTTCATAATCTACAACTTCAAAGATAAAGTCAGCTTTGCTCCTAATTGTCTTGCTCAGTGCTGAATCCTTAAAGTGGCTATTTTCTTTTGTACCTGGCTCCTGCTTTCCTCCAAACCCTTCATGGGAGTGCCGCTTCCTCACAAATCTTGGAGGTGGGTCAGAGGTTCATTAAAATTGTCTACTGTATTTGCCTCCTGTTTGTCCCATTCATTAATCACAGAGCTCAGCCTTTTTGTTGGATGTGCCCTTTGCCTTTGTGCTATCTGATTCACATGGTTTGCAGAGATAATTTACGGTTAATATATGTTTTGTCTGACTCTGCTTCGAGTGTCTGAAGTGACCCACAGGGCAGTGGTGTGTATACAATGTGTGTGGGAGGGAAGCAGAGATAAAATGCTCTTCGAGGAATTATAAAGTATAATAAATTATTTTGTGCTCCACCTGACTTCTCCTTCCCAGCCGCTATATCATCATGTGAAGGGAGGGGGGTGAGGAGAAGGGAGGAGGGTGTCGGCATTTATGAATAATATTACCTAGTTCACTTTAAATAATGCACAGGAACTGCTGCCAACTCTAGAAATGAGAAAAAGAGATACAAAAGGCAGCTATGGCCACATTGCATTGAAAATTTGAAAATTTAGAATAAGTTGCTGACAAAAGGGTCAGGGGATAGAATCTGCCATTGGATAGAAATATCCATAGAAAAATGGTTTACTGTAAAAGTATGTAGAAAATTAGGGAAAAAATTACTTGAAAGGGAGATTTGTTTTATTGTTCAATATTATTAGCTCACAGATTTTTTACCCATTCCTCTTTCCTAAAGATAAGAGAAAGATACTGCTCCTGAAAACCCTTGAAGTGTATGGCATTGATTTTTTGGATGCCAGTGTGTGTTTGGGATTTTCCATCTTCAATAAATCTGCCTGGAAGTAAGTCATTGCACTCCTGGATTTTCTCTAGTGAAAAATGTTTTATGATTTTTTGGCGAAGGAAAGAGAGGTACGGTGTTTTTGAAAGAAACAAAGCTAATATGACTCTTAAATCCCAATTGCTCTATGCATTTGCAAAGGCTCATGGATTTGTCTGGTGCTAGGAGGAGTATCAGAGATCACACAAATCAATCCATTTGTTTTTTAGGTGAAGAATCCAAAGAGGTCAAATGACTTAACATGATCATTCAGCTCTCTGTTAGACTCCAAGGTTAGGGTGAGGCCTTGGCTTTTGACCTATAGTATGATATTTCTTTAGTGTTGAACTGAGTTTAACCACAGTCACTCCTACCTACCAAAGCCCTGCCTAATCTTATAAATCACAATTTCCACTCAAATATCTGACAAGAACAGTGCAAAGAGAAAGTAAATATTGGATTCATGGAAAACCTCCTCATATAGCTATATATCTCTATGTATGTATGTATTATCTATCTATCTATCTATCTATCTATCTACCCATCCATCCATCCATCTATCCATCTATCTATATCTTTGCTGTGTAACAACCAACCACCAAAAAAAGGTTACAGGGAAATAGTCCAAGGAAACTTGATTGGAAATCCTTGGATGTTTAATGTTTATAGGCAATTCATTTTAGTGTTATGAATTTTTTTCCCTTGACATGTCAAGAATGTATGAAACTCCACTTACTTTTTGAGGTCAAATGTGCAGCTTTTCATGATTTCCAGACAGTGAGCTCTTTAAAATGCTTATCCTTATAAGCAATATTTTTCTGTCTTCTGTAGACTCTGAAGTACATGATTTTCACAGATGTAACACATTTAAATATCTTGGCCTTGCATTTTTATGAATTTGTTTTCTAACAAATCAATTGTGTATCAGTTTTTGTGCATTCTGATCAACATGAAATCACCATAGTTGTTAAGTTCTTTTCATCTAATGTATAGGAAAGTGAAAAGGAAAAAGGTTTTCAACAAAACCTTCTAAAATGAGCTTTCATTGGTACATTCTTTCAGCAAATTTTTCCAGTTCCTATGCCAAGAGTGGAGGATACCTGAGTGAATTGTGGCTCCTCCTTTATTGAGCCTATAAAACTTTGTGTGGATGACAGGTATTGAAAAAGCCAAGAAAAATCAGTGTGATGAGAAGGAAAAAAAGAAGTGCTGAGAATTAAAGCAATACAATTATGCATTTTATAGATGAGGAAGGTGAGGCTCAGTAAGGCTAAGAAACATATAGCTTTAAACACAGCTCTGTCTGAATTCAAAACGTCCTCTCCCCTCCCGGCATTTCCACTATGCCATGATGGCACTGTCCTAGGTGCTGAGCATGCAAAAGATTTGAAGCTATAGTCCACAGGTTTTGTTGGAGAAATGGAATATATACATCAGAAGAAAAATGCCAATATAGACTAATATTCTGAGGCAGTACTTTGTGAGTTACAATATGAGTGAAGCTGTGGGATGAGATGGTTGAGAAAAAGCTCTGTTGAGAAAGATGTTGACATGATTTGGCTGTGCCCCCAGCCAAATCTCATCTTGAATTGTAGCTCCCATAATTCCCAAGTGTTGTGGGAGGAACCCAGGGGGAGATAATTGAATCATGGAGGTGGTTCCCCCCATACTGTTCTCCTGGTAGTGAATAAGTCTCACGAGATCTGATGGTTTTATAAATGGAAACCCCTTTCACTGAGTTCTCATTCTCTCTTTGCCTGCTGCCATGTAAGAAGCCCCTTTGCTCTTCCTTCATCTTCCACCATTATTGTGAGGCCTCCCCAGCCATGTGGAACTGTGAGTCCATTAACCCACTCTTTTTCTTTATAAATTACCCAGTCTTGGGTATGTCTTTATCAGCAGCGTGAAAACAGACTAATACAGATGTATAAGTGGATCCGTGGAGGAACTGCAGATTGTTTATAAATAGATGGGATGGAATATGCTAAGGGAGTGCATTTCACGTAGAAGGCCTAGGGTTATATGTGCCTAGTTCAATAATTTGACCAAATTGTTAATTCTTTTGGGAGACTGATGGGAGAGAAGATTGAAAAGCTTCTTGGAATCCTTGAATTATTAAGATTAGGATTTGGATTTATTCTGCGGTTCAGGGATTAGAAGATCTTCTCTTTAAATTAAAGTATTTTAGGATTTGAGGACCTTACAATCTCTGCTGCAATCATTCAACTCTGTTGTTATAGTAAAAAGGCAACCATAGACATTAGGGATACAAATAGGTACGACTGTGTTCTAATAAAACTGTGCTGACTTCTGTTGTAGTTAGTGGTAATAAATTAAAAGCTTTTAAGCTATACATTTACAAACTGGTGTTGGGGAAGTGTGATATAGTAGTGTTGTGTTAGTAAGGAGAAAGAGAGGCATAAGCAAATTTAAGAAAATTAACTAGAAGATTTTTCCATTGACAAGTTTCAGAGAATTACAGAAGAAAATATGGGTGGCAAGAGAGGAATAGGTTCTAAAAAAAAAAAAAAAACGACAAATGAAAAATCTCTTATGAAGTAATGTTGATAATGCTCGACAGCTGACCAAATGTGGAGGTTGAGGGAGGCAACAATGTCTCCAAGAAGGTAAGTGTAAGAAGGGAAAAAATGGTAGAAACAACTTATAAGAGGAGAAGGTAGTAAATGAACACCACAGGGCTAAGGACAGAGGAGGATCACTTCTGCAGTCAGGAACAAATGACTGTCTTGGATTCAAGGGCGGGTGAAGAAGCTGAATCTAACACAGTCAGATTAAACTAGGACCATGGGGGAAGCCAACATGGCCCAGGGCAAAGAATGCTATCTGGTTCTCGGTAGAAGAAAACACCAAAGAGATTGTAAAACAAGCTCACTTGTCAAGAACAAGGATAAAATATAGGAATTTTTAGATTTAAAAAGTAAACCTGAGAAAGCTTACAGCCATATACCTTCACTACAGAACTTTAAAGGATATCCAATAAGCCGGTCTTTAGATGGAATTGGCTTGTGCTTGAATCACAGGTTGACTCCTTACTTACTGTATGATTTTTGTGTTTCTCCCTCTTACTCTCAGTTTTCTTATTTCTAAAATGAGTATAGCATTGACTTCATATAAAGTGACTAGAATGGTTCCTGGCATAGACTAGGAGTCCATGTGTTTGATAGACAGTGAGATATAGAGCCTTGGAACCATGGAAGGGAGATGGCTTATGCAGAACTCCCTGTTAGTTTCACCTTTTTCTCATGTTGTGAGTGGCTTCTTACAATCAAGTAAATCTGTGACTATCATTGTATTGGGTTCCATGTCCATTTAGTATCATGTTGAATTGGTAGGGTTTTTTAAATTTTAGGTTCATAGACTTTTGCAGAAATTTGAGATATTGAAGGGTGTTTACGCCTGTAGATCAAAGTATACAGGATAAACATGGAGGTGCAGATATATAGAAGTGCTTGCGCATGGTCTTGCAGATTAATAATAGAATTATTAATATTATTTTATAATTCTAATATTATTAAAATTTGTGTGCTCATTTTTTCTCTGGAAAATTGTATAGTAAAAAATTAATAACAAATTAGCTTGTCATTCAATGTCCCCTCTAATCTGATATCATTGTACCTATTCAACTTTACTGCCCTCTACCCACTATATAAATTATCTCCCTCTGTTTTGCTTTCTCAAATATACTGATTTCACTCAACATAAAAGCTTTTCTCAGTTATTTTCTTTTCTTACCTGGACTGTCCATTTTATTTTCTGCAAGATTAACCCATCTTTCCATTTTAGACTCAAAAGTAACTTTTTTTATGCTCTCACCAACAACCCCTTTTTACTTTTAATTCCTTTTTTCACTGATGACAGCTTTTGCCTTTTTACACAGTTTGTATATCCTCATTTATTCACAATAATTATTTATCTCCCAAACATGGTATAGAGTACACAGGCTTTTCCCTGTTGGTAATGATGCTGGGTATATAATAGGAACTCAATGAATGAAAGAGTATGTGCATAAAAGTCTCAGTTTAAAATAAATTCTTCAGGATGAAGAGTGTTTACATCTAAAGTGTCATTCATTTGAGGTTGGTGGGACACACCATTTGTTACTGGCCTGTAAGTCATCTTATGAGGTCTCATTAGTCTACTGATTTGTCACCATACTTTAAAAGTTGCTTGGTTTAAAAATCACTAAACTTTTTAGTGGAAGCATAACCTGTCCTCTATCTCTTTAGTGAAGGTTTAATAACCATTTCTTTCACTTCATGTATAAATAATTGCACAATGTATTTCAGGGGAAAAAGAATTGTGTACTAATATAGGCTCCTGTAATTACCACAAACTCTTTATTATTTTTATTGATAGCTTACCCCTCAGCCGTAGAAATAATCTCACCAATTAGATAACTATGCAAGGCTGTTGAACAATAGCCAATCTTTGAAAAATGAAATATCACCATTACTCTCTTGTTTTTCTAATTTTAAAGACACAGTGAGACACTGATTAGAATATATCCATCAGTTGACAGCTACATAATGGTGGAGATTTGAAGCTTGTTTCTAAATACAAATTGATGTGGGAATTTTTACTCTCCTCCCTCAGTAGTTTGTCTCTACTATCAAGGCATTTAATAAGTAGACTCTTCCATTCAGAGACACTAGGATTGATATTATGTAAGAATTATCTCTTCCATTGGTGAGACAAAATCCTAGACTTTTAACACTTGATTAATTATAGACATATGATCTATAATGTCAAATACGAATTTAAAATACTTGCTGAGCATTCGAATGGCTTCACATTTAGCTGAAACAATCTGCCAAGTCTCTTATTAGATAGCTGGAGGCAGATTCAAAAGATTTTGATCTGACCCTTTAGTCTATTTCACTGTAACTGAATCATTTAATCAGATTTTATAAAACTCTGGGCTATAGTGCAGTGAAATGTTAAGCACATGTTACTCATTAGAAACAAATGAAAAACTCATCAGCCTTGAGACTCAGCCATTTATATTAAATATCTATATAAAATGCTACCATAGACATTGGGTCTGGATGGGTCTAATCTGCACTATATCCTATTTAAGAGATTTTAAAAATATATAGTCTATTTCATACTACTAATATTTCCATGACACAGACGAATAAAAAAACCAATAAAAAGAAATTCAAAAAGCATATTTTATTTTTTACCAGCTATTTAAGTGTCTCATTTTATTTTTTAATTTGGAATTTTTTGGAGCAATTCTCCAAAGACACCCAAATGTGAAGCAGAATAAAAAGAGTACTCATAACCTTGTGTTTGGTTTGTCAAAACAACCGTTTGAGATTTAGCACACAATACCAGATGTTCAGAATATACTACAAATCACCCACCATACAACTCATTACTGATAATTAAGCTCCAATTAGAATTTTTTAAAAAATATATACTTTGGAAAATAAAATAAACCTGTGAGTAAGGACATGCTTCTTTTACTTTTCTATGAACTCCAATCTCTGTGACGCATGGAGCACTATATTCCCAGCACCCATGGTACTGAGAGACTCATAATAGCTGCTCACTAAAAAGTTTATGGATGACTGCATGGGAGTTAGTTATACTGTGACAATTTCAAAGCATTTACTGGTTGGAATAAAGCTTGCGGTCAACAAAATTTTCCTTACAAAAACATTCTTATCAGACATCAGTATTCATCAGGCACATTAAATAATTCTTGCCTGGCCAGGACCATGTTTTGTAATAGGAACGTAGCCATTCCTGTATGTACCATCTACCCCCATTTCAGCACAGTGCCATGTGGTTTGGAAGGAAGACATTCCTGAGCTCCAAAGGAGGGAATTGAGGCACATTTGTTTGGTTATTTATGCCTTCATTCATTCAGTCAAAAGAGAAAAATGACTTTAGTCCTTGATCTCAATGAATCACAGACTTCAGAGAGAGATAGGCATGGACACATTCACAATAGAAGACAATTGCATCCATGGAGTGCTTTACAGGGAGCAGGGGTTGCTTAGAGGAGAGAAGGATTAATTTATCAGGGATTGAGAAGGACAGATCCATAAAAGTTCAACAGAGGAGGTCAAGCTTGAGTGGGGTATGGAAGATCCAATGAGCAGATGAGGAATATTATGGTTTTCAGGTATAAGAAACATATACCTAAAGCACAGAGGTGTGAAAAATGTCAGCACTCTCAGTCCAAGGAATAGGAATAGTTTAATATAAATAGGATGTAGAATATGTGTGCAGGGGTGAGTGGGGTGCTGGTATGGGAGCTGGGGAGTGAGAGGTAGAGCAAACTGTGAAAGGTGATGAATACCATTCTCCCATGTCTTGTCAAGGAGGTTGGACTTCACTTGCAGGAGATATGAGGCTTGTGAAGACTTTTAAGGGAGGGTGGCTTGGCTAGCTTAGCACTTAAAAAATAATCTTTTATTCCTTTTTAGTTCCATACAATTTTTGACTCACTACATGTTTCAAAATAACATAAAAACCCTGAATCCCTATCCTATCCCACTTGCTTTTACCCCTATAATTTTGGATGATTTGTGATGTAATTTTAAGTAAAAGTATTTATTTTTGTTCAGTATGTAAGTATTGTATTATACAACTAATCTTTAAAAGTCTTTATAAAATACAGATTATCAGATATTAAATTATGTATCATTAAATTATATGAACTTGAATAAATTTAGCTATGTAACAAGTAACATAGAGTTTATGATAGTTTACAATACGTTTTTGAACAAATCAATTTTAAAATAATATTCATGTTGTTTTGTGTTGGAAAATAATGTCTGCTAAAATATTTATTGATGTAAAGCTATATATGTTGCAGCAACAAAAGGCCTAGATTGCTTCTATAAACGGATCTTCTAAATGATGAATTTTTATGCTAAAATCAAGTACAGAATAGATTACTTTTATGTTTTTCTTCTAAATAAAAAGGGCTTTTTGCAAGCATTCTTGCCCAATTAACACATTTTAAGTGTAGATAATAAAGACTTATAATAAATTAAAAGTCATATCAGGTTTAATAATTGTCAGATCTTCTCTTGTTAACATTGTGCTTTACAGCTGGAGAGGTTTTTAAGGTGCTACCTAAGTACTTGATTTGATACTGTAACTTACATATTTGATATTATTAATCTTGGGAATGATTTTACCTTCCTCTTAAATTTACATCTGACCTTTTCTCTTTAACTAATAAGGGTATACATTAACAAATATGGCACAAAAAATGAAAATCTAATAGAACTACCATATAATCCAGCAATCTCATGATTGGCAATTTATCCAAAGGAAAGGAAAGGAAATCATTATATCAAAAAAAGAGCTGCAACCTCTTATTTATTGCAGCAGTATTCATGATAGTCAAGATACGAAATCAATCTAGGTGTCCAACAATAGATGAATGGATAAAGAAAATGTGGTATATATACACAATGGAATACTATTCATTCATAAAAAGAATGAAATCCTGTCATTTATGGCGACATGGTTGGCACTGGAGGACATTATGTTAAGTAAAATAAGCCAGACACAAAAAGTTAAATATTGCATATTCTCACTCATATGTGGGAAGCTAAACACAGTTGATCACATAGAAGTAAAAAGCAGAAAAGAAAATATTAGAGTTTGGAAAAGATAGTGATAAAGGAAGGATAGGGAGAGAATTGTTAAAGTACACAAAATTGCAGCTCAATAGCAGGGATAAGTTCTAGTACTGTGTACCAGCAGTCCCCAACCTTTTTGGCATCAGGGACCGGATTCATGGAAGACAATTTTTCCATGGACCTGGGGGTGGGGTGGAGGAATGGTTTCAGGATGATTCAAGTGCTCTACATTTATTGTGCACTTTACTTCTGTTATTATTACATTGTAATATATAATAAAATATTTATACATCTCACCATAATGTAGAATCAGTGGGAGCCCTGAGCTTGTTTTCCTGCAACTAGACATTCCCATCTGGGGGTGATGGGAGACAGCGACAGATCATCAGGCATGAGATTCTCATAAGGAGTGCACAACTCAGATCCCTCACATGCTCAGTTCACATCAAATGCCATGGCTGATCTGACAGGAGGTGCAGCTCAGGCAGTAATGCAAGCAATGGGGAGTGACTGTAAATACAGATGAAGCTTCATTCGCTTGCCTGCTGCTCACCTCCTGCTATGCGGCCCTGTGTGAGTCAGTGGCCCCGGGAATGGAGACCCGTGTTCTATACCACTGTAGGATAACTATAGTTAACATTAATATAGTTTCAAATGGTTAGAAGGAGGATATTGAACATTCCCAACACAAAGCAATGGCAAATCTTTGAAGATGGATATATATCCTGACCTGATCACTGAACATATATATGGAAACACCATTATGTACTTCATGAATATGTACAATTATTATTTGTCAATTAAGCAAATAAAATTAAAAAAAGAAAATCTATCACAAACCATATTAGTAGCTACTATAGCTCCCATGCCCTATTCCTATTTATGTCCTTAGCCCCCTTTTAAACAGTGACGAACCCTATAAAGGGAGAACAACATTTGGAGCCTCAAAACTTAATAGAATCTAGAAGTAATTACAACATGTCAAGATAACTTTTAGAAGCATTTCATGTAGTTTGAATCATGAAAAATCCTTTTGTATTATATTTATATAGAGCTTATGCTTTGTGTAGCTATAAGTTACAATAACATGTTGTCTTTTCCTCAAAATGCCTCAATAGAAATTTAATTTGCTCTGTATCAAATTAGACTTTATCATTGAGTTTTTGAACCACAAAAACCTTTTATGTACTCTAAAGATGTTTTATCATAGAAGTGCAATTTCAGGAAGAGTCATATGCTTTGATTCTGAGGGAGCATTCTGCCAGCTGTCTTCATGGAGTAAGCAAAGGACCTAAGGTAGATATTTATATTGTGTAATATAAAACTTGCCTATTTTCTGCTCCTGAAAAGAACCTCTCATGCTCCAGGAAGCTTTGTGAGGTTTTGAAATTAGCAATTTTTCAAATCTTCACCAAAAATCCTAGAGTGACAAACCCACCTTGTTCTTTCCCTACCCTGAGCTCTCTGTAGGAGGTGGGTCCCAGGCAATTTGTGCTTTTGGGAAAGAGGTTGTGACGTGTCCACTGTGAGGTGGGGAATTCCACTGTACTGCTCCTAAGGCACTCAGCATCCTCTTATTCCTGGACCCCCACTGTGATTTCAAGCCTGCTGAATACACCTTTGGCATTGCCCTTGCTACTCCATATCACATTTATAATGATCTATTTCTGAGTTTGTCATGGCCACTAGGCTTTGAGTTCCTTGGCAGCAGTGCCTGGGTCTAATATTTTCCTGGGAGTTGACACCATTCCTGGAGATGAACACACCCCTCTTTAACACTGGTGTAGTGCAACATTCCTGTGTTTAACCTTACTGAGTAAACCTGAGAGCCAGTACAGAGCACATATCCCAGCATTAGTCCACCCAAGGTTGAGGGAGGTGTACTGTTTACAAACCAACTTCCATTGGCTGGGAATTACTTCCCCATATTTCCATTTTGTAGTGTATATAGGTAGAGCTGGTTGTGGTGGCCAGAGAGAACCCTCAGGTGAACCCAGGCAAGTGCGGGGGGCAGGTAGAAGTCAGATACTGTGAACTGTATTGTAAGGGTGCAGGACTACAGGTAAGTTACTGATCTCAATTGCTGTATCTACCCTACACTGGCCACCCCAGCCAAACCCTAATTTTCATGCCTTAAAATGTGTTGAAACCCTGAACCCTTCTTAAATCTTGCTTCCTATAAGGTCTCCTCTGACTCAGGCCTGGGTACTTTCTGTGTGCTGATGGCCACAGCAGCAACGTCTGTAGCAGGGAGATGAGTGGTTGGTTATTCATGCCATGCCTGTGTGGTTCCACACAGGAGATGCAAGGATGAGTTTATTCATTCACACGCTGTGCCAGGCCTGAGCTACAGGCTATGAAGGATTGCTGGCATTTGGCCTATCAGAACTCAAGCTCTGAAGGGGAAGACAGATACTTCCTAAAGAATCATAGCCCTAAACACAACAACTGTGTGTCAACTGTGAGCTACTTACGAAGGTAAATGAATGGTGTCATGCAAGAATATAAGAGGGATGAGAAGGATAATTTAGAGAAAGAGGTTTGGAGAAATTGTTCTGAGGTAGTAGGGAATGGTGAGCATTTCCCAGAAGTCATTCACAAAAGCCAAAAGGTAGAAAGAGCTTAGTACACTAGTGGAATTGAAAATATTTCTTGCTTATTAGTGTGTTTATTTGGCAGGAAATAAAACCAGATATAGAAAAGCATAAAGAAGAAAATACACATCCAATGAAATGGGAGAGTTTCCTCACCCCCCCAGCAGGACGTGCAACAGAGGTGTGGCTTGTCTTGTTTGGCCGCCATGTGCGCTCAAACCCCTTATGTGACAGGGAGTATGCAGACGGGCAGGTGCAGGAGCTGGGGCAATATCCAGGGGTGGGTGTCTGCAACTTCCAAAGCCTAAATGGGTGTATGTTACAATGTGCTCTTTTAGCCTTGCCATCCATGGATGTCTTAAGTGTTAGACAGTTCAGTGGACCCTCTGCCTTTTCACAAGGGCAGAGGGCCAGTATGACAGCTTTCTGTATTCTGAGCTCTTGTCCAGCGTCCAGGAAAAATCAGGTCACACATGGACTTGAAGGATGAATGTGGGGGTTTTATTCAGTGGCGGAGGTGGCTCTTAGTGGGATG
This sequence comes from Homo sapiens, assembly GCF_000001405.40. Lineage (NCBI taxonomy): Eukaryota > Metazoa > Chordata > Mammalia > Primates > Hominidae > Homo > Homo sapiens. The sequence goes on along the minus strand of NC_000014.9, from coordinate 87,531,134 downwards.
GATGAGGAGCTGAAAAGGGGATGGAGTGAGAAGATGATCTTCCCCTGGAGTCTGACCTCCAACAGCCAATCTTCTCTCGGACCTTGCCCAGCTGAACTCCTCTTGGTGTTCAGACGCTCCTTCTCTTCCCTCTGCCATGTTGTTCTGCTGTTTTCTTTTGTTTGTCTCTTCCTCATCTGCTTCTGGAGCCTGGGGTCTGGAGTTTATATGGGTGCAGGATAGGGGGGTGTGGTGGGCCAAATGGCAATTTTTGGGTGTAAAAACAGAAATTCCTGTTCCCATTTAGGGCCATGGGTTTCCAGGCTTGAGGGCGGGGCCTTTGCCAGGGAACCACCCTCTTGTACTTAGTATTTCCCTGTCTCCTGTCCATATCACCACCAGGGGTGGAGGGAAAGAGATGTCCACTGACTTTTCTCTCTCCTTGTTCTTGCAACACCCACACATACACACTCATGTACATATGTGCGCACACACACACACACACACACACACATAGCAATGTTAGTACAAATTCCCAGGCTTTCCCTTTGGAGGTGTCCAGCACTGAGAAAGATGTGAAATTGGCTACTGCTTCAGAGGGATAAGAGCACCATTTTTTAGTAAAAAGGAATTCATTCTTCCAACTTTCCAAGATAGATTTCTTTTTTTTTTTTCCTAAGGCCTCCATGGGTTTATTTTCTCAAGTCAGACTGAACAGCTTTGACTGTGGCAGCTTTAACTTAATTCATTTTACTGAAGGTTTTTTAAAAAGAGTGGTTCAGAGCATGGAGTCATTATGGTGACTAGGGATTACATGTTGGCCTGTGTCCTGCAGGAGCCAGCCATCTCCAGGCATCCACGAATCAGTTATTTTGCCTTCAAGTCTGATTCTTGAGGGGCAAATGCTGTCAACCTCTCTGTGGATTGAAGCAGGGAAATACAGTGTTAGTCTCAGCAATTGCCTGCCGTCCACTGGAATTGAAATAGAAAAGAGGAAGCTGAATTTCCTATAGCTGAGTCAGTTTTAGACTTGATCCAGTGGACTGGCTAATTAATTAATGTCAACTCAGTAGACATTTATTGGGCACCTATTATGTACATTATAAAACACTGAGTATATAAAACCAAAAAAAAATTTACCAGCAATAATAGAAGCAATACTAATAGCTAATATCATTCCATCAAGGGAAAGATAAATCACTTACTTTCTAAATTCCAGGGATGTAAGTTCTTTACAATGTATTTTCATAACTCATGGGGCAGGCACTATTTCTGCACCATTGTGCAGCTGAGGAAATTGAGGCTGTGAAAGGTTAAGCAACTTGTCCGCTGTCATGTAGCTGGTAAGTTCCAGAGCAAATGTTACAACCACGTGGTCTGAGGCCTCTCCTAATGCTCAAATTACAGATGTCAAAAAGCCTGGGCTTTCGTGAGGAAGATAACCAAAAAAGAAATGCCTAATAAAAATGAATGATATTTATTGAGTACTTCCTATATGCCAAGCACCAATCTGAGTATTTTATGTGTTTGACTTTTCTCAATCCTCACAATCACTCTTTGAAGAGGGGACTGTTATCATTATTTCAATTTACAGATGGGAAAATTGAGGCACCAAGCAGTTATTCACACAGCTGGTGGAGGACAGAGTCAATATTTCACAGTCTAGCCCCATAGCCCGTACTCTTGACTTTTTCTCTCTGTCTTTGTCTCTGTCTCTGTCTCATTCCTGATATTTGGAAGTATAAAGAGAAAGGGCTGTGATCACAAAGGAAATTTGTCAGAAATAGCTTAGGTAAGGGGTGGGCAGGGAGGAGTCGGGGAAAGTAAGAGAGGAAGCTCCAGGTGTACCCTGCAGGTCTGGCAGTAGGGGGCCAGGTGATACGTTAGCAATGGGAGGGGCCTACGAGAGGACTTGCAGACAAGAGGGAGCCTGGTTTGTTTGGTGGAAGTGCAAGTGATTCAGATTTGCTCTAGTATAAGGAAGAACTGGGGAGTAAAAAAAAATGAGGTGGGAAGTCTGGGCCAGGGTGTGAAGGTCCTTGTAGTCCATATGAGGGAGTTTGGATCTTGCATTGATAATGAGGAGCTCTTGAAGGATTTTAAGCAGAGCAATAACAGCGTCAGATCTATGTTTGAAAAAGACCACTCTGTCTTGTGGGATAAGACTGAAGTTCACGGGTGTGGAGTAGGCTAGTGCAGCTGCAAAGAAGAGAGTAATTTACAGACTAGGGAGGGGACAAGGATGTTTAAAAATAAGTGAAGGGATCTAGGAATATTTGGAGCTAACTCAAAAGGAAATGTAATTAGAGGTGTATGGGGGTGACAGAAAAAAAGGGGTGAAGGAATGAAGGAAGACCCCAAGCTTTTGGCTTGAGCAAGGGGGTAGAAGTCGGGATGTTTACTGAAGGAGGGACTGAAGCAGGTTTAAGGCTTTATAAGGACATGTTCTGTTGAGGTCCAGTGGAGTGTTTGTGGCTGTGGGAAAACCTCATGGGCGTCTAATGGATGAGTCTGGTACTCAGGAGAATTCTCCAGACTGGTATAAGAATTGGGGATGAGTGAGCTTCTGGGTGATTATTCAGACTTTGAAGTACATGAAGTGTCAGTGCTTGGGTTATGGGATCACATTAAAATTGCTGAGCTCATATCTGAATCTCAGAAATAAGTTCACCAAATATTATAGTTCATTTTCTTTGGAAAAAATTCAACAATATTCTACATCAGCCTAACCCTTTGCAGTTTTCCAAGGCTTTCATATTCTTTACCTCGTTAGAACAATGTCTAGTTGGGAACAAAGATGATGAGGACTTATCTCTAAAAATAAGAATAGTAACTTAAAGGTCTATAGAACTTGCCAAATTCCTAGTTAGCCAGGGGCAAGGCTGGAATGGGTGCAGTGCTGTTCAAATATTATTTTCTTTGGACTCATATAGGGGTCTGTCTGGCAGGTTCTGATTTACTGCTGCTGGTGGTGGTGAGATTCTCCATTTCTAATATACCCCCGCTGATGTCACTACTGTTGATCAGGACAGACTTTCAGTATCAACAACCCAGAGAATATAATTTTCCTCTCTTTGCTCAGCATTCATTTGACTAATCCACATTGAATCTTAATCTAAAACTAACAGTGGGCAAGACAAGGTGAGGCATTTAATGTCAGGACCTCAAGTGACAGAATTTTTCAGATCTTAGAATTTTAGAACCTTGGGATCCAACTTCTTTTACAGAAATGGAGCTGCTATGGTCTGAAAGTTTGTGCCCCCTGAAATTCATATGTTGAAATCCTAACCCTGGATAGGATGATATTAGGAGATGGAGGTCTTTGGAGACCAGTTAGGTCATGAGAGAGAAGCCCTTATGAATGGGATGTTACTTTGAGAAAGAGGTCCCAGAGTGAACCCTGGCCCCTTCCGCCTTATGAGGTTATAATGAGAAGATGGTGGTCCATGACCCAAGAAGCCGGTTCTTACCAGACACTGAATCTTCAGGGACCTTGATCTTGAATTTCCCAGACTCCAGAACTGTGAAAAATAAATTTCTGTTGTTTATAAATCACCCAGTCTGTGGTATTATGGTATATTAGGTTGGTGAAAAAGTAATTGCGGTTTTGCCATTACTTTCAATGGCAACAACCTAATAGCTACCAAAGGATCTAAGACAGGAACTGACATACCCAAAGCCTAAGATAGGACTCCTGATCCCCTGGCTCATAATCTGGTGCTTTCTACACTAAATATTTTCTGCTTTGCTAATTTAGATACATATGGAGTTGAACAGGATTCAACAGACTTGGGTGTTTAAATGCCAATTCTTAATCCTGAAGCTTGTCCAGCTAAATACAATCTGGGATTCAATTGCCCCTGGGTCAGCTTTGAGCAAGAAGGCAAAGTTTGCATCAAGTGTAATTAATAAACTAAAACAGGAAAGAACAGAGACGAGAAGAATTACTTTTGGTGTTAAAACCAAACAGACATTAAACCAAGTCCTGGTCCCTGGTTCTGACAGAAAGGCTGCAATCCCTGCTGGCCACTGATTTTGTTATCTGCATCCCACCGCCTTTGAGTTATAGAGTTACACTTTTAAAGCCCAATTACGCTGGCTGGGATGTGCCTTTTGTGGCCAGCTAAGGTATCATTTTTCATGCGATCATCTTTACTTTCATATTTAAATCCAGTTTTCTTTAATTTAAATTTTGCTGAAAACAGCCATATTGCTGCGAGTGTAAATGAAGGTAGATGGACATTAATGGTGTCAGTTCACAGCTGTTCTTAAGTTAAATAATTACTGCTCATTCTTGGATCTCTGTTTGAAATGCCTGCAATATTCAATTAGGAGCACAAAGCACTTTTCTTCATCCTTGTTATAAGGATCAGGCTCAGGCTGAATAACTTGCATGTGGTATGAGGCATCCAAACAGGACTGAGACTTGGTTGTTGAAACAGAGCCAGTTAATGTTTGAGAGGAGTCCGGAAGCTCTGTTCCTTTTTCAAATTTATTACATTTCTTTAAAAGCATCTGAATTAACGCTACACTAAGTACTGGTGGGTATGCACCCTGCAGCATGTGTTGCTATTAATTGTATCCATTATCACAAAATAACCATCTCTTTATAAAAACAAATGATGTTTCATTTTAATATGTGGCTTGAAACACCCTCCTTCACAGCTGCTGCTGCTTCTGTTTTGGTACCTGGCGTACAAAGAGCCACCTGTTACAATAGACATTTTATTTGCTATTGTTTGGAAAAAAAAAAAAAAAGGAAAAGAGAAGCCTTAGAAAACAGAACCCCACCTCCTTAAAACATAATAATCATGAAAAATGAAGCCCCAGAGGAAATTTGCCTTTTTTCCATCAGAAGCTCTCAACAGAAGGGTGACCATTACACCTTCACTCTTAGCTCTGCTTCCTTCATCTGTATTTGTTCACCTGAGTTTTCAATCTTGAAGGATTTCATTCTAATCTAAACTTCATGTCACCAGTGAAAACACTGAGAGGAGGTGGTGTTGGCTCAGGGAGAACTGATGTCCCCTGATTCTTTAATGGATTCTATGTGTTCCATAGCATTTGGCTTTTTGAGTATATGAACCTATGGGTTTCACTGACAAGTTGCTTGACCTTGGGCAAATTACTCAATGGCGTCGACTCTCAATTTTCCTTCACTGCTTAAAGGAGTGAAAAATTAATTCCTTAAGTTTGATGTGAAGATTGAGTTAAAACCAGTATATTGCTTAGAATAGTGCCTGGAATTTTGTAGTCCTCAAAACTGTTGACTATTATAATAATAATGGCTGTTGTTATCCTTACTATCAGAGGAAGCAATGGAGGGAGAATCCATATTCAATTCCAAAAGTGTTCACTAACACTGTAAATTACTTCTCACCACTAGCATGGATCCTCCTTCAGGGACCTGGCAGTGCCCTTTTGACACACAGTCCTCAGTTTTATGGCATTTAGTGTACATGAACAAAGAAATACAATCACAAATTAAACTATTTTAGTTTAAATAGCAAAGGGGGCACCATATATAGCAGTAACTAAGTCACAGAGATCGAAACTTCCAGATATTATTAGGAAGACTTTATCACTGTCCATTTTTCTGCCTCTTTAAATAAAAAGAAAGAAAAAATTACCTTAGCATTTTTAGTCTGGTCACAAATGACTAGGGACTCAATTCTGAATCATATTTAACCACGATGCCATTCATTCATTCATTCATTCATTCACTTTGGAAGTCCTGTGTCAGGCGAGCACTTTGCAATGTCTGATAGAGTGGGTGGTAGTTGCACAATCAATGTTAGATGTGTGAAATAAAAGAAGACAGGATTATAGTCCTTCATCTTGGAAAACTTGAGATTTGGCTAAAGTCCAAAGGTCTACTGCTGAATACAAACTGAGTGCTCAGGTAGCCATGGGCTGGAGAGTCAGAAAGAACATCCCTAATGCAGCTTGTTTCAAAGAGGCTTTCTAGAGGGGTGCTCCTTCTGCAAGCCTGCCTTGGTCTCTGCCAGGAAAAGGCAGCACCACTGAATTAGTGTTGCACCTTTGTCAGGCCGTATATGCACAGATTTGTCATTTTGCTTGCTCACCATTCCCCTGGTTTCATAGTTTCTGTGAGATGTTTATGATCACTCATGAAAATGAAATGTTTGTGAAATGCTCACTTACACGTCCTCCTGGAGATATACAATGCATTTTGCTGATTAAACTTTGACATATACATCCTCCTGGAGAAATACAACACATTTTTTCTATTAAAGGTTATTAAATACAATTAATAAATACATTGTTCTAATTTTGTCTAATTATTTTGATATGGAGCTCTTTTTAAAAAAAATTTTAAGTTCTGGGATACATGTGAAGGAGGTGCAGGTTTGGTACATAGGTATACGTGTGCTATGGTGGTTTGCTGCACCTATCAACCCATCACCTAGGTATTAAGCCCTGCATGCATTAGCTATTTATCCTGATGCTTTCCCTCCTCCTGCCCCCTCGACAGGCCCCTGTGTGTGTTGTTTCCCTCCTTGTCTCCAAGTGTTCTCATTGTTCAGCTGATCTGGAGCTTTTTTCAGTGATGCACCTCAACATCTCCCAGGACCTAGTGGTCTGCACTGAGCCAGCTTGAAGCTTGATGGTCATCATCTTCCTCTAGAATAATCATAAAAGGGTAAAAAGTAGGAGGAGAATCTCCCCTTTCTCATCACATCTCTGTGACCAGGATTCCTCCCTGCCCCCTTTATTCAACATTCTTAATTCATTAAGGATCATAACTCAGATTTTCATCTGACTCTGCCACTTAAAAGTTAGGTGACCTTGGGTAAGTTATTTATCCTTTCTGAGCCTAAGTTTTCTCATCTATGAAAATGAAGATAAACATACTCATCTTCTAGATAGTCTGTGGGTCTTAGAATCCAAGTAAGACGAAGAATGTGAAAGCATTTTGGTTGTGAGGAACAATGCAGATGTATAAGAACTACTCATTGCGGTTGAACCTTGTGTCTATTTATATTCTTATCAGGTGCTTCCTTGTGAAACTAATACTATTTAAAAAAATCACTTCTACGATGTAAAGGATATTTCCATTTAGTTGTCCTAAAACTCTTCTCAAATTCCGAGCAGTTCCTCTGAGGATTATAAAGCTGGAGTCCATGATTTCAGCCTGCAGCAGAGCCCACGTCTCCTCCCAGCATTGTGCTGTTTGGTACCTGGGGGATCCTGGATGTGTCTCAGACTCACTCACTCACTTGCATTAGGGAGCTCCCAGGGCATGCTTTGTTTTGTTTCTCTTCCAGACCCAAGGCTAGTCTCTTTTCATCCCAGCCTCCATCTTATCCTGGGATGTAGGGCTGTTGGTAATAGTAGATTTACTAGCCACACATTGGTTAATGACATCTCCTCCAAGATTTACTATTAATCACACATTGGATGCAAACACTTCATCCTCCCCTTTTCTTATAAGGAAACAAGAAATTGACACAAATATTTTAAAAGGAAAAAAACTTAGCAAACAATGCCAAAAAGAAGATGTAAACAGTGATATCGATTGAGGCGTTAAGCGTATTTATTATTCAAATTACTCACTCTGAGTGCACTAAATGGTTACGATGTTAAGCACTGTGCTAAGTAAAGATACAGAATGGACTAGAAATGGATTATTTCTCTTAGGTGGCATTCTGTGTTCCTGACTGCCTTACCCTAGACATACTTAAGTTCTAGCAACCTTATAAGTACTGCTACTGGCATCAATAAAGGCGATCAGAATATGCCACCCCAAATATGCCACTCTGGTATATGGATTATTGTGAGATGAAGGCAATTTACAATAAATAGATATAAGAAAAACTCTCTGCCCTGCCCCTACTTGCCTAAAATCAGGAAATAAATTTGTAAATGTGTTGCTTCTCTACCAAGAAAGAAAGAAGTTAGTCACTGGGGACAATTGTACAACCTCATCAGCCCAGAGATGGCACCAGAGGAATCTACAGAACAAACTTGACTAACTAGCTTTATTTTCTATTCATTCTTCCATGTACTTACCTTCCTATTATTTGTTGCTCTAAAAACTCAGTTTTCTTCCTTTGTGTTGTCACTTCTCTAAATATTTATTTTCTTTTGTTAAGGTGATATATAACCACCAGTTCTAACCACCACTTCTAGTTTCTTATCTCTGAGTGTTTTCATGTGTAAGTGCAATGCACTTGTTATTAATAATAAACTTCTGTTTGTTTTTCTCTTGCTAATCTGTCTGATATGTTTGGATGTGTGTTCCTTCTAAATCTCAGGTTGAAATGTGATCCCTAAGGTTGGGGGTGGGGCCTGGTGGGAGGTGTTTGTGTCACGTGGGCAAATCCTTCATGCATGGGCTTGTGCCCTCCCTGAGGTAATGAGTTGAGCTCTCACTCTGTCAGTTCATGTGAGAGCTGGTTGTTAAAAAGAGCCTGACATCTCTCTTGCTCCCTCTATTGCCCTGTGACACACCTGCTCCCACTTCACCTTCTGCCATGAGTAAAATCCTTCTGGGCCTCACCAGAAACCACAGCTCTGCTTGCACAGCCTGCAGAACTGTGATCCAAAGAAACCTCTTTCCTTTATCAGTTACCCAGCCTCAGGTATTTCCTTGATAGCGGTGCAGACTAACACATTGTCTTTTGTCAATCTAATTTGCAGGGCCCTAGCCAATGAAACAAAGATGAGTGAAAGGAAAATATATATATATTTTTTCTCCCCCGCACTGTTTAGAGAGCTGTGGGGAACATTCTATACCTGAATGAGGTTTTCACTAGATGGTATCCATGGTTTCCAACGTGGAGGTCTTCAAGAGCAGTCTTTATTTAATATATCTCCAAAATTCTTAGGCCAACAATGCAAATATGTATTGCATGGTCATAAAGGGTATGTTTAAATATATTCTATATTTTTATAGACAAAACGTTTAAAAATTATGAGATCTATGTGGAACATTTTAATCATAAAGAGTTCTAGGTGGTTAAAAAGAAGCTACTGTTTCAAGTTCTCAGTGCTAAAACTACATGGATGTTTCTGAAAATTAAGAATAGAAGACTTCTGAATATTTTTAAAGAGCTTAAAATTTAATTCTGGGCTACAGTTTTCCTACCTTAAAGAAATTAAAAATTTTCACAGGAATGCCTAAATGATATTAAGGATTCTTAATCAGCTTGATCTTCATAGACTTGCGTATCTCTTGAGCCAAAACTTTCACCCACCCCAATAACATCTGAAGCTCCCTAAACACCCCCAGCTGTTCCTTGCTTCCGTACACATGTATATGCTGTCTTCTCTGCCTGAAATACCCTCTCAATCTGACTCAAACTCTTAATTTTTCTTAGAATTGCAGCTCAGACTTTACTTCTACTTTTTGTGAAGCAAATTAATCAGGGAGACTTTTGATGTTTTGTTGATATGGCTGCTTACCATAATACAGTGTGAATTTTGCAGGGCAGAATCTCCAGCCCCCAGAGCAATGCCTGGCCAAGAGTAGGTGCCCCAAAGTGTTTATTGAATTAAGCTGTAATAAATCATCCAGTGCCCTTGTAGAGATTTTAAAATAGAAGGAAAGGAGCAAATATTGATTTTTAGTCCCGAGGTTAGTCATATCTTTAATGTCTGTTATTTCTGTTATACAAAGAAAATGTCAAAACAAAGAATAATCACATTGTGATGACTAAATTGTGGGGGAATCATATTGTACTTGGGGGATTTAGAAGTTAGGAACAAAGTGGGTTGTGTAGTGATGGGGAAACGACTTCAAGCATTTTTTCTTTATGTCTCTCAAGGTAATGGTGAAAGACTCCCTCAGTAAGACACTTAAAATGACATGAAGAGTTGAGAAGATTCTCAAAATTGGATGTGCATCTAAATCACCTGGGGTGATCTTGTCAAAGTGCATATTTTAGTAGGTCTGGGGTGGGGCTTGAAAATTTGCATTTCTAACATGCTCCCAGGTGATGTCTATCCTGCTGAATCAAGGAGCATTCTAAAGATAATAAAAATCCTGCATGGATTAAAGCATTGGCTCAACTCAATAGCAAAGCTATACTAATTTTACTCCCAACTAGTCACTGAGTTCTATATGTAGCAATCACACACGTTTAATCTTAGGCTTTTTGCCTTTCTACTTTGTGATTCAGATATCACCATTAATTTTTCCCCTCTATAAGTGATCTTGTACAGGATTAAATATAAATTGGTTGCTAGGAGCAACAGTAAATGAGACTGTACAGTGGGAATAGCTAGAGTATTTAGCTGTTAGGTAGTCAACTGAGAGGAATAGAAAGGTGAATTATTAGCTAGCTTTATTCCTATTTATCATATGACTTTTAAGAATAACAGGATATCAATTAAGTGCTAGATATCATCTTCCTTCACATTAAATGTGTTAATTGACACTGCATTGCTTAATCAATCTTGTTATACACTAATTAAATAGCTGCAGATTTCTTTTAGGTGAAAGAAGAATTGGTTCCCAGCTGATAGCAATGAATGTGAGCTCTAAAATTTCCTACTCTGGGTAATAAACTTCTGTTTCATGTCCTATCCTGTGGGACCAGGAGGCTATAAAAGACAAAACACAGACATAAGAGAATGTTGCACATTTGGTTACTAGTTCCAGGACCAAAATGATTGAATATAAAGTAGATCTTACTATCTGGAAAATAGCAACAACAATAATAGTGGAAAATGTAAAATTTAAAATTACAGTGGATCAAACCTATAGATAGATATATCAGTGAGGAAACGCAAGGTCGTAGATTTCACTAGCATCTAAAATTCATATGTGGCTTTTCCATATCCATTTATGTAGGAGGAATTTAAGGGAGACAATTTGGGTAGAAATTCAAGTGACTTATCTTCAAAATGCATTAACTGGCAAGAACGTGTGTGTGTGTGTGTGTGTGTGTGTGTGTGAGAGAGAGAGAGAGAGAGCTCACATATGAGTGTGTTTTATTTTTAATAGAATGGCTATTTGGAAAGGCAAAGATGAAGTTGCTGATGAAGTTCATTGTGAGGCCAACACCCCTTGCTCTCACTCCAATCTTCAAAGTCACCTCTTGGTACTGCCATTAGCAGGAAATGTACAAAGGGATGTCATTTCCCAATATACATATATAAATGTGCTATGGTCTATAAAGCACCACCCAAATTACAGTTTGCATTTTTTATATTAGAATTGGAAGAAAAGAAAGCATAAATGAAAGTGAATGCAGTCAGAATCTGTGCTGAATCCATTTTTATACAATTGCAAGAGAAGTTTTAAGCATCCATAAGAATGTAATTATGCTTCCATTGCTTAATGTATGGACTCAAATTCTGACTTAATTATTCTGCAACTAAATTTATGTCATTTATGTAGTAAATCTTGGCAATTGCTCTCACAACCATCATTGGAAATGTAATTAACTTGGGTTAGATAAGTTTTTACAGTGAGAACTAAATGCAGTGTAATACCAAGGCATTATTTAAAAGGCAAAGGCCAAATATATCTTCTTTCTAAACTTTCTTGTTTGTTTGCAGTTTCTTTTCCTCAGTCTAAATGCCGATTTCTTTTTCCAGCTTCACATTTCTGTCTGTTAATTGGAAGCTTCTCTATTTCTTTCTTTTCTTTTTTTTTTTTTTTTTTGGATACAGAGTCTCACTCTGTCAACAGGCTGGAGTGCAGTGGCGCAGTCTCGGCTCACTGCAATCTCTGCCTCCCGGGTTTAAGCAATTCTCCTGCCTCCGCCTCCCGAGTAGCTGGGACTACAGGCACCCGCCACCAAGCCCAGCTAATTTTTTATATTTTTAGTGGAGATGGTGTTTCACCATGTTTTTCTTTTTAAGGGAAAGAGTTCTACTCTTTGTATTAAATCTTTTACTAAGAATACAGCTTACTTTTTAGCGAGGCTTTTCTGTATACAATAAAGCTGATTGTTTTCAGAGCCAACTTTTCTTTGTTTTACCCTAGTTAAGAATTGTATTGCTTTCTTTTTTTAAATTTGTAACTAAGGCTTCCCTAGAAAAAAAATTCTACTGAACCTAGAAACGACATTTTTATCAGTTGTTAAGAAATGATATTATTTCTGTAATGACTACTTAAATAATAATTAAGGAAAAGAGATAAAATAAAAAACATTTCTAGACGCTATGCCCACAGTATCAGTTCTTTTTCACACTGCTATAAAGAACTGCCTGAGACTGTGTAATTTATAAAGAAAAGAGATTTAATTGACTCACAGTTCCACATGGCTGGGGAGGCCTCAGGAAACTTAATCATGGCAGAAGGGGAAGTGGGCATATATAACATGGTGGCAGATGAGAGAGAAGTGCACCAAGGGGAAGAGCCCCACACTTATCAGACAACTAGGTCTCATGAAAATTCACTATCATGAGGATAGCATGGGGGAAACCACCCCCATGATCCAATCACCTCCCATCAGGTCCCTCCTCTTCACACCTAGGGATTACAATTCAGATAACAATTCAAGATGAGATTTGGGTGGGGACACAGAGCCAAACCATATCACCCACTGTTTATTTTAAGTTTATTGATAATATATTTATCAATAAATATCTTAGTCTGCTTGGGCTCTTATAACAATAAAACATAGACTGGGTGGCTTAACAACAGATTTATTGCTTACAGTGCTGAAAGCTGGAAGACCAAGGTCAAGGGGACAGCAGGGTATGTTTCATTCTGTGGTGTGTTCTCATGACTTGTAGGTAACCACCATCTCACTTTGTGCTCACATGACCTCTTCCTTGTGCACACACTGAGAGAGACAGAAATCTCTCCCCCTCCCACTTTTAATAAGGACACTAATTCCATCACAAAGGCCCCACCTTTATGATCTTATCTAAACCTAATTAAATCCTAAAGGCCTTATCTCCAAATATTATAAACATATAAATTTTTTGGGGGGTGATACAATTTCATCTTGAGTGGAAAGTAATTTTCTTCCCACAGGTTTGAAATTTGGATAAATCATAATATCACAGTGTGAAAGTCATCAGAATCAATATGGAGTCACTTGTGTCAAACACTAATAAAAAAACTAAAAAAGCTGGAAGGCTTAAAATGGAGAATCCTTAGGTACACATGCGTATGATAAGTATTACAAAGACTCACTAACAGGCTTCTACATAGATACACCTGTGACAAGAACTTTTGTCAAGAACTTTTCAAACTGAAGCTATGTGAATCCCAAGGACAACCAGCTGGTGTACAATAATATTTGCCTGGCATATTGTCCCCACTGATGAACTGGCTTCGACTCCTGTGATAAACTCCTGTAACCAATGTTGTTTTTGTTTCAAAACAAAGTATGTGTATTTTTCTTTTTTCCCTTTAAAAGCTTCCCCTTTCCTCAGCCTCTTTGGATATGCATGATATTATTTGGCTGTGTCCCCACCCAGATTTCACCTTGAATTGTAACTCCCACAATTCCCATGTGTCGTGGGAGGAGCCTGGTGGGAGGTGATTGAATTAGGGAGGTGGGTCTTTCTTGCACTGTTCTCATGATAGTGAATGATTCTCATGAGATTTGATGGTTTTAAAGGGGAGTTTCCCTGCACAATCTGTCTTCTCTTGTCTGCCGTCATGTGAGACAAGGCTTTCACCTTCCGCCATGACTGTGAGGCCTCCCCAGCCACATGGAACCATAAGTCCAATAAACCTCTTTCTTTTTTTTAAATCGACCAGTCTCAGATGTGTCTTTATCAGCAGCATGAAAATGGACTAAAACAGTAAATTGGTACTGGGAGTGGGACGTTGCTGAAAATTTACCTGAACATGTGGAAGAGACTTTGGAACTGGGTAACAGGCAGAGGTTGAAAAGTTTTTTAAATTGCCTAGTCTCAGGTGTTTCTTTATCAGCATCATGAAAATGGACTAATACAATGCCGAAGGACTAATAAATAGCCTGCATATCCTGGGTTTGCAAAAGCCTTGCACATCCCCAAATAAACTTAAGATGGTTGGAGCATCTCTCCTTGTTTGTTACTTAGGTTGACAACAGCAAAATTATATAATGTAATATTTGGTTGTCATAAGTTAATTTTTCTTTTTCTTTTTCAGTTAGAGAGTGATATTTCACCATTTAAAGATGATAAAATTTCATATGACTAATTTTTTGGAAGTTTGGGGTTTATCTCCTGTTTGTTCCACTCACTTTTCATATACTTAGGATTATACTAACATAAATTTCTTACATTAACCTCCCATTTAGTTATTATTTATTTGTTGTGTTAGGGTTTCTGCCATATAATATCTCATATGTTTACATGAAGACAAATAAAAGGAAACCATATACATAAAAATAAATTCTGGGTGGATTGTAGACAAAACATGGCATATAAAACAATAAGGTTTTTAGAAAATAACACAGGCAAATATGTTATGACCCTGGAGTACATATACATTTGTCAGAATTTCAGCAAATCAACTAAAAAGCCATAAGCTGCAAAAAGAAATATTCAAATGGCTAATAAACATAAAAATGCTCTCAAAATCATTTTTCATAGAAGAAATCAAAATCAAAATCACAATTAGATATATCACTGTACAGCAAATAATATGGCTAAATTGAAAGGCCTGATAATGCTAAGTGTTGGCAGATGTATAGAACAACTGAAATTCTCATACATGACTGGTATGAGTGTAAATTGGTCCTGATAACTTTGGGCAACTTTTTGCTGGTATATGCTGAAGCTTTGTATTTTTTTTCCATTTGTATTTTTATTTTCACAACTATATTGTATATATGCCTTATGATCCAGAAATTTCACATATAAAACTATGCATATAGAAATGCATAATATTTTCACAAAAAGTTAGATCATGATTGCTCATAATAACACTCTTTGCAATAACTAAAAACTGCAAAAAAGCCTTAAATGTTTATCTCTTTTAGGATGTATAAATTGTGGTACATTCAAGCAGTAGAGAAGCCTGCGTAGCAATAACTAGAATACTTCTATAAACTATTGAGAAAAACAACATAGATGACTATTTCAAACATAAGGTTGAGGGAAAGAAGCCATATATACCTTTGAATTTCATTCACAAAGAGTTCAAATGCGTATAGTCAAAGCCCCATTATGGTGTTAAAATCAACAGTGTTACCTTCACGGTGGTGGATAGGAATAGTGAGCACATGAGAAGGGACTTTGAGGTCTTCTGGATTATTGTCAATATTAAACAAAAGACTTCTAAAGATGATAGATGGATAGATAAACAACCAACATACACAACAATTAAATTTATATGACATTTCTCAATTTACATATTAGTTCTATAGGTATTAAGTAACTGAATACACAGCACAGTATTTGATCTGCCAACACACGTGATAGTTAAGAGGGATGACACACATGTTAAATCTGCATTCAAATTTTAAGGTGTTTCCTAACTAGTCATTAATCAATAAATGTTTAGTTATCACTGTAATTAAACTTTGTAAAGGACCATGGTTATATAATGATGAGAAAGGGAGATATGGCTCTACACTAGGAAAGCTGATATTCTAAATAGAGAAGGAAGACAAAACAAGTTTATAATACCATTAAATAAGGGCTACACTATAAATGCCAGAACACTCCCTCATTACCCATGTGATTTTTGATAAATTACTTAGAGTTCCTAATCTTCAATCTTTTCATCTGTAAAATAGGACTATTAATACTTACCTTATATTATAGATTATAGGTGTTAATCAAAAACGTGTGAAAATTTCCATGCTCTAGCTAATCCTAATGGAGTTCCATTTCCTTTTTTTTTCCAAATACAAAGAATCTCTCATCTATGTGTTTCTCATGTTTCATGCTAGCCTGAAAGATTCTTGCAGACAAAGGTTAATTTAACTTTTATTGAAAATTGACTGCACATCTCTTGGACTGGAACTTTCTTATATCAGGTGTTCAACTTTCTCCTCCGAATGGGAATGTGACATATTTCTTGAGAATCCAAGGTTGACAAGGACCAACTGCCAACCTTTGCTATTTCTTTTGGCTGATGGATAGTCTTTTCCTTTTGTACTTGCATCTCTTAAGAAAAATTACCTTTTGTGAGTTTCATGTAACTGAAAAGAGGCAAAACAACTGGAATTTACAAATACACCTCTGTAATAGATGATAAAGTACATGGTACTCTCCAGTGTTAAGGTGATATTTCTGTGTCAATTTAGAAGTACTCAATAATCTAAAGTTAAATAAACATAATCAAGTTAAAATTAATTTTTCTTCCAATGAGTCAGAGACTATGGCTGTTAACAGGATGCTTTTAAAATATTTTTGCATTGTACTCTGATTTTCACAGCTATGTTAGATCTCCATTACTAACATCCCAAACAGCTTTGAGAATGGGCAAATGAAGTGCAGCTTTATGAGTAATCTACTTTATAAATGATTCTTTATTTTTGCCTCAAAACAGAATTGCATTCTTGATTGAATATCTGAAAAAAAATTAAAAGAAAAAATCTTTAATATGATATTTTTATGAAGTCATTGTATGCTTTTCTTCTTGTTATCACAGAAGTACTGGCTGTAGAAAATGTAAAGACTGATTTGCCTGATCCATGAAATGGAAAAAGTAGACACACATGCAAATTTCTTGTCAGTGCTGACCTTCCTAATTACTTATTTTAGGTGTGTGAACAGTAAAGAGGTGAAAACAAATTATCTGACCAAACCCGAAGCCTTTTAAAGTAGGGTGTGATTGGGGGTGCAGATTGGAGACTTTGAGCACATGGACACTTAGAAATGTCTTTATTTTGATTTCCCTCTTTACTGTGGCTTGAATGGATTTAACATTCAAAATTAAATTCCTTTAGGAATTTAAAGACAACATCATCTTGTTTTCTACTCACTGGTTACTGCTGATGAGAAAGCAGATGCAGATATTAACCCACTTCTTGCTCTTGTATAAATAACTTGTCCTCTCCTAACTTTGGAAATCTTAAGGATGTTTTCCTCTATGGTAGTCTATACTTTTATCAATGTTCTGTAACTTATAGTTCTTTTTGAAAATGCATCTTCCTCAGCACCTGAGGACCTTTTCAACATGTAAATGTGTTTCTTCAACTATGAAAAAATGGTCTTCTATATTTATTTATTTATTTAGAGATAGGGTCAAACTCTGTCACCCAGACTGGAAGAATGCAGTGTCAGGATCATAGCTCACTATAGCCTCAAATTCTTGGGCTCCAGTGATCCTCCAGACTCAGCCTTCTGAGTAGCTGAAAATACAGGTGTGCACCACCACACCTGCCTAATTTTTGTATTTTTTTGTAAAGACAGGGTCTTGCTCTGTTGCCCAGGCTGGTCTTAAACCCCTGGCTTCAAGCGATCCTCTTACCTCAAGCTCCCAATGTGCTGGGATTACAGGTGTGAGACGTGGTGCCCAGTAATCTTCCATTATTTCTTTGATTATGTATCTCCCCTCCATTTCCTCTGTTTTCTCTTCTTAAAATTATATTGAATGGAAATTGGTCTTCTGTATCCCGGGCTTTTCTGTCATGTTATCTTTCTCTTTGTCCTTTTTCTCTATGTCCTGATTTTTTCTTGCCTCTTCATTTTTAATTTTACCAGTGAAAGATTTTTATCCCTGTTTGCTCCTTTTTCATACCAACCTGTTCCATGGATGTAGCATCTTCAAAAATCTCTCTTGGAATATGAATAAAACATAGGCAAACTTTTTATTTCCACTGAGGCAAGCCATTCAGTTTGTATTTTTTTAAACAAATTCATCCTTTCTATTTGGGATGTTGTGTTTTAGAAATTCAACTGTCTGTTAATACTTAGTTAACTATTTGTATTTATCATTGAAGACCTAAGTTGATTTCATAGAGAAGAGTTCTCTCTGCTACATCATGAGGCAAGCCTTTAGGTTTCTTGAGTGGAGAGTATGAAGGCAGCCTTCCCATCAAATTAAGACAAGGATAGACCTAAGTAAACCTACTCTGCAACTGTGACCTTATCCCCACTAGACAGATAGCTCAATTTTTAAAAATATATATTGCTATGTTTTGAATATATCCCCCCAAAAGCACATGTCGAACACTTAATTCCCAATGCAGCGGTACTGAGGGGTGGGTCCTGCTCTCATGAATGGACTAATGTCCTTATCATAGGAGTGAGTGCCTAATAAGGTGAATTCATCACCCGCTTCTCCTCTCTCACATGCTGTTGCCCTTCTGTCTTCTGCCATGGGATGATACAGCAAGAAGACCCTTGCCACATGCAGGCCCCTTGGCCTTGGACTTCTTAGTCTTCAGAGCTGTAGGAAATAAACTTCTGTTCTTTATAAATTACCCAGTTTTAGGTATTCTGTGATAGTAACAAAATCAGACTAAGACATATATCAAATATATTTTTCTTGGGGTGAGACTTTTAGCCATGGTAATATAAAGAGTCCAGTGAATCCTTTCTGCAAAACATAAGTATGAAAATGAATAAAATTATGAAAAATAACCATTTCAGTGCTCTGAAGATTGCCTTGGGCAAACAACAAATTCAAAGTTGTTTATTCATGAAATGCTGCTAGAACTTAGAATAAAAACCAGGGGAATCTATAGCCTAAGTTTTGCTGCCATTGGTTCAGTTTTTACTTGGAGCAGAAAATAAAAACTCATGCTCACTGGCATTGTTCAAAAAAGCAGCAAGCTCAGTAGAAAAAAATAGGGACAATGCATAGCTCTGTTAACCTGAGGTCCGAGACCTTCTTAAGGTGAGAAGCAAATCAGACAGAAATTTAAGAGTGATTCAGGAGCTGAGAAATATAGAAGGGGCTAGGTAAGCTCTCCACACACTCCTGGTTGATGGGAAACTGCAGGCATAATCAGGGAAGACCTGAAGATTCACATTACCTGGTGTGCAGACCTATTATAAAACCACTCTAATACTGTGGTATTGGAGAAAGCATAGATACATAGACCAATGAAACACAATAGGGAACCCAGAGATTGACCCACACATACATAGTGCATTGATTTTCAACAAAGGTGCAAATAAATTTTAATAAATAAATGATAGTATTTTCAACAAATGGTGCTGCAACAACTGGATGTCCATATGCAAAATCACAAACATTTTCTTGCAAATCACACCCTATGAAATTAACGCAAAATGAAATATGAATCTAAATATGAGATCTACCACTATAGAATGTGTAGAAGAAAACATAGGAGAAATGTTTTTGACCTTTGATTAGGCAATAATTTGTAGGACACAAAAAGCACAATTCCTGAAATAAAATTTGGTAGGTATGACTTCTTCACTGTGATGCTAATGTTAGTTGTCAACCTGTCTGAATTAAGGAATACCTAGAGAGTTGGCAAAGCATTATTTCTTGTTGTGTCTCTGAGTGTGCTTCCAGAAGAGACTGGTCTGTGAATGGTGGATTGAGAGGGAAAGATCTGCCCTCAAAATAAGCAGGTACCATCCAATCAGCTGGCATCCTGGATAGAATAAAAAGGCAGAGGAAAGGTGAATTCATTCTTTCTCCTGCACATGGGATAACCTTCTCTTGCACTTGGACGTATATGCTCCAAGCTCTTTGGCCTTTGGACTCTGTGACTCATACTAGTAACCTTCTGGATTCTCAGGCCTTCAGCCTTGCAATGAGAGTGTCACCATCAGCTTCTTTGGTTCTGAGGCTTTTGGACTTCAACTGAGCCACACTACTGACATTCCCAGGTCTCCAGCTTGCAGGCAGTTATCAAGGGACTTCTCAGCCTCCATAATCATGTGAATCAATTCCCTTAACAAATGTTTATCTATCTATCTATCTATCTATCTATCTATCTATCTATCTATCTATCTATCGATATGGTTTCGCTCTGTGTCCCCACCCAAATCTCACCTCCAATTGTAATCCCCATGTGTTGTGGAAGAGACCTGGTGGGAGGTGATTGCATCATGGAAGCAGGTTTCCCTTTTTCTGTTCTTGTGATAGTGAGTGAGTTCTCATGAGATCTGGTTGTTTGATAAGTGTCTGATGCTTCCCTCTTCTTGCTCACTCTCTCCTTCCACCATATACGGCGTGCCAGGCTTCCCCTTGGCCTTCCACCGTAATTGTAAGTTTCCTGAGGTCTCCCCAGCCATGCAGAACTGTGAGTTAAAATTACCCAGTCTCAGGTAGTATTTTTATAGCAGTGTGAAAATGGATTACTAAACTAATCTTATTAGTTCTGACTCTCTGGAGAACTCTGACTAATAAGTCACCAAAATTAAAACATTTTATCTTCAAAAGATTCTATTAAGAAAAATAAAAGATAAGCTACAGATGGGAGAAAATATTTGACCATTATATATCTGAAAATAGTTTGTATTTGGAATATGTAAGGAACTCTTACAACTCAGTAATAGGAAGACAAATGACTCAATTAAAAATTGGGTAATATATGTGAACATACACTCCACAAAAGATTGTGTAAAGCTTAGATATATGAATTGCTAATAAGCACATAAAAAGATGCTCATTATTAGTGATTGGAGAAATGCAAATTAAAACTAATATGTGAATCATCAGTATCCTCTCTGCAGTGGATATGAAGATGTCTTTTGAAAGACTGTAAACATCATGTTTTGGTATCTATTTGAAAAAATCGAAACTCTTATACATTGCTGCTGGGAACGTAAGATGTACAATCAGTTTGGATAACATCTTGGCAGTTTTTAGAAAAGTTAAATATGTATTTACCATAAAATGCAACCAATCAACTTGTAGATAACTACCTAGAAAAAAATGAAAACATGTTCTCACAAAGACTGGTACACAAGTGTTCCTAGCAGTATTATTAATAATAGGTTTAAACTGGAAACAATCTGAGTGTCTGTCAATGAATTAACAAAATGTGGTATATTTATACAATGGAATACTGTTCAGCAATTAAAGGAAATTAAATACTGATGCATGCTATATTATGAATGAATTTTAAAATGTTATGCTAATGAAAGAAGCCTAACATTATGGAGCGCATATTCTATGATTTAAGTTATGAAAAACAGCTAGAAAAAGTAGACCTATAAAGACAGTAGGCATTGTCAGTGATTTCCTGGAGTTGAGAGAATAAGTAGAAGTTGAAACCAGGACCAAGGAAATTTTAGGGG
Organism: Homo sapiens; assembly: GCF_000001405.40. NCBI lineage: Eukaryota > Metazoa > Chordata > Mammalia > Primates > Hominidae > Homo > Homo sapiens. Next base: position 87,510,056 of record NC_000014.9, on the reverse strand, counting down.
ATGATGGCAACATTTTAAGACTGGATTTTGCTGATGGTTGCACAACTGTGTACATTTATTAAAAAGCTCCTTAAATTGGGTGAAATTTGTGTCATGTAAACTACACACTAACAAAGCTCTTATAAGAAGCAAAAAATTATTTTTCTGCTCCAACCTGGAGCAAAGGCTTTTATTACTTAATTTTTTTTAAATGTAGGGCTAGGTTATGGGGGAGTAACATTGAGGAAACTTTGCTGGAAACCATTTCCGACAGAGTATCAATAAATTGATTTGAAAACATGCTAGTCAATTTATTAATACACCAAGTATTCACTCAGTGGAACACCACCAAAATGTCAGCTTTTTCACCTGATGATAGCAAATTCTAACAGTAGAAAAATAATGGAAGAAAATGGCCCTAAATGATATGTCATTGAAAGACATATATGTATATGAGGAGGAAGGAGCACATAGTTTGGCAAAAGAGGATGTTGATGTTGCTGATTTCTGGTTCATGTCACTAAGCCAGCATTGGATCATAATAGTGAGATGTGCTTGTGGATACCTAGTCTTAAATCTTAAATGATTTCCTGCAAGAACAACAAATTATCTTTTATTAGAATTTTTTTGACCAATTCTATTTGGTTGAATTATCATTACAGTAACATCTGCTTTCACACTCTTCTAGAACAAAATGAAGTCTTCTAGACTCCTGAAATGGTACATGACTGCATAAACTGCCTGTTTGTCTCCCCAATTTGGCCCAATTGTTCTTGTGCTTAAGACACATTTTAGAACTTATTTCTGATTTCTCTTTTCATGAACTCTTCTTATCACTGTTGTAGTCTTACATGCAACAGCTTCAGGGATAATTATATAATATTTTATTTGCAGAATAGTAGCTCTTCCAAAATTACACTTATACAGCAATACAGCTTGTGCCGCCACTAAATCCTATACTATAGAAATTCTATAATTGTGCCTGTAACATAGATGGTGATTATCAGCAGGTAAGTTATTCATTATTTATCTATATTCACATTTTGAAGAATAGAGATGTCAATTCCATTGGAAGAAAGACTCCTTTGATTTTGAAACAGGAAAATCTCTCTCCTCAGGATCCTTTTGATTAATTTATTTCTTACATTCACTGCCTATGGGTTGCTGACCATGTTTCCTTCACATAAATAAACTATGTGTTAAGGTCTCTTTGTTATAAGAGATAAAATTGATTATTTCATTATTACCCTGCTTTGCTGGTTTAAAATATTATAGCCTAGTGAATTGCTGTTATGTTATTAATTATGAATTAATTTAATTTGTGGAGGTTGAAAGCATTCTCTGGTTTTCTTTAATTAATTGTTTTTAGATGTGTTGCTAGAGGAATCTTTTATAATAATGATGTGGGCTAATGACACAGCCTTTCATTTTTGGATACTAAGCCCTATATCAGGTGAGGGCCATAAATAATGTGAATCACATCTTGATTTATTTGCCACTCATATGTCCTGATAGTCAGCTAGTTGACTCATCACAGAGAAAAAGTTGAAGGGAGTTTCTGGAGATCTGCCTATGGGAGGGTTATGCGAAATGCTCTGTGTCTTTGGTAGACTCTGACCTCTAAGTTAGTCCTGTTAGTCTGACTTACTGCACACTCTTTTGTGATGATATCCTGGCTCCATCTTGTACTAAGTGCTTATAATCTGTATGATCTTAGACAACTTCAACTTTGAGCTTCAGTTTGTTCATCCCTAAATTAGGGAAACTAATTACAATTATTTAAAAGAGTTGGTGTGTTCATCTGTTTGTGCTGCTATAAAAAATATTAGAGACTGGATAATTTATGAATTAAAATTTATTCTTTACAGTTAGGCAGGCTAGGAAGTACAAGATCAAGGCTCAGGCAGGTTCAATGTCTCATGAGGGATTGATCTCTGCTTCCAAGATTTCACCTGGAATGCTGTGTCCTCTGGAGGGGACAAATGCTGTATCCCCCCATGGCAGAGGGGATGGAAAGGCAAAAAGGGGCTAGCCAGTTCCTTCTAGCCCTTTTATTGGGTTGCTAATCCATATTAAAGGAGCCCTCATGACTGAATCCATTGGCAATTAAGTTTCAGCATATGAAATGTTGGGGGCATTCAGATCATAGCAGTGGGCGATGGGATTGAATAAAACTACAAAGTGAATAAAGCAGTAACTGAATCATAGTTAAATGCTCACAAGAGGTTAGTTGTGTTATTATTGTTCTTGTTTTTATGGTTACCTATCAACCATTTTAGAACCCCCTTTCACACCCTTCACTTCCCCCCTCTTTCTGTGTTTCATTTTTCTGTGAGCCTGAGATTCTTGAATATTCTTCTCCCTGGATCTAAAAACACTAAAGATGAATTCATAATTTAATTGTTACAAGACAGCATTTTACATTTATGATGTTTACATGGGCTTTTTAAAATGCAAAAGGTAATTTTTTCACTTCCTTGACTATTGCATGATCCAGATTCCATGCCAACATGCCTAAAAATTGATAGGTTGGTAAAATTTTTTATTCATGCATTAAGCAATTTTGTTTTTTGAGGAGGAGTCTCGCTCTGTCACCCAGGCTGGAGTGCAGTGGCGCGATCTCAGCTCACTGCAAACTCTGCCTCTCTGGTTCAAGCGATTCTCCTGTCTCAGCTTCCTGAGTAGCTGGGATTACAGGCATACACCATCACGCCTGGCTAATTTTTGTATTTTTTTAGTAGAGATGGGGTTTCAGCATGTTGGCCAGGTTGGTCTCGAACTCCTGACCTCAGATGATCCATTGCCTCGGCCTCCCAAAGTGCTGGAATTACAGGCATGAGCCACCATGCCCCGTGCATTAAGCATTTTTGAAAATACGTTTTGCAAATATTATCCTTACTTTTTTACGCTGTGTATATGTAGTCCTGTGTTGTATAATTTCAAAAGGCCTTCTTGACTATATGTTACCTCCATTCATGTATCCATGTACCTAACGAATAATTCTAGAGCACCTGCCCTGTGTTGAGCATTCTTCTAATTACTGATGTATAGCTTAAAATTGACTACTGATTTAAAATAAAGGCCACTGGTAATCTTGATAGTTGATAGCCTGAATATATTTAAGAATATAATTAAGAGGGAAAAGGAGTAGAAAAATTGAAATCAAGTATAGATATTTCTTTTCAGGAGTTTTTCCGAGAAGAAGAATAAAATAAATTGGGAAGTAAATGAAAGAAACTTTAGTTAGAGGAGGGTATTATTATTTTTTAGATGGGAAAATGATGGTTTGCATATATGCTAATGAAAATAGTCTGCTAAGGTAGGGAAAAGTTGTGCTATAGGAAAGAGAGGGAGCAGTTGCTGGAGCAGGATCCTGAGTAAGTAGAGGAGACAGAGCCTGTGCCCAAAAGGAAGGCTGGCCTGTGATAGGTTTTTGCTAGGAGGAGAAAGTCATTCTTAATGAGAAAGAGAACAAGTCAAATACTGGTTACCAGTGCTCGTTATTGGCTAAATTGTGCTTAGTCCAACTTCCCTCTAACAAATGGGGCTGTCACGAAACTGCTTTCCACATAATAAATACTTAATATCTGCTCTAATTTATAGTTTCTTCTCCCTTTACAAGGTCCCACTTTCTCTTACCCAGGACTCACCTCTATCTCTGCATTTAGCACAAAGTCTTACAATTATGTTTGTATATCTATCTCTGCCATTAGATTGTCAGCATCTTTGGGCTTATAGTGCCTGTCATCTGCAAGATCAAGAGTAGAATTCACAATACAACATTTTTCTCCAGCTAGTGAGAAGCTGTTTCCAATTTCTTCAGTGAAATCAGTGGTTGGTTTACCATTTTCTGCTTTCAGTTAATCCTAATTATTCCCTTTTTTTGTAAAGTTAACCTACAAAATACAGGTAGCATCTTCAGGATATGTATATGTGTATGTTTGTGAATTCATGTATGTTTGTGGGTATGTAAGTTTTTTTGACTAGAAATGCTTTTGAAGGAGTGTAAGTAGGCTAATTTGTGGGAAACTGCATGTAGACCGGCATTCAACATTTCACTTTCGAGCGCAGGCATTGAGTTGGATTCCTGTGCACATCTGACTTATCCAGGGAGGAGGTACTGATCCTTCTGTAGGTTTTGGTGGAAGAATGTCTCAAGGACAGGCACACACTAAGAGAGAAGGCTGCTCTTTCCCCTTTAGTTATGGTAAAAGAGAAGTTTTAATTGCTTTAATTAATGCCTTGGGTTTCTTTGAAATTCCCTTGCTCCTCTGCACAGTCATGATAACATCTCAGCCTCTCTGTGAATCAGTTCCAGGAGCATTGAGGGACATTTACTTTATTCACATGAAATAGCCTTTGATTTCTCCTTACGTAAAAGCTGCTTATCATGGTTACCACCTTGGCTTTGCCAGTTGCTCTGAACTAATTTCTCATTCCTCTTATCAGAGAGATGTTTTCTTAAATAAAACTTCTGAAGAACTTTTTTGTTTTGGGGTAGGGTAAAGAGTAGAATTATAGGGCGAAATGCACAAAATAACTCTCACTCACTGTAGGCTTTTGGTGAGCTGTGAGATTTCTCATTTCCTAGATGATCCTAGATTGGATCTGAAATGAGAAACAGCAGGGTAAAAGATGAATTTGAAATAAAAAGTCTATGGATAATACTATGGCATTAACGTTAATTTCCTGATGTTGAAAATTATACTCTGGTTATGTTGTTAACATTTGGAGAAATCTGGAGAAAAACACAATGCAATGCTTTACACTACTTGTGCAACTGTTTTGTAAGTCTGAAATTTTTCTAAAATAAATTGTTTTTTAAAAATTTTCTTACTAGAGCTATTTAAATTTGTCCAGGCTGGGCACAGTGGCTTACGCTTGTAATCTCAGCACTTTGGGAGGCTGAGGTGGGCTGATCATTTGAGGTCAGGAGTTTGAGACCAGCCCGTCCAACATGGTGAAAACTCATCTCTACTGAAAATACACAAATTAGCTGGGCCTGGTGAAGTACGCCTGTAGTCCCAGCTACTCAGGAGGCTGAGGCAGGAGAATTGCTTGAACTAGGGAGGCAGAGGTTGCAGTGAGCCAAGATTGTGCCACTACACTCCAACCTGGGCGACAGAGTGAGACTCCATCTAAAAAAAAAAAAAATTCATCCAACTCTGAAAGATGAGAGCCTCAAGAAAGCTAAGACTAATCCTACATATTCTTGGTGACAATACAAAAAAATAAAAGAGGCTACATTTTGAGGGAAATGGGAAGTCTATTAGAAATGGTAGGTTTAAGAGCAAAGTAATTGGAATCTCTAGGAATAGTGACCTTAAGGAAGTCCTTGAAAATACTCAGAGAAATTGCCAAAGTAATAATCATGGTCACATTTGACATGCTGTCATGTGACAGAGAGATTTGATTTTTCTCTATAAACTTAATGGGTTAATTAGGGTGAATGGTTAGAAAATGTAAAAGATAAGTCTTGGGGTTATGTAGAAGAAATTTCTGACAATTAGACTCATCCAAAAATGAAATGGACCTTATAACACAGGTTTATTGCTATTGTTTGAGAGTAAAACCAGAGACCAAGTGACCTTTGGGTTTTAACGTTGCAGAAAGGGGATCCTGAATTGGGTAGGAAGCAACAAAGAAATAAGCTTTTTCAACTCTGATTGTCTGTGATTTTGTTTCTTGATAAATGAGTGATGCTCCAAACTGTTTAATTTACTGTATTAATACTATCACTAGCACTAATATTGTGTATTAATACTACTAACACTAATTAATACTGCAAATTAATATCAACTCTACTAGCACTAATATCATGTGTGTGTATATTTGTGTGTGTGTGTGTGTGTGTGTGTTTGTTTTCTCCCTAAGGTATAGGGTGTTTGAAAAGTTTGCCATAAGATGATAATTTTTATAGATTATATATGTGGATAATGCTAGATGCTGCACAGTACCTATTAAATGTGATTTATTTGTCTGTAGAACAGTAGCCTGGGACTGCTCCGAATATATCTACAGGGTGCAGGTTTGAAATTAATGTGCTAGAGTACTTTAATGTAGGGAGCATGCTGGCTGGGTTCGCTGATGTTTGGTGCAGCCAAAGGCTCTTACCTTGACGGATGGTTGTTTCCTTCTTGATCAGTGCATGAATCATCTCCACTAGGTCAACAAAGAGAGAAAACAGTAGGTGGTCCTGCCTACTGCTGGATTAAGTTCAAAGCCTGGAGAGAACTTTGCATTTGTAGGGCAGATACAAGAAAGTGTGTTTATTTGAATCCTTGGCACATTACCTTTATTCAAGTTCATATTGCTCATGCTGGATGAAAAAGGACCAGCATTCTCTGTTTCTTTCCTCATTGGAGTGGCTTCGATGAGATCATGAAAAACATCCTTAGACATATGTCTGGTTTTCTGCAAGAAATAACATTTGATTTCTAAAAGAATCATATTATCAGGTTGTAACTATTAGATCAAAGCAAACTCTTGAAAACATCTCCATGTAGTTGATTATCAATTTTCTTTAGGAAATCAAATAATATCCAAGTTTCTAATGCAATACTGCAAATGGCCAGTCTTGTTTTAATCTCTAGGATGAAGGAAGCAAATTTTCTATTCCATGGAAGAGGCACAAATGCTATCCTAACTGCCCCTATATATGGGTGGACCATGAAAAGACAGTTTGAGAGATAATTAAGTGTGGTTACTAAAAGGCTTTATGGATTCAGATACTAGTTTTAAGACATTGTTAGAAATATCTGGATGAAGTAAAAACAAAAAGAAATCTTACAGTATAAATTGTTACTGACTAAAAGTCAGGAAACCAAAATATAGGTAACAGAATGAAGAAAAGAGGCCTATTCATAGAAGCAACTGGTCATACTTAAAACAAAATGAGACTTGGAATCAGGTAGACTTTGTTGGAATTCAGACTCTTTTGCTTATCAGTTTTGTAATCTTGGGAAATGGCTTGTTTTTCCTGAGTCATAGTTTTTTTGTTAATTTGCAAAGCACATCAGTATTATCTATCTCAGTGGGCTGTTATGAGAAATACAATAGATAATCTTGAGTACCTAGCATACTATATAGTACAAAATAGGGACTCATTAAAGTTTTTATTAAAAACAAATTGTATCTGCCAAACACAAGTCTCAATTAAGACAAGAGCTATGTATATACCTATTGCTCTTGATAGTTCATGAATCTAGCACTGTGTCTTGGCTGTAGTAACTAATCATTAAGTATTTATGTACTTAATTATTTCAATAATTTTTGTTCCTATTTTCTTGGGAGTATGAGTGAAGCTTGATAGTTGCTGGATTATTGAAAGAGTTGAAGGAGAGGCAAGGTGTGATCCTGCTATGCCTTGGGTTTGGCTGCTTGATCTTTTCTGTTACTTCAAAGACCCTTTTCTTCTAAGAAAGGAATACATATCACATTGGAAATGGAAATGTAATCTTCCTTTTAGAACTGGAAAAATTCAACCTGTTCTACATTTATAGCAAAACTCTGAAGTTTTGCTGGAAGAGGAAGGCTGGGGCATTGGTGGTCAGAAGGTATCAGGAAGGATGAAATAGACAGACTTATAAAAGTTACAACATTCTAGTTTCTTTCCTAAGTACAGTAATATCGATTGCCTTGAAAATCCTTTGCAAGTTGATGGTAGAATCAAGTCCTTCTGGATCTATCTCCCTTAAACGTCAGATGAAGGCAGCTGTTTCTGGCATGATTGAAACTTCTTATTCCTTCAAGATTTAGAAATTGTCTCCATCTTTCACATTAATTAGAGAAGAGATGACATTACCTTTACCCAGATGATTTTTAGTCCTTTCCTAGAAGCCTCTCAACCCTTCCATAAATAGCAACGTGTGTGTGTGTGTGTTCTGCAAACAAATGAGTTGCTTGAGCTTATTTTGTTTCCTTAGCAATCATATGAATTTTATCTTATGCATTAAAAAAAATCTTGAGAAGGATTCCATAAGCTTTCTCAAGTTGCCAAAGGGGTCTGTGGCCCAAGAACAATTAGAAGGCACTGCCTTTCTCACTAGAGGAAGCATGGAAGGACCTTTGGGTCTACTATAATGTACATTAGCAGACTATGATAGATGGTGAATTAATGCTCAGCCTTCACTCATGCCTCCTCCTAATTTGCCTTTTATATGACAAAAGGCTGGAATGCCATGAACATATATTGCCCAGACTTCCAGGAGAACACTTGGAAGTCTTGAGTGTCATGTTATGCAGACCAATTAGCTAAGAAAGAAAAACATTATTTTTAAAATTTCTGCCCTCAGGTCTCTGTAGTTAAATTTCCCTGAAGACAACTTTTAATTAAAAAAAAATTTTTTTGTACTAAACATTTTTTTTGCTTCCCTGCCATTTTTCCCCATTCTTTTATTTTTTTCCTTCACAATCCACCTGAGATCCTTGAATCACTTCTGATCTTTTATTTCTTTGTGTAATGAAAAAAACAAATTTTATTTCACATTTAATAGGGTGATTCTGTATCGGTGCCTCCAAACCCTTCTCTGAACACTCCCTAAATGCAGCTGACTGCTCTTTAATGTTAATGGCCATACAAAAATGTATGGACAGACCATACCATTTAGAAGAAATGTTTCTCCAACCATGGTTGGCAACTCACTTCCAAGATGAAATACAAAAAAAAAAGAAAGAAAGAAAGAAAGAAAGGTTGCTATTGGTGAACATCTTGGAAACAGGGAACGAACAGGGGCCTAGTGTCTCATGTTAATTCTATAGGTCTGTGGAGACTTAATTATCAGTGTGGCTACTTGGAAAGTCACACCTTATATAAAATGCTAATGAAACTACACAGTGGATGTAGTGGCAGGAGAATTCATTGAGATCATGCTGTACATCAGAAGCCATGAAATTCGAAGTCAGAAAAACTTGGCTTGAATTCCTAACTGTGTAACCTGTTAGGTGATATCTATGCTCTCTTCTAGAAAACAGGAGTGCTTATATATAAAACTACCACCTCAGGCAGTAGTCCCAATGGGCAAACCGAAAGATAAACGTAAACTCTCATAGTGCCATGGGTGTGCCTCTTACTTGCCATAATTTGGAAAACAAGATCTGTCTTCGAAACTTACCTTCATCACTGGTTATCTGTATAAGTTAGGGAGAATCACTTAACCTTTGAGTTGTTAGTTTTTATTTTTTGTTTTGTTTTGTGGAGGGAGGTATTAAGATGCAGAGGACTGGATGAATCATCTTCCTCAGCTCATTGGACACTATTGTCATCGATGCATGTAAGGTTCTTCTTGTTATGTTTACTGATTTCATTTTTATTTCCATTGTTTAGCCCCATTACTCTAGTTTTAAAAAGGTTTTTTTTGCGTATTATTTTACTTTTATCTGTTCTTGTAAAACATTATTGCTTTGTTTGCATGTAACTTTAATTTACATGAATTATATTGTGCAGTATATCTCACTTTTTAAAATATTTTCCACTCAATATTATGTTTTAAAAGATCTACCTGTGTTGTGCGTGTAGAAATCTACTTTTTATTCTGTTGTAATGCCACCACTATACTTCATGTCTCCATTCCTCCAGTGATGAATCTCCGGATTCCCTCAAATTCCTTCACTGGACTTGCAGAAGTTAGAAAACTGGACATTTCCAAATGATAGGGATTTAGAATTCTGCTGGTGGGAGAATAGAGGAGCACACTCTGAAAAGTAGTGTGTGTGCATGCACCTGTGCACACATGCATCAGCAGAGAGATGTAAGTGTAGATTATAGGGGGTCTAGAGATATACACATATGCATGCACACACACATATCTTATGAACTAGCAGGTATTCTACTGGAAGTCTGGTTGATTTAGGTTCATAGTATTCCAGCCTTTGCAGGATAGAAAGGCAAATTATGAGGGGGTGTGAATTAATGCTGATTATCAATTCACCATCTACCATAGTCTGGAACTATGTATTATAATAGACCCAAAGATCCTTCTATGTTTATTTTGGTGAGAAAGGCAGGGTTTTCTAATTGTTCTTGGACCATTGACCCCTTTGGCAACTTGAGAAACCTATGGAACCCTTCTAAAGATTTTTTGAATGCATAAGATGTGGTTAATAAGAAAACCAATTATATTGAAATTGTTATAAAAATATTAAAACGGGCCGGGCGCAGTGGCTCACGCCTGTAATCCCAGCACTTTGGGAGGCCGAGGCATGTGGATCAGCAGAGATCAGGAGTTTGAGACCAGCCTGACCAACATGACGAAACCCCGTCTCTACTAAAAATACAAAAATTAGCCAGGCATGGTGGCATGCACCCGTAATCCCAGCTACTCAGGAGGCTGAGATAAGAGAATCACTTGAACCCAGGAGGCAGAGGTTGCAGTGAGCCAAGATCGCGCCACTGCATTCCAGCCTGGGTGACAGAGAGAGACTTCATCTCAAAAAAAAAAAAAAAAATTAAAACACATTGTTAAAATTATTGATATTTTTATTGATGCATTAAATAAAATCCAGTAGCATTCCCGATAATTAATTGCTGTAATTTTGAAGGAGTTATATGAGCAAAGGCTATTTCAGGATATTTTCAACAACTGCAATGTGATAAGAAAATATCTGTGATTCAATTGGTGACAGTCACAGGTATTGCTAATATCACTGTAATTTTCCACATTCATAACTGAAGAGAATGCTCTGAATTCCAGTTTTAAGCAAAGTAAATGGTCTGAGCTATGGTCTTCTTGGGCCACTCTTGACAACACTCATTTGCTCTCAGTCCACTGAGTGAGGGTCTCTTCCAGTTAGGAATTCACATTTAAGTTCAAAAAAGATTCTGCATTCAAAAGTGCTAAGATGCCTTCTTCTAACCCTAGAAGTTTGGATGTGGGGAAACACAAGACTGAGAGTAGCTGGCCACCAAGATCTGATTCATCAATCAACACGTCATCCCAGTGGGGTGTTTGTCCTGTGCCACCGTTTCTCTGCGGGCTGTGGTGGCTGTCAATTCCTGAGGTGATGCTGTCACCAATGACTGTTTTTCTCCTGAGCATGTGTAGGGGGTGCAGGTTTGGCGAAAAGGTAACAGCAGAGCTGAATATTCTTTAAACCCTCCTTCCTCTCTGCCTCTGTCCATCTCTGCTCCAGACTACATCATAGCCCCTACTGTCTTTGCACACATCTTCCAGAACACAAAAGCTTTCAGACTCTGCTAGAGTTTCTGATAGGTATGTTGTTCATTGTTTAGATCCTTGCTCTCTCTTGCTTCAGGAGTTTCTCCAGTATTTATTAGGAGGAGAAGCAGCCAACAGTTTTTTTTTTTTTAATATACTTACTATTACAGTTTGTTATAATAAGTGTGCATTCTCTATAATGATGAACAACTACATAAAGAGGTGCAGAGGACAAGATCTGGAAGCTTCTCAAGCCCAGGAACCTCTGTCTTCATGGAGTCAGGGTGGCCCCCTCCCAAACCCCAGCTCAAAGTTGTGCTTGCCACCCTGGAAGCTCCCCAGCTTGGTTGTTTCTGAGTTTTTGTATCAAGCCTCATTGTGTAGACATGAGTGGTTACTAGTTTGTCATCTTGGCAAAAGTTAGCAATTATAATAAATAGCATCTTTATAGCATTATTTTAAGAATAAAATGAGATACTGCAATATAAGCTGCTGGCCCATAGTAGGTACACATACTAAATTCTCTACATTTTAAAAACATGTAACAAGTCTAATATGTGTCAGTGTCCATCATTGACAAAAGGCACATGGCAGAGCTCCTTGCTGTGGGGCAGTGGCTCTCAACCTTGGCCGCATATTAGAATCACCCAAAAAGCTTGTAAAAGTTCAGATGCTCAGGCCTCACTCTAGTCCAGTTAAATCAGAATCTCTTAGAGACCCAAGTATTTGCATTTTTAAAAGTTTCTGAGATGATTCCAAGGTGTGGTCAAAATTTAAGAGTCTCTGAATGGACTCTTTGACCTGAAAATTGTTCATTTTCCATTATAGCCCTGTAACTCCAGGTGGTCATTGAGAATAATATTCAAGTTTCCATATGAAGTCATTGAGCTTAACATTTTATAAGCACCCACTTATATGTAAACATGTATTTGTGATAAACAAATATTTAAAGTGTTCAAAGGTGAAATGATCTTGAGGAGGAAGAGGAGAGAATATGACTATTTGAGACAGCAGATAATTTTTCAGTGGTCAGAGAACATATTCACTCTCTGTGTAAATCCCTAAAATTAGTGAACTGAGCCCTTTGGAAAGGAATTTGTTGACTTGAACTTGATAGAGAGAACCCAGTAATCTTCCCGGAGATGATCATGGCATTCATTATTATAAAGTCTGTGTCTATAGTTGAGTCTGCAGGAGATTTTATGTGGCGAAATTTGGGTTTCTGGCTTACATGACTCAGTAGTTCTTTTGGCTTTAAATGATTTGAAATAAATCAGATTTGGAAGGCATTATCCAGAGTTATTATAAACTCTAGTGTTTAAAAGTTGCCTGCCAGCTCGAAGTTATATCTGTACATTCTTTCCATGGAGTGAGATGTGTGAAAGGGAGAAGGAATTGGCACAAAGGACTCTTCCTCAGGAAGAGAGAGAGTGCAGATGGTCCTGCCAGTGGGGGTGAGGAATTGGAAGCTAGGAAAGAGATCGTAGCTGAAGACTGATTATGAACTTCCCCTAGAAAATGTTTTCTGAAAAGAGTTAACGGAAGTTTATGTAGCTACATTGAATGAAAAGAAAGACAAAGATGAATACACACAAGATGTCACATCCAGCTTCTTAAGGCAATATTTTCAAACCCTTGAAAATATCATAGGCGAGCCAACGGAGATCTGGGATTTGGCAACCTAGTGCTGGTGTGATTCTTATGTTTTCTTTAAGTTTGAATGGTGCCTTCCAATTGTCACTTGCCGTAACACCGAGCCAGCAAATAAGAGCAGATTGTCAGCACGCAAATACTAAAAAGAAGAGAGCAAGAAAGGATAAAAACGACCCTGATGACCGCCCTGAAGAAAAACTATGAAGAAGATAAAGCGTGGCTGCAGTATCCTTCTCTCTTAAATAACATCAATATTGAAAGCATTGCACTAACCCATCTGCCAGTGTCTCTGAATCAGTGCACAATTTGGAACAGACCCATTTTTTTCTTCCCTATTCCCAATCAAATTTATCTCTTTGTCCTATTCTCTCTGACTGTACTCTGTTAAGTGACAGTTAATTTGACAAATGACTCCTTACTAATAGACCGACTGTTAATGCATTCATTAAAAAATAATAACAAGCATTTATTGGATGCCTTTTATATGTCAAGAAGTGTATTAAAAGTGTTCACGTATATTATCTCCAACCAAGTTAACATTTTCATTTTGAAAGGTATCTAATGATTGAATTCAAGAAAATGGCCAAAATGGCAGATCTTTGCACTCCTGTCAGGGGAGAGAAGATGCATTTATTGGCTGGAAAATATGATAGAGCTCCTCAAGTCACAGCTGGTGATCTATCATTATTTTACCTGCAACAAGATATTTATTAGAAGACCTACAAAATATGAGTCAGATGCCCTAGATTATAGTATCTTTTATAAACTATAATCTTCAGCCATCAATTAAATTCTGAGCTTTAGTTTCCTCATCAATAAAAGAAATATCATCAGTAGACCCTTATGGATAGTTGTAGAGATTAGATCTGATGACCTATTTGTAATTTGAAATGATCCATATATATCTTAGTTATGCTGGTGCTTGTTACTAACGAGGCTCAAGCCAGGTTTTAGAACCATAATCCCCAAGGCCAATTTTCTGGTTTCTATTCAGGATATCTATTCAGGACATTGTTTTGGAAGTCTTTAATCCATCAAGAACTTCATCCTAATTTAAGACAGTCATAATAAATTATTTGTCATGCTTATGCATTACGATATATTTGATGAATGGATAATAACACCTTGAGGAAGATTATTTTTAATGAAGTACTATAATATTTTGTGGACTACTTTCATTTCTTGCTCAGTATGTGTATATTTCTGGGCCATGTGAGTTTCTGATAAATCTTAGTAAACATTTAAATATGTGGACATAATAATTTCCACTTAAGCTTGAAACCATATCAGTCAGTATCTCCTAAATTATAAATTGTGTTTGTGTTACCTAAGCACTTAAAAAGTGATAGGTAAAATTATTAATATGTTCTATGATGCCAGAACTTATACATTTATTCTGGTTTGGAAAATCATAGAGAGCAATAGTTTGGTGGAATATGACTCATTTGGGAAATGAATAAAAATAGAATAATAATTTTTTCTGGCCGGGCGCAGTGGCGCATGCCTGTAATCCCAGCATTTTGGGAGGCTGAGGCGGGTGGATGGTTTGAGCTCAGGAGTTTGAGACCACCCTGGGCAAAAATGGAGAAACCCCTTTGCTAGAAAATAATACAAAAATTATCTAGGCGTGGTGGCTCATGCCTGTAGTTTCAGCTATTCAGGAGGCTGAGATGGTGAGAGGATGGCTTGAGCCCAATGATGATAATTTTTTTTCCTTTAATTTCAGGATATTTTACTCCTCTGGTTTGGAAATTTTGCTTATTAATTTGATAGGTCCATGCTATAGGAAGCAAATTCTGCTCTTGAGATATATATATATATATATATATATATATATATATATATATATATATATGTATCTCAAATATATATATATATATATATATATTTTTTTTGAGATGGAGTCTCACTCCAGTCTTGCTCCTCTGCCCAGGCTGTGGTGCAATGGTGCGATCTCTGCTCAGTACAACCTCCACCTCCTGGGTTCAAGTGATTCTCCTGCCTCAGCCTCCCAAGTAGCTGGGGTCACAGGCATCTACCACCACTCCTGGCAAATTTTTGTATTTTTAGTAGAGGTGGGGTTTCACTGTGTTGGCCAGGCTGGTTTTGAACTCCTGACCTCAAGTGATCTGCCCAGCTCGATAATTTTTTATGGTCACATATGGGTAGTAAGATAATTAGTTGATATTACCCAATTGTTTGTTAGTAATGACAGTAAGAGATGTCTAAATTCTTTTCTATTGTCTATCAATTCCTTATACTGGCATTGAAGGTATTCTAAATATGGCAAAATCCATATTCTAGCCTTAGTTTTGATAACTTCTTCCTACTCTCTATCTCCCACGCCATGTGTCCTGCATCAGATTAGGCAAATTGCTATGCTTCTTTTAGCCGAATGAGATTTCTGAGGGTCGTGTCTGTGTGTTACTTGTCTTTCCATCTACAGTGTCTGCTCATAACCTGCATCAGAACATTCATAATGATCTATAACTCTGACATTACAATCCCTACATCTTTACTGTCTCCATCTTTACCTGTCAAAATGCTACCCAAACTTCAGGATTCTTCTTAAAATTCACCTTTTTTTTTTTGAGCCAGCGGTGATCTTTCCAAATGTGATCTCAATAAATATATTTTTTATTTCCATGGTAGTTATTGAAATGATTAACACTTAATACATTTTAAATTCTTTGAGAATTTAAATAATAGTATCCATTGGCATGGCCCCCAAACTATATACTGTTGCACTCCCAGGTATCACAGTGAATTTACATAGATGCTGCTGGTTACTTTAAATTTTCAAGGGAAAGAATGACAGTTGGGATTTGTCAGTCACTGCATTAACTACAAGCTGGTTGAGGTGTGTTTAAAAACTTTTCTTAGGCAGATTTAATTTAGCAAAGTTTATTTCAGCAAAGAAGCAATTCATGAATCCAGCAGTACCTGAACTAGGAAAGCTACAGAGAGCTCCACCCAGCAACATGGGCAGGCAGTATTTACAGACAGAAAAAGGAAGTGATGTACAGAAATAGCCTGATTGGTCACAGCTGCAAGTTTGTCTTATTGTCAGAGCAGTTTGCAGCATGTGATTGGCTGAAACCTTGGCTGCTTGGATGAGACCTGGTTACTTGCTGCAAGAATATACCCTCAAGTTAGAATGCAATTTGTTTACATATTCAGTTAGGTTACAATTCACTGTGTATGGAGGGAGCTTTGGGCCAAATTTTATTTATCAGATAGTTCACAGTTTTAATATTAGATCATGATATATCTCTGTTTATAATATCACCTTTTTCCC
This sequence comes from Homo sapiens, assembly GCF_000001405.40. Lineage (NCBI taxonomy): Eukaryota > Metazoa > Chordata > Mammalia > Primates > Hominidae > Homo > Homo sapiens. The sequence continues at coordinate 87,493,970 of NC_000014.9, read as the reverse complement.
AAACTCCTTTTTTGGTGATGGTCATGATAATAAACAAGTACTGTGTAAAAGTAATACGGGCAAAAAATGAGGGTAGCAGTGTCCAATTTGATCTCAATGTTTGAGAATTTGTGCTGTGTTCAACTGGCATATACATTTTATTAATAAATATGAATAAAATAAAAATGTTATATTTTCTTTCATTTAATTATTTTTCAAATGGCTAAGTTGTTATGATATAAATATGGTATTTAATAAGCGTGTTGGAACTAATTATTTAATAAATGAAACTGGTACTTTTTTCTTTTCATTGAAGAAAAAAACCTAATGCGAGACTAAGGGTGCTATAAACCAAGAAAGTCTGGGAATCTCTTGTATGTTGTATGGTATTTGTATATGCAATATGAGGAGTGCAATTTTATGGTAGATATTCAATTGATACATTTTTACTTGAAATAACTTATGCCCATGGTATAGTAGTGAGTTTCCCTTATCATAATTTTGCTTTCCCTTGAAATAAATAAAATATATGGTAGACTTTTAATGGGAAAACAATCAGCATGAAACACCCACACATGCGTGGGGCTATATGAAGTGCCCTGGTTGTGTTATGCACTGAAAATTTCCCCTCACATAGTTACTAAGAGATACGTCATTTTAAATTACCTTTTCAAGTCATTTCTCTTAATGAAAAGGGCTTTCCATGTGTCTGGACTCTTCAGTGTCTGAGAAGATGAAAGAAAAAAATGATATTTGATCTGATATCATATCATGGCATAATAAAGACTTCATTAATGAAGATGAAGGCCAGAGTTAGTCTGAACATCAACAGGCAGTTGTCTAAGTTAATAAGGGCCAACCCCAATAAGACCGTGCTTATTGTAGAAGAATCTCGAAGCAAACTTCCTCCAAAAATTCACATTATTGATTACTTTTTACCAACAGGGTAAGTGTGTTTAATGGGCACACACACACGCAATACTCCCCCCCATCCCCATGCTATTATATTAGATGAGGAGAGAACTGACTTATCAGCACCAACCAGTTTTTTATATTTAGCAGAAATTATTTATAGAAGGATTTGTCCATGTACAATGAATTAGATATACACAGGCATAGGAATTTCTTATTCCCTCAGATGGGAAACTTCTCATGTCTCAGACATCTGCTAGAAAAAGCAGCCCGGAGCAGGATATCACCAGAGAGTAGATTGAATAGCCAAGATCAGTGAATATTGACATGGACAGATGGGCCGAGGAAAGTGGAGGATCCAGGAAGAGGGCTAGAGAACATGGAAATCACACTTCACAGATTTTATAGTTTTGCCTTAGGCCAGCCCTGGAGCTACCAGACAGTTTGTCACTTAAAACCTAAATTTCTAGTTTATTTAAGAGGATGTGAATCTTAAAATATTCTGATCTTCCTTATCTTCAGTTGCAAAGGTTTCTATGGGCAGATGGAGCAGATGAGAGTTTTCTTGTACACAAATGTTTGAGGATAACCCATTACTAATAACTTTGTAGAAATTTACTAATTTCTATTGCTGTTCAAAAACTTGTTTCATGTATGTCATTTTGGTTTTAATGGAATATAAAATTATAATCAAGACAGGGAAGTGAGGAGAAAGAAGAAGTTGCTGCATCCCTTAGACAAATTATTTAAATAATAAATGTGATATTTTGACTATTGTTGCATCTGTTAATCTCAAAGTTGAAAACAGCGATGTATGCAGTTAATTTGTTTTAATAACCCAAATAAGGCTGTTAATCAGTACCCATATTTAAGTGCTATAGTCAAACAACAATGGGCTTACTATTGTTAGGAAAAATATATCAAAACCTTGGAAATAAAGCAAAAAGGCTGAGTCCATGTCCTTTCAATATCATATCGGAATGCTGTTTTACCGGTTTTACAGATCTTCATGAATGGCTTGGTTGTCATTCTCAAGGGAGTGAGTCAGTTCTCACTCTTAATTCTCAAGAGAGCTGCTTGTTGCAAAAAGTCTGGCACCTTATTCTCTCACTCTTCCTCCCTCTCTCACCATGTGATCTGCCCACTCTGACTCTTTTTCCCCCTCCACCCTGAGTGAAAGCTTCCTAAAGCCATCATGAGAAGCAGCTGCTGGCACCATACTTCTTGTACAGCCTGAACAACCATAAGTCAAATAAACCTCTTTTATTTATAAATTACTGAGCCTCAGGTATTCTTTTCTAGCAACACAAATGGACTAAGAGAGGATCGCACAGGTTTAATTACCTTGGAGAATGGACATTTCTTTGAACTTGCAGTTTACTATTTGTTTAGAGTACAGATACTAACTAAAATGTTACATATTAACCTGTGGATGTTTCTCCAGAAAAAGAGATAATACTAAAGGTTTTAGTTTCATTGCTCTATAAGGCATTACTCAATTTTGTATCTAAATTAATTTCAAAATTCTGTTGACTATCTAATCTACATCATGATTCCTAAAATGCTTTGAACGACCTTCATCATCTTACTGGTTCCCTCTTTAATTAATGATTTGAATTAATTATTAGGCATACAGTTACTCTATGATTGTATGAGTCATGCTTTTATATTTTTGAAATTTATACTGGGATACAAATTGGTTAGGTCATCTTTGCACATTTGCCGATCCACTTATTTAAATCAATCAGATCTCACGCTATTAACTGTTTGCAATTCCAGACATGCTTAAACCATAACTTAAATGAGGATGAATTACTCCTTAGAAAAACTGCCTATGCAATTCAAGTTATTCATGTGTATTGGCCATATGTTTTTTGGCCAGAAACAATGCTTTTTAACTGGAATATATGTTGTATCCCTAAAGCAGCCATCACATTATCTTGGCAACTAAATGAAGCATAGCTGGGGGATCCTGATAATTGCAAATCCCTACCACATGCTAAGCAGTTTTTATTCATGTTCTAATTTAGCTTTTAAAGTTACCCTATATGGTAAGGTTATTAGCACCACTGTAAAGATGAGAAAACAAAACTCAAAGAGGTAGACTTACTTGGCTAAACTGCATTACATGGGTTAAATCCGAATTTGTCAGACTTCAAAATCATGTTCTTTCTACTACTGTAGCAATGTTCCTGGGGATTATTTCTATGACATTAACTAGAAACTATTGAATTAAGAATATTAAATAATACACCAAAATCATGACATTTTTTTCTTTTGTTAAGGATCAAACATTTGGCCAAAAGTTCATAATGACATTTCCAGCATTGTGTCACCAATAAGTCACAGTTTATAGTGCATAGAGCTAGAATGAATGAACAGATGAAGTGAAGGACAAAAATTTTATAGAATAATTTTCAGGTAACTTTTTAATAATGATATGTCTTACAGTAGATTTCATCTTTCTAATGCCAGTTACTGTGTTTCACCTGAGTATGGTGGCTCATGCCATAATCCCAGAGCTTTGTGAGGCCAAGGCAGGAGGATTACGTAAGGCCAGGAATTTGAGCCCAGCATGGGCAATACAGTGAGATCCCCTGCTCTACCAAAAAATATTTAGCTGAGCTTGGTGGTGTGTGTAGACCCAGCTTCTTGGGAGGCTGAAGCCGGAGGATCCTGGAGGCCAGGAGCTATGATTATGGGACGGAACTCCAGCCTGAGAGTTAGAGTGAGTACTCTCTTTCTCAAAAGCAATCAAACAAACAAACAAAAACAAATACCCTCCTCCTTGGCTTCCAATTTGGGGCATTCCTCATCACATTTATTTTTGGTAGGTATTAGTGGTGCATCCCACTGTTAAATTTGAAGAGGATATGTCCTCTTTCATCCTGTCTCATGGTTGGGCACTGATATAATTTGGCTCTGTGTCCCCACCAAAATCTCACCTTGACTTGTAATCCCCACGTGTCCAGGAAGGGACCTGCTGGGAGGTGATTGGATCATGGGGGTGGTTTCCCCCATGCTGTTCTTGTGACAGTGAGTGAATTCTCATGAGATCTGATGGTTTTATAAACAGCAGTTTTCCCTGTGCTGCCTCTCACCTGCCGCCATGTAAGAATTGCTTGCTCCCCCTTTACCTTCTGCCATGATTGTAAGTTTCCTGAGGCTTCCCTAGCCATGCAGAACTGTGAGTCAATTAAACCTTTGTTGTTTATAATTACCCAGTCTCAGGTAGTATTCTTTATAGCAGTGTGAAAACAGACTAATACAGGCACTCATTGATTTTGGCCAGGTCAGTAAGTCACTCTTTCTTGAAATTCCAAAACTTCAGTGGATGATGCATATCCACAGGGACATTAAGAGGTCAGTCTCATTGTAGTGGCCAAGGAGAAACTCAGACCAGATTATTTCTACATAGTAATGTTTGCTTTGGTTTCTGCTCAGCCAAACATTTGGAGTTCCCTTGTTGTGACTGAGCTCTTATCTATTTCTGGTTAAGATTAAGCTGGGTACATGGCTAAAGATAAACAGACTTAAATTTTTATCTTTCCCTGCATCTTGGTGCAGCCAAATGACTAAATTTCAAACAATTGCATATGCACAGAATAGATGGAGCAACCACTCAGTCCTTTTCTTGCCCCGATTGTCCTTTCTTCCTCCTTTTCTACAGGTATATATGAGGTCATTGTAACAATAGAGCTTTGACCTTGTGAAAAAGGATAACATATTAGAGGGTGACAGAACAACAAAAGGGGAGAAACCTGGATTTCTGATTGACTTTGTGGAAAGGGCCGACCCAACTGTGTGGTTTAGCCTGACTCTTCTGGGAGAATAAAATAGAGTCTGTCAAGTCTAACCTTCAACATTGGGGCATCTCTTTATGATAGCAGACTGGTGTATACTCTACTTAATTCATGTATTTAGATTCTTCCCATTTTTTATGCCTGACCCTTCAGACTTCATCTGTGTGGTGCACTCTTGATGTCTCTCTAGTCAGGTCTCTTTTTGATTTAAGATAGTCAACTTTGATTTCTGTTGATTTCCACCAAGAAATCTGACTGGTTTCCATCATATTATGACTTAGAGTGTTTTCGTTTCTCCTGACGTCTTAGCTGCAATATTTTCTGCTGATTATGTTCAGCATATCATTACCAGACACCACTTTCTCTCAAAGGACCTGAATTTACTAAATATGAGTTTAATAAACATGTGGACAGCTGTCATCATCATGCTTCATCTCTCTTAAGAAGATTGTTAAGAAGGTGGCATAAGCCACTAAGGATACTCTGAGTTGAACTGCAGGAAAACATTAGCTATGAAATATGCCTAGTTTATCAGATCCTCAGGGACTAGTCCTGAGACTGTAGCTTCCAGTGCCTTATGTCATGCCTGATACCTAGTTGATGTCTAAGGAATGCTTATTAAATTGTGTATTGAATCCATCATTGCATTATCATAAACAGAAGGAAATAAGCCTTACCAAACTCCTAATTGGGCAGCTTCCTATAAATTAATTTTAAAAACCCACATTTAAACCTAGATGAGGATATAAAAGCAGAACATAATGCTATTCTCTCTGTGCCTTTGTTTTCCTCACTTGTTGAGCAGAGCTATGCTTCAAGCTGGATATATTTCATGTGCTCTTTGAGAAATATTCCCCACATTTTTCTAGGCTGTTTTCTGCCCATGAGAGCTGACCTGTATTGCAGCAATAAGGTTCCTGTGTGCCCAGCTTCCTGTTTGATTCCTGTTCTCCAGTGGGGAGCCCTGGAGGCCGAGAGGAGTGAGGGAGAAGAGTGAGGTCACGGTGTTGACTTTCTCTGTGAGGTTGGCTTGGACAGAGAGGCCCCTTGACTGAAAGATACTAATCCTCTCAAGCATTCTAACTCGTCATAACCATTTCTCCCTCAAGTTTGAGGAACTGCTCCCCTAATTCAACTTTTAAGAGCTGGGGGTGCTAACAGCTCAGATACTGCTAGTTCTGGGGTGCTGCACTACTCCTTTGGTTTACCTACAACCACACCCTTATAATAATCACTTTGTAAGCACATCTTCCTTGAGTTATTCTACTTTGTGTGGGTGTCATTTGTTTCCTATTGTCCCCCTGACTGTTTATTTATTTAGAATTTGGAACTGGAGTGTTATATTAACTAGTATATAAACTAAAAAGAAAACCTCATACAGAGTGGCTTATAAAGGACTGAAATTTATTTCTTCTTCATATGGCAATCAGAGAAGTAGACAGTGTGGGGTTGTTAGACAGCTCTGCCATCCCTCACACATGGCTTCCACTAAGTAGGGAATTGGACTTGGCTGCTCCTGCTCTCCCCATCTCCCAGCAGCAATAGTGAGAGAAACAAACAGGGGAGCTCACCTCCAATCCCTTCAATAACAAGACACCAGAATGGCATAATCACTTCTGCTCACATTGCATGGGCATTACTTTAGTCTCATGGCGGTAGTTAGGTGGAAGAAGAGCTGGGGAATTCACTCTTTCTTTGGGCAGTAACGTGTCCTGCTGACATTCTGTTACTATGCAGGAAGAAGAAAATTATGATTAGGGGCCAATTAATATAAGGCCAGAGGCTGATTTTAGTTCAAGAGAAGCCAGTCAGACACAGACTTTGTCCCAGGGATACAAAACTGAATAAGCCGCTTCCAGCCATCTATGAACTGGTGGCCTACTTACAGACGGGCACCACGACAGATACTTTCAATTCGATATATGGGAGTTGATAAGTGTCTGGCACAGATGCTACAGGAACATAGGAGAGGGACAGTTTAGCCAAGGTTTACAACTCCATGAAATAATAGAAAAGTAGGTACTAAAGCTTTGGTTTGGTGTGATGATTACAAACTATTGCTGTGTCACCAAGTTAATCACCGGAAAACTGCCCATCCTAATATGGACAGGAATTCATGACAATCTGAATGCCAAGCTCCTGCTCTCTGATGAAAACTGACCCAAGTGGGTCTTTTTGCATGAGGTTATTACAGGTTTTGCCACACAGCACAAGGATAACTGAGTCACTTAATCCTGAGTTTTACCGATTTACTCTGAGGTCGTTGCCTGAGTCAGTGTAAACCAGAATGGCCTGGAGTAGAAAAAGAACCATCTCCTTCAGGTTTGGCAGATTTTGTGCAGCAAGAGATTGACACAGTATCAGAACAGCTGAACCCCTTCAAATACTCTCTTTTAAAAACTAAGCGGCCCTTGGGCCCAATCTGCACACAAACATCATGGAGCTGCTATTCCGATTTGTCCTGATGCCCTCTGTGCTTTCAATATTAGAACATCTGAGCTTCAGAGTTACTACGTACTTTACAAGGGTGGCTTTTATCCATTCAAATATAGTTTTCAAGTGTCTGCTATACACCAGGAACCATGCTAGAATCCAAAGCTTTTATCCGAATCTCTTATATCTTTATAATAAATCTTTATTTGGGTAAGGAAAACTGACCATATCTCTTCTTTGCCCTTAAATAATAAATGCTTAAATCCTCTGTTCATGACATGAGAAAAACAGAACCATTAGAGGGAGATATTCAAACTGGGTTCTTCTCACCCTGGGGTTCAAATAGTTTCCTATGGGATGTTCAGAGAAGGAAGAGGGAGATTGAGTGGGTGCAGCTCCAGATTACCCCAAACCCATTCTACTGGAAGTACTCTACCCATAGCCATAACCAAACCCTGTACTTAATCTTCTCTGTTTGAAATACCTGTAGTGATTTCTATTTTCCTATTTGGATCCTGACGTATCCAAAGATGATGTGGGTGAGTGCTAGTTGTTTAAACAAATGCAAAATAAAAACAATTGGAAATAAGTACTATAGAACAATGGTTCTCAACCAGATAGACATATTGTTTTGAACAGTGTTGGATTTTAATCTGTTACAAGAAATGAATAAAGGCATAGCTGGATATCTGAGCACTGGGCTGATAGAAAACCTATATTTTAGAGGTAGCTTCTTCTCCTTTAATGGTTCATAGTCCCTCGGAGGGATCCATGTAGTTAAGCATACATATCTGCAACCTTAGCAGATCCACACTAGGCAGGGAGAAATAATTTTGTTGGTACAACTGATACTCTAGACACCACTGGCATATCATATAAACAGTTTCAAAAATGGGTTTCCCTAATTGGCCAACAGATTATTTACTATGGAAATAGAGGGAAAGATAGAGGGGCATTCTATGTGCTCAGGAAACTGTGGTGGGTTTGTCCCTTTTGAGGACAGATACATGCCCATCACAATGACTTCACTTGGGGCTTGCCCAAGGTAGAATGAGCTCCCTTGCCTCCTGCCCCATCACAGAATTCTGCTTAAGGCTTGAACATCTATTGATAATTTTCTCCTGCTCTAGCACAAATGTTCAGGTTCTTATGGGCACATTTACCAAAATTAAAGCATTTTGTAGCTATCACTCAGAAATCCAATTAAACTAAATTAGAAGCAGGTGAGATAACCACAAACTCAGTCAAAGGCAAAATTTGTACGAAGGAGACAAGAGATGTGAAGTATGACCATTTAAAATCTGACACTGAAAGCTGACGGAATTGAAGTGCAATTGATCACAAAATAATGGAGTTTAACAGCCTAAGAATGGAGAGGGGACGGGCCAGCCTTGAAAGCATAAAATGACCATGAAAAGCAGGGTGAGACCAAGACAAGGGATCAGTGAACAGCTCTAACTAACTCTGAAATGAGGGCTAACTGGAGTTCAGCTTCCCTGAAGCTTTGAAGGGTATATTAATTCACAACCAAGATGAAAGAGAAACCCATAATCTCAAAGTGTAGAGAAAATAATGAAATATCAATATGTGTGTGGCAGGTGAATGTAAGAGTCTGAAAATGGAACAGCCATCAAGATACAATGGGAAAAATTGCAAGGGCTCAAATCGCATGTCAGGAGCAGGTGAACAGTGAGGGGGCTATGTTCGAGGGTTTTGTAAAGAAGGTGAAAAGTAAGCTGTGGTAAATGGGAGACAAGACCTAGAAAAGCATAGTTTCTTTTCCTTTCTTGCAGGTTATATTTCCAATCACTGTGAGATAGGAGGCTGACCTTCTGACATTCTTCAAGGGGCCACTGCCCTGACTTGGTGAATGGGTAGTGGTGACCATGTAATTTATTGCCCAAATAGGGACTCTTTTGAGAGTAAAAAGGGGTGCAAGAAGGAAAATGTGGTGATGCTCAATTTCTTCAGAAAGTCTGATAGTGGTTGATAGAATGGTCCTGATTATGATCTGCCGAGGACAAAATGGTGGATTCCATTTAGCAGTGGTGACTTTGATCTCTCCAGTTTAAAAGTTTCTATACCCTCTCACCTCTGAACATTCCCTTCAGTTACATGGATGCTGCCTTCCCATTTCTCGGGACATCTCTGGCCCTCCCTTGTTACTTAGTTACCTATGCTTTATTCCTGTGTATTCAGTTCTTTATGCTCTGGTAGTGTACCCTACTTATCTCCCCTTGCCTGTATTTACAGAATGCTTGCTTCTGCTAGGAGCCAAGCAGTACTGTCTGAGAAGATATTGGTATACAGTGGCAGTGCTCAAAAAGGGTGTCCTAAAATGCCTGTCCACTGATTATTCAAGCAAATATTAATTTAATGTTATAAACGGGCTTTGAAGATAGAATTAATGTTTCTGATCACTAATAAATTGACTTTAAAATAGAGGGACTATCTGGGATTATCTGAGTTGGTCCAGTGTAACAGCAAGGAAGAAGAAGACAACAATCTAAGAAATGCGGCTGAAGATGGAGACTGAGGAAAGAAGAAAGGAGAGATTCAAAGCAAGAGAAGCAATTGCCCCGCTGTGATTGACTTTAAAGATGGAGGAAGAGACCATGAGTCGGAGTGTGTGGGCACCTCTGGCAGCTGAAGGAAATCTCCAATCACAGCCAGTAAGGAAATGTGGATCTCACGTTTACATCGCATGGAACTGGATTCTGCCACCAATATGAACGTGCCTGGAAGCAGATTCTTCCCAGAGCCTCTTGATAAGAGCCCAGCCGGCTGACACCTTGAGAACCTTGGAGCTTGGGAACCAGCCAAGCCTACCGAACCTCTGACCTACAGAACTGTAAAATAACACATTTGTGTTGTTTTAAGCTGCTAAATAAAGGTAATTTGTACAGCAATAATAGCAAACTAATTCAGAGAGATAGGCAGTAGAGCCTCCTGAGTGGGGGAAGCTCAGTTCCCTATGAATCATGATGACTTATACCTGGTATGCTTTCCAGCACACAGGAAATCCACAGATGTTTAGGACTGAATACATACTCTCATACCAGAGACAGAGAGTAGGGGTTAGAATCTGAAGCCTGTCTGCCTAGGATTGTATTCCTGCTCTGCCATTTATTAGCTGTGTGACCTTACAACTTCCTTAACCTCTCTGCCTCAGTTTGTTAATTCATGAAATAGAGATAATAATAGTGCTTTAATTATGCGGTTGTTGTAAAGATTGAATTACATACGCATAAATATGACTGAGTGGGTGTGCTTGTATGCATAATGAGCCTAAAATGTAACAATCAAAATATGTGTTAGCTATTGTTTCAATACTACTGTTGAAATAATTATCATATTCATATGTTTTGTTTGTGTCATGACCCCTGTTTAGCTATGCATCTATTCTATTGGAGGGTAGGGCTGGTGTGTCTTTGTTTGTCACTGCATCACAAGCACCTAGCCAAGCACAAGTAATATGTTCTCAGTAATTACTTTTTTCATGACTAAATGAATGGATAAATAAATAACATCATTTACAAACTTCACAGACAGGCAAAATAAGCACAGACTGTTAAATGGTAAAGGTCTAGAAATTGGCCTGAATGTGTTTTCCTAGAGCTATTTTTTTAAAGAAAAAATTCTGATGGGACTTGTTTTTTCATCATTTTTCTGTTCTGGTAACTGTGAGCATATTAAAAATATTGACTTTAAGTCAAGTTGGTGAAGTAGGTTTTACAATTTGATGTGCTCTTCTGCTCTAAACACAGAGAACCAATAGGAAAATACAGAGATCCGAAAAACTCACAGGGAGACTTGAAAATGTGTTAAACAGCTCTGTGGCTCAGACACAAAGCAGGAGTATAAATGGTGGAAATCCTGGGAAGCTGGTTCCTGGGGCTGGAAGCAGGTAATCATGACAGATAATCCGCTGCTGTGTTTTCAAAAGAATTTAAAATTTTCCTCTTAAGATAGGACCAGATTTCCATTTACCTCTTGAACCTGAAAGATGGTATGGGATGATTTCCCCCTCTGATATTAAAGAACCCCAAGAAAAGGAACTGCTGATGGCTTGTGGTTTCTAGATATTGCTCTCTAGGAAGCTCTAGCCTAAAACATTGGGATGGCGAAGACACAAGCACAGCTAGGTCCTGAATCAACCTACTCCTGGCTTACCTATTGCATCTTTGATATCTGTGTATTTCCGAGAGGCAGTAGCTTTACCACGTCCTCATAAAATCTAGGTCCAGACATGGAAGAGATTCAAAGCAGAGAAAGGAGAGAAAAAAAGTAAATAAAAGGCATAATAAAAATCCAATGCAAAGCACAAAAGCCAAGAACAGCAAAAACAGAAATAAAATTTTAATAAAAACAATTAGAATTTGAACTCACTGCTTATGAGAGTAACATTATATAGCAATCTGACAAACACTGTTCAGGACGTTCAAGAAAATAAATGCGGGAATGACTTTTACAATATAATAATAAAATTAATTTCAGTAAATATAAAACTAGAAAAATAGTTGTGAAAAACAAAATATAAATCTTGGAAATATATAGTCATTTAAATTTTTTAAAAACTTAATACTAGCATAAACTCTTATCTTCACATACTTTCAATTCACTATGTAAATTGGAAGTTATTGCTAAAGAATTCATCCAGAGTATAGGCAAGATATAAATAAAATACATTAAGAGTAGAAAGGAACAAAACTCTTAGACTGGGAATCTCTAAATTATAGCTAATTGGATTTCTAGAAGAATAATGGTGGACTCAATAGCCAAGAATCAATACTTCACAATACAAAAACTATGTATTTTCAGATTTGAAGGCCAATTTAAATATTCTGAGTTCTAGGCAAGATAAATAATAAATCACCTACTAACACATTATAGTGACCTCTCTGGACTCAAGTCTTGAGTATCTAACATCGACCGTGGCATGTGTATTCTCAAAGACAACCATTTCATACCATTCATCACCCTAAGACTACAATTTGAGACTCCTTTCCTCACCTGCAATTAATTGATAAGTTTGCTTCTTAGTTTGCTAAGAAAATATAATTCATCAGAAAAGAAGTTAACCTATATCCATCACAAAATCTATCACCTTATCTTGATCTGTACTCAAATATTCTGACTTATTTCGTTTTACAGAGAAGGAACCATCAGTACTCCAGAGTTAACCTCTCAATTTGTACATCAGATTGTATCTCCTCTTCCCCAGGACAACTCTCTGGTAGGGGCCTTCTTTGTATCATCAAAATTTCCTCTTCTACTGAACTATTTCAATCAGAATTCAACATGCTGCACTACTTCCTTCTTAAAAAATTCCTCCACTAAAACCAAATTAAACACACAATGAGATACTACTATATACTCATAAAAGTAGATAAAAGACATACAATTTCTGATACGGTTTGGCTTTGTGTCCCCACCCAAATCTCATCTCAAATTGTAATTCCCATGCATTGAGGGAGGGACTTGCAATTCCCATGAGTCAAGGGAGGAAAGTGATTGAATCATGGGGGCAGTTTCCCCCATGCTGTTCTTGTGATAGTGAGTGAGTTCTCAGGAGGTCTAATGGTTTTATAAGTGTTTGGAAGTTCCTCTTTCATTCTTCTCTCTCCTGTCACAATATGAGGAAGGTCCTTGCTTCCCTGCTTCCCCTTCACCATCCATCATGATTGTAAGTTTCCTGAGGCCTACTCAGCAATGTGGAACTGTGAGTCAATTAAGCCTCTTTTCTTTATAAATTACCCAGTCTTGAGCAGTTCTGTATAGCAGTGTGAAACTAGACTAATACAATGTGAAAAGAAATTTCCACCCCAGTACCTTTGCACTTGCTGTTCCCTTTGCCCCGAACACTCTTTCTTCAGACATCTGTGTAGCTGACACCTCAGCTTCATCAAGTCTCAACCAGGTCTTATCTTTTAGGCCTTTCCTAACCACAGGACAGAAAAGACGATTCCATCAATCTTTATCCCTTTTTTTGTTGCTATTTATTTATTTATTTAATTTTTTATTTTTTTGAGACGGAGTCTTGCTCTGTGGCCCAGGCTGGAGTGCAGTGGCGTGATCTTGGCTCACTGCATGCTCCGCCTCCTGGGTTCACGCCATTCTCCTGCCTCAGCCTCCCAAGTAGCTGGGACTACAGGTGCCCGCCACCAGGCCCGGCAAATTTGTTGTATTTTTAGTAGAGACGGGGTTTCACCGTGTTAGCCAGGATGGTCTCCATCTCCTGACCTTGTGATCCGCCCACCTCAGCCTCCCAAAATGCTGGGATTACAGGCATGAGCCACCATGCCCGGCTTTTGTTGCTTTTTCTTGGCACTTAAATTACTTCAAATTGTATCTACTTATTTGTTTATAGTTTATTTCCCTACACTAAATTCCAAGCACCATAAGAGCAGGGCTTTAATGTGTTTTGCTCACTGCTACAGCCTCAAAACTTAGAAAGTGTAAGACATATGGAAGGTACTCAGTAAATATTTGTTGAATAAATAAATAAATAAATAGTGAAATTATGTAATGTTGAGTAATTATACATGCATAAAGACAGTGGGGTAAAATCTTCAAAATACTGACAAAAATAGCCTAGTAACCTAGAAATAATTTTATACACAGTCAAGTGCTGATTTAAGAGAGCATGAAATACAGACAATTTTAGAGGTACAGAACTAAGAGGGGATATCACTCACTTACCTTACTAAAAGCTAATGAAAAATGTCCATCAGCAAAACCCAGCCCAGAGGAAAGCCTTAGGATATCAAAAAATTAAGTGCAGTGTTTCTTTAAAAAGTTGGTAAATATATTTAATAATTTAAAACATTGCAATAAATTCTTTTACCAAAAAAACAAAACCAACCAACCTAACAAACCGAAAGACAGAGCTAAAGCACCAAAAACCAAACCAAAACAGAACCAGTGCTAGTGGAAAAGTGGGACTGTATGAGTAATTAAATCATCCCGATGTCCATGTCATATTTGGGAGGAAGATAAAAATAGTGAATACGTTGGGATGTTTTGGGTGAATATTTAATATATAAATATGTTTTAAAGAATATTATTGGCAGCACCAAAGAAAGGGAATGTATTTTATAGCTTCCCAACCAGGAAATGAAAAAAAAAAACAATGGTTGGAGGGATAGAGAACTGTATTAAAAGAAATGTTATCTTAAAAGAAGAAAAGGGTAAGCAAACAAAGAAGGTGCTAGATTTAAGTGAAACATACCCAAAAGCACCATAAATAGAAACATATCTACTTATCGATATGGTTTGGCTCCCATATCAAATCTTTATCCCCACCCAAATCTCATCTTGAATTCCCATGTGTTGTGGGAGGGACCCGGTGGGAGGTAATTGAATCATGGGGGCAACTTTTTCCCATGCTGTTCTCCTGATATTGAATAAGTCTCATGAGATCTGATGGTTTTAAAAAGAGGAGTTCCCTGCACAAGCTCTCTCTTTGTCTGCTGCTATCCATGTAAGACAGGACTTGCTCTTCCTTGCCTTCCACCATGATAGTGAAGCTTCCCCAGCCACGTGGAACTGTAAGTCCAATTAATCCTCTTTCTTTTGTAAATCAGGTATGTCTTTATCAGCAGTGTGAAAACCGACTAATACACTTATAAATTAAAAGAAAATAACCCTCAGATTGGTGTCAAAAAAGAAGTAGAAGATGCAGCTGAAGTCTTCTTACAGGAGACGGAGGCTGAGGAAATAAAGATGTGTGGGAGATGCTGTACTTTCTGGGAGATGTACGGAATTATATAAATGTCCATTTAGGATCAGAGGAGGTGGTTTTTTTCTGGGGAGTGGGACAGAAGAGAGAGTATTGGAGATGAATCACATAGCAACTCCAATTGTATCTATGATGTTTTACTCATAAAAAATAAATATGAAGCAAAAGTGGCAAAACATTAAGATCTATGTTCACAGGGTTATGAATTCTCTGGTATCCACATTATTCTCTATTTTTGTCTGTATGTTTGAGATAATTTATAATTCAAAATAACCAAAAGTCAAACTAACTTTTTAGTTTGCTAAATAAAATGCTTCTGATAATTTAGATATTCTGAAAGTTGATTCGTTAATTTTTCATTAGTGAGGATTTGAAGAATGGTTGGAGCAAAAAAGAAGTGTGTGTCATTTGAAAAAATTAAACTCTCTTGGTTGTACATTCTTTTAAGTGTTCTGAATTTCACAACCCATCAATGTGTCCTTAACAATTATATTAGCTTCTCTGAGCCTTAGTTTCCACTTTGGTGAAGCTTCTAGTTTTATCAAGATCAACCCGACATCCATGCTCTGATTCTGGCCCATTCTATGATAGTGTTTACACTATGGCATTAAACAAATGCTACTGTAAAAAGACTCAGATGGGAAAATATGTTTATTCCAATTCTGATTTCCTTACTGCCTTGTCAAATGGCCTTTGTTGAAAAATTTGCTTCTGGCTTCCAAGTTTCTCTTCTAATAATCCATGCTTATTTATTTGTTTATTTACCTTTTTTACCTTATAACCTGTGCCAGAAACTGTGCTAGATACCTAATATATATTATCTCATTTAATGCACATAACAATTTTTCAAGGCCTGTATTATTATGCTGAGATAAGGAGACTAACCAGAGGGCATAATCAGCTCTCAAGCATCACATACAGAAGATGGCACCCTGTATCCCACAGTGGCAATATTCAGCCTTGGAGGTTCTAGAATGTGGCCAGTTCCTGAGCTTTAGTCTCTTCTTAGAATGGTTAGGCCTCTCTGACATAATTTCAAAGTGGTTTAAGTGTTGGTTGGTACTTGCATGGAGAAGTATATTAGTGCCGTGTTCTGGCATCCTCTTGAATAGCATCCATCAAAAATGGCATCCATATCTCCCGTATAAACAAACCCCCGGGCTTGAATATTGATATAATTTGTGTCTGTGTACCTACCCAAATCTCAAGCCAAATTGTAATCCCCAGTGTTGGAGAAGGGCCCTGGTGTGGGAGGTGATTGGATCATGGGGGCAGGTTTTCCATGAATGGTTTAGTACCATCCCTTTGGTGCTGTTCTCGTGACAGTGGGGGAGTTCTCCCGAGATCTGGTTGTTTAGTAGTGTGTGAGTCCAGCTCGGTGGCTTACGCCTGTAATCCCAGCACTTTGGGAGGACGAGGCGGGCGGATCACGGGGTCAGGAGATCAAGACCATCCTGGCCAACATAATGAAACCCCGTCTCTCCTAAAAATACAAAAATTAGCGGGGCATGGTGGCGCGTGCTTGTAGTCCCAGCTACTCGGGAGGCTGAGGCAGGAGAATCACTTGAACCCGGGAGCCGGAGGTTGCAGTTAGCCCAGACACTCCAGCCTGGGAGACAGAGCAAAACTCCGTCTCAAAAAAAAAAAAAAAAGATGTGTGGCACTTTCCCCTCCTCTCTCTGCTTCCTGCTTTTGCCATGTAAGACAGGGGTCCCCAACCCCCAGGCCACAAACCAGTATCGAGGTGAGCGGCCGGCAAGTAAGTGAAGTTTTATTTATATTTACAGCAGCTTCCTATTTCTCACATTACCACCTGAGCTCTGCCTCCCGTCAGATCAGCGAGGGCATTAGATTCTCATAGGAGTGCAAACACTGTTGTGAACTGCGCATGTGAGCGGTCCGGGTTGTGCACTCTTTATGAGACTCTAACGCCTGATGATATGTCACTGTTTTCCACCTCCCCCAGACGGAACTGTCTAGTTGCAGGAAAACAAGCTCAGGGCTCCCACTGATTCTACATTATGGTGAATTGTATAATTATTTCATTATATATTATAATGCAGTAATAATAGAAATAAAGTGCACAATGAATGTAATGCGCTCGAATCATCCCGAAACCATTCCCCTACTCCGGTCTATGGAAAAATTGTCTTCCGTAAAACAAGACCCTGGTGCCAGAAAGGTTGGAGACCGCTGATGTAAGACATACCTGTTTCCCTTTTGTCTTCCGCCATGACTGAAAGTTTCCTGAGGCCTCCATAGAAGCCACTGTGCTTCCTGTACAGCCTGCAGGACCATGAGCCAATTACACTTCTTTTCTTTACAAATCACACAGTCTCAGGTATTTCTTTATAGGAGTGCAAGAATGGACTAATGCAAATATACAGATCTTCATTTGGAGGCAATAGAAATTATAATAAATAAGTGGAATATATTCCAACAATAGGGCTTTCCATTTAAAAACATCGTAAAGAAATGTTACACAGATCTTTATTTGCTTCCTGTTCTGAAATATTTAAAACTTGGAATATGCAAAGTTCAGGCCTTTCTCTCTAATGATTGATCAAGTATAACGCACTGCAAAGAATGGGTGATTTTTTTTTTTTTTTTTCAAGACAGGGCCTTGCTCTGTTGGCCAGGCTGGAGTGCAGTGGCACAATCTCGGCTCAGTGCAACCTCCGCCTCCTGGGCTCAAGCAATTCTCCTGCCTCAGTCTCCTGAGTAGCTGGGATTACAGGTGTGTGCCACCACGCCCGGCTAATGTTTGTATTTTTCCTTTTTAAATACCCAGTTTTAAGTCATGAAATTAGAAAGAGGGGCCTCAGTTTTATAGGGCCTCTAACCAATTCATTTCAGATGTGACTAGTTTTTTATCCTAAGAACTGATATGCTAAATTGTCACCATTTTTTTCTTTGAAAAATTAAATACTAGAAACACTTTGCTTTGCTGGATAAGAATTATAGCCATTTGAATACAGGCATGATAAAGATCATCTTGAAGCACCTATGCTAAATGATTTTTCCTTTAAATAGTTTTCATTAACTTGTTTTTCCACATTGGTGTTCCTCATACTTCTTGTTTTTCACCAAGTGTCCATAAATGAAACAAACACAATGACTTCGAATGAAAACAATTTAATATTATGTTAAGAGTTAGAGCCACCTTCCCAGCTGGTTGCCTAAGCTAGTCCCAGCCGCACAGGTGGGACTTAGAAAGCTTTCAGGCAGGCTCTTTGAAGCATGGGGCCCTCTGAGGCGTGAGAGCAGGGGCAGGGCCTTTGCCCAGATGGGTAATATTTATGATAAGTGCACTAATGAATGAAAAACACTCGGAAGTAATATCACAATTTAATATTAAATTATAAAATAATGTCAGCCAATTAATTAATGTATTCATTAGATATAAGTGACTATGATGTGCCAGATAGTGTTCTTGGAAATTTTTTGAAAGTTACTAGCTTATTCTCTGCTCCTCTATTACACATTTAATACATGCAATTGTTATGTCTGGGAGGATATGGTGAGATATATAAATTACTAGAGTCGTAAAAGACCCTGTATTGAAGATAGGTTCAATTTGAAGCACGATCTAGTTGACTTTGGGTAAAAACTTGAGCTGATTCTAGTTTTCTCATTTGTAAAATGGGCATACAAATCTTGCAAGATTTTCTAAGAATTGTTCACTATGTATACAGTGTTTATCATAATTGGCATGAAGTAGATGCTCTAAAATAAAAATGACAGTTGATGTCTTGCTCCTATGACATCTGCTGGTGCTAATATCACAAATCCAAAATCTCTTCTCATTCATAATTCCCACATCCACCAATCTTTGTAATATAATTTATTTTCTTAACTTTGGAGCAATATTGGGGCAAAATTGACAACAGATGTGAAGCTATTTACAGGCTTATTTGTCTTACCTAGTGTAAATATTCACATATAAAACTTGGAGAAACAGTATTTACTCATGAGATTTCCCTGTGGTCTCTGTTGTGTTATATAATATGTTACATAGGTAACAACTATGTTTTTAAATTCCAAAATAACAACAACAACAATAAACAAAACACTGAATCCTGAAACACAACTGCCTCCAAGGGTTCTTGAAAATGATCTAAGGTCTAGCACTGCATCACTTGGTGTTATACAAAGGCTGATGCCTATGTCTTCTATCACTCAGTATTAAACTCTCCAACCAAGATGTATTATCCCTCACCGAAGGTAACATTTCTTATAAACAGATGTGCTCAGTTGCCTATGCAATGGAGAGCAATGATGTCTCCAGAAGTGTATTTCTTGAGTAAAAGCTCATTCTGCATAGATTTCATTTGCAATTTTGCATGCTATCGTTGCTGAGTAAACATGAAAAAATAATGAATCTTAGCAAGTTGTTATATTCTGCTCATGTTTTGTTTACTGTGACACATTTTTCGTGCTCCAAAGTGTTTGGGGAGATAGACTGCCGTTTCCTTTGTAGTCAGTACACTAACACCAGCAGAAACATAGCAGAGAGAGGTGCTGAAGCAAGCCAAAAAAGGCACAGAGAGAAACATTTCAAAGATGAATGTTTCTGAAGTTCATACTTAGGCTGAAATAGGAGAAATATATGGTGGCTCAGTTTGTGCAGCTTCAGGCTATCTCGTTTCTGTCTTGGAGGAAAAAAAAAATCTACCTACACTAGATTGCGTAAGCCTACCTCATCTAGAAATGGCTACAACTTCCATGAGTTATAGGTGAGGGTCATAAACCAAGAAAGAATATGAACCAGGGCCCCAGTTTTTAAGCGGCAAGAGCTTCTTCTTTAATACCTATCCCTTACAGACTCTTATTTAGTGATAGAAGCAAGGACTGAATTAATGGTTATAGCTCCTTGGTTCATTATAAATGAAATGGAGTATGCCCTGTTGCTTAGATTATCTTTTAAAACAGAATTTCAGGGAAGCTATAGGCTGCTTAGGGTGAGAAGACCCAGTGCTTGATGAGAGGCTCAACGTAGAATCAGGTGTAGGAGCCAAGTTCTCATATTTACGGGGAAGTTGATGTGTGTAGGTCATCACAGAATCTAAGCAAAATTAGCAGATGACAATCACAGGAAGGTCCTTGGGAAAGGCCAATATTATTACTGGACTATAAGGAACTCTAGTGCAGAAAGCCATGCAAAAATATGACAGGATTATGTCACATAATAATAATTTTTCACACCCAGTGCTCTGCACTGAGCTACTGCATTTGAAAATTAGCACTACATACTTGGCCAAATGGTGAAGCGTTATTGAACGTTTCTCTGCTTGTTTCATAGAGTTCAAATGATTTCAGAAAAAAATTAAAAATTTAGAAATTTAATTTATATCCCTCCTGAGAAATTATATATGTGTGAATTTAGATCCTTGTCTAACACTTGTAAAGAGTGTTTGTTTTTATATAACCTGTTTATTATAATTGTTTCCCATGTTGAATTTTTCCAACAGATGTGTGAAACTCATATATTAGTTGCAAAGACCATCTAATTAAATTTCCTGTAAGCTGAACGTCAAAATAGAATTTTACCCAAATACAAGCAATAGAAATTGAATTTCGCTTGAATCTTTTCTCTAAAATTCAAATTTGTTTTAGCAATGCTGCTAAGAAAATCCACAAAGAAGGCAATGAACCCTGGGAACATTAGAGTAAATTGGAAGATAACTTAGGAAATAAAAGTTGTTTGGGATGACCTTCTTATGTTATTCCCTTTAAAATGTAGCAATAATATTATTTGCTTTTGGAAATTGACATCTCATTTCCCTGTCCATGGAGTCATGTCATCCAGCCCAAGAAGAGCATGTGCTTGAATGTGTAACTTGCATTTGTTCGTGTTTGTTTGCTATCTAGTGATGTAAAATGAGGCAACAGCTTCACAGAAAGTTAGAGTATTGAAAACATTTAGGTCCTATTTCTTTTTCTTACTGATAGTCACTGTGAATTCAGTTTTCAGACAGCACAGAAAGATGGCTCCAATGTACAACATAATTTAAAAACTAATTCCTAACTGTTGCTTCCAAAACATCTATAGTTATCTAAAGAAGTGGTTCCCAGTCAGAGACCTGCAGACCCCCTAAAGTCAATAAAGATTGATTTAGGACAGGGGTGGGAAGAGTGGGGAGTTGGGAGGCTGATGTTGTTGTTAACTTTTTTCTTTCCACTACACTATGAAGTCTTTTAAAATACTTTTTATTTTCTGTGTTTTGCTTTTTCTTGCATTAGAAAGACTGACCTCAGCATTATTGATTGGCTAATAGAAAACCCAATTAATTATGTTATCATCTTTCTTAAAATAAAATCTTCAAGATCTTGAGCTTTGTGGCATTGGAGTTATGCAGAGTAAAAGGTGAAACAGTGGGGAATTCCTATTCGAAAATAAGACGTTGTTAATTATTCTATTTTTGAAACTTGGGCTCAATTCCTCACCAATAGCTCTGACCACTAGTCCTAAGGCGATCCATGTTTGCCCTCTCATTTCTGTTTTCTAATTTCCTCAGAAAATTATTTGATTTCTTTTCTTTCCTGGCCAGTAAAATTGTAAGGGTCTGTACACAGCTGAAATAATTCATGGTATATCTTGCCAATTTGTGAAATCAGGATCTGCCTGGTTTCTGTTAGGAAACAGATGGCACTCTTGAGAAGTGATTGAGGAAAGGTTAATCAAAGAACTATTTACAAAGTTATGTAGTAGGGTAGAATAAGCAATGAGGATAGTAAAGTACCCAGGAATCATCCCATGCCTGGAAGGGCGTGGAGAAGAAGTCATGACCACCCAACTGGGACTGTAGCACTTGGAGATGGGCCATCCAATGGAAACCTTCAGTGGACATAGGAAGCCCCTGCCAACCCATGGCCCAGCAGAGAGGGAGCCTGGGGAATCTCTACACTGCCCAGCGTGTGTTCCTGCCCTCCTATTTACTGCACATGCCTCCCACTGACCAAACCAAACTGGAAGCAAGTGTAAGGCTTCCCAGATGATACACCTTGTAGGGCCCAGCTCCAGAAGCACAAGGTGGGTCATGAAATTGTGACGCTGGCAGGGTAAATAGAATATAAGGTACCATTCTCAGCCTTAGTAAGCCATAGTGGAAAAGAAAAGACAATGCATGGACCACTGCACCAAACAAATGTATGTTCAAGCATAGGGCTCATCAATGATTGACAATGTGACTGGAAAAGAAAGGACAATGCATGGACCATTGAATAGGGCTCATCAATGATTGACAGTGTGACTCTGGCAAGCTATTTAACCTCTCTGAACTTCCTTATTTTCTGGTATATAAAATTCCATTGAATTGCTTACTTTGTATGCATATTGTAGTTATTAAATGAGATAGGTCTGCATTGGTATTAATAGCAATGACAGTTTTTCATGAAGCCTAAGATGTACTGTATAAGGTTGAATAGTGCCATAGTCCCTTCACTCTCCCCACAAAGTTTAGATATTCCTGGAACCTCAGAAGGTGACCTTATGTGGAAATAGGTTCTTTGCAGATACAATTAGTTAAGATGAGCTCAAACTGGATTAGTATGGACCGTAAATCTAAAGAGTGGCATACTTATAAGAAGGCCATGCAAGACACAGTGAGACATTAGGGAGAATTCCAGGTGATAACACAAATAGAGACTGGGGTGTGTGTCCACCAGTCAAAGGACACCAAGGATTGAAGGCAATCCCAAGCAGCCAGGAGAGAGGAGTTCAAGGCCAGCCTGGGCAACATGGTGAAACCCCATCTAAAAATACAAAAATTAGCCGGGCATGGTGGTGCCCGCCTGCAACTCCAGCTCTTGAGAGGCTGAGGCACAAGAATTGCTTGAACCCAGGAGACAGAGGTTGCAGTGAGCCAATATCATGCCATTGCACTCCAGCCTGGGCGATAGAGGAAAAAAAAAAAAAGAAAAGAAAAAGAAAAGCTAGGAGAGAGGAAAAGGAGCATTCTTCCCAAAAGCCTTCAGAGGGAGCATGGCTCTGCTGACACCTTTATGGCAGCCTTCTATCCTCCAGAACTGTGGCACTTTGTTATGGCAGTCCTAGGAAATGAATACATGTACTTTTATTATACATTAAAACAAAAAAAATCAGAAATCAAGAAATGTCTAAAGTAGATAACATCTTCCAATGGCTATCAGCTAGGCAAACTGACAGCTCCCAGAAGTACCTGTGCTAAACCTTACAGAATGTGTCAGCAGTGTTGACAAGACACATATGGGCCAGTTTTTTTAATTCCAAGGAAAAATGTTGGGGGAAGGGAAGAGAGGAGGTAAGTTTGACAAGTCCAAAACATCCTCAACTCGCAAGCTGGAACCAAAATTAGGCGTCAACATAACTGAATGCTCCCTTGGGAGCTCAATATGAAAGATATTTTTTTTTCTTAAAAGAGAAATTCTGTTACCAATGTTCTTTTTAATTTTAATTTTAGATTCAGGGGGTGCATGTGCAGATTTGTTACAAGGATATATTGAGAGATGCTGACGTTTGGGCATCTATTGATCCCGTCATCCAGATAATAGTAGTACAAGATGGGCAGTTTTCCAGCCCTTTCCTTCCTCCTCCCATCTTCCCGTCTTCTGGAGTCCCCAGTGTCTATTGTTCCCATCTTTAAGTCCTTGTGTACTCAAGGTTATCTCCCACTTATAAGTGAGAACATGTGATATTTGCTTTTCTGTTTCTGCAGTATTTCATTCAGGATAGTAGCCTCCAGCTGCTTCCATGTTGCTGCAAAGGACATGATTTTGTTCTTTTAAATGGCTGCATAGTATTCCATGATGTATGTGTACCACATTTCCTTTATCCAATCCACCATTTTTGGAGGACACTGAGGACCACCTTCAATGGCAAAACGCAAAGCACCATGACTAAGTCTATAAGAGATTTGAAGATGTGAGTCTTGAATATGAAAAAGTTTAGGAAAACTTGTAAGAATTTATTGTACTTGCATTTTCATTTTTAGTGCATAGTCATGCTGCATAATCAGTTTATTTTAAATAAGTCTTAAAGAGCTATCTCATTATGTATGAAATAAAAACTTCAAATAATGAATGCATTATTTCACAGTTTAACTAGCAGCAGGTTTACTTTTGCAGTACATATGGTGATTTATCTTACAGTTAATAGTGTCTCAGGTTTGATATTATAGTATTAGCTATTAGTACTTTAGCTCAAATGATTCGACATCTTTTGCTTATTTTCTGATACTAATGTTTTTCCCACAAAAATTTACTCTTATAGCTAAATTTTAAAAAGTAACGTTCCAGACGCAGTGGCACGTGCCTGTAATGCAAGCACTTTGGAAGGCTGAGGTGGGAGGATTGCTTGAGTCTAGGAGTTTGAGATCACCTGGGCAACAGAGTGAGACCCCCCCATCTCTACAAAAAATTTTAAAAAATTAGTCAGGTGTGGCAGCACACACCTGCATTCCCAGCTACTCAGGAGGCTGAGATGGGAGGATTGCTTGAACCCCAGAGATTGAGGCTACAGTGAGCCGTGATTGCTCTACTGCACTCCAGCCTGGGTACAGAGTGAGACCCTGTGGGGAAAAAAAGAGTAAAATGTTAAAAGTTCAAGATTCAAACTTCTTTTAAAATAGAAGTAAAATTTTCCTTAAAAAATGGTATTGGCTGGAAGACAGTTTTAAAGGACAAGTTTGTATCTGAGGCTGGTACCATCCAAGAGTATTGTTTGCATGAGCATTCTCCAACATTGCCATTTCAGTAAGAAAAATATCAGATTTTGAATAATATTTTCTGAATTCACCCTATTAGATTGTAACACCTCTCTCTAGCAGAAGGCAAAAGTGTTATTTGCAAACGTATTGGCAGCATCTTTCTTTCTGTATATAAAGAAATGGTTGTAAGAAAGTTTCTATTAGGTAAGTAAAATAGAGATATACATATTAATCTATTTTATCACTTTAAGCATAAAATCTCACAAAAATTCTTGTGCATATTTTCTGCATTTTAGACTCATAAGTTAGTCTCTTAATGTGGACTAAGGCAATATAAATTGTTTATGACATAGTAAATTGAAGATGGTACATATTTAAGAAAACATGTTTTAATAATGTTTAAGACTTATCCCATTACATAAAAACTCCCTTCTCACCTTGCATAAAGTGGTAGAATTTTAAAGCTGGAGGGAGCCTTAGATCATCAAGTACATGCTGTATTTTATCATCTAATCTAACATCTTGTATCTCAAGCTGATTGTCTTTATTTGTAGCATTTTAAAGAAATGATTACTTCTATGTTACCTATCTTTGTTGTCATAATATGTGGTATCCATATCAGTGATCTTTGAGCCAGGGATCTCAATCTCAAATATCTAAATCAGTCAGCCAGGAGAGTGCATGAGTCAGACTGGCCTGGTGATGTCTGAAGACCATGGGAGAATGCGAGTCTTTCTACAGAGAGTGACAGACAGCATTCAGGACCAGATGACAGAGGGAATGCCAAATCCAGTCCCCATATTGCTAAAACTTCCTACTCCAGAGAAAACAGAAATCCAGATTTTTAATGTGCAGTTTCTCTATTGAAATTCACAATTGATTAAATGTTTTTGAAAACTATGTGAGATAAACAAAATATATCTTTAGGCCACTGATTTTCAGATTCGGATCTTGGTATTTATATCATGAAATGTATAGTTTATCCTGAAATAGTCAATTCCTCCACACAGACTGACTGCAGGCAGAGGGGTTTGTGCCCAGGTGAATTTGACGATGGTAAGCTTTCTCCGATGCTTTGGAGACCCAGAAATGTGAATGGAAATGAAAGCACAACAGCTTCTATTTACCAGCCTAACTGACAAGCCTATCAAATATTTTTTCTTGCTTTGCTGCTTATGTATGGGTTCTATTTTCTAGACTGTCCAACAGTCTTTAAAAATAAGCAATTTTCATTTTGCATCTTTTTAATATGAAAATATGTGGCTGGGCATGGTGGCTCACACCTGTAATTCCAACACTTTGGGAGGCTGAGGTGGGTGGATCACCTGAGGTCAGGAGTTTGCGACCACCTTGACCAACTTGGAGAAACCCAGTCTCTACTAAAAATACAAAAAAAAAAGGGAAAGAAAAAGAAAATATGCCACATATTAAGCTAGGTAGTTTCAGTTTAACAAGCAGTTATTCTATATCTTCTCTGCAAAATATACCACTCTATATTCTATACAGTTATGAGTAAGACATGTTTCCTCTGTTCAAAATTTTCTGTGTGACAGATACATCCCCTCAGCCATTCTTTTCTTTGACATATTTCTTCATTACTCCTTAATTGCATACTGTCTGGTGCTTACAATCAAAATGACAGCAACTTATATTTTTCTGTAGACACTGTCTTGAGCATTGTGCATTAGTATTGCTGGCATTCCTCACAACACTGAGAAGTAGAACCTACTTTATCATTCTGAAACCTGCCATTCCTATTTCACAGATGAAGAAACTGTAACATGAATATACTGTAAATAAATTACCCTGTGGACACACCAATTTCTGCAAAGGATCGTCTGATCTCATTGTCTATGTGCGTCTTTATTTCCGTGTAGACTGTCTCCCAACAGGAAAAGACTGGTATGCCAGTTTGCTTTGTCAGTCTCTTATTTTTCTGGAATTAGCATCACACTTGGAAGTAATACACACTTTACACTAAAGCAAATGGAATAAATCATGATTTTCTTTATGCCTATATTTATAAACTAGAAAAACCACTTGTGTAGAATCTACAAAAAGAATTACCTTGTTGATAGTATATGATAAGATGTTTACAAACTATGTGTCTCATAGAAGTAATTACCATGAGGAGTAGAATTATAATGAATACTAATGAAAATTTGTCAAGTCTTGACTGACAGCTGACCAGAAAATCTACATTATCACTGACTCTTATTCTTTGAGTTCTCCAGAGTAAGGCTTTGAAGTTGATGGATTAACAAGTCACCAGATCCTTCAGTGACATTTTTCAAAACATAATTTTGTTTGATGTTTGGAATATTATTGTACAGGTGGACAGAAGACTCATCATAGTGGTTCCCGGTTCAATAAATAGTACCATCATATTCCAAGCCCACATATCAGATGCCTAAAAACACCTTCCTGTTTTTAGCCAGCCATTTTCAATCCATCAGTAAGTCTGTCG
This sequence comes from Homo sapiens, assembly GCF_000001405.40. NCBI lineage: Eukaryota > Metazoa > Chordata > Mammalia > Primates > Hominidae > Homo > Homo sapiens. The sequence goes on along the minus strand of NC_000014.9, from coordinate 87,466,949 downwards.
AACCTGTCTTTGAAAAAAATCTCTTAAAGCCTCTCATTTCTCTCCCTACTACAAAGTAAGTGTTCAATAAATGTTTGCTCTAATTATTACTATTGTTGCTATTTTTCACAGTCACCAGATTAGAGCAACTTACTATCATGGTTTGCTTGAACTACTGTAATAACCTCCTAGTTTGTATTTTATATCCAAATTCACCCTTAGCGCCCCCACCCCCAATTTTTTTTTTCATGCTCTAGCTAGATGACCTCTTTAAAAAGCTAGTCTTGCCTCACTTCCCTTGGAAACCCTCTCTGGAGATCCTGCAATGACTGAATTCCTGTCTATTTTCCCATACCCTCTCTTAGCATCGTTTACCTTCCTTTTGAAATACTAACCATAATTGTAATTTTACACACATTTATGTAAACCATTGATTAATGCCTCTCTCTTTCTAGACCATAAGGCCTATGAGAGTTGGAGACTATTCAATACATATCCGTTGAATTCATGAATGCTGTGTTATTAGATTCACTAGCTAATAAAAAAGCGTTTAGCATAATGTAATAATAGAAACAGCACATTTCCTTTCATCTGAATGTTTATGGTTGTCAGGCTCTGTGCTTTGCAGGTACTGTTCTAATGTCCAGATATACTCCCATGGAGTTAGGTTTTTCTATTTAGGGCCTCCAGGAGAAATGAGCCTTAACTGTGAGACATCCATAGGCCAAACTAACAGTGTCTATAGTGTCTGCTGTTTGGTTCCTCTTAATCCCTGAAAGAAAATAGACTAAGATTGTTCCATTCATAAAAGGGTGACTTGTGACTTACATATCCCTAGACAAACGAATGCATTATTCATGTGTTCACAAGTTCATGTAAAGCAAAGAAAGCCTAATGAAGATTTATATCAGGATCTACTTTCTGACTGTAAAATGTATTATTCCTTGGGCTTATCGTGCAAAGAAGTGGTGGAAACCTCATTCTCTGAGCTATTAAGACTCCGTGAACAACAGATTACTCTAGGGACCCATCCTTATGGATTAGGTGGGGAGATGGTCATGGATTTGATGATATAATCAGTCATCTATCTTCTCAAGTTTTGCAAGAGGGCAGAAGTAAAAAGTGTGGCCAGTGGAAAAGCTTTAATCATTATTGAATATTCGTGTTAAATAGTTGTATGATATAGAATGGAATTAGCATCCTATGTTAACCTTAATCTTTTGTGTAAATGGACATAAAACCTCCGACTCCCCCAGGCAGATGCCTCTCTACCATGAATTTATAAGCCTAATGTGTATTCCTCTGCTGGAGCCCTTGGCTATGTGGTCTTCTGTGCTCTCACCCAGTCCTGTAATCACCTCTTAATATTTCTATATCTTCAGGGACAGCAGGATACCTGTCACAAAGATGGAATTGGTCATTCGTTGGTGGCATGAGTAAATGGATTGATGAATGATGGTACCCATATTCCTGGGAATTATATTAAGCAATTATTGACTTTGAGAAAAAAGAACCCCAAACATTGCTACTATGGTAAATTATTTTCACTTTCTATTTTGCACTTCTTTTTTTCTGATCCTGATTTGCTATTGTATCTGTTTCTCTTGTTTCTTTTCTCCTTTCATGCTCTCTCTCTCGAAAGAAGTTTCCCATCCTGCTGAATTAAAGGCTAATATCAGTGCCCTTTATGACATCAAAACTTGATTCTGACTGACAAAATCCAGCTGGCTTTTGCATTCTGCTTTTTTAAAACCTTTGACATAGATTGTGTTACTAAGTATTGCTATGTATGTTTTCCAGTTTGGAAATCAGTAGAAAGGAGATAACCTTTAATTATCTTTGAACTGGCCAGCTTAACAGTTAAACCTAGGACTCAGACAGAAAATCCATTTTTGGTTTGTTTTTGAAAAGCCAGCCATCCATTCTCTCAGCCAGTGTAAAACCTTTTTCATCTGAAATCTCCTTTCAACTTGAGTAGTGTATGAAGGCTGGGCTCTCCAGAGATGGACCACAAACTGAAGTTTAGGGCATTGAAGACATTCGTTTGAATATTTGTGATAACATATTGCAACAGTTATCTGTAACAGCAGCATAATTTGTTCTTTCTGAACATGGTAATATTTTTACTTTTTAATGAAGTAATTATTCTCAGATTGTTTCTTTAATATAGCATGTAGAGTATATTTTAAATGTCTACTTAATAATTAATCATTAAAATTAGAATATTTAGGTTACATAATTTAGTAGTAACCATGTACCTATGACATAGGCATTATTTTTCCCTTTCCGCAGATGAAAAAACGGAAGTTCATTGAGGCTATTAGATTTATCCAAGGTCACATATTGAGTTGAAGGACTCAGGTCTTTGTAACTTTAAAGCCATGTTTTATGCCAATGCCTGTTCTTAACAATTTTAAAGATGATATTACAATTTGACATTTACATTTTGAAAAATAATTTTTATTACCAGATGCTACATGGGTTAGCTGAGACATTTCAGGGAATTTAAAATGATCTTGAGAGTTTAAGTTATACTTAATAACATCATGTTCTCTGAGTGGTGAAACTTCTTTGACATCCATTATATATGCTACGTTCATTTCACAGGAATGGTTGCCTGGTGAACGACTACAGCTTTGCTGGTAGTACAGTATATTAGTCTGTTCTCATGCTGCTAATAAAGACATAACAGAGACTGGGTAATCTATAAAGAAAAAGAGGTTTAATGGACTTACAGTTCCACGTGGCTGAGGAGGCCTCACAATTATGGCAAAGTCAGGTCTTACATGGCAGCAGGCAAGAGAGAGGCGGGGACTCTCTTTGTGCAGGGGGACTCCCCTTTATGAACCCATCGGATCTCATGAGACTTACTCACTATCACGAGAATAGCATGGGAAGGGCCCGCCCTCATGATTCAATTACCTCCCACTGATTCCTTCCCATAGGAATTATGGGAGCTACCATGTGAAATTTGGGTGGGAACACAGCCAAACCATATTAGAAAGATTTCATTATGCACCATCAATGAGTGGTCAGAACTAACAGATGGGATGTAGATCCCACCAATCCACAAAAGCAGATGCACCCCTGAAATGTTCACTTGGGGCATAGTCCGCGTGGCATCTCAGAAGAGGGAGCTGTATTGATCTTTGCCTTGGCAGTGTACTGTTTCGAGGCTTTTCTTCTCAAGGTGAGTCAAAGAAGAGTGAAAGTGGTTCCTATAATTTATTTCCACAGATACTGTCCATTTGTCTTTATCCTTTTCTTTTTAAATAGCTCTTTGTGTGTTAAGCCCTTGCCCTTTCATCCTTATGTTTTCCTCTGAAGTAGAAACAAAGGGTTTACACAATAATGCTGAGGCATGAACTCTATTGAGTTATCATCTAAAGTCCTTCACTGATTAAGTGAAGTGCTCTTACATCAACTTCAAATTTGGACCTCATCAAAATAAGCACATTATTATGAGCCATGTCATCATAGTCATTTGGGATAATTAGTAAATAGATGAAACAACAAATTTTAAATTCGTGGTTGTCAAATATTTACCACTTTAGCCTGTACTGTGCACAGGTATTATGAGATGGGATTACGTGGGTACAGAGAAGAGTAAAATATATATTTCCCCTTAACACCAATAATATAGTTTAACATATATGTGAGTAGAATGTTCTACCAAAATAATAATTCCAGGTAGCAATGCAGTAGAAGACTTCATGGGTGGGAAGAAAAAAATAAAAAGAATTTCCATGGAGCCATGGAGGATAGAAATGGGGTTAGGAATTCATCCAATATGGCATAGCCAAGAAAACAAAATAAGAGGTTTGAATGCCCTTCAGACTCTTGAGCAAGTTTTGCTCCAAGCCCTCTCCTTCTGCGTCAACTCAGTAAGTCCCTTCTCTCTTTCTGAACCCACAATGCCTCCAGAAGTTCCCTCAGAGTCTACTTGAACTGTCTGCTTCATCCATCCACCCATGTAGCAATGAATCCATGTATTCTCAAGCAATCGTACTACAAAATATATATTCCCATTGGAAGACTGGTGTTATTTTATCCTGAGATTCCCCTTCTTGTCTTTCCTTAATATATTTAAGATGGTTTAGGACTCCTATTTACCTTGTAATAAATTATACCTCCATAAGTATCTGTAGTTAATCTCAAATCATGGTGATTTATTTTGAAGGGAGGTGTTCAGTAAGTTATCTATAGTAAAATAGTAGTACAGATTTAAATGGTAATTGACACATGATTAATACATGTTTATGTTGAATTATTTTGGTCCTATTCTTTTAGCTTTAAAAGGACTACATTTTACAAAGCCTTACATAGTAACAATATGTACACTCTTACATTTCAATTAGGAAAAAAATTAAAAGTTGTTAACTGAACATAAAATGATTCTATATTTAATTTTGTATATAATCCACAACAAGAAAATATAAAACAGGCACAGCTTTTATTAAAACTTGTCAGTACAATTTTATTAAAGGAGGAAAAGAATATTGACCTCTTTTAAGTCAGGTTGTGGCTTTGAAAAATTAAAAATATAATCACAATATGATATTAAGATACCACATCCATTTAAAACGCAAGATACACTTAAAAGGAATTGTTAACACTTTGATTTCAATAACTCTTGTGTTTTCTCAGTGATTTTACCATTTTGGTTTTGGGTGAAACAGAGGGTGCAGTTTACGGAAAGGAGGGATAGGAGGAAGAACCATTTTAAGCATGTGAGGTACTTGCATTAGAGGTACACCAGCTGACCCATAGCCACGCCTCCTATGCATGTGGCACTCAGTTTCCTTTCCCAAGAAGGCTTAGGCATTTTTGCACCACCCAGTTCTAGAGAGAGCGGAGGTAAATGAGACAACGCTGAAGATCCCAAGGGGATGATTTCCTCCACAAAACTGTAACAGAGAAAAAGTGATGTACTCATGTTGTGGAAAGGAGTTCATTCCTTCTCCTACCTGTGTTTATTTTCTGTTGATTGGCTGTGGTTAGGAGGGTGGTAGCTCTTCACTGTAATTCACACTCTGCCTGAGTCCAGATTGTTCTTGGCCCCAGCTGGAAGCGTACTTATTGTGTCAGCAAGAATCCAGTGGGCTCTGGAGTGTGACCTGCTACTGGGTAAGTGTAGCTTAGCCGGCTCTTGTGGAGCTAGGATCAGCGTGGCATAAAGCTGTTCTCAGCATGACAGTCCATTTATAGAGAATTACGGGTTATTTGTGGCCGGTCTATTTAAGTTCCAGCTGAAAACATTTTCTCCTTACATTCTGATTCTGTAATTAGAAAGCAAAATTCAGCTAGATTTTTACAAATCAACTTACCTGTGCTGATTTATTATTTAAAATTTTCTAATTTATTTATCTTTTGCTTATCAGCTAATATGGGGAAATTGAAATTTTATGTATTTTAAATTATATATTTGAAACATTTTATTTTTAAAGAAGAACAGTCATTTAGGAATCTACAAAGTTATGCAACAATATCTTGAATAGGTTCTAGTTTTTTGAACTGTCTTAGTAGCATATAATATATGCCACCATTTCAATAGAAGAAAAGTTTTCAGTGAATACTAGTAAAAATTGGTTTTGCCTAAATTCCTCTCCTTGTTTACTTATAACAGAAGTAAAATCTCATATAAAAACCATATTGACATTTCAAAGATTCTTCACCCATATTATTTACACTCTTTGGTTTACTGAGTTTTATTAAAACTAATCTTTTGATTTTTTTGTTTAGCATTTTAAAGTTATTGGGCTGAAAAATATGTAACCTTCACATTCCATAATTAACTGTTACAAGATTTTGATACCCTGCGGAGTGGTGTGTACCTGTGGAACAGAGATTTATTAAAGTTTAATAAATGATTTATATCTGCACATCCTATTGAAAAATGAAAGTTTTACGGCCCCCAAGCTAGAGAATATCATCTTTCTTGCTGAGCTAAGGTGATGATGGCATTTGTAAGGCAATAGATAAGTTGTAATAAAAATACTGGCAGTTTTTGGAATGTTTTTCATCTATGAATCTTGAAGTTATTTACAAATATCAGGTATAATTTCAGTGAATCATTAATTGTCAGTGTTTTATTTCCAGTCATACCAAGTCATGTCATCCAAAGCAATAAGGTAGAACTAAACTACTTATTTTCTGAATTAATGGAGAAATTATATGAATAATATAAAAAATGAACAATAATTAAAAATCAGTCTGGGCATGGTGGCTCATGCCCATAATCCCAGCACTTTGGGAGGCTGAGGCAGGTGGTCACCTGAGGTCAGGAGCTCAAGACCAGCCTGGCCAACATGGCGAAACCCTGTCTCAACTAATAATACAAAAAATTAGGCGGCTGTGGTGATGCATGCCTGTAATACCAGCTACTCGGAAGGCTGAGGCAAGAAAATCCCTTGAACCGAGAAGGCAGAGGCTGCAGTGAGCTGAGGTTGCACCACTGCACTCCACCCTAGGCAACACAATGAGACTTTGTCAAAAAAAAAACAAAAACCATATATATATATATATATATATAAAGCCATATATAAACATATATATATAAACCCATATATAAACATATATATATATATAAACCCATATGTATATATAAACCCATAGGTGTATATATATATATAATTTATAGTTTGCCTGAATTCACTCTGTTTCTTTAGAGAAAGCAATATATTTGCCATAGTGATGCAATCAGGTATGGCATGTGCCTCTGACTATCATTTCACCAAATGTGTAAACATACTTTGTTATCTATGTGGCTAGTAGGGTTGCCAGATTGAGCAAGTAAAATTATAGGACACCCAGTTAATTTTGGATTTTAGAAAAATAACAAATCAATGTTTAGTATAGCATATTTCTATTATTGCATGTAACATACTTATGCAAAAAAGTTATGTGTTGTTTATTTCAATCTATATGTAGCTATGCATCCGTATTTAACCTCAAAAATTTAGAAATAAATGTTTAGTGTGCCTCCATCTAACTGGTCCCCACCAATCTTCCAGAAGATTTTTAGGAGACGTAGAATACTGAGAAAATAAGGTGAGTAGCATTCAAGAATTAAGGTAAGGATCTTCATGAAAACTTGCTGGATCCGAAGAGAAACTCTCTGACCTCTTCAGGGCAAAGATCTCTATAGCACCGGGCAAAAGCCAGAAATAACTTCTCCTCTTTCAGAAAACTCATCAACGATGATAGCAAGTAGCACAAAAATAAAACAAAACAAAAAATCTTGCTTTTCAGGGGTCTCCTCTGTCTCTGTGTGGTGGAATCCTCAGAGAACTGACTGAAATTCTACCATAAAATTCATTTAAACACTGACAGAGACTGAATTAACCAGGAAGATTCAGTTTAAGCAGCAATAACCATTTCCAATCATAAGATTAAGAGCGAAGCTTTTGATAGATGCTAGGGGAAGTTACATTCTTTGGACTTAAATGGTTTCATCCTAATTTTAGTTTCTAGCTGCTAGTTACGGAATCTTTACAAGATTTAGGCACCTCAGCTCATTATAGTGCTGTACATCCACTGTTTCTCCGTGTATTGTAAATGTTGCATTAATCAGAGGTGGAAAAGAAAGAAAGGATATCAGTTCTGAGAAAGAGCAACGTAGTATAGGTCAGTGTTAAACTTAACAACTGAATTTATTGGTGACTATTTTTAAAGCACTTACTTAACTCTATTTGCTCTTTAAATTTTAATGTACAGATGTGTTGTCACTTATATACCTTTTTTTTTCCTCTCTACAAATGTAGCATGGGTTCCCCCTGCCTTATCTGTTTGATGTTCATATTTGGCTAGTTGTATTAATGAATAGGGCTCTGAATGCAACAGTTGCCAACCTCATCTTATTCCATCTCTTCTCTTGTAAAAGTTATGAAAACAGAAAAGTACTTCAAAATTGTTTTGTTTTTCCGTGTCTGTGAAGTTTATTTTTTCCTTCTGCTATTAATGCAATTATTTTTCAAGCCTTGTAAGACCTCTTCACATCAATTTTTCTGAATATAGAAATTCCTTGATCTTTATTATGATTTGTAGAGTTCTTTGAATATGAATTCGGTAGTCACCATAGACCAACTATAAGCAAATAGAAATCTCATGCTATTTCTCATTATTATTTTCTAGATTAAATACATAGCTTATTATTAGTAGTAAGGATCAATATGTATAATAATTTATGATGAATTTTTATTCTTATATTTTTGATCATAGAACTATTTGTCCAAATAAAATGTTACAATGAAACCTAAGGAAATAATAGCTGTAAAAGTGAGTCTCTTCTAATATATTTGTCACTTACTCCTATCTAACCTGAGTTGGGAATGCTGGGAAGGTTTTAGGAACCCCCTGGAACTCCTCAAATCACACTTTGAAGAGCAATGCCCTTTACAAATGTGACAGGACACAGAACATTATTAAAGCCAAAAATAACTGAAGAAAGCAAAAGAAATAGGGGATTATTAATAAGCTTTCTCTGTTTTCTAAGTCTTCTCTCCTATTTAACATTTAAACTGATATTAAATGGCTACAGACCCAGTGGAATATTCCTATATTGATCCACCTCACTCCAGGTTTATCTGTCTCTCTTCAGTTGATGATATCATTTTATTTCAATTGTTTGCATGTCTACATCTCCTTAGACTGTGCACTGGGGGTAATGTCTTTCTTAACTGCATATTGACAGGACCTGCAAGACCACTTGGCACACAGTAAGACCTTGATAAGTATTTTTTAATTAACATATGAATAGATAAATGAAAAAAAAAGAAGAAGCCCAGCTAGCACAGATGTTTATTGTGGAGCATCTTATCTGTCCCCCAAATGCCCTAACACAGCTTCAGCTGCTGATTGGCATAGAAGACCCTAAAACTGTTGAGTGGGATACCCAACGTTTCGAGTACCCACTCCTCTACCTTCAATTGAGTTGGGAATGTATCCCTGATGTACAAATTCTGCAACTGCACCGGGCTTCTCTGGAGCCTTCCCTCTCCAACTGAAACCACACATTGAGAGTCAGAGGAAAGGACATGGTGGCTGTCCAGACTCTAGCTCTAATAGCCGTTTTAGCCAAATAGAAAGTGAAAGCATTTTCTTTTACGATGAAGTTCTGAATTGTTCTCTAAACTACATTGTTTTTTCTATTGCCGTCAATTTCTCAATTTCTTTGGTAGTGTGTCTTCCTCACTCCTACCAAAACAAACCAACAATGTGAGGGGTAACTCTGCTTCTCTTCTAGGATTTTTTTTTTAAGTTAATTACCTCCATAAGTCATCTAAACTGATGTGTATGCATCATTTTCTGCAACTTTGTTTTCAATAAGTATTGAATTTTGGTCAATTATACTTTTAATGATATAAACTTTAAATTTGATTATATATTATGTTTGTTCATAAATTTAGGACTATAGATTTCTTTTATTTAAAACTATCTGATTTAATTTTTGATAACACAGGAGGATGTCTTTCATGCAGTTAACACACATGGAAACTTTAAATGCTACCTTCAGAATATTTTCCTCACCCGTATGTCACTCCTTCATCTCAGCACTTCCATCTGATTTGGCCCCTCAGGTATGTTCACACACAGCATCCACTGCTTCCCTACTAAACTGTAAGCCCCTGGAAGTCAGGGCGAATCTGACATTTTATCCTCAGTATTTAGCATAGGGCCTAACACATAGTAGGTACCAAAAAATTTTTAAAAATGAAAGAGGGAATATGTATTGAACATCGATTATATAGCTTTAATAGATAACGCAAAGATAAAGGTTGGTCTTTGTCCTAAGGGAGTTCACATAATGAGAAGACAGGCATATAAGTATATCAACATGATTTTAAAGACACAAAACAAACTTATTGGATTCATGAGTATCCAAACCTTAGAGTAGGGAAAGTGTATTAGGGAGCAAGGGGTAGGGTACATTGCAGGCACTTGGGACAACACTATATTTTGTCAAATCTAAGACAACTATTGTAAGCGACACAATTAAAACTAAAGTGTGATTTTTAAAAAATGTGTGTTAAGAAAGACAGTGTACGCTTGATTTTTTAAATAATGTTGACTGAATTTGGCCTAATATGCTATCTCCAAATTAAATTGTGTTATTTAGACTTATTTTGAGTTGAAATCAGTTGCAAGTTTGTGTTCATGATGAAAAATTCAAAAATATTTAAGGGTTACCTAATTACAGATTTAACTTGTATTTTTAAGTGATATTAACCATATTTTATCAATTTTTTTGTTGTTGTTGTTGATACAAGTTCTCGTTCTGTCACCTAGGCTGGAGTGCAGTGGCGTGATCATGGCTCACTGCAGCCTCAATCTCCAGGGCTCGTGTGATCCTACCACCTGAACCTCCTGAGGAGCTGGGATCCTACTACCTGAACCTCCTGAGGCGCAATATGCATTGCGCCACCATGCCCAGCTAAGTTTTTATTTTTCTTGTTGTTGCTGAGCTAGGGTCTTGCTTGGTTGTCCAGGTTGGTTTCACTCCTGAGCACAAGTAATTCTCCCAACTTGGCCTCCCAAAGTGCTGCAATTACAAGTGTGAGCCACCATGCCCAGCTGTGTACTTTAGCAATTCTAAAAACATTTTTTTTCATATTCTAAGTGACACACTTATTGCTGAAATTGGAATGTGTCATTTGACCAACAACGTATCATAGTTTAACTGGCAACATTTTTCTTTTCAGACGTGTGTAAAGTGTTGTTACTTCTTATAACCAACACTATTTTAGATTCAAAAATATAGTAAGTTATTTTGTAATTATTAGTTGAGGCAACATAGTGAAAAACAAACTAAAACATATTAAAATATAAAAACTAAAATATTTGGCCAGGTGTGGTGGCTCACGCCTGTAATCCCAGCACTTTGGGAAGCTGAAGCAGATGGATCACGAGGTCAGGAGTTCGAGACCAGTCTGGCCAACATAGTGAAACCCCGTTTCTACTAAAAAAATACAAAAATTAGCAGGGCATGGTGGCGCACACCTGTAGTCCCAGCTACTTGGGAGGCTGAGGCAGAAGAATCACTTGAACCTGGGAGGCTGAGGCTGTGGTGAGCCAAGATCATGCCACTGCACTCCAGCCTGAGCAACAGAATGAGCAGAATGAGACTCCGTCTCAAAAAAAAAAAAAAAAAAAAACCTAAAATATTTAAAAGTGCTTTATTTTAAAAGTTTCCAAATGGAACACAAAATTATTTGAAGTGTCCTTTAAAGTTATTGCTAAAATCAGCTAAACCTACAAGTAGAATTGAACTTACAAGTTAAACTCAAAAACTTAATGATAAAGTAAGAATTTGAATTGGTAACTTAAAGAAACCCAACATTAATTTTGGAAATAAAAGAGAATATCTAAAAAGTATTTTGTGTCTATGAAAGTCACCCTTCTAGTCAGCTGAAATTGCTCAATTGGGAGAGCATTAGACTAAAATGTCACCCTTAAGTTCAACAAAAAGATAAAATACAATTCAGAAGGCAAAAGTAGTAAGAATAAAGGCAAAGAGTTACAAAATAGCCTGACATCTTCAAAAAACTGGGGTGTAGAATGCATGTGGGGAGAAATAGTAAATCAGTTAGAGAAGGTGGTGGAAGGTAGACAAGAAAGAAATCTTATGCTAAGCGCTTTCGAAATTCCTCACAATCAATAGGACGTCTGATTCAATGTTGATAGAAATATTGGGTGAGCATCGTTGTGTTGTTCTTCAAGGGGGAAACATGCTGTCTTTCACTGGTAAGTGTAATGGTTGGTAGTTGAAATTTTTCATCAATGCCCTTTTTCAGGTTGATAAGTTTCTATTTCTACTGAGATTTTTATCATGAATGAATGTAGAATATAGTAGAATTTTTTGAGCGTATCGAGAAGATCAATAACTTTTTTCTTTTTCATCTGTCGATATAGTCTATTACACTGATTGATTTTCAAATGTGGAACCAATCTTGTATTCTGAGGATAAAACCCACATGGCTCTGGTGTATAATTCCTTTTATGTTTTGCTGAATTCAATTTACTAATATTTTGCTAAGAGTTTATCTGCCTATGTTCATGAGAGAAATATTGTTTTCAGTTTTCTTATAATGCCTTGGTACAGCTTTTATATTAGGACAATGCTGGCCTCATGAAATAAGTTGGGAAGTATACATATATCTTCTATTTTCTGGAAGAGTTCGAATAAAATAAGTATTAATTCTTCTTTAAATGATGGGAAGAATTCATCGAGGGAATCACCTAGACTTGGAATTCTCTGATATTTTTACCCATAAATTTAATTTATTCAACAGACAAAATGTTATTCTGCTCCTCTATTTTTCTTTCTTGAGTGAGCACTGGCAGTTTGTGTTTTTAAGAGATTTATTCATTTCATCAATACTTCCAAATGTGTTGGCATAACGTTGGTGGTAGTCTTTCCTCATCCTGTTGTAGCACTTACTGTGATGTCCCCTTTCTCTCTTCTGACATTGGTCATTTTTAATTTCTTTTTTTTCTGTTTTCTTTGAAAGAGCCATCTTGGATTTTAGTGGTTTGTCTGTATTTATTTTTCTGTTTTAATTATTTTTCCATGTTTTTTTTTTCTTCCAATTGCTTTGTGTTTAATTTGCCCTTATTCTGTTTTCCTAGGGTGGAAGCTTAGTTCATTGACTTCAAAATTTATTGTTTTTTTCAACTATAAGTATTTAATGCTAAGAATTTCTCTCTAAATACTAAATACTGCTTTACCTGTACCCCACAAATATTGGTATGGTATGTTTTTATTTCCATTTAATTCAAAATAATTTCTAATTACTTGGTGCTATGGTCACTGGAGGTTGGTAAGAATTTTTGTTCTCTGCCCCAGCCTCAGTACTAGAAAGATTCCATGTCTCTGGGCCTTAAAAGTAGGGCTTTCTCAGCATTTCTGCTGCCACTTTATTAGAGGTTGAATTGTGTCCCGCTCAGAATTGGTACTGGTAACCCCTAGCATCGCAGAATGAAACCTTAATTGGAAATAAGGTCATTGCAGATGTAATTAGTTGAGAAGAGGCTATTAGGGTGGGCCCTAATTCAATGTAACTGATACTCTTATCCTCCTATCAGAAGTATTTGTTTTTTGCCTGGGTCCCTGTGGCTTGAGTGTTTCCTGTACTCTCCCAAAAACCAACAGTTTGAGAAGGGTGCCTTGTATGACAGAAGAGGCCTGGGCAGTGGGCGAGGCTTTATGCCCCACCCCAGCAGCAGCTGATTTCCACCCGCTCACCTGCACCACTGAGGGGGAACTCTCTTCAGTCTCCTGCCCTGCCTGCAATCCCTTCATCTTTCATAGGAGCTTTATTTTTTAGGTGGGGCTTGTGAAAAAGAGCTTGCCAGTGCCTATAAACTTCTTCATGTGAGAGTTTCCAGTCTTTCTTAACTGATATGATAACCCACATTCAGCCTTTAAGAATTATTTTAACATTTGAGCAGATTTCTTTCTTATCTGAGTCTATGGCACCAGCCACTTCCTCCCATGTTCCATCAAAGGTAAGGAGTTTGTTTGTCCGTCTTCGCTCCTCAGAGGAGCTGACCCTTTGGAATTCTGCCCATTTTGTTGCTTTCAAATCTCAGGTCCCGGTGGGCTCAAGAAAAGCAATCATTTTGTGCATGATCTGGCTTCTATCTTATTGTTGAGGTGGAAACAATGGTAATATGGGTGTGTGTATTTCTACCTTCTAGGTAGAAATTGAACAAAAGCATTCTTTGCTATTATACCTGGGTTGTTCTTCACTGTTCCCTGGGAATCTGTTACGGAAATTATGCTGAGCTAATAATTCTGATGGGATGATCTTCACTCATGCAGACTGTGGCGTCATGTAGAAGGAAGGCTAATATGGATGTGAGGTTCAAGATCAAGGTAAATTCTTCATCTTACTGGTGCTTATAAGAAGATGGTATGTTTCTTTCTCTTTTAAACTAAAAAGAAGGTCTACCAACGTGTGAAGTCGCAAAATATGGCATGCCTATTGTTAATTTTAATTGAGATGCAGAAGACTGTCACTACTGGGATATTCCCATTTAACTACTTAGAATAAAGCTCCTCCCAAATTTTGGAGCCAGAAGGATGTTGTTACATTTGCATTTCAGATTAAGTCAGTGAAGTGGGTGGTGGGTTGGACTGGTCCCAGCTTAGGGACTTGAATAAAGTTCTAGAATAATTTGACTAAATGTACATAGATATCCAAAGTTGCCGCTACACCTGAGAGTACTATCAAGGGTTTTTACAGCAGCATGGTGACGGTTTTCCCACAACTAAGGCATTGTAAAGTACAATGTAGGTTTGTTTAGAAACATTTTCAAGTTTCCACAACATATATGCAATGATCATATGCCATGAAGCACCATTAAACATTAACATTTTTGGAAAATTTACTGTAAGAGAGGTATTAAATTAATGGACTATACATATTTCACAAAGATTAATAATTATTATATTATTAGTGGTCATATTAAACTAATATAACTAATAACATAAGCTAATAATATAGCTGATAAAAATATTAGCTATAAAAGTAATAGCTAATAATTTTGTGCTAGGTGTCATGTTAATTGCTTTATAGTTTGTCCGATTCTTATTAACAATGATAATAACAATATTGATGATAGCTAATATTTAATCAGTGCTTATTACATGCCCACTATTTTGCTAAGCCCTCTGCCTACTTTATGTCATTTAATCCTCACAAAAGCTCTGTCACATATGTACTATCATTCTTGGTATTTTATGAGTGAAAAAAACTGTTCCACAGAAACACAGTTTACCTTCAGAGGTAAAGCTATTTTCCAGTGAGACCATGCTCTTATGCTGTTTGTATTGAGCCTACACTGGATGGGGTGGAAGGAAAATAAACTGTCCCGTGAAGTGACCTTCCTTCCAATAGTGTCTCTGATACTTATAAATTGCATTGCATGGGCTAATTACATAACTTTCTTGAGCCTTGATTTTCTAATTGGTAACATGTATGTGCATAATACCATCTATATTTTGAAATATTACAGGTAATGCATGGGCCGGGTGTGGTGGCTCATGCCTGTAATCCCAGCACTTTGGGAGGCCAAGGTGGGTGGATCACCTGAGGTCAGGAGTTCGAGACCAGCCTGGCCAACATGGTGAAACCTCATCTTTACTAAATATACAAAGCCAGGTGTCGTGGCTGGCACCTGTAATCCCAGCTACTTGAGAGGCTGAGGGAGGCAGAATTGCTTGAACCCGGGAGGCGGAGGTTGCAGTGAGCCGAGATCACGCCATTGCACTCCAGCCTGGGCGAAAGAGTGAGATTCTGTCTCATAAATAAATAAATAAATAAACAAATAAATAAATAAATAAAGGTAATGCATGTAGAGAAACTATGTACATGTATTTCACACCTTTCCAGTCTCTGGACCTAAGACAGCCTTCTGGCTCACAACCCATTGACAGAAGGAGAGGTCAGTATCCATGAGAAAAAATCCTGCAATATAATGGCAAGTGTTACAGTAATGATTTCCCATAATAATGTTTCTGACCCAAGGACAACTATGAATGCCTATATTGGTATACTTGGGAAAAGGGAGCACCCAGTCACTCTATTATTGTTGCATATGGGTCTTAGTTGGCTTTGATATTTGGGGACCCAAGGTGTCATCATGGCACCCCTGTTAGAGTGGAGCTAGATATATGTTAAAAGGTGTCATCATGGCACCCCTGTTAGAGTGGAGCTAGATATATGTTAATCAAGTGAAGTATGAAGTTCTGCTGCAAGACTGGCTCACAGTAGGTTTATTGAGATGGTAGAGGTTAGGCTGATCAATATTGAGAGGAAGGAAAGACTTTCCAGAAGACTTGAAGAGGAAGATCATGCTTGGCTCCAGAAGCAACATATAGTTCTGAATGAAAAGATAGTTGACATAAAGTGGAAGAGTGGCCAGGATGGATGAGTGGATGGAGAGTTAAACATGGAACTCCCGTCATGAAGGCCTTGTGTTCTGATTTGATTTTGCAGGCAATGGAATCATAAAATAATTTGAAACAAGAGAGGGATGTGAACATATTTTATACCTAAAAGATCACTCTGGTAGTGTTATGAGAGACGGATCCTGAGAACCAAGGCTGGTGACAAGGAAAGCATTTAGATGACTAATACACAAATACTGGTGATAAAGAGAGGACCTAAAGTAAGGGACACAGACAGAAGTGAAGAGATTCAGGAGATGGTAAGAAGGTAGATGCAATGGTATTTAGTGACTGATTGAACATTCAGGAGAGGAGAAGTAAGGGATGATTCCTAGGACTCTGTCTGGGAAACTGGGTAAAAGAGATGCCGTTAACTAAAAATTGAAACAGAGAGAAGAAAGCCTGGCACAGAATAAAGGAGATAGGTGTGGACATGTTGAAGACGAGAGGCTACACAGACACTCAGATGATGCTGTTCAGTAGGGAGCTTTTGAATTCAGTGCAGAAATCAAACTGTATGAGCAGATTTGGGTGTCACCAGGAAGCAGATGCAGTAACGGTATAATAGTAGATGAGCTCACCTGGGTAATGTACATAGTGTAAGAGAAAGAGGGTGAGACTGGAAGTTTGAGTTATGCAACTTTTAACAGGAGAGGAGAAGGTGTGGTCACAACTCCACCTACAGCACCAGGAAAGATCATTGTCAAGGAAGACCAATGAAAAAGGCAGTGAGTTGTCCACAACATTTGGTATGGTGGAGAAGTGAGCTGAAACAAAAGCGGAGGTAGGTGCAGAGAGAGGCCTTGGGGAGAGTAGAGGTCTCATCTGAAACTTTCTTGGATGTCTCCCTTGCTTTTGTTTAATAAAAACTAAACACAGTAGTCCTATTCCTGGACATTCCAGTTTGCCAATCGCCCTTCTGCCTCGGGGCCTCTGTATCTTGAGTTTCTCTCTACCTAGAAGGCTCTCACCCAGCCCTCTTTTTGCCTACCTCCATATCATCTCTTGGTTCTTAGATCAATTCTCAGTGCCTTTGGATCTTGCGTGAGCTTGTACCCTGAGTCGAGTCTCTCTGCCATATACCCTCAAGATACATTGCATTTATTTGTATGGCAGTTTTCACAAGAGTTATGAAATAATAATTGTGAAATTTTACTTTACATGTACATTTTTCTCCCTACTCAACTGTGGGTTTAAAGGAATAGTGGCTTAGTCTCTTGTGCTCAATGTTGTGTTTCCAATACCTGGCAGAGTGCCTGCAACGTAATAAGCATTGAATAAATATAATTGAGCTGATTTATTTTATTCATTACTAAAATTCAGGTGTTGCTTACTTTGTGTCAAGGATTGTTTTAAGCCCTTTATAAATAGCTCACTTAATTTTTGAGTGTAAAATACAGCAAACACGGAGCCGATTGTAAAATTATGGACCAACTTCCAAACACTTCTTTATGACGACGCTTTTCAGGAGGTTGAGGACAAGTAGGATTTTCGTGACAATACAGATCAGAGGAGAGTGACAGTCCTGGGAGCCAGAATGCCTGGGATCCAGTGCCACCTCCCCCCTCTTAATAATTATGTTGTTTGGGTAATCACTTAATCTTTCTGATCACTCAATAGTCTCCTTTTTATTAATCTGTAATATAAGGATAGTAGAATAGTACTACCTCATGGTTTGTTATGGGTACTCAATGATTTGACATGGAGTAGTCCTAAGTGTTACTATTACATTTTTGATTGATAGTCTACCACTCCTTCTCCCTCCTCCCACCACTTCCCTTCTTGTCCATACCTGTCTGTCTTGGAAATAGGCCATTGACTCTTAGCCATCAGAAACAGCCTAAAAATTAATTTTACCTCTGGGCATGTCTCCAGTCACATGTCTCATTTATCTTCTGGTGACCTGAGTGGATTTCAAACCCCCAGGTTTATATGAGTCCATTTGGTACTATTCTAATTGAAATTATACTGCTATTCCTTATAAGCAGAATGTAATTACTTTAGCTGGCATTTGGACATGACTCTCGGCTACCCCCATTAAAAATTACATGACCCTTTCAATGACTATAGCCACTTTTTTTTTAACATCAGCAATGAAGAGCAGATGAGGGGAAGTCTCCTCAATGCATACAGAAAGATGGCACCATCTCTTTGGCCTCGATTATAGGGCGAAATCTACCATTTATTTTCATTGATGTGCCACTGTAACATTCAAGCTAATGCTATATGATGATATGGGAAGTCCAGAAAAGTGGAACTGTAATAAAATTTAATTGTTTAAATAATTTATAATAGAACTTCCAGAAAATATAGAAGATCATATAAGCTTTTGGATCTTTCTGAGTATAATACAAATAATAAAATTTGAGTAAAAGAGATTGATATATCTAGCCAAATAAAAATTCAAAAAAATACAATAAAATAAAAACAAAGAAGATGAATGACAAAATATATTTTAGTTGCATGGAAAAATGTTATTCTAAATATTGAGTGAGTTCAGAAAAATCAAGGAAAAGAATAACAATAAAAATCATTACCTATAAAGACATGTAATTAATATACTCACAAAAGAAGGCGGATGACGGCCGGGCGCGGTGGCTCACGCCTGTAATCCCAGCACTTTGGGAGGCCGAGGCGGGTGGATCATGAGGTCAGGAGATCGAGACCATCCTGGCTAACAAGGTGAAACCCCGTCTCTACTAAAAATACAAAAAATTAGCCGGGCGCGGTGGCGGGCGCCTGTAGTCCCAGCTACTCGGGAGGCTGAGGCAGGAGAATGGCGTGAACCCGGGAAGCGGAGCTTGCAGTGAGCCGAGATTGCGCCACTGCAGTCCGCAGTCCGGCCTGGGCGACAGAGCGAGACTCCGTCTCAAAAAAAAAAAAAAAAAAAAAGAAGGCGGATGACAAAGATGAATATATTCTACTGCCAAATGAAGTAAATTAATCATACCCCTCCTTTTTTGTATACCATATTATAAAACTTTTAAAAATAATGATTTCTAGAAGCATCTTGAATGCTCAAAAATAAGAAAATGTTAAATTATGTGCCAGTTTTGCTATTTTTAGCAGGCAGCTCTTATCATGAAACGCTTTGTAGCATAAAAAATTTATATACTATGCAACAGTAAAAAGTCATTAAAAAGAATGAAATAGATATATATGCTGACATTGACATAGAAAGATAGGCAACACGTACTATTAAGTGAAAAAATTCAAATAGGAGATGTCATGTTTATTTCTTAGTAAATAGAATGCAGGCACACATACGTAATAGTATATGCTATTGTGAGTACATACACAAATATATGGATAGATTTGCATGGAAAATTACTAAAGAAATACTCAAAATTTCTGACAGCCATTCCAGACATGAAATGGGTGGAAGCCTCATTAAATTTATATCTTTTAAATCAACTAATCATTATGTTCATTGAAATGATTTTTAGGAAATGTTTTTTTTTTAATGCAGAGGATCCGGCATTCTCTTGTTTTCATGTTGCTCACTGAAAGCTTTCTGTTAAGTGATGTGGTAATATATATCGGAGGTCTTAAAATGTGTTGATTCTTTAACCTAGCAAAACCTCTTCTGGACACTTACTTTAAGAAAATACCAGCCAGAAAAACAAATCTATAAGAAGACTCACTTTAATGTTATTTATGATGGTGGAAACCTGGAAGCAATACAAATATCCAACCCTAAAGTATCAATATTACTTAAAGATTTATGAAATGATATGATGAAATACTATGCATTCAGTAAAAATTATGTTGTAAAAAAACACTCTAGGGCATTGTTCAAGGTATAATGTTTACAAACTAGGTATCATCTAGCATACAGTGTAATTTCAATTATGTTAAAAATATATTTAGAAAGCCTGGAGGGATGTGTATGAAATGTTATGGTGTTTATGTCTGGGTAATTATATTATGGCTTTTTATTTTCTTATATGTGTTTTTCAAAATACTCCTAATATTCTCTAAAAACATGCCATATTTTACCATTAAAATAATCGTATTTTATTATATAACAAGATATACTTACTGTAGAAATATTTTAAAATACAGAAAATCAGCTAGAGGGAAATATTATTTAATAGTTCTACATATGTTATTATAGATATCTTTATTACTTTATATTTGGTAGGGATAAGGTTATGCTATATACTCTGTGTGTGTGTGTGTCTGTGTGTGTGTGGCCTTGTTTTTGTCTTATGTTTCATGAGCATATACCCTTGTAAATATATATTCATTTAAAACATAATATGCATTGAAGTTTTATTTCATTATGCAGATTATCTTAGGTTTTTTTTTATAGCCGTGATACAATGTTGGCTACTTCAGTTATTTACAGGTATTTATTATTAAAATGCTACCAGAAAACATCTGTAGCTAAATCCAATCACAAATCATTCATTATTTCCCAAAGAGAAAATTCTCTAAACAAAATTGATATCTCAAAGAAAGTGTACAATGTAGAGACCTTTGATTGACATTGGCAGATTGAATCCGGCAGTTTAAGGCAATTGACACGTCCATGTGCCAGTTTTGCTTTTTTAGTAAACAGGTTTTATTTGTGTAATCAAGTAACACATAATATTGTATTTTCCAATGGTTAACAAGTTGTCAATTCAGCTCCCAAGAGAATTATTGCTCTATAGTAATCCAAATTCTCTAAGGCTTATTAGTAAAACACATGGTGTACTCTAAACTTGGAGCTGGAGTTTCACAAATGACTAAGGTAACATCTCCTCTCCTCAAAATGGTTACACTATAATGGGCATACAGATACAAAATAATGTTCATTTTTGATGACATACAATGGCATAATGTAGTAAAGTTGTCTTATGTTTTTTAGAAACATAATGGTACCTAATAGGGCAAGTAAATTCCTGATTCCAACTTATTTGACAAAAGAGTCAGGGAACAAACCAATAAATATACTGACCTATAGATCCATTTATTAAAATAAAATAGTAATATGTTAAACACAGTGACATACATCTATACAATATATGCATGTGTAGGTTTCATATAAAATCTAGGAATGCCACAACCATTGTTTTTTCTCATTTTTATTCTGTCAAATCTGTTGATTATGCCTGTCATTATTTTGTAAGCTATGTTTGTTTAAAATCACTATCCACTTAACAAATAGTTATTGACTAACTTCTATTAACAAAGCACTGAGAATATAAAGGAAAATGAAATGTGGTACCTGTCCTCAAGGACCCTCATTACGGCCTAGTGAAGGAGACAATGGTCAAAAACTCATATGGATCTCAAGACAGTTCCTGCATTAATATAGAAACTGATCAGCACATGATAATTTTAAACATGAATTTAGTTATTATCCATGCAACATATATTTATTGAGCTCTTATTAGGTACTAGGCTCTGTGCTTAATGCAGTAGTAAATAAGAAGACCCCAGACCTGCCATCCTGGAGAAAGAGATAAGGATATCAATTTAAACAGCTGCATGCATTCTCCTGAATAATGTAGGCTTGAAAGAATTCTCAGTGGGTTCAGGGAATACATTTTAAACTATTTACTTGTTTTCAAGTATGGGCACTCAATTTATGCTTTGTTATGTGAATATTTCAAATTGGAATATGGAAATGCATATAAATCAATGAGTTTTTAAATGCTATTATAAGTAAAATTGCAGAAATAGAGTTAGCAGGGTCATTTCTACTTTTGTTTAGTTTGGTGGCAAAGAGCAAATTAATGTTCTTTCTCTAAGTGTAAGATTGCAAAGAAAAACAAATGCAAATGTATTGAAATTATATAATTGCTTTTAAGTTCTTTACAATATACAACACAATTCGGCTACATATTAAAATTTCCAGGTTAGAGGAGAGACAGAGATAAATATATGAAAAGAATGTGCTCACAATGTGAGACATTGTTTTGGTAATAATTCAAGATACATTATTCTTAGTGTGACTTTTTTTCCTTCCCCATAAAAGTGTCTACAAGTTGATACTAGGTGTCAAAAGGACAGCTTAGTAAGCATGTTTAATGGTATTATGTTATAATACATATCTAGCATAGACTTTTTTGTATTACTTATAATGTGCAAAAACTACAATTATGTATTTTTTGAGTATTATATCACTCAGTCTTATGTATATAGTTCCATATAAAGCAGTTATTTTAAAACATAATACTCTGAAAATCTTTACTTTCCCTGAAAAATATTTCTGCAACTTATTAAATTCTCATTGATTATAAATTTTTTTATCATATGTATTGTTTATAAATTGCCCCAATGCTTTGTGGAGTTGGTGTGAATTTATTAAGTAGATTTCACATGCTGCAATTTAAAAAAAATTTAACTTAAATTTATGAATGCATTTTTCACACTCCACTTACGTAGGTTAATGGATGAGACAAGTTAGTAATGGGATTAGAAAAAATATCAAACAATCATTAGATCAAAAGGAAAAAAAAAATCTTTGATAATCAACTGGTCTATGGCCTTAATTAAACAGTACACATCACTGTAATATTATAAAGCATTAATTTAGGAATTTTAGTTGGTTCTTTCTTAGTGCACTGTATTTTAGTAATGGCATTAAAAAATATTAAAAACAATTTAGTTTATTTTTCATTTGAGGGAGACTTGATGATGTTGAGAAGTACGTAGTGTTAAGAAATTATAAAAGATATGCTTTCTTCTTTAATGGAGTCATTAAAGACTATTTTGGTTTTGGTGCTTATTTTACAAAAAGTCCTAAAACCAAGAAACTCGAACATTATTTATAAACCATTATATCCTGTTCATAATAATTACAACTGCACAAGAAGTGGAAGAGGAGGAGGAGGAGAAGGAAATGACATAGGTTGATGAGCTTATTAAAATGTTTAAAAATCTTTTAGGAATATGATTTGAATGGTATCACTTTTCCAGTCTGCTTCAGCTTTTCATGTCCTTGGAGGTAAGCCTGGAAAAAAGAGACTTCATTAAAAGAGCTTAGAACATGGTAGGTGACTCAGTTGGAAGGGGATACAGATCATGGCTCTAGGGAGAGGGTTTTGTCAATGACTAGGCAGGACCTGACTCAAGAAGGCCAAGGATTTTGTAACTGTTACATTTCCAGGAAGAAAACCTAAGTCCTGACCAAAATCAACATTGAAGTATCCTTGAATGCTCTGGGGAAATGAGAGTAGGAAACTGAGATGGGATGGACATATTCAATGGCTTGCTCCTGGTTTTCCAGCTCCAAGACCATCCTCAGGTCCCATCCTGGAAAAGCTAGACACTAAATCTGAACATAGGTGATGAATATGCTTCTTACACCTGTGATATCTAAAACAGAGTTCATGATTCTTTGCTCCAGACTCTGACCTAACCCTTTCCATATATCCCATGTAGAAAAGCTGCACCTTGTTGCTCAAGCCAAGAACCCAGAAGTCTTTCGTCTTTCTCTTTCTTTTTACTTTTCTTTCTTTCAACCCAGAAGTCTTCCCTCCTTCCTTCCTTCCTCTTTCTTTCTCTCTCCCCCCTCCCTCCCTTCCTCCCTCTCTTTCCTTCCTTCCTTTCTCTCTCTCTCTCCCCCCTTCCTCCCTCTTTCTCTCTCTCCCCCTTCCTCCCTCTTTCTTTCCTTTTTCTTTCTTCTTTCTCTTTCTTTCTCCCCCCTCCCTCCCTTCCTCCCACTCACTGTTTCTCTTTCTTTCTCTCTCTTTTTCTTTCTCTCCGTTTCTCTCTTTTTCTCTCACTTTCTCTTTCTTACTTTTCTTTCTTCCTTTCCTTTTTTCTTTCCCTCCCTCCCTTTCTTCCTTTCTCTTTTTCTTTCTTTTCTTATTTCTTTCACTCTCTCTCTTTTTCTCTTTTTCTTTTTCTTTCTCTCCTTCTTTCTTCTTTCTTTTTTTTCACTTTCTTTCTTTCCTTTTCTTCCTTTCTCTTTCTTTTCCTTTCATTATAACTCATTCTGCATTTCTGACTGCTCAAGCTTCAAAATGTATTTTGTATCTCTCCAGTTCCCTCTAGCTCGTCTGCCACCACTCTAGTCCAAGCCAGTTTGGAAAAAGTGGCTGGAATATAATAGGTCCTTCATAAAATATTTGTTGAATGAATAAATGTTATGGTATTTGGACTTGCCCCTACCCCTCTTTTTTCTTATCTATACTTCACACTTCTGAAAAGACAAATCAGATAATGTTACTTCTCTGCTACAAATATTTAATGGCTTCCACCTCTTGGAAATCTATTTTGCTCATTACTGTGACCTACAAACTCTGCACACTCTAGTTCTTGCTCACCTCTCCATTATCTTGTTCCATGCCTTAGAATTCTTGCTTTCTACTCTACAAATACACAGGTTTCTTTTCTTCCTTAAGCATATCTATCTCTTATTGCTACAATGTTTTTGGATGTTCAGCTTCCTCTGCCTGAAATACATATATTTTTCTATTTTTGAATGGTTGGTTTAGTCTTATTTTTGAAATCATTGTCCCAATGTCATTTCTCCAGAAAGACCGTCCTTAACCTCCTCAAAAGTTTTTTCTCCAGTTACTTTACATTACATTACATTTCTTAACTTACAACTCTAGAGGTCACAAATCTGAACTATCTTGATTTGTTCTGGCTTGTACAAGAAGAAAATCAAGGCATTTGTTCTCTGGGCTCTTATTGAGAGAGAGAGACTCTGGGAAGAATCCATTTTGCAACTCAAATTGTTGGCAGAATCCATTTCTTTGCAGTTTGTTTGTTTTAGATGGAGTCTCACTCTGTCACCCAGGCTGGAGTGCAATGGTGCGATCTTGGCTTACTGCAACCTCTGCCTTACAGGTTCAAGCAATTCTCCTGCCTCAGCCTCCCTGAGTAGCTGGCATTACAGGCACCCACCACCAGGCCCGGCTAATTTTTGTATTTTTAGTAGAGACAGGGTTTCCCCATGTTGGCCAGGCTGGTCTCAAACTCCTGACCTCAAGTGATCCACCTGCCTTGGCCTCCCAAAGTGCTGGGATTACAGGCGTGAGCCACTGTGCCTGGCAGACAGTTCTTCCTTTCCTTGTTATCTGTCAACCAAGGGATGCTCTCTGATTAATGACCTAAATCACAGGGTTTGATTGAATAACCAGTAGACTGGAATCTTTGGGGGACATATTTAAAATTCTACCTCTCACAGGGAAGGTGATAAAACTTCTTAGAAGTATATGCATTTAAGCAACTGTTTTTCTTCAAAGTTTTATGATAGGAAAAATAAAGGAACTGTTGAACAAAGTAGGACCAATAGAAATGTAGAAATGTCATTTGGTTTGTTAAGAGACACACTAGAAGATAATATTATCTTAAAGTTAGAGAAAGAGTGGTGAATCTTGTCAAAATGCTACAGAGAAGAAACTATGGCATTTGAAAATTAAGATGTCAATCATGACTTCTGAAAAAGCAATTTCAAAAGGGTGGTATGGCCTGATTTTAGTAGTTTAGGGATGATTTGCATGTTATGAAATTGAGCAGGAATGTTTACAGTACTATTTTCAGCGCACTGATAAGAAAATAAAAGAAAAATGGTGAAGTGGCAATGCTCTTTGGTGGGGATAATTGTTGGAACAATATATTTTTCTTCAAACCAGAAGCTTGCTCCTCTGAAGATGCAGTTCATAAAATAAAACTGGGCCTAGAGGTCTTGCTATATTATTTCTTTAGTGATTCAGAAATATCTAGAGCCACATTTAGAAATGTATTATGTAAACTATATCAATACACAAACTTTGGAGGACAGCTTTTATAAAACAAATGAGAGCTCTGTATTAATATGCAAAGATATTAAAACAAAAATTCTTAGTGTATACTAAAAGCCACACACAATAGAAAAGGAAAGCAACAGTGATCTTGGGATTAAAACCAACTTGATTTAAACTCTTATCAAAGTGAGATTTCAAGTCTTTATAAAGTTCTCATGATGTTATTTCCTACCAGTCATTTTCCCGTGAAGCTAAGTCCCACACAATTTTTCTACATTTTTGAACTTTTTTTTTCAGATGGGCAACTGATGGTCAGACTCCAGTGGTTCTTCAAAACTTTCTAGGAGGTAAACAAGATGAAAGGGAAAGCACACAAATTTGCTGGTATGTATTTGCAAGAAGTAAATGGGTGCCATCTGTTAGAAGATTTCATTTGCTGCCTAATTAATTCTCCCATGTTCCCTGGTACACCCATGCAAAGCTCATAGATACAATTGGAAAAGGGAACAGATGGTGTCTTTCAGTTATCTATTGATTACTGTGATCTTCTTGCTAATTAATCTAAATAAAGCACCCATTACTTAATCTTAAACAAAAATTCAACCAGATAAGATTTTGGGGTATATCATTAAAAAACCATTTTCTTTCGTTTGCATTTGCAAAAAGCATCCTGGTATTGACCTCAAGTTGCAAGGATTCAAAGAAGTTACAGAAGCATCCACATCAGTCAGAATGTTTTGTCCTCAAATCCATCACAAGTGGATCTTCAAACCTTTAGTATTAGAACTCTGATCAGATGACAACTGCCAGAGATTGTCTGAATTTTTAAAATTTCAGATTTACTTTCATTAAAAATCCAAGCAATATTTTGTTAGTGAAATCTAACATTGTGTACTCCAAGGTTGGGTATTTGAGACATATATTCCTAATTTGCTTTACTAGTGTTAATAAATGTTTGCTTCTCCTTTAAAATTACTGAATATTTGGGTTTTTAAAAATATCTTTAACTGATTTTGACCTTTACATTTAAACTACATTTATGTTCCTCACTATCCTTCTTTTTAGGAATTTGGAAAACACGAACCCTGGAATTTGGAGGAGTCACTTCCACTGGAAAATACTTTTATATTATTTATAGTAAGTAGAGAATGCTTAAAAATCATTAGTATCATTTCATATGGCTGGATAAATAATAATTATGAATTATTACAGAAAACAAACTCAAAAATATATTTCAATAGTTTTTGGGGAAAAGGTGGCTTTTGGTTACATGGGGATAATTTCTTTAGTGGTGATTTCTGAGATTTTGGTGAACCCATCACCCAAGCAGTGTACCCCATATCCAATGTGTAGTCTTTCATCCCTCACTGCCCCCCCGACCTTTTCCCCATGAGTCCCTGAAGTCCATTGTATCATTCTTACGCCTTTGTGTCCTCATAGCTTAGCTCCCACTTACAAGTGACAGCATATGATGTTTGGTTTTCCACTCCTGAGTTACTTCACTCAAAAATAATGGTCTCCAATTTATCCAGGTTGTTGAGAATGCCATTATTTCATTCCTTTTTATTTTATGGCTGAGTAGTATTCTATGGTATATATATACCACATTTTCTTTAACCACTCATTGGTTAACAGACATTTAGGTTGGTTCCATATCTTTGCTTTTGCGAATTGTGCTGATATAAACATGTGTGCGTGTGTCTTTTTCATATAATGACTTATTTTCCTTGGGGTAGATACCCAGTAGTGGGATTGCTGGATAGAATGGTAGCTCTACTTTAGTTATTTAAGGAATCTCTACACTGCTTAGAAAACAAACTCAATTTAGCTTCAATAGGGTATGATTTTGTTATCTTAAAAGAAGTAATTACCCTAACGATAAGGTGATTCTATTTCAAAAATACATAAAAGCATTTTAACAGCAAACAATTTAGGTTCTTTCCAACAATGTAAGATTATTTTATATTCTCCGGCCCCTAGAACTTCAGTAAGTCAGGCAGTTTAATTATCTATTTAGTGTAACATTTTTCTTGGGAAATAGCAATTTGGTGAATAATTGATTCCTTAGAAGTTCCATTTTTCTCTATAGTTCAGTTATAACACTCATCATACTGTATTGCTATTCATCTTTTATTTTACATGACTAACTTTTTCAT
Source organism: Homo sapiens (assembly GCF_000001405.40). NCBI lineage: Eukaryota > Metazoa > Chordata > Mammalia > Primates > Hominidae > Homo > Homo sapiens. The sequence goes on along the minus strand of NC_000014.9, from coordinate 87,439,170 downwards.
AAGTAAGTCTTAGAGGTTGGTTCCGGAAATCAGAGACCAAATCTAATTTATCTTTTTATCCCCAGCATCTAGAGATGTGCTTGGCACATTGTTGGGGGCCTATGAATGTTGTCCAAATGAATGAATGATCAAATTTTACCTGAAAGGGTGATGATAGGATGTAAGACAACCTTAGAATACATTTTATTCAGGAAAAGAAAAATGAAGCTGATTATTTGGTGAACATGAGGAAACTCAAAATATTTTTTTTAAAAAAAGATTCATTCATTTCCATGTTAAAATGTTTCACTTCTGTTGTTTCACTATGGTTTATGCTTCAGAGATGTAATACACCCTAAAGCAGCTCTCTGTAAAGTTCTTAGCTTGGCATGCCTTTTGATTGCTTCCTGCAGTGAAGTGCAGTAGAGAGGAAGCATAGTATTAGCTTCCTCTATCTTGAGCCATTCTGACCATGGCCTGGGACTGCCATCACCCTTATCTGCCACTTGCATCCCAACTTGAACAAATGACAAGTCCCTGCCTCCAACCTAAAATATTTTTTTCTTCTCCTCTCTGACCACAAATTAATACATGTCTGAGATCCAGATCTTGTTCTTACCAGATTCTCCACCTACCAGGTTTCTATATGTGGAAATCACTAACTTAAACAACAACAAACTGTCTGAGTAAGAAGGTGCCTTAGCTAGAGCTGTTGCCTAATTATTCTGTCAAATTCACCTGCAGCACTTCTGATGAATAATATCACAGGCTCTTCTTGGTCTGTTCATTAGGAGGGACTTCGTCGTCTTAAAAAATTCATTCTAGTGCAATTCAGCACTTTATGACATTCTTTCTAATACTAAGCCAAAATATATTACTTTCTAACATGTTTGTGAGATATTCTCTAGAAGATCATATTACAAATCTAAACATAGGCCATCCACATCTGAATAGGACTTTCTGATAATTCAAGTTACCTGACATTTATAATTCTTCAGGAGTATCCTTCATGCAGAGAGGAAATAAGAAGCACTTAATGAATAATGAGAATTGGCAGGAGAAAGAATCCAAAAAAATCATTGTCTTTAATCACATCCAAGTTAAGGAACATCAATTAGACTAGTATTGCATTTAAGACACATAAATGTATAAGACATTATGATTTCTTTGTATGCAAACAAAATTGCGATGCAAACCTTGCCTAAAAATGTGATAATGATAAAAACTAAGTATTAGACTACAATCGGCAAGGAAAAATTATATAGAATTTTTAAAAATCAAAGTAAATTTAAAATTTGTATGGGAAGAAAAAGCCACATACTATGACAATATTTGAATGGATAAGCGAATGCATAAATAAGTTAATTTATGTAGGAATTAATGGTTAGGGGAAATAATGGAGAGAGGAATAGATGTAGAAGCAGGGGAATTTCAGGCAATGTCAAAATTCAAAGGCAGGTGAACTACGTATAAAATGTCTAATTATAATGCAGTAGACTAATACTTTTGAATATAATTTTTGAGGAATTGTATTTAATTACCAATTGAAATTTTAATTCCGGTGCTGTCATTATTTATTTATCTATCGAGATATTTTTGTGACAATTTAATCCTGCAATCAGCTAAAGAAAATCATTCTTCTATTGGTTGAGCTGTCCTTAGTTTAAGCTACTTTTGGCTAGTAACTTACTGACATGGAGATTTAGTAGAAAGAGATTCCTTAGATTAATTAAAACTCAACATTAAGAATAGCCATCACATTTATTGATCCTGTGCTATATGTCAGGCATCGTGTTAAACAGTTTGCATTGCATCATCTTACCTAATCCTCACAACGACTGTATCAAAAAGGAATTGTTGTGCAATTTCCTAAATATTAAAACCTGAGATATAAGGAGGTTGAGTAAATTGCCTAAGGTCACAGTTCATGAGCAGTAGAGCTGGGGTGCAAACTTCAGTACCCTGATTCTGGAGCAATAATTTCAAAGTGCAATATCATGGCAGTTTCACATCTTTGCTAGGAAATCAGGGCATACAGACAAATGACTTTGAGATATCTATATTTCTACTTTCTAGTCCATTTTTCTCATAACATTTGAAGGCACGTGCAGCAAGGCTAAGGGAATGTAGACAACCACAAGGCAGGGGTGGAGGGGAGAAAGGAACAAAGGGAGGTAAATACTCAAACATTTAATCATAAATGCAGATATTTCAGATTATCATATGTAGGTTTCAGGGCTGCTGGTTGCCCGCTATTCGAGGCAGTACAAGATGCTGTGAAGCCCAGGGCTCAGGGAGATGGGTGAGCAGTCCACTTGCCCTTACCAGGCAGAGACCTTCTGCCTTCATTTGTCATGCTTCAGTAGTGACTGGCTCTGTGTCCTGTAATTTTCCCTGCCCATGCTACTGTGGCTTCCGAGTGAGTGCTTTCAGGTTGGACAGTCACGAATCAAGCGTCAAGGAAATCTATCACTGAATGGGTTTGCTCTGCTCTATTCTAAAGAATGTTCTTTTTTAGAGAAGAAACTAGTCCCTGAGAAGTGATTTTTCACTTTGCATAAAAACAAAAGAAACAAGCAACAAAAAACCCTAAGCCTTCGAATTTAATTGAATAAAATAAAATTCTCAATCAAGAACAAATCTGGCACAGTGCCTGGCAGGTGGAAAAGCCTCAATAAATATAACTTTTATTGGACTGTAAAGGACAGATATCTCAATTCGGTCCTGAGATTGTAGAGTGATAGCCGAAAGAATTTTTATACTTATCCTTCCTTCCCCAATTTAAGATATTATCAGTCAGAAGAAACAATTGATGCATTAACATATTTGGGGAGGAAAAACTTATGATAATTACATGTAGATAATTCAGTTTAAGCAATGTTAAAATATGAAAATACGTGCATCTTAGCATTGATTAAAGAGGGGAACACATTTCTGAGCATTCGGTTACAGTCCCCAACTTTGGTGAAGGCATCATGGTTGGACCAGTGAAGAATTAAAAAAAAAAAAAAAACATGCTTCCACTCCTTAATATTATAAATCCTTGAGTAACTGAAAATGCATCTATGAACCATAGTGACTGTTCCACCTGGTTATTTAAAAACATTGATTTGTAAGGAAAGTAAGAATTTTGTCCATCTGAAGCTCAATTAAAATGACGGCTCTCTAGTTTCAGTGCAGAAGAGGTACAAAAGAGATTTATAAACATACTGTTATTCCAAAATTGTAAAATCCATCTCCCATTTAGGTACACAGCTTATTAAACTTTTGGATGATTAAGCCAAGAAAGAATTAAAAACAGCAGTTTTCTTTTGTTTCTGTAGCAAATCCCTAATATCATTTTTATAGCCTGTCTGAGGCAAGGGATTAAATCTTAGTTTATTTCAACATTCTAGTTTCCCTGTTTGTCCATTTATATATTCTAGTAAATATCTATCTTCATCACTACTGAAGATAAAACTACTTGTATTCCTATCTTATTCTTCATGAGAAATTCCAGATATTGCTACAAATAAAAGAGAAAAAGGAGAGGAGTCAAGTATGATGATGGTGTTTTAGATACTGTACAGTATATTTCTAGACCATTAACAAGCAAATAGAATATAAACAAATCAATAGCAGAACCTATAAAAGCACAAAAAGGCAGGACATTAGAGTTTAAAGAATGTTCTTGTCATTGTATTACTGGAATCTGCTACAAATACATGCCCAGGGGAGTAGTCAATTTATTTTTATTCTTGTTGTTATGAGTTGACTATTCTGGGTGCAGTATTCAGAAGAGCCTGAAAAAGGGAGCCATTTGGAGTCTCCGGTCATTTGGTGAGGATTTTTAGAGTGAGATGCGAAATCACAGCAGGTTCCATATAAGATGTCACGACATTCTCGGAAACCCAAGAATACTCAGAAATGTTTGGCTGTCTATGCATAAAGTTTTCTTCATCTGAAAACTTCTAAGCATTTCTCAAGGATTTATACTGCACATCTCAACCCTTGATGCAATGGAAGTACAATCTGTGGTTAAATAACATTACATAATGAGATCACATTAAAACAAGATGAGTTTTGGAGAAGACTTACCTGACCAAGTAATATAACAAGCAAGGATAGAACATAGGCTATCATTCTTATTCTTGCAGCCAATTAATGATGTCCTTTATCTTCCACCTATTTTTTCTTCTCTTATTTTGATGGGTAATGCACTGATTGTGAATCTTGCTTAGTAAGAAAGCCCTTACGTTTCTTTTTAAGTGGTTCCTGGTAGATCTGTCTGTCAGGATAATGGCAATCTTTGTTAGGTTTTGTCTAAGTGATTATTATAACAAGAGTTCATGCTGAGTTCTATTCATACTCCTCCTCCTCTATTTCATAGCAGTAACACTATCTGCCTTTGATCCTCAGGGTACATTAATCTGCATAGGCTGCCATAACAGAATACCAAGGCATGGGTGGTTTAAACAACAAAAATATTTTTTTCTGGTGGCTGTAAGATCAGTGCTCCCACTGTTGGCTTTTGGCTTCTCTATTCCTGGCTTTCAGACAGCCACCTTCTCCCTGTGTTCTCAAATGGCTTTTTGTCTGTGCCCAGGCAGAAAGACAGAGTTCTCTGGTGTCTTTTCTCTTTTATAAGGACACCAGTCTTAACAGATTAGGATCCCATCTTTCGGACCTCAGTCAACCTTAATTATTTTCCTAAAGGCCCTATCTCCAAACACAGTTGAACTGGGGGTTAGGGCTTCAACATATGAATTTGACAGGGAGACACAACTCAGTCCATAACACAAGATCTATCGCCTCAGTCAATTTTTATGAAATACTGTTTTCTTAAGCCTAGTTTTGAGGATTGAGGACACTTGTGTCAACATGTCTTAACTGTTTTACCAGGAAATTCTTGCCAAGAAAGATAAAGCTGTATACTAACAAATAAAAATAAAGCTGTATGCTAACAAATAACCCCACTGCTTCAGGAAATTCTTGCAAACCAAATTACCTGAGCAAATAGCTTACTCATCTGGTCAAACAGCTTCCTTATCAGACAACAGTTTCCTTATCAAGAATTGTCTCCAATTCCTCACCTCATTGTGCTTATGAATTTTAAACTATTAGGTCATGAATTTTGCCCAATTTCAACCAGTTTCCCTCTTTGAAAGATCTGCCTTAAACCACTTTGGCCCAAAACAAAAATCATATATATATTCTTCCCTAAATTCTTCTTTCTGTCTCTATAGAGAATCTGTCAAGGTGACTTTATCCTTTGCTGCTGTGAGTTTAAAACTTTGGTTTCCTTGAGTCACAGGTTTCTTTGGTAGTCTTTTGTGGGGAGTTGAGAGTCAACATTTCATAGTGGTCAGAATAACCAGTTTCCAAGTTAGTGGAATCTTTATCATGCCACACAGGTAAAAGCATTCTTCTGGTATGTACTAGCAACTTCTAAATGAGATCACAGTATGACAATGGAAAATAAAACTTTAGAGGCCGGGCAAGGTGGCTCACGCCTGTAATCCCAGCCCTTTGGGAGGCCAAGGCGGGTAGATCATGAGGTCAGGAGATCGAGACCATCCTGGCTAACATGGTGAAACCCCGTCAGTACTAAAAATGCAAAAAATTAGCTGGGCGTGGTGGCGGGTACCTGTAGTCCCAGCTACTCAGGAGGCTGAGGCAGGAGAATGGCGTGAACCCGGGAGGCGGAGCTTGCAATGAGCTGAGATCGCGCGACTGCACTCCAGCCTGGGTGACAGAGCAAGACTCTGTCTCCAAAAAAAAAAAAAAAAAAACCCTTTAGAAAGCAGTTTGTTAGGTATAACCAGGAGAGGTTCCACTCTTATTTTCATCCTTTCAGTTCCTTCACCTTCACCTGTATATTATGACTATGAGAAAAATGACTGCCCCAGTTCCATTAACCTTCAGTCTGTGACTATTTTCATTTGTAAATTCAGAAGAGAAAAAATCCAATTGCCATATTTTGAGTCCATGTCAATCAGCTATGATTCTAGTTGCAGGGTCATCTACAGGGACCTCTGGTACTGCCCAGTGGATTGAGGCTGTTTCTATAAAATTGTGACAGAAAAGGTGAGGAACAGTGACAGTTGATGTTCACTGTTGGTTTCATAGAGTTAAAGAATTGCCGTCTGAGCATATATGTTTACTATACTTGTAAAGGCCGTACGATGCTTCTCATTGACTAAAACTCAACTTAATGTCTGTAGTGTGGGTTCCCAAACTGTGTATCAAGGCATGCTGGTATGCCAGTGAACTCATAGGGTTGTTGCTGGCATAGTTTAAATATTTGAGGAAAATAGTGGTACTTGACATTTGTCGGACACTATGTCAAGTACCACTATGTCAAGTAAAACACTAGCTCAAGGTAATCCATAGTTTCCACATTAGCATACGTTAAATTCTTTCAATGACATCGTTTCTTTTGAAGCTGTGTTTTTGGTGATTGCAGCCACTAAAAAGCAAATGCCATGTGAAAACTAACATGTAACAGGAAGAGTGATGGCATCCAAACTGATTCCAAGGTTGAAAGATTGTATAATGTCCCCAGGTACATAAATACCATTAGGCAGTAATTGTGAATAAGAAGGAAACATTTTTTGTGACTACTTTATCAAACTGCTACTAAGCTCTTAAGATATTAAATTCTTATTAGGTTGTTTGTATCTACTTAATAAGTGAAACCCTTAGATGTTTCTTGTGGTCATTAAAAATTTTCTGGGACACTAAACTGAAGAAATGTGGTAACCTCTGTCTTGTAGTGTTTCTCTTCTTATTCCATTTTTTAAAGTCAGAGGTACTCTGTGTTAATAATTTTTTTAAATTTTCAAGTATAAAAAGAATCCCCTGGGGATATTGTTAGAATATAGATTTCTGGGTTCAATTCCCATAGATACAGATACATATTTCTGGGATGGGACCCAGCAATTTGTATGTTAACAAAAAAGCGATTCGATTGTCAGTCTGTTCAGGCTGCCATAACAAAATACTCAAAACTGGGTGGCTTAAACAACAGACATTTATTTCTCACAATTCTGGAGGCTGGGAAGTTGAAGATAAACTGCACGTCTATTCCATTTCCCTGTGAGGGATTTCTTCGTGGCCTGCAGATGACTGCCTTTTTGCTGTGTCCTCACATGGCTTTTTCTCTATGTGCAAGTGGAAAGAAAACTATCTCTAGCTCACGTAAGGACACCAGACCTATTGGATTACGGCCCTGCCCTGAAGACTTCACTCAAACCTAATTATCTCCTACAGGCTTCACTTATCTAGTGACATTGGGGGTTAGGGTTTCAATGTATGAATTTGGGGAAGACACAATTCATTTCATAGCACTCCACCCCAGCCTCCCAAAATTCATGTTCTTATATATAAATATATTTATTCTATCCCAATAACAAAAAAAGTCTAAAGCATTTTGTTATAGCAGCCAGAGCAGACTAATACAAATTTTGATACAGAGAAACAGGATTCTGCTAAATATGTAAAAATGTGGAGACAGCTCTGAACCTGGGCAACAGGTAGCATCCTGAAGAGTGTTAAAGAACGTGCTAGAAATATGAATGGAAGTGGTGATTCTGGTGAGGGCACAGGAAGAAAAGAAGGGAGCTGGAGGAAACGTTTGCTGGGTTCCGGACCTGACACCCATCATCTCTCCTTCCTTGCTCATTTCTCTTTTTTGGAGTGGGCATCTGTCTCCTATGCCTGTTCCAGTCTTGTATTTTGGAAGCAAAAATCTCCTCTGGTTTCACAGTTTTGCAGCTAGAGAGGAATTTTACTCAGGATGAATCGCAACTTAAGTCTTACCCATGGGTAATGTTTACCTAAATATGTGGGCACCCTGTGGCTCAGTTAAGATGATACATAAAAGTTAACCGTCCCACGGATGCAGTTGGCCCATGTGCCACACTCTGAGGAACAGGTTTTTGTTTTAGAATTTCAAAACTTTTTTAAAGCAGCTCTGTATTTTAGATGTACTTTCTTCTATCCTATTTTTTTCCTATTTCCCATTTAATGCAGGAAGCACCTAACCCTGTTGATTCCAACACACTGCATAAAAGTTTTGCAATGTGTCATGCTTTCAAGCCATGGCAATGAAAAAAATCACTTGTATTGTTTCTATTGCCCAACATATAAACCCAGATCCCTACTATTGACCCATAACCCCTGCCTGAGACAACATGGCTAGCAGATTACAAGAGGGCTATCACTGTGTGCTCAGCATATTAGTCACTTCCTGTATATATTAGTCAGGGATCTCTAGAAGGTCAGAACTAATAGGACAGATGTGTATATAACAGGGAGTTTATTAAGGAGTATTGACTCACAGGATCACAAGGTGAGGTCTCAAAATAGACTGTCTGCAAGCTGATGAGCAAGGAAGCCAGTCTGAGTCCCAAAGCTGAAGAACTTGGAGTCTGATGTTTGAGGCCAGGAAGCATCCAGCACAGGAAAAAGATGGAGGCCAGAAGACTAAACCAGTCGAGTCTTTCCACGTTCTTCTGCCTGCTTTTATTCTGGCCGCACTGGCAGCTGATTAGATGGTGCCCACCCAGACTGAGGGTGGGTCTGCCTTTCCCAGTCCACTGCATCAAATGTTAATCTCCTTTGGCGGTACCCTCACAGACACACTCAGGATCAATACTTTGCATCCTTCAATACAATCGAGTTGACACTCAGTATTAATCATCACACTGTAACACACAATATGGTCTTCCTATCCTCTCCCCTTAAGCTAAACAACTTGATAAAATTAGAAAGGCATGCAGAGAGTGACGAGAGGAGTGTGATGATCAAGCTGCCTGTTCTGCAGAGCTGACGAGTTGGTGGCTCTGGATTCTTTAGAGCCGTCTTTTTAAAAAATTTGACAGCCGTCTGGCTATATGGCACAATATTTATCTTGCAATATTGCTCCTGTTTGTGTCAAAACAAACAATGAGAGAAAATCCAGCACAGAAGAAAATGACGGGAACAGATCCTGCTCAGAGTCAACACAGGACACTGCATTCCTGATGATATTTTTCACCCAGGTGTGTGTGGTCTCACGCTTTTTGTTCTGCTCCTTGATTCTTTTGCACACTCTCCAGCTGCAATCAAGTTCACTGTTTTCTTTATTATCATTTTTCTATGCAAAGCTAGTGTCAGGAAATTTTTATAATAATATAATTTAGTCATATAGTTATCCTTGTATTATTTTGAGTGCCTTTTTTGTGTCAGGCACTGTGTTCAAGGGTGACAAACAAAAGTGAGTCAAATAGAAAATATATTTTTTCTGGCCGGATGTGGTGGCTCATGTTCGTAATCTCAGCACTTTGGGAGGTGGAGGCGGGCGGATCAGGAGGTCAGCAGATCGAGACCATCCTGACTAACATGGTGAAACCCCGTGTCTACTAAAAATACAAAAAAATTAGCCGGGCGTGGCGGCGGGAGCCTGTAGTCTCAGCTACTCGGGAGGCTGAGGCAGGAGAATGGCATGAACCTGGGAGGCGGAGCTTGCAGTGAGCCTAGATCGCGCCACTGTACTCCAGCCTGGGCAACAGAGTGAGACTCTGTCTGAAAAAAAGAAAGAAAGAAAAAGAAAAGAAAAAAATAAAATGTATTTTTTCCAATATGAAATTAATTGGGCACATACTATGTAGCAGGCACTCTGTTCAGTGCTTTAAATATATTTTCTCAAAGTTATAAAGTTTTCAACAAGCTAAAATGCAGGTTCTAATATTGCCTCTATTTTTCAGTTGAGAAAACCGAGGCTTAGCATGATTGCAGGACTTGATCACAGTCACATAGCCAGGTGGGAGATCTAGATCGAAATCAAAGTAATTTAAAAATATATGACAAGTTATTAATAAGTAGATTCTGAAGAATCAGTTATTAACAAAAGCTAAATTGCTTTTATTTATTTATTATTATTATACTTTAAGTTTTAGGGTACATGTGCACAATGTGCAGGTTAGTTACATATGTATACATGTGCCATGCTGGTGCACTGCACCCACTAACTCACCATCTAGCAACAGGTATATCTCCCAATGCTATCCCTCCCCCTTCCCCCCACAACAGTCACCAGAGTGTGATGTTCCCCTTCCTGTGTCCATGTGTTCTCATTGTTCAATTCCCACCTATGAGTGAGAATATGCAGTGTATGGTTTTTTGTTCTTGCGATAGTTTACTGAGAATGATGATTTCCAATTTCATCCATGTCCCTACAAAGGACATGAACTCATCATTTTTTATGGCTGCATAGTATTCCATGGTGTATATGTGCCACATTTTCTTAAAACAGTCTATCATTGTTGGACATTTGGGTTGGTTCCAAGTCTTTGCTATTGTGAATAATGCCGCAATAAACATACGTGTGCATGTGTCTTTATAGCAGCATGATTTATAGTCCTTTGGGTATATACCCAGTAATGGGATGGCTGGGTCAAATGGTATTTCTAGTTCTACATCCCTGAGGAGTCGCCACAATGACTTCCACAATGGTTGAACTAGTTTACAGTCCCACCAACAGTGTAAAAGTGTTCCTATTTCTCCACATCCTCTCCAGCACCTGTTGTTTCCTGACTTTTTAATGGTTGCCATTCTAACTGGTGTAAGATGGTATCTCATTGTGGCTTTGATTTGCATATCTCTGATGGCCAGTGATGGTGAGCATTTTTTCATGTGTTTTTTGGCTGCATAAATGTCTTCTTTTGAGAAGTGTCTGTTTATGTCCTTTGCCCACTTTTTGATGGGGTTGTTTGTTTTTTTCTTGTAAATTTGTTTGAGTTCATTGTAGATTCTGGATATTAGCCCTTTGTCAGATGAGTAGGTTGCAAAAATTTTCTCCCATTCTGTAGGTTGCCTGTTCACTCTGATGGTGGTTTTTTTTTTTTTTTTTTTTTTTTTTTTTGCTGTGCAGAAGCTCTTTAGTTTAATTAGATCCCATTTGTCAATTTTGGCTTCTGTTGGCATTGCTTTTGGTGTTTTAGACATGAAGTCCTTGCCCATGCCTATGTCCTGAATGGTAATGCCTAGGTTTTCTTCTAGGGTTTTTATGGTTTTAGGTCTAAGGTTTAAGTCTTTAATCCATCTTGAATTGATTTTTTTTATAAGGTGTAAGGAAGGGATCCAGTTTCAGCTTTCTACATATGGCTAGCCAGTTATCCCAGCACCATTTATTAAATAGGGAATCCTTTCCCCATTGCTTGTTTTTTTCAGGTTTGTCAAAGATCAGATAGTTGTAGATATGCAGCATTATTTCTGAGGGCTCTGTTCTGTTCCATTGATCTATATCTCTGTTTTGGTACCAGTACCATGCTGTTTTGGTTACTGTAGCCTTGTAGTATAGTTTGAAGTCAGGTAGCGTGATGCCTCCAACTTTGTTCTTTTGGCTTAGGATTGATTTGGCGATGCGGGCTCTTTTTTCGTTCCATATGAACTTTAAAGTAGTTTTTTCCAATTCTGTGAAGAAAGTCATTGGTAGCTTGATGGGGATGGCATTGAATCTATAAATTACCTTGGGCAGTATGGCCATTTCCACGATATTGATTCTTCCTACCCATGAGCATGGAATGTTCTTCCATGTGTTTGTATCCTCTTTTATTTCATTGAGCAGTGGTTTGTAGTTCTCCTTGAAGAGGTCCTTCACATCCCTTGTAAGTTGGATTCCTAGGTATTTTATTCTCTTTGAAGCAATTGTGAATGGGAGTTCACTCATGATTTGGCTCTCTGTTTGTCTGTTGTTGGTGTGTAAGAATGCTTGTGATTTTTGTACATTGATTTTGTATCCTGAGACTTTGCTGAAGTTGTTTATCAGCTTAAGGAGATTTTGGGCTGAGACAATGGGGTTTTCTAGATATACAATCATGTCATCTGCAAACAGGGACAATTTGACTTCCTCTTTTCCTAATTGAATACCCTTTATTTCCTCCTGCCTAATTGCCCTGGCCAGAACTTCCAACACTATGTTGAATAGGAGTGGTGAGAGAGGGCATCCCTGTCTTGTGCCAGTTTTCAAAGGGAATGCTTCCAGTTTTTTCCCATTCAGTATGATATTGGCTGTGGGTTTGTCATAGATAGCTCTTATTATTTTGAGATACATCCCATCAATACCTAGTTTATTGAGAGTTTTTAGCGTGAAGGGTTGTTGAATTTTGTCAAAGGCCTTTTCTGCATCTATTGAGAAAATCATATGGTTTTTGTCTTTGGTTCTGTTTATATGCTGGATTACATTTATTGAACCAGCCTTGCATCCCAGGGATGAAGCCCACTTGATCATGGTGGATAAGCTTTTTGATGTGCTGCTGGATTCGGTTTGCCAGTATTTTATTGAGGATTTTTGCATCAATGTTCATCAAGGATATTGGTCTAAAATTCTCTTTTTTGGTTTTGTCTCTGCCTGGCTTTGGTAAGAAGATGATGCTGGCCTCATAAAATGAGTTAGGGAGGATTCCCTCTTTTTCTATTGATTGGAATAGTTTCAGAAGGAATGGTACCAGTTCCTCTTTGTACCTCTGGTAGAATTCGGCTGTGAATCCATCTGGTCCTGGACTCTTTTTGGTTGGTAAGCTATTGATTATTGCCACAATTTCAGCTCCTGTTATTGGTCTATTCAGAGATTCAGCTTCTTCCTGGTTTAGTCTTGGGAGAGTGTATGTGTTGAGGAATTTATCCATTTCTTCTAGATTTCCTAGTTTATTTGCATAGAGGTGTTTGTAGTATTCTCTGATGGTAGTTTGTATTTCTGTGGGATCAGTGGTGATATCCCCTTTATCATTTTTTATTGTGTCTATTTGATTCTTCTCTCTTTTTTTCTTTATTAGTCTTGTGGTCTATCAATTTTGTTGATGCTTTCAAAAAACTAGCTCCTGGATTCATTAATTTTTTGAAGGGTTTTTTGTGTCTCTATTTCCTTCAGTTCTGCTCAGATTTTAGTTATTTCTTGCCTTCTGGTAGCTTTTGAATGTGTTTGCTCTTGCTTTTCTAGTTCTTTTAATTGTGATGTTAGGGTGTCAATTTTGGATCTTTCCTGCTTTCTCTTGTAGGCATTTAGTGCTATAAATTCCCTTCTACAAACTGCTTTGAATGCATCCCAGAGATTCTGGTATGTTGTGTCTTTGTTCTCATTGGTTTCAAAGAACATCTTTATTTCTGCCTTCATTTCGTTATTTACCCAGTAGTCATTCAGGAGGAGTTGTTCAGTTTCCATGTAGTTAAGTGGTTTTGAGTGAGATTCTTAATCCTGAGTTCTAGTTTGATTGCACTGTGGTCTGAGAGACAGTTTGTTATAATTTCTGTTCTTTTACATTTGCTGAGGAGAGCTTTAATTCCAAGTATGTGATCAATTTTGGAATAGGTGTGATGTAGTGCTGAAAAAAATGTATATTCTGTTAATTTGGGGTGGAGAGTTCTGTAGATGTCTATTAGGTCTGCTTGGTGCAGAGCTGAGCTCAATTCCTGGGTATCCTTGCTGACTTTCTGTCTCAGTGATCTGTCTAATGTTGACATTGGGGTGTTAAAGTTTCCCATTATTATTGTGTGGGAGTCTAAGTCTCTTTGTAGGTCTCTAAGGACTTGCTTTATGAATCTGGGTGCCTCTGTATTGGGTGCATATATATTTAGGATAGTTAGCTCTTCTTGTTGAATTGATCCCTTTACCATTATGTAATGGCCTTCTTTGTCTCTTTTGATCTTTGTTGGTTTAAAGTCTGTTTTATCAGAGACTAGGATTGCAACCCCTGCCTTTTTTTGTTTTCCATTTGCTTGGTAGATCTTCCTCCATCCTTTTATTTTGAGCCTATGTGTGTCTCTGCCCGTGAGATGGGTTTCCTGAATACAGCACACTGATGGGTCTTGACTCTTTGTCCGATTTGCCAGTCTGTGTCTTTTAATTGTAGCATTTAGATTTACATTTAAAGTTAATATTGTTATGTGTGAATTTGATCCTGTCATTATGATGTTAGCTGGTTATTTTGCTTGTTAGTTGATGCAGTTTATTCCTAGTCTCGATGATCTTTACATTTTGGCATGATTTTCCAGCGGCTGTTACCGGTTATTCCTTTCCATGTTTAGCGCTTCCTTCAGGAGCTCTTTTAGGGCAGGCCTCGTGGTGACATAATCTCTCAGCATTTCCTTGTCTGTGAAGTATTTTATTTCTCCTTCACTTATGAAGCTTAGTTTGGCTGGATATGAAATTCTGGGTTGAAAATTCTTTAAGAGTGTTGAATATTGGCCCCCTCTCTCTTCTGGCTTGTAGAGTTTTTGCAGAGAGATCTGCTGTTAGTCTGATGGGCTTCCCTTTGAGGGTAACCCGACCTTTCTCTCTGGCTGCCCTTAACATTTTTTCCTTCATTTCAACTTTGGTGAATCTGACAATTATGTGTCTTGGAGTTGCTCTTCTCGAGGAGTATCTTTGTGGCATTCTCTGTATTTTCTGAATCCGAATGTTGGCCTGCCTTGCTAGATTGGGGAAGTTCTCCTGGATAATATCCTGCAGAGTGTTTTCCAACTTGGTTCCATTCTCCCCGTCACTTTCAGGTACACCAATGAGACGTAGATTTGGTCTTTTCACATAGTCCCATATTTCTTGGAGGCTTTGTTCGTTTCTTTTTATTCTTTTTTCTCTAAACTTCCCTTCTCGCTTCATTTCATTCATTTCATCTTCCATTGCTGATACCCTTTCTTCCAGTTGATCGCATCGGCTCCTGAGGCTTCTGCATTCTTCGCGTAGTTCTCGAGCCTTGGTTTTCAGCTCCTTTAAGCACTTCTCTGTATTGGTTATTCTAGTTATACATTCTTCTAAATTTTTTTCAAAGTTTTCAACTTCTTTGCCTTTGAATTTCCTCCCATAGCTTGGAGTAATTTGATCGTCTGAAGCCTTCTTCTCTCAGCTCGTCATTCTCTGTCCAGCTTTGTTCCATTGCTGGTGAGAAACTATGTTCCTTTGGAGGAGGAGAGGCGCTCTGCTTTTTAGAGTTTCCAGTTTTTCTGCTCTGTTTTTTCCCCATCTTTGTGGTTTTATCTACTTTTGGTCTTTGATGATGGTGATGTACAGATGGGTTTTTGGTGTGGATGTCCTTTCTGTTTGTTAGTTTTCCTTCTAACGGACAGGACCCTCAGCTGCAGGTCTGTTGGAGTACCCAGCCGTGTGAGGTGTCAGTCTGCCCCTGCTGGGGGGTGCCTCCCAGTTAGGCTGCTTGGGGGTCAGGGACCCACTTGAGGAGGCAGTCTGCCCGTTCTCAGATCTCCAGCTGCGTGCTGGGAGAACCACTGCTCTCTTCAAAGCTGTCAGACAGGGACATTTAAGTCTGCAGAGGTTACTGCTGTCTTTTTGTTTGTCTGTGCCCTGCCCCCAGAGGTGGAGCCTACAGAGGCAGGCAGGCCTCCTTGAGCTGTGGTGGGCTCCACCCAGTTCGAGCTTCCTGGCTGCTTTGTTTATCTAAGCAAGCCTGGGCAATGGTGGGCGCCCCTCCCCCAGCCTCGCTGCTGCCTTGCAGTTTGATCTCAGACTGTTGTGCTAGCAATCAGTGGGACTCCGTGGGCGTAAGACCCTCCGAGCCAGGTGCGGGATATAATCTCCTGGTGGGCCCTTTTTTAAGCCTGTCAGAAAAGGGCAGTATTCTGGTGGGAGTGACCGGATTTTCCAGGTGCTGTCTGTCACCACTTTCTTTGACTAGGAAAGGGAACTCCCTGACCCCTTGAGCTTCTCCAGTGAGGCAATGCCTTGCCCTGCTTCAGCTCGCGCACACTGCATGCACCCACTGACCTGTGCCCACTCTCTGGCACTCCCTAGTGAGATGAATCCAGTACCTCAGATGGAAATGCAGAAATCACCCGTCTTCTGCGTTGCTCACGCTGGGAGCTGTAGACCGGAGCTGTTCCTATTCGGCCATCTTGGCTCCTCCCTAAATTGCTCCTTTTTAATGAATTTATTTATTCTTGTAAAAACAAATCTTAAGCAAAAGAAATGGGCTGCAAGTGGTTAATTATAGACATCAGCATCCTAAAAAAATGGATTTGGGGCAGAATGTTATGGGGAGTGAGGGATGAGGAGTACATACCTGCACTTCCAAAAAGATAATACATAAGCCCAGTGTGCTTGTATTTCAGTCCTACAAAGCTCTCACAGGAGGTACCACCCATGGTACCTGCCAGGTTCCACTATTTCTACAGGAACTGGGATGATGACAAGTCATGTGGCTACAAGTAACTTCAGTACTTTGAAGTACATGTTGCTGTGGGTAGAGCAATATGGAGGCAGTTTTGGTGGTCCAGAAAAAAAGATGGTCGTATCTTAGAACATGTGGTGGGAGTTAGAAAGAAAAGAAGTAAATTAATTTAAGAAATATTGAGGAGGCAAAATCAACAGAACCAAAAGATAGATTGGATATGAGGTGGAAGGAGAGAAAGGCACCAATAATGACTTCTGTTCATGCCACTCCCCAACTAAGGAAAACATACGGGGCAACAGGTCTGGTGGGGATGAAAACTGTGTTGGGAACCATATCAAGTAAGCATCTGGGACTATGAGGTAGATCTCAGAGGAAAGTTCTAGAAGGGAGATAAGCACATGTAAGACTTCTACAAGTAGGTGATAAATAAAACCCTGTGATGTACTTGGTTTTGTGTTGGGTTCAGGGAACACAGACATCAGAGAGTCAGGGAATATTTCTGTATCTTCTTCACTCCACTCTGACAGGCTGTCAACGAAATGTAAAAGCATTCTCTTAAAATGCTTTCTAAATTACACACACAGTTAAAATGCTTTCTAAACTCCACAAATGTTAATTTTAATTATTAATAAGAAATAAATGACAATAAGAAATTTTTACATTACCTGATTATGTGAGAGAGTTTAATGGAAGGAATATGGAAAGATTATGTGGGTGACATAGGAGAAATTTTTTCCCAGATGACCATTGTGCACAAGGAGAGTGCAGGCTAGGCCTGGTCCCAGGAAGGGAAAGTGTTCCTGGGTCATTCTAGAAAGTAAGATATGGACCTTGGGCTGCAATGCTCTCTGTCCCAACTATGATTTATACAGAAGAAGAATTATTTTATCAACAAAAGATTAATGATACTCACAGATTCTGGAGAGACAAAACTCTTGTCCAATCCACCAAATTTCTATTTGTGTTCTGTGAACACTAGTATCCTGTATAAGGTTAACTAACTGTGTTATGGGGAAAAATGTTAACAAAATTTTTCTTTTTCCAAGTATGCAAATGTACGTCAGAACAATGACATGTATTCTTCTAATGGTTTCTTATTAATATCTCGTGTAGTAATTGGCCTTTTAGAAATGATACATATCAAAGAGAATTGCAGGACATTACATAAAATACATTCTCTGAGAAGGATCTTTTGATGGTTAATTTCATATATGAACTTGATTTGGCTAAGGGACACCCTGATAGCTGGTAAAACATTATTTCTGGGAGTCTGTAAGGACGTTTCCAGAAGAGATTAACATTTGAATCAGTAGACTGAGTAAATAAGATCTGTACTTACCAATGTGGCTAGGCACCATGCAATCCCTTGAGGACCCAAATAGAATAAAACTGTGGATTAAGGTACATTTGCTCTCTCTGCTTGAGCTGGGACACCCATCTCCTCATGCCCTCAGACACTGGTGTCCCCAATTCTTAGACTTTGGGTCTCAGACTAAGTCTCTCTCTCTCTCTCTCATTCTTTGCTCTTGACAAAATACATGCTTTTTCCTTAAGATTTACGTTTTATTATGATTAAAAGAGCAAGGTATTGTGAAGTTCTTTTGGCAGTCTAGGTGCTTAAAATCTATACTATCTAATTTTATTTCTCTATTTCCATTATTTTAATCAACATAAAAATTTAAGTTACTACCTACGAAACAGAATGGAAACTTGAATATGGAACTGGAAAATTTCCATGAAGCTGAAATATACTGAAGCACATGACTTGCAACAAAGCACTTTTATTTGAAAGTTGCCTCTGAATGTCTTTAGACAGGATATTCACTTTCCAGAATAATGCAGTTCTCATGATTCTTATTGCCTTACACTCAGACCACTTACAGGACTCTCCTGGCCCTCAAAGGCATTTGCAGTTCTTGAGGTTGGGAGAAAAAGAGGAAAAGAAATCAGAGCATCCTGGTAATTGGCATATTCATCACCTCAAACATGTATCATTTCTTTTTATTAGGAACATTCCAGTTCCACTCTTATGGTTATTTTGATACATACAACAAATTATTGTTATCTATAGTCACCCCACTGTGGATGGGGTGGAACACTAGAACTTATTCCTTCTATATATAACTACTTTTGTAGTCATTAACCAACTTCTGTTTATCCTTCCCCTCACTGCTACCCTTCCCAGTCTTTGGTAACCATTGTTTTACCCCCATGAACATTTATCAAAATGTCACATATAGCCCAGAAATATGGACAATCAATCATTATATATTTAAAAAAAGAAATCAAAGCATCTTTATAATCTATTCACTGCTGTAATTTAGTGCGTGTTTTATGTCCTCACATACATAGTGCATGTTTTATGTCCTCATATTAACTGGGGCTAATATATTAGTCTTATTTCCATGAGACCTTAGTAAGAATCTTAAAGAATAATCAACTTTAATTATTTCAAAAAATGCTTCATAAACTTAAAAATCTTATAAGCATATATATCAAGATTGGTTTGTTCCTTTGTGCAAACAAAAATAATTACAGGAGAAAAGGCGGGTGAAATTATTGCCATACTAAGATGTGCCTCATATGCTCTGCTAGTAATTCCTTTTTCTCAAGAGACTAAAGCTGTCATGAATTTCACAGAGAGTGTAGTTTACTGTTTTATTCATTTGCTTGTTTAGGAAATATTTATTTATTACTGATTACATACCAATTATTTTGTTACTCACTTGTTATGATCTAGGTATAGGCCCTTCTCTCAGAAGCTTATAATCTAGTGTTGAAGAAATGCTCTACATTAGGCAGGGCAGAGAGGGATGCTCTCCTGAGGGAGGGGGAAGGAGTATTTAGTATGAGAAGGAATGAGCCATCTGAAAGTATGGGAGTGGCACATTCCAGATAGCAAAGGAGAATATTAAATGTAAACATCCTTGGGGAGATAAGGTGTGGGTAATTCTGGGAATTCAGAAGGCAATTCCCAGAATGAAGAAACAAGTGACATCCCATCACAAGGAGCCTGTGGCAGAAGATGAAGTAGAGAGGTAGGCAAGAGCCAGGTGGTGCAGGGCTCTGCAGACAATTTGGATTTCGCATCAGTTTCCTATAGTTGTATAATAGATTAGCGGCAATTGAGCAGCTTAATACAATACCTGTTCATTATCTAACACCCATGCATTATCTAACATTTTCAATGGGTCAGATACTTAGACACGGCGCAGGTCAGCTTGATCCTCTGCTCTGGATTTACAAAGCCAAAGTCAATGAGTTGACTTGCTGGGATTTTATGGTAGGCCCTGAGGAATAATCTCCATCTAAACTCATTCAGGTTGTTGTAAGAATTCAGTTAAGAAAATGGCCGAATAGGAACAGCTCCGGTCTACGGCTCCCAGCATGAGCAATGCAGAAGACGGGTGATTTCTGCATTTCAAACTGAGGTACTGGGTTCATCTCACTGGGGAGTGCCAGACAGTAGGTGCAGGACAGTAGGTGAAGTGTACCGTGCGTGAGCCGAAGCAGGGCAAGACATCACCTCACCCGGGAAGCTCAAGGGGTCAGGGAATTCCCTTTCCTAGTCAAAGAAAGCGGTGACAGACGGCACCTGGAAAATCGGGTCACTCCCACACTAATACTGTGCTTTTCCAACGGGCTTAAAAAACGGCACACCAGGAGATTATATCCCGCACCTGGCTTGGAGGGTCCTTTGCCCACGGAGTCTCGCTCATTGCTAGCACAGCAGTCTGAGATCAAACTACAAGGCGGCAGCGAGGCTGGGGGAGGGGCACCCACCATTGCTGAGTTAGTTGTTTGATTAGGTAAACAAAGTGGCTGGGAAGCTCTAACTTGGTGGAGCCCACCACAGCTCAAGGAGGCCTGCCTGCCTGCCTCTGTAGGATCCACCTCTGGGAGCAGGGCACAGACAAACAAAAAGACGGCAGTAACCTCTGCAGACTTAGATGTCCCTCTCTGACAGCCTTGAAGGGAGCAGCGGTTCTCCGAGCACACAGCTTGAGATCTGAGAACAGGCAGACTGCCTTCTCAAGTGGGTCCCTGACCTCCGAGTAGCCTAACTGGGAGGAACCTCCCAGTAGGGGCGGACTGACACCTCACACGGATGGGTACTCCTCTGAGACAAAACTTCCAGAGGAAGGATCAGGCAGCAGCATTTGCAGTTCACCAATATCTGCTGTTCTGCAGCCACTGCTGCTGATACCCAGGCAAACAGAGTCTGGAGTGGACCTCAAGTAAACTCCAACAGACCTGCAGCTGAGGGTCCTGACTGTTAGAAGGAAAACTAACAAACAGAAAGGACATCCACACCAAAAACCCATCTGTACATCACCATCATCAAAGACCAAAAGTAGATAAAACCACAAAGATGGGAAAAAAAACAGAGCAGAAAAACTGAAAACTCTAAAAATCAGAGTGCCTCTCCTCCTCCAAAGGAACGCAGCTCCTCACCAGCAACTGAACAAAGCTGGATGGGGAATGACTTTGATGAGTTGAGAGAAGGCTTCAGATGATCAAACTACTCTGAGCTACAGGAGGAAATTTGAACCAATGGCAAAGAAGTTAAAGGCTTTGAAAAAAAATCAGATGAATGGATAACTAGAATAACCAATGCAGAGAAGTCCTTAAAGGACCTGATGGAGCTGAAAACCAAGGCATGAGAGCTACTTGACGAATGCAGAAGCTTCAGTAGCTGATGCAATCAACTGGAAGAAAGGGTATCAGTGATGGAAGACGAAATGAATGAAATGAAGCGAGAAGGGAAGTTTAGAGAAAAAAGAATAAAAAGAAACGAACAAAGCCTCCAAGAAATATGGGACTATGTGAAAAGACCAAATCTACGTCTCATTGGTGTACCTGAAAGTGACGGGGAGAATGGAACCAAGTTGGAAAACACTCTGCAGGATATTATCCAGGAGAACTTACCCAATCTAGCAAGGCAGGCCAACATTCAAATTCAGGAAATACAGAGAATGCCACAAAGATACTCCTTGAGAAGAGCAACTCCAAGACACATAATTGTCAGATTCACCAAAGTTGAAATGAAGGAAAAAATGTTAAGGGCAGCCAGAGAGAAAGGTCGGGTTACCCACAAAGGGAAGCCCATCAGACTAACAGCTGATCTCTCAACAGAAACTCTACAAGCCAGAAGAGAGTGAGGACCAATGTTCAACATTCTTAAAGAAAAGAATTTTCAACCCAGAATCTCATATCCAGCCAAACTAAGCTTCATAAGTGAAGGAGAGATAAAATACTTTACAGACAAGCAAATGCTGAGAGATTTTGTCACCACCAGGCCTGCCCTAGAAGAGCTCCTGAAGGAAGCACTAAACCTGGAAAGGAACAACCAGTACCAGCCACTGCAAAAACATGCCAAATTGTAAAGACCATCAAGGCTAGGAATAAACTGCATCAACTAACAAGCAAAATAACCAGCTAACATCATAATGACAGTATCAAATTCATATACAACAATATTAACTTTAAATGTAAATGGGCTAAATGCTCCAATTGAAAGGCACAGACTGGCAAATTGGATAAAGAGTCAAGACCCATCAGTGTCCTGTATTCAGGAAACCCATCTCATGTGCAGAGACACACATAGGCTCAAAATATAGTGATGGAGGAAGATCTACCAAGCAAATGGAAAACAAAAAAGAAGACAGGGGTTGCAATCCTAGTCTCTGATGAAACAGACATTAAACCAACAAAGATCCAAACAGACAAAGAAGGCCATTACATAATGGTAAAGGGATCAATTCAGCAAGAAGAGCTAACTATCCTAAATATATATGCACCCAATACAGGTGCATATTTACAGATTCATAAAGCAAGTCCTGAGTGACCTACAAAGAGACTTAGACTCCCACACAATAATAATGGGAGACTTTAACACCCCACTGTCAACATTAGACAGATCAACGAGACAGAAAGTTAACAAGGATACCCAGGAATTGAACTCAGCTCTGCACCAAGCGGACCTAATAGACATCTACAGAACTCTCCACCCAAAATCAACAGAATATACATTCTTTTCAGCACCACACCACACCTACTCAAAAATTGACCACATAGTTGGAAGTAAAGCACTCTTCAGCATATGTAAAAGAGCAGAAATTATAATAAACTGTCTCTCAGACCACAGTGCAATCAAACTAGAACTCAGGATTAAGAAACTCACTCAAAACCGCTCAACCACATGGAAACTGAACAACCTGCTCCTGAATGACTACTGGGTAAATAACGAAATGAAGGCAGAAATAAAGATGTTCTTTGAAACCAATGAGAACAAAGACAAAACATACCAGAATCTCTGGGACACATTCAAAGCAGTGTGTAGAGGGAAATTTATAGCACTAAATGCCCACAAGAGAAGGCAGGAAATATCCAAAATTGACACCCTAACATCACAATTAGAAAACTAGAAAAGCAAGAGCAAACACATTCAACAGCTAGCAGAAGGCAAGAAATAACTAAGGTCAGAGCAGAACTGAAGGAAATAGAGACACAAGAAACCCTTCAAAAAATTAACGAATCCAGGAGCTGGTTTTTTGAAAAGATCAACAAAATTGATAGACTGCTAGCAAGACTAATAAAGAAGAAAATAGAGAAGAATCAAATAGACACAATAAAAAATGATTGATAAAGGGGATATCACCACCAATACCACAGAAATTCAAACTACCATCAGAGAATACTATAAACACCTCTACACAAATAAACTAGAAAATCTAGAAGAAATGGATCAATTCCTTGACACATACATCCTCCCAAGACTAAACCAGGAAGAAGTTGAATCTCTGAATAGACCAATAACAGGCTCTGAAATTGAGTCAATAATCAATAGCTTACCAACCAAAAAGAGTCCAGGACCAGATGGATTCACAGCCGAATTCTACCAGAGGTAGAAGGAGGAGCTGGTACCATTCCTTCTGAAACAATTCCAGTCAATAGAAAAAGAGGGAATCCTCCCTAACTCATTTTATGAGGCCAGCATCATCCTCATACCAAAGCCTGGCAGAGACAAAACCAAAAAAGAGAATTTTAGACCAATATCCTTGATGAACATTGATGCAAAATTCCTCAATAAAATACTGGCAAACTGAATCCAGCAGCACATCAAAAAGCTTATTCACCATGATTAAGTGGGCTTCATCCCTGTGATGCAAGCCTGGTTCAACATACGCAAATTAATAAATGTAATCCGACATATAAATAGAACCAAAGACAAAAACCACGTGATTATCTCAATAGATGCAGAAAAGGCCTTTGACAAAATTCAACAACCCTTCATGCTAAAAACTCTCAATAAATTAGGTATTGATGGGATGTATCTCAAAATAATAAGAGCTATCTATGACAAACCCACAGCCAATATCATACTGAATGGGCAAAAACTGGAAGCATTCCCTTTGAAAACTGGCACAAGACAGGGATGCCCTCTCTCACCACTCCTATTCAACATAGTGTTGGAAGTTCTGGCCAGGGCAATTAGGCAGGAGAAGGAAATAAAGGGTATTCAATTAGGAAAAGAGGAAGTCAAATTGTCCCTGTTTGCAGATGACATGATTGTATATCTAGAAAACCCCATTGTCTCAGCCCAAAATCTCCTTAAGCTGATAAGCAACTTCAGCAAAGTCTCAGGACACAAAATCAATGTACAAAAATCACAAGCATTTTTATACACCAAAAACAGACAGAGAGCCAAATCATGAGTGAACTCCCATTCACAATTGCTTCAAAGAGAATAAAATACCTAGGAATCCAACTTACAAGGGATGTGAAGGACCTCTTCAAGGAGAACTACAAACCACTGCTCAAGGAAATAAAAGAGGATACAAACAAATGGAAGAACATTCCATGCCCATGGGTAGGAAGAATCAATATCGTGAAAATGGCCATACTGCCCAAGGTAATTTATAGATTAAATGCCATCCCCATCAAGATACCAATGACTTTCTTCACAGAATTGGAAAAAACTACTTTAAAGTTCATATGGGACCAAAAAAGAGCCTGCATCGCCAAGTCAATCCTAAGCCAAAAGAACAAAGCTGGAGGCATCACGCTACCTGACTTCAAACTATGCTACCAGGCTATAGTAATCAAAACAGCATGGTACTGCTACCAAAGCAGAGATATAGACCAATGGAACAGAACAGAGCCCTCAGAAATAATGCTGCATATCTACAACTATCTGATCTTTGACAAGCCTGACAAAAACAAGAAATGGGGAAAGGATTCCCTATTTAATAAATGGTGCTGGGAAAACTGGCTAGCCATATGTAGAAAGCTGAAACTGGATCCCTTCCTTATACCTTATACAAAAATTAATTCAATATGGATTAAAGACTTAAATGTTAGACCTAAAACCATAAAAATCCTAGAAGAAAACCTAGGCATTACCATTCAGGACATAGGCATGGGCAAGGACTTCATGTCTAAAACACCAAAAGCAATGGCAACAAAAGCCAAAATTGACAAATGGGATCTAATTAAACTAAAGAGCTTCTGCACAGCAAAAGAAACTACCATCAGAGTGAAGAGGCAACCTACAGAATGGGAGAAAATTTTTGCAACCTACTCATCTGACAAAGGGCTAATATCCAGAATCTACAATGAACTCAAACAAATTTACAAGAAAAAAACAACCCCATCAAAAAGTGGGCAAAGGATATGAACAGACACATCTCAAAAGAAGACATTTATGCCTCCAAAAAACACATGAAAAAATGCTCATCATCACTGGCCATCAGAGAAATGCAAATCAAAACCACAATGAGATACCATCTCACACCAGTTAGAATGGTGATCATTAAAAAGTCAGGAAACAACAGGTGCTGGAGAGGATGTGGAGAAATAGGAACACTTTTATACTGTTGGTGGGACTGTAAACTAGTTCAACCATTGTGGAAGTCATTGTGGCGATTCCTCAGGGATCTAGAACTAGAAATACCATTTGACCCAGCCATCCCATTACTGGGTATATACCCAAAGATTATAAATCATGCTGCTATAAAGACACATGCACATGTATGTTTATAGTGGCACTATTCACAATAGCAAAGACTTGGAACCAACCTATATGTCCAACAACGATAGACTGGATTAAGAAAATGTGGCACATATACACCACGGAATAGTATGCAGCCATAAAAAATGATGAGTTCATGTCGTTTGTAGGGACATGGATGAAACTGGAAACCATCATTCTCAGCAAACTATTGCAAGGACAAAAAACCAAACACCGTATGTTCTCACTCATAGGTAGGAATTGAACAATGAGAACACATGGACACAAGAAGTGGTACATCACACACTTGGGACTGTTGTGGGGTGGGGGTAGGGGGGAGGTATAGCATTAGGAGGTATACCTAATGCTCAATGACGAGTTAATGGGTGCAGCACACCAACATGTCACATGTATACATATGTAACAAACCTGTACGTTGTGCACATGTACCCTAAAACTTAAAGTATAATAATAAGAAAATGAAAAAAAAAATTCAGTTTCATTCAGTTGTAGGGTCAAACTCCCCTTTTCTTGGTGGCTATTAGCTAGGTGAAGCCCTTTATACTTGGAGGCCTCTGTCTGGTCTTTGTACTTGTGTTCGTATATCTCAGAAACAGCCATGACCCATACATCCCACTCACAGTTGTAATCTCTGAGTTCTCCTGCTGCATCTCTTTCTGCTTCTGGCTGAAAAAATGTCTCTGCTTTTAAGGGCTCCTGTGATTAGATTGGTTCAACTCAGACAACCCGGAATAATCTCCCTATTTTAAACTTTATGACTTAATCAAATCGGCAAGATCTCTGACATAGATTCACAGGTTCCAGGGATTAGGTTATGGGAAGCCATTATTTTGCCTGCTTCAGATTTAATTCAAAGAGAAAAAGAGCATTGAATGCACTTACACAGGGTAGTGACAGAATCTCATACATGTTTTAAATTTATGTAGAAGACAATTCTTTCTTTACTGTGAATTAAACAGAATTTGATGCATGACTGGTTTAGGATTATATCCATCATACTGTGACTCTGGGAGTAAGGATTCAGCAAAAGAGCCTAAAGTGAAGGGGTGGGTGGTCATGCCATCTTTCTGGTCATTGTGGATCCTCCCAGACTAGGAATTAATGGACGCAGACATCATAGGGTCCTTTTCTCTAGAGAAGGGCTAATGAGGCCAACAGTAGATAGTGAAGAATCCATCTCACCATGTAACCAGGACTCTCAATTGATGATCTTCCTAATACCCCTTAAAGGAATTAGAAAATTGACGTACCTTCTCTCATATATATGAGTTGACCTCTCCAATTTTTCATTATGATATTAAATGTGCAAATACTACATGGTTTCTGTCATCTCTAATATTTTAAAATAAAGTTGCTATATTAATTCTTAAAATATGTCAAATGGAACCTGACCATAATTACCATATACCCACAATAATGTATTTAAATAAATGAACAAACTCTGTTTTTAACATTTCTTCATTTTACCCTTAATGATTTCAACTTAAATTCATATTTCCATTACCATCTCCTTTGGACTTTCTTTCCAAATTATGTACTTTTATGGAAAAGTTTTCTTAGACCAATAAACATGTATAGCTCATATTTTAGAAGGTACTTTTAAAAATCTTTTGACCACAAGGCACTACATGTTAAAAAAAAAAGTATTCTGTCTTAGGGGTCATTACAATTGTTATTAATAAACATTTGATCCAAACACCATAGATTAAATAGTAAAAAACTGTTGGCCAAGTATGATTTCATACACAAATGAGAATTTTCAAGAATGTATTTTCTGTATTCAGTGATGCATGTGATTGACTGATAGATTTCAAAAAATAATGTGGAATCCTATTTGATATCTTTATAGATGAAATCACTAGTGATCTTGTCCCCATAAGTAAGTAGAGGGAAGAAAAAAGGTTTTGCTGTAGTAATTTCATTCAAATCTTTGAACTTCTTTCACATCATAAATCTATAGCCAAATAGTGCTCTATTATATAAGTATTTCTGGAGATTGACTCAACCTAATTGAGCTATTGACTCAATTAGGTTCTCTGTCATTGAAAGAAAAAGTTAGGAGCTTTCTGACTTATAAAAGGATTTGTTATTCTATACCGAAAAGACTTTCCTAAGATTTACCAAATGACTATTAATCATTTCTGTGTGTCTTTCACAAGAGGTACCTTGTTTCATCAAACGTGCCCATAATCAATTGGGAAAATGGAATTTTATTGTTCATATTTTTGCTAACATCTTTGCAAAAACTTGTTTTCTATTTGATAAAATGCATTTATTTTGCCATGTGCTTTTTGTGATGGACATAGAGATTCACAATTTCTTTAAGGAAGGACTTGCTGCCCAGCCTTGGGAAGTGTGATCAGCACAGCCCCTCCAGCTCCCAGCCCCATCAGGATCTGCCTTAGCTGCAGCGAGCCACCTGCCTGAAGGACACATCCTTCCCAGGGCAGCCCACATCTGGTCCTGAGCCAGGGAAGGGGGTTAAGACCTCTCAACTTTGGCAGACACTTCTTGCTCCAAAACGGCCTTAGGCAATGTTGGACTTTCATCACAGTTCAGCTTCTTCCCGGGCCCAGTCTTGTTTCCACCACCTCTTTTCCACTTTTATTGATTAAAAGTAAAACATTTTGCATCCTAGATTTTACCTGCTTCTGGAGAATCCCAATTGTGGAAACTTTGAAAATAACTTTGTCAAAACCTTGGGCTTTGAATTTAGCTCTTTCTATTTATGGAAAATATCTAAGCTATTTAACTTAGCTTATAGCGAAGTTAGTAAGAAAATTATTTACTTTCTGTCTGAAAAATCTTCCTTCATTTTATATTTCAAGTAAGCACATTAAAATGTTTTTTGAGAAAGATTATGTTTAAAAGTACAGAAAGAAATTATTTAACAAGTCTTATGTAATGGTGTATTTAAAATGGTTTAGATAAAATTCTAAAAATTTAATAAAATTTAAGTCTTCTTTTTATGTTACAAATCAAAATAAACTATGTTACTTATTACTTAAATGATAAAAATGCAATATAATGCATAAATAAATGAGATTATTTGGGAAGCAACAAGTATTAAAAAAGGTATATTTTTGGTTACTCTGCATGCTTATTTATTGAACTTTTGTGTTTATCTCCTGGGAATGATTGAATATAAACAAAATTTAAAAATAGGAATATATATGTCTTAAGAACACCATGATAAATATTTTACTATGCATTTAATGAAAGTTATATGATACTAGAAATTAATTGTTCTGAAAATTTGCATACAATTATACTTTCTGTTACTAGACGGTAAATATTATTAAACAGTATATAAGATGACACAAAATAAAGATCGACTGTATTTGGAACAAATATTTTATGATACATTTTGCTAAAATAGTTTTTATCTTTAGTACTGCATAGCAAGTATGAATGAAATAATGTTTTACCCACTGATTTTATATATAGAATATTTGGAACTATTTTGCAGTCCTAGAAAATATTCTGATTATATTTAAAGATTCAGCTTTATTAACTTCCACTGCTCTGGCTGTTTGAAGGAGCTTGTCTTTGCAGCTAGTGACAAGTTCTAATGATGAGGCTTGAAGTAGTTGTAAAAAACTGCTTATGTTTAAGGCAGATCCAAGCTTTGTGGATCCTAAAGTTTTTATAAACTTTGGTGGGTGGTGTTTGAAAGACAAATGATGTAACAAAAATAAAATATAATTATGTGTGAACATGAGTATTTAGAATGAGAAAAAAATTATAACATTACAAATTTTAAAAAGCTGATAAAATCACAAACATCACAAAATCCACTTGTGTCATGATACTTTTCTTAATTAACTGACTGCATGTTACACTTCTATAGTGTTTTTTTTTCTAAATTTTTTTTCTGTAAACTCCTTGAGGGCTTTGCCATATAATAAAAATTTTGTAATATAATTTTCTCTATAGAGGAAATAGATAAATCAGTCATTATGTTGGTCATTTTGTTTTTCAAATAGTTGGGCTGTGTAAGGCATATAAATTGACTTATAGACATACTTGCTCATGTTAGTACTATTTCATGGTTGAGCTTAATAAGTATGAGCTTCGTGATCAATTTCATTTCCCAGCTTGCCAACAAAAAAGAAAAAATATTTTTTGATTGTTTTTATACTGAGTTTTCTTAAGAGAATTTATATGTTGATCATATGTGAATATTTGAATGAGAATTGAGTGCTTGTTTTATCACTTCTCAAGTCTGATGATTGGAAGAATTTTCAGTAGACTAACTCTGGCACTGTATAGTTCAAACCTCATTCCTCCTTCACTACCCACATATTTCCAGGTTCTTTAGGGAAACTTTAACATCATGACCTGACATTGCAGACAGGATGATAGGTGAGTCAGCATAGAGCATGGGAAAAGCTTTCCTAGAAGCAATCTCTCCACCAGACAAGCTGTTTAAATATTTAACAATATGCTAATGTGACTACAAACCACATGAATACATTCCCAATGACAAACTGAATGTAACTCCAGCTCAACTTTTTCTTGGGTGCATCCTGAAAATGCTCACAGCCAATGAATGCCAATATACATATCAAGATGCATGACTGAAGGAGTTAGTATGGAAATGAATGGTGATTTTAAGAGGTTACAGTTCAACTAGCTCCTTCTATAATTTTTACAAATGCATATGACGATGTAAACACACTGCTAGTGCCCCTCTCAGGGTCTTGGAAGAATCCCATTCCAATAGAGGGTCCTTGAAGCTTAAGCCTTAGTAGCTTCAAGGTAAATCTACATTAATATTAAGCAGATAAAATTATTTTAGTGTTCAATGTTTCTTAATGATGGTTTGTACTTTATTCTCAAGGGGCTTTCCCTAAAGAGAAATGCATTCATACATGATAGTGCATTTGGTAGTGGTGGTGGTGGTGAGGAGTAGCTAGATAGAAGGATTAGATCTGGGAAATAAACGTCATTACTCTCACAATCTCACTCTACCAAACATTCATCTCAATTCATTATATTCCAAGTTTCAATGCCTGTTTGAAAAGTTTTTTGCCTCTAACAGCAATACTACAAGGCAGGAAAATACTGGAAGCCATTTTGTGAAGTATTGATTAGTCATTAAGCTTTCACCTTGTTTGCTCCCTTCAGGGAAGGGTGAAGCTTTCATCCCTTTACTCTCCTTCTCCCCCCTCTTCCTCTCATCTGTCAAAGAAAACCAGACCTCTACAGTAGTTAAAGCAGTGAAAGTCAAATTTTATTCAGGACCATTGCAATAAGGGAAATGAGATCTCAGTATAGTACTGGGCTCAACTCTGAATACGGCATGGGCGAGTGGGAATTTATTGCCAAAGAGAAGGGTGAGGGTAAGTGGATGAAAAATTTACTAAAAATAAACATCTGGGATAGAGGGGATTCTGGCTAAAGTGACCTAGCAGGATATTTGATGAAGAGATGCTGGAATGATTCATCATCACCTGGGGGATGGTGGAGGATAAGGAACCTGATTAAATATCCAAGGGTGATCAGATATGGAGGATAAGGGGTTTTTGTTAAACTGACAGCAGGGGTCCAAGAAAGTACACAGGCGGAAGTAAGAGAAGTTTTGAGAGCCTGACTAAAGTTTGGTGAAACAAAGAATCTTTGGCACTCCCTTCCTCCCTCCCACCTCTTCTCTCCCTCCCTCTCTCCCCTCTCCTCCTTCCTCTCCTTCCTTCCATTCTAGCTGGCCGAGGGCTGATGTGACCTCTGAGGCTTTCTCAAGATGGCCTTTTGGAAAGTTCTCAAGAATCTGGAAGTCAATTTTCTGAATACATACAGGGTGCTTGCACAATTTGCAGAGTCCTATGTACCCCATTTTAAAATGTGCCATAGCCAGAAATTGACCAACTCTTTCTATAAAGGATCAGACAGATAGTGAATATTTTAGGCTGTGGGCCACAGGTCTCTGTAGCAGTTACTAAACTCGATACTTGTAATATGAGATCAGCCATAGACAATACATCAATGAATGGATTAACTGTGTTTTATAAAACTTTCTTTATAAGGAAAAAAAAAAAGCGGTAGTTTGGATTTGGCCTAGAGCCCTAGTTTTTTGACTGACCCCAGCCTTAGACTACTAACAGGTCTGATGACAAGTGGCATTATGTACCAGCATTTCCAGAGAAATCACTGGAAGTTCCTCAAAATTTAAAACTAGCACTAATTTCTGTTATATGCACAGCCTACAGACAATTCGTCAGTGATTCCCAAAATAAACATTTCCAATAAAACAAGTCTGCAATGTCCACCTGGGGATAGCAAGTCTGTGATATTATCAGGTTAGAAAACATACTATATTTTTATTTTTTCAAAAAGCTTCATGTCAGAACCTAAGACGGTCCAATTAGAAAAAGAATGTGTTTAAACTGATTTTGGCAAAATTTGTAAATGTTGCACAAGGTCCAAGTCAGACTGAAAGTACTACAAATCAGTGTTGTTCAATCAGCACTTTTTGGTGAGGTCAGACTTGGACCCTCTCAGCATCCACTTTGACTCACATGTGGTTTTATCTCTGCCACCCAGGACGCCTACTTGATATCAAGTGACAGCAGAGGTCATTTATAAGAAAGTCCTGGAGAATTTCCCATCCACCAACCAGAGCTATGTTTATTGTAACAAAAATTCACCAACTAGGATAGGATCACAGCTCCATAAAAAGCCTTCTGTGTGTTGGAAGCTAAAATGGGGTCTTTGAAAGCACAAGAGAAGAGACATTCTGGTAAAAATAATTAATAGAACCATGACAAAGATGACTATAGCCCAAGAGGATCTTTCAATATTGATTGAATTTGTGCCCGATGTCCCAGCATGACTGTGCATGGGGAAAGCCATCTGTATTTCATGGATCAGGCTGGCAGGCCACTCAAATCAGGCTTTAATCCAACTTCAAACCAAGAGAGCTGGGAGGAAAACAGCTTCAGACACTTGAGGTGATGGCCAGAAATGCTCCAGATGCTTGGCATGAGAAGGATTATCAATTTAACATGGACTTTTAGCCACACACCTGACCTGCAATCAAAATCTGTTGTTAAAATACTTCCATCATGTTCTGGGGTCTTTAATGTTCTGAAGAAGTGATTTATTCTCTCTGAGATATCTGTCCACACTAGTGCTTTGGTAGTATTTCATGATCTGAAAATCAGATATCTATTTGTGTGACTTAATAAGAAAGAGAAGAAAAGGAGAGGATACATACCATGTTTTCTGTTGTGCAAGTTTATTTGTACAAATA
The DNA here is from genome assembly GCF_000001405.40 of Homo sapiens. NCBI lineage: Eukaryota > Metazoa > Chordata > Mammalia > Primates > Hominidae > Homo > Homo sapiens. The sequence goes on along the minus strand of NC_000014.9, from coordinate 87,406,760 downwards.
TAAGCATTTAAAGAAAACAAACATAAGGGTTAATGAATCTTGTTAACCACATTAAAGAATATACAGAATTATGCCTGATTTTAAAAATATAAACTCCTCATTCAATTGGAAGCTTTGTTTTCTCAATCCAAACTATTAATAATCACTGCTGAAACAAATCCCAAGGCTCTGTCCAGATTTGGGAACTAATTAACATTCAGTTAGCACTTGCCATATGCCTGTCACCATTGTAAGCATGTAGTAACTGATTTAATGTTCATATCATCTTTCTAGGTGGCTACCATTACCGTGCTCACTTTACAGGTGAGGTTCAGAGATTTATGTAACATGCCAAAGGTCACACAGCTGGACACAGCAGAACCAAGATTCAAATCTGCACAGGTAAGCTCCACAGCCTTCTGTCTTATCTAGGACTTTCCTAACCACCTTGAATATTTCATTTTAAAATTGATACCTTATTGGCTTATAATCTCTGCCAACATTTTGCTAAAACCCTTTCCTACACTATACAACCATTCCATTTGTTTAGAAATTCATCAGAGGAGAAATATTAAGTGGCTTTCTTTGTGACACCATCAGAAATACAGCTTCCCAAATCTTTCAACTGAAGAAGTAACCAAAAAGATATCTGAAGGACAGAGAGATGGAGAAAAGGAGAGGAGATAGAAAAAGGAAGAGAGAGAGAAAGCTCAAAATAAATTAGTATATATGCTAGCAAGATTCCTCCCAGTAGTTGTCTTTTTCCAATTAGAAGTGACTTGCACAGTTGCAGTACCACCTCTGTTAACCCCGGCTCACTGCCCTTCCAAACCATGTCTTCTGTTACTCTCAATCTATGTCGAATAGTCCCTCAGCTCTCATAACGGGACCAAATTCATGGCTGCTTCCTGATACAGCTGTGTCCTGTTACAAGGCTTGAAGTTACATAATGTAAGTTTACTCCATTGTAAGTTTTACCAATGCATTTAACTTAACAAGGTTCTAAAACTGTCATAAAGTTATTTACAACAGTTACTGAAAAAGATCATCTCTGAAAACAAGGAAAAGCTGTTCTTTCTCCCACACCCACACACAACCTGAGGTTCACCAATGAATGCATGCTCAGCTTCTGTCCTCCCAAGCATTTCATAAGATAGGGTTTTTGGATTTTTCACCTTTATGCACGTGCAATTAGCTTAAAAATGTCCACAAAACTGTGTAACTTTTAAGCCTTTTTTTTCTCCTTTACTGAACTATGTATTGAAATGTGGAATATGGAAGGTTACAGGGTTCAGAATCAACAAACCTAGAGATAAGAATAGCTATCAACACCAGACAAGATAGAGGACTATGACAGAATTAGAAAAAGGGGAATGATAATATGTGTGTGTGTGTGCGTGTGTGTGTGTTTTGCAGTTGAATATTGCATTACTATCCCAGGGCTACTGCAACAAATTACTACAAACTGGGTGGCTTAAAACAACAGAAAAATTATTCTCTCAAAGTTCTGGGGACCAGAAGTCCGAAATCAAGGAACTGGCAGGGCGGTACTCCTCCTGAAGGCTCAAAAGGACAATCCTTTCCTGCCTCTGCCAGCTGCTAGTGGCTCCGGGAGTCCCTGGTTTGTGGCTGCATTACTCTGGTCTCTGCCTTGTCTTCTCGTGGCCTTCTTCCCAGTGTCTTCCCATTTCTGTTTCCTATTAGGACCCTATCATTGGATTTAGGGCCCTCACACTAATCTACAGTGATCTCATCTCAAGATCCTTACCTATATTATATCTGTAAAGACTCTTATGTCAAATAAGGTCCCCTTCTGAGATTCTGGGTGTTAAGACTTGGACATATATCTTTGAGACCCAATTCAATTCACTGCAAATGTGTTCTTGTTTATAAGTTACATTTTTCTCTGAATAGTACCATTCCTTATGGTTATGGAGTTAAAACACCCTTTCTTTTATGAAAGGATAGTAATTTTGTTTGTATATTGTATTAGCCTGTTCTGACATTGCTATAAACATTGCTATAAAAAAACTACCAAGACTGGGTAACTTAAAAGAAAAAGGGTTTAATTGGCTTATGGTTGTGAAAGCTATACAGGAAGCATGGCTCCGGGAGGCCTCAGGAAACTTACAGTCATGGCAGAAGGGGAGGGTGGAGCCAGCATGTCCTACGTGGCTGGAGCAAGAGGAAGAGAGAGCAAAGGAGGATGTTTGAACAACCAGATCTTGTGAGAATTTAATCACTAGAATGCACTAGGCGGATGGTGAAAAACCATTAGAAACCAGCCCCACAATCCAATCACCTCCCACCAGGCCCACCTCCAACATTGGGAATTACAATTTAACATGAGATTTGGGTGGGGGCAGAGCTGTATTATATATGTATATAATATGTATTGTTATATAATACATATTGTTATATAAATATATAATAATGATTTAATGTTCATATCATCCATATTATATATGTATGTGTATATGTGTGCATGATTACCATATTATATATGTATATGTGTGTGTATGATTATATGATTATATATGTATGTGTTATATATGTATTATATATGTATGCGTATATGACTATATGTGTATCATAGTACTTTTTTGACAAAATTAAAAATCGACAATTCAATATCAGTTGTCACATTAAAACAAAAATGCTCCAGGAAATCCCAGTCCAGATGTGATTACAAACCAACCCCACCTTTCTGAGCCTATTTCGTTATCTTCAAATGAGATAATGTCTGATTTTTATATATTTGACTTTCAAATAATTTGCGCTTTGTACATAATACATGGGGACCTCTGAACACGTTTTCTGAAACACATATCTGACTTTCTTACACCAGAAGACCAATAAATATTTGAAGCTATTCTCCAGTGACACTGCCTGCGATTCAGGTCTTCAATTGGGGCATTTCACCATCTTTTTTTTACAGTAGGTGCTGTGGACTGAATGTTTGTGTCCCCTGAAAAATTCATACGTTAAATCCCTAATCTGCAAGATGATGGTATTTGGAGGTGGGGCCTTTGGGAGGTGATTAATCATGAGAGTGGAGCTTTCAAGACAGAATGTGTGCCCTTATAAGATGAGATACAAAAAATCTTACCTTTCTTTCTTCTTGTGAGGACATCTTGAAAAGACTATCATCTGTAAACCAGGAAGAGGGCCCTTTTCAGACACTGAATCTTCTGGCACCTTGCTTTTGGACATTCCAGCCTCCAGAACTGTGAGAAATAAATGTCTGTGGTTTAAGCCACCTGGTCTATGGTATTTGTTATGGCAACCCAAGCTGACTAAGACAGTAGGGTTTGTAAAATTATGTGAATTTTTTGTTTGGCATTTAACGATATGTTTTGAAATAAGAAAATGATAACATGAAAATAAGACTCAGTCTCAAACCTAATGGAACTAGACACAAGGAAGAGAAGTAGGTAGGCTGAAAGGGTGACATTTAGTCTCAATTGGACACACAAAGTGTGCAGATGTGAGTCTAATTTGAAGTAAAATGACAGAATTAATAACTATATATAAGTGGTGGATAAATAGCTTCAATGATTACATCAACAAAGTGCATCATGTTGCAGGTCCATCGTATATGTGCATCTTGAATAAATTTATTTCCTTCGTATAACTGTCATTTCCATTGTCTGACATATTTAGGGATTTTAACGTGGTATGAAAATAGGGCACTTTCTGTGGTTATAGTCATAATCATAGCAATGGATTAGTAGTAGCAGAAGTTCCAGTATTAGTAGAAATAGTGAAAAACAGTACAACAGCAGTAAAGTAAAATAACGCTATTGTATTACATTAAATGTGATAATGCACACAACGTTCTATAACCTATTAAGCTTGAGACAAATGTTAATTATTTTCTGCATTGTTGTATGGTCTCCATTTTGCAATAAATGCTCAATTATGCATTGATTAATTAGGGATGTCTTATTGACCTGCTTGGTAACTTAGTTCTTACTCGTACTTTACTAATCAGAAAATTAAGCTCTTCAATCCAAGGTCAGGCCTCAGGAAGGGGTGGATGAGAGCCAAATTTAACCTGCCGCTGGTTAATGATTTTATGTTTGAATATAAAACCTGCAGGCTTGACATGCAGTCACCTTCCTTTTGCCTTGTAGCTGAGTGTTCTACATGTTTATGTCGTATGGCCCCTGAAAGAATTCGTATTTGAAGCTCTGGGTAAGTGGTTAGGAAAGGACCAGCTGCAGGCAACAATGCGAGTGTGCCTTATTTCCTCAACTGTAAGAAATTCCAGCATGTCTAGAGGTTAGCCATGACCTCTCTTTGGTCAGGATTCTGCTGTGATGAGACAGATGATTGCCAATTCACGAAGGCCACTTTACTAAATCTGGGATGTCTGATTTAGTGTCTGCAGGAATCCGTTGCCCAACTATCACACATAGTCTACTCTCCCTGGAGTCCTTCTTTATCTACTGTTGCTTTTATTCTTTTCAAATGTATGATTAAAGGAGTTGATATGAGAGTTACTTGAAACTAGAAATATAAAGGTAAATATATAAAAATTTTAGATCCATCGCTGAGTCTATATCAAGTATTAACATCTGGTTCTAGGTCAAGCAAGGTTTTCTTTCAATCATATTTATTCATGAATACGTTCAGAAACCATTATGAAGCCAAATGTATGCTAGCCAAGCCAGTCCGCTCCATGATGCCTCCTGTTGTTTTTGCTGAATAGTAGTGGAATAAAATGGACTTGTGCTTTGTTCTTTCTTTGCTTGTTGTTAGAAAATGCTTTCTTTCAAATCTGAACTGGATTAAAATAGTCCTTCTGACATACATCAACCTGAGTTCCTTTCTTATAAATGTGTGAGTTGGACACGAGGGAAAATAAATTGTGGGTCAGGAAAGTCCCCAAAACGTAAGCTAAATGAAAGATTTATCTCACTTAGGCCATTGAAGTCATCATCACTCCTTCTAGGGGAGATGGAAACTTGACATTTTATCTTTGTAAGAGTTTTGGACTGAGTAATAAACTTTATTGAATAAATCCCAGTACCCATTAAAAACTCTTGAATCAGCTCTCTTGTAATAATTACATTGATATAACATCTAAGACAATGTTTTGCACTCATTTCTTTATCCTATTCCTATTCCATTTTTACACAGAATAAAGAAGTATGTGAATATTTTAGTGAATTAAAGGACATAATCAGGACATTGGAGATAAACTATGTTTTTAAATCATCTTAAAGGAGTTATTTGTAGTGCTACTAAATTTTTTAAGATAATCTAGAACCAAAAAGCTTGTATATATCTTCAAGAGATAAGAAGTTTAGATGAATTATTCTGAGAAATGAGGCTTACTTAAGCTTTTTTTTTTTTCTCCAGTAACAATTGGCAGATGATATCAAAGTATTATAAAGTAAAAAAGCATGGCCCACATATACATAGAATGGTTCTCATAAAAAATTATTCTCATGAAATCCATATAGAATGAACATATATCAAAATCTAACTCATTAATGATAGAACCGGAAGAATGGCGGATCCAATAAGCTTTTGAGGACCAAAGGTTTATAAACACGCTCAGGTAAAGCATACTGAAATAGTTGACTAAGTTAAGGACAAAACTGGTTAAGTCTTATAGTGTTTAGTGTTTGGAGTTTTCTTCTCTATAGCACAGATATTACTTGTATCTCTGTAGGAAGAAAACTATGAGTTAACATGTAACCTCCTGGACTCTAGGCTCTAATCAATGGTGAAAAGCAAACTAGATAAAGGTAAGTCCCCTAGAGAATTAAGCATTGCTTGGAAGTGCCAGTGTTAAAATTTGACACTAAAAGAACATGTTGTCATTCTTTTGCCTTTTTTTCAAGTTGGGCATAAGTTTCTTAAATAGTTCTTCCAGGGATCATAAATAACCTTGAAAGTTTATTTTTATTGACAAAAAATGCTGCTCTTATTCTGGTTTTGATGAATTAAGTTATAGATGTGCAGCAAGAGGTGTTAACTAACCATATTAACCTCCTTGCTAATGGTCAGCAAATCCAGAGGCTCACAGGGTGGAGCAAGAACAGAGTCCAGAGAATTAAGTTGGACTGGAAAATTCATAAGGAATCTCAGATTGCATTTTCAATAACATCTATTGTCCTTGAGGATTTTTAAAAAATATTGCTTCTATTGGATTTTCTATTCCAAGGTTGGGAAACCAAATGCAAACCTGAAACATTCATATCTATGGGTTGCACCTGCATTTCCTATAAATTTGAGAGAATTCCTTTCTCCTCAGAGTTTGCCAAATCAGATTAGGTTCGGCTTGTCCATAAAAGCTGAGACCTTTTAAGACAGAGTAGATATTGTTCCAGTTTCTGGGGAAGGTTTTGTGAGCATCAGTTCCACATATGAAATACAATCCATATTCCTTAATGATGTGTTTGTCATATCTAATTACCATGAGATTTATTCTCCAATATGTTACTTCAAGTATAGCCTCAATTGCAGCATCAATTTGTCCAATTATATCCTGGTTAAAAGGAGATCAAATTCTTGCAAATAAGTACATTTCCAAGAAAATACACAGACTCGGAATACATACATATGAATTTACATATATATGTAATATGTATATAAATTAATATATATGAATATATAAATAATATGTATTTATGAATAAATTTAAAACATATATATAAATATATAAATTCACGGTCTGAGTGAATAAGATACCATTCACAAAATAAGGATTAGAGAGATATTCGAGTGAGAAGAAACAACTTTTTCTTTTAAATATGACAGTTGAACACAGAGCTAATACCGTGAACATTCTAAAAAAAAATAAGCACAATTAGATTTCTCTCATCCATTCCATTCTTGACTATGTAAGTTAAATTTTGATCTTTTGGGTTTGAGGTTAGCAGTAAGCTTCCATGAGGTCGTCTGCTTCTGAATGAAAATGGGTCCTGGAAATCTTGACTCCATCCCTTTGGACTATCTCAGAGTTACCTAAATGATTCTAGCTCAAGCTTGAAAGACTGTTCCCATGAGATTATTTGTCAAAATATCAATAGTCAAAAGCACCTTATAGAGTTCTTTTAACTGAAGCATGTAGACTATTCTTCTTTGTTAAAAGCTTGATTTCTAGCCTGTGGCTTATAACAAAACCTTCAATCATCAAGCCCAAATGGATGTGGTTAGTTTATTATGGTAATCAACAATATGAGAACAGAGGAGAGCGAAATTCTCTACTGGGTTATAAGATTCAGATCAATGTTTCCTCTGAGGGTAAAAACATGCCAAGGCCAGCAAGGGCATGACAAATCTATGACATTTATAATCTCTAAAATATTTGTACTTGCTGTATTTTACCTACACAGAATTAGTTTGGAGTAGGCTGAGCTTTTCCTTTGATTTGATAAACTCTTAGCATGCAGCTCCTATACTTGTTGGAACAGCTAAGAAACAGGGGACATATTAATTAAGCAAACCAAGTTAGTTCTAACATCTCTCTTGATATAATGTAAAAGAAGAATTTTTTTGAGTACCTACTGAAATATAGTTTTACATGTAAAAGATACTTAACACACATACACATTTCATAAATATGGAGTTTGATCTTGATAAGGCAAAATCAAAAGATTTATCAAAAGGTATTTGGTCTCTTGATGAAGATAGAGGCATAGGTCTGGAGACTATTAGCTAGATTACCAACTCATCAAAGTAACACTGCAATATTTGAAATAAACTTAGAATGTAAAACAATTAGAAGGAAACTTAGCTCTTTCAGAAGTGAAGAAATTATGTCCTTCTCTTTTTTTCATCTTTTAAATCGTGGACATAAAATTCTGCACATAGCACATCTCACAGCAATCTAGTGAGATAGAGAATTTGCTATCTGCGTGGGCGATACAGAATGTAAACACTAATCTTTTACTATCTCTTAGAGATTACTAAATACTTCCAGACCATTTGTCATTTTAACATAGAGAAAAAATTCTAATTTGCATTAATAAAATATTTGGCAGTAAAGGAATGATAAACTATAAAAAACTAATCAAAATGAGTCAAATTTGCAACATTTTGACATATTTTATATTTCTTATGATAATTTCCAATTGTTAGAAACAAACACAAATAAGATTCACTGTTTTCAAAACTTTTATAACTTGATATAAAAACTCATTTTGTTCTTTATAATAATTTCATATTGGAACAATCTGATCCTTAATATATGATGAAACTACTCTCTTTATCTCTTGAAAAGCAAAAATACAACCCATGAATTATATACACTGTTGTATTACTCTGTCTTATTTAGAAGCTCTCCAGATCTCTCTTTCAGTATTCTATCTCACTTAAAAAGTTATTCAGATGTCCAAAGACTATTTACCAACTCAATTTCACATTATATATAAAGGGTTCAAGTTAACTAAGGTTTTTTTGCAAATAATATTTAATTAGATACAGTTTAGAACACGTGATGTTGATGTAAAAATGTCAGGACGATAATTAAACATCATTTTACATTTTGTTAATTTAAATATTTTACAGAAAGACTATCAGCTTATCTGAGAACTCAATAAGTATAAGAACTTTAAGACATTTATAATTATAGTCTTTTCATGGAAAAATTACACAATCATAATGTTACAACATTTTCCAAAAAATTATTAAGAAATGAAATGTATACTCGCATTATGTGCCACATTTTTAGCTATTTTTAAACCAATATTAAAAACCAGTTTAAAGAGTCAGCTTGATTAGATGGACTAAATTCTTATGGAAACGCTTCTGAGCTTTTATTTTCTATGAAAAAAAGATTATTTCAAGTCTGGCAAATTTAAGGTATTATAACTTCAGTTTTCTTATTTTCTTGGGATTCTGGAAATATTAATGCTAACACTGAAATCAGAACAGATATCCTTTATTTGGAGAGAATTTATAATTAAATTTATTAGTGCTCTTCAGAGGTAAGGAAATATTTCACATTTACACAAGAGGGGGTATGGTGTTAGTTCTGTGACAGACAGTCAGATGCACAGAAAGGGAGGAGCTTCCACCGTGCAACTTCAGCAGGAGGTCACGTTAATTATAGAGAACAAAACCCATCGGTTCAGTTGCAAAGAAAAGTTTCACTTTCTAGTGGTTATGAAATTATTCTTTAAATTTGCTTTCAGTTCACAGATAGACAGGTAAACAAATGAAAATGAGTAACAAACTCATGTACGTCTGTATGGACAGACTAACAGACCTTACCAAAAGCCAAAACAAAATTAAACTAAACAAACTAACAAAGAAAACCCCACAGAATTAGAAGGAGGAAGGGGGAGGCAACAGCAAAATTAAGAATCAGTAAAGGGTAAAGCCCTAGCATTGCTTGGGATTTACTCCTAGGACCCAAAGAAGACCTCCCTAGGTTTAAACAGCCCATAGGTGCATTTCTCAGAAAATCAGCTTTGATTGGCCCTGGCAGTTGAATCTATTGGTGGGCATGTCATTGGGAAATCCTCCAAAAATGTCCATGTATAATTTCTAAAAAGTGAAAAATAGGAATCTTATATAAATATTCAATACATATATGCAAAAATTTAACTTATTGAGTGAAACAGCAGTATGAGGAAAGCTGATTCAAAAAACCCTTGAGAAGCAAAGTATATATAGCCCATCAGGAAAAACATACTGAAAGTGTTTGCTAAAATAAAGGCAAAATTGGTTAATGTCCTACCAGGCAATGAAACAATACCATTTGGGATTATCTTCTCTACCTGCCTAAATTATTTGCATCTCTGCAGACAAAAATCTCTAAATTAACATGAAATGTGACAGATTCTAGACTGTCTAATCTATAGTAGAAAGCAAATTAGAAAACAAAGCCTCTAAATAATTATTTGAATGTGCTATTAAAGAATATTCCTGTATGATATTAAAAGACCTGCAGCCATCCTTTCACCTATTTCCAAATTTTGAATAATTTTTCTTAATATTGAACAACTAGCAGGAAATCTAGTAAGTATCCAAAGTTTCTTGGGAAGACTAATATCTTTTGATTGTTGAGAAAAGGAATTTTAGGCCACCAAAGACTTAACATTATGCTGATTCTAGGTAGTCCATATTCATCAAGAAAGTGGACATTTCTGTTGTAAATGATGTAAAGATTGAATGAAGATCTGGGAGTGGAAATGCTTTCATCTTCAACCATGCCTTATTTTTTTTTTTTATAACAAGAACTCTGGAGAGCTATTAGAAACTGGCCAAGGCAAATACCTTGGCTTCAGTCTTCCTTTTGCCATTGTAGCTGTTTCTAATTAATGCCTTCTGAAAATTTTGTGCCCACTTAACTTTTATACTGAAATGCTCATTATGTTTATGTCATAAATCTTGCCCAAGTGCATTTAGTTGCAGAATATAAAGCCACTGCCATAAACACAGATACCTTTAAGGCCAATGATAATGGAATGATATATATTTTTTCAAAACAACTTTTAAACAATGTTATTGGAAACATTGTTAGACATCACACCCTCTCACACACCAACACGCATGCACATCCACCCAGATAAATCAACTAAAATTCTTTCAAAATTATGATGGTTATTTTTATTTTTTTGTGTATATCTCCCCACCCCCAGATTTTCTAATGAACATTTGTCATTTGTTTAATTGAATGCAATATTAGCCAACTGCTAAGAGTTTACTCTCTGTTTCATTTTGATCTCCTTCAACCCACGGCCTGGTTTGACATGCTGTGCTGAAATGTCAAAAATGTTCAAGTAAAGTCCCTAAAACACCTGCAAGCTGCTTGAGCTTGATTGCAGGCAGCTGATGTTAATTGCAACAGGAGCACTGGCTTTTTTTTCCCAGACTTTCTAACTAACTTGTAGAAATAGGAGTTAAGGAAGACCAATTGGATCACTCTTCCACTGTCTCATTATTGTTCCAATGAATATAATTTCCAGGGCATTCAGTTCAAAGGATAAAACTTCAACATTTTGTGGGATAGTTTCTATCTTATTCAAAGGCATTGTGAGAAATACTTCCTCAGGTTAATAAAATCTTTCTATTACTGAATTTCTTCTATTTCTTCTCGTTAGATTCCTCACAATGTTCAGTAATTTATTTTCACTGCAGACATTTGAGGGGCGTACCGTCATAAGGAATTCTTATGATGCTCTTTATTCAAAGAGGTAAAAAACTTGATTTCAGAACTCAACCCATGGTTGTATATCTAACCCGAAAGTATTTCCCAACAAAGGAGATTCTCTTTAATTACATGATCCCATGCCTTAGAAATGTGTTCCAGCTTCTGAAATTATTTTGTAGCTCACAGAAAGGTTGCAATAAGCATGAGTGAGGATAATAAGTGTCATTATGAAGCCTCTTAATAATTAAAGAGTGAAAATCTTTGGGTGGAGAGTTCCAAGCCCAAATGACTTTAATTTTTCATGTTTCTTTCTAGGAGGAACCTACCTTCTGTGGTTCAATGACACGGCTAATGTGGGCTGTATTATTCTTCTCACAGACTCCTATCTCCCATGATATTACTCATTTTTCTGTTTGACTTTTACATTGATTTTCCACTGATACTTTTCTGATTAATGAGACCCCTGTTATGAATTATGAAGCATTGTGAGAATGCTTTCACTTATCTGTGAATTATATCTGTGGCTTAATTTTTATCTCGTCTAGAGCAATCAGGGACTCTGGCTTCTCAAGAGACTCTCAGCATGGAAGCCTTCCTGAAAGCCCTGTGTGGAGGTGGTAAGCCTCCCTGAAATAGACTTCTTAGAGAAGGAAGCAGAACAGAATGTTCACATAAAAGTGCTAGGTTGGATAATAATCATATTTAGCACTTACATAGCAGTTTTCATTTCCCAAACACTTTATAAACAGCAACTAAATAAACCTTTCAACATCTCCATTAAATAGATAAATAAGCATTATTATATTAGCATTCTGTTTGGTGGAAAAAAAAATCTGTACTCGTTTATAACCGCAGGAGATTATTTCAGAATAATGATTCCAACTCCAGTGTCTGTAAGCCAGTCTCAAGCTATACCTGTTCCAATTTTCTTTTCAAGCCAACTGATTAATTGGTGCTCATGTTGGTCATTGTGAAACTGCAATCAAAGCCATTTCTCTGCAGCGTTCTAAGTTCAAAGAGTTACTCAGAGATGAGTGCCTGGGAAGTTTCCATTATAGGCCTGACTCGATAAAGGAAAAGGTAAATAAGTACCTGAAATATTAGGAGGATGTGAACTGCCCAAGCTTGTCTGTTTCTGAGATCTCCCTCAGTTAACATTAATGATGCTTCCCAGCTAGATAATGAATCCCTCACCAAGGCCTGGTGGAAGATGGCATACTGCTTGCATTTGGTGAGCCTCCAAGGTTGTGACTCTTTAAACAGAAGCATATTGATTTCCTTTCTTAATATTTTCTCAGAGTCACAAAGTGTCACTACCTACTTTTTCCAGGCTCACTGAAAATTTTTTAACATGTTTTCTGCTTGCTCTACTTTCTGCTCTTCCTTTTCACTGAAAAAAAAAAATTTAATAGCCTCTTTTGATTCAAAGAAGTCATGTGGATGTACTTTTCTGCACTGAAGTACAATTTGTTTACAAATGTTGGCATGGCACAAACAAACCATTATATGACTTCCTTCACTATTTGATGGCTTTGTTCTTAAAAATGTTAAAGTACCAAATCTGTTCTCATTTATATTCTCCCTTTTAAGCTAAAGCCTTCTTAATATGGACAGAGTGGTGGTTGAGGGTGCCGGCTCTGGCATCAAACCACTTTGCCAAGTTGTTTAAATCTCTTATTCTTAGTTTCTCAAGAGTAAGGTGGGACCATTGACAATACTGATCTGAGCAGGTTGTTATGGGGATTAATGAAATTATATGTTTGAAGTGGGAGCACAGAGGTGGGGCTATGGAAAGGCTCAACAGGCACTAGGGGTCATCTTTACCACCACCATCACCACCATTATCATCATCATAAACCTCATCATCATCTGGCAATGCTACAATGTAAGAACAGAAAAAAAAATTGTCCTAAGAAAGACTGTAATCATAAACCTGAGGTTAATTGAAATCTGCAAAATTCATCTTAGTTTTCCTTGATCCCTCAAGAATTGGTTTAGCCATCATCACAATGGAATCATGGATTGCTAGGATTTAGAAGGATAATGTTATGATGCTAGGGTAAGTGAGGCTTTAACTAGAAAACTCAAAAGGAGCTCAGGTTTATTTTATCTTAACAACTGGGTACAAGAAGAGAATGAATTTCCTGAGTGTCTGGAAAGCTCTAGGGTCCAGAAGTAGGTAGAGAGGAACCTCCAGCAGTGGCAGATGAGAAACAAATGCCTCACACCCTTAAGAGCTTTAGAAGGTCAAGTCAAGTACATCCTGGAAATCTAGAGGAAGGTGGCAGAGCCAAGGGCACAGGCAGCCTATGGGCAGGGCAGAAATCAGCTGTTTGAAGTTGTCAGCCTCCATGTGGCTGGTAGCTCAGGAGAGGCAGAGGCACTGTTGAGGAGCCACCAGGCTGTGGCTGCTCGGCAGGGCCTGGACAGCACAGGAGGTCACTGTGCTAGGCACTTTCTACCCCTTGTGTTCTCCCAAACAGCCACAACTATGGGAAGTGGGACAAACTCAATGAGAATAAATGAGACTTCACCAAAGATACACAAAGTGAAGAAGCCTGGAGCGATAGAGGTGGTCAAAGTCCTATTCTGTCTCTTAGAGAATCCAAGAAATTTTGGGGGCTGAGCTTGTGGATGAACTTTGTAAGAATTTGGATATTTGAGTAAGCTAGTAGGCACTTGGTGTTACTGATATTTACAATTCACTTCTTAATTCCTTTATTTATATGTTCACTTCAAAAATATTTATTGAATGAAACAAATAAGAGTATGCCTGAGACATTTGGATTATGGTTCTACATACGGCCAGTTATACATTTTGTATTGTGTACTCAGAAACTAAAATAAATCAAAGTGCACAAAAAGAAATCATGGAATTAAAAATATTGTATCTCTTTTTCTGTCCTTGTCATATTCCAGAAAGGTGAAATACTTATTGTAAAAATATTAGGATTTTATCACATATATAATATAGGGATACTCTCTCATTATACCTGATTCAAAATATAGAGAAGTGATTTGAACAAAACATAAAAATCTTTTTTTATCTGCTCACATTTTTCCTATCCTTGAAGCAACCACTGTCAATGATTCTGTGTGCTACTAATCATCTAGTACGCATGTGTGTGTACATAATTATATACAGCATAAATAAGATTACATTGTACATATTAAGAGACTTGCTTTGGTAACTTAATAGTCTTGAAGATCTTTTCACGTCAATATATTCATACCTCCAACATATTCAATAAAATGTTTTCACTTGTTTACCAGTGAATATGTATTGTCCATTACCTTTTTCTAATTCAATAAATGATACAAAGAACACTTTTATATATACATCTTTGGGTACCTGTAAAGTAGAATTACTAGGTCATAAGCAAAACACAGTTGTAATTTTGATATATACTGCCAAATTAGCTTCTAAAAGAGTTAACCAATCTATAATTCTACTAACAGTGTTTAAGACCAGGGAGAGAGTGAATATTACTGAAATTTAATGACTTTTTTTCAGTACATTTACAAGACTGGTTTAGGATTTGCATTGCTGTTAATCAAAGGAGTCTTTGTAGAATCAATGCTGTGATATTTTCTTCTGTCACTTTTACAATCAGCTTTACGATTTTTTTTTTTTTTTTTTTTATTTTTTTATTTTTTTTTTTTTGAGACGGAGTCTCGCTCTGTCGCTCAGGCTGGAGTGCAGTGGCGGGATCTCGGCTCACTGCAAGCTCCGCCTCCCGGGTTCACGCCATTCTCCTGCCTCAGCCTCCCAAGTAGCTGGGACTACAGGCGCCCGCCACTACGCCCGGCTAATTTTTTGTATTTTTAGTAGAGACGGGGTTTCACCGTTTTAGCCGGGATGGTCTCGATCTCCTGACCTCGTGATCCGCCCGCCTCGGCCTCCCAAAGTGCTGGGATTACAGGCGTGAGCCACCGCGCCCGGCCACGATTTTATAAATATAACTATTGTGCGATATCTTTTCCTTTTCATTTTTTTCATCTTTTACAAAGGGGAAACCAAGATCCAGAGGGAGTAGTTGAAAAGTGCCCAAGTTTTTATGAAAGCCAGAAGTGATCCCACCAAATTCTATTAAGTGTCTGGCAATTAGGGCTAATTGAGTAAGTATTGAGTGAGTATACATATATTTTAACATTTTTATGAATCTATACAAAATATCCTATGTAGATATAACAACGGAAGCAATGAGTGAAAGGGACTATGAGATCTAGACAAGGCCATTGAAATGTAGCAAATAGACAAATTGGGAAATAACATAATAGTTGAATAATAAGTTTCAAGATGTATGAAATGGACTGAGGAAAGTGAAGTTAAACGGAAATCCTTCAATAATCGGAATGCAATCTACAGGCATCACGTGGCATGATTCATCTTGATGGCTTTAAACCAGTGGTGAATAGGAGGGATAACACTGGGCTCAGTGTAGTCTCATGATTCTTTGCACACCAGGGACAATTCTCGTGCTTTTACCAAGAAATTTAGAGGACTGATGGAAACTGAGAAAATAGATCACATGTAAAATCCTTATAAATAATAAGGAATTAATCATTCTTATAGTAAGATGTATTACCGACATATTTTCATTATTTGTATCATGGTAACTCTGTGATGTGAGTAAGGGTGACAGTAACACATTCCACTGATAGGGGAGAAAGCTGAGATACAGAAGAGGTACTTGCTTATACCAATTATATTATTAATCAGCAGAAGACACAACCACCTAAATTTAGGCTTTCTGATTCCTTATGCTGTGTTCTTCCTACTATTAATACCCTGCCTGCTAGACCAAAGCAAAGCTTTATGAGTCAATCAGTTTAAATATCCCAAAACTTCATAGCATGACCCTATTATTACTTATAGAATTGAGTTTAATATAACATGGGGCATCTTTGCACCTCATAAAGAGGTCTAGTTATTGAAGTTCAAAAAGGTCCTTGTTACAGAGTAGTGTGCCTGGAAGATATCTAACGCATAGGTCAAGAGAGAGTTAGTATCATAGAGGAAGGACTTCAGGAAAGAGAAAGTACTTCATACCAGATAAAAGCAGAGGGTATGTCTGTTAATACCTCAGCTGGATTGTCCCTCAGATTTTCTAAATTGTCTGATCGTACATTCTACTCTTGAGCTTGCTTGAATATTTCTTTTCTAGGAGCAATAATATATGTGCTTTTCTTCTGGCAGAAGGTGGGTATTATATGAGTTTAATTATGTTTTCTGGAGATTTTTTAAATCAGGTTTGTGGAAATTCATGATGTATAATCTCTGACCACTTATCTTTTGTTTTCTGAGATGGATGAGTCCATACAATCCTAATCAAAAGGAAAAGTAGACACAAGTTGATGCCTTAGTATCACGGCCTCATCTTTGCAAATTTTAATTCCACTATGCTTACTGAGAGATATTAAAATGACCTAAAAATCTCATAGTATGTCAACAGAAAACTAAATTATTAAGTTTCCTCTTATATTAAACTGAGATTTGAGTGGGTGCTCAGTAAGGTTTTTAGGAGTCCTTTTGTTCCATGTCTCCTTTTTAATCATAGTACCCAGCATTGTGCGTGGCAAAGAGAAGAGCTCATTAACTCATGACAAATAATTCTTTGTTTGAATAAAATATTTACAATGCTTTAAAATGCCTTCCTTCCTTCTTTCCTTCTTTCCTTCCCTCCCTCCCTCCCTTTCTTCTTTCCTTCCTCTTTGCTCTGCGTATTCAATCATTCATACTTTGTACATTCAATACATCTTTATCGAACATCACTACTGGACCTTTATCCTTCCTTTTTCTGGAAGTCCAGAAGCTACTGAAATATCCTAGTAGATAGCTGTAATAACCACTACACAAAGTTTATAGCTTACAAAACTGAGACTTCAATCTCAATCTTGTATTTAATGGGGGAGATTTAGACTTTGTTAATTTCATCTGACAAATGGAAAAGGCAAAAATTAAGTAATATACTCAAGGCCACTGGAGAGTCAACAGCAAAGCCAAGACTTGAACAAAATTGGTCTAATTTGAAATCCTTGTTTCCTTCCTCTGTGCTACATGGTCTCTCCAAAAACTAAGCGGCATGAGCTATGATCAAACCAATGTTGCCTCTGGTTTTCTGGAGAAGACTACATAGGCCATGGCCTTATCAGGAAATGCATGTTGTTTTCCCTCCTTTAGAGTTTTATTATAAGGACGATTGCATATTATTCTGGTGTGTAGAAGAGTGCAGTCATTTCAAAATAAAGATGGTTTTGACTTTCCTTGCTAGCAGATGCCAGTTTTCCTTTCCTTCCTTGAGCCCCACACTTATGTTCTTCATTCTACTACTAGACCCAAATTGACACTCATAGCTCAGATTTTCCCTCTTAGTGTCTTAGTTTTTAATAACTTTCCTACCCCATTATCCCATAATTGTCACTATAAATCAAGTTTTTCTTTCTATACATGCTGTTCCTTTAAATTATAATTAATCCTGGGAAAGGACAAAACAGTGTTGCTGGCTTTGTACTGTCCCCACTATGAAGCAAATCTGTCAAGGCCAAGGCTCTGCAGGGGTTGGGGCAACCTACACAATCTCCTTTTGTGAAAAGATGAAATACTGTTGGTACTAGTTAGTTCTACATCAGCAGACATGTAAAGTTTAATTTTACCCTCTTTTTTTATTCCCTGATTATTCTAATCACAGCTTTAAAAAAAAGTCTTGTTTTTTCTTTAAAAATCAAATACAGCATTTTAAAATGTAAGCCATATTTGTTGGAATGGTATAACTGGTATAATTCTATGAATTCCCATTAAAATTCAGGTTTAGCTTCTTATCATTAGAATATACACTGCATGGCCTAAAATTTTAAAGAAACTTTAGTTGGTTTTCAAATCCAGCCACAGTTAGAATCACTAAAGAAGATTTTTTAGTTTTTTGTTTTTTGTTTTTTTTTTAAGAAAACCAATGCCCATTTGTTCTTGCCAGGGGCTCAAATTTAAATGGTCTTGAGAGAGGCCCAGACATTATTGTATTTGAAAAATCCCACAGGTGGTTCTGATGGGAAGCTGGAATGGAAGATTATGAGAAATACAGAGCTCATGAACCACAGGCCTTCCGCCCCTTGTATGGACCCAAGAGTTTCTGTGAGAAATAGCCAGAGCATGAGTTCCAATTTAGATATACCTTCCAGTGTTTCTCAAAGAGGAGACCAAAGGCACTCTCTTTCAGCAACTCATTTGATTGTTACTGAATCAGAATATCTGCACTTAGGGCCTGAAGCTTTAGGCTTTTAAAGGATCCTTTATGCCTTTAATGGCTCATGTCCCTTTTTAACCTAGAACATCTTTTTATAAATGCCGATAACCTATTGAAATGATCAGACTGGTTGCTTTATAATATGTTACACCTTTTGAATTTGTCTAATTGTTTCTTTGTGGTGTCATTGACATTGTACCCCTGGATTTCCTGCAAACTGGAAGTCAAGTCTCTAAGCTTACTTGAATTCTGGTTGAACATTTTGAGCAAGAACATCTCAGAAGTATGTTTTATATTAATATAGCATATTCCTTCCTGTAAGATTCTTCCCGGGGCCTGAAAGCTTAAGGGGATGAGTAACTTCTCTCTTCTCAGGCCCAGCCCCAAGGCGCAAGGCCACTTGGTGTCAGCAGCTTGCGCCAGCAAAATAGCAGAAGCAGGAAAAGAGCTGGCCAGAAGACACGTACTCCTGAAGATCAAGAAAGAGGCCATCTGGGTACAACGTAGCAGCTACATCAGACTAGGACACTTCTTGTTTACAGGAGACTATAAAACCTTTGTCCTGTCCTCACTTGGTGCTGACGCCATTTTAGGCCTCAGCCTGCCTGCACCCAGGCACTCATTAAAACAGCATGTTTTTCCATACCCCCTCGTGTTGTCTGTTGGCGCACTCTCAGGGTTCAAACCGATATAAAAACCTTACACTTCCTATCAGTGGGCACCTCACGTCTCACTTTCCCACTGTTAGCTGTGCTGTTTTCACTCCCAGGGTTAAACTGATGGTGGCCAGGTTCACCCACTGTAAAACTGAATTAGCCCCAACTTGATCAAGAAGTAATGAGGCTTTGACATCACACACTTATCCAATTTCCCATCAGCCTTTCACCTAGGAGTTTTGAAATTATGAATCAATTATTTTTATTAGGGGCTATAAAGTGGTGATATTCTATTATTTCTTCTACATTATCTCTCTTCCTCTAGAGAAAGAAGAGTGATCTTTTCAGAGGTGAATTAGATTATGTCACGCTTCTGTTCCACCCCACCCTGGTGACTTTTTTCTCTATTAGAGGCCTCCAAACACCCCTCCCCAGCAACCAGTGTCCTCACTGATTTCGTCTCCCATTACTCTCTTCCTTACCGTCGCCACTCCAGCCTCCTTGCTGGAAGGCACCACACATCTTCTGATGCATCACTGTTCCCTCCACCTTCAGTGCTTTCCCCTGGCTTCCTTCCCCTATTATTTCAGGTTCCTTCTCTAATATTACCTTGTCAATGAGCCCTTCTCTTACTCCCTTATTTTAAAATAGCAATCCTTCCAATGCATTCTTGCCTCTTTCTCATTAAATTTTCTCTAAAGCGCTTATCTTCTATTGGCATGTTATATATTTACTTATTTGTTTCCCTCTTTGCAATCTCAATGAGATGAATGAATGATTAAAGTGAATGGTGATGTTCAGAAGAGCTAAATAGCAGGACCAATATCACTCATCAAATTAGTAATAAGAAAAAAAAGCATAGTCTTAAGAACTGTCAGCTGGGAACTGGCCTGGAACAAACAGTTAGACCTTAATGTTCTCCTGTTGAATATAAACAATTTTATTGCATACACATCAGAGAAGGTCATTCTGAGACCATGATGGAGTGAGACAAAAAACATACCCCTCATAATTATGTCTGAGCACAGACAAAACATGAACAGTATGCAGAACTATGCAGAACACAAAGATGTTCAAACATCCCCTCCCCCAGCTAACACTTGTCACTTCTGCTTCCTTCCCAAGGACAGCTTTAGTTCTGCTTCCTTCCTCTTTCCTCCTAGATAAATAAATTTTCAAGATACTTGCACTAGTTTCCTATGGCTGCTGTAAGAAATTACCACAAGCTGGTGGCTTCAAACAACATAAATTTATTCGCTCACACTTCTCAAGGTCAGAGGTCTGAAATCAAGGGATCAGCAAAGTTGCCTCCAAAGGCTCTAGGGAAGAATTCTTTCTTGTCTCTTACGACTTCTGCTGGCTCTGGCCATTCTTCTTGTGGCTGCCAATCTCTGCCTCTGTATTCAATCACACCAATCTCTGCTTTTGTATTCACATGGCTTTCTTTTTTTTTTTTTTTTGGTCTGAGTCTCACTCTTGTTGCCCAGGCTGGAGTGCAGTGGCATGATCTCGGCTCACTACAACCTCTGCTCTTCTTGGGTTCAAGGGATTCTACTGCCTCAGCCTCCCAAGCAGCTGGGACTACAGTCGTGAGCCACCATGCCCGGATAATTTTTTGGTATTTTTATTAGAGACGGGGTTTCACCATGTTGGCCAGGCTGGTTTCAAACTTCTGACCTCAAGTAATCCGCCTGCCTCAGCCTCCTAAAGTGGGGGGATTACAGGCATCAGCCACCGCACATGGCCGGCCTTCTCGTTTTATGTCTGCAGTCAAATCTGCCTCCACCCCCATGATACTCATGATCACATTAAGGCCTCACCTGGATAATTCAGGATAATCTCTCCATCTCAAGATCCTTAATCACATCTGCAAAGACCTCGTTTTAGAAAAATACAGTAACATCCACAGGAACAAGGGAATAATACCTAGATATCTTTGGGGAGGGGAAATTATTCAGCCTAACACATATCCTATTATACATCTAGGTATGACCCAATCCACAGCAAAGCACTTCTTTCTTGAACCATCATGCCTGACCCTGCCAAAACCATCTACCCAAAGCTAAATGTTTATAACCAATCCCTACTAGCATCTTTTTAAGAACATAGCATCATGGTTCCGCATGTTATACGGTCTCTCTTATTACAAGCAATAAGACCAGTTTTGTACAATACAAGTGGAATTCTGGTAGTCTCTAGCTTGTGGGTATGGATACCAACATATGTGTCTTGCATTTACCCATCGCATATTTAGACCTCAGAATTTCAATTGCTTGGCTTTTTTCCCCTTAAAATATCTTATAATCAGTGAGAGATCTAAGTCAGTGGTTTCTGTGGGGCATGGATCGTTGGCATTAAAAGAATCTTTGCAACTTATGTACAATTATAATACATTTGAAAGCATTTTATTCTTTTAAAGAATTGTCCTGGTTTTCTGCTATTAGATATAATTTAAGTGTTCCTACATACTTGAATCAGAAGTATAAAATATTAAGCTTTTTAAAAACTTATTCTGGAAGTTCAAACTTACCTTTTTTAATGTATTGCCTTGGATAAAGGGCAGAGGCCATCATTCTAAATGACATTTTGTATGAAGTAATACATTATTTCTAGTACCTGTGGTTTTTTCTTAAAACTTTTATCACCTGAAATGACCTCTCAGTAAAGGCTTTTGAAAACTATAAATCTCTGATGTGTGTGTTTTAAATTCAATTATAGAAAAGTATTTTAAGAAAAGACACTGGTGCAGATGTTTAAAAACACTGCATTAATATAAAAGCAGAGATAAAGATACTTGAAAAAGACAGCCTTGACAAAAATTATGTTCAACCAACTGTGCAGCACTCTAGTTTATGAAAGATACAGAAGCAACAGATTTTGATAGGGACTAAGCATTGAAGTACCCATTTTTTAATCATTACACATGAAGAAAAAACAATTATTCAATTATCTTAGGGAACCTCTTTGTTTTTCTCCAAGATGGGGGAGTGGTGTTTCTCATCATTTTAATCTGAATCTTGTTATATCACTTGGGTAGTCATTTACTTTAAAAATACTGGAGAGTAAACAGTGTAGTGAATACATATGTTATAAAGTTTAAACTGTGTCTTAAGCCCATTCGTGTTTGAGAACCCAAAGCACACTAAAAGAAAAACATGCTAGGGAGGTCAATTAAACTCTTTAAATATTGTTATCAAGCTCCACACCGAGGGGTTTGTTTATCAGTATGGGAGTCATTATAGAAATAAGGTGTGTTTGTTTTGGTGCTTGGCTAGAAACATTGCTGTGCTCCTAGCAGAGATATGTCCTAGTCAGCAGCAGACTTACCATCTACAGAGCTCTGCAATTATGAATTTCCTCCATCCAGACTTATGGCTAAAAACATTGTGGGACTTTAAAACATAGTAATGGTTAGGCATCCTCCAGACTATTTAAATTTGAGTCTTTGGGGAGAAGGACTGCACATTGAGCCTCACAGAGGCCCTGTGGTCTTGTCACCATATCTCTGTCTAAATTCATGTGTTACATAAAGGAAAAATGATTATTAAATGGATATTAAAAAACGATTCTGTCATACTCAATGGTAGACAAGTTAAAAGAAAAGTGGCAAGTAGCAAGTTGTTCTGACATTTAGGGGATATTGATTACCTTGGCTGCTGAAGGTACATCTTTGTTTAAAATGTGAGACAAAAGGATAGAAAAAGAGTAGAACTGGGTTTTCAAATATAGAAAGGGGGAAAATAGTTAAGAATAGAAAATAACTCTCTAAATACCCAGGTGATAAGAAGCTAGAAGGATGATATCCTTTTAAGCCCCAACCAGTTGATTCATTACCTAAGGATTTTAACAGTGTCAACCATCCAAAAAAATGCTGCCTATGGAAAATACAGAAATTAATCAGGACATGCCACATGATACAGAGAGGTGAAACTGCCGAGTGAGGGAGAAAAGTCTTGCACCAGACTACAGGTACAAACCACATGGAAAGAATACAGTTAGGAACAAAAAGAAAAGAAAAGAATAAAAGCAAAGAAAGGAAGAGAAAAGGAAAAGAAAGAGAAGAGCTCATTTCTCAGAATATAGATAAAAAATGATAATAAATTTTAACATCAATTAGACTCATCAAGAATGAGAAAATGTACTTATAGAGCTTACCAAAGAAGGAGATGCCTCCACTACTGAAGTATATACTTGCTTGCAGGCCAAAAAGACTTACCCATAGCTAGAACCACTGTGTAATGGCAAAGGGTTGGAAAAAATATTGTAGAAGTCAAATAAAGGTTAAAAGAAGAAAGCCAGGATGGGAGGGACTTATCAAGAGGCAGAAAACTTTCTTAAAACTTGAGTAGTGGCAGAATCCCTGGGAAATCATTTCTGATGAAGGAAATTATGCTTACAATGGTTCCAGAAGCATTTCACATAGAGATGAGAGTTAACATATTAGGCAGTACAGAAACCACCTACATTGTAATAGAAGCCATGCCGTTAGAATTCTTGGGAAGATTTGATTACCCTTAGCCATTCAACAAGAACAACAACAACAACAACAACAATAACAAAAATAAGGCAATACATTGACAGAGTTGAGAAGAATTAGCAGAAAATGAGGTCCTGAAAAATAATAGGAAATTATTATGTGAAATAATATTATTGTGATATAGTGAAAGTTATCCTAGATTTCAGGAGAAAATTGCTCAAACAGGATGCCTCAGCAGATAGCAGTTATTACATAAACTTACTAACCCCTACCAGCCATACTAAGTCAGAGAAACAGAGCCAACATTGGCACAGGGTACCACAGGGCACAATGGAGGCTCCCAGAACCTAGCGATTCAATGAATTTTACACAGAGAACTGGAGTGCTCCAAACTAGTCATGCATAATCCAGAAAATCACCCATACAATAGCGTAAAGATTCACTGACATTCAAATTGTCAATAGTCAAAAATAGCATTAAGTGGTACTGAGACCCATGGGATGACTTTTCTGGTAAATGTAGAGTTCTTTAAAGTTGTTTAAAAGAGTAGAAAAAGTAGAATCTGATATTTTGGTAAAACAGTAGTATTTATATAGTAAAAACTAAAGTTAAACTGGAAAAAGATAGGAAGCCAATTAGAGTATTTGAAATGGTATAACCATAACTTTGAACGTGTAACTGGAATGAATAGCTTGGGGGCAAAAACCTACCTTTTGAATTAGGAGAAAAATAAATTGATTACCCAGATGATTGTGCAGGAGACTAAAGGGAAAGTGGTGGAAATGTTTCTTCAAACATGTGACTAACACCTTGTGGCTTATAAATAGGAATAAAAACCTCTTAAAACATAAAAAGGAATAGATACTTATGGATAAGTTTAACAAATTATATGCAAAACATGTACACTGCAAACTACAAAACTTTGCTGTGAGACATTAAAGAAGATTTAAATGAAAATATTTACCATATGTATGAATTGGAAGACTAAATATGGTTGTCAATTTTTCTCAATTAACTAAAAATCAATCAAAATCCTAATAGGCTTTTTTTGGTAGAAATTAACAAACTATTTCTAAATTTTATGTGGAAATACAAAGAACCTAGATTAGCGAAAACAATTTTTGAAAGACCTACAAAATTGAAAGACTTTGCCTGATTTGAAGATTTACCTTAAAGCAACTTTAAATTCTTTCAAGCATGTTAAAAATGAGCAAAATGTATGAGTAAACTCTTAATAGAATGACATGTAAGATTCTTCAACAAGCACATGAGATTTTTTACGTCATTATTCATCAGAGAAATATAAGTTTAAGCCGCTGTAAAGTACTATTACACACAAATTTGCATGGCCAAAATTAAAAAGACTAGCAGTACCAAATATTGGTAGGGATATGGAACAATTGGAACTATCATTGCTGGTGGGCACATAAAATAATGCAATTTCTTTGCATGTACTACCATGCCCAGCTAATTTTTTTTTTTGTAGAGATGAGGTCTACTCTATGTTGTCCAGGCTGGTCTCAAACTCCTGGACTCAAGCGATCTTCCCACCTTGGCCTCTCAAAGTGCTGGGATTTACAGTCTGAGCCACTGCACCCAGCTGGATCATGCTTTTAACCATAAGATTGAAAAGACCTAAGTAAGGAAAGGACTGGGCCAAACAGTACAATGTAAATGTTTTATATAATTATAAAATAAATAAAACTCAAATAGAAGAAAACATCTTTTTCTAAAACTTAAATGCAATGTAAAAAATGAACCTAATTGTGTCAAGAGTAGGTTGTTCAATCAGAAATAGAGGATTCTTTCCATGAACAGATACAGTTTATTGTAATTTTTGAAATATCACAAATTGATTTGGGCATCATTTAGAATCTTGCTGTTTTAGCACTTGGAAAATTTTTGAAGGTTTTTGAGAGTCATGAGGTTGTATTTAACTGCTGTGGCTTACTCAGTCAAGGAAGGTAAATTTAATACATATTTATTATTGTATCTTTCAAGAATTAACTAGTTTTCTGGGATTGAGACTGCTGAAAATGTCAGCACCTGGCATTATTTGAACTAAGCAGACGTATTTTCCATATAAGATACTTGGACTTTTAAAGTGATTCTTTCTGAAATAATATTAATGGGAAACTGATCACACACAAATCTCATCTTGTAATAGAAGCCCCATATGATTCCCTTGATTGTGTTTTATATGAGACTATATGTCATACAAACCATGGCCAATTCTATTTCCCTCAATATTTGTTAACCCAGAGTTTTGTCTTTTTATTTGCAAAGAGTTCTCTGCTGAATGACTGAATTGTTTCTGCAGATTTTCTAGAAAACTTAACAACTGCAAGTCCATTCAGAGTGTTTTTGAAGAATTGTCTTCATAAGTCTCATACTAGGAGTGGCAGAGAGAGAGACTATTGTGAGTGACTTTATGGAAAGATTGCATATACAAAGTAGGACATATTCTAAGGAAAAAAGAGCCAAAAAGAAAGCTTAAAATATCTTTAGTAATCATAGTGGAAGTAAAAATAATATTGTTACTTCAAAAATATTATATATACAGAAGCATGATACAAATTAGGAACTTAAATATTTACATAAAAAGAAATATAAAGCTCATAATTAAAACACTACTATCTCTTTTGCTAGTATTTCTGCATATATATTCTGCTCACTTTGTCTTGTGTTTGCATTTCCTTGTATGTCCAGTTATTTTTGATTGAATGCACTTAATATAAAACATTATAGATATAATCTGAGACTTGATATATATGTGTACTTACATATACCTATATTACATATTTATATTTTTTAATTTTATTTTTATTTATTTCTAGATTTTCTACTTAATCTCAGTAAAAAGTTTGGCCAAATTAAATAATCTGCTGTTCCCAGAAGCTGAATTCTAGCTCTATTATGTTTTTCACCAGAACACTGATAAGAGATAATTTTCTTTCACTTTGCAGAAAAACACAATGTACCTTTTCCTGGATAATCAAGGTTACAGCAACAATCAAATTGTGTAGATAAGTTGTAGGGCTCATTATGATCTTCCAGGACATTTATGTAGCCCTATTGATGACGTTCTGTAACTGAGGCCTAATAGAACATGTACCTACGATCATATAAATAGAACTTCCAACAGCAATATAGGGTTGTTCACACTCTGGATTGTTTAAAGAGGTTGTTCAGTTTGTCTCAATCAATTAAAATAGAATTGGTACCTTCATGAAGGGGCCAAATCATGCAAATGTGTACATTATACTAAGATACTGCTAGTGAACTGCTGGGCCTTCTGTTATTTAAAAAGTGTACTTTACACCAGTAAAATAAAACTTTAAGAAAAACTTCTTGTTAATTTAGAGATTTACATAGAGAACACAAAAACTATGGCTACAGAAGCTGTGTCCTTACAACAGTAAGGAGGTTAATGGCAAAGCCTGTGCTTTTAACCCTAATACTGGACAGTTCTAAGTAAAGCAAGAACTAGGCCGATTAGTACAGTATCTTGAATTTCAGGAAATCTGGATGGCTGTATTAAGCACAGGGATCCGATTTCTCAGAAGCTCATACTTTTCCAGGTTTTAGATAATGACTGTCTATATGTTCAATAATTGGAAATAGTTTCTAAGTAATAGAAAAACAGTTTTGGAGAAAGAACTAAAGAAAGCACTAAGTGATTCATCAATACCAATTTGGGTGTATGATCTGTCAAAACAGTAAAAGAGAGACTTCCAAAAGAACAAATGCAGAGAGTGCATTTCTGGAGGCCTAAAATCTA
This sequence comes from Homo sapiens, assembly GCF_000001405.40. NCBI lineage: Eukaryota > Metazoa > Chordata > Mammalia > Primates > Hominidae > Homo > Homo sapiens. The sequence continues at coordinate 87,379,507 of NC_000014.9, read as the reverse complement.
ATTAAAATTGCCTGGGACAACTGGAGATAGTGCTATCCTAAGACCCTTTCACAGGCATGTCAAGAAGAGAACAAAGAGATATCTGGTCTTTCCGGCATAAAATATGCACCATCTCCAATTGTCAAGAAAAGGACTTCCATTTGTGAATGTGAAATTTTTTTTAAATGAAGTAGTGAAGAGTCCCATGTGATAATTTACTGAGATTTTTAAATAAAACTGAAGGCCAAATTCCCAGAGGACTGATTTCAGGGAACCATTGGATTATACAGTACCTTTAAAAGCAGCAAAATCTGTTTTCTCATTGTGAGGGAGTTACAGTAAGAGAGGGAAACTGCATATTTTCCTCAGCTGTGACTGGCCAGAGTAAAATCAAGAGTGTGAAAAACTGTGTGCAAGATATGGAACCTCTGACACTGGAATTCAGAGATGAAAACTCAAGGCAGGGCAAAAATTATGCCGAATGGGCAAGTAGCATGGATAGTCAATGAGTCATTCACAGTTACATGAAGTAGCCCTCATAGTGGAAAAGTTGAATGGCCTATTAAGGAAAATTAAGAAAACACTTGGCTCCTGAATTTCACAGGAAATGGGCAACATGTTTCAACCCTGTATTAGGGACCTAAATGAGAGGCCATCAAAGGAATGCCACTATTCTGCCACGAGTAGTTATGTCCATAGCAGCCGCCAAAGAACACTAACGAGACATGTCCAGAAACAAAATTCTTTATGGTCACAAAGGCTGATGGAGTTGCCAACAAATTTCAAAGGTGATTTTGTCTCCAGCTGATATGACTCAATTGAATTTTTCCAAGCCATAGGTGAGACATGTTGAGGAATTCATCTTTTAATTATAAAATTAGGCTGGGCATGGTAGCTCACACTTGTAATCCCAGGAGTTTGGGAGGCTGAAGCAGGTGGATCGCCTGAGGTCAGGAGTTAGAGACCAGCCTGATCAACATAGTGAAACCCCGTCTCTACTAAAAATACAAAAATTAGCCAGGTATGGTGGTGCACACCTGTAGTTCTAGCTACTCAAGAGACTGAGGCAGGAGAATCTCTTGAACCTAGGAGGCGGAGGTTGCAGTGACCTGAGATCACGCCACTGCACTCCAGACTGGATGACAGAGCAAGACTCTGTCTCTAATAATAATAATAATAATAATAATAATAATAATAATAATAAAATTAGCTGGCCCAACAAAGTAGGAGGACTATTTAAGGTATTAATGTATCTTAAATGCCATCCATTAGAGAAAGACCAGAGGCATTCGACTTTCTAACCTAATGAAGTGCTAATATGCAAACTCCCTCTGTCTCTCTCTTACACACACAAATCACCAAGGAAATTGAGATGGTGGTGGAGGCAGAAGCAGAAATAATACATTGAACTAAAACCAGACAACTTTCACATGGTGAAGATTAACAAACCAAGGATAAACGAATCTTAATATGAAATAGATAAAATTGGCATTGACTTTTTGGAATGATTTGGACACTTTGAGAAAGGTTGTGGTATCAGTAGCACTTATTGACACACTTTGCGACCCATTGGGAAATTCTCCTTAATTTGTGATGAATGGGTCTAAGCAAAAAATTATTGTGTCAGCTCCATTCCAGTGTTGGTGGATATTCAGGCTGGTTGCTTTTACTGTGGCTGTTTATGTAACAAGTGTTAAAGTTGTATGCATAAACACCTCCCATGTGATATGATGACCCAGATGCACAATGTTAATGACACCACTACCTTAATTTCTTCCCTCTTCATCTAAAACCAACCACAAACAACAACAATAACACAGGTGCATACACAAGCACAACAGCTAGTTTTGTTTGTGCATAGTGGACAAAATCCTGTGTTACAGAAAGGGCAAAGACCATGTGCATGAGGAGCTGTCAGAGACACCCTATCAATTAGTTCCTTATAAGAACAGGTCTCATCTCATGAATCAGTGTAACAGTTTAGTGTTTTTCAGTCTGGGGAGAAATTATCATTTTGCTTCTAATATTAATTTGGCAACCATATTTTATACATCTTGTTATTGTCGGGTTTGTTCTGTTCTGAATGCTAGCCCTGCACCGAGACATAAAATAGCAAGAAGGGGGATATTGAATGTTCTCAATACAAAGAAATTATAAATGTTTGAGATGATGAATATACTAATTACTCTGATTTAATCACTATACATTATATGTGTCAAGACATTAATACATACCCCATGAATATGTACAATTATTATTTGTCAATTTAGGAATTAAAGTAAATTTTTTAAAAGACATTGAACACTCAAGAGGGAGCTTTTGTGTTATTAAAGAAATGGCCAGTATTGTTTAACAACTCAAAAGTACAAATTACCTAATGATTTAAAAGAAATGCTAAAGGAAACTTGGCAACTCTGAGGACAGTTTTGAAACTGCCTTATTTCACAAATGTAAAATAAAATTAAAAATATCGTGTGTTGACAGTAAGGGATTTCAGAGGCATATGTGTTAAAATTCTACCCCATCTTGATAATAATATAAAATTATATACTCATGTGTATCTATCTGATTATTAGTTTATGTATCTCAAAAATACTATTGCTTGGTTAACTCTGTGCCCAGCAGTTTTGGAGGCATGAGAACAAAGCAGGGAACAAAAGAAGACAAAAATCCTTGCCCTCATGGAGATTCTACTCTAGTAAGTAGGAGAGAGATAATACACATACAACCATGTGAATTCCATGGTACATCAGCTGGTGTTCAGTGCTAGAAAGTGACAGGTGAGGGATGCAAATTTGAGAAAGACTGGTCCAGAAAGGACTCCTTAAAGGATAAAATTGAACTGGGATATGAAAAAAGTAACATTTATGTTTGTTAGTTTTAAATATCAGAATCAGATGAAGAAATGTTTTAGCTAGACACACCTAATTAATAGTATCTGGATCACTGGAATTTAATCTGTGCACATGTAACACAAATAAATGGCAACTTCCTCTATTGATCATGTTGAAGATGAAGCCTGTGATGTTAGTTTGGCTAACTAATTAACTAGTAGGATCACTGAAAGATAATTGTTCCCCATCCCACACTCCCCACTTTGATAACACCACTTGTAATGAGAAAATATTAAGACAAGTGCAAAACACGACCATTTTAGTAGCACTCAACTGGATATGAAAGTCATTCTGGAATGCATGAGTATGAAACCGTAAGTGTACCCATTTATTCATCCAACAAAAACTTTGCTGGAGTAATTCAGGAAATAAACAAACTTGAGGACTTGCGAGACATAGAGGCCAGATTCTGCACTAAAATATCTACGTAGATAGGATGCCACAGCTAAGATTCACAGTGTTATATAATTTTAGTGGAAGTACAAAGCATTAGCACTTTTATTTCATTTACAGGTCTCTGTGTTTCCTAACTATCAGACTTACTCTAATATCTAACCCATATTTTATAAGTGACATTTAACAATACCCATAATATGTGGCCCAGCAGAATTGGCACTTGAGGTGCTCAGGCTCCCTGAAAATTCAAGTCTCTTATCAAGTTCCATTCTTGTTTTCCATGACACCTATTTATAAACAGCCACCATCTTGTGGAAAATCCATAATAATTTCCTTATGCACCGATCCTGCCTGTCATACCACAGTCTGTTTCAAGTGTTATGTTGGTGTAAAGAGAGCACATCATATTACTTAGAATTTCAGCAAAACATCACAAAACAAAATGATAAGGGCTCATAATTACAAACACACAAATTGTCCATTTTAGGACCATTTTATAAGAGATCATCCTGAGGTTTTATGCAGATGATTTCTTGGCAGAGATGCTATAGCCCTGGTGTTCATACTTTAATGAGTATTAGTTGTCTGAATTATTACTGAGGCCATAGAGAAGAGCATGAGCTGGCCAGTCCAGATGTACAGGGATGGCACCAGGGGTGATAGAGCAAGTTGGAAATGAACACTAGGATGAGATTATTATAAGCTTGTGGGAATCAATCCAGTATCCAATAAAGGATGTAATTGAAATGTTTAAGACAGAGTTTGGAAATACCCTGGCAGAAGGGTAGCATTAAATGTGCTGAGTACATTCTTGCATTGGGGTTTATGGGATTTAGTAAGAAAAGTTACCAGGAATACAGATATTCAGGGAAATTTCAATAACAACATGAGGTAAATAAGGGATGTGATAAAACATAATTATTTTTCCCAGAGAGTTATTACAAAGAGACCCAGTGAGAATTTTAAATGGGACAGAGTTGATTGGAGGTGTGGAGTTACACTTCAATAACCTATGAGTACTGAAAACTAAGTTTAGAGGTAATTAATGGAAATGAATTGAACAGCCTTCCTGCCTCTCCAATAGATGCTGTTTTTCAAGATAATTCTGTCAAGAGAGAAGTGTCTACTTTACAGAAGTCCAGATAGTACTGTAGAATGAATAATAGAATTGGAAAACAAAAATATACTTTGCAATCACTGACATATAATGTTAAAACAATTTTGTGGTTGGACAGTTATGTGATACCAAAATAATACCCACCAATCACATTCTGGTTGAATGGGGAGAAGAATAATTTTACCATGGAGGAATCGAGTGGCCATTACCTTTATTCAGGGATCAATTTTAGGTTTGGTAATAATCGGATGATTATGTATTTTTGGTGTTATACAATGCAATGTACAAAATGTTGCCTCTCATGTCCTTCTACTAAAGATATTTACCATCAATTTAAGCACATTTCTATATTTAACTTTCATTTTGAAGAAATTATAGGGGATGTAGAAGGAAGTTCCCTGTATTCATACTCTTGTTTTTTTATTGCCTTCCATTAAGTGTGAGCCTGAATTAGTGACTTGCTCCCAATTAATAGAATTCAACAAGGTGATGGGCTGTCACTCCTTTTTTTTTTTTTTTTTTTTTTTTTTTTTGAGACAGAGTCTTGCTCTGTCACCCAGGCTGGAGTGCAGTGGCGCGATCTCGGCTCACTGCAACCTCTGCCTGCCGGTTCAAGTGATTCTCCTATCTCAGCCTCCTGAGGAGCTGGGGTTACAAGTGTGTGCCATCATTCCCAGCTAATTTTTGTATTTTTAGTAGAGATGGAGTTTCTCCATGTTGGCCAGGCTGGTCTCAAACTCCTGACCTCAGATGATCCACCCACCTCGGACTCCCAAAGTGCTGGGATTACAGGCATGAGCCACCGTGCCCAGCTCATTTCTAAAACTGCATTACAAAAAGACTCTAGCTTCCATCTTGCTTGTCATCTGTTGCATGTTCCGTCTCTTTCACACTCTGATGAAAGCCACCTGCCATATCGGGAGCTGACCTATGAAAAAGCTATGTGGCAAGCAACTAAAAGAGATCTCCTACCCACAGTCACCAATGACCTCAGCCCCTCAGCCTAACAACCCATAAGGAACTAAATCCTTCCAACAATCATGTGAATGAACTTGGAAGAGGACCTTCCCCAGCTAAGCTGTGTCTAGATTCCAGTAGCAAAGACATTGTGAGATGATAAATGTTTGTTGTTTTAAGATGGCAAGTTTTGGGTTACACAGCAATAGATAAAATATGCAAGCCAAATAACACCACAGGGAAATTTGGAAGGTGGAACACTGTAAATGTTCTATACAACAATCAACATGCATTCTTTTCAAGGCAGAGTGTCATCGCCACTTGGAATAAACAAGAGATGCAATCTAGAGATTTGCTTTGTATCTTGATTTGCACAGAATAGAGACAAAAGACATTCTTAGGACAGTTGGAAAAATTAAATATGGATTGGGTATTTAAGTATATTAAGGAATTACTAATTATGTTAGGATATTGTTACGTTGGCTCTAAAAGAAGATGTTTTCTTATGTATATATAAATATTTAAAGGTGACATATTATATTTTCTATTAAATATAGTACTTTATATTTCAATATAGTCAGATAATGTAGGGGTGTTTCAGTGAACTGCACTTCTTGGAGGTGGTAAGTTAGCATTTTTTTTTTTTTTTTTTTGATACAGAGTCTCGCTCTGTTGCCCAGGCTGGAGTGCAATGGTGCAATCTCCGCTCACTGCAAGCTCTGCCTCCCGGGTTCACGCCATTCTCCTGCCTCAGCCTCCCGAGTTGCTGGGACTACAGGCGCCTGCCACCATGCCTGGATAATTTTTTGTATTTTTAGTAGAGACAGGGTTTCACCGTGTTAGCCAGGATGGTCTCAATCTCCTGACCTTGCCTCGGCCTCCCAAAGTGAAGTTAGCATTTTAAGTACCCTAATCATGAATCTCATTCTAAGTGTGACCACAAATATCATTATAGAAATCTATAGAAGAAAGTTTATTTTTAGCCATTGGGCTCTTAAAAAATAATTTTTACTGGAGAAACATAAGGAAGGGGAAAGACATGTCTTTGACTAGGATGATATGTGTTTCACCATCCTTGCATGAAAATGAAGTTTAAGGATTCAGGTAGAACAGCTGCCAAATACCTTCAGAGCAGTACGTGTGGTATAGATCTTCATGGTTCCAGTGGTCTCCCTTAATAGCCTGCTCTAGCAATAGAGTTGACTGTTTCTCAAGTGGACACACTGTAGCACCTGTACTAGAGTGAGATTTTTATTCCAGGCACTTGCTTGTCAGAGTATCTGAAGCCAGATAATGGAAATTTCTCAAATTTATAAGGAAAAGTCCTGTGATAGTTTGTGGCCTGCTTGCTAATAAATGGCAGGATTTGGTTGAAAACTTGCTTTTGTTGTATTAAGCCACCTGGTAGCAAGGTTCTGGAGAAGGAGACATATGGTTCCTACCTCACTTTAATTGCCAGGGGACACCTGTGTTACTCAGGGTTCTCGAGAGAAAGAACAATAAGACAGATGGATGGAGATGGATAGATAGATAGATAAAGGATTTATAATGGGACTTGGCTGCTGTGATTATGGAGGCTGAGAAGTCCCATGATATGCCATCTACAAGCTCAAGAACCAGGGAAGCTGATGGCATAGCTCAGTTCAAGTCTAAAGGCCTGAGAACTTGGAAGCCAATCAGGTAAATCTCAGTCTGAGACAGAAGGCCTGAGAAATGAGAGTGCCAGTGGTGTAAGTTCTGGAGCCTGAAAGCTAAAGAACCTAGAGTTCTGATGTCCAAGGTCAGGGAAAGATATGTATCCCAGCTCCAGAAGAGAGATGAATTTGTCTTTCTTCCTACTTTTTTGTTTCATCCAGGCTCTCAACCAATTGGATGGCACCTGCCCACCTTCCCTAAGAGTCGTTCTTCCTTACTTAGTACACTGATTCAAATGCCATCTCTCCTGGAAACATCCTGACAGACATGCCCAGAAATAATGTTTTACTGGCTATCTAGATATCCCTCAACCCAGTCAAGTTGACACCTAAAATGAACCATCACAATACCAATTGTGAAAACTGTGTTACTATTTGTCAAAGATTTGGCTTTCCCATCTGGTGAGAAAATTATACTTGCCCAACCTGTTGAAATCAGGCAGGGCAATGACTGACTTAACTATGGCTAACAAAATATAAACAGAAGTGATATGTGTCACTTTTAGGCAGAAGTTTTCAGAGTCGCTGCTTGATGATAAGACATGTTCTTTTTCACTAGTCTTCAAATATGGAAGCATGTGAAAAGTCTGGGCACCTCACGGACCACAAGGAGCAGAGGTCCCTGGATAACACATGATGGATGTGTGACAAGAATGAGAAATAAACAGTGTTGGTTTAAGCCTCTGAGATTTTGATTCCACTGCATAGCCTAGCCTCTCCAGAATGGCCAAGCAAACCTTCCCAAACAGACCTGATGACGAGTCAGCGGCTGAAATCAGCCTTCAAAACTAGCTCCCAGTGAATGGACAATGAAACTTAGAAATGAATAAACTGAAAGCACGTGAAAGGACTGGAAAAATAGTAAAAGGAGTAATCAGTAACAACTTCTGACTTCCTCTAGCCATCCTTCCACTTAACTAAGAAAATTTGAAGCAACAAAAACAATGTATGCAAGCCTACATCACGACATTTATCTGCCTTCAAGACTCCACTCACACAGTTTGTCTTTCCTGTTGCAATTAGAGTGAACTGGTAGTGATCTTATCTGAGACCAATTTATATGTGTGTTCTAAACCTCATCTCTTCCAGCCTCCTCAGGAACAACAATTCTCCTGCCTTTCTTCTATGCCATTAATTTCTTCCCTTCTACCACTGCATTCTCATCAGCATTTAACATGGGTCTTGCATCATATCCCAATACTCCTGTTAACAGCCAGCCACATGGGACTACTTGTCAATCACCTAAGCCTACAATGCATTGTCATTATGTTATGCTTTAGGTGAACTGGTGATCTTCTGCTTGAAATGTTACTTACCCCCTGCAACCATACAAACATAGTTTGTCTCTCAAACCCTCCAAATATTCCCTCTGTGAAACATTTTCTGATTTTCCTCAATGAGAATTATTTCACTTTTGTTTTCTCAACAGTTTTTTTTCATTCACTTATTTGAAGTGCTTACTATATTGCCAATCAGTGAACAAGATGTTTTAAAGGAAATGTGGGCACATTTGGGCATATGCACAAACAACACAAGGCAATTATCCTAATTATGTTTTGAATCAAATTCTAAATGTAATCATTTGTGGTTAAACATATGGAACTAATAGTTGAGCACTTTTAACTTTTATTTTGATTATCTCTTTATTTATCCACCTTTCCTTGTAGTATACTAGTGTTGGATGAAAGCTTTCTTTGGTCACTGGGGTTCATTGGTTATTGGTCAAGACCATGAGGCTCAGAGTAATGCAGATGTGACTGTAAGTTCTGCTCTTCTGATTATCTGTGTCTCAGCTTCATTAAAACCTGGATTTCTTAGTTATGCAGATGCACGATTTTGTAGGATCAAATGTGTGATGCTTATAACACAATTAGCACACTGTCTAGCACAGAGTTGGTCCCTCATAAACACTGGACATTACTGATTCTGTAAATATTGTTTTATTTTTATCATCATATTTATTTTCACAATAGTATTGCAGTATCTGGCATATAGTAGTGCTTATTAAACATGTGATGGATTAATAAATGAATGCTGCATGAACTTAGCTGATTTCAAATATTTTTCTCACCAGCAAGTTATATTTTATTTTACTCTATAAGAGAGAATGGTTAATAATTTAAAACAGAATAAAATAATATGGTGTCTTCTAGGAAAATAAAGAAAGCGTAGTCAGCCTTAGTGACCAGCTCTAGTACTTTCTAGAAAAGAAAACAATGAAGGTAATAATTGTAAGCAGTCTCATATGATTGTGAGTTGGCCATAACAAATGTGAAATGTCACCACTTTCTTTTATGTATCCTGGAAAATAGTTTCTGGAAGTAATAGTTTTAGTTTGTAGCCATCTTGGAGTTTCTGTTCATGGCCTATTCATTGTTCTATAACCTCTGGTAGGAAGACGTATCCCAATCTTTGTCCCTACACTGTTAGTGTGAGTTTCATGAAGCCCACTAGACAGTCTGGAATAAACCCAGCGGTTAACTGACTACCTGTGAAGCGGCACCCCCTTACAGTCAGAGAGAGAACAGATGATCCCACCCACCCTTAGCAGAAATGGAAACATTTACTTCTGCCTGGTAGACTACTGTGAGTCCACACAGTAGAATCTGACCACCTTCTACTTCTTGTCTTTGACCAGCAGTAAATGAAACCAGCCCAGCTGCGTGCTCACCTGAAACTTATTTTCTCCTTCACGTTCCAAACTCATGACTTGCTTGTGGCAGAAAAAAAGGTAATTATTATTCAGTAAGTTTATGCTCCTTTACAGGGTAGAGTTGTTGCCTAAACAGACACTATATTTCCCAAGCTCTACTCAGTCAAGGTGGGGCCATATGGCTGGTCCATGCCAGTGGAATATGAGTGAAAGTGATGTGTGTCACTTCTGGGCTGAGAAGAATATGTGTCAGTTGATGAAATACAGACACCAGGATAAGCTAGGAAGCCATGTGTTTCAAATGACAGTATCCTTCAGCCTGGATCCTTGAACAACTCCTCAACTCCAATTTGCCGATCACAGGAGAAATAAACTATTGGGTTAACAAACTGGGATTGTGGGTTTGTCTGTTCTGGAAACTGTTTCCTTAACTTTAATATAGCCCATCCAATTATTTATGTACCAGCATAAAATAGTCTCAAGGAGTCCTTCATATTCAGAACCAATCAATCACTATTCAATTGCTCGTAAAGCCACCGTTGAGTTATCTAGTGGACAAAATATTTTGTTGGAGTCATTTGGACCAGTTTTTGAATATGATTTATATGAATTCTTTACCCTGAAGCTGTCAAAGTTGGCATAGGTAACACTATGTACTGCAATAAACAACTGCAAATTTCAGTAATTTCACTCCAAAAATGAAGGAAGAGGAATTTCCTCAGAAAGGAAGAATAAGTTTAATCTAAACTGTTAATTGTGTTTTTCCCAGATCTATAAATAAAAATGCAAATAATTAAGAGCATTAAAACATAATATTATTAGTAATATAAACTTTACAATATAATGACGTCAGAAAGCATCTTAAGGTCTTATTCTGACAGTTTGTTTTTGCTTAGAACGTTTTGGTGAAGGGTGTTTGGAGTTAATATCATCTTGGAAATCTGAAATACAATTTTTTTTTTGTCTTCTGTGAGTTGTAGAAAGGGCATTTTGAAACCCCTTTTCCCAATGTGAAAAAAGGAAATGGAGAGGGAGATAGAATTTGCCTAGACCTTTCTGAAGATTTGCTTACTTACTTTTGAGACACACAAGACATAGATACGGAAGATGGGCAGGACTTTCATCAATACTGCCCAAATAAGAAGAACACAAAAGCAGGTACCTAAAAATTAGACTAGTTGTTTAAGCATATTTTACCCCTGGGCCACATGAAGAGGAAAAGATTAACAGCAGTCATCGTAAATTATGTTTGATACTCATTTTACATATTTCCTTATTTAATTTTTCTAAGAACTACTTCGGGGTCCGCAACCCCTGGCAGTGGACCGGTACCAGCCCATGGCCAGTTAGGATCTGGGTAACACAGCAGCAGGTGAGTGGTGGGTGGGCAAGCATTGCCACCGAGCTCTGCCTCCTGTCAGGTCAGCAGTGGCATTACATTCTCATAGGAGCACAAACCCTATTGTGAACTGCGCATGCGAGGGATCTAGGTTGTGTGCGTCTGATGAGAATCTAATGCCCTAATGCCTGATCATGTGAGGTGGAACGGTTTCATCCCGAAACCATTACCCACTCTCACCCGCCTGTCCAGGGAATCTTTCCTCCACAGCTCATGCACCTGATTGCCACTATTGATGAAAATCAGCTTACCTGGGAAATAATAATTAGAAATGATGTCTTTCAACCACTGTGCAATCCACAGGTCCATCCTTGGTGCCATGCCTCAGTTAAACTAGGAGAAGGAAACCTTCGCACCTCAAACATCCCCTCAACCCTAGTTAAGACTGACAATAGAGAATGAGTTGTAATCCCTGTTTAATCTCAGAAGTTCTGCCTTTAAACGGTGTAGCATAAAAATGAATAAGTAACTTTTGTTCTTACTTGGAAGATTTTGGATAAAGTGTGAGTCTATGAAGTCCCTAAAGCTGAGCTCATCAGCTCTTGAAGTGATGGTGACTTTTGCAGGTGCTGATATTTTAAGGGTTTTTTTTTTTGTTATAGTTATAAAATTCATGACCATTGAAAAGGCAGAGTGGAAACACAATAGAGCCATAATTCTTCCACCGGCACTACTGCAAAAAAAAAATAAAATAAAATAAAATAAAAAGAAAAACATAAAAATTTCTATTTTAATCTTGCATTTTGAAAATACTGATTATGAAAATTAGACTAAGACACTAATCTAACACTTGGTGCTAGAGAGTAGGTAATTTCACAAATTTCAATGTGCTGTACATATGTTATTTATTTTATATTCCAATAACTAGGCTATTCTTCATTCATTTTTAACGTCATAAAAATCAGCTGAGCCCTGTTTAAAGTCACATTTTACTCCTTTGTTATCTTATTTAAAAAATTTAAGCATTATGCTATGGAAATAAAACATTGTTCTTAAAAGGGCAGATTTTCATGGACTTATAACTTTTAATCCATTTTAAAGGCTATCATGATAAATATCATTATGTAGTTTAAGAAAGTGAACAAAACCCCCTTTTATGATTAAATAACACTTAATAACTTGTGACATAAACTAGGAACATATGAAATTTTTCAAAGAAATAAGTGGGAATGGATAATTTTTTTATTCTACAAAAAATATTAAATTGGTTCCTGCTATGGTGGAAATGTTTATATCCTCTTAAAATTCATATGTTGAAACCTAATCCCCAAGGTGATAATGTTGGTAGGTGAGTGGGATTTGTATTCTTGTAAGAGACCCCAGAGAGCTGGTTTGCCCCCTTCTACCTTGTGAGGACACAGTGAGAAGGCATCATTCTATGAGCCAGGAAATGGGTCCTTACCAGACAATCTGCCAATGCCTTGATGGACTCTCCAGCTTCCAGAATTGAGAGAAAAAAAATATGTTGTTTATAGCTTATTTGTTTTTTAATTTTTATTTCTTGAAGAAGTCTCGCTCTGTCACCCAGGCTGGAGTGCAGTGGCACCATCTTGGGATCTTGGCTCATTGCAACCTCCACCTCCCAGGTTCAAGTAATTCTCCTGCCTCAGCCTCCTGAGTAGTTGGGATTACAGGCACATGCAACAACGCCTGGCCTTTTTTTTTTTTTTTTTTTTTTTTTTTGATTTTTAGAGAGACAAGGTTTCACCATGTTGGCCAGGCTGGTCTTGAACTCCTGACCTCAAGTGATCCACCCTCCTCCTCGGCCTTCCAAAGTGCTGGGATTACAGGTGTGAGCCACCGCGCCCAGCCACTTATTTCTTTTGTATTCTTATTTCGTTATCACAACCTAAATGGACTAAGATAGAAAATTAGTACCAATGAGTGGGGGTTCTCCTGTGACAAAGACCTAAAAATGTAAAAGTGTCTCTGAAACTGGGCCGTAGGTAGAGGCTGGAAGAGTTTTGAGACAAAATACTAGAAAAAAGGCTCCTTTGTCGTGAACAGGCTGTTAAGGGTGATTCTGGTAAGGCCTCAGAAGAAAAGCCTTAATATTCTTAGAGAATACCTAAGAGGTTATGAACAGAATATTGATAAAAAAAAGTGGATGGCAGGAGGCTACTCTGCTGAGGTCTCAGATGGAAAGGAGGAATATGTTATTGGACAATGGGAGAAACATCATCCTTATTACAAAGTAGCAAAGAAACTGCCTGAATTGTGGTTGTGTCATAGTGTTTTGTGGAAGGTAGAATTTAGAACAATAAATTAGGATATTTGTCTGAAAAAAATTTCCAAGCAAAATGTTAAAAGCGCACCTTGGCTTCTCTTGAGTACTTATAGTAAAGTGTGAAAAGAGAGACAGTTTAAAGTTGGGATTTTTAATCAAAAGAATAGAACCTTAAAAAAAGGGAAAATTTTCAGTTATCTATATTGAAAGAAAAGAGAAAGCTTGTTTGGGAGAGAACAAGGTTGTCCCTGAGGGACCTTTTGATAGAGATTAGTTTGATCTGCCATCTAAACAGAAACCAGGACTTTTTCTCCAAGACAATGGAAGAATATTTCCAAATAAATTTCAGAGATCACTGGGGCTGCCCCTCTTAGCATGAGCCAGACTACAAGATCCTGGAGCATGCATAGACTTCAAAGCTGCACTCTCCAAATTCTGGTATAGTACTCATTGGCCACCTCAGATGTGACTCCAGTGGGACCAGATGCAGTTTGGGCTGGGGTGACCACGACACCAGAGGGCACAAACTGTAAACCTCAAGGTGCCATCTCTGCTATCACCACAAAAGTGCCTGAGCAATGGGCTATGGCCACCTTCACCTGGAATTTGAAGGATGGAACTCCTGAGCCTTGGACACAGAACCCAGGCAAAGGGCTGCTATAATAGTGGGGCCACTGCAAAGAGTCGCAATTAGGGCAATGCCTAATGGAGTTGTGGGAATGGGGCTTCTCCAAGACCCCAGAATGATAAAAATATCAGCTTGCACTTCCAGCCTAGGAGAGCCACAGGCATCTGAGTCCATCCCATGAGAAATGTGGTGTGGGCTATGCCCAGCAAACACACAGGGGAGCTTTGGAGGACAGAACCCACCCCAGTGTGTCTGGAAGGCAGGACATTGAGACAAAGATTATGCTCAAGATTTAATATCTTTTGCGGTATTAGGTTTTAGGCTTATTATTGCTTTCTTCTATTCCCTTTTGGAATGGGAATATATATTCTATATCTGCCCTACCATTGTGTTCTGGAAGCACAAAATATATTTGATTTCACAGGTTTATAGATAGAAAGCATTTGCCTCAGGATAAATCATATCTTGAGTCTCACTCATACCTGACTTACATGATATTTAGATGAGATTTTTGGACTTAAACTTTAAAGTTAATGCTGGAATGAGTTAACAGTTTTGGGAGCTAATAGAATGAAATTAATGCATTTTGCATGTGAGAAAAACATGTATTTTGAGGAACCATGGATAGAATACTATAGTCCAAATGTTTGTTTCCCCCTCAAACTTATGTGTTGAAACCTACTAACCCATGTTATAGTATTTGGAGGTAGGGCCTTTGACAGGTATTAGGTCATGAGGGCTCTATTCTCATAAATGGGATTAGTGCACCAACCTATTAAAAGAGGCCTAACGGAGCTCCCTTGCCCCTTTTACTATGTGAGGACATGGTAAGAAGGCTCCCTCTATAAACCAGGAAACAGGTCCTCACCAAACACCAAATCTGCTGATGCCTTGATCTTAGACTTCTCAGCCTCTAGAACTGTGAGAAATACATTTCTGTTGTTTGTAATCTGCCCAGTTTATGGCATTTTGTAATAGCAGTCAAATGGACTAAGACAATTCCTTAAGTTTGTTAGACATGTGGAGACTCTTCTGATGTGAGAGCCTCTAGAAACAATTGAAAATTCCTTAAAAATATATAATTTTTTTCAAAGAAAGAAAGCATAGAAAGTACCATAAACAAAATACACGTGTTATTGCTGTGCTTGAAGAGCAAGTCAAGAATTAAAATGAGGGATAACTTAGTGAAAATTATCCCTGGAGTACCCAAAGCCTAGGATAATAAAGACACAGTCTAGAGCTATTGTAAGGTTTTCTTTTTAAGCTAATTCCAGCACATGAAGAAAACCATGTTAGTTCAGGATATCAAGTATATGGCAGATATATATGAGCAACCTTCCAACCAAGCCTCCTCTAGTCTACTACCATATAGATATATATATATATAGAGAGAGAGAGAGAGACAGAGTCTCGCTCTGTTGCCAAGGCTGGAGTGCAATGGTGTGATCTTGGCTGACTGCAACCTCTGCCTCCCAGATACAAGCAATTCTCTCCTGCCTCAGCCTCCCAAGTAGCTGGGATTACAGGCGTGTGCCACCACGCCTGGATAATTTTTTGTATTTTTAGTAGAGACGGGGTTTCGCCATGTTGGCCAGCCTGGGTTTCAAACTCCTGACCTCAGGTGATCCACCTGCCTCGGCCCCCCAAAGTGCTGGGATTATAGGCATGAGCCACCACATCCAGGCTTGCTACCATATATTAATAGTAGCTTAGAGATTTTACTCATTTTTGCTATTCTGAAATCCCTACTGCCATGAATTTCTTACCATTAAGCTAACTGTAAAAACTGGTAAGGAATGAGTATGGATTGCTAATGACAAAGACCTAATTCAAGTTAGCTTAAAACAATAAAGAATTTTCCATTTCAAGTACCTAGGAAGTTCAAGGTATGAAATGGGATTCCATTAAAACTGGCTTACTGTTTTTCTCAGAGCAGTCTCTATTCTCTGCTTCATTCTTCCATGAGTGGGTTGGAATGCTTGCCCATAATGTAGGAAAGTAGCCTCTGGAAACTTCAGGTTTGTTGGCCTTTGGCACTCAGGACCAAGATGAGAAAGAGAGTCTCTACACTGATCATTCAAACAATCAACCTGGGAAATAGACTGACTGGCTAATCTTGGTTCAAACATTCACCCTTGCAGCCAGAGGAGTGAAGTCATTTCTAGTTGACCCACAGCGTTACTGATGAGGCAGTGTGCCCCCAAAGGAAGAGAGGTTGTGTTACTAGAAAGGGGAATGGGTACAATGCAACCAGTCAACAACTTTTAAACACTTACTAGAGTCAGACTCTGTGATAGGCATGTCATATGTTTTCTTTTACCATGGTCCTTAAAAATCTCACACGATTGAATTATTATTATTCCTATTATTATCCTCATCTACAATGTACTAACCTGTCACTGGTGGGATGAAGGAACTTGCCCAAACTACTTATAAGCAGAAAAATTGAAATCTGACTTCATGTTTCCTTTGTTCCTGAGCCCAGACTTTGAAACATTCTTCTATACAGAATGGCTTAATCTTGCAGGTTCAAAAGTGTATGTGAAAATTGTACTTTCTTCTGTGTGATGAGTACTTCTAAGGACCTTTCATCTTCTTCCTGCTATTTGCTCCTTCCTATGCTTCCAAAATATTTTTTAAAGAGAACTAGAGACCAAAGCATAATTTGCATTTTATCACTATGAAATCTCTTTTCAGTTTGCTCAGTTTGATTTCTGGGGTTTCGTGGTGTTGGACTCATTTTTATTTTCTTTCAGGCAAGGAAAACCAAGTCAGCAACTACTAGTTTGTATTAATGTAAGGACGTGTCCCAAACGGTTAACATTTCCTTTATCAAGTTTTTTCTCACTTTACTCAGAAAAGTATATGAAAAATCAAAATCTATACATTTGTTCTCTACTTTTTCCCCATGAATCTCTGTCATTAAGTGGCTATCTTAGCATCTGCACCATACAGCATTAGCTGTACCTCAAAAATAGTTATAAAAGATATGGAGAAAAACTTTAAAAGTACATTGAACATAATTCCTTGGGATATGAAATTATAATTATAAATAAATGGAACTAAACATTAAAATATATTTTTCCCCAAAGAAAGAGACCTACCAAATGGGAGTTTTACATATCAGTAGGTTTTGTTAGAAAATTTAAATTGCTGGAATGACATTCAGCTCCCCCACTTCAAATATGCAATGAAAACTGATATGTTGAAATTTCTCTATTACTCTAGCCATTGACCTGTTAAAAATATTATGGGATGGTTTACCTCAGAAATTGGCATTAATAGGGAAATGACAAGAAACTTGCTGCCCAAATGCAACTATTTCCAAAATTGTAAAAATTGCATAGGCGTTCATTTCAATTTCTCATTTAGAGTGGCAGGGAAGAGTGAAGTGAAATCAAATGCATCCTCCGATTCTTAAATGGAAATTCACTCAGGCTCGTTGGTTCTGAGAGAGATGTGTGCATAGAAGCTTGCCTATTCTGAGCCTAAATTATTTTCTTCCCTTAATTCTTGCTTTTGCTTCAGGTTTGATTTGAGACATACTCTTAGTAAGGGAATAAGAGAGTAATCTTCAGACTTCTTCAAATAACAGTCACTATAAGGCTTATGACTGCACAATTATTACATCTTCTCATTTCCTAACTTTTTAGCAGCCACTTAATAATAAAGGTCATTAGAAAATTCAAAAGCAACATTTTTTTCTAGGTAGTATTTTGGCGAAATAAATATTTAAAAAGGAGGTAAGAAAGAAAGGAGATAATTTCCAGTTTACAAAAAAGAAAGCATTTTCCAGTTTAGGAAGAACTTGTGTATTTCATCACATTTCTCACATTCATCCTCCCAGCGTCTTCATGGGGTCAATGATAACATTCACATCTAGGAGCTTTTTTGTCAACTAAAATAAAATGTGAAATACATTGATTTTTCAGTGAGTTTTAATTAGTAATAGAAATGTGACGATTTTGTAGAAGGGAGAATGGGTCCTCAGAAAAAAATAAATTACATATAATGACATGCACTGAATGAGTGAAGAAGGAGCAAAGATAGGGCTCTGTTGAAGGCCTTCTAATTCCTAATGTCCTAGCAGACAAGAAGCTCTTTCTGTGTCAGATTTGAATCTTACCCCACTGTGTATAAAGTGCTCTTGTGGGTATTGCCATATTTGAGCCTAATACCAACTTCCTGATTTTCCCATGTTAAGTTTGTCCTAATATGTTGTACTTTTGTCCTCAGTTCCAAATGTCCATGCAACTTGCAGTCTGTACTACACAGGTGATGTATTATTATCCTATTTATTGTGTTCATCCTTGTTCAGCCTAGTTCACTAGACTTTTTCACCCCTGCTTTCTGTTAGACCGTGTGCTTGTGGTATCCATAAGTCTGTGTTACTACTTTTGTATTCTCCCACAGTGCCAAGGAAACTGTTATCAGTATAAGATAGGTATAGAAATACATGTACTTTGTTCTGCATTGTAACAATGCATTTTAGTTTTACTGAAATATAGTTACTGTAAACCTAGAATATAACTTTAATGTATTTTCAAAGAAAGAAAACATTTAAAAGTTTACGCATTATTATTTCAAATGTACTAGTATTGTTCACAACACCAGTCCTAATTATTTTAAAAACAACCGAAAATACCTACTAAAATGTGGTACAGGCTAATAAAAATGCAACGTGAATGTCTAATAGAAATATTGTTTTGGGTGGAGCCAAGATGGCCGAATAGGAACAGCTCCAGTCTACAGCTCCCAGCATGAGCGACGCAGAAGACGGGTCCAACTGAGGTACTGGGTTCATCTCAATGGGGAGTGCCAGACAGTGGGTGCAGGACAGTGGGTGCAGCACACCGTGTGTGATCTGAAGCAGGGCAAGGCATCGCCTCACCCGGGAAGCGCAAGGGGTCAGGGAATTCCCTTTCCTAGTCAAAGAAAGGGGTGACAGACGGCACCTGGAAAATTGGGTCACTCACACCCTAATACTGTGCTTTTCCAACGGGCTTATCAAATGGCACACCAGGAGTTGATATCCCACACCTGGCTCGGAGGGTCCTCCGCCCATGGAGTCTCACTCATTGCTAGCACAGCAGTCTGAGATCAAACTGCAAGGTGGCAGTGAGGCTGAGGGAGGGGCGCCCGCCATTGCTCAGGCTTGAGTAGGTAAACAAAGCCGCCAGGAAGCTCGAACTGGGTGGAGCCCAACACAGGTCAAGGAGGACTGCCTCACTTTGTAGGCTCCACCTCTGGGGGAGGGCACAGACAAACAAAAGGCAGCAATAACCTCTGCAGACTTAAATGTCCCTGTCTGACAGTTTTGAAGAGAGTAGTGGTTCTCCAAGCTCACAGCTTGAGATCTGAGAACGGGCAGACTGCCTCCTCAAGTGGGTCCCTGACCCCCAAGTAGCCTAACTGGGAGGAACCTCCCAGTAGGGGTGGACTGACACCTCACACGGATGGGTACTCCTCTGAGACAAAACTTCCAGAGGAAGGATCAGGCAGCAGCATTTGCAGTTCACCAATATCTGCTGTTCTGCAGCCACTGCTGCTGATACCCAGGCAAACAGAGTCTGGAGTGGACCTCAAGTAAACTCCAACAGACCTGCAGCTGAGGGTCCTGACTGTTAGAAGGAAAACTAACAAACAGAAAGGACATCCACACCAAAAACCCATCTGTACATCACCATCATCAAAGACCAAAGGTAGATAAAACCACAAAGATGGGGGAAAAACCGAGCAGAAAAACCGGAAACTCTAAAAATCAGAGTGCCTCTCCTCCTCCAAGGAATGCAGCTCCTCACCAGCAATGGAACAAAGCTGGACGGAGAATGACTTTGACCAGGTGAGAGGAAGGCTTCAGAAGATGAAACTACTCCGAGCTAAAGGAGGAAGTTCGAACCAATGGAAAAGAAGTTAAAAACTTTGAAAAAAAAATTAGACGAATGGATAACTAGAATAACCAATGCAGAGAAGTCCTAAAAGGACCTGATGGAGCTGAAAACCAAGGCACGAGAACTACGTGACGAATGCACAAGCCTCAGTAAGTGATGCGATCAACTGGAAGAAAGGGTATCAGTGATGGAAGACAAAATGAATAAAATGAAGCATGAAAAGAAGTTTAGAGAAAAAAGAATAAAAAGAAACGAACAAAGCCTCCAAGAAATATGGGACTATGTGAAAAGACCAAATCTACGTCTGATTGGTGTACCTGAAACTGACGGGGAGAATGGAACCAAGTTGGAAAACATTCTGCAGGATATTATCCAGGAGAACTTCCCCAATCTAGCAAGGCAAGCTAACATTCAAATTCAGGAAATACAGAGAATGCCACAAAGATAACCAAGACACATAATTGTCATATTCACCAAAGTTGAAATGAAGGAAAAAATGTTAAGGGCAGCCAGAGAGAAAGGTCAGGTTACCCACAAAGGGAAGCCCATCAGACTAACAGCTGATCTCTCAGCAGCAACTCTACAAGCCAGAAGAGAGTGGGGGCCAATATTCAACATTCTCAAAGAAAAGAATTTTCAACCCAAAATTTCATATCCAGCCAAACTAAGCTTCATAAGTGAAGGAGAAATAAAATACTTTACAGACAAGCAAATGCTGAGAGATTTTGTCACCACCAGGCCTGCCCTAAAAGAGCTCCTGAAGGAAGCACTAAACATGGAAAGGAACAACCGGTACCAGCCACTGCAAAAACATGCCAAATTTTAAAGACCATCAAGGCTAGGAATAAACTGCATCAACTAACAAGCAAAATAACCAGCTAACATCATAATGACAGGATCAAATTCACACATAAAAATACTAACCTTAAATGTAAATGGGCTAAATGCTCCAATTAAAAGGCACAGACTTGCAAATTGGATAAAGAGTCAAGACCCACCAGTGTGCTGTATTCAGGAAACCCATTTCATGTGCAGAGACACACATAGGCTCAAAATAAAGGGATGGAGGAAGATCTACCAAGCAAATGGAAAACAAAAAAAGGCAGGGGTTGCAATCCTAGTCTCTGATAAAACAGACTTTAAACCAACAAAGATCCAAAGAGACAAAGAAGGCCATTACATAATAGTAAAGGGATCAGTTCAACAAGAAGAACTAACTATCCTAAATATATATTCACCCAATACAGGAGCACCCAGATTCATAAAGCAAGTCCTTAGTGACCTACAAAGAGACTTAGACTCCCACACAATAATAATGGGAGACTTTAACACCCCACTGTCAACATTAGACAGATCAACGAGACAGAAAGTTAACAACGATATCCAGGAATTGAACTCAGCTCTGCACCAAGCGGACGTAATAGACATCTACAGAACTCTCCACCCCAAATCAACAGAATATACATTCTTTTCAGCACCACACCACACCTACTCAAAAACTGACCACATAGTTGGAAGTAAAGCACTCTTCAGCATACGTAAAAGAACAGAAATTATAACAAACTGTCTCTCCAACCACAGTGCAATCCAACTAGAACTCAGGATTAAGAAACTCACTCGAAACCGCTCAACTACATGGAAACTGAACAACCTGCTCCTGAGTGACTACTGGGGTACATAATGAAATGAAGGCAGAAATAAAGATGTTCTTTGAAACCAACGAGAACAAAGACAAAACATACCAGAATCTCTGGGACACATTCAAAGCAGTGTGTAGAGGGAAATTTATAGCACTAAATGCCCACAAGAAAAAGTAGGAAAGATCTAAAATTGACACCCTAACATCACAATTAAAAGAACTGGAGAAGCAAGAACAAACACATTCAAAAGCTAGCAGAAGGCAAGAAATAACTAAGATCAGAGCAGGACTGAAGGAAATAGAGACACAAAAAACCCTTCAAAAAATCAATGAATCCAGGAGCTGGTTTTTTGAAAAGATCAACAAAATTGATAGACCGCTAGCAAGACTAATAAAGAAGAAAAGAGAGAAGAATCAAATAGACGCAATAAAAAATGACAAAGGGGATATCACCACTGATCCCACAGAAATACAAACTACCATCAGAGAATACTATAAACACCTCTATGCAAATAAACTAGAAAATCTAGAAGAAATGGATAAATTCCTGGACACATACACTCTCCCAAGACTAAACCAGGAAGAAGTTGAATCTCTGAATAGACCAATAACAGGCTCTGAAGTTGAGGCAATAATTAATAGCTTACCAAACAAAAAAAGTCCAGGACCAGATGGATTCACAGCCGAATTCTACCAGAGGTACAAGGAGGAGCTGGTACCATTCCTTCTAAACTATTACAATCAATAGAAAAAGAGGCAATCCTCCCTAACTCATTTTATGAGGCCAGCATCATCCTGATACCAAAGCCTGGCAGAGACACAACAAAAAATGAGTATTTTAGACCAATATCCTTGATGAACATTGATGCAAAAATCCTCAATAAAATACTGGCAAACCGAATCCAGCAACACATCAAAAAGCTTATCCACCAGGATCAAGTGGGCTTCATCCCTGGGATGCAAGGCTGGATCAACATATGAAAATCAGTAAACGTAATCCAGCATATAAACAGAACCAAAGACAAAAACCACATGATTATCTCAATAGATGCAGAAAAGGCCTTTGACAAAATTCAACAACGCTTCATGCTAAAAATTCTCAATAGATTAGGTATTGATGGGATGCATCTCAAAATAAGAGCTATCTATGACAAACCCACAGCCAATATCATACTGAATGGGCAAAAACTGGAAGCATTCCCTTTGAAAACTGGCACAAGACAGGGATGCCCTCTCTCACCACTCCTATTCAACATAGTGTTGGAAGTTCTGGCCAGGGCTATCAGGCAGGAGAAGGGAATAAACGGCATTCAATTAGGAAAAGAGGAAGTCAAATTGTCCCTGTTTGCAGATGACATGATTGTATATCTAGAAAACCCCATTGTCTCAGCCCAAAATCTCCTTAAGCTGATAAGCAACTTCAGCAAAGTCTCAGGATACAAAATCAATGTGCAAAAATCACAAGCATTCTTATACACCAGTAATAGACAAACAGAGAGCCAAATCATGAGTGAACTCCCATTCACAATTGCTTCAAAGAGAATAAAATACCTAGGAATCCAACTTACAAGGGATGTGAAGGACCTCTTCAAGGAGAACTACAAACCACTGCTCAATGAGATAAAAGAGGATACAAAGAAATGGAAGAACATTCCATGCTCATGGGTAGGAAGAATCAATATCATGAAAATGGCCATACTGCCCAAGGTAATTTATAGATTCAATGCCATTCCCATCAAGCTACCAATGACTTTCTTCACAGAACTGGAAAAAACTACTTTAATGTTCATATGGAACCAAAAAAGAGCCTGCATCGCCAAGTCAATCCTAAGCCAAAATAACGAAGTTGGAGGCATCACACTACCTGACTTCAAACTATACTACCAGGCTACAGTAATCAAAACAGCATGGTACTGCTACCAAAACAGAGATATAGTCCAATGGAACAGAACAGAGCCCTCAGAAATAATGCTGCATATCTACAACCATCTGATCTTTGACAAGCCTGACAAAAAGAAGAAATGGGGAAAGGATTCCCTATTTAATAAATGGTGCTGGGAAAACTGGCTAGCCATATGTAGAAAGCTGAAACTGGATCCCTTCCTTACACCCTATACAAAAGTTAATTCAATATGGATTAAAGACTTACATGTTAGACCTAAAACCATAAAAACCCTAGAAGAAAACCTAGGCAATAGCATTCAGGACATAGGCATGGGCAAGGACTTCATGTCTAGAACACCAGAAGCAATGGCAACAAAAGCCAAAATTCACAAATGGGATCTAATTAAACTAAAGAGCTTCTGCACAGCAGGAAAAAACCACCATCAGAGTGAACAGGCAACCTACAGAATGGGAAAAAATTTTTGCAACCTACTCATCTGACAAAGGGCTAATATCCAGAATCTACAATGAACTCAAACAAATTTACAAGAAAAAAACAAACAACCCCATCAAAAAGTGGGCGAAGGATGTGAACAGACACTTCTCAAAAGAAGACATTTATGCAGCCAAAAAACACATGAAAAAATGCTCATCATCACTGGCCATCAGAGAAATGCAAATTAAAACCACAATGAGATACCGACTCACACCAGTTAGAATGGCAATCATTAAAAAGTCAGGAAACAACAGGTGCTGGAGAGGATGTGGAGAAATAGGAACACTTTTATACTGTTGGTGGGACTGTAAACTGGTTCAACCATTGTGGAAGTCAGTGTGGCGCTTCCTCAGGGATCTAGAACTAGAAATACCATTTGACCCAGCCATCCCATTACTGGGTATATACCCAAAGGATTATAAATCATGCTGCTATAAAGACACATGCACACGTATGTTTATTGTGGCACTATTCACAATAGCAAAGTCTTGGAACCAACCCAAATGTCCAACAATGATAGACTGGATTAAGAAAATGTGGCACATATACAACATGGAATACTATGCAACCATAAAAAATGATGAGTTCATGTCCTTTGTAGGGACATGGATGAAGCTGGAAACCATCATTCTCAGCAAACTATTGCAAGGACAAAAAACCAAACACCGCATGTTCTCACTCATAGGTGGGAATTGAACAATGAGAACACACGGAAACAGGAAGGGGAACATCACACACCGGGGAGTGTTGGCGGGGTGGAAGGGGGAGGGATAGCATCAGGAGATATACCTAATGCTAAATGACGAGTTAATGGGTGCAGCCCACCAACATGGCACATGTATACATATGTAACAAACCTGCAAGTTGTGCACATGTACCCTAAAACTTAAAGTATAATAGTAATTAAAACAAACAAAAAGAAGTGAAATGAAAAAAAAAGAAATATTGTTTTAAAATGCAAATGATTGATTTCAAGTCCAATTTAATCAGAAGAATGAAAATTATATTAGTGTTTTCAGTGATAAACTTGATTTTATCTTTGAATGCCCCAGCTTAACATCTAGTCAAAGCATATGCCTACTTACATTTTTAAATATAGCATCTTGTGTGGATTTCTTTAATCTGGTCTACTGTGTTCAAATTCCAGAGCACCAGCCATCTTTGGCATGTATGTAGGCCCTACTTATCAGACAGGTCCGGCTCAAGTTCTACTACCTTTCTGAGACCTCCCTTCTGTGTTTCCCTTTTACTTGACTTTAAGGTTCTTCTTTTTTATGATATTAAGAGTGCCTTAATCCATGAAGGTAGCTCTGGCAAAATAACATAAACTGTGTAGCTTGTAAACAAGAGAAATTTATTACTCATGGTTCTGGAGCAGGGAAGTCCAAGTCAAGGTACAGCAGTGTCAATGTCTGGTGGAGACCCACTTTTCAGTTCAAGTTGACACCTTTATTGTGTGTTCTCACATGGTGGAACAAGGCAAGGCATCTCTCTGGGGCTTATTTTATAAGGACAGTCATCCCATTCATGAGGGCTCTACCCTATGACCAAATTAATTCCCAAAGGTATTACCTCCCAATACAATTACATTGGTGATTAGGTTTTGATAGGATTTGGCTCTGTGTCCCCACCCAAATCTCACCTTGAATTGTAATAATCCCCAAGTGTCGTGGGAGAGCCCTGGTGGGAGATAATTGAGTCACCAGGGCAGGTTTTCCCTGTGCTGTTCTCCTGATAGTGAATAAGCCTCAGGAGATCTGATGGTTTTATGAAGGCCAGTTCCCCTACACAAACTCTCTTTGCCTGCTGCCATGTCAGATGTCCCTTTGCTCTTCGTCTTCCGCCATGATTGTGAGGCCTCTCCAGCCATGTGGAACTGTGAGTCCAGTAAACCTCTTTTCTTTATAAATTACCCAGTCCCAAGTATGTCTTTACTAGCAGTATATGAACAGACTAATACAGGTTTCAACATATAAATTTGGGGGTACACAAATATTCAGATATAGCAAAGGATAAGATCTTGGAGCATAATACTCCCTCATTTCTCACTTCCTCCTCATACTGCCTCTGCCTTTTGAAACACTACTTCCAGTCATGCCTTTACCAACGACTCTTTCCAGTACCTTCCCAGCCCATAGCTATTTCATGGGCACACAAAGAAGCTAAGTGTTTATATTTCTTTATGAGCAATGAAAATTCAAAGAGTAAATTGGAAGATACATACACTCAGATCCAACTCTGGGCTGCTGAGCAATTTCAAAGACTCCCAGTTAAAGATGGTCATGATTCCTATTAAATGGATCAGTGTGTTAACCAAATATGAAAGCATCAAACAACTAGAAAAACACAGATAAACACTTTATCTGATTAGGAATCAGAAGAATCCCAAGTAATGGATGAAATCACACATGGGCTATTTGTTGATATAATTATTTTCAGTACATAAAAGATATTGTGAACAAATATTAAGTGGCAAATTTGGACAGTTATCTGAGATAAAACATATCTTTCAAATGAATAACTGGACACATCTTCATATGAAGGGCCATTTCAGTCCAAGGAGGAATGGGACGCATAGGTGACCACCAAATAGTGAAGAATATGAAAATCCATGGTCATCCCAGAAAAGGTAATGAATTTGACTTCTGAAATCAAATACAGAATAATTCATATGAACCCTTATCTGTTTTTAAGGCAGTTTACAATCTTCCTATTATTTTTATTTTGCAGATGAGAAAAACTGAGGCTCAGAGATGCAAAGTAGTTTTTCTAAGTATTGGACTCAAAAGTCTTCATTCTTTCTGCCACAAAATGCTGCCTTATAGCTGTCACAGCTATGGGTATACCACAGGTAATTTTATTTGTAAAACATTTAACCCTTCTCCAGTACACATTCCATTGATTTTAAACAATTTTGTCTCAAAGAGCTCTTTAAATTATTTTTGTGGGTACACATATGGGTAGGATAGGTCCCAAATCGTACTTTCTGCCAACATTTTGGTTCCCTGAGTAAACAAAGAAGCCAAATAAACTAGCTGACAGAATGGAGTCCTCAGCTGTCTGTGAGTGCGGGTGGTGTAGATGCACATATTAATTCATCTTTAAAAGTCCCAATTTGGGAGCAGTAAAATGGGTTATTAAAAATGTCTTCTCTTGGCCGGGCATGGTGGTTTACTCCTATATCCTAGTGCTTTCGGAGGCCAAGGCAAGAGGATCACGAGTTCAGGAGTTTGAGACCAGCCTGGGCAACGTGGTGACACCTCGTCTCTATAAAAATTTTTAAAAAGTTACCCGGGCATGGTGGTACACACCTGTAGTCCCAGCTACTTGAGAAGCTGAGGTGAAAGGATCACTTAAGCCGAGCAGGCCGAGGTTGCAGTGAGCTGGGATCACGCCACTGTACTCCAGCCTGGGCAACAGAGGGAGGCCTTCTCTCAAAAAAATAAAAACTAATTTAAAAAAAAGCCTTTTCTATGTCTCTTCCCCTCATAACTATCTCATTCCTCAGAACCCACACTCAAGGCAAACTCCAGTCCTGCTGCTTTTTCCAGGAAATGTGTTCCCAAGTTGACACCAGCCCCTTGCCTTAGAGATTAAACATTTGAGGTTCCATATGGTTAGAAGACCCTCATTTTACAGATGTGGAACTGAGGTCATAATTGGGAAAAAGCAACAGGAGCTAGATTCATTTCAAAGCAGCAACAAGCTATGCAGCAACTCTGTGAAGGTGTCAAACTTCAGTGATTTCTAAACACTCATCTGGCTGCATCAGAATCTCTTGGGGAGCTTCACAAAATGCAGATTTCTAGGAAATAACTCCCAGAAAGTTTGTATGAGTGGATGTGGAGTAGATTCTTGGGAACTCTTTTGAAAATAAACTAATAAAAAAATCCAGAACAACTCTCTCCAGGTAATGGTAATAGTACCTGATCTGCTTATTGTTATGAGGTTTACACTCATTAATTTTCATTAATTGCCTGCATCACACATCAGCACATAGTAAGCACTACAGTAATATTTGTTCAGTAAAATGATTTCAGATATTTTATTTTAAGCCTCAAGCATTATAAGAGTTTTCTTTCTACCCATTCTACTTTTTAAAACATTTCTCTGTATCTGACACCAAGAATTTATACTAGCTAAAAGCATTCACTTTTGTTAAAAGAAGTAGAAATTTTTCCTTCAACTTCTCTATGTGGATTTTGGTCGAGATAGGTTGGTGGTCTGGGTTTTCTCATCTTCATGAAACAGATGGAGCACAGAGGCACATGCAATTCTTGCCTTATCCTATAGCACTGTGAAATGGGAGATTCCCTGATCCCCCTGGCGGGATGTGTGACAGGAGTATGGCTCGCCTGTTCAGTTGCTGACACTGCTCAAAGCCCTGATGGGAGGCGGGGCATGCAGATGGATAGATACAGGAGCTCAGGTGAGTATGTGTTAGTGTGCCTTTCAGCACTGCCATCCGTGGACAGTTTGAGTGTTAACCAGCTCAGTGGACATCTGCCTTTCTGCAAGGCAGTGTGTGACAACTTTCTGTATCCTGAGCTCTTGTCCAGCGTCCCACAAGATTTGGGTCACACATGGACCTGAAGGAGGTATGCGGGGTGGCGGAGAGGGGGTTATTGAGTGGTGGAGGTGGCTCTCAGCGGGATGGATGGGGATCCCCTGGGGGGGAAGGGGTCGGAAGATGACATTCCCCTGGAGCCTGGCTGTCCAGTAGCCGAACTCCTCTCTGCGTTCAGACATTCCTCCTCCTCTCTCTTTCTCTGCTGCATCTTTCCACCATTCCTCGGCTTGTCTCCTTGTCTCCTCATCTGCTTGTCTGCCTGTCTGCTTCTAGAGCCTGGGGTTTGGGGTTTATATGGGTACACGATAGTGGGCATGGCAGGTCAAAAGGCAACTTTTTGGGCACAAAAACAGGAATGCCTGTCCCCATTTAGGGCCACGGGTCTCCAGCCTTGAGGGTGGGGCCTTCGCTGGAGAACCACCAGCTTCAACCCAGTGTTTCCCTGTCTCCTGTCCATATCAATTGTAGGTTGCATCAGAGAAGCACAGGGCCACACTAGAGCCCTGAAATCCCCAGTTGCCAGTTGGAGATACTGTGCTGTCTCATTAATACCATCTCCATGACATTCAGGGAAGCTAAATCAACCAAATGCAAGCACATCAGTAGTTTTATTGGAGCCTTAGGTTTTGAACACAGGAGGTCGATAATTCCCTTGTCCCAATTTAATAAGACACTAATGCCTAGAGAGGATTTGGCTGCGTTTTTAGGAGCCTCAAATGGTTTATCATCTCCATCAGTGATACACACAAAGCCTTCAGAATGTGAGCAGGTAGGCTAAGCCCGTCCCGTGGAGCAATGACCATGTGTATTGCGCCCTGCTTCACTGCACTGTGAGGGTTGTTTAAATGCAGTTCACTCATTCAGATTCAATGAGAAGAAATTAAAACTCAAAAATAAAATCAATACTTATCTCTTTGTGCCTACTCAGTGACTGTGGATGCTGGCTTTCATGGGTAATAGATTCAAGCACCACTGCTACTGAATGCTGAAATTTATGGACTTCTCCATAGTCATTAATTAATAGTGTGCACACACAGAAAAATAACCAGGTGGAACACTTAGAAATAAAATTATTGCTGAAGCACTGACTACATAGTTTTTAAGTGGTCAGTCAGCTGAATAAAATGAATAATTGAATATGCTTTACAAGCAGGCAGTGTGGACAAGCATCCCAACAGGTTTTTAATTCTCTCTAAAGAACACATATCTTACAGAGGGATGTGAATTGATTTTATTCTTATCTACTTGCCAAGGCCTTTTGTGGTTGTATTTTCTCCGTGAGGGTTTAGAAGAGCCCTTGCATCATAGTGTGAAATCTCATAAAGGATGCTTTGGGGAGTCCTTTTCAGTAAGTAGCTGAGGACTTAATTTCAGGCTAGGAACCTGCAGAGAAGTTAAAAAAAAAATATGGGTTTAGGCATGATGGAAATTATGCTATATCCTGGCCTTCTTTATACTTGTTGGAAGATAATTTCCATGGGGAACTTTTCTTCGAAAATGCATGTCTTGCTGGGAATATCTATTATCAATTGGGGCTATGTTGATTTCTGAGTATAATTCTTGAGAGAATTCTGCTCCATGTCTGCAAATATGGAAAAAATGATCCTGGCCAGAGGAATGGGAACTGAAATTATATTGCGTTTTGAAACCAGGTTTATCTTGGGCTTCCTTTTATGCTTGTCCTTTCCTCTGTCAACAAAATTTTTCTATAAAGATTAGATAGTAAATATTTTAGTTTTTGCAGACTATACAGTGTCTGTTTCAACTACTGAACTCTGCCATTGCTGTATGAAAGCAGACATAGACAGTACATTAACAAATGAGTGTAGCTTGCTCCAACAGAACTTCATTTACCAAAAAAAAAAAAAAAAAAAAAAAAAAAACAGGTGGGAGCTGCATTTGGCCCATGGGCTATGATTTTCTGACCCCTGATCTACCTGCTTTACAGCTAGCAAAGCCTCGGAATGGTTGACATCCCAAGGAGAGCAGAAGCAAAGGTATGATGAGGAAGATAAAAAGTGAACAGCCTTCTCCAGCTCTTTTTTTTCTTCATTGACAGGATTGTTTTCTTCCATCTGTGCAAAGTTCTACTTCCATAGGGCAGGCCTTGTGCTGACCCATGGAGGGCATTGGAGAGGAATCTTACTTGGTTTTTCTTGTAAATTGGTAAGTCTTCTCCCTATTCCTATTCAAGGTCTATAAGAGTAACTCTCAGAGGAGAGACTTGCAGTCAGACCTCCTATTCCCCAATGTTTTGATGGTGGTGGTTCTCTGTTGCTTCTCTTAAAGGTCAAAATCATTAGCCTGAAGGTCTTACATTTGGGGCAAGAAAGACTAAACCACCTGACTTATTTTTGTCACAACTCAAAGGAAAGATGGGAATATGGGTGAGAAGGACTGATATTCCCCAGGCAGAACTTTACAAGAACAGAAGGAAATGTTTTCTTCAGATGATAATCCAAGGATGTGGTGAGCCCAGACATGAGGGTAGTTGAGAAAGCATGCCAGAGACTGTGCTGAATGCATTTGGATTGCACAGGTTTGCCAGATCCCAAAGCTAATTAGGACTAGGCAGAAAGAGGCTCAGCACTCCACAGCCTGGCTAGTTCCCTTAAGGTAATGCTTTTTTGAAGTCTGAGAATATCCCATTGTTTATTTAAGCTTTAGCCCTCAGCCTTTTCCAAAAGGATTTGAAGGGGCTTAAACATTAATCAAAATGCAAACTAAGATTATTAGTAATAAGCCAAAATCAAGTCTATCCAAATAAATAAATAAAAGAATAAATGTTGCCAGAGGTGGAAGATAAGCTGATTGTTTCTCTGGGTAATGGGTTTGGCACCAGTGTGAGAATATTACCTGGGATATCCCTGAGGGAAGACAGAACCCAGGCACATATCTAACAAAAGACACTGTCAAATCTCAAGGTTGGCCAAATTACAGGGTTGAGCAACATCTGCCCTCCCACCCACCAATTCTGAGATTATTTTTATTTTATGTGGAATTTTGTTTAAATAAGCATCACTTTCAGGGGTTGGTGGTGGTGGTAAAATCAGACATGATTCCTGATGGTGTATGAGGATGGTGAGAGGCACTCTTAACTCGAATTAGTTGAATTTGAGAGGGAAGTATCTGGATGAGCCTCAGCTTTTCCCTTTTCACCCAGAAGCAACAAAAAGAGCAAAGCATTACTCTTCTCTCCTGGGGGACTGGCTGCCTCTGTGACTGCTCTAAGAGCCACAGTATCAATTCTACTCCCTCCCTACCTTGCCCGTCTTTCATGTGGAAGGCATTCAACATTCTCCACCCCCATTTCAGGGAAAGGTAAGCAGATCCTGGAGCAGTGTTATTTAAGACACAAGAAAAATTGTACTAAAGTGTGTGCCTGTGTGTGTGTGTGTGTTTGTGTGTGGTGTGTGCTGAATGTCAGTGAACTCAGGAACAATAGAAGCCTACAGATATTTCTAGACCTTAGGGCAAGGTTTGGGCAATTTCTCAAATAATCTTTCTTTCTGTTGCAGCCATCAGCAGAAATTTGATGGGTCATTGGCCAATGCATTCATGAGTTTGGAGGGAGACAACTAAAACTTTACTGAGCTAGGCCAGACCACAAAGGTCTGGACCAGGTTTTCAGATTGCTAAAAATAACAATTCTGACTTATTAATTACTGAGGCAGAACAGGAATGATATACATGAAGGACTAGGCTCTGAAATGCCTCAGGGAGGCTGTAGAAGTCAGTCAATGCCACAGTACCGCTGTGCAGCCATCCCCACCCCCACTCCTCAGCTCGGTGGCTGAAAAACACAGAATTAATTTGTGCTCACACATCTTTGGGCCAGCTAGAGTTTCATTAAACTGATCTGGGTTCCACTAAACTTAAACTTTGGGCCACGGATTGAGGTCAGAGTCTCTTGTTCTGTAACGAGTAGGCAACTCAGGAACTTTCTATCATGGCTATGGGAAAAGTGCAAGAAGACAAGTCCAATCCTGCATGCACATTTCAAATCACATTTCAATTGTACTAACATCCCACTATCTAAAACAAGTTCCATGGCCAAATCAAAGGTCAGCAGCCAGGGAAACATTTTCTGTCTATTCTGAGCCCATGGCAAGAACTTGGATGGATGATACTACAAGGGAGTGAAAAATTGGGAACAATAATTCTATGCCAAAGAATAATGCCAAATAATACCACTAATGCCAAAGAGGCATTCCTGAATTGGTAGGTTATGCAGCCTATGTGGAGAAAGCAAATTCTCTGGTTAGGAAAGCCCCAAACCAGAGACCTAGGGCTTTCTGTAATGTTTTAGGCCAGTGAAAAGCGTAAGGTCGGAAATCAGGTCCCCACTCAAGGATGTCATATAAAGATGTTGTCATTATAGCACACTTACATCCTCCCATATTCTATTTTTAACTGAGTCTTCAGGAGTACCTGAGGTTTCAACATAACAGGGTAAGGTAAAGCCTTCCACGTGTTTTTTAAATCTTTGTTTCTCTCTAGCATGTTTTGTTCCACAAAGCTAAGGGCCAGGAAACCGTTTCTTTTTATTAATGAAACAAATCTGTTCCTTGCTATAGACAATTTTTACTTTGTAGAGATCTTATTCCCTTCTTTGTGAGAACTTTCAGGATGCTCATGGATAGCTCTGGCCATGACAGTTTTAATAGAGCTTCTTTTTCCTCTTTTATTTATGATTTCTCTGTTTCACTACATGGTTTTCAGTTTTACTGCCACTGAACATTCATTGCAGGCTGCCTTGATTCAGTTTTGAAAGCAGACAAGCAAAGAAAGAAGGAGGGAGGGAGTGGAAAAGGAAGAAATAAAAGAGAAAAAAGATTGAACTTGGTATCATGTCTTGTCCTTATGTTAAATAATATTACAATCAGGCATATTTTTTGGTCCTTAATATTAAACAACACTGAGAACAAGCAACAGTAACTTAGTTCCTGGAAGATCCTTGCTCTTGGAAGATAATACCAACAGCCAACTAAAATAGCTTACTTGTCAAGACTAATAGTTTGCTCATCAGAACTTCCTTCTGGATCCCCATAGTCCTATTCTCATCAACCCAAAGCTACTATTGTATAAACTCTGTCTTGCAAGACCCACCTTAAAAAATGACCCAATCTGGGCCCTTCCATAAATATTCTCTCTCATTATTTCCCCTTGACCTTATCGAGATTGTGTTATCCAGTACTGCAACAAATCTAATAAACTTAGATTTGAATAATCAATAGATTTGTGGTCTTTAGGGAAATCATTATTCAGCAGAAAAAAGCAAGTTTTTTATTTGTAAAAATCAGCCATTGTCTTGTATATTTATATACCTGTGTAAGCTACAGAACATACTCTGGCAATAACCTAAAATGCTACCAATTTCAACCTTGTCAAATACATTAGTCATCTCTGACTTTTGATAGGAAAAGACACATATAACAACTGAAAAAATTCATTAAAATGTGTGGTGGTTATTAAGAAAGATGAAGTTATATTTATAAAACTAGCAAGTCAGTTTGAAATATTTTGACTTAAAAAGATGAATTGGGAAATCTTTTTTTCTTTATTTTAGGGTCAAGAGGTACATGTGCAGATTTGTTACATGGGTAACTTGCATGTCACGGAGGAGGTTTAGTGTACATTTGTTTTTGTCACCCAGGTAATCAGCATAATACACAATAGGTAGTTTAAGTGAAGTTTTCTTCAACGCTTTTAGTCAAAGAGCATGGAAACCAACTGTACGTGTGACTGACTTTCTTCCTCCCTCCAGGGGAGCCATCTGTGAGCCACACTCTTGTCTCATTCCTGTGGGCATCTCTCTGCCTCTGTGCATGGCGTTCAGGCAACAGAGCCTGTGGCAGACTGTAGGGCTAATCACCTAAACTGGTGACCCTGTTTGGGTTGGAAAGATTACCAATGTGTTGATGTCTGTGCACCCATTGTTGTGTGTGGAAAGATGGTGGATTCAGGTAAGACAACTATCAGAGATCCAATTAACAGGTAACCAGAACATCCAGAAACTCGCAACCTTTTTTGCTTCTACTTTACATTTCAGAGGCGTGAAGTGGTTGATTCTATCCTTGGTTTCAGTTTTAAAATGGCCCTACATGCTATTTCGTAAATTATTTTTCCACATTTATCATTTCAACAAGATGTGCTGTGGGAAGATCCTTCCTGCATATGCTGTCTATTCATGCTGATTTTTGTGTTGCAGTTCTGACCTTCTCATTTATCTAATGTGCAGCTGTCAAGGGCCTATCATGACTTAAAATGTGTAACCCTATGTTGGCTTTTGGAGCCAACAGATTTGAAGTAAAGTTATCCCTAAAGAAAATTTGGCTTCCCCAATTTTAAATTGGTGAAATAATGAAACTTAGTGACCAAAATATGTAAATTTAAGCATTAAAGGGGAAGAAATAAAGAGATGAACAGAAAAAAGAAAGAAAGAGAGAAAGAAAGAAAGGAAGGAAGGAAGGAAAGAAAAGAAAGAAAAAAGAAAAGGAAAGAAAGAAAGAGAGAGGAGAGAAGAGGAAAGGAAAGGAGAGGAAAGGAAAGGAAAAGAAGAGAAGAAAGAAAATATACTGAATATAATGTTTGGATATTGTGAGTCCCTTAGAAAAGGTGTTAATAATCAGTAAAGGAGAGAAGAGTTCCAGGGAGAAAGGTACAGACACCTTTTCATAGCAAAGGTCAATTATTCAATAAGGAAACATTTAGGATGATGTCTATGTGCCAAGCACTGCGAGAGTTATCAGAATGTCTCATTTCCTCAAAGTTTCTACTATTATTCCAATAGAAAAACAACAGTACAAGATACAGGATGGAGAAGGTGAGTTGAACGGTTTTTTAATTCAACACAGGAATTTTTGGTCCACTGTCCAACTAAATGTAAGGAATTAGATTAGCTTTATGTCGTTCTAATTTTTCTTGAGAGCTCGTATCAACAAACACTTGCTGGATGGTTTCTATGAGGCAGGAACTCTGCTATGTTCTGGAATGAGCATATGGAGTTATACAAATATGTACAAGACATATTTCTTGCCATTAAAGTATATATAAGCTAATAGAGAATAAGCATTGATCTGTGAAATAAAGAATAGTCAGATTTGGAAAGTTTCACCAATTTTCAACAGTATAGAATGCAGCATTAGGCAAAGGTCCAAAAATGATATCATCCAAATGGAATGGGGAAATTGGAAAGTTGAGGAAAATGTCAAGGATTGAGACAATTAATGAATCACTAAAGAAGTATTATATATGTTCATAGGTGTGTTTATGATTTCATTTTACTTGACGTCACACGCTGGAACACCCAAATATTTTACTCGTGATTATATTTTTGTGCTTCAGTTACTGGCACCTTTATTTTCTTCCATTAGTGCCCTACATCCATCAATGCCTGTGTGTAGAATATTTTGACCTCAGTAAATTCATAACAGTATTAACAACAGAGTCGCAGGTGTTCTAGGAAGGAAAATAAGGCACAGGTGGACTATAAGAGATGCAAAATTCCAAGCCAAGGGGCTGAGGGTGTCATCAAAGGAGTAATCTCAGGCCCAGTAGCCAGCTGTCTCCTAATACTGATGTTCTTTTCTGCATATCACTGTCAGACAAATCTTCAACATATTTCTGAATCAAAGCCTGCACAAATGATAACGTTCAATGTGCAATATTTCCTTTTATTTTAATTATTTTTCAGACAAGGTCTCACTCTGTCACCCAGGCTGAAGTGCAATGGCATGATCGCGACTCACTGCAATCTCCACTTCCCAGGTTCAAGTGATTCTCCATGCCTCAGCCTCCTGAGAAGCTGGGACTACAGGCGCGCACCACCACGCCTGGCTACTTTTTGTATTTTTAGTAGAGAAAGGGTTTCACCAAGTTGACGAGGCTGGTCTCAAACTCCTGACCTCAAGTGATCTGCCCACCTCAGCCTCCCAAAGTGTTGAGATTACAGGCATTAGCCACCACACCCGGCCCCATTTTCCTAATATAGTGTAGGTGTGTTCAATTTTCTCAATAAATTTAAGTTGAAGTTTCATTAGCTCTTTTTTGGAATTCTAAATGGAACTTATTTTTACTGGTTTTGTACAACAACAAGCAGAGCTCACGAGAAGTCACTTAAAATGAAGAGGAATAAAGCAGGGTGCTGGTTTCTTCTGTGACCAATGTCAATTAACTGACATATATTAAATAAAACTTGTCAGTGTATGTGTGCATGTGTGTGTGTGTATAAGCATGCACACACTTGACCATGACAAGTAAGGGCTGTTGATACAGAGTTCAGCCTACAGTGTAAATCGGGGGTATAAGAAAACCAGGAGACGCTTGCTCCATTAGTTTCCTAGGGCTTCCACATCAAAGCACCAAAAAATAGGTGACTTGAAACAGCAGCACTTTATTTCCTCACAATGCTGAAAGCTAGAATTCCAAAATAAAGGTGTTAGCAGACCCCCCACTCTCTCTGGGATAAGCCTTTCTGTGTCTTCTAGCTTCTGGTGTTTTCTGGTAGTCCCTGGTGTTGCTTGGCTGTGTATGTGTCACTCCCTCACAGGGCCATCTTCCCCCTATGTCTAACTGGCTCTATGTCAAAATGTCCCCTTCCTATAACAACACCAGCCACATCAGAATAGGACCCACACCAATTACCTCATATTATTTTTAATTTTTTTTAATTGTTAATATTTGTAGGAACAGAGTAGGTGAATATATCGATGGGGTACATGAGATGTTTTGATACAGACATGCAATGCACAATAATCACATCATGGAGAATATGGTATCCATCCCCTCAAGCATTTCTCCTTTGAGTTACCAACCATCCAATCATATTCTTTTAGTTATTTTTAAATGTACAATTAAGTTATGATTTACTAAGTCACTTTATGGTGCTGTCAACGAGTAGGTCTTATTTATTCTTTGTAACTATTTT
This sequence comes from Homo sapiens, assembly GCF_000001405.40. Lineage (NCBI taxonomy): Eukaryota > Metazoa > Chordata > Mammalia > Primates > Hominidae > Homo > Homo sapiens. The sequence continues at coordinate 87,342,154 of NC_000014.9, read as the reverse complement.
TGTACCCATTAACCATCCCCACCTCCCCCTACACCTCCACCTACTCCCCAACTATCCTTCCTAGCCTCTGGTAACTATCCTTCTACTCTCTATGCCAATCACCTTATTTTAGATTGATTACATCTAGAAGAGCCACTTTTCCAAATAAGGTCACATGCTGATTTACTTGGGATCAGGACTTCAGCATATTTTTTTGGTGTGATACAATTCAGCCCAGAACACTTGCACATTGACCCTTTAAAAAGAAGTCTAGCCTAGAGAATGACTTCCAGCTTTACTGATTTCACTGCTCACTGTTGTTTCTTTGGTACCAAGTATTCTCTATTCTCATTCTTTCTGATTTATTTCTCAGATGGTTGGCTATATCAAATAGTATTTTGGGAAGGGTAATGTGTCAGTGGGATTATTGCCAAATTCTTTTCTTGAGTTTTATCATTTTTCCACAATAAGACAGATTATTTTGAGGAATAAATTAAGGTGTCAGTATAATTTCTGCCAAAATCATGGCAGCAGAACTTTTTACTTCAGTATAGAAAAAGGCCCTAGGGAAAGGTGATTTTCTTTCATTTCATGAAAGGACTTACGCTCCTCAAGGTTAAGTGACTAGATCAAGGTCACACAGTTAGAGTCAGAGCCAGAAAAAAAAATCCAAATGGTCAATGTAGATCACGGAAATGTCCTTGTTTGCAGTCTCTTATTCAGTTCAATGCTAGGATTCATGCCCACTTTTAGAATCTTGTTGGAACTTGACTCAAAAGGACTGAGTTCAGAAGCCAGGCACTCCTCCAACTTCGCTCACATATTGATCAAAGACATTTCCCTTCCACTATTCTTTGCAAATATGACATGCTTTCCACATCAAAACAAAACAGTGGCCTTATCAGAATCAAGAAATGAAAATATCAAAACAGTTTGAGATTATTCCCATTTTAATGTAAAGAATATTGCCTGGCAAATTTTTGGTTTGGGTTTTCACTAAAATTGGTAGTATCGAGTGAATTGGTGCAAATCAAATGATGTTTGTGTGGAGTATGGAAAGTTATTAGAACCATAGCGAATACTCCTGCATACTTGTGTAATTTTGGAAATGCCACTAAGTGCCAGTTTCCTTGTAAGTAAAATCAGGGGAAAAATCATCATCCTCACTTAACTCATAATATTGGCTTTCTGACTGTAACTTGGCATCCAATAAGCAGCCAATAAACATTTATGTGTTCATTTACATTTTTGGAAATACTCCAAGAAATAATTATTTCATCTTGATGCTTCCCTGTGCAGATGACATTCAGACAGACCCATGTTAAATTCCAGATCTTCCTGTTAATAGCTGTGTGACCTTGGGCATGTTTCCCTAATTTCTTGGTCCCTTCCTGCCTGAAATAAAAATGGAAATCATGATAATGACTACATTGTAGAGATATTGTGAGGGTTACGTGCAATCATCCATATAAAGTGCTTGGTGTGGAATCTTAGCACTTAGTGAGTGTTTCATTTGTGAAAGTTACTGATGTCATTATTTTTATTTTTCAGTACCATATTTAGGGCTTGTCTACTTTTGTGACTTCTAATTAGTAAGAGAAAATCTACATGTTGAAAGACTATTGGTTTGTCTCTCATATCTTACTTAACTTTTCTTATCAGGTATTAAGCATAACTGAATAGGGAATAGATTTTCTAATTAGTACACAATGAGGAAGTTTTTGTGTCATGCATATTATTCTTCTTGACCTGAGGTATCCCGTTTTGGATTCCTATCCCTAGAACCCTCAGAGCCTGCTACAAATGGAATGTGTGTGTCCCCTGCAAAATTGTATATTCCAACTCTAATCCCCAATGTGATGGTATTTGGAAATGGGGCCTTTGGAAGGTAATTTGATCATGAGGTTGGAGACTTCTTGATGGGATTAGTGTCCTTATAAAAAGAGATAGGAGAAAGCTTGTTTCCTCTCTCTATGCTGTCTGCCTTATATGGATACAGGAAGATGGGCAATCTGCAAACCAGAAAGAGGCTGCTCATCGGACACCTAGTCTGCCAACATTTTGATCTCAGACTTTCCAGCCTCCAGAACTGTGAGAAGTAAATTTCTATTAAGCCACCCAGTCTACGTAAATTGTTATAGCATTTGAACTAAGGGCCTCTGTTTTTTTTCATTTAAAAAATAATAATAGTAACAACTATTTTTACCTTATAGAATAATTAGTAATTATATTTCTAATAATCAAAATGCTTACAAGTTGTAAAAATGGTAACACCTAGTTGGCTATAAACAAACAGATACCTCATTGAGTAGAAGTATACCACAATTATCATAAAAAGGAGAAGTAAAAGGAAGAAGATAAGAATGAAAGATATATATCTATACAGGGCCTTTTATGTCTTAGACACAGTGCTTACATAGTGCTTTCAAATATACATTTATTTATTCTTCATAACAAATGTGGGTGCCATAATATGAACATCCAGCACGTGTGAAAAGTGAAGCCTAGGGTAAGGAAACTCACTTAAGGTTACATGGCTGGTCCATAGGGACTTTGGTTCTATCTACCTCTTTTAAGATGGCAGACTAAGCACCAAAGTACTTCCCTCTCCATTTTTCCAAAATCTCAAATGCAAATTAAAGGTACAATAAGATACTTCTAAAACTATTTGATCCAACAGCCTTTTAGAATATCAATTTTTAAAAAAGTTTAAAGCAATATTTATGAGCATATATTATTTTTATTACACAAATTTAAGTCTGTCTGACTCAATTATCTCTATTCTTTCTTCTAAACCATGTTATCTCATTATCTCTTTGATTATGGTCTCCCCTGTGTCTCTCTATAATTCTTACAAATGAACCAGTTGAGCTTAACAGTAAACCAATTATAGTATGACTTTCTCCATTTTAATCAAAGAAGGGAAACCTGCCTGATTATTCGGGGATTTTGATAACTTAAGTATTCCTTCAGGTCTTTGTGTATACTTGAGGCAATAATGTAGTTTTCTCCTAAGTTAACTGCACTGTCTTTGAACTCTTGGACTCATGTATGCTTAAATTAGGGTTGTCAGATTTAGAAAATTAAAATTCTGAATTCCAAGTTAAATTTGAATTTCAGATTAACAATGATTTTTTTTAGTATAAATATGCTTCATGTAATGTTTGGGACATAGTTATACTGAAAAAATGTTATTTATCTGAAATCTTAATTTAATTGAATATTCTGTATTTTATCTTGCAACTCTCTCAAATACGTGTCACAATTGACAATCGTTGTAATGACTGCTTCATCTAGAAACATCAGTAAAAAGCAAACTCAGGTATATCAGTCTTTGAAATTTCCCATCTAATTTACATAGCAACTAAAATGTCATATCGTGTTTTAGTTCTCTGAAGAGATCACAAACTATAGAAGCTGTCTGACGTACCCATGAGATTTTGGGAAATAAATTATATCCTTTTTATAGGTGGAGTGAGAAGTATTAGCATAGGGTGGCTAGCTAATTGTTATATATTCGATAACAATTAGGCTGAAAATCTGACTCTAACCTTGGTCTTTTGCCTTCTTTACCAAAATTCTACTTTCGTGAAGGAAATTTAAATTACTGTGGCATGAGCACACTCGAAACTCATAACTAAAGGTGTACTAAGGTTCTTAGTTGCAAGCAACAACCAACTCTAACTTAGGCATAAGAAGATTTGTGGAGAGATTATTGAGAGCAAATTGACAGATATGACTGTGTAGCTGAAAGCACTCCATGATTCTTCAAAATGTGAAGTGGGAATCAGAAAACAACATCTTGTAGCTGAAGCAATCTGATCTAGTGCCATGTCACTCAAACCTCCGCTTGCTCTATATTCTGCTTCGCATCAGAAACTCAGTATTCAAATGTCCCAGAAAGCTTGACTGCTTGGCCAAGATTAGGCCACATTCCCATTCCCTCCCTGTACTGGAAAGAGGGTTCTGAACTTATCTCATGAAGTTGGAATTGTCTTCTTCCATGTCTCTCTATAATGGAGAAGAGAGAATTCTGCTGTAAAAATCCAGGCAGGAAAATGGATGGTTGGTGGCAAAAAATCAGTAATTATCCATTAAGCATTTAAGTACAAAAGGCCCTTTTATATCCTTCTCTACGTTGATCCCCAATTTTCCTATCAACAAGAGGAACATGGATGAAACTGGAGGTCATTATATAAAGTGAAATAAGCCAGGCACAGAAGGACAAACTTCACATGTTCTCATTTGTGGAATCTTAAACTTAAACCAATTGAACTCATGGAGATAGAGAGTAGAAGGATGGTTACCATCACTGGGAAATGGAGGGTGGGGGTATTCTGGGGAAGTGGAGAGGGTTAATGGATACAAAAACAATAGTTAGAAAGAATGAATAAGACCTAGTATTTGTTAGCACAACAGAGTGACTGTAGTCAAAATAATTTGATTGTATATTTTTTAAAAACTAAAAGGGTATAATTGGATTATTTGTAACACAAAGGATACATGCTTGAGATGATGGATATTCCATTTACTGTGATGTGATTATTATGCATGCCTGTTTAAAAATATCTCATGTAACCCATAAATATATACATCTACTATGTGCCCCAAAAATTAAAAATTAAAATTAATAAAAAGAAAAAAAGAGGTAACCTTCTGTAGAATAAGGAAGCAATAGCAGCAATGGAAACTGAAGCATGGTAGCTGCCTTGAGAAGTAATCCTTAATATTAGAAGTCACTTTTTTTTGTGTGAGGATCCTTCCATGTAGTAGCTTTATTCTTTGCCTTTGGGAACTTAGCCTTCTTTTGGTCTCCCTCCTGAAAGCTCTATCAACTGCAAGGCTAACTGGATTCAAGGATGGTGCATACTATCTCAGTCTGAGTTTTTCTGGGTAACAGCTCTCTGCCTTTCTTGATACAAATTTATAATCGTTATCATCGAGATGAGGAATTTGTAACTTGGAATACATGGGTGGGTTTTAAAGAGTTAGAAAAATCCCTGTAACTTATTATAATTTTTGAGTAAGATTTTATGTGCATATTCCTATAAAAAGAATCCACAGTTCTAAAAGTGTATATTCTCAAAGGTATCTATTAAGGAAAACAGGGTTCAATGACATAAATGAAACCAGGAATATTAAATGTCTTTGCCAATTTCAAATAACTTTTTAGTAGCACAATCAAGACATCAAGTTCCCAATATAGTTTGAGAAATTATTTGAGTTTTGTGCCAATTATGCATGTATTTCTAAAGGCAAAATACAGAAGCCTTTTCTTCTTACTAAATATGCCCTTCATTCTGGGAATGCCACGATGGCATTATCAGCTTCACCTCACTCCCCATGTCTGGTGATCCTGGCAGAGAACCATCTAGCCAAGAAGATGACTGAGGCCAACCCTTCCTCAATTATTTCTTTTTTTGTAGAAATGCCATTAGTAGCTAGTACAATACCTTTTGCAAAAATATATTGTTTTTATGGCTTCTTGATATTTCCACTTGATGTATTTACATATAGGTAAGTTTATTCTCATATCTTGATTGCCTGAATGGTCTCATAGCAGGATTTGAATAACTAGAGAAAACCTTAATTGTATTTGAGGTGGCTTTTATCTTTTGAAAAAGCTTCTAGATTTAAAACATTACTAGTCTTCGTTTCTTCAGGCTATCATAACAAAATACCATAGACTGGGAGGATCATGAACAACAGAAATTTATTTCTCATGGTACTGGAGTCCAGGAAGTTTAAGATCAAGGCACCAGCTGATTCAGTGTCTGGTGAGAGTACACTCTCAGGGCAAGGCTGGAAGAGTCACCCAGGCAGAGAAATGGCTGAGCAAGTGCAGGAGGTGGCCAGGGCTGAGGGAGTCCTAGCAGGTGAATATGGTGTGTGTTTGACACAAGTAGTATTTGAAGGCTTGCTTCCATCCTGAACTGTTGTTTGTGGAATGTTGGGAAGGGCATTTATTCTCTATGGGTCTCAGAATCACCTATAAAATGGGGTAATTAAGAGACCTTTAAAGTCTAAAATTCTACAATTGCATATACTAGCAGTGAAACATTTTGAATTTGGGATTTATGTCCTCCACCCCCAAATAAATTTTCTGGGGAGGATCTAGGGGCATTAACTCATTCAAATCTTTGCAGGATTCAACATTTATCTTTAATGTAACCCTGAATAGCAGCCAGCTGATTTATAATGGTACATTTTTACATCTTCAATACATAGTAAGGAAGAAACATGAACTGAAACCTTTAGAACAGTTGTAAACAGCATGGAATCATATAGATGTTTTTCCTCTGGAAAAATCAATCAAATATTAGTTCATAAGAATATTTTGATTCAACTAATTAATCAATTATTAATACTTAGAAGTAAATTGTAACTATACATTGTTGGTTGGATTTTGATGTATAAACATAAATTGAGTCTCCTTGTGACTCTATAATACATGCAATGTATTATATGTATGAGATGGCTAACCTTTACAAACATGATTGTTTTTACTCTTGGTATTATTAGACATATTTCCAGGGAAATGCAAACCACAGAAGTAACTTACAGAAAGGGATTTCTATGTAATATTATCTATGCTCCCTTTAGTGGAGGAAGGAGTTTAGCATGGGAAGTAGATCCAAGAGAGCATCTGCTTTCAACAGAATCTTGCACATAAACTCTGATTCCCATGGGTTTAGGGAACATGCTCAGCATGTGGAGCAATGTTTTCTGTTACTTTCATTTTCAAATTTCCTATTGCAAGCCTCTTCTTCAGAGATGTGTTTCTGTTTTAATTGGGCTTTGTCTGTTGCTCTATACCTGTCAGGTCTCAAATGTTGTTCCATAATTCTTAGATACGATTAAATGGTAACCAATTCATCATTATCTCAGAGGCAATTTAAAGCCTTATGAGTTGGATTTTTGTTCACATACACATGGCGAAAAAGAGAGGTTGTCTATGATGAAAGGTGACTGTTTCCCTCAGGGAGGCAGTATAATGCTGTGGTAAAGGGCACAGGTTCTGGAATTCAAATTTCAACTCAGAGGAATTCCAATTCATTCATTCATTTAACAAATTTTTATTGAATTGTTACTATGTCCTAGACACTGTTGTAGGTGCTAGAGTGTAACAGAGAAAAAAAAAACTGCCCTTGTTTATCTTCCATTTTAATGAAGGAATTAAAAACAAACAAGATAAATGAAAACAATATATACCTAAATATATTAGATCATGATAAGCGTAGGGAGAAAAGGAAATTAAAAGAGGGATTAGAAGGTTAAAATTTTAGTTTAGCCCAGGGAGGTCTTACTGAGAAGATATTTTGCCAGGAGCAAATGCATATTGTCTTAGTCCATTTTCTGAGGCTGAGTAATGTATTTTAAAAATAATAATGATAAAAGAGGTTACTTAGCTCATGGTTCTGGTGGCTGGGGAGTTCAAGGTCAGGCAGCTGCATCTGGCCAGAAACCTCATGCCGCATTATGATAGCCGATGGCACCACAAGATAAGAGTGTGTGAAAAAGAGGCAAAACATGAGGGATAATTTTATGGTATAACAACCCACTTTTGTGGAAACTAATCCAGTCCCTGGAGAGTGAGAACTCACTTCCATGAGATAGTATTAATCCCTTCATGAGGGTGGATCCCTCCAAACCCAAATACTTCCCAAAGGTCCCACCACCTCTCAACACCATCACGTTGGGGTCCAAGCCTCCACTTGAGTTTTAGGGAGGACAAACCATATTCCAACCATAGCACATGTGTTGTGTTACCTAGAATTTATGTAATACTTTTCTGCAAAGTTTACAATAGTGTGTCTCTGTCAGAACTCTTTGCTGGGCTTCTGCCAGCATTTGGAAGGGCCTTGTGAAAGTGGGGGATCTTAAGCTTCATTTGCTTCACGTTAAGCACACACCTAAATCTGACACTTATTAATAATCAGGGTGACTTTGGCCAAGTAACTTAACCTCTCTAAAAAGTTCCCAGCTGTGAAATGGAGATAATAAAAGTATTAGTTCACTTTATTGGATATATTATAAGGCTCAGACAAGATGATGTATAAAAAAAATTCGTCATTGTGTTAAGCACAAAATAGATACTAAATTCCTAAATTCTTAAATGCATTCTTATGTGTCCTGTCAGTTTTGCCTACTTGCTTCTTACTTTTTCTTTATTTATTTAACTACCCAGGCTATTTATGTGTTCACCGTCATGTTTTTAAAGCAAAATGTTAGTTAAATTAAAAATCCTGATTTAGCTGAGCTTTTTTAAGGTGCCCAAGTCTGGGAAGAAGGTAAAATGACATAAATGAAGCATCTACCTTTTATATATATTTATTTATTTAAACTTCTATCACACTAGGAGCACTTGCAGTATTATTAAACTCATCTTTTAGATGGAGACAGAGAGGCTGAGAAATATTAAGTAAATTGTCTAGTCACTCAGCTCAAAGAGCTATAACTGGGATTCAGTCACAGATATGTGTACTTAAAAGTTTATACTGTTTCCATAAAGTCTGAATGAATAAAATCTTCCACAGAAATGAATTATTCATAAAATGAAGGTGCTATTATCAGTCTTGACCTTACAAAAATTAATTACCTAAATAAGGCATGGTATTTACATATTTGTACCTGGTCCATTAAGGACTCAGAAGCAGAGGAAATTGGCAAAGATAAGAGGAGAACTGAATTTGATTTTCAGCCTGAATTATTGTTAGTATGTTTAATACGTGTAAATAGGCTAAGAGCATTTGCTGAAGAACACTTAGGAAATAAAGCCATATAATGCTACCCAGGTCTCTTTACAAAATGGCTATTCTCTCAAAAAGTCTACACTTCAGTCTGGCAGGCTCTCCCAGGGGTTGGTGCCTGAGAGCCTGGAGATGAGATCCTGCTCATAGGATCAGCCTACACATTGCATAAAGGCCTCCCCTCCTCTAGCAGCTGGTCCAGTTCTCCTGATTCCCACTGGGGATCCATCTGTTCTTGAATCTCAATGCCAGCCTTGTCCTGTGGGAGCCACTGAAGCTGGTGATGCCCTTGTGGAGTATGCCTGCCCCTGCTCTTACTAATGTAAGATTAGTGATTAGGCCCGACATGGAAGATTGCTCTTCCGGAGTTGAGCTAAAGGACACAAGAACAAAATAAGCATTTCTGATATGGACACTATGACCGCACACTTGCCTGGCAAAGACATCAGCTTATTTCACTTCACTTGAATTGGGGCCAAAAAGGGAGAATATTGGCTGATATTTTTTTGGGAGAGGATGGGGTGGCTGCAAATTACTAACACTAAGATTTAGTTGTTGTTTTAAATTAATAAAATGACTTCATTAAAGATTATAAAAAAGAAAAAGTGTTAGGTGTCTTAACTCTTCTCATAATTCACTTTTATTACTTGACTCCCCATCTATCAAATCCTGAGTCCTAACGTGGAACCTGATATAAATGAATTAAAACAAATTTAACAGTGGGCAAAGTAATTATTGGAAAGACCACGAACTCTGTCAACAAATGTCCATGTACTTAGCCAGATGGAAGAGGTCATTTATAAAGACATGCTTTTTAATAAAGAGACAAATTAGAATTATCAAATACACTGCCAGCAGAGAGAAGTGAAAATTGTGATTTCTCTGGTCAAAAGGTAAGCTAAAGAGTTTGAAAAGCAGACCTACATATCTCAAGATCCTCAAGAATTATCATCATATTAAAACATAAAATATATTTTATGTCAATAACAATCATTCTAAATCATGAGTAAGAACTTAGACTATAGGCTTAGGCTTATGAAAATGAGAAAATTATATTTTATTTTAAAAAACCATTTCATTAAAAACAAAAACAAGGAATACCACTCCCTCTTTAAGACAATGAGCAATGAGCTGCAGAATCCATTTCTTTTTTCTCTCCAGCATCAGTAATGAGCATGAATCATGGAGTCAGTGACTTAGGCTTGAATCCAAGCTCACATACCTATGGAATAGTTAGCAGTAGTGGCCAAGATTATTATTGTTATTACGTTTGAGAGTGACGTGTACTTATATCAATAGAAAACATCTGTTTATAAAAGTGGAGGCTAGAGAAGCTTACTTAGCAAATTGAATTGTCTTGCTTAGGAAAAAAGGGCAAATCATACATGCTATATTTTTATCAATTATAAAATGGGGACAAAAGTGCCCTTACAACAGTATTGTTGTTATAATTAAACAGATAATATTTAATGTACAGCGAAGGCATGGCCTGTTAATTCCTTTCTTCTTCCCATTTCCTTTCGTCCTCTGCCTGTTCGGATTATTTAGTCCAAATCTTGACTCTTACACAGATGGATGTCTTTGCCTGTCAGTCTAGCGATTATACCCCAGCATACTCTGGCCTGATGTTTTTGTGATTCGGCCAGAGCAGCTTTGTTGGCTGTCATTTGTTTGTTTGCTTGTTTTCCTGCAACATTTCACCACCTGTGTTGTTCCACAGCAGTCAGGTAATCAGTTCTGGATCCTACTCTTTTGCTCTGATGCACATTCTGGGTAAATGACATGCTTAGAACATTAATAACAGACATGTAAGTATTTACATTGGCAAAAAACAGGACTGGCATCTACCATTTAAAGAGAAACTGACCTGGCAATAGATTGTGGTGGGGGATACTGGCCAGTTAACTAAAATTTAATTCAGGAAATAATCAATTTATAAAGTGTCCAATTAACCAAATTAGAGATGTTCTTCAATGTTTCACTGTGAAAAGGTTTTACTGATGCCAAGACACTTACCAGACCAGCATAGTTGACTTTTGCAATACTCATCATTTTATTGGGGAATGGGTGGGCTGTTTCTTAAAGGCTATGTATCTCTTGGAGATTTACACTCTGCCTGAATGCTGTGTCTGTACTAGCTCTAACTGTATACCTCCTTTGTTTGAGAGTTTTTGGCAAATTGATTATATGTTAATATTTGCCAAAATGGCTTTCAGTGAATTACATTAATGAAGACCCAAGAGTCGGAGTCTGACATTGACTTCTGGGGTCTTTTCTCCAGGTTCACCACTTGCCAGCTGGATAACCTTGACAATTAAACCTCTCTAACCTTCAACATCCTCATCCATAAAACAGGAAAGATGAGAATATCATTACCCAAAGTTGTGTGGATCTATGAGGTATCCCATGCAATGCACTGAACACGGAGAACTACAAAATAAGGGCTCAAGCACTGTGACTTATCATTGTCTTGTAAGACTCAGATCACCATGATTGTCTCTGTGCTTCTATTATTGGAAAAAGACATAGGTAGGGGTTAAATTTCCCCTTTTTTGCCAGACACTGTGTTAGAAGTTTATTTCACTTGACTCTTACAAGAATCCTTAACATGATACATCAACAACAATGGGATATTTCAGTGGAGAAATCTACAAAATTGTTCAAGCTTGAACAGATTCACAGGTTCACAGATTTGAACCTGTGTCTAATTCTAAAAGCCCATTAATACGCCATGCTCTGACTACTAGATATCAGTTCTTATTTGTGTATTTTTAGTCATAAATCTGCCCCTGGCCTCCTACCAATTCCTTTTGATTTTTTGAAAATACTGACTTTTACTTAATCATATCATGATTTCTTAAATCAGAAGGGGCTTAAGAAATGTGAACATTTAATGCTCTTATTGCTTCTTTCTTTATTACTTTGGGAAATTTGTTATTAATAAGATGATGCTTTACATTTAAGGATGTGTACATTTTGGAAAAAGTATTATCCATAGATTCATATTTGCATGTTGAAAGGAAAATGGGTTGACAGGAAACACATACTATAATAGAGACAACCAGAAAAATGAGAATAATAATGAGGATGGCATCACCCCGTATTTTGTAGAGTATAGTCACTGGCAATCAACTCTTTGTGGGTGCTTTCACATACGCTTACCTAATTTAATCCTTGGAGGATGAAAGAGGAAAAATTGTTAAGCTTGTTTTACTGATGAGAAAACCACATCTCAGAGAGGTTAAGTGATTTAACCAGTCATATATTTAGTACATAGTAGAGCTGAGAACAGAGCTTGAGTTTTCCCAGAAAAATTTTTTAACATTGGAAGAAAATGTGATAAGTGCTAAGGATAAAAATGACTAGTGTAACAGAGGCTCCTGGATGTTTCTCAATGTCCATTTTTCTCATTTCTCTTAGAAATAACCTCTATTGCCAAAGAACATCACCTTCCAGAATAGTGACAATATCTCTCGGCCTCCCCTCAGCAGTGGTCAGTTAGCTTCTGAGGACCTTCCTTATAAGATTACTGACATATGACCCTCACCTCTTTTCTTCCTGTCTCTATTCAACCTACCTGCACTAGAACATGATGTCTCTAGTTCCATCTTGGGCCATGTTCTTGCAGGCCACACACTGGGGATGGTGGAGAGGAAAACTAAAATTTCTCTGAATCCCACACAACTGGGGAGACACTATATGAGACCCAAATTACTCTTTTCAGTGTAATATTCACAGATATTGTTCTTTGTGGGAGAAAAAATGGACTTTGATCATATTTATGTTGCTGTTCTTTTGGGTCTCTACTGTAACCAAATCCAATCCTAGGTAATCTGGCACCTATCTGGAAGTTTTGTTCCTGAAGCCACAGGCAATACATGAATTTGAAGACCAGAGAGGCTGGCTAAGAAGAATCAAGACCAGAAGACTGAATTGACTGCCTTTAAGGAAGAAGCTTATTAAGAAAAGTTACTAGATCCTGGGGGTGCCTGAAAGCTGTCAAAACTGCCTGAGTGAAGGAGCTGTGATTAAATGACAGGGAAAGAGTAGGTTTCCCATGTCGAGGAGAAACTTAGAGATTCATAAAGACACCCTCACATTGACCACTGGGCCCTTTCACTTAGGGTTTTGTGACTCTACCGTTGATGACAAAGAGAGCTGCTGAGGAAGTTAGATTTGGGGAAAGATGGTGTTCCCTGCTGGTTTCTCTTTCTTCCTCCTCAGTTGCTCATCTTACTTAACAAGAGATTTCACATAAGAGACACTTGACTTGCAGACACCACAGTGACCACTGTTCTTAGGCCTACATTCCATGGCCTTTCCCCACAAATTTACTGAACTAACTTAATCACAGAAGATGTCTTCTCTGCCAGAAATATCACCTGTCACCTACTTGTATGAGTCACAAACACACATAGGAAATGTCTTTTTCTTGCACTTTGTAGTGTGCAAAACCCTATCATACATAGTGTCTCACTCAGTCATTCCATATCTTTAATATTCATCTTTTCTATTTTTATAAACTTTTCTATTTTAGAATAGTTTTAGTGCTATAGAAAAGTTGTGAAGGTAGTTCCCACACACCCATATTCATAATAGTTTCTTTTATTATTATCATCCTAAAAATGGTTCGTTTGCCATAATTAGTGAACAAATATTGACTATTATTAACTAAAGTTTATATTTTACTTATATGTCTCTAGTTTTGCCTGCTGTCCTTTTTTTCTCACAGAATCCCATCCAGAATAACAGTATATTTAGTTATCAAGCCTCTTTAGGCTCCTTGTGGCTACGACAGTTTCTCAGACTTTCTATTGTGATGCCCTGGACAGTTTTGAAGGGTATTGGTCAGGTATTTAGCCAAATTTCCCTCTATTGGGATTTGTTTGATATTGTTCTCATTATTACATGGGAGTTATGGGTTTGGGGGAGGAAGATCACACAGGTAAAGTACCATTCTCATTACATTTTATCAACGTAACATAGTATCAACATGATTGATTACTGATATGTTACCTTGATCACCTGGCTGAGGTAACCTTCATCAAGCTTCCCCACTGTAGAGTTACTCAAACATTAATTATTTAATGATGAATTTTATACCCTTCTTAATTCCTAAAATAAACTGAGTTACACTTATATAAATACATGCAATACGATATGACAAAAATAGGCAAGGCAAGTAGGTGGAATGGGAAAATGAGGACAGGGAAGTAAGAAGAAGAGAGGCAAAGTAAGTACACAGACATGCCCACCAGAACACGCTGTACCAACACCAAAGACAAATTGCAAATTTAGCTCCAAACTTCTTAAAAGCCAAGTCACAGAAATGGAAATATGATGCATTAGGAGACTCATGTTTGTCCATACATTTTGTGTTACTGCATGGGCCTGCTGAAATTTCTCATATCTGTCCTTCTCAGAAGGATAGTGGGATATAATGGCCAACATTGTAGCACATTTTTATCTATCTATCTATCTATCTATCTATCTATCTATCTATCTTCCATCATCTTCTATCATCTATATATCTAGTAATATATCTACAGTAATTCTTTGATCCCTTAATCCTTTGATGTAAGCTAAAGGCATGAAAATTAAGCCAGAGTTCAATATATGATATTCATTAAGGGGGGGTCTATTAAGTCCACTCATGTTGTTATTTAAATTTGGCTGATCCAAGGATAAAAGGTATGCTGCTTTTAGTAATAAATAGACTGCTTATGTTTCAGACAATACACATCAATACCGTTCCTCATAAGTGAGCATTTGATAATGTTTAGGTCTCCAGAAATTTAGGTTATATTTTCTAACAAAGAAACAAAAACAAGAAAACAGGAGTAAAGATATGTGTGTGCTATCGTGTAATCTCAAAAAGAAGACAGTGTTTATACCATCTTATGAAAAACAGCGGCTCTAACTAAGATCACGGGGCCACAGGAGTATTTTTTAGAGAGAGATACACTTTTAGAAAGGTGCATTGATGTACCCAATGTTTTGTAGTCAATAAGAGGCAAGGTCAGGATTCAAAAATTGATTCTCTGTCTCAAGAATTCTCTTTGGGGGATATTTGTATACCAAAGATTTTATTCTGCTAATTATTTTAGTGGCAGATGCCTTGGCCAGAGCAGCTGTACATCCTCATCTTAATTTCGCTTCTCAATGCAGCATAGCCTCAGGGCCAGCGTGTTGAGCCAGTCAGACCTGGGTTTGAATATGGGAACATTACTGTCCATTATTCTCTTTACCTACCTAGTACGGTGGCTGGCACTTAAGGAGCACTCAATACATTTATGTTTATCATAGTCATTATCATTTTTATTTCTGTTGCATGTGCCCAAAACAGTTATTAACTGTATCAATGAATAAATGAATGAGTAAATTCAGACTTTACCATTTTTCTTTTTTTTCTGGAGATGGAGTCTTACTCTGTCACCCAGGCTGGAATGCAGTGGCGCAACCTCAGCTCACTGCAACCTCCGCCTCCTGGGTTCAAGCAATTCTCCTACCTCAGCCTCCCGAGTAGCTGGGACTGCAAGCGGATACCACCATGGCCGGCTAATTTTTTGTATTTTAGTAGAGACGGGGTTTCACTGTCTTGCCCAGGCTGATCTGGAACTCCTGAGCTCAGGCAATTCATCTGCCTCGGCCTCCCAAAGTGTTGGGATTACAGGTATGAGCCACCATTGCCTGGCCAGACTTTACCATTTCTTAGCTCTATCAAGTAAGGATAATATGCATCCCTTTGTGGGGAAGACTACATAAGATCAGAAATGTTGAAGCACCTGATCTTGTGACATATGATAAGGTATGTATGAGGACAAGAACAAACTTACCAGCTCATAGCATAAGCTCCATATAGCTGAGGCACTGTATTTATTCATCTCCAAGTTTTAATCCATTTTTTAACAGACATCAGTCTTTTAACCATGTCTTTTCAAGGGGGTAGAAAAGAAAACTATAAGAGGCATTTCTATTTCAGAAATGTTAAAACATGGGGGAGAAAAAGAATGCTCTGAGATACAAGCAAATATGGCATTTTATTTATGAATTGTTAAGTTGAACATGTAAGGCTTATATGAGTTTAAATGCTACAAAGCAATTTTCTCAGGGACAGATCACCCTTGAATAAATAGACCTTGAGGCTTCAGCTGCAAGAGGTGAACAACTTAATTTCTGCTCTCCAGAAAAGTAGCAGTGCCCTTAAGACCTTGCCCTGTAATCAGCCCATCCCTGGTTAAAACATCAGGCACAAGAGGCACAGATGCAAATAGCTCCCAAAGCTTCTCCTAAGAGTTGTTCCCAATGGCATACATGCACAACATGGTCTATTTGTGCTAAACGCATGCAAAAGTTGGTGCCAAATAAGCAGTTTGCTTAATGATGGAATAAAGACCACTTAAATTAATGGATATTTGAAACCCATCCTTCCAATGTAATTATTGGAGCAAGAGATGTTAATTATTCCCATTACTTCCCTCCCCACCTCCCAACAGCTGCTCTTTTGACTGGTGAATGCAACTATCTGCTTTGTTCCTAGTGAACTTAATTCATCAGGTGGGTCTGTTTCCAAGCTCTTAGTGCCTCACATATAACACTTCAATTAAATTGAGAAGAGTAATTACTTAAAGTGACAAACCGAAGAATGCTAATTAACTAAAAAGTTCATTTCAGGGCACTTAAACTAGAGTAGTGCAAAGTAAAGAGGTCATGATTTAATGTATTTGCCTGACTTGCTTTTGTAAAACACTGTTCTTCATTATAATAATGCCAAAAGAGCAGAAGTATGTTGCATTAACGAAGAATTAATGACTTTTGGTTACTCAGGAGATTTGCTTTCTGTGTTTTTTATTCACCAAGTTATAAGATTCATGATAGAGAATAAAGTTAATGATCTTGGATTTTTAATCTTGTTATAAATTTTTCAAGCTTATCTTAATGTTGCTAATGTCCTGGCTAGAAAATCAAGCCTACTATATTTTTTAAACCCCTGAATCCTAATTGACTAAAATGCAATTATATAAATATTTAGATAATTTTTATTACTGTTATGTTTAATATCACATATACCCATCCTTGGTATTCATATATAAATATTCTGTGAGCTTATTAAAAATATTTAACATTTGGTTTTTGTAATAGGGGATTTGAACTCGGTAAGTGACTCAAATAATGACAGAAGCCACCAATAAAACAAAAATACTGTTGCTAAATAAACGGAAAGAGTCAAAAGAAATATAGTCTACTATTTTGCTAAAACTTACTAATCATTAAATATGCCTTATTTTTAATTTAACTCAACATTTTAATAACAACGTATAGGCATCAGGATGAATGTAGATGAGACTAGAACAACAAAGAAAAGGAGAGATTGCATCAGTTAAAGCCAACAAGTTTAGCTTATTGACATACACTTGATATTAAAAAATAAATTGAGATTCCATTTGCATGAAATGTTTGGTACCTGGCACCACAGTAGGTGCTTGACAAGTATTAGTTGACTGAATTTGGGAATAATTACTATATAATCAGAGGATGGGATGCAAAGGGCTTTCAAAGGTGTTATGGAATGGAAATAACCCCCAGCTATACATTTCAAGTCTAAGAGGGAGTATATTCTACTGGAAATGAGAGGAGGTCTAGGTGGATGTTTTTGTTGTTATATTTTTCAGCCACCAACTATTGTGTCAACTTCAAATAGCTAAACCTTTGGGGACAATACGTTTTTCTTTTCCCACAACCCCACCCCAGCACTCTCTTTCATCGGTATTATTGGCTGAATTGTGTCTTCCAAAAAATCATGCTGAAGACCTAACACTCGGTACTTCCAAATGCAACTGTTTTTGGAGATAGGGTCTTTAGAAAAATAATTAAGTTGTAATGAGACCATGAGGGTCGGCCCTAATCCAATTTGACTATTGTCCTTAAAAAAGAGAAAATTTTTACACACACAGAGGCATCACGGATGCACACATACAGAAAAGGCCACATGAGGACACAGTAAGAAGGTGGCCATCTCCAAGCCAGGGAGAGAGATCTTAAAAGAAATCAAACATTCAGACATCTTGATCTTGGACCTCCAATGTCAAGAGCCGAAAATAAACAATAAAACATAAAACAGTGTTGTCCCAGGAAACTGATGCAATCAGTTACCTTACCATCATTTTGTACTATTCTTTCTCCCTGTCCATTTACTTTTTTCCTCCAGCCTAGACATTCATTCTTTTCTTTTACTTTAAAAACAAAAGAGCCGTATATGTGTGTGTAGACACACACAAGACAAAGCTATCTCCACTTTGGACCTTTCTCTAGCTATCATGCTACCTTTCTCTTTGCCTTCTTAATCGAACATTTGTCTGATGGTTTACAGTCAGTGTCTCCATTACTCACATCCTGACAAGACTTGGGAATCAGGCTCCTGGATGTACCACCTCATGGAAACCATGCAAAGTCAACTAGCGACTCTCTAAACAGCAAATTCAACAGGCAGTTTTCCCATCTCGTCTTGTATGACTCCTACATGGATTTTAAATCTGTCTTACTGCTCCCTAAATCTTGAATCCCTCTCTCCCTTGGTTTCCACAATGCTATTCTATTCTGGTTCACTTCTTACCTCTTGCCACCATTTCCTGATTTCTTTCTTCTGATAGTCTTCATCAGCCAGACTTTAAATGTTGGTATTATTCAAGATTTTATATTGAGCCCACTTCCCTTTAGCCCCTACCTTGAATATCTGAGTGATCTTGCGTCTTTAATGAAGCAATGAAAAATCATTTATATCTCTAGACCAAGAATGCCCCTGAATCTCAGAACTTTATTTCTCATTGTTTTCTCTCTCTCTGGCTGTTTAAAAATCTCTATGCAAAGCAGAGTTTCTCTCTCCCTACCTACCATTTTTCTTAAACCTTCTCATACTAATAAAAGCCTATGGCCCAGTCTGGGAATCTGACCTATTTCTTTTTCTTTAGATAAATGTAGATAATCTTTTATAATTGTGAGTCACAAAAGGTGAAAGATTTATATGATCTGAAGAGAAACTGGAGTGTGAGTCACAAAACGTAACAATTCGAATGGCCTTCCATTTAAATAAAGGAACACAAAAGATTTCTTGACAAAAAATACCATGTTTGGACCTGAGTCAGGTAGTGGCAACTCAGTGGTTTAACCAATTCTCTGAGCCTAACAAATAATAATTTTTCTGTTAATGCCTGCAGAGTGCTCTTTTGTGTTGTTGAGAGCACACCTTAGGAACGGAATCAGAGGTTAGAGCCTTGCTGATCAAATAGTGTGAATAGAATTCCCATCTGATGACGCCCAAAGCAAAAAGTATCGACCAGCCTATTTTTATAGTTTTTGTAGAATTTGTAGCTCTTATTCAAAATGACTGGCCCATTTGGACAGGGGTGAGGATGGGTGTGCTGTGGTTGATTATTCAGGTACCATGGAAGGGAAGAAGTCTGCAAAATCAGTTAAGGGATAGACTTCAGGCTATCCTAGGAAATGTGTAAAAATCTAAGATTAATTGCTGGAACAAAGTGAGAAAATTTAAAACACACACCTATATTCATATACATAAAAGATGCAGGCATGGCAACCAATCAGGACCTCCAATTTTCTGAGATCATACAGCTATGTGGTGTGTTGGAAATGAAATAGTATGTTAAGGAGAAGAGAGTTAATTGAGAGAAACCATCTATTCAGGTTCTCTGTCTTTCCAATTGACAGTTTCTCATCACAAGGGACTCAATTCAAGGTCAAATCATTTAGTATCTGCCCAAATCAAGACAAAATATGTATGTATAAGGGTTAGGTCCCTCCCTTCTGGAGTCTTCACTACTACACTTTCAAAGAAAACACAGATGGATCTAACTCATTATCTTGACCCCAATCTTCTTCTTCCAAATGGATTTCCTTCCTATGGAAATCCACTTCTCTATTACCATCCACCAGTTGCCCAAGCTGGAAGCCTAGGATTCAAACTCAACATACTTCTTTATCCCCACATGCCGGAGCCTAACTTCCAAATATCCTTTGCATTCATATCATTTTCTTCATCCTCATTACCTGAGTTATGGTCCTTACGCTGTCAAATGGACTATCTTCCTCCAGATCTACCTCTCCAATCATCCCTCTAAGATCCACCAGAATAATAACTCAAGTATTTTAATATTATAATGGAGCTTTTTATTTTATTTAAAAGAACAACTTTCACTGCTAAAACAAAAAAAAAGACACAAACAATAAGATATTAGGCTGGATAACTTCAAGTATTCCTTCTGGCTCCTCCATTCCAGGACTCTAAAATCCACATTCATGTCAAAAACAAGGAAAACACTATCACTGTATACAGTGTAGTTATGGTTCTCTACAGTGCCTGACTTCAGCAGGTACAGCTGCAAAATTCCCCTTTCCTTTTTGGTATTCTCATGTCTAATGAGAAACTTTGTGGCCTTAAATTAGAATTCCATGCCCTCATCATCAAACCATCAAAGAAGAATCCCTAACTCAATATATAGGCAGTATTGTGCTGGAAGCTTTTGGGCATATATGCCTGTATCCAAAATGGCACCTGGTCAAAGGAGCTATGTTCTGGTACAACTTGAGTCATCCTTTTTCCTTACTGGTAATAGTAACAATGTTCTTTATGATGATTCAAGAAAGTATCATAAACTCATGCATTAACAGTGCCTACCCTGTTCTTAGAATATATCCATAATGCATTCCTCCTACAAGAAAGTGGGAGGCTTTGAAGTGCTTATTATGTAACTGAAGGGATTATGCAAGTTTTTGTTGTTAAATGGACTATTTTTTAAAACTCAATTCAAATACGTTAAAAATCCCAGAGTCAGTATCTAATGGTCACAGAACAAGTAAATATAATACTTCACAATACCTCATATCTAGCATATAGCATATCTAAAATCTACATTCAGTTAATAAATATTACACTTAAATCTCTGAGGTCATTATCTCTTTTTAGATCTCTAAATATATTTTGAGTGCCTACTTTAAAGTCTACAATTCTTCAGACTAATTAAACTGAGAAAATTGCATTTGCAATGGATGATATTCATTTCTATTAAGAAAACCAAAAAGTATACACACAAATATATATTTTGGAAATATGTATACATACATATTTATATATGTACATGTGTATATACATATACATATATACATATATATTCATCTTTCCTTTAGGAGAAATTCTGTATCTTTTAGGTATAATCTTTCATTTGCTCTGGATGGAATGAATCTGTTGGTGAGCATCTTCTGGAAAAACATTATTCAGTGTGGCTGCATTTTCTGCTTTTTCTAGGAAGATCATTTCTATGAATTTCATATAGGCAAGTTGATAGCAAGGTAGGTTTTTATGTGTAATTTATTTTAAAACACTGTAGTATGAAGAGTGTGATACACACATATGTCCAAGTTTCTATCTACACCCTAGGGTCAGCCAATTGTCCCTATCAAGAACCCAGGCCAGGCACAGTAGCTCATGCCTGTAAGCCTGGGCAATGTAGCAAGATTCCATCTCTAAGAAAAGACAAAAAAAAGAAAGAAAAATATTAGCCACATCTACACCTGGTGCTACCTGTAGTCCCAGCTACTCAGGAGGCTAAGGTGGGAAGACCTCTTGAGCCCAAGAGTTCAAGGCTGCAGTGAGCTGTGATGCTGTGATCGAGCCACTGTACTCTAGCTTGGGTGAAAGAGTGAGGCTCCATCTCTAAGAAATAAAATAAAATTCTATTCTACTAACCACCCTCCCCTAATCAGAATGACCACACACTTCAAAGCAGCTACTTTAAATAAACTATTTGGAATTCCTTTATCTCAGATCATCCCTGTAGTATTTTTTTTAATCAGCACAATGAATGCTAGAGGCGGAATACCTGAAATTAGTGGTATTCAAAATATGTGAATTGTCAAACATATCTTAAGGAAGCCCCTTGCCTTTGCATGAATACAGAGGATATAGAATCTAGCAGACCCTTTATGTTTTGCCCTTGGGAATGGTCCCCTACCTTTGATCCCTGAATGATCTTGTGTTCTGCTGTGATTATGGTAGGGTTTTATTTGCCTGACACTGAGAGAGGTTTAGCTTAATCCTGTGTTTGACTCAAGTGACTCTTTCGTGCAATGAATTTTGAGACGTGCCAAGATGGCAGAGATCTGGGACTTCACTGAGCTGACAAAAGAGATTGCATGACTGTTTATTCCTACTTACTAGAAAATGTTTAGATGTTTTATTGACTATGGTCTGAGGATTTCTTTCATTAAAATCTGGTAACAGGTCTTGTCGAGGAGTAGCTAATTATCACCTAACCTGTAGTTACTAGTGGCTAAGATCCACCAAATAGGACCTAATAGATGGATGTGATCAAACTGGCTTAATCTAGTTCATGATAAGTTCTTTTCAGCATCAGTCATGTGACATTCTTTCAACAATATATTTGACCTAATTAGGTATTTATTAAGTACCTAATAAAATTAACTGAGTAATAGTTTAAACTAAATTAAAATAAACCATATACAAATATGCAGAAAGACTCAGTAATTGAAATAGCATGGTGTTAGTTCATTTTCAATTCAGAAAATCAGATGCATTTTCTCTGTTGTTTTGGTACAACCAGATGGAAATCATCACTTTGGTGGACATTTGTGAAGTTGGTATTCAAAAGCAGTTATGTGATTTAGTAAAAGGGGAAAAAAATTGGATTTTGAGTTCATAGCTCTCAAACTCTTGTTTAATAGAGGTTTTTATCTTTGAAAAACTGAATGCCATTGGCACTTGCTTGCTTTTAATTTATTACTTTGTAAACGAAAGAGTAAAACTGGTCTTATTGATTGATTGATTGGTTCACTTATTTCCTCATTCTTTCAATAAATGAAAAACAGGTTCAGCATTCCTAATCAGAAAATTTGAAATTCAAAGCTTCATGATATGAATGCTGAGATAATGGCCAAAGGAAATTCTCATTAGTGCATTTTGGATTTCAAAATTTCAGTTAGGAATGCTCAACCAGGTATAATGATAATGCAAATATTCCAAAATTTAAAAGAATCCAAAATCTAAATCACATCCGGTCCTAAGCATTTTGGTTAAGGGATACTCAAACTGTTACAATTGCAAACACTATTTATTATGTGTTAAACACATCATGCTCTTTGACATATGAAATTTTAAAAGCAATCTTGTAAAGTCAATACTTTTATTATCCCCATGTTAGAGATGAAGATGCTGAGGCACACAGACTGTACATGGATTTTCCGAAGCCTTGAGTTGTGTCCCCTCAAAGTTCACATATTGAAGTTCTGAACCCTAATGCTTCAGAATGTGAATGCATTTGGAGATAGGACCTTTAAAGGAGTGGTTAAGTTAAAATGAGATCATTAGGCTGTGCGCGGTGGCTCACTCCTGTAATCCCAGCACTTTGGGAGGCCGAGACGGGCGGATCACGAGGTCAGCAGATAGAGACCATGGTGGCTAACACGGTAAAAACCCGTCTCTACTAAAAATACAAAAAATTAGCCGGGCGTGTTGGCGGGCACCTGTAGTCCCAGTTACTCAGGAGGCTGAGGCAGGAGAATGGCGTGAACCCGGGAGGCGGAGCTTGCAGTGAGCCGAGATCGTGCCACTGCACTCCAGCCTGGGGGACAGAGCGAGACTCTGTCTCAAAAAAAAAAAAAAAAAAAAAATGAGGTCATTAGGATGGCTCCTAATCAAATACAACTGGTATCCCCATAAGAAGAGGAAATGTGGACACAGACATCTATAGAAGGAAGACCACGTGAAGACACAGGGAGAAGATAGCTGTTTACAGGTAAAGAAGAGAGACCTCAGAAGAAACTAACCCTGCTGACACCTTGACATTAGACTTCTAGCTTTCAGAATTAAGAGAAAATAAATTTCTATTGTTTAATTCACCCATTCAGTGGCACTCTGTTATAGTTAACACATAAATCTGAGATGATATTTTGATTCATGTATGTCACATATTAACTCAACATTTTTTCATATTCACTAAAAAACATCAATTATATGATCTGCTCTTTTGGCTCAAGGATGTTTAACTCTTTTTTTTTTTTAACATGCTCCAACTGTTACTTTGCAGGATTTCCGGGAGAAAATTCTAAGACAGCACAGGAAGTATTCTGTCACACATACGGCCCCAAACTCCAGAGTTTATGGATAGATACCAGATGATTGAAGGATTTAGCCTGATTTATTATCTCTAACTGTGTATGTTTTACTGGGGTTTTTATATTCTGATCATCAAGAGTGGGAAGTCTTCCTAAATTATTTTAGGCAATCCAACTATCTTGAAGGCTTTCAATTTCACCAATGAGAGATAATTTTTAACATTTATCATGTTGATTTATAAGTCATTATTTTTCCATAGTTAAAATGCCATAATTTGACATCCAGTATAGTTGTTAGCAAAGAAATAACTAATATTGAATAAAAGGAATGATTCTAGCAGCCACCAAGGCTATGCCCTTTCGGAAAGAAAGCTAGCTGATTTCTGAACTGTGCATTCATGATCATGTGGTGGCTGGTCATTTCTCAAATGCACTTCCTTGGATAGCACCTGGACATCAGTTTAGACTAAGTAACACACATACATAGTATTCCACTGTACAAGCTGAAGTATTTTAAAGTAAATGGCAAGTATCATGACTCTAGGTGTCTCTAGCCAGCAAGCAACAGCATCTGGATTTGAACCCAAGAAGTCATATTAGAGAGATTGTGCCCCTAAGTCATTGGTATGTGAAGCACTTACTGGATGATAATTCACAACAGGTATAGCAAGTTAAAATCCTGAAAATTATTTGATTTAACCCCACAACAAAATTGAGAGGGAGTTCATATAGATAGAGGCTCAGGGAGTATTTTTTTTTTTTCTCAAGGGTAGACAGTAAGTATTGAAAGTGAAGAGGCAAGGCAATTTTGGGTTTGTGGCTAGTGCAGTTGCACAGAACTTCATGTGCAGATGTGCAGAAGAGAGTCATGCTTGGGTTTAAATGCTCTACAGTTGCCATCTTGGGATTCTAAGTAGTTTTATATTTTACACTGTGTTTTGTGAGTGAAATGTGAGGGGAAAATGGATTATTACAGCAAGCTTGGAGCCTCTGTACAGGGGCAACTTCCTTCCCTTTCCATGTCTCCAGGATTGATTCTTAGTTTCCTGCTTCCCTGTTCTCACTCAAGGGCTGAGGCAACCCTCGGCCCTGGGAAGAATAACTGGCAGTAGGTGCTGGGGAAGGTCAGGATTGAGTGTATGCCACCAGCTCTAAATTTTCGAAAGGGATCCTGGATAACTGTGAGATGCTGTATTCACTCTGAGAGTGTGTCTCCATACCCCAGACGGTACAGCATTAAATAGAGCTAAACCTATCAGATTTATTAACAAATGAAAGATACCTTGGCACCCCAAGAGAGAGACCACAGGAGAAAGGAAATTTTTTTTTCTCTGTGTTTTGATCAAGGGACTCGACATTTTCATTTTGCACTGGGTCCTGAAAATTATGTGGCTAGTCCTGTGAAGAGGAGAAAAGTCAGGTCTTCTAAGAGCATGGTCAGTATTACTTGGAATCCACTTGTGGTAAAATTGCTCCACAAAAAGTGATACTACCATGTGGTGCATTCTGAGGCGGGACCAGAGCAGGTTGCAAGGTTAATGCCGAAGCAGAAAAACTAGGCAGAAGGTTGGCTAAAGGGCAGAAGGGTAGTGCTTGCTTGGTACTAACAGATTTAATATACTCTGGTATGTTTAAACATGCTATAGAAACATAAAAATATCATGAAAGTAGGGCCAATATAAGCTTTTGTTTAAAAAATTAACTAAATTAAATTGAGAAAGAAAAAGGGCCAACAAACCACTGCTCAATGAAATAAAAGAGGATACAAAGAAATGGAAGAACATTTCCATGCTCATGGGTAGGAAGAATCAATATCATGAAAATGGCCATACTGCCCAAGGTAATTTATAGATTCAATGCCATCCCCATCAAGCTACCAATGACTTTCTTCACAGAATTGGAAAAAACTACTTTAAAGGTCATACAGAACCAAAAAAGAGCCCGCATCGCCAAGTCAATCCTAAGCCAAAAGAACAAAGCTGGAGACATCATGCTACCTGACTTACAAGGCTACAGTAACCAAAACAGCATGGTACTGGTACCGAAACAGAGATATAGACCAATGGAACAGAAGAAAGCCCTCAGAAATAATGCCGCATATCTACAACTATCTGATCTTTGACAACCCTAAGAAAAACAAGCAATGGGGAAAGAATTCCCTATTTAATAAATGGTGCTGGGAAAACTGGCTAGCCATATGTAGAAAGCTGAAACTGGATCCCTTCCTTACACTTTATACAAAAATTAAGTCAAGATGGATTAAAGACTTAAATGTTAGACCTAAAACCATAAAAGCCCTAGAAGAAAACCTAGGCAATATCATTCAGGACATAGGCATGGGCAAGGACTTCATGTCTAAAACACCAAAAGCAATGGCAACAAAAGCCAAAATTCACAAATGGGATCTAATTAAACTAAAGAGCTTCTGCACAGCAAAAGAAACTACCAACAGAGTGAACAGGGCAACCTACGGAATGGGAGACAATTTTTGCAACCTACTCATCTGACAAAGGGCTAATATCCAGAATCTACAATGAACTCAAACAAATTTACAAGAAAAAAACAACCCCATCAAAAAGTGGGCGAAGGATATGAACAGACACTTCTCAAAAGAAGACATTTATGCAGCCAAAAAAAGCATGAAAAAATGCTCATCATCACTGGCCATCAGAGAAATGCAAATCAAAACCACAATGAGATACCATCTCACACCAGTTAGAATGGCAATCATTCAAAAGTCAGGAAACAACAGGTGCTGGAGAGGATGTGGAGAAATAGGAACACTTTTACACTGTTGGTGGGACTGTAAACTAGTTACACCATTGTGGAAGTTGGTGTGGCGATTCCTCAGGGATCTAGAACTAGAAATACCATTTGACCCAGCCATCCCATTACTGGGTATATACCCAAAGGATTATAAATCATGCTGCTATAAAGACACATGCACACGTATGTTTATTGTGGCACTATTCACAATAGCAAAGACTTGGAACCAACCTAAATGTCCAATAATGATAGACTGGATTAAGAAAATGTGGCACATATACACCATGGAATACTATGCAGCCATAAAAAATGATGAGTTCATGTCCTTTGTAGGGACATGGATGAAACTGGAAACCATCATTCTTAGCAAACTATTGCAAGGACAAAAAACCAAACACCGCATGTTCTCACTCATAGGTGGGAATTGAACAATGAGAACACATGGACACAGGAAGGGGAACATCACACTCTGGGGACTGTTGTGGGGTGAGAGGAGCGGGGCGGGATAGCATTAGGAGACATACCTAATGCTAAATGACGAGTTAATGAGTGCAGCACACCAACATGGCACATGTATACATATGTAACAAACCTGCACGTTGTGCACATGTACCCTAAAACTTAAAGTATAATAATAAAATTTAAAAAAAAAGGGCCAACAGTTTATAGCCATTTTTGTTCATTAATTTAATATGCATTTATGAAAAATCTATAATCTGAGCTTATAAAAAGAGACTCACTTGAGCCTTCCTTGGACTTTGAGAGACTCAATAAGGAAAGATCAAGAGAATACAAGTGAAGTGAAATTAAGCAAACATTGTATCCATAGTACTTCTTCCCTATGGCAGGCAGCAGAAACCAATGGTGTGCCCCAGGTCCATTCATTCAACAAACACGCACTATTTCTTTCTTTGGCACCAGTTCTCTTCTACCCAATGGCACTGCCCAAAGAGAAAAAGACAAGCATTTTGCTTTGTGCCTTTGGGTGGAGAGCAATCTAGAAGTAAAGAATTAAAATTCAACTGCTGTGTCAGAGACATACTGCTGGCTGGAGAAATGGAGGAGGAAATAGCTAACACTGCTTGAGAATGATGTGTTGCCAGGTTAAGAAGCCACCAGAGCTTCAGGCAGCCGGAAGCTGCACTTGTCTAAGTGGAGGAGCAGAGGCTGGAGAAACAGCTGAGAGCCTTGCTAGGGTTGTTTGGTGCTGGTGATTGGTTCCTGAATCTTGGGCATGTCATTTACTCTGAGTTGATGGAACTTTCATGTTGGCTCTTACTGTAATTCTAAGCTAAGTAGTACGACTTGGCAATAGGGAATCTTCAGAAGTATTTTAAGAAAGGGAATAACACGATCAAAAATGCCACTGGGTGAAGCTTGGAAGGACTTGAAGTGTTGGAAGACTGGAGAGAGGGAATCCAGGGGGACAACTGCAAGAAGCGGTAGTAAAAAGAATGATGAAGTCTAACACTGCCAGTGGCCATCTGCTCAAGGAAGAAGAATTGCATTTGCGAGAGATTTAGTCATCAATAACAACTTTATTCCTCAGTAAAATATCAATATCCACTTCATCGATAACAACTTTATTATATAATTATATATCACATTATACTTTCTTAACTTATTTCTATATTATTCCATTTGATCCCTATAAACCCTTAGGATAAGTGGTAGATGGTATACTATCATTATTGCCATTGCATCCAAAAGATGAGGCTGAAGTCACACAGTCAGTCTGTTGAAGCATCAGAATCTCAGACCTCTTGATTGTCACAGGCCTTCCTGTCTACATTTTACATTTTCTGTACTAACAATCTATACTTCATGCACTTTTCCACATTCTGTATACTTTTAAAAGTCTCAGTGTCATGCTCCTGTACCCACCTCTCTGAATTCTCCAAAGACACACAGCTAAGTATTTTGCAATTCCAGCTTCTAGTTTCACTAGTAAAAGTTCAGAGATATGAAAATGCATTCAAAAGGCTATGCGGTGGACAGCCAATGAAGACCAGACTTTAAATCAAAGTTTGAATATGTTCTTATTGTAACTATGTAAGTTCATAGGTTAAAACTTTGTTTCGTTTTCCTTTTGGCTGAATAGACAGTTTCTCAAGATCCAACTTTAATCAGTATTTTATGAACTCCCAGTATATTAACACAGAAACCGTACATGTCTCCAAAGTTAAAAAATAATGTTGCCCTAGGTAGTTATGTTGGTGAGCAAAAATCATAGCAGTGTGAACAGAGAATTGAGACTGAACCACAAACACCTGTTCAGAATCCAAATTGTCTTCCCTCAAACAGCAGCTGAAATGCATTTGGACAAGTTAAATGGTTCTCTATTTTTCCTTCCTTAAGGAAGTACTTTTCTTTATGTTAGTTATCAGAAGGCAGTACACACTGAATTATGGTGCTACTCGCTATTCAGCCAATTGCTGGTGGGTATAATGATGCACCTGTTAGTTGAGAAACCCTGGGATACAAAACTGTTCAGCAAGCAGACATCCTCAGACAGACGGAGGGCCTGCTGAATATTCCCGCTGAATTATGCAAGATTTTCTGGTTTATGGTCATTAAAGGCAGTGATAAAGCAGCTGTCACTGAGTAGGATGTTGTCAAATATCAATGTGAAGAATAAAGATGATTACCCCGGTACCACTCATCACATTACTGTGAGCTTTGTGTTAGTATTTAAAGATAAGGGATTGCCTGACTAAATATTTGCCCCAGGCATTACCTTGACGCTAAAGGTCTAAAACAAGATACATGTGCAATATGTGTCTGTGCACTCTAGGCTTTTCATGGCGTCTCAGAAGAAAAAGGCTTGAAAGAAAGGCTGAAATCATGGGGTTGATTTTACAATTAAAATGAAAATGGAACTGAGCTACTTGTTGACAGTCTGTTCCTTTTGTATTTAGTCTATCCACCAAACTGAACTGGCTTGAACGGGTTCACAATTGAACAGGGAGAAGCTGAAAAAGGAAGAATATTGAAAAGATGTACATCTTTTTTATTTCATTAACATCGCCAGCCTGGGATTTCAGAGATTGTTTATGTTGTCTGACATGTGAGTGTTGGGAGAGGGAAACAGTGTGAATGCCTTTAGAGTCACATTGCCCAGCCATGAGGCATGTCTGGCACTTGGAAACACCATGGGGACAGAGCCGTGTACTCAATAAATAACAAGTGAGGGCAAAGATGATGGAGCAAATATTTGGACACCTCTGTGACCACAAACAGAGGTAAATGTTTATTGATACAAAACAAAAAAATCAAATACAAAGAACAGGTTTAGGCAACACATAAAACTGAGTGGAGAACTAAAGACTGAAGACTGTATCTTCACGATATTGGCATCATTTCTAATAGATACCAAGTAATGGGGTTGGCTGATTTTTTTAGAGTTAATTTGATGTGTTTCTTTGGCTTTTATTAAAAGCATTCATAAACGATGTCATATCATAAGATAATAAGAAAATATCCCTATAGAGATATTTGACTATGAGTAAGTCCAAATGACAAAGAAAAAATCTAGTCTTTTAGAGATTACAAAAACATAAAGCATCCCAGTTTCAGTAGAATTTAACTTCACATTTATGTATCAAATGCACTTAGGGTCTCATGCCAATTGAGAAGTTTAGGCAAGTAATTTAATAGGTAATAGTTTTTATTTATTAAAACATAGAAACTTAGAGACATCTTAAAAAGAAACTGCTTGAGGATTTATGGCATTTAAAAAGAAGGAATTGTCTGCAGCTTTGTGACAATTATTTAGTGCCTATTTATGAGTAAGAACATCTTGTTTTTCAAATGGCTTAGTCTAGTATATAATGGGGAAAATGAGGCATATAAAATGCCTACCTATTTCTAGCAGCACACCTATATGTTTTATATGTTTCTGCCTTCTAGATGGTAAGTCATGTCTTACTAAATTATGTTCCTCATTAGGTTAGTATTTTATCTTGTATATTGTAGGTTCTCAATAAATATGTATCTAGGGAGTAGATGAAGGAGATGAGTAAAGAAAAGCAGAAGTTCCTGGGGTTGGGGGTTAGTAGTGTATGCAAACACAGAGGCATGACCCTGCCCTTGAGCATCATGGGTAACAGGAAGGAAGCAAAGAAGGAAGGAGGGAAGGAAGGAAGGAAGGTAGGTAGGTAAGGAGGGAGGGAGAGTGGGAGGGAGAGTGGGAGGGAGGGAGGAAGGAAGGGTGGGAGGAAGGAAGGGCGGGAGGCATGGAGGGAGGAAGGAAGGAAGGACGGCCGGAAGGAAGGAAGGACGGATAGACTGACGGAAGGACGGGAGGGAGGGAGGGAGAAAGACCCTGAGAGGGAAAGTAATTTCCTTTGATACTGGGCATGTTGCAGTGGAGGGGCTTGTGTCCTGGTGGTCATTGGAAATTCAGTTCCACAGTTCAGTTTTTCCAATTCAGAAAAGCAGAGAGTCTGAAAACAAAATTTTATTGCAAACATATGGTAAGCTTGTTTAGTGGTAAAACCTGATCTGATTCCACTAAGTCTCTTTAGATTTTTTTTAATATATTCCACCTCATAAACATTTTCATAAGTTTTTCAGTAGAAATGTTACTGTGTTTGATTACTAGGCACTGTTCCAGTCCCCAGCTGGGGGTGTTATTTAATGTATACTGTATGTGTACCTTATTACATTTCTAAATTATGACCAACTTTGAATTACTAAACACATCCCATTGCCAAGGGTTTCAGATAAAGGACTGTGGATCTATGGGAGTTCACAAGGGAACATGACATTAAGTCCACTTGCAGAGTTGGTTAAATCACTTGCTCAGGTGAAGCAACTCTCCAGTTGTATACTGGGGTTTGAATACAAGTGTTTCTAACCTTAAAGTTGTGATTCTTCCCTCTCTTCAAAGAATTATAGTAGCAAAAGTGAAAGAAGTCAACAAATATATGGTTATAGGTTTAATATTTGCTAGGCATTGCTCTAATTGAATTTATACATAATCTTTATGTAGTCTTGATGTAGGTATTATTTTTATCATAATTTTACAGATGAGAAAAAATCCAGGGAAATTAAGCAACTCATGCGAGACCACAAAGTTTATTAGTGTCAGAGGTGAAATTATGAACCTAGATAGTCATTCTCTATACCCAATCGACATACAGTACTTTTAAGACAGGATATGTCTAGGACATTGACTGTAAAACGAGGGAATATGAAACCTCTTTGAAAAAAAATACATGAAAAGGAGGAGACGGAGAACAAAACAAAGAAGGCAATAAGGATGAAAAATGGGCAGAAATTCTTATTTTAAACACAAGGATGGTGGTATCTGAAGAGTACACCTAAGAAGGGGAGGCTTAGTGGTTAAAACCCAGGAGAGCTGCATGGATTATACCCATGTAACTTTGAGAAGCTTGAATTTATCTGTTTTGCATAATTGGTTTATACTTTATCATGGGCATGAATTAGTTATTCTCATTGACTTTCTTTCTAAAACCTCTTATTAAAAGTTTCAATGAAATATTATTCTAAAAGTACTTTGGTAAACATGCTGTATAGATATAAATAATTGAAATAAGATATTCATGGAAATGTCTGGATTTCCCATAAAGCAGAGCCTGAAGCAGCACTGTGTGCTATTGCTTGGCTGGCCAGCCCTGGAGGGCAGGAGTGATGGACAAGGGGAGTGAGGCAGAGAAAGTGAAACAGGCAACTAAGAATGCAGCTGATTTCTGGGTCTGGAGAACGTCCTCCAAAAAGGCACTTTGTCTCAGAGTTCAGTGAGGTGGATGAGGGAAGAAGTAATCTACTGTTCTCATCTCCCACTGGTCAAAGTTTCGCCCTGCTGGGCATCCATCAAGTTCCTAGCACTTCCAGGTTGAAGTTGTACAAGCTGCAATAGGGTCTTGCTTGTTGATGTTCACTTCTTCACATCAACAGAAATACTAGGGAGGTGGAGGATTATGTAGCCTAGGCAGGAGGTGAAGTGGGGGCAGGTGGCACTTCCCTGCAATTGGTGGGAGCCCATGTGCAGCAAGGCAGCAGTAGCAGCTGGAACCAGAGACAGGCAAGAGAGACAGGATCTGAAGTCATTGGTGATATGTGGTCTAATGGGTCACTGGTGCATTTTAAATGATACTTTCCAGACTATGACCTTCTGTACACAATGTAACAATGTAAATAGGGAGCTATGCGTCAGTGCAGTTGGGCAATAGTTAGGGTTCTCCAGAGAGAGACAGCAACAGTAGAATGGATGGATGGATGGATAGATAGATAGATAGATAGATAGATAGATAGATAGATAGATGAGGGGATTAGTTAGGGGAATTGGCTCATGTAATTATGAAGGTTGAGAAGTCCCACAACAGGCTGTGTACAAGCTGGAGACACAGGGATTCAGCAATATGGCTGGCTCAGTACAAATTTGAAAGCCTCAGAATCACAGAAGCTGATGGTGTAACTCTTAGTCTGGAGCTGAAGGCCTGAAAACTTGGGAGGTGGGGTTGGTAGACTACTAGTGGAAGTCCTGGAGTCCAGAGGCTGGAGAATCTCAAGTATGGGTGTCTAAGGGCAAGAGAAGAAAGATATTCTAGCTCCATGAGAGAGAAAGAAAAATTTGCCTTTCCTCTGCTTTTGTTCTATCCAGGCCCTCAGCTGATTGGATGGTGTCTGCCCATCTTGAGGGCAGATCTTCCCCATTCAGGCCATTGACTCGCATGCCAATCTCCTCCAGAAACACCCTCACTGATACATCCAGAAATAATGCTTTGCCAGCTGAGACAGTAGAATCCTTACCTGCACTCTTTCATAGGAGTAGCTGCAAATTCTATATGACTATGAAGTTTAGGTAAAATTATCTTTTCTCCTAAAGGAACACGATCCAATAAAATTTTGTTTCATAAACTCTATAAGTAAATTAAATTTTCAGAAATGGGTTCTTATTAGATAATCTGTCTTTCATTCTTTCTGTCCTTTGTTTTTTCTTGCAATTTGTAAGAAATTTCCTTGACATTTATGAAGTGACTGTAATAAACAAAAGGGAAAATGTATTTTGAAAAGCTAAAACACATGAGTGGCTACTAATTGGAACCTTTGCATTTTAGCTTTCTGGCATACCCGAGGACATTTTCTAGCAGGGATTATTTATTTCCCCTGGATTTTAATTTCTTTTATGATGATTTGGCTATTTGTTACCCTACCGAAGGCACTGGAATTAAAGAATGAGGGTCATTTAAGTGACTGAAAATAAATCTTTAAGATATACTCCCCCCACCCCCACCATAGAAATATCATGAGGCCTAGGGTGTCACTTAGAATCGTTACCATGTTGGGAAGACTTCATTGGCTCCCACTGCTTGGCTTTCTCCAGCAATCTTGGTAAACAGCACCTATTCATCTGGATGGAATGGACAGAAGCTCATATAGGAAACTGGGTTATCCTTGCAAAGGCCTAAATGAGATGATTGCCACTGGAAAGCACCAATTAAATTGAATGTTATAAGGGTGACAAGGCCAGGAACTGTGCTGTGACCTAACAGATGCCCTCAGTGTGTGTTGTGAATTATGCCACAAGATTCCTAGCTGTGAGGTTTTCTCTTACCCGTGGACTATGGGTTATACGATGCCGCACACTGGAGGCAGGATCCATAATATGGAAGTGAAAAGCCTGGGATTTTGTGTAGGTTGAGCTTGGTTTGAATAGCAGTTTTTCCTGTTTAAAATTAATCCCCAACAACCTCTGTTATCAAATTGTTATTCCTATCCTTTACCTACCTTGCAGAGTTGCAGAGAGGATGAATGTGGTAATACAGTTAAAATTCTTGAGAGCCCTCAACAAGTGGTTGTTGTCATAAAGTTATTAAAAACCCAAATTTACTTAGATACTTCAAGAGCAAACAACCAAACTCATGCCTTTAGCAGTTTTTAAGGTTTTGATTCAATTCCTCCCTTTGTACAAAAAAATAAAGAGAAAAACAACATTGCTGCCAAACAGGCAATAATCAGCTTCACAACCTTGAAAGATGCTTTTTAATTTATCATTTTCCACTTGCACTGAGAATACATTCACAAGATGAAAGAGCAGATAAAACATTTCCTTTGCTATTGAGATAATAGCAGCCACAATGATGTCCTATAGCCCAGCCTCAACTCTCTTGACAAACTTTAAAACATACTACAGACTCCATTGTTAAAGAACATGTATGCAAAATCAAGGAACCCAACACGTTTCAAAGTAAACCTTTGCCCTACCACTTGCTGTCAATTCTTTTTTTCTTGCTCAATGAATCCCAGAGCTAGCTCTGGAATTACATGATAATATCAAATCCCCATTTTGCAACACAACCTTTCCTTCTGCCCCTGAAAACCACTCAATGGATTCCCTTTGCACTTAGGATAAAATTTGAGCTCCTTTACATGAATTCCAAGGCTGTCCACAGTTGTGCCCTTCCCACATCATCAAACTCTAGTTCATAGCAGAAGCTTGATACCTAAGAGATGTTCAGTAAATAGTTGATGTCTGACTAATGATCTTTCTCTAGTTAATTCACCCCATGCTGTGTACTCTAGTCATATTATACTCCTTTATGACACTCATCCTCCCAAACACACCCATAAGTCTAGGTCACAGCACATGCTGTGAACTCTGCCCCTCTCCTTCTAGACACACTCCATCCCCCTTTTGCCTTCTATACTCCTTAAGACTTGGTTTAGATGTTATTTCAAGGAAGTATTCTCTGATTGCTGGTCTAGAATATGTCCTTCCTCTATAAATGCCTTATAGAATTTCTCACCATTTCCACTATTTCAGTTTATGGTAATCAAAGGTTTATTATGTGACTTTCTGCTATGCAACAAACTCCTGGTACATAGCTGTATGAATCATGGCTTTTTATTTTATGTATTTTGATGCTTTGACATCTGGGACAGTGTTATCACTGGAGGCGTGGCCCCTTTAGGGTTACCTAATTCCTAGAAATAAACTACTCCCAGCTCCTCTAATATGCAAGCCAACCAATCCAGAGGCAGCACCTTAGATCACCTTCTCTAGCAGGCTCTCACACTCAGGATCATTTCTAATCACTCAAAGCCAGGTACCATACAATGAGGGACAGCTCTTCTGCCCAGAGCCTGCTGAACTTATTGAAACCTGAACTTTCTGCCCCGTGCTTCTCCTAACAAAAACCACATTAAAGACTCTTGCTACATTTTCACCAGCCCCCTCTGCCTCCTGTCAGACCCCAGTGCTTCCCTGTGGCCCCATGAGGTGGCCTGTCCCCTCCTCATGGGATATGTGAGTATAGCAAGCTATCTTTTCAACAGCAGTTGTCTTCATGCTTAAAAAATAATGAAACTTACATTTTAAGGCAGCAGAGATTTAACTTTTTTTCACGTTGAATTTCCAGTCCCTACTATAGTACCTGTAAAAGTAATAAATGCCAAATAAATAAATAAATGAACACACACACATATACGTATATACACAAACACATTTCAAGTATTATTTATGTAATCAACTATGATAAACAAAATGTATAATATTTATATATAAATATAAGATGTTCACATTTCATTCACTAAATATGTAAAATGTGAATGTTTTGATAGCAATCGGAACTTACTTCTCTTTGCCTAATTTCTATTATTTATAGTTTTTACATTTTCTTTTAAATTGTGTACTTCGAACATTGTAGTTTGCTTGTAACAGAACTACCCTTATTCCCAAGTTAGAAACTTAATTCTTAATTCTGAGTTTGACTGCTCTTAGACCTTCATCCTTTGACAAAACGTTTGGTTGAGAATAAAATGTATTTTGTACTGACATATAAATACTGTTCATTATGATTATAGTTAAATAAAATTAAATATAACTGCAACTGTCTTGTGATCTGACATAGTTGTGGGTGATTTACATGTAGAAATATTTTAGGAGATGAATAAAAGCAAGGACAGTCTATTTTGGACGTTCGGGTTGGCAACATTCACATCTCTGCTGGTCACACCTGCCATATGTTGGCTTCTCTTTTCCTCCAACTGTTTTCTTTCCTAAGAGTGACTTCGAGGCAGGAGACATCACTTCCCACTTCTGGATCTGAGAAATGCTCATGTTTGCATATCAAGCAGTTTGCCATTTTCCTGAAGTATCTCAATTCTGTGTTTTAGTCTCAGTATTCTTTCTTGTGATAGCTGAAATATTCATCAACTGAGCCACTTCCTCCAAGTGCCAAAAAGCAAATGTTTTTGTTCCTTCAAATTTCTGTATCATGGGAATTTCTAGCTCCTGAGGAAGGCTGGCATGAGTGGATGGCCCACCTTCTTTAGTGTTCACGCTCAGGGCCACTATCTACCATTTCCAATCCCTCAAAGCCAGGTACCAGACAACTATAGATGTCCCTCTGCTGAACTTATTCAAACTAATCCTATTCAAACTAAGCCAATCCTAAACCTGCTACCCTGGATTTGAGTTGTTTGAGAAGGCAAAATGAAACTCTTAAGACCACACCACAGGCAAAAGGAAAACTCTATTGCCTGTACCCAATAAAATGAACTTTATATCTGTAAGACCAGACCCAAAATAGAGTTATGTGCTGGGTAAGGCTGTTAGAAGTACAAACAGGAGCATGCTATTGGAGCTTCTTTCCTCTCTAATTTTTTGAACCCAAACATTGTCGATAACCTAATATCCCCCAAAGGTAAAGATTAATATTTCAGTTACCAACCAAAACATTATTTCCTAGGTTTCTCAGAATGATTTTCCTTGCTCCTTTCCATTTTCTATCTAACTCTCATTTTTCCAGTCTTCTTTCTTCCCTTTTGATGCTGTCTGCTTGATACCTATCAATATGTATAAAGTAATTCCTTTAAAGTTTTAGCTACTTTAAATAATTAAAACAAAATCTCTTGGGGCAAGAAGGAGTAATAAAAATGCAAGTCATGATTTTCACTTTTAATGTAATTATAAATAAAACTAATATGAATAAGAGCCACTAAACCCACTGGGATGTTTTGTCTCCTACCAAAGGGTTTTATTAGGAGTACTGCATTTTTAACATTGCCCCATTTGTGCCTCAGAACAGTGTCTCTAGGTATTATACATTCATCAGCTTAGGTAACTATATATAACTACACATGCTGGGATTAATTAACATAGAACTTAACAAAATTGCCTAGGGGAGTCAAGACAGAACCAACATATCACAACATCCAAACAATTCATCATCTGAAAACACAGAAGTAAAACTAGGTAAGAAAAGAAGTCCAAGACAGGAAAGGGGTGTGCTAAAAGTATGGAATACCCTGAGATAATTGAATCTTAAATGCAGAAATTTTTGACAAAGTGACTGTAGCCTCAATCACGGTCCCGTAGGATGTCATTTGGGACATGCATCTATCCCTTACCAAGATTTTTATTGATAGTGATGGGAAGTGGGAGGAGAATTAAATCCACAAAATTAAATGTAAGCTATATACCAGAAGCTTTGAAAGCAACCAAATTGAAAAGATATGTGATTAAGAATTCACCCTGCATCTAAGACAGGCTTGCTACTCTGGACTGCCCTGCTTCCTCCTCACTTCATCCAATCCACTTCACTGAGACCACAGTTTCTAGACTTTGCCCTGCTGGCTAAAAAGTACTTTTTCAGCCCTGGCCTGTAACAGACAGAGATTGCTAAGTACTAATAGTATTCATTTCCTTCTGTTTTATTTATTTATTTAATTTATTTATTTTTGCCCTTGTAGAAGAACCTCAGATTTCTCTGAAGAGACAGTGAGCCAATCTAAATTCTTAAACACCTTAAAACAGGTTTGGCCATGTGACTGGCCAATAAGATCTAAATGAAAGCCTCTTAGTCCTTTTTGAAAGGTTATGGAAGCTGAGACTGCCTGTGTGGGAGATGTAATGGCTGGAATCCCTGCAGCTATTGCAGACTAAGAGGTACATGGATAATGGAAAACATTTGTGTAGAAGAGAAAACTGTAAGAAGCTTAGGCCCTGGTGGTACTATGCAGAGCCATCAAACAGCTTTAAACTGCTGTTTCCAGAATGCTATTATATAGGAGAATGAAATCTTAGTTGTTTAAAGCAGTATAATAATCCTTTTTCAGCTATTGGTAGCAGCTGAAAGCAATTTCTAACTAATATCAACCCTGGTTTCGAAATTCTTTGTCTTTGTAGCCGAAAAGCCTACATTCATTTCAAAAACAGCCTTAAAGTGTTCACTTCCTATTTCCCACCTTTCCCAACCTTATCTATTTCCTCTGTAACCAGCTCTATGATTTCTTTTTTTCTGTGTTTGTGACTCTTCTGGGTAGACATGACTTTCTCTCTCTCTCTTTTTTTTTTTTTTGAAACAAGGTCTCGCTGTG
This sequence comes from Homo sapiens, assembly GCF_000001405.40. Lineage (NCBI taxonomy): Eukaryota > Metazoa > Chordata > Mammalia > Primates > Hominidae > Homo > Homo sapiens. The sequence goes on along the minus strand of NC_000014.9, from coordinate 87,303,167 downwards.
TTTTCCAGGCTGGAATGCAGTGATGTTCTCTCTAAGTGCACAGTTTTTGCAGTCAGAAAGATGTGGGGTCAAATTTCTTGCTAATCATGTTATCTGGGACAATTCATTTTGTGTCTTTGTGTCTCTGTTTCCTCATCTGGTAAGTATGGCTGCCAATAGGGAGGGTTGGATGAGAGCATACATGCAAAGAACTTAGAACTCAATAAATTAGTGCTCAATAAATTAAGCTATTATTTGAAATATTTTGACAAGGTTAGCACTCTCACTGTAAAATTTTATGGAGAATCATGAGTCCAGTCAGAGCTGTTTTACTTAATCAAGCAGGGCCCTGTCTATCCTAAATCTCTTCCCTGAGGTGATACCAGTAGGCTGTGTACTTGACAGCCAGTGCTTAAAGACATATGTCATGCCTTTCTTGAAGCTTTGTGTTTTTCCTCTGTGTGACTAAGGGGTCCCTATTTTTTTCAGACTTTTTTTCACATAACTTGCTTTAACAATGCTTAACACTCTGAGTTGATGATACTAAATGAGGGAAAGGAGTGAAAGAATTTTGAGTAAGAAATATTAGAAATAATTAATAGTGCAGGTCTTAAAGTCACTGGCTTTGGACTCAGGGGGACTTAATTGTGATTTTGAGTTTTCCTTTCATTAGCTGTGAGAGAATTATGCCACATAATTAATCTTTCCAAGCCTCAGCTTTTTTTTTCACCTTTGAAGTGTAGATAATAATAGTTGTGCATAGATGGTAGTGATGAAGCTCAATTGAAATAATGCACGCAGACTACCTGGTGTGTGCCTGGAACCTCTCATATGCTCAATGAATCAGAACTATGAGCTCTGCTATGAGTAAAAGTGATAATGCCAATAAACAAAATCAATAATCACACATTATGGGAGACTGATAGTTTATCAATCCACTTAAGATCTTCCAGAAATGACAATTTATTTTTAAATATTTATTTCATTAGTTTACGGGGTGTAGCTGGTATCTGGTTACATGGATAAGTTATTTAGCGGTGATTTCTGTGATTTTAGTGTGCCTGTCACCCGAGCAGTGTACGCTGTACCCAGTAAGTATCCTTTTATCCCTCACACTCCTCCCAACCTTCATTCCGGAGTCCCCAAAGTTCTTTATGTCTTCTTAGGCCTTTGCATCCTCATAGCTTAGCTCCCACTTTAACTGAGAATATACAATCTTTGGTTTTCCATTCCTGAGTTGCTTTACTTAGAATAATAGCCTCCACCCAGCTCCAAGTTGCTACAAAATGCATTATTTTGTTCCTTCTTATGGCTGTGTAGTGTTCTGTGGTGTATATATGCCACATTTTCTTAATCCACTTATTGGTTGATGGGTCACTTAGGTTGGTTCCATATCTTTGCAGTTGTAAATTGTGCTGTTATAAACGTGCATGCGCATGTGTCTTTTTCATATAATGACTTCTTTTCCTTTGGGTAGATACCCAGCAGTGGGATGGCTGGATTTAATGGTACTTCTACTTTTAGTTCTTCAAGGAATTGCCATACTGTTTTCTATAGTGGTTGTACTAATTTACACTCACACGAGCAGTGCAAAACTGTTCCTTTTTCACCGCATCCACACCAACACCTATTGTTTTATGACTTTTTAATTATGGCCATTCTTGCAGGAGTAAGATGGTATCTCATTGCAGTTTTAATGTGCAAGCAAGGACAATTGATACAATGGTATAAAAAGTGTTAAGAAATGGAGCAATAAGAAAGATGAGCATGTTCATAACTGCAAAACTTTTGGAAAGCTAGAGAAACGGAAATTCATGCCTGAGTTAGCACTTGCATCAGGATCATTTCTTCATTTTGTTTTCCCTACATTCACCTGTTTTAGATTGATTTATATGAGGTTTGAGGAGAAAATGTTTTGGAAAATCTTTTGAAGAGCAGCAAATAGAAAGATCAATAGACCTAGAGAGATAGAGGATGATAAAAATGTAGTTGAAATGATATAAACCTGAATTATTAAGGAGAAAAGAGAACATTATGGTTTTGTTTGACTTATTAGAATGAAACTAGGCTGGAGGAAGGGGCTCAGCTGCACTATATACTAGCACAACCTCTAGGGCATATAGAGAGCAAAAATTTTGACTATGTAAAAGATAAATACATATCAGTGTTCTCTGATGGCTTTCAAGTTGCATAGTCAACATTCCAAAGGAAAGGTAGAGAAAGGACTTCCCAAAACCTCTTTAAAATACCTGCTAAAGATACCTTTGAACAAGAAAACCTTAAGTTTCGTATCTCAAGAGAAACTTTCAGAAAGGAACCCTTTGCTTCTTGGAAAACTGAAGGAGATTTTGGATTCCCTTATGCTACAGCAGACTGACAGGGCAGCCCCCAGAGGGATGGAACTGGTGATTCCTGGAGAAGAATCTCAGTATGAACTCCTGGGCTGGTGGGATCGAAGAGTTACAGGACGGGAAAATGGGACCTCAGTTCAAACCATTCCAGCTCCTCTCACACTGGCAGCAGTTCCAGCAAAGTAAAATGTTTAATGTTACCATTAAACATTCTGGGCAGAGCTTGAAGAGCAGAGAGATACTAAATAGAAACAATGACAAAGAGAATCCGTATAGGAATTTGCTTATTCCTCTGAACAAGAAGGTTGCTCTTCCCTAATCTGTATAATCAACAATAATGAATGATCAGGGAAAGCCAGAAGAGGATTTTATTAGTCTATTTTCTTACTATTATGAAGAAATACCCAAGACTGGGTAATTTATAAAGAAAAAGAGGTTTATAATCTGTATATCAACAATAATGAAAAATCAAGGAAAGCCAGAAGAGGATTGTATTAGTCTATTTTCTTACTGGTATGAAGAAATACCCAAGACTGGGTAATTTATAAAGAAAAAGAGGTTTAATGGACTCACAATCCCACAAGGCTGGGGAGGCTTCACAATCATGGTGGAAAGGGAAGGGGGAGCAAATGCACATCTTACATTACGGCAGGCAAGAGAGCATGTGCAAAGGAACTGTCCTTTATAGAACCATCGGATCTCATAAGACTGACTTACTATCATGAGAATAGCACAGGAAAACCTGTCCCCACGATTCAGTTACCTCCCACGGGGTCCCTCTCACAACAAATGGGGATTATGGGAACTACAATTCAAGATGAGATTCGGGTGGGGACACAGCCAAACCATCTCAAGCGTGAAATTGGCATGTAGCAAATTTTTATTCTAACCTTATGATGGTACAATTTGAAGCTGTTTACTATGAAAATCTTTATACCTTCACAATAATATGGAGTACAATGAGTCTCAAATACCTGTATCACAGCATCAAAAACCACTCACATGTTGCCACCCTTGATTCATCTATTTCCTACTATCTTTTATTTTGCCTATTGGGGCATTTTAAAGTACATCCAAAGCATCATACAAATTTATGCTAAACATTTCATCATGAATATTTTATATCTATTTATTTAGCTATCTACTGTCACATGTAACAAATTTTAAAATAATTACTTAATATTATCTAACACGAATATTCACACTTTTCCAACTGTCTTAAAAAAATCATTTTATCTTTCTTATTTTATTTTTTATTTATTTATTTATTTTTTTTTTGAGACAAAGTCTCGCTTTGTTGCCCAGGCTGAAGTGCAGTGGCACAATCTCAGCTCACTGCAACCTCTGCCTCCCGGGTTCAAGCAATTATCCTGCCTCAGCCTCTCAAGTAACTGGGATCATAGGCGTGTGCCACCAGGCCTGACTAAATTTGTATTTTTAGTAGAGACAGGGTTTCGTCATGTTGGCCAGGCTGGTCTCGAACTCCTCATCTCAGGTGATCCACCCGCCTCAGCCTCCCAAAGTGCTGGGATTATATGCATGAGCCACTGCAACTGGGCAAAAAATCATTTTGTAATTGGGTTGTTTAAATACGAATCCAACAACATTTACTCCTTTTATTTAGTTGTTACTTTTTTTATACTCCTTTCACGCATTTATTGTTGAAGAAATTAGATTAATTGTCATCTAGATTTTTTTCCATCTGTTATTGTTTAACTTGTTCCTTGCTCACCTGCATTTCTTGTAGCCTAGAGATTTCATTTAAAGCTTGCTTTTTCAAAAAATAAATAATACTTTAATTGTGATGCTGTGACATTATATTTATATGAAACCTCCTTCAAAGGCAAATAACGTCTGACATTTCTATTTTGATGGGTCCAGGTGGGTAACAGCCTGATCCCTTCATTATCGAGTTCCCCATTACTTTTATCTAATAGTTTACTATTGACTTATGGAGACTGAATGAACTGGTTATTTCGTTCTTTTTTCCTATTTCTAAAATTTTCTTTTTTCCTATTTCTAAAATTTCTTTGCATTGTCAGTTGGATTTCTATACAGAAGAATTTCCCTTATCTATCAGATGACTTGGCTACCTTGAAACACAGTTCACACCAGACAGTAATGAAAAGTTAGCATTTTATATTCTTTCCCTTTAATTCATCAACTTAAAGAGTAGTGAGTGGGTGACCTAGCAGACTCTGATAATGTTCACAGAGTTTTGTTTTTCTCTTGCTATTTTTAAAGTATTATCGATTTACGATTTTAACAAATTGCTTGACATTTAAATTGGTCACAATCATTATTAATGATAATCAATCATAAACAATTTAATCATAAAAAATTTAAGGTTGGGCGCGGTGGTTCACACCTGTAACCCCAGTACTTTGAGAGGCCAAGGTGCATGGATCACCAGAGATCAGGAGTTCAAGACCAGCCTGACCATCATAGTGAAACCTCACCTCTACTAAAAATACAAAATTAGCTGGGCATGGTGGTGCATGCCTGTAATACCAGTTGCTTGGGAGGCTGAGGCAGGAGAATCGCTTGAAGGTGGGAGGCAGAGGTTGCAGTGAGCTGAGATCACACCATTGCACTCCAGCCTGGGCAACAAGAGCGAAACTCTGTCTAGGAAACCAAAAAACAAAACAAAACAAAAGAATTCAAACACTTGAAAAATGAAAACATGCAACAATGAATGCCCATGATCCCAGAATCAAGCTTCAACAATTTCAGACTCATAGCTGAACTTATGCCATCTATATATCCTCACTGGTCCTCCAACCATTTGTTGAAGCAATTCCAAGGCATCATAGGAAATGTTTCTAAATGATAAGGCTTTCATCAAAAATATGTAATCATGATATCACTACCACACTCAAAAATCTAATTATTCTTTGATAACCTCAAATAATAAAGTTACCATCAAATTTTCTAAATTATCTCTTAATCTCTTTTTTTTAATAATTTACTTTTTCGAATAATGATATAAATAAGTCCCAAATAGGTCAATGGTTGATGTATATCTTTTACTTCTTTTTTAATGTACAAGTTCATAAGCTTCCCTTTTCTTCTTTTTTTCCCCTTGCAACTTACTTGTTCAAAGAACTGAGTCATTTGTCCTGAAGAATTCCCTAATACCTGGATTTTGTGGTCTATATCCATATTAAGTTTTTTTTCTTTTAATCACCTGTCAATATTTCAGTATGTAACTCTACAAGAATATTTTTATTGAGAGTTAAATTTTAGTGACACTATCACTCCTAAGATAATTTATAATAATTCTAAAATATCAAATATTTACATTGCTTATATATTCTCAATTGCTTACAATTTCTCACCTTTTTAAAGCAGAATCCAAACGTATTATATACATTGGGATGCATTGATATATCTCTGTGTCTCTTTATTGCACTTATTCCCCTCTGGCACTTACTTGTTGGATATTCAAGGTTACTATTCTGTGGAGTTTCCCACAGTCTCTATATGGATCATGTCATGTCTGTGGTGTTAACATACATTATCTCCTGTATTTCCTGTCAATTGGTGGCTAGATTTATAGGTTTAAGCAGAGTCAGATTAGATTTATTTTTTCTATTGGGTAAGAATGTTTCATTGGTAGCATTGTGTAGTTCCATTTAAAGGCACTTGGTATCTGGTTGTTTCTCTTCATGTTAAGAATTATTCATGCTCAGTGTATTCCCTAATTGTACACTGAGCATCAATGGATCAATAGATCCATTAGTCCATTAGAAGATAAAAAATTGCAATATTCTAATTTTTAAAATTTCTTTTCTTTTTATTACTTGGAACATTTCTACTGAAAGACACTCCCCTCATCAACTGCGGGGTACACTGTGGTACTTTTCAAACAGGAAAGGGAGGATAAATGCTTGGTACTTTCTACTTGTTAACTGCTTTACTAAATAAGGAGGTTTCTTCTAGCATTATCAAATCTTTTGCTCATTTTTTTTCTATTAGCTTATTGGTCTTTACCTTCTTTACTTTTAGGAACTCTTTGTATATTAGGAATATTATTTATTTAATGTAATTTAAATATACTTTTTTCTTTGTCAATTATCTTTTATACTATTCACTATGCATTTGTTAAAATATTAGTAAAAAGTATCTACATTTTCCTTTATTTTCTCTGGCATTTGAGTCATAGTTCTAAAAGTTTTCCTATTCCTAGGTTATAATGGAATTCACTCATATTTTTTTCTTAGTGTTTCTATGGCCCCTTTTTATTAAAAATATTAATTCCTTGAGTCATTTGGAATTGATTTGGCTACACTATGTGAGGTGTATATCAAATTTTTACCTTTTCAAATAACAGTGGCTCAAACTTCATCTATTTTAAAAGTCCACGTGATGGTGTTTTATAAAGTCTCAGTAATATCTCACTGAGTATATGAACTGATGAATTGAGTCATTAATACATTCCTGCCTTAAATCTTTGTTTAATTCTGACTAAATGGAATACATAACATATAACATATAACATAAATTAGACCATTCATAACATATATATAACATAAATTAGACAATTCATTTGGAAAAATATTATCCCAAACCTTCAATTAAACTGGCTTTTCTTAAAAATATTTTCAGGATCTTTTTTTTAATGCAAGAGAATTTTATAAACACTTTCTTATTTCTTCTTCATATGAACTCTCTAATTGTTACTAATTGCCTCACTTTACACTTATGAAGAAACTGACTTTTACTGAAACTTGTCGTATGTCACATTGCTCTCAAGTTAGGCCACTTGAACTTTAGCAGTGATATCTTGCAAGTAGTTGGGGAAGCATTTATTTATTTATCTATCTGTCACTTTTTGATCTAACATCGGAAAGAAACATTGCTCTGAGGTCTCTATCTACATTGTGTTTGCCATTATCATGAGTAAGAAAATAAAGAAGAGGTGAAGATAAGTTCAACATTGGGCATTTTGATTTGCAGTGCTTGTGGAACATCCATGTGAAGGAAACCCAGCGGGGGCCTGCACATGGCTCGGAACATACGATTTCCATGGCTTACTCCTGCGCATGGCCATAGTGCTAGATTTATAATTGTCAATTTGTTTTAGATATTGAACATTATACGAATAGCAGTATCTAAATGTATACAATACACCAAAAAAGCAATTTTTTGGATTGTCTGTAACATCTACTTCTAGATTCTTCATTTCCACTCACTGGCAAAGGTTGTTAGATGTTGAGGGGAAGGGTTGAGTGAGTTGCCAATTAAGTACAACAGTAACCTTCCGGTTTGAGTTTCTTCTGAGCTAACAGGATATGATTGAATATGCAGTAAGTTCAAAGATCGCTTTCTTTGTTAGGGTTTCCTTAGACTGAAATTGGTGTGCAGAAGCAGCTTTTCATTCCTCATTATGTAGACAAGAGAGAGGAATCTTTAACTTTATAGGCATTGCTTGGGGCTCTTTTTAGTCACTAGTGTCATGGAATTGGTCAGGCCTGAGCCCTGGTTGTTTTGTACTCAATCTACTCAGGTGCTATTGGGGTCCTATTGTCCCTTGGGGTGTCCCACTGGCCGCTGATAAATTCCCTGGTCCCTACCGTATTTTTTCACTTTGGGAGGTCTCCGGATATTGCAGCATCTGTAGCCTGACTCTATGTGTATTCAGACTATCAGTTGTCTTTGGATCTATGTGGAGCCTGGGAAATCTTGGCTGCTTTTTGTGAACCACTAGAGTGTCCACGACTTTGAGAGGAGTCCCTCTGTGCCACTCATATGGTCACCTTCCTCAATCAGTTTGCTCTCCCACAAAAATATTTGATAAACACCCCTCATCTTTTGGGTTTCCTCTCAATTTATCTGAGGTTTCTACCTTGCTGGAAATCCCCTCTTCCCCATGTCTGTCAACTACATCCAGTCCAAAGAAGCAAGGCTCAAAGAGGTGAGGGAACTGGAACCCTGGAAATCCTTTGTTTCTTCTTCACCCGCTATCTGTCCTCTGGACCCGGGCCTCCACCCCAACCAGAAAAGCTTCTACTTCCCCTTTCCAAAGAGTGAGAACAACTATATTGCACTTCCTTCCTTCCTTTACCAATTGACTTTGTTCTGGATGATGCATCCCTTTCCTTCTTTAGATTACTACACTTATTACTAAATTCATGGTTTGGTAATAATGACACTAGTCCCTGCAGGAAAATAAAACAAAGGTAAAAGAAAGAAAAAAAACCCATAAGTACATAGACCACTGATAGAAAAAATAGATTGCCAAGGATTTTAAAAATATTTTATTATATAAAGTAGAAGTCTATAATTGCTTAGGATTCAACCTAGAAAAATATCAGAAAACAAATCTAAAGGTCAGCAAAAGGGCAGGAGGAAAAAGAGAGAGAAATAAAATAGTCAGAAAATTTGTGACTAGAGAAATGGGAGAGAAACGAGAAGGCAACAGCATTCTAGAATATAAGGGAATGGAGTTCTTGGAGAAAAGGAGAATAGCAAATACTTTTAAATGCTGCAGAGAGGTCAGTCAGTTGAGATATTCTTTTTGCACAGGGAAATAATGTGGCTTAAATGTGGTCTGGTTACGGAAACATTTGGGTTTAGAAGCCTAATTGAGTTATGTATAGTAATACCATGAAAATAATTCCTCCTGAAATGAGCAAGTGACTTAGGTTTCAGTTCAAACTTTTTAAACAACTAGCTGTGTAGTCTTGAAAAAGTTCATTAGCCTCTCTGGGCCTCCTTTTATAAAGACAGAATTAATCAGATGATGTCTCAACTTTTTTTAGCTTTGAAAGTCTGTGAATCTAGGAAGGAACATTTCTCCAGGCAAATGGAGAAAAATAAAAAGATCATATTGCCAGTACTAAATTATCTGCTCATACATTTCTTCCCTTTTTCTTAAATTAAGGACACACATATTAATAGTAAAACTGACATGACAACATCATTGATAAAATGCTAACCATGTGCTTAGAAGTATGTTAATTGTTTCATGGAGTTAAACCCATTCTGTAGACTTGAGTCCTGATATTTTAAAGTACAGAACATAAAAGAATTTAAATCTTAAAAAAGATTTAAGAACAAGAATTTTAATTCGAAAACTCATTATTACAAAGTTCATTGTATGCATACTGAGGTGTAACTGAGATCCAGTCATAACCCATAGCATTGCTAAACCTTTTATCACTTTTATTCTTCCTTTTAATGTTTTTTTTTCTTATTTTTCTTATTTATTTATTTATTTATTTATTTATTTTTGAGTTGGAGTTTCACTCTTGTTGCCCAGGCTGGAGTGCAAAGGCACAATCTCGGCTCACTGCAACCTCCGCCTCCCAGGTTCAAGCGATTCTCCTGCTTCAGCCTTCCGTGTAGCTGGGATTACAGGCTCGTGCCACCACACCCAGCTAAGTTTTTGTATTTTTAGTAGAGATGGGGTTTCACCATGTTGGCCAGGCTGGTCTTCAACTCCTGACTTCAGGTGATCCACCCACCTCGGCCTCCCAAAGTGCTGGGATTCCAGGCATGAGCCATCACGCCCGGCCAATGCTTTTTTTCTTGTTGTTGTATCACCATCAATGTTATGATTATTTGCCTTTTTTCCTTTAATCTGATTTTTTACTTAAATATTTATTTGGAAGGGAAATCTTTCTTCACTATAATATAAACCAATGCTACTTTCCATAAAATGTAATACACAAAAACTATATATTTACATAGTAGAAATATTATAAAAACAAAACAATGTAATTACATCTTAACTAGATTATATTTACCTGCCCTCTCTTTGTTTAAAAAAAAAAGATGTATTGCAGAGCCCAGTTGTTTTTTTTTTGTTGTTGTTGTTGTTTTTGTTTTTGAGATGGAGTCTCATTCTGTTGCCCTGGCTGGAGTGAAGTGGTGTGATTTTGGCTCACTGCAACCTCTGCCTCCTGGATTCAAGCTATTCTCCTGCCTCAGCCTCCCGAGTAGCTGGGACTACAGGCACATGCCACCATGCCCGGCTAATTATTTTTATTTTAGTAAAGACAGGGTTTCATCATGTTGCCCAGGAGTGAGCCACCATGCCTGGCCCAGAGCCCAGTTTTAACAAGAATCTAGCTAAGACATTTTAGAAAGAATCTATCCAAGCTTGATAGCCATTCAAGACATGCTCTTACCTTGATATCCAACCAAGATCCTCCTAGTAATTTTCTATCCACTCCCTCACCCTGCTATTTGCTATAAATCACCACCTCTCTTTGTTGTATTTTAATTTGAATTCAATCTCTCTCCCCTATTACAATAGTCTCTCTCCCCTGTTGCAATAGTCTCAAATAAAGTTTTCCTTCCCTGACTTCAAAAAAAAAAAATTAAAAAGATAAGTAAGTGCTGGATAAATGTTTTAGAATAGCTCCAGCTGATACTTTTTTTTTGAGGGAAAAATGTACTATGTTTATTGTTAGCTAATGCCTTGTCCCTATACCACAAGATGTCACATTTTTAAATGTGTGGTACATATTCCACATGTTCAGGACCCAATTTATGCACCTCTATAGATCCACTCAATCTCTTCTTTCCTGTGGTAGTAAATTCCCAGATCCTCCTGTCTCATCCTCAGATACCAGCAATTGCAGAAACCTACTCAGAGGGTAAAGGCTAGGCTAACTGAGCCCTAATAGCTGCATTTCCCCAGTGGCTGCCACAAGGGACTTGGAAACACTACTCAGAATCATGAGAAAGTTACACCCTATGGGGCAAGCTTTGATTACTGAGAGCTAGCTGACACAAAGGAAGAAAGGAAGGAGGGAAGGAAGGAAGGAAGGAAGGAAGAGAGAGAGAGAATGAAAGAAAGATAAAGAAAGAAAGGGAGAGAGAAAAGAAGGAAGGAAGGGAGAGACAGAGAGAAAGAAAGAAAGAGAAAGAAAAGAAGGAAAGGAAGGAAGGAAGGAAGAGAAAGATACTAGACACATAGTAGTTCTGGGAGATCTCTCTGGAGTAATCTCACAGAACCAAACAACCAGTTGTGTTTGTTTTTATTGAAAGCCTGTGTCCAGCTTGATAACGTATCACCTGTGCTTGTTTTCCTGATCTTACCTCATTTCTCCTTTTCCCTCACTCTGGCTACCTTGAGTTTTCACATCTCAGTGAAGTATTTATTCGTAGGCTTTGCCTAAGTCTTTCTTCTTCTAGGCCATTTCCCATACTTAGGGGCCCAAAGAAATAACACATAGTTACGGGGAAATGCATGTAAAATGTGTGTGTTACAGGGGATTCCCAGTCAATTGTAGTTGGTTAGTACAGTGAAGATAAAAACACAATTTCTACTACTAAAGATTTTTTTTAACAACAGTTATCTTTTCCCAATTCTTTACACTCCACAGTGAGTAGTATAGGAAAAACAAATGTGTCTTCACACCCATATCCCTAAAGATTGATGCAATACCAAAAATATTTTGAAAACACTACACAGCCATTGAAAAGAACAAAATCATGTTCTCTGTAGCAACATGGATGCAGCTGGAGGCCATTATCCTAAGTGAATTAATGCAGAAACAGAAAACCAAATACTGCATGTTCTCACTTATAAGTGGGAGCTAAACATTGGGTACCCATGGACGTAAAGATGGGAACAGTAGACCCTGGGAACTACTAGAGTGGGGAGGGAGGGAGAGATGGAGGTGACACGGGTTGAAAAACTATTGCGTGCTATGCTCACTACCTGGGTGATGGGATTTTATTCGTCCATTCTCACACTGCTATAAAGAAATACCTGAAACTCGGTAATTTATAAAAAAAAAAAAAGAGGTTTGATTGATTCACAGTTCTACAGGCTGTACAGGAAGCATGGCTGAGAAGCCTCAGGAAACTTACAATTATGGCAGAAGACAAAGGGGAAGCAAGCATGTCTTACCATGGCAGAGCAGAAGAGAGAGAGATAGGGAGAGAAGGGGGAAGTGCCACACACTTTTCAAACAATCAGATCTTGTGAGAACTCTATCTCAAGAACAGCAAGGAGGAAGTCTGCCCCCATGATCCAATCACTTCCTACCAGACCCCTCCTCCAACACTGGGAACCACAACTCAACATGAGATTTGGGTGGGGATACAGAGCCAAACCATATCAGAGATCATTTGTATTCCAAACCTCAGCATCATGCCATACACCCATGTAACAAATCCATATATGTACCCCTTGAATCTAAAATGGAATTTAAAATTATTTTTAAAAATATTTTGAGTACAAAAATAGCTGTTGAATGAATAAATTTTCAGAGGACTGTCTACCTGCAGAGGCAGAATGCTTCACTCCCCTCTTACTGAGGTTTCCCCTTTACCGTGTTGCTGCCATCTTTAGGCACACAACCCTGTACCACCAGGATGGCTCATCCACATTTCCCTTTACAGCAGGCCTGGTCCTGCTCTTCTCTTCATTAATCAGTGGAGTAATTCTTGGATATTGTAGTAAGGTCAAAGAGATCTACCCATCTGTACCTCCCTCTGAGACATTAGTCTTTCCTCCCTAATCCTAATACTGATCAATTACCTCTTCTTAATATTCAGTTAAAGAATTATGTTTTCCTTTCTTATCATCCCTGGAACATTAGTGTAGAACACCAGCCTTATATGACATGTTCACAGTATTTAAATGCAAATCCAACTTTTTACAGGATTTATATGTTTGCTTAACAGGGTAAGAGGTTTTCAAATGCTTAGATAATTTTAATGTTTTAGCAATTTATGGAAATCATGTGGCAAGAAGGTATATTTTTGTATACAAATAAAAATTGGAGGCATTATAAACCATTGAGAAGCTCTGCTGAATTATCTTTTTCTAAAAGTATTGAGTAGTTCACAGCATGGTCTCAAATAATTTGCCTCTTTTTAAGAATAATAAAGAATAATATTTATTTCAAAACTGTATTATGAAGACCTTTCAATTTGCAGGGCATTTTGTTAGAAGCAAGGAATACAAAGATAAATGAGTCTATCCCTGCCTTCACATAGCTTTTATTTTAGTAAGAAAAATAGACTGGAAAGGATATCTTCAATATAGTGAAGCAAGGTTTTTTTCTTTTTGAGACGAAGTCTCACTCTGTCTTCCAGGCTGGAGTGTAGTGGTATGATCTTGGCTCACTGCAGTCTCTGCCTCCCGGGTTCAAATGATTCACCTGCCTCAGCCTCCTGAATAGTTGGGATTACAAGTGTGTACTACCACACCCTGCTAATTTTTTTTGTATTCTTTTGTATTTTTAGTAGACACAGAGTTTCACCATGTTGGCCAGGCTGGTCTCAAAGTCCTGACCTCAAGTGATCTGCCCACCTCAGCCACACAAGGTAAGCAAGTTTTATATCATGAATTTGAACTTGGTGTTGTGGGACTGCAGGAAGGAAGAAGTAAATCAAACAATCAGGAGAGGATGAGAGAAGCTGTCTGGAGGTTAGCAGAATTATGAGTTAGCCTGGTGACGTAAGGAGTGAGCTGGAAACTCCAGCAAAGGAAAAATGTGAACAAAGTCCCAGAAGAATAAAATAGCATGGTGAAAGGAAAAGTGGCAAGGGTCTGTTACGGGTGAAGTGCAAAGACCAAGGAATGAAGGGTATTGGAAGGGCCTAAAGAGAAATGGAGGGGACAGTTATCACAGAAGACCTCACGTTTGAGGATAAGCAGTGCAAGGCATTATCTTGGAAGATACGGCTGGAGTTCTATACATGTTGGGAGCCATAGAGGATATAGTTAGAAAGAAAAGCAAAGACCATACCATTGGCCATCTTTTTTATGTTAAAAATTTTCAGCTTTAACCTATAGGAAGTATTCAGCCACTGAAAGTTTCATAGTGAAAAAACAATGAACATTATATTTTAGAAATCTCTTCCGTAAATTATTTGGACCTAATCAAATTTATGTAAATTATATTTTACAAACTGATGTACACAGCATCATGCCTATCACTTGCTAATACTTAGGTATCAATGCCATTTGTTAAGGAAAATTACTGTGTATCTGTCACAGCATTTTCTGAGAAAATCACTTGCAATTATATTAAGCCATAAAAGGGTGTTCCTTAAAATAGCCTATTGACCTACTTTGAGTAAAGGTCTGTAAAAATATAACAAAATATTTTTCAGTAAGATATATATGTTCATGGTTGAAACCATGGAGCTTTTATAAACAACCTAAATCGCTAAACAATAGATTTTCTCAAAACTTTCCAAAGTAGAGTCACTGCAATAATGACTAGAAAAAAACTGTAAAACTTCTGTCTTTTAAAGTTGTCCTTCATTTTTAATTATGTTGCAATTGCCAGTATTTCTGACAGGAACACCTCCAACTATCCCAAAAGATGGTATACATTTTTATCACAGCAAGGAAAACAGGAACCAATCACGGAAAATGAAAGGAAATATATTATCTAGATGAACAGATACACAAGTATATATATTAAGGGAAGAAAAATATAATCTGTTGTTTAGATGTGCCTTGTTCCTAAAGGGAATTCCTTATGTCAAAAGGAGTTGTAAAAAAAATTCTCAAGGGAAATCTCTTGCATTAAGTTACAAATTAATTTCTATAATGTTTAATTCAGAATGTCTGCTCATTCAGCCAGTGTGGCTGACAAGCAAGGAATGAGCCTCTTGGCTTAAACATGAGATTAATGCCTCTTTTGACTTGGGATTCTCATTCCACAGTAAGGGGTACTGGTTATGACATTCTACTTCTGGTGGGAATATCCTTACCCTATGCTAGTTCAGGCAGAAAACCTCATGGAATAGATGTCATATCAAGGGTACTTTTACAGATCCTGACAAAGTCATTCTTATTTGGGGAAGACCACTCCAAATCATAGATAACAAGTAGTATCAAATGAAAACATAAAGGAATAAATAAGTATTTTCTATAGTTACACGTAGGAAAACCATTGTTTTAACATTTTTCTCAGATATGCAACATATTAAATAAGATTAAAATTCTTAGATTGGCATATTCCTACAAATTTGTAATTCCATACCTACTTTATGAACTAAGAAAGTTCTAGAACATTTCTGAAAGTTATCATTGTTCTCTCCACCATTACTGCTCTAAAATCAGCATTTTCTGACTCTCATTTCTACACTATGTTTATTCATAAATCATAGGAAAAGAAGTTTACCAAGACAGATGCCAAGTCCTTCCCAAGATTTCTCATGGTTAGGGCCATGAGTAGAAAAAAATGTGAAGCTTATTGTTAGCAATTGTTACTGATTGGTAACTTGTTATTATTAGTAACTTGTTACTGATAACATTATTAATAACTTGTTACTGACAATACTTATAACGCCAAATTTGCATGGTTAGTGAATAATACCTTTAATTTAACTATCCAGCTTTTCAGTAATGAAAAGAATGGGAATTGCATACTCCCAGGGAAGGTGGGTCAGGGAGCGATGATGAAACAGAAGTCAAGGGCCAGGCACAGTGGCTCAAGCCTGTAATCTGTAATCCCAGCATTTTGAGTTTTGGGAGGCTGAGGTGGGAGGGTTGTTTGAGGCCAGGAGTTCAAGGCACTAGTGAGCTATGATTGTACCGCTGCACTCCAGCCTGGGTGACACAGCGAGATGCTGTCTCAAAAAAAAAGAAAGGAAAAAAAAAGAGAGAGAGAAAGAAAGAAAGGTAAAGAATGAAAAAAAAATGGAAGTCATAAATCTATCATGAATCTATCTTTTTTTAAAGACATGAAAACTCACAACTTTTTCAAGATAGGAAATGAGGTCCCACCATGATTGTCTCCAGCTCACTGATGCTCCACCTCTACCCACAACCATGTGAACCTGATTTGAGTGCTACTGTGATTAAGACTTACTTTTAAATCTGCCAATAATTTGAATACCTTATATATGATTAGATACTGTGTGAGATGAATAAGCACCTTGAAAGGGCACTGTCACTGCCTTTAAGAAAAAGAAAAGACTAATAAACCCAATAAACGTTGGAGAAAGTAACACACTATAAGTGCAAAGTATGTAGTATTGATGTTATATGCAAAAAGCAATCAAAAGACTGGAGGGATTACTGTAGGCCTAAGGAATTGGAAGAACTGGAATTATGCCTTTATTTAGATTTTAAAAAGTAAGATCTGGTAGGTGGAGAGCAAGTAGAAGACTTCATGGGAAAGAGGTATACGTAGCTTTCACAAAAGCAGAGAGGATGCAATAACATTGAAAATTTGGGAAATAGCAAGGGAACCGATTACCTAAAGCAGTGGCTTTTTGTGGAAAATGAGCCTCGAAACCAATGCAGCTTATTTACAAATAGGTAGTTATTTTGGAAAATATTCTCTCCCTCCCTCTCTCTTTCTGATCTATCATCTATCTATCTATATATCATCTATCAAGTTTACTAATTCCAAGTTGAATCACAGAAAGGAAAAAAGATAAAGAAGAGAATACTGTATAAAGGTAACAGCCTCTGTGATGTCCTGGAGGCAAATATTTGTGATTTTTTCACTTTTAAGTGAAGGATTACTCATCCTTGATATCTATTCTGCACCTGGGACTGACTTCCAGCCATGGATACAAAAACCCAGGAGGAAGTTGGATAAAAGCACAAGCCTCCATGACATACATGAGCACACATGACAGCCACATAGTAAAACCAACAGAAAGGAAGCCAAAATTCTAATTCCATTAGCTAAAACCGTCTCCTTAATAGGTAGCCAGGCTCTGTTCTAAGAAAATATATCTCATGGGAACACTCTGGGTGAAATCATATTCCATGATATAATCAGCAGACATGAAAATTCCTACTGGTTAGTTTGGAAAATTATTGCAATAGTTGAAGTTGGTGTATATGCCAAATTAGAAGCAAATTATTAATGAGAAATTGCATACATATATTTAAAAATTCTCATTTTACCATTAACAAGGACAGGAAATTCAGTTTGAGAGCTTTCAATTAAACGTCAGTTAGGAAGGATTTCATGTGTTATAGGAAATTGAATTTTAATGCCTCTTAATTTATTCCACCAAGTTCTGGGACAATATGGATTATGTAGCCCTCATGAGCAAAAGGAGTCATTGCAGTGAGGTTGAGTTCTGGAGCAGTGCTTTCTGGCAGGCCTTTTGGCACACTGAAATGGGAACTTGATGGCCCATGAGAGCAACGGCCAGGTTTCTCCTTCAGTGAATCGGAGAAATGAGCTCCTTGGCTTAAACATCAGGAGTAAGACATTTACCTAGAATATTTCACCTTTTCATGGAATTCCAGCTTGTCAGCAACTGTGACTGATCAGGACTGGGAGGAGGAAGAATTTCACTTTATATTTAGATGAGCCAGGAAACAAGTTCAGCTCCTTCTGAATTTGACATTGATCAGAGAGGTAGGTTAACCTTCACCACCACCTGTGTTTCTTTCCTTTTTCCATTCTTTTTGGTTGGGAATAAAAAAGATGTAAAACCTTGAATGTAATGACCTGATATAATAAATCTCCACTCCAAATCTCTACCTATCAATCTATCCATCCATCCATACATATATAAATAATATATTTCATATCCATTTTTAAATAGATATTTCATATATATATCAGATATTTCTCATATATATATATATATATATATGCTAAAAACCACCCAAAAATTCACCATATTGAGATTTTTTTCCTTTAAGATTTGCCTGGGCATTTTCCACTAGAGACTAATGGAGCTACACAAATTCAACCTGTGACGTTCCTTTGCACTTAAAATGTATCTATAAAACGGTGTCTGTGGGCTCTCTGCTCAGAATCATTTATTTTTTGATGGGCCCAAATGATGAATAAACCATTATGAGCTTTCTCTTGTGTGAATTCTGGGTGTGACTGTCAATTTCATATGTCAGCTTGGCAAGGCATGCTACCCAGATATTTGGTCAATCACCAATCTAGATGTCTCTGCAAAGGTATTATTTAGATGAGATTAGCACTTGAATCAATAGACTTTGAGCAAAGTAGATTACCCTCTACAATGTTGGGTGAGCCTCATCCAATTAATTGAAGGCCTTAAATGAAAAAGACTGAGGTTCTCCAACAAAGAGAGAATTCTCTCTCCAGACTGCCTTTGGACTTGAAATGCAACATCAACTCTTTTCTGGCTCTCCAACCTGCTGGCCTGCCCTATAGATTTTGGAGTTACCAGCTCTCACAATTGTGTGAGCCAGTTCTTTAAAATCTCTCTCTCTCTCTCTCTCTCTCTCTCTCTCTCTATGTGTGTGTGTGTGTGTATGTATATGTATATATGTATATATATATGTATATGTATATATGTGTATATATATTTTTTTCCTTTTCATATATATAGAAAAAAATCCATTTTGAGAGCTTTCAACTAAAGGTCAGTTAAGGATTTCATGTCTCTCTTTCACACACACACACACACACACACACACACACACACAGATTCATTGTTCTGTTTCTCCATAGAAGAACCATGAGGACAGACATTAGTATATGTGTGTGAGTGTGTATGTCTTGTGGCCTGAGGTTTAATTCTTGTCTCCAGATAGTCTGGGTAAAGGGATTTTCAGACTGTAGTGATCATCCCCATCACAGGGAATCAGGACACAAAGTGATTTTCTGGGCCCCACAATCAAAAATTCTGCATTGGTTTGTCTGGGATGAGGTTCAGGAAACCTGCTTTTTCTACCTAGTACCCTGAGATTTTCCCAATGTAATTGTTCTATACAATTTAGTTAGAAGCAATGCCCTCGGGAGCGTCACTTTATCAAGATGTTGTAGGAGATTATACGTTATTGGTAACAAGGCTTTCAGAACAATAAAATATTCCCTCAAGTTTGAGTGTGGTGCTAGGGAAATACAATGGACCTCTGTTGTTGTTTTCTCCTAGATTCTGATTCAAACTTTTTAGGGAAATAAAAAGTAACTTCAGAATCAGGTAAATAAGATTCTAAACTCCATGGCACTTGTAGAACCAAGTTAAAAATCATTGAATTTGTGTGACCCATTGACATCATCCTCCACAGGACAATTTCTCTGTTGATTTGGAATAATCAGAAGAGATTCTAAGTTATTCATGACAGGCAGCCAGCCACCCACCTTCAGCCTGAGCACTTCTAATAGAAACAGAGCAGCTAATATGCAGTGTGTAATATTTCATGCTGTTAGTTCTTCTATAATCATTAACTCACTAACTTGCCAAACATCTATAAAGCATGGACTATATCTCCAGTACTGGGGAAGACATGAGAACGTAAGAATAAAACAGTTCTTATTCATATGCAGTTCATCACTACTTAAACATATAAGGCACTTTACACAAACACAAAGAAATCACAATGGAGGCCGGGCGCGGTGGCTCACGCCTGTAATCCCAGCACTTTGGGAGGCCGAGGCGGGCGGATCACGAGGTCAGGAGATCGAGACCATCCCGGCTAAAACGGTGAAACCCCGTCTCTACTAAAAATACAAAAAATTAGCCGGGCGTAGTGGCGGGCGCCTGTAGTCCCAGCTACTTGGGAGGCTGAGGCAGGAGAATGGCGTGAACCCGGGAGGCGGAGCTTGCAGTGAGCCGAGATCCCGCCACTGCACTCCAGCCTGGGCGACAGAGCGAGACTCCGTCTCAAAAAAAAAAAAAAGAAAAAAGAAAAAAAGAAATCACAATGGAATGCTTCTAATCAAAGCTTTAAATGTACCGATCTTTTCCAAGTGATGAACATACTGAATTAAATAGTAAAATATGTATAGCATGGATTTTCAAATAAGACAGATCTGATTTTCTAGATGTGACCGTAGTTGAGTGACTTAATTTTCTAAATTGGAAAATGGAGATAATCATAGTCTCTACCTCATAGGGTAAGTATGAGGGTTAACCAAGATAATGCCTATAAAATACTCCTACAGTGTCTGAAATATAATGAGTGCCTCATAAATAACTATTAAAAATGTATAAGCAAACTGTAATTTTCAAGTGTTATGGAAAGGTAAGAAATTATTTATTGATAGTTTACTACATTGCATGCATTCTGTACAAGGTATTTTACATACATACTACAATCAAAAAAGAGGTACAATTTACGCTGCCCTCTAAGAGACTAGAAATAATCAGACCGTTGTTTTCTTTTTTTTTTTTTCTAAATTGTGAATGGAGTAAAATGCATTAGGCTTCCTGAGAGATTTTAATAAACATACTGAAACATACTGAAGGTGTTTTAACCTACCACAATGATTTTGTCATACAGAGTGAAATGGTGGTGCCCACAAATTCATTTTTACAGCATTGATTTTCTACATGTTAGCGTAACAACCAGCAAGCAACTGTCCCCAGGCTGTGATGAAGCGCTGTGAGATGTCTTTCCCAGAAACAGTGTAACTTTGCCCTAAACCATCTGCCTCTTCAGTTACTACTTGTTGCCAAGCTATCACGATGTCATGTGTGCCGTGTAAGTAGAGTATGGAGCTATGGAACAGACTGTTGCTAACTGGGCTAAAAAATTCCGACCTACACTTTCAACATTAAAGAAGCCATCTGCTTGCTAATTAAAATTCCCAGCCAGAGACTCTACTCCCTACCTAATAAATATTAATTAGAGCCTGCAAATTCAAAGCAAGAATTATCTTCATGTTTGCATTTCAGTTATTTGATTCATAGCCCAAAGTAAATCCCCTGATTCTATGCATTATTATATCACTCACAAGTTTACATTCAACCATCTAATCATCTAATCATTCTAATATCTATGCAACAAATAATACCAATCACTTATATATCTAAAGCAGTGTTTTGTGTGATACTGAAATGTGGAGACCCTCTTTAGGTAGCAGCAATCACTGTGTTACATAAATTAAAAAAATGCACACAAAACTTCTGATACTCATTTCCATGTGTAATGAGATTCTGTTTCCTTGAAAAGAAGAAAAAAGCTAGATTAAGTAATTCAGACAAAAATCAGATCTCTAAGGTCCTTTTGGGTCTACCTTTCCTTCTGTGCATGAGATCTACTAACATCTGTTTAATGGCCAGTGACTCAGAAGAAAATTGCAACTCTTCATTCATTTGTATATTCAACAAGTAATTATTGAGTGCTTTTCATAGGCCAGACACTGCTAGACACTACATATGCAGAAATAAATAAGAGAGACGTGATCACTGGATTCCGAGTTAACAACCTAGAAGCACAGGCACAAAGTAATCAAGAAGATAAGTAAATAAATATAAGTATTCGATAAGTATTCTGAGGGAAATAACCAAGATGCTGTGATAGAGCTAACTTACATGAGCTAGACAGGTCCCAGAAGGTGACATTTAAACTTTCTATTTAAAACTGGAAATAAGCCAATATTGTGAGGGTCACTGAGAGGGTCATATAAGCAAAGGGATGAAAGGTGTGTATGCATGCACATGCGTGTGCATGGAAAGGACAGAAAGTAGATATAAGGTACGATAAGAGTGTGTATGTGAAGGCTGAATGGGAAATTAATAACCTCTGAGATGTATTATAATTTATCGTTCTCTCGACATACCCACATCTGCTTGTCATTGTGTGAATCGTCAACAAAGAACTACCAAGAAGTAAGGATATTTCTGTTAAATAAGTCAAAAAGGAATGAAGCCTTCCTCACCTTGATGATAATGGGGCTTCAATACTAATGTTAGTGTCATTGGCCCAGCTAGAGATTTTCTCTTCCAGGTGACCAGCTGGTATAAGCAGGACTGAAGGACGCATCACTAGGATGCAGGCTTGTTGTAGGATTTGCTTTATAATTCTTCAATGAAGCATGATTCTTGGCTTCACTTCAGAAGGGAGCATGATTCTTTTTGCTGCAAGGCCACTGACTATGTTCTCATAAGGTCAAAGCCAGTGTAAATGGAACTCTATCCTGAAGCCACAAAACACAGTTTGAGTTTGTTTATATTTCAGACCTCTCACAACTGACTTTCGCCCAAATCTCTCCTTGCTGTTTATTAGCCAGCATCTTGCTGGCTGGGTCGATAACCTGCTTGAGAGCACATTGTAGCTGGAGGCACTATGCTTGGTTCTCCTTTGCTCCATGCTTATTTGCTAATCACTGCAGAGCTGGTATTCAGTCTGTGCCCTTCCCTCCAAAAAATAAATTCCTTTAAACTGAAAGAGCTGGCAGTTACTCTCTGACTCCCCAAAACCTTGACCATTAATCTGATGATTAGATTTTGGTTTATAGTTAAAAATCCAGTGACTATAATGACCAATTATTTTATTCCCTTTATGGTGTCGTGCACTTAATCCAGAAAGTTCTTCTGCATTACAGTCTAATACAGCAATCCCCAGACTTTTTGGAACCAGAGACTGGTTTTGTGGAAAAGGATTTTTCCATGGACAGGGGTGGGGGATGATTTTGGGATGAAACTGTTCCACCTCAGATCATCAGGCATTAGTTAGATTCTCATAAGGAGAATCTAAATAAGATCAACCTAGACCCCTCACATGTGCAGTTCACAATAGAGTTCATGCTCCTAAGACAATCTAATGCTGCTGCCTGTCTGACGGGAGGTGGAGCTAAGGGGGTAATGCTTGCTGGTAATGCTCACTGGGAACCCCTGGTCTAATAGATTTTTGTCTACATGTTCTTTTGCATAAACAAATCCTCCTTTGCCTAAAACACTGTCCCCTGTAGATCTAAATCCCAAGTACCCCTCCTGTAAGGTTTCCTGTAAGAGAAAGTGAAGCCAAGAATAAGTGAAACGAGTTCCCTATCATAGTAATCTCTTTATTTTAAATGTTCTGTCTCTTATTAGCACTGACACTCATTAGGTAGTGATAACACCATCCATCAGCAGGCTTTTTTCTTATGTGGCCCCTAATTAAGCTGTAAACTCTAAGGATGTAAGACTATATCTCCCACTTTGTTTTGCTCAGCATTCTGTTCCAAAGGATAAGTGCTCAATGGCAGGCCTATCCTTACTACTTTCCTGTAAAAATTATACACATTCTTTAAGTTTTTCTGTAGTATTTATCAACACTGATGACTCAGTGAAAAAAAGATCATGGGGTTTTAATTCAGATAGACCAAAGCCTGAAAAACAACAGCTCTGCTCATTAGCTAAGTCACCTTGGAAATTAGATCCAGTGGCATGCCCATGAGTATCTAAAATTCTTTCTAGATTGGGAAGAATATCCATTTCTGGAAGTCCATGTGGGAAGTAGGAAACTGTTTTCAATTGGAGAGCTGAAGGGGAACAAAAGTCTCTCCTTTCTCACACCTATTCACAGTCAGGCATGGATGAGACAGAGGCTCCCATCTAGGACTCTGAATCTTCAGTCAGTGTCACCAAGATGAAGGAGCGGTTAATAGTGAATTCATTGCATAGTGTCCAGTGGTGGCTGGGGTGTTGTCTAGAGCTATGAAGAACAAGTGGTGAGCAGAGGGGTCCTGCTATGCCATTCCTATGGTGTAGCCTTTGCTATGGTTCCTGCTTTTAGACTCCCTTGATTTCTGTCCATTTTCCAGGGTAACTTCTCCAGCCTTTGTGCTGTTTTCCTTTGCTGGTTAAGTTAAGCAGAGTTGTTTTCCCAGGTTGGCAACTAAAAATCATGACGATAGGCTTGTTTAAAAAACTGAGATGATAATATCTGCCCCCTTTTTATCGAAATAAAATATTATTTATAGGCCGGGTGCGGTGGCTCATGCCTATAATCCCAACACTTTGGGAGGCTGAGGCAGGCAGATCACCTGAGGTTGGGAGATCCAGACCAGCCTGACCAACATGGAGAAACCCCATCTCTACTAAAAAAAATACAAAATTAGTGGGGCGTGCTGGCAAATGCCTGTAATTCCAGCTATTTGGGAGGCTGAGGCAGGAGAATCACTTGAACCCAGGAGGTGGAGGTTGTGGTGAGCCTAGATTGGGCCATTCCACTCCAGCGTGGGCAACAAGAGCGAAATTCCATCTCAAAAATGAAAAATTATTTATAAAATGTATAACAGGGAGCCTGCAACATGGGAATAAATCAATAGTTAATAGTTATTTTTAAACAACAATTAAATCGTGTTCACTTTGTTATTTGCCATTTTCTATGCCTTTACTCCAAATAATGAATCTGTAAGCATCAACCTGCTCTTTGGGGAGTCTGCAGATAAATTGTACTTTTTGTTGTTTAATTCTTTTATTAAAGTGCTTTGGTCAACTCTGCTCACATTTGGCTTAAGCCAGCTCTTCTTAAAAGAGATGCTTGGCTGCATTTGCTGCTAGCCCATCTCCATACATCTTCCCAGCCCAGAGAGGCCAGGGAGCTTCACTTACATGACATCATTGCTGCTATTCTGTTGGTGAATGTTCATCACAGTCTGGAAGTGATTATGACGAAACCGTTAAACCTGGGCTATGTGATTGCAGTAGGAAATCCATATACAAGCATTCCTGATGTCTTCCCAACCCCCTTATCTGACAGTTATCCATCTTTCCTCTAGATGCCCTCAGCACTAACTCTGTGCCATTCAGTGATAATATACCAGCTGCTACTTTGAATTTTAGTTATTTGAGGTGCATTTCTTATCCTTTTTGGACAGAATTGTAAGATTCTTTAAGGTTGGATCTATGACTGCATTATGTAATACATACAATGCCTGATATATAGATGGTAGCTGAAAAAAAATAATAATTACTTAAAAGTTAATGTAATTAGAAACTACAGAGGATTACGCTGAAGTATTGCTAGGATGTTCAGCATATTGTCCAGCTTTTTTTCTAATTTGAATAAATTAGAAAATTTAAATAAAATTGTTAAATTCCTGGACAAATATAGCACATGGAGTTTAAATCAAGAAGAAACATAATTTAGGGGTTGGGCATGGTGGCTCATGCCTGTAATCCCAGCACTTTGGGAGGCCCAGGCAGGTGGATCACCTGAGGTCAGGAGTTCAAGACCAGCCTGGAGAAATGGAGAAACCCTGTCTCTACTAAAAATACAAAAATTAGCCAGGGGTGGTGGTGGGCCCCTGTAGTCCCAGCTACTCAGGAGGCTGAGGCAGGAGAATCACTTGAACCCAGGAGGCAGACATTGGGTTGAGCCGAGATTTTGCCACTGTATTCCATCCTGGGTGACAGAGTGAGACTCCGTCTCAAAAAAAGAAAAGAAACGTAACTTATGAATATTTCCATCACTATCAAAAGTCTTCATCAATGTTTCCATGAAGAGAACACTATGCTCAGCTGAGTTTTGCCAGTGAAATTTGCTGCGATTATTTATAGATAATAAATTGACCACATATAAAAATACACTATAAAGCTGATAAATAATAATCAATTTAGAATGATGGCTGACTATTAAGTCAATATACAAAAATCATATGCATTTCTAGAGAAATGCAAATTAACACCACAATAAGATACTATTTCACAGCAGTCAGAATGGCTATTAATGAAAAGTTCAAAATAACAGATGCTGGTGAGGTTGCAGAGAACAGGGAATGCTTCTACACTGCTAGTGGGAGTGTAAATTAGTTTAACCACTATGGAAAGAAGTGTGGTGATTACTCAAAGAACTAAAAACAGAATTACCATTTAACCCAACAATCCCACTGCTCGGTGTATACCCAAAGGAATAGAAATTGTTCTGTGATAAAGGCATATGCACACACATGTTTATTGCATCACAATTCACAATAGCAATGACATGGAATCAACCTAAATGCCCATCAATGGTAGACTGGATAAAGAAAATGTGATACATATACACCATGGAATGCTATGCAGCCATGAAAAAGAATGAGGTTATGTACTTTGCAGGAACATGGATGGAAATGGAAGCTATTATCTTTAACAAACTAATGCAGGAATAGAGAACCGAATACGGCATGTTCCTACTTATAAGTGCGAGCTGAATAATGAGAACACATGGATAGAAAGAGGAGAGCAACAGACACTGGGGCCTACTTGAGGGAGAAGGGTGGGAGGAGAACAAGGTTCAGAAAAAAAGAAAACTATTGGGTAATATTCTTAGTACTCAGGTAATGAAATAATCTGTACACCAAAGCCCTGAGTCACAAGTTTACCTACATAACAAACCTGCGCATGTACCACTGAACCTAAAAGTTAAAATATTTAAAAAATGGTATATCATGCAATAACCTAGCATAATTATTTGAATGTACTGATAGTAGTGAGCGATAACAGTAACAAATGAAATAATCACTATAAGGAATAAACTAAATACAACATAAAAAATATATGATTTATGAAGAACAGACTATACAGTAAGAAAAGCAATTAAAGGGCCCAAAAATCATTAAAAAATTACTTTGCAGCAAATTTAAAAAGAAGACCTAAAGAAATGGTGATAAATACCATGATCATGACTAGAGATTAATTTATAAGGTTGTAATTGTCATTTCTCCCTATACGGCTCCATAAATTTTATGTAATTTCAATAAAAAACAATCATAAGGTTTGAAAGCAAGTTACTGGCAAAAGTAATATACAAAAGCAAAATCCAAAAATAGTCAGGATAATAAAGAAGAATAAGATTACCCAGTGCTTAGCCTGAGTTCCCTAGAAAATTTGATGTGCTAATGCTTCATGAATGGATATAATCCCAGATATATATGTGTGAGGGAAAAACAGAAGTGTGGCAAGGAGGAAGAATTTATTTATAGCCCAAAATAAAATAATAATTAAAAAATGTCTAAAATTTGGTAAGGGGAATGAATCTAAAGAGGCTGCATGAATGCAATGAATTGACTAAAAACACTGATTTTCCAGAATAATCCTTAGGGTTGAGGAAAAAATGTTTTTCTTCAGGTTCCTTCTCCTCTTCTGTCTCTCACTGGTCAGATTGGTCCGTGTAGCTTTAACTTCCTGCAAATACTCCCTGGCTCTTCTGGGCACTTCCTAGGGACTCCAGATGCCGCAACAGTAGCAGAAACTACAGCATGAACCATACTTTGGGGTGAGCAAGCCAGTGGACATGAGCCAGCAATCATCCCAATCTGCAGGATCTAACTGCAACCACCCAGGCTTAACGAGGCAAGCCAGTGTTTGCACATAGATGCAAGAAAATCTCAAAGTATCAAGACCTGGCAAGGAGGGAAACTCTTATTCTGTGTTGGTGGGATTGGTATAACTACTATGGAGATTGTAACTACTGTGAAAAACAATTTTTCATCATTTTGTTAAGTTGAACATTTGTATATGTCTTGACCCTGTTTGCAAATGTAAAATTACTTGTTTTTAAACAGCCAGAACAATGACAAAGATTGCTCATAAGAGAAGTTTTCACAACAGCAAAATAACGGAAACAATTCATGATGAGTGGATAAAAAAATGTGGCGATTCCTCAAGGATCTCGAACTAGAAATACCATTTGACCCAGCCATCCCATTACTGGGTATATACCCAAAGGATTATAAGTCATGCTGCTATAAAGACACATGCACACGTATGTTTATTGTGGCACTACTCACAATAGCAAAGACTTGGAACCAACCCAAATGTCCATCAATGATAGACTGGATTAAGAAAATGTGGCACATATACACCATGGAATACTATGCAGCCATAAAAAAGGATGAGTTCATGTCCTTTGCAGGGACATGGATGAAGCTGGAAACCATCATTCTCAGCAAACTATCACAAGGACAGAAAACCAAACACCGCATGTTCTCACTCATAAGTGGGAATTGAACAATGAGAACGTATGGACACAGGAAGGGGAACATCACACACTGGGGCCTGTCGTGGGGAGGGGGGAGGGGGGAGGGATAGCATTAGGAGATATACCTAACATAAATGACGAGTTAATGGGTACAGCACACCAACATGGCACATGGATACATATGTAACAAACCTGCACATTGTACACATGTACCCTAGAACTTAAAGTATAATAATAAAAAATGGCTTGTTATATTAACACAATAGAATAATGCAGCATTGAGAAAATGAATGAATTATATCTACACACAAATTCATAGATAAATATAAGAATTATAATAAAGGAAACAAGCATTCTTTAGAAGATGGCATACAGTATACCAATTTTATAAGTATCAGAAAACAAGCTTGTCATGATATATATGGAAACACCATGACTGTATGTAAGTGAATGACAGATTCAACTTAGTCTTCACCTCTTGGGAAGACACAAATAAATGGAATACGGAAATAGTGCTCAAGTAGCTACACATTAAGGTAATTAGTCACATTCCAGTTCTACAGAGGAGTGTTGCCATTATGGTGTTCATTTTGTCACCTTCGCTGGAAGACATTACTGCAGTAGCCATCTTGTGAGTCCTTCAGTGGCCTCTTGGTTTTGTCTCCCCATTGTTTGCTCCCCTCCCAGCATACACGGTAGAGTACTAAGACAATTCTATGAACCTGGACATCACACTTTTAAAAGACTAGCTTGATGTTAACTTTCGCATGACATGAATAGAAAAGTTAGAAAATCTATATAATAATTCCATGACTCCTCCTGTGTTCTCTACCTTAAGGATTAGTACAAACGTCTTCCAAATTGCATGAGTGAGAAGCATGGATAACATACATGACTCTTGCCCCACCCACTCCCATCTCACCTCTACTAAATTGCCAACTTTTCTCACTTAAAGCCACACAGTATCTTTTGAAACTGTCTACTTTTCTCCATTTTTTTTCTGCTACTACTCTAGACAAGACAACCATGTTACAAAGCCCTCTAGATTATTGCAATGTAATTGTTTCCCCACTTCCTCCTTCCATGTCCCCCCAATATTTTCTTTATGCCATGTAGCAAGTTCCTTTTTCCCTAGACACAAATTGAATTGCTCTCTAACTTAGAAGATTCCCCATGGGCCTCAGGATAAAATGCAACTTTCCCAACATCTGCTGTATATCCCTGCTAGTTTATCTGGCCCTTGTGCCCCCTCAGGTTTCATCTGTCGATATTATTCTTTTGATTACTGCCCAGCTATTCTAAGCTTCTGACTATTCCCATGTTTCTCTTGGTTGCCCATGTTTCACATGCCTAGAATGACCTTCTACAAATCCCTGACTGACTACTTCCTGCTCCTTAGAATAACATAGCTTATGCACACCTCATAATGTTGGTCTCTGTAGAGTGATTACCCATATCTCCTACATATTCCCACACAACTTAGACTTATTCTTATCACATACTTATTGCCAGATTCAGATCTTAGAAGCCACAAGCACTGAGAAGTCAACAGTTTTCTTCCTAGCCTGCCATGTGTAATTCAAAATAAAAATGATACTGAACCATAAAGTAAGTACACAGAAATCTAACAAAGTGCTGATTTTTCCCAGTATGACTATGTGCTTTTTGTGTTGAAAAATCAACTCTGCAATTAAAAAAAGTGATGTCCCTATATTGCTTTGACCCTAATGAAAACTGGCTTTTTCACTGAATAATTTACTATTGCATGCATTTACTGTGATGTTTTAAAATCGTCTGTCTTCTTATATCTTTCTACCTCAAGGGTATAGATTATGCCTTGTTAACTACTTGATCTCAGTGTCTGTCCCAGAATAGCTGCTCCATACACATTGTCAATGGAAGGAAGAAATAAATGAATAAATGGCCATAGATTGTCACATTTTTGCCTTGCAGCTAATTATAAAAATGACCTCTTAGTTTCCCAATTCACTTGTACCCTTCTCAGAAATAAATTTCATGTATGAGAACCAAGCCACCAAACTAAATGAGTAGACAATTATTCCATGACTGCATTTTAAATATTCCTGAAATAGTATTCTTCCAAATGGTGTATGCTTCAGCCAAAATAGTTCAAAAGTGACTTCTACTTTTTCAAAATTAACAAAAAGCCATTAGAGATGGAAAACATTAGAAGACAAATAAACCTCACCTTTTCAAGTATTTTATTTTCCAAATAGACAATCTGGAGGCATCATTTTTCAATTTACGGTAGACCTCATTATCTACATGTGCATTAAAAAATGCTCCAAATGTAGCAGCTTAAAACCGCAAACATTTAATTTTAATTTTAATTATTTATCTCACAGTTTCTGTGAGTCAGGAATGGGGGCAGCTTAGTTAGGTAGTTCTGCTCAGAGTCTTTATGAGGCTCCTATCAAGATGTTGGCCAAGGATGCAGTCATCTCTGACTTGACTGGGTCTCACATGAATATTTACAGGCGGCTTTGTCTTCTTGCACATGGGTCTCTCCATAGGACTGCTGTTCATGCCATGGTTTCCCCCCGAAAGAGTAATGTGAGAGTGAAAAAGTGAGTGTGGGGTATGTGTGTGTGTGTGAAAGAGACTGAGAGAGACCTGAGAGAGAACCCACAGTCTTTTATAATCTTATTTTTGAAGTAGAATATCATCATGTCCTTTTATTGGTCCTAGTACACTTCTTTGAAGGGGATTCACATAAAAGCATGAAGATGACTAGGGGGTGATGTTGTTGGCTGCCATTGTGGAGTCTACCACAAGAAAAATTCTGAAGAAGTGTATGGCATGATCTGACTTATGTTTAATTATTCTGGATGCATTGTGGAAAAAATAATATAAAGAATCAAGAGTAGAAACATGTAGACCAGTACGAAGCCATTGAAATAACTGAGAAAATAGATGTTAGATTGTTGGTCACAAAAGGATGGTAGAAGTAGTGATATTGAGAAGTGGTCAAGCTCTGTGTATATTTTGAAGGTAGAAACAAGAAAATTTACTGAGGGTTTGGATATGAAGTTGAGGAAAATAGAAAAATTAAAGACAAAGCCAGAATTTAAGAAACTGGATGAATGGTGGCAACGTGTATTAAGAAGAAGATTGTGACAGAAGCCAATTTGGTGAGTGGGAGAGGGAATAAAAAAATCTGGTTGAAACGCATTATTAAGTTTGAGATGCCTACTAGACATACAAGTAGCAAGGTCAAGTAGGCTGTTAAGTTTACACATCTTGATTACATGGGAGAGGTTGAGGCTGTAAGTATAAAAAAATGTGAATAAGATAACTGTAGTCATCATAGTGCAGAAGAATTTAGAGACACAGGGTGGATAAGATAACATAGGAAATGAGTATAGAGACAGAAAACACAAAAGTCAGAGGGCTGAGCTCTGTGATACTCCCATCGATAACAGTTTTCCCTCTCTATTCATTTGCTGATACCATTCCTTCTACTCAGAATGACTTTACTCACTTTTCCTCACAGAAAAGCACCCATCCTTTACAATCTAACTCAGAATACATCATATTTGAAACGTTGGCTATTTAGCCAGGGTTTTCCAGAGAAACAGAACCAAATTCTTACCATAAATCTACATATTTGTAAGGCATTGGTACACATGATTATGAAGGCTGACAAGTCCCAAGATCTACAGGATGAGTCAGAAAACTGGAGATCTAGGCGAGCTAATGGTTTAGTTCCAGTTTGAGTCTGAAGGCCTGAGAACAAAGAGAGCTGATGCTGCAGTTCCAGTCTGAAGGCTGGCAGGCTCAAGACAAAGGAATGATTGATGTTTTTATTCAAATCCAAAGTTAAGGACAAAAATGCCTATATCCTAGTTTGAAGGCCATCAGACAGGAAGAATTTTATCATGCTTGGGGGAGGTCAGACTTTTTGATCTTCTCAGGCCTTGACCTAATTGGATGAGGCCTATGTACATTAAGGAGGGCAATCGGCTTTATACAGCATACTGATTAAATGTTAATCCTGTAGGAGAGAAAAATAACTTTCCTTCACACATTCCAAGGGCCATGTCTTACACTCCTATTACAAAAGACAAATTAACAAGAGAAAAGCATAATAGGTTTTTAAGTCAAAGTTTATGTGACATAGGAGGTTTCAGAAATGAAGACCCAAAACCAGGGGAAAACTGAATTTTTATGCAAAGTCTGATGAAAAAAGTAGAGAAACATGCTTGGAGAAAAAGGGTATGATCTATTGGTAATAAACTGAAGGGGGAACACAGCAAGGCCTGTCTGTTCAGATTCTTCTTGGCCTCCAAGTATAGAGTGGGACTCATCTGGAACAAGGGTCTTACAACCTACTTGCAGGCAAGACAAGTCAGAGAATTCCTATATGACCATTTTCCCCAAAGAAAGGCAGGGGAAGGTCAGAAATTGACCTTTCTAGGTTTTATGGCTTGCCTTGGGGAGAGAAATTCTAGTTTCTATGTCCTGCATAAAAGGGAGAAGAAAGGATGAGGGAGGGTGGGAGAGACCTTGCTTCTGAGGTCCTCCCCATCTCCTTCAGTGCAAAGTACTCAGCTGGTCAATGCACCATAGTCTGGAGTATTATTGTGTTCTCAGCCCTGACAATCTCATCCAGAAACGTTCTCACAGATACACCCAGAAGAATATTTGACCAATTCCTGCATACCTCATGGCCCAGTCAATCTGATACATAAAATTAACTATCATGTTGGTCTTGTAGTAGGCTGAAAAATACCTCACTCCACCAAATACTTGTATATCATAATCCCTGGAACCTGAAAATATCACCTTATATGACAGAAGGGACTTTGCAGTTGTGATTAAATTAAGGGGAGGGTTATCCTAGTTTATCATGGTGGGCCCATGTGAGCACAAGAGTACTTATGAGCGGGATGTAGGAGCATGAAGACTCAGAGAAGGTGGCAGTGTAAAGATGAAGCAGATTGAAGTGATGCAGTTTGAAGACAGAAGAAGAGTCCACAAGCCAAGGAATGCAGGAGGCCACTAGGCACTGAAGACAACTACATGGATGCTCCCCTCAGAGCCTTGGGAAGAAATAAGTTCTGATGACACCTTGGCTTTAGCCCAGTGAAACTGATCTCATAATTCTGGCTACCAGAACTGTAAAAGAATAAATTTGTATTTTTTTAAGCCACTGAGTTTGTAGTAATTTGTTATAGCAGCCATAGCAGCCATAGGAAAGAAAAGTCTTCCTTTCATCTACAATTTGCATCTTGCCCTCACCTCATGTAGTATTTATTTTAAAACAAATTCATTGAGGTAAAATTCACCCATCATAAAATTGCCCATTTTAAGTGTATAATCTGATGAGCTTTGGTAACTTTACCAGATACCATAAACCATTACCATAAACCACTTTTAGACTATTCTCATCACCCCGGTAAAATCCTCCATGTTTACTGACAATTAATCCCTATTTCCAACCTTAACCCCAGACAATCAATAATCTACTTTCTACCCCTATGGATTTGCCTTTTCTGAATATTTCACATAAATGGAATCATATAATATGTGGTCCTTTGTGTCTGGCTTCTTTTACTTACCATAATGTGTTTGAGGTTCATTCATGTCTTTGTACATATAAGTAGTTGGTTCCTTTTCATTGCTGAATATGTCCATTGTGGGATATTCCATTGCACAGATATACTATGTTTATGTTTTTCCACTTAATAGTTGATGATCATTTGGGTTTTCTCACATAGTACTTCAATATCCATTTATTCCTATAGGATTTTATACCCACTTCTTTAAGGCATGCTACATATTATCTTACAGTTGTAAATAGAGAAGGAAGTACATTTGATTCACCTTTTTATGCTGGGGCCTACACCTATATCTGGAAAATTGTAGGTATTTAATGAGCCTCAGTTGCAGTTGTGTGCTGCTTACATGACCCTGCCTGTTACTGCTGCTACAAACTCAGGAATCGTGGTCCATCTGGCCTCTACACAGGCAGTGTTTCTGTTCCCAGTATTGCCTTTTTCCATCCACCTTCCATTTCTTTATGCTGGGCTTACTATTGTCAGGTTGTCTAAACCATAGTTTGCTCAAAACTTCCTTGTATATTTTCTTAGGGCAAAGGGCAATGTGCTTTGGAAAGTTAAGGTCTAGATAAGGGTTTTGAAGAAAAATCTTTTTTTTACATAAAGTCATGTGTCTTTGTCGTGTCCTTTCTCTAGGCCATGTTATAGATCTAACTAAAGAATATTAACAGTCAAAACATAAAAATAAATGCAAACCTTTCAGTCTCAAGAGCTCTAAGCATTTAAGAAGAGAAAAAAATAAACCTTTGTGAGTTAAAGTTAAATCCTTTAGATGTTTCCAATGTTCAGCTTTGAATTCCAATAATCAGCACAGAATATTGGTGTATGATT
Organism: Homo sapiens; assembly: GCF_000001405.40. Taxonomy (NCBI): domain Eukaryota; kingdom Metazoa; phylum Chordata; class Mammalia; order Primates; family Hominidae; genus Homo; species Homo sapiens. The sequence continues at coordinate 87,268,869 of NC_000014.9, read as the reverse complement.
CCTGTAAGTCTTCAGTGAATACTTCTTTTTAAGAATTTAGTTTCTCTTTCACAGCATTTTGCTAATCAGTCATGCTGCTATGAAAAGTGGATAATGACCCACAATACATTCTGAAATAAAAAAGAATGCAAGGGGAAATAAAGCGAGAAAGCCCACAACACGAAGGTATTATCAATTCAGGTTCAATCAGGCTTCTCAGGTGGAATCGGTCTTAATTCAAAGGGCCCTCTCCTCAGAGATGGAGGCAAGTGATATTTTTCTCTGTGGTCTTTCAGAGCTTTTCATTCCACACAATCATAGCATACATCAAGTATGAAAGCCGTGCTTTCGGAAATATGTAACAGGACGTTGAAATGAGAAAAGGGAAAGAGACAGAAAGACATTTTATTGAAAAGCATATTGTAGAGCTTAGCTTAAAATTGGACACTTGCCTTTGATGGGTCTGCTTTTAAAATAGGAAATTGATTTTCAGTTAACCAGCTCAAAGACAAATGCACAGCCACACTCTCGCTCTTAATTCTGCAGGCAGCCCTTCCTTCCTAACCGACTTTCCTTGTAAAGGCATTTGAATACTTTGCAAATAAAAAGTGCATAGGGTTTAGGCATGCCGTGTCCTGAGCGATTCAGTCTAAATTTCTGTTGCTGTGCCTTCTGTTTTCCCCAGGACTGAAAACAAACAAAAAAAAACACTTCCATAAAGGTAGGATGCATTTCAGAGGAAATCGTGTGTGCAGGCCCAGGCAGCTTTTTGAAATGTGACGACATGTAATAAGTGAATTACATTCTAGTATATAAAATGTGACACGTGAATTAATTACTGATGCTAACTTGATTTACATTAAGTTGCCAGTGATTTGTCATTTTAAATTATCTATGAAAAAATTATTTTGGTTTATGACCCATTTCAAATGAGGAACTTTAAGTAGGCAAGATAGTGATGTGGAGTGGAAATACTCTAGAGATTTTTGCTTGTTTTCCTTATTCTGCTACTGTCATCTCTTTGAACACAGGGGCAATGTGTTTCTTCTTAATTTCCCCAGTTCCTAGCATAGCGCCTAACATATACTAGGCTCTCAAAAGATATTCTGAATGAGTGATTGAATGAATAGTAACTGATAGCTCATATTTCATTTCACAAGGATTTTTCTAAACCTTTAAAATTAAAATCAAATCAAACAATGTTGATATATACACTCTAAATTGCCATCGAACGCCAATAATCATAAAATATGAAAATGAGAGGTCAGCTAAATCAACCTTCTAATTCCTGATGCAGCATTCGAATAAGTGGTTATCCTATCTCTGCTTAAACCCTGCAAGTGATAGGAGATTCGTCGCTTCGTGAGGAAGCCCACAGCATATTTGTAGAGTTTCCTTTCTTAAAAATGTCTCACCTTGTATTGTGCTCAAATATAGCTGCCTACCACCTACTACCATTCTTCCCTCTGAGACAATATACGTAACAAGATGTTAGATGCAACTGTTTCTGTTGTATTGGAGTTTTAACAAAGACTCCAACAGCTGAAAATAAAATAGTTGGTGCAAGGGACATTTATACCCTAATGTAAGATGACGTAGCATGTTATATTAGGATGTAAGTGTGGCATTCAGGACATGCAATGGAGTTGGCTCCAAACTAGTTCTCTCCACTTTGGTCTATCATCTGTGGCCCAGGTATTCAAGCAAATATTAATGGGGTTCCAGAGGCACTATCCCCAAATATGGCTCATTGGCATTTTAAAAAATAGCAGAAGCAAGAATGTCACTCTGACCTTCCCTATTTTCCCCTGAAGTAGATCATAAGACCTGGAAATGAATTGCTGATCTTCTCCTGAACTAGGTCATCAGACCTTCAGGTGAGAGGTGCTCACTCTATACCCAGAGGAAAGGAACAAATTTACCTTTGAAGACACAGGGACACAGAGAAGAATCTGAACAAACAGGCCTTGCTAAGTTTCCTCCAAACTAGTACCATTAGATCATACCCCATTTGTCTAATTATACTCTCTGCAACTATCCACTTCATCAAACTTAGGCTTAAAATACACACGTTTGTTTGTTTCATAGGATCTTTATTTCTGAAGGCTGTCATCTCACATAAAGCTTATTTTAAATAAATTGCATGCTTTTCTCTTGTTAATCTGTCTTATGTTATAGGGGCCTTAGCCATGAACATAAGATGGGAAGAAGATATGTCTCCTTCCCTACAGAGAGAATGTGTTGGCAGAGGCTGAAGAGATTGCAAAGTGAGAATTTTTTTACTCGGTTTTCAGAAACCTGTGGTTGCTATTATCTTCTTGCCATTTCAAGTCAAGTAAGTGGAGGCCTTAAAAGAACCAAATAGCTTTATAGGCATTTCCTGGAGTTTGAAAGACAGAGAACCTAGCATTTTACTTTTGTCTGAAAACTTAAAGGTAGGAAGCTGTGGCTAAAACATCCTTGTCTGGAAATAAAACAGAAGGGCTTGCTTTGAAAATGGAATGAAAAGTCTGAGTATTACATTGGTTTCCACCAAGCCAGATGTGGCCATCACAGAGAAGAGTCCTGTTGTGTTTCTTGAGAGGGACTCTTCCTAGAAGAATAACTAGAAATTAGAATGACTCTGCAAGAAAGGTAAGTTCCTGGAAACCAAGAGTTGGAGAAATTACAAAAGGCTAGTTGGAGGTGGCGACACCCTCATCACAGGATGGAAAATGGAAACACACCATGCCATGAGGCACCACAGCTGATTCCAACTCTTATTAGTCAAGTGTCTCTCTCCTTCTCTTTATCTCCCAGTGGGACCCAAAGCATCACCTACTAAATATAATGGGAGAAGAAGCAGAAAATAGAGGTAAAATTGACCATATCCCCTTCTCCTCCTGCAGATTTCCGAGTTAAAATAAGGTGTGATCTAGGGAAAAGAAGTTTTAATCTGAATGATATTTAGGGACTTCATATTGCCTGAAACAAGATTTTATTACCAGGAAAAACAAAAAACAACAAATTCTTCACGCATTGCCTGACTGTCACTGGGAAATCTATGAGCTTTGCCAAAGATTATGGACAGATTTAGAAAAAACAAATTGAAAGACTAGATTTAAAATGGTAGCAGTGGAAAGGAATATAGTTGTTTCCTGCTAATATGCCAGGAAATGAATTAACTCACAAATTGGTTTACACGTGGAATATAAAATTCCTCTTCTACATAGCCATTCTTCAAATATTTATTTGCATGTAAGTCGCTTAGTATATCTGCATCTGTATTTCTATTTGTGGGGTAGGTGACTTGATGAGGGATGAGTTTAATTGATGGCATATTAGGACAAGATATGGAAGACTTTAAAGTGGGCAGACAAGATTGCAGCACTTCCTTTTAATAGAATGCTGGGCATTGTCTAGAAAACAACGTACGAATTTTCTGATTCTATAGTGATCTTTGCCTTGGATTATTTCACTTGGTTAATTTGTAGCTCTGTAGAGATGAAAGTTAACTAGTAGAAAACTGTTGGTAATGCAAGTATTTCCTGCCTATGTCTTTGCAAATGATTCCCATTCATAGAAATGCAAAATATTTTTTACAAGTAGACAATACAAATTTCTATCAATCAAATCCTCAGTTGAGCAGTTTGAAACATCTTACCAATGCCCTCATTAATTCATGAGTTATCTATATTTGTGTGAGAGGGATGACTTAACTTACTTTTTAAAAATTTCTCTTTTAGGAAAAGGCAGAGAGAGCTGGTAAAAGGTATTAATCACTCAGAGCTCTGGATTTTCTGAAAGATAACCAAAGTAATGAAGGCTATCTGGTTGGGATCTGAGTAGAGAAACAATGTTGATTAAGTGATTCACCAAATGAGGTACTCAAGGACGTTACACTGAGCCAGAGTGTATACTCAGGAAGTGGGGAGTAACCACTACTAGATGTACACGAGTCGGCAGCATACAGCAAGCTTTGTGGGATCTGGTAAAAGTTAGGAGAGAAAACCCATTTGCTTCTGACTGGTTCTTGCTATGATATGATGGTCAGGAAAGCTGACTGAATTCAGAGGCAAGGATTGGACAGATAGGCCTGAATGAAACCTTGTGTATAGCAGAAGGTTTCAGAGGCATTCAAACCAGAGTGACTCCATCTTGAATAGGGGATGGGTAAAATGAGGCTGAGACCTGTTGGGCTGCATTCCCAGAAGGGTAGGCATCCTTAGTCACAGGATGAGATAGGAGGTCAACACAAGATACAGGTCACAAAGAACCTACTGATAAAACAGGATGTGGTAAAGAAGCTAGCCCAAACCTGCCAAATCTAAGGTGGTGATGAAAGTGACCTCTGATTGTTCTCACTGCTCATGATACACTAATTATAATGCATTAACATGCTAAAAGACACTCCCACCAGCTCCATAACAGTTTACAAATGCCATGGCAATGTCCAGGAGTTACCCTATGTCTAAAAAGGGAGGAACCCTCAATTCTGATAATCGTCTGCATTCTTCCTGAAAAACTCATGAATAATCCAATCTTTATTTATTACATAACCAAGAAATAACTATAAAAATAGCCAACCAGTGGCCTTTGGGGCTGCTTTTCCATGGAGCAGGCGTTTTTTAATTCCTTTACTTTTTTAGTAAACTTGCTTTCACTTTGCTCTGTGGATTTGCCTCACATTCTTTCTTGGATGGGATCTAAGAACCCTCTCTTGGGATCTGGATTGAGACCTCTTTCTGGTAACAAAGGTATGTCTTATTTATTTTTGTAGCCTCAATTTTTATCTCTTAGAACTTTATATATGCTGAACACTTGAAACATATATGTCAGACTGTTTCTTCCAAGTCTTCTTTTGTCTGAAACAAGAGAGTAGAACATCTATTCTTCTAACATTTTCCATTTCATATGATAAACCACAATAGCAATAAACACCCACAAGTAAAGTTTTATTTCCTAATCATTCTCCCGAACACTGCAAATTCCTCAAACATTTGTTTCCCAAGTTATTGCAGGTAACATTATGTTCTGCCATTGCATTACATAGATCATCATTTTTCCTTTGGGTCTCTTTCCTGTTCACTGTGCCACTGGTACATATTTTTGTATTTGTCATGGCAGCACACTATTTCTCCTGGTACTGATTTCTATATTCATCAGGAGACACTAGGTCATAAGTAGTAACGAACAGCTTCAAAATCCCCATGGCTTAACACAAACATTTTTATATCTAATTTACACTAATTTCTCTATGTGCCTAAGTAAGCCTCTAGAGCAACTGAACTCAACATGGATTACCAATTTATGCTTCTTCAGTCTTGTAAGTCTGCCATCTTAATGTGAGGCTTTCTCAAAATGATTCCAGTAAGGAATGATAAATCTGGATGATTCTGCACTGCTAATTCAGCAGCATGTCTCAAGAATGATTTTGGTAACTTCGTTTAACAGTCCATCGTCTCAACTAAGCACATGCTCCACTTCGCTGAGGTTTGCTAGGACCTATGTGTTCAGAATAGGGTTTTTTGGAATGTGCTTAGATCTCCGGATAGGGAGCACTACCTATCTCCAGATGGTATTTCAGAAGCTCACGAGAGGGCCCTACAAAACTTGAGATCAAGATCTGAGATGGGGCCACCATCTAGCCTTCTCTAGTAAAACTGGGAGGAAAACGAGCTGATCAGGGCAGCACCAAAAGAAGCTGGTGGTTGGAGCCAACAGCTAATGGGTGGAGCCTGACTGACAGGAACAATAAACAAAATCAATCAATCAAATAAATAAATAAATAAATATCTCCCCACCACCACCACTTCAATATTCTAATGCTCTTCTAACCTAAAAGTAAGCCAATTGGCCAGGGTATCTGGTATGCATAGCTGGCAGAACTCTAGTCTTGTTTTTATAGAGTCAAGAAAGGTGAATTTGAATTTGAAAGAAGGTAATAAATAAGTAAACCAGCATAGTCCACCCCTTTGGCTGCTGAGCAAACTTACATATCATCTTACACATATTTTACTCTGCAGGCAACAAAATAACAATGACTTCCTCTACCTAATAAGATGGCTTTCTTTGAGCAGATGGAGATGTTCTCATTTTCTTTGTAAATGAGATAAGAACAAAGACACCATGCAAGGTCAGTTTCTTTTAGCTCAGTCACAAAATTACTTAAATATCCTTTAACCCAAACACTAAATTAAAAGATCACCAATAAACTATTCTCATATAAAATAATAAGCAAAAAGCTGAAAAGGGAAAATTGTTGGTATATTATATATCAATCCACAAGTCATTTTTCACAATTTCTGCAACAACTGTGGTGAGTATATGTGCGTAGTTACCATAATCTTCACATGTGCATTGTTTCTGTAGCTAACAATAATGCTGTAGTTTAGTTTTTACTTTACTTTTTAAAGACTATTCATTGCACTTTTTCTTTGTACCTCCAGTGGCCTTGCTTCCTCACTTCGTGGGATGAGCCAAACCACTTCTAGAGTGTCTAACTGTTCTGTGGATTTGTTTTTATCGAATCACTGCAGGTTTTCCCTTAACTTTTAGTATTGGGACATAGAAATATTGAGAGATACCTAAGAGAATCCCCTGGGTTCTAGACCCACATTTCACTGATCACATAATGTAGTACCAACTCATTTTCCTCTTGATAAACTGAATCAATCCTCCAGCCAACACTGCAACACCTACTGGTGCTGTGACATGAGAAACCCAAAATTATCAGGTGTTAATCTCATTTTTTAACTCAGAGGAACTATTGTCCTATCATTGGCTGGCAGCATTCCATGCTTAAGAATTAAGGGAGTCTAACCAATTGAGTTTAAACTTTCAAGAAAAGATAATAAAATTTGCAAGTGGATTATTTATAAGAGAGAGAAGCTACCTCTACCCTTGGTTCCTTTACTTATGTATTATGGTTATAAGGAAAATAGCATGATATATTAATTACTTGTTTAAAGCATGCGACTCATCCTCTATGACACTAACATTTCAGAGTCTTTAATTCCTGCTAATGTTATGTCTGAATCTGAGTCTTCAGTAGACCATTTCACTCTTGGGTCAGGTCAGCTGTTTCTGGATAATGAGACACATAGTAATACCAGTAAATTCCTTGGGCGTGAACCCATTGTCCTGCTTCTTTGTGGATCTGAGTTTCTAGGTCAGAAGCAATGTTGTAAGAGATGTCATGGTAGTGAGCAAAATGTTCTTTAAATCTACAAGCTGGCAAAGCACTGTGGGCAAGGAAGATGAATGTGTATCTAGAATACATGTCTATTCTCGTAAGAAAGATAAGTTGTTGCCACCTCCATGATGAAAGAATTCAGCAAGAAGTATGCTTCTAGGTGGCTAGTGTGGGGAACACTGACATCTGGGAGACCTTAGTATTGGTCTCTGTTGTGGTCAAGACAGGATTCACTTGAGTCAGTAGCCAGATTAGCCTTGGTGAGGACAAGTCAATGTTTCTGATTCCTTTATATCATTTTCCACTTAATGGTATAGTCTACATATTATTCAATATATTGATTCTATGAAAACAAAATTAAATTCTTTTTTTTGAGACAGAGTCTCACTCTGTCACCCAGGCTGGAGTGCAGTGGGTGTCATCTCTGCTCATTGCAACCTCCGCCTCCTGGGTTCAAGCAATTCTCCTGCCTCAGCCTCCCGAGTAGCTGGGACTACAGGTACCCACCACCACACTAGGCTAATTTTTTTGTCTTTTAGTAGAGATGGAGTTTCACCCTGTTCTGTTGCCCAGGCTGTTCGCAAATTCCTGAGCTCAGGCAATCCACCCACCTGTCTCCCAAAGTGCTGGGATTACAGGCATGAGCCACTGTGCCTGGCCAAAAATATTTTTAATGAACATTTAATTTGTTTTCTGCTCAATTTTTAAAATAGCATCCTTTCTGTATTAGCAAAAGGTAACATCTGTTTGAGTAAGTTGTAAGCATGAGTCCCAATCAAATGAGCTTTTTTCTGAGTTAAATACAAAACAATTAATCTCTTTTATGGTTCAGGTTTCTAGAAAAATAATAGTGCTGTTAGTCTTAATTATTGGATGTTGTGTGCCTTTACTGGTTGCAATTTTATTCACTCGTATCGAATTGGGCTTGCAGTTTTTATTCTGTGTTGCCCCCTTTCATTAGAAACACTATGACTAAGGTTTAACTAAAGTAGCTTCAGGCTGCACCAGCAAAGTTGAATTGACTTTGCACAGCTTGACTTCTTCAAGTCTTTGGATAATTAGCTATGAACAGCTAGTTCCTGGGGCTTGTGGTCCATCAGGCTATTTTTAAAGGTGCTTATGTTTCAAAGGAAAACACCATGGGGTATAGCCCATGCATTGCCTTCTACCATTTTGTGTTTCCCCAGATTTTTAAAATAAACTCCAAATCCGTCTTCTGTAGAAATGCTTCCTAAAGAAACTTCTGCTCCCCATGGCATTTTGTGTACCTTACATGTAACTAATCTTTTAATATATAGTTACAGGTTATGTTTTCTTTTATTGTTGCTGTTGTTATATTTATTTTGCTCTTCCTATCACTCCCTTTTACTCTAGATTCTTCAGTTAGCCATTTGTTTCTCTATTGTGAGCACTCAAGTTGAGAGTTTTGGTTAAATAAAAATGGTATTGGAGCAAAGACCACTGACTTCAAAATTACTTACATTTACAATGGAGATCCTCATTTACATCATATCAAATGAGTAAATATTTGCAAAAAGAATTAAACCTTTAATAACAGACTATCATATATTAGCACCTTTGTATATTGGAGGGTATAATTATTGAAGAGGAACCCTCCAGAAATGTATCACAGCAGATTTATGGCTATCTATGTAATTAACAGGCTCGGTGTTGTCACTCATATTTGATCTTTGTCTTTTTCTTCTTATTCTCTGTCCTCCTCGATGCCTTGCCCAAATTGTTTTACATGGTAGGCATTCATCTAACATTTGTCGAATTCACAGTAACTTATTTTTCAAAAGTCCTACTGAATTAAAAAAAGGATTATATTGACAGACTTCTCATTCTTCTCAACTGATTTTCTAATCTGTTGAACAAATAAGCAAAATCTCCTTTGACAGCATTACTTCCCACATCAGAATTGTGTAAAGGAATGAGACATTATCATGACTATTCCAAGAAAAGAGTATATCAAGAAAGAAAGAATGCATACTATCTGGTGTTGATTTGGTAACAAGAAAATTTTAATCAAAGTGCCCAGATTTTGAACTAATATCTTTGGGGTATTTGCCAACATCATGTTAATATGCTTTTGGTAAGATGATTTGATTCCAGGAGACTTGCCTGCCTCGCCTGTGTAGGATATAAATATCTGATCAGGATGGGCTAGTAAATGTAACAAACAGAAGACTTAGAAGAACAAGTATTTCAGGTTTCCATCTTATAGCATATGATCACCATAGCACCTACTCTTGCAACCTCATCCCCTCTCCAACTGCCTGTAGTTATTTGACGTGGAATTGGAAATTAGACAAAAGGTTTTCTGGTAACAGAACATATAAATTAAATATACTATGAATTTTCTTATTGATTTTATTTAAGTGAGCATTTTATCATACACTGTTGTATTTTCTTTTGCTATTTTATTTCATCAATAAACTATATGCTGATTAAATACACTGAAGTTTATTTATATGTCTTTTGGTTGTCTCCTGTATTAGTTCATTTTCACACTGCTATAAAGAACTACCCGAGACTAGGTAATTTATGTAGGGAAGAGGTTTAATTGAATCACAGTTCTGCATGGCTGGCGAGGCCTCAGGAAACTTACAATCATGGTGGAAAGTGAAGGGGAAGCAGGTAACTTCTTCACAAGTGGCAGTAGAGAGAAAGAGAGCAGGGAAAACTGCCACTTTTAAACCACCAGATCTCCTGAGAATCCCTCACAGTCATGAGAACAGCATGGCGGAAAGTGCCCCCATGGTCCAATCACCTCCCACCAGGTCCTTCCCTTGACATGCGGGGATTACAATTTGAGATGAGATTTGGGTGGGAACACAGAGTCAAACCATATCATTCCACCCCTTGCCCCTCCCAAATCTCATGTCCTTTTCACATTTCAAAACCAATCATGCCAGCCAGGCACAGTGGCTCACACCTGTAATCCCAGCACTTTGGGAGGTGGAGGCAGGTAGATCACGAAGTCAAGAGATCGAGACCATCCTGGCCAACATGTTGAAACCCATCTGTACTAAAAATATGAAAATTAGCTGGGTGTGGTGGTGTGCCTGTAGTCCTAGCTACTTGGGAGGCTAAGGCAGGAGAATCGCTTGAACCCAGGAGGTGGAGGTTGCAGTGAGCCGAGATCACGCCACTGCACTCCAGCCTGGTGACAGAGTGATACTCCATCTCAGAAAAACAAAACAAAACAAAAAATGCCTTCCCAACAGTCCTCAAAGTCTTAACTAATTCCAGCATTAACTCAAAAGTTCAAATCCAAAGTTGCATCAGAGACAAGGCAAGTCCCTTTCACTGAGGAGCCCATAAAATAAAAACAAGTAAGTTACTTCCAAGATGCAATGCGGGCACAGGAATTGGGTAAATGGTCCCACTCCAAATGGAAGAAATTGGCCAAAACAAGGGGCCACAGGCACCATGGAAGTCCAAAATCCGACATGGCAGTCATTAAATTGTAAAGCTCCTTTGACTCCATGTCTCACATACAGTGCATGCTGATATAAGGGGTGGGCTCCCATGGACTTGGGTAGCTCTGCCCCTGTGGCTCTACAGGGTACAGCCCCCATGGCTCATTTCATGGGCTGGCGTTGAGTGCTTGTGGCTTTTCCAGGCATGTGGTGCAAGCTGTCAGTGGATCTACCTTTCTGGGCTTTGGAAGAGAGTGGCTCTCTTCTCACAGCTTCGCTAGGCAGTGCCCCAGTGGGGACTGTGTGTGGGGTCTCCAACACCACATTTCCCCTTCGCATGGCCCTAGCAGAGGTTCTCAATGAGAGCTCCACCCATGCAGCAGACATCTGCCTGGACATCGAGGAGTTTCCATACATCCTGTGAAACTTAGGTGGAGGCACCTGAAGCTCAACTCTTGTCTTCTGCACACCTACAGGCCCAACGACATGTGAATGCCACCAATGTTTGGGGCTTGCATCCTCTGAAGCAATGGCCTGAGCTATACCTTGGCCCCTTTTAACCACAGCTGGAGCTGGAGTGGCTGGGATGCAGGGCACTAAATTCTGAGGCTACACAGAGCAGCAGGGCCCTGGGCCCTGGCCCATGAAACCATTTTTACCTCCTAGGCCTGCATGCTTGTGATGGGAGGGGCTGCCATGAAGATCCCAGAAATGCCCTGGAGACATTTTCCCCATTGTCTTGGTGATTAACATTTGGCTCCTTCTTACTTATGCAAGTTTCTGCAGCAGAAAAAATGGATTTTTCTTTTCTACCTCATGGTCAGGCTGCAAATTTTCCAAATTTTATGTTGTGCTTCCCTTTTAAATAAAAGTTTCATTTTCAGGTGATCTCTTTGTGAATGCATAAGACTGAATGCTTTCAGAGTAACCACATCACCTCTTGAACACTTTGCTGCTTAGAAATTTCTTCCACCAGATACCTTAAACCATCTCTCTCAAGCTCAAGGTTCACAGATCTCTGGCACAGGGGCAAAATGCAGCCAGTCTCTGCTAAAGCATAGTAAGAGTGACATTTGCTTCAGTTCTCAATAAGTTTCTCATCTCCATCTGAGACCATCTCAGCCTGGACTTCATTGTCCATATCACTATCAGCATTTTGGTCAAAACCATTCAACAAGTCTCTAGGAAGTTCAAAACTTGCCCTCATCTTCCTGCCTTTTTCTGAGCCCTCCAAACTCTTCCAATATCTGCCTGTTACCTGGTTCCAAAGTTGCTTCCACATTTTCAGATCATCTTTATGAGACCACCCCATTCTGCCAGTACCAATTTTCTATATTAGTCCATTTTCCCACTGCTAAAAAGAACTCCTTGAGATTGGGTAATTTATGAAATAAAGAGGTTTAATTGACTCACAGTTCTGCATGGCTGGGGAGGCCTCAGGAAATTTACAATCATGGTAGAAAGTGAAGCAGAAGCAAGCACCTTCTTCACAAGGCAGCAGGAGAGAGAGATCAGGAAAAATTGCCAATTTTAAACCATTAGATCTTGTGAGAACTCCCTCGTTATCATAAGAACAGCATGGGGGAATCTGCTCCCATGATCCAATCACTCCCCACCAGGTCCCTCCCTTGACATGGGGGGATTATGATTTGCGATGAGATTTGGGTAGGGACACAGAGCCAAACCATATCACTTCCTTTCTCCTACCTCCAATTTCTGAGTTATTATAAGCTTGGTTAACTTGTTGAGGAGGGAAAAAGATAGTTTATTTTCTCTGGCCTCAGGGCTCCTTGAGGAAAGATGTTGTTTTATTTATTTTTGTATCTCCAGAGCCTATCTTAGGCCTAGCGCATATTAGCAGCTCAATGCACAATCTTAGAATGAAAAGAAAAATAAACAATTGTAACAATGGATGTACATATGGAATAACAAATATGTCTAGATTAGTACTATTAAGGATTATCTAAGACAGTCATGAAAATAAATGCACGGTAGTGACAATTAGAGGGGTTAGCCTTGTAGGACTGCATAAACTTGAATTTGGAATCCCTTCTGCTATCTGCTTTGAATAAAGACAGTTGATGGGCTGTGTTTATGTAACTGTGTGGTTATAATCTCAGCCTAAAGTAGAAAGAACTTAGGTTTTTGTCTTAAACAAAGGAAAAACAGACTGTATATAAGATGACTAGAGACAGACATAGCCATAGATACATTAAAATTGTGGGACAGGCTAAGAGCTCTCCTTTCTATCCATAAAGTCTTGGACTTGTGCAGCTCTGTATAAGTTATAGGAAAGAGACTTAAGGCTTTATAATAACATTGGCTGTCATAATATTGAGCTGGTGGCTTTAGTGCTATCATTTGGACTTTTGGTCCTAAATCACAAAGATTCCTTCAGCATATGAGTGATGGTATCACAGATGAATGGCTACCAATGAATGTCTTCATCACACTTATGGTAGCGACATGGGTCTCTGATACTTTGCATCACATTTTAAGACAATATGCTCACCTTTTCAAATGCCTAAGAAATTGATATCTTGTTACCTTTGGCCAGGTGATCATGTTATGAAGACTAATATAAACAGTGGTTTTGGCTGCTTACTTGTACTAGGTGGCATGCTCAGAGTCACCCTAGGATTTGGAAGATCTACAACTACCATTCTCACTTCTGGTATGCCTACATGCAGGCACTGAATTCTTTATGTAGAAGATATTATACCAGTGAGCAGTACTATAAAACACCTATGGCAACAATTTCAGGATATACCACCTATGTTCAGGTTTTCCTCATTTGTTTTCCTTCTATTTATATAGAGTTGTTGTAATTCCCAACAAGCAGCACTGGCCTCCCACATTATTTATTGTTTCAATATAGGGGACAATTACATATAATTAGCTGGATGACACTACTCATTTGCTGGTGGAATTTGCTATGAATGCATTTGCTCCTTCTGGGAGTTGCTTTCTATTTCCTGCACCACTGCTCTTCTGCTGTTTAGAGAGACTTACCCTTTTTTTCCCCTTATTTATTGCTTCATTGGTCCAAGGCAGGAAGAAAGCATATAAAAATCACTATGCAGCAGCCTGTGAATAACTATCACAGGAGGCAGGGAAATTGCTGCATACCAAGTAGAAAACACATAAAGAGGCACAGGGTCAGCTTGCAACAACCGCACGTTCATTTGTGAGTGAAGAAATCCAGGGAAATTTGTCAGTGCCTTGTAATATTTTACAAAAATCATCACTTGATGGCATGGAAGATACAAAAATCAAATAGAATCTTATTTCTCCATCATGATGTGTTCCACATAATTTGACTCATCAGCTGGCTGAAGGTTACTATCTTGTTATAAAACTTTAAATAATTAGCATTTTCTAAAACATATTTTCTAAATTCTATTGGTCTTTCTCCTGCTTTCTTAAACAGAATTTACAGAATTAGAACCTACCATGAAATTCTCCAGAACAAGAACTTAAGCTAGACTATGCTCAGAGGAAAGACTCTTTCTTCTACTGAATCTTAAGGCGTTAAGTAGCCAGTATTCCTGAAGTACTGTTGGTGTGGCCGGCCCTGTATACATGCAAAGCTCTTTAACAAGTTGGGTGGAACATGCCTTAGCGATCCATTGTTTGCAGTGGTCTTCTTTAGGCCATAGCAGCCTGTCTTGCCATTCTGCACATGCAAGTCTGCATACTCATTTTTGTTGAGGTCTCCCACAGGGGCTTATCTCGATCTCCTACTTGGCCTCTTTCCATCCCAGATTTTTACCTTGTTGGTTTCCCTTATTCATAGCTCCTTTAAGCTGATCATGTTTACCCCTTGTCTCCTTGGCTAACTTCCTGACTTTGACACAGTAATCTTACCTTAACCTCTCTATGAATTGCATCTCTCATATATTTTAGAGGAGATTATCCCAAATGCTTATAATTAGTTATAAGAATTTACCATTTGTTCCTTTTTTGCGTTGGCAACCAGAAAATTATAAGAAGTTTCATGCACGTCCATGTGAAGAGACCACCAAACAGGCTTTGTGTGAGCAATAAAGCTTTTTAATCACCTGGGTGCAGGCGGGCTGAGACCAAAAAGAGAGTCAGCAAAGGGAGATAGGGGTGGGGCCATTTTATAGGATTTGGGTGGGTAGTGGAAAATTACAATCAAAGGGGGTTTTTTCTCTTGTGGGCAGGGGTGGGGGTGTCACGAGGTGCTCAGTGGGGGAGCTTCTGAGCCAGGAGAAGGAATTTCACAAGGTTAATCGCTGAGTTAAGGTGGGGCAGAAACAAATCACAATGGTGGAATGTCATCAGTTAAGGCAGGAACAGGCCATTTTCACTTCTTTTGTGATTCTTCACTTGCTTCAGGCCATCTGGACATATATATGCAGGTCACAGGGCATACGATGGTTTAGCTTGGGCTCAGAGGCCTGACAAGAAGATTGGAAGGTCTTTCTTCTTAATTCAGTTGAGTATACTACAATCTCCTTTCCTCCTTTAGGGCACTGAATGTTATTGAACCATTCCTAAGGATTGTAGAATATGATGTATGGGGGAGTTAGAAAGAGTTATAGAAATTATATAACTGAACACTCCCATTTTACTCATAGAAAAATGGAACCCAGAGAACCAAAGCAATGGGCCCAAAGACACAGGAAACTGCTGAAACTGGAACCCATGCTTCCTAATTTTGGCTATTGCTTTTTCCAAATTCTGATTTTTTTAAGCCTTGTCTCCTAATTTCTGGTATAGAGTGTATTTCTGGTTCCTGCTATTATATTCCTCCTCTCTTGTGACTTTTCTTCCGAGGCTTACTATCCTTGGCCATGGATACCCTCCAAGAATTAAAATAGAGTCATTATATACTTCGATAGTCATTATATACTCACATCTCTGAGACTCACCCACAAGCCAAACCTCTATTATACAGGTTTTTGTGTTAAAAAGTTCTAAATATGGTTTTCCATCTTTACTGGCTTTGTTAGTTGGCTTTCTTTAGTTAACCATTAGAACTTTCTTACTTAAATGCCTCATAATTTATACATGAATTGTTATAAGATTACTCATTTTACAACCAAAACTGAATTTCCCAATATTTGTCATTGCAATCTATGTATTCCAAATTCCTACACAGAGTACAGGTTTAATAATTATCTAAAAATAATGATGGAGATACTGTTTGTATCTGAATTTCTTTCATTGCAGCTATCTAGGTGATTCTATAGGGAAAAAAAATAATAAATTAATTGGTATATGTGACTCTTCTAGTGCATAGAGCTTATACCTGTTATGTTAGATTAAATGTTGGTAAATTATACTATCCACAGTGTAGAAAAAGAACAGACTCAATTTCACCAAGCATTTCACTGGTATTAGTTCTGTTTATATAAGGCCAGTTGGCTAGACATAATTTCTAAAGATATCAAAAATATTTTCTACTAATTAGTCTCTCCATATTTCCCAATATGGACAAGAAACTAAAAACTATTCAATATATATTTGATGACCCTCTTAGAGTACAGAGTAAAAGAGATTAGTTCAAATCCCAGCTTTGCCTAGTTCTATAACCTCAAAAATGTATTTAATGTTTTTGTGACTTTCCTTATTTATAAAATGTGAACAATAATAGTACCTAATTTATTGTGGGAATTAATTGAGGGGGCACACCTAACACCTACAGCACAGTTCTTATTTGCAAGACGAGAAATAGAAGCTTTTTATTTGCTTTAATATTGTGAAAATTGTAAGATTCCAAATAGAGTCACTTGGGTTAATTCCTGACAAATGGAGCCAGGGAAGGCCATGAAAGGAAGTGCTCTCATTCAGGATTTGCCTGATAACAGGAACTATCACAAGAAATTTTTGCAAACCACAAGTTACTACACGAGTCACACAAGGACAACTAGTGGCACAAGGACAGCTAGCCGGTTACACAAGAACACTTGCCTGTTTCAAAAACTCTCGCGAACCCAGCTCAAAGCTGGAAAGGCTTAACTATAGCTTTAAGATTACAAGTCTTATCTAGCAACTACTGACACTCACCAATCAGAGCTCACCAGCTCTTATAAGATGCTGCCAGTGCCAGTAAGGTTTCTCTGAAAACGACTTGTATAACTAGTCTTTCCTGACTAAATTCTAACCTTTTTCTTTGTTCTATAGACATACCAGAGATCATCCTGGTCTGTATGTATGTCCTGGATTGCAATCTTACCTCCTGTATATTATTTGCAAACAAAACCTTTTTGCTTAGAGATTCACCTCTTTATGTGGACAATATTATATTTCTCTAAGTAACATATAGCAGATAACACTTAAATAATAAGGCATTGATTCAATTTGATATCATAAAATACAAAAAGAGTGTTCAAAGCACCATGAGAAGGAAAATACAAAAAATGGCATACATCTTATCTTCAAAGAACTTAAAACCAAAAGTATTTAAAAATATTTTCTTAATGCTTTCCCTTTTTAAAACACTCTAGAAACACTTGGTATTTATTATTTTGGATTCAGCCTGTCACTGGGGCAACATTATTTTTTATATTAACTTATTCCCTCTCCCATTTCTCTCCCAATTCATGACCACTTGGCACAATCACGAAATCATTTCTCATAGGCAGTGTTTAATTTAATTTTATTTTAGGAGCACAGTCTGTACACCTTTCCCTTAGCCAGAAGTCTTACCCTTACGTCTGTCATGGGGAAGTAGGAAGGGACATGGATGGCACAGGATATAACTTCACTTCTAATAACACAACTTGAATTTTCAGTACTCTTCATGGGTAAGCCCACACAGCTCTTTAGCTCTGGTTGCTAAGAACAGCCCTTTACCTGAAGCCAAAGCACAGGAAAATATTCAATAATGCATTTCCTATGCCCCTGAATACCAGTCTGAAAACAGAAAGAAGTTAAACACTTTGTTCAATCATTTATTAAAATGAAAGTAGCCCCCTGGGGCTGCAGGAACATGGGGAGCCATTGCCAAGTTCAATTTATTTTTAGCTGTTGTCAATTGCACATGAAAAAGACCCTAGTGTGCAGTCCTGTCCTGTTGACATTTCCACTAGGTAATTTACCTTGTGCTCCACTCTCTCTGGAAAACCCTCCAGTTATTTTGTGAGATAAACAATAGGTGTCTTTGCTTCAGTGAACTTTTGCTTGAGTTTAATGACCTGCACTGACTGGATGCAGTTTCCTCACTTCTGTGAAAAAGAAAATGCTATTACTAACACCCCTTTGCTTAGAAATTGCTTCTTAATGTTCAGTTTATTTTAGCTTTGGGGTAATTCTATGCACTTGCTTCTCAAATTTTTTTCCCTTTCAATGGATCACAGACACCTACATTTGGACGTCTTAGTAGGAGCCAGCATGGCCTAGTGGATGAGCTCAAAGGCTACACAGTAGGGCAGTCTACATTTCATTTTTTTTTTTTTTTTTTTTTTTTTTTGTGACGGAGTCTCGCTCTGTCCCCCAGGCTGGAGTGCAGTGGCTGCAAGCTCCACCTCCCGGGTTCACGCCATTCTCCTGCCTCAGCCTCCTGAGTAGCTGGGACTACAGGCACCCGCCACCACGCCCGGCTAATTTTTTGTATTTTTAGTAGAGACAGGGTTTCACCGTGTTAGCCAGGATGGTCTCGATCTCGTGACCTCGTGATCCGCCCGTCTCGGCCTCCCAAAGTGCTGGGATTACAGGCGTGAGCCACCACACCTGGCCCAGGGCAGTCTACATTTCAATCCTAGCTCCACCATCTGCTAGATATATGATCATGAACTAGTGACTTTCCTGACTTAAGACCCAGTTTCTCTAGCTAAAAATAAGGCAAATAATTATATTCATTTTATATATAAAATAAGAGAAATTAAATGTGATAATCTAGAGTTGCTGTAGTACCAAAGCATACTACTCACTAAATATTTGCTATTGTCAAAATTACTAATAATAAATATTAGTGATTTTCATTATTAATATGAATAGTACAGTGCTCTGGGTAAGAGATTCTGCCAGAATAAAAGCTAGGAACCACATTTTTTTTTTTTTTTTTGAGGCAGATTCTCACTCTGTCACCCAGGCTGGAGTTCAGTGGCGCGATCTTGGCTCACTGCAAGCTCCACCTCCCGGATTCAAGCCATTCTCCTGCCTCAGACTGCTGAGTAGCTGGTACTACAGGCACCTGCCACCACACCCAGCTAATTTTTTTGTATTTTTAGTAGAGACGGGGTTTCACCGTGTTAGCCAGGATGGTCTCGATTTCCTGACCTCGTGATCCACCCATCCCGGCCTCCCAAAGTACTGGGATTACAAGCGTGAGCCACCATGCCCAGCCCACATTTCTTTCTAAAAAGCTTTTTCTTCCTCGAAATTGAAGGGGAAAAGAGCTGGAGTTTTGGCTTGCGTGCATGTGTATATATGCAGTATGCACTTATTTTATCACTTGAGTATAACATACATCTAGAAAAATCAAACAAATCATGAATATACAGCTCAACAGATTATGACAAAGTAAACACATCTGGATAACCACCATCCAAGTTTGCACCAACCCAGTAGAAAGTTATCAGTACCTAAGAGGCCCTTCATGCCCCTACATAATCACTAGTCCCTCTATCTCCCCTACAGGTCATTAATATCTTAATTTGTAGCACCCTATATGGTATTTGCCTGGATTCAAGCTGTATATAAACTGGGTTCGCATATAATACACATTATATTGTTTTGGCAATTTTTACTCACATTATAATTGTGATTTTTTTTTTTTTAAGATGGAGTTTTCACTCTAGTCATCCAGGCTGGAGTGCAGTGGTGCGATCTTGGCTTACTGCAACCTCTAACTCCCAGGTTCAAGCGATTCTCCTGCCTCAGCCTCCTGAGTAGCTGGGATTACAGGTGCATACCACCACACCTGGCCAATTTTTGTATTTTTAGTAGAGTTCGGGTTTCATCATGTTGGTCAGGCTGGTCTCAAACTCCTGACCTCAAGTGATTTGCCTGCCTCAGCCTCCCAAAGTGCTGGGATAACAGGTGTAGCCACTGCACCAGCCTAATTATGAGAGTATCTTAAATTTATTGCCATCTAGTCTTCCTTTGTATCATTTTTTCATTCTAATGCTGATGGACATTTGAGTTCTTACCACGTTTTAGCTATTTTATATAATGGCCAATGAACACTCTGGCACCTGCTTTTTGGTAAACATGTGGTCATACCTCATTTGAGAATATGACTAAATAAAATCAGATGTATGTTCAACCTCAGTAGACACTTTCAAACTTTTCCAAACTGGAAGTGCTGATTTCCTGTTTCATTAGCCATATGTGGAAGTTTCCACATGCTTGTCTACATTCAGTGTTGCTAGTCATTTTTATTTTCACCATTCCAGTGAATGTGTAAGGATATTGTATTGGTGATTTTAAACTTCATTTACCTGATAACTAAGTTAAACATCTTTTGGTATTAACTGGATGAGTATCTTGTTTTTTGGATCTTATGTTTTAGTGTCTTGCCCTTTCTTTAAATTGCATTATTCATTTTTACACGTTTGTTTCTTATATATCCTTGATATAAGCCCTATTTTGGTTTCAGTGTTGCAAACTATCTTTTTCTTGTCTGAGGCTTGCCTATTCACAGTCTTAATGGTACCTTTTGTTGTATGGAAGTTCTTAATTTCAACATAAGCTAATTTATCAATTATTTTCATCAATGTTAGCTTTTTGGAACCTGTGTAAAAAATTTTCCCCTACCTAAGCAAGATAGTCTTCTGTTATCACCTAGAGGTCTTATTGTTTTACTTTTTACCATTAGATCTGTGATTCACTGAAGCTGATTTTTGTGTCCTTTGCAATGGGGTTGTGAAATGTAATTTTTTTCTCATATGGATATTCAACTAGCCAGCACTATACACCATTCATTGCAAAACAGTTCTTTCCCATTGCTCTGTAGTGCTAATTTTTGCGTATATCACTTGTCTGCATATGGAGGGACTGTTTTTTATACATGTCTATCCTTATATCGTACCACATTGTTTTAATTAGTTATCTTTACAAGTTTTACTATCCAATAGAATGAATCCTAACACTTGATTCTTCTAAAAAATTGTCTTGTCTATTTTTACCCCTCTGCATTTCCATATAAAGACATTTATATATTATGGAAACTTTCAAGCATATGCAAAAGTAGAAACACAGGGTAATGATGCCTCATGTACACATCAACTTCTTTCAGCATTTATGAACTTCGTACATAAATCCACTTTGTCTGGCTACAGTGGCTTTGTGTACAAATCTAATATAGGTATGTCAATTAGGTAATAGTACTGTACTAATGATAATTTCCCAAGTGTGATCATTGTTCCATGTTTTCATGAAAAATAAACAATGACTTATTTTGAGATAAGGGAAATTATTTCTGCAATGTACTACAAACTTTTGTACCAGTTTCAGAAAAAATATAAACAGGAAGAGAGGAAAAGCAAGAGAGAATGAACAAATACTTAAACTAATGTACTATAAGTTTGCACTTGGAGAATCCAGGTGAATAGTATATAGGAAAGGAAAAAGTTGAACTTTTCTTCTAAGATCCAGGAAAAGACAAGGATGCCTATTTTCACCATGTCAATTCAACATAATATTGGAAGGCTTAGCCTGAGCAATTAGGCAAGAGAAAGAAATAAAAAGCATGCAAATTAGAAAGGAAAATGTCAAGCTGTCTCTGTTTGCAGACATGTGATCTTACATACAGAAAACCCTAAATGCTCCACCAAAAAACTGTTAACATTAATAAACAAGTTCAGGAAAGTTGCAAGATACAAACTCAAGACACAAACATCAGTAGTGTTTCTATAAACAAACAGTGAAGTATCTGAAAAAGTAATTTAGAAAATAATTCCATTGATAATAGCTACAAAAAATACATAAGCTACCTAGGACAAATTGGACCAAGAGGTGAAAAATCTCTACAGTAAAAACTAGAAAACACTGAAAAATAATTAAGAAAAAAAAATCTATTTCATTTGTGTCCTGTTTTCATGGATTAGAAGAAATAATATTCTATGTTCATGAATTGAAAGAAACAAGACTGTTTAAATGTTTTTCTAACCAAAGCAATTTACAGATTCAATGCAATCCCTAGCAAAATACCAATGACATTCTTCACAGAAGTAGAAAAGAGAAACCTAAAATTCATATAGAATCTCAAAAGGCCCTGAATAGCCAAAGCAATCTTGAGCAAAAGGAACAAAGCTGGACGTATCACACTGCCTGACTTCAAAATACACTACAAAGCTATAGTAACTAAAACAGCATGGTACTGGCATAAAAACAGACCAGTGGAACAGAATAGAGAGCCCAGAAATAAATTCACACATCTATGGCCAATTGACTTTTGACAAAAATGCAAAAATACACATTGAGGAAAGATCAATTTATTCAATAAATTATGCTAGGAAAACTGAATATCCACTTATAGAAGAATAAAATTAGACTCTTATCTCCCAGCAGATACACAAATAAATGCAAAAATGAGTTAAAGATTTAATGTAAGACCAAAACCTATGATATCACTGGAATAAAACATAGGGAAAATGCTTCATGACATTGACCTATGCACAGATTTTTTTGAAAAGACCTCAAAAATACAGGCAACAAAAGTAAACATAGACAAATTGGATTACATCAAATTAAGAAGCTTCTGCACAGCAAGAAAACAATAAAGTGACGATACATCCAACATAATGGGAGGAAATATTTGCAAACTATAGATCTGCCCAAAGGTTAATATCCAGAATACATAAGGAGCACAAGCAACTCATTATCAAAAAACCCCACAAATAATCCAATTTAAAAATAGGCAAAAGATCTAAATAGACATTTCTCAAAAAGTGACATACAAATGGCCAAAAAGTATATGAAAAAAATCACTGACATCAGGAAAATGCAAATCAAAACTACAATGAGATATCACCTCATTCCAGTTAGAATGGCTATTATAAAAAAAAAAGATGGAAAAAAGCAAATGTTGCAAAGATGTGAGGAAAAGGAAACACTTATACACTGTTGGTGGGAATGTAAATTAGTATAGTCATTATGGAAAATAGTATAGAGGTTCCTCAAATAATAAAAAATAAAACTACCATGTGATCCAGCAATCTTATTGCTGAGTATTTACCCAAAGAAAATGAAACCAGTACGTCAGAAAGATATCTGCACTCTCATGTTTATTGTAGCACTATTCACCATAGCCAACATATGCAATCAACCTAAGTCTTTATCAACAGATGAATGGATAACAACAGGATAATATATATACACAACTACTATTTAGCCATAAAAAGAATGAAATTCTGTCATTTGCAACAGCCTGTATGAACCTAGAGAATATTATAAGTGAAATAAGCCAGAAATAGAAACAAATATCACATAATCTTACTCATATGCAGAATCTGGTAAAACACTCCTCAGCAAATGCAAAAGAATGGAAATCGTGACAGTCTCTCAGACTGTCTCAGACACTTTCCTAAAATTTTTGTATGGACTTGTCCAGTCGGTCCAAGGTGTTAATCAATGTACAATAGGATGTGTTAGCAATTACACAGACTACATCTTGGCCTGCAAAGAGGAAGTCTAAGTCCATTCTATTATTCATAACAACCCTGGCCAGTGAAGTAAAGCTGACCTGAATGCCTTTCAGAGATAAGGTGATCTTACTGATAACTCCATATAAGGTCAAGCACAAACTTTGTGCCGTCTTTTCAATGGGCATAACTCCCATAATTAAAAAAAAATTGGCCAAAGAGCATGAATACATGGACACTCTAATTAAATTTCGATATAAAACATTTTTAAAACATCAACTTGTTGACAGCTATTCCACCATTGTTTATACAAGAACAGGATTTTTTGCTTGTGTCTAACATAAAAAGTACACATTTGGGTAAATACATTCATATTGATATCATTTTACTTATATGTAATTAACCTGGAAAGGTTGAACTTCTCTTTTGATTTTTCTAGCTCTTCTCATATTGTTGGTTTGATGAGCAGGACAGCCCTTGCAATGATGTTGAGTAAATTAAAAACATGAAAAATGTCAAACTTACCTAATTATTTCTACCCTTCTCATTTTTTAAAGTGAATGAGTTTATTTTTGGCATTGCCCAGGAACAACCTGGGAAACCCCAAAGATAGGTGAGGTGCAAATGATATTCTGTTACTGTGAATTTGGAGGCTGAATTTGAAAACTGTAATATCAAATAGAATTGTCAAAGCAGAAAAAGCATGAACATAAGTTCGAGGCATATAAAGGCAAAAAGTTTGAAGTAATATTCAAACATAGAACCAAGTGGCAAAGATTTTTAGGATCCTTTGCTTTTTCAAGAGTGACTTCTCAAAAAAAAAATCAGGAATATGCACAAAAGTCACAAAAATTTAAGGTCTCATGGTATAAAATATTTCTTATCCAGACAAAACACAAAGAAGACACAGATTAAAAAAAAAAACTATTTTAACGGAAAATAAACCAAATTATAGTTTTACCCCTTTTTATACAACCAACGTAACATTTTTTTCTGTAGTAAGCCAGGTCTTCATCTTATAAACAAAGCCATAAACACTGAAACAACTCTGTAAAAATTTCACACAGTTTAATGCTTTCAAACTCATTATTTGCAAGTATTTTACACCAAAGTAAATAAACATCATAACTCTTCAAACCTTCTACAACTTAACTATGCTGTTTACTATCTTCTTTTCACCTTCTGCCACAAAAAGGCAATTTTACTTAAGACGTAATTAATCTCTTTGTTTCTCAAAAAAAAAAGTGAGGAAAAACATATCCATTTTTTATTCACATATTGTTTTACAACTATTATAAGGAACATAGTTCTAGCAAGACATAAGAGTTATAACTTTTCACCCAAGTAATTTACTTCTGGTCCCCCACAGGCACAGGGAAAACTGTAAGGCAAGTAAATGACAGCTCTTTGACATACTTAAGCACAGATTGGAAGACCAGAGCTCCAGGAAAGACTTTATGACTCATGAGGACATATATATTTTCATTCACTCATACGTATTTGTTACACATTTATTAAAGTGGCAAATATAAACATGTATATCATTATGACCCAATGTTGTCTACTCATCCTTTCCAAACTGTTACCTAACATATACTTTTTATATACATTATTTAATACACATATTAAAATTATGTTGACAAACAAGTGTTTTCATAAGAGATATGACAGAAATTTTTACTGACACAGTGCAAGGAATTAAGTCATTATTACCTCTAACATTACAAAAATTAATCCACTTTTATAGGCTAGCATTTATAATTTAATTATTTGAACATATAATTATTACATTTGTCATTTTAAACATTTATTGGAAGCAGTGCAAGCAAACTTGAACAATGAAATGATTGTAGTGCATTTAATTAGTACAGATTAATTTTTAAATTTTTTAATTAGGAAAATCACAACCCTTTTAAAAAAATATTATTCACATTGTTAACTATTATAAGACATACATATGTTTTGAAACCAGTATTTGTTAAAAAAGTTACCTTAACTAGAAATATTACTTAAAATGCCCCTTTGATTTTATATGTGAATCAAAAAAAACCCACACATCTAATTTTGCTTAAAGTGCTAAAATTTTCTAGATTTCTACCCCCACTCTGCTAACATGATGTCAACCATTGCTTCTTAGCTTGCATCAGAGGAAATCAACACTGTAATTACAGGAAAATGGTAGAACTAACATATACAATAATTAGTTCTTAAAACTAATTGAAACACAAACAGACTATGATATTAGCCATTTACTAATTTATTCCAGAAACTAAATTACTCCCATAAAATATAGACTATTACAGGTGGTAATACAGGTGAATTCTACCAAACCTTAAGTAAAAAAGAACTCCAATGTCCTTTGCCCTGTAAAACGAATGTGCCATTTGTTAGATGTTCATTATTAGGACATATATAATGAACCTCAATTTATATATATATATATATATATATATATATATAAATTTATATATAAATATATGTTATGTATGTTTATATATTTATATATGTGTATATATGTATGTATACACATATATACATATATGTTATATATAACATTGTCATATGTTACATACAACATATACGTTATGTATAACGTATGTAGCACATATTATATATAACACATAAAATATATAACACACATTATATGTTTTATATAATATATAATGTATGGTATGTTATATATCATACATATGATATACGTAACATATATAAGGTTATATACATCATGATATAAATATGTAAGACATTAAAGTACCTCAATGTTATATACATATGTCCTAATAATGGACATATAACAAACTATACATGTTTTAATGCTACATTTGGTACATTTTGATATATGTATATACCATGAGACCATAACCACAATCAAGACAATCATCACCCTCAAAAGTGTCCTTGTATCCCTTTGCAATCCAGCTTTCCTGTTCCTCCTCCCATCCCTAGGCAACGATTGATCTGCTGTCTATCAATAAAGATCAGTTTGCAGTTTCAGAATTTTATATACATGGAATTGTATAATGCATCTTCTTTCTTATTTGGTTTCTTTTACTCAGAATATTTACTTGCAGATGCACCCATGTTGTTGTATGTATCAATAGTTCATTCTTTGGTGTTGCTGAATAATATTTCACTTAATAGATACACTGCAATTCATTTATCCATCTTATTAATGGACATTTTGGGTGGTTCCAGTTTGGGGCTCTTACTGATAATACTTCTGTGAAAATGCAGATTTTATGAGTTTTGCTCCCATTTCTCTTTAGTAAATATCTAAGATTGAATGGGTGAGAAATACGTATAACTTTGTATAAAACTACTACATTATTTTCCAAAATCATAGTACTATTTTACACTTCTACTACCAGTAGATGAACAATCCAGTTAGTTACTCCTCATTCTTGTTAGAATTTTTTATTTTAGCCCTTTTACTAATTCTATCTACAGTGGTAGCTCAATGTGCTTTTATCTGAATTTCCTAGAGTTTTGAGTATCTTTTCATGTGTTTATTTGCCATTCATGTATCTTCTTTAAATAAGTGCCTTTCCCATTCTTTTGCCCATTTTTTAAGCAGGGATGGGGTTTTGTAATTCCTGAGTTTTGAGAGTTTTTAAATATATGCAGGACAAAAGTCACTAATCAGCTATATGATTAGCAGTTACTTTCTTTTTTGTTATGGCTCGTCTTTTCATTTTCTTAAAAGTGCTTTTTATAAACAGAAATTCTTAATTTTGAGAACTGTAAATTATCTTTTTCTTTATGGATTATACTTTTTGTGTTGTGTTTAAGAACTCTTTCCAATAAAATGTAAAAATATATTTTCTTTTATTTTTATTAGAATTTACATACATTTTAAATTTGAATTTAGGTATGTAGTAATTTTGAATTAATTTTGGTATATGTTGTGATTTATAGGTCAAATTTCTTTCTTTTTCCCTTTTTCTTTCTTTGCACAAAAATATCTAATTGTTCAGGTATCATTTTTAGAAAAGTTTATCCTCATTCTCCTGAATTACTTTTGTATCTTTGTTGAAAACCTATTGGTCATATATGTGTGAATTTATTTCTAGACTATTCTGTTACACTATTCTATTTCTCTCTCTTGATGCCAGTACCACATGTCTTCATTACTGAAGGTTTATAAATAGACTCAAAGTCAGCTAGAATAACTGCTTCATCTTGGTTCTTTTCCAAGTGGGTTTGGTTATTTTCAGCCCATGCGTTAGAGCGTTAGAATAGACCTTTAGGATGTGTGGGAATGGGTCTTTGTATGTATGTATATTTTCTGATGTGGAATCTTGGAAAAGTACCAATCCTAAAGGGTGACAAATAATTTTATATTTTTGAAAATTTTAATTATAGAATTGGATACAAGATTATGTTATTCATTATAGATTAAAATTATCATAGACAAATTTATGTGTCAAAAGAAAATTAAATTATTAGATGTTAGAAGCTACATGAGGGATTCTGCACAAGCTGAACGTCTGTTTAATATACCACCTCCAAATGCTGCCTCAGCATTTCATAGAAGGGAAAAATAGAATTCAAAGAATCTAAATAATTTGTTCACATCTTCTCCTAATATTGATATAATTGGTGGTATTTAGGCTTAAACAGATAGTGTCTGAAATTTCTGCTTTTCACTTACTAGCAGTGTGACTTTAGATATGATTTATTTTAATCTCTTGAAGGCTTAATTCCCTTATTTTTAAATTGGAAAAATAGTTTTCTTTCAGGACTGATTTTGAAGTTCCTGGCACAATTCAAGAATTCAATGTGTTGTGACTATTAATTAATACAAAGTGAAAAAGATAGAATTTGTGAACCTTGGTCTTCTGCTTCGCAGTTCAGGAATCTTTCTGCTACATCTTACTGCCTTTCAGTACATGGGTTGATAAAAGAACAAGGGAGAGAGAAAGAGAAAGAAACACAGAGGGCTTTGTCAGGCCTCTGAGCCCAAGCTAAGCCATCATATCCCCTGTGACCTGCACATACACATCCAGATGGCCGGTTCCTGCCTTAACTGATGACATTCCACCACAAAAAAAGTGAAAATGGCCTGTTCCTGCCTTAACTGACGACATTGTCTTGTGAAATTCCTTCTCCTGGCTCATCCTGGCTCAAAAGCTCCCCTACTGAGCACCTTGTGACCCCCACTCTGCCTGCCAGAGAACAACTCCCTTTGACTGTAGTTTTCCTTTATCTACCCAATCCTATAAAACGGCTCCACCCTTATCTCCCTTTGCTGACTCTCTTTTTGGACTCAGCCTGCCTGCACCCAGGTGAAATAAACAGCCATGCTGCTCACACAAAGCCTGTTTGGTGGTCTCTTCACATGGAATTGCATGGAATTTGGTGCCGTGACTCGGATCGGGGGACCTCCCTTGGGAGATCAATCCCCTGTCCTCCTGTTCTTTGCTCTGTGAAAAAGATCCACCTACGACCTCAGGTCCTCAGACCCACCAGCCCAAGGAACATCTCACCAATTTTAAATTGGGTAAGCGGCCTCTTTTTACTCTCTTCTCCAACCTCCCTCACTATCCCTCAGCCTCTTTCTCCCTTCAATCTTGGTGCCACACTTCAATCTCTCCCTTCTTTTAATTTCAATTCATTTTCTGGTAGAGACAAAGGAGACACGTTTTATCCGTGTACCCAAAACTCCAGCACCGGTCACAGACTAGGGAAGGCAGCCTTCCCTTGGTGTTTAATCATTGCAGGGACACCTCTGTGATTATTCACCCAGGTTTCAGAGGTGTCAGACCACGCAGGGACACCTGCCTTGGTCCTTCACCCTTAGCGCCAAGTCCCACTTTTCTGGGGAAGGGGCAAGTACCCCAACCCCTTCTCTCTGTGTCTCTACCCCTTCTTCGCCTTTCTGGGGGGCAAGAAACCCCCAACCCCTTCTCCTTCACCCTTAGTGGCAAATCCCGCTTTTCTAGGGGAGGGGCAAGTACCCCAACCCCTTATATCTCTGCGCCCCGATCCCTTATTTCCATGCCCCAACCCCTTATATCTCTGTGCCCTGATCCCTTATTTCTGCACCCCAACCTCTTATATCTCTGCACCCTGATCCCTTATTTCCATGCCCCAACCTCTTATATCTCTGTGCCCCAATCCCTTATTTCCACACCCTGACCCCTTTCCCGCTTTTCTGGAGGGTAAGAACGCCCGAACCCCTTCCCTCCGTGTCTCTACTCTCTCTTTTCTCTAGGCTTGCTTCTTTCACTATGGGCAACCTTCCACCCTCCATTCCTCCTTCTTCTCCCTTAGCCTGTATCCTCAAAAACTTAAAACCTCTTCAACTCTCACCTGACCTAAAATCTAAGTGTCTTATTTTCTTCTGCAATGCCGCTTGACCCCAATACAAACTTGACAGTAGTTCCAAATAGCCGGAAAACGGCACTTTCAATTTTTCCATCCTACAAGATCTAAATAATTCTTGTCATAAAATGGGCAAATGGTCTGAGGTGCCTGATGTCCAGGCATCCTTTTACAGATCGGTCCCTTCCTAGTCTCTGTGCCCAATGCAACTCATCCCAAATCCTCCTTCTTTCCCTCTTGCTTGTCCCCTCAGTCACAACCCCAAGCATCACTGAGTCTTTCTAATCTTCCTTTTCTACAGACCCATCTGACCTCTCCCCTCCTCCTCAGGCTGAGGTAGGTCCCAATTCTTCCTCAGCCTCCACTCCTCCACCCTATAATCTTTTTATCACCTCCCCTCCTCACACCCGGTCCGGTTTACAGTTTCATTCCGTGAGTAGCCCTCCCCCACCTGCCCAGCAATTTCCTCTTAAAAAGGTGGCTGAAGCTAAAGGCATAGTCAAGGTTAATGCTCCTTTTTCTTTATCCGCCCTCTCCCAAATCAGTTAGAGTTTAGGCTCTTTCATCAAAAACCCAGCCCAGTTCATGACTCGTTTGGCAGCAACCCTGAGACACTTTACAGCCCTAGACCCTAAAAGGTCAAAAGGCCGTCTTAGTCTCAATATACATTTTATTACCCAATCTGCTCCCGACATTAAATAAAACCCTAAAAATTAAATTCCGGCCCTCAAACCCCACAACAGGATTTAATTAACCTCACCTTCAAGGTGTACAGTAATAGAAAAAAGTTGCAATTCCTTGCCTCCACTGTGAGACAAACCCCAGCCACATCTCCAGCACACAAGAACTTCCAAATGCCTGAACCACAGTGGCCAGGCATTCCTCCAGAACCTCCTCCCCCAGGAGCTTGCTACAAGTGCCAGAAATCTGGCCACCAGGCCAAGGAATGCCTGCAACCCCGGATTCCTCCTAAGCCATGTCTCATCTGTGCGGGACCCCACTGGAAATCGGACTGTCCAACTCACCTGGCAGCCACTCCCAGAGCCCCTAGAACTCTGGCCCAAGGCTCTCTGACTGCTTCCCAGATCTTCTTGGCTTAGTGGCTGAAGACTGATGCTGCCCGATTGCCTCGGAAGCCCCCTAGACCATCACTGATGCCAGCTTCACGTAACTTTCACAGTGGAGGGTAAGTCTGTCCCCTTCTTAATCAGTATGGCGGCTACCCAGTCCACATCACCTTATTTTCAAGGGCCTGTTTCCCTTGCTTCCATAACTGTTTTGAGTATTGACAGCCAGGCTTCTAAACCTCTTAAAACTCCCCAACTCTGGTGCCAACTTAGACAATACTCTTTTAAGCACTCCTTTTTTAGTTATCCCCACCTGCCCAGTTCACTTATTAGGCTGAGATATTTTAACCAAATTATCTGCTTCCCTGACTATTCCTAGACTACAGCCCCATCTCATTGTCGCCCTTCTCCCCAACCCAAAGCCTCCTTCGTGTCTTCCTCTCGTATCCCCCCACCTTAACCCACAAGTATGGGACATCTCTAATCCTTCCCTGGCAACCGATCACATGCCCATTACCATCCCATTAAAACCTAATCACCCTTACCCGGCTCAATGCCAATATCGTATCCCACAGCACACTTTAAAAGGATTAAAGCCTGTTATCACTCCCCTGCTACAGCATTGTCTTCTAAAACCTATAAACTCTCCTTACAATTCCCCCATTTTACCTGTCCAAAAACCAGACAAATCTTACAGATTAGTTCAGGATCTGCGCCTTATCAACCAAATTGTTTTGCCTATCCACCCTGTGGTGCCCAAACCATACACTCTTTTGTCCTCAATACCTTCCTCCATAACTCACTATTCTGTTCTTGATCTTAAAGATGCTTTTTTCACTATTCCCCTGCACCCCTCATCCCAGCCTCTCTTTGCTTTCACCTGGACTGACCCTGACACCCATCAGTCCCAGCAGCTTACCTGGGCTGTGCTGCCGCAAGGTTTCAGGGACAGTCCTCTTTACTTCAGCCAAGCTCTTTCTCATGATTTACTTTCTTTCCACCCCTCCGCTTCTCACCTTATTCAATATATTCATGACCTTCTTCTTTGTAGTCCCTCCTTTGAATCTTCTCAACAAGACACACTTCTGCTCCTTCAGCATTTATTCTCCAAAGGATATCAGGTATCCCCCTCCAAAGCTCAAATTTCTTCTCCATCTGTTACCTACCTCGGCATAATTCTTCATAAAAACACACGTTCTCTCCCTGCCGATCGTGTTCAACTAATCTCTCAAACCCCAACCCCTTCTACAAAACAACAACTCCTTTCCTTCCTGGGCATGGTTGGATACTTTCGCCTTTGGATACCTGGTTTTGCATTCCTAACAAAACCATTATATAAACTCACAAAAGGAAACCTAGCTGACCCTATAGATCCTAAATCCTTTCCCCACTCCTCTTTCCATTCCTTGAAGACAGCTTTAGAGACTGCCCCCACTCTAGCTCTCCCTGACTCATCCCAACCCTTTTCATTACACACAGCCGAAGTGCAGGGCTGTGCAGTTGGAATTCTTACACAAGGACCAGGATGGCATCCTGTAGCCTTTTTGTCCAAACAACTTGACCTTACTGTTTTAGGCTGGCCATCATGTCTCCGTGCAGCAGCTGCTGCTGCCCTAATACTTTTAGAGGCCCTCAAAATCACAAACTATGCTCAACGTACTCTCTACATTGCTCATAACTTCCAAAATCTATTTTCTGCCTCATTCCTGAGGCATATACTTTCTGCTCCCCAGCTCCTTCAGCTGTACTCACTCTTTGTTAAGTCCCACAATTACCATTGTTCCTGGCCCAGACTTCAATCTGGCCTGCCACATTATTCTGGATACCACACCTGACCCTCATGACCGTATCTCTCTAATCCACCTGACATTCACCCCATTTCCCCATATTTCCTTGTTTCCTGTTCCTCACCCTGATCACGCTTGATTTATTGATGGCAGTTCCACCAGGCCTAATCACCACACACCAGCAAAGGCAGGCTATGCTATAGTACAAGCCACTAGCCCGCCTCTTAGAACCTCTCATTTTCTTTCCATTGTGGAAATCTATCCTCAAGGAAATAACTTCTCAGTGTTCCATCTGCTATTCTACTACTCCTCAAGGATTATTCAGGCCCCCTCCCTTCCCTACACATCAAGCTTGAGGATTTGCCCCCACCCAGGACTGGCAAATTAGCTTTACTCAACATGCCCCGAGTCAGATAACTAAAATACCTCTTAGTCTAGATAGACACTTTCACTGGATAGGTACAGGCCTTTCCTCCAGGGTCTGAGAAGGCCATCGCAGTCATTTCTTCCCTTCTGTCACACATAATTCCTCAGTTTAGCCTTCCCACCTCTATACAGTCTGATAACAGATCAGCCTTTATTAGTCAAATCAGTCAAGCAGTTTTTCAGGCTCTTAGTATTCAGTGAAACCTTTATATCCCTTACGGTCCTCCGTCTTCAGGAAAAGTAGAACGGACTGAAGGTCTTTTAAAAACACACTGCACCAAGCTCAGCCACCAACTTAAAAAGGACTGGACAATACTTTTACCACTTTCCCTTCTCAGAAGTCAGACCTGTCCTCAGAATGCTACAGGGTACAGCCCATTTGAGCTCCTGTATAGATGCTCCTTTTTATTAGGCCCCAGTCTCATTCCAGACACCAGACCAACTTAGACTGTGCCCAAAAAAAACTTGTCATCCCTACTGTCTTCTGTCTAGTCATACTCCTATTCACCATTCTCAACTACTCAAACGTGCCCTGCTCTTGTTTACACTGCCAGTTTACACTGTTTCTCCAAGCCATCACAGCTGATATCTCCTTGTGCTATCCCCAAACCACCACTCTTAACTCTTAAATAAATAATCTTTACTGGCAAGGCTATGCTGAACCTCCTTAGGCACTCTCTAATTAGATGTCCTAGGTCCTCCCAATTCTTAGTCCTTTAATACCTGTTTTTCTCCTTCTCTTATTCCGTTTAGTTTTTCAATTCATACAAAACTCTATCCAGGCCATCACCAATAATTCTAAATGACAAATGTTTCTTCTAACAACCTCACAATATCACCCCTTACCACAGAATCTTCCTTCAGCTTAATCTCTCCCACTCTAGGTTCCCATGCTGCCCCTAATCCTGCCGGAAGCAGCCCTGAGAAACATCGCCGATTATCTGTCCATACCATCCCCCAAAATCTTCACCGTCCCAACATTTTACCACTATTTCATTTTATTTTTCTTATTAATATAAGAAGACAGGCATGTCAGGCCTCTGAGCCCAAGCTAAGCCATCATATCCCCTGTGACCTACACATACACATCCAGATGGCCGGTTCCTGCCTTAACTGATGACATTCCACCACAAAAAAAGTGAAAATGGCCTGTTCCTGCCTTAACTGATGACAATGTCTTGTGAAATTCCTTCTCCTGGCTCATCCTGGCTCAAAAGCTCCCCTACTGAGCACCTTGTGACCCCCACTCTGCCCGCCAGAGAACAACCCCCTTTGACTGTAATTTTCCTTTATCTACCCAAATCCTATAAAATGGCCCCACCCTTATCTCCCTTTGCTGACTCTATTTTCGGACTCAGCCCGCCTGCACCCAGGTGAAATAAACAGCCTTGTTGCTCACACAAAGCCTGTTTGGTGGTCTCTTCACACGGACGCGCATGAAAGGCTTATTTTAAGTTGATTGCTTCTAGTAATGTCCTATACTTTTAAAAAAGACAGTATAGAATATAAAGCAAGACAACACAACTGAAACACTGAGCGTGACTAGAAAAATGACACTAGCAGCCTGAAATTTCTTAATCTCAGTCACTCCAGGCTTAAACTGTAAGTGGAGAGTGCAATGTCCAGCAATTTAACCCCTCTAAAATGAAAACAGCAAATATCAGGGCAAATAGTGCCTCCTAAAATATTCTGTTCTCCTGAAGGCAATTTCAAAGCTTTCTTTTCTTTGGTTTTCCCCGTTAAGCCATAGGTTAAGTCCTTAACTCTTACTTATTTTTGCTGTTTTGTAATAAAATTCTCATCTGGGCATCATTGACCTAGTTTAATGAATTTGTGAATTACAATAGCTTAGTCTTTTTCAAACGTTAGTGTATTCATCCGTTCTCACACTGCTATGAAGAAATACCTGAAACTGGGTAATTTATAAAGGAAACAGATTTAATTGACTCACAGTTACTCATTGCTGGGGAAGCCTCAGGAAACTTACAGTCATGGCAGAAGGTAAAGGAGAAGCAGGAACCTTCTTCACAGGGTGGCAGGATGGAGTACAGGCAAGCAGGGGAAATGCTAGATGCTTAGATCCTTATATAACCCTCAGATCTCGTGAGATTCATTCACTATCACAAGAATAGCATGGGGGAAGCCACACCCATGATTCAATTACCTCCACCTGGTCCTGTCTCTAACATGTGGGAATTATGGGGATTACAATTCAAGGTGAGATTTGGGTGAAGACACAGAACCAAACCGTATTAGTTAGTGTGCATGAATCACTTGGACACCTTTTTGAAATGCAGATTCTGATTTGGTCAGTGTGAGTGAGGTGGAGGTGCTAAGATTCTACATTTCTAACAAGCTCTCAGCTGATGCTGGTGATGCTGGTCTCCAGACCACACTTTGAGTAGGAAGGTTTTGGTTTCCAAACCTAGGTGATCTCCAAAGTCACCTGGGAAGCTTTTGGGACTACATAGATAAATGGTAACATGCCCAGACTTGCTAAATCAGATTCTCCAGCATCTTAGAGTCTGAGAATTTGTACTTTTAAAAAGTTTGCCCATTAGAAATCCACAGGGATCCAGGAGAACGGTAAAAACAGCTAACGATCCCTGGGGCATGTTGACTAACCAAACAGAAAACAGACCAGCTACAGCACTGCAATGAAGTTCTGAGCACCTGCTCTCCCAGGTGTTATTGTTTCAGCTGCTGAATATGGGGAAGTAGAAGTGCCCCAGGCTAGGACTTGGAGAGATTAGGTGGTCATTTTGGCATTTGCACTGACAGTGAAAGTTGGGTGTCAGGAAAGCTGTTATTTACTAATTGCTATATTTTAACATTTTATTAACCAGTTTGACCAGCTTTGTTCATTGTGTAAGACTGTCAGCTTAGGGGGTTGAGAAACTTGAAAAAGAAGCAAAAGCATTCATTCCCAAACTTTGGGCACATCAGTTTGTCCTGAGGAGCTTGTTTAAAAAGCAAATGTTTACAGCCCATCTACTGTGATTCTGTTTGGTGGATGTGGGTTGAAGCCAAGGAATCTGCACTTTAAACAAGCCCGGTAGGTGATTTTGAAGCACACTCTTTATGACTTAAAACCTCAGGATCCTCTGCATCGGCAATGGAGCAACCCCTTTGGAACATCCATCTTACAGTTAAGTATCTCATGCCTTTAGTCAATTTGGTTTAGTAGCTGAGAAGTATAAAATAATTGAAATCAATTGAAAAACTAATTTCATGAAACTTTCTTGTATAATCCCTTACCAGTACCAATCATCTGGAATTGTAACACAGGTTTTTCTATTATATGTAACTCGCGTAAATGACCCTTTTCTCATTTTTGCTTCTCAGCTTCTGCCTTAGCATGTAATGGTCTACTTAAGTATTACTTTTGCCTTAGAGAGCAGGAGAGGCCACTGACAATCTTGTTTGAAATGGCCTATAGATAACAACTTTTATTCCCAGAGGTGTATTTTTTTTCAATGTGAATCAAAAAGCATCTTTAGCCTTTCACTAAATTATTGCTCTTTCTGAGAGTCTCCTCATACTCTGTAACATTTTGGGACTGTGTTATCAGCCACCAAGCTGCATTTAGGAGTTGACTCAGTGAATTCTGATTTCCAATGAATTTTGTGCATGTTCTTTGTACTGTTTCACCGCTCAATTTTTCTAAGACTTTCTCAAAGTTTGGTGGGGAAAACCTGCATCAACATAAAAGGGCAGACTTGGAAACACACACACACACACACACACACACACACACACACACACACACACACACACACATAAATAGCAGATTCAAGACAATCTCACCCCTCCCACTTGAATTAGAATCTTAGGACGTGGAGCCTGGAAATCTGCATTTTAGTAAACATTAAGGTTGGATCTTATTTATGCACAGGAGTGCTTGAGGACCCTTGACTTAGCCCTGTGCCGTACTGCTTCTAGCCCTCCTACTTTTCCCCCTCTTCTCTTCTAAAGTCCCTATGGTCAGTGCTTGCCAAGTCCAGTTGTATCCTTGTTAAATAAAAACATATCATGATACTTGTTAAAGTACAGTAATCAGCTGAACACAGTAGCTCATGCCTGAAATCCTAGCCTCCTAATCCTTTTGGAGGCAGAGGCGGGTAGATCACTTGAGTCCAGAGGTTCAAGACCAGCCTGGGCAACATGGCAAAACCCTATCTCTACAAAAAAATAAAAAAATTAGCCTGGTGTGGTGATGCACACCTCTGGTCCCAGCAGCTTGGGAGGCTGAAGTGCGGGGATTGCTTGAGCCCAGGAGGTTGAGGCTTCAGACAGCTATGACTGTGCTACTATACTGTAGCCTGGGCAACAGAACAAAACCATGTCTCAAACACAAAACCAAAACAACAACAACAACAACCACAAAGTACAGTAATTCAGACTCTGTTCAAGGAGGACTATTACAATGGGGTTATTAATATGGCTTAGATTTCAAATTTGTATAATGTAAAACTGAAAAAGAGGAGAAATTGATACAATAAGAACTCACCCCTTACTCTAAGTTCCACCCTCAAGTAATTATTAAGCAAGCATAACATGAATGGTATGCCTTCATGGTTACTGAAAATGACTCATTTATTATTTTCTTCAAATTTAACTTAACACTCACGCAGCTTTGTCACACCAGTTTTCAGCCTCATTTGCTGTGACTTCCTCTACATCTTAACCTCTAATCACAGGCATTCCTTAGGATTCTGACCTCTACCTTCTTTCTCTATGTAGTCTCTCTTTCATAAATGCCACCTATTCCTGTTCATTTTATAAATACCATCTATCCCTATCAATCAACATACAGAAACATCTTAGATCTAAGTTTCAACCCCATATGTATTTATTGTTGGGTTGACTTTTTGTTTGCTATTGGATTATTTGGCATTTACTGGATTTTTGTACACTGTCAGATTTCTCTACAAATTAAACCAAGCTCTTAGAGTTTAAGTCTAAAGAGCCAAAAGTTTACACACCTTCAGGGCTTGGGAATAAAGAAGTCTTTATGTTTTCTTTATGTTTTTTCATTTTCTGTGAAGAAATTCAAGCCTGCTGCAGAAATTTGCATAAGTAACTAGGAGCCAAATGCTAATCACCAAGACAATGGGGAAAATGCTTCCAGGACATGTCAGAGACCTTCACAGAAACCCTTCCCATCACAGACCTGGTGGCCTAGGAGGGAAAAATGGGCTTCCTGGACAAAGTCCAGAGACCCCTGCTGTGTGCAGCCTCAGGACTTGATGCCCTGCATCCCAGTTACTCCAGCCATAGCTAAAAGGGGCAAAGGTACAGTTTGGGCCATGGCTTCAGAGGGTACAAGCCCCAAGCCTTGGCAGCTTCCATGTGGTGTTGAGTCTGCTGGGGCACAGAAGTCAAATATTGAGATTTGGGAATCTCTGCCTAGATTTCAGAGGATGTACAGGCAGAAGTATGCTGCAGGAGGTGGAGCCCTCATGGAGAACCTTTGCTAGGGCAGTGCAAGGGAAATGTGGGATTGGAGCCCCCACACACAGTCCTCATTGAGGCATCACCTAGTGGAGCTGTGAGAAGAGAGCCACTGTCCTCCATACCCCAGAATGGTAGATACACTGACAGCTTGCATCGTACACCTGGAAAACCCACAAGCACTCAACACCACCCTGTGAAGGCAGCTGGGATGGGGGCTACAGGAGCAGAGCTGCCCAAGGCATGGGAGCCCACCTCTTGCATCAGCATGACCTGGATGTGAGACATGGAGTCAAAGGAGATCATTTTGGAACTTTAAGGCTTAATGACTGCCTGATTGGATTTTGAAGTTGCATGGGGCCTCTGGCCCCTTTGTTTGGCCAATTTATCCCATTTGGAGAAATGGGAGTATTTATCCAATGACTATACCTTCACTGTATCTAGGAAGTAACTAACTTGCTTTAGCAGGCTCATAGGTGGAAAAGAATTGCCTTGTCTCAGATAAGACCTTGGACTTGGACTTTTGGGTTAATGCTGGAATGAACTGAAATTTTGGGGGACTGTTGAAAGGGCATGATTGTGTTTTGAATTGTGAGGACATAAGATTTTGAAGGAACCAGGGTGGAATGATACAGTTTGGCTTTGTTTCCCCACCCAAATCTCATCTCAAATTGTAGTTCCCATAATCCTTACCTGTCATGGGAGGGACAACGCAGACATAACTGAATCATGGGGTGGTTTCTCCCATCCTATTCTCATGATAGTGAGTTAGTTCTCATGATATCTGATTGCCTTATAAGGGGCTTCTCCCTTCCCTGGGCACTCATTCTTTTCTCTCCTGTCGCCATGTGAGGACATGTTGCTTCCTCTTCTGCCATGATTGTATGTTTCCTGAGGCCTCCCCAGCCATGTGGAACTGTAAGTCAATTAAACCTCTTTTCTTTATAAATTACCCAGTCTTGGGTATTTCTTCATGGCAGCATGAGAATGGACTATTAGAGTAGATCCCTACAAATCATTATTATTTTAAGACTTTTTCATATAGAATTCTTTGAAATGCTATTTTGAAATCATATTCCAGTCACATATAATCTTGTGTTTTTTAGCATTGCTTTTGTTCCCTTATATCACTTTCTAATTCCTCTGGCTTTCTGGTATCTCAATTGCTGTGGGCACATTTTACAAAGGAATCAATGGCTTTATGATTAGAGTTGAAATGGTTTCAGATCTTCCCAGAATTTTCTAAATATATGCATTTTATCTCACAGCAAGATCTGATATATTCTCAAATACTCAGTTACTTCTTTCCGGTTCTTTGTGATTTGTTGTTGAGGTCTGCATGTTTTATTTTCCTTTCCTGCCTATTTTTCCCCATTTGCATTTCCTGAAAGATGCACACATAGCCCAGAACAAAGAGACACACTTATTCTCTACTTGGCAGAAGAGGTGGCCATTTTAGTTGGGCTGAAAATTAATCACTCCTGAGCATGACTGGGGTGTGACAATGGATTCAGAAGCAAATGATTTTCATAAATTATTAAAATGAAACAATAGTTCCACAAGTTGTCTGAGGCTTGTGATTCGAGCATCTGAATACTAACTGTTTAAGACGTCTATAGAAGGTCTAGTGCAGCAGTTTTTCCTGGAGGAAGAGGTTTCTGTGGATAAATTTAGCCTCTAAGAAATCATTCCTGAGCACGTCTCTTACAGGCAACAAGGATTTTTTTTTAATCTCTTGTATCTTAGTCCATGAAAAGGCCAGAATGTCTCAAAACAAATGCTTCACAAATGCCACAAACAACAAAATTAGATCACTTTGCTTCTATCAGGGAACAGAGGTATCCATAATGTAGTTTTCCTTATTTTTTAAATAAAACTTGTAAAATCTAAATATTTTCAGGTAAGCTGACAGGTATTGAAATGGATTTTTCCCCAGGAGGGTGGAAATGAGGGCAGAGAGTAGAAGTTAGAGAACAGTCAATTGCTTGCTTTTCTGTTCACATCAGTGATATTTTTAATCATGCAGATTAGGTTTTATAACATAATATCCTTTCACTTTTTCTTATCTAAAACTTATCTAACTCTACTCTTAAAGAGCAGCATAAGAAATCTTGGAAACATTTTAATTCCCAGGCTGCATTGCCTTTTACTTTAATTTTGAAGGATGAAGAAATCTTAGCTAGGAAGTATCTAGAGAATTTCGGAAGATTCCTCGAGCAGAACAGTGCTTAATATATTACTCCTTTTACACACTAGGTATGCTTTTGTGGTATAAGAAAATATTACCTTTGAGAGGTCATCTGAGCTTACAGCTCACCCACAGAACTTTCCATTCGAGCAGCATCATTCCATGTCTGGAACTTACAACCTGCTTCTGCTTTGTAAAGGGCAGATTTTGAATATTCAGTTCCAAACCCAAAGAAAGGGCAAGGAACAAAGAGTATAGGAGGAGAGAGAAATAGTTTACAAATAGAAAGTTAGCACTTTATAGACCTGAGCTGCCTGCTGCCTCGTCATCAGCCCCTGATTTGACAACTCTGTCTCCACATCTCTCACCTGTCTTCTCTTTTTTGCTTCATTGCCACCACCTTTACTAAAATTGGTCCATACATTCTAATTACACTACTTCCTGATTCATCATAAGGAAGCCCACTTTCAATCATGGCACTCCAGCCTTCGGAAGCTTTGCATGGCTTTCATTTGCCTGCAATCAGAGTCCAAACCTCTATTGACTTTGGTGCCAAGGAATCCCCCTCACTTGTTCCTCTTACACTCTATTCTTCAATAAGACCAAATGACTCAATGTGACTGGTTGGCCCGTGGCATGAGCTATCTGTAGCTTGACCAATTTTGCAATTATTAATAGTGCCACTTTAACTCTAAAATTGCTTGCCATGGTTTGGATGTTTGACCCCTTCAAAGCTCATATTAAAATTTGACCCCCAGTGTTGGAGGTGTGGCCTAGCAGGAGGTGTTTTGGTTATGGTGGTAGATCCCTTGTGAACGTCTTGGTGCCACCCCCACAGTAATGAATGAGTTCTCATTCTATTAGTTCCCTGGATGTTTAAAAGAGCCTGGCACTCCCCCCCCACTCTCTCTTGCTTCCCCTCTTGCCATGTGACCTCTGCACAAACCAGCTCCCCTTTGCCTTCTGTCATGAGTAGAAGCAGCATGAGACCCTTACTAGGGACTGAGTAGATGCTAGCACCACACTTCTCATACAATCTGCAGAACTGTGAGCCAAAACCTTTTTTCATTACTAATTACCCAGCCTCAGGTGTTTTAGATATCAACATAGACTAGGACATGCTTCAATTTGTGAAATACATTATATGGTTGATGAATGTATCCTACATATGTGATGCTGCATTTGCCATGAACTATTTTCTAGGAACAGGTTCCTCATCTAAACATCCACTGCAATGTGTCTATGTTTTTTCACACTATTCTTTTTAATCTTCTCATTTTTATTCCTTTATCTTTTTTGTTTTTTCTAATCATTGTTTAGTAGGGAGACAGGAAGTACTGTACTTGTTATGGACTAAATGTTCTTGTTTCCCCCAAATTCATATGTCGAAGCCATAACCTCCAAGATGACTGTATTTGGACATAAGGCTTTTTGGAGGATAGTAGGTTTAAATGAGGTTATAAGGGTAGGGTTTTGATCAGATAGGATTAGTGTTCTTATTAGAAGAAATATCAGAGAGATCACTCTCTCTGCCATGTAAAATCACAGTGAAAAGACAATGATCTGCAAGTCAGGAAGAGAGCCTTCATCAGAGTGACCATGAAGTCACCCTAATTTTAGACTCTCAGCCTCCAGAACTATGAGAAAGTAAACTTCTGTTGTTTAAGCCATTCAGTCTAGGCTATTTTGTTATGGCAGCCTGAGATGACTCATTCAATAGTATAGATTAAATACCCTGTGGGCAGAGATTTGTTTTTATAAACATTTTTATATACTCAAAATATCAAGGACAATAGCTTAGTGCACTTCAAACACACACACACACAAACACATCAGTAAAACTATTGTACTTTAATAATTCACTTGAATCAATTGTATTTGACCACTTTTTTTTGCTGCCCCCTTCTTCATTAAACCTCTAATGATTTATGTTTTTTATAGGCATATTTCAAGTTGACTTAGCCTGAAACGTTCAATTTGTGGTCACAGTTTTTGCTGTTCCTGAAATGGCTTATGCTTTGCGTCCTGCCAAACTGATAGCGACACCTCATCCACTCTTACTGCCCTATGACCACCAGAGGACTAGTCATCTTAGACATCAATTAACTTTTTTGACATATCTTGGAGATGTTAACACCTGGTTATAGACAGTGTCTTAAAGACACCCAGATGTTTCAGAAACCAGACATTAAATTTCCATATACTCCATCAAATTCTATCCTTATAGTGGATTCCTCAATTCATGGCTTTTATTTCCACAATATGAAGCTCCAGGATATCAAATATTAGTTTTATGTTTGCTTATGTTTATACTTCAATTTTTGAATGTGTAGCACATAATAATTACTGGCTTATTAATATAAAATGAAAAATATAAGTCCAATAATGCTTTAATAGAGACTATCCATGAATTACTACTTAGCAATAGGTTAGTAGTACACTGTCAACTTATTGCTAAAACTACAGATTGTGTTTTTTAAATGTTCTTTGATGATTAGAAAGACACTTAGGTGGCATCATATAGTCTCCAGGTCATTGTTTTGAACATATTTCTCTCTCTGCTATAGACATGTGGCTATATTTTCCCCATAATATGCAGCTTTTCCTAATTCAGACTACATAAATTTATAGACATTTCTCATGATTATGTTAAAATGGCAAAGCTTTCAAATGTCTTTCTATCACTAATGCCTAATATGTTATCCAATTGATGAGGAGGGAAAAGCTAGTTTCAGTAGAATAAGAACATTTCCCCCCAAGTAATTCTATCTAAATCTGGCATAATATGAACTATGTATCTTTAGGATTACTGCAAAAGACTATAGTAACCTTTTCTTTAGAATGTTCTTTGCATTTTCATGTGGTTTCACACTGCCAGCTTCTTGGACCTGATTCAAAATATCAAAACTCTCCTTATGTTTTCATCCTTGGCTTAAGATAAATTGTTTCTTAGAGAAACTTCTTGTAGATCCAAAAATTTTTGGTCCTAGCTTCTGGAAATCAGAGTGTGATTTTAAGTGAAA
Organism: Homo sapiens; assembly: GCF_000001405.40. Lineage (NCBI taxonomy): Eukaryota > Metazoa > Chordata > Mammalia > Primates > Hominidae > Homo > Homo sapiens. The sequence goes on along the minus strand of NC_000014.9, from coordinate 87,225,465 downwards.
TTTAAAGACCGTCAGTTTATTGACACAAATTCTCTTTTCTTAATGAGTCCAAATGTCAAGGCTGTGGCTTAGGATAAAGCTCAATGAAATTGTTTAAAATGTAACATGTTATGTTTACCTTAGAAATAATTATTCTAATCATTAACATTTTACTATTACAAAAGAAAACACTTTAGTATTTCAGCACAATGTTAATTTGGGTAAAATTTCATAGTTCTCCAGGAATTCTTCAAATAATATTATGAACAAAGGAAAGAATAGGGATTGTTTAAATTATTCTGTTCAGTGAAACAGATGAAACCTTTCTAGAAGAACAGATTAGCAGAATAATGCCAGAATGAATGTGGCTTCAGCCATTAGAAACAGAGCCAAGCAGAAAGTCAGGTTTCTTGGATTTACCACAGAGCTTGTGAATTGACAAGGCCAGACATCTCAAAGGTTGTTGGAAGAGTCCTTTCCTAACATATGGATACTGGGACATGCTATCAGGCTTCAAAGACTCCGCTCATACTCATTATTTTTAACTTTTATTTTTAGAGCAGTTTCAGGCTCAGCACAAAATTGAGTGGAAGGTATAGAGATTTCCCATATGCCCCTCCCTGCCCAAATGCATAGCCTGCCCATTACTAACTTCCCCCACCAGGGTGGTACATTTGTTGCAATTCATGAATCTACATAGAAACAACATTATCATTCATCCAAGGTCTATAGTTTACATTAGGGTTGCATTGCTTCTCTACATTCTATATGTTTGGATAAATGTATAATGACAGATATCCACCCTATGGCCTAATATAGAATGGCTACATTGTCCTAAGAATCCTGTGTGTTCTGCCTATTCATTTCTCCTTCCCTCCAAAGCTTGGGAACCACTGATCTTTTTACCCTCTCCATGGTTTTGCCTTTTCCAGAATGTCATATAGTTGGAGTGATAGAGTATGTAGCCTTTTCAGATTGGCTTCTTTTACTTAAAATGTCATATAGTTGGAATAATACAGTATGTATCTTTTTCAGATTGTCTTCTTTTACTTAGAATGTCATATAGTTGGAATAATATAGTATGTTGCCTTTTCAGACTGGCTTCTTTTACTTAGTAATATGCATTTAAATTCCCTCTATTTCTTTTCAGGGCTTGAGAGTTCATTTGTTTTTAGTACTGAGTAATATTCTATTTTCTGGATATACTACAGTTTTTTTATTCACTCACTTACTGAAGGGCATCTTGGTTGCTTCCAAGTTTTGGCAATTATAAATAAAGTTGCTATAAAAATGCAAGTCTAAGTTTCTGTATGAACATAAGTTTTCAATTCCTTTGGGTAAATACCAAGGAGTGTATGATAAAAATATGTTTGGTTTTGTAAGAAACTGTCTTTGAAGGTGGCTGTATCATGCATCATTTTGCATTTCCACCAGCAACATATGAGTGTTTCTGTTGTTCCACATCCTTGCCAGCATTGGCTGCGGTCACTGTTTTGGATTTTAGCCATTCTGTAAAAGTTGTGTGTTAGTATCACATGGTTGTTTTCATTTGTGTTTCCTTGAAGACATATGGAGCACCTTTTCCTATGCTTTTATTTGTCTCCTATATGTGTTCTTTGTTGAGGTGATTAGTAAAGTTTTTGCCCATTTTTCTTTGGGTTGTTCATTTTCCTACTGTTGAGTAGTAAGTGTGTTTTGTTAAGTTTTGGATAACAGTCTTTTATAAGATATGTCTTTAGGAAATATTTTCTCCCAGTATGTGACATGTCTTTTCATTCTCTTGACAGTCTTTTTTGTGGAGCAGAAAATTTTAATTTTAATGAAGTGCAGTTATCAATTCTTTCTTTCACAGATTATTTGGTGTCGAGTGTCATATACCATTCTAATATTTTTAAGCTAAAAAATCCAGCTATTGCACCAAGATACATGTTTGTGTATATATATGTGTATACACACACATATATGTATATATACATACATACATACATATATATACATACATACATATACACATACATATATGGCTGGGGTTTTCTTGAATCAATGATGTATGGTATCAATATTGATTATTCAAAAAATGTCTTACAGGCAATATGCGAAACACTGATTACATTATATTTTCAATTTATGAAAAGTAATTTGTCTCTATGATAAAATTTACATTTTGTGAATATTTCATTAAGATATTTAGACCAATCTATTTCCTAGCCTCAATAGCAAGAGAAGAGATACTCTAATGTTAGCAATTTAATTTAACCTGTTTTGTCAAACCACGCTTAACATTGAAATAATACCCCCTGAGATTCTTTTCTCTCAATTCTGCAGAGAGCTTTTTATTTTCCTAGGCAGTGGTGAGCCTGAAATAATGTTCTCCAGGCAGCCTTTTTTTTTTTTTTTTCAATAAATGTCTGTTCTCACAGGTCAATTACAGAAATGCACTTACAGCAAAACAGGCAACATACATTACAAACTAATTGCTGAGAAACTTCCAGAAAAACAATGATGAAGTGAGTTAAAATGCCACAGACATTCTCTTCAAAGTTTTCCATTGACATATCTATAAAATCATCTTAAAAATTAAAGAAAAGCCTCAGCATCCAAAATTAACGACAATAATTACAATAATATTCTAGAAACTATTTGACTTTCCTGCAGCCTTCTAAAGAAATGGCTCAGGATTAAGAAACGGGACTTATAGAAAATCAGAACCCTACCTCAAAGCACACTATTTGGTCAGGACTCAATTAAAAGATAACAAAAGTATCCCCAAATGGTATCTCCTGAACTATGGAAGAAGGACTCCATAAAGTCACCACTTAAATGCAATTTCAAATGGACATTGAGTGTCTCTACTTTTTAGGAAGTAATGTGTGTTCCAGAAGTAAGTGGCATATTCTGGGGTATTCTGCTATTGATTTTTTCATTAACCCAGGGATTTTGTCAGAAATTTAGTAGCTTTCTCCTCTCATAGGAGAAACTCTTTTTTTTTTTTTTTTTTTTTTTTTGAGACGGAGTCTCACTTTGTCGCCCAGGCTGGAGTGCAGTGGCGTGATCTCGGCTCACTGCAAGCTCCGCCTCCTGGGTTCACGCCATTCTCCTGCCTCAGCCTCCCGAGTAGCTGGGACTACAGGCGCTCGCCACCACGCCCGGATAATTTTTTGTATTTTTAGTAGAGACGGGGTTTCACCGTGTTAGCCAGGATGGTCTCAATCTCCTGACCTCGTGATCTGCCCGCCTCTGCCTCCCAAGGTGCTGGGATTACAGGCGTGAGCCACCGCTCCCGGCCAGGAGAAACACATTTTTAATGTTCTTCATGTTCAATTTGAGGTAGGAAGTTAAAAATTGTTTATTACAGTTGCCCTAGTCTTAAAGCTGCTGAAATGGGCAGAAGCTGCCTCTGACGAAACTTGGTGTTGATGAAGGTCTTTAGATTCTTGAAATATAAATGAAGAGAGTAAGAAGGTTCCTATAAAATTTAGTCTGGCTATTCATAGTTAAGTTGGACAGTGACTGATAACAGATGATGCTTAGCAGGGAGACGATGTGTTCTGATATTCCAAAAAGCTTCTACTTGGAAGTGAGTGGCTCTCAACCAAATCTGACCCTTACCACTTACAAACTGTCAGAGACTTGTTCAAATTATGTAATCTCTTTATGCCCCAAGTTTAATACTTGTAAAATAGCAAATCTCTTAAGATTATGAACATGAGCCTAGTATAGTGCCTAGAACATAGTGGGCCCTGAATCAATGGTCTTCTTAACTTCCGTATAAACACTCTTACATATCCAATCAGATATTCATTTAAGCCTTCTTAGCTGGGTGCTATGGCTCATGCCTATAATCCCAGCACTTCGGGAGGCTGAGGTGGGCAGATCTGGAGGTCAGGAGTTCGAGACCAGCCTGGCCAACATGGTGAAACCCCGTCTCTACTAAAAATACAAAAAATTAGCCGGGTGTGGTGGTGTGTGCCTGTAATCCCAGCTAATTGGGAGGCTGAAGCAGGAGAATCGCTGGAACCCAGGAGGCAGAGGTTGCAGTGAGCCGAGATCATTCCATTGCACTCCGGCCTGGGTGACAGAGGAAGACTCCGTCTGAAAATAACAACAACAACAACAACAACAACAACAAAACACCTTCTCATGAATTAGTTATGCATGTCTTTAATATTAGCAAAACTTAGACTGCTTTTATCATTACTAAAGGCAGACATAAGTCTTCAAGCCTCACACATCACAGGGGCTCTTGAGAAAGAATGAGAAACTTAACTTTTTTTGTAATAATAGATTTCTCATTTATCTTACTCCATCCAGGATGAAAACTCAGCCACTCTGGTGTTTTCTCTTGATTCAGGAGGAAAAATCTAGCAATGTTGGCTACTTATCCTCCCTCCTTTCTTATTGGAGAGAAATTAACTTAGAGATTGAGAGGGACACATAGCATCCTCCTCTCAGGGATGGCATCTGATTATTGGTTTGAATTACTTTATGGCAATATGTATAAAATATCTATTTTGCCATTTGGTCTCCGGTTATATAATCTTTATCTGCTGGTTAAAGTCACTGACTTTGCTGGCTTTCAGTGTCCTGTCAGCAACTTTCTGCTCACATAAGATGACATGAGTGTCAATATATACCCCTTCAGTATGGATGAGAACTTGGCTTGGGTTATTCCAAGCCACTTCTCTGGGGTCTTTATGCTGCTATCTATATCCATCATGGCTGGAGAACTCTGAGAATCTTGCCAACTCCCCAAGCAGTGAGATGGAAAGAAAGTGTGCTCTCTTCCCAATCCCCAAATCTCCCCAAGGTTCTATTCTTCCCCCTAGGGAAGGAAACTGGCTGCAACATCACCAACATCTGATTCTCTTGATTTCCCTCTAAATCTTCTTTCTCTTCTTTCAGTTTAAAGGATATTTAGCCTGGGTGGTGGTGATAAAATGAGATCACATTTTCTTTAAATCACACTTCCACTTGAGATGTGTCTCATACAAACATGAGAATTTGATGCCAATAATGATTCTGCTAGGACAAGATTCATTTGAAGCCAACTATGATTTTGCATTCTGGGGGCAAAGTAGAGAAGGAATAATAAAGGGTAAAAAGAATTGGGGACAGGGAATGTGAGAGGCACAAACTAACACTTCAAAATATTAGTCCTTCTCATGTCTCTCATTAGAAAATAAATGAAATATATCTTGAATTAAGATAGGCGGTTTTATTTCATCCATTAGTACCTACAGAGAGTCCAGCTAATTGACCCATTTATGCAAATCTAGATGTCATTCTATTTTTCTCTAATGGACTGTTAAGCAAATTGGAGAATAGATGCCCTAATAGAAACAATTAATTCCTAAAAGATTGACTTGGTAAACAAAAGCAATATAAACATCATTTTGCCATTCATGCAAGAAGGTTGGGCCCAAAGAGCATGAATTTAGATTAAAAAATTACTTGCATGGAGTGATTATAATTTTTAGATGTGTGAATAGCCAAATATTATTACATGAGAAATGACGTATCTCAATTCATAAAGAAGACTTTTATATTTACTGCAGTGAGATAATAGTAGTAATTTTAATAAAAACTAACGTCAATTGAGTACTTCCATTGTGCTGAATACCTTTCTAAGTGCTTAATATGTATTAATTCATTTAATCTTCACAACTCATTGTTATCCAAATTTAGGTTGCCAGATTTAGCAAATAATAATGAAGGATGCCCAGTTAAATCTAAATTTGAGAGAAGCAATGAATAAATTTTAAGTATTCCTAAATATCGAATGGGCCATATGAATAAAAGTTATTCATTATGTGTCCATAATTAAAATTTAACTGTGCATCCTCGATCTTATCTGACAACCTCTCCTCATTTCACAGGTGAGAAATCTGAGACACAAGCAAAATATATATCACTCTGTGCATGTCTACAAACAGGCTTGCTCCAGATATACTGCCCCATCAAATAAAAGGCCTGGTCAATTCTTACCAAATTTATGCTCCTTTTGTTGTCATCAAGAAAAGTGATTAACCTGAATTTATATTTCCTGGGAGTCTTTTCGTATTACTGCTAACACCAGTTGCTCTGCCTGGAGTACAATCGAGAACACATTTAACATAAATCTTCCCACTCTTGTCTGCTATGTCAGTTATAATTGGTCAATTTGAAGACTTCAGTTGTCTTTATCACTTCATAATTGGTTCATTCCAATGCCCCTTATTTGGTGTCTTTCTCTTAAATCTTCAGCAAAATATTTCAACCAAGGGCAGTCTGAGCTCAAGTCTACTCATACAAATGCTGATATCATCAAACCTCTTTCTTAATGATGGACAGGTACTGTTTTAACAATGATAAAATCAATTCTAGGGTAATATTCTGAAACCAACTTTGTCTATAACCCACTAAAAGCCTGGGCTTGTCAAAAGAATTTTCCTTTTCACTGCAGCAACTTCTTTGAAGCAGGAGTATGTGTTTTCTACGATACCCACTTGCAATAAGTCATGATTAGCTTCACATTTTTTAAAGTGATATTTGAATCAAAATGCAGGTTCTTGTGAAATGTTATTTTTTATACATGATGTAGAAATTTCCACTTCAAAACTTTGCATATGACATATTTTCTATAAGAGTTGTGAGTTCTTGTGAATCATAACCAGAAACCTTGTAGAATCAGAGACATTTACAACAAACAGATAATTAACCTCCCCATGCAAATATTTTGCCAAAATTTTATGGTATATTTTAGTGAGAGTGTTTCCTACACATATATTTTTTAACAATTGTACTGCATGTAATGATCTTTACTAGTTATAGTTTATTAGTATGTCGATATACAGCATATGTTTATAAGGTGTGTGTCACTGCACTAAGTAATTTCTATACATATTATCACTGAAGGCTCACAATAAGCTTTATGGATTGATTGTAGTCATTCAATTTTGTATATGAGGAAACTGAAGCTTAGCCAAAATTATATAGCTAGTAAGTGGGGGAATAGGAATTTTAACTAAGCCAGGGATCTTTTTTTCTTTTCTTTTTTTTTTGTTTTTTTGGTTTTTTTTTGAGACACAGTTTCACTCTGTTGCCCAGGCTGGAGTGCAGTGGCACAGTCTCAGCTCACTGCAACTTCCACCTCCCAGGTTCAAGCGATTCTCCTGCCTCAGCCTCCCGAGTAGCTGGGATTACAGGTGTGCCCCACAGAGTCCGGCTAATTTTTGAACTTTTAGTAGAGACAGGGTGTCGCGTGTTGGCCAGGCTGGTCTCGAGCCTCTGACCTTAAGTGATCCACCCCTCTCGGCCTCTCAAAGTACTAGGATTACAGGCGTGAGCCACTGCACCCAATCTGAGCCAGAGATCTTAACCACTGTATAATACCATGTTCTTTGGAGATACAAGATTCCCCTAATTTGTGGATGATGTATTAATATATGTCAGCATATGGAATCTCCTCAAAAACCTTTCTCTAGAGGCTGTGGGTTTAATACAGACAAGCTACTGTCCAGCCTGCTCCTCTCTGGGTTGGGGGCAACTTTTTGCAGCATACCTGACTTTTAGGACATTTCCTCAGGGTAGATTGTTGAAGGTGGTCTTAACTAGGCTGATGGAATCCATATACGAGCCCATCAGAAATAGCACAGATCACTTGAAGATTGTGTCTTGAATGCAGAGGAAGATGGCAATCACTCCTAACATTGTTTTTACAAACTTCCTGAACTTTTCATCTACCTCGTCGTGAGAAAACCTCTGACTTCCTCCTGGGACTCTTCAAGTCAAAAACTCACATTCACCTTAGAATTCATTTTTTGACTCCATAATAAATGTTTTTGCTAATTAAAAATACTAGCTGTTATGTATCGGGCACCTATTTTGCTTAGCATTCTGCCATGTGAATAATGCCATTATTATTTTACAGATAAGAAAACGATACACAGAGGGGTTAAACAATTTACTGAAGCCTGCATATAAGTAAGGCAAGGGCAGAATCCAGGGCTTCCAACATTCCAGTGGTGTGCTATGCTGCTAGTCTGGGGTATGCAAGCTCTTATTCTCACATAACAATCCCCTTGTTCCTTTTTACATACCTGTTACTTGACATACAATATCAAACACATCTTTTGGGAACAAGGGTAAAATTCAGTTTACTTTAATTCATTGTGGAAAATTCATATGTAGATCTATTTCAGGAATGTCCAGAAAGACTTGTTATCATCTAGTTTAGGCTCTAACATTATTTGTGTGTGTGTGTGTGGAAAGTTAATGAATGACCAGGCGTGGTGGCTCATGACTGTAGTCCCAGCACTTAGGGAGGCTGAGGCAGGTGGATTACTTGAGCCTCGGAGTTCAGGGCCAGCCTGGGCAACACAGCAGAACCCTGTATCTATTAAAAATACACAAATTAGCTGGGTGAGGCGGCATGTGCCTGTAGTCCCAGCTACTCAGGAAGCTGAGGTGAGAGGATTGTTTGAACTCAGGAGGCAGAGGTTGTAGTAAATGGAGATCACACTACTGCACTTCACCCTGGGCAACAGAGCAAGACCCTGTCTCAAAAATAAAAGAAAAAGTTCATGAATAATGAAAAAAACATCATATTAGGACAGCGGAATATTTTCTTAAAATGAGCTACTAGTTGATAGTGATCTTTCAGTATTTACAATGACTAGAAGGATACTTAAAGGTATTTTGAGAGCCTAGACTTCAGTTGAATCCAAAACCCTATAACTTGCAATTTCATTGACGTTGCCTTGAATTAAAAGTTTCCTTCATAATGTTAATATTATAGAAAATCATTTTTTTAATTTTATATTTTGTAGAGATGGGCTCTCACTATGTTGCCTATCCTGGTCTTCGACTCCTGGCTTCAAGTGATCCTCCTGCCTGGGCCTTCCAAACCATTGGGATTATAGGCAATGGCCAACTTGCCAGGCCAGAAACATCATTTTCTAGGTTGCAGCCGGTATATCACAAAATACTTTATGAACCCTGATGGATGTGTTTAACATTACTTACATTAACAATTTTCCTGAAAGCTCTTTATCCACTGTAAATATGTGTTTACAAGATAAGCAATAAAGTGTTTTATTTGTAAATAAATACCTCTCTTGAAAGGCAGATTAAAAACACATTTAAAGGCACAAAATCTTCTCTTTCTGCCTTCTTTCAATATTCATTGAAATCTTAAATAATTAGTATTGTGTTCAATGTACATCATTTTTGAAGCACAGCCAGTGGAAATTAGCATTTTAAATTCAGTGACTGGTTGTATAAAGAGGTCAGAAGTATGTCTGGTGCTTTTTGCCTTCTTTAGTAAAATTCTAATTATTTACATACTATTCATATAATAGACAATTTGTATTTAAGAATTTGTTTCAGTTTAAATCTCTGACTATGTAATTGTGTGATTTCTCCCCAGGGTTATAAAGAACGTGAATCTGTGGTCTGTGATAATTGCATCTGGAAAACAGTTAAAAACACTTGTAATTTAAATAAAATCCATAAAAAGAGCTGTCAAAAATCTGATTTAACTCATCTTATGAATATTCTATAAAATTACACTCAGAGTGTCTTTCTCCTTCCCAGAGTATAAATAGACTTAATATTTATCACAAAAACATTTAAATTATGTCATATAAAATACCTACCAGTTCAATCAATGTAGATATAATACCCCATATTCAAATCCTACAAACCACTACTACTGGAATTTATTTGGAAAGAGGACAAGATTCAGAAGATTGCAACCATTCTTATAAAGAAGGAGCTATTCTGAAAGCGATGTAGTTGTGCATGTATTGCATGTCTTAGAAAATATTGCAATGGATCCCACATGTTTATTATTTACGTATTAATAAAGAACATTAAAAGATTTAAGAATGGACTATTATTACTGCTTAAAACATGTGGGAGCATCACTTGAGCACAGGAATTTGAGGCTGCGGTGAGTGGTAATCACACCACTGCACTCCAGCCTGCATGACAAAGCCAGACCCTGTCTCTAAAAAAAAAAAAAAAAAAAATTAATTAATTAATTAAATTAAAATTAAAATTACAAAAAATCCTCAAACATGTAAGAGCATAGGAATGGCAAAGTAAGATTCTCCAAGAATTTACTCTTCTATAAAAGAATGAAAACACTGACTCCAAAATTAATAGTAATAGTAATTTATTGTCTAATCAATGTTTTAAGAACTCTGGGAATTAACCAAAGGCCTGCAATAATCCAAGGAATTTTGTTGAAGAAAAATGGTTGAATCTCAATGACAACGGTGAGCTTTGCCACATTTCAAATTATTTTTATTCCTCTCCCTAGCTTTAAAGAAATTTTGAAAAAAAAAAAAAAAAGCCTCATAATGATGGTAGCCATGTAAAGCAGACATGTTTTGGAAGGGACAGAATGGGTTTGAAGCTCCCCAAAAGCCCATATTCATACATGCCATTACATGACATGTCTGGCAGTTCTCTAGAAAGATCCATTTGCAGAACTCATCTTTATTTGGCCTAAATCAGACCTCACCAACTTTACAGAGCTTTCAATTCTGGGGCTACATTTGTGAAAAACAATCAACAGTGGTTGTTTAATATTGCAGCTTCATGAGGCAATGACAACAGCTGTGACCATAAAGAAGCTCAACAAAAAACATAAAGGGAAAAACTTGCAAAGTTGTCTATAGGGGCCTTTGAAAAGCTCTAACTTTTTCTTGTGACTCTAGAAGGCTTTGCATATATGCAGGGATGTGTGCACACCCAGAAAAGACTTGAGAAGGCCCTAATCTGTTGCCTCTTGCTAACCTTCAGGCTCTGACGAAAGCTAAAAGTAAAAAGTAAAGGCAAAATTTCAAGCTGCTTACCTAAGCATTGAAGGCCTATCCAAACTGTATATAGAAGCTCTCAGCAAAGGCTGGGAAATTTATAGTTTCAAAACATGTAAGGACATGTCTGACCAATCATTCACTGACCACTGACCAAAGACTTTAGTGGCTACATGTGACAAAAAACACAGACTTTATGGAAGTAGTTCAGGAAATTCACTAAACAAATAGCAATGACAAAAACAAACATCAATAACAAAAACTATATATATTGTGGAAATAATCTGACTTTCATAATTATCACATTATATTATTTAAAATATCTAGTTTTTAACAAAAAATTATAAGACTTTTTTAAAAACAGTAAAATATAGCCCCAACACAAGAAAAATCTCAGGCAATAGAAATTGTTGCTGAGGAAGCCTACATTAGGCATAACTAGACAAGGACATTAAGTCAATTATTTTAAAACATGTTCCAAGAACTAAAGAAAATAATGCCTAAAGAAATATAAAAAAAGGTATGAGAATGACATCTCAACAAATACAGAATATCAATAAAGAGATAGAGATCTCTTTAATATGAACTTGAAAATGAAAATTCTGAACTTGAATATTATAGTAACTGAAATAAAAAATTAACTAGAAGGGATTAAAAGCAGATTTTAACTGTCTGAAAAAGTAATCAACAAAATTTAAGATAGGTCAATTGAGACTTTCAGAGTGATACATAAAGAAAAAATAGGAAAAAAATGAACAAAGTATCAGACACTGTTAGGATACCATCAAGCACAAGAATATACACATTATGGGAGTCTCAGAAGAGAAAAGAGAGATGATGACAGAAAGAATATCTGAAGACATTATGACTAAATTTTCCCAAATTTGAGCAAAAACATTAATAGACATATTCAAGAATTTCAATAAACTCTAAGTGGGATAAACTAAAAAAAAATACACCTAATATTCCCAAGCAAATGAATTATCAGGCTTATATCTTACACCATATACAAGATGAACTCAAGATAGATTAAATACCTAAACATAAGACTAAAACTATAAAACTCCTGGAAGAAAATATAGAGGAAAATCTTTATGACATTGCACTTGGCAATGATTTTTTGCATATGACATGAAAAGCACAGACAACAAAAGTAAGAATAGACAACTGGCATTTATCAAACTTAAATACTTTTGTATATAAAAGGACATAATTGACAGAATGGAAAGGCAACTGATAGAATGAGAGAAAATATTTGCAAATCCTGTATCTGATAAGAAGTTAACATCTGTAATATATAAATAACTCCTATGACTCAACAACAAAAAGTAAAATAACCAGATAAAAAATGTGCAAAGGACTTGTAGAGCCATTTCTCCAAAGATGACATACAAATTGCCACCAAGCATGTAAAAAGATGATCAACTAGTTATCAGAGAAATGCAAATTAAAATCACGGAGAGATGTTACCACACATCCATTAGGATGGTACTATTTTAAAAAACTACAGAAAATAACAAGTGTTGATGAGGATGTGAAAAAAATAAATAAAACCATCATGCACTGTTGGTGGGATTGTAAAATGGTGCCATCACTTCGGAGAACAGTATGAAGCTTTCTCAAAAAATTAAAAATAGAACTACCACATTATCCAACAATCCCATGTCTGAAAATATATCCACAATAATTGAAAGCAGCGGGGCTAGATATTTACATATGTGTGTTCAGAGCAGCACCATTCACAATAGCCAAGAGGTAAAAGCAACCCAAGCATCCAGCGATAAATGAATGAATAAACAAAATATGTACACATACAATAGATTATTACTCAACCTTAAAGGGGAAAGAAATTCTGAAATGCTACAACATGGATAAATCTTAAGGATATTACACTAAGTGAAATAATCTAGTCATGGAAAGTCATATATCCACTCATATGAGGTACTTAAATTAGTAAAATTAGAGAGACAGAAAGTAGAATGGTGATTGCCAAGGTCTAGGGGAATGGAGAAATGGGGAGTTACTGTTTTATGAGTATAGAGTTTCAGATTTGCAAGACAAAAAAGTTCTCAGATCTGTTTCTCAAAAATATGAATATATTTAACACTACTGAACTGTATACTTAAAAACAGTTGAAATGGTAAATGTAATGTTATGTGTGTTTTTTAACCACAATTAAAGCAACACAAAGAAAGAAAGTAAAAAGGGATGAAGCCAAAACTTTGCTCATTATTTTCAACATATATGGCCAAAACAAGTAGGACCTCTGCAACATTTATCTGGGAGAAATTTTAAATGCATGCCTAAACATGTCATAAACAAACTGTCAAATGACAAACAGAGAATTTTGAAAGCAGCAAGAGAGAAGCAACTCATCGCATGCAAGAGATTTTTAATAAAATGAACAGCCAATTTTTTGTTGAAATCATGGAGGCCAGAAGGCAGTACAATGTCATACTCAAGGGCTAAAAGAAAAAAGACTCTCAACCAAAAATTCTATATGTAGCAACAAAGGAAATATAGATTATGAGGCAGAAATTAAGACATTTGCAGAAAAACAAAAACTGACACTGCCAGAATTTGCCACTAATAGACAGTTCTTATAAGAAATACTATAGGTAGGTTTTCAAGTTGGAGAACACAGAGAAAACAAACAGCACAAGTAAAGCTAAGCACATAAGTGAAAATGAAAGTATAAACATATGTTTTGTTTATCACAGTTTTTTTTTTCTGGCCTATTTGCAAGTCAACTGCAAAAAGCAATAATTATATATCTTTGTGGATGAACTTGTAATATATAAAGATGTAATATGTATGACAATAATAGGTCAAAGGAGGGTGAAGGAAGTAACTATTGAAATTAAATTGTTATTAATATGGACTAGATTGCTATGCTTTAAGATGTGGCTTGTAATTCCCAGAACTACTACGAAGAAAACAACTCAAAAATAGGTGGTAAAAGAAATAACAGAGGAATTAAAATGGCACTTAAATGATTCTATCTAACATAAAAAGGGAGTAATAAACAAATAGAAAAACAAGAAAGGCATAAGGCATATAGAAAACAATTAGCTAAAAGACAGATGTAAATCCTACCTTATTAGTAATTATATCAAATGTAAATAGATTGTATAATGTAATCAAAAAGCAGAAATTGGCAAAAAAGACAAAAAAATTGTCCTACTATATGTTATCTACAGGACACATTTCAGATTAAAATACATAAATAGTATGAATGTAAAAAAGATGCATGAAAAACATGCAAATAGGAATCAAAAGAAAGTTTGAGCAACTATATAAGAAAAAGTAGACTTTAATAAAAAAAATTGTTAGTAGAAACAAAAAAAGAGATCTTACATTTTTAAGAGCATTAATCTATCAAGAAGGCCTGAAAATATGAGCAACTATGCACCTAACAATAGAGGCCTAAAGTACATGAACAAAATTTGACAGAAAACTGACAAGAAAATTAGATATTTCAACAGTAATAGTTAAAGAATTCAATATTGTGCTTATAATAATTTGTAGAAAACTTAGACATAAGACCAGCAAAAATATAGAAGATAACAAAAGTATAGAACAACTAGAGACAATGAACATTTACAGAATACTCTACCCAACAACTAGACATAGACATTTATAGAACACCCAACAGCAGAATATATATCTCCTAAAATTCACATTAAACATCCCCCATGATGCATCATATTTTAGACTATATAAGAAGTCTCAGTAAAGTTAAAGGAAGTTAAAGCATACAAAGTATGTCCTCAGATCACAGTGACATGAAATTAGAAATCAGTAGCAAAATTTTTTTGGTAAATTCACAGATATTTGGAAATTAAATAACATACTTCTAAATAACCAGTGGTTCAGAGAAGAAGACAAAAGGGAAATTATAAAATACTTTGAGATGAATGAAAATAAAAAATAACATATCAAAACTTAGAGAATTCAGCTAAAGCACTCAGAGAAAAATGTATTAGATAAAATGTCTATATTAAAAAATAGCTCATCAATAACTTAATCTTTCATTATAGGAAACTAAAATGATAAACAAGATAAACTCAAAGCAAGAAAAATGAAGAAAATAATAGATGACAGCAGAAATTAATAAAATAGAGAATAGAAATCAATGAAAAAACTCTTATACCAAAAGTTGATTTTTCAGAAAAACCATCAATGAAATTTAAACATTTTAGGTAGAAGGACTGACAGAAAAAAAAATAGAAGACTAAAATAGCTAAAATCAGAAATAAATCGATTTTTTTGACAACGATACCAGAATAATTCAAAGGGAAAATGATATGTTTTTCAACAAACAATTCTGGGACAACTGAATATCCACATGCAAAAGAACTAATTTGAAACCCAATCTCATACCATCTACAAAAATTAATTCAAATAGTTCAAAGTTCTAAATGTCAGAGCTAAAAGTATAAACCTCTTAAAGAAAAATGTAGGTGAAAATCTTTATCATATTGGAGTACACAAGGATTACATGAAACTACAAACAAAAAAGGAAAATAAAACAAAATTGAGATTCATCAAAATTAAAAATACTTGTGCTTCAAAGTATACCATTAAGAAAACAGAAAGATAACTCACAAAGTAGGAGGAAATATTTGCAAATAATATATCTGATACAATAGTTGCACTCAGAGTATACAAAGAATACAAGTAGCTCAATAATGAAAAGACAATGCAATTTTAAAATGCCAAGAAATGTAATAAACCTTTCTCCAAAGAAAGGCTGTCATTACAAAAAATTAAAATAAAAAAAGATACTCAACACCGTTAGTCATTAGAGAGATACAAATCAAAACCACAGTATAATACCACTTTAAGAAAAGTAGAATGGCTATAATCAAAAATACGCAATGACAAATGTTAGAGATGACGTGGAGAAATTGGATTCCTTATACACTGATGGTGAGAACATAAAATGAAATTGCTTTAGAAAATTATTTGGCAGGTCCTCAAAAACTTAAACATCGAGTTACCATATGATCCAGCAATTTACTTCTGAGTATATGCCCAAGGGAATTGAAAACATATGTTCCTACAAAAACTTGTACTTGGGTGTTCATAACATCATTATTCATAATAGATAAAAGGGGGAAACCATCCAAATGTCCATTAACTGATGAATGGACAAACTGTAATATAGCCATACAATGAAATATTACTCAGCCATGAAAAGGAATGAAGCATTGTTATATGATAGAACATTAGAACTTTGAAAATACTATGCTAAGTCCATACATTTTTAAACAACATATTTTTAAGCAACACTATGCTAAGTCCAGACAGGAAACACCACATATTGAATATCGCATGATTTCATTTATGATTCTGGACATTCTTAAATGTCCAGAAAATGCAAATTAATAGAGCCAGAAATTATATTAATTACATTAATTCTTGCTAGAGGCTGGAAGGAGGCAGGGGTTGGGAATTGAGAGTGACTTCTAAGGAATAAGGTGTTTCTTTCGGGGATGATGCACATGTTCTGGAATTAGATAGTGGTTATTGTTGTATAAGTTTGTAAACATGCTAAAACCATTGAAAAATCACAAATAAAAGCAATATACTTCATGTATTCAATAGAAAAATGTGTTATGACTACTCTTAATGACTAAGAAAAAATTAGTAAGAAGATTGCTTCGTGTAACAAAGACTTTACTGATAAAATTGTAACCTGGCATTGTCCTGAAAATATTAAGATCAGATGATCAAGAAATAATGCCTTATTACATAAATAAAACTGGCCGTACACAGTGGCTCATGCCTGTAATCCTAGCACTTTGGGAGGCCGAGGTGGGTGGATCACCTGAGGTCAGGAGTTTGAGACCAGCCAGCCAACACGGTGAATCCCCGTCTCTACTAAAAACACAAAAATTAGCCGAGCATGGTGGCAGGTGCCTGTAATCCCAGCTACTCGAGAGACTGAGGTAGGAGACTAGCTTGAACTCAGGACGTGGAGGTTGCAGTGAGCCAAGATCGCGCCACTGCACCCCAGCCTGGGCGAAAGAGTGAGACTCCATCTCAGAATAAATAAGTAAATAAATGAATAAATAAAAACTTTGTTAATTTCTCTAAGCTTCAAATTCCAAAATGCATGTCAGAACTGGCAACCATTCTTTCAAAAGAATAGGTGTAAAACACTTGCAGCCCATTAATAAAGTAATTACAAAAATATTAAAACCTCAAACACATGGCTATGTCGTGCACTTCAGGTTGAAGGAAAAAATACCAGAGGCTAGCAAAGCACACAGGGCAACTACATCAACTTATACACTGTAGATAAAAAGGTAAAGGCTTAAGAAGCTACATAAAGGAAAAACAACGTTAAAATGTGTGTTACCCACTGGGTCAGAAGAAAGCAAATCTATTCTAAGCGTGGATGTTGTAAAACAGTTTGTTTGCTTTCTACCTGGGAAATTTGGAAAGGAAAAATTGGCTTGTTCTCCCCTTTGATATAATTATGCACAAAACAATATCATAAACTATAATTTATTACTTGTCTTCAGAGAAATATATAAAGCATTCTCCCAGATTACTTTACTTGAGCTGGTGGCTTTTACTTTTTTCTCTCTTGCTTTCAGCCTCTTATTTTCTTTCTCTTTCTGGACAGTTTTGGATTTGAGCCCAGTCTGTTTTGGTGGCCTAAGCAATATCCCTCTCCATTTCCTTTGGAAGCAGCACCCTAATATTCCTTTGAGAAACTGAGTCTCTCTCAATACATTTACTCTTGGAGAGATTGCCAATGAGGGAGTCTTGGCCAATCAAGGGTCAGCGAGTAAGTGAAGCTTAGTGGTCAGACTGTCTGTATGAATCACCAATCTGCATCTGAGCAGCATCAGAGTAGATAAATGATGCTCATTCATTCCTTTTGCAAGTCCCTAAAGCGATTGGTTGCCCATTTGTTCCTATTACACAAGTTCTCAGAACAGGTCCAAGTTTTTTTGAAGTTCTAGTTCTATACAGTCTTTGATTTTTTTTTTTTTATTTTGTAACATCTTCTTATCCTTTCAGCACAATTCTTCCTTATGCTGAATTTACGCATACTGTGCTTCTATTGTTTAAGTCATATTATTCCCCTTCAATTTAGGATTTTAGGCACTGTTCTCACTGCTCTTAAGGTTTATCTATTAACACCTTGGGAAACAGGGAAATTATTCTACTATCCAGGAAGTAAATCTGCAACTGATGTGGGTACTGATAGTTCAGAATTGCTTTCTACGACTGTCTCCCTCTTCAATGCACACAATTAAGGAAGAAGCCAGAAGAGAAATCAGTCATTCTTTTAAACTTCTTTTTTCTTCAGGTACGTTTTTATCCTTTTTTTGGTTTAGAAAATGAAAACCAGTTACCTACATTGGAACAGATAGGCATTCATGTGTGTGTGTGTGTGTGATATATATATATAGAGAGAGAGAGAGAAAAATTGTGTGTTTGTGTCTGTATTTAAATTCATCAGTTGTTCAATCACAATATAATAATCATTAATTCAGAAAATGTGTTTCCTTTAATTGATTTATTCACTCCAACTCATTAACTAATTCTGTGCTGTCATCTTGTGGTTCCTTCCCTATAATTTGTATTAATTTCCTGGAAAAATAAAACAATCTAATTTATCCATTAAATTATACTAGTGTTGTTGTTTTAATTCAAAATGTTCATTATGTAGTGCAAAGTTTTTATATTATTGCAAATAGCACTTCTGGAGAAGGATTTTCTAACTAATAAAAAACTAGATTATTTATTTTTTCACTTTGAACAATTAAAATTTTGCCATCAAAGTCGTTTTTAATAAAAGATATTGACACAGCGGGAATATCAAAATAAAGAGAAAATATAGTGGTAGAGGAAATACAGTTATGGAAACATAACTGTACTTCAATCTAGGCAAAGATGTTTATTGCAGTGGAGCATAGGATTAAATTATGGCTTTAATTATGGTAACCAATGAAAAAGTTAAATATAATGTATTACCTAGTTCTAGTTACCTTAATTAAGGAAGAAAAAGGAAGAAGTTTTCCCTGCCTGTAAATTCTTTAAATACATTGTTATATTAAGTCTATATAAGGGACAAAAAGATCACACCATTTATGTCTTCCTGGTGCAAATGGAAAAGGAAGCTAACAAAAACTGAAATTGACTGCCTCACATAATCATAAGACACTAGGAAGATTGGCTTGAGTCAGGGCTTGAACAAGGTTAGCAAAATATATTCCTTGACTCTTTTCTTCTTTGTTTTTCACATGTCTTCATGGTTGCAAGATGGCTGCCAGCAATTTTCAGGTTGAAATCCAGGAGCAAAGAGCCTTTTCTAGGCAAAATGTTTATTAGTTTCATTAAGCCTCATTTGTCCATGTGCAGATCATTCCACCAATCACTACAGCCAGGAGCATGAAATCACTCTACTTCAGGGAAGAAGCTGGGTTCACTGACAGCACATGGGTTTATATTGAAGAAAGGAGAGAGACTCCCAATGAGAAACTGAGAAGTTAGAACGAGGGTAATCCATTTCGGTACATCTTCCTCTTTAAGTCTTTGAGAAAATGTTCCATAATCACAAATACTTGTATTGCTGTACATGTAAATTCATTTTTGTTTGTTTTTGGCTTTGAAATGAAAATGATGTCATATCTCATATCTGGAGCAATATGGCACACCCTAGAGGATGCATGTATAAAGACAGAGACAAGAGGGTGCCACATCAGATGGTCTCAAGATCAGATGAGATTTTATGAGATGGTGATCAGATCTGATCTTGAGACCATCTCATCTGGTACCCTTTTGTCTCCATCTTCCTCTCGAGACCATCACCCCTTGAGAGTTTGCACCAATCTTTGGGGATGGTTTTAGACTTCTACTGGCCATGGAATATTTTGGTTGTTGAGAGACAGGTGATCCCCCTGGCTAAAATACACATTTTACTTACATTTTTGGCTACAGCAAGATCAATGATGGCATAAAAAAAATGGGACTTTATAAGATAGAAAAACATTTTTAAACAAGTGACACCAGTTTGAGGAGCTAAGGACATATATCATATCTCATTTTTTCTGTTGATATTTAAAAATTATTAAAATAAATATGGGTAAATCATAATAAGAACTTATAAATTATATCCACTAACACTTGAATTTTTCTTACTGTGGAACAATAGCTGTACAATAAAAATGATTTTAGTCAAATTGAATCTTGATTAAGTATAATTACTTATTGAAGAAATACAAGATAATTATTAAAAGCTGGTTTCATCTATAAGATTCAGGCTACTAAAAGCTCTGAACTCAATATATATGCAAATGCGCAAGTTAAGCTTTTAAATGTAACCATCAGTTCTGACAAAACTCAATAGTGTCTTTAAAAATAATGTAAATACATTAACAAAATATTGTTCTTACGTCTTCTACAATTATTCAATGTAAAACATATCTTGCTTTTAATATCTTGTCTTCATATTTTCTACTAAAATATTCCATAGGCCCATTTCTTTTGGCAGATGTTTCTTTTTATTTTTTAAGCTCAATAGATGATTTGTGATATCCTGTAGAGATACCAATGAATATACTAATAAATACCAGGTGTTTAGGCAATTGATATTTTCACTTTACATTGTGTGCTCATAGAATATAGGTCTTCGTGTGTATTTCTAACTCTTAATCAATGCCTTGAACATCACAGTAGTACAATATATGTCTCTGAACTCAACAGAAGTTGGAGTGAACAGTTAGTGATGCATTTCTGGTATTTCGTACTTAATTGAATCACTCAATTTCTTCTATTTCTTGGCACCTGATACTTCTGATATATCCATGAAAAGAGTCAATAAATGATTTTTGATGCCTTTAATGAATGCTAAATGAATAAGAGAGTTTTCCTTTATCAGACAATCAGGTCTTGACATAAAATACTCTTTTAATAAATATTTATTAAATGAATTCATTTCAAAGTCCACTTTGAATTAGGAACAATTGTTATTGCTTTGTCAAATTCCTGGACATAAACAAATGAGGCGTAAAATGGAGATAAAAGACTTAGTACCTTATCTATGGTCAAAGGTCATGGAATGTCAAAGCAAAAACAAACCAAGTCTTGTACAGCCATAAATTCGAGGTCTGGATGAAACTGAATTATAATTTGATTTAAGTTAATGTGATGCGTTCTTCACTAAAATGTGAGAGATTCATTCTCTAGGTTAGGATCCAGTTGAAATAGGTCCCATTTTACTTTAAGAAAAGCTTTTTACCTTATACAAATCCCGAGACCTATCAACCCAATGAATTTGGGGGAAGAATACATTATCAAATAATTAGCCTTTATATACTGAGATTCATTTACATACTGAACTCACATTATATCTGAAAAAGTTTTTATTTTACAAAAACAGATTTTTCTTGGTTTTTCTGAAATTTTATTTTAGTAAAAAGTAAGTTTCACGTAGACTGGCGGTCCCCAAGCCTGATGGATCATCCAAAAGCGCTGGGATAGCTTTTGTAAAACTACAAATTTTGTCATATTTCCTCAGAGATCCTTATTTAGTAGGTTTGGGTGGCCCCCAGCGGTTTCTCATGGTGAGCCAGATTGGGATTTAGCTTTATAAACCAAGAGTACTTGCCCAAGACTGGAGTCAAAGACTGGATTTATATCTGGATTATTTACAAACTAACTGGTTGTCATTATTTTCTTCTGGAAAAAGATTGCTTCTGAGGTATTTTTGCTTGAATTGTGTTAACTCTCTGATCAGGTAAAGCTTCATGTTTTCTCATCTCAATCCTTAATAACATGTTTTACAGTCAGACATAAAATGTTGACTTTGCAGTAGAACCTGCATCATACTAAAGTCCCTCTACCTAACATGCCCGGGAAATTTAGAGTGTACTATTGGGGGGAAAAAATGAAAAAAAAAATTCTTTTAGAATTATTTATCGTGATGTTCATCTCAGAGTAAAATACAGCTTACATGTTATTTATTTCTGCACAAAACATAAGTTGTATTTTTCTGTACCCAAATGCATGAATTATTAGCAAGCTGGGAACTGGATCATTGTTAAGATATTGCAGATGAACCTAATAATCTTGTTTCAAACGCCAAACCCCATTATAAACAGATGTACTGGAGCTATTTTCTAGTGTTTGGCTCATTTGTATAATGGCAAACGGGGCTTCCCCTGACAATCCAGTTTCATCTCAGTAATTTTTATTCAACCACGTCAAGCTTCCAACCTCGGAAAAGCACTCAACAATTATTCAACTTAGGATACCAATGCCTAGAGCATTTATAAATACATGCATACAGGCAAAAATCAGATCTTTAACATTTTATATTAACATCAACTTGTGATTAAAATGAAAGAAATATTCTCATATGCCTATTACATCAAATCTTGATCGCTACTCTGCCCTAAGCATCAGTAGATTTTTTCATTTCTTTATTGTCTTACTTTTCATGAGATTCCTAAATCTCAGATCTCATTTGGAGAAAAAATTCAACTCTGAATTCAGCTGAGTCACTTAAAGCTCTGATAGTAAAGAAAATGGAATTAACTAAATTCCAGGTTCATTTCTTCATGTGAGATCCGAACACAGTTAAGGTCCTTTTATTCCTAGAGATTTTTAATTCCATGGTTTTGAAAACTAATGGAGGCCTAAGCATTGATGGATTTATAACTAGAATATTTAAATACAAATAATATTCCTTTAAATCAGTTAGAAAACAAAATATAAATTGCTGTCTTATCCTTGGCATTATTACTTTCCTCGTCTTGTTTTTCTTTCTTTTATGTCTTATTCTTTCCTTTCAGTTTTTTTCCTTTGATTTTGTTCAGTTATTTTACCTTTTCCAAAGGCCTATGACCTATTCTGTAAAGTTTGCAGTAGGTTATAAGTAACTTTAGACATTTCAAACATATATTTCTGCTACTACTTAAAATTGTACCTCATACGCATTTCAATATTTCAGTGTTCCAAATACAAATGCAATTTTAGCAGAAAGAAATAAATGAAATTGTTTCATTTCACTTTTTTTTTTTTTTGTGTATGGGATTTTATACCATGAGGACTGAATCAGAGATTTAAGATAATTTGTTGAAACCAATACAAAACAGTCCTTCATAAACCTTATTATTGTCCTTTCACTTTTGCCCTCTTTTTAAATTTCTTCTGCCATACTTGCTGTAATCTCAGGCTAAAAGAAGACAAAGGAGCTACCATATTTTGAATTGTGTCTGATACAGGAGCTTGCATTTATGAAGCACCAAATACAAGGTTTTTAATAAATGAATAAGGGCAATTTGAATAATGACAATTAGAATTTTAAGTCTGCAGAAGTGGAAGCAAAATATTGACTTTGATAATAAATGTAATTTCAGCAAATTATCACTCATCTTGGAAATATCTACAATCAAGGGAAATATTATCCTTATTTGTTAGAAGTAATTCAAAAAAGTTTGTATCATATAGTACTATTCAAGACTATCAACATATTTTACAACAAAGATGAGACCAAAATGGAATGATGTTTCCGTTTTACCTGAGTCATTAAATGATGAAAACTATGTTTATAGAAGTTTCAGGAATGAAACATCACAAGACGATTTGAATGAATTGCTTTTCAGGTTGATTCCTCATGTTAATATTCTTTTTCTCTCAACTACATTTCATGCCTCTTTGCATTTTTATTAAGAACTTAAATGATGACTCTCAGTAGAGAATAAGCTTCCATGTTGGTTCTGTGTCTCAGAGAGAAGTAGGGTATTAAGAAAAAAATGATTTCAATTCCCATAAAAGGAACCATAGTATTTTATCTAAAATAATCTACTAACTCAGATCAGCTGCTTAATTTATCTCACAGCTAAATATTTTAAATTATTATTGCAATGGTGGTATATATAACCTAGTCTCCCATAATCTTTAAAATGGAGCAAAAAAATCTGTCTCTCCTAAATAATAGCATATCCTAACCATTAACTTCCCTTTTTATCCATTAATTCTTGCAGTGAGGATAATTTTCCAGAAGGATAATATCAATGAATATCCATCTAGATTTCTAGTCATATTAGGGCAATTTGCTTTCTGAATTTCTGATATGGACAACCCCTTTGTGAGTAGCCTTTCCTGGGAACAGAACATTCTTCTACCTGCAATTCCTTGCCCAATAAGAATAGGTCATTCCAAGCTTGGGAGAAGCTAGTTGGTATTTTTCTATTTATCTCAGTGGCAGCTATTTCAACTTGGATGTAGATTTTACCTCATAATGCTCTAGACCACTGGGTACCTCTATGTGATCCAATATTATGGTGGGTTTCACATTCCACTGCTTGACTTTGGGCTTATAAAAAGGTCTCTGGGTGACAGCAATCTGCCAAAGCTGTGTCCAAATGGTACTGTTCTGGAACTCTGCACAGAGGTATCAGCCAACGTAAAATGGCACCTTTACCAGTTCTTTGAGCCAAGCACTGAAATCATACTTTAGGTCTTAAAGTAATGGCCATTTTGTTATCCAATTCCATAAAATATTCTATCCTGTGTTCAGATAGAACTGTATTTTAGAAACAACCTGGAAATTACCTCCTGTTTTCCCATACCTCTCATTTTCACTATTGCGGTACAGAAAATACTGGTTTAAAGCCCTAGAGCTGATTTTAAATTGTGTCCTTTTTCAGTTTTCATTCTTTGTTCCAACTCATGGATCATCTCTCCATACCTTAGGTAGATAGGAAGGAACCTCATCAAATTCTTCTGCATCTCACACATTACCCAAGTCCTAGGTGGCAATTCAGATGCTGAAATAGTGTATCTGCAATTAATCCCATGAACTTGGCTAGCAATGGCTTGAATAATATAGTCTTAATCTCAGAGACAGCCAGAAACCAGTGAAAGAGCAGCATACTAGTTGAGAGACAAAGAATTATATAACAGCTAGTGTTGGGGGGTGGGTGGGAGTGCACATTCTGACAAGTGTCCTTCTCAAGATTGTGAGGGTTTCATTAAAGAATTGAGAAGTCCAGATATGAGTGAACAGATTACATCAGCAATTTTCATTAGGTTGAGCTTTGAAATTCCATTGTGGGGCACCGCCTGGCCAACTTTATGGAAATTTTAGACTAGAGAATTAACTGTTGTGAGGGGCTTCCTGTCCATTCAGGATACCTAGCAGCACCCATGGCTTCTACCTGCAGGATGCCAGTAACACCTCCGACCCTTGTGACAACCACAAATGTCTCCCGACATTGCCAAGGGGCTTTGGGTGTATCCGGGAGAGATATTGCCCCTCTAAGAAGAATCACTCTAGAAAAAAGGTAGTATTATTTGTTTCCATTGCTTTTTTTCTACTTTAAAGTTATGTTCAACAAGTTTTAAGATATTAAAAGAGCAGAGAGAAATCACTAGATCTTAAGATATATCAGTGCCAATTCAACATAATAAGCAATGCATTTAGATTCCTCTTTCGGCATTCTTAATATTTAAGGAAGTCATAATCTGATATATGGATATGCACCAAAATAATGCAATGTACTTGGAAATACATCTTGGAAGATTACGCACAATTCATTGAGTAAAGGTGTAAGAATCTTTAGGATCCATTATTAGTTGGAAAACAATACTCTCTAAAATTGTCAGAGTGGTATTCTCTTATTAGCTATGAGAAACCATTAACCACACAGAGTAAGGTTTAAAAAAAATTCATCACTTGAAATCATTAGCTTCCTCATAAAATTGTGAGAAATGCAAAATTATTTTTCAAAAAATCATTAGTTACAGAGCACTGCATTATAAAGGCATGGGTCTGTTACTCTACCCTTTTCTGCATAAAAATGTGTCAGATGTGCAAGATCATTTATGTTGATAAATAGCTTTTAAACTATGTTTATGGCTTCATGATCAAGTCGATATTAGCTCTTCCATTTTAACAGTAATTTTTATGGTGAGACCATCTTTTAGATATGAAAAATCCTGAAATGAATGAGAATAAACATCACTTTTCATCCAGCTAAAAACAACAGTTTAAAAAGCAGTTTGTTCTGTGTACTCTGTGTCTCAGAGGCTGACTAGAGGCAGCTGCTTTAGTAAATGTCACTGCCTGAGTTCTAGTCACTGAAGATTTTGGCTTCCTTCCCTCTCTTCTTTGTGATTTTTTTTAAGGCTTAAAACAAGTGTCACAGCTTCTAAGAGAGAGCTTCAAGAGGCCCAAATAGTTATTTTCACCCAAGACACCTTGTTATATGGAAGATGAATGTCACACATTGTTGGCCTCAGAAATGAGTTATAAAATATCTTTTTTTCTCCATTTTTTCCAAATTTCTAAGGCTTTGGAATGATTTCAGCTAAATGTTTAAAAATGGGATCCAATATTACATTCTTACTATTTGATCATCTCTGTATGTAGGAGAGTTTTCCAGTTTTTTAGAAATCAATTACTATGTCCTATAAGGGGTTATTATATATTATAAATATAATACATTATATATTATAATATATATTATACTTATAATATTTAATATTATAAATATATAATATATAATAATATATATATAATATATTACATTCTTATTTTTTGATCATCTCTGTATATAGGAGAGTTTTCCAATTTTTTTTAGAAATCGATTACTATGTCCTATAAAGGGTTATTGTTTACATTTATTCCTCTCAGGTTTATTGATAACTTACATTGCCAAACAAGGTTTTTTAAAGTACCAAATGAAATAAACCTTACCCAAACTAATTTAGAAAAAAGAAAATTTATTGCCTCATGTGGAAGAAAAGGCTGGGAGTAGGGGAATGTTTGGAGAATACAGAGTGAAGTTTGGGCATTTCTAGTTCTTGTTACAGAGGCTACAATTGTTTTCTTTCTTTCTTTTTTTTTTTTTTTTTATGAGACGGAGTCTCCCTCTGTTGCCTGGGCTGGAGTGCAGTGGTGTGATCTCGGCTACTGCAACCTCCACCTCCTGGGTTCCAGTGAATCTCCTGCCTCAGCCTCCAGAGTAGCTGGGACTGTAAACAGGCGCACGCCACCATGTCTGGCTAATTTTTTTTTTTCTTTTTTGTGTTTAGTAGAGACGGGGTTTCACCGTGTTGCCCAGGCTGGTCTCAAACTCCTGAGCTCAGACAATCTGCCCACCTTGGTCTCCCAAGATGCTAGGATTACAGGTGTGAGCTACCATGCCCAGCCAGCTACAATTTATTTCTGAAGAAATCAGTCTCTCTAATGAGTTTTCTCTTTTTTATTTCACGTTGGT
The DNA here is from genome assembly GCF_000001405.40 of Homo sapiens. Classification (NCBI taxonomy): domain Eukaryota; kingdom Metazoa; phylum Chordata; class Mammalia; order Primates; family Hominidae; genus Homo; species Homo sapiens. Next base: position 87,198,431 of record NC_000014.9, on the reverse strand, counting down.
TTCATTCTCAGGCTCCTAGTGGTGACAGAATAGCTGCTGTAGTCTCTAGGCCTAAATCCTCCCATGAATCAGTGATGATGGGTAGAAGGCAGCACTCTGATTGTCCAGGACTGACTCAGGGGTACACCCTGGATTCCTCACTGGGCTTGATTCAATCTGTAGCATAGAGATTGAATGAGAGAAGGATTGGCCCTTCAGTGGAATGGCTAATGGGTACTAGTGGGCACAAGCAATGTTCATCCACTACAGCTGCTGTCTACATCTATATCAAAATGTTTGTTAAATAAACAATAAAGTCAAAAATCCAGGTGCTACAAGACAAACAGAAACATCCTTGCTCTTAGGCTGTTAAACTGGAGAAATGACCAGGTAGACACATAACTAAAATTCAAGCTAGTGAGAACTATCAGGCACCATGCTTTTGGCATGGAAGGGACTCTTTACTAAAATGTTCAGGGAAGATCTCTAAAGGAGCTAGTTTTGGGAAATAATCTTGAGTAGGATACAGACGTTCAGAAATGGAGGGAATGGCAAGAACAAATGGAGAGTGGGGTTCATGGAAGAGCAAGTCAGTCAGTTTAACCAAATCAGAAGTCAACAAACTATAGCCTGAGGCCTAATCCTGTTTCGTGAATAAAGTTTTATTGCAACACGGCCATGCCTACTTGTTTACATATTATCTATGGCTGCTTTTGTGGATTTGCATCATTATAGCTGTCTAGCATGAAAAGCCTAAAATATTTACTATCTGGCACTTTACTCCAAATGTTTACTGATCCCTGAACTATAAGATAAATTATGGAAAAGGCATCGGATTACCTGGAAAAGTCACATGAAGATAATAATTGAGCTCTTGATAATTAATTAATGCTTTTTAAGCAATGGAGGCCCATTGCAAGGTGCAGAGAAGTAGATGGTGTGATTAGAACTGAGCCTTACTAATACTAGTTTGGTGAAAGTACATAAAATGCATTGGAGGGAGGAGGCGCTTAACCATAAACTCCAACGTGGAGAATAATAACCAAGGAGCTTGTGACACATGCAGATTTCCAGCCCTGCCTCAGACATGCTAATACATCAGAGATCAGGGCATTCTCACACTGCTTGTTCTTAAAGTCCAGACTTTTAGAAAGGTTGAACTAAATTTCTAGGGAATGGTTTGTAGTCTCAAGATTACCATCATAGTTCATGTGAAAGATGACAGGGTCTCACTAGATGGTTGGCAGGCTTTCTTCTGTTGTTTACAAAGACAGGACTAGAGTTCAAATAGAGACTCCCCACCTCTTGCCCACTCCCCTTCTTTTAAACCCCAGGCTCCATCTCTACCACAAAGGGCCTCTTGAGCATGTGGACATTTGAGGCCAGGTTCCACACACACTCCCTCTCCTAACAGCCAAATCAGGTATGATAGTCTGTCTTTGGGAGGACAACCCAGAGAAGTAGTCTTGGGGCCCTTGGGCAAGATAGTCTAGGGTGCTGGGTACCTTCATTGTGGTCTAAATGAGCATCTGTGAACTTCAGATGAGCACATTCCCTTGGTCTTTGGAACATTCCATTTTATGGTGAAGTGGTTTTCCAGAGGAAGATCAGAGCAGAACCCCATGTAATCTGAGGTCCAAGACCAAGGCCCTGATTACCTGCTCTAAATGTGGGCCAGAGAAAGAAAATGAAGAAAAGATGTGTTTTCAAGATATTGCTATGACAAAATAAACCGGACTTGGTAACCATATTTGGTATGGGAGATCATGGAAAGGAGAATGAGTCAAGGGTAGAAAAGCTTTCAAGTCTCCATTAATGAGAGAAGTATGATGTCATCCGATAATAAAAACAGAAAGTCAGGAGAAGAAATATGCATGGAAAAAAACAAAATAAACCAACAAAACGTGTTGTTTGCTTTGGAAACTTATCCACTAGAAATAAGAATGAAATTTAAGTAGAGAGGACCTGCAAGAATTGGTAACTGTGAAAGAGAGATTAGAACTAGAAAGTGCAATTTAATGTTGACAGAATAGTCTTCTTCTTGACTTCCATCTCTCTTTACTCATGAATGCATTTGAATTTATTCTAACTGTACTGGTCCTTTATTCTTATCTGGATTATTTCAAATAGAAAAATTACTAGTCATCAACTACTTAACAACACTGAGGTAGAGTTTGTAAAGAAAGGCAACCAAAATGCTTAAATATACATAAATGTTTGATTATTTCCATTTTCTTAGCAGTATTCCAACTGATGAGTTGGTCCCCTACAATCCTCTAAAAATAAACGATGAAGATTTATTTCTAAAGCTAAACACTTTCCTTGTAAAATTAAAAGCATACAGATATAACACAAAATTATTTTTAATTCACTGCAATTATCTTTACTGATCCTCAAGTTACTCCATACGTGGCTAGTGGGAAATTTTTTATTTTGGCTCCTGAGTCAGTTTACATGACTCCAGTAGTCTTTGAGTTTCCTTGCTGTCAAAATTGTTTGCACCATTTTATCCTGGATTTAAGCATTTCTCAAAGAAGCACTGGGTCATTTTGATGAGATATACACTTTACAGAATATAACATGGATTAGAAAAGTGCTTATTGGTACTGGGCTGTTTCAATGCATGTATTTTAAAAGAGAAAATTTCTAATAATTTTATTCAAACACTTCCAATTTAATATGGGTTTTCCTCGACCTCACCAGTCTTTCAATGTCTTTCCCCCATGCCCAAATCACAGTTGTCAAGAACACCAATATAATTATTCACTTACTTCATTTGCCAATATACTTAGCATAGACTCACTTCCAGCTTCGACATCAATATGATGATTTGATGATTACTAAAAGTAGGAGGTTTTTGTTTGTTTGTTTTTTGTTTTCTACTGTTTTACCTTAGGATATATCCCAATATGAATGCTAGTTAAATTAAGGTGACATGGAATGGTTCCATTTTGTGTGGTTATGACAGCTAACTTATATGTAGTTAGGTTCTTTCATTTCATTTTTCTTCCAAATTTCATGCTTTGTCTTATTCATTTATTTTTGTAAATGTCAAATATTTGCATCTTTTCAAATATTTACAAAAGTTATCTTCAAAAGCATTCAGCTTCCATTCCAGTCCCCTGCAAAATGGCCCCTAATGGTAGCCATTTAATTTTGTTGGTGTTGTTCATCCTTTCATTTTTTAAAATATAAGCAAACATATATATATATATGGATATATATGGATATATATATATGGATATTTATATATAATGGTTTTCTCTATATATTCCAAACTGTGTTGTAGAATAAATGGTAACTCACTAAATATTCTTTCCTTCACTTTGCTTGTTTAATTTTTCACTTATTAGTAGATCCTGGTGATCACCTGTATTATATAGAATCATTTCTTATTTCTCTTACAGCTTCAGGGTATTCCATAATGCAGCTGTACCATGGTTTATTTAACTAGTTCTTCATTGGCAAATATTTAGATTATTTCCCGTATTTTACCTTTACAGAAAATACTACATTGAATTCCTTGTTTATATATATTTTTATATTTCACCAGTGTATCTTTGTGATATATTCCCAGAAGTAGAAATGCTTGGTCAAAGGGCAACTGTTTACATAATATTACTAGCTATTTTCAAATTCCCCTGCATAAGGTTGTACCATTTTGCATTCCCAACAGCAATGTCTAAGCGTACTGTATTTACACAGCCTCCTCAACAAAGTACTTCATAAAAATTTTAGAGTTTTGACAAGCAGAAAGATGACAACTGGTATCTTAATGTAGTTTTAATTTGTGTTTCTCTAATTTTGAGTGAAGTTAAGGATCTCTTCCTGTGTTTATAAGCTATTTTCTTTTTCTTTAGGCTGTCTATTCCTATCTCTAGTCCAATTCCCCATATAGTGCCTTCATGACTTGGTTCCTGCCATTTCACGTATAAGCTGATGGCCTGATGCATGGCACCCTTGAACACACACCTGCTGCCAGTTCATGTGAGAGGTTCTGCTTCATTCCTTTCTGCTTTTTCATCTCAGCTTTTGCACATGCCCTTCATTTTGCTCCAATTGTGTTACCTTCCAGCATTCCTATATGGAATGCCCTCTGTCCCTTGCAAATCAGCTCCCTTAAAGTGATCTGGAAAAATTCAACTGAGCTCTTTAAGAGTGCCTGCTTTGGAAGAGTCATGCACAAATAGAACACTTACATATTTGCAAATTTTATATGCCTTCTATGTTGCTGCAAAGTTATAAGGAGTATGTATTGCATTTATAACTTAAGCAAATCAAAGAGGAAAAAAATATTGAATTTCCCTTTGAAGTCTTCCTTGTTACCCAAGCAGAGATTTCTATAACCCATACTCTGATTCCACAGTGCTATCTACCTATCTATCTGTAGGACCCTGCTCAGTCTGGCATAAGAAGATACCAATGACTGCATGACTTAAACAACCAAAATTCATTTTCTCAGAGGTCTGGAGCCCAGAAGTCCAAGATTAAGGCCCCAGCAGAGTTGGTTTCTGGTGAGGCCTCTCTCTCTGGCTTATCAATGACCGCAGTCTTGCTATGACCTTCACATGGACTTTCCTCTGTGCACATGAAGGAAGGGAGGGAGAGAAAGAGAGATAGCAAGAGCACTCTGGTGTTTCTCTCTCTTCTTATAAGAAACCTGTCTTATTGGATTAGTACCTCACTCTTATGACCTCATTTAACCTTAATTACCCCCTAAAAGATCTTATATCCAAATGTAGTCACACTGGGGATTAGGGCTTCAACAAATGAACTTAGAAAGGACACCGAACTGTAAACATCCATGACAGCAACTCTTATTCCATTATCCATTCATCCATCCATCCATCTATCTTATTCATGTTGAATGCACTGTTAAAATGCATAAAACTGCCTGCTCGCTTATTTCTCTTTCCTCCATGTTTTGCCTTCGGTTGGAGTAGGCATTATAGTCTCATCACTTTAGATCCCTAGTCTAGCACATAATGGTTGCCCCAAAAATATCTGCTATTATACATAGTGGTTCAGAGGCTGGTCTTTGGGCATGTGATTGTGTAAACATTACATGTATTTCTGTAATCTTTTCCTGAAGATACAAATAGAGGAAGATTCCTTTGCCTTCTCTGATAGCTCATACTTATCATAAAATTATTTTATGTCATAATCAGGCAATGCAGACATGAAAAGTAAAACAGATTTTTTTTAAATGGAAAGTAATAGTCTTTACACAAATTTTTTTAAAGAGTGGGAATATATGATGATTTTCAGTAACAGTTTCCTATCAGTTAACTTGGAAGTTTAAATTACTTTTTGGAAATTTTCTAACTATATTACCTTATTACAGTTTATAAAATAATCAGTTTTCTTGCTTTCATCATGTCGTTTATATGCTGATAGAGAAATATACAGACAGCTGAAGTGTCTATAATTTATCAGCAATTGCAATTTCCTTAAATTTATTGAACTCTTTACCTGGGCTTTTAAAGCTGGTTTCGGATATGAATGACACACACAGCAGGCTGATATTTTGTGCTCTGATCCACTAGAATATAATGGGAAATTGCTCTCTGACTCTCGCTGATTCATCAGGAATTAGAAGGTTAGCAGTAACTCATTAAACACAGAGTTGCCATTTGCAGCTCCCACATGTAAGACATCTGGCCTAGAACTAGAAAGACATCCACTCAGACTCCTGCCAACAGAATCACTGTGACAGGAAACAATGAGGGTAGAGAGTTGGGGGAGATTCTTGGGACAACCCTCAGTTTCTCCACTGGAAGTAAGAGGAACTTGGGATGCTGCCAGGTTTTCTACAGTCTGGAGTGGATGGTGGATAGGTATTCTCAGGTCATGTGTGAAAAGTTCTACCTGTAGACTAATGTCCTGTAGATAGGTGACTGACATTTTTCAAAGTTCCCCGAGCCCTGCAACAGAGCTCTTTTTTTTTTTTTTTAATGTTAATGACTAGACATCTTCTCACCTCTAATAATCAGGAAATAACCGCTGTACATGGACTATTCTTTTGTCAAAGGGTGGCCCTATTGAAAAAAAATAACATGAGATTTGGAAATGGCCATTTGTGGACTTACATACTATGTCTGTTATCACCTGCTACTGGCCCTTGGGTAATCTACTTAATCTTCCTGAAGGAGAAAGGATACAAATACCTGTTTTTGATGACATTTAATGGATGAAATTAGGTTACGTATCTGAGGAGCATAGTGTAGTGCCTTGCTAATCGGTGTAGGTACCTTGATTTTTATTTTATGTATTATTTATTTCACCTGTGTAGAGTACTTTTTATCGCACAGGATGGGATAACTTTCTCATGTAGATTTTGTTTTTTCTCATGTATCTTTTCATGACTTTGACAACTTACTGGACACATTACTGCCTAGCATCTCTTATTGGATAGCTCCCTTGAATTTTTTTTTTCTTGATTCTCTTAATGTTTCTTGGTATCTCTCTCCTTTTCTTCATATGCCCAGTGGGCCCGAAAACCTGGCCAGTGTTAAACTAACTAAATGAAGATGCCAAATAGGGGCAAGAGTTTTACCATGTGCCAGCTGTGTGCACTTGAACTTAACTTCTCTCTCATCTACATTAGCTATTTTGTTCTTACCCTTAGCTTAGACTCCTACCAAGCTAGGTAGAGTTGCCAGTCCTCCTGATTCTAGTCAGCCTGCCTTCAAGTTCACTTCTCCTATAATCCAGGCTAACATGCCAATGCACCCATGCATTCAGCTGGCCACGACAGTGATTACACATTGCAAAGCAATTTCTTAGTGCAACTCCAATTCTCGCATTGCTTCTGTTTCTGCTGCTTCACTACCAACTCTTGGCCTAACCATTCGTATTTGGCAGTTGTAACAAGTCTTTCATTTTCTAACTCTCAGCTTTGCCTTAAGGAGCCTGGCTTGAATATGACCCACCAGCTCTTTCCAGAAATATATCCTGTTCCTGGGTCTGCAAACTAGGCAACATCAAGTAGAAGTTTAAATCCCAGCTCAGCCTCATATTTGCTGTATGAATTTTCCCTTGGTGTTCATGACAGGATGACTTGATCTCTACAGGCCACATGTGATGGTTAATTTTATCTGCTTGGCTAGGCCATGGCACCCAGATATCTAGTCAAACACTGTTCTGGATGTTCCTGTGAAGGTGATTTTGAGGTGGGATTAATATTCCAAATGATGGAGTTTGAGTAAAGCAGATTATCTCTATAATATAGATGAGCTTCATTTCATCAATTGAAGACCTTAAGAGAAAGGATTGCCCTTCTCAAAGAAGAGCGAATTCTTTCTTCAAACTTGAGTGCAACTCTCCCTCCACCCCCTCTTACCTTCTTTCTTATTTGTTTTGTTTCTCTGGAGAACTCTGGCTAATACACTACAGTTTCTTCTTGGTGAAATGGGAATAATATTTGCACCTAATTTCTAGGTTTATGATGACATTGAAGGAAACTAGCTTAGCACTTGACACAAAATAAGTGCCTAATAAATGCCAATTACTCTTCTAATCATGATTTACCTGCTCCTTTCATAACTCACTGTCTTGAATATTGATTTTGCTCCATTCTCAATGGAGCCATGGTTGCCATTCTCAATGACTTCATCTGGAAAACTTCTAGGATTCAGTCTAAATCCTACCTCTCCTGTGAAGCCAGCCTGAATGTCCCTCAGGCAGTTATCTATATATATAGTCCAAGGCTACAGCTTATTAAACGATTATTTATTTATTTAAATATAGCCTTCAAGAAGAGGTTTCAAATGTCTCCCAGTCTTTAAGATCACAGACTTTAATCTCAAACCTTGATGATGTTTGATTCTCAATAAGTATTCACTGAAGGAATATTATGAGATGTCTATACTAATTGTATTAGGAAAGGGAACCTTTTGTCAAACCCCTGTTTCTGTGTGGTAGGTAGGTAGATTCATTGATTCATGAAATATTTTTCAAGTGCCTGCTGTGGGCAAGGAGAGTGTCATTTTTTTTAGCTTCAGTTCTCAGGAGGCATATGACTTATTGACGGAAGTTGTATGGATACACAAGTAAGTGAGCCTCAGAGTAAAATCTTCCATTTGGAAGGCGTGAGAAAATGATATCAAAATCCGGAGGGGGAAGTGATTCTTTCTGCCTGGGTGAATCGAGAACAAGCTCTCATAGGAAATAACAACGTAAGTTTAGCCTTAAAGAAAAGGCAAGAATTGAACCGATGTAAGCGTAGAGAATAGCCCTTTCAGGTACAAAAAACAGAAGTAGGTGTGTGGCAGCTCACGCCTATAATTCCAGCACTTTGGGAAGCTGAGTGGGAGGACGGCAGCCTTGGCAACAGAGTGAGACCCCATCTTTACAAAAAATAGAAAAATTAACCCGACGTGGTGGCATGCACCTGTAGTCCCAGCTACTTGAAAAGCTGAGATGGGAAGATCACTTGAGTCCAGGCATTTGAGGTTGCAGTGAGCTACGACTGCAACACTGCACTTCAGCTTGGGCAGAAGAGTGAGACCCTGTCTGTATTAGTCAGGGTTCTCTAGAGGGACAGGACTAATAGGATAGATGTATATATGAAAGGGAGTTTATTAAGGAGTATTGACTCACAAGATCACAAGGTGAAGTCCCACAATAGACCATGTGCAAGCTGAGGAGCAAGAAAGCCAACCCAAGTCCAAAAACCTCAAAAGTAGGGAAACTGACAGTGCAGCCTTCAGTCTGTGGCCAAAGGCCCAAGAGCTGCTGGCAAACCACTTGTGTAGGTCCGAGAGTCCAAAAGCTGAAGAACTTGGAGTCTGATATTCAAGGACAGGAAGCATCCAGCACAGGAGAAAGATGGAGGCCAGAAGACTCAGCCAGTCTATTCCTTCCACATTCTTCTGTCTGCTTTTATCCTAGCCGGGCTGGCAGCTAATTAGATGGTGTCCACCGAGATTGAGGGTGGGTCTGCCTCTCCCAGTCCACTGACTCAAATGTTAATCTCCTTTGGCAACACCCTCACAGACAAATCCAGGAATAATACTTTGCATCCTTCAATCCAATCAAGTTGACACTCAATATTAACCATTACACTGTGTCTTAAAAAAGAGAAAAGAAAGAACGAACGAACGAAAGAAAGAAAGAAAGAAAAGAAAAGAGAGAGAGAAAGAGAGAGAGAGAAAGAGAGAAAGGAAAGAAAGAAAGAAAAAGAAAGAAAGAAAAAGAAAAGAAAGAAAAGAAAGAGAGAAACATAGGTCACATACACAGCCTAGGTGTGCAGAATAATAAGCAGGCTGCATTGGCTGTAGGTCAAGGTTGAGGATGGAAGCAGAAGGAGAATTTGGATGGAAAAGCTGAGGACCGCTTTATCAGAGCTGTAAATACTTGAATCTAAGCCCAAGGAGTTGACACTTCATTCAGTGGGCAGAGAAGACTCACTGAAGTTGTTTCAGCAGATTTCCAAAGTGGTTGATAAGTGTTTCATAGATGTTGGATACTCATACTTTTTTTTTTTTTTTGAGATGGAGTCTCACTCTGTCACCCAGGCTGGAGTGCAATGTCACAATCTCAGCTCACTGCAACCTCTGCCACCTGGATTCAAGTGATCCCTCCTGCCTGAGCTTCCTGAGTAGTGGGAATTACAGGTGCGTGCCACCACACCCGACTAATTTTTTGTATTTTTAGTAAGGACCGGGTTTCACCATGTTGGTCAGGCTGGTCTCAAACTCCTGACCTCGTGATCTGCCTGCCTTGGCCTCCTAAAGGGCTGGGATTACAGGCATGAGCCACTGCACCCGGATGGATACTCATACTTTTAATAGGAACCTTGTCATCTTGGAAGATGTGAGTAAAGAAGTTGCTATGAATTGGGAAACAATGGCTGTGGGTTTGACTGAAAAGAAGAGTTTGAAGTAGATAGCTGTTTTGTCACATCACGAATGACATGCAAAAGAAACAGAAAAAACACATTTTGTCCAAGGCTGCCAAACCACCGTTTTGGCCTCAGGAACAGTATTTAACACACGGAGCACTTACTATGAGAGAGGCACTGTTCAAGGACTATATAGGTGTCAACTCTTTTGTTCCTAAGAAATAAAGATCTTATTATCCCCCTTTTTACAGATGAAGAAATGGAGACAACAGAGAAGTTAAGTAAGTTACCCAAGGTTAGACAGCAGGAAAATGACAGAACTTCTTCATGGTACCGCTTTGCACTCCGCCAGGCAAGACACTGACTAGTATGCAGCTAGGGCTCTTCTCTTTAAACACTGCTGCTTTGAAATAGGAGGGATTAGATGGGATGAAACACACATCATTTTTCCTTTCTTTTTTTTTTAATACCTCTGGGTTGAAAACACCTTTTTTTTTCTCCTCTAAGTAGCACACTTCAGAAGTATGTTGGAAGCTACAGAGACAAGTTAAACTCTACATGAGCAATTTTTCCACCAAGGGAAAAGTGCCTGCCTGCCATTCTTTACAATCCTCCGGGAAGCCATCCTGAACAGGTAAATGACTCCACAGCGCAAAGGAGCTGAACAATTCTTTCCGTGCATGTCTCATTTTGGAATACAGAAGAGAATTCAATATGTCTTGCCAGGTTATTACAAAAGGAACCTGCTATTGCCTAGCTCATTATATGGCATCTGATACCAGATTTTAAACACAGTGAAACAAAATAACGTATATCTTTATTTTTCCTGACACAGAACCTTTTCTTGCTTTATACTGTGACGTGAGGCTGTAGTCATCTGATACTGAGAGCCTACCCTATCATGTATGGCTGGCTTGGACCCAGAGAAAATCAAGTGCTAAATTTGTATAATTTGGAATATGGGATAGGTAGTTTTACAACAAAGGAAGTTTGATTTTTGTTTTTGTTTTCTTAAGGAAGCCATATTCTCCCCCATTATTCAGTATAAAATTAATTTTCTATTTTCAGTAGTTTCTCTTGAGGAGGATGCCTCTTAGTTCATGCATGTTGCACACAAACAAAACATAATGATGTCATTCTGCACTGCAGCTTTTCTTCCTTTCTTCTTCCATTTGTTCACTATTTATTTAAGGCCCAATGTATGTCATTTGCTGCACTCTTATGGACTAGTGAAAATTATGGGATACATATACATTAAAGAGATGGTCTCTGCCTTGAAGGAGTTTAAGTCCCCTGGAGGAAAAAGTCATATGCATGTGTTTTAACACACAAAAAAACACTACGATGCTGTTTCACAGGAAAAAAATAGTAACCTTTTCGGAAGCAGGTAGAAGTTAGGTAGCACTAGGGTAGTATAATGTAAAAGGAGAGTTTCTCTGCCTCCAAGAGAGCTAAACAGTTAGCCAGGCCACGGGTGTATCACTCCAAGGGAAGGCCTTGAAACTTTCTCTGAGCACTTGATGTGCATGTCCCTGTTTATAAAGACTTCATTTTCCTTCATCTCTTCCAACATTGTCTTCACCCCTGGCTACCTTTCTAACAGCCCAACAAGCTGTGACACTTGCAATCTGCTGAATAAGGACAAGGCTTAAATCAGATGCAAATTTCTGAATGCTTCCTTTCCACCTACTTACATTTGCCATTTATATGCAAATGTAAGTCTACTCTCCGTTCTCATTGTAACACTCTGTCCCTCCAGCTTTGCCCTAACCTGGCTTTAGATGAAGGAGGGCTTCGCGCTCGTTAAATCTAGATCCACATTTAACTGTCCACTTGGTAACTCAAAAACCAAATGTCTCGGATCATAATTCTTCAGGAAATAGCTCTCTATAAAAATATATATCAGAGTCTGGGTGATAATGTAATCAAAAACTACGGGTGTTAGTTAAAGTGCTTAAAGGTAAATTTTCTGGCTGTATTCCCACATTCATGAAAAATGATCATTTTTTCAAAATCTCCAGTTTAGCAGTCTAATGCCTTTGGCAGAAATATGCACTAATGTATCGGGAACAGGCTTGTTTAGCACGTAGAAAACCCCAATCAGGACACTTCACTGATATATACGTCTGCATTGATTTTTGTGTTTTTCTTAAATGCTTATTTCTGATGAAATCTGTCCTATTGGCTCCACTCCTGGGATAGAAGCTGAGCTCTGCATTCTTCCCAGCAGCTCAGGGTGAAATAAACGCTTGTCTAATGCTGTATGGCTCAATGCCCCTGTGTCATATCTATGCATGCCATAAAAGCAGTGATAAACATGATATATTTTTATGACTCTGAATGCTCTATGTGTCAATAAAATATTTTTTAAACTGGATGAAGGCTGCAGTGAACCTGCCTCCCTGCTGAAGCACTGAGTCCCAGTATCCCGGGCTTGATTCTGCCCGGATGGCAGAATCATCAATCGTCTGTGATGAAATTAGGTGTCTAGTGCTTGCGGCATATGCAATGCTTTAGTCCTAATGGCCTAAGAGTTTTTTTCTCTGATACACATTGAGAAGCGTTTCCCTTGCTTCTTGTAGGGGAAATGGATCACAGCTATAATCGACCAGATGAGCTAAATGACCTTTCCTTATTTGAAATGCCCTGGGATTTTACGAGAGGAAAAGATCCATATATGCAAGAGAAACTGCAGTGTAAACTTTTCAAAGACATTTTAATAGGCTGCTTTAAAAATATAATTTAAATGTGGAGGAGCTTCTTTCCAGAATACTTTCATTGACCGAAGACAAGATGCCTTTCAAACTTTGGAGGGGCAGCATTGTTTGTTGTGTTGCAAACTACAAATGAATGATACTGCTAATTGTATTACTTATGTCTACACAGTGCTTTCTGTTTGCTAAAGCATTTTATGTTTAGTTCTCATAATAACATTTAGAAGAATGAGTTATGTCTTATTCCATTTGATAGTACATAGAGCTTAAGAAACTTTACACAGAACAAATAACAGCACTGGGACTAGAGCACATTAGAATGGATTAGATCAGGATGAGTTCCTCAACTATTCCCAGTAGGAGTATCAGCCATTCTATAATGAAAGTATTTTGAATACAGGACAATGAGTAAAAAGCATACTTTAAATGATGCTTTTGCCTGTTCACAGATAAAGATCAAGGACAAACATCAAGTCATGCTTTTGGAAAGAGGAGAACGTTTTCATTTCTAAACTTGCAAGTTTCCCAGATAAGCTGAATAAGAACACTTTTCTGCCCTTGCATATAAAGCGTGCATGTTTTATATTTTCCTTAGTTAACTCTATATCTGAGTTTTATTATTTGGGAATTAATGCCGTTTAATTTTGTTTTATTATCATTGGAGATAAGGAAGTGGCTGTGAAAGGAATTAATATTCATCTGCTATTTATTGTCACTGGTACATGACACTAGGTCCTACATAGTCTAGGCACTATGCATCTATTAACAAACAGCTCACAGTCTCCAAACAACTTTGTAAGTTGACCTGCTTTCCAATTTTCCAATTCATATCGCAGAGGAAAAGAAAAACCTCCAGCTCCTTAAGATATTGCTCATTAGCATAGGGCCGTACCTTGCAAATCTCCCCAGAATTGCTGATATTTACATACCGATTTGACATGCATTAGAATTTTAAGGGTCGGTGCTCTAAAATGTTAGCCCATTGAGCACATGAGCTGGAATCAGATGCGTAATGTTAACATTGCTTTCCCGTTCAATTACATAGCGTTTTGGTCAAAAGTTAAGTTGACACATTTCTGCCAATTCCCTTTTTTTATGATAGCCAAATGTCAAGTACGTTGCAAGTGAACGTTGGCATATGACAGATCAATAAGAAATCAGTGTTAATAAGGCCTTTATGGAGGCCCAGATTACACACTCAGATAAGAACAAATGAAATTTTGCAAGAAATCAGGTCAGGGCAGATTCCAGGTTCTGGCTCTTCTACTTCTCTTAGATAATATGCTGCTTTCATCCTACTGTGTGATAATACAATTTTTGAAAGCAATGCAGCTGAGCAATAATAGCATCCATTGCACAAGCGTGCCTAAACTCCTCAACATTGAGATATAGTGAATGTCACTTACAGACGTACTCTAACACAAATTTACTTTACTTCTTTATTGACAATAAATTCCAAGCATAGAGGAATCAAATAACTTGACTCGGCCCTCAAAGCTGGTCATAAATGTGTCAGATCAGCAATAAAATCGTGGCTTGTTAATTATAGAACTAAGGTCTTTTCAATTTTCAGCCTCTAATCTTTCATAATAGTGAGAATCTTGACACCTCTCACCTGAGAGTGTTAAGAAAAACCAGAGCTGGACAGTAGTTAAAGTTAAATAAAATAAAAACAGATTTTATTCAGAAAACAACAACAACAACAAAAACCTATGGTAAAGGCAAAAAAAGGTATCAACATAGACTCAAGCTTAATTCTGAATGCAACAAGAAATGTATAGCCAAGAACCAGAGTAAGGATCTGGTGAATGGAAAATTATTAAAAGAGAGTATCAGACATAAGGGGAGATTCTGCCTAAACCCACCTAACAGGATTCTTGCTGAAGGCAGGCCAAGGTAATCACACATCACCTGGGTGATGGGGGAGGATGAGGAACCCAATCAGATATTGAGGGTGATCAGATATTGAGGGCGGAGATGGGTCTTGCTGAACCCACTTACCAGGATGCACTCTTTGCACAGTTGGACTCTGTAAGAAAGAACAAAGGAGCTCAAGTGTTGGCCTAGTCAAAGAGGGAGTTCAGAGGAGCCTGGTCAAAATGTTGTCAAGGAAACGATCTTGTCACCAGAAAGGTACACAGTTTCTTCAAAATAACAGAGAGATCATTAAATTGAAGAAAAGTCTTAAGATATGGCATACACTGGAAAGTCCCTAACTACAAACTTGATGAAATCATTTGATTTCTCTGAGACTATTTCCTTAGATAATGGAAGTAAAATATTTAGCACAGTGCATACTGTATTAGCATTTGCGGCATATGTCAAGCATTCAAGATATGATAACAATTATTGTTGATTTGCTTCTCTTTTATCATCACCAACATGAACATTGGTAAGATTATGAACTTTTCTGTCAGAGACCAAGATTCACCTATTAGCTCTGCAATTTCTGTGGGTGACTCTAAAAAATTCATTTCTTCACTCAGAATATTTGTGTCTTTATCTATAAATTGAGGGTAACCAAATTATCTAGGAGCAAAATTAAAGAGCTAGCATAGGTACAGTATGAATTACATATGAAATATTCAATAGAAATTAAAGTCATAATATTTATTACTGTATAACAATGTAAATTTGTAAATATAATATATACACTATAACATATGTACTTTGTACTGTAATATTTAAATTAAGTATATTATATATCATGAATATCATATTATTTATTATTTTTATTCTTATTCATATTTATGAATGGAAACATTTAATGATGTATTTCTGCCAACAAACTATTTCTACTTTTACTTTACTACAGAGCATTTAGCGAAATGATTATAGCCACAAATCTTCACCAAAAAAGGAATACAGAAAAGAGAAGATTTAAAAAAAAAAAAAACAGCAGCTAATGAGCAACAGATTTAAAAAAGGAAAAGACTTTCTGAGAAGGTTAACTACCTCTGTGTAATCTCCCTTTAACTACATTGTATTCTTAATTCTATCTCCTTCGTGGATTAAACAAAAATTCTAATGGTTCCCTATTTAGTTATTAAGAAAACAAGAATGTAACATTCTTTTTCCTTCTCATTGAGATCCACCACCATGGAAACCACTGGGAATATTAGAAAAGGGGCAGTATTATTAACCATTCATTACACCTGCATTTCTATAGATTTTTCTTTCTTTCTTTCTTTTTTTCAAATTTTTGCTGTCTTTTTGGTTTACACTAGCTGGTGATAAGGACGCTTTGATATTTACTTCAGAAACTGTTTCTCAAAAAATCTGTAGAAGTATTTCTGGCTGATTTTAAACTCAGTAGACAGTAAACTATTTTGGATTAGATGTATTTAACAGGTGTAAAAGCTCTGATTCTCCATCTAATAATATAGGAATTGATACAACATACCTGGCAGAATTGTGAGGCTCAAAAGAGACTATTTACAGGATGTTTACAGTGTGATTTAACCAACTGGTTTTCACCTCATCCCAATGCTTTAGTAAAAATAATAGTAGAAAACATACATTGAACACTTATTCTGTGAAGAAGACCTTAGGAGTTTGGGACGCTATAGAAAAACAGGATTGGCCGGCACTGTGGCTTATGCCTGTAATCCCAACAGTTCAGGAGGCCGAGGCAGGCTGATCACCTGAGGTCAGGAGTTCGAGACCAGCCTGACCAACATGGTGAAACCTCGTCTCTACTAAAAATACAAAAAAATTAGCTGGGCGTGGTGGCACATGCCTGTAATCCCAGCTACTTGGGAGGCTGAGGCAGAAGAATCGCTTGAACCTGGGAGGCAGAGGTTGCGGTGAGCCGAGATGGCGCCATTGCACTCCAGCCTGGGCAACAAGAGTGAAACTCCATCTCAAAAAAAAAAAAAAAAGGAAAGAAAAGAAAAAGGAAAAACAGAATAAAAAAGATGGAACAACATGCTGAGCAACAAATATGTGGCTGGTGAAGAATGTAAGTCAATCATTTTTATAATGTATAATATTACTTTACCTATCATTCTCATATTCCCAAAGCATAGAGACAGGGTTAGGTAGGTTACATAAACATATAGACCAAATGCTTGAAAGACTGAGGATTTAAATTCAGGGCTCCTTAATCTTTACATAAAGGATTCTTGATTTGGGGATGGGGACAGAATTAGAGAGAAGAATGATTTTACATAATTTTATTTTTCTACTAGCTACGTAAGTACAAACTTCAGCAATCTCTCACCACTGATATTCCTCCCTGTTGTTTGCCTTGCAAACATACGGAATTGGCAATTAGTAGTTTACAGTCCTGATGTTTCACTTTTGCTGTCATCTGAGGTTTTTCTCAGCTTAGTAACTCCAAAAACCTGCCAAGCCTATAACAAGCTTTGAAAGATGGAGCACGGCACTTGGTGTAACAGCTGATATGATGATCAAATCCGTGGTCTCTGTGTGTGTGTGTCACCCTGTCTCCAGTCTGTTGCAGGACTTCTCTGAGTCCACAAGTTTAAGTTTGTTTGTACAATTTGGCAAAGCACCCTAGTCATAAAAATGGGCCATATTGTCTTTAAAAGATGTTGAAAGCTGTGTAAATGAATCAAATTCTGTGTAGTAAAGAATTTGGCCTTGCTGGAAGAGAGGTCTGGCAATTGCCCTCAACTTCTAGGAGATCTTTTCATATCTGATAAAAGCACCTTTGTTTAGGGAGGGGGCTTGCGGCAAGGAGCTCAGGGTGGAGTTGGTAAGACCTGATAATATTAGGAGGAGGCCTAACCACACCACAAAGAGCTCCTATGTGATTTAAGGTAGGGGCTTTGGATCATACAATATAATTCACCACGTGTGCAATGAATCAGTCATGCCCATGTCATGGAACTCCAGTGAAATCTCTGCACATAGAAGCTCCAGAGTTTATCTGGTTGGCAATACTCTATAAATATTGTCACACATTAATGTTGGGAAAATAACGTATCCTAATTCCATGGAAGATGACAAGGGAATATTCATGTTTGAAGCCCTCTCAGACTCTGACCTAGGTGTCTCTTCCTTTGGCTGATTTTATTCTGTATTGTTTTCCTGTAATACACTGTAACTGTGAGTATAATAGACTTCAGTGAGTTCTGAGAGTCCTTCTAGTAAATGGGTCATTTGAGGAACTTCCTGAACTTTCAGTTGGTGTCAAAAGTTAGGGTAGTCCTGCTGGCTGTGCCCTCAAACTTTTCAGTTTGGCTAATTGTGGTTAATAGCTCCTTTACAAAGAGAGAGAAAGAAGAAAGAGAGAGAAAGAGAAAATAGAAAAACATCTGTCTTTGAACTTTGTTCATTATGTCCAAATCTTGGACAAGCTCCATGCTAATTATGTCAACTTGAACCACTTATTTCAACTCTCTGATTTTCCATCTAATAATGTAGGAATTGATGCAACATACCTTGTAGGACTGTTGTGAAGATCAAAAGAGATGATTTATTTACAGGATATTTCCAGCATGATTTCTGATAGGTGCTTCATAAACATTATGTTTATTGTTTGAAATTTAGGATGGTCTCTTGGAAACACTCTTAGGGAAAAATCTATTCTTGGTTAAGTGTGGTCATTTCAGGCATAGACTCCAAAGACCTATGGGAGAGTTACATGGAATGGAGTATATTTGAGTTGCAGGCAGTGAATAGTTAAATGTGAAGCAACTGCCCACTTCATATACCCATGCAGAGAAAATCAGGAATGATTTAGAGAATTGCTGTTGTAAATGTGGAGGCTGTGGATCTGATGACTAAAGCGACCTCATTTAGGAATCACAGTCCAGTGAATCTAGGGAGCATTCAAGTTCAGTGACTTGTTTCTAGAATATATATTTATTAAGAACTTTTGGCCGGGCACTTTGGCTCTCGCCTGTACTCCCAGCACTTTGGGAAGGCAAGGCAGGCAGATCACTTGAGGCCGGGAGTTCGAGACCATCCTGGCCAACACGGCAAAACCCTATCTCTACTAAAAATACAAAAATTAACCAGGGATGGTGGCGTACGCCTATAGTCCCAGCCACTCGGGAGGCTGAGGTGGGAGAATCGCTTGAAGCCGGGAAGCAGAGGCTTCCGTGAGCCGAGATTGTGCCACTGTACTCCAGCCTGGGCAACAGAGTGAGACTCTGTCTCAAATATATATATATTTTGATGTGCCAGGCACTATTCTGGGAGCTGAGGAATTAGCAGTAAACAGACAAAATTCCTCTTTTTCATGGTGGTTCTTTCAGGAAAAACAAAAAATAAACGAATAATCGTATAACAGAAATGTCAGTAATAATTGATATGCAAAAAAATAAAGCCGTTCAAGAGGTTGGAGTGGAAGGGTAGTGCTATTTGATAATAGGTGGTCAGGGAAAACTGAGACTACAGAGGGAACAAGATTCGTCAATATCTGGGGGAAGAGTGTCCAAGACAGAGTGAAACCTAAATGGAATGTTCCTGGCTATACTGGGAGCCATAGGAGACCAGCCTGGCTACAGCATTTACTTTTATCAATATTCTCTAGTCAGTCACAAATTTTAATTTAATTATTGTATTGCCAAGTAATATTTTAAAATTGGACAAAATATTTTTATCAGACCTTTGAGGTAACATACAACTAAGATAAAACATTGTAAAGACAACGTAGTGAGACTTTTTAAGTGAGCTGCTTAAAAGCATTATAAAAAGACAGTGAATAGAGTCCACGTGCAGTGGCTCACGCCTGTAATCCCAACACTGTGGGAGGCTGAGGCAGGTGATTCACCTGAGGTCAGGAGTTCCAGACCAGCTTGGCCAACATGGTGAAACCCTGTCTCTACTAAAAATACAAAAATTAGCTGGGTGTGGTGGCAGGTGCCTGTAATCCCAGCTACTAGAGAGGCTGAGGCAGGAGAATTGCTTGAACCCAGGAGGTGGAGGTTGCAGTGAGCCAAGATCGTGCCACTGCATTCCGGCCCGGGCAACAGATAGTGAAGACCCAAGATTTGACAGCCAGATTGGTGTACCAACAGCAGCAGCCTGGAAATGCTCCCTGAAATAATTAACTTCCATCTGATGTCCTTAGAGAACCATTGAAAGCCATTAGTAAAGGGATAGATGATTTCAATTTTGTTACTTGGAAAAAATCAAGTTAGGGCCTTCCCACACATCATGTACCAAAATATTTTTAAATAAGTTATTTTCATATAAGATTGCAATCCATAAAAATGAGAATAAGGCATGAGTTAGGACTTAGACAATCTTGGACTAGAAAGTGGCTTGCAATATCTTTAGCTAAAATAAAAATTTTAAAAACACATTAAAATATAATACAGCCTGTCTCCCCAGTTATTGGCAATAAGTGTTTTTTACTCAAATAAGAAAATAAAATAGTTGAAGGGGAAGGAAAATGACTACATGGGGCACTTTTCTGATGTCTCAGCATTTCCCTGTTTTCGATTTTACTTATGTCCTAAGCATGAGTCTGTTGGTGTTATCTGAAATTTGCATTTTCACATACTAATGAGAAGTGTTAGTCATCACAATTCTTAAAATGAACATTATATGCAATCAATCTATTTTCAAATATTTTTAAATTATACTTCCCCATACAAAAAACCAGAAGAGTTTAGATAAGCTTCAGAAAATAATTGTATTGCTTAGATACCTGTAGAAATTCTTTATGAATTCTGCACCTCGTCCATCCTAATATTTCTAGAGACTGTGATAGAATACGCTTCCATGGAAGGAGACATTTGAGAACATTTGGATCCCACTTTCAAAGTAGGATGTTTTATTTTCCCCTCCATTTCACTCACAATCAGAAACATATGGAATGTTTTATTTGCAGGCTACAAAAACAAATCAAACAAGCAATCCTGTGTTGGAAAGAATTTATTCCTCCTGTGGAACAGGAGTCTAGCTCTGTGTCCAAACTTCCAAGCCCACTGCTTTCTCTCTACAGTCATCAAAGTTAATAGCTGCTTCTGTGCCCTCTGTTATTCCCTCTACTCTGGCAGTATTATAGGGCAGGCCTCGTTTTCCCTTCTGAGATTCATTATTCTGTCCTCTTCAGCTTCATGGAAATATTTACCCAATTATTGTCAGTTTCTCCATCAGGATTGCTGATTGTGTGGTTATTCTGCTGATAAGGTTTCTTATCTCTTTCCTTGAGTCCCTTGATTCTCTACCTACAGGCAATTTCTATCCATGTGTAAAGGCATTTTCTAGCTATGTGTACTGTTTGTTCTTGCATTGTTATAGAGAAATACTTGAGACTGGGTAATTTAGAAAGAAAAGAGGTGTAGTTGGCTCATGGTTCCACAGGCTGTACAGGAAGCATGATGCTGGCATCTGCTTGGCTTCTGGGGAGACCTCAGGAAACTTACAGTCATCATGGAAGGTGAAGGGGAAGCAGGCTATGGCCAGAGCAGGAGGAAGAGAGAGAGAGGAGGTGGGAGGTGCCACACACTTTTAAACAACTCGATCTCCTGAGAACTCTATCATGAGAACAGCACTAGGGGGATGGTGCTAAACCATCCCCCCATGATCCAATCACCTCCCACCAGTCCCCACCTCCAGTACTGGGAATTACATTTCAACATGAGATTTGGGTGGGAATACAGATCCAAACTATATCACAATGGACACCTCATTCCTACAGTTTTGGTGAAAACCTTAGATACAGGCAAATGAGGGTGCATCCATAGCCAGTCCCTGGGCATCTTCCCTCTCTCATACGTAGTAAGAAGGTTGTATTAGTCCGAGTTCTCTAGAGGGCCAGGACTAATAAGATAGATGTATATATGAAGGGGAGTTTATTAAGGAGATTTGACTCACACAATCACAAAGTGAAGTCCCACAATAGGCTGTCTGCAAGCTGAGGAGCAAGGAAGCCCGTCTGAGTCCCAAAACCTCAAAAGTAGGGAAGCTGAAAGTGCAGCCTTCAGTCTGTGGCTGAAGGCCCGAGAGCCCCCTGGCAAACCAGTGGTTTATTAGGTCCAAGAGCCTAAAAGCTGAAGAACTTGGAGTCTGATGTTTCAGGGCAGGAAGCATCCAGCACAGGAGATAGATGGAGGCCACAAGACTTAACCAGTCTAATCCTTCCATGTTCTTCTGCCTGCTTTTATTCTAGCTGTACTGGCAGCTGATTTGATTGTGCACACCAAGATTGCAGGTGGGTCTGCCTCTCCCAGTCCACTGACCCAAATGTTAATCTCCTTTGACAACATCCTCACAGACACACCCAGGAATAATACTTGCATCTTTCAATCCAATTAAGTTGACATTCAATATTAGCCATCACAGACATGCAAAAAGGATGTTAACTAGCTTGTTTCATCTTCTAATGGTCTTATCTTTCCCTATTGGAATATTTTCTGCAACCAGATATTAAGATTTTATAGAATGAAAAAACAGGGGCTGCTTTTTAGAATTGGACATAGAATTTGTTGCATTATTTTCTGCTGGTAGATTGGATCTTACTGGTGATTTTTGATGTGTTTTACAGCTTAAAACCTCTTTTGTAGGTGTTATTTTTCAGCTGTTCAACAATATTTGAATAACCTAAGCTATTAGGTTTGTGACCAACATGGCTTTCTCCCCATCTTCCCTTGGACCATTTCTCTTTAGTTTTCAGTTCCACCTGAAGAATGTTAAGGCACTCCTAACATAGATCCTTTAGCCCCTGTCTCCATCGCGAGATTCTATTACAGTGACCCCAAAATATGTTCTTTGAAGGTAGAAGATGGTGATGGTAAACCACATAAAGGTGAATAAACACAGCACTTGTGAGATAAGTGAATTACAACATGAAATATCAGCAATTTGAGTCAGGGATTGCATCTTGTTCTAGACACCATCACACTGGATGTGCTGAACAAAACATTGTTTAATGAAACAATGCTTCATATGAGAAAAGTTTGTAAATAATCAGATCCAAGTAAGAGTCTACAGAAGTTTGGTTTTTTTGGCCACAAAAATAAAATACAGTTATTTGCAAAACAGTAATAAGTAGAAGTATTCAAGTATAGACATGGGTGTAAATTTGCAGTATACAATTAAGCGTGCAGAAATATGATGCATAAAGGGGGCGTTCCCTGTGACATTAGAATTTCATTGCTTTTGGGCACTTCCAATTTTATGGCCAAATCCACCCATGCAGGTGTCAGAGTGAAGAAATAGTTGCATAGAGTATGGTTTAAAGCCCTTTGGAGCCCATTCATATCAACCAGATCACTGGTCTTTCTCCTGCCATATGCTTGCCTTATATGGTACTTATAAAGAATGCTGACTGATTTTTTTTTCAGCATAAAAAGTTTTAATTTTTCCAAACAAATTTTTTCAAATGGCAAATGAACAGAAATTCAAAAGTTGCAAATTCACAGCTGCAGTCTGTGGGGAGAGAAAAACTTCACCCATCAAATCTGCAAAATATACCAGAACATAAAAAAAAATCAATTGATTGGCAGATGTGGATATTTACATCTCTCTCTTTAATTGCTTAAAATCAGCGAGTTGGGAGACTTCACTAAACTTGGCAGCAATTCAAGTTGAGTACAGCTTCTCTTTGGCAGGAGGCTGAGAAAACTGAAATGTGTATGATACCTTTAAAAAAGAGGATTAAAAAAAACCAGGGGAGATAATGAGGAAATTACAACCAGCAAAGCTGAAGAAGTTCAGTGTTGTAGCCTGAGGGATATTAAGAGAGGAGCAAGTTCAAAGAAGCATAGAATTGTCATCATCGAATGCAGAGGAGTTAAATATCATAGACTAATCTAGGTTAATATATTTTAAAAAATAATAGTTTAAAATTATTTTTGAACAATTATAATTGAGAATAAGGTTTTAAAAGCAGCGACATGACACTACTAGTATCTTACCCAAACAATATTTATTTGGTTTCATAAAGGTCAAGGAAAATTGCTTCTATTTTTAAAGAAATAGGGATTTTTAGAACCACAGGAAGTGCTTACATGGATTTTCAGCCCACTGTGATACTGAAGGTGCCTTAACTGGAAGTAAAGGCAAACCTCATGTCAGCCACTGCCTGCATGTCTATGTATTGCCACAGTGGGAAACAGTTCCTCCTTTTCCATCTTCAAAATATCACTGGATGTTTCTCATTGATGGCGTTTAAATATAACTCTGCTGACAAAAGAATTTGCTAAACGGTTTTGAGGCTTTTAGCTCCCATAATATCAAGCCTAACTTAAAGGGCAGAGATAGTACTGAGTATCAACTAAGAATATTTGGCATAGACACATATAAGAATGACTAAAGCACTTAAACGAAGCGGAGACAGTAATATTTGGATTAGAAATTGCAAGGAACTGGCTGAATTTTCTAATTTATAAATGAACTTCATGTTTTATATACTTGAAATTAGGTATAATTAGCATAATTATCTTGATGAGGACATTGAAGATATGAAATGTTAACTTTCCTAAGATAACGTATATACCAACTTATTTTTGAAATTTGATTCAAAGTTTTGAAACATAAAAACACATGATCTTTCACCTATCCCACATATTTCCCAATAGAAAGCCAGGGAACTAAGATTCCCAGAGTAAAGATTTGTGTTCAATATGCAGAGTAAAACCTATAGGTTGGTGCTAAAATAACTGAGTTTTTGCCATTACTTTCAGTGGCACAAACTGCAATTACTTTTGCAAAATCCTATTATTATAGAAAAGATTATGAAGAGAATTTGTGGCATTATTTTTCTCTTATTGCCTTAGAAAAGAAGTGATTTCAGGGATCAGAAACTGTTTCTACATGCTCTTGAGATCTGTGTATGCTTTAAAAATCAGTTATTTTTATTTTTACAATTTTTTTCTATCAACTTATGAATTTCTCTTCCTCCACCAGTTTTTGTAACATCTAAATCCCAAGTTTAAAATATCTTAGTGTTCTGAATTCTTATATACCCTTTTAAGTTAGGCTTTTTAAAAATCATAGTTTTTTTATTTTATTATTTGTATTGCCAATACCATCCTGTTTTGGATATTATACACTGCTATCACGTCTAATACTCTAAAACTCACTGTTTAGTCCTGTTTTCCAAGTTGTCTGTTATGAATTCACTTTTTCTTTCTAACTTAGGTTAAGTTTAAAGAATTGCAACATCCTACAAAATACCATTAAACATTTTGCTCACATTTCTTTTAATTTACTTCTAAATTAAATTAAATTCTCAATTTGAGCAGTTTCTCCAGGGAATTATTTATTTATTTACCTATTTTTGTCTATTAAGGTTATTTCTATGTTCCTCAATAATGTTCCATAGATTTTTCTCATAGTGGTTTGCTAAGCTTTCTAAGTTCATTCCTAAGTATTTTGTAATTTAGTTAGCATTCAAAATGGTATTTGTTTTCCATTAAGCTGTGTAGTGTTTTTTAATTGCTGGTACACAAAATATATTATTTTTTTGAAATGTTTATTTATAACTCCCTATCTACTACCCAGAGACTCAAACAAATCTTGATAGCTTTTTTTGGTCTAATGATACAATTTGCAATTCATTATAATTTTCTTCCATTTTAAAATTTTGATTACTACATTTCTTCTCCTCCTTCTCCTCCTCCTCCTTGTCCTTCTCCTTCAATGGCCATTACTAAAATTTTCAGGGCATTGACCAATAGTAGTGATAGAAAGTGGTAGAACTGATAGAAGCCTTTCCTCTGACTTAATTCATAATGACTGGTGTTTCATTCAGTTGTCAGTTCTACCTTACTGCTTTCAACCTATGTCTGAAATGTTCTCCCCACACATAAACACACAACTAGATTCTTTACTTCATTTTGGGTATTTATTCAAAACTCACCTTCCAATTCATGTAAACCCCATGAAAGGCAGAGGCCATCTTCTTTGACTCTTTCTTATGTACTCAGATTTTAGGCAGAGCTTAGTAAATATCTGTTGACTCCATGTTATTGAGCCATTGAGAATAGCGTTGCTTGGTAGCTTGACACAACTATTTTTTATTATGTTGAGAAAATTAACTGTATTATGTATTCATATACATTTGATCAGGCCTAGATTCTCAGTTCTACTAAACACTGTACGATCTCTTGAAAGGATAAAATTATTCTCTTTTTACTTTTGATCTAATCAAGTTAGACTTGTATTAGATTTTGTAAACATTAAATGACTCTTGCATTCTTGTAATGAATACTGCTTGTTTGCAATGTATTATTTTAATAATATGCTGAATTTGATTTGCCAGGACTTTATTTAGTACCCATCTAAACTCAAAAGTGAGGGTTTCCTGTACTTTTATGATTGTGCCTCATTTGTTAGGTATAGGTATTTGGGTTAAGTGATGTTCGAAAGCAGAGATAGGGATGTTTTTCACATTAGATACAGAAATGCCTATTAGACATGACATAGACTTAATATTGAATTAAATTTTATAACTGTATTTTATCTCAATTCTATGTTTATCTGGTTTCATTACATTCCAGCAGTTATTCTATACCAACACTTGCATAGAAGCTGTTTTATTAATCTCTTATTAAGGTAAAGTTACTTAAATCCCATGTCTCCCCTACCCCACTTGCCAGAATGCTACAAGAAAGGCCTACTTTCTGAACTTTTACTTGTCTGAAATATTCACTCATCTCACATAGGAAGGACAAATTCACTGGTTACTTTTCTCACTACACTCTATGCTAACTTCTTCTATTGTTTAGAATTGAAAATAAATGTAAAACCAGTCTATAGTTTTACCTGCATAAAAGGAGCTCTTCAGCCAGGCGCAGTGGCTCACACCTATAATCCCAGCACTTTGGGAGGCCAAGGAGGGTGGATCACGAGGTCAGGAGATCGAGGCCATCCTGGCCAACACGGTGAAACTCTGTCTCTACCAAAAATACAAAAAATTAGCCAGACATGGTGGCGGGCACCTGTAATCCTAGCTACTTGGGAGGCTGAGGCAGGAGAATCACTTGAACCCTGGAGGCAGAGGTTGCAATGAGCTGAGATTGTGCCACTGTGCTCCAGCCTGGTGACAGAGCAAGACTCCATATCAAAAAAAAAAAAAAAAAAAAAAAGGAGCTCTTCCTGACTGAATTTTAAATTCTTTTTCTTTGTCTTGGAAATTTCAGGACGTGTCTAACTAGTTTTTTTAGTAAATCAAAATTCCTATTTTCTCCATATAATTATTATTATGGTTGTTGTTATTATTTATTTTAGTTAAGTTTCCTTCTATGTCTCATATTATTTCTGTTCTATTTTTATAGGGTTGCTGCTTGGTCAGGTCTCTGCAGGTTACTTCCAAGGAGACCAACCTATAGGAAGAGCAAATCCATCTTTCATGCCTCCCTCAGACAGATCTCATTTACATTGACTCCAGAAAAAAATTCATCAATGTTTGTGATATTTGAAGGGTACCTTTTTCAATTTTAGAATTTTTATATCTCTCTAAATTCTGTATCTTGAAGGGAATCTAGAAAGAATAGGCATTAGAATTTTTAGTTAGAATTTGTGTTTTACTCAAAATTCTTGCCTGGATCAAGTGTTTCCTTAAATACTTGGCATAACGCCTGGTGAATAAGAAATACTTCAATCAAGAAGGAAATGGGATTGGATGTATGAGATTCTTTATTCAAATGATATCTTTTAGAGTACAGACTTGGAAACCACAGCTACCCTAAGGATTATATTTTGGGAGTGTAGAAATATTCAAGAAGATATATAAATTTCTTTATGATGACAAAGATTCTTTCAAAGGAAAGGAAGCGGAGATAGAAATACACTAATGATAACAAAATGCACAAAGTTATATCCATAGTCATCTCATTATAAGGTAATGCTGTTACAAGGTTATAATGCTGTTATAACACCGTTGCCCTTCTACCCAGAACTTTCACTGGCTCCCTGTTTTACTCAGAGCAAAAGCTAAAGGATTTGTTATGTCCTCCAAGTCACAGATGATTTGTTCCTTTTGCTTCATTGAGTTGTCTCCCACTGGCCTCATCCCTGTGTAGTCAGCTTGGTCTTCACTGGTGTCCCTTATAAGCTGATATGCTTGTCTCACTCCTACCTCAGTCACTTGTCATTTTTTTTTTCTGCTTAAAATGCTCCCTCTACAAACACATATGCAACTAGATTCTTCATCTCCTTGTGGGTCTTGATTGCAAATTCACCCTTTTCTTAAGACCATTCTATCTAAAATTTTAATCTCCCATCAACATTTCATACTCCCATTCTCTTATTTACTTATTTTTCTTATCATGACAGAAAATGCTTTGCATTTCACCTGTGTATCTTGTTCATTGTTGTTCTTTCTTGTTTCCATACAGGCTTTATAAGGACAGGGCATTTAGTATGTTGTGTTCACTATTGCAACCCTGGTTCCCAGAACAGGGTCTGACCACCAGTAGGGATTCAATAAATATCTGTAAAATGAATAAATAATGAGATGTGATAACAAAATGGTTTGGCTTTGTGTCCCCACCCAAATCTCCTCTGGAATTTTAATCCCTACACGTCAAAGGAGGGACTTGGTGGGAGGTAATTGGATCATGGGGTTGGTTTCCCCCATGCTGTTCTCATAATAGTGACTGAGTACTCACAAGATCTAATGGTTTTAAAAGTGTTTGGAAGTTCCTCCTTTGTTCTCTCTCTCCTGCCACTTCGTGAAGGAGCTGCCTGCTTCCCTTTCATTGTCTGCCATAACTGTAAGTTTCCTGAGGCCTCCCCAGCCATTCGGAACTGTAAGTCAATTAAACCCCTTTCCCTTATAAATTACCCAGTCTCAGGAATTTCTTTATAGCAGTGTTAGAACGGATTAGTACAGGAAACTGGTACTGCAGCAGAGTGGGGCACCACTAAAAAGATAACCTGAAAATGTGGAAGTGACTTTGGAACTGAGTAACTGGGCAGAGGTTGGAACAATTTCAAGGGCTCAGAAGAAAACAGGAAGATGTGGAAAAGTCTGGAACTTCCTAGAGACTTGTTGAATTGTTTTGACCAAAATGCTGATAGTGATATGGGCAACAAAGTCCAAGCTGAGGTCGTCTCAGATGAAGATTAGGAACTTATTGGGAACTGGAGCAAAAGTCACTCTTGCTATGCTTTAGCAAAGAGGCTGGCAGCATTTTGCCCCTGCCCTAGAGATCTGTAGAACTTTGAATTTGAGAGAGATGATCTGAAATTGAAACTTATGTTTAAAACGGGAGCCGAGTGAAAATGTTTGAAAAATTTGCAACCTGACCATGCAATAGAAAAGAAAATCCCATTTTCTGGGGAGAAATTCAAGCCAGCTGTGGAAATTTGCATAAGAAATGAGAAGCTGAATGTTAATAGCCAAGACATGGGGAAAATTTCTCCAGGGCATGTTAGAGATCTTCAAGGGAGAGATTCCCATCATAGGGCAGGAGGCCTGAAAGGGAAAAATGGTTTCATGGGTCAGGCCCAAGGCACCCCTGCTCTGTGCAGCCTCAGGACATGGTGCCCTTTGTCCCAGCCTTTCCAGCTCCAGCCATGGCTAAAAGGGGCCAATTGCTTCTGAGGTGAAAGCCCCAAGCATTGGTGGCTTCCATGTGGTGTTGGGATTGTAGGTGCACAGAAGAGAAGAGTTGAGCTTTTGGAACCTCTGCCTAGATTTCAGAGGGAGTATGGAAACGCCTGGATGTCCAGAGAGAAGTCTGCTGTAGTGGCAGAACCCTCATGGGGAACCTCTGCTAGGGCAGTGCAGAAGGGAAATGTGAGGTTGGAGCCCCCACACGAAGTCCCCACTGGGGTACTACCTAGAAGAGCTGTGAGAACAGGGCCACCATCCTCCAGTCCCCAGAATGGTAGGTGCACCAACAGCTTGCACTATGCACCTAGAAAAGCTACAGGCACTCAACACCAGGCCAAGAGAGCAGCTGTGGAAACTGAACCCTGCAAAGCCACAGGGCAAAGGTGCCAAAGGCCTTGGGAGCCTACCCTTTGTATCAGCATGCCCTGGATGTGAGATATGGAGTCAAAGGAGATTATTTTGGAACATTAAGATTTAATGACTGCCTTGCTGGATTTTGGGCTTGTATGGCGCCCGTTATCTTCTATGTTTTGGCAAATTTCTCCCATTTGAAATGGGAGAACTTATCCAATGCCTGTACCCCCATTGTGTCTTTGACATAACTAACTTGTTTTTGATTTTACAGGCTCACGGGCAGAAAGGACTTGCTTTGTCTCAGATGAGACTTTGGACTTGGACTTTGGAGTTAATTTTGGAATGAGTTAAGACTTTGGGGGACTGTTGGAGGACTTGAACTTTTGAATTAATGCTGGAATGAGTTAAGACTTTGGGGGATTGTTGGAAGGCATAATTACTTTTAAAATATGAGGACATGAGATATTTGGCAGTTCCTCCTTTTCTCTCCCCAACCCTCTCTCTCTCAATCTCCTGCAGCCTTGTGTACAGAGTGCCTGCTTCCTCTTCACCTTCCATCATGATTGTAAGTTTCCTGAGGCCTCCCCAGCCACGTGTAACT
The DNA here is from genome assembly GCF_000001405.40 of Homo sapiens. NCBI lineage: Eukaryota > Metazoa > Chordata > Mammalia > Primates > Hominidae > Homo > Homo sapiens. Next base: position 87,168,450 of record NC_000014.9, on the reverse strand, counting down.
GTGAGTCAATTAAATCTTTTTTTAAAAATAAATTAACTAGTCTCAGGTATTTCTTTATAGCAGCATGAAAACTGACTAATACAGTGTCTTAGTTCGTTTCAGTTTCTATAACAGAATACCAAAAACTGGGTAATTCATAAAGAGGATTATTTGGCTCAAGCTTCTTAAGGCTGGGAATTTTGAGAGCATGTTGCTGGCATCTGGTGAGTGTCATCTCATGGCAGAAGGACAGAAGACAGACAGAAAGCATGAGGGGCAGATTGCCTTTTATAGTAATTCACTCTATGATAATAAAAACTCACTCCTTCAATAATGACATTAATCCATTCATAAGCTCTGTGCTCATGACCCAGTCACCTGTTAATAGACCTCACCTCCCAACACTGTTGCATTGGGAATTTAGTTTCCAACATATGCATTTGGGGAAGACATTCACACCATAGCAAACGGCAACAATGTAATTGATTACTTAGAAAATACAATTTGCAATATCCAAGCTAGTATTGAAATTTCCATCTGGAACTATGATTGAGTTGGGGACCTAGTACTGTGTATAGGAAATTGGGCAACCTTTGAATTGGGTTTTCTCTTAGATGGCTTTATGCTTTATGGCAGTGAACAATATGTGTAACAAAGAGCTATGAAAATTATGGGGCTGATGGTAGTAACTCTGATTCTGATAGAATACAAAAGGCTGTTATTCATTTACAGAGCTATTTCCAGATAGTGCTATATTTACTTATTGATATTATGTTTATAGCAATACAACTAAAGCTAACTTCCAGGCAGCATCCCTGCCCGTGTCCATTCTGGTTGGCTGTTAATTATTTTGAATGCCATCCCTAGTGAGTGTTTAAGAAACACCTTCATTATTGGAAATCTATTAAAAAAAAACTCTGTTACTATAGGTCTAAATTGTTTTAGGCCCTCACTTCCTTCTCCATTAAGTAATTTTTCTTTTTTTTTTTTTTTGAGACGGAGTCTTGCTGTTGCCCAGGCTGGAGTGCAGTGTTGCGATCTCGGCTCACTGCAAGCTCTGCCTCCTGGGTTCACGCCATTCTCCTGCCTCAGCCTCCCAAGTAGCTGGGACTACAGGCACCCGCCACTACACCAGGCTAATTTTTTGTATTTTTAGTAGAGACGGGGTTTCACTGTGTTAGCCAGGATGGTCTCGATCTCCTGACCTTGTGATCCGCCCACCTTGGCCTCCCAAAGTGCTGGGATTACAGGTGTGAGCCACCGCGCCTGGCCTAAGTAATTATTTTTTATCTTTATTTGTGATAAAGCAAAGTTTTTAGAAATTCAACAGTAGCATTAGAGTAAAGCACCCTGTAATCTCTCATGATGTCTTCATGGGTGATTCCATGTTTGCTCTTTTCCTTTGCATATATTTCACATGGTGGAGTTTTCTCAACACTTACTTCTCAGATAAAATGTTATTATACCTTTACAGAGAGGCTATCCTTGTCCACATAACCTAGAGTAGTTCATCTCAACCTTCCCTGCCACTGATCCTTTTTCCCCTATAACATATGTCATGACCTGAAGTTATTTATTTATGTATGTATTTATGTGTAGGTGTATTCAATTGTTTGTATATTCCTTTGCTAGAATATAAATTTCACCATGAGAGGATTTTGTCTATCTTTTTCAATACTGTATCTCCAACACATAGAATGGTGCCTGGTACATATTAGACATTCAAAAAATAGTTGTGAATCAAATGAATTAATGCTGATATCTAATAGTTGCTTGATATTTAAACTACTGAATCTTATATTAGCATTGAATCATGGAGTAGGTGTTACAGATAATGAAGAGAGAAAACAAAGAATAGCAGAACACAATCTAAAATAAAATCTACTTAGTTGTCTCATGTATTAAGTTATCATATGTGGCATCTGGAAGCTCTGCTCTTACTAGTTCTATTTTCATACTGTCAACAAGCTGCTGCCACATCCATAAAAGTGAAACATTTATGCACCAATGCAAAAGAGTTACTTTTGACTTTTCTTTCTCCTGTAAAGCACTCAAAAATACAATTCTAAAAGATGAAATGACTGGGGGAGGATGGATGGTGGGAGAATTGTATGACTTAAACCAGAAGCTTACATAAGGATTGAATCTGGTCCTTAACATTAAAGTGGTAGTTGCATTTTGGAAAATTGAAATCATGATGCTTGGCTGAGCTGTAGGTGTACTCTCAATGGCATTATATGATTTGACTTAAATAGAAAAGCAATTTAAATTCTTGTTTAAATTAGCACTGAACTCCAATATCACCTATACTAATTTTATGTTTAGAGGTATATTTTACATTCAGTACTTCTGTGGCAAAAATTGACTGCATCATTCATTCAATAAGTATCTTTCAAGCATAAAACCTGTGCCAGACACTCTGCTAGGTTCTGGGGATTCAACATAAACACCAAACAGCCTCTGCCCTCTGGTAGCTAACACCTACTAGAAAAAAGTCAGTCTGCCCAGCACTGGGGAAAATGTAAAGTTAAAGTGTTGTCAAAGGCCATTGCAAAAAATTAAAGTGTCATAAGCTATGTGACTAACCATGTGACTGGCACCCAATAGAAATACAAGTAAAGATCAAGAAAAACTTGCGTCTGCATGTGCACGTGCGTGTGTGTGTGTATGTGTGTGTATGTGTGTGTTGGGGAGTGTTTGTGTGATTGGTATATAGACAACATAATTGGTAGCAGGAAGGATATGCAGACAAAATTCTACAAAGGCCATGTGTTCATTGTTGTCTGTGCATCTATGATATGTGCTGCATACATTCAGAGGAAGGAATCACTAAAGTCTGCTCCAATGGTAGAAGCCTTATGCAATTGGAAATAGGTCTTGAGGGATTAACAAAAATTAAATAAACAGAAAAAAGGAGAAAGGAACTGTGTCATTGTAGTCTAGGTGATGAAGACTTGATGGGGGTGAGATTAACCAATCTTTAAGTTCCGGTCATCTGGAAATTTATTGATTTTCTTTTGAGTCATAAAGGTAAGGTAGAGCTAGATCAAGGAAGAGAGGGAAAATAATATTCTTCTAGGCAATGGCTCTCAAAGGTTTCTAGATACACAGTATCAACACCACCTTGGAAATCTGTTGGAAATGGAAATTCTCAGACCGCCAACCCAGGCCTACTAAATAAGAAACTCTGTGCAGAGCCCAGGAATCTATGGTTTGACAAGCCCTCCTGGTGATTCTGAGGCATGCTCAAGTTTAAGAACCACTGTTCTAGGGGATGGGTATATAAGTGAATAAAACAACAAGCAAAATTAAAAGTCAGCTATCACTGAGATTTGGGGCTTTGACTGCCAAGTGAAACCCAAGTGAAGATTTTTGCAGGCTCTGGGCTAGAGAGTCCCAAGTTGAGCAGATCTCCTGACAAACTTACCCTGGGTCTTTCTTGATCCTGGCATTTGTTCCTTAGTTTTCCTCTGTGGTCACCTTGTTCTTTCCCATTGGATACCCTTTCTCTATGTCTCCATTTATGTAAAGTCAACTCATTTTGGGGACCTCCTTAAAGTATTGAAAAGCCTTTTTTCCCCTGATTTTTTTTCATTTCAATAATGTCTGTATTACTTGCCAGTTTTTATTTTTTGTTTAAACTTTTTAACTGAAGAAGAATTTACATTAAAAAACATGCCAATATCTTACATGTATAGCTTCAAGGATTATTTAGAAATATAACACATCTCTGCAAGTAGCAGCCATGTCAAAAAACAAAATATTACCTGCACTCGAAAGCACCTGTATATTCCGTTCCAGTCACTACATATTCCCAAGGTAAAGGGAACAACGGCCTTTGTTTCTAACATCATATATTAGTTTTGATAGCCTTTTTCTCCAACTGCGCCATTTGTTCTCATTTCATCCGACCACTTTGTTTGGCTGCAGAACACTGTTTTATTGATCATTTCATTCGATTGCTAAAACATCACTAATAGCAACATTGGAATGTTGAAATATCATTACTAAAAACATGCTGTGATTGGTGACCCTCTGAAAGAACCCTTGTTCTTCAAGATGGTACATTGAAAAGGAAACGCACAATTATATTAACCACGACCAATCAGAGCAGCAAAGTAAGCAAAGGAGCTAGCAAACTTGTCTTACCAAAAAGGCTTCTAGGAATCTTCATCTTAGCTTCCTTACTCTTTGACACTTAATCACTTCTTTTCTTTGAACCAATGGAGAAAAAGAAAGAAAGGAAAGACGGAAGGAAGGAAGGAAGGAAGGAAGAAAGAAAGAAAGAAAAGAAAGAAAGGAAGGAAAGAAAGAAAGGAAGGAAAGAAAGAAAGGAAGGAAAGGAAAGGAAGAAAGAAGGAAAGAAAGGAAGGAAGGAAATGAGAAAGAAAGGAAGGAAATGAGAAAGAAAAAAGATCTTTCATCTCAAAACACCACCCTCCTCTATCAGCACCCTCAGTTACTCTCAGCATTGCTTCCTTGACGTGTTCTGCCCTCCTCTTCCATAACAGTTGGCTAGACTTTCCTGGGATGAGGGAGGTGTTGATTCCTCACCTCTCTGGAATTCTGGCTTACCCTCTTCAGGAATTATTATTTGTTCATTGATTTCCTTTTTGATGTCCATCCACGAGACCCTATAACATAAACTCCAGAAGACCAATGACTCCTGTCTTGTTGATCATTGTCCCTCTACCCCCTAAAACAGGTCCTGACACATAGTACATGCTCAACAGACACTCACTTGAAATAATAAATTTTATGCATGAGTACTAAAGTTCTAAATAACATTTAAATTAGACAGTGTTTGAATTTGGAATCTGCCTCGGCTCTGCCAATGACTAACCATTTGATCTAGTCAACTCATTACTTTCTCTGTGCCTCAGTTTTCTCCTTTCTAAAATTGGGACTGTGGAGATTATCAAAGGTCTCTAACTCAATAAAGTGCATACAGGAGATATGTGGAGGGTAAGGATTAGGGCAAACAGGTCTTCTAAGAGGCAGCCTCCACTCAGCCCCAGCAGTTTGTTACAAAGGAAAAACACAAATGCAATATTGCTTCAGAATGTAGTATTTCTAGAAATGCTGAAACTCCAGATTTTTTTTTCACTAAAACTCACATGAAATGTTCACAATGAATTCAATTAAGAAAATAAAAACATCATAGGCTGAAAGTGACCCACAGTTTAATTCTTTTTGTCTTGGGGTTAGGTCAGCACTAACAATAATTTGACCCAAGATCATGTAACCTTCCTTAACAAAGGAAGGTTATTTGTTTGAGTATATGATTTATCAGCTTTCTCAAGATCTCTTAAACATAAGAAGAGACTTGTAAAGTGAATCTTTTTATATTTCTGAGAGTGGGAGTACTGATTTTTCTTAGAAAAATTTCTTTCCTCTCTGTATATATACTGCTGTATTATGGCATTTTGATATCAGAGCAACTTTATAAGATTTGATAGCAAAATGATCACTACTCAAGTTTCAATGACCATTTTTATTCCTAGAATCTCAAATAAAATACCTTCAGGTCTATATATGAATTTTTCCTCTTAGGGCTAATATTTTCTATACATTTAAATTAAATATATAATCATGATGTTTAGAAAATAAGCTGACCAATGAAAAGTTAAAAGCTATTTGGAAATAAAATGGTAATATTAATTGAGGAGTAATTGAGAACATGTATCCTACTTGAAGAAATACTGAAGTATTTAAAAATAATAGTCATTAAAATTATTACAATAAATGAGAAGATAAAAATCCTGAATATTAAATAGAAAAATGCTAAAAGGTATTTTTAATATGCCATTAATTACTTTTTTAAGTTGCTGAGTTAAAAAACACTGGCAGGAAAAAAAAAGAAAATACCAAGATGCTAGAATGGATGGTTGAGGGAAAAAAATTATAAATGCTCTTCTTCCTTTTCTTTTTCTGGCTGTGACCCTATCAATTAAAATTTCTTTTCTTTTTCTCTTTTTTTTGAGATGGAGTTTCACTCTTGTTGCCCAGGCTGGAGTGCAGTGGCATGATCCTGGCTCAGTGCAGCTTCCACCTCCTGGATTCAAGTAATTCTCCTGCCTCAGCCTCCCAAGTAGCTGGGATTCTCCTGCCTCAGCCTCCTGAGTAGCTGGCATGTACCACCACACCAGGCTAATTTTATATTTTTAGTAGAGACAGGGTCCCTCCATGTTGGTGAGGCTGGTCTTGAACTCCCAACCTCAGGTGATCCACCCACCTTGGCCTCCCAAAGTGCTGGGATTACAGGTGTGAGCCACTGCGCCGGGCCAATTAAAATTTCATATGCATATCCGTGTGTGTTCATGGATATTCCATTCTCTACCAAATTTATTTTATAATATAGAACACATTTATTAATGGAGGTAAATGAAAACAAGCCATAATATCAAACTGGGTCTTGGGGAAAATAAAAGTTTTTTTTTTTAACTAAACCACCGTAATACCAAACCTGTTTTATGTATTTATTATTTTTATCCTGAGTTTGATTCTTACTGTGCTTTCACTCTGGCCATAAGCATGTCTTCCCTGCAAATTCAGATAAAGAAAGATTTAAAATGAAACCAGATGCTAATTTCCTTAGCATCTTCTTTTAGACTAATAGTTAGATGTTCCCTCAGTGGTTGGTGGGGGCGGGGACAAGCGGCTGTACTTATCACAGAGATTGGAAGAAAACAAAACAACTGCAGGAGCAGGTAAGGATTAAACCATTTCCGGACAGAGGACCCGGGGCAGGTGCAGGCCCTCACTCTGGCTATCTTAGGTCATGGCATCTGTGCAGTGTGCAATTGACATCCTGAGAAAACAGAGGTTTAGGAAGAAATGTCAGGGTCAGTCCAGGGAATTCATTTGTTGGCACAGCTTTGTTGCACTATTCTAGGGAGAACAAGATAAAACTACATTGCTCAGAAGTCCTACTTAGAATTTAAAGCACATTACAAAATATTAAAATGTCTTGTTTGATCAGTTTTATACTCCCAGACTCATGCAAAAATGAAGAAAAGGGCATGTATTCCCAGAAGACTGTTTTTATTTTTTGATCATGACTAAGATAGATTCAGAGATGGGAGAAAAGGTAGATTCATGGATGAGGGAGTGTGTGGGGGAGGTTGGGAGGGGAGCAGAGAGATCGACAAATAAGAAATTGCTTGAGGATGTGTTAAGCAGATGATAACAAATACCTAAGACCCTAATGAGAAAACCAATCCAATCCTCTTGGGAAGATTATTTGAGAAAACATTTCAGACAGAGGGAATGCAATGCAGGGTCATAAAGCAGGAATGAACTTGGCAACTATTAGCACCAGATAAAAGGCTGTGAGGATCTGGTATGTGAAGGGTGAGACCTGGAGGAGATGGCCCTGAAGAGGCAGAGAAGAGCCAAGTCGCACAGGATTTTTAAATCCAGGTTGAAGGATGTTTTCTTAAATGCCCTGGAAGCTATTGAGGGTTTTTATGTTGGGAATTGGGGTGATTTGATTACCATTTTTTAAAGATCACTCTGGCTTATGATGACATACTTTTCAATATTTTCCATTTATAGTCTTGCCTTTGAACATCCAGGCTGTAATCCAAGCCATCAGACACAAATGGTGACATGATTAGGAAAAGGCTGTCTTTATAGTACCCATTCTGGAACAATCTGTAGCTTTTATGTGCACATTATCATTGCCCCTGAGCCATAATGGGCCTGAAATTGGAGGCAGCATTCCACCCGAGTCATCATCCAAACCACTTTATAAAGCCATCGTCTACATACGTCTCTAGAGGCTCATTCAGTTACTCATAAGGCCCAACTTTTCTCAGCTTATGAGGAATATCAAAATCATGGATACGGATGTTCATATTAACTCCATTTGGAATAATTCTGTTTTCATAAATAGCCACCAAAAATCCCTCCACGCATTAAACATAACAAACTGAGCAACAACACAAACAGTTCTGTAACTCAGGGTCTTTTTTTCTTTTTTCACTTAATTGTATCCTAACCCTTTCATGTCTTGGCAAAAGGCAAATATCAGTATTTTGCCAGAATGGTGTTATTTTAAGCAGAAGAAGAAGGACCATAAAGGCATAAATAAGTCTTGGGGGGAAATAAAAGACTTTTTTAAAACTAAACCACCATCACATCAAACCTAATTTATGTATAAATGTTCTCGGTTCTCCTCCTCCAAAGCCTGTAGCTGGAGAATATACTCTCTCCTCATTTTTCTCAGCCTTTAAGGATTGTTTGATCTTTACCAGAGAAGTTTCTGGGCTTTTATGATGGAGAAATGGAGAATGGGCAGAAGAAGGAGCAGTCAGTAGAGGGGGAGTTGAAGGGCTTAGCAAGATGTGTGTTAAATCAGCTTAAGCAGGAGAGAGCAGAAGGAAGAACCAAAAGTTTCTCAGCCAAAGTTGGAGGGTCAAACTGGGGAGAATGTGATGAAGAACAAGAGGGCCTGGTGGAAGGAAGAGAGTGAGAGCAATGGAAAGAAGAGAAGGAAATATAAAAGAAATGTGGGCCGGGCGCGGTGGCTCATTTCTGCAATCCCAGCACTTTGGGAGGCCAAGGTGGGCGGATCACGAGGTCAGGAGATGGAGACCATCCTGGCTAACACACAGTGAAATCCTGTTTCTACTAAAAATACAAAAACTTAGCCGGGCGTGGTGGCGGGCGCCTGTAGTCCCAGCTACTGGGGAGGCTAAGGCAGGAGAATGGCGTGAACCCGGGAGGCGGAGCTTGCAGTGAGCCGAGATCGCCCCACTGCAGTCCAGCTTGGGAGAAAGAGCGAGACTCAGTCTCAAAAAAAAAAAAAAAAAATGTGCTGGAGGGATGGATTTGATCAAAATTCTCTCCTCTCTTTCCCTCCCCTCCTTTCCCCCTTCTTCCTTCCTCTCCTTTTCTCCTCTCCTCTCTTTTTCAGTTTTTCTTAAGACACAGTTTTGTAGAAAGATTCAGCTGCTTAAATGCGGGAGCCAAATAGAAGTAATGTTTTTTTTTTACTTATTTGGAGGAAAGATGGTAAAAGGAAAGAAAATAAAGGAAGAAATGTGGCAGGAAATAGACTAAATAAAGCAGAAAAACCATCACATGTATAGTTAAAGATTTTGCCTCTTATCATTTCAAACTCTCTTTTACTGTACAAACATTGCCTTTTTTTTTTTTTCTAAAACCTGAGAGAAGTCATGATCTTTCTCAGTGATAATGAATAGCTCTATGTGTGAGAACAGAAACAAGATGCAACAGCTTAGCATGGAAATGGAAGATGCACAGGGATCTAGACCAAACTTACCTGCTATTCCAGCTCATCTCCCTTTCTTTATGGATCAATCATATGGTATTATTCACTATTCCCCAACACACAAACTCTTCCTCACCTTATTGTTGTCTTCTCAGCCAGAAATCCCTTTCTCTTCCTCTTCTCATTAATTTATTAAATGATAATTTATTTTGCACGTTGTATGTATCCATGGTACTAGATACAGTGATACTCACTGAGAACAAATGTTCAATCTGCCACTTTCTAAAATTGTTTTGAAAGAGTATGAAAATAATTGTAATAATGCCATAACATAATATCTTCACAAGAATCCTTATAAATGTTTAATCCTGTAGTAATTTTTGTTTGTTTGTTTTGACACAGGGTCTTGCTCTGTCGCGCAGGCTGAGTGCAGCGGTGCCATCTTGTCTCATTGCAACCTCTGGCTCCTAGGATCAAAAGATCCTCTTATCTCAGCCCCCCAAGTAGCGGGGACTACAGGCACATGCCACCACACCCCACTAATTTGTGTGTATTTTCTAGAGATGGGGTTTAGCCATGTTGCCCAAACTGGTCTGGAACTCCTGAGCTCAAGCAATCCACCCTCCTTGGACTCCCGAAGTGCGGGATTAAACGCATGAGCCACAAAGCCTGGCCCTGTAGTAATTTTATTCATCCTCTCATTTTGCTCTGCATTTCACACAAAGCCACGCCCACAAAACACAAACAGACAGTTCCACATCCCTCTCCCAACCCCACATGTAAATTAAGATAACAAAGCTTTGTTGTTGAAAATCACTGTCTAGAATTACACAGAAATGATTCTGCTTCTGTCTGGATCCGTGAGCAGTCTGTCACTGGAAAATCCATACAGTTTATATCATTAGCAAAAATGAATTAGTTCACATTCAGTTTTGAAATTCTAATAAATCTATGCAATAATTACATATATATTTGAGAAGATTCTTACATACATCCTTATTTATTATACATCTTAAATATTTATAGAATTTAAAGATTGGGATGCAGACTGTTATAGTTATTAATTAAAGAAAAGAAGACTGTCTTTTAGTTGACTAACTAGGATTACAAGCATCTAATGAGGCTTGAAAAGAGTAGAAAGCATTGACTATCTTTGGTCTAAACAACAGGCAGTGCATCAATGTGGTGCATCATATGCCTGAACAAACAAATCTAACTACCTGGTAGGGTGACCAGGAATGAAAGTCTGGTCACTGAGCTTGGGTAATGATTGCCAAGGAGTGACTATTTTTTAGTGATGAGAGAAAGAAAACCCATTCATGAGCCAAATGAAATTCTAAATCAATTCTTCAGTTTGCTGCTTAAATCTAAAGTAGTCAAAACACTAGTTGATTAAGCACTTAATTTTATGAAACAGTATTCTTGAAAAGTAGGAACTTAATTATATCAGAGATATAATACTAAACAATGATTTTCCCTTATAGTCTACTACTAATAAAGGCAAGGGTTATTCAAAGAGAGAGCATGAATAAAAGTGGTATGAATTCTGAAAGAATTACATAAAATACAGGAAGTATATTCTTAATCACATCCTTGGTCAATGGCAATATTTACATTTTTGTCTTAAAGACAAAAAAAAAGAGAGAGGGATTCAAATACACTAATAAGAATAAGGGTGTACCCACTTCCATCCCCTATTGCCCCCAAAATGCATAAGTAATTCTGAAATCTGAGTAGGCATCAGCTATTTATGGGTGACACGCAAATAATAACTATAGGTTCCAATAAAAGGTTTTTTCTTTTTTTTTTTTACAATTATTTAAGCATTGATTAAAATAGTTGAATTAAGAATTATAAACAGTTTAGTGCACAGACCTGTATTAGTCTATTCTAACACTGCTATAAGAAATACCTGAGACTGGTAATTTATAAGAGAAAGAGGCTTAATTGACTCACAGTTCCACATGGCTGGGGAGGCCTCAGGAAACTTATATGATCATGGCAGAAGGCAAAGGAAAAGCAAGTACCTCCTTCAAATGGCAGCAGGAGACAGAAGAGCATGTAAGAGCAGGGAAAACTGCCTTATAAAACCATCAGATCTCCTGACAACTCACTCACTATCATGAGAACAGCATGGGGGAAATCACCCCCTATGATCCAACCACTTCCCACTGGGTCCCTCCATTGACTTGTGGAGATTTCAGGGATTACAATTTGAGATGACATTGGGATGGGACCACAGAGTGAAACCATATCAAGTCCAAACATAATAGATTAGATTAATTAATTGAGAATTGATTGGTTAGAACTCCCACTTATAAAGTAATTACTTATTTTAAAAAATAAAATAATTAGAGATACCAATACATGCCATTTTTGTTTCACAGAAATGTATTAGAGGTGAAATTTGAAATTTTCTTCAAAATTTTAAAAATAGATGTTTTAGATATTTGTTGTGGTTTTTCAGTATAATCATATTTGGTAAGTGGGGTTATGATTTTTTTAATGTCTTACTTTCAAAAAGACAAACAAAATTTTCATTGTATCCATATAAACTGTGAGTGATTCGGGATTAAAAAAGGAAAATTAATTTTCATGAGAAGGAAAGCAAAAGGAGAAAATCTATCACAAATATATCCAATAGAAACCACAATATGTTATGTTTAGAAGCTCAACAGTTCTGTTATTTTCAGAAACTCATTTATGTCAACCATTATGAAATAAAGTACAAAACAAAATACTGTATAACTAATGTAAGAAATATAAAATACTAAAGTAAAGGTGTATACTTCTTAATGAGAAAGAACAAACTCTTATTTTTTTAAGTGTGGCCAATAGACCACTAAAATGTAAACTTTACCTATGAAGAGAGTGCCTGAGCAAGAATCTGCAACTAGAAAAAGAAAGTGAGAGATTATGCAACTGGTCTTTGAGAAAGTACAAATCATAATTTACAATGCAAAACTCTGAGATGCAGTGAAAAAAGAAACACAGTAAAAGCAATCCTTTAAACCACCCTCCTATGCTTCTAACATAACCCAAGAAGAGAATTTTGTCTTCAAGAGATCCCTCTTTCCACAGATGCCTTCACAGGAAAAGGTGGCAATCCCTCTAACAGTACTTGAAGTAAGTAGAACTGGCATGTCTTGGCTGCTGCTTCCCACCAGTGTAGACAGACTTTTAGCAATAAAGAAAGGCAAGGCTGCCTGCTGAAAAATCCCCTGGTGAAATGATTCAGGCTTGACAGACATGCCCCAAAATGCATATCCTTTCAAAATCACATTGATTATACCGTTTTTCTTAATTCCAGACTTCTCAATTCTATAAAATTTCAGACTTGAAATCTAGAGCAAACCTCTTGAAAATCAGCAGATTTGCTTAGAAACAAATGCACCAGGTAATCCACCCTCTTTTTCTTCCCTCTACTCTCCGTATTTTTTTTTTTTTTCATTCTCCTCCCCACGCTTTTCTGTAAAGGTCTGTTAATGTTACTGGCAGCACATCTGTATGGGTCTACAGCAACCTCAATTCTTGCCTCTTGATAAGAAAGAATTTAAGAGTCATAAGGCAGAAAGAGACTGAGGCAAGTTTTAGAGCAGGAGTGAACGTTTATGAAAAAGTTTAGAGCAGGAACAAAAGGAAATAAAGTACACTTGGAAGAGGGCCAAGCAGGAGACTTTAGAGAGTCAAATGCCCCGTTTTACCTTTGACTTAGGTTTTTTTTTTTTTTTTTCTTTTTTTTGAGATAGAGTCTCGCTCTGTTGCCCAGGCTGGAGTGCAACGGCGCGATATCGGCTCACTGCAAGCACCGCCTCCCGGTTTCACGCCATTCTCTTGCCTCAGCCTCCCAAGTAGCTGGGACTACATGCGCCCGCCACCACGCCCGGCTAATTTTTTTGTATTTTTGGTAGAGACAGGGTTTCACCGTGTGAGCCAGGATGGTCTTGATCTCCTGACCTCGTGATCCGCCCACCTTGGCCTCCCAAAGTGCTGGGATTACAGGCGTGAGCCACCGTGCCCGGCCTGCCTTAGGGTTTTATACGTTGTCATACTTCCAGGGTCTTGCATCCCTTCTCCTCTGTTTTTCTATTGGGGTGGGCTGTCCTCATGGGCAGTAACCTGCTAGAGCAAGGGAAGGGAGCATGCGCAGTGTGTTTCCTGGAGTTGTACGCATGCTCACTTGAGGCGTTGTTTCCTTACCAGCCAGATGTCTTTAGAAAGTCATGCACCAGTTAAACTCCACCATTTTGCCTCTTAATGCACATGCTTGGGCCCACTCATCAAACTCCTGATATTTTATTGCAAAGCTGCTGATCCCCAGTTTCAGGTTTTTACTATCTATTGGGAGACAGCCTTTCCCTGGCACTGGCTGTGACCAATTATTATTTTAGAGAGTCAGTTAACAACTGCCTGCCCATCACCTGATAGTCGCCTGACATTCCTGGTGATGTATCATTGGCCAAAAGGAGTCAGTTGCTAAATGCCATCCATACAATTCTCTAGTAGAAATAAAATGTATTAGCATAAAATACAATTGATGCAAAAATATAAAATAAATACAAAACTATGAGATATATACAACGTGCGTGTATCACATTTAGATTTCTCTTCAAGTTGATGTTACATTACATAGTGTTTCCCTGAAGACTTATATGTAAACAGTTCATTGTGAATTTTTACAAAATTTTATACAAATTTTATGTAAACCTAAACCATTTCATATATGGGAGTATGAAAGTAAGTTATTTAGTATATAAAGTTAATATTTTCTGAAGTCAAGACTTTTACAAAATTTACACAGGCAATAAGAACTTCATTCATTTGCTTTTTAAAAATGTAGACATTTGAAATATTTTCATAAAGCCATGCACACCTAGAAAGTCAAAATTAAATGGAAGGTTGAATAATTGTCTGATAGATTTATTAATCATATCATCTATAAAATAATAATTCACTTTCTTGCCCGAATAATCTCTCCTGGCTTTTTGAGGGCTTGGGAGTTTGGGGGTATCAAATTTGGCATTTGAGACCTGTCCCATTTATCTTGGCTACAAAAGCACTGTGTTTAGAACAAGCATTCTTTGTTGAAGTTGCTTGAGTTCCTCTTGCTGAGGTATGACACATGCTAGTTTGTGCTATCCAAATTTGCAAGAAAATTGCTCAGTGTGGAACCATTATCATCAGTATTGTGACTTCTCTGATTCACATTTAGCCAGTGTAAACTTTCAATCAGTCTTCTTCTTTCCAAATATTTTACTGTACTTGTCGTGCCGCAAAAAGGATTATACATTGCTCTTTTGCTTTTGGTTTAGTTTTATTCGCTGCATATGTTTAATAAAGGTCTACATATTGCACTTTAACTTCAAACTTCCAAAACTTCTGATACATCATGAAACTCATGAGCAATTTCCATTTCCAGAAATAGCAAAGCATCCTTCTGAGATGTTGTTAAAGTCTGTTTTAATATAGCGTGTGTTTATTTAAACTCAGTGCCAAATAGCTCCTTGGTGGTGGTTTCTGCTTATAGCCAAGGGTTGAATAGGCCATGGAGAATAATTCTAAGAGTGAAGAAGGTTGTTCTGTGACAAATCTAAAGCTCTCTAGGGAAGGAAGTGTTAGCAAGCATACACTTCTCCTTTCAGGAGTAAGAGTCTCATCTTCATTTCTCATCATTGGGCCATTAGGTTTGTCAAATTCTAATACATTGTTAAGGTTCTATAGGGAACCAGATATTAACACCCCATTTCTCCTTTCTGAGATGGAAGAAATGTACATAGTCATATCTCTTAACATCTGATGTGACACACAACCTAGCCAGAAAAAAGAGTATAACCCACGTATAGAGACTAAAAGGTAAGTTTCTTTTTCTATTGTCATAGAAATAATTCACTTCAATTTTGGAGAATAGAGAAAATAATCCCTTAACATTGCAGAAAGGAATGAAAACCCAAATACACAGTATAAATAACATTTTTGAATGCACACACACACACAATTGCTGGAAAAAAGAAGAAAAGAAATTTTGCAAATATTACCAATTAAAAACTTGAATACATTATGACCTAAAAATTTAAACAATTTTCCACAATTTATAAGTTAAATAGAAGAAATTTGTTTCTTTTTTTCCCTTCTGTCCCTCTTTTTTCCCTACTTAAAAAAGTACTGAATTGCTTGGATGCTTTTATTTAAATATCTTATCAGAGCTTAAGCCTCCTGACATTCATCTTGGCAAAGCCGTGTGCCTTCAGTGACAGTGAGTGCTCCTCTTCTCTGTCCCCTGACTGATTTGCATGCTGTCTCTGGTGTCCCCAGCAACAGGTGTCTCATTAGCACCTGAGCGATGCCAGCTTCTGAGGAAGGCTGTGAACTGATTAAACACATGCTCCATTTTTATCTCTTTATGAGTCATTACTTAAAGGTTTTATCACCAGATTGCCACACTTAATTACGTGCAGCCATAATTAAATATGAGCATTCTTAGGTCTGCTTTTTAAAATTGTAGTTTAAACTTCAGTGACACGTTTTGCCGTTTGCTAATTTAAAGCTATTTTTAAAAGAGCAGTAGAAGGTGCTTTGTTGAAGGGGGCATAGTGGGGGAGGGTTTTTTCTTCTTTCATACACCAGGTTATACAATTTTTCTTAATCTGAGAAAAAATCTACACTGCATTTAAAGGTTAGAGAGAATCATCAGAAGTAGGGGCAATTAAACTAGAGTGTGCTAAGTTTGTCTTTATGGGTGCAGGAAACTGGCATTGCTTGCCTTACAAATTACAATTTAACTAGGATTCTAGTAAACCTCAGGCAAAATCAGACAATTATCTGAATTTTCCTTTTTCCTTGTGTTCTGAAGGCATCTGCTAATTGGAAGAGGACAATATAAAACAACATCATCCATGTTATCAAGAGGATTATAAATCAATATTTTATTTTTCTTCTGACATATTTGTATTATCCATTTCAGCCAAAATTACTTGTTTGAAATAATTTCATGTTTTGTTTGGTTTGGTTTTGTCTTTTTGCTCTGATCTCCTTCATACTCTCTAATACTTATAACTCAGGGCTGAACTATAGCCCCTCTTCACATTTGCTAAACACATGGAGGAACCAGAAGGTTTGGTTTTATTGCCATGCTTGTCTGTGGCCTCTCTAGGACACTCCCACACATTTATGAATCTTTCAATATTCTCCAAGTTCTGAAAGCCTATTTGCCATAAACAATTTCATCATTCCTCTAAGGACATGTACCCCTTTCTGCTCTAACTCCCCTTCCCTACTCTAGGATGATGGGAAATATAGCCACCCCATCCCTTTCTTCCTGCCTTCTAGAAACAAACATGCCAGATTTACGCAAGCTATACAAGTTATACAAATTTATTTACCAGGGATTTAAGGCACTCACGTAGGGAATTATGAAAAGAGAGAGCAGACCTTTTCTTTTGAATGTTAACATGAGAAGACACCTAAGATCTGAGGATGCTGTGAGGACACTTTGGAAGACCTTGCTGCCTTCTAACTAGCACACCCACACTCCAAGCATCACTTTTTTTTTTTTTTTGACTGAGTTTCGCTCTTGTCGCCCAGGCTGGAGTGCAATGGTGCGATCTCCGCTCACTGCAACCTCCGCCTCCTGGGTTCAAGTGATTCTCCTGCCTCAGCCTCCCAAGTAGCTGGGATTACAGGCGCCTGCCACCACACCCAGCTAATTTTTATATTTTTAGTAGAGAGGGGATTTCACCATGTTGGCCAGACTGATGTTGAACTCCTGACCTCAGGTGATCCGCCCACCTAGGCCTCCCAAAGTGCTGGGATTACAGTCATGAGCCACTGCACCTGACCCAAGCACCTCATTCCTTAAGGATTACAGCCTGGACTCCATCCTGCTTTGTGGGAAAACTTCCCTTGCCTCAGAAAGAGATCTCACTCTGGATCTCTCCAGGGTGGTCCAAGTTCAGGAAGTGTCCTGAGTGTCAGCCAAACAGAATTAATGTTTTATCTCGTTTATCCGTGTAGGAGACAAGAGAAGACTCCGCAGGGTGATGGAGGACAGGCTATAACACATAAACAAGGGCCCAAGTGCACAATTTTATTTTCAATCTCTCAGTGCAAATTTTTATATTCAATCTCCCCACAAGTGAGAATTGTGGCTCTGCTGCAGGTTTCTTTTTCTTTTTCCTTCATTCTTTCCTTTTTTTTTTTGATGGAGTCTCCCTCTGTTGCCCAGGCTGGAATGCAGTGGCATGATCTCAGCTCTCTGAAACCTCTGCCTCCCGGGTTCAAGTGATTCTCATGCTTCAGCCTCCCAAGTAGCTGGGACTACAGGTGTGCACCACCACACCTGGCTAATTTTTGTCTTTTTTGGTAGAGACAGGGTTTTGCCATGTTGGCCAGATTGGTCTCAAACTCCTGACCTCAGGTGATCCACCAACCTCAGCCTCCCAAAGTGCTGGGATTTCAGGCATGAGCCACCGCACCCGGCCTCTGCAGGTTTCTTTACTTGTTAACCAACTATGACAATTTGGATACTTTGTTTTGAAGATGTGAAAATCAAAATAAAAACAAGACAAAAGCAAACACAGAGCCTCTCAATCATAATTGGATTCAGGAAAAAAAAAAAAAAGAAATAGATGGCTTCCACATATAAAAAGTCCAGAAGTAGTTCTCGCTTCAGCCATGGCTTGATAGAAGGGTAGAAATATCACCAGGCTCTCCAGTGTTTCCCTCTATTTCTCAGTTTCCTTTGAAGTCGCTCTACCTGGGCTTTGGGCACTGAAAGTGGGTAGGGGTTTCCAAAGAAAAATTGCAGCAGATGGAGTTAAGCAGGCAAGGAAGACTTTCCTCAGTTCTATTGCAATAGGGGAGAGAAATTGAACTCAACTCCTCTGAAAGGCAGCAGGGTTTTTAAGTGCTGGGATGAGCAAGTGGAAAAGCACTGGTGACTGTTTGTGAGGAGGTTGGTCCATGCGATTAGGCCATCTGTGCTGCTAAGCGGCACTGAGACAAGTTAGCATCCTACCCTCCCAGAGACATTGGGAGTGAAGGACTCTTTCACAGTAATTGAAATAATTACATTTCAAAAGGATGACTCCC
The DNA here is from genome assembly GCF_000001405.40 of Homo sapiens. Taxonomy (NCBI): domain Eukaryota; kingdom Metazoa; phylum Chordata; class Mammalia; order Primates; family Hominidae; genus Homo; species Homo sapiens. The sequence continues at coordinate 87,150,146 of NC_000014.9, read as the reverse complement.
GGGTCCTTGAGAAATACATAGCAGGGTTGCAAAACTGGCAAGAGGCTAGCAGAAGATTTACATCTCAAAAGGGCAGAGAAAGAATGTTAAATTGAAAGCCTTCCAAAGTAAATACTCGAAGAAAGGGGAGACCAGGGATCTACAGCTAGGAAGAAACGTGAGCTTAAATCAAGCTGAGGGGGATAGTAAGGCTGTCTTGTTCAGGGTGTATCTCCAAATGAGAATCAGAGGCTTTGGAATAACTTGTATCAAAAACATAAACAACCAAGAGTTAACCAATAATCACACTTTCTAAGTAGTGATTAGTCTACTTTCTGTAGACTAAACAGTGATTAGTCTACTCTGTAAGCCAATATTGTCTACTTTCATAGTCTACTTTCTAAGCCAATATTGTCTAAGTCCATATTGTGAAACAAATAGTTGCCCCAAGAGCAAGGCTCTGGCTATGTCATTAGAAATAATGTCTTCCCACAATTGTGCTGGGCACATTTGGTTCCTTCCTATTCGCCTTGTAGGTGGTGATGTCAAATTCCAGCATCAGATGTGAATGATATGCCTTTGCTCCTCACTGCACAGGTAAAGAAAACGACATGTTAAAAACAAACAAACAAACAAAACTAAATCAAATGAATTTGGCTAGGGTACCATCTTTAGTTCAGGTAAGCCCAGATATTTTGGAGAGGGTCTTTGCTCTTTCATCCCTTGTGGTGATTTGCTTATTGCTTCTGATGCACTGTCATCATTATTTACTAAAATCATTCAGCTTCATTGGTTCCATGCTAATTTTGGACACAAATGTTTGGATCAAGCCTTCCAAGTTGTAGCACTAAGAACACAACCTCTTGGGGCCTACTTTTCAGAAAATTCATGTATCTTCACTACTTGAGGGGTCCCTCCCCATAAGATATTACTTTTCCTGTCTTTGAGACATCATCTTCCTCCATATCGAGTCACTTATGTCTTCTAATACCAGCAGAAGACTTATTCATGACCTTAAAGTATGTTGCAGCCTAATTCCTTAAAACAGATGCTGATGTGAAGAAATTACACCTTTAAACAGAAGGGTTGGTTATCCTTCCACCTAGGGAAGGGAAAGGGACATGTTATTATTATTATTATTATTACTTTTTCATTTCATTAAGCCCTGTAACATTGAGGACAGTATAGAAATTAGTACTTCCGTAAGTTATCCTGCTACATAATTTTTAATGCCTTCTCTCTCTTTTACACAGGAAATGGCTCTGGCTTTAATTAAATTGTTTTGATTCACATTTTTGCTCTGAAAGAAGTGGGTGGAATGCGATGTGGTGGAGAGGAATTTCTCACACCACTTATAGGGATGGGATTACACAGTTTATTTTGCATTTAAGTAGGATCATTTCATCCTGCTGGATTTGAATTTCAGTGTCCCTTCTTATGAATTTAATTTTTGTCACGTAGACTAAGTGTGTTGGCAAAAGAATAAAGACAGAGGTTAATCTGATGGAGTTCTAACACTATCTAATTCTTTCTGGAGACGCTTATTTGCAGGCTTCAGAGAGAAGTACAAGGCAGGATTTAGAAAAATAAAGTACTCAGGAAAAAGAGAATGTGAGAACATGTAGGGAGTTAGTTGAAGAGTGAAGGAAAAACATTAGGAAAGGAAATCATAGTATTTATAAGGAAATGTCCCAGATGTTTTGAGAAAAAAAGTAAAGAAATGACTCAAAAGTGTATTAGTGGCAAGAAAGATGGGCTAATGACCAAATAGCTGGTGAAAATAACAAATTAGAAAAAGTGATTTTTGTGTGTGTTTGGAAAAAGAGATTTTATAAGATTGTGAATAGGATGGGCTAGAATATGTCCTTTTTAGCTGTGTTTGTAACACATTGGCTATAATTGCATTGTGAGTGTAAAATAATTCAATGGCCCACCATTTTTCCCAAACCATAATTAGTACCCAATAAATGCTTATGGAATAAGAGGTATTTTTTTATTCACCTCTGATTTTTAATAGTTCTTAACAGATTTTTAAAATGCCAAATCTCATGTTTTAATGATATCATCATTATGTTTTAACTTAAAGCAGGAATAGCAAACTTTGGAATCTCAGAAAACATACTGGAAATTCATTTTTTTTTAATAGCATGTAATTTATTTAAAGAACATTTATTACACATGGTATCCTTGAGCTAAATGTCCGGGATATCCCACTGCCTATTGGTGGCTGCAAACAATTCTCCTCTTTCTGCCCACATCTGGAGGTTGTTCAAGGAAATTCTTTGAAAAAAAAAATATATGGGAATTCAAATTCTTATATTTATTAATTAAGAATTTGTGTAAAAGGAAGCATTCTGAGGAATTCAAGTTGCCTATGCTTATTTCAAATATAGCCAATGTGGAGCCTCCAGAACATGTCAGATCTTAAAGGAGAGACAATGTGGCTCTGTGAGGTTAATAAGTTAAGCCTGAGGAGGCCTCCATATTGAGTCCTTACCTGGCAAACTCTGACCTTGCTTAATACGTAGTCTAACAGGAAAAGCCTCACTTAGGAGTCCTCAACTATTGAAACAAGTGCTTGAGTCTTAGTCAATCACAGCAGCTGAGCCCCAATAAATCACAGGTGGCCAGATGATTAAAATAAGGCAAAACACCAAGCTGTAACCAATTAGGCCGTATTTATGCATCACTTCCATTTTCTGTCCATAATTATCATCTGACCACCTTACGACTCTGGAATTCTTAGATCTTGTTCTAATTCTGAGGGCTGATTCTAGAATCATGAATAAAAGCCAATTAAGATCTTTAAAATTGTTGTCATTTTGTTTTTTGATAGCCCTAGTAACTCGGGGACACTAGTGGGAGCCAATAGTCTTCTGAAATTGTTTTCCTATTCCAAAGCCTTCTCGATTAAATATTTAACGTAGCATTTTTATTGTGCCTGTTTTGCAGCAATATTTTTTTTCCCAGAGATTTTATATGTTTTGTGGGTCTTTGTGGTATATATTTCTCTACATAGAAAAATATCCCAGTGAATGCTTAATTACCAATATTTCAGTTTTAAAAGCTACTGGAAATAATCTAATATCTATATTTTTAAATTGTTATAGAGGGTGTCAAATATATAACATTAATATAGAATTATTTTAAACTAGTGAAAGAAGAGTATAAAACTTTTCTAACAGTGAAGAATTAAAGGATATGTTAAGTGTCTAATATGTGGGTACAATTCTAAAAATTTTCTTCTGCTGTTTTCACTTTTTTTTAGATGCTACTAGAGAAAAGAAAGATAAATAATGCCAGAATTAAGTTCCTTGGGAGATTACAATTTGGAGTAGAGATGGGCAAATACAAAGATAAGCACAATACATGTTAGCAACTAAGTAACAGTCACTGGACTCTGACTCTCACGGATTATCATTATAAACTAAAAAAATATTAAAAAACAAAAACAAAACTTGGCGCCACAGAGCAGGCAAATTCAGGCAGATGAGGGTGGAAGGCTGCTCGCAGAGGATGAGGATGGCCCTACTGAGTTTCTGGCTTTCATGGTTTTTCTATGGCAGATTTAGCTGCCATCGAAAGCTGATTGTGTTTGGGGCTTTATAAAGCAAAGGCAGAGTTGAGGACAACTGCAAGCTTTGGAAAGTTAGAGCAGAAATGCCTGATAGAAGAGAGCCAGAGCAAAGGAGCCCCAAGGCTGACTCCAATCAGCCCAGCTAGGGATAAATGAACTTAACTGACGAATGAGGTGTTGTTTTTGCTTTCAGGATAAATGCAGATACATTCCATTTATTATTTAAGTCCAGAACAGTGGCTAGTACGTAGCGAGTGCTCATAATAATACTAGATAATATTTGTTGAATACTTACTATGTCAGCAAGCTTGAAGATAGATCAATAGACATTTCCATCAGACAAAAGCGAACAAGAAGATTAAAAAAAAACAAAAGGAGCACAATACAGTGTAAGCTCCGTAACAGAGTGCTGTGTGAACATAGATGTGATGTGGTTAATTTTGCTGGAAGGTGGGTGAAGAGTGACTTTTGAAGTGGATCTGGAAGGAGGAGTGCATACACTAGCCAACGTCTCTGGCAAAGTAAAAGGCAAAGCAAGGAACAGAAGCATTGATGAGGAAAATCAAAAGCAGAACTCGGTGGCTTGAATTCAGGGACAAGTTTAAGGATAGGTCCAAGGAGAGATGTGCTATTACATGTTTGATAACAAATCGGACAACAAAAGCAAAAGCAAACAAAAAAATTGGACAACAGTAGGAAGCTGTAATGATACAAGCATCTCTGAAAGAGGACTCTGACTGATGGTAGAGTACATTATGACGGAAATGCTAAATCTTTGGTTTAGTGTATCTTCCAGATGTACATTTTCTACAATTCTTTTGTTAAAATATAAAGTTCAATTAGTATTTACTAAATTATATTTTTCTCTTCCTTACCAATCACATCAAAATTGCTATGCCAAGGGCCGGGCGCAGTGGCTCATGCCTGTAATCCCAGCATTTTGAGAGGCCAAGGCAGAAGGATCACTTGAGGTCAGGAATCTGAAACCAGCCTGGCCAACCTGGTGAAACCCTGTCTCTACGAAAAATACAAAAAAAATAGCGAGGCTTGGTGGCACGTGCCTGTAATCCCAGCTACTCGGGAGGCTGAGGCAGGAGAATCGCTTAAACCCAGGAGGCAGAGGTTGCAGTGAGCTGAGATTGTGCTACTGCACTCCAACCTGGGTGACAGAGCGAGATTCGGTCTAAAAAAACAAAAATTGCTATGTCAAGTTTTGTTGATTTTTACCCCCTAAACATTGCTAGATCTCATCTATCTTTGTTCTTGTTGTTTTCACCATTACCACCCTGGTCTAAGCTATTTAACATAGGTTATGGGAATTAATCACTGCTGTTACTTCCTTGCATCATTCATGCAAGGAATCCAATCTACTCTCCAGGTAGGAGGAGATAGAGTGGCTTTATAAAATGTGCTTATGCTTGTATCACTCCTATTAAACTCTGAGAAGGTTTGCCTTTATAGTAGGGTAGTGAAAAATGTGGAAATAACTACCATGGCCATCAGTAAAAGAAAATAAAAACAAAGACTGCTATATACTTTAATATTCTATGGAGGGGGTTTCAACAAATAAAATGTGCTTGTATCAACATGAATATATCGTAAAAAATTGAGTAAAAAAACAAGTTGCTGTTGGAGATGTACAATATAATGTCATTGATATAAATCAAAAGTCACACAATTCAGATGATATATTATATATAAAGAAACATATTACAAAATGTTTCAAAATATTAGGAAAATGGCAAATCTTCTTCCAAAAAGTACTTTTATTTTCTTTAAATGTTTTTAAGTTTGTTAGAAAAATAAAGTAAATGTGGCAAAATGTTAACATTCATTAAATATGAACTGTGGATATACAGATATTATATGGGTTCCTGTTTTTCCTTCATATTTAACCATTAAAAATAAAAACAATACTTTAAGGTGTTATTTTCTCCTATTATGTTTATAGAAATGAATCGGTCTTGGAATACTAAGTAAGGAGGAAAGGTAAGATGAATTCTTGATGGGAATATAAAGTAGAATAGATACTTTGGAGAGCACTATGTTAATATCAAAAAAATTCTTATTTCTATATATTTCTAAGTATATATTACTCCTCACAGTAGTTTTCAAAAGTTTTGGTTTTAGGATCACTTTATACCCCAAAATAATAGATTGCACCGGACACTTTTTAGTTATGTGGGTTTATATGTTGATATTTTCCATATCAATATATGAAGTTTTGAAAATACAATAATATAGAAGCACACAAATTCTATGAGCCATCAAAAGAATGATGTCACGCCATGTCATTAGCCTCTCAAAAACCTAAGAGCATGAAAGTGAAAAGGCCAATACTGCCTTAGAATAATCATGGAAAGATTTCAGTCTTGCAGACCCCCTGAAAAGTCCCCAGCATCCTCTGGTGTCTGTAGATTACACGTTGATATCCAACAACCCTGAAAAACCTTACACATGTGCATTAGGCTACATTTACAGGAAGATTATCAGAACGTTATTTACAAAAGGGGAAACTGGAAAAAATTAAATGTTCATCAATATGAGAATGGGATAAATACATTTTTGTATATTCCAAGTTGTGTTCCTGTACTGAACTTAAAATCCAGCCATTGCAGCTCTACATATCATTATTACATATCATTATCATTGTTTCCCCTGTATACAGTGCATATTCATGGGTGTGTGTGTGTGTGTGTGTGTGTGTGTGTGTGCATGAGGGAAGAAAATATACCCAATTAGGTTCACCAGTTTATGTTTACCAGTTTGGGAGAGAAGAGAGAAGAAACAATTGGAGCAGACACAATAAACAAAGACCAATTTAAATTTACATGTAAAAATATTTTATCTTAACAATTTCAGAAGTGAAGGAAAAACCTGTGAATTTGCTAATAGATGCTATATATTTATTTCTAGTCAAAAGTTTAAGAAAACTGCTCATGATTTTATAGAATTTTGTGGCAAGTCAGGTAAATAAATACTTGCTATATTTATTTATAATGTTAGATCACCATTTTTCAATAGATAGGTCATTATAGTGAAAAATTAATCTGCAGTATTTCCAAAAGTCATTTAAAACTATAGTTCTAATATAATGAACTTGTAACTCCTCATTTTTCTTTTTTTAAAAAAAATCTATATGTGATTTGTGATGCTTTTGGTGGGGATAAATGTAATGGATCGAGCTTACCATGTTATGGAGTTGATATTAAGAACATTTATCTTAAAAGTAGCCTTTTGTCTGTTTACCCAATGAACTGCTAATCTGAGAAAAATCTGATTAGTTCCATCCAGAGTTTGATTCAATTTAGGGGAGCCAACCTTTGCTTCTGAGTAGACAGAACTGCTTCTCTCTTTTTAAACTTATCTTTTTTCAATTATTCTTTATAAGTTCAGGGGCGAATGTAATCATTTTAATGAAACTTAGATCGAACGATCTTAGAATGAATGGCAAGAATGGTCAGAGTCTCCATTGTAGAATAGATTGTTTCCCCTTGTGTGGTATTTATTTCACTGCTTCTCAGTGATTACCTGTCATATGTTTTGCAAAGATGGGTATTAGTGTAACTATGGCAATTTTGCATCAAAACATGTAGTTACTGGGGGGCAAAAGCATGTATAGAATTATCTTGAAATATGAAAAATGAGACTGGAGATAAACCAAACAGATATGAAAGACTTTCTAAAAACTAGTTATTATTTTTTCTCATGAAAACAAACAGCTAGAACCTCACTTCTACATGAAAACCAATCTTTCTATTTGTCAGGAACACTGAGAGATGCTGTAAGCATCTTTTAGACATTATTTTAAGAACTCAGTCCATCTTTGACAGACTAATTGCTTGTTCAGTGAAGAGAAATCCCAATGACAGATAATGATCCCTTTTAGTTAAACAATCCCTCTTCTGGTGATGTCATCTATGCTGGTGTTGGAAGGAGTTTCTGAAAAATGTTTTGCACTTAAAAGGCACTTTCTCTCTGATGGAAACATTAATTTGTCCTGCTAGACCCCATTAAAAAATAGTAAAATAAATACACATTAGAAGACCTTTAAGGAGTGGCTACATTTTTTCCTATACATGCAGTTAGTCAGTTTCAGGACCTTAGTTGCTTTGTTTATATTCCCAACTTAAACCATGCATCATTAGATCAGTGCACCAGTGGCCCATCCGTGCAACTAGAGAGCTGTTTTTCTTCAGTCGTTTGCTTTCTGTCTTGGGATATTTGCTTTCTGAAGGATTATAAAATGAAAAACAAGTTAAGCTTCAAGGCACAGTCAGAAATAATGAGTCAAATAAGAGAACTATGTGGTTCCTGATACTTTCTTGTGTTAAATGTAAACAAAATCCACTTTTTGCTCAGTATAAGGGTGGCTATGGCTTCAGCGATCAATTGGAGTAATGTAGAAACTGATTTGTGATCAGATCTCATGTGGAGTTTGACGGAGGACACATGTTAGAGGTCAGTCATCACATTGAAAGCATCTAGAAAGAGAGCAATTAGGAGGTGAAGAATCCAGAATCCACATCCTATTTGGATCTCTCGAAGGATCTTGGCTAAGTTATTGCAGTGGAATAGAAGCCAAAGCCAAGAGAAGAGAGGCTTTTTTGGCTTCATAGAACTGAGAAATGATCATGTACATGAAGAGATGCCATCTGTGCTGTTTCAAATAGTGGAGTTAGCCCCAGTGGATGAGCATTACACAAAAGTAATTTTTACATCAACATAACAAAGAACTTCCTTTTGGTCTAAAGATATCATTGATGAGGATATGAATTCACTGATCCTTGGTTTATTTATGAAGCTAGAGAAAAATCTTTCAGAAATTTATTTCCAATGAGTGAAAAGTCTTTATGCATTGGAAGATAGAACATTTTACTTTCATTTCTTCGAGTTGCAACATCTGATCTGTCCTCCTCATGCCAGAGCCCAAGTCAGGCATTGTGAAGTGGTCTTCAATGGAATCTCCACAAGTTTCCTTTAAAAAGGGGTTGGTGGGAATTGATGAGTAAAGAGATGTATAGCCTTTCTCAGAGATCCAAACATTGTGACTAACCTAAATTGAATTTTAACCCAAATGTGATATATTTGTTCTTACTGGCTTCTGAAATAAAATTGAGGGTTAAATATGTGATATGGAGTGACACTAATTTCAGGACTTCAGTTACATGATGTATACGTACAAGAGTGAAAACAGGACTGGGATCTTAAAAGAGAATTCTGCAAAAAAATGATGCTTTGTTATGACCCAGATGTTTGTTTTTGAAATTGAATCCCCTATTAAAATTTTCTGGTATGTCTTTTATAGGTGACAGCGGTCAGGACGGGTACCCCTCATACTGGCTTCTTACTTCCACCTCTTGTGGCCCAACCCTGTCCTCCAGAGCCTAGCTTCTCCCTTGATCCTTCCCTTTTCTCCCCAACTTCTACTTTTGGACATTCCCCCTCTCATTCTCAGTGTTTTAAATCTCAGTTACCACCCCAGGTACTTTGCTGCTGATTTGGGTATCTTGTTTAAAAGAAAATCAGCTTGGGGGGAATGTCTCGAAAAACTGAGGCTGAGGGTAGAGGGAGTACGCCCGAGTCTTGGAGTCTTGGTTCCTGTTCACAGTGTTTGTGGGTTATTTCCTTCTCTATCACTCACCTCTTTATATATATATATATATATATATATAGAACAAGAATAAACACAAGTAGACATGTAGAATAATATTGCCAGCCACTATCTCCTTTACTAGTTCATACGCTTAATAATTTACTGAATGAGTATTCACATGTAAGTGCTAAATGTTGTAGGTACAGCAGACATATTTGAATTATTGGCTTATGCAATAAAGGAGACGGGCAAGTCCAAAATCTGCAGGGTGAGCAGGAAGCCTGGAGACTCAGGGAAGAGTTGATGTTGTGATTCAAGTCCAAAGGCCATGATACTGGATACCTGTGGTAGATCAAATGTTTCAGTTCAAATCTGAAGGATGTCAGTCTGAAAGATGCCAGGCTGAAGGCCATAGAAAAGGTGATGTTGCAGTTCAAGTCCAAAAGCCATTGGCTGCAGAATTCCCTCTTGCTCAGAGGAGTTTAGCGTTTTGTTCTATTCAGGCCTTCAACTGATTGAATGAGGCCCACCCACATAATAGATCGTGATCTCATTTATTCAAAGTCTACCCATTTAAATGGTAATCTCGTCCAAAAACATCCTCACAGAAATATCCGGAATAATATCTGACCAAATATACAGGCACCGTGACACATAAAATTGTCATAAATTGACACATAAAATTCACTGTCGTAGGAGGTGGCATTTAAGTTAAGACATGAATGCAAAAGATACAATAGCAAAGAATTTCAGGAAGCAGAAAGAATAGGCACAAAAAGTTTTGTGTTTGTGAAACAGAAAAAAAGCCCTATAAGTAGAGTTTGGTAAGTAAGGAAGGTGATTGAGAAAGTGTAGGAGAATAATGCAGGGGAAATTTATGTAAGGCAGTGGTTTTAAACCTTGGCTGTTAGAATTACCTAGGGAGCTTTAAAAAAATGCCTAGGGATGCAACCAAAGGACCAGTTAATTCTCCATGTAATTCAATGTGCAGCTAAGGTTGAGAAGCACTGATGTAGACTAGATTCTGAGATTTTATTGCAAATGAAAGAAGATGTAGCTGGTAAGGTACATAGGTTTCATGGTTTTTAAGAAATCATTATGAAAGTATTCTGGTTCCAGTAATGGCAAGACTCTTTCTCTGATAACAATCATAAATCTGGACAAAATATTGAAAAACAAATAAATTGAAGGCACAGGGGAGCAAAGTAAAACAGCCAGAAAATGAGAAAATGGAACATGACTCTGAAAAAATGAAAGTGTGTGTGTGTGTGTGTGTGTGTGTGTGTGTGTGTACAGCTTTTACCTTGAGGGAACTTCTCAATGTATGTAGTACAGGTTGGCTAGAACTCAAGCAGAAAGCTGCAGTTTTATTTACTGGAGGCAAAAGAGAATGGAGTTTTGGGTTTCCAGATGATCTGGAAACTTGGGGGAGGGTAATTCTGGATAACAGCCACACAAAGGGAAACTCCAAACCCATATCTCTACCTGATTCACCAACTTGGCTGAGCCTTAAACTGCACATGTGTGGGGGAAACTCTAATAAGCCCTGCAGGAAGCAAGGCTGGAAGAGACTTCAGCGGCTGCCCACAGCACAGGACACTGAATTTGGAGTTGGAATCTACCCTAAGTAGAGGACGTGGATAAACCTCTGAATTCCCTCTAAAACTCCACAAGAATCACAAGTTAACAGCATAGATGAAGGCCCAGAATAAAGTCCCAAGTGAAACTCCAGAATTGTGGAATTTGCCTTCTAACTAATAGTAAAACTAAAACATATCTGAAATAACAAAGCATAAAAAATTCAAATTAATCAACTAGTAATTTGCTTGCTGGTTAGAATAAAAATAGACACATTCCAAAGGAACAACATATCAAGAGTGTCAATATATAACATCCACAACGTCCGGGATACAATAAAAATTGGTAGAACAGTAAAACAAACAAACAAACAAACAAACAAACAAAACCAGGTAAATTCTATCCTGCATCTTAAAAAAAAAAAAAACAAAAAAAAAAAACACAAAAACTCAATAACCAGTCAATGGAAATAGAAACCCAAATAACTAAAAGTTGGAATTCACAGAAAATAATTTTAAAGCAGGTGATGTAAATATGTTCAGGACTTAAAGAAAAAATACTAGAGTGAACTGATGGAGAATCTCAGAAGTGGAAACTATAAAAAAAGAAACAAAAATTTTAAAACTATAAATTACAGTATGTATATTGAAAATTTCACTTTATAGACTTAAAGTGAACTTAAAGCTAGGTCAATAAAAATTCTCTAATCTGAAGAACAGATAAATTGATCATAATCTCAGTAACCTATAGGAAAATATCAACCAGTCTGAATTACATCTAATTGGAATCCCTGAAGAAAAGATAGAGAATGGAATTGAGAAAAAAATTTGTGACAATGGTTTCCAAATTAGGTAAAAATTGTCAATGATCAGATTCAAAAAGATCAGTGGATACATGAAGGCATAATATCACTGATGACTGTATAGATATTAAGACTATAATAAAGAATATTATGAACAAATTTATACCACTTAATTTGGAAACAGCTAAAATGGAAAAAAAAGTCCATTAAAAACCTTCTTAATAAAAATTTCAGGCCCTGTTAGTTTCACAGTTAAATTCTACCAAGAGTTTAAGAAAGAAATAATGCCAATCTTACACAAACTCTTTCAGAAAATAGAGGAAGCTTCGCAAAACATTTTATGAAATCACCATAATCCACTTGAAAAACCCTTACAAAGACGTTATAAGAAAAAAGAAATTATAGACCAACATCTTTGAACACAGACCAACAGATCCTTTAACACTATTAGCAGGGCCAGGCACAGTGACTCACATGTGTGATCCCAGCACTTTGGGAGGCCAAGGCGGGTTGATCACGAGGTCAAGAGATTGAGACCATCCTGGCCAACATGGTGAAACCCTGTCTCTGCTAAAAATACAAAAGTTAGCTGGGCATGGCGACCCATCTGTAATCCCAGCTACTAGGGAGGGTGAGGCAGGAGAATCGCTTGAACCTGGGAGGTGGAGGTTGCAGTGAGCCGAAATCGCCACTGTACTCCAGCCTGGCGACAGAGCAAGACTCCATCACAAAAACAAACAAACAAACAAACAAAATACTATCAGCAAACTGAATTTAGCAATATTCTAAAAGGAGTCATTTAATGTAAGATTATCAGTAATACCAGTTTAGTTTAACATTTGAGAGAATTAATTTTGTTTACTATATAAGTAGGATGAAAGAGAAAAAGACAGTATCAATTGATACATATAAACATTTGGTGAAATTTAATAACATTTGTGGTTTTAAAATAATCTCAGGAAGTAGAACAGAAGGGAACCTTTCAATCTGACAAAGGTCATCATCAAAACTCAAGTTAACCTCATGCCTAATGGTGAAATATGGAACGCTTTCTAAGAGGAAATAGTGGGAACTGGGCTAATGAAACGATATCTGATCTTCCCATATTATTCAACACTGTACTTGTATTCAATATGTACTTCCCATATTATTCAACACTGTGCCTATCCAGGGCAATAATGTCAGAAAAATAAGTAAAAGACAAAGGTACTGGAGAGGAAAGGTAACAGTTATTGCTCTAGGTTAATTATGGTTTACACAGAAAATATTAAAAATATACCAAGTAACTGCTAGAACTCATATAAGAATTTACCAAAGTCACAATGTGCAAGGTTATTATACAAAAATTACATTGTACAAAAAACTGATACAGAGTTTTTTGTGTGTAATAAACTTGCATGCTGTGGCTTTGGTAAATTTTCATGAGTTCTAGCAATAATATCTAGAACTCATGAATATTAGCAAAGTTATCTAGTATCTCTGCATAGTAGCAAAGAATTGTAAAATGAAATTTTAAATATTTCCTTTTCAATTGCATCAAGAAGCATAAAAATCTTAAGAATAATTAAACAAATATTCAAAACCTCTGCAAAGAAAACAGTAAGACACTGAAAAAAAGTAAAATAACTAAGCAAACAAATGGAGACCTAAGTAACTTTTACAAATTAGAAGATGTCCATTCTCAACAAGATCAATGTATAGATTCAGACAATCCCAATCAAAATTCAAGTAGCTTTTTTCTTTCTGTGGGCATTGAAAAACTAATTCTTGATTTTATATGAAAATGCAAAGGTTCAATAACAGACAAAGGAATCTGAAAATAAAGAATAAAATTGACAGACTCCCACTACCTGGTATTAAAACCAGCTATAAAGCTATTATAATCAAGACAGTGTTATGAGGGCATTTGAATAAACAAATCAATGGGGCAGAATAGAGAATGCAGAAATAGTCCTCCTCATTTTTGGTCAATTGATTTTCAATTGAGGCTGCAAGTCAATTCAATGTCAAAAGGAAACTCTTTTCCAAGACTGGGTATTTAGGAGGTTGGGGAAGGTAGTGTGAAAGGGGAGAGGGTAAGGAAACTAAATATCAGTGCAGGGAAATAATCTTCAACCTGTGTCTCACTTCATACACATAAAAATAATACAATCCCAATCATAAACTGAAACATAAAAGCCAGTACTATAAACTTCTAGAAAGAAACAAACATAAAAGATTACCTTCATAACCTTGAGGTTGGAAACAACTTATTGAACTATACAGAAGAAAGCACTAATGCTGAAAAGAAAAAGAAGGAAAATGGAAAATTGAACTTCATCTAAATTAAAAATATCTTCTTATTAAAAGTCACTGTTAATAAAATGAAAAGCCAAGTATCTACTGGGAGAAGATATTTATAATAAATATATCTGAAAGACTTAAATACAGAATATATAAAGAACTAAAAAAAATAATGAAAAGATAAGCAACCTAACAAAAAGAGGCAAAGGATTTGAATGAATACTTCCATTAAGAAAATAAACAAATGGCCAATAAGCACACATCTTTGGACATCTTTTTGTCATCAGGAAATTGCCAATTAAAACAATGAGGTATAACTCTATTTAGCTACTCTAGCTTCTGAATGGGTAAAATTAAAGACAAGCAACATTAAATGTTGGAGAGAATGTAGAACAAGTGAAACTCTGATATGTTATTGGTAAGAGATGAGAATTTTAGAAAACATTTGGCAATTTCTTTTCTTTTTCTTTTTTTTTCTTTTTTTTGAGACGGAGTCTTGCTCTGTCGTCCAGGTTGGAGTGCAGTGGCGCGATCTCGGCTCACAGCAAACTCCGTCTCCCTGGTTCACGCCATTCTCCTGCCTCAGCCTCCCGAGTAGCTGGGACTACAGGCGGCTGCCACGACGCCTGGCTATTTTTTTGTATTTTTAGTAGAGACGGGGTTTCACCATGTTATCCAGGATGGTCTCGATCTCCTGACCTCATGATCCGCCCGCCTTGGCCTCCCAAAGTGCTAGGATTACAGGCGTGAGCCACTGCGCCCGGCCGGCAATTTCTTATAGAGTTAAATCGATTCTTAACATAAGCTCCAGCATTTCCAGCCCCACGTATTTAATCATAAGAAATAAAAACATCTGTCTACACTTAGAATTGTACCCAAATTTTCATTGTACCTTTATTCAAAATAGTACAAAACTGAAAACAACCTGATGGTTTTCAATAGGAGAATGGATAAATTTCTGTTTACTTATATAATGGAATTCTACTTAGTACCAAAAAAAAACAACAACTACCAATTCATGTAAAAACATAGATGAATTTCACAAGTACTAATATGATGTTGGGCAAAGGAAATCTGTCCTTTGATAACAAAGGGTGCATACTGTGCACATGTACTCAGGAAAAAGCTAATGTGTCTTTACTGACAGAAGTAAGAACAGTGGTTGTCTAAGGAGAAGGCTGATGATTGACTAGAAGGAGTTATAAAAGGTGTAATGAAAATATTTTATATCTTGATTAGAATGAGTGTATACATTTACTGGGAATCTTTAAGTTGTGTGCTTGAAATTAGTACATTTTGACTGAATATAAATTTGATCTCAATTTTAATGGTTTATGGGTAGATATAAATGAAAGCTAGAAGAATTAAGAGGCTATTTCAGTAGTCTAGACAGGAGATTATGGTAATTCAGAGTAGGATGTTAGGAATGGAGCTGAGAGTTTACTTCATCAGGGAGGTAGCTTGAAGGTGAAGCTGGCAGGAATTGCTGATGGACTTGGATCCAAGGGGTAAGAGATATAAAGGATTCAGGATGCTTCTATGATTTTGGTAAGGGAACTAGGTGGATGGCATTCCTCTTTTGGAGACTGTGAAGACTAGGAAAGGAACGGTGTTGGAGAGTGAGTACCTATGATGAATCAAGAGCTTGTCTGACCCGTGTTAAGTTTGTAATATCTTTCGCAGCACTAGTACAGCAGAGATACCAAGCAGGCCCATGCATTTTTCAGTCTGGTTTTCAGTGAAGAGTCCAGTGCTGGGTGTATACATTTGGAGTCAATAGCATAGAGATTGTATTTCATAGAAACTTTGAAATACAGAGTCACCAGGTATGTGATGTGTAGTTGTACAGGAATGGGTTTCATGAAAAGAAAAAAGGCGCTTGCTAAATGCTTGAAAAATGTAGTTATAGTGAATGAAGAGTAAAAATGTAGGAAGATTATTTTGTTTTGAATTAGAAAAAGAAATGACACCCAAAGCAAAATAATTAACTGATAAAACACCAAACAAGTTGGATCATATGAAAAGTAAGACTTTGGGCAAATTGTTCAATGACATTGTTTTCTTTTCTTTAAAATGAGGATAATAATCATATGCATAATACGGGATGATTGTGCAGATCAAAGAAAATAAGTAGTACAAAACACTTTTAAGTGTTTATGAGAAATGTAAATGCTGGTCATTATAGATATATTTCTTTTTGTTATTTATTATCACTATGTAAAATCCGATTTCTACCAGACTTTACTTTCATAGCAGTCTTGTTAAAGTATTAGCTGAAAATGATAACCTGGGCTCCTTGAATTTTAATTGAATAATCAGATGAAAAAACTCAGAAAGCATTCACTTTAGATGGAAAAATTTAACATAACCCATGAGAACCTGGTGAGGTGCATTTTCCAAAAGGCAGTCCTTCTGTGTAACTCCACAGACTTGTCAGACTGGCCTGGACTTGCAGACTGAAAGTGACATTCCTGGAGATATTTTAACATCATCTCCCCAAGGACAAACATATTGCATTCTTTTTGAGATGGGTCATAAAGGGATTTCACCTGCCTTTATTCGTAGCTGAAGGTACAAAGGAAGCAGTTCCTAAGTCAGGAGAATCCCATCAACCCCCGCAACCTGTTTATGCCAAGGTGGAAGATGAATGAAACCAGAAAGCAGCCGTGCCTGACCACATTGAGAAAGAATCAGACAGTGCTGCCTCCGCCAGAGTCCTGGGCATGCATCTGTGATCCAGTGTTGAGTCACTTCCCCTAGCCCAGGTGGTACACAGCCCTGGGTTTTTACAGCTGGATCAGATCATGCAGGCATGGGAGTATCATGAGACTCCAGAGTGTCATGGGATGTATCATGAACATAGAAGCCAAAGCAGCTGCTGCAGGCTGGCCAGCCAAACCATATTACACAAAACTGGGGCTCCATGAACCACAGAGTGAAGTGACAGTCTCCTTTAGAGCCTGTGCAGCCCTTTGTGCTTTCCCAAAGCTCTTAGCAGTGATGGACAGCTAGATCTAGTGGAAAAACCCTGGATCAGGCTGGTAGACCTGAATGTGAAGGCTTACTCTATGCTTATTCACCTTTAACATTGTGCAATCTCTTTTCTCCCCTTGTTCTTTTCAGATTTTCATGTGTAAAACTGGTGAAAAATGTTACTGATTTGTTAGAAATAATTTGAAGATCATATGATTCAAGTTACAGAATGTCTAGCCTGCAATTTGATACACATTAGGTATTCAAAATCAGTGAATGCCATTTTGTTTATCCTTGATATGGTCTAAACCAATGCTGCCTAATCAAAATATAAACTACACATACAACAATTATTTTTCACAGCTACATAAAGAAACTAAGAAGAAACAGGTAAAATTAATTTTAATTATGTGTTATATTTGCTACAACAAATCTGTAACATTATCATTTCAGTAAGTAGTTGATATAAAATTATTAAAAATCAAAAACTTTTGATTTTTTATGTCTAAGTTAATTAAAATGAAATAAAAAATCCAATTCCTTAGCCTAACCTGATGCATTTTAAGTGCCCGGTATTCACATGTGTCTCTGGTATTGGACAGTGCCCATCTAAAGGAGTATCAGTTATGAAGAAAAAATGAATACAAGCAGAAAGAATAAAGTTAAGTTGGCTAAGAATTGTCAGTTTCTAAGATAGAGAAAATGAGATGGATTTATAAAAAATGGTGTTGAATCTGGTGCCTTGAGTATAGGGTTATCATTTGTAGAAATAGGAAAGTAATTTTGAGGGACAGGTGGATTGGAGATTAGAATTTCAGTTGTATACATGCGGAGTTTGAGATGGTGTCAAGAGACCTCTGTAGGGGTGTTTGGTTAATAGAATGACATGTCCACAGGAAGCTCAGCCAAGAGGGTTCTTTTCGGTAAAGGTGTGGACATCAAAGAAAAGTATGCATTGGGAATTGAGGAGCTTTGGTTTGCCTGTATACAGGCTATGAAAGAAAAAAAAAAGGCAACCCAAAAAAGACACAAGAAGACAAAAAAGTAGGAGAGAAATCAAGCTAATATAATGTTCCAGACTCCAAGGGTTAAATGACTTTGCAGGTAGCAATGAAATGGTACCTGGAATGTTGCTGCAGAGACAAGGAGGGAAGCAGAGCAGCAGCTCACCAGCAACCCTGGTTGCATCACTGCTGCTCACTGTCTCTGCTATTCCTGTTTTCTCGGCTTCATGTTACACTCCAGCATCATCTTAGTCATCGTCTGTTCTGCTCTGACAGGTGCATTAATCAAAAAGAAGAACAGCCGTGTCACTTTCCTCTTGCCTGTCTTACACATAATTTTGGTGATTTGGTTCTTTCATCTGACTTGTTCATTCACTGAACTTATACTTATTCAGCTCATACTTCCTGTGTGCTCAGCACGGAGGGTTCCGAAATGAACAAGGTCCTTATTTTCTCTCTAAGAGGCTGATTTGCTTTACATGAGAGTGCTCTGGCAAAACTGCCTATTCTTACCTACCCCAAACCAGTCTTTGTAAAGGCAGCAATGTTACTTTCTCTACCTCAGGCAGGGTTCTTTTTCTATTTGGGAAGTTGCCTGGGAGTGTAAGAAGTGTTCCTTGCTTCTCCTGCTTCTCAGAAGTCTCCCGGCTTCTGCATGCCTGGTAATACCCTAGGCCCCCCTCAATTCCCAGCTGTTATTGACTCTCTCTCTCTTTAGGACCCTTGCCAATTATCTCGATTAGTGTTTATCCAATGATAATAGTACTAGATGATTTTAGGTGGTAATAAATCTAGGTGATTTGAGGTGGTACTCTAACATTTTTCTGTTTGATGTCTTTCATTTTCATGCAACTATCTATTTATGGTAACTGACACTGTATTTTAAACTTATGAATGATATTTCTTGAAAAATGTTATTTTAAAATAAATAGGTTTTAAGTTAAAAAACAAACTAATTTTTTAAAGTCAAGTGAAGAATATTTTCAGCACTTTATGATTATGACAAAACCACGTCTATTGTTTGGAAAGCCTTAAATTAGAGGATAATAAAAGAACATGCATCATCAGTATTAATTAGGCTGCATGTCATACACTAAATACTCCAGAAAGACACACAAAAAGGACAGACCTGACTTTAGGCACTTTCTTTTACTGTCTGATGAAACAGCACGAATATCAAAAACCTTAAAGTGTGTGAGATTTTATCTCACTTGCAACAGAACAAGTTAACCACTCACAGTTGCCTGGTTACTATAGAAGACAGTTTACTACTCAAAACCAATAGTGGGCCGGGCGCCGTGGCTCACGCCTGTAATCCCAGCACTTTGGGAGGCCGAGGCGGGCGGATCACAAGGTCAGGAGATCGAGACCATCCACCATGGCTAACTCGGTGAAACCCCGTCTCTACTAAAAATACAAAAAAATTAGCCGGGCATGGTGGCGGGTGCCTGTGGTCCCAGCTACTCGGGAGGCTGAGGCAGGAGAATGGCGTGAACCCGAAAGGCGGAGCTTGCAGTGAGCTGAGATTGCGCCACTGCACTCCAGCCTGGGCGACAGAGCGAGACTCCGTCTCAAACAAACAAACAAACAAAAAAAACCAATAGTAATAGTCAGGGTAACAGTTCTATTGTATTTCCCCAACCCCCATTTCCCAATCCGTGATGTGAAGAGGACCAGGTGATACCTGCCCTCTGTAGGTGGTGTTTCAGGAAAGGAGACTTGAACTTAGGGAACTGTCACCTTTTATAACGGGCAGACAACATGCTTCCCTAGGTTCTGGGGTGAGACCTTGTCTTTATTGCACTGGACTGAAGTATGCTTGCCATTTTCTCCAGTTTCTGTTCCTATTCTTACTAACAAAATATTCATGAACAGATAGTGCTGAACAAAGGGCAGTTGCTGCCTCACTTCACAAGGCATGCAGAAATATGGCAGTCTCATGGATAACTGTCTCCCAAAAATCATTTGGGACAAGAAAACTATATAGATGAGGAAAAAAATACATAAAAAGTCATCTTGATCATCATCATATATGGTATATTTTGAATTACTGACACATTGAGTCACAAGCTAAAAGCCATTCTGTAAATCTTCTTTTTGGGAAAAAAGACATTTATAGTTCTAAAAATCAGTCATGAATTAGACTTGAAATGAGTTTTTTCATTAAAATGAGTATAATTTGAAAAATCAAGGCCAGACGCGGTAGCTCATGCCTGTCTGCACTTTAGGAGGCTGAGGCGGGTGGATCATTTGAGTTTGAGACCAGCCTGGCCAACATTGGCGAAACCCCATCTCTACTAAAAATACAAAAATTAGCCAAGCGTGGTGGTGCGTGCCTGTAATCCCAGCTACTCAGGAGGCTGAGGCAGGAGAATTGCTTGAACCCGGGAGGCGGAGGTTGCAGTGAGTCAAGATTGCAACATGGCACTCCAGCCTGGGTGACAGAGTAAGACTCCATCTCAAAACAAACAAACAAACAAACAAACAAAAAACAAATTATTAGAAGTGCATGCAATGCATCTATGGCCATCCACTAACTAATGCAACTTATTTGAATGGGACTTGTATATTTTCCAGTATTTACTTGGAAAAAGCCACAGTAATAAAAAATGATGTGTTTCTAAGAAAAATACTACATATCTGAATGTGGCATTTGAGGGTTCTTTCTATCATATGCTGTAATAACACTTATGTGCTCGCAGAGGTGAGGGGGATGCAATTATGCTAAAATCTTACATTGTAAAACAATCTTCAGCCAGCACATATCAAAATATTCTACTAATTACTCCTGGTATGTATTTTTTTTTCCTTTAAAAGCATGTTGCAAATGCCACATATGTCTAGAAGGTACAATTTCCCCTTGCTTAGGGGCAACATCTCAATATAATTTTTACTGGTAAATTTCACAATTCATATATCTTAATAACAAGATGGAGTGCAGGTTCCTAATAATACACAATTCATTAGTTGAAATCTGCCTTTTCATACAGAAGTTGAATCTAATTTTTTTTAAACACAAGTCATTGGGTAGACAAAATACAGAGAGTCTAATTTGGAAGAAATGAAATTAATATTACCTTTTCTAGGTGAGTTTACTTTCTTTAATGTTCAATAAAGCCTTTGGAAGCTCTTTTTGGGAAAACGATTTGTCTATCAAATTAAATATGGATGATTTATTTAATCTAGATGGTGGCTAATTATGAATGGATATAATTATTTTGTTAAATCATTCTTGTCTGTGCCACTGTCTTTATTTATTTTTTTGTTGAGATGGAGTCTCGCTCTGTCACCCAGGCTGGAGTGCAGTGGCACGATCTTGGCTCACTGCTGCAACCTCCACCTCCTGGGTTCAAGTGATCTTCCTGCCTCAGCTTCCCTAATAGCTAGGATTATAGGTGCCTGCCACCACACCTGGGGACTTTTTGTATTTTTAGTAGAGATGGAGTTTTACCATGTTGGCCAGGCGGGTCTCAAACTCCTGACCTCAACTGATACACCCACCTTGGCCTCCCAAACTTCAAGGGTTACAGGCGTGAGCCAACGTGCCCAGCCTGGTGGTGCTTTCAAATGGATAACAATTCAATAATGGAGAAATGGAATTGACCTGCATTGTGAGAGTCATGGATCTTAACATACTTCAGTTCATCAGAGATGATGCAGTGCTTTGACTAAATTATTGATTATATATTTTTTGGAAAGACACCTTAAGTATCCCTATGAACTTGAAGTTGTCTGCCTATGGTAGCCCAAAAAAGTCACACTAATTGGAATATGAAATTGAAAGACTAAAGTCTAGCTCAAGAAACAGCTCCCTAGTCGTTGAGATGGTTCACTTATTTCAAAGAATATTTGAAGGGTAAGAGAATCAGTGTCTAGACAACCTTGAGTGTTCTGCACTGTGGTCAGAAAACACAAGAAATTCTTTAGTTTATTTTTGGGTATTGTTCATCTTTAATGACTACAGGTCATAAGACCAGAGCAAAAAACTTTTGACATGTGATTTAATGAATATATGAATGAATCAATGAATAAGAAAAACTTTTATTTTTTATGTCGTTTTAAAAAATTATTTCCTTAATTGTTTTGTTTCCTACTCTCTCTCCTCTTCTTCTAGCCACATTATCCTCTTACCATAATAAACCCCTGTATATATTTTTTAAATCCGTTCAAAATTACATTATATTAGGGTTCTCCAGAGAAACAAAAACAATAGGATAATATCCTATATTATATGATAATAGAATATTATACATATATTTGTATATAGGAAAATATCATATTTATATATATACATATCTATATATTCATATAGCTATATATAGATAGATAGATTTCTCATGCAGTTTTGGTTTAAGGAACCACAGAAGTCTCATGATCTGCTTTCTGCAAGCTGGAGACCCAGGAAAGCCAGTGATGTAGTTCGAAGGCTTCAGATTCAGAGATCTAGTAGTATAGATTCCTGTCTAGGTCTGAAGGCCTGAGAACCAGAAGTACAAAAGGCAGAAGAATGGTGTCTGAGCTCAAAATGCAGGCAGAGAGTGAGTTCAGCCTTCCTCCATCTCTTTGTGCTATTCAGGCTTTCAATGGATTAAGTGATGTCCACCCACTTGGGAACTGCTTGACTCAGTTTCCCCATTTAAATGCTAGACTCTTCTAGAAACATCTTCACAGATGCACCCAGATATAATACCTAAACACTATTTGGGCATCCTGTGGCCCCACTAAGTTGACATACACAATTACCCATCAAATATGTGGAATGTTTTTGTCAAAAGATAAGCTCACTTCTCCCACATGTCAGAATTCCAACAGTCATGGTATGTTGACAACCTATGTGTGCTGGGGGAGAAAAAAGTTTGATATTCCCAAATTTCAAGTTTGAAAACCACTGTCCAGAACATTACCTGTTCTTCATACTGCCATAAAATGTATTAAAAGGGTGAATGAATATCACTATCTACTTTCCATTGAGAATAATCTCAAAGGTAATGAGAGATATCAGCTTAGCAGCAACATATAATCAAGGCAGATTTTAGGAATTCATATTTAAATACAAATTAAGGACAGCAAATAAATGTCAAATGAATGGCATGTGAATAAAGAAATCTGTCATGGGTTAGTAGAAATAAGTGAAAAGCAGTGATAACATTATAATCACGATGTCAAAAGAGATAAATGCCATTTATACAGGTGAGAGGAAGGAAGATGACAGGTGGCAAAAATATTCTAGGGCCTAAATGTCATTTGGTAATGAGTGCTTTTTGACATTTTTACCCAGGATAAGGGGTATAAT
Source organism: Homo sapiens (assembly GCF_000001405.40). NCBI lineage: Eukaryota > Metazoa > Chordata > Mammalia > Primates > Hominidae > Homo > Homo sapiens. Next base: position 87,127,061 of record NC_000014.9, on the reverse strand, counting down.
TCCATTCATTGCATTTTATGAAATTCAAAAATAAGATGGGTATACTTTTGTGTTCCAACTTTTTCTGCATAGTTATGACTTCTCAAATGGTGTGTACTTCCTAATGGAGTAGGAAACTGTAGTCTGTTATTTATGTGTGTAGTCTGTTATTTTTTTGTTCCTCATAGTGCAAAGTACACAGTATTGACCAAAAATTATTAAACACTGTGTCTTGGAGGAAGACAAAATATATATTATAAATATATATTTATTTCTATAAAAAATATGATATTATCCTATATATATATAGTGCAAGATGTGCATACCAGTAACCTGGCATTGCTATGGATTACCATTGTACTAAGAACAGTACAGTATACAGTCCTGATTTGAATTTTAGTCTTTTGGCCTAGACTTCCTGAGTTTACACTCTCTTCACTGGTTGTATGCTATTCAGCAGCAACTCAACTCTACATCATTTTCTTCATCTGAAAAAGAGTGTCAATAATAGTATTAACTATTTAAAGGAATTAACGTTTATAAAAGACTAAGGACAATGTTTGGTATATACTAAACGCTAAGCAATTGTTAATTGGTTTTACCATTTGTGTGTGTGTGTGATTGTTACCGTTATTCAAATAAGTAGTAGAAACTCAGAATTTACTAACACACCAATATCCTCAGCAGAAATAAAATTCAGATGAAGTCTATACTCTCTTCCTGGACAGACTACCTGGCACATTGTTTAACATCTCTGAGTCTCACCTGTACTTAACCTCTGGGCTCCATCCGCTGCTTCAACCTTGAGTATTATCTCTGAGAATAATTTCAAGGCTGGCTCTAGTAGGTTAATACTAAACTACTGTGGGACATATGTTGGTCACTGAGTGACTAATATTCTGAGTCTCTAAAAGAGGAAAGCACAACAAAGGCTCTAAATTTAAGCAAGGCATTACAATTATAAGCAAGTGATAGCATATACAATTATTAATAGAAAAGTCTTTTCTCAAATATATGCCACTGAATATGTAAGTTGCCTTGTAAAATGCAAACAAACAAGAAAGTAACAAATAATGCAAGCAAACAAATGCATCAATCAGATTTGTGGTCAAATAAGTTCGAAGTCTTCCGGTTTCAACAAAATTATTCCTTTACTAAAGGAGTTCTCAGAACTTTTAATATACTAGTATTGTAGATCTCCAAGATGGTTAAGTTGACCAAGCTGTCCAAGTGTAATTTATCTTGAAACTTAAAAAAACGAACAACCATTTTCCACACAAAGGTGCTATTTTATGAAAAATAGTTTATATATTTAGAATGAAAGAGCATTATTCTACACTTTGCAATTTCAAATGTCTATACATGCTATATAAAATACAGCCACTATTCTTTGTATAGGTCACTATAATAACTTATTTGTCAAGCCGTTATCTTTGTCAAACATCTATTACCCAAAATTCAATGTAGCCACATTTTGTTAGAGCCACACTACCAGCCCAGTTGTATACCAAGGAGCCATGTAGAGTTAAGTAGCGGCAATTTAGTCCTAACTTCCAGCACCAGGAGAGATCATTAAGATAAATGTGAATGGATGGGAAGCAGCAGCTATAAAATAAATCTGAAGAGTCAAGAGAAACTGAGGAAAAGTAGAGATAAAGGTACACATTTCTCAAAGAAAAAAAGTAAATGAAGTCACCTCTCCAACAACAGCATGTGTGCATAAAAGACAGTAGGGTGGGCCGGGCACCGTGGCTCACACCTGTAATCCCAGCATTTTGGGAGGCTGAGGTGGGCAGATCACGAGGTCAGGAGATCAAGACCATCCTGGCTAACATGATGAAACCCCATCTTTACTAAAAATACACAAATCAGCCAGGTGTGGCAGCATGCGCCTGTAGTCCCAGCTACTCAGGAGGCTGAGGCAGAAGAATTGCTTGAACCTGGGAGGCGGAGGCTGTAGTGAGCCAAGATTGCACCACTGCACTCCAGTCTGGGCAACAGAACGAGACTCCATATCAAAAAAAAAAAAAAAAAAAAAGATAGTAGGGTGGATACGTCACTTTCAGTTAGCTAATATCATTCAGCCAATCAGTCAATTCACTTAAAAAAAATTGTGGAGAGCACTGACAGTATGCCAGAATTATTCTAGGTATTGGGATATAGTAAGGAGGGATTGGACATGATCCTTGGTTTCAGAGACCTTACATTACATGGGTGAGGTAGAATAGCAGGAAGATACACATAGTGTGCCATTTACTATGTGTATCTTCCTGCTATTCAACCTATTCTATTTCCTGAGGAAAGACGAGCTGGGCAAGAGGTTGAATCTTAAAGGGCAGGGAAGAACTCCTTTAGGTAAGGTCCTTACAGAAGGTGATATGGTTTAGATATGTCTTCCTGCCCAAATCTCATGTTCAGTTGTAATATCCAGTGTCGGAGGTGGGAGGAGGTGATGGGATTATGAAGGAGGTTTCTAATGCGTGATTTAGCACCATCCACTTGGTGCTGTTCTTGTGATAGTGAGTCCTGGCAACATCTGGTTGTTTAAAAGTGTGTAGCACCTCCCCCCTCTCTCTCTTCCTCCTATTCTGGCCATGTGAAGTGCCTGCCCCCACCTTGCCTTCTGCCATGATTGTAAGTTTCCTGAGACCTCCCCAGAAGCTGAGCGGATGCCAGCATCATGCTTCCTGTACAGCCTGCAGAACCATAAGTCAATTAAATCCCTTTTCTTTATAAATTACCCAGTCTGAGGTATTTCTTCATAGCAGGGTGAGAATGGACTACAGAAGCCCTCTCTGGGAAGATCTTACTCAAACAGAGGTCTTATTAATGAGAGGACGTGTTACTGTGAGTGGATAAATTGCACGGGAAGCTGAATAATAGAAAGCGCCCAAGACTTGAGGTGGAAACCTGCCTAGAGTACTCAAGTAACAGCAAGGAGGCCAGAAAGTATTTTTATTTGTTTACTTTCAATCAAATTCTGTCCATGTTAAACCAATTTAAATGAAAGTATTTAATGGAGACCAGTTTTCTGCTACATTCATATTCATGGATACTATTCAATTTTATCCTTATATACTCTGCCTATTTCACCTCAAACGTCTCCAATATGTAGTCATAGCTTAATGTTTAGATAGAATTCAAACCATAAACTACTACTAATGTTTATGTTGTATTGATCATTTTCTAGTCTAGTCAGTCTAGTCTATTAGTCTAGTACTCACACACAGTCCTTGACCTTTTCCAGAGATTATCGTGTTTCATTAGTGATTAGAATTATAATCTTACTCTTTTTTTCTCCACATAATGGGTGTGGTAGATTCTGAAGATGTACTCAATTCATCACTCCTCCTTAGACCCATGATTGGGCCAAACAACTGCAGTAAATTTCCACTTTGGGCAGGGAAATATGCCCTTCCCTTTGGCTCTGTGCTCAGCCATGTGACTTGCTTTGGCCAAAGGGATGTTAGACAATGTGATGGAAGCAGAGGTTTGAATAACTCTGTGTAATTGAGCTTAACTGCTCTCTTTGTGCCTCTGCCATAAGATCATGCCTCAGTTAATCTTTTGAAGGATGAGCAACTTGTGGAATGAAGTAAGTTACCCGGGTCATCCCAGCCAAAACCAACCTTGCTCAGCTGAATGCCAGGTGACAGCCTTCATTTAAGGAAGCCTAGACAAGATCAGCAGAGCCATCCAGATGGCCTCTCAGACAGACGGTCAATAAAGGCATGTTGTTCTAGACCACAGAGTTTGTGGCTGTTCAGTACGCAAAGGTATTTTGGTAATAGGTACCTGATACTATACACTATGCAAAGCAGATGTGTGTTCACGCCATTCAATACTAAAACATATTAGAGTACAGTGTCCCAATCAACATTAATATTTTGTAAACCTTAAAAAGGAAGAGTTTTTGTGGTTGTTGTTGTAGCTGCAGGGTTGCCTCATGTTTCTTAAATACCTCTGCCCTAACTGAATATAGCATCAAAATGTATTTATGTTGAGCACACACATGTGACAGCTTCTGCCTTCTAAGGCATAGCCTCAAGGCTTGCTCAGAGATAAGGATAAAAGAACCCCCAAACACCTGAAATAAATTTCTCAAGGCAACAGTGCTAATATCATGGATCTGTCTAGAAAGCCATCAGATCTTCAGAAGCTACTTAATTAATAAGTATATTTTGAGCATTTTAGTGCCTGGCACAAAATAGAGGATATTGCCCATACATTGTTAATAACCAAATAGAGGGAAATCTAGGTAATAAAATATGAGGAGAAAAAAATACAAACATATTCACACTATAAATATCAAAGAATGTAAGAGGGATGTTTCTAGAGTTAAAGAATGTTTTCAATTGGTTTTGTAATTGGATTTGTTTTTGTTCAAGTATCACTTTTGAAAGCTTGGTAAGATTACTATTAAATACGAAATTTTAGTTTTATGTAGAAAACCTTACATCATGCTTATTCCTGGCCTGTGAAAAAAGAAGAGTAATTACTCTGCTTGTAGAAGGAAATGACAATGAAAATTTTAAGAATGAAAATTTTAAGAAAACAGAAACAAAAAAATATTGTTTTATTTAGATGAATGGTAATTCTTTGAAACAGTTGGCAATTTCTTTCCTTATGGAAATAGCCATCCCTCTACTTTTTTATGGAACAGTTAAAGCAGAGATATTTGCCATTCCCAGAAGAAAGACTTTTTTTTTTTTTTTGACAGTCTTCCAGGGCTTTGCCTGGGAAGTGTTTGACCATCTGCTAACTCTAGGCCTTTGAGGTTGAGAATGTTCTGTATTTTAAAGGAAAATCTAATTTCATTGTTCAAGGAGATCTCAAGTTCAGAGAGGCTGTCATCTCCTCCATCCCACCCTTGTTTGTAGTCAAATGAAACCATACTAAAAAAAGGTTGATGCCTTTTCACTATCACAGGCGCACAGGCAAGCCTGTAAGAATCAAATTACTTACATAAGGCAGAGAAAGTGACTCAAAGTCAGAATTCAGGGATGAATGCTGCCATTCTGTCCTGTGGTTGTCAGATCAGGGATGAGAAAGAAAAAAGGAAAAATGAAGGAAGCTGAAAATCCAGCCCTCTGGAGGCAGGAAGGGCTATTCCCAACTCTGGTTACTTGATCATGGAGAGCAAGTTCTCTCAAAGTGTTTAACTCAGATGCTGAGCCTGTATTTGCATGTGCTCACAGACTCCTTAGCTAGGTTGCTGAAACAAAACCTACCCACGAGGCTAAGGGAAGTTGAGGCTGCAGTAAGACAATCATCCTGCCACTGTACTCTGGCCTGGGCGACAGTGTGACCCTGTCTCAAAAATAATAAATTAAAAGAATAAAGTTTTTAGAACTACACTTCCTGGCTTTGGTGTGACCAGGTAACTTTGAGACAGTCATTTCACCTCTCTGTACTCAGTTTTCTTATCTGTCCAATGAGTATAGTGAAAGCACTCACCTCACAGGGTTGTTGTAAGGATTAAAATTGCTAATGTATTTAAAGAAGCTAGAACAGTGCCTGGTACTTTTAAGTGCTACATAAATGGCAACTTTTACAATAATTCTTTGGACAAATGATTTTACTGTTGCTACTTTTGCGCTTATTTGCTGCCACTAAATGAGAAAGTCATGCTAGCTATTGGAATCTGTTTCCTCATCTGTAAAATGAGGGTGTTGTACCCTATAAAGTTAGGACTTCCACACTGTCATTCTAAGACACGCAAACATGAATTTGCATGTGTTTATGTTAAACAGTTTGGAGGTGTTTATATAACATTATAATTGGATGTAATAATCTTTATTTATACAAGATATATTAAGTATTTTAATCTTTCTTACATATTTATTGAGTACCTACTACATGTCAGACATTGTATTAGATGCTGGGAATTCAGCATCAAAAACCCAATACCCCTGTACCCTGTTCTTGTAGTGTTTTCATTCTAGAATTTTTCCCTTGGTTTGCAGCTGTATCAGCTACTTGACAGAATACTCAATAAGTGTATAGGGAACTAGGAACTGGGACCTCAATTCCAGCAGTATGTTTAAGTTATTTAACAGTAATTTAATAGGAGGCTTAATGAAATTTTATAGAGATGCAAAAATTCAAAACTTTGAGTGTTAGGTGTCCCATTAAATTGCTAAAAATTGAATTTTTATTTCCTACATTGGCCACATCCTTAAGTTTTAAACCAGAAAAGCCAAGTTTATGCTTGCCAAGAACTCTTTAGGAATGCTAAATACATGTATTAAATTAAAAAAAAAGATAACTTAAGGTGGAAACCTTAAAAATGCAGACCAGTTTATAAAAGACCATGTTACAACCTCAGGACATATTTATAGCTGTACAGAAAATAAATACAGTATGGATTTTTTAAAGATCAACTTATAAACCTGATTTTGAAATTGCTTATAGTGTTTCTGTGTATGAAATGAAGGTGTGAACCAGATTTGGGCTTACATTAATTCTCAGCTGGCTATTTTTGAGGGTATTGAGAGTATAAAGAAGTTCCTCTTGAATATGTTGAGTTTGAGGTGACCACTAGTATCTGAGACGCATGTGGTTTAACAGTGCAGTGTTGCTAATGGTTGATTATTTTGCATTTACAAATTATATGTAGTAATTTTATGTAGTTTGTTAAAAGAAAAACTTTAGCTGAATTAAATTTAAAAGTGTTTATTTTTTTAGACATATATATTTTTTATTATACTTTGAGTTCTAGGGTACATGTGCACCACGTGCAGGTTTGTTACATACTTATAAATGTGCCATATTGGTGTGCTGCCCCTATTAACTTGTCATTTACATTAGGTATATTTCCTAATGCTATCCCTCTCCACTCCTGAGCCTACTCTGGCTTTAGACGATAAAAGTGTTTAATTGAGCAAAGAATGATTCATGAATTGGGCAGCCTCCTGAGCCAGAGTAGGCTCAGAGACTCCAGTGCAGCCAAGTGGTGGAAGAAGATTTATGGACAGAAAAAGGAAAGTGATGTAAAAAAATAAATAAATAAAAATTTAAAAAAACAGCTGGATTGGTTACAATTCAGTGTTTGCCTTATGTGAACACAGTTTAAACAGTTGGGCACCTTTGATTGGCCAAACTCAGTGACTGGAACCACAGTAGACTGCAGCCTGTTTACAACTGCATTTAGGTTATAGTTCACCATGCACAGAGAAACCTTCAGGCTGAATTTAAAATATGTAAGGAGGCAGCTTTAGGCTAAACTTGATTTAACAACCCTCACCATTTGATCATCCTCTCAATCTTGAGAGACTGACCAAAACTTTAGTCATTGATGCCACTATTGCCATCATAAATGTATTTATTTGGTCCTGAAACCATCTGGAAAATAGCAGAACAGTGGGTTTTATAAGGTGGGAACAAGAACTTCAGGTTATTTTTTTTGTAACGGCCAGAGTAGAGGTTACCTCCTATGCTGGAACAGGAGAAAAACAAAATCTGGTTTGTTTTAGGATCTATGTGTTTCTCTAATGTCTTAGTTTGATTATGTCATATTTAGCCCAAGTTACTCCATTTTTGTTTGGTCTGGTCTGTTGGGGACTGGTGCATGAGCTCAGTTCAAAACAATGGCCTCCCATAACTTTGTTTAAAAATTCCCCCATTCTGGTCAGGTTCTCACATAGGTGAGAGTGTGACCAAAACCTAGGGCCTTAGTGCCACTCCCAGTCACCATCATTTCGGGTTTTTGGTCACAGCATGTCATTCATAGGTTATGGTACCCTCAAGTTCACACTTTTCTTTAAGCTCTTGTCATTGCAGTTGAAGGGAGGTTGACATTCTTTTACATTCTAAAGATGGCTGCATGTGAACATTTAAAACTTTTAAGAGAATACAGTGCACCAGGAAGGCTACTATTATAACTATCAGTAGGATAATACCATGAGTTTGGAGTATGCTCCTTAGCCAGGGTCCCAAGAAACCAAATCACTTAAAATCTAATAGATCAAAGAATGAGCTAGATAAATGAGCTAGATAGAGTCTACTCTCTACTCTCTCTCTCTCTTTTTTTTTTTTTTTTTTTTTTTTGAGACGGAGTCTCGCTCTGTCACCCAGGCTGGAGTGCAGTGGCGGGATCTCGGCTCACTGCAAGCTCCGCCTCCCGGGTTCAAGCAATTCTCTTGCCTCAGCCTCCCAAGTAGCTGGGACTACAGGCGCCCGCCACTACGCCCGGGTAATTTTTGTATTTTTAGTAGAGATGAGGTTTCACCATGTTGGCCAGGATGGTCTTGATCTCCTGACCTTGTGATCCACCTCCCTCTGCCTCCCAAAGTGCTGAGATTACAGGCGTGAGCCACCATGCCCAGCCTAGAGTCTACTCTCTTTAACTAAGCAGTCTCTTCATGTAAGGGATTCATTAATCCCTTACAACTGAATCTCTATAATACCTGATATGATGTATTTCTCCATGGGCAACAAGTGCCAGCAGCTGCACAGATACTTCTCTGTTTAGCCAGTATGTGATCTGGAGCAATTCTATTATTTTGCATAATCTTCACAACAGAATTTAAAGTCGAAACTGCTATACAACCTATCATGAGAGTAAATTTCTAATCATTGCCTCATTTACTCCAAACCATGGAAAAAAGGACCTAACAAATTATACCACTCTAGAAGAGTGAAGGCCTCCTGGCAATGTTCTCTTTAACCTAGGATGTAGGTTAAGAGGAGTGGACTAATGTTTGGTTTCTGACTGATTATGAGGCAATGTATATACCATTAAAGTTTCTCACCTACTTTGGGCCTTCATCTTCCATCTGTCAAGTCATAAGGTTATCCAGGTATAAGGCTGGCTTCAAAATCCTTCACAAATAAAAGTATACCCCACGAGTGCGCACAATAGACCCCCTTTTCACTTCTATTGTTCACAGAGGCATAAGCAAGGAGGAAAAAAAAAAAGTAAGTTAGGAGTCTCATCTTAATAGAGAAATCTTGATCCATGATCTTGGGAAAAAGCTGTCCACATCAAGGATGCTATCTTCTTCAGCAGAGAAACCTCCCTAGTTAGCTTTATCTTAAGGTTTCCAATGGGTGTACAGTTCCAAGAGTGTGGAGGGGCTTTTCTGAGTTGTGAGGTTATGAACCCAAGGTTTAAGGTCCCAAAGTTTTGCTGCAGTATGGTTGGCAAGGGCACTCTCTCTGATGTTCTCAGAAGATCCAATCTTTTGGTTCTTGATTGTGAAGGGGTTGATTGTCTTCAGTCGGTGAACCATGATAAGCTTTCATTACATGGTGAAAACACTCTGTGGCATAATAAGCTACTGTTATAGTATCAGCCCTCGTAGATGGAAAAGCTTTGATATAACCAGAAAACATGCATTGAAGAAATGACAATGGAATGAAATCCCTTTATAAAGGTTTAAATGGCCCATCAGGTAGCTGAATGCACCTGAAGTTTTCATTTTCTTCCCAAGAACATGGGTTTGACAAACCAAACGTTGGTCACAAACAATTTTAGCCATTTAGAAGTCAACACACACACACACACACACACACACACACACACATATATATATATATATATAATTTGGATCATTTTATTTTTTCCATGATGAGTCATGGAATGCAAAACTTTTAATAACAAAAGCTTTAAAGACTCAGGAAGGACAAGATGGCTGTTCTGGTTCTTCAGGAGTCCATGCTTAATATTGGACTCACGTCCTCTTGAATACCAGTTGTTTCTCCAATTCAGGTGCATAGCACTGGTAACTGATGGATTATCATAGGTAATTTAACTTAGGCCATGGAGTTCATTCAAGTTGTGTATCTAAACAAATTCAGTATTGGCTGATTTAACATACAAATCTGGCAAAGTATTATCTTGGTATTCAATTAATTTTTGTTCTGCTTGGGTTAGCAGTTTTATAAACCAGTCAGTCTTTCCATTAAAGTTCCAGGAATTCTTACCCAGTCCAAATAATATGATTTTAAAGTCAATAGAAATCTGTATCCAAGAGTGATTTTCAGGGTCTTTTCCATCCTTTCATGAACCTCCTTAAAGACAACATATTCTAGGATTTTGAGTACTGGTGGAGTTTTCAGAAACTGCATCAGAATTAAGCAATTAACTGTGAATTTAAAATAGTCATAATTAAAGACACAATTGACAAGGAAATTTGGTTATTTCTGTGGTCTACAATTACTTAATAACCATAATTATAATTGATAGCATACACTCAGGTATATTAGAATTTTAGAAATTCCATACAATTTTGGAACACATTCATTAAAATATAACCTGAAGAAGGCTAAACATTATTTCTTATTTGACAATGATTCCCATCTAACTTAACATGTCAGATAATCCTGTTTACCTCTCTTTTGGGTGCTTCAGGTGCTCTCTGTAGCATCCCAAAGTTAGAGGGCAAAAACGACTTAATTTTGAAGCTGAAGTTTGATTTTGGGAAGCCTGTCAACTATGTAAAAGGTTTAAAATACTTGACCAAAATAGGAAGACAGGTCACTGTAAAGCAATAGTCACTCATTTAACCAAAGTGACAATTAAAAGATTTTTAAAAACAAAAACCTGTACTCTGATAAAAAAGAGTCAGTCTTCCAAACCACCAAAGACCTAAGATATCATGAGATGAAATCTGTCTCCTTGTTCTTTCCTCTCCCCATTTTCCCCCCTTTTGCAGTTTACTCAAAAAGTGAATAAAAATATTTTAATGTCTTATTAATAATACACAAAATTTTTGTTCCAAACAGAAAACCAAATTTTACTTTTGTATTAGTGTATTATCAATATTAAAACTAATTTTAATAAAACATCCTAAATAAATTTGTCAAATCTATAATCTTTTAACAAGATTTTCATAAACTTTTCATTTTACATTTTTTCCAACTTTCTATATTTATCTCATTTTATCAAATTTTTTACTCCTTCAATCTGAAACCTTTAAGAAACCAGACAAAATTTTTAACACACATTTTTATGCCCTTTTAACTTTCCTCATCAAATGCATATTTTGCATTAGTTTATACACTCTGCATACAGAATTGTTTCTCTCATATCTAGTAGTTTTTACTCTTAGTAAACCTAATTTCTAGTGAAAACCCTCAAAAGTAATTTTGAAAGTAATTTTGAAAGTAATTTTATATCAGTATTTGTAGATAAAAAATTTTTATAATTTTTTTAGAAAAATAGTTTTCCCAAGTTTTCTGAAGTTTGAAGGAATTTCAATTCCATTTTAAAATTCAATTTTCTAAAGTTTGAAGAAACTTCAATTCTTCAAATTATTATCAACAGATCTAAATATATTTAGCTTTTCTGTGCTATATAAAACAACATGTCAAGGTATATAAACTTAAACTCATGTCTAATAAATTAATATTTCAGTACCTTAAAGATGACTCAGACAGTTTATGATTATCTATTACCTATTTTAACATAACATGACTCTAGGATTTTAGATTACTGGAAATAATTTTGAAGCTACAAACTACACTGGTAGCTTCCCTAATGTCTTCCCCCAGTAATTCTAGGTCCTAAGTAGCCACGTGGCACCCAGGAGGACTGTGAAGGTCAAGACCTCTCTGCATCCATCAGGTCAGAAGTCAAAGCTGTGAAGGCTATACCTTGAGGATCCAACCCCTCCCAAAATAGCCAGGAGGCAAAACAGGGAAAGCAGAGGGAAAAGGGGCCATTATCAGGCTTAATTCTGGCTTGTAGCTGCTGGTCTAGGCACTAAGATCATGTCTCCAGACCTGATTATAGCCATCTATCCAGACCTGATTGTAGCCATCTATCCAGACCTCTGAACCCAGAGACTCTAAACCAAAGACATAAGCTCACAGTCAAATCAAGCAAGTAGCTAATTATATTTAACTGATAATTTTGAAACAATTTCTATTTTACCAACAATTTAAAAACCAGTTTTATTTACCAAATATCACATACACATAACACATATAGACATACAAACACACAGATGCGGCTCCTATAGCTCTCATAAAGGATTTTCATTTGCGGGCTTTCAAATACTTTTTGTTCTCCACATTCTGTCTATCAATATTCTAATTACTGGTTTCATTGCCCTAAGTATTTTTAACTAGGCAACAAACTTGCATTTCTAAAAGGATAACTCATAGGTGGAACAAAAAATTATATTTTATAAGCACAGAGCTAAGATTTTAGGTCTAAATATTGTATCATCATTTGCTCAAACCAAGGGGGAAAACATTGCTCAAATTAAAGTTCACTTAAGATGGCCAGAAAAGCTTAAACAAAGGTATGACTTCTTATGTAAATTTAAAAGAATGGTATGAGTTCCTAATGTACAGGGGCAGACATCCTTAAAAATGCAGATTTCCTTTATAGACGTAAATTTCTTTTACAAAAGAGTTTCAATATAGGCAATTAAATTCCAAAAAGGTGTATTTTAGTTTAATAGGGTGTTCCTCTTGAAACAGCTACTGTTTTTTAGCTAAAATTACTCAGTTCAGGGTAATGGGTCAAGCCCATTAAGGAATAGGGCTAACAAAGCATTATATGCCTGGACGCAGCATGGATAGATCTGAAAAAGAAATACGCCTATTTTACCTGACGGCCTACCTTATATACACACCTTATCTAGGATAGCTTTCCTTCCACCTTTGCGATGGGATAGTAACTAGGACAAAAGTTTAGCAAATTTAATTTTTTTCAATTAGTCACGTAAGCATTTTATTTGCCTTTTATAAAGTCTTTAAATAAAAGTATTGAAATCTTTTTAGAACCTTCTGCATATCAACAGGCATCCCTAGATGAGACTAATTTGGGAGCCCTCATTTTCAAATGCACTTCAGTGCAATGTAGTCATCTGGAACATTCCACTGTAACATATCTTTAGTCAGATTTCACCATTTCTGTAAGAGTTTGCTACTTCTGGGGCCTAGTACTTATGCATGTATAAGCTGGAAAGAACTCAGTTCTATAGAAATTAAAGATCCCATTTTTACCTCAAATATTGGCTTTGGCTCTCAGGTTTCCTTGATCAAGTTAGCCAATGATTTTTTTTTCCTACTTAAGTGCTCAAGAAAAATGTAACAAAGAGGTAGAACACAAAAATCCCTGCAAATTTCAAAAAGCTAAATTTTACACCTCCTGCAGTATTGCCATTTACTACTGGTTTATTTTTGACACAGTGAGATGTGAGAGGCCTCTAACTGGATCCAAACCAGTTAATTACTAGATCCAATCTGATCCTAGACCCGGTCCAGTTTCTGTCCTGATGTCTAAATCCAGTTTGCATCAGAAATTTGCTCAAATAAACTCAGAGAGCTCAAAACACAAATTCATGGAGCTTCAGAATCCGAGAGAACTCAGCATGATCCCCAGCTACTCCAAGAGAGCAATGGGCATGATGGGCCAGGCAGGTACCTCACTTGGTCACTCAGCACTCCTGGGGGTTATTAGAAGCTCTGTTTTGGATCCCACTTCTAATGTCATCTGTTAAAAGAAATACTTCTGCTGAATTAAATTTTAAAAAATTTAATCGAGCAAAGAACGATTCATGAATCGAGCAGCCTCCCGAGCCAGAGTAGGCTCAGAGACTCTAGCAAAGCCACGTGGTGGAAGATTTATGAACAGAAAAAGGGAAGTGATGTAAAGAAAATGGAAGTGAAGTACAGAAACAGCTGGATTGCTCTCAGCTCATCATTTGCCTTATTTGAATAGTTTGAACAGTTGGCCATCTTTGAGTGGCCAAGAATAGACTACAATCTGTATATAACTCCATTCAGGTTGTAGTTCTCAATGTACAGAGACACCTTTAGGCTGAACTTAAAATATGTAAGGATGCAGCTTTAGGCTAAACTCAATTTAACAAGTTCAACTTAATATTAGATGCTAATAGTTTAAAGGAAGGTTTAATTGAACTCCCATAGTGATGGAAATGTTTATATCTGCCATGTGCAATATAATATCCACTAGCCAACATGGGAAATGTGTCTGGGTAATGGAGGGGATGAATTTCTAATTCTAGTTAATTTCAATTTATTAAAATTTAAATAGTTCCATGTGGCTAGTGGCTACCTTATGAGACAGAAAAGTTTAGAAATGTAAGTCAGAGAACTACATACATCAACATGGATTATGACTTTTTCAGGACAAAGAATGGAGTTTTATGTATTTAACAGCAATCTTGTTTAAAAAACACTATTAATATTCCTATTTTACAGATGGTGAAAACTAAGGTGGAGTGGCACTATATTATTTGGTCAGGTTCATCCACATTTGGGAAAAGGTTTAGAAACATGGGTCTTTAGGTGAGCAGGTGTCAGAACATTGAAGAGAAAGCAAGGAACAAAGATGTCCATATTCTAATGGCCAGAGCCTGGGAATACACTGCCATGTAAGGAGACTGTGTAGATGTGATTAAGTTAACAATGTTGAGTGGTGGGATTATTCACATGGGTGCAATATAATCACAAGGATCCTTGTAAATAGAAGACAGAGGCAGAAAGAAAGAATGAAAGGGATGGCATCAAAAGAAAGATTTGTCCCTACATCATAAGAAAGATTCATCCTTACATGGCTGGCTTTGAAGATGGGGCTGTGAGGCAAGGAATGTGAGTGGAATCTAGAAGCTGGAAAAGGCTAGAAAAACAGATTCTTTCCCAGTGCCTCCAGAGGAACACAGCGCTATGGGCACCTTGATATTTGCCCAGTGAAATCGATTTCTGACTTCTGACCTCCAGAACTATAAAATAATAAATTGTTTTAAGCCATTAAGTTTGGTACAAAAATAAGAGAAAACTAACCTGGCAGCTAGGCTGGAAGTAAGAGAATGAGTTACAGGTTGTTTTAATTTAAAAAAAAAAAAAAAAGAGAGGTGCAGTTGGCCTGATGCTAATGGCAGTGGGAATAGAGAGAAAAAATAGATATGAAATACAGGAAAATCAGAATCAGCAGAAATAAAATCAAAAGGCAGGGTTTAGAACAACAAAAAAGATGGACCACAAGTCCTGAAGCATGAAGCATTTCTCCTAAGAAAATGCTTCTCAAATATCTGTATATGTGTGACCTCATATAGCACAATGTTAAGAAAGGAGCTGGGACTCAGAGAAGTCTCTCATCTTCAATTCATGGAGGACTTTAAAATCTCAGAGAGCCGCCCACACTTGGCCCAGCTTACCCGCTGTTGGCTTTATTCTGCATGCCCCATATAATACAGCAGCTGCTGTCTGCATCAACATTGCTGTATTATGAAAATTGTGGGGGATGTAATTTTTTTTTACATTACTTGGCAACACGTTTCTGTCCAGGTGTTTGAGAAACTCAGACCATAATTATGCCAAAGCAAGAGTAGATGAGAAGTTCAGTCAAGGAAACCAGATTGCTTTTTGTCAAGAGAGTCTGTCAAGAGA